>NC_000004.12:19322916-21822916 GCF_000001405.40 Homo sapiens | reverse complement strand
TGAAACCCCTGTCTCTACTAAAACTACAAAAATTAGCTGGGCATGGTGGTGGGCACCTGTAATCCTAGCTACTCAGAAGGCTGAGGCAAGAGAATCTCTTGAAACCGGAAGGCAGAGGTTGCAGTGAGCCAAGATTGCGCCACCGCGCTCCAGCCTGGGTGAAAAAGTGAAACTCCATCTCAAAAAAAAAAAAAAAAGGAAAATTAATAATATACTTTGTACTGGTAATAAGCTTGTATTTTCTTTTGTAAAATCTTATTCATATCTGTTTAAATATACATAAACCATCTGCTGGGCAAATAATCTCTACCGCTTTATAATCCCTTCATTGTAATCCCATGTAAACTACCAATTTACCATGGAACAAAACACTAGATGAATATATGGTTAGAAACTAACAAGAGATAAATTTAAGTATAAAAATAGGGAGTTACATTTGTTTCTGGATAATATTATCATGGAGTCCTGGATGACATTTTGGATTAGTACCCTGTGGTTATATCTGCTTGTTGGATTATTGGGTTGAGACTCTGGATTTGTCCTAATAAAATCCCAGAGGGAAGAAAGTTTCTCCCTTAGGAAACCTCAAGAAGACTTCTGGAGAACAGCTCTGCCTCTGGACACTGACTAATTACACAATTTTATTATCATCTCATAACAGATTCCCAGTATGCTCTTTGCCATTTAATTTTCTGAAAGCATAATGAAAATGGAAAATATTATTTGTTCTATTTTATGTCCTGTGAAGACAATATCAATATGTCTCTTGGTAAATCACATGCTAGGATGCCAGGTAGAAATCCTGATGAATTCATGTGTAATCCTGGTGCAGAGGCAATGATTACTTTATTTTGTGGATTGTAGAATGGAAGCTAAATAAGTTGGAGACGTCTTCTGTGCACCAGTTTTTTATTTTGTAAACATTAGCTTTAGCGCTTCATCTTGGTGAATTTGTCAAACATGCTTCTCCTATGGAAAAGCATTGTAAAAATGTGAGTTAGAAAAGATGTTGTATTCCAAGGGAGAAGTAGTAGTCATCACTATTTAAGTAAAATTGTTTCATTGTGACATTTTATAAGAGGCTTAATGAATAGGGTATAAAATTTTCAATTTAAATGTTTTAAATATGAAGTTTATTACAAATATAGAACAATGTGGACAACTGTACTCATTCATTCATTCATTCATCTAACATCATTATTGACAACCGGGTAATAATGAGGCTGTGATGATTCACAAGAAAGCCTGAAATTGAGTTACTTGCATTTATCTAACTGCATATTCCACTCTGCAATGAAGAGTTTATTCATCCCACTAAAACATTTTCATAATATGTATTCTCAGGTTTGCTAATTCTGTGACAAATTTTAAAATTCCATATGATACTAAGCTTCAGCCACTATTTAAAATTTTTAAATTTCCCTGCTCAATTTCAACTGCGGGTAACATTTCTGAAAAGAGATTGGATTTCTTTTTAAATGGAATGGCTCTGACTTCTCTTTCCCCAGTGAAATGTATCCTCTTGAATATATGGTGGAAAAATTCAGTGACCTTAAAAATATATTTCATGGGAATCTTTTGGGCCTCAATGGCACCTACAGGAGGATGCTTTGGTCTTAGAGTAAGAGATTGGAATTGAAAGGTGTCTCCACTTTTTGCTTTAAGCTCTTGCTTCATGGGTGGGTCAAGACATACAAGACAATTGCCTGCAGGTCAGGTTATCTACCTGGGGTATCTAACCACCTGAGTAACAGTGGCGTCTATATATATTATGTAGAAATTAAAGAACAGTGAGTTTTCACTAGCTAACAATTGCTAACACTGAGAACTGCATTTTATTATTAGGAGATGTAAATTAAAACTGTCTTTTCCTCAAATAGCAACAAGGTACATGGTATGAATTGCATAACACAGCTGAAAATATGTTTCAGTATCTTCCAAAAATGAATATGCCTGATAGTTATCAGTGATAACCATGTTCAGTTATCAGTTGCATAATGTTTAGTTAAAAATGACAATTATTTTTCAACCTCAGTGTCTCAAGTAGAATGACTGTACAATGTGGAAATCAGCCATTTTCTGATGGGTTTCTTTGCATATGAACAGCCCTATGAGCATGACCCAAATGTAGATTAAAGAAGAAAAAACTTTAATGATCATTGAAGCTAACTGAAATGTCAGTGAACTTAGAGAAATGTAATTATGATGCAAATGTGAAATTATCAGCAGAGCAAAATAAACAAATCATCCGAACCTTTCTAAAGCCCCTTCCAGTTCTAAAATTACATTTGATTAAGGTCACAACTTGACTTATGAATTAAAATGGCAGAGGAAGGTAGCAGAATTCATGCCACTCTGGTAGTAATTTGTATAATTTGTATATTTTGTTCAGCTGAATTCAGGGACCATAATTTGTGTGGTTTTGCATAGCTTAAGTGCTTCTCCAAATTTGTATACATCCAATTGGCTTATTTTCAAAAATGTATTGTCTGACCATGGATAAACCAGCTCTGCATGTGGGTCGACATATATAGGAAATCAAGTTTATAGTACTTCATGCCTGTATGTGTGTGTGTGTATGTGTATATATGTATATATATATATATATATATATATATATATATATATATACACACACACACATACATAAGATATACATACATATCTTATAATCTAGTGTCATTTAAAATAATTTATTATACTGTATATTGTTTATTACATAGATATGTAATGTGATTTGCACAAGAGTAAAAATAAGTTCAAGGAGACATCTAATTTTTTATGATCATTTGATATTTTCTTAGTGTATCTGCCTTATTTTATTTTTTTAACTTTCTAACCCAAACTAATAGAGTGAAACAATTCATTATTTTTAATGAAAATGCTTTTTAAAAAGTACTCAGAGGACATTTAGATAGCTATATCAAATTAAATATCTTGCCACTTTCCATCTGGGCATTGCTCCAGTATTTTAAGCCACTAAATTTAATGAATATTTAAGATTAAATCTTAGTTCACTATTTCCCTAAAAGAGACCAAATCTCATATTGCACACCAAAAAGGACTGTCTCATAATTTTCTAACAATAAGTAAGTGTCTCTCAAACCTTACAAATTTGAACGAAGGATAAATTTGATAGTTTTATGTGATATTTTCAAAATTAAACCTCGTTCCATCTTCTCTCTCTCCCTTACCCCACAGCACACATAAAGGCAATCACAAAACTAAGTTAACTTAAAATTCCTTTTTTAAAAATAAAAATCATTATTTCCTTCAACAAAATTAATTATCTGAGATTCTTCTTCTTTTTTTCATTTAATAAACATGTGTTAAGTATCTAGCCACTGCAACATAAGATGCTGGGTAAATAGTGGGAAATAAAAGAGTATAGTTCTGGCATTCACCAAACTTAATGTCTACTGCAGGATATAGACAATAAACAGATAAACAACAAATATCAGGTTACACGTGAAGGAAAATAACAAGGTACTGGAAGGAGTAGTCAGGCAAGACAGCTCTGAGGGAGTGAAAATCAAGGTGAAGACTGAAGAAATCTGGCACAGTGTGTGTTGTGCAGCATGTTGTGAGCTGTGTTGGCTGGGAGGGTTGGGGAGCTGCCTGTTTCCATGAACTGAAAGAAGGCCAGCATGGCTGCAAGCCAGCCAGTAACAGAGAGGGTGGTGACAGATGAAACTCAAGAACATTCCAAAAGACTTTGACTTGATTCTAAGTGCAACAGGAAGCCCTGGCAGGGTTTTAACCTCACCTAATATCAGTGCAAAGAAAATATGCTGTTTTTAAAAAAATTTCCTGGAAAGACTCTGTTTGAAACTTTATGAAGAAATTTAGAAATCTGAGTGAGAATTTTGCATGAATTAGCTATGGCTTAAAGTGTGGTCATGCTAGAACCACAGAGTAGGCATTTTCCATTATTTTGAAAGGATGTGATGTCTTTTGCATCTTTTAAGCTGTTTGCCTGGCTGCAATGTGAAACTGGTTCCTGGTTCCCTCACTACTACTCTACTTGTAGAAAAAAAAGTGTTTTGTTGTTTTGTTTTGTTTTGTTTTTTACTAGTCTCACAGAATGAATTATCTTGATGACCTAAATCTCATTTTCATTTTCAGCATTTGTTTGATTAAAGCTCTGATGAGATAGAAAGTTTCTAAGAGAATCACATTTCTAAAATACAGAGGGGATTTAAAAAACATTTATTCAAGTACTATCTATTGCAGCAGTATCCAACAGAAATTTCTGTGGTTATGAAAATGTTCTATATCTGTGCTATCCAATATAGTAGCCAGTGCTCACATGTAGCTACTGAGTATTTAAAATCTGGCTAGGGTGACTGAAGAGCTGAATTGTTAATTTAATTTCATTTTAATTTGTTTAAAATCCATACACCACTAGTGGCTACAAAATTGAACAGCTCAGATCTACTGTATATGTATCAGGGGTTTTCAATTAGGGCAGGCCACTGGGAAACACAAACACAGCACCTACTGTCTAGAAATGTACAAACATATAAATATGACAAGACATGAACATGCATCTCTACAATATAAGTTAGAAAATATGAAGCTGAGTTTGGGGTTACCCCCTGGGGATTTCAGAACAGGGGTTGATGCTTTTTGAGTGAGAAGCTGAGGGGCATATGGGAGAATACTGGGGGAACCCACCCCCAATATTTCAATGTAGGTTCTTTCTATTTTCCATAAGTGTCGGCCGGCTGAGAAAGAGAGACAGTATAAAGAGAGGAATTTTACAGCTGGGCTGCTGGGGGTGACATCACATATCGGTAGGACCATGATGCCTGCCTGAGCCTCAAAACCAGCAGGTTTTTATTAAGGGTTTCAAAAAGGGAAGGGGTGTAAGAACAGGGAGTAGGTACAAAGATCACATGCTTCAAAGGCCAAAAAAGCAGAACTACTAATCAGGGTCTAACAAAGATCACATGCTTCTGAGGGAACAGGACAAAGGGCAAAAGCAGAACTACTGATATGGGTCCAACAAAGATCACAGGGCAAAGGGCAAAAGCAGAACCACTGATAAGGGTCTGTGTTCAGCGGTGCACATATTGTCTTGATAAACATCTTAAACAACAGAAAACAGGGTTCGAGAGCAGAGAACCAGTCTGATCACAAATTACCAGGGCAGAGTTTTTCCCCACCCTAGTAAGCCTGAGGGTACTGCAGGAGACCAGGACATATCTCAGTCCTTATCTCAACTGCATAAGACAGACATTCCCAGAGCAGCCGTTTATAGACCTCCCGCAAGGAATGCATTCCTTTCCCAGGGTATTAATACTAACATTCCTTGCTAGGAAAAGAATTTAGCAATATCTTCCCTACTTGCGTGTCCATTTATAGGCTCTCTGCAAGAAGAAAAATATGGCTCTTTTTGCCCGACCCCGCAGGCAGTCACCCTTATGGTTGTCTTCCCTTGTTCCCTAAAAATCGTTGTTATTCTGTTCTTTTTCAAGGTGCACTGATTTCATATTGTGCAAACACACATGTTTTACAATCAATTTGTACAGTTAACACAATTATCACAGTGGTCCTGAGATGACGTATATCCTCAGCTTGTGAAGATAACAGGATTAAGAGATTAAAGACAGGTGTAAGAAATTATAAAAGTATTATTTGGGAACTGATAAATGTCCATATTAAAATGAAATCTTCAAAACTTATGTTCCTCTGCCACGGCTCCAGATGGTCCCTCCATTTGGGGTCCCTGACTTCCTGCAACAGTGGAAGAACTGGCAACAGTTCTGGGTCTTGAAGGATGGGCAGGGATCTTAATATGTGGAATTGGAATGAAGATAATAAGAGCAAAGGAACCAATAGAAGAGGAGAACACAGGGTCAACATTAGTGACATGAAAATAATAGCTCACATCTGTCAAGCACATACTATGAAACGTTTTTCTAAGAGCTTTACAGGCATTAATTAATTAATTCTCACAACAGCTTTTAAAGCTAAATGCTATTGTCATGATCCTCAATTTATAGATAAGGAAACTAAGGGCAGTGAGGTCAAGCACATTGCTCAAGGTCAAGCTGGTGGTGACAGAACCAAGATCCGAACCCAAGAAATATGCTCCAGATTGGGCAGCTTCACAATGATTTTGCTACCTGATTTAAAAGTCAGGCATAGAGTATTCCTAATGAAAGCTTTGGGGTCAACTAATAATTATAGGGGTGGGATGTGGAGATCACCTGTGATGACCAAACACAGGTCCTCATAACAAATCCTCATCAGAGGATGGCAGGAAGATGAGAAAATAGTAAGAGACTTCCCAGTTTAAGGGTTAATGGGAGAACAAAGGTGGTGCTGTGTACTGGGAGAAAGGGAGGGAGAGAATGCAATGGAGACGTGAACAACTGACTGTAAGGATGTCTGAAACGCTAAAGCTCTTTGACTTGGCTTTTGAAGTTCTCCTGGTGGTCCTGAGTCATCTTTTTCTGTAGACATTTTATTTGATGGGTGAATTATTTCACTTTTTTAGGTCCTCACCTTTCCTCTTCTTTTTAAGTGTCTCCCTTACAAAGATGAGTTATATTATAGCTTGGTTGTTGAATTCATAATGTTTAATCACATGTCCATAGATATTCAGAGTTATGTTTAATCCTATCTGGAAATGGTTAATTTTATCTTGGAGAGCCATCATGTTTTGTATAACAGCATTATGAACACTATGTTAGGGTACATTTTTGCAGTGTCCCTTCTTCTGGTGATGTCATTATCACTTCTTCTAAACCTACATTTTCTTCTGTTACAGTTGCTCTTTTAAATGAGTTCATAACTCTGGCTTTGATTTTGTATAAGAAAAAATGTCCCAGAGTTGTCACAAGCAACAGCTTTGATAGTAGAAACATTACAACCATCCCAAAGGACCTGCCTGTGAGATTCACCCTCATTATTAAGATCAGGTCACCTGCCACAAAGATGAAATTGAACTTTTTTTATTGGTAAATACAGTTAATCTACAATTTATACATATGGAAAAACCCAATTAGTTCCTACAGTTGAGGAATATTTCTGGAGATCATACCAGCTGGTAGTCTAGATGGGACAGATGGCCTAAAGCTCTTTAATGGGGAGAAGATAATATGCTGGCTTGGAGAGATCTGAATAAAAGACTTTGTGAACTCAGTTTCTCATTTAAAAAGTATACTAGAATAATATTTTTACAGGCAGTACTTTTATGAGAATGGAAATTAGCTTCACAAACAGGATAATTTGCATCCAGCTTATATCAAATGATAACAAAACATAGCAATTTTTTTTCTGTCTTGGTATGTACTTGTAGATGTCAGTCTGCACACCCACAGGAAATAATTATGCTATAAATGTTAAAGCTTGAGGTCTTTTTGCTTTTTTTTTCCTTTTATCTTGTTTGAAAACTCTGAGGACTCCATCACTTACATAAATAACTCTTAGACCTTTAATCATCTTTAGTGATAATCGTACTAAGAGTGATGATGGTGGTGGTGGTTTGGTAATGATTGATATTAACTAACAATGGTACCTAACTTATAACATTACAAGAGTCTTTACATACATTATCACATATGTTCTTCACAACAATCCTTACTGGTATCCCCATTTTACATTATCATCTTCATTTTATATTAGCACATTTGATTCTCACAAAAGACAATTTTTATCCCCTTTTTACAGATGAGGTTGGGGTACATACAGATAGGCAAAGTAACTTGCCCAAGATCATCTAGCTAGTTGGTGGCTGAGATGAGATTCATCCAGGCAGATGGTTTTAGAGTCCACCTTAACCTGGTGTACACGATCCTCATAGCATTCCTTATATAACTTTCAAATGAATTAATAACAGGCATAATATGTATAGTGTTCTGTTGGTTGTCTAGTACTTTTGCTTACATTGTCTGACTCCCAGCAATTCTATAAAGTTGTTGAAAAATGGCCTTAAGAAGGAGGATGTGATGTTGCCAAAGTTGCCCCGGTAAGATTGTTAGAGCTCAGGCTTACTCCTTAGTTTTATGGAAACAAGTTCTGTGTCAATTTTAATTGTTTCTGTCATATCAGGATGGTATTTCCTGTGGAACTGAACACTGAGACAGCCACGGAGCACATCACATGCCTGGGGGAAACATTACCTGCCCTCTTAGTCTGAAGGTAGTGAACTGACTTTTGAAGCTTGGGCATTTGCAGGTCCCTCCTTTCCTTAGAGGTGTACGAGTCTGAAAATGTCCCTCTTCAGCCTTTTGCTCTTAACGGGGCTCAGCCAGTTCCTTTGATGCCTAGAAGTACGTCAGTGTATTAGTCTCTTCTCACGCTGCTGATAAAGATGTACCTGAGACTGGGTAATTTATAAAGGAAAGAGGTTTAATTGACTTACAGTTTCACATGGCTGGGGAGGCCTCACAATCATGGTGGAAGATCAAGGGACGTCTTACGTGGCGACAGGCAGGAGAGAGCTTGTGCAGGGAAACTCCCCTTTATAAAACCATGAGATCTCATGAGACTTATTCACTGTCACAAGAACAGCATGGGAAAGACCCATCCCTGTAATTCAATTACCTCACACTGGGTCCCTCCCATGACATGTGGGAATTGTGGGAGCTACAATTTAAGATAAGATTTGGGTGGGGACACAGCCAAACCATATCAGTCAGATTTCATTAAGGTTTTAGGTTAGTATTTTTGCTCAAATATCCCTTTGATTTAGATCAATGGTATTTCATAGGGTCTTAGATCAGAAAAGGTTAGATTAGAAATATGTGAATTATAACCTCGTGATTCCCAGTCACTAGCAGTGTGACCTCGAAAACCTGACTTATCTTCCTGGAGCGTTGGTTCCCTCACCTGTAAAATAATGATTAAAAAAAACCGGCTTGACAGAACTTCTCTGGCTGTTACATGAAATGCTTCATGTAAAGCACCTAACTCAATATCTGGATAGGAGACACTCAATGCATTTTGACAGGTACTTTTGGTATCATATTTAATTCAGAGCTGTCTCAGATCTAGGACATGAATGATTCTACCTTTATGCAGAAACTGGCAAAAGTGATTGATGCAACTCTTTCAGGGAGCTTTTCTGTTTTTGCAGTAAGTGCTCATCAAACGAAGGATAAATCACAAGGGTCTAAAGGGGAGACTTCCTATCTCCTATTATACCTTACTGCATTTGATGTGAGAAAGTATATGGCCTGGTAATATTTTTGACATTTTTGAAATGTATATCATTTATTTTAAAGGGTTTTTCTATGCAACTATGTTATTATATTTGCATTAGTTTGCCTGTTTCTCTTCTCTGTACTCTTCATTTACTTATGTTTCTTTATGGTTTTGTACTCATTTATCATGAGTACAAATGGATCTTTGTCCTCAAATTGCTTTACTTGTGTTACACTTCAAAGTTAGTCACCATTGGGCAAGTTTCTGAAAAGTTTTTCTCTGGGATGGTAACAACTTCTTGTTGAGAGATGGATGATTCTATCTTACCTATATATTTGTCTAGATGTTGTAAAAATTATTAAATAACTTTTTCTCTGTGTTGTTGGTAGCAGGAAAATCTATGGTAATAATTTTTAATTTGTGTTGTTAATACTATTTGTTCTTGTTAAAATACATTTTTTCTCCTTTCAACCAGATAGCTAGGGATTTTGCAAGACAGAAAATAGAAACTGATGCTAGAAACTCTTGGTTTCTTCTGTAGAAGCTTGGATTTGTTGCAGAGGTGATATGAATTGTTCTAAAAAGGGAAAGTAGAAATAAATGAAAGGGACTTATTTTTCTTTCCAGGTTGGCAGAATCCAGAGGTTTTCAGTATTCCAGGAGTATCAGGAAACTTTGCAGATTATGGCAACATCTGGAAAAGTTAGAAGCCATTAGAAGATGTAGCCTCTTGGGGGCACCTAGGCAAGCTGGACCTAGGCACAGGATTTATCCTGAGTATGACACACAAGACTGGACGTAGGTACGGGAATCCTGTATCTCAAGTCTTATGTGAAAGTGTGGATCCTGGCATAGGAATCCTATATCCCAAGCACTACACAGAAACATCAGAATTTCTGGCTGTGGAAAAGCTTATCCTGGGTGAGACAGTAGGTAAACCAGTGATTTTGACCAATAGCCTTACTGAAAAGTAGGGAAAGCACCCAATTTCTTAGCATTATGTAAGAGCCCAGGATCTTTGTATGATCTTTGTGTGTTCTTGTGGTTGATTTTCTATCATATGGTGTGATGCTAGAACAGAGTCAAATTTAAATTGGTTTTAAGAAAATAAAGAAATTGACTTATTTTTTGCAATTTGAGTTTGTGGATTGAGATTCATTTTACTACAGCTTCATGCATGTACAAGCATAATATTTAGCTAAACAACTCTTATGGATGCTGACATTTAATAACTAGCCCAACCTCTTGACAGCTGATAGCTCATGGTATTGTCTTTTTGTGTTGTTTACTTTTTTTAGTTTGTCTCTTTTTTTCCAGCTATGTTATGAGTTCCTGGAATACAGAAATCTTGCATTTATTTGCTGGCATTCCCTATAATATGTAGAGTATTAATTTAAATATCTGTGCCTGGATTCCCACCATTACATTTGTTCTGGAGGGTATTATAAAAGAGCAATATTTGTTTTTAATACAATGCTTATTTTCTTAGATTCTCAAAGGGTGATGTTAATAATTAATAGACTGTTAGGAGTCCAGTTAATAGTATTCATCTTAAGGGAAAAAATTAAGTAATAAAGGATGATGATAATCTAAAATAAAGTAGCCTCTTTTTGTAGAACTAGATGCGTTAATTTTTATTTTCTGGAAAATAGTTATTGTGAATATACCAATTTGTTTGTTACATGGGATACCTAGAGACATTTTTCTTGAGCCAAACATGTATGAATTTATCCAGCACATGATTGCTTGTAAATATTTCAGCTTAACTTTATTCACTGAAAAATTGGTGTAGCTCATCAAACAGTAAGAATGTTTGTGGATATTTAGAATTTCAAGGCAACCTCCACTATTAACTGCCATTTGGCCTCATTTGTAACCATGACAAGGGATTCTCACGAGATCTTGCCTCTGTTGGTTGAGACACATTTTGCAGCTTTCTTGGAACATTCTTTCATGGGCCTAGTTTAAATTCTGTCAAGCATCATGCTAGCTATCCTGTGACCTTTATCCTGTCATTCCACACATTCCTTTTCTTGGTCAAATCACACATACTACATTCATTTAGTCTTACAGGAAGGAAAAGAAAAACAAATATGCCACTCAGATGTGTCTACAAGGCTGTTTTATCTCTTCTTTCTCCAGTTATTTACTCTTTAAATTCAGTGGCCATATATGAGTAGCTCCCATCACAACATGAGTGGAAGGCTCAGCGAATCCTACCCACTTCGCTTGAGTTTTGCTGCAGATTCAGAAGTCCTGAAGTGGGATTATAAAAGGCAAGGTTTTATTGAAAACACCTGGATAACATTACATTGTTATCTATTTCATTTTGTTAGCTTACAAGCTTTCTTTTAGACATGAACTATGGCTTAATTAAAGTCTAAAATATTCCTTCACTATTCCACCCAAATCCTTATATAGTACTGTATACCCTATGGCAAATAGTGGATGAGAGAGTTCATGGAATAATCAGATGTTGGGTTTTACTCTTATCCATCTTTAACCTTGGAAATGGAGGCAGCTTATCAAGTAGGATTGAGTAGCATGTTTGATCTTTGCTTTTTAAAGTATTGTAAATCTGAAATGTGTTGCTGTTTACTAAGAAATCCCTGATTCTCTCATTTGTGTTACTTTTGCCATGTGTTTTCTAGCCAGAGGGCTCAAGTCAAGCATGTGGTAAATGTCTTTCTCTGTTAGTTAAAGTGGGACTAATGCTGCCTACTCTGTCCCTTATAGTAAGAGTAAAGTGGGAATGGAATATGTTGGCGCTAAAAAAAATTTTCATGTTAACTTAATTGTTGGTATTAAAAGATAACAAAACCTGTATTTCCCTTCCCCATTTTGCAATGAGCACAGCTTTCTGAATTTGTTTACCTCATTCAGACTGTTACTCAAGAGTTTTTTTGTCTTTGGTGTTTGATGTATAAGGGAATCCATTGCCTCTCTTTGGGGAATACACTAGCCTAGCAATAGGCCAGTCATCTCTAATAATAGTTCTTCCTTCTCATAAAAAAATCTGTGGGTACTAGGAAAAATTCTCTCTGATTTTTTTTTTTTTTTTTTTTTTTTTTGAGACGGAGTCTCGCTCTGTCGCCCAGGCTGGAGTGCAGTGGCGCGATCTCGGCTCACTGCAGGCTCCGCCTCCCGGGTTTATGCCATTCTCCTGCCTCAGCCTCCTGAGTAGCTGGGATTACAGGTGCCCGCCCCTATGCCCGGCTAGTTTTTTGTATTTTTAGTAGAGATGGGGTTTCACCATGCTAGCCGGGATGGTCTCGATCTCCTGACCTCGTGATCCACCCGTCTCAGCCTCCCAATGTGCTGGGATTACAGGCTTGAGCCACCGCGCCCAGCCAAATTCTCTCTGATTTTTAAGAGGTTTGGGCAAAAAGAAGGTGGGAGGGTTGGGGGAAGGAGGAGTTGACAAAGATTTTGAAGAGAGATCACACTTCTTGGAGTTGTAATCTCTTACCAGTTTTATGATTTTATGCTATTGAATATTTCTATGCATTGTTCTTGTTTTATGTACTTGATAGGATAATGAGATCACATAGCAGATATGTGGTATTAAATGATTCTTTTCTTTTTATCTTCATCCTCCTTTCCTAACAGGCTCAGCAGTCTCCATTGGTCTCAGTCCCCTCTTGTTCAACCTTCATGGTGTCTTTCTCTGTCCACTTGGTGATCTAACCTTGGCTTTTCCCAGTGAGCTGTCTGAATGCAGACTCTGGAGTCTTTGCTTGTAAAACGGTTGCTGCCATTTACCATACCTTAAAAGAATGACATGCATTCTAAGCATAGGAGGCAATTACATGATCTTCATGATAATTGGATTAATGCCTTACTTCTTTCTAGGATGTCAGTTCTAAACAGGCAGGACCCTGGTCTCATTAATTCCCTTGTGAATCGTAAAAGGCTAATATAAGTCTGACCTGTCAGAGATGCTCTACAAATTAAATAAACTTATGATTGAAAATGCAAATCATTAGAGTAGCATTTGAAGTGTGTAAAGTTCATGTGTAGAGTTAAATAACAAAAAAGAATTAAACTTCCTGTGGTTTAAATAAGTAAGGAAACTGTAGACACTGTAAATCTATTAGGTATATGCAAAATAATACCATTAGTTTCTTGTATCATGCACTACACTAGATAACTGCCCAGGTATGCATGATGAAGCCTGGAAAGATGAGATACCTACATTAAACATGTTTTAGGTGAACATATGCATATTAGGGTTCTCCAGAGAAATAAAACTAATAGTGTGTGTATGTGTTTAATTTATGCATTATGGGAATTAGATCACGTATTATGGAGGCTGAGAAATTCCACAGTCTGCCATCTGCAAGCTGGAGAACCTGGAAGTCCAGTGGTGTAATTCAATTTGAATCAAAGGCCTGAGAACCGAGGTAGGGGTTAGCGGCACTGGGGTGAGCCTTTGAGTCTGAAGGCTTGATAATGAGGAGCTGTGGTGTCCAAGAGCAGGAGAAGATGGATGTCTCAGCTCAAGATAGAAAGTGAATTTGCCCTTCCTCCACCTTTTTGTCCTATTTGAGCCCTTAATGGAATGATTAATGCCTACCCACATTGGTGAATCTGATCTTCTTTACATAGTCTACTTACTCAAATGCTAATGTCTTCTGGAAACACCCTCACAGACACACCCAGAAATAGCGTTTTACCAGCTATTTGGGTATCCCACAGCCCAGTCAAGTTGAGACATAAAATTAACCATCACAAAATGCTTTCAAATCCAGAGCAATTTATCATGGACTTTATTGCTCTTCTGAGAAAACATGTATTTTTTGAAATCTTTGAGCTGTGAAGCCTGGCATGGTGTGTCAGGAATTCTCCATCTTGGAGAGTTTCTTCTCAGAGCCACTCTCTCCTTGAGAGCTCTAGTAGAGCTTTTGTAGCTCCTCTCTTCTAGTGCTGAGTGCAGATTAGACAAAGGAATCATCCCCAAAATTATAGATTTGGAGCTAATGGAATCATGTTCATGAAAGAGAATAAACCTGGAGAGAATTCTAAAATTTGAATGTTATCATTAACGTGTTCCTCACACATCATTTAAGGCTAGCCATCCATTGCATATACAGTTTACCTTGAACAATGTAGGAGTTAGTGGTGCCAATCCCCAATGTAGGCAAAAATCCATATATAAGTTTTGACTCCCCCTCAAAACTTAACTACTAATAGTCTACTGTTGACTGGAAGCTTTGCAGATGACATAAACAGTTAATTAACACATATTCTGTATGTTATGTGTTTTATATACTGTATTCTTACAATGAAGTAAGATACAGAAAAGAAAATATTAAGATGATCATAAAATAATATATATTTACTATTTATTAAGTGGAAGTGGATCATAATAGAGGTCTTCATTCTCACTGATTTCATGTCGAGTAGGCTGAGGAGGAGGAAGAAGAGAAGAAAGGATTGGTCTTCCTATCTAAGGTGTGGCAGAAGAGGAAGAAAATCTATGTATAAATGCACTCATGCAGTTCAAATTTGTGTGTTCAAGGATCAACTGTATTAACTATGATCTAAGGAAGAAGGGAGACTAAAGCAGATTCCTATTCCATGTTGGGATGTGACAATATCAAAACTATATCTCAAGTCCAGAAACCACTAAGTATTATCCTTTCTACCCTATGATATATGATATACATATGTCAAAACTATACATTCTGAGTGAAATAATTTTCTTTGTAATTTAATGTATGCATATATGTTAACGTTAATACAATTTTTATTTATTTATTTAACTTACCAAACACCTTGGCCAGTCATACTCAATGTAAACCTAGCTTTTAGGGAAATATTTATTCCTCCAGTTTTATTCCTAAATTTTACGTAAAGTTTTACATATATATTACTTAGTTACAGAAGCAATATTGAAGAAAGGCTTCAATTTGCTAAATTTACCCTTGATTGATGATGCATGAGGATCTAAATTTTATTTCAGTAACTCATGGATGCAATTAGTTTTATGTGTAATGAGGATTAGATAGGTCAGAAATTTTGTCCCATTAAGTGGACTGCTGAGTAATAGAGAATTTTAATTCCAATCGGGCAATGAAGGAACACTGACACTAATGCAGTATTGTCATGACACATTGTGGAATGTTCTCATCAACCTTAAGCCACAGGTTATTAACATGTTTTCTGGGAACAACTCATGTGTTTTCAGAACTTGAAAGAATAAGTTGTTGATGAATCAATAAGTAGCCATTAACGTGTATTGATTATATAGGTAACCATAATTTAATTTATTGATATGCATGGCAAGCTGCCCTAGATTGAGTGACCCCTCATCCTTCTTATAGATTCACAGATTAGATGGCCATGTATTAACACGCATGCCATCAGGTAGCTGGCCTTCATGGAGATGTGTAAATTACCAGATGCAGGACAGAATTGGACTTTTAATGCAGGGGTCCCCAACCCTCAGGCCATGGACGAGTCGCAGTCTGTGGTCTGTTAGGAATCAGGCAGCACAGCAGGAGATGAGTGTCAGTGAGCAAGCGAAGCTTTGTCTGTATTTACAGCTGCTCCTCATTGCTTGCATTACCTCCTGAGCACCACCTTCTGTCAGATTAGTGGCAGCATTAAATTCTCATAGACACATGAACCCTAGTGTGAACTGTGCATGTGAAGGGCTCTAGGTTGCATGCTCCTTATGAGAATCTAATGCCTGATGATCTGTCACTGTCTCTCATCACCTCAAGGTGGGACCATCTAGTTGCAGGAAAACAAGCTCAGGGCTCCCACTGATTCTACATTATGGTGAGTGGTATGATTGTTTCATCGTATAGTATAATGTAATAATAATAGAAATAAAGTGCAATAAATATAATGTGCTTGAATCATCCCACAACTATCCCATCCAACCCTCCTTGTCTGTAGAAAAACTGTATTCCACTAAACCGATCCCTGGTGCTGAAAAGGTTGGGAACTGCTCTTTTAATGTCTATAGATTCCTATTCATCTTCATGGAAAAATACTTTAGCCATGCATATTTGATACTTCTCATATGTTTTCCCTTTCAACTTCTGATTTGTTTTTTTAAAAAAATAATTACTTGTTTAATGTCTAACCCAACAGGTCATGAACTTTGAGAAGTTAATAGTGTGCATTTATGCACAGTTGTATTTCAGTGCTGAATACAGTGCCTGAAATGTGACAGGTAGTCTACATATTTATTGAAAGAGTATAACTAAAATATTAATCAGTCATCTCCCTCTTTTGCATAGGTTGTAACAAGATTCTTCTATATAAAAGTAATTTTTGCTGGCCTTGGTGACAAATTTTTAGTACAATTTTCTCACACTTTTTTACTTCTGAGTACACAAGTAACATTAATGTAATAACTACAGGTCACTGTTGAAATAATTCAAATAAATACAGAATTGTAAACGGCAAGATGGAAAGACATAGATCTTCTTTTCAGGCAAGTAGTAACTAAATACTATATGGGGTGCTATATTGTACTGAATAACACCCTGTGATGCTACATGACACAATGTATGTATTTTATTGTCCCACCTTAACTTTTGTGGGACTGTACCTTAAAAAACATTGACCTGAAGCCTCTAATGCAGCTTCGTTTGGAAGAGGTCCAGAGTATATAATGTTTTGGTAACATTTAAGCATATGAAAGGCAGAAAAAACCCTTAACTACCATGCTGTTTTATTAGTGTCACTTGTCTCCTATTTTATATGTCAGAAGAAAACCAGGATACAATTGATGTGTCCATCTAAACAGAAAATTCCTAAAGGAAAAGCAGCTCCATTTGTAACCTACATTCTTGACACATTCATTTCATCATGCCTAATTCTTAACACCACTACTATGAGTTACTGAGTTGCTTAATATGTGCCACACCTGTATCATGCCCTGCCAAGCACAGGGCCTTTGGATATGAAGTCCACAGTCTGGATGGTTCAAGTGTTCAAGTGAGATGAACTTGCTTACTGGCCAGGGCTCAGGAAGGGTGTAGCTGGAAGGGTGAGATTTTCCACTCCCATTTTGCTTGATAAATCTTCCATAGAGGGGAAAATTCATGGAGGCAGAGAGTATAGAGATATTACAGATGAAGGTGTTTTAAAGAGTGAGACTGCAGGATATTTGGTAAACAGCCTCGGGTTCCTGTTAGGTGGACATACAGGTATTAGTCCATTTTCATGCTGCTGATAAAGATATACCCGAGACTGGGAAGAAAAATGTTTAATGGACTCACAGTTCCACACGGCTGGGGAGGCCTCACAATCATGGCAGAGGATGAAAGGCACTTCTTACATGGTGGTGGCAAGAGAGAATGAAAGCAGAAACCCCTTATAAAACCATCAGATCTCGTGGTGCTCTGGTAGTGCACCAGAGCAGTCTGGGGGAAACAGCCCCCATGATTCAACTATCTCTCACCAGGTCCCTCCCTCAACACATGGGAATTATGGAGAGTACAAGTCAAGATGAGATTTGGGTGGAGACACAGAGCCCAACCATATCAATACATCTAGATGGAGTTCCACCAACTTTTGTTTGGTAATAGCTTTATTGAGGTATAATTTACATACCATGAAGTCCACCCATTGCAAATGTAATATCCAGTGATTCTGTATAGATTTCTAGAGTAGTGCAACCATTACCACATGTGGATGTTCAAAAGGCTGTATGTCCTTCTGCCTTCTCAGCCCTCTGTTCTGCAATGAGAGTGAACTCTCACAGTGAGATCCTAATCTCTACCTCTTAAACCAGTGAAGGAATATTTTTAATTTGTGGTCTTTTTCTTCTCCATTGAATTGTAGTCATTTCTCTGTTGTCAGGTAAACATTATAAATTTGTTCTTAGCTTTGTATAAATTTGTTCTTAGCGTTCTAACATTTCAGGTTTCAATATATTGTTTGTTAGTGAGTGGAATGGCAGTGGAATGTGACAGAATGAAATTGTATGTTTAGGAATGTAAGTGCCTGTGTGGAGGGAGATAATAAAGTTTTCATTAAGTCACAAAATTCTATAACTTAGTTTTCCTTTTATATTTATGATAACATATCTATAGGCTGTTATATGAATATTCAAGTAAATTTTGAATATCTTAGAATTATAGGTTTTTAAAGTGGCAGTGGTTTAAAGTCATTTTCTGGTCTAATTTGAGCAGGTGAAATGTTATCCCCCAAACATGAAGCAGCTGATGCTAAGAGTGGCTAAATTTATTCATTCAGGTTTTCATCAATTATTTGATGAATGACTTCTACAACCAAGTCACAGGATTATTTATTAGTGAGGAAAAAGAAAAAGTGAAATTTCTGTGGTCAACTGAGCTGGCTTGGTTGTAACTGCTAATTCAGTGTTTGTTCATCAAATATATAATTTCACAGAATATCTACATCACACAAGGTCACTGTATGATCATGATGGAGTGAGACAAAAACAAGACCACTCTATAATCATGTCTGATCACAAACAAAACAAGAACACAACCCAAGCCATGAAAATGACCATGTGTGCTCAGCTAACATGACTGCTGTTTCTTTACCATCATTTTAGCCTTGCATTGTCCTTCTTGCCTTCTAAATGAAAACTACTAAGATACCCAGTCATAGAATTGGCCTTGCTTTTCAGCATTCAACAGAAAAATCCAATTCACAGTCCCCAGTTGAGAGGAAAATTAGATTTGTCTGAATCTTCCACAAAATCTTCTAACACAAAGCCAAATCTTGTACCAAGCCCCTCTTAATAACCTCTACTGAGACCTTTCCTTCATGGTTCCACGTGGTTGCTTTCTCCCTTGTTGCAATGAGCCTGGCTTTGTTTGACTGCTGATCTATTCCCCGTGATCTTTGCCTGGAGATCAAGTACTTTATGTTTGGAGGTAAAATGGATATAAAGAGACTTTGTCTCAGTTCTCATGGAGCTTTTATTCTGTTCAGAGAGACAGACATAAGTAAGATAATTTGCTAATTAGTAGAAAATTGCCAATGAAATCAGTGCTCTGGAGACAGGAATTGCCTGTTTGTATAACAGGGGTCTGGAAGCTTCACTGGGGAAGTGTCTATTGAACTGAGAGGTAAGAAGGACAGACAAGGGGAAAGGTGGGAAGGGCAAAGGGAAAGGACCTGAGACAGCAGATAGGGTAGCATTTTGGAGACATTGAGAGAAGACCAGTAGCAATAGAGGGCAGGGTAATGGTGGGGGTTGGGCAGGTGAGGTCCAGTGTTAGAGGCTGAATGTTGAAAATTGTGATCTTTTTTTCAAAGAGCTGAAAGAAAGCCATTGAAACATTTAGGGAAGGTAATGGTGTTATCACATCACAGTGCATTGTACAAAGATTTTTGGATGTTGTGTGAAGAACATATTGGGGAGGATCCACGTTGGATGTGGGAAGACTGGCCCAGAGGGTTGTTTAGATGAGAAGTGATAAAAGCTTGGGTGACAACAGAGGAAGTAAGAATGGAGAGTTGTAGACTCTTCTTGGATATATTTTATAGCTAAAATAAATAAGACTGTATAATGGATTAGGATCAAGGAAGTGGGAGATAGAGGGAGGTGTTCTGGCTTGGGCAACTCAAGAGATGTCGTGACATTTACCGGCTTGATGCATGGCACGTTTACTACCTTTACTAACGTCAAAAACCTGCTATATACTGGAACTAAAATTCACTTTGTCTGTCTTCTGGAGCAGGCCTTCATCCCTTTACTTTTAACCTTTGTGTCAAAAATGAAGTACTAGGGAAGACATGGAACTGGGAGAATTTCAGGAAGGTTGGTTCAGGAATTGATATAAGGAAATTTTGAAATATACCATCCTGTTGTGATAATTGGCCATTTTAAAGCCCCTTTAAAAAAATTCCAGGATCAGTAATTTTAAAGCTGACTCTATCAGTTGAATAGGAAGGCTGTTTTCTGGGAATGAAAGTTGGGGTGCAATTTTTGAGAGAGAATGTGGTTTAGGAAATGTGATGATATGTATGATATCTTTTTTAGATGTTATTGGAACCGTGTCTTTATTTTTGTGCTTTTTTATTAATAGGTCAGCCTTCCATTCATCCACTCAACCATTATTTTCCTTCAAAAGCATGTTCAGAGAGTGATTAATTCCCATGTCTGTTGCTAGAAGCTGAAGATAAACAACAATGAGTAATTGTTGTACAATGTAGAGAATGCCAGTCCAGGAGTCAGGAAACCTGATGTTAGCCCCAGATCTGTTTCTATTATGATGTACATTTCTTTAAATAATTTATTATTTTTTGGCCTTTGTTTTCTTATCTGCAATATGGAAATAAAAAATACATATCCTGATTACCTTAGAGGCACAAACCTTTATTTAGGAAAACAAAAACAAAAACTATGCTCCCCAAACTGCAAAGCAACATAAGGGAGGCAGAGAGACGATGAGTTTTGGTTCCTTGTAAAGCGAGGATAATATTACTACAGGCCTAAGGTTTTCAGGATTAGTAAATGAGATAAGACATGTAAGGTCTATCAAATACTAAATATCCTAGTGAAAAACTCTATTCATACTAAATATTAAAACACTAAAAACTGAAATGTTCACTTGTTGTTGGAGAAAGTCAGATTTTAACATTCCTGGCATAGTGGTCAAATACTGTGGTTTTGATTTGTAAGACAGGCAACAGTCTGCACTTCAGTCTCAGTAGCCTGGGGTTAAGAAAAATTAGAATAATATTAATATTAATTCCCATTCTCATTAAACATTCTTTCTCCCATGAAGAACTTCAGGACCTTAGCCCCTTCTGTGCCCTACCCTATGCACCCCACCTAAAATTATTCTTTTTTAAAAAAAAAATTCCCTGAATTCTGTTTGTGTTCTCTATCCCTTTCCTACTATTTTTTTTTCTTGATGACTTCTCTCTGTATAGCTCTTAAGAAGGGTGTTTTATTATGGCACTGTCTAAGAGGCCACTGCTTCTCAGCCTGGTATCTACATCCTGGTGCTGTGCAGCTATAAAAAAATAAAAATCCTTCAGTTAGCCAGGCATGGTGGCACGCGCTGGTAGTCCCAGCTACTTGGGAGGCTGAGAAAGGAGAATTGCTTGAACCCGGGAGGTGGAGGTTGCAGTGAGCTGAGATTGTGCCACTGCACTCCAGCCGGGGTGACAGAGCGAGACTCCATCTCAAAAAATAATAATAATAATAATAAAATAAATAAGTAAAATTCTTCATGTGTCATTTACCACCATTTTCCAAGCAGTGTTCTGGGCAGATATGAGGAATAATGCCTCCGCCTGCCTCCACAACTTGGTGATGTATGTCATGACTTGTGTGTCCCAAATTGGTATTGTTTTAATACCAAATCCATGGCACAATTTCTATAATCACCAATCTAACTCCCTTTCCCTTCTTTCTCTTGCCAGGAACAAAGCCACTCTTTTGGCAACTAGAGGTTGGTCACTGGTTTTACATGACCAGTGATTTTTAAATTCAACGGGGTCTTGTCTACTGCAGCACATTTATCAATCTATTTTAGAGCTTTATTTTTATTCCTTGACGATTTTAACATAAATTTAAAAAGATTACGTGTCAAATACCTTCTATTGCTTATGTAATGATAAAAGTGCTTTGGACATGAAGCTATGAAAACTGGTGTTAGAATATGTTCTCTCTCACACACTAGTTAAATCATCCGAGGGAACACATTTAAAAGTCTCTGAACCTTAGTTTCCTGTAAAATGGACATAAAACCTCCCTGATTTTTCTGAGAAGATGTCCTCAAAAAATCTTGCACAGTGCCTTGCAAAGTTTCTGACTCGGAGAATGAATGTAATGAAAGTGTTGGCCCCAGTTTGACTAAAGAAGGCAGGAGAGACTTCTCATGAGAAACGTTGGCAAATGTTATGACCATAATCTTTTTTCGAAGCTATAGTGTGCTTGATTACCTGAGGCCATCGGGAGAGTTTATGTTTGTCATCATAATATTACATGCTATGTTTGGCAGTATATTATATTCTGCTATACCTGCAATTTATTTGGGGAAGGAGTTTGTATGCGGAATTCTATATTAATGTAAGTAGTATTGGATTTTCCTTCAATTCCTGTAGGTCCTGTTTTATTATTGCCTCAGTCCTTTCTTTTTAGATCATCATGTGAATGATGATGAAAGTAGAAACCATTCATCGAAAACAGAAAATGTACATGATTGGGGAGTGGGTTGTTGTCTCAAGGCAAATAATTCACTTGCTTCTTTTGACTGTAAACTTCTATGTTATTTGAAAGTATTTTGCCTAGGGAGTCACGGTTTTATTTTTTATTTTAGTTCTTTAGAAATGTTGGTAACTTTACTATATGAATTGATCTGATTTGGTTCATTTTTATAATCCTTGCTTCAGCTAGAAAAGGAAAGAAAATGATGGTAAAGGCCCTTTTGAAAACAAACCAAATCTAATAAGAAAGCAAATGTAAAACAATGAATTATAGCAAGTCTTCAGTGTCTCTTATTATTTTAGTTGAAAACCATAAAATCAACCGTGAAAACTGCCAGTTACAGAGCCCTATAGCATAATCAAAATTCCCAGTGATCTTGAAATAATGTAGTACCAACTTGATTTAAATAATTTTGTCACTGATAATTTGATTTTTTTAACACACCAATAGAATGGACAATTTTAGGGGGAAAGAACTCATTTCTCCTTAGGAGGCTGGAGAATATTCAGGATTTTTCTATAAGCTTAGCTATCAAAGATGTGTGCTGTATATAGAGATTATCTTTAAGAAGATTCTTATCCAGATTGAGTGGAGGGGTTGGCAAACATTTTCTATAGTGGGCTCCATGGTAGAAATTTTAAACTTTGCAGTCGTATAGTCACGGTCACAACTACTCAACTCTGTCATTGTAGGATGAATGAAACTACAGATGATAAGGAAATGAGTGGATGTGGTTTGTTCTAAAAAGATTTATTTACAAATATAAGCAGTGTGTCAAGTTTACTCCATGGAGTGTATTTTACTAACCCCTGTTCTAGGGAGAAGGAGGGAAGGAACTTATTTGTTAAATGGTTGACATGTGACATAGAAATCACAGCATTCCAGAGTTCAGAAGTGTGTCTTCAATGCTGTTCTAAGGGCCTGAACATGAAGTCTTTATCCCTATTCAGTTCTGTAACTCCTTTGCACCTGGCACATTCAACAAATATTTACTATCTTGTTTTTAACGTGTTAAAGTCATAACTAAGCAATTTGAAAGTGAATATATATTAATATTTTAGTGAGTGCTGTTGTACTAATTTCTTAGTCACTACCTCTACCTCCCTGCAACAAACAGGTATCATATAGCTTTTGACCAATATTAATGTCAAAGATTACGAAAGCTAATACAGTAAGCCAGGATTAGCACTTGGAGAAGTCTTTTAAAATGTTGGTAATATAAAGAAAAGTTTAAGAGTGTGGTGTTTGGAGTTACCCATACCTAGATTCAATTTCTGGCTCTGTCATTTACTAGAGATAATAGACCTCAGCCACATAAGTTCACCTCTCTAAATCTCAGTTACCTCATCTGTAAAAGAGAGAAAATAATGGTGTCTCCTTCATTAGACTGTTGTGAATACTAAAGAAAATTCTTCTTGGAAAGCACTTAACATGGTGCCTAGTAAGAGCTCTGTAAATAGCACCTCTTATTATTATTAATGGTATATCATTAAAGTACCAAATTCTTAGTATGCTCATACTTTCAAGAATGTAAAAGTTGAAATTATAGAGGTTTTTTTTTCATTTTTTTCCTGGATGGACTGTTATGTAAAAATTGATATTTCTTCTAGGAAAATGTCAGCTCATAGTCAATTAATTAAAACATTTTGATAATGTAGCCAAAGATTGGAAATGAATTTTATTATATATGGGTGAAAAGTATTGATACACCAAATATATAAGCCAAATATATTAGTAGTTTTTAACCCACAGAAAGAACTGATTATTTTGAAGCAGGGTAGCTTTTTCTATCTTTACCTTTTTTGTTTCATATGCCTTCTAAGTGTGCAGGAATACAAAACTTTCAGATAGTTTCTGAGGAACTTATAAATGTAAAGCTGAAATCTAGCATTGAAAGTAGATATTTCTTCACTTTCAAACTATATCACCTCCAAAAAGCTTAACAGCTTATTTTTTTCTCATTCTCTTAATCTATTGGAGAATAGCTTAAAAGAGTGGCTCTTTGCATTTTTTCTCTTTCTTTCTTTCTTTCTTTCTTTTTCTTTCTCTCTTTCTCTCTCTCTCTTTCCTTTTTTTTTTTTTTTTTTTTCCCAGGGTCTTGCTTTCTCACCCAGGCTGGAGTGCTCAGCCTCCCAAGTAGCTGGGACTACAGATGTGTGCCACCACACCCAGCAAATATATATATATATATATATATGTATTTTTTTGTGTGTGTGGAAACGGGGTTCCGCCATGTTGCCCAGGCCGGTCTTGAATTCCTGAGCTCAAGCAATCTTCCCACCTCGGCCTCCTAAATTGCTGAAATTACAGGCGTGAACCACCACGCCCATCCTGCATTTTATTTCTCATCTTCAGAGTATACTATACACATATCCAAATACATATATGCATATAAGTCTGATATGTATACATGTAGGTTTTTATTTAATCTCCTAGAATAAGATGTGTGTGGATATGTGTGTACGTATTTTTTTTTTGTATTTTATATATTTAAGTGCAACATCTTAAGGAGAGAGAAAGAAGGAAAGGAAAGGAGAATTGCAACTATAAGATGCTTTTTGGTAAGCTAGGAGTGGGGGGCAATCTGAAAATACTCCTCGTATAATAAGCTGTATATCCTTACATCATACTATTCTGATTACTATCACAGCACTGCCTTTTTTCTCATTCTGCCTATTCCTTCATCTCCATTGGCCTCATATATATAGTGACATTAGGAATGACATGGGAACCTTACCAGAGTGTTTATCATGTAAATTTGGCAGCTATCCTATCAAACCATTTTTGTTAACTAGTTTCTTTAGAGTCTCAGTTCAGTCTCTAAGAATCAGATATCAATACATAACTTATCTTATTAATTCTTTGGTATAATATTGAAGGTCAGTAAAATTCATTGTGCCTGAGATAAATAATCACAGTGATAAGAAGATAACCCAGTAAAAAAGTGAAACAAAATACAACCCAAATATAACAATGACATCCTATAGATTTGCAAAGAAAACAGAAGTTATAAGCATTCAAATGTGGAAAACTCAAATAAAATTGAGACCTTTTTATAAGACATACAAAAGCATAAGACATAAATACTGTGTAAGAAACATAAATGGACAAAGTAAAATAAAAAAAAAAACTGATGTTTTTGAGAAAAGAATGAGGTGGCCAGGCATGGTAGCTCATACCTGTAATTCCAGCACTTTGGGAGGCTGAGGCAGGAGGATAACTTGAGGCCAGGAATTCAAGACCAACCTAAGCAACATAGTGAGACCCTGTTTCTTAAAAAATAAATTAATTAAATAACTTGGGCACAGTGGCACAAACCTGTACTCCTAGCCACACAGTGGCCCGGAGGTCACCTGTGCGTAGACGCGTGAAGCTGCACTGAGCTATGATCACGCCACTGCACTTTAGTCTGAGTGACAGAGACTGTGTCTCTAAAAATAAATAAATAAATAAATAGAATTAATGAGGCAGACAGGCATAGATGGGACGGTATCTATAATTGTGGGTAGTGTTGATCAAAGGATGCAGTTGAGAAGAAGGGAAGGCTGAGTGGCTTCTGTGACTAGTGATGGTAGAAAATACAAACCAAAAATTCACACAAAATGAAAATGGAGCCTCTTGCTCAGAATATGTCCAAGCTTTGCCAATGTCAGAAGCGTTCAATATAAAGGGAGCATGCTAGGCATCAACTATTGATAAAAACAATCATTTTACTGTAAAATACTGTATCACTTAAAGGGTGAGATATCCACAAACTTTGGGCTTTTCCGGAACATGTAATCTTGACTCCCGCAAACCACAGAATTAAATCATTGATAAATGCATCAGTTTCATAGTCACATCCTGAATGTTTATTATTCAGACTTAAAAAATGAAATTTCCAATCCATAATATCTATTTGTAGTCATCAAGTAACATAGATGTGTCATTCCAAAAATAAGAGGATAACACACATATAGATGATGGCTTAGAGATGGCTACCTCCTTTCTTAAGATTAGGTGAACGCTTTTAAGAAATGGCTCATTATCTTTAAGGGTACGTTTCTCAAGTACACAATTTAACTGGTTCATTTCAGACATCTTTCTCTCACGCAAGTTAAATGAAGATGTGTGTCTATATGACCAGAGAGAGTCCTGGATTTTGAGATGCCAGAGATCAGACAGAGAAGGACCAAGCTTGACAGTCTGGCGTAGGAAAGACCTCATTGGAAGAGGTCACTCCAGTCAACACCATGAAGAGTTGGAAGAAATGGGGAAGGCTTGGACTTACAGGGAGGGGAGAAAGCTGATGTAGGGAGGGAGTTTTGGAGAATGAAAGGTTGGAGAGAACCTGTGCTATAGATAATTGAGAAAGAGAAAAAATTGTGTAAGAAGTACATTACAGGCCATATGAACCAAGTTCTATAACATCCCATGAGAAACCAGAGTAAAGAACAAAACTTGCTTTAAATAGTGTAATGTGATGTTATATAAGAGCTAAACCACAGAGATCTCCATGTTTATTAGGGTTTAATTTTTATTTATTGATTGATTGAGACAGAGTCTGTCTCTGTAGTCCAGACTGAAGTGCAGTGGCACAATCTCAGCTCACTGCTACCTCCGCCTCCTGGGTTCAAGTGATTCTTTTGCTTCTGCCTTCCTAGTAGCTGGGATTACAGGCACGCACCACCAACCCAGCTAATTTTTGCATTTTTAGTAGAGACAGGGTCTCACCATGTGTTGGCCAGTCTGGTCTCAAACTCCTGGCCTCAGGTGATCCACCTGCCTCAGCCTCCCAAAGTGCTGGGATTACAGGCGTGAGCCACCACACCCGGGAAATTTATTTATTTATTTTTTTCAAAGAAGAAAGTGTGTTTCAGTTGCAGATTTACCAGAGATTATGCAATATACCCTTGCATCTCTTTTTACTAAACTATACTTAAGAAAATCAACTCAGAAAGCAACAGAAAAAAAAAAGTATTGTGTGAGATGTCCCATATAAATGGCATCCAAAATAGACAGACAATTCCAATGAGAAGAGTATTTCAAGTTCATCTAGAATTTTCACTTACTTAGACAAATCCTTGGTGACCTATTTGTTTTAAAATTTTTCCGTGTCTGAAAAGTCAGATTCTATATTAGTATCACTTTGCCTCATAGACATTGCACAGGGTGATTTATCAGGCAGCTTTCCCTTTGAGAACTGTACTGGATTGCTGGGGCTGCCATAACAAAATACCACAGACTGGGTGGCTTACGCAACAGACGTTTTTCTCACAGTTCTGCAGGCTGGAAGTCCAAGATCAAGGCGTCTCTGGGTTTGCTTTCTTCTGAGGCCTTGCTTTTTGACTACGCTCCTCACCACATCCTCACACTGCCTTTCTTCTGTGTGCACGCTTCCCGGATGTCTACTTACATGTCCTAATTTCCGCTTCTTAGAAGGACACCAGTCAGACTGGATCAGTGCTCACCCCGGTGGCCTCATTTTAACTTCATCACCTCCTTAAAGGCCCTGTCTCCGAATACAATCTCATTTTGAGGTACAATCTCAGTTTGAGGTGAGTTAGGGCTTTGAATTTGGGGGGAACTGAAAATTCAGTCTGTAGTAAGGACAAAAGGCCTATTTGCTGAGTACTTGAGGGTAATCATGGGTTTGGCTGGAGAGACGAAGGGAACTTCAGGTCTCAGTGAGTTTTTGTTCGTTTGTTTATTTGTTTGTTTGTTCGTTTTTTGGTTTTTGTTTCTTGAGACAGTCTCCCTCTGTTGCCCCTGCTGGAGTGCAGTGGCATGATCTCAGCTCACTGCAACCTCCGCCTCCCTGGTTCAATAAATTCCCCTGCTTCAGCCTCCCAAGTAGCTGGGATTACAGGTGCATGCCACCACTCCTGGCTAATTTTTTGTATTTTTAGTAGAGCTGGAGTTTTAGACTGGTCACAAACTGCTGACCTCAGGCAACCTGCCTGCCTCGGCCTCCCAAAGTGCTGGGATTACAGGCATGAGTCACTGCGCCCGGCTGTCTCAGTGAGTTTTTAAGCCAGGGTCTCAGATTCTCTGAGCCTCCCCAAGAATTGTAGGTGAAAGCCTTCCCAGAGGGCAACCCTATATTTACAGCATCCCTCGTGTTGCAGTTATTGCTCTACATACTCAGATGGCTTCAGGAAGCTGTCAGTGCTCACGCTGTCTACCAGGTATATATTTTCATGAGACAAAACAATTGATTGAAAATGTACCCATTCAATTAAGCAGTTTATGAGTAAGTGGCCCCTGACAGGATAGAATTAAGTGAAATCTGAGATGATCCAATCAATGTTATCTTCCCCTGTGGTATATTTTCTTTTCTTTTTTTTTAAATTATACTTTAAGTTTTGGGGTACATGTGCACAACGTGCAGGTTTGTTACCTAAGTATGCATATGCCATGTTGGTGTGCTGCACCCGTTAACTAGTCATTTACATTAGGTATATCTCCTAATGCTATCCCTCTCCCCTCCCCCTACCCCGTGACAGGCCCCATTGTGTGATGTTCCCCACCCTGTGTCCAGGTGTTCTCATTGTTCAATTCCCACCTATGAGTGAGAACATGCGGGGTTTGGTTTTCTGTCCTTGTGAGAATGATGGTTTCCAGCTTCATCCATGTCCCTACAAAGGACATGAATTCATCCTTTTTTATGGCTGCATAGTATTCCATGGTGTATATGTGCCACATTTTCTTAATCCAGTCTATCATTGATGGACATTTGGGTTGGTTCCAAGTCTTTGCTATTGTGAATAGTGACACAATAAACATACGTGTGCATGTGTCTTTATGGCAGTATGATTTATAATCCTTTGGGTATATACCCCTGTGGTATATTTTCATGTATTTTTTCCTTAAGTGGCAATTGGGCCCAGACCTGGAAGACAATTTATATGGGCAGATTTTGTATGATTAAATGGAATTAAATATTTTCACATAAAAGGAGGATTCAGGTGGTATTTATTTCTTTTCTGAACTCTGTCTCTTAAATTATAAGATATGTGTTTGAATTTTATTTTGTTTTTCTCTTATTGAAAAAACTACTTGTCAGGCCGGTCATGGTAACTCACACCTGTAATTCCAGAAATCTGGGAGGTCGAGGTGGGTGGATCACTTGAGGTCAGGAGTTCAAGACCAGCCTGGCCAACATGGTGAAATCTTATCTGTACAAAAATTACAAAAATTAGCCGGGCATGGTGGCACACACCTGTAATCCCAGCTACTGGGGTGGCTGAGGCAGAAGAATTGCTTGAGGCTGGGAGGTGGAGGTTGAAAGGTTGCAGTGAGCCGAGATGGTGCTATTGCATTTCAGCCTGGGTGACAGAGCGAGACTCCATCTCAAAAAAGAATAACTACTTGTCCAGAACGTGTCAATGTGCACAGGTTTCATGATAATTCCTCCTGAAGAACTGATACTATCTTATATTTGCTGGGTATACAAATTTCCATTGATATATGGATAGATTTCTTTTCTCAGAAACTCATTTTAGGCTTTGGTTTTTTTAAAGGTACAACAAAAACTGGGACTGCCCATGAATGTTGACTATCCTTACCTCAGTTTGCTTCTCAGGAATGGAAAATTTCTGCCCCCAAACACCTAAGGCAGTAGCTTTCCTTCTCTCATCTGTTGACTCTGAGCCAGAGGATTCTTTCCAAATTTCTCTCACATACTCTGAGCATTTAGAATATTTAGAATAGTGCCCTTGACTGTCATGTGTAGTTTTCTAGGTTTGGTATTTACAAAGAAATAGGAAACTATGGATGCTTCTCAACATTACAGGAAGACATCCAGTGGGTAGTTTGGTAAGTCATAACCCTTCACAATCAGAGATTCTCCTCCATAAAGTTAGAGAGGTGGTTAAACCTGGGAATACAAATCTATGTCTGCAGCCCTGTGCAGTCTCAATGTGGGAAGTCTGGGCTTTTCTGTCTGCTGGCCTCAGCCATCTCCAAAATGCCCAGCTGTGAAACCAAGTCCTTAAACTTCCTCCGACCTCCACCCTCACTCTTGGTGCCAGGCTTCTGTTATGCTTATTCTCCATCTAGTGAGTTTTGCAAACTTCTGTTATCCATGACCACTTTCACACGTATTGACATTTACACACAGCATCTGTTCCATTATTTACTTAATAGTTTTCTTTAAATCAGTAAGTTTTGACTTCATTTATTTATGAGGGCAATTTTATGCCATTAGCACACACTTCAAAATCTATATATGCCATTATTTTATATGTTAATATAAAAATTAACATCACAGAAGCAGAGTGTAGTGGAAATTCTCATGACTGACCATGTCTCAAGTTCTGGGTTAGTATTTTGGTAGAGCTCCATAACATCTCCTTGCTGATTCCTTCAGCTAGAATTTGTTGTGGGCCTGCCACATTCTAGACACTGGGAATGGAGGGGGATAAGACAGATACGGTTTATGTGCTTGTGAAACTTAGGGTCTATTGAGAGAGAGAAACAAGAGAGATAAATAAGCAACTAAGCAAGCCAACCCTTCCCACCACGAAAATCAGAAAGCAGTGTCTCAAAAAAACAGAGAGAGTGTAGGGATGAAGAGTGCCTATGAGGTAGGTTTTTTTTTTTTTTTTTTTTTTTTTTTTTGAGACGGAGTCTCATTCTGTCACCAGGCTGGAGTACAGCGGTGCAATCTCGGCTCACTGCAACCTCCGCCTCCCGAGTTCAAGTGATTCTCCTGCCTCAGCCTCCCGAGTAGCTGGGATTACAGACATGCACTACCACACCTGGCTAATTTTTGTATTTTTAGTAGAGAAGGGGTTTCACCATGTTGGCCAGGCTGGTCTCAAACTCCTGACCTCAGGTGATCCGCCCACCTCGGCCTCCCAAAGTGCTGGGATTACAGGCATGAGAGGTAGTTCTTATTATTGTTTGCTTTCTACAGCTGAGGAATGGAAATACTAAGTATGTTAAGGAACCTACTCAAAGCCATAAAAGTAGGAAAAAGCAGTCAACTTTCCTCCAGTTAGGATGAGTGTGGACACAGACATCTTACTCACCAGAGTGAGTCCCGCGGTTGTGTTTATCTTCTCTGCCCACATAAATTCTTGTTTTTGTCTTGTTTTCTGCAGTGAACAGGAATTTCTAAAAGCAGCACCCTTCCCATTCTTCCTCCTTTTCTTCTTCAAATTCTCACTTGTCTGCTTTATTTTCCAGTTACTCAAATGCTATAGAATGAATGTCCCCTCTACCTTCTGCCCCGCAATTCCTGTGTTGAAATCCTAACCTCTAATACCTCCTGATGGTATCAGGAGGTGGAGCCTTTGGGAGGTGACTCAGATATAAGGATGAAGCCCTCATGAATGAGATTAATGCCCTCACACACACAAAATAACTCAGAGCTCGCTTGCCCCATTCTCCAGCCTTGTGAGTATACAATGAGAAGTCAGCAGCTGCAGCCCCAAAGAGAGCCTTCACCAGAACCCAAACATGCTGGCAATTTGTCCTCAGACTTCCAGCTTCCAGATCTGTGAGGAATACATTTCTGTTGATAATAAACTGCCCAGCCTAGAGTAGTCTGTTATTGCCCCTTAAACTAAGATACCAAGAAAAATAGCAGTCTTTGTAAAATGATGTATTCCAAGATATAACTTTTTTTTTTTTTTTTTTTTTTTTTTGTGGAGTGCGCAGGCAAATAAAGGAGCCACACATTTCAGTTGAATGAATGCAAGAGTTAAGCATTTTTAAAAGTTACAAATTATGAAGATTGTGATGCTACAGAATGATACCTTTTCAGCTTCTGTTGTCATTAACTTGGAATTATAATGGCTACTTTGAGTATTGAAAATGAGAATATTGTGCAAATCGGTCATTCCACCCTTCAAGGATATGGTTAGGGTTCTTTCTAAGATTATAAGGCAATGATTAAGCTGGATTATGCTGAAGCATCTTTCAGAATTGCAAAGGTACTTTATGAGTACAGTGTGGAAATTTTAAGTTTGAGGATAGCGCCCTCTTCTGGTTGAAAGTTCTCTTTTTTTTTCTTAATGTGTTTTCTATTTCATATTCAAATAGAAATATAATACAAAACTTGTCCTGGGAATTAATTTTTTAAAAAATTTAAAGTTGAGAAGTGGAACATAAGTTGTCATAATGTGAGGTTTTGGAAAGGTAAATCCCACCTCTAAAGCCTCCGAAATTCCTCTCCTATTCTGGTGTATGTGAAATTTGAGTGTACTCTGTAACATACTCTAAACACAAGATACAATGAGTGTGTGTAGAGTATCGTATTAAAGTGGTTGCTTAGATTTCCAGCATTGATGAAATATGTTTTTAATCGTAAGTAATTTCGAAATTGTTTTAAGGATTGAACACACTTATCAGGGAATGATTGTTGAATGGCTGATGCTATTTCCTATGAAAATGAGAGCACAGTGCTTAGTTTGTATCATTTTTATTTCTTCTAGCCTCTCATTCTCTCTTTCCATGGCTTAAACTTAATACTCACGCAAGCAGTATGTGGTTTCTTCCCAGCCTCCTCTCATTTGCCCATCCACATAATGGCTTTGCCTGGAGCTCTTTCCGTTAAATGACATGCTGAGGCAGCTTTTCATGGCAGTTTCATAACCAAAATAATATTTCCATGCTTTTCCTACTGTCAAATGTATATGAAGATGGAAAATGGGAAGAAACCGGACTTCAGTTCTGGGTTCCTATTCAAATCAATTTCCTTTAAAACAAACGCAAACTGAATCTGATGTTCATTTTCTTAAGTAATAGTTTGGAAGGCCCAACTTGGGTGGGTTGCCTTAGACATCATGTTTATTTAACTAGAAGGAATAACATAAGGTTCTGCCTCCCTTGATTTCTTCTTTGTAAGAGCAAGCACAAATATCTTGTCTTTTATTGGCACAAAAACAATAATCTACACAGAAATTAAATCTTTTGTTTATGCTGTTTTAGGAAACGATATAAGAAACTTTGAATGTCTTGACGATGAGCTAACTAGGAAAGACACATCCTGTTCTTCACACAGATGTAGCAAAGATGTTACGTAGTCTTAAACCTCCACCCCTCTGTGACCCAGTTGCTGTATCTAATAATAATACAGAAATTTAGATTTTTAAAAGAAGTACTTACTTTTTGTGAAGCCAACTGCTTACTGAAAAAGAGACCATGTTCCCTACTGGCCTTAGAATAACTGTGTAGGTACCGCCATCTAGTGGTGGTTTTGCAGACTAAAGCAAAAGAGGTTTCCATTGTCTAATTTGAAGTAGCTCTCTTCTATTAGAGATAAATTGTCAGCTGAGATGAAATGCTGCACCTGAAATTTACTTACATTTTAAATTAAACTTTGAAAGACACAATCATTCCCAAAGTAAATGAAAATTTATACAACTAAGATTTCTTAAAATCCTCTGTGGGAGGTGGCATGAAACCCAGGGCGGGTAGAAGAAACCTTGAACTTTGGAATTTGTTGAGTGTGAGTTGTAATACCTGCACCAGCTGTGTGGCTTGAGGCAAAACACATATCCTCCCTTGAACCTCAGCTAGACTTTTTTTTTTTTTTTTTTTTTGACAGAATCTCGCTCTGTTGCCCAGGCTGGAGTGCAGTGGCACAATCTCAGCTCATTGCAGCCTCTGCCTCCCGGGTTCAAGCAATCCTTCTGCCTCAGCCTCCCAAGTAGTTGAGACTACAGACGCGCGCCGCCACGCCTGGCTAATTGTTGTATTTTTAGTAGAGACGAGGTTTCACCTTGTTGTCCAGGATGGTCTTGATCTCCTGACCTCGTGATCCGCCCACCTCAGCCTCCCAAAGTGGTGGGATTACAGTTATGAGCCACCACAACCGGCCAGCTAGACTATTTTTACAATGACAATGACATAAGCATATCTACTTAATGGGTTGTTGTGAATATGTCAGGGGCTCATGTAGGTCGGGCTCAAGGAATGGTAACTATTTTTATAGTTATTCTGCATTAAAGAACTAAAACATCAGTATTTGTAGGGATTTTTCTCCACATCAACTGTAAATTTCTTGAGGGTGGAAGCTGCCTTAGCCCGCTACCCTTTGGATCTGAGATGCCTGGTGACCTGCCTGAGGCAGAGTAAATGTTTGTAGAATGCATGCATCTTGTTCCATCTTGCAAGCCAGGCTGTAGATGAGGTTAGAGGCTGGGGGTGAGATTTCTTTGCATTCCTCATAATTCATAGCATAGAAGTTAAAGTAATTGATTAGAACATTTGTTTATGAATCTTTGATGAATATGCTGAAACTTGTGCACCATTTACTTTGTCATTTAGCTATGTGTTAATATATCCTTCAAGTAAGGAAGTCTTTAATCCCAGAATTTTTTTTTTCATTTTTCATTTCCCATAAAAATCTCAACTCCTTGTTTATATTGTCCATTGCTTAATAATCTCTAATAGCATTGCTCTTGAGTTTATATGAAATTGCTCTGTGGAAAATAATATGGCTACTTCTTCTTCTTTACCTCCCAAATTTTGAAATGTCCAGTGTGGTTTACTTGCAAAAGAGTGAATGTCTTCTGGTTGAAATTTAATTGACAAGGCCTGCTGTTGGCTTCTGGGACTTGAGTTTAATTTTCTTTTGGGAAATGTATCAAGCGGCCTGCCTTCAAAGCCATCTCTCTTTTTTTTTTTCTTTTTATTCATTTGCTCCTACCTGGAGCAAGAGACAAATAATCTGAAGGAATTTTCCCATGGCACATTTGATTGGTATATGCTTCCCCCACTAGAATGTCAGCTCTGGAAGAACCGATATACAATTATATGCCAGTGTGTAGCAGAGAATCAATGTCTAATGTTGAATGAATAAGCACATAGAGAAAAAAGGAACAATTAATGATGGAGGCAAAAATGCAGATTTTTAAAAAAATTTAGTTTTTAAAATACAAGATCTGCCCAATATGGTTTCAGCTGTGTGTGAAACGTTATAATGGGAAGGCAAGCAAATCAGTGAGAAGATCAGTGACTTTGGAGTCAAATAGCCCTAGGAACAAATCTTGGCTCTGCCATGTGCAAGGACTATGTGTAAATTAATTGTTTAGAACTTCAGCTTCTTATATGTAAAATTAGGATAATAATAACTTCTTCATGGGGTTGTTGTGAGAAATAAATGACAAAGAGCATTTAGTATAATATCTGGAGTGTACTGAGTTTTGCTGTGTGGGCATAAATGAGAGAGCATCTAACCCTAGTTGGAGAGACCAGGCTTCATTGAGGAGGAGGTGTTTCAGCTGGAGTTTGACAAACTGGAATGAATGCAGTAGATTATAGTCCAGTAAGAAGAACTAACTGAAATGCTTGGGACCAAAAGTGTTTCAGATTTCAGATTTTTAAACTTGAGAATAATTGCATATGCATCATGAGAATCTTGGGAATGGAATCGAAGCCTAAACACGAAATTTATTCGTGTTTTATATGCACCATGTACACATAGCCTGAAGGTAAATTTAAACATTTTCAAATAATTTTGTGCATGAAACAAAGTTTGTATTAGGTACTTATGTGTGGAATTTTCCACTCATGGTGTTATGTCGGGTGTTCAAAAAGGTTTAAATCTTGGAGCATTTTGGATTTTAGATTTTCAGATTAGGGATGCTCAAACTGTCTATACACATATTTATCTCGTTTTATCACTGGCTTATTTGGTTTACCTTCACCTGGCAGAAATGGTTTCCAAGTTCTTAGGCTAGAGACATAACCTTTATTCTCGATCATATGAGGTACTTTCTGATAGAGGCTAAAAGAGTTACTCTCGGCGGGGCACGGTGGCTCAGGCATGTAATCCCACACTTTGGGAGGCCGAGGCGGGCGGATCATGAGGTCAGGAGATGGAGACCATCCTGGCTAACACGATGAAACCCCGTCTCTACTAAAAATACAAAAATTAGCCGGGCATGGTGGCGGGTGCCTGTAGTCCCAGCTACTCGGGAGGCTGAGGCAGGAGAATGGCATGAACCCGGGAGGCGGAGCTTGCAATGAGAGGAGATCAGGCCACTGCACTCCAGCCTGGAAGACAGAGCAAGACTCCATCTCAAAAAAAAAAAAAGAGTGACTCTCTATGCTGGTTTAAAATCACTCAATGTAGACAAATAACATATAAATAAATAAACATACAGCCTGGGTACAACAGCTACACCAATTGAACCAAACTCTCTGGGAGTACTTGCCAGTATGGCAATAATAAAATGACTGATCAGATTATAACAGGTGTTGGCAAAAATGGAGAGAGATAAGAATCTTCCTACACTGCTGGTGGGAATGTAAAATGCAGCCACTTTGGAGAGCACTTGGACAAGTATCTCAAAAGGTTAAACATGTAGTTACCATATGACCCAGAGATTTCAATTCTAGGTATATATTTAAGAGAAGCGAGGCCGGGCATGGTGGCTCAGGCCTGTAATCCCAGCACTTTGGGAGGCCAAGGCAGGCAGATCACAAGGTCAACAGATCGAGACCATCCTGGCCAATATGGTGAAACCCCATCTCTACTGAAAATACAAAAATTAGCTGGGTGTGGTGGCGCACGCCTGTAGTCCCAGCTACACGGGTGGCTGAGGCAGGGGAATCGCTTGAAATCGAGAGGCGGAGGTTGCAGTGAGCCAAGATAGTGCCACTGCACTCATTCCAGCCTGGCGACAGAGTGAGACTGCCCCTCAAATAAAAAGAGAGGTGAAAATATATGCCCACACCAAAACCTGTACATGAATGGTCATGGTGGCATTATTTGTAATAGTCAAAAAGTGGGAACAATTCAAATGTCCATCAACTGACGAATGGATAAATAAAATGTGACATATCCGTACAATGAAATATTGTTTGCAACAAATAGAATGAAGTGCTGTTATGAAATGTGTGCTAAGTGAAAGAAACTAGACACAAAAGGTGACATTTTGTATGATTCAATATAGAGAGGCAAATTCATAGAAACTGAATAGGTTAGCGAATACTTAGGGCTGGGTAAAGGGAGGATTGGGGATAATAGCTCATGGTTATTTTTTTATTTTATTTATTTATTTATTTATTTATTGAGATGGAATCTCACTCTTTGACCCAGGCTGGAGTGCAGGGGTGCAATCTCGGCTCACTGCAACCTCTGCCTCCTGGGTTCAAGTGATTCTCCTGCCTCAGCCTTCCAAGTAACTGGGATTACAGACATGCGCCACCACACCTGGCTAATTTTTTGTATTTTTAGTAGAGGCAGGGTTTCACCATGTTGACCAGGCTGGTCTCAAACTCCTGACCTCAAGTGATCAGCCTCCCTTGGCCTCACAAAGTGCTGGGATTACAGGTGTGAACCACTGTGGCCAGCCAAGTTTTTTTTTTTTCGAAGTGATATAAATGTTCTAAAATTAATTGTGATAGCTGCACAAACCTTTAAATATACTAACATGGATTGAATTGGATACTTTAAATGGGTGAATTCTGTGGTATGTGAGTTATATGTCCATAAAGCTACTACAAAAATAATTTCGGGGGATGAGGTCTGAGTGATTCTGATAAATAGTGTGTGTGAAAAACCGCTATTCTTAATGGACCAAAGTAACCAATCTTTACTGCTGTACGTGTAGTTTAAACCAGCTATTGACTGCAAGGGATGGGTGAGAGTGGGGACAGCCAGTAATATAACTTCATAGTTTAAGGACAATTTAATTTCTGCTGTACATCAGCTATTTTAGCTTAAAAGACTGTTTGCATGCAAGAAATGACACTTGGTCATGAAGGTTTTGAAAATATTTAAGTAATGTCAACTCAACATTGAATCAAATATAGTGTGATCAAATTTACTCTGGTAAAGAGTAGAAAGAAACTAAATTTAGGACATGATCATGATAAGATAAATAAAAATGCTGTGTGAAGGAGCCAGGAGGTGTACTCTTTGATGGTAAATTCTGCATTTTTATTTGACCTAGTTGGATTTTCGTCAGAATGTTCCAAATAAAGATATATCTTTGAGGATAAAATGTTTGGCTTCATGATAACACCTTTGGGGTTTTTGACATCGACTTATATTTATTTTTTCAGATAAAAATATGGCATTATTTTTATCTAGTTTCCAGAAAACATTCTTGTGCAAATGTTTCTGTCTTTGGCAGGTTGACATATTAGAATATGAGTTCAAAGACTTCCATAAAAATATTTTATAACTCCTTGTTTTTCTTTAAAATGTGATTTTTTAATCAAAAAATGTTTTTTTTTCTAGTGTTAAGAATATTTTCTTTGGGCAAGAAAGTTTTTGTTTTGTCATTTGAGAGGTTTTTAAGTTGCTGTTCTGTATATAGTGACAGAGCACAGGATTTGTTGGAGTCGAGTAAGTTTTTGTTTTATATATGTATATTGATATGGTTTGGCTCTGTCCCCATCCAACTCTCATCTCAAATTGTAATAATGGGGGTGGTTCCCCCATGCCATTCTCGTGATAGTGAGTGGGTTCTCACGAGATCTAGCTGTTTGATAAGTATCTGGCACTTCGACCCCACCCCCCACCGCCTTGTGAAGAAGGTGCCTGCTTCTCCTTTGCCTTCTGCCATGATTGTAAGTTTCCTGAGGCCTCCCCAGCCATGCAGAACTGTGAGTCAATTAAACGTCTTTCCTTGATAAATTACCCAGCCTCAGGTAGTATCTTTATAGCAGTGTGAAAACAGAGTAATACATATATGTATCTGATTAAATATATATTTCTACAAAGCTTATGAAAAATATTTTTGGTCAAATAATGTAATTATGCTGCTACTTTTGATATTTCAGTTTTGTACCTTATCCGTTGATATGTGCAAAACTGATGTGATCTGTTGAGGTTGTAAATTAATAGAAATAATAATGGAAGATAGGGATTAAGCTCTGTTTACCCACTCCTCCGATATGTACATTTATAATATTCTCATCTTTCTATTATGTGATTGTTTTAGGTAAATAAGTCTTTAATGTTTATATTGTTATGACTATAAACACTGACTTCAGAAGATTCATGTTGTTATGCTTAAATGTCCTTTTTTGATGTCCTACCTTTATTTTTTTCTGGAAATGACATCTGCTTTGGGTTTGCTTTTGATTAAATGTACTTATTACTAATTTATCTGTAACTTGCTCTCAGTTTTATAATAATTTTTCAATGTGATCAAGCACTTGGGATAATTATTCAGTTTCATCTTGGAAACATTTCTTCTGTAGTTTCCTGCCTGCCCCAATCCACATTATTTATATTTAGGCCTGTTGAAAACTTTTTTTTTGAGTTTATCTTTATTCCTCTCTGGTGCTTTGTTTCTCATTTCTGGGATCCTTGTCTGCCTCTTTTTAAAGTTAGTTTTAGTTTTGGCTTTGTTTAACCATTTAATTTGAATACATTATAAATGAATAGAAAGTTTCAAAGATAGCACTGAGAAAACTTGTTTAGCCTTCACTTAGTTTCCTCCAGTTGTTACCTCTTATGTAACTAAAGCACAAAAATCAAAACCAGGAAACTGAAATTCTGTAATGTATGTATGTAGTTCTATGTCATTTTATCACATGTGCAGATTTCTTTTACCACCATGATCAAAATACCTAACTGTTCCCTTTCAACAAAAATCCTTTTATTCTACCCATTTATCATTACCTCCACCTCCTTTTCAGCATCCCTCATCCTTGGCAGCTACTAATTTGTTGTCCCTATCTACAATTTTGTCATTTCAAGAATTTTACCTACATGGATCATATAATGTTTGAGATTGGCTTTTTTTCAGTAGGCATAATGACTTTGAGATCCATCTAGGTTGCTGTTTATAGCAGTATTTTGTTCTTTTTTATTCCTGAATTTTATTTCATGGCAGGGATCTACTGCAATTTGTTTAACTGTTCACCTATAGGACATTTTGGCCGTTTCCAAGTCTTTTGGCTATTACAAATAAAGTTACTATAAGCAATTGTGTACAAGTTTGTTTGTGTGAGACAGGATCTCCTTCTGTCTCTCAGGCTGGAGTGCAGTGGCACTAACACAGCTCACTGCGGCCTCAACCTCCTGGGCTCAAATGATCCTTTTGCCTTAGCCTTCTGAGTAGCTGGAACCAAAGGTGCATGCCATCATGCCTGGCTAATTTTTTAAAAAAAATTTTGTAGAAACGGAGTCTCACCATGTAGCTCAGGCTGGTTTCAAACTCCTGGGCTCAAGTGATCCTCCTGTCTCAGCCTCCCAAAGTGCTGGAATTACAGGCATGAATCACCACATCCAGCTGTGTACAGGTTTTGATGTAAAGATGAATTTTCATTTATTTGGCATAAGTGCCTAGATGTATGATTGCTGGGTCATATGGTAAGAATTTGTTTTGTATCTTATGTTAAAATAGCCACTCCTATTTTCTTTTGATCATTGTTTGTATGGCATGTATATTTCTATCTTTTTACTTTCCACGTATATATATCATTATATTTGAAGTGAGTTCCTTGTAGACAGCTTGTAGTTAGGTCGTGTTTTTTCACTCCACTCCATCAGTCTCTTTTACTTGGTGTATTTAGAGTATTTGTATTTAATGTAATTGTTGTTATGCTTGTTAGTGCTTAAGTCTTTTATTATAATTTTGCTTTTTTATTTTTCTCTCTCTCCTTTTCATTTCTTTATTTTTTCTCTGCCTTTCTTTGGGTTACTTGAACATTTTTGAATTTCATTTTGATTTATCAATAGTATCTCTTGTATCTCCTTTCCTGTTGGTTTTCTAGTGGTTGCTCTAGCTATTAAACTATATATGCATTAGTTAATAAAGTTTACTGGTGTCAACACTTTACCAGTTGAAGTGAAATATAGAAACTTTACCTCTCTTTAAGCCCATTTACTCCCCACCATTTATATACCCCATATAATTATTTTTAATATCTCATGTATATATACTAAGAATAATATCAGACATTGTTATAATCTTTGCTTAGATACAAAACAAAAATTAAAAATTCAAGAGGAGGAAAAAGTCTATTTTATTTATAATTTTTTTCTTTTTATTCTTCGTGATGTCCAAAGAGTCCTTTGTTTAGTATTTCCTTTCTATTCGATAAATAACAGATAAATAACTTCCTCTGGCATTCTTTTGGTCTAGGTCTGCTGGTGACAAATTTTCTTAGTTTTCCTTTATCTGAGAATGTCTTTGTTATGGGTGAATAGTGACTCTCAAATATACACGTTGAAAACCTAATCCCCAGTACCTCAAAATGGAAATATGGTCATTGCAGATGTTATATTAGTCTGATCTCATACTGCTCTAAAGATACTACCTGAGACCGGGTAATTTATAAAGGGAAGGAGTTAATTGACTCACAGTTCCAGATAGCTAAGGAGGCCTCAGGAAACTTAAATTATGGCAGAAGGTGAAAGGGAAACAAGGACCTTCTTCACAGGGCTTTAGGAGAGAGAAGTACAAGCAGGGGAAATGCCAGACGCTTATAAAACTATCAGATTTTGTGAAAACTTGCTCACTATCATGAGAACAGCATGGGGGAAACCACCCCCACGATCCAATCACTTCCCTCCCTCAACATGTGGGGATTATAATTCGAGATGAGATTCAAGTGGAGACACAGAGACAAACCATATCAGATGAATTTAGGTCAATTAAAATGGGGTCAGACCAGAGTGGTGTGGGCCCTTAACCTCAAGTAACTGGTGTTCTTAGAAGAGACACACTCTCAAACACAGAGGAAGAGATCCCTGTGAAGACAGAAGCAAAAATTGGAGTGATGATGCCACAAGCCAAAGGATGGACTGGGGTTACCTGAAGCTGGAAGAGGAAAGGAAGGATTCTCCCCTAGCAGCTTCAGAGGGAACATGGTCCAGACAGCACCTTAATGTTAGAATTTAAGTCTTCAGAAATGTGAGAGAATAAATTTACACAGTTTTAATCCACAGGTGTGTGGATAATTTGTTTCAGCAGCTCTAGAAAATGAACACAGGTTGATTGATACATTTCTGAGCAAAGCATCTTTCAGTCTTAAGCCTGTAAGTTACCTGTCAGGTTGCCACTGCTGTAAACTGAGACTCATGTGAATGGGAGGTTGGAGCAGCCTGGGCAGTCTCAGTGTTCAGGAAATAACTTCCTCTGAGTCCCCCTTATGTTTAGCATGGTACCCTTCCCTCAAATGCATGTGGTTTCCTCTAGTCCTGAAACCATCAGTTTCACCCTCTCCAAAAAAATAGCTCACAAGTCTTTGGCAGTTGAGAGTGGTGGAGGTGGTGGGTCACCCAGCTGTCATGAGTAGGAGCATATGGAATGGGCCTTGCTGATTATTCATGGGACTTTCAAGCAAACTGTTTATTTTTAGTCCCTTTCCCTACCACTTCCAGGTGGCATGGGGAATTTTTGACCCTTTGGGAGTTGGGCAAGCAAATCATATTGCTTCCTGGTGTTGTACTGCCTGCAAAGCTCAGGTGACAACATCAGATTCCACACATCCTCACAATTTCCTGCTTCCAGAATCTTATCCCCTTCTCCTGTTCTGTGTTATTCTCTGTTCATACTGTTATAAAACTTTTATGCTCTCATTTTAGTGGGTGTTTTAGAAGATAGTGGAATTTCATCCACTATCTTCATCTGGAGGCTCAGAATTGTCTTCATAATATTTACTAAGCATCCGAGTTCCTTCTTAAATCACTGTGTCTTCTAGCCATTGTGATATGCCATTTCTTGCAGACCTCATTTTTCAATAATATTCTTCCTTTTTTTTTTTTTTTGAGACAGGATCTTACTCTATTGCTTAGGCTAGAGTGCAGCAGCACAATTATAGCTCACTGCAGCCTTGAACTCTTGGGCTCAAGTGATCCTCCTGCTTCAGCCTCCCGACAGGCTGGGACTACAGGAGGAAGTGTGCCACCATGCCTGGCTAATTTTTTAATGCCATGCCTGGCTAACTTTTTAACGTGTAGTAGGTATGGGATCTTGCTGTGTCACCCAGGCTGGTCTGGAACTCCTGGGCTAAATGATTCTTCTGCCTCGGTCTCACAAAGCACTGGGATTACAGACGTGAACTATCGTGCTGGTTCCATTTTTGTATATTCTTATTTTTCCTCTCCTGGTCCTCAAGCTTTATCAGGGTATAATTGACAAATAAAAAGTGTATATATTTATGGTGTACAATGTGACATTTTGATATGTGTATACATTGTGAAATAATTAAAGCTAATTAACACATCCAATACGTTACATACTTATCATTTTTTGATAAGAACATTTGAGTTTTAATCTCTCATCAATTTTCAAATATATATTATTATTAATTACAATCACTATGCTATTATTCTTAACTTCAGGCTACAGTTACTATAGTAGGAAAATTTGTGCTTATTAGTATTTTTATGCTTTTTAAATGCTAATAGAGTTATCATCCTTGCCGCCCTGTTTTGTGACCCTGAATATATATTATACTTCAGAATTACCACTGCAAGTTTATAATATCCTTAGAATTACCATAAATATAAAGATGAAAGCAAAATGTTTACATATTTCTAAATGTCTTTCTGAGGAAACAAGATACTTTTTTTTTCATCACAGTGGAATCCCTTATGGTAGATAAATGAATGGAATAGAAAACAGGAAGAGGCAAGATTCATTTATATAAGAATATAATCTTCTCTCTCTCTCTCTCTCTCTCTCATGCCCACACACGTGCACACTCATGCACACCAGACCCATACTTTAAAAGCTCACAGTAACTCTAGGAAGTGGGTACTAATGCAATTAGTACCTTCCTCATTTTACAAAGAGAGCTACAGAATTGCCCAAGGTTACACAGTTAATAAGTGACTGAGTTGGAATTTGCACATAGGTAGCCTGGAGACAGAGTAGCTGGCACAGAGTAAGAGCTCAGTAAATTTAGTTGATGTTATTATTATTACTTCACTGGAGTATACTTGTATCATATCACCTAGTTCCTCCAAGAATCCGATTTTTACATTATGCCTTAATTTGTATCAAAGGATACTTCTAGATTTATATAAAATGTGCTTCTACCTTTGCTCTAAAAATGATATTTGTAATATTTTATGTTACAATATGCAGTGTCTCTCCTGCAGAGAAATACAAGAGAAATTTTCTTTTTGACTTTAGGTTCAAACAAAAACAAACAAAAAATATATACACCCAGCACAGTGGCTCACACCTGTAATCTCAGCACTTTGGGAGGCCGAGGTGGGAGTTCAACCCAAGAGTTCAAGACCAGCCTGGGTAACATGATGCGATCCCATTTCTACCAGTTTTTTTTTTCATTGCTCAGTGTGGTGGCGTGCACCTGTGGTCCCAGCTACTCAGGAGGCTGAAGTGGGAGGATCACTTGAGCCCAGGAGGTTGAAGCTGCAGTGAGCCATGTTTGGGCCACTGCACTCCAGCCTGGGCGAAAGAGTGAAACCCTGTCTCAAAAAAAAAAAAAAAAGAAAAAAAAAAAGGAAAAAAGGAAAAAGAAACAAATAAAAATAAAACATACAAACACATTTGCTATTTGGCTTCCTTTTGATCATAAGAGTTATGAAAATTATGCACCAATTTATTTTTTCCTGCTCTGAAACTCAGCCACAGAGGGAGAACTGACTAGTTTCACCTGGTAAAGACAGATAAGTTGTCCTATATTGGTTCTTGAAGAATTATGTCCTTACTTAGTTATTTATAATGATCAAATTATTATTTATTTTCCCTAAATGAGTTTATAGTCAAAAATAGATTATATGATTATAGTCAAAACTTACAGATTTTTATAAGCAAATGTTCCCTTGGTTTGGGCATTTAAAGTAAAACTTCAACTCTTATTAATGGCTGTATATAAGAGGAAAATCATAAAAAGTGTATGAAATTTTTATAACATTATTCAAGAAGTAAAGAACTGATGTGTTTAAAAATATAAACAAATAAAGCTGTATGTTTTTAATGAGCTGATTAAGATAGTTGAGTTGCTGAGTATATATTTATTTGCCTATAAATTATATCAGTCATGTGCTAGTGGTAGAGTTCACAATAGGAGTTTTGATGAGTGTAAGATTGTGAGTGACCCTCTCTCTTTATATGTAATTCTGAGCAGAAGTGACAGCTATTCTACCCATTTAATGGTGTGTTTGGTAATGTAAGTTATTCACCATTGTGTCCTACTGTAAAAATTGTGCAGTTTCTTTGCCAAGTCATATTACATCTGGTATAAAAATGTCCCATTTTTAATTCTATTTCCTCAAAATGGTATGCTTTGTGGCACCATATGAAGGTGCTTTAGTGATTATTGTATATTACAGTGAACACTGTTGATTACTGTATTGACCTGATTGAGATATTATCCAAGTGTGTCTGAGAAATATAAATTTGTGGTAAGTTAGAGAGTGAAGACATCTGTATTAGTTTATTTTCACACTGTTATAAAGAACTGCCTGAGACTGGGTAATTTATAAAGGAGAGAGGTTTAATTGACTCACAATTCTGCATGGCTGGAGAAGCCTCAGGAAACTTACAATCATGGAAGATGGGGAAGTAAACACATCCTTCTTCACAAGGCAGCAGGAGAGAGAAGAGTGGTAGAGTGAAGGCAGGAGAACCCATTATAAAACCATTAGATCTTGGCCGGGTGCGGTAGCTCATGCCTGTAATACCAGCACTTTGGGAAGTTGAGGTGGGCAGATCACTTGAAGTCAGGAGTTCAAGACCAGCCTGGCCAATATGGTGAAACCCTGTCTAACCTTGTCTCTACTAGAAATATAAAAATTAGCCAGGTGTAGTGGTGGATGCCTGTAATCCCAGCTACTTGGGAGGCTGAGGCAGGAGAGTTGCTTGAACCTGAGAGGCGGGGGTTGAAAGGAGCCGAGATTGTATACTCCAGCTTGGGTGACAGAGGGAGTCTCTGTCTCAAAAAATAAAATAAAACCATTAGATCTCATGAAAACTCATTCACTATCACAAAAACAGCATGAAGGAAGCTGTCCCCATGATCCAATCACCTCTACCTGGTTTCTTCCTCAACACCTAGGGATTATGGGATTACAATTCAAGATGAGATTTGGGTGGGGACACAAAGCCTAACCATATCAACATCTTTGAGATCATTAACTCAAGTTCCCTTATTTTACATCAGAAGTAAAGGAAACTTAGGAAAGGATAAATTAGATGATTTTCTGTGGGTTGCAGTGTTGCCAGAGCTAACTTTGTGATACCCAGGCCTGTTCACCACACTTTCTACTTCACCATATTATAAATTTAGGAAAACTCCATAATACATGACTCATGTTGAAGAAACTTCTGGGGCGGGGCCAAGATGGCCAACTAGAAACAGCAACGTTCGGAGGCTCCCATCGAAAAAAAAAACCATAGTAAGTATGTGAATTCTTCACCAGCAACCAAGGTATCCAGGTTTTCTCATCAAAATTGACAAAAAGGCTGGTGTGACTCTTGGAGAGAAGGAAGAACAGTGAGGTGCAGCAGCTTACCTCAGAGCCACACGGGGAAGGGGAACCCCCTCTCCCCAGCCAAGGGAGGTGGTGAGTGAGCATGCTACCCAGCTGGGGAAACTGTGCTTTTTCCACGGAACTGTGCAACCCATGGATTGGAAGATCCCACTTGCAAACTCATGCCACCAGGGCTTAGTGTCCCAACCCTAGAATGGTTAGATTCTTGCAGCCTCTCAGCTGGAATCTGCTTAAGCCTACTGAACTCCTGGAGTGAGGGGTGACCCGCACCAGCTGTGGCTGCCTGCTGTCTAACCCATTTGAGCTCCTTAGGGGAGGGGCATCAGCCAGCGCTGGGACTCACAACTACCTAAAATGCTAAGCTCCCTGGTCAGGGGAAGGGCGGCACCCATTTCCATAGCTCCAGGCTGTGCTTTTCCCCTGCTGGAGCCAGGGAGGCTGAATGGCTTGGTCCCAAGGCTTGTCCCCACAGCCCAACACACAAGTTGTGGCCAGAGTGCCTCTTCAGGCATAAACCTTATCCATCCTTCCTCATTGGGTGAGGCTTCTCTGCAGGATCTCCAATAACTCCAGCCAGAGGCTCAGGGACAGAATTCGAATCTCCCTGGGCCTCAGCACCTAGGGGGAAGGGTGACTGCATTCTCTGTGGACCAGCAGACTTAGCCTCTCCTCCTGGTAGTTCTAAGGAATCTGGGCAGCCCAGACAAATGGGTTTCCCCCGAAGAAAAGCATACCCTCTCCACTAAGGGACAAAGTGCTTTTTTAAGTGGGTCCTGCTCCTTGTGCCACTCAGCTGGGTGAGGACTTCCAACAGGGGTTGTCAGATACCCTATACAGGAACAATCCTGCTGGCATCAGGTTGGTGGCCCTCGAGGTCAGAGGTCCCAGAAGAAGGAGCAGGAGCCCATCTTTGCTCTTTTCCAGCCTCCTTGAGTGACCTCTCCAGGCACAGGAGTGAATCAGATGAATAGGGCCTGAAGTGAGCCCCGAGCAAACTGCAGCAGCCCTACGGAAGAGGGACCTGACTGTTGAAAGAAGAACAAAAAAGCAGAAAGTGGCAACAGCAGCATCAACACCACCAACCAAAAAAAGGCCTCCACGAAAACCCTGTCCAAGGGTCAGCAGCCTCAAAGACCAAAACTAGACAAACTCACAAAGATGAGAAATAATCAATGAAAAAAATGCTGAAAACCCAAAAGGACAAAATGGCTCCTCTCCTCCAGATGATCACAACATCTCTCCATCAAGGACACAGAACTAGACAGAGGATCAGATGGATGAAATGACAGAAGTAGGCTTCAGAAGATGGGTAATAAAAAAGTACACTGAACTAAAGGAGCATGTTCTAACCCAATTCAAAGAAACTAAGAACCTTGATAGAAGGTTAGATGAATTGCTAATTAGAATAACAGGTTTAGAGAGGAACATAAATGATCTGATGGAGCTGAAAAACACAGCATGAAAACTTCATGAAGCATACACAAGTGTGAACAGATGAATTGATCAAGTGGAGGAAAGGATATCAGAGATTGAAGACTACCTTACTGAAATAAGATATGCATTCTTGTCTAAGAATAGAGGAAAAAAGAATGAAAAGGAAGGAACAAAGCCTCCAAGAATTTTGGGACTTTGTAAAAAGACAAAACCTACGATTGAGTGGAGTACCAGAAGGAGACAGGGAGAACGGAAACAAGCTGGAAAACGCATTTCAGGATATTACCCAGGAGAACTTCCCCAACCTAGCAAGACAGACCAACATGAAAATTCAGGAAATACAGAGAACACCATTAAGATACAACATGAGAAGATCAACCCGAAGACACATAATCATCAGATTCTTCTAGGTTGAAATGAAGGAAAAACTTTTAAGGGCAGCCAGAGAGAAAGGCCAAGTCACCTCCAAAGGGAAGCCCATCAGACTAACAGAGGACCTCTCAGCAGAAAATCTACAAGCCAGAAGAGATTGGGGACCAATACTTAACATTCTTAAAGAAAAGAATTTTCAACCCGGCGTTTCATATCCAGCCAAACTAAGTTTTATAAGTGAAGGATAAATAAAATCCTTTCCAGACAAGCAAATGCTGAGGGATTTTATTATCACCAGGCCTGCTCTGCTTGAGCTTTTGAAAGAAGCACTAAATATGAAAAGGAAAAACCAGTACCAGTCACCGCAAAAACAGCAACATATAAAGACCAATGACACTATGAAGAAACTGCATCAGCTAGTGTGCAAAATAACCAAATAGCATCATGATGTCAGGATCCAATTCACACATAACAATATTAACCATAAATGTAAATGGGCTAAATGCCCCAATTAGAACACACAGACTGGCAAATTGGATAGAGTCAAGACCCATCAGTGCACTGTATTCAGGAGACCCATCTTACATGCAGAAACACACAGGCTCAAAATAAATGAATGGAGGAAAATTTATGAAGCAAATGGTAAACAAAACAAAAACAAACAAACAAAAAAAAAAAAACAACAAAAAAAAACAGGGGTTGCAATGCTAGTCTCCTACAAAACAGACTTTAAACCAAGAAAGACAAAAAAGGGCATTAGATAACAATAAAGGGAACAATTTAACAAGAAGACCTAACTATTCTAAATATATATACACCCAATACAGGAACACCCAGATTCATAAAACAAGTTCTTAGAGACTATAAAGAGACTTAGACTGCCACACAATAATAGTGGGAGACTTTAATACCCCACTGTCAGCATTAGACAGATCAAAGAGAAACAAAATTAACAAAGATATTCAGGACTTGAACTCATCTCTGGATCAAGTGGACCTAGTATACAGCTACAGAATTATCTACCCAAAATCAACAGAATATACATTCTTCTCAGTGCCACATGGCACTTATTCTAAAATTGACCACATACTTGGGAGTAAAACACTCCACAGCAAACGCAAAAGAACTGAAATCATAGCAAACAGTCTCTCAGACCACAGTGCAATTAAATTAGAACCCAGCATTAAGAATCTCACTCAAAACCACAAAATTTCATGGAAATTGGACAGCCTGCTCTTGAATGACTCCTGGGTAAATAATGAAATTAAGGCATAAATCAATAAGTTCTTTCAAACCAATGAGAACAGAGGCAATGTACCAAAATCTCTGGGACACAGCTAAAGCAGTGTTAAGAGGGAAATTTACAGCACTAAACACCCACATCAGAAAGCTGGAAAGATCTCAAATTGACACGCTAACATCCCAATTAAAAGAGCTAGAGAGGCAAGAGCAAACTAATCCAAAAGCTACAGAAGACAAGAAATAACCAAGATCAGAGCATAACTGAATGAGATAGAGACATGAAAAACCCTCCAAGAAATAAACAAATCCAGGAGCTAGTTTTTTGAAAAAATTAACAAAATAGATAGACTGCTAGCTAGACTAATAAAGCAGAGGGAGAAGAATAAAATAGATGCAATAAAAAATGATAAAGGGGGTATCGTCACTGACTGCACAGAAATACAAAGCACCATCAGAGAATAATGTAAACACCTCTACACAAATAAACTAGAAAATCTAGAAGAAATGGGTAAATTTCTGGACAAATACACCCTACCAAGACTAAACCAGGAAGCAGTTGAATCCCTGAAGAGACAAAAAGCTCTAAAATTGAGGCGGTAATTAATAGCCTACCAACCAAATAAAAGCCCAGGACCAGATGGATTCACAGCTGAATTCTACCAGAAACACAAAGAGGAGCTAGTACTATTCCTTCTGAAACTATTCCAAACAATTGAACAGGAGAGACTCCTCCCTGACTCATTATATGAAGCCAGCATCATCCTGATACCAAAACTGGGAAGAGACAAAACAAAAAAAGAAAACATCAGGCAAATATCCCTGATGAACATTGATGTGAAAATTCTCAATTAAAATACTGGCAAACTAAATCCAGCAGCACGTCAAAAAACTTATCCACCACAATCAAGTCAGCTTCATCCCTGGGATGCAAGGCTGGTTCAACATAAGCAAATCAATAAACGTCATCCATCACGTAAACAGAATCAAAGACAAAAACCACATGATTATCTCAATAGATGCAGAAAAGGCCTTTGATAAAATTCAACATCCCTTCGTGTTAAAAACTCTCAATAAATTAGGTATCAATGGAACATATCTCAAAATAATAAGAGCTATTTATGACAAACCCACAGCCAATATCATATTGAATGGGCAAAAGCTGGAGGCATTCCCTTTGAAAGTGGGCACAAGACAAGGATGCCCTCTGTCACCACCCCTATTCAACATAGTATTGGAAGTTCTGGCCATGGCAATTAGGCAAGAAAAAGAATTAAAGGGTATTCAAATAGGAAGAGAAGAGGTCAATATTTCTGTTTGCAGACATGATTTTATATTTAGAAAACCCCATCATCTCAGCCCAAAAACTTCTTGAGCTGATAAGCAACTTCAGCAAAGTTTCAGGATACAAAATCATTGTGCAAAAATCACAAGCATTCCTTTACACCAACAATAGGCAAGCCGAGAGCTAAATCATGAATGAACTCCCATTCACAATCACTACAAAGAGAATAAAATACCTAGGAGTACAGCTAACGAGGGATGTGAGAACTACAGATCACTGCTCAAGGAACTAAGGGAGGACACAAACAAATGGGAAAACATTCCATCCTCATGGATAGGAAGAATCAATATCATGAAAATGGCCATAATGCCCAAAGTAATTTATAGATTCAATGCTATTCCCATTAAACTACCATTGACATTCTTCACAGAATTAGGAAAAAAAATATTTTCAATTTCATGTGGAATCAAAGAATACCCCATATAGCTAAGACAATCCTAAGCAAAAAGAACAAAGCTGGAGTTATCACACTACTTGACTTCAAACTATACTACAAGGCTACAGTAACCAAAATAGCATGGTACTTGTACCAAAACAGACATGTAGAACAATGAAGCAGAACAGAGATCTCAGAAATAACACCACACATCTACAACCATTTGATCTTCAACAAACGTGACAAAAACAAGCAATGGGAAAATGATCTCCTATTCAGTAAACGGTGCTGGGAAAGCTGGCTAGCCATATGCAGAAAACTGAAACTGGACCCCTTCTTTACACTTGTACAAAAATCAACTCAAGATGGATTAAAGACTTAAATCTAAAACCAAAAACCATAAGATCCCTAGAAGAAAACCTAGGCAATATCATTTGGGACACAGGCATGGGCAAAGACTTCATGCAAAAATGCCAAAAGCAATTGCAACAAAAGCCAAAATTGATAACTGGGATCTAATTAAACTAAAGAGCTTCTGCACAGCAAAGAAACTATCATCAGAGGGAACAGGCAGCCTACAGAATGGGAGAAAATTTTTGCAATCTACCTATCTGACAAAGGGCTAATATCCAGAATTTATGAGTAACTTAAACATATTTACAAGGAAAAAAACAACCCCATCAAAAAGTGGGCAAAGGATATGAACAGACACTTCTCAAAAGAAGACATTTACGTGGTCAACAAACATGGAAGCTCAGCATCACTGATCATCAGAGAAATACAAATCAAAATCACAATGCGATACCATCTCATGCCAGTGAGAATGGCGGTAATTAAAAAGTCAGGAAACGATGCTGACGAGTCTATGGTGAAACAGGAACACTTTTACACTGTTGGTGGGAATGTAAATTAGTTCAGCCATTGTGGAAGACAGTATGGTGATTCCTCAAGGATCTAGAACCAGAAATACCATTTGACCCAGCAATCACATTACTGGGTATATACTCAAAGGAATATAAATCATTCTGCTATAAAGACACATGCACACGGTATGTATTTACAATAGCAAAGACATGGAACCAACCCAAATACCCATCAATGATAGACTGGATAAAGAAAATGTGGTACATATACACCATGGAATACTATGCAGCCATAAAAAGGAATGAGGCCATATCTTTTGCAGGGACATAGATGAAGCTGGAAGCCATCATCCTCAACAGACTAACACAGGAATGGAAAACCAAACACCACGTTCTCACTCATAAGTGGATGTCGAACATTGAGAATACATGGACACAGAGAAGGGAACAACACACACCAGGGTCTGTTGGGGGTTAGGGGGTGAGGGGAGGGAACTTAAAGGAAAAGTCAATAGGTGCAGCAAACCACCATGGCACATGAATACCTGTGTAACAAACCTGCATGTTCCGCACATGTATCTTTCTTTTTTTTTAGAAGAAATAAATAAGAAAAAGACAACCTTCTGGTATGAATTGATTGGCAGCTGGCCAAGCTGCCCTCCTCCTAGGTCCCATTCTCATTTTAGTAACCTCACAATAATAGAAGTCTGCTTCTGTTTGTGGTTGAATTTTATGGTGAGTTTTATTTGATGTAAAATATGATTTTTGCTTTTTATTGACGAACAGAATTTATAAGTGTGGAATGCTATGGAGGAGAGATGGCTAGCCCATTAATAGACATAATAAGGGATTCCTTATAAAGTCCTCAAAATATTTTGCACGTCAGTGTCATAAATTCCTATAAGTACAGAAAAAACAAATGGTGTAATGTGATAATGACTCATAGATCAACCTTCAGTCTCATGCCAGGCAACTTAGTGAACTGCCACAGGAAAAATATCTAGATAAAATCTTCTTGCATGACAGAGGGAATTCGAACAGTTTCCTTCAAGATAAAATAATGAATAATTCTAAGAACAAGGAAGTTATTTCTAAACATAAAACCACAGGCAAACCACATGAAGGAAATAACTGATGTAATTGACTAAATCAATACTGAAAATGTCTATTGTTAAAAATACCACAAATGAAATCAAATAATATATGACCAGCAAAAGTATTTGGAACATACATGAAAAGTGATTACTTCCTCTTTTATACAAACACTAAAATAGAAAACCTGGCAGAGGGACATAAGGCATTTTAGAAATGCAAAAATAGAAACGGTTAATAGATATGAATATAAATGTTCACTCCCAATAAAATAAATATAAATGATAAAAGTATCCAGTTTTCCTTCAGGATATGATTGGAGTAGTTTTTTTTAAAATACTTAAAAGGAGGAGTTGATGACAGTGTGGAGAGAGTAGCACTTTTATAGGAGTGTGAATTCGTATAGACTTCTGGAGGTGAACTTGTCTGTACATGTCAAAGGCCTTCCCATTTTGAAGTCCTTTGATGTACTAGCTATATTTCTAGTAATATTTCATATAGCTTAGAGCTGAGTATAAGGTTTTAAAACGAGGATATTGCTACATCAAACAAATAACAAAAAAAATTGAAAAAAATTCCAAATGTTTGAAAATAAATTGACATATGATTACATGTAATGTATCCAACAAATAATTATTAAATGACATCACATTTGATTTTAGATGATAAACATCATATAACCCAATTGTGTGTTCTTGAAGGCTGTATACCAGAGATTATCTCTGGGAGATGGAAATGCAGCATCTATTAATTCCTTATTTGTGTTTTCTATATTTTAATGGTTATATAAAATTTTGTACCATGAGAAATAATTAATAATTGCAAATGTGAAGGAAACTTTCTTAAAACTTATAAAAATCTGAGAGTGTAACACCAACTAAGAGTGGATGTGTATAGATTTCTCATTTATAAAAATAAAGTTTGGTGCTTACCAGCAGGTGGCAGTACAAAACAAGCAGTGAGAAATCCTTTGTAAACAAAGGTACCTCAAGACTGAAAATGAGGAGCGAGACTTGGGAGTGAAGCATTTCTCTTTTTCCTTGATATGCAGAATTGTAACCACAACACCAAGGTGAAGCCCTGCTTTATAATCATTTGGGTACTTAAATCGGAATTTACCTTAAAATATTAACGTACTCAGAGGTCAAAAAGTCAAGCAAAGCACTCCTGCAGGAGTTTCTGGTACTGTTTAGAGAGAGAGCAGAATCTATACTTCACATGCTTACATACTTATTTTATTATTATTAGTTATCAATATAGAATTGATGATTTTTGTGTTAAGATGCATACTGTATCCAAAATCCTAGGTCTTAAAAAGCTCTCTAAAATGCTGTTTAGTCCATCTAATTATTTTACTAAATATTTGTTTTAATCACAAATCATAAATTTAGAAGCTCTTGCTTGGCGGTTTATCGGCACTAGTTGGTGGTGTAACTGAGATTGATATCCATGTCTGTCAATTTCCCTTTAAGGAATGATGTGTATAATAAGAGCAAATTCTTGGAAGTTTTGTCTTCAGCAAGGATCAGTTTTGAAGTTAGAAGAATGGCTTCTCTTCTTCCTTTAGGGGATTTTGTTGGCTTTCTTAATTGACATTTTATCACTTTTCCCATCTTTAATTTATTTAACCAGAACCAAGAGCTCTGTCAATACTGAAATAGATATGTCGGTGGTAAGTTTGGTTGCTTTGGCACTTACAACTATTTGATGCTTGCTTTCAGGTAGTAGTGTGTATGTTTTAAATCCATTTCTGAATCAAATTCTGTGCTTATTAGGTCCCCGCTGTGTATATTTTTCTCTATGGCAAGAGAAAAACAGTTATTTAACGTTTTATATATTTCAGGATATGTAATTTTTTGTAAGTTTTCTTTCATTACAGACTTGTAAGGATTTTAATAACTGTATTTTGAAATAAAAATAAGCTAAAAAAAGCTAATTAACCCCAAAGAGGTTAATTAAACTCAAGGTCATAGAACCTAAAAGTATTGCATAATTGGCAATAAAGCCAGCTGCCGTTACCATTCTATTCTTAGCCATCGACCTCTCTCACCTGTCACTCCATCTGCTTCCTAACCCCATCTCCTTGATTTCTCTCTGCACTGCCTCCCCACCCCACATCCCTGAGTCAAGTTTCCACAGAGCCATGGAAGTATCCTTTAAACATGTATCAGCTCTGCCCCACCCTGCTCTGAACCCCCACATAGATTCCCATCATTCTTGCAATAAGTCTCCCTCACTCTCAACAAGGCATTTCAAGCTCTGTGTGATCTGACTGTCTCCTCCTCCAGTGTCTTCTGGTATCACTAGTCCTTGCTCGTTGGGCTCCAGTTATAATGGCCTTCTCATTCTTTCATAAAGCAAATTCCTTTCTAAAGCTTTAATGCATTAAGTCTTCTCCCTAGTTCTCTTCCTCACCTCTTCTCAGATGTTGCTCTGCAAAGAGAGATTCCCTGACTCCCTTTCTTGTGTTCTCTTTGTTTTTCTTCATTGCCATGATCACTACCTGACACTTGATCTCAAATCATTGTTTCCTTGTGCATTTTCTGTTTCTTTCACTAGAATGCATTCCCCAAGAGGACAGGGTCTTTGTTGTGATCACTGCTATATTTCAGTACCTAAAATAATGCCTGATAGGTGATAGACACTCAATGGATTTGTAATTACACAAGTGAATGAATGAATAAATAAAACACACACTTTCTGACTCTCAGTCCATGACTATGCTGGTCAGTTTAACAAAGAGTGAAATAAGTTTATTGTTAAGAGATGCCAGACTTTGAAATAAGTACATTAATTAGGGCCCTCCCTGCCTCGTATATAAAATGAGATGATAATAATAATCTTTATTTTACCTACCTTATGAAATTGTGGGAAGACTGAAAAGGAAATTGTTTTCATAAGAACTTTTTAAACTATGAGAAATTATGCAGATCATTGTTGTTAGAAAATTTTAGGTTCACCAGTCGAGGAAATTCGCTTTATGCCAACAGTGATAGCAGCAGAGGGAAGCCTGGGAAACATTTATTTTAAGACTGTGGGGAGGCAAGGGGAACAGAGATTGGAAGCCCAGGATTTTGAAGACAAATGAACTTGCATGTGAGTCCCAGCTCAAACTCTTACAATCGAGTAATCCTTGTGCAAATTATTTGAACTCTCTGACCCTTAGTTATTCTTGCATAAAGTGGGTAAGGGAAACTGTCTCAAGGGTTATTATTGAGATAGTAAATGAGATCGGTATACGCCAAGTGCAGTGCTACCTTCTTATGGAAAATAGGATGGCCTAGAATAAACCTTGTAGAACCCCAATAATTACTTTCTCACATTTGTTAAATAATGTATTGTTCAGGCCACCACCTGCTCCGTTAGCAGGAAGACATCTGAGTTTTCCTATTCTTCCACCTTCTTCTGCATTCCTGTGTAATTCAAGAGCCCTGACTCAGAGAGCGTTAATCAGGTGTTTTAAAAGCCAAGGGAAGAGAAATCTACAATCCTGGTCCACTGCTGCTATGACACATTATTACCACATGGTGCCGCTATTGCAGATGGCTCCTTTCTAATCTAATGGCCGCTTAGTTTACTGTATGCCTTTTCCTAAGTATCTTTGCTCTTGGGCTCTGGGATTCCTTGATCTGTCTCTCTCTTTCTGTCCTCACATACACATCTTCAGTTTGTTTTTTTTTTTTTTTTTTTTCACGGCCTGGTGCTAAGATCTCTGGGTCCTGAGGGATTCTGTGGAAGGAACCCTCAGCCAGGCAGGTGGCTTGCATCTGTAATCCCAGCTACTAGGGAGGCTGAGATGGGAGGATCACATGAGGTCAGGAGGTCAAGACCAGTCTGAGCAATAAAACAAGACCCATTTATATGTATTAACACAAGAAAAAAAAGAAAAGAAAAAGAAGACGGAGCCCTGTTTCTGACCCCAGAGTCCATCTTTAAGCTCAAGTCACCATCCTGATTCCATGTCCCTCCAGGGGAACAATTCCTCTCTTTCAAACAGCCCCTAACTCAGAAATTGACCACTTTTCCCCCAGGGAGCAAGTCTGCATAAAAAAGGGATAAAACAGTTTTTGTTAAGCAACATGGACACATGCGCACACAGTTACACACGCTCACACACACAGTCATTTACCATTGCCTTCTCCTGGAGCAGTGGGTACCATTAACATAGTTAATAAGACCACTCCAGTGGCCCAATAAAACAAAAAGGATTAGATTCTGCCCTAGATACTTGGGATGCTGAGATGGGAGGATCACTTGAGCCCCGGAGGTCGAGGTTGCAGTAAGCTGAGATCGCATCACTCCATTCCAGCCTGGGTGACAGAGCAAGACTCTGTCTCGGAAAAAAAAAAAAAGGTTCTCTTCATAATAAAACAATGACAAAAAGCCATTGCACTTCCCATTTTAAATTCGTACTAATATTATTATTATTTGACTGTTGTAGCCACAGTGTATACTCCCTGAGAGTAGCTCAATTTAATTTGGGGAGGAAACACTAGGCTCCATCCCAAGTTGACATGGCTGTGATATGGGTCTCATAGAGCCTCTCCTCCAATACACAGCTTTTAATGAGAAGAGCAAAGGGCTTATGAATTGAACTTCCATGGAAAATCTTCTTCTCCTGACTCTTCAAACACCTCTCTTCAATGCCTGTACACTCCACATCTCCCCTCCAGCTAGTCTGGGGGTTGGAGGAGGCCTGAGGACTTCCCAGTCCTAAGGAGCACAAAGGATAGCAGACAAGCAAAAAAGGACAGGGAAGTAGGTCCCTTAGTCTTGCTCTCATCTGAGCCCTTGGTGGAAAGGGCAGAAAAGATTTCTAAGCCTCCCTATGGCCCATTCCTTCCAGGGATGTGGAGCAAAAGTCCAGTATTAAAGAGCAAAGCCATCACCACCCTCTCATGTCTTCTGGGAGACATGCATTAGCTGGCAGTGGTTTATATAGTCCGGTTTCTGATCCTGACCAGACATAATTAATCATCACCAACTATGGGTACCAATATGACACACCTTGTTTCATTTTTATATAAATATTTCATTGAAAACAAATGCCCCAGTGTCATGATATAGCCCAAGGCTCACTCTTCTTCCACTTTCTCTCCAAGTTGAACTAGCTCATTTATGAACTTTCTGGTTGGACTTTTCTTATTTCTCTTCTGAGTTGCAAACTTTGCACATTAATTGGCACTGACTCAGTACTACCACCTCTAACATCTTTACCTTTTCTGTTCTGAACTTCAAAGTTTGTCTCCCTGGCTGGTGTTATGGCCACATTCTGAGAATTGCCAGTCTGTACCCTCTGTATCCTCCACGCAATTGTCTGAAATCATTTACTTGTTATCTCCAGCCATTATGGAAAATGCCTGCTTATCATGCATATATGATTTCCCTTTCTGCAGGTCTCTGAAGCTTCTATACTAAATTGAATTTCTTCTTACTGCTTTCCTTCTATTGTTCTGGCTTTACCATACTGTTCATTACTAAAATACATAATCACATTTAGACCAAATGATCTAATTGCATAAATTTTCTTGTGATCTGGAGTTCCTGGCACTGAAACCCATTTCCTAGCAAACCTATTAAAACTCCCAGGCTGCTTCCAAATTCTGTGTGTTGGCTGAGGGTTCCTTTTTCAAAGCATAACAAGCAAACCTGAGAATTTTTACAATTTCAGATAAATCAGTGATTGTTTTTCTTGCTTTTGTCACATTCATTTTTCAACAAAAAGGAAGATGTATATAACAAGACTGAAATGAAAAATTTAGCATATACAGTGGAAGAAGCATTCTACTTATGTTATTTAATCCTCAGAATAACTGTGCTGGGTTTTCTTTATTTCCTTTTGCTGAGAAAGTTGAGATTCAGAAAAGAGAAATAACTTGCTCAAGGTTAACCAGCTCAGGGGACAGACCCAAGCTATTATATACCTACCATTGCCAGCTAATGCCCTGGCTCTCAGAAGACACTCTAGAATGGCACATTTACCCTTTAATACTAGCTAAGGCTTTTCTCCACACTTCTGAAGACATTGTTGTTTTTATTAGCCAGTAGAATCATGTTCAAAATTCTATCCAGTTCTTTTTATTCAGTAAAAGAAAAAGAAAGGAATGATTAAACCTTCATTATGGAAAGAGATAAAGCCAAGTGTATTTGTTAGTTATAACTAGGCTAAGCTAGTTGCCCGTTTTGTCTCTATGTATATAACCATAATCACCAGCACCTTGTGTGTAATAAGCACCGGATGGCATGTGCCTATTGTGTTAGAGGAATGCACAGCCGTGGGCTTTGTTTCTTATGACACGCAGACTGCAGCTATATTTAAAATGATAATCTGGGCAATGTTCTTCACATTTTGTTTGTGTGAATTCAACCACAGTGAAGGAATTATTGTCTGGTGAACCTGTGCTCGTTGTTAGGAATGCATTCCTGAGTGTCCTGACGAGGAAATTAGGCAAACTGTGCATATGTCCATTCAATCTAGAAGCGGTTATTGAGCATTCGCTGTGTACCAAGTGCTGTCCTTGACAAGAAGACTTACACCCAGTGGTCCCAGAGGGAGACTTCGGAAGTGGGAGCACCTGTCAGATCATCATGTGAGTCCTTCCCTCCAATTCCATCCACCTACACCCCCCTCCCAATCTTCTGGGATTCTCCTTTCCTTTCTCACACTTATATATACACATTCTTCATGTGAACATTTATTCAGATAAAGAAGAGTCATGACTGGAAGATGGTTTTGATGACTCGTGGAAGAGTCTCGTTGACCCAGCCCACTAATGACGCTGGTAAAGTGTTTAAATGTTGTCTTGTAGATGCCATCTTTGGTTATGATGGTTGGCTTTAACACTAAAGAATAAAATAAGAGTGGTGTCCTTGCTGGTTTGTTTTATGTTTGCAGATGAGGAACAGTACCCTTGGCTTTTTTCCTGAGATTCGTCTAACTAACAGCAACCAGTTCTGCTCAAAATTAATTTTGTTAGTATTTTATAAGTTAAAGGCAGCCCAGATTTATTGAGCCTAGCAGTGTACTAGGCAATGGGGAAAATATAAAATAAGGAAACTTGCACATAAGAAATGGGAAAAACATAATGAGAAAAGACAACAATTTCTAATCTTCTTTGTTTCATTTCAATGCAATGCTGTCCTTTAGGGTAGTCACAAGCCACATATGGCTAACGAGCACCTGAAATGTAACTGGTCCAAATTGGGATGTGTGGTAAAATAATAATGTGAAGTAGATCATGAATAATTTTTTATGTTGATTGCATGTTGAAATAATATTTTGAATATATTGAGTTGAATATATTATTAAATTTAATTTCACCTGTTTCTTTTTACTTTATAAAATGTGGCTAATTGAAAAATAAAATTATATATGTGGCACATATTACTTTTTAAAATGTGGCTACTAGAAAAATAAAATTACATATGTGGCACATATTATATTTTTGTTAGAAAGTGTCATTGTAATATTTCCACTAGTCATATTGGGGATTATATGATAATATAGTGTATAGTGATTTATAATATGATTTTTCACATTTAAAATTATTTCATTAAATATTTTTCTCAAATCATGATATTTGTATAGCCACCTTGGATGTTATCATAATTATCCCATCATGGAAGTGTTGAGTTGTGTGTATAACTAGGACTTCCTGTTCCGCATCATTTAGCCATTTAGACATTTAGGTCATTTGCAATTTGCAAAGTAAGGAATTTTTTTTTAATGTTGTTAAACAATACAATTTTCCCCTCTCTTCCTCTATAGGAGTAAATTTGGAAAAAATAAATATGGAAGAAATAATTAAAAATTAATTTTGTTATAAGAAACACTTTTAATATTGTGGTATATTTATTTTGAGAGTTTTTTTTTGCTTTTTTGTACTTGTTTTACAAATTTATGTTAATATTATATATTGCATTTTAATTATTTTTATGTGAACATAAGAATTGTATGTTTTAAATTTAGTTATAAGATGGTTGTAAAAAAAAGAGAGAGAGGTCATTGTAATGTCTGTATAGTGTTCAACTGAGTGAATATGTTATTTTTCTCTGCTACTGGCCTTATAGATTTAATCAAATTTTGAATAATTACAAATAATTCATTATTTTTTCTCCAAATTTTAGATTATTTGAATTTCTTCATCAAACAGGCCTCAGATGGGCATTTACAAAAAAGTACACAAAGAAGGACTGTCTATCACACCTTAGTAACCACCAGGGTTCAATTTAGAAGTTATATTGTTGAAAAGGTTATAGATAGGTCTTGTAGTACCAGCTACTTGAGAAGCTGTGGCAGGTGGATCACTTGAACTCAGGAGTTTGAGGCTATAGTGAGTTATGATCATGCTACAGCACTCCAGCCTGGGCAACAGAGTGAGACTCATCTCTCAAAAAATTATTAGAGGATGTTCTTAATAAAGTACATAATTAAAGGAGAGGTACACACTCTCCTTTCAACCTATTCTTATAGTCAGTTTTTACAAGTGCAAAACGTTATTTAATTTTATGAGATTTATAAGTTCTTTCTCATATGAGCAAAATATCAGACTCATAAGCACCTAGAACAGTGCCTGCCATGTAGTAGTTGGTGAATGAATATCTGTTAAATGAATACACTTAGCTTATTAAGATATGTTTTGGTCATTCCATGCTGGTCTTGCTATAGAATGCATTGGGAGTGTGGATGGAAAATAGTGGAAATGGCATCCATGACCATTCTGTGGCTACCCTTAAGCAATTTGTTTGCTTTGCAAAGCTATAAATAATAGAAATATTTAAAATTTTAGCTTTTTAATACTTGACAGAAATTTAGAGAGGATTTCTAATCCTCTGTAATTGATTATGTACTTGATTTACAGAGGAGAAAACAGCCATGGAGCTACTTGTGTATTCAGATTGATTCAGAAAAGGCCTAGAAGTCAGGCCCTGGGGTTCCGAATTCTGCATTTCACATTGCCATGCTGCCAATAGAACACAAATATTTTAATAAAGTCAGTCTCTAAAACCCATAATTTGCCTGTTTTATTGAACAAATTTAGAATTTTACTTTAATAAAAACATGAACATGTATCTAATTGAAGGTTGAATTTAAGCCAAGTTTTTCATTGTTAATAATTAGCAGCATGAATTTGTAGGCGTGGGATTGGGCGTTTTCCCTCATTTTCTTGGCATGGTTATTACCAGGGTTTTTCTTGTGCTGACATGCTTTATTATTAGCATCAGCAGAGCACTCAAGATTTGCAGTCATTCATGGAACCACTAGATTCTAGTACCTGAGCTTAGTTAAGTTTAGGCTCTGGAAGTTAAATGTTAAGAAAGGAAGCTTTGAGGGGAAGGAGTAGCAAGGGAGATAAGTTTTCAGCAAAGAAAACCATGAGTAATTGAGCTGCACGGCAACATTATGGGTGAGAACATCATTGTTCATATTTATATTCAATATTTCTATTTGTAGGATGCTGTTCTTGAATATGAGAGCAGCTGAATAGAGTAGTTGGAGACCTGTAGTTCTTTCTTTATCAGTTAGCTATAACAGAATATTTATGTCAATGAAAATAGAAAGAAGAGCAAAGACATTGAGAGCAGAAATCTAAAGGAGCAGTATATTAAATTCAAGCAGAGGTGAAAAATGAGGACTTTGACTTGTGTTATAATTCCGTTCCTCCTGTATCCACAGCCATGTTTAGACAGGAATTTAATAGCAGTTTACAAGGACAGGTGGCAAGATAATGGCCATGAGAATTTTGGAACGTAGGTTGTCATTCCAGGTCTACTGCTGTGTGACCTCAGCAAAATAAATTTATGAAGACTTCAGACTGCCCTGAAGTCAGGTCGGAATTGAGAAGCTGATACCAGGTTAATAGGTCTCCTCTTCCACACCTCAGTATAGAAATGACTTCCCAGATCTCAGGGTCAAAGACATATTCAGGGTCAGTTAAAGAATAAAAAATGTCCTGATCAATTTCTGATGTCTATGAAAAGTAGCATGATTACTGTTCTTAGGTTCTAGGATTCTTTGACTACAAAGATTTCTATGTCCTGCTATATGGTAAAACCAAGAATATTCAGTTGAAGATGTTCATTTCTTTTTCACTTGGCAATAAGTTCAAATTACTTTTGTGATTTGTTAAGGACACATGAAATGCAGCCAATGTTGATTGAAGAGGCATGTGGTGATAATTGAACTCAATTTTAAGAAATGCATAAATTAAAAGAGCAATCAAAATGGGCAAAATTATACAAAGCAAGTGTTCCTATTCACTGATCATATCACTGTGTTGACACATTTAATCAATATATTAAAATCTCCAGAAGATAAAAAATGGTTCACATAATTGTTCTATTAGGGAAGATTTTCATGGGAACAGCTTAGTTCAACATATTTCTAAGTCAATGATCTTTTCTCTCACAGTGGTCTATGAGCCTGTGAGTAGTAATTCATGATGTCAATGTCATGAGTAATACTAACAAGGAGCACTTATTGAGTTTGCTCTTTGCCAGAACCCATTCAAAGTGGTTTCTACAACTCAGTTAATTTCTCACACAAACTTGATAAGTAGGTATTATTATTATTATTATTGTTATTATTATCCTTATCTTACACATTAGTACACTGAGGCTCAGAGAAGTCACACATCTTACCCAAGGTCACATTGCAAGTGGGCAGTGGAGGTTTTAACCAGGATATTTCTCTACTGCTGATAGTGACAATAATTACCATTTGGAGGTTCTCTTCTGCATCACAGACTCTGGCAGAAGCAGCCCATATATGGCTTTGTTTCATGGCTGTTTTACAGATGGGATAAGTAAGGCTTAGGGTGCCTAGATAATGAGTCCACTATCACCCACCCAATAAGTCTTATGGCTGGGAATCTCTAATTCCAAAGACCAAGATGGATTCACCACTTATGCAACTGTGGATGTCCCTTTTGTTACAAAGAACAAAGTATGCCTATTAAAATCTGAATCCCATTTATTACATGGGTTTAGAGAAATGATGGATTGCAGGAAGTGAAAATGCATCTTGAGTAAGCATGTGCCAAAGTCCTGCAGAAAGTCTGCACAGGGTGCAGGTCGAAGCTCAAACCTTACTTCCTCAAAGAGACATGTGGGGGTCACCCTGTTTTTAAGGCACTTTCCAAACATGCACTCTCCCACAAAACCATACACACATCTTCAGTTACTCTATTCACATTATTTTGTTTTATTGTCTTCAGAGCATTGACATTGCCTTGTCTATTCTTTACCAGACATAGTTTCATGAGAACAGAGAGGTTGTTGGTTTTATTCACCTCTGTATCCCCAGTACCTAGAACAGTATATAGGACACAAATTGCACCCCAAAACTTTAATTGAATGAATGATTTCGCTTATTGTTTTTATTATAAATATCAATAGCAACAATTTTTATTGACTGGTTTCCTGTGTTCCTTTCTTTGCAGTAAGTATGCATTTTCTAAATTTATTTCTTACAGTAAAATTAGGGAGTTGGTCTTATTGTCATACCCATTTTGCAGATGTGAAAAATAAGGCATACTAAGGTCAAATTACTTGCATAAGGACACAAACCTAGTAGTTAGGAGTCACACACCAACGCATGTCTTTTCATCTGCATGGACTATACTCTTACACCCAATACTCAGCTCACCTGTGGCTACAAAAAGTTCTGAACAGTTCTATCTTTTCATTGGTTGATTTTCCCAAGACGTCATTTATGTGGCTTCATCGCTAACTTTGTAGACAAGATTTAAATTCAATGAACACTTATTGAATGGGGTCATAGATTGGGTGGCAGGCATCACCAGTTCTACTTTACAAGGGCAAAAAAGGAAGTTCAAATAAATGATATTTTTGTTGCTAGAAATTGGTAAAGCCAGAATATAAACTCAGGACTGTTGATTCCAAGTCTCTGGCTCAATCTGTAATAAATGGTGAAGACGTCTCTAAAAAAGAAAAATAGCATTCTCAGCCATGTATTTCCTAACCAGCATTTTCAAATTGCATATAGAGAGGAGGCATTACATCATGATAAATATTGTGATTCTTTTGCTAAGTGCTCTCTTGGGACAGATAATATCTGAACATAGATACTTGATCATTATTTAGTCCAAACCCACATGTGAGCTTACGTTCTCTGTTGTCAGAGATCTAACCCACACAAAGAGGTATCCTGAATGATTTTATGATAGTTTCTTTCTTTCTTTTCTCTTTTCTTTTCTTTTCTCTTTTCTTTTCTTTTCTTTTCTTTTCTTTTCTTTTCTTTTCTTTCTTTCTTTCTTTCTTTCTTTCTTTCTTTCTTTCTTTCTTTCTTTCCTTCCTTCCTTCCTTCCTTCCTTCCTTCCTTCTTTCTTTCTTTCTTTCTTTCTTTCTTTCTTTCTTTCTTTCTTTCTTTCTTTCTTTCTTTCTTTCTTTTTTTGAGACAGGACTCTGTTGCTCAGGCTGGAGTGCAGTGGCTGGCTGGATCTCAGCTCACTGCAACCTCCACCTCCCAGGTTCAAGCGATTCTGCTGCCTCAGCCTCCCAAGTAGCTGTGATTACAGGTGCCTGCTACCACACCTGGCTAATTTTTGTATTTTTAGTGGAGATAGGGATTTCACATCATGGCCAGGCTGGTCTTGAACTTCTGTCCTCAAGAGATCTGCCTACCTCAGCTTCCCAAAGTGCTGGGATTACAGGCGTGAGCCACTGCGCCTGGCCTATTTTCTCTAAAAGCGAGTTTTACATTTGCTTTTCAATATCATGAAATGACAAGTGGCAAATTTCAGGAGTGTTCATTGATTTTTCTTTCAGGATAAATAATTTCAGAAGTAATTCAGAGATATCAAGGTAGATTTGTGCCCCTTTTAAAGTGGTTACATAGTTACTAAGCTAATATACATTTGGACTTCTTCCATCTGAGAAAGAGAGAGGCTGCAGTTGATAGATATTTCTCTCTCTCTCTCTTTTTTTTTTTTTTTTTGAGACAGAGTCTTGCTCTGTCGCCAGGCTGGAGTGCAGTGGTGCAATCTTGGCTCACTGCAACCTCCGCCTCCTGGGTTCAAGCAATTCTCGTACCTCAGCCTCCAGAGTAGCTGAGATTACAGGCACACACCACCATACCCGGATAATTTTTGTATTTTTAGTAGACATGGGGTTTCATCATGTTGGCCAGGCTGGACTCTGTCTCATGACCTCGTGACCTGCCCGCCTCAGCCTCCCAAAGTGGTGGGATTACAGGCGTAAGCCACTGTGCCCGGCCAACAGATATTTCTTATAATACTTCAACTATTTTAAAACCAGCACGTAAACAAACATACGAAGACTAAAACCATCTAAAGATCTAAACTGGCCAAATAGAACAAGGAGAAATGTATCTGCATTTCTTTAGGAATTGGGAAAGAAAAAGAGAAATAAAAATCCATGTTTTTAGCTATAAAGTATCAGTTGATATTTCTTTAGGGAGACTAAAACTTTTCAGTTTTCAAGCAAATATTCTGATTCTAAAAAAGGAGTTGGGCTGATAAAATTAAAAATGTGTTGCGTGACTTATGTTGTTTCAGAGGTGATAGAGCCATTTATAGTTTCTAATAAAATCTAAGGGAAAATGCAATTTATTATATCAATACAACCATAACACAAGAAAAGATCATTACTGCCCTATCAGCAACTATAGAAATTGTGACAAACTAAATATGTAAGACCACATCTGAGCTAGAACATCAGTCACTTTTTTTTGAAAACAATATTAATACCAAGTGTTTGATGAATATGGGCAGAATGTTACCAATACTTTTATTAAAGATATTTGATTAACTACAGGTTTTTTTTCTTCCAGATATTTGACCAGTTAAGTGGCTTCTCTATCCATGCTTGGGAAGTCCATTAGTTATGTCTAAATAAATGTATGGGTGCCACTATACCTCCTTCCACAGCCTGATCAATTGATTGGTATGAGCAACAGCAAGTAAACACATTTAATACATCTTCCCTGGGATTAGGGACCATTGTTCCTGACTGTCACTAGCCCCTTGTCCTTCAGTTTCAGTTGCCCCGGGGGTAAGTCTGCCTGTTCCTTTGTGATGTGCAGCGCTGCTGTTTTTAGGCATTAATAGATGCATAACTGAAACCTAATTTTATTTGTCCATTTGCTTAGGACTTATTAGAGTAAGTAACTAAATGAGTCATTCATTTAACTTAAAGTTTTGCCAGAAACGTTACATTTATTATCTAATTTCCTTCTGCCAACCACCTTGGTGGGTAGGCCTCAGCCCTACCTTATAGATATGAAAGTTGAGGTTGAGAAGGTGAATGAATAACTACTGGCAGAGACAGCCTATCCATGCTCGACTCTAAAGCTTTTATTCTTTCCATGTTCTTTCTTTCTATTTCTTTTTGAGACGGTGTCTTGCTCTGTCTCCACTGGAGTGAAGTGGCGCCATCTGCTACCTCTGCCTCTGGGATTCAAGCAAGCAATTCTCCTGCCTCAGCCTCCCGAGTAGCTGGGATTACAGGCACACATGACCATGCCTGGCTAATTTTTGTATTTTTAGTAGAGACAGGGTTTCTCCATGTTGGCCAGGGTGGTCTTGAACTCCTGACCTCAGGTGATCCGCCCACCTCGGCCTCCAAAAATGCTGGATTACAGATATGAGCCACTGTGCCCGGCCCAAAAGCACATATTTTTATGTTAACTCTGCACAAGATAAAACTGTCCTAAATTTTATTCTGAAGTTTTTCAGAATTACGTTTGTAGTTTTGTATTTTTATCTTTATATGTTGTTTAGTGGCATTTCTTCTATTCAGTGTCTTCATCCCATCCTAGAGTTGACAGTTTAGGGAAGCTTCTACTATTAGACATGTTAAAGAAATGATTATTTGAAGTGGGACAATTTAGAGTAATGATCAAGAGGCCAGGCTTTCTGCTCCAGAAGACCTGGTCTGAGCCCTAGTTTCACTGCTTATGTATTGGGTGACTTTAGGCAAATTTCTTATCCTCCTTAAGTGTGAATTTCCCATTTGAAAAACAGGAATAATGGTCATACCTATTGCTTATGGTTATTTATGCATTAATTAATTCAACAAATATGTATTCATCTCCTATAATAAGCCAGATACTCAGCAATGAATTAACCAAGTTGGCTGCCCTGAAACACTTTATATTCTAGCAAGGAAAAACACACAGAAAAACTAATAAATAAATAAGCTTGGTCCGGTAGTGGTAAGGGCTGTATAGACAAATAAAGCAAGGTAGAGAGAGGTGGGTGTGGAGTGGTGGTAGTTGGAGATGGATATTTTTTAGAAGGAGAACTTTCCATTGTAAAGTGACAGTTGAGCAGAAACCTGAAATAAATTTTATTGAGCGAATTAAGAAAAAAACGACACAGAAAACCAAATTGAAGGTACAATGCTTTGTAAGATGGCTGCTGTGGAGAGATGCGAGCCCTTACTGCAGGCTTATTTTAAATCACTAGAATTCGAGCTCCCTAAGGAGGGCACACTTCTGTCTCATTCGTTGGTGCATCACAAGCATGCACAATGCCTGTTAGGTTCTCAGTACAACTAAGCTGTAGCTCTTGGAGTCTGTCTATTTCCTGGTGGGGATAGTAGGAGGAGGGGGTCAGTAGATGGAGAGAAGAAGCTGAGAGTGGAACAGGAATCTCCACGGTAGCAGTCACCTGCTCCACCTCATCAGAATGTCATCAGAGGTCTAGACCTAGATGGCTTTTGGGCATGGGCTTGACTATAGTTTCACAAAAGGCATGATGCTTCAATAAAAAGTTTTCTTGACAGCAGCTATGAAATCTACAGAAATAGCACAGGTCATGGCTTGAGATTCGAAGACGAGTCCGGGCTTCCCTACTAACCCAGTGAGGGTACATGGAGGGAAATGCACAACAGGACATTTAACCTGCATGAGCTGCCAGTCCTGCTGCAACTCACACATTCCATTCTGATTTGCTGTTGGCTTACTGGAAGTAACCTAGGGCATATTTTTTTAGAGACCAGGAAGAATTCTCTTTTCTTTTATTCATTCATTCAACTAATAGTGTCCTCAGCTCCTGGTTCCAAACTCTGCCTGAGGCATGAGATCTGAAAACTCATGCTATTTAAACATGGTATCTTCCATGAGGTCTGTGCTGTTTTACTTGGTGATACCCAATAGAGGTGATGGCCTCTAAAATAGCCCAAAGATAGCCAGCACTTAGTGCACCCAGAGATTGCCTGACAAAGCTGAATGATTTACAAAGCAGTCTCTTAAGTGAATTTGCTCCTGATTTACTTAGTGAACATTTTTTTTCTCTAAGACCTCAGATAGTGTGAAAAACCTTTGCAGATTATGCATGAGGAGCCTCACTACACTTTACCCTGCCCTGCTTAATTGCAGATCTTGGAAACACTCACTCAAACATGCCAGATATTTAACTGAACTTCCAATTCACTGTTGCTAAATTGCAAACATCCTTGAAAAACTGATAAACAGAAATGAGCTTCCAAGTGCCCCCAGAAAGGCACAATGCTTGGAAAAAAAGATAAAAAAAAACCCTCTAATTGCAGCAGCACATTTTATGGTCAATAAAGTATTCAATATGCTATGCAGCAGGGGTATCTCAACTGAGAGTCAAATAAAAATAACTGTGCATGTGATAGCTCAATGAAAAATTTCTTTTCTCAGCAAGAGATAAAAAATCTCAACTGTCTCCAGCCTGGCATATTTGGTGAATTGCTTGCACAAAAGAGAATGGGTGGGATTTAGCCTAGCTATAACAAAACAAAACAAAATCCTAGTAGCAGGCTCCTAAAGAAAGGCAGCATCTGATTCTACTTGGTTTGGGATTATTTACAGGAAGTCTTTCTTAAATATCAGTCCCAACCCTCTGACCTCAGAATTTTTCTTCCCAGGAAAGAATAGAATTTTTCTTTGTCTTCCATCCCTCCCTTTTTTTTCTTCCTCTAGTACCCATGTGATATGGTTAGGCTTTGTGTTCCCACCAAAATCTCATCTGGAATTGGAATCCCCAGGTGTTGAGGGAGAGACCTGGTGGGAGGTGGTTGGATTACGGGGGTAGTGTGCCCCATGCTGTTCTCCTGGTAGTGAAGTGAGCTCTCATGAGATCTGATGGTTTTACAAGGGGCTCTTCCCCCTTTGCTTGCTCACTCTCTCTTTCCTACTGACATGTGAGAAGGTACAAGCTTGCTTGCCCTTTGCCTTTCACCATGATTGTAAGTTTCCTGAGGCGCCCCCCTCAGCCATGCAGAAATGTGAGTCAATTAAACCTTTTTCTTTTATAAATTACCCAGTCTCTGATATTTCTTTATAGCAGTGTGAAAATGGACAAATAGACCATGCATCCATTCCTTCCACTATTTCTTAAGCGTATACATATATCACCTTCCAAGGCAGGTGCTAGTCAACATCTCTTCCCTTATAAAGTGGAGAAAAACAGAAAAGTATGAACAAAGCTTTGTGGAATCTCATATGAGAGAGCAGCTAACAGCCTTGGGGAGCTGGAAAAGGCAGCGCTGATCTATAACTTTTGATGCGTCTTGAAGGAGGAGGGTGTTTATACCACCTGCAGAACAGTAGAAAGACAGTTTCTATTAGTTTTGCTACCTTTTTATTTGAACTTCTTTTCCTTGGAGTTCATTCACTTCTTTCATATTGTGGCTATGCACATAATTATTGATTGTTCCATCAGATGTTGTTTTAATACTCATCCTCCCTAAGCCTTTTCTTCTTGGCTCTGCTTGCCTTTTCTCTACCTGTGTTCAACCCAGTTGTGATTTCATATAAATGTAAATTGATCTGAGCATTCCAGTTACATTTCTAAAACTTGGACACATTACCTGGCAGGCACAAATGTCTCTTTTTGAGATAAAAAGAATCAATGCATTTGCTTTTTGTAAAGCTTGTTATTATGAAAATTTCAAACGCAAACAAAAGAAACTGAATAGTACAATAGAGCTTATGCACCCTTTACCTAGCTTCAACAATTGTCAGCAATTTTCAAATCTTGTTCCATCCATTAATTTATTTGAGGAGGTCATATTTTAAAATGAATATTAGACATAATGCTTTTCTCCTGCAGATTCTTGAATATACATGTCCAAATGATAAGAATGTGTATATACATAAACACCATGTCATAACACCTAACACAATTAATAATAATCCTTTAATGCAATTTAAGATTCAGTTCATATATCCATATTTGCATTGCCTCAATTGTCTCAAGAAGTTTTTTAATTGTGTGTTTGTTTGCATACAATCCAAACAAAGTCTTTATATGGTATTTGCTGTTATGTTTTCCAAGTCTCTTTAAATGTGTAACACTAGCTCTGCCTCCTTTTTATTCAAGTCATTGATTTGTTTGAGAAAGGGGATGTTTGGTCTTTGGATTTGGCTGAGAGCTTCCTCCAGATGTCTTCACCCAGTCTCCTCTTCCCTACCTACCTCTGTAGAATTTCCATGAGATCAGGCTCAATTCATTTTTTGCAAGGCCTAAATAATCAAGACACCCCCTACGTCCTACAGTAGGACCCCCTACTTCCTACAAATGGACAGTCTTAAGTAAATATAGATGATTGCAGTCTTATCTAGCTAGGAGGTGCGGCAAACCCACTTAACTGTAGGGCTTTTATGTTGCCTAATGGAGTTGTGTGTTTGGGGCCAGGGCTGAATTGTTTGAAGCCATGTAGGAGAAATGGAATGCTCACATTAGTAGCCTACCTTCTCCACCTTCCCATTCTCCAGCCCACAGCTTCTCCGCGAAATAACTGTTGAGCACCTGGAAAATACAGTTTGTAAGGGCAATAGATTATTAGTCTTCTCAGGGCAATCACATGGTTTGAACTTACAGGTGCCTAGAATTAGATTAGGATGATATATATAAAAACTACTTAATTCTTGGTCCTAGTAAATGCTGAATAAATGGTAGCACTTGTTTTCAAAATATGTTTATAATTAGCCACTTTCCTCAAAGGATGTTCATGTTTCATTTACTTGTTAGTCAAACCATCATCAAGCTCAATCACTACACCCTCATTCCCAACCTAGCATCAGACCTAGAGCTGCGGAGGCATATTTGAGGGAACTGGAAATGCTGGTGTCACTCCAGTTTCGTGGATAGAAGATGTGTTCTTACCGTAGACTTTAGCTACCTCAGCATAAGTTTTTGTGTTCTTTATTAAGTTTAGAACTTTTACCTTTTCACTTTAAGGAAGCATTTTACAGCTTCTTTTTGGCATGTTTGAAATGCCAGCATCACTACTCTTGTGCTTTGGGCCACTGCTAAATAAAATAAAGGGTTTCTTGAACATAAGCCCTGTAATACTGAGACAGTAGATCTGATCACCAGTGGCTACAAAGTGATTCATGGGCAGGCAGCGTCTACAATGTGGAAACCCAGGACAAAAGGAGGATTCATATCCCTGGAGAGAGGGAGGAGGATGGGCACAAGATTTCATCATTCCACTCTGAAGGGCGTGTGATATAAAACTTACAAATGGTTTATTTCTGGAATTTTCTATTTAATATTTTCAGACCACCATTGACAGCTGGTAACTGGAACCACGGAAAGCAAAATTGCAGATAAGTGGTAACTACTGTATAGCTCCAGCCTCAGCCTGGAATTAAGTAACTTAGACTCTAAGTATGGAATATATAGTGATGAGACATAGTAAAAAGAAGCAAAGAGAAGAGCAAGGAACTCAGCATGAGGGTGTTTAGGCAAGGATCTCCGGCATGTGTGCTCCAAACAGGCATGCCCTGCTGTTCTTTCTACCCAAAGATGTGGAAGAGTGAAAGGGCCCTGACCCTCAGTGTGACGGCAGTATAGCACATGTGGAGGGCAGTGATGGGAGATGTGGATGTAGGGTAAGCACAGGTCCAAGAATGACGGGTCTCATTAGCTGAATATTGCAATGACTCATCCAGGATTGGGTGGGGATATGAACTTATGAATGGGGTTAGAGAGAAATTCCTAGGGCGGTGAATATTTTTCCACCATCACCACTATCTGCATGTCTGGGAATGGTGTCAAGTGGGGAGAGGGCAAAGCAGTGAGGAATTGGCACTTGCCACATTGGTCCTTCATTGGAACACAAAAGAAGACTGGAGAACAATGTAACCGTCTAGGTAGACCCACTGAAAGACAGCGATCATCGTGGAAACTAATTACCCAACATTGACAAAATGCTCCTAGGGAGTTGAGCTTTGGAGAAATTGTTTGCTGCAGTGAGTTTTGTTCACAACAACACCTTAGGTTTGGCATCAATTTTCCATTGAGAATGAGCTTGGAGACTTGCCTTCTGCTCTAATAGGGAGGAAAGCATGAACACCAGAAGCCTTCAACCCTTCTTCTATTTAATTTTGAAGACATGTTTGGATAACATCAATTCTTAGAAATAATGCTTGAAACAATTTGCCACATTATATTTTTATTGAATAAGGGGATTCACAATCAAGAGTTATACATTTAATATTCTGAATGGTACACCTAAGCTGTTACTTTAAGAATTGAGTAATTTATTCTAGTAGTTATTACAGCCTGGAATGTTATAAAAGCAGTATTGTACTGTGGTTATTACTTACATAACAGCAGTCAGTTTTCTTGCCTTTGATGCCACCCATCTACCATTTTTCTCAAATTGGATGGTGAATGCCATCAAAACCCAGGAACTGGACATTAGTGACAGGATTCTTTGTCCCTAACTTTTTATTTTTTTCAATCAGAAACACTAAAAAGCTGCCTTACCATGATCCGGGCTATCTATTTCTTTTCTTTGCCAGTTCAGATGACTACAAGTACAAGAGATGATTATTAATGACAGTACAACAATCCTAAAAATAACAGCCTCAGATTACACCCCTTCCAAAACATCCCTAATAATTCACCTGTGTGATAAATGATTCACAACAGGGTATAAATTCGGTCTTCATGATATAAACCCACCCTTTAGGCAAGAAAGCTCCTATAATAAAGAACTGAAAGGTAAACCACATATGTACTTGTTGTGTAAATATTTTTTGGTCTGTTTTCATATTTCCTAAATAGATATTTAGTGCAAAATTGGCATTTACTCTAAACCACTGACAATAACAACAAAATCAGGATTTCTGTCTACACCTTATCAAATGCTTATTAGGTATACCATTTCCTTTGTCTTGTTAACAATCCTATGCAATTGAGATAATCATGTCTATCACAAGCAGCTATTTGGAGAGGCTCTGTTTTGCCTAGTGGAAAGTTGTAGCATGGAGCCAATACCCAACCCTTTGACTCTGCTCTTTTGGTGCTGTTTCCACCACACCCTTCTGCCTCAATATAAAGGGACAGTTTTGTGAAATGTGGCATCATTGTCTTCATATAGCATTGTATTAATTTCCCAGGGCTGTCATAACAAATCATCACAAACTAGGTTACTTAAAACAACAGAAATTTATGCTCTCACAGTTCTCCAGATTAGACATCCAAAGTCAAGAGTCAGCAGGGTCAGGGTCTCTCTGAAGACTCTAAAGAATCTTTCCTTCCTCTTCCAGCTTCTGGTGGCTCCTGATGTTCCTTGGCTTGTGGCAGCCTTGCTCTCACCTTAGCCTCTGACTCCACATGGCTTCTTCTCTGTGTGTCCTTTTTTGCGTCTTGTAAAAACACTTTCATTGCATTTAGAGCCTACCCTAATCCAGTATGAGTTCACCTTGATCTTTACCTTAGTTATATTTGGAAAGACCACATTTCCAAATACGGTTACATTCTGAGATTCCAGGTGGGTGTGAGTTTTGGTGAGACACTATGCAACTCTTTACAATTATGTTTCTCCTTTCTAGTCTAGTAGGAAAATAAGAGTCCCAATTAAGATCCATCAAATTAATGAACATAGTTTGAGTCCTGTAGTTTTGATTGGCAATCAGTTGCTCAAAGTTTACAATTTGGAGCTCCTCACAAACTCCAAGATTGAGTGTACTTTGAATCTTGGTATTTTACCAAAAAGTAAAATACAATATTTCACAGGTTCTTCTGGCACAGTACTCTATAACCTGCACTGAACTAAGAGTTGAGATGCTTGTGTTAGAACTTGCCACACCTTGCTGTATATTTCTCTCACAGTCACAGAGAAAGGCAGCAGAAAGGTAGTGTCTCATGTTATTGAGGCGTCTACAGAACGCATGCCTCTGACCTTTCAGCAGATAAAGTGGATGATCTCAGGTAGAAAAGCTGAACAGAGAATGATCTTACCAGGGTTTCCTGAAAGGGGAACTTGACCTGCTAAGGATTCTCAAGTTCTTATGATAGGGATCTCCATCTTTTCCCATAGAGTGATCTGTTTTTATTTCTGGGGCATAAATGGGTTGGGTTTGAAATGGGTGTTGAGTGAAGGTATCACTTATGTCAACATAAAAGTTGGTTAAAAACCATGTGGCAGAGTGAAAGCAAAGCATTAAAGTAAGAAGCTGACCTGTTGAGCTACGCTTAATAGAATTGAAACTAAATTTTGGCATATTCAATCCAATTTAACTCAAGTTGAAATGATTATGTTTTTATTATAAACACGAATGCATATTGCTTTTTGGAAATTTTAAAACTGCAATACCAGTAAATAGAAACAAATAACAACAAACAATTGTGTTATCTTAAAGAAATGACTGTGGGTATATTTCCTGCTCCTTTTATTCTGTGAATCTTTTTAATATATAGCTTTGCATACTGCATTTTATAAAACAAAATTGTAACTATTTTATGTTTTTGATAGTTATTACTCACACCGTTTTAATGTCTGCATAACAGCTTATGAAGTGTTGAGTTTACATTAGAGTTTCTCCATTGTGAGCCCTTAGATTGGTTCAATTTTTTTTTTGGTATTATGAATAAGACTCAGATAATATTTTAGTAAAGATATCTTCCTAGAAGTTAATATGCTCATATCTAAATGTGCTTTTTTTTTTATTTTTTCTTGATTATATTGACCTATACTGAGTATAATATTTTTTATAATCTTGATTAATATTGAAAGTTTCCTTCCCAAAATGGTTTGTCAGATTACACTCCTGCCAATAGCATTCAAAGTTCTCATTGAACTGAAACCTTGCCAGGATTAAAATGCTTTTAAAAGACTTTCAAGTCTTACTAGTTTGAAAATGAAAAATATAATGATATTTTACCTTCAATTAGCATTCCTTTACTTATTAGCAAATGTAATATTTTTATGTGCCTGTTTCAGACATTTCTGTTTTGAATTGTTTATGGTTTGTTATGGGATAAATTGTGCTTCCCACCTCAATACATATGTTGAACACCTAAACCTCAGCATGATACTATATTTGAAGATAGGGCTTTAAGTAAGTAATTAAGATAAAATGAGGTTCTATGGATGGGCCCTAATCCAATATGACTGGTGTCCTATAAGAGGAGGAAATTAGGACACAGACAACACAAAGACTGAGGACAGCTATGTGGGGACAGAGCAAGAATGTGGCCATTTGCAAACCAAGGAGAGAGGCCTCTGAAGAAACCAAACCCGCTAATATCTTAATCTAGGACATCTAGCCTCCAGATCTGCGAGAAAATATATTTCTATTGTGTAAGCCCCTCAGTCTGTTGTATTTTGTTATGGCATCATAGCAAACAAAAACACTGTTTTTTACCTATTTATTTATTAGGGTCTTATGGCTTTTCTTAGTAATCTATACATGCTCTTGTTATATTAAACATACTTATTGTTTGCTTCTTACATTTGTTGCAAAGTGGTTATTTGTCTTTTGAATATTTTCTTATTTTTTTAGCATAAAGCATGTATATGTTTACTATCGTTCCACAATTATTCATCTTTTCCTGTGTGCTTTTGTTTTCATAGTACTTCAAAGCTTAGAAAGTCCTTTTTCCTCAAGAGTTTTGATACATTGTCAGTTTAATTTTTGTGTTTCTGTGGTTTGATGTGGACCTGTATAATATAACTATTTTCCAAGTTTGAGAGTACAGACTCACAAAAGTAGGTGAATTTTAAATTTACAGAGTAAAGCTTTCTTTAATTTAAGATTTTTATGCCCTGAACTGTCTCATGTAAGATATTTTCTATGGCTATTACATTCTTTTGAAAATGTTCATTGTCTAAATGGAACAATAACCTCACTTAAAACAAATCTTCTATTTCATAAATATCACAGTTATTAAGGCAAAGAACCTAAAGATAAAGAGTAGCTACTACTTTCTGAAATCTGCTAAACGTCTTTGAAATTCTACGGTAATCTTATTTCAAGTGAAGGACACTTGTCTTGCAAGATGAAAGCAACATTTTCCTCTGTTTTTTCTTGTTTTCACTTGTGATTCTTCTGCTTAAAATGCTTAAAGTCTTCCTTTGTGGAACTTTTTATCAAAGATTTCTACTTTATTTCTTGGGAGATCTTTCTAGAACCTATTTAGACATGTCTGTCTTTTCCATAGCTCTATGCTTATTTAATTTAGTTTTGCTGTTGGGTCAATCAAAAATGCCATCTCTGCAAGGCACTGTTTTTTGTTTCTTTGCTGGTAGTGTTCTTTTTAAAACATAAAACTGTTTTCACTTGTGAGATAAAATTATCTAGCCATTCTGGAATGTCTCCCAAGTTGAACCACGGTAGGTCGGTGCAAAATAGTAGAAAATATAGTTTGCAAACTACTTTAAATAAAGATTTGAATGACCTTCTGTGAAATTGTGAGGAACGTGTTTTGTTTTTAGTTTTTTTGTAGCAAAATATATTGACTTACAAGGTATGTTGATAAGATGCATTCATTCAACAGATATTTACTGAGTGCCCATTATAAGCCAGTTACTGTCCTGCAGTTTGGGAATGCAGTCAAGTTTGTGGAGCCTGGACACTGACCAATTAGAAGTGACCTTGGCTGTGGTTCTATAGCAGGGTCCCAGAGGCTCCTGGATGGCCCAGGCATCACCACTTTAGTTGCTGGGTTGAGAGTCCCAGGAGAAAGCTCAGGGAAGCAGGTGTTCATTGAAGCATTTAAATATTTGAGCAAGTGGGATAGCTCTATCAGACTGTAAACTTTTTCCTGGCCTTATGGTTATCTTTAAAATGGTTGAAATAAGTCAAACCAATTCTCACCTCTGGATATTAATGTGGGGATGTAGACCATGCAAAGACAAAGGTCACAAAAGTTGTAAGTATGTCCAGTGGAATTCCAGGGAGGCAGGGGTCAATGTTATTTGAGATGAGAGTGAGTAATACAGAGACAAAGGACTTCACTGGAAGGGCAAGAGGGTGACTTTGCTAAGTTTTGGAAGTTGTGCAAATATTCACCAAGGGGTTGTAGGCAGAGGGTGAATCATGAGCAAAGACCAAGTCCTCACTGTATAGATTGTGGTCATGGTTAGATTTATGAGGAGATAACAACAACTTCAATATTAATAGGTCTGCAAAATGTTTATTAGAAAAGCCAGTCCTTAACCTTACATCATTTGACATTGCAGTAGTAGCTCATTAAATAGCAGTTGAGCTTGGTAGAATTCTTCTCCAATATTTGATTGTCAGGAAGGTTATAATCTAGATTTTCTGTTCCGTGGATTTACTTCTGCTGTAGCTTTAGCAGATCTAGCCTCTGGAGTAATCAGGCAAAGCATTACTTTATAACATCAAGTCCCATGGCAATGCCTCCTCCCATTTTCAAAATTCCATTAACTATGGATGAAGAGCATAATTTCTCATCTAGGATGCTCCTATAGCTAAGAAGAAAGCTGTGTAATTTGCAGAAAATAACCTTTGCATCTTCTCTCTTGTTATCTTGGTGGTGAGTTACAAATTTGATATTGCTGATTTTCTTAGACCACTCAAGTTGAATTATAATATTTTTAAAAGTGATATATGGAGAAAAAGAGAAAGTATGCATCTCCCCCCTCCCCCTACAAAAAAAAGGAATTGTGTCAAGGAATGTGTTTATTTCTTAAATATTATTTTGGTATTTAAAATAATCTACTTACAAAAATGCCCATGTCCTAATTCCTGGATCCTATGAATATATTACTGTACATGGTAAAAGATTTTGAAGATGTAATTAAGTTATGGATCCTTGATCATTTCTCCATACTTCCTGGGTGAGCCTGATGTAATCACAAGATTCTCTATAAGTTAAAAAAAAAAAAAAGAGACAAAAGTGTCAATGTCCCAGTGACATAGTGTGATGAAGACTATACCAGACATTGCTGGTTTTGAGGATGAACAGGGGCCATGAGCCAAGGAATGTGGGTGGCCTCTAGAGGCTGGGAAAAGCAAGAAGTCAGATTTTCTCCGAACCCTCCAGAAGGAATGCAACCCTGCCAACACCTTGATTTTATCCCAATTAGACCGATTTTGTACTTCTGAACTCCAGACCTGTGAGAAAATAAGTTTAGGCTGTTTTAAACCAACCCACCAAGTTTGTGATAATTCATTACAGTAGCAATAGGAAACTAATAGAAGTATTTTTGATGGTAACTTAATCTTGGTGACCACTGATTATATCTCTACAGATCCACGGTAAATCCGAATGTAGATATTTCTGCTCCAGCCTATGGTAGCCTATTACACTCTACAGATAACATTTTAAGTGTTTTTATTATAAAAGCAAATGCGTGTGTATTATAGAAAATATAAATGCAATAAAGGCATATCTATCCCACTACCCCGAGATATCCTTCTAATCTTTTCATTGTAGGTGTATGTGTATGCTCTTAATATATTTATGTATCTTATAAATCTCCCTATTCTGCTGGGCCTCAAACTGCCTTCATGTCTTTTTCTATTTTCCCATGTACATATAACTTACCTCCTCATCTGGTTTGGAAACTCCTTGAGAAGTGAGACTAAGTCTTGTTGTATTTCTCTATGTCTGCCATGCTTTGAGGAATGATTTGCATATACATACCATTAACTTGACCAAATTTACCAGTACATCTGGTTGGCCCTAAATCTCACATGTTTTAGTAACTCCATCTTTTCATTGTCACAAGTAATTGGAACTTGAAATGCTGATTCATACTTAGAAAACTCATAAAAGACTGAGGAACGTGAAGTAAAATGCCAGCTTTCTACTTTGCAATGAGAAATATGATTGTAAAGTGAATCAGAGGTCTCCTTTAATCACAATGGAAAATCCATGTAGGGAGCTAAATCGCAATCAGGAAGGTTGCTTGGAAAATATAGAACCTGTCTGATTGGAAATAATTGCTTATTTTAATACTTAGGGACAATAAGCCCAGACTATTTAACACATCCATCTGCAAAGGAGACTTTCTCAGTAAGGGATCCTATTAGTTTTGGGGACCCTCTCTCTATGTAATGCATGGTTGGACAACAAAAACATTGGAAGTGTCATTTTCGCATAGCTCTGTACAGAAATCTGACTTTTATTCAGTACCCTTTTCATTAGGTACAATAACGCTGTTTCAATTTGGTACTTGAGTTTTTTATTTATGGAGAAGAAACATTTTTTCTAGTATTTTTTGTTTGTTTTTGTTTGTTTGTTTGTTTATTTTGAGATGGAGTCTCGCTCTGTTGCCTAGGCTGGAGTGCAGTGGTGCAATTTCAGCTCACCACAACCTCTGACTCCAGGGTTCAAGCAATTCTCCTGCCTTATCCTCCCGAGTAGCTGGGACTGCAGGCGTGCGTCACCATGCCCAGCTAATTTTTGTATTTTTAGTAGAAATGGGGTTTCACTATGTTGGCCAGGCTGGTCTCGAACTCCTGACCTTGTGATCTGCCTGCCTTGGCTTCCCGAAGTGCTGGGATTACAGGCATGAGCCACCACGCCCGGCCTAGTGTATTTTTCAGTTACATTGATATCAACAGTTAGGAGTTGATTTTACACTTTAAATCCCAGTGTTTCAAAAGTGCTCTCCCTCTCACTATAAATACGCTTCTGTCTTTGCTTTATTGTTTTCATAAAATTGCCTTTTTAAAACTAAGACTACTGGATTCAGCCAGTTTCTGGAATTTTATAGCAAGTAGTGGTGAGGCTTAAAGTATAGATGATGCTGGGTTCCACTGGAGTTCATTGTTTTCAAATCTCATTTAGAATCATCCAGCCCATCCCAGAGATAAAAGCTTCCTTGGGGAATAGAAGCAGATAAAAGATGGAGCAGGACATGCCTTGGATTTCTGGAATATGCAGTGTCCTCATAGAGGTCAGATCATTTCCTGGTGAGAACGTCCATTCTGTTAGTTGTTTCCACGGTGCTATTTGAGTTCCCTGCAGACCTACTTCCTTCTCGAGTTTATCTATCTTTTCATGCACCAACTTATTTCATAGAAACCTAGAATATTACCTGCCATGGCTGGAGGCCTACTTGCCCTAGCTCTTTTCCCAGTAAATGAAAACACCTCCTTCATAAAAATGGAAAAAATAAAATTGGGTTTGGAAATGCTATAAGCCAGCATTACAAAATGGTGCCTCTTATATGAACAAGAAAGGAGGAACCAGTCACCTTTTAATCTGCTGTATTTATTAAAATAAGCCCACCATGGGCTTATTTTTCCACACTGTCTCTCCAAGTCCCTGTGTCATTGCCTCTGAATTTTTTTTTCTCTCCCTCTTTTTGGTAACACCAACATATTTTCAACCAGTGTTTATTCAGCACATTTTCTGAGTAAAATGTTTGCTTTAGGGCAATGTAATACCCTGAGCATATTTTCTTTTCTTGACCATCTGTGAACCTGTGACATTGAAACTAAGATTTAACTGCAATTTAATGTTAAATGTATATGGGTAGAGTAGCTATGTAGCATTTATTGAACACCTGCTAAGTCCCAGATTCTCCATCAGATTTTTTCATTCATGATTTTATTTAATTCTCAAGATAAATGGTGGAATTAAAATTATTGCCACTTTCCTTTTGAACAAATGGAAACTTAGCAAAGTTATTTCCCAAATAAGTGAAATAAGTGATGTTATTATGATTTGAATGTAAGTCTGTCAGATTTGAAATGCTATGATTTTCATTTTTTTCAATGGATTTACACCCAGCACAATTAAAGCTCTATGAAGGGGGGCTCCTTCTCTGATTGCTTACCACTGAATATTCTATATATATCAGTTCCTGGCACATGTGATATGATTAATAATTATTTATGGAAAGAAGGAATAAATTGATAGAAAAATGGAGGGAGGATGACAGGGAAGAAAGGAATGAAAAGAGGGAAGGAAGGGAGAAAAGAAAGAATGAATGAAGGGAGAAAGGGTAGGTCTTTGAAAATACTTTAGTTTCAGGACTTCAAGTGTTTCTTCTATAGAATACAATCATTTTTATACTTGTTTACTGTGCATATATAAATATTTAAGTATTGAAAACCATAACTGTATATGTGTATGTTTGTGCATGTCTATGTATATATGCATGTGTCAATACATATATACATATATTTTCTTATGTAGGTATTCATGTGTATACATATATTCTTTTGTATACATATATTCATGTGTATACATATATTCTTGAGTATTTGAAAAGTTGCTTGGCTGTAGTTACTCAAGTATATGCAGCATCATCCACATTTTGAAACCCTTTTGGACTAAGCCCATATACAGAGATTAAAACCAATTGCTTTAATGGTTGACTGAATGTGAAGGCAAATTAAATCAGAAATTTCTGCTTCCTTGTAGATACCATATTTTGCTTTTCCTGTGAACCAACCATTGGATACTTTTGTTTGAGCATTTTTATTTATTCATTGTTTTCTTCTTTTGCATAATAGTAGTTATATTTTAATGAGAGAAACAGAAAATTGGCGGTGACATAAAGGATGTACTTCAAAGGAGCTATTCAAGACAACCTGACAAATATTTTTGGACATAACTTATTTTAACAAGCATAACTTTCTCCTTATATCATAGTGGTGTGGGTAGCATTGGGAGTTTTCTGAGCATATGTAATTCATTTATTTCTTGAAAGTAAATGGTTATTTTATGATATAGAAATTCATTTGAAAGAATTAGAAACTGTCATGTATCTTTAGTAAGAAAATTTTCAATATAAGTTTTCATGATACTTCTTTGAAAAACGTCATTTTCTCAAGATTTTTGTCAATATCATGCCTAAATTGTTTTAAGAAAAAAAGAGATAGAACCATCTGAGAGCTGTAAGCTTTAAAAAGTATCCTTTTTGAAACATAGATTCAATTTTCAAATCCTGAAGATAGCTTTTAGGGTTTATATTTTATTTAAAAATGCAATTATATACTTTATTCTTATTAAAACATATATTTAACTACATTTAGAGCAAATGTTAGTGCATATTCCTATAACACAGTTGTATGGTCTTAGGGTAATACATCAACAGTTTTTGGAAGATAACTATTAAAATATTACAGGAAAGCTCTTTCCTCAGTTTAGAAAACAAATTCGGAGATTCAATCTTTTATGATGAGCAGGTTTAACCTAATTTTACAATAAGTCTATGTATGCATTTTTACCTTTCCTTCCTTTTCTCAGCAAAATGTAGTGGCCAATCCAGCACTCTGTATTGTCTAAGATAATTGGGTCAACGGTCTTTCACTCCTTAATTGCTTCCAACTGAAATACATGCCTGTGATTTCACTATGATTTTAATGAAAGCCGAATCAAGATATTTGTGTCTTATAATAATGTCATTCAATAACCACAATTTCTATTCTCCAAACTCTTCTTCCCTTTTTGTTTAATGATAGATCATCATGTATGTCTATATATCTTATGCCGTTGTCTACAGAATAATAACTCAAATAAGAAACCTAGGTGATACATGCTGCTGGAAATTGAGAAGAAAGTGGGGAAGACAGGGGAAATGGCCAGACAAATGCATAGACCTTGATATTTGGAGGTGTTATGACAAGTATACTGCATTTAACTGGCCATAAAGAATGGATGGAATTAGATACATGAGAATTAAAGGCAGCATTTTAAAAGCTTACATTAATTTGACCAGAGACACTGTGAAAAGCAGGACACATGTAAGCATAAAATACATTCTTAATTTATCAAACATTTATGTAACACAAGCCCTGAGCAATGTTCTGAAATTCATACTGTGATGCTTTCTAGGAATTAAAGGTTTTGTTTCAGGGACTCTTTTTAGAAGACTGAGATTCATTTTTGTTTAGGCTTAAGTTATTAAGTCAGCAATTTCCCATTTACTTCGAACATGTAACTAAATATAGAACTTTACTCTAATCCCTCTTCCAGTTGCCTTGAATGGATGATCAGGTCATTTCATTTAATTTAAACAGCTTGCATTTCCTTGTCTCACATGTTTTATTTGAATGAACATTTTACTGTGGGATTTTCTTTTGAAATCCTACAAGTAGATTATATAAAGAGGAATAAAAACAAATAGATTTCAAGTATATGCCTTTTAAAATATTAATAAATTCATTAGATTTGACTTTTAAGCCTTTTATTTATTATTTATTTATTTATTTATTTATTTATTTATTTATTTATTTATTTTGAGATGGAGTCTCGCTCTGTCGCCCAGGCTGGAGTGCAGTGGCAAGATCTTGGCTCACTGCAAGCTCCACCTCCCAGGTTCCAGTGATTCTCCTGCTTCAGCCTGCAGAGTAGCTGGGACTACAGGCGTGCCACCATGCCCCACTAATTTTTTTTGTGTGTGTGTGTTTTTAGTAGAGACAGGGTTTCACCATATTAGCCAGGATGGTCTCGATCTCCTGACCTTATGATCTGCTCATCTTGGCCTCCCAAAGTGCTAGGATTATAGGCATGAGCCACCATGCCCGGCTGACTTTTAAGCCTTTTATTAACTTAGGTTTTAGGTTCCGCAGAGTATTTTCCTTTATTTTTAAACATTTGTATTTAAATAAAAAGGATTTCACTTGTATTATTTAATTTCAGCCACAGAACCAGGGACCTAAGCTGTAAGGCAATAGTGGCCATGGTTACTGGCAAAAGAGAATCCTGCATTCTGCTGGAAGAGGGCTCCTGGCCTGGGAGTTGAGAAATATGAATGCATTCTTGTTTTGACCACATGACAGCTGTGTAGCCGTTAATAAATGATGTTATATTTTAGTATCTCATTTTTAAAAATTTGTCAAAGAGAAAGTTTGCACTGGATGATTTTTCTAGTCTCCTCCATTTCAGAAATTCTGAAATTTACCTTAATATTTTTGCCTTTTCATTGAATGTCCACTTCATGACATATTTTGGGCCATTAAAAAAAAACCCAGAAAGAGTATTTGAGAGGTAAGAGCAATATATGTGTGAACATAGCCTATGGAAATAAATTGAGAAATACTAGAAAAACAGTGACTATATTTCTCAGGCACGGTTTGATGTGAATGATGAGAACATTAAATTTTGATTGGTGCACATAAGGATAACATTTTAGTACATCACACTGAAGGTAGGTAAATGACTACACCCGAGGGTGAGAAGACCTTAGGCGTTATTTCTGACTTGGTCACTAAATAGGCACCAGGTCACCCAACATCTGTAAGTCTTGGTTTCTGTCCCTCAAGTGAAAGGATTGGAGGAAATGATTAGAACTTACTTTCTTTTTTTTATTATTATTATACTTTAAGTTCTAGGGTACATGTGCACAACATCATTCTCAGAACTTTCTTCTAGAGCTCTAGCAGGAGTCTAAGATACAATCTTAATTAAAATCAAAGTCAAGAAAACCAAAAGGAAAATTCTGTTCTAGCTGACCATATTTAGTAAATCAAAGATTAGTCACTCATATACATTGAGCGCAAGCTTTTAATGAACACTGTGTGTCAAATCCCTGGGATACAAAAATAGATTCCAGAAAGTTAAATCTAAATAAGAAATATATAAAATTATTTATAATGTCATAGGATTCTTGCTGTCATGGAAGTGTGAGCAAAGTGCTCGTAAAAATACAGATAATGGAAGAGGTAACTGATGTGACTTGAGTCTTCACTTATGAAGTGACATAATAATTGGTATTTGATGTCTGAATTTGAGTTTGTCAAAACGAGGAATGGGATGATAGCATAAAGCCTCAAAATGTGGGCATTCTGTTGCCAGGAAAACTGTTTGAGAAAGTGACTAGTTCAGTGTGGTTGGGACACAAATATCTGAGGAAAAGATCATGAAATACTTGTTGAATATACTGTTCTAAATTGTATAGATTTATTCTGTGTGTCACGAGGATATTTTAAAGATGTTTAAGTAGAAGAGTATTACAGGGACCTATCTCTCTACAGTACAGAGGACAGATGGAAGGATGCTGAGACTAGCCATAGGAAGGGAGGTGGCTAGTATAGTGGTTCTAGTGAGAAATTAATAGGGAGGTGAATTGAGATGGGCTGGGCCATGCTGGAGTGATGAGTAACCCCCAAAATCTCAGTGGTTTCCTTTCACTCAGTATACATGACCAATCTAAGTTTATTTCTTACTCAATATAATAACCAATCCAAATAGGAGTTGAGAGACTGCTCATTAAAGGCATTCAGGGACTCAGGCTGACAGCTTCCACAGTCACCACATTAAGGTTAAATGAGCACACTAAGTCACACGCCGTCTCTAACAGCTTTAACCTTGAAATGACTGATTTCCTTTCTTCTTGCATTCTCTTTGCAAAACCAAGTCACATGGCCATGCATGGCTTCCAGGGGACTGAAAAATGCAGTCCCATAAAGGCTCTGAAAGTGAAAACTAGAAAATAGGTGAAGAGCTCTCATTAGAGATATGATATGATAGCAAATGGTCACATTTGGAAGACGTAAGAGTAGAGGTTAGGATAACTTCAAAGGTGTTTCTAGTTTGGATTTTTGTTTATGCAGGCTAGTCCCCATTCTTCGCGTGACAGATTTTGCTTATCTTTGCTTCCTCTTCTTCCAGGAAGTCTTCTCTGACCAAGAGTAGATAGGGACCTAGGTTCCATGTTCTCAGTGGCATGCTATGTGTTTAACAACAGACTCTCGTAGAAAACAAAAACAAAAACAAAAACAAATCTTTATTTTGGAGGCTTCGCTGAACTCCTGAGTGCAAATCCTCCCACTAAGGCAAATTTTAGGCTGCCAATGTGGTGTCATTGAACACGGAGTTGGTAACAGGTGCACAGCAGCACTCCATTATTTGGCATTTCCATCATATAGATGCAATAGAACTGAATAAGGTAAAATGTACAGATACTATTATGCCATAGTAAAATAATTAGGATGCAATGAAGTTTTAAGTATTTGTAATCTTTGTTTTAAATTTAATTTATTGAATTATAACTTCATCCAATTTAATTTTTAATAATTGCTATGTTCAGTGAGTAGCTTAACAAAATTTCTGAAAATTTAGCAATTGGCTCTCACAAGCCAATTAGAAGCCGGCTCTAGCATACCATGAGTGTCTTCTTTTTCTCTGCACTCCCACACTTGGTACTTGCCCCATTATGGCTCTTATCAAATTTTATTTCAATTATTCTATAGTCATCTGCTTGCCTGCTGGACAATGAGCTCCTCAAGGAAAAGGATGTTATCTCACTGTTGAATTTCTCAGGACTTAACATGGTACTTGGAACACAGAAGAAATTCAGCAAATATCAGTTGAGGCAATGAATGAGTGAAAACATTTTTTCATGAAATAAGAAACTTATTGGTCTCTCTTTACACTAATCTTTATTTATAGGAGCGAAGTCATTCTATTTCATAAAGAAAGAGCCACTCCAGGCAATTGGTCTTATGTGAATCTCACCTACTGCAAATACTCAGCTGTTAAAAAAAAATCTTAGAGCCTGGCTTTGCTCCTCTGGGTGAATGCCAATTTCTATAGAAAATATCTCGAGTTAAATGTACATTCAAGACCTGGATTGTAGCTTTTGAAAATTCTGTTGTATTTTTGAAATTTTATCATACATTTCCTTATGTAAATAATCTATTTATATTTATAACCACTTTAAAAAATTTTTGTCTACCAATTGAGTCAAGTGTTTAAAGATAGCAATTGTATCTTGTGCTTTATTTGTATTTCTTTCACACAGCACAGTATTGGTCAAAACATAGTGACTCAAATTATTAAAGAGTTTGCATTGATTGTTTTACTTTTTACTTCTAACTCAAATACCAATATAATTCAAAATTATTTTCTGAAGTTTCCTGTAGATCTTATATATTTTCCATTTCAGTGAGTTCCCTGGATTGAAGAATGCCAATTATCTGAATTCCACTGAGTTCTACTTTGATATTAGTAGCTGAAAATCTGTTTTGTACATTTTTTAGCTTTATTAAAACTCACTATCTTGATACTGAGTCACGTTTGTCTTCCTAATGTACATTCCACTGAAATAGCACTTCAAGGACAACAGACTGTTCCACCGAAGAATAAGAGTGCACCAAGTGACAGATTGCAGACACTTGGTATTGCTAGATTATTAAACTCCTTATCTAAATTGTTTACATGTCAAGTTTCTTTGGTAGCCCAGAATAATTTAGATAAATGAGCCTCCCCATGGTAATTACATTTTCTTAACAACATTTTGGAGAATGTACATAAAAGGTAATAATAGCTCCTACCAGCGCCCTGTCCTGCAGCATGTCACAGCCCCAGTCTCTGATAGTGTCTGACACTTATTACTTAAGTCATATATTTCTGAAAGCAGAGACCTCTGCAAGGTCTTTTCCTGAATGATACTGTCTCAAGCTGCAAAGAGTCAAAAATCTGATTATGTTTCCAACTTTCCATGGATGTCATATGCATTGATGGGAATGGCTAAACTTTCTGAATAAGGAATTATTAAGTAGGGAATATGAAATAGAATCTCTAAAATGGGAGAATTTTTTTATGTCCCCATTTTAAGATACTGCTATATCCCTTGGGGAAGTTATCCTCCCCACTCCCCACAAGAATCTCCACTCTTCCTGCAGTAGCAACATACGGATATTCATGAGCAAGTGTTTTCTCGCTCGGGTACTTAAGGACATGAACATATTCAAAAACATCATTCCACAGCTTCTCTTATCAAAAGAGAAAATTATTGACTTGCAAAAATTATACTGCTATTTCCCATGGACATGCATTGTCTTAAAAATTCTACCAGGTGGAATTTTGCTATACTATAGTTTCGAACATCTGTGTCCCAATATATGCTCCACAGAGCACTAATCTTGTGCCATGGTGCGTATATGTGTGTGTGTATCTGTATACAAGTTTGCGAAACTCTGTAGACAACATATTCTTCTATTAAATTTGTGACATGTATTAACATACTTGAGACCATCTGAGAAATCTCCCAGTAGTATATCTGTATCTATATACGATTCACTGTTTATCAAATTCAGTTCACTGTGTGTATCAGTCATGTCCCAATCAGGAGATAGAAACCACACAGTAATTTGAACTGGGAAGTTGAATATAAAGGATTATTAATTACAACAGGGTACTGGAGTAAAAATTGGGATTGGCGCATAAAAAATGAAGAGAAGTATAAAACACAAAGACGTAGCAGATAAAATCATCCATGAGTGCCCAAGGAAAGTCTTATACTCTTGCTCAGCGTTGAGATTCGTACTTTTCTACTTGGGGAGAGTACAGTTTGTGAAAGTTTTCTATTTTCTATTAAAAGTTAAATAGGAAGTTTAATTTTCTCTTAAAACATGTTATCTTTAATATCAATATACTTTTTAAGTAATTTTGGTTAGGTGAAATTATATAGAAATAGAACAGAAATAGAAGAGCAATATTTTGTGATTGGAGTAGGTATGAATCTTTTAATTTTGAAATTGTATTTCTCTCATTTACCTTTATATGATTTGGACCCTGATTACTCCTCAGAGTCTGAGCAGACATCAGTAGACAGAGTATCACTTTTCAGCACTGGTATTCTCCTTCCCCTGATGCCACCTTGAGAGGCGAATGTATTGAGGCAGTCATAGCTGAGGCAAGACCGAATACCCCAGATCAGTGCTGGAATGGGATGAGGAGAGTGGAGGCAGGGGCTCTTCATTAGGAGCAGGCTCTGGGAGGCATCAGTGAAGGGTAGGATGCCCCCAAGTTGTGGCTGTGCAACTCTGCATTAGGCTCCTTCCTGCTTTGAAACAGCTGGATTGGCTTTGGGCAAGATTAACTATTTTAGTTATTGTGGAAATTTAATAAAAATGCAGAGCTTCAGACTAGCCAGAAAGAACACAATAGGTGATCATCAATATTACGCCTCTGCTTTCTCACTTCTCGGGAATTGAACTTAGTAATTAAGGAGAGATGGGCAATCACTTAGTATGCTTTGAAATATCTCATATTTTAAGACCTGGAGCTATTGTTTTGATGTCTTTTATTATTTTCTCAATTATATATCATTTCATCCTAGCACGTAGCACTGAAAAGGTCTTCAAGCATAATCTAATATAATTTATAAAGGGAGTTAATGAAGAATAATTATTTTTACTAGTAGATTTTCCAAGCTATCTCATTACTGGGCACATTACACCTATTTTACATATTTTAAAAATTTATAAACTGAAGAAGTAAGTGTACCAACTCATGATGTATCTAAAAACTAAGCCAAAATTATACAATCAAGTTTATTCAATTAAATATATATATATTTTTATATATATGTAATTTATGTGTGTTTGGAATTATTGGAATAGCTGGAGCATATATAATAAATAAGGAATACTAGTCAACTGGTAATTCTGAGGTTTCTCATTGAGCCCTGCCCTTTCTCTCAAGTTGTCTTAGCTGTTCTGATTTTTTGGTGGAGGTCCATATGTATTTAGCCAAGTTGTCTGGTATTCTTTTAGTACATGGAAAGAAAATGGCAATCTCATCTCTTGATGGCATATGGTGACAATATTATATAGATAACCACATGATGACATTAACCATGAGTTATGTCCTGTATATCAGAGGACTATGCAAAACATCACTAGTTACAGACTTGTTCCCATAAAGCCCTAATGGTGCAAACTTTGATTGGGTTTTGAAGATCAGTAAAATTTTCAGATTTTAAGCCTTTAGGATGTCAGGGGTGAAGTGCTGGGGTGGTGATAAAAAATATCTTAATTTAATAATAACTTGGGGATGTAAATGAGCATGAGATTTCTGGCATATTGTTTGCCATATATTCCTAGAACTTTCTAGTCCAACTAAAATACAGCGTGATTAGAAGCAAACTACTCTTCATATAAATATTTTACTTTTAGATCTTTTCACCCCCTCCTCCTCCACCTCTCCTTCCGTCCTCTATCACGTCGAAAGCGTATTTCTGTATGTCTAAACATTGTGAGAGAAATCTGCTATATCGTTTGTGTATAGCTCTCTCACTCTCTCTCTTTGTGTGTATGTACCTTCTCTTGATGTGTAAAGAAGCTAGATAATATGAGAAAGAAGATTTCTACCAGTTAAAATTGTCTAACAGTGGGACAGCCTCTCTCACCCATAATGGACCTCTGTTATTTGGAGGACTTAATCATAAGGCTAATGTCTATTGTCACAATGGATTTTTTTTTTTTTTTTGAGACAGGTTCTTACTTCAGTTGCCCAGGCTGGAGTGCAGTGGCACAATTAAGGCTTACTGCAGTCTTGACTTCCTAGGCTCAGGTGATACTCCAACCTTAGCCTCCCAAGAAACTGGGACTACAGGAGTGTACCACCACGTCTGGCTAATTTTTTGTATTTTTTATAGAGATGGTGTTTTGCCAGGTTGTCCAGGCTTGTCTCAAAATCCTCGACTCCAGCTATTTGCCCGCCTTGGCCTCCCGAAGTGCTGGAATTACAGGCGTGAGCCACTGCGCCCAGCCTAGAATCGACTCTTAATTTGCACAATAACCAGGATCAAGTGACCTATGTAGTAATTTCTTCCAGCGTATAAGTTTGTGATCCTGAACAGATGCCCATTTCAGAGTAAATCTGAATCAAAATAACATTTCCACTTAGCAGATATCTAAATAAAGTTGGCTGGCACATCCGTGACTCCTACATCCCCTTTACCCATTACAATGTTTTATTAATTTTTTTCCCTCATGAAACTTATTTTTCATTATGGTATATTAATATCTCCAAGCCTCGTAGCCTTCCTTGCAAAGACCTCACCCCCAATATATATCCTGTCTGGCCGTCACTGGCATGATTTTGTGCTTTGCCAGAACCAGCCCAGTAAGCAGCTCGCTTACCTGCTGTCATTCATTCCTGAGCATGTCCTGAGTGTGCACCAACACTGGGCTATACATGGACTTAGAGTGAAACACAACACGGAACTATTTCCTCCAAGGAGGTCAGAGTCTAGAAAAAGGAGGTTTTAATTTGAAAAATTATAATATTAAGTTGCAAATGTTAATGAGGGTTTAAGAAGAAGCAGAGTATTACTGTGTTTAAGATCTGGGATGTGGCTGTTGATCTCTCCCTTTCCCAATTTAATCACTGGGTGATACTGAGCCAGGCACTTATTTTATTTTATTCATTTCTAAATAATAATATATCCGTGTTGCAATACTGAATATTTTTGACATCTTCTTCCAGCAAGGAACCAGATTTACCTCCCACCTGAAACAAATGATGAACAAGCAAAACCATAAAATAACTGTTTTTAGACATTGAGCTTCAGGCATTGAAGAACAGTGATTCTTCAATCACTGTTGATTGAACAGTGATATTGGGAAGCAAGCCAACAATTTGTGCTTCAGGGAGAGTTTTCCAAACCAATTGTTATTAATGAGTCACACATCATATCTGATTTATGATTTATTAAACTTTATGCATTAAATACTTTCCAAACAAGACAAGTTTTGTAATGTGCCATATATTATAAAATACTTTTATGTTTTGTAAAAGATTCAAATGAAATTAGAAAACTTAGTGTGTGAAATATATATTTCATTTTTAAATAAAAACTGTCAACTTAGTTTCTTGATTAAAATTAAAATTTGCAGAGTTCTGTTTCACATGTAAACTTATAGGAAACATTCATGGGAATGAAGCAGAGGCATACCTTTGCTTTTAGAATTCTTGTATTAATTCTTTTCATTCACAGAAGTATTACTAATTTATTTCATGCATCTTTTTCATTTAAAAAACACTTGAGGCTCCATAGAACACAGCAAAAATCTTTTACTGTGCATTTATGTGAAAGGACATGGTGAAATTCTCGTCACAGAAGTCTTGCATCTTAGCTGAAATAATTGCTTCTCGAATAATAATATGCTTCCAACAAATTATATTACCTAGATTAGTACTAGGGCCAGAAAATTTATAGTGGCATCTATTCTAAGTAGTCACTGGTGTATTCCTTGTTCCTTTTTAATTTATGTTAAGCCTGGTAAACTGAATGCAAAAGTGTTTCTAATAATGAAATAAGAAGATTCTGTGTCTAGTAGGATATTGTTGGTGGAAAGTGACTAAGCAAAAGGCAACCTAGACCCCAAATGATTCCTATTCAAATATACATCTGTATTTTTTTCATTAAAATTGTATTCAGTATGGGTAGGGAAAACCCTGTAGAAGGTGCTCAGATTTAAGCACTTAGCACAAAGATAAAAGTCTGTGCATCATGGAGTTTAGGTTCTGGAGGAGAGATATCATTATTTGCAAAGAGACATTATTTGCCAAGAAATAAATGCAAGGAACAAGCGTGCATGTGTGCATGCTCACACGAATGCATGAGTGTGTATATATGTGGCATCATATTGGAAGAAACTGTGGAGTAAAATAAACCAAAGAAGGGAAAGAGAAGAATCCAGTGTGAGGAAATTTATTTTTAATAGGGTGGTCTTGGAAAGTCTCATTGAAAAGTTGAATCTTGAGCTAAGATTTGAGGGGTGGTAAGACAATGAGACATAGAGATCTCCTTAAGAAGGGCTTCCCCAGGGGAGGATCCTCAAAGGCAAACTCCTGAGGAAGGCATGTTGAGTCTTTTAAAAGAGCATCATATCTGTGTGATCCAGAGTGAAGAAGAGGCCAGTAGTTCAGATGAGGTCAGAGAGGAAACAGAGAAAAAAATGATGTGGGTGGTTTAAGTGCTTTTTCCTCAAATGGAATGGGTAGTCATTGGAGAGACTTGAGCAGAGGTGTGGCATGATTTGAATTATGTTTTAAAAGGATCACTCTGGTTATTGCATTAAGACTAGACTGTAAGGCAGCAAGGGCAGAAGCAGACACCTAGTGAAGAGGCTACTGCAATAAATAGGCCATAAATCACAGCAGCTTGGCCTGCAGTTCTGGGGTGGCAGTGGTGGGAAGTACTTCAATTATGAACATTGAGCCAACACCATTTGCTGATGGACTCGATGTGGAGTGGGAGGAAAACGCCTTATTTGACTTAACCTGAGCACCTGGGAGAAGGGTATTGCCATTTACAGAGATAAGAAAGACTTTATGGAACAGAGTTGAGGAAAGGAGATTTGGAGTTTGGTTAGTTTTGAGATGCTCCTTATACATCCAATTGGCTGTGTTGATACATGAGTCTAGAGTTCAGGGAAGAGACTCAGGCTGGAGATTTAAATTTGGAAATTGTCATTGTTTACTGAGATGGAATTACCTGGAAAGCAGGTGTAGATGGAGAAGAAAAGAGGCTGAGATTTGAAAGACAGGAGTCCAGAAGACAGAAAGTGTAAGTCATTTGGGTAGGAGCAAAACTAGTACAGTGTAGTATTAGATACTATGTGAAAAAGTGTGCAAGAAATGCCTGGCCTGTTTATTAGTTGCATTTTAGGTCGTGGCTTGTGTGTAGGCTGCTGTTCTGAAAAATATTCTGAACAAAGGCAAATAACCATTTTATTTATTCTTATTATTCTTATTTTAATTTTTTGAGATGGAATCTTGCTCTGTTGCCCAGGCTGGAATGCAGTGGTGTGGTCTCAGCTCACTGCAACCTCTGCCTCCTGGGTTCAAGTGATTCTTGTGTCTCAGCCTCCTGAGTAGCTGGGATTACAGGTGAGCACCACTATACCCGGATAATTTTTGTATTTTTAGTAAAGATGAGTTCTTGTTATGTTGGCCAGGCTGATCTTGAACTTCTGACCTCCAGTGATCTACCCACCTCGGCCTCCCACAGTGCTAGGATTACAGACATGAGCCACCACACCCGGCCACAAATAACCATTTTAAATGTAGGGTATTGTCTTGGTCTGTTTGTGCTGCTGTAACAAAACAACACAGATTGGATAAATTATATATAATTTACTCCTTATGGTTCTGGAGGCTGGCAAGTCCAAGACCAAGGCACCAGAAGATTTTGTGTCTTTTGAGGGCTGCTGTCTGTTTCTAAGATAGTACTTTCTTGCTGTGTCCTCACATGGTGGGAGGAATGAAGACTGTGTCCTCACATGGTGGAAAGAATGAAGATTATGTCCTCACATGGTAGAAGGACAGAAGAGAGAAAGGCATACTCCTTCAAACGTTGTATAAGGGCACAATTCCTGTTCAGAAAGGAAGAGTCCTCATGACTTAATCATTTCTTAAAGGTCCCATGTCTTAATACTATCACATTGGGTGTTTGATCCTAACATGAATTTTGGAGGAACACATTTAGAGTATACATGGCACATGTGACCACTCTATGTGTTTCAGTATTCTAGAGTACTAACCAACAAAACATTTGAGAAATAAGTTATCAGATTACCATAATTTTTGCACTGTGTAGTGCCAAACATGTAGATTCCCCTTCCCTAGACAGATTGAGCTTATGGCTAGGGGGAAATAGATTTCCCCTCATAATAATGGAAGAATCTACTTTCCCAAATCTACAGAAAGATAATTGAGAATTTATAGCTATGTTCTTATGTATGATTGACACAAATCAGGATTGATCCATCGATTGAAGCCATATATATTGCTTATCTACTTTGTGTCGGGCACTGTGCTAGCCACTGTATAAATGGTGGTGAACAGGATATTTTCTCAGTGAGCAAACATTTGGGGAGGGAAGCAGACAATTAAAGAAGCAATTACAGTGCAGAGTGATAAATGATTTATTTCTGAAAACATGAGGAGATAAGGGTATTCACAGGGACGTGGAATCTAATCTTAAGGTCTTAGCAAACATTTCCTGAAAGCAGGACTCAAATTGTTGCTGGCCTAAATGACAATGTTCTCCAGGACCATTTGAACACATTCCTAGGTTTCGAATTTCTGTCTTGTTACGATTTTTCTAACTTGTGCTCTAGGTCATCCCATAGTTAGGGAAAAATTACTCACCCTCCTCTGCTACGTGAGACTTATCTTTATGCCTAGGCACTTTCACATTTAGTGTTTCATATGCTGCTTTTTTGGCAGCTTAAAATACAGTTTATTAGTAAGCAGAAGACATGCCTCTTTGAGAGACTGTAAAGGCTGTTGGAGCTGGCTACTGAGGGAACAACTGCTTCATTGCTTGCCCCAGAAGCAACTCATTTCAGTAGTACTGATTTGTTATTTATCCATGAGGAGGCTGAAAGGAGAAGTAAACATCTCCAGGCTAACAGTACACTGATGTCCCAGTTGCTTTGGAGCTAAGCATCAAAATTAATGAAGTTATGAGACACAATATTGCTATCCTTAGACTTCCTACTGTATAGATTCTAGGCAAATAAACTTGATAGGAATTGAGCTATTTCCATATGTATACCTCTAACCTATATAACATTTGTTTGCTGTAGATTAAGAAAACACATATTGCCAAAGCAGCACACATCAGTGATAGATTTCCTTTCACTTTACTCTTCCAGAAACAGAATTTATTTTCTTCTTTTTAGAGTGCCATCTCTCTTTTAGGGCAGAAGAGGCCTGATAATTAATTAATTATTAAATCAATTTTATAACATTTATTATATACCTGCTATGTGCCAGGTGCTTTTCTTGTAACTTGAAATCACCAAGAATAAAACAGTCTTCATCAGAATTTAACAGTTAATGTTGAACTGTTCTAAGGGGAAATAAACACTAATGAAGAAGAAAAATATTGCCAAACAAAGTTGTTTTGGTGTCCTCTATTTTCAGTTACAGAGAAGGTAAGGTAGAATATCAAAATAATAAGGTCATTTGCTTCAGATATACTAATGCAAAGATTACAGGGCCTTATTCCAAAGCAGTAATCCTCTCCATCTCTCAGAGCTGAAGGCTTATGTCTATCATTCTGCCAGAGCCAGATGCATCATAGATAGCAATTGTGTCTTTGAATGTCTCTTGTCTTTTCTCATGATCCACTGGCAGTGGCCTTACTTCGTTTTGCTGCCTTTGTAACCAATGGGTTTCCTTGCCTCTTCTCCATTGAGTATTTTATGGATGACTTCGAAGTACATCTGAGGTATCCAATTTTTCAGCCTGACTCTAACACACCAGCTCCAGACTGTTATTCACAAATGGTGTGAATGTTGTGACAGGAAGTCTAAGAAAAGAAAGGGAGCTGGGGATTTTTTTGTATAGGAAGTTTTGAAATATTTACTAAGAAGTCTGATTTTCTGGATTTGTGTTTTGATGAAGAATGATTGGTTTAAAAGGCATCTGTGATGCCTTAACCAAGAATATTAGGAATCATAGGTTTGTGAAGGCAGAGGTGTCAAACAAATAATATCCCAAATTTACTAGGTTTAGACGCAAAGTCAGACTGATTAAATAGAGAGATGGAATATTTTGACATCTCACAGGAACTTCTGTGAAGCTAAAGTGTTTACAAAGCAACTCCAGAAAGGAAAGAGTAAGGACTGAGTAGAGGAAGCTCAAAAGATAATGTAGGAAAGAGAATGTCAGGCTAGAAGTCCAAAGACCTTTGGATACTGTATGGTTAGGTCTGTTATGCTGCAGACTGTCACACACTCCTTGGGTCTCTTAAGCATGCCCTGCAAGCTGTCTCTTTCTTCACTGAGCAGAAGATATTTAATGGAACCTTTCAGTCTCCATCATCTCTTCACTTCAAAATGATAATACTTTGAAAAGTTATGTGTAAAGTGCATGTATTTACTAAATGAGCATAAAATTATATGTGAAATCCAAGAATTTAATAGTAACTTTTAGACCAACAGAGGGAAATACGGTATTTTTTTCAGAACTTTAAAGATTTAAAGATACTGAAGAGGTTAAAAAAAAAAAAGGCCCTCACTGAGCCTATGTAAAGTGATGAATTGCTCCACAAAGTGATGAATTGCTCCGCAAGCAACATGCAGAAATATTGCACTTTAGTGTTGTAACTCACTTACATTCCTAGATGATGTTCATGTAATAATAGTTCATACATGTTGAATGTCAAACACATGCCAAATATCTCACTTGTATTATTTGTAACTTTTTTCCCACAATATTTTAGGGTTATATAGATGGCTTTGAGACTCAGAGAGGCCAAGAAAATATTTTGTGGGTGAATAACTAGTAAATTGGAAAGCTGGAGTTCAGACTTTTGTTTACATGACTTCAAAACCCATTCTCTTAGTCTGTACCTCATTGGCTCTCAGGGATCTTTCTTAGACACCTCATTGTCTATGCTCTGTGATAGTTTGACCAGTTGTGTTTGATAAAAGAGATAGAGATGTACAAATCCAAATCTGCAAATCCTTGACCATGTACCATCATTCATGTAGGTTCTATTCTGATTCAGGACCTGCTTGGAGCCTTCTCTCCAACTCATATGGCATTCTCCCATCCTGACAATCTTCCCTGAGTCTTCTGCAAGTTGTAGAATTGCTCCTCCCCCTCTGCTATAAGGCCTGCATATAAAATTGGCTGAGGAATGTGCTTGGCTCTTTTCCTAAAGATTATAAAATGATCATGACCCTGTGAGGCCTTAATGCCCTACAGAGAGAAGGCCCTAAAAATCTAAACTCAAGGAAAACTGTGTTTTTCATAGTCCAGACTCATTTGTATTAAATAGATCACAACCAGATAATCCCTGAGAAATTTATTATATCAAAGTTTCTCCTTTTTGAGTTGATCTAAAGGCTAGGAAGAGCCTTGCACATACCTTTGAGGATAGATTATGTGTATGTGTATGGCTAGGAATTTACGTGTATTAATTCCTTAACCATGTATGACTGAGCTCCCATGTGACACCAAACTTTCTTTTTCTGAGCCATTTGTTGTGAGTTCTTTGTGCTTTTTTAACCTTGTCTCCTATGTTTTCCTACAAACCACGTCTCCACTAGCCATACTGAACTCAATATTTCTTCTTTACATCATTTTAGGCAAGCTGTACATTACTGGAAAGAGATGATGGGTAAATATACTAGGTGAAGGCCTAACATGTGATTTAGCTGGCTATGGGTTTAAAAGCTCATCAGAAGTGAGGTTGCTGCACACAAAAAAAGGAGAAGCAGCAGTGAATATTAGCAAAATATTCTCTAAAAGCTCTTCTTTTCTAATATGGGTCCTGGGGACCCTGTCCACTCAAAGGAGGGTCTTCAAATTTGGGAAATATATGAATTTTAGCAGCATCACAGATTTTATTTTACTGTTGTTTTGTTTTTAGTAAGTGAAATCTGAGTCCACATGCCCGAAGAACTTATATCATCTATGTGAAATCATATCTTGGAGAAAATGAATAGGATTGGGGACAGTGGCAGCAAATCTTTTCATAGACCCATTAGATCTTTCTATATTGTTAAATTTTATTCTGTAGAAATATATGTAAAACAAATGTCTAGGTAGATAGACAGTGAGAATCCTTATGGAACTTCTGTTTTTTGTTTGTTTGTTTTTGTCTGAAGACCTCACTTTCCTTACCATGTTGTTAACACGGAGAATCTTTTTAAAACTATTCCCTTGAAGGTTACACATACTGAATTGCCAATGCATATATAGTCGCAATAGTTAAAATTATGTTTAACCATAGAGTGGCACAAAAATATTACCATAGGATGTGGAAAGAGCAGAACGTAATATGCACAGTAAAATGGCAGCAATAATACATTTTAGCAAGGACTCACAAAGCTGTAACAGGCCACATCAAAGAGAACCAGATACCCATCCGCTCCCTCTAGCACGGCAGTAACCATATGATCTTGCCAAATTTGCTTTTATAATTTGAATTGACTTGTGATTTCTCTCTTCTCAATTGAAAATTCTAGTGGTTGCCCAAATGACGTGTTGAATTAAATCTGCATATCCTAACTGAAAGTAAGAAAACTTTTGGCTGAGGAAAAGGGAGCATTTTTCTTACAATGTCATTTTCTCTCCTTGCTCATTCATGTCTCTGCTGTTCAGGTATTCTGTTTCTCTTTAGAATGTGGGATTTCCTTGTTTTCTCTCCTACCCAGTGGCCAAAAACCTACTCATTTCCTGAAACTCATTGCAAATTCTTTTTAGTAACGCCTACCCTGAACACATTTTCTTTCTTCCCTATCTCCCCCGCCTCACATGCCTAAAGTGTGGCTATAACAGCCCTGCATACACTGGAATTGTTTTCATACCTCTCTTCCCAGTTGAGCTGTGACATCCCAAAATGCAGAGCTGGCTTAGATTTACTTTTACAGCTTTCTTTAGCACTAGCAGTAGATTGAATAAATGAATGGCTTTCCATAAAATAGTTCTTGTTTGTACTGGTGAAAGACTGAATAATGAGCTCAATAGAATGGTACTATGATTGAATATGAAATTTATGATCTTAAGGAGTCTAAGTTTTTAGTGCAAATCAGAACATAGATACCTTTGAAATAAAAGGCTGTCTCTTTTTGCATCAGTGATGTATACACATAAATAGAACATACACACAGGCAGTGTTCAGAGCCCCTTAACAGGTAAGCACTGTCTAAATGCACAGTCATGTCTTATGAACACAGCATATAATTTGGAGGAAATTAACTTTAATGTAGCCATGAGGATGATTTTATGTTGGTGTATTATTATGGAGACGGGCATAATTGTGTTAGCCATGTGAATGGCAAGTGCTGAGTTTACAACCATGTTTTATTGATGTAGCAGCAAAAGTATTATTGGATGTATCAGAACATTATCTGTAGGTCAGAGCTCAACACTGCAATTATGAAAACCAAATAGTGTTTGATAATGAGAAGGTGGGAGAATTTTTATGTGATTTTTTAGTTAGTTGATCAAGAACTTCAACTCTGATATATACTTGCCCCCAGAAATTACTTATAAGCAAAAATTGAGTGGCTGATTTATGCTTTCCATTAACTGATTAAAATTAGAAACTATGTTGATTATAGCTGAAGTCGAACTTTGTAAAGTGTAGCATTTAAGGTGGTGCTTCATTTAATGTTCATTTTTACTTGATACCTTGTCACCAATTGAAGTTTCTTTCTTCTTATTTTTTTAAAATTTGTTCACTATAGGAATTATAGAAATCAGAAAAATAAAACATAAACTAGAAAACATAAATTACTGTAGATCCCCTGAATGCAGAAATAATCATACATAATCTTTTGGTGACAAGTTAAGTAACTTGGCCATTATTACACAGCCATTAAAGGCAGCATTAGAGTGGAAATCCAGGTGATCTGTCACTGAATCTCTACTTTTAGGTCATTACATCACACTGTTTTCACGGAAAAAGTACTTTCTATGTAAACGTTGGAGTTAGCTCACTGAACAGTTTAACCAAACTCCGAACTAAGGCTCTAGTGTTAAAGAACAAGGAATCTAGAACTAGAAATACCATTTGACTCAGCCATCCCATTACTGGGTATATACCCAAAGGATTATAAATCAAGCTGCTATAAAGACACATGCACATGTATGTTTACTGTGGCACTATTCACAATAGCAAAGACTTGGAACCAACCCAAATGTCCATCATGATAGACTGGATTCAGAAAATGTGACACATATACACCATGGAATACTATGCAGCCATAATAAAGGACTAGTTCATGTCCTTTGTAGGGACATGGATGAAGCTGGAAACCATCATTCTCAGCAAAGTATCGCAAGGACAAAAAAACAAACACCGCATAGGTGGGAATTGAACAATGAGAACACTTGGACACAGGAAGGGGACCATCACACACTGGGGCCTGTTGTGGGGTGGGGGAGGGGGGAGGGATAGCATTAGGAGATATACCTAATGTAAATGACGAGTTAATGGGTGCAGCACACCAACATGGCACATGTATACATATGTAACAAACCTGCACGTTGTGCACATGTACCCTAGAAATTAAAGTACAATGAAAAAAAAAAAAAGAAAAAAAACAGAATGGGGGAAAAAAAACAACAGCTCCGAGTCATTCTCTTTTACTGTAAAACAAATAAAGAAAATAAAACAAAATAAGAAAAAAGTTTTCTATCACTTAGATATGAAAATCAAGAAGGCAGAGTCTAGCTTGGATTTTCTTAACATCTATTTGCTCTGAGGCTCCACTTGTCTTTGGATTTTGAATATTTTCTTTTGTTGCACTGATTTTTTTTTCAATTTATATTTTACATGAAAAAAATTGGAGAAATATGTACTGTACTTATGATGGAAAACTCTGTATGTGGTATTGAACGCAACTGGCCTAGTGCATACTTCCTGAGGGTAAGAGAGAAGTGGAGACATGTTTCAATGGAGCCTTTAAGATTAAGAAGTCCCTCTTATCACCAGTTGGTGGATGCTAGCAGATATAGAAAAGGTATTAAATAACTGGCAGTAGCCCTGTTTTTTTTTTCTTCTTCTTCTTTTTCCTCTTCTCCTTCTCCTTCTCCTTCTCCTTCTCCTTCTTCTTCTTCTTTTTCTTTTCTTCTTCCTCTTCTTCTTTTTTTTTTTTTTTTGAGATGGAGCTTCACTCTTGTTGCCCATGCTGGAGCACAATGGCACAATCTCAGCTCGCTGTAACCTCTGCCTCCCAGGTTCAAGTGATTCTTCTGCCTCAGCCTCCCAAGTAGCTGGGATTACAGGTGCCCATTCCCATGCCCACCTAATTTTTTGTAGTTTTCGTAGAGATGGGTTTTCCCCATATTGGCCAGGTTGATCTTGAACTCTTGACCTCAGGTGATTCATCTGCTTCAGCCTCCCAAAGGCTGGGATTACAGGCTTGAGCCACCATGCCTGGCCCCTATTGTTTCTTCTTTTACCTGACACAAAGATTTCTTCTTGCCACTGCTGATGAGAGGTGATGGTTCAGTACTAGACTCTACTGAACCACACAATGGATTTCTAGGGAGTCTTGGAATCACTGCATCATTTATTTATTCAGCAAATATTCATTGAACTTTTATTTTACTTAGCTCCCTTGAGATGGTAACATAAAACTTGGTCCTGATGAAGTACCATATATTCACATTTACATTCATCCTCAACACCCTCACCCCAGCTTCTTACCAGGAGAACATATAAAAATGCTGTTCTCCCCATAGGTTCTCTATGCAACGTCTGTTAGCAGCAGCTGAAACAGCAGCAGGCAGATAATAAATTTAAATTGACTCCTCTATATTTCTTCATGTTCCTCTGAGATGAAACGAGTTCATTTCAGAGTTCCTGGGTGTCTGATATAATTAGGTTTCTTTCTGTCTCCTTTTCCTTCTCCTTACTTACTTTCTGTCTTATATTCCATCTCATGTACTGAAGATGTGTATCTGTTTTTGGTTTCTAGCATCAGCTATCATCAATGATTAGCAACTGTAGGGGTTTTATTGCAGAAAATATTACTTCAATGATCACTTGTTAAGGTGGCACTTGCGTACTGAAACTTAATGATTCTTTAGCTTGTTTTGTTTGTTAGGTTCTTACCGCTGAGTGCTGTCATCTTAAAATGACAAATGCAGTGCACATTATTTATTATGCTGCTGGAGATTAGAATCCAAAAAATGCAATTGTTGACATTTGCAATTGAAATGCACTAAACATGGCAAAACAGAAACTTGAGGATCCGTGAAGGGTCCTTTGCAAATAGATTTGCTAATTAAAATAATCACCTCATTTTCTTATTTATCCATTGGCTATAGAGTCATTACTTGCGCTGTCTTGTGGAGTCATTACTTGCACTGTTTTAGTTGATTGTTCAGTTAATGTTCTTGAGTTTCTGGAATCATGAAGCTATCCACGCAAGAAGGAAGCATTGATGAAACATTAGCAAAATGAAAATTATTTTCATAAAACTTTAAGTGTGTTTGGCTTTTGAAGAAGGCATTGCTAGTTTGTATTGTCTTGCATTTAGAGAAGTTTCAGACAAGATCCGGCATGTTCAGGGTGGTATGGCCTGGCATACATTTATTTACCTAAGTAACAAAATTCCACGTCCTGCACATGTATCCTGGAACTTGAAAAAAAAACAAAAAACAAAAAAAACCTTTCAGTATTATTTTGGTTGAATACATAATTGTTAATATTCATAAAATGTTTACCAAATTTTATAATATTTGTAAAACTAGCAACCATATACAATTCAACATAATAAGCATAAATACAAATTGGCTAATAAATATTTAGGTAACATAGTGTTTCACATAACTGTGTTTTGCAGAAAATTTGAGCTCATCACTTCAGGTGTTGCAACTGCTATATTAACCAGATGAGTTGAAACTATTTCTAAATATAGTATTTTTTTCTTCTTAAGGAGAGCACACATACTCCTTTATTGAAGGCTCAAAATCATTACTGCAAATGACACTTGGTACACTGTCATGTGATAATGTGGTGTTCTCAGAAGTTATAAAGTTTGCATGCTTATTTCTGAGAATGTATGGTTTTTTATTTTTGCCCCTTTGTTAAATTGCTTTCTCTTACTTTTTCATGTTCTAAGTGATCTGTTATGACATGAAATGAACAGATTCAGAACAGAGAAGTCAAAAAGATGCCAGGATGACACTAGTGAATTGAGGCCAACTGGGTACCATAGGTCTAAGCTGGTGATGCATTAAAAGATGAAAGAGAAAAGTGACGATCACAGATTTGGAATATAAAACAGAAGTTGGAGTGAGAACTATATTAAAGAAGGAACTATTACGCAGGAGTGGGGCCAATGAAAATGACAGTGATCAAGAGCCTTGAAACAGAAAACATAGGAGGAAAAGAATTAGGTCACATAGGCTAATATGTGCAAAGTCTGATCAGTTCAACCCAGTAAAGAAAAATAAGAAGCAATCAAGAGTAAAATTAAGAACTGATAGCTGTTTGCTCTTTGCTCCAGTCCTAGGCTACCATTTGAATATAGGTGGTCATAACTTGCAAGATGGGTTTTATTTTGGGGAGGTATGGTCTCATTGGTTCTGCCATAGCCAAATTCTTACAAAAACAAAGGCTCAGCTTTTTTTGAGGGTTATAAAATGCTCAATGCTAAATCCAAGTGCATTTGATTTATTGCTTATAAGCCAGTGTATTCTAGGGAGTTATATAGTTAATATATAGCAAATTATATAGATAATATTGTGAAAATCATGTGTAAAATCTGAGTCACTAGGGCTGAAATCAAGAATCCATGGCACTCTCATTAGTCAAGTTCGTAGACTTAGTAGAGTGGTTCTCTATCCAGGGTGATATTACCCCTAGGGGACATTAGAGAATGTCTAGCAACATTTTTATTGCTACAGTGGGAGAATACTTCTGATATTTAGTAGATAGAGGCCAAGGATGCTGCTAATCATCCTACAATACACAGGATACCCCTCCAAAACAAACCAAAATATTTGGCCCAAAATAGTGCTGAGTTTGAGAAACACTATGACAATAATGAGTGTAAGAGAGAAAGGTGAGATTTGCAGGCATCCCTGAAACCCATCAGATGGGGAAATAAATTAAGAAACTCCAGTGTGGTAGTTTCACCTTTGGAAGGATAGTGGGCACACTGGCCCAGCATGAGAACTTGATTCTTTCCGTCTACCTGGGTATGGAGAGAAGTGGCTTCTGTATTTCTAAATTTACCTACACTTGAGTTCTTAATAGTCAGTCACCCCAAAAGGAGGAATGGCTATAGGAACAAAGTGACATTAATATCAGGTCACAGCCATTTGTTCCCTTCAACAAGGCCGTTTTAGCATGGGATGAGTCACCACCAGCTTTGGAGGTGAGGAAACAAATGGGTTAATAATCAGTCTGGAAAGCAGAAAATGTGATCTAAATTGACTCACTCGTTGGGGGTAAACATGTCCATCAGACCATCTTATAATTAAGCTTTCTAACTTTACCCAGTAACTCCTCATTACAGGGTTTTAAGGAACTAGCCGTTTCTGCCTCTTCTCAGAAACTAAAGACTACCGGCCCAGCACGGTGGCAGTGGCTCCCACCTGTAATCCAGCACTTTGGGAGGTCAAGGTGGGCGATTACCTGAGGTCAGGAGTTTGAGACCAGCGTGGCCAACACTGCGAAACCCTGTCTCTACTCAAAATACAAAAAATGAGCCAGATACAGTGGCATGCACCTGTAATCACAGCCACTCAGGAGACTGAGGCAGAAGAATCGCTTGAACCCGGGAGGCAGAGGGTGCAGTGAGCCGAGATCACGCCATTGCACTCCAGCCTGGGAGACAGAACAAGACTCTATCTCAAAAATAAAAATTAAAATTAAAAAAAGACTATTATGTTGGCCCCATACGTAAACTGAGTCACTTTGCTCATAGACTTGGGGTTCCGTAGACAACTGTCTGACCATCAAAGCTGACCAAGAATGATTTGTTTTATTCTTAGTTTTAGCTGCTCCCCATAAACTTCAGATTAGGATAAAAGAGGCTTTTTAATGGTGATGCTAATTCATTTTGTATGCAAATTTTCTCCAGTTATTTAGATCCCAGGTGTTTCCACTTTAATGTTGATCTTGAAGAAATCAGAGAAGTCGTATCAAAGTAACCTGATTTTACAGTTCCTTCCCTAATAAATGACTGACTGATGGGTGAATAAATAATGCAGAGTCAAGTGAAATATTTTGCAATTATGATATCAGAAGCACAAAGAAAAGATTGAAAACCATATCATGGAAACAGTAGAGATTTTCAGGAAGAAAGCAAATTAATTTTTAGAAAAAATAACTTTTTTCAGTTAGGACTTTTTTTGATGGATGCAACTCACCCCTGACATTTGCAGTCCTCTCAATTTTTAGAGCAGATATAATTTTTCTATTTCTTTGGCTCAGTATAAGAAAGCTATAAGAAATCCAATTCATATTTGTTAAACTGTGTTGAAAATAATTTATTTTGTAGCAAAAATGTCAGAGACATCTAATGTTGTATCAAGACAAAAGAGCAAAACTGGCATAGAAGGGATTTTTTTGTTCAGTTCACTAAGGAGGCAGTTGTCCCCCTCATTCATACTCCAAGAAATAGTTTGTCAGTAAAGTATAGCTCAGTAACTTGGTTGTGTAAAATAAAATACATCAGGCTGGGCGCGGTGGCTCACACCTGTAATCCTAGCACTTTGGGAGGCCAAGGTGGGCGGATCACAAGGTCAGGAGAGCAAGACCATCCTGGCCAACACGGTGAAACCCCGTGTCTACTAAAAATAGAAAAATTAGCCGGGCATGATGGCGGGCGCCTGTAGTCCCAGGTACTTGGGAGGTTGAGGTAGGAGAATGGCGTGAACCTGGTGTAGTCCCAGGTACTTGGGAAGATAAGGCAGGAGAATGGAGTGAACCCGGGAGGCGGAGCTTGCAGTGAGCCCAGATGGGGCCACTGCACTCCAGCCTGGGCGACACAGCCAGACTCCATCTCAAAAATAAATAAAATAAAATAAAATAAAATAAAATAAAATAAAATAAAATAAAATAAAATAAAATAAAATAAAATAAAATAAAATAAAATAAAATAAAATAAAATAAAATAAAATAAAATAAAATAAAATAAAATAAAATAAAATAAAATAAAATAAAATAAAATAAAATAAAATAAAATAAAATAAAATAAAATAAAATAAAATAAAATAAAATAAAATAAAATAAAATAAAATAAAATAAAATAAAATAAAATAAAATAAAATAAAATAAAATAAAATAAAATAAAATAAAATAAAATAAAATAAAATAATCAAAGGGAAATTACTAACACATTCTTTATAATATCCATTCATAGGTCACTTTAAAAGCTGTAGGCCAGGCTGTTCTCAATTACTTCACCTTTATCTTAGAGCAAATGTGTTGAATGGGGAAGGAAGTTGAGAGGTTTGAAAGAGGTGTTTCTTATAAACCTACTTCTTGACCTACTAAAAGCTACCAAGTCATATTCTCTCTTCCCTTCTTCTCCTTCCCCCATTAATCCCCCCCTTCCTCCCTCTCTTTCTTCCTCTTCTCCTTTCCTCTTTCTTCCTTCTCTCCTGTCTCTATCTCCTTCCTCCCTGTGTCTGACTCTCTTACCTTTCTGTCCCATCTTCTTTTTGCCCCCTTCCCCTTGTCCCTTTCCTTCTCTGTCCATGTCCTAGGTAGCCGATGCTGTAGAAAGACTGACTGCTGTGGCCTTCTCTCAAAGAACAAAGGAGACTAGAGAGCCGAGAAATATCAGGGGAGATTGTAAAGTAGTCAATATGTCAAGGAAGGGAGAGATGGAATGTTCCTAGCTGCTATGAGGGAGAACTTACCACTAGGAGCCTTTGAAAATACAGCCATTATTGATGACAATTTATTAATCTTGAGAGAGAGTTTATAATTTTTATAAAACTGTCAAAGGGGACTACCATCTCAAAGGTGACAAAACACTGCACTAGACTATATTTTTGGAGTATATTAAACTTATTCCTTAGGTTTCCAGGGAAAAATAAATCTGATGATGTATTTACACACAATATATCCAGTATAGAATCACTTCAGGATTATTATAATTTGTTTAGAATTGAGTGGAAGTGCTGGACTCTTCTGTCAGAAAATGCATACATATTCATATCATTTTCGTTGAATTTTATAATTTTTTTGAGTGATTGAAGTCTAATCATGGGTTTGTACATGAGCTTGTGCTGTGAAATATGACCATTTGGTAATTTGTTTCCCATTGACTAGAAAGCCAGTGTTTATGTGATGAAAGAAAGAGAACATGGGAAAAAAGGCTGGAGAGGGTATGTGTGGGCAGGGCATGTAGGAAGAGAGGCTGGTGAATGGGTAAAACATACAGTGAGGTAGAAGGAATACATTCTAATGTTCAATAGCAGAGTAAGGTGACTGTAGTGAACAAGAATATGTTGTATATTTCAAAATTGCTAGAAGAGAGGACTCAAAATATTTTCAACACTTAGAAATGACAAATACTCGAGGTGATGGACAACCTTAACATTCTGACTTGATCATTACACTTTCTATGCAGGTAGCAAAATATCACTTGTACCCCATAAAAATATACAACTATTATGTATTAGTAATTTTTTTAAAGAAGAGTGCAGATATATTTCTATATTGCCTATAAAATAATGAAAATGATGCCAACTCCTATTATCCAAATAATCATCCCAGCAGTGTTCAAGAAGATGTGCCATGGTCCTTGCAGAAACTTTAGATGCTTCCTCCTGACTCTACTTGATACTTGCTTTAGAAAGATTTTCTTCTCAATTTGGAATCTAGTAGAAACAGCAGCAGTAACAACTCCCATTGATGACATATCCCCTGTAGACAAGAATTTCCAATGTGTTTAATATACATTTTCCCACTTAATTCTCAAAAGAATTTTATTGGGTGGGTCCATTAGGTAGACCTTATTAGCTTCCTTTACCCATGAGGAAATTGAGGCCTAGGCATTTTAAATGGCTTGGCCAAAATCATGAGCAATAAGTGAAAGAGCTGGCCTGGAAAGCACAGATGGCCTGAGTCAGCATTCAACAGGACCTGGACAGGGAAGGAAAGAGTGAAAGAAATGGGGAAGGAAAGAAGATGGAACAGAAAGAGAAGCAGACACAGGGAGGAAGAAGATGGTCCTCATCTTTCCAAGGTGTTTAATACTAGAATGATTGCCCATGCAATCTTATATCCTGAATGAATCATGCTTAGAAATAAAAAGGAGGGCAATGAAGACTAAGTTGACTAATGGCTGCTATGACCAGATTTTTTTTTTTAAAAATCTCTGAATGGAAAATTTACTTTTAAATCTCACACAACAGCACGTGTCCATAGCATTGATCTATGCTATAGGTGCCGGAGTAAACGTGTATGGAAATGAGTCTGTGTTTCTGCAGCAATATAAAAGGGAGATTCTAGACTGTCTCAGGAGAAAGGTGTGGGGAGAGCTTATCTAGAAAGAAGGAGACACAAGAGAGGTGACATTTCTTAAGAACTTTTGTGAGAATAATCATTCTGTGCTCATTGGCTATGGGGAAATCTTCAAAATGTGCCTGAATTCCCAGGAGATAAGCAGCCCTTTGCCAAAGGCAAAATTATAAAATATTGAAAAGATACTTCTCAGGCTAGTAAAAGATGGGAAGGAGGTTCCTCGCCCCCCATCCTGTTTCACTAGCACACGAGGAGACACTGTACAGAACCGATAATAGTAGACTGAACCCAGCTTACAAGAACGCCAGTTCATTTTGCTTGACTTACAATAAAGCCAGCTCTATCTTGGTAAATTCCCTAAATACAGTATGGTATCTAGGACCCAATATAAAGTTATCATATTCTTTAAAAATATTTTAGAACGGGAAGGATTATATTATTCTGTAATATTTATTATTATTGCTCTAAGTAAGTGTGTTGTGTTTTGTTTTGAATACTTTTAAAATACAGGTTTATCTAGTGTAATTTTAATAGCTCCCATAGTAGAAAATTGAGAATTTTTGGACTGTAGGGAAGGCAGAGAGGCTTTTGATGTTCCACAATGCTTTAGAGCACAGGTTTGGGGTCAGGCAAAGAATGGAACACATTTAAGCTGTGATACTTATGCTGCAATGAGTATAGGCCAGTTACTTAACCCTTCCCAGCCTCAGTTTTCCTATCCTTTTTGAAGGATAATAAAACCTACTTAAAAAGTTTCCTGTGAAGATTAGTTCATACAGTTCAGGAGAATTTCTCATCCTGGTGCCTTTCCCATAGAGAATAAGTAGATATCATTGGGATTTCACAGTCCTGGAACTGCTCAGGGAAATGCACATCACAGGTTCATTAGTTCCCTTTTTGTCTGCATGTTACTTTTCTGCAAAAACAATATGAAAAACAGTAACAGAAGGAATCCAATTAAAATTTGCCTATATATTTTATCTCTTAATGAAATCAGTTTTTCGTTAATCTGTATTTCTTTTTCAAAGCAGTATATGAAAATGTTTTATATTTTTACACATTTTAGTTTTATATTCTAAATATTACCACTATATTGTGATAACTTCCATTTTGTTGCTGTTTCCTTTTCCTTTTTTTTTGTTTTTTTGAGACGGAGTCTCGCTCTGTCACCAGGCTGGAGTGCAGTGGCGCGATCTTGGTTCACTGCAGTTCACTGCAACCTCCACCTCCCAGGTTCAAGCGATTCTCCTGCCTCAGCCTCCTGAGTAGCTGGGACTATAGGTGCATGTCACCACACCCAACTAATTTTTGTATTTTTTGTAGAGATGAAGTTTCACCATGTTGGCCAGGATGGTCTCAATCTCTTGACCTCATGATCTGCCTACCTGAGCCTCCCAAAGTGCTGGGATTACAGGCGTGAGCCACTGTGTCTGGCCCATTTCCTTTTTCTTATAGCATCTTTTCTCTCCCTTCAAGAAAATAGGCTGCAATGTTATACAAACGAAATCTACCCCATAGAGAATGTAGCTTTATTTCATAAAAGTAGGATCATACATATCACATGTACATATCTTCTTAACTTGCTTTATTACTTAACCATAGGTAGTAGGCGTGCCTCTACATTAATGAAATTAATCTATAGAAAAAATAAAGCTTTATATTGTGAGGATATGTGTACAGGGCTGGTTATTGCAGTAGTGTTTGAAATAGCAGTACAACTGAAAACATCCTGAAAGTTTATCAATAGGGGTAAGGGTGAATAAATCAAAGTAGATCCACATTACAGGGCATTCTTTGGCTATTTTAATGATATTTAGAATTCTATCTCTAGATTTTTTTTGAATTGGAACATAAAACAGATGTTGTTTAATATAATACCTTCATTTTACATATCAGGAGATTGAAACCTGAAGCAGCTTGCCCAACTTTAGTCCTTGAGAGAGCCAGACACAAGCCTGACTCAGTCCAGGGCTCATTCCACTGCCTCCTCTTCCAGGCACATGTTGGCTACAGAGTTCACATGGGGCCGAAGGTCAGCTGTGGCTGGATCTGCATATGAATTTGCAGCATGCATTTAAAAAAGCTTTTAGTACAACATCTTCTGCAGTGAGCATTGGAGAGTGTGTAACATGAAAACTGCATTAGGTGGTTTTCGGTTACAGTACGCAGTTAGTACCACCTGTTGTCATGCATTTGTTCCCTGACTGATTTTCCTGGAGGAGGTCAGAGCCCTGCATTACTTTGCTATGCACCACGATGGCAGGGTCCTGAATATTTAATCACGCTTCTCTGATGAGAAGGGTGTATGGCAGCAAGTTCCAGGGGAGTGTGTGAGTGTGGTCGTCCTCAGACTGCTGTTGGGAAATGAATCCTTAGGAAACACTCAAGGACATTCAAAAGGCACAGAGGATTTCTGAGCCAAGCTTTGCCTTTACCTAGTTGAAATTGAATTTAGATTTGTAGGATGAAGTGCTAAAGAGGTATTCATCTTCCACATCATCTAATATTCTGCCTTATGTAAGTCAAAACAAGAATATATAATTTGGGAAGAATGACAGCAGTTATGTCTTGTTGCTGTTCTATTGCTGCCTTTTCCAGCAGGGCATGCCAATGTGGGCCCTCCTATCCAATTTAATCTAAAAGTTGCATGTGCTGGCAGCTCTGGTGGTTATCATTATATGATGTCAGTAATTATTAGCTGTTGGACTAGGATATGTGCTTCTCTTTTGGCATTTGGCCTATGGCATTAGTGTAGTTAGTTATAAAAGCATCACTGGACATTTTAGCACAAAAGGGATTACTCACACTAAAGAGAATTGTAACCTGGTGTAGACAAGACATCACTGAGTATATATGTTTCTGTGATTCTGTAATACCATTGCCTCTACTATTCCTAGGTGTTTACATAAGTCACAAAATCTTTTTTACTGAGCACATCAAGAATACTTCTGTTTTAATACTACCGTTATTTTTTAATAATATTTAGACCTGTTTTTTTTGTTGATGATCTTAACTTTAAAAAAAATTATTTGCATCTTCTCTTTCTTAAAAACTAGTATCTGTTTATGATAAAGAAATAGTGTAAAACAGTTCAATTTCAAGTGAAAAATAGGGCAATGCCATTTATAACTGAGACAATGTGACAACAGCCTGTAGGGCACCTCTGTCTCCTTCAGGTATTCTATCCATATTCAGTTTTAATTGCTATGTCTTCAGGAATGATATCACCATGTGACCTTCAACATTGACCTTTCTTCTGAATGGTAAATCATCATTTCCAAATACTCAGTTTGTATCTTAACGTCATCTGAAACTCAGCTCTCAACCTCTACCTGGTAAGTAGAAACTCAATAAATATATACTGAGTCAACTCATCATCTGTATATGTTGGCTGGGGGCCAAGGGAAGGTCAGGACATTTATTGTTCTTTTTAATTCTTTTTTTATTATGCTGTTGTCCTTCACTTAGTTACCCCAGACTCACAATTGTTTTTTTTTGGGGATCTCACCTCACAACAGAATGAGACAGAAAGTTCTGTGCCTCTCCCTTAAAAAATATACACAAATATTTTTGTTAGAGTTCAGCTTACTCATATTTATATTAGTCTAATAGTATATGTAATAAAATTTAAAAAATACTAATCTGCAGAAAAATTAATAAAGGAAGGGGAGAAAATAGCATGCTGAATTCGAAAGTTTAAATCACATATGTGGCCTAATTGTTTTTAAATATTAGTTAACTGGCTAATCTATAAAATATTGTAAAAAGGCAATGTAAAATATTGTAAAAAGTTTACCAAATCTGTGTGAGTCCATTAGGTTCCAATGGACACCACAGGATTGCTTGCGGTTGATGACTTCTGTTCAAGCCAAATGAGCAACCTCATTGTTTTAAAGCTGCCTATTGATTGCCTTTGATATAACTGAAAATGAGGCTTCCTTGACTCACTTGTGATTTGTTTTGAAATGGAAGGCTGGGAATGCATTACCAAGACCACATCCCAGCCTCTCAGTGGTCTGCAGGTGGCTTTAGGCAGAAATATCTGGTGGGTTATTGGGAGTTTATAGAGCCATAATTTTGTCATCTTCAGCTTGCTCTTTGATTGTTCTTTGACTTCTCATTCCAAGATGGTATTTGGCTTATGTCGCTTTGATTATCAAAAGTCTGTGTTTTTGAGAATTCAGGAGATATCAAATCTGTAAGACTCTTCACCCCATACTTAGAAATTCTGTCTATATATTGGAGGCGGGGCCTAAGAATTCTGCATTTTAAACAGGCATTCCAGGTGGTTCTGATGCAAATAGGCCAAACATTGTACTTTGAGAAAAAATGGGTAAGAGTGTAAATACAATTAAGTGGATGAGCTCCAGTGATCTCAATAAAGAAAAAAAGTTTATATATTAACACTTTAAAATGGTTATATAATTGTAGGGTAGTATTTTAATACTTCCTATAACTACATGTGTTTTGTCAGGCAGGAGACTGCATGACTGTTTAATAGCTGAGAAAATGCATCTGAGTAAAGGTAAACAATATGATATTATGTTCCAGTGTGAAATTAGAACCCCAGTTCCTTATTCTAAATGACCCACCAAAGAGTGGGAAAAAGAGAATTTCTCATAAGTTGATTTTGTATATGTATATTAGCTGACATTATCCGTGTGTGTGTGTGTGTGTGTGTGTGTGTGTGTGTGTATGTGTGTGTTTCAGGATAATGTCAGCCTAATTTTATGGAATATTGGGCTTGAGGACACGTCTCATCCTTTTTTCTTATAATCTAGGTATAAATCTATGACTGGAAACTTAGCTCCCCTAACCATACTGACCCCTCAACCTTTCCTTTTTTGAAGTCCTGGATGCTGACACAGAATCCAAATTCCAAGCCCATGATGCCAGTCATGTCTCCATTGGACAGGACTCTCCAGTGTATTTTTATTTTTTTTAAAGTATGATGTAAACATCTGTCTCTGACTCTCAGGGCTCTCCCTCAGCTAATCACATCTGCTCCCATCTCCTGTAACAACAACAATGAGGACTTCAGACAGAGTTTTTGGTGGGTGGGGTCTCATCAATGGAGCCTTACCTCTACCTGGTGCACATTTCCAATGGACTATTTGTCCAAAATCTACACATATGTCATAAACACTTTTCCTTACCTCTGAACACTCATGAATAACAAACAGTGGCTCTCCTTAAAAACACAACCAAACAAAGAATAGTTCAATCTCATCTTCTAGAAAAAATTTCACTTCTTCGGCCCTCCAGGATGTTTTGTTTTACTTTTTAAAGCTCATAATTTGTATTTAGTAGATACTTCTGTGAATCTATTTACATGTAAATATTTGTTCACATTGTCACACTCAATACCAAGGTGATACAGAATCCTCATATCTATCAATGATTTAGTCTTCATTGTGTGACATTAGACTATGGCAGAAAGCCTCAACAATGGCATCATTTAGACATTACCTAAAATGTTTATCGTATGGTTTGTGGTCAATTTAGACCTAGCCACACTAAAGGAGGACTTCCTATGCCAGTAGGGTTGATTTTGACTTGCTTTGTATTCACAGAGCTATAACCAAAGTTGATGCAAACATTGGTAGTGTCATGGCAGGCTCTTTACTCAGTGAAGTAGGGGAACAGCTTCTGGAATAATAATGGACCTGGCACTGGGGAGTTCCTCTCTAATGGACAGTAGCAAGTCTGATATTTTATCAAGACCCACTTTCAAAACCTGTGACTTTGCCGCAAGGCTCTGCTCTGCTTCTCTTTGCAGCCCCATGGTGTGCTATTTTTATGCTGCACATGTTTAATTTTGCAACTTGTGACAATTTGAAAGGCATAACAATGTCTGTTCCCACTGAGATACACAGAACACACCACGATGTTTTGAGAGGAGCAGTCTTTGAGAGAAAACTCCACTGTGAGAAGAGTCTTCTTGGGAATCACTACACTCGTCATTCCTTGAAGAGAAGCCAACTTTCTTCCCTTAATCAATCAGTCACATTTATTTTTCCATTCTAAGAAGCAATGAGGATCATCTAAGTGCATTTAAGATTTCATATATTTGGACTTTGGCCTTCTCTAAAAGAGCTGCTCTGAAAAACATTTCCTCCAAAATGCAATTAGGAGAAATATATCTTGAAATGAGTCTACACTTCTTTGTCCTTCTGTAACTTATTTCACATGGCCAGTAGTTGCTTGTGGAATCATCACTCATCAAGGAACCTTTTGTTCTTATCACATGATGAGCTGGTTTGCATTTAAACTAAATTTTTCTGTAACTTTACTGTTAGGAATTTTAGTAGTCCCCTTACCATGTGCCAAAACTGGTTTCATCTCGAAAACCTTTAAGCCCTTATGAGCTGTTCACTTATATTTCTTTGTAAATGACAGTGGCTTTGCTCAAACATCTCTGAAATATTAAAGACATCTGTTATTATTGAACATGCAACTCTTGATTCTTGATATTGCTGCTAGTGGTAGTTATATCTAATCCAAATTAGCTGATCATTAAAAGAACATTTTTGTTTTCTAATACTCTGTGATATTTGTATAGTTCTCTTCCTAATTATGTTTTGTGTTTTCCCAAGGATAGCATTAAACAACTTTATTTTCCCTGCATACTCCCCAACAATACACAAATATAGGCAGTGGGATCCTTGCACACATCCAACACAATTGGTGATTAGTAATTACTTTCCCTAGAGAAAATATTGATCATGCTGGTGCTCTAGGCTTCAATGTGAAAAATGAACCTTCTACAGAGGGCTGATTTTGAGAAGGTTTTTCAAACAGATTGATTTGTGGATTATTAGCTGACTGTCCAGGGTCTACAGAAAGTTACATATACAGAGAAAGCACCTATGTGCACATTCCAGGTATCTACATGGGTCTCTTTTACACCACCTTCAAATTTTACTCAAACATCATCACTTTCTCTTGAGGACTTTTGTTATCACCTTGCTTTACATGCCCTGCCATCCCTTCCCTCCATTCGACATGCTCAGTGTCCCTTTGCCTGCTCTGTTGTTTCTTTCCCCGTTCCCCATTATAAGCTCCATGAGACACCAATTTTGTCTATTGGGTTCACTCATGTATATTCAGCACCTAAAACAGTAGTGCATAGAAGGGGCTCAAAAGGTATTTTTAAAATTTTATTTATTACATTTTTCATTAAATTTTTATTTGGGTATAATTGTAGATTAGCATGGAATTATAAGCAAATAATACAGAGAGATGCAGTGTACAATTTACTCATTTTTCTGCAGTGGTGACATCTTACAAAACTATAATAAAATATCACAACTCAGATACCAACATTGATACAATAAGGATACAGAAGACTTCCATCACCACAAGGATCTGCCGTGTTGCACTTCTATAGCGAATGCCCTTCTTTCTGCCCCCACCCTTTGCTTAATCCTTGGCACCCACTAATCTGTTCTCCACTTTTATAATTCTGTCATTTTGAGAATGTTATATGAATGGAATCATGTGGTATGTAATCTTTTGAGACTGGCATTTTCACTCTGTGTAATTCCCTTGAAAGCCATCTAAATTGTGTCTATCACTAGTTCATTCCTTTTTATTGCTGTGTAGTATCACATGGTTTGGACATATACAATTTCATTAACCATTCACCCATTAAAAGGCATCTAGGTTGTTTCTAGGTTAAGACTATGACAAGTCAAAATGCTATAAGCATCCGTGTACAGGTTTTTGTGTGAAAATAAATTTTTATTTCTCTGGGATAAATGCTCTGGAGTACAATTGCTAGGTTTTGTAGGTGATGTATGTTCGGAATTTTAAGACACCGCCAGACTGTTTTCCAGAGTGAATGTAACATTTTACATTTTCACTGTCCATGTATGAGTGATCCAGTTTTTCTGTGTCCTTGCCAACATTTGGTCTTGACACCATTTTTGATTTTATGTTAGCCATTCTAATAGATGTGTAGTAATAACTCATTGTAGTTTTAGTCTGCATTTCAATAATTAGTAATGCTATTAAATATCTTTTCATGTGCTTACTTGCCATCTGTTTTACCTTTGTGGTGAAATGACTCTCCATGTTTTTTGCTCATGTTCTAATTGAATTGTGTGCTTCACTATTGTTGAATATTCAAAGTCTTTATATACTCTAGATACAAATCCTTTGTCAGATAAGTGGTTTGCATATTTCACTTTCACTCTGTATGTTGTCTTTTCATTGTCTTGACAGGGTCTCTGATGAGTGAAAGTATTAAACTTTGATGCCATCTAATTTATTAATTTTTCCTTTTATGGCTCATGTTTTTGGAATATATACTAATTGAAAACATCTGTTCTACCAGCAATGAACATTGCTAAGGACTCTGCGTAGCCCTAGATTCTGAAGATTTTCTTCTTTTTTTTTCTAAAACTTTAACAGTTTTACATTTTACATTTAAGCCTGTGATGTATTTTGAGCTAGTATTTATACAAGGTGTGAGATCTTCACCAAGGTTGGGTTCTTGCCTATGGATGTCCATTTGCTCCAGCGTCACTGTTGAAAGGCTGTCTTTCCTCTACTGAATAGCTGCTCTTGCATCTTTGTCAAAATTAGGTGTGCATAATTGTGTGGCTCTATTTCTGCATTTTCTACCCTGTACCACTGAACCATGTGCTCATCTGTTGTTCTAACCATACCTCACAAACTTGAGAACTGCAGCCATATAAGTCTCAAAGTCATTCTACCTGATTTCAAGACTTACTTTTCAAAATTGTGCTGGCTATTCTAGTTCCTTTGTACATCTATATACATTTTTTTGAAAAATCTTGTCTATGATCGAAAAGTCTTGTAATTTTGCTTGCAGTTGCAGTAAAGAACTGACATCTTTACTATGTTTTATTTAAATCATCTTTTTATTTTTTATCAGAGTTTTTGTAATTTTCAGCACACAAGTCTTGTATATGTTTTGTTTGACACACACCAAAGTATTTCATTTTTTGAGTCATTGTAAATGATATTGTATTTTAAATTTTAGTGCCCATATGTTCATTGCTAGTACAACAGGTTTTTTCAAGTAGTATAATTGAATACTTAGCTAGTATCCTATGACATTCCTGAAGACACTAATTTATACTAGAAATTTTAATTTTTCCACCTATGAGTGAGAACATGTGGTGTTTGGTTTTTTGTCCTTGCGATAGTTTGCTGAGAATGATGGTTTCCAGCTTCATCCATGTGCACATGCACCCTAAAACTTAAAGTATAATAAAAAAAGAGAAATTTTAATTTTTATAGATTCTTTGGGTTTTGTATGTAGAAAATCATCTTATCAGCAAATGGAAAGATTTTATTTATTTCTTTACACTCTGTATGCCTTTAAGTTTCTTTTCTTACCTCATTGTACTGGCTAGCACTTCCAACACTATGTTGAATAACATTGGTTGAAGCACTTTTTTGTCTTGATCCTTATCTTTGGGTGAAAACATTCAGCCTTTCACCATTAATCATAATGTTACTAGTAGGTTTTTGTAGATGTTCTTTATCAAAGTAAAGCAGTTTGTCTATTCCTATTTCTTGGATTTTTTTTTAATCATGAATCAGTGTTGAATTTTGTCATATGCTTTTTTTTGCATCAGTGAATATAATCATGTGATTTTTTTTTGTGGGGGGCCTGATAATATGATGTACTACTTTGATTTTTTAAATATTGACCCAGGCTTGCATCCCTGGAATGAACTCTACCTGACTATAATATATATTTCTTTTTATATATTGCTAACTTCTCTTTGATAATATTTTGTTTATGATTTGGAGTCCATACTTCTAAGAGATATTTGTCTATACTTTACTTTTCTGTGATATTGTCTTTCTCTAGTTGTTGTGTCATGCCAATACTGTACTCATAAAATGAATTATGAAGTATAACTCTTGTCTATTTTCTGGAAGAGATTGTGAAGAATTAGTGTTAATTCTTCTTTTCATGTTTGATAGAATTCTCCAGTGAAACCATGTGGTCTGAAGTTTTTTTTAATGGAAAATTTTATAAATTGTAAATTAAATTTACTTACTTAACAGGTATAAAGCTATTCAAATTATCTATTTAATCTTTGGTGAATTATTTTAGTTTGTATTTTTTAAGGAATTTTTCCATTTCATCTAATTCATGAAAATTATGTTGTAGGGCTGTTTGTAGTATTCTTCTCTTACGGAATGAATATTTGTTTTTCCTGCTCACAAATTTATATGTAAAGTCGTAACCTCTCAATGTGATTGTATTTGGAGCTGTGACATTTGGAGGTCATTGGGTTTTGATAAGGTCATGAGGATAGTGTGCTCAGGATAGAATTAGTGTCCTTATAAGAGGAGGAAGATACCACCTCTCTCTCTCTTTCTCCTCCACGTGAGGATGCAGAGAGAAGACAGCACTCTCCAAGGTAGAAAGAGGGCCCTCACCAAAATCTGAATATTCTGGCACCTCGATCTTGGACTTCTCAGTCTCCAGAATTGTGAGAAATTAATGTCTGTTGTTTTAGCCACCCAGACTATGGTATTTTGTTGTAGCAGCCTGCATTGAACAACATATCTATTATCCTTTTGACATTTGTAGGTTTTCTAGTTTTATCTCTCATTTTAAAAAGTATTTTTAGTAGGCCGGGCATGGTGACTCACTCCTGTAATCCCAGCACTTTGGGAGGCCAACGCAAGCAGATCATCTGAGGTCAGGAGTTTGAGACCAGCCTGGCCAACATGGTGAAACCCTGTCTCTACTAAAAATATAAAAATTATCTGGGTGTGGTGGCGGGCACCTGTAATGCCAGCTACTCGGGAGGCTGAGGCAGGAGAATCACTTGAACCCAGGAGGTAGAGGTTGCAGTGAGCCAAGATCATGCCCCTACACTCAGCCAGGGTGTCAGAGTGAGACTCCATCTCAAAAAAACAAAACAACAACAAAAATGTATTTTTAAATGAATTAAAACATCCATCTTAATTTTTGAGTACATTATAGATATCTACATTCTAATATATCTAAAGCAGATCTTTTGATTCTCTTAACCCTAGAAGACTACAGACAGTATTAATTTGTATTTATTTATATTTTTAAGTTTTTAATTGGCAAATAATACTTGGCATATATTTATGGGGTACAATATGATGTTTTGATATATATGGTTATTGCAGAAAGATTAAATCAAGATGATTAACAATTTGATTACCTCACCTACTTATCTTTCTGTGGTGAGAATGGTTAAAATCTACTCTTTTCACAATTTTGAAATACACGTTATTAGCAGCTGTGGTCATCGCGTTGTACAATTGATCAATAAAATGTATTCCTCCCGTTTAGCTGAAACTTTGTAACCTTTGACCAACATTTTTACTTTTTCCATCAGCCCTTCCCTCTCATCCTCTGGTAAATACCATTCTACTCTTTGTTCCTATGAGTTCAACTTTTCTAGATTCCACATATAAGTGAGATCATACTATATTCGTTGTTCTGTGCTTGGCTTATTTGACTTAGCATAGAACATCCTTGAGTTTCTTCCATATTATCACAAATGATAGAATTTCCTAATTTGTATAAGGCTGAATATTATTCCAATGTGTATATATACCACATTTTTTTATTCATTCATTTGTTGATGGACACTTAGGTTGCTTCTGTATCTTGGCTATTGTGAATCATGATGAAATGAACATGGAAATGCAGATATCTTTTTGACATACTAATTTAATTTTTTATATATATCCCCAGAAGTAGTTTTGACAAAGGTGCCCAGAACACACCATGGGGAGAGGACAGTGTCTTCAATAAAAAGTGTTGGGAAAACTGGATAACCATATGTAGAAGAATGAAACTGGACCTTTATCTCACATCATATACAAAAATATTAACTCAAAATAGATTAAATACTTAAATGTAAAACCTGGAACTGTGATACTACTGAAATATAGGAGAAAAGCTTCAGGACATTGGTATGGACAATGATTTATCATATAGGACCCCAAAAGCACAGACAATAAAACAAAAATAGAGAAATGAAATTGCAGCAAACTAAAAAGCTTCTGCACAGCAAAAAACAAACAAAAAAAAACAACAAAAACACAGTGAAAAGATAACCCACAATTGGGAGAAAATATTTGCAAACCATACATCTGATAAGGGGTAATATCCAAAATATGTAAGAAACTCAAATAGCTCAATAGCAAGAAAACAAATAATGCATTTTAAAAAGTGGGCAAAGGACCTGAACAGGCGTTTATCAAAAGAAGACATACAAATGACCCGCAAGTTCCTGAAAAAACATTCAACATCCCTGATCATCAGGTAAATGCAAATTAAAATCACAATGATCTATCACTGCATATCTGTTAGAATGGCTATTAGCCAAAAGACAAAAGATAACAAGTATCCTAAGGGTGCAGAGAAAAGGGAACCTGCATATACTGTTGTTGGGAATGTAAATTATAATAGTACAGCTATTTTAGAATACAGTATGGAGTATCTCAAAAAACTCAATTATCATACGATCCAGCAATCCCATAGTATTTCTATGTCATCAACTCATTAAATTTACCCATTCAGTTATTCATGTCCCAAACTAATTCATTCTTAATTCTTTTCTTTCCCTCATGTCCCTATTCAGTGTACCAAATTGTACTGATTCTGTTTTCAATTATATCCAGAAACTGACTACCTGTATTTCCACTCCAGGCCATGCCACCATTGTTTCTCACCTGGGCCACTGTGATGCCCCCTCACATGTGTTCCTTCTTCCACTCTTGCTCCCTGGCAGTTCATCCTTTTCATAGCAGGCAGATCACACAAGTCCCCTATTCCCTAGAGTGGCTTTCTGGCAAAGAGACTGAAATCTAAATCCCTTACCCCAGCTATAAGGCTTCACATACTGTAGCCCCGGACTTTATCCATGAAAATGTCTCCCAGAAGTCTCTCCTGGCTCAGCATGTTTCAGCAGCCACACCCTTCTCTCTGTTCCTTAAGGATGCCAAGCTCATTCGCAGCTTGGCGTATTTGCATAAGCTGTTTCCTCCACCCAAGGTGCCCTTTACCCTAAACATCTCACGGTCAGTTCCTTCTTGTAATTTAAACTCCTACTTAACTTCTTTTCTTAGAGACCTCTTTCCTGACCTCTCAACCTACTCACTTTCTATTCTGCCAGCTGGTTTTAATGTTCTCTCCTGGTTCAACAGCACTTACTCATATGGGATATGTTCTTATTTATTATTTGATAACCTGATGTTTTCTTTGTTTAGGTGTAAGCTGCATGAGAACAGAGGCTTTGCCTTTCTCAGTTACCACTGTTTTCCCAGCACATAGAACCATGTCTGGAACATAATAGGTGTTCAGTATAGAATTGCTACATCTATGAATAAAAGTGCTGTGCTTAAGGTTGTCCATTCCCTATCTTATTTTACTCTCCAACAAGTAAATAAAATATGCATTCTATTCCCACTTTTGTAGATAAGGAAATGGGGTGTTCAACTAATTAAACCAACTGTTGAACTACAATTGTGTATTTCTTCTGCCTATTTCAAACTTAGGGATGCCATCACTCATGGTAAATGTGTAGGAGAAAGAACTTCAGAAAGCACGTTGCTGATTTTTGTGTATGAGTCTATTTATATCTTAAATAATTTCAATTAAAGTTCTGAAAATTCCTAGAATGCATGCTTTGTTATTCCATTTAAATGGTTAGAATGGTTAGAACCCTGAGACTGGTGGGAATGGGGAAGAGTTCTAGAAGAGAATGAGTTTCCATTCAATGTGTTTCAGTCTATGAGTCCAGGAGTTCTTTCTTTAGTGTAGAAGAACATAATTTCTTATGTAGTACTGTTGGGAATTATCAGTTTCAACTAGAATTATTGCAACTGTCAGAAAAAGAAGCCAAAAGGCCTGTCTAGGTATTTAAAATATGGCCCCATCTGTGCTAAATCTCACAGATATAATATTTATATTTATTCAGAATAAACAAAAATAAACAAACTCTAGGAGTATAAATTAAGAGTGTAGACAAATCCCGAAAACTGCCTAAGGCACTTAAGAATTCAGGAAAACCACTTTTTCAGAGAAGGCAAGCCTGTAGTTTTCTGGCTTTCACAGCAACTGCCTCTATCCCAATGTCTTAAAAGGAAAGTACTTTGTGAAAATTGCAAATCCTTGCAATTGTTCTGGCTATTAACTTTAAAAAAGTTGATTGGTAGGGAGATGGTTGTGTTTGCCTTTTTGAAATATGAAGAAACTGAGGCACTTCTTTCTCTTAGGACAACGCAGTAAATTAGTTTTGGAGCTCTGTTGCCTGGAGGCAATGTAAAGGGCTTAAGATTTCTGGTTTCTAGGCTACTGTGTTTTAAAGGAGACAATTATGTATCCTAATTTCCAAATACCTGAGCCCGCGCTGTGCAGAAAATGTAGCCAGTTTTAAGAAACAGCTTGTTTTCTCCCTCTAAGCCCATGAAGAAGAATACATTTATCCCTGACAAAATAGCATTGTCCCCATTTGGTGGTAAATCGTCAAGTCTGTTTAGAATCAGGGTCAGCTTCTCAAATGAGCCTTTCCCCCATGTAGCCTTCCTGAATCTGATTAACACTGTGTCAAGGGAGTTGTCTGATGTCTGACCTTGAGCAGCATGCTTCCCTCTCCCCACCTCCTTTTTTTGGGAATCATTCATTTTGTACAGCCTCGGGCCCTGAGATTCCTCCCCAGCAGGCTGGAGTGCACTCGCAGGTTCCCTTTATTGGTATCGGAAGGGTTTCAGACCCAGTGACCTGTCATCTGTCTTCTCACCTGCTTACATGCTGATTCACTGATGAGCTGGCATCGCAGGCCCCGCCTCCCTCTGAATGGTCTGTGAGGTTGCAACTGCTTCTGGAGAGGGGATGCCGAGCCGAACCAGAGCTGGGTTACTACAAGTGTGAACCGGCAGCCTGTCTGTTGCCACAGAAGAACTTGGTCACCACACTGAGAAGCCGTGTTTTCTCACCTCCCTGTTACTGTTGTAGCTGTATCTGGCTTCTCTAGCATTTTAAAGGAATTTCTGATTGAGGCGCTAACAGCTAATTCCACAGGAGTTGTAAGGCAGCCTGTGCATAAACTGAGACAGAAGTTTCTCCTCAGAGACTCTCTTTTTATTATTATTATTATTATTATTGGCAAAGACTTCTGGCTCTCCTCAGAGGAATACCTTGTTGCTTAAGATGAGTGGCTGTAGAAAGCGGTGTAAACGTGAAATACTGAAATTTGCCCAGTACCTTCTCAGACTATTAACAGGTTCTCTTCATACAGGTAATGACTTTTTTTTTTTTTTTTTTTTTTTTTAGTAGAGGCTAGTAGAGCATGGTAATGAAGTTGAAATGGAATAGGAAAGGCTATTTCTTTGTTGTGATTATTTTTAATGTTGTCAATAAAATGCAACTGTATTTGCTGAGATTTATGTTTCTAAAAATGTGTGCAGTGCAGCTCTTTTGGGGGTAGAACTGACTTCTATGGATGTATTTTTTTTATCTCTTCAAGGCAGTGTTCTTGGTAAATTTCAGGAAACAGTATCTGCAGAGTAGAAAGATTTTTTTTTTAAATACATGATTGTGCAAGGGGTTTTTCTCTTCTTTCCTGATTGCTGCAGTTTACTTGAAAAGCACACAGATTTTCTTCCTGCAGATATTTAGAAATTCTCTAGAACTGTTTGATTATTGTAATCCATAGATTATTTCCCATGTGTTTGATCATAGGGCTTGGCCGGGAAAGAGTTAAGGATATTTCTTTTGGATCTCTGGGTTCCTTGCAAAATGTGAGCAAAATATGAAAACAGCTGAAGAGTAAAATGTCCATGTGAGGTTTCATATTTGTTTCATTGCAGTGGATTTCAATGTTTAAAAATTTTCATGATTGAAATAGAAATTCTATTTAAATCTAAGTGTTGATAGCAAGAAAATATTTTTAATATGTTCCAAAATTATGAGGCTAAATCAACAGTTTTGTTGCTCATGAAATTCCTAGGCAATGCCGTCATTAAATTAGTGACAGGTGGGACTAAAATACTTGACACTGATAATATATATATTTTTTAACAGATCATCAAACTTCTGAGAGACAAATCTTGGTTAACAGGACACACACTTTGATTCTGGTCATAAAGAACTGTTGTGAGCTTTATTTTTCAAATACTGACCTATATTTGTTTTCTTTAATCTAAATAAAGAGAAAAAAAGAGTAAAGAAACTCACACACTGTAAGTAAGGATGATGTAAGGATGATGTGCCATTTATGATATCGTGTCACATTTGACAATGAGCAAGAGGTGATCTTGTGCTGATATAAAGCTGAGAGATGAATTTGAGCAACATTTTACCTAAGAAAGTAAAGTCTTGGCGATAATTAACTAAACTGCATATACAATTATGTTAGTGTAATAAGGGAAAACCATTTTAAGAGAGTAACTGACAATCAAATGATTTTAGAGAGCATCATCAAATATTAATAGATATTAAGAGGATTGTTAACATCCTAATGTTAATTTCCTGTTAATATCCGCATTTTAATCTTTAGGTAATGTGAATTGTGGTGACTTTGGATATTCTTTAAGGAATAATCATTGAGAGTCTGTATCTGACTTTTGCCAACTCGGAGCTCTGTGGTGTTTCTCACGCAGTCTTCACCTTTAGATTACAAATGTTTAGTCCCATCACTATGACTTTGACATTACCTGCATATTAGCTTTAAACATTCAAGTAAGGATGATGTGCCATTTATGGTATCATGTCACATTTGAAAATGAGCAAGAGGTGATCTTTTACCTTGCTATGAAATTAGAGAAATATTTTATAAAAGAAAGCTTTCCATGAGGTTTCCATGGTTGTCTGTCCTTTCCTCTCTGATAGGGCAATCCTAAGGTTCTGTCTGTTTCTGACTGGATTTAGGTACAGTTTTCTGCCTGTCTAGCTCATTCTGTTTGTTGAATAGTTTTCTTAAACTTTTGATTTCAAAGAATTTTACGAAAATGGTAAGTGGTTGGGAAACTGTAAACCATAAGTATTAAATCCAAAACACTGTGGTTGGTACTTTATCACTGGATGGTACTTTATAATATGGAAATTATGGAAAGCTGGTATAGCAGTAGTATTTTAAGCTTTATTCAATGCGTATTTGGAAATCACTGTAAGTGGGATTGCTTTCTTCTTTTTGAACCACAGGAGGAAAAAAAAAAAGAAGAAGCACAGCATCTTTGAACTTTGAGAACAAGGACCGACAGATTATCATAAAGTAGTAACATAGATTTATGACCTGAGAAATGTGATTGCAGCAACCTGTTTCTTGTAAAAATTCTTTTCGGCTCAGTCTCTAATACTAAATTTTGTGATATCCAGCCAGAATCTTTACAACTACTCAAAATGCGACTTGGAAAAGCCAATTTATGCATTTACTAGATGCTGTGATAATATACACCATTCATATTACAGAGTCTAATGTAAAATTCATTAGGACACTTTCAAGTCCCTTAGCTAGTAATTAATGAAGAAGTAGGAAACAGAGTTGAACTAGCTTAAAAAATTTCCTTTAAGGTTGGATATGCAGGCAGCTGCTAATTGTATCCTGAGCAATCAGCATGTATCTTTGTAGTTATCAAAAATTTAAAACAACACGAACATGTCTTGGGTGATTTTTTTTCTTTTTACCAAAAAGCCCTTTATTTATTTATTTATTTTTATTTTTTTTTTTTTTTTGGTCAATCGTGTTATCTGAGGAAACGGTGATTTTGTTTTACATTTGAAAACAAGTTAATTCCAAAATATATAATTTTATTTTTGGCAGCTGCTTCTCATTTGATACCACAATGGGCCATTTATACAAACATAGAATATTGGAAGTGCAAAGAAATTTTTGTGGATACAAACTTTCCTTCAATTTGTCTTATTAGTGTTATCACAAGTTACAGAAAAGCAATTTCCTTTTGTGAGAGCTTTTCATGTAAGTTGTGGCAGTGTCTAGGATTGCTTACAAATTAAAAATTTAATTTGATTTCTAAAATAATTTTTTTAGAGAGTACAGATTCAAAAGTAAAGATTTGTCCAGCTAAAATAAGATACATCTATTTTCCCTGAAACTTCCTACATATTTTTTATCATGGCAGATCACTTCTCAAAGAGTGTATTTTACAAACATATATAATGTCTGTATTTATCATAAAAACATATGCTTTTTAAAAGTTTATTTGTTATGTATAGCAAATCACAGAAATCCATATGCAAATATTACAAGTTAATGGCCTCAGTTCACTGTAGGATCAATTTTCCTATTTTCTTCTCAGCTTGAGATCTGCCTCTTGATGTACCATATCATATTCAATTCTAGATGGGGCTCATGCTACCCAATATATTCTTGTACACCTAAATAAATGGAGATAGGTCTTAGGATTGCTCCAAGAATACGACACTTCTATTTGTGTATGATAGGAACCCATACAACACCCTATCATATGAATGCTGCCCCATTGAGAAGGATGAATGTTATTGCAGATATCATGTTTTGAACTGTTTCTTCTTTATGTGTGAAATTTAATATTGTCATGTTTTAGGGTACTTATTTGAAGGTTGTTTTGACATTTTTCAATATTCTGTACATTGTTTTCTTGAAAAATCAAGACCTGAACACATTTTTCCATTATCAAGAATTCCCCAAATATACGTGTGAGGTGAATATTGCCTGGAGCTCTGTTTCAGGCTTCAGGTCTGAAAGTTATAGGCATGTCCAAGTTCAATTCTCCACCTAAGGGAAGCAAAAGCAATTTAAACCCAAAAATTCTGTGAAACACTGAATTGTTTAACTAGTGTGTTAAAGTATTTCAAATTTTGTGAAATTATATTATTAAAAGCAGGAGGTAAGAATTCATCATTCCATCAAGTAGAGAGCTTTAGATTAACGGATGAGAGGGAGAGATGATGCACATTTGTCCATTTGTTTCACAAGTTTTCTTTGAGTGGTTTCCAGCCTTAAAATTGACATCACTGAAGTTATTGTGGGTCAAGCCACCACAGGCTAGTCATATAAAGACTTATTTATTTATTTATTTATTTTTGAGACGGAGTCTTGCTCTATCACCCAGGCTGGAGTGCAGTGGTGCGATCTCAGCTCACTGCAACCTCCACCTCCTGGGTTTTAATCAATTCTCTCTGCCTCAGCCTCCCGAGTAGCTGGGATTACAGGCGCTCTCCACCAAGCTCTGCTAATTTTTGTATTTTTACTAGAGACGAGGTTTCGCCATGTTGGCCAGGCTGGTCTTGAACTCCTGACCTCAAGTGATCCACCCACCTCAGCCTCCCAAAGTGCTGGGATTATAGGCATGAGCCACCGTGCCCAGCCTTAAATATTTTAAATATTTTTTATACTACATTTTTGAAGTCTGAAGAGAAGCAGAAACTCTGAAAGTAGGAGGAAAATGAGACCAGCATTTTTTTCTTCCCTGAGCTTTCTTCCTAACAGGCCTCTGTGGGTAGGCTATATTCCTGTACTCAAGGCCACCACTCTGTCTGGAAGAGGTGATCCTAAGCAAAATCGGAGACTTGAACAAAGTTTGTTTCTGGCTGTGTGCCCTTCCATTTTCTGTTCTCTTCTTTCTCCCTGGAGATGATAGAACACAGAATCATATTTCCAACCTCTCTCTCCTATGTACTCTCTCATCCCCCAGCCCAGCCACATTTACACATAGGGCAGACACATCTCACACAAAGGAAGTACCCCTAAAGACCTCACATAAATAAACACTAGCAAAATTCAAGTTGAATCTTGGCAAAAAAAAAAAAAAAAAAAAAAATGACAGGATTTTCTATTTCCCAGTTCAAGTGGCCCTGACATGTGGCAGTCAAATACACAGTTTATATTCTCTTGGCCCGCATGCTCTGAAATTATGCTATTGCTGATTTATTTTTTTTCAACTTTTTAATCTATTCTTTCAAATTTTGCTGATAAAACAAGATTATATTTCTTAAAGCATCATGTAAAATTTTTATTATTCAAATGCATATAAAATACCACCATGTTACACTGTTTTCTTTTGCTCTTTCTTCCATTGAAACCTATTCTGAAGCTAAAAGAAAGCAAAGAAAAATGATGTTTACACTTGACTGCCAATGAATTTATGGCACTGTGTTACTTTTCCCAACAGAGTTTACATTTTCAACTTTATCAGGATAATTATTTTGTCCTGTTTAACTTTATAATCAGGATTAAAGGGACGTTTGTGGGGAATTCATGGTCTTGCTTAATCTTCTTATAATCTGCCATTTCTGCCAAATCTGATTACATGATCTCTGATTTAAACAAACAAAACACTTATATATACAGATTACTGGTTGCCTTCTTTAATTTCAGAAAGAAATTTGCATGTTAATGTTTTATTACATTGCAAATTATGTTCTTTTTCCTATAATTAGCATAGTAGGTAAGCTTGCAGGGTTAAAGCCTCTTTCCCAAAGAAGACTGTTTTTATCATTGTCATAACTTTAAAGTAGTAAGTGGTCTGATCTCACAGTCTTAGACGTGGTAAACTCTTAAAACTCACTTGTTGACTGGTTGGCTAAATTAATCAACATGTTTCACGAGGTCTAAAGGGAGGAGCTCATGTTCATAGAAAGAGTTGCATTTGGCCTGGTGCGGTGGATCACGCCTGTAATCCCGGCACTTTGGGAGGCTGAGGTGGGTGGATCACCAGGTCAGGAGTTTGAGGCTAGCCTGACCAATGTGGTGAAACCCCATCTCTACTAAAGATACAAGAAGTTAGCTGCGCATGGTGGCGGGTGCCTGTAGTCCCAGCTACTCAGGAGGCTGAAGCAGGAGAATCACTTGAATTCTGGAAGCGGAGGTTGCAGTGGCCAAGATGGCGCCATTGCACTCCAGCCTGGGCAACAGGGTGAGACTCTGTCTCAAGAAAAAAAAAAAAAAAAAAAAAAAGAGCTGCGTTTGCCCCTCTTGCTAAAGGTAATCAGAGCTTTCTTACCAGAAACTTCAGCACTTACACATCAGTGCCTCGTTTAAGTACTTAAAGAAACGTTTAAGTTTCACAATACAAGACAAAGACTACCGAGGATATTATACATCGATTGTGATCTGTATCAGTTCTGTTTCTGGCAGGAATGAGATCTTACACTCCAGAAAAGAATTTGATAAAGTGACTCTATATTGGAGCAATAAGGGGTAATGTGTATGCTCCAGCTGGTAACAGTAAACTATTGAAGAGGCAAGAGATAGGAACCATTTCCAGAGCCTGGAGAGGAAACCTGTGTCTAGAAAGCTTCCAGACAGAGTGGTGGCCTTGAGTACAGGAATATAGCCTACCCACAGAGGCCTGTTAGGAAGAAAGCTCAGGGAAGAAAAAAATGCTGGTCTCATTTTCCTCCTACTTTCAGAGTTTCTGCTACTGCTTCCATTGTCTGACCCCATCCTAGGAACCTGCGGGAAAGCTACTCTAAGCAGGAGAAATATGTTCATAGCAGTATTGATTATTTTATATTCACTCACCACTGGTATTACCACTGACTGGGCTTTTTTATTTAAAATTACTCACAGTGGTCATGTTGCTTCCCCTCAAAAGATATTGAAAGTGGCATGAGCAAGCTAATCATATCTGTGGGTCATGCAGAGGTTCCTATCATTCTACCACATCGTTTGCTATCATTGTTTATCTTTTACTTTGACAGTAAAACTTCTCTCAAATATTTCTCTGTATGTTTTTTTACATTCCAGAAGTAAAGTAAACCTATACATTCAAACAAACTGACTCTGTATTCTGAGAGAATGTCATTATAATCAGCTAAATTAAATGATATTTGAAAATAATGTGATGTTTGTTATTATGGGAAGATGTTATTACAACTCAGTGAGATACGGCTATGGTTTGTGTTTGTTAGGCACATTGATGGCTGTGTTACTCTGTTTTGCATTGCTGTAAAGGAATACCTGAGGCTGGGTAATTTATAAAGAAAAAATATTTACTTGACATACGGTTCTGCAGGCTGTACAAGTATTGCACCAGTATCTTCTTGGCTTCTGGTGAGGCCTCAGGAAGCTTACAATCATGGTGGAAAGTGAAAGGCGAGCAGATGTGTCACATGGCAAGACAGGAAGCAAGAGGAGAGGAGGTCCCAGATTCTTTTTAACAATCAGATCTGTCAGTAACTCATTACACTGGGGAGGGCACCAAGCCATTCATGAGGGATCTAGCCCCATGATCCAAACAACTCCCACTAGCCACCACCTCCAACACTGGGATCACATTTCAACATGAGATTTGGAGGGGACAAAACATCCAAACCATATCAACATCTTTTCTTGGATGAAGTTTATTTTCTTTCCAACACTGTTTTTCCAGTATTGGGATACATTTGTGGGCTTGGGAAGGTAAGATCTGAGGAGCTTCCCTTAACTGTGGAAGAAAAGTCCAACTGACCATGACAGAGATCATCGTTGATGTGTATATTTACGTATGTGTGTGTGTATATATATATATATAATATAAAATATATATATAATATATGTATATATATACATATATATGTATATTTGCAATATAAACTAGTTTTACCAACAAATCAGTTTTTAGCAAGTCCCTACAAAATATGGCTCTATGCTTAACGTTATTTATTTCTCCTTCCTAATAGAGATATAGCAGTGACATCAGGATGTCTCAAGGTGTTCTTTATTTGGGGCTAATGTTCACTTTATGTTTTTAAAGGAGGGTGAATAAAACCCTGCAGTAGATCAACATGTAATAATGTCTGAGGATGGCCAGTGAATCATTATTTTCCAACTTCAGGAAGAACAAATATGAGAGTAGGACTGAATCAGTGGCCAGGGTGGGCATAGAAGTACTGTGCCAAGGTTTGGCATAAGGGAGCATTTCATCGTTCTATATCATCATAAAAAGCATTTCGTCATTTGACACCCTTCTTTACTTATCTCATATCTGAACTATCAGGCTTTGTTTTGCTTCCTCTAATGTCTTTTCATCATAGTCTTAATGACAATAATATAAATATATTACATCATAACTGAAAAAGTTTATATTCTGAAAATGTGTTCCAGGAGAGCTATTCTCTCTGCTCAACCCCCAGCCATCTTTCTGAGAGGCAACAGCACAGCATAGAGCTGTGTTGGAATTCCAGCTTTTAATTCCTAACCTCACAATTGGGAAGACCAATTAGATGACCCCTCTAAGCTGGGTCATCGCATCTGTAAAATGGGGATCTTTGTACAATTATTTCTGTTGCTGGCACACGTTTAACAAATTTGTCGCTATTACTGATCTGTTATCTATAGGATGTTCTATTAGTTTTATTCAAATTAAATTTTCACTAAAAATAATTGAAATACCTAATCATTATTATGCTTCCTGGTAATTAGGAATAAATAGAAAGGTACCTATATAAATGACTGTGATTTTTAAACTCACTTGCCTTTAATTGTATTAGTTTTCAATAACTACAATAGCCATTTATTCATTCAACCAACATTTATTAAGTGCTTGTTAAGAGCTGAGTCTCGTGGTTCTGCTGAACTATTTCTTCATGATTCCCAGTTGCCCTGTCAACCTGCCAGTACAGCAAATAAATATGAAGCAGTTAACTCAACCAACCAACATATGCTAAGATTTCAAAAAGCAGAGGAAAACTATCTCTTACTATTTCAGTCAAGGACAATTTTAGGCAAGGACAATGGGCAAGGTAGGTGAAGCAACGGGACTGTAAAATATGTTCCTCTGAAAAAATTAGAAAGAAAGAGGCTTATGAGAGGGGAGCCAAGCAGGAAAGGCAAGGAAGCAGCTGGGGAGAGAGAGGATTAGTGGGATTATTTGTAGGAACAGGAAGTTTTGCTAAAAAGCTAAATGGTCCAGACAACCCGATTGCTGCAGAAACCACTGGCCAAGCCCAACAGAGGGTCCTGTTGTCTGCCTGGAGCAAATTTCCATGGCTTTTTGAGTGGTCAGGTAGGAAATATTGCATTTTATCAATTAAACACCTGTTCAGATCCTATTTTCTTTCCTTGGAACCCTGCTTCATTCTGTAATGTATATTGATTTATTTTCTTTTTGAGCTCTGATAGTACAAGTTGTCTGTCCCATATTGTTCAGCATTTAATTACTAGTCAACCCTGTATATTGAACAGATTCAGGTGTTCAAGTTTTATCTCAGGTAGATCAGTATCTTCTAAAAGACAGAAAACCTGGTTCAGTATCTCATCATTGAAATGCTTGGATCAGCAGTGTTTTGGTTTTTGGACTCTTCTGGATTGTGGAATATTTGCAGAATATATACTGGTTCAGCATTCCTAATTTGAAAATCTGAAATCCAAAGTGCTCCACTGAGCATTTTCTTTGAGTGTCCATTGAGCATTCAGAAAGGCTCAGATTTTGGAGCAGTTTGGATTTCATATTTTTGGATTAGGGATACTCAACCGGTAATACTTAATTAACCAGCTGTACCCAAACACAGTGTGTACTGCACAGTAGTTGCTTTAAAATATAGATTATTTCTTTATGGTATTGTGAGAGGATATCATAAATAAATATAAGTTTCTTTGCCCATGTAATTTAATGTGTTCATTTCTGAATCACATTATTAGACTTAAGGTATACTATTGAGTATCTCACAGGGAGCCAAGCCCAAAGTACCAAACCTAGGGTGTGCTGGGGCTGAGGTATAAAATCAGGTTTGTCAGAATCTAAACTACGTCTTTGTTTGACTACACAGTTTTCCCCTCTCAAATTCAAATTCACCCTTAAGAGCTGTGTGATTACTTTAATTCTCAGCTCAGATATCACCTAGTGAGACATTTCCTGATCATCCAGTCCAAAAGAACCCCTCCCATACATATTTTCATATTATCATTGTTTTGAAATTTCTTTTACAGAGAGGGTCACCAAAACTAGGACATTTTTGAGAGTAAAAAGAGGCAATCTTAATCATCACAGCAGGAAAACAGGCACAAATCCAAACTGTCCCACACAAGCTGGGAGGCATTGTAGTTTTCTCCATAAAAATTACCACTACCTAAAATAACATAGAATATTTACAAATGTCTGTAAAAGTGGAATATAAACTTTTTAAAATAATTATGGGTTTTTTGTTGTTTATTATCGTAATCCAGTGCCTAGACCATACTGGTGCACAGTCAATGTTCATTACATAGTCATTGGAAGTGCTACAAAATTGAACAACACCAGTGCTTTTAAGGGGACAAAGCTACACCATCTCCTGCCTATTTCTTTGCGTATCTTTTCCCAGGTTGGTAGAATTGTGACTTCCTAATCACTTCTTTTTTTTTTTTTTTTATACTTTAAGTTTTAGGGTATATGTGCACATTGTGCAGGTTAGTTACATATGTATACATGTGCCATGCTGGTGCGCTGCACCCACTAACGCGTCATCTAGCATTAGGTATATCTCCCAATGCTATCCCTCCCCCCTCCCCCCACCCCACCACAGTCCCCAGAGTGTGATATTCCCCTTCCTGTGTCCATGTGATCTCATTGTTCAATTCCCACCTATGAGTGAGAATATGCGGTGTTTGGTTTTTTGTTCTTGCGATAGTTTACTGAGAATGATGATTTCCAATTTCATCCATGTCCCTACAAACGACATGAACTCATCATTTTTTATGGCTGCATAGTATTCCATGGTGTATATGTGCCACATTTTCTTAATCCAGTCTATCATTGTTGGACATTTGGGTTGGTTCCAAGTCTTTGCTATTGTGAATAATGCCGCAATAAACATACGTGTGCATGTGTCTTTATAGCAGCATGATTTATAGTCATTTGGGTATATACCCAGTAATGGGATACTAGAAATACCATTTGACCTAATCACTTCTGATCTTGGCTACTTCAGCTGCTCATTCTAATCTGTGTTATGGTTCTGTTCTATCTCTACCTGGTACTTCTTCCAATCATAAAAAATGGTTATAGATGATTGAGAGCTTTGGAAGTGTGAATTCTCTCTAACTGTACACATTTTTAAATGGGGTAGGTCCTGTATATTTGCTCATTTATTTAAAAAGTCATACATCTTATGGTTGATTTATGTATAAATGTCAATGTATTTGTATTTTCTCATTTTTCTACGGGGAACATAGTATATGTATAATAGTTGAATTTTAATGTTTTTAAAATAAAAAATACATAGTTATATCTCTATAAGATAAACTAATAAATTAATATTAGAAATTTATAGGTTCTTCCCATCTTCAAATACGGTAAAATTACTGGAAACAGATACCGCCTTGGCTGTACTATCATTTTAGAGATTTTACACACACAAAAAAACATATTACCATGCTTTGAGTAAAGTATTACCAGGCTTTAAGTTGATCTGTTCTCTAGCTGCAGTTTTCTTCTCCTGGAGAAAGTAGTAAATCTTCCGAGCTCAATATTATTACCTCTACAATGGGAAGATTTTTATTTTTCAAGACCACCAGATTAGGATAAGAGACTTAATGCCTACCAAATCAGTCACATTCCTGTTCTATAACATGTTAAGATACATAGAGCCTGTTTTATGATGGGAGATACAAAAAGAATTTCCTAATCATCTTGTAATTCCCTGAGCCAAACAAAAGTCAAAAGGCTTTAAAGAACTAGGAAGCCAGTTCTATAAAAAGCTTTTAGAACTTTAAAGATCAGTTTTATGCTGTGTCTACTGAATTCCCCCAAGGGAAACTATACAGCCAAGTGCTGGGTATGTTCCCAAATACATGCAAATGTTCCTTCCAATGATGCCCTCCTAGCCTATCTTCAAGTAAAAGCACAATCCCTGAACTTAGAAGGTTGAGAAACTTGTTTGCACTCAAAGTGGTACAAGTCCTTAACACAATGGCAACAATATAGACAACATTGTGTTTATCATGTCACTCATATAAACGAATTTTTTGTGTCAGAATATATTCTTGGATCATAGACACGTTACATCTCAATGGATCTTAAAAATCATTTGGTCTCCTTTCTTTATTTTCGGAAGAGACAACTGGACCTGAGTTATTCAAGTGATTTTACTAAGGTCATAACAGCTAATTGGTCCACGTACTGATTATTACTCTCCCATTCCACAAGCACATTGCTCTCACAACCTTACATTGTGACAAGTGCCTCAGGTGGTGGCTTGGTGGGGTAGAAACACTTAGACCTGGCAAAGAAAATGACTTGAACTTTTATCTTTGCACCATCACGTCTTAGCAGGTGACCTTGGACAAGTTTATATTCCCCCCATGATATCAGTTTCCTCATTGGAAAAATAAAGTGATCCCAATTCAAGGTTCTGCTGAGTACTTTTACAAGCCAGCATTTGTAAGGACAGTGGCTGGAATCAGTACTCATTCAAACAGCACTAAGTCCTGTTTCAGATACTTATAAATCGGTGTAGTGTATTATGTAAAACATTATGCAATTATTTTAAATTCCTTAGAAAATGTTAAAATGTGTTCACTTTCTATTGATTTTAAAATGTTCAAAATTAGGTAGAACATATGACTCAAAGACTTCCTTCATAAATGATAAAATTATACATTAATATACTTAAAGGGTTTTACTTAATTATGCTTTATTACTCTCCTACCAAAAGATATTTCCTACCCAAAAATGTCAGATGACTTGTATATTATACAAATATGTGCAATATGTATTCTTGCTAACACTTTTTGAGTCTAAACTCCTTAATTTTCAAAAAATTTGTAATTAAGTTTGTTTTTATTGTTCAATTCCCACCTATGAGTGAGAACATAGTGGACACAGGGTGGGGAACATCACACACTGGGGCCTGTCATGGGGTCGGGGGAGAGGGGAGGGATAGCATTAGCAGATATACCTAATGTAAATGACGAGTTAATGGGTGCAGCACACCAACATGGCACATGTATACATATGTAACAAACCTGCACGTTGTGCACATGTACCCTAGAACTTAAAGTATAATAATAATTTTAAAAAGTTTGTTTTTTTCACCAAAAATAAGATTAACTATTAATCTTGGCTTTTTCCTAGGATATAAAGTATAGTAAAAAAATTTTTAAACTACAATAACATGTAGAAATTAGTTACTTCACAAGCCAATATTAACAACCTACTCATTCTTTAAATTATTTATGAAATATTATAAAAGCATAACAGATTTGCGTAGATGTTAAAGTCCTAGTTTTAGGAAAGACAACCATATTTAATACATTTTATTATTTTATGTTTTAAATCTTCAAGTATTACCAGTGAAATAAGATGTAGAGAAGAATTTTATTATGAAATATGAATTTTAAAATTTCAGTAGGTATATCAATTTGACCAATGCACAAAGACTACCCTCTCAGAATTTAGAATAAGAAAAGTAGTCATGGGAAATGTGAAATCAGTCCATTCCAGCTTCTAAAACGCATAAGAATTCAGGTACATGCTGCTTCCTTTTATTTCATTTAACATGATAGCAGTATTTTTATTTTAAAGTAAGCATTTTTTATGTGCTTTACAGATTTATTTTTTTTAACTTTTATTTTAGGTTTGGAGGTACATGTGTTATATAAGTAAACTAGTGTCACTAGGGTTTGTTTTATGGAATTTCAGCAGCCAGATAGTAAACCTAGTACCCAATAGTTATTTTTTCTGCTCCTCTCCCTCCTCCCACCCTCCTCCCTCAAGCAGGCCCCAGTATCTGTTGTTCCCCTCTTCGTGTTCATGAATTCTTATCATTTAGCTCCCACTTAGAAGTGAGAACACGTACAGTCTCGAGTAACTGGGACAATGTGTATGCACCACAGGTATTTGGTTTTCTGTTCCTGCGTTAGTTTGCTAAGGATAATGACCTCCAGCTTCATCTGTGTTCCCACAAACGACATGATCTTCTTTAAAGTAAGCATTGTTTTTTAACTGGCAAGACAGTATACTATAGATCCTGATATCTGATATCTGTAGAACAATAGGTCTGTGCTTAAAATCTGGCTTCACCACCTCATCTCTACTAAAAGATACAAAAAATTAGCCAGGCGTGGTGGCGGGCGCCTGTAGTCCCAGCTATTTGGGAGGCTGAGGCAGGAGAATGGCGTGAACCCGGGAGGTGGAGCTTGCAGTGAGCTGAGACCATGCCACTGCACTCCAGCCCTGGGTGACAGAGTGAGACTCTGTCTCAAAAAAAAAAAAAAAAAAAAAAAAAAAAAAAAAAAAAAATCTGGCTTCACCAATCATTAGTCGTATGATCTCGGGCAAGTTACTTATGTTAGGTTCAGTGACCTTATCAATAAATTTGAGATAATGATAGTCCGACCTTCATGAGATTTTTGTTAGTAAAGGCAAGTGACATGAAGACTTAAAATAGAGCCTGACACAATGTGTAATTGTTCAGTAACAAGTGTTTTTATTGTAATAATTTTCCTAATTTCAGCTAAGGTCTGTTGTGTCTTTAATATGTGTGGCACATTCAGAAGGTATGGTAAGGGATTTTAAGATGCATGAGGCAATAGCTGCACCATAAAGGAGCTTGACATTTAGTGGAGAATATAAAACATACAGGCATGCCTCATCGTATTGTTCTTTGCTTTATTGCACTTCTCAGATACTGCATTTTTTACAAATTGAAGTTTCATGGCAACCCTGCCTTTTGCAATACTATCAGCGCCATTCTTCCAAAAACACATGTTCACTTCATGTTTCTGAGTCACATTATGATCGTTGCAATATTTCATAGTTTTTCATTATCATTATATCTTTTATGATGATCTTTGAGGTTACTATCGTAAGTGTTTTGGAGTGCCACCAACCATACCTATATGAGACAGTGAACGTAATCAATAAATGTTGTGTGTGTTCTGACTGCTACACTGACCAGCTATTCCCCATGTCTTTTCTTCTCCTTGGGCCTCCCTATTTCCTGAGATACAACAGTATTACAATTAGTTCAATTAATAACTTTTTAATGGCCTCTAAGTGTTCAAGGGAAAGGAAGAGTCACACATCTCTCACTTTTAAATCAAAAGCTAGAAATAATCAAGCTTAATGAGGAGGGCATGTCCAAAGCCAAAATAGCTGAAATCTCATGTCAAACTGTTAGTTAAGTTGTCACAGCAAAGGAAAAGTTCTAGTAGGAAATTAATATTGCTATTCTAGTGAAGACATGAATAGTAAGAAAGTGAAACAGCTTTATTGCTGATATAAAGAATGTTTTAGTGGTCCGGGTAAAAGATCAAACCTGCCACAACTCCCCCTTAAGCCAAAGCCTAATCCAGAGGAAGTCTCTGATACAGTTTGGATATGTGTCCCTGCCCAAATCTTATGTCGAGTTACAATCCCCAGTGTTGGAGGTGGGAGAAAATTGGATTATGGGGTGGATTTCTCAGGAATGGGTTAGCACCATCCCCTTGGTACTGTTCTCACAATAGTGTGTGGGTTTTTGCAATAGCTGGTCATTTGAAAGTGTATGGCATTGGCTGGGCGTGGTGGCTCACGCAGGTAATCTCAGCGCTTTGGAAGGCTGACATGGACATAATCACTTGAGGTCAGGAGTTCGAGACCAGCCTGGCTAACATGGTGAAACCCTGTCTCTACTAAAATTACAAAAAAAATTAGCTGGGCATGATAGTGCATGCCTATAATCCCAGACACTCAGTAAGCTGAGGTAGGTGAATCACTTGAACCCAAGAGGCAGAGGTTGTGATGAGCCAAGGCCGTACCACTACACTTCAGCCTGGGTGAAAGAGTGAGGCTCTGTCTCAAAAAAAATAAATAAATAAAAATAAAAAAAAAAGTGTGGCATTCCCCTCCCTCACTCTCTCTTACTTCTGCTTTTGCTCTGTCATGTGTCTGCTCCCTTTGCCTTCTGCCATGAGTGGAAGCTTTCTGAGGCCTCCCCAGAAGCAGATGCTGCTGTGCTTCCTGTACAGCCTGCAGAACGGTGAGCCAATGAAACCTTTTTTCTTTGTAATTTATCCAGTCTCAGGTATTTCTTTACAGCAATGCAAGAATGGTCTAATACAGGCTCTAACTCTCTTCAATTCTATGAATGCTGAGAGAAATAGGGAAGCTGCAGAAGAAAGTTTGAAGCTAGCAGAGGTTGGTTCATGAAGAAGCCATATCCATACCACAAAAGTGCAAGGTTAAAGAGCAAGTGCCGATGTAGAAGCCGCAGCAGCTTATTCAGAAGATCCAGCTAAGATCATTGATAAATGTTGTTCCTCTGAAAACCAAATTTTCAGTGTAGATGAAGAAGCCCCTGGCTGGGCACGGTGGCTCATGCCTGTAATCCCAACACTTTGGGAGGCCAAGGCAGGAGGAATACTTGAGCCCAGGAATTTGAGACCAGCCTGATCAACATAGTGAGGCCTTGTCTTTAAAAAAAAAAAAAAAATTAAAATTAGCCTGGCATGGTGGTGCACGCACGTTGTCCCAGCTACTCGAGACTGTACGTAGTCCCAGCTCCTTAGGAGGCTGAGGTGGGAGGGTTGCATGAGCTAGGGAGATCAAGGCTGCAGGGAGCTATGATCATGCCACTGCACCCCACCTGGGTGACAAAGTAAGACCCTGTATCAAAAAATAAAAATAAAGAAAAAGATTTATATTGGAAGAAGATGCCATCTAGGACATTTATAAGTAGAGAGAAGAATTCAATGCCTGGCTCCAAAGCTTCAAAGGGGAGACTGACTCTCTTTTTAGGGACTAATGCAGCTTATGACTTTAAGTTGCAGCAAATGCTTCTTTATCATTGTAAAAATCCCAGGGCCCTTAATAATTATGCTAAATCTACTCTGTCTCTGCTCAATAATGGAACAACCAAACCTGGATGACATCATGTCTGTTTATATCATGGTTTACTGTATATTTTAAGCCCAGTGTTGACACCTACTGCTTAGAAAAAATGATTACTTTCAAAATGTTACTGCTCATTGACAATGCGCCTAGTCATTCAAGAGCTCTGATGGAGATAGACAAAGAGATTAATGTTATTTTCATGCCTGCTAACACAACATCCATTCTGCAGCCCATGGATCAAACAGTAATTTTGACTTCCAAGTCTTATTACTGAAGAAGCACTTTTCATAAGGCTATAACTGTCATAGATAGTGATTCCTCTGATGATCTGGGAAAAGTAAATTGAAAACCTTCTGGAAAGGTTTCACCATTCTAGATGCCATTAAGAACATTCATGATTCATGACAGGAAGTCAAAACATCAACATTTGGGAGAAGTTCATTCTAACATTCATGGGTGACTTTGAGAGGTTCAAGCCTTCAGTGGAGGAAGTTGCTGGAGATGTGATGGAAATAGCAAGAAAACGAGGATTAGAAATGGATCATGGAGATGTGACTGAATTGCTGCCATCTAAAGAACAAACTTAAATGGATGAAGAGTTGCTTCTTATGGGTGAGTAAAGAAAGTGGTTTCTTGAAAGGAGTCTACTCCTCATGAAGATGCTGTGAACAATGCTGGAATGACAACAAAGAATTTAGACTGTTACATAAACTTAGTCAATAAACAGCAGTAGTGTTTGAGAGGATTGACTTTAATTTTGAAAAAAGTTATCTTGTGGGTAAAATGTTATCAAACAGCATCAGATGCTTCAGTTAAGTCCTTGATGAAAGAGTCAATCAATATGACAAACTTCATTGTTGTCTTATTTAAGAATTACACTAGACACCTCAAACTTCAGCAGCCACCGTCCTGATCAGTCAGCATTTGTCAGCATAGAGGCAAGACCCTCCATGAGCAAAAAATTACTTCTCACTGAAGGCTCAGATGATAGTTAGCATTTTTTAGCAATAGAGTATTTTAATTTAAGGTATGTCCATTTTTTAGACATAATGCAATAACACACTTCATAGACTACAGTACAGTGTAAACAAAACTTTTACGTGCACTGGGAAGCCAAGAAATTTGTATGACTCACTTTAATGTGATATTCACTTTATTGCTGTGTTCTATAATGGAACCTGCAATATCTCTGAGATATGCGTATATATAGAAAATTCAATACAGGCTTGAATGTATTAAGCACCACAAGAGAAAAACAGATAGTGTATTACTAGACTCCAAAGAGAAAGAGCACAGAGTGTTGGTGGCAAGAGATACATTCTTAGCATTGTTAATATTTGAGGTGGGTTTCACTGGCCATGGGTGTGGAGTTGGGGATTGGACCTCAGGAAGAGCCAAGAAACAAAGGCAGGGGATATAAGAGATGAATGCATTGCTAGGATTCAATTATCCAACAGGTATTCATTAAGTACCTATCCTTTGCTAGGTCCTCTTCTGCAAACTTTGGATACATCCATAAACAAAAGATCTTAGCCTCATGTAGTGGGGAGTCAGATAATACACATACTAAGCCAGTAAATTAAAATGCATGTCAGTAGATGATAAATACTCTGGGTAAATATACAATAGGATAAGTCGGTTTGGGAAGACTGTGGAGGTTAGAGTGTGCATTTGTTTAACGGGGCCATCACTATAAAATATCACAGACTACGTAGCCTAAACAACAGAAATTTGTTTTCTCACAGCAATTGAGGCTAGAAGTCCAAAGTCAGGGTATGAGCAGGTTGGATTTTTTTCTGAGTCCTTTCTCCTTGGCTTGCAGATGGCCACCTTGTCACTATGTCTTCATGCCATCTATGCTGTGTGCTTGTGTGCTCCTGGTATCTCCCTGTGTGCCTAAATTTTCTCTTCTTATAAGGAAATTGGTCAGATTGGATTAGGGCCCATCCTAGAGGCCTCATTTTAACTGAATCACTCCTTTAAAGATCTTATCTCTAAGTACAGTCACGTTCCGAGGTACTGGGAGTTAGGACTTCAACAAACAAGTTTGGGATGGGGAGGCACAATTCCGTCCATAACAGTGTGGTTGAAATTTAAATAGAGTAGTCAAGATAGACTATCAGAGAATGGCATTTGGTCAAAATCTTGAAGCAAGCAAGAGAAACATAGAAATATCTGGGAACACAAATTTCAGGCAGACAGGCCAGCCAGTGCAGAAGTCACAAGGCAGGCTGTGTTCCATGTGTTCAAGAAGCAGAAAGCATGTCAGTTTGCTGAAACAGAGGAAAACCAGGGAGTAAATGGAGAAGACAGAAGAAAGGCAAAGGGAAACAGATTATATGAGGCCTTTTAGGCCATGGTGAGGACCTAAGCACATGTCGTGAGTGGAATGGGGAACCACTGCAGCATTCTAAACACAGCAGTTACAATTAAGTTGTAGAGCAGAGGTCAGCAAACTACTGGCTGTGGGCTATATCCAGTCTATTGGCTGTTTTTTTGCATGGTCCATTAACTAAGAATTGCCTCTGCATTGTTAAATGATGGAAACCAAAAAAAAAAAAAAAAAATCAAAAGAAGATTTTATGACACTTGGAAATTATATAAAACTGAAATGTAATGTCTAATGATAAAGTTTGCATGAAACATGGCCATGCTCATTCATGTATATATTGCCTATGGCTTCTTTTGCATTATAATGGTAGTGTTGAGTAGTTGTAACAGAAACTGTCTGGCCCACAAAGCCTGCAATACTTACCATCTGACCCTTCACAGAGTAAGTTCTCTGGCCCATACTATGGAGGGTCAAGAATAGAAACAGTGGGGCCAGGCGCAGTGGCTCACGCCTGTAGTCCCAGCACTTTGGGACGCCGAGGCAGGCAGATCACCTGAGGTCAGGAGTTCAAGACCAGGCTGGTCAACATGGCGAAACCCCGTCTCTACTAAAAATACAAAATAATTAGCCAGGTGTGGTGACTCATGGCTGTAGTCCCAGCTTCTTGGGAAGCTGAGACACAAGAATCACTTGAACTCAGGAGGAGGAGGTTGCAGTGAGCCAACATCGTGCCGCTGCACTCCAGCCTGGGTGACAGAGTGAGACTCCATCTCAAAAAACAAAAGAATACCAACAGTGGGAAGAGTGGTGGCTGTGACTAGGGTGGTAGCAGTGGAGGCTGCAGTGGGAGTTAGAAAGCATTGCTGATATGGCAGAGTGAAAGAAATGATTGGAAATATGGATCAGGGAGGGGTCATGGCATTGGCATGCATACCAGTGGAACAGGATGCCCTACAGGCCTTTGAGTGGAGAGGCTCCACCATTGCAGCAATGCTTTAGGAAACCCTATTGGCAGCAGATGGCTGCAGGGAACTGGCAGTGATGGTAGATTCAAGAGGTACTGATGGCCTGGAAATGAAGAGAGGAAAGCAATAAAGAGGTAGCTTCAAGAGCATCCTGAACACATTGAGCAACTTTTCCATTTTCTGTGCCAGTGAGGAACCTTCTGTGATAATATAGCAGTTTTCAAACAACTTTAAAAATATCTTGAAGTGCTAGAATACTAGTATTCTAATTATATACCCTTTGAATTAAAATAGAATTCTTCAAGTGAATCAGGCCAGATGCCTTTTACAAGTTAAGCCTTTGGATGTGTAATATTGAAAATAAGAACTCAAAAGAAGACTGTCAGTAATCCCTAAGTGGTCTGAGGGACTCAGAATCTGGATTTTAACTTATGTAATTCACATTTATTTGTAAAAGCCAAAATGTCTAACTTGGCATTTCTGTTTTTTTAATGGACTGCTTTCATAATCTATATCTCTGATCTTAAGGTACTTCTGTAGAAATCCATTATCTTTGCTAAGATTTAGTGCACCATGTTTTTTTTTTTTTTCTGGAACATATACTTTAGAAGATTGATGGATGAAAAAGACAATCTCAGTTATAACTCTTAGAGATATTTTTGCTCTTTCCTTTAAAAAACCTTTATTTCATAAAATGTGATTGCAGTATTAATTATGTAATTTTATCTGATATATTTAAAGACATACTCAGTATTTCATGGGTTATGTCCAGTTATATAAATTTGCTTCATAACATATATTTTCCAACTTTACTGAGTCCCATCTTTGTAAATACAAGCTATGATAAGTAAGTCAAAACACAAAACACTCCAATATAGGAATAACAGGATAGACTAAAATCTCATTAATGTTGTCTACAAAAAAGTTACATAGCATAAAATAGACCTGGAACATGAAGCTGATTTATTCACATATGACAGAGTACAAAGTTCCTTGAATGAGTATATTTCTGGTGACAGAATCTTTAAGGAATAACCATTTTGAATTTGGACTAGTTGAAAAAGTGTGAAATATCTCTGCTGCAATGGGAGGAAAGTAGGATCTCCTGTTCATCTAAAAATAATCATTCTTTAACAAGAATGGAGAGGCAATTGGGTACCTTCACTAGGATTTCCAAGGGAAGAGTCGTCTTTTGACAAGACTTGAGGACAACTTATCCAGATTATGATTTGACTTTGGAAATGTCACTCTTAAGTTTATATTGAGGTTATCATGTTAGGAAGATGATAGCATTCATTTCATATTTTCTAATTTATCTTTGTTAAACGTGAGGTGGCAGTCCTTTGGGGCTTTAGAAGTTCTCTGACTGTGGGAAGTAAAATGTAAAAGTTTCAAAAATGTTGATAATAAAAACAGCTGGTGAAGGCAGTCATACTCTAGAAAGGGACACAGTGACGCTCCACCCTAGTCCCATCATTTTTCAGAGAAACCTGAGACCTAAGGAGACCAAGTTTATTGCGTTTCTTTATGCTCCATATGGTTTTCTCAGTATATAATTGTTGTCAGACCAGATTTACTGAACAGCTTAGTGGTCGTGCTCAAGCTAGGACCCTGTTCTTGGGCTAAAATCCCATTCTCTTTCTGCTAGAGACTAGATCACAAGTCCTCCAGGTATATGATACATATATTGGTAGAAGTAAGCTGATTTTACATGACACTGAAACTTGGCATTGAAAAGTAGTTGGATCATGTAATATGGAAGCAGTCCCTTTCATGTTTTCTTTCAGGCTTTTGATGGCCTCAATGGACATCCTCAAGTTACTACACATATGTCCGTATCAACACCCTAAAACATGTGACTCTCTACTTTTCATAAGAGAAAACATATGAAACTCAACCTTCAGCAAGGCAAGGTGGTAAATTGAAATTTTTAGAAAATGCCCAGATTATTTTTTGATGGTGTTTCTTTTCTTTTAATAAAAAAATTGGTGAGTACATAGTAAGTGTATACATTTATAAGATACATAAGATATTTTGATACAGGCATGCAATGTGAAATAAGCACATCATGGAGAATGGGGTGTCCATCCCCTCAAGCATTTATCCTTTGAGTTACAAACAATCCAGCTACATTCTTTAAATTATTTAAAAATATATGATTAAGTTATTGTTGACTATAATCACTCTATTGTGCTATCAAATAGTAGGTCTTATTCATTCTTTCTAATTATTTTTTGCACCCATTAATCATCCTCACCTCCCCCACAACTTCTCCCTTCCAGCCTCTGGTAACCGACATTCTACTCTCTATATCCATGAGTTCAATTGATTTGATTTGTAGATCCCACAAATAAATGAGAATATGCAATATTTGTCTTTCTCTGCCTTGTTTATTTCACTTAACATAATGATCTCTGTTTCATTATTGATGTTACAAATGACTGGATCTCATTCTTTTCAATGGCTAGATAGTACTCCACTGTGTATGTGTACCACATTTTCTTCATCCATTCATCTGTTGATGGACAATTAGGTTGCTTCCAAATCTTAGCTATTGTAAGTAGTGCTGCAATAAGCATAGGAGTGCAGACAAAAACCCAGATTTTGTTTACAGGAGATTTTTATGGGCATCTTCCATTTATGAAAAACAGTAATTTTATAAGAATTAGATATTTGATTTAAAATAAATTTATTTCACTAAAACTAATTTATTTTTAAAATACTGACCCAAAGGTTACTCAGGTGTGGCAAAACTCACACAGGAATACTAGGTAAAATACAGGTACTGTTCAACCATGAATGGGATCCACAGATGATTGAGGTATGGAAACACTCCTCTAGATACTGCCAAGGCTGTTGTATCTGGAGATGAAAGTGGTATGATATAGGATTAAAATTCCCAAAATAAGAACAAGGGAACAAGTTCTACTTCTTGATTTGTTGGGTAAGGACACTCAATCTGAGCTTCATTTCTCAAAGGCACAATGAGAGAGGTTACAGTTGGGAAGAGCTAAGTATACTGCATCTCAGACTTTCTAAGATAACTTGTAAAAGTGAAAACACTGCTGTCTTCAAGATGTAATATTCAAAGCAATTAAGGAACATAACCCACTTGTAGCCATTATGGGCTAAATTGCCCAAATAATCGCCATACACTATTACCTCTTTAAAGTTACTTTCACAAAGAAGTATTCAGATCAGTTTAACCCTGCAAAAAGCTTATTTGGATTAGACGTAGAGAAAGCCCACACCAATGATCCTGTATATAAGGTAGAAATGTACATGGGTGTGTGTGCACACATACACACACCACAATCTTGCCTGATCTGTGATCTTCCATGTTCAGTGTTCATGAGAGCTCAGTTTCTGGTTATTACTCTAAGAAAAAAATTAGACTAGACACAAATTCAATACATATAGCAAAGAGCTATAAGTATCACTTTAACTCTGCTGACAAGTCATTAATATTCTCCTCTCTAAATCTGTTTTTAACATTTTTAAAGCTAACGCATTTAGAAGATTGAGTTTTCTGATAAGACATTGTTTATCTTCATTTTTGTTTTCAAACACTCCCTGCAAGGCATGAGACTATGTGCTGGTTTCTTTGCATCTAAAATGAGTTAGGATTTTTTAAATCACATATAGAAACATGTACAATAATGTGTCAATTAACTGACAATTAAGCTTTAGTTCTTCAGTAACGCTGACTACAAGTCAGTCATATGGAAGTGATGAAGTAAGGTACTGTTGTTTAATACTTATCCTGAAATCAGCTGTTTTTTAAAAAAATTGCTTAAAGTTGGCTGTTTACTTGGAATAACACAGGAGCATAGTTCATTACCCACCACCACTAGCTAGTTCAAGTCTGTATAGTACGGTAGTATAGTTGATTCAAAGTTATAATTGCATCTTTACAGATAGAAAATCAGGTAACACCTCATTTCCACTGGTTTTTATATTTATTTTCAGAAAAGTGTAAATTAAATTTCTAGAAAGTGGGATTTGGAATAAAGCCCAATATTATGTTAGTGGAGGGTTTATTTTTTAAATATGCCATTCTAAAATAAAATATTTTATTCTTATTGTTATAATTTATTTAAATTAACTTTCTGCCATCATAATTAAGCACTGTATTTTATTTTAAATGAAAATTAATACCTTAACTATTAGAACTTAATCAAGATGAAGCTACTTAGTGTCAAAATAGAAGACAGTATATCCTGATCAACTAAGAGAACCAAGAAGATATAAAGAATGTAATGGAAAATAACACTTTTGAGTCATTTTGAGTATATACTGTTGATAACTGTGGCCGTAGGCGGGTAATTTCGACTGTCTGGTTTCTTGCTTCATTAGAGTTGTTTTATTTGTGAAAAGCACTTTATAACTTGAGAGATGTTATATAAATGCTAGTTGCTTACAAGTATCCCCACCTCCTGGTATTCACCCTTTCCTATACTCTCCTCCCATATCACACCAGGCTATGGCAATCATGATGCTATGCCATTTCTAAGGTTGGGGTTAAAAAAGTGCTGCAGTATTTATTCTGGTTGCTTTTTCTCTCTCTCTTTTTCTATTGGATCATTAACTCTGGATAAGCCAGGAGCCATGTCACTGTCTCCCTCTGGAGAAACCTGCATGGCAGGAAAGTGAGGCCTCCCGCCAACAGTCTTGTGCATGAGCCATGATGGCAGCAGATCTCCCAGGCCTGACAGACCTTCAGATGACTGTGGCTCTAGCCTATACCTTGACTACAAACTCATGAGCAATGCTGGGCCAGAAGCACCCAGCTAAGCCACTCGCAAAGTCCTGACCCACAAGAACTGTGAGATCAATGTTTGCTGTTTTAATATGCCAACTTTGAGGGTAATTTGTTACACAAAGGACACCTGGAACATGTGGTTATCCCAATCGTCACCTGAGCCTTCCTGAAGGAATCTTATCATACTTTCATGGTATCTGAACTAGACAGAAGAAAACAAACATGCTTACCAGTAAATATGCTTGGCCAATGAAAAATATGTAAAAACACATATTTAATATACACTGAACCTTTGTTTCAAGTGATCAGTAAATTACTATCAGAAGGTTATTATATCAGATCCAGCCTGTAACAATTCTAGGAATAGGTGTGTTTATCCCATCACAGAAAAGGAAAACAAAATTGACAGAAGTCAGGAAATTTTCCCATGGTCTCACAGCAGATGTGTGACAGAAGTCAGGAAATTTTCCCATGGTCTCACAGCAGATGTGTTACAGAACCAGTATCTTTTTGTTTTGTTTTGTTTTAAATTATTATATTTTAAGTTCTGGGGTGCATGTGCAGAATGTGCAGGTTTGTTACATAAGTATACACGTGCTATGGTGGTTTGCTGCACCCATCAACCCATCATCTACATTAGTTGTTTCTTTTAATGCTATTCCTCGCCTAGCTCTCCACCTCCCGACAGGCCCCGGTGTGTGATGTTCCCCTCCTTGTGTCCACGTCAGAACCAGTATCTTAAATATGATCTATCTTAGCATAAAATCCCTTCTTGGTAAGTTAAGTAAGCATCAATCAGGCTCTAAGAGAGAGTCTATGAAGTGCTCAGCTTTACTGCTGGGGCCTTCATACATCCAGGAGCATTTGTTCATTTACTTCAAAGTTCAGGACTGGGTTCTAGTGGGATGCGTTTGCTTGAACCCAGACCTTTAAGTGAAGGGGCATTGCTGGGGAGGAATTCAATTTTTTGGGTATCTAACTTTTTTCCTTGGAATCACTGGTCATTTAAAATGAGCATTTATTCTTGCAAGCCGTTAGGATTTAGTTTTCCTCCAACGTGGGCACTTCAGCATAGGTTTCGGGTGCTACTGTGACATACAGCTCAAAGCATCCTAATACCCCTGAGTCTGAGTAACATGTTCTCAGAATAGGGGCTCCATCAATCAATCATATCAACCCATTAACAGCAAGAGGAAAATGATGAAGTATATAGCCAAGAGAAAAACTGGATTCTGATGACAGTTGAAATGTGATGAAGATTCTGTGAAGCAGAGATAATGTAAGAAAGATGCCTGTGTGGAAATTAAATGTAAAAATGCCAATGGATGGAAATTTTCTCCAAATGTACTAGGCCTCCCCTATAATTTTAAAATGGAGCTAAACCACTTTATGATGGGAATATTACTAGGCATCCATGCAGGAGAAGTCTTCCAAAAACAGACTACTGGTTCTGAAAATTTGGCATGGTATCAATCATACACTTCTGAATCTTCAAGATCCCTCCAATAGTTTTTAAAATGTGGCTGGCTACATTTGAAGAATGTTTGTTTGCCTTCATAGCCAGCCATTCTTGTTAGATTTTGGAAACTCAATAAGCTCTGACTGTTCACAATTTAATATTTTAGTGACACATTTTTAGGTTTCTAAATCAGTTTTATGAGGCATGCGATAAAAATAAAATCAAAGTCGGCTGAACACTTATGGTGCTCAGTCAACTCTGAATATGACCTGTAGAAACACAGCAGAAACAAAACGACACTAAGTCATTTTTACTTCAATTTTATTAAAAGAAAGAGAATGATTAAACCAGTGGAAAACATAACAAGTTATTAATTTAAAAAAAAAAAAAAGTTTACTCAGCCCGGCGCGGTGGCTCACACCTGTAATCCCAGCACTTTGGGAGGCCGAGGCGGGCGGATCACGAGGTCAGGAGATCGAGACCGTCCTGGCTAACACAGTGAAACCCCGTCTCTACTAAAAATACAAAAAAATAAGCCGGGCGTGGTTGCAGGCACCTGTAGTCCCAGCTACTCGGGAGGCTGAGGCAGGAGAATGGCCTGAACCCGGGAGGCGGAGCTTGCAGTGAGCCAAGATCGCGCCACTGCACTCCAGCCTGGGCGACAGAGCAAGACTCCATCTCAAAAGAAAAGGTTTACTCATATATTTTTTAGATTCTGTCTGTAATTTTACCAGATGGTGTTAAAGTACAAAACTGAACTTCAATATGATCGATTTTTTTTTTATTATACTTTAAGTTTTAGGGTACATGTGCACATTGTGCAGGTTAGTTACATATGTATACATGTGCCATGCTGGTGCGCTGCACTCACTAACTCGTCATCTAGCATTAGGTATATCTCCCAATGCTATCCCTCCCCCCTCCCCCGACCCCACCACAGTCCCCAGAGTGTGATATTCCCCTTCCTGTGTCCATGTGATCTCATTGTTCAATTCCCACCTATGAGTGAGGATATGCAGTGTTTGGTTTTTTGTTCTTGCGATAGTTTACTGAGAATGATGATTTCCAATTTCATCCATGTCCCTACAAAGGCCATGAACTCATCATTTTTTATGGCTGCGATTGTTTTTATTCTCTAAGTTTAATAGCAACGTTGTATTTCATCATTAGGAAACATGTTTGTTGTGTTGCTTTCTCATCCCGTTTCAGATATGTGCCTTTTTCAATTTGGTAGCAAATCTTAAGCGAAGATAATTAATTTTTCTATCATTTATGAGTATTTTATATAAAAAACTAACAAATATTCCTGAATAGATAAATATGCTTATGGAAGATTAGAAAATGTAAACTTAAGAATTATTTAAAATAAGGTTGTCATGAAAATCTTTCCGTCTCCCAAGGTATAGGTATAATTTTTATCATTGCTAACAGTTCACCCATTTTACTTTGAAAATTTCCATCTTCTCCCAAATAGATTCTTTTTCAGTAATATCAAACAGAGGAGGGGACATATATTTCACCCCAAATGCTTTCAGCCTTGGTGTTTATGTTCATGAAAAGCTCGTGCATAGCAAACAAATAGTGGTAAGATTATGGTAATTGGTAATGGAGTAAAAAGAAAATGGTATGTAATTATTAGAGTGGGCATCTTTGTGCCTCAGTTTCTTCTTTAATGATAGGGGTCATCATACTTTGCATTATCTGCTCTATAAATTTAAAAAAGACAGTTGACTCCTAAACAATGTGGGTTTAGGAGTGCCCATCTCAGCACAGTCAAAAATCCACATAAAACTTTTGACTCCCCCAAACTTAACTACTGGTTGTCTGCTGTTGACCAAAAGGCTTACTGATAATATATTCAGTTGATTAACATGTATTTTATATGTTACATGTATTGTATGTTGTATTCTTACAGTAAATTAGTTAAAGAAAAGAAAATGTTATTAAGAAAATTATGGCTGGGCATGGTGTCTCATGCCTGTAATCCTAGCACTTTGGGAGGCCAAGGCCAGAGGATTGTTTGGGCCCAGGAATTTGAAAACAGCCTGGGCAACAAAGTGAGACTCTGTCTCTACGTTGGCACGCACCTGTGGTCCCAGCTACACAGGAGGCTGGGAAGGAGGATCACCTGAGCTCGGGAGGTCGAGGCTGCAGCAAGCTATGTTTGCAACAATGCACTCCAGCCTAGGTGACCCTGTCTTGGAAGGAAGGAAGGAAGGGAGGGAGGGAGGGAGGCAGGGAAAATCATAAGAAAGAGAAAATGTCTACTATGCATTAAGTGAAAGTGGATTATCATAAAAGTATTCCTCTTGATTGTCTTTACATTGAGTAGGCTGAGGAGGAGGAGAAGCAGGCAGGTGGTCTTGCTGATTTTTAGGCAAAGTGGCAGAGCTGTAGGAACTAGAAGGAGAGACGGGAGAGGCAGGCGCATTTGGTATAACTTTTATTGAAAACAATCCGCAAGTGGGCCCATGCAGTTCAAATATAAATTGTTTAAGGTTCAACTGTATGTAGATATAAATAGAGAGTATATACTTCTCACTGTGTTTATTTATTTATAAATTATAAGTAAATTGTATTACTCTGCTAAAATATTGTGTCCAAAACATAGAGAAACTGAAATATAAAATGTTAAGGTTGATAAAAAATTAAATATTTGAATACTTTTGTGGATTATCAAAGAAAGTTTTAGCTCTCATTAACATGTTAGAATTGTATATATTGCATATTGTTATCTTCTTGTATATAATAATAGAATATTTGTAATAATTTTAGTGAGGGCAGCTTGATTATATGTACTTAATTATTTTTGAAAATCTTGATACATGTCAATTCAGAACTTAGTTCTAATTTCAGTTTTATACCCGCTTTTAATGATTGAAAAAGTTTTCACATAAATATCTTCATAAAAATGTAAGAAGCACATCATACCTTGTGCTTAGTAAATGATGACATGCAGTTTCCCTCTTATCTATGCCTTAATACAGCAGTTTTTTTTTCTTCTAAAAAAAACCGGGATATATGTGCAGAACGTGTAGGTTTGTTACATAGGTATACCTGTGCCATGGTGGTTTGCTGAACCTGTTGACCCATCCTCTAAGTTCCCTCTCCTCACCCCCAACTGCCCAATAGGCCCTGGTGTGACGTTCCCCTCTCTGTGTCCATGTGTTCTCATTGTTCAACTCCCACTTATGAGTGAGAACATGCGGTGTTTGGTTTTCTGTTCCTGTGTTTGTTTGCTGAGGATAATGGCTTCCAGCTTCATCCGTGTCCCTGCAAAGGACATGATCTCATTCCTTTTTATGGCTGCATAGTATTCCATGGTATATATATGTACCACATTTTCTTTATCCAGTCTATTATTGACAGGCATTGATTGGAGTGAGATACTATGCTAAATAGTGTGATCTATCTATCAAGTTAACCAAGGTACACACAAACTAGAAGATGCTGCAGAGTACTGAAGGTGAACCTCTGTACAATGATGGGCAGCTTGCTGCACCGCCTGTCCCACCGTAGAACTTCCTTTTCTTCCATCAATGTCCAATGTGATTCAGTGGCATTCAATACAATTCATTAAGCTTTAGCTTAATTCTCCCAAAAATAAGTAAGTAGAAGCATTATTCGCAATTCTTCATAATATTTTCCTTCCAGACTTTGTTCCATACCTTACTATGGAGACTAACAATTTGTGGAATAAGGAAGTGGTCATTGTTGGCTTATCTTTTATTCTGGAAAAAGACTTATCTGTGCAGCTAGGCAATCATCATAGACTTGAAATTTTATTACAAAAATATCATGTCTGGACAAACTGTTTGAGTGGAATCTCACAGCACCTGATGCATACTTATATCATATCACTGTTATAGCTTTCTATTCCTGGCTCTGTCTCCAACATCCTCTCTCACATACCTTGTGAGACCTTGAGCCCAATAAGCTTAGCAGTGACATTGTTTGTGTGTGATGTCTTTATTAATCCTAGCAGAGCATGTGAGAGATTTTCAGTACATGGTTTTTGAATTAACGGACATGTGAAATCAAGAATAGAGGTGGTTGGGACTGCTCAAATATCCTATCTCCATAGACAAATGGGAAAAGGAGAATTGGAAAACTAATGTGAGATGAGCCGGAATTTTCCTAAGGTCTATAGAATTATGAGATCTTCCTGCAGTTTTCCCCTTTCATGTCCTACCATCTTCTGATGTCATGGGCAAAATTGTTTGAGGCTGAAGTTGGCTTCGTCTCTTTCCTCTTCAAGTTTCTCCATGGGGTGTGTCTGGAAGGGGAGTATAACTGGATTTTCTAATGTTATAGTTGTCTAGTTTCCTTCCCAGAGTTCCTGAGATTGGTAATTGATGATTTTTTAAAACATTTTTGAATGGTTGTCTATTTCTCCTTCTACTTCTTGCTATGCTTCTTTCTTCTCTGTTTATTCCCTCCAGGTCAGTGGGATTTAGAAAGGTCTGAAGTTGAAGAAAGGTAAGCAGGAGAAGAACCCATTCAATGTGGCTCTCTTTCCTCCCCCTTATTCACCACCACTAGCTGAAGCGTATCTTTTAAAAAGACTTGAAGGGACATGTAGAGAAGGTTCTATTCTTGCTTTTCATATAAAAGACAGCTTTGGCATTTTTTTTTCATTTAATGTCTGTAAAGCTGCTCTGCATAAGTACCATGTGAAACACAGAGATTAGTATTGTTAATTTAATGCAGTAAGCTTAGAGTCTTTATAAGATATCATCTCCTTTTGAACTTTATGTTCAAATCAGTAGAGACCAGAACAGAGTTTTTCAGAAGAATATTAACTTTCCTCCTTCATATATTAAGCAAATAGAAGGGCCAGAGAAAATATAAATACGTGTGCTGACACACTGGCATAAATCATCCTGATATGTAAGAGAGTAGGCCTTTTTAATTTGTTCTTTTCTCTCATAAACTGTTGGGGAAATTGGATGAACTTGCTCTACACATAATGGATACAGTAATGTGGGGAGATGATCCGTTGCAATGATGCATTTGGATAGGCTCTAATGAAGTCAAGATTCAACTTATTGATGACAAAAAGAAAACAACGGTTATGTACAAAGTATCATATATCTTCTCATCAAGCTGTCCCACTGAATCAGAGAAGCAGTGTTACCTAAGTAATGCACTATGTCTTCATCTTTTAAAAAGGAACAAAGCTGAGACATTTCAACTTGATTTTTATGCATTCTCTTTCAGGTAACTTCTTAACTTGGCACCAGTAGAATGTTTGAAGGGAAACTAAAATTCTTCTATAGGCAGGAGCAACAGAGAAATCCTTGAAGGAAAATGTCAGCCAAGGAAAATAAATTGGCTTTAATCACTGATTTTTTGAAATTAATAGATTTATATTTCTTGTTATGTTTTCTTACAGCAGATATTAAAGTTAGTTTCCACCTTCCTGGGTTCACAATAATTGAAAATGACAAAAGGCCAAAGGGGCGCCATGTATGGTCAGAGGAAGGATGAAGGCTTCAGGGGATATAGGGAGTTGGCTGCAGATGGTCCTGCAAGTGGGAAATAAAGACCTGGATAACAGAGAGAATTCTGTATCCAGCATAGTTGGGCCCCAGCACAAGTTTTGCCAAATGCCTGATACGCCCTTATGATATGCTATCTTGTTCATTGCAGACAGCACTACACAATACTCCTAAAAAATTCCTTTGTAGGAAAGGCCAGCTGGCTGGGTGCCTACTAGTCAGGTACACTTTGTTTGAAATGTTCCTATCTGTGCTTCTTAGAGCCTTGACTTATTTTAGTTTTTACATTTGTGTTGATTAACTTTTACAAGAAAATACATGTATAAAATGAGGGGGGGGGGGTGCCCTGTGATAGAAAAGACAGTAGTAACCATTCCTCAGCTTTTCCTGACTTCTTTTTAAGTTGGCAATTACTTTTTAAAGTTAGGTTTTTTAGCAATATATCACCTACTACAATATTCCATTCCTATGCATTTAGTCTTTGAATTAAATTTCTGTCTTCTAAGGCTTCTCTGCCCACGACCTCTAAATGTTAAAGAGAAAGAAAGGTTCATGAAAACAAATCTTCCTCTGTTTTACCCAGAGGAAGGTCCTGGACATGGAGGAGGTTTCCAGAAGTTATAAAATTTTCACTTTCCATATATTTCCTGAACTTTGGGGGTATGCTGGCTAATCAGAGGACCAACGATAAAGCTTTAAAAAATTATTTCTTTCTGAAAAATAACAGAAGTGATTTATTGAGAGCCCACTATATGTCAGACATTGTGCTGGTCCTCACGTCCTATTTTATTTAATCTTCACCAAAAATACTATATGATAGCCATTAATAGATCATGTGACAGATAAATTAAGCATCCATGAATTTAAGTCAGGACTTTCCAAGACCTGGAAATTCAAGCCATTTTCATTTTTTAGGCTTTTATTAAAAATTAAAGAAGTACCAAATCATGTCACAACAACTATTGTGATAATTTTATAATTATATATGGAAAACATTTAATGCAAAAACAATGCCATAAAGTTGTGCAATGCACAAAAGTCTTCACAGTAGGCATTTAAAAAATAGTCCATAGGCATTTAAAAAATAGTCTATAGGTGGCATGGTGAGATGAAGGAACAGGAATTATATTAAGAATGTTATTTTTCAACTCTCGAGTGTATATCTGGGAAGCAACTGAGAGACAGGAGATTAAGCAAACTGCCTAAAGCCACCTAGATCATAAACAACAAAGCTAGAAGATAAACTGAGGTGCCTGACCTCAGAAACTTCACTTTTAACGACTTTGCTATCTTCCTAGATAGGCCCACATTCCAAACTCTTTAACTCACCATAAGCCATTTCCAACTTTCAAATTGCAAGATGGCAAGCAGAAATATTTATCTGGTTTAAATATGCTATGGGAATAATTGCTTTCTCTGGTTCCTATTTTTTTTTTTTTGTCTCTGTTTAAGAAGTAGGTTAGGGAGAGTGTTTGTTTTGGTTGCCTCTGTTTTTTGTTTGACAGGTCTATCTACTGCAGAGCATTTGCAGGTGGTTTAAATGTGACTAGTTCACAGAACTGCTGTGCAGTTTAGGAGCATTAGCAATAGAGGTATCAGAAGACCTGTCGGGTGTGGTGGCTCACGCCTGTAATGCCAGCACTTTTGGAGGCTGAGGTGGGTGGATCACTTGAGGCAAGGAGTTCAAGACCAGCCTGGCCAACATGGTGAAACCTGTCTCTACTACAAGTACAAAAAAAAATTAGCCAGTTGTGGTGGTGCACACCTGTAGTCCCAGCTACTCAGGAGGCTGAGGCAAGAGAAAGCACTTGAGCCAGGGAGGCAGAGGTTGCAGTGAGCCAAGGTTGTGCCACTGCACTCCAGCCTGGGCAACACAGCAAGACTCTGTCTCAAAAAAAAAGAAACAAAACAAAAGCAAACAAAAAAACCTAAGTTTGAATTCTAGCTCTGAAGTTATTTAGCACTGTGACTCTGAGGAAGTTGCAACATCATTCTTTACCTTGGATATCATACCAACAAAATAGTGCTGTTGTGAGAATGAGATTTTGGAAGCTGTATAAGGATCTAGCATGGGGATTTCTGTTTTGTAGATGTCAAACTCCTCTGGAATGGACTTGCTGAAAGGATGTCCCAGAGTGTGTGCAGAAGTGCCTGAGGGAAGCTTATTGGGTTCTACAGGACCTTTCAAGAATCAGTGAGTATTAGACACCACTCATAGTTATTAGGCCTTAGAACAAGCAAGGTCAGGATCACAGGTTCAAGGCCTGTGTGGGTCAGTGAGCAACAACCAGAAGCTAGTTATGAAGCCAGTCCTAAGCCATTGAAGACATGAAGAAAGCAGGTAGTAGAGTAGCCTTGGCTTAGTCACAGCTAGGCTCTGAGCAGCCAGGGAGCATCTGCAGTCATAGCACGGTGCTCCCAAAGGCTTACACTCCGCTCCCCATGTTCCTCCGATGGGCACCTCCAAGCTACCCTTGTGGACAGGCATCAGCTTTTCACAGTAAGCAGACAATCCTCAACAATCTACACACTTTAGGAAAAATTTTTATTTAAAAAAGAAGGCCACAATCACCTTGATACACATTTTAATGTCATCCATTAACCATTTGATGACATTTAAGTAATGTCATCCATTTAATGTCATCGATAACTTCTTTTCTCAAAAGAATCAAGAATATTAGTAAGTTAGAAACCATTATCGATAAGGGCTACATTATCAGTTTAGAAAACTGATTTACAATTATTTTACAAGTTTCCTTTTCCCTGATATCCTGAAATAGGCCTCTAAGGTCTTAACCTTCTCCCACTTGCCTGATCAAAATTTGACTGCATTGAAACCTCTTCTAGGGAAATAGCTATTATAGTAACATTCTAAGAAAATGATCAATAGTTTCTTCTTTTTTGTATAATTCAAATTATTGATGTAAAATATATCTTTGCATTTTATTTTCTTTGTAAAATAACCCTTGAATCAAGTTATTAGAAACACTGTTTCAGTTTCCATTGGAAAACATGAAATGCTGGAGGATGTTGGTGTAACATCTCTCCAAATTCTCCTCTTTTTTCCTGATAAAACAATATTTATGTGTCCAGTACCAGCCTGAATCTTTTTCTTGGTTAATACTTTAGTTTTTCTAGTAATTCTGTGTATGAAGTCTGTGGTTTTTAAGAGTGAACACATACAACTGCAAAGCTATTACAATCATTTTTATATAGAAACAATTATTTTAGACCACAAAACAAAATTATATGAAGATAATGTTACATAGGAGGCCTAAGTAGAAAGAAATAGGGTTCTAATTAATCCTGCTTTTGTGCTTCTGTCATTATTCTGGATGAATTCCCTAATGCTACATTTTTAATGGGATATGCATTTCCAATGCTGTTTAGCAAATCACTTTGTAGGCAGATGTTATGGTAGCCCATCTTTCAGGCCAGTGAGCAACTTTTATTTTATTCTGTGATATGTATTGGTACGGAGAAATCACTGCATTCAGATTGTAAACTGTGTGACTTTGGACATTTTTTATGGACAAAAATAAAAATACATCTGGTAGAAATGAAGAGAAGATGTACTTTTTATTACTGGAAAAGGCTTTAAGAAAAATATAACAAATGTCAGTATCTTCCCAAGCTCGACAGACCTGTAAAGTCAGAAACATCCCAGGGCACCGCTGACTCTGCTTTGTATTTCTTTAAGCTTCAGATTGTGGAGGACACAGGGTGTATGAAATACCCTTGTAGAGGTTGCTTACAAGCAAATACCCCTTTGTCCAGGTGGTGTGAGGAAGCCCTAACACCTTTCTGAAAAGGCACTTTGGACTCAGCCCTGTTTTTAAAATGTCTACAGATCACTTGGGTCGCATTGTGTCACCCTTTACAGCAACTGAAAATTTTCTCTTACAGCGAGAAAACTGCCTTATATAGTTCCGATCTAAGCTAATTTTTTAATAGAAATAAGGACGTTTAGTTACTTTTACACTAAAATTGTTTGGTATTTTCTTCTTTGCCTTTGGCACTAGTATTTTATCTTTTCTTTCATTTTTTGCCCCTCAGCATTTCAGAGATGCCAGTTAAAAAGTGAAGGGATAAAAGAACCTATCGAGGGCAGTGAACTAGATGGAGGGTGGAGGGTGGGGGCAGGAGAAGAGATTTTGTCTAGAATCTTCTATCGGATGAGTGTCTTAGTCACTCTGGCCAATTTGGCTCATCACTCTGAGCCACAGTGTTCTCATAGGTAAGATAGATGTAATAACAACTACCTCTGAGAACTGGATTGCTATTCAAATTGAAATGGGAGAGTTCCCTGACCCCCTTGTGGGACTTGTGACGTGGATGTGGCATGCTCAAACCCCTTATGGGAGTGGGAGCACACAAGTGAGCAGGTGCAGGAGCCAGAGTGAGCACTTTTGGGCTCCAGACCCATGGCAGTGTCCAGGAGTGCTACAGTGCTCTTTTAGCCCAGCTATCCAAGAATGGCTTAAGTGTTAAGCGGCTCAGTGAAGAGTCAGTGTGACAGCCTTTTTGGGTTCCCGTACCCACTGCCTCCCAAATTCTTGTCCAGTGTCCAGGAAGAATCAGGTCACACAAACTTGAAGAATGGTGAATGTGGGGATTTTATTGAGTGAAGGAGGTGGCTCTAAATGGGATGGGGAGCTGGAAAGGAGATGGAGTGGACAGATGATGTTCCCCTGAGTTCAGCCGTCCCGTGGCTGATGTCCTTGCCTGTCGTCCCAGAAGAACTTCTCTTGATGTGTTCAGACACTTCCTCTCTTCTTTCCTTCTCTGCTACACTGCTCTGCTGCTCTGCCTATGGAGCTTGGGGTTTATATGGGCACAGAATAGGGGCATGGCAGGCCAGAGTGGTCTTGGAAAAGGCAACATTTGGGCACGAAAACAGGAATGCTTATTCTCATTTAGGGCTGCAAGTTTCCAGGCTTGAGGGTGGGGCCTTTTCTAGGGAACCTCCCTTTTCTAACCAGTATTTCCCTGCCTCCTGTCCATGTCAAAATGAGATATATATAAGTGAAATTGCTACATAAATGAAAATAACAAGTATCACTGTCATCACTACAACCACCACTAGAAAAGGGAACTAATTTTCAAGCATAGATTCTTGGACCTGTTTAAGGATAGCATTAACAATTTAGAGTAGTGGACAGAGAACCCCACATCTCATGAGCCCACTCTAACCTCCAGGTCCAAGTTAACAGTGCTGTCTTTCTCATTTCTTGCTGTTTTTTTCTCAGATGCCAGAAGTAGGGCATGTTAGTCTACTATTGAAATTCCCCTGAGCTGCACTTACTCTTGTCTTTTCCAACTGTCATCTGTGACTACCTATGATAGCACAACTTCAGGGAAGATTTGAAAAGATATGTGGGTAGATCAATGGAAAGTAAAAATATGTTATATATTCTGCTTGATGTGAAATGTCCCTAAATGTAGAAATTACTTTAGAAGGGAGACAAGGAGTTTAAAATAGAGACCAAAGTATACAGAAAAATCATAGTGTAGTTAACCTAAGTTTATTGAATGTTTCTTATCTGCAAGCCATTGGGAAAGGTCATTTAGGAGATATGAAGAATGATGCTCCCATCTCTGCCTTTCATGTATTATAGTCTAAGTAAGGGAAGCAAGAGGTATATATAAATAAGGAGGACATATACAAGTATATTTGGAAAGATAAAAGAGGGTACACAGGATAGGGAAGATATTTCCTGGTGGAAAAATCCTAAGACTTTAAATAAGGGAAATATCTCAGCTGTGCCTTAGGTAAAGTATTGATAGATAGGATATAGGAGCACATTGTAGATTGAGGGACTAGCCTGAGAAAACTTTTAGTGTTAGGAAAGGAAAGACATGGTAAACAAATGGTGATTAACCTATAGCTAAAATATAGGCTACACATGGAACAAACGAAAAGGGAAACAAACTCTTGTTGGTGCTTTTAGCTAGAGTCCTCTCCTCAAGTATTTAAGTCCATCCTCTTATTAATTAATCATCTACTATAACCACTTTACAAATAAATAAATGAGAGCACAGGAAGATTAATTAACCTACCTGAAATGAGGAATAACAAGTAAGGTATAGGACTTGAAACCATGTTTTCTTCTGTTAAAGTAAGCATATTCTTTTTATCATGGGGTCTCAAAAATAATAATAACAATCAATAATTGTGGTTTATTAAGTACTCACCCTAGGCCACAGAAATTTAATTTTTCTTAATCTTCAAAATTACCTAAAATGTAGAAGTTATTATCCAAATCTCTAGATGAAGAAATGGTGGCTTAGAAAATGTATTTGATGCATTAAAAATAATGAAAATTAATGCTGAGGAGAAATGAAGATAGAAATAAAATGGACTTGACTACCAGGCTAAGAGGTTGTTATTTTATTGAAAAACTAGTAAGGTAACCATTAAATGTATTCATTCAAAAAAATGCATAATCAGAACTGCACTTGAAGAATATGCATCTGTTAGCTTCATCCAGGAGTATGAATAAAGAGATGAGAGATTCTTAGTAAGATTTTAAAAATTTATGGTTAAAACTGCTTTGAATCAAATTAACCCAAGATTTAGGTTTTTAAAAATTAGTTTTAACTTCACTAGATCTAATCAAAATATATAAGATAATCATATTATCTTTTGTCTCATATGTTTAGGCAATGAGATGCTCTGATAAACAAAATATTTATGCCAAAATGACATAATGTACACAGAGTAACACTTTTGAAAGAAAATATCACACCATAAAATGCACAAAAGCATATTTTCTACAGGTGGCTGATCTAATAATCAATGGTCTACTTTTTAAACTGCTAATTAAATTATACATATTGTTGAGAGAGACTTTGAACAGGTCCACTTACTAATTCAGTTTTATCTATAGAATACATTGGCAAACTGACTTTAAAATTCTATTGCAAAACCAACCTCTTATTGGAGAAAACTTACAGAATCATTGAAATCCTAAAGCTGAAGGAAAGATTTAGACCGACCTTGTCACTTCACAAGGGAGACAGAGGTCACAGGGCAATGCAGTGAGGGAATTCAGGCCTGTGATCCTCAATGATGTCATGCTGTATGCTTCACTATTCTGCCCCCACCCCATCAAAACCAAAGTGTGTTGTATTAAAGGATATGCACTATGTGGGCCTGGCGCGGTGGCTCATGCCTGTAATCCCAACACTTTGGGGGGCTGAGGTGGCCAGATGACAAGGTCAAGAGTCCAAGACCAGCCTGGCCAACATGGTGAAACCCCGTCTCTACTAAAAATATAAAAATTAGCCAGGCCTGGTAATCTCAGCTACTCAGGAAGCTAAGGAAGGAGAATCACTTGAACCCAGGAGGTGGAGGTTGCAGTGAGCTGAGATCGTGCCATTGCACTCCAGCCTGGGCAATACAGTGAGACTCAGTCTCAAAAAAATAAAAAAGGGATGTGCCCTATGTGATGTGATGTGATGTGATGTGATGTTCTCTTCACAGGCTGGAACTTTATTATGTTTACAGATGCATTACTTAAGATGAAATGGAAGGCTTCTCCAAGTTAGATAAACAATCATTTTACCTCCTGCAGAAGTAAAATTACAGTATGTTTAGTATGTTTAATGAGGTCTTTAAAAGTCTGCTTCTAGAAAGTTTATCTGGTGTTGTAGAATTTTTATTGCTTTCAATATTTATCTGTATGCTGTGTATCTTAAATAAAATTACATTTAGGCTGGGAGCGGTGGCTCACGCCTATAATCGCAGCACTTTGGGAGGCCAAGGCGGGAGGATCACAAGGTCAGGAGATTGAGACAATCCTGGCCAACATGGTGAAACCTCGTCTCTACTCAAAATACAAAAATTAGCTGGGTGTGGTGACACGTGCCTGTAATCCCAGCTACTCAGGAAGCTGAGGCAGGAGAATTGCTTGAACCTGGGAGGCAGAGGTTGCACTGAGCCGAGATCGTTCCACTGCACTGCAGCCTGGCGACAAAGCGAGACTCCGTCTCAAAAAAAAAAAAAAAAATTATGTTTAAACCATTTGATAAAACACTAATAACACTTTGCTGCAGACTCATTGAACATCAAATTATGGTCAAAGACAAGTCAAGAGAGTTTCCAAAGAATCTCAGTAGATTTCAGAGGTCTGTACATGAACCCTTACACATTGACTCAAAGAAAGAGCCTCATTCAGAGTCCTGTTATTCTCATTTTACAGATAAGTCCAACAGATCAGTGCTTTTCTACTTTGATACATTGTGGAGTAGAAGAAACATTAATAATTCTAATTTCATAAATAATAATCCTAACTACTATAATATATCAAATAATGAGTACCTCAGTGCCTATTATGACTTCAGCACTATCTTAGCTGTATCTCTAATTCTCACATCAACTCTACAGCCTAAGAATTTTATCCTGATTGGAGATGAGGAAATGAGAATTAAAAGTGATTTGCCTTGCCTGGATTCAGTCACAAAGTATGGAATGAAGAAAGGGAGTCTATCAGACACATGATCTATAGATCTGTAATCACAAAAAGACATGGACCGGAAAATAATAAGCCAACAGACGCAACACACTAATGCTCACTGACAGTCTTAATTTCTTTAATAAATAAAATAACGAAAAAGCAAGTAAAAAAAGACTGATAAAAGAATTAAAAAGCAAGTGATCACAGAGCAGCGTTGAAAAGTCTCAATAGTGCTTTCTCTTATTGCCACATGACTACTCAGGGTGGTTAATATTTCTCAGCTATTATTACTGTTATTATTATTCATCACACTAGCTGACATTTATTGACCTGGGTCAGGGAAGGCTTCCTGAATGAAGGGAAATGGTAGCAGTGATGTGAGCAGTTAATTAGTCAGTTGAAAGGAATGTGGAGGTCAGGATGGGGACAGTGGTGGATGGAGTATCCTAAGTGTGGGGAACATCGTGTGCAAAGGCTCAGATGTAAGAGACTGTTATGGTTCCTTTCCAACCTGAGCCTGGCAGAATAGCTCACATAAAGAAAGTCAAGAAGAAGGGCCATTTTGCCATCGACAAGAAGGTGGCCAGAGGATACACCATCAATATTTAGAGGTGCATCCATGGAGTGGGATTCAAGTAGTAGGTCTTATGGGCACTGAAAGAGATCTGGAAATTTTCCATGAAAGAGATGAGAGCTCCAGATGTGTGCATTGATACCAGGCTCAACAAAGCTATGTGGCATAAAGGAATAAGAAATGTTCTATCTTGTACTCTTGGGTGGCTGTCCTGAAAAGCAATGAGATGAAGATTCACCAAACAGGCTGTATACCTATTTTGCCTGTCACCACTTTCAAAAATCTACAGTTCATTTCAATGAGAACTAACTGCTCGGTGTCAAATAAAGTTATTAAACTGCAAATAAATAAATAAATAAAAGAGACTGTTAGCAGTTGAATTATGCACTCCTAAATTCACATGTTGAAGTTCTAACCCCCAATATTTCAGAATGCAACTTTATTTGAATATAGGATCATTGAAGATATAATTAGTTAAGATGAGGTCATACTGCAGAAATATGGGCCCTTAATCCAATGTGACTGTTGTCCTGATAAAAAGGAGAGTTTTGAACACAGGCTCACACAGGAGGGATGCCATGTGGACCTGAAGGTAGAGATATGGGGTGTTGCTTTGGCAAGCTAAAGAAAACCAAGATTGCCAGCAAACCACCAGAAGCTAGGGAGGAGGGACATGGAGTAGATTCTTCCTTACTACTCTCAGAAGAAATTAACCCTGCTGATGCTTTGATCTTGGACTTCCTGCATCTAGAACTGTGAGACAATATATTTCTGTTGTTTATGCTTCTCAGTTTGTTTTACTTTGTTATAGCAGCACTAGCAAACTAATACAGAGATTAAGTAGTTCAAAGACATGCAGCTTAGCTCCTGATTCTCAGTCATCAGTTAAGGATAAACTGTCCTCTACCCACTAGTAAGGTGGCAGAGAGATGCCCAAGATATTTTAGAGCCATCCCATTCATAATAATCAATATTTTGCAGAACACATTTGGGGCAAAAATTTATGCATGGTGATCTGTTAAATGCACTTAATGACAAACACTTGATTTCTCTGTGTTATATGCTCATTCAATTAACAAGCATTTATTTAGCATGCATGATGTGCCATCTTCTGTAGGATAGTGATCAGAAGCTTGGGTTCTGTGAACAGAATTAAGATCAGGGACCCCACCTTTTAGGATATATGTTTTGGAAAATATTCTACCTTTATGTGATGTCAATATTCTCATCAACTTCCCCAATGAAAGGAGATTAAATAAGAGTATAGTTATAATACATTTAGTGGAGCATGTGTTTTATCACAAATATACTCTAAAACAGCCATGTTCTTATTGTTATTATTTTGTTATGTTGCTTAGGGTAGGAAGATGTTCATTTTATCCCTCCTGCCCTCCCTTTAGACTCGTGGTCTCTCCCTGCTTGTAAAATGTGTTGGCAGTTTCTGGCTCTGTTCCCTGTCTCCTCATTTCGGCTTTTGATGGGGCATGATGATCAGATGGCCATGATTAGTTCTTTGGCTTGCATTGCAGATTATCTATTAAGTAGCCATCTCCTCAGCCACCGAGGCATATGGTCAGCACTTCTAGGGCTTAAAATAAATCTGCATTTTAACATGTGGAATTTCATTATGCAAAAGAGAGCTCATATGGGATCTAATCTTGTTATTTGTTATGCTGTACACATATACTTGCTGCCTTCTGGATGGAATAGTACATTAGGCCCCTGGGTCTTTCGTTTTATTGGCATTGCACAGATATTCTGGGTGAGGACATTTAGGAAGTAGCATCAACCCTTAAGTATGCAGAGTATAGGAAAGAAAAAAAGAATGAGGAGCAATTTTTCTTTCCACCCTTTGCAGACTAGTCATACAGTTTTCTTTTTCTTTCCTTTTTTTTTTGAGACAGAGTCTCGCTCTGTCACCCAGGCTGGAGTGCAGTGGCGCGATCTCTGCTCACTGCAAGCTCCGCCTCCCAGGTTCACGCCATTCTCCTGCCTCAGCCTCCCAAGTAGCTGGGACTACAGGCGTCAGCCACCACACCCGACTAATTTTTTGTATTTTTTAGTAGAGACGGGGTTTCACCATGTTAGCCAGGATGGTCTCGATCTCCTGACCTCGTGATCTGCCTGCCTCGGCGTCCCAAAGTGCTGGGATTACAGGCATGAGCCACCATACCCGGCCCAGTTTTCTAATGAAACATTTACTTAACACTTGCTATGAGCCCAGTGTTTCCCCAGGTACTTGGGTGATGATGAACAAGATGGCACAGCCCTTTTATCTAGAGGTATCAAACAACTTTAGGTATCTTTAGATAAAAAAAAAAAACATTTTAATCAAGGTATTTGTTAGCAAAGATCAGCCTTTAGTGCTGATTAGAAAAAAGACACTCCTTTTCCTAGGTGAATGCATCTATGTCCTAGGCACCTGCCATTGCGAGTGGAAGTGTGGAATACACTTTAGATTGCATCCTCTTGACTAAATGCCCTTGCACCAGGTACACGATTAAGGCAGTTAAGTAACAATTGCAAAAGTAAATGGTCAGCAAGTGGCAAGGAACTAATTATATGATACTCTGAGGGCTGTGTGGTTTGGGGAAGTGTGTATGCTAGAGAAATTTATTACATTTCATTCTGTATACTTAACTGTAAATTGACTGCTTCTTGTGTGAATGAGCAGAAAGTATTAGTTTATCCACATTTGATTGAGCAAATACTTCTGATTTTCATTATAAAGCTATCTATTCTTTGTTGTAACATTTTTCCAAGCACTACTATCCTAGGATATAAATAGGTTAATGGCAAATAAGAGATTTGTTTGTTGAAATTAACTCGAGTACTTTCTAGTATTAATAGAAACTTATTTGAGTTTCCTAAATGAGGACTTCTTCAACCTATTCAGGTGTGACATGTCATCTAAGTTAATAAGTGGAGCAAAAAATAAAAATAACAGCATCAAGCACAAAAATTCAGTCTCTGGAGACTGAGAGATTTGGATTTGGATTCTAAGTCCAGTTCCTCTGCCTGCTTGTTTTGTTACCACAGGCAAGTAACTAATCCTTTACTGTGCTTATAATAATACTTCCTACGATCTTTGAATGTTGTGAGGATTAAACAGGACAATGCAAGTAAAGTGCTATGCACAGCCCCTGACACCTAGTAAATATTTAATAAGTAGTAGCTGTTGTTAATGCTGCTGGACTCTAAAATTCATAAGGCTCTACAACATGTAAACTAGCATTACACATATCACAACAATGGATTTTTCATTTATCTATATAGAAATAGATGGATGGATATATGAATATGTATGTATGTGTTTGTATACCCACGATTATGTACATGCACAATTGAGAGCATATTTACTTCTACGGCATTGTAAAACTGATATTAGCTAACATGTACAAGACTGTTCCAACTCCTGTCCTGGGTACCTCATATTAATTATTTCATCCTGATAATAATCCTGTGAAACAGGATCTGTTGCACCAATTTTGCAGATAAGAAAGCTGATGCCTGAAGATGAGTTTATGCTGCTAAGCTGTAGAAGTAAGCTGTAGAAATGGAATTTTAACCCAGGCAGTGTGCCCCAGGTCTGTGTTTCTAACAACAGTGGTAGTCTGAATTTCAACAATGAACAGGCTAATCATTATGTACAAACAGATACATTGCAATGCACAAATATGCATGCACACACACACACTTTTCTGGGTATGTGAGTATTTGCCTAAAGGTGCATAATGAATTTGTGGAATATCACCAGAGAGGTCTGGTGCTCTTGAAGTCTGTAGCCACATTTACATTTTTCTGTTTGTGGTTCCCTTTCCCCAGCAGGCGGATTGAATTATATGACATATCACATGCAAAATGAAACACTAAATGGAAACCTTTCTCTGTTGCCCAGCAATGGATGATTGCTCCACATTGCTTGAAGTTATGCTTAAGCACATCCTACTGCATTATTCTCCTTGTTTGCTTCCTCTTGCTCCCACTCACATTACTTGAACGGTGGCTCTACATCCAATTATATATCATCAAGTGGCAGAAGATGACATTAATATGGATTAACTGTATTCTTTGGTGATCTCTTTGGTGATCTTTTGGCCTCCGATGCTGAATACACTGTTGCAGCAGTTAAAACATGTACCAGGCTACATTTAACAGAAATCTGGCACTTGTAGCATATGGCTCAATGGAAAATTTGGCACTTGTAGCATGTGGCTCAAGGAAAATTTATTTTCCTTATATATCAGCAAGCACAGGAGTAGCCTTTCCAGCATGGCTTCAGCAGGTTTTCAGGCCCCAATGTCTCAGGCTCCTTACATCTTTCAGCCTAATGTCTTTAGCTTGTGTCTGTCTTCTAGAATATTCCTTTGGGTCACTAAGTGGGTGTTCCACCTCCCACCTGACATCCCCATTTTAGACAGGAAGGCCTGAGGTATTTCTCCCTATACTTTTTCATCAAAATGGTACCAAAAGAGGTGGTGGGCCAAAGAGCCTGACACTCTGTTGCCCCTAACAGAATCCAGGTTCTGCTAGAAGTATAAATGTAAAATGAATAAGTTGCTGACAAAGCCTGCCACAACTGAAAACTTATACTACAAGGATGATTTACTGTTAAGGCTGGTGTGATAGTCAAGCCAGCATAAATTGTCCACTAAAAGGTAGATCAATGAGAAGCACAACTTTTTTACCTTAAGAAATTTACCATCCAGAAGATTAGATGGATGAGCAAATAAATAAATATAGAAGTGTTAGAGGTGTAGACCTGTTGGAACTTCGCAATGTCGGTGTTAGGGCTGAGACACACAAACTTTAGTTCCAGTAATATTAAGAGGACTATAAACAACTAGTAATAATGACTTTGTATTATATACAAACTACTTTTCTGGTATTTGTCCAAATTATATATACATTTTATATGTATATCTGTATTACATAGCTATATATATACATAGATGTATATATCTGTAGCTCTATATACATAAAATGAAGTTCAATAACTTACCTGAGTTCAAATACTTAGTAAGTTAGAAAGTTAGGATTTGAATCCTGAAAGTCTGCCATCAAAGTCTTCAACTTGCAACCTATATTGAGGATTCTAAGGACATCCTGTTTTCATTTATTTGTTTTGTTGCTGTTATGTTTTGTTCTTGTAAAAGAATTCATTAGTTTCTTTGGCTCTTGCTAATTATGTAAAGCCCTTTTGAGTCATTCAGCATTCATCATATTTCATAATTGGCTTTACCCAGGGTTGGTAGACATCAGCTTGGTCACCCAATTGCACACAAGGTCACTGTGCTAGAATATTTTCCATTAGGAAGTGGTAAATTGCAGTTAACAAAATTATTCCCATTTCTCTAAACAGTTGTGAGATGGAGTATTAACAATGCCATTTCTTGGACAAAATATCCTCTTTATCCCTAATCTTCATTAGATGGCAGTCATCACTCATGTGAACATCCATATTTCCTGTTATGCCCTCTCCTTGCCTTCTCTGTCCAGCCCTCCTGAAGATAGCAGCTTACTTGCCTTGCCTCAGGCCTTGGCTTTATGATACTCCCTTCAAGAATTATGTGGTAGACAGAATTATAAAATAAGCCCCAATGAACCATGCTCTTGTAGAATATCCTCCCTTTGACTGTGAGAAAGACCTGTGCTTGTGATGCAATGCCATAATACCACTCTCATAATTAGATTGTGTTATTTGGCACAGTTTACTTAAAGAAAGGAGATCATGTTCAGTGGGCCTGATCTACACAAGCTAGCCCTTAAAAGGGCAAGGCTCTTTATGGTAACAGAGATTTGAAATCTGAAAGGGATTCAGCAGGAGAGTCACTATTGCTCACTTTTAAAGATGGAGAAGACCATATGGCAAAGAACTGTGGGTGGCCTCAAGGAGCTGAGTGGCCCCATGCTGACAACCAGCAAAGAATAGGCATCTTGTCTTACAATTGCAAAGAACTAAATTCTGCTACAACCACGAGAGCTTTTCAGAGGACCCCCAAACTCCAGATGGAAATGAAGCCTGGCTGACATCATAACTTTGACCTTGTGAAATCGTAATCAAGAGAGCCTAGTTATTTCATGTCTGGAGTTGTGATGCGCAGAAACTGAGTGATAATAAATTCATGTTGTTTTAAGATACTAAGTTTTAGGTAAAATTTTATGCAGCAGTAGACAGCTAATATCCTTTGGCTCTCTATTTTATTACTAGGTCTAATATCCTTTGGTTGTTCCAAATGTCTGACCCCTCTTTCCTGACCTCAGATATGCAGAAGTATAATAACTTGCACAGGTTATTTAGAGAGTACTAGAGTGGGCTGTGCCCAAATTATGCTAGAGGCATAAACCTCAAGGAGAAGAATAGAGATCCAATATCATTGGAACAAGTGTTTTTATTTTTGTTATTTTATGATTTGTACTAGAAAGATTTTACCAGTGTCCTCCCATATTACATACCTTCTAACACCCCCTACTATGACTACCAAAAACATAAAAACAAACACCATATGATATACTGATTTGAAGTCACAGTTCACTGGAACAAGGACAAAGTCCAAGGTGAAAGAAAATTTTTAAATTCCAAAATTAGCAGAACATGCATTAAGGGTTTTCCACATAGTGAGAAGCAAAATTTCATGCTCCTTTTCTTGCTGGGTGAAGTACAGATCCTGTGGAGTGGGTTGGGAAGGAAAATGCTTTTTCTGTTAGTTTCTGCTTCAAGGAGTTTTCTAGCAATCTATTTTAGTCTTCATTAACATATGCAGATTGAGTTTGGGGTTAAAACATAGTAGGATCATTTGTCTGGCACACACAATGGTTTCACGTGAGGATGGAAAGGCCAAAGATTTGTGGTTGTGTGCATTTTTGGTAACTGTTTGCAAAGTTGGAATAAGCCACCTGCCTGTGATAAAATATGACCCTCACTCACTCTTGTAAATTGCTTTTGCCCATTCACACTTAGAGGTCATTAATCTTGTTTCCCTTTATGGATGGACATTCAGCACATTCCCTACAGTTGATTCAGCTCTAGTTTAGAGTTGTATAAAAAAATTCACCAAGTGCATTTGGAGAAAATGTCACTTTGCAAGGCTTCAAGTTAAAAAGTGCTATCTTTATCTTAACTACACAGAAATACAGGCATTTGCAAAAGGAGCCGTGAAGAGGATAAAAGGAACAAGACATAAATAGCCAATAAATAATTACAAATTATTACCCTACAGGGGACTTTTTAAGGCCTGTTTCACTATGGATCACATGCTTGAAAACACCCTAGATGTAGGGAACTAACTACTCCATAAGACATCCCATTCTTCCTATTATCCCTTTACCACCCAAGAGAGGTACTTATTTTGAACATATTTATTTTCAATTGCCATACTGTCTTACATATCCTTCTCATTTTTATCTCTTTCTTATAGCATCAGTATGTAGTATAATGTTAAGAGACACTTAGCATGTTTTTGTTGAGTGTTAATTCAATGAAATACAGGCTCCAATGATGGGAATTCTGGATAGCATCTACTTGTCATTCACATGACTGTAAAAATGATTGTTAAAAATTAGCACTGTATAAAGATGATGGTAATAATACCTTTTAATTATCTTTCTCTTCTGATGCTTTTCCTCTAGGCCATTCCAGTACAGTTTTAACAGTGATTTCTCCAATATACCTAATGACCAATCCAAAATAACTATAAGTAACTGGTCATCTAGAAACAAAAGTACTTCAGCATTCAATGTAAGCTATAATGTCAGGGAATGAGGGGAACTTCAACATCCTGTCTTTATCTTCCACTAAATTGATTGAGAATGTTAAGTCATTATAGACTCGATACTGAACACGAGCTAGAGTATATTAATTATAACCAAACTGACATTCCATAAAATGTTCAAACAGGAGGGACAGGAGTATATATCATAAAGCAAACACAAGGGAATTTAAAATCATGTCATAATCAGATGAACAAATATTTGACTTTCTATGATGTGCGGGGCCTCTACTAGATTATGTAAACAGAAAATAAATATGCTAAATTTGACAGAATTTTTCCTTTCTAAACAACCCTACTTTGCCACTTCAGAGTTAGGCCAATGCTTGATTACCCTGATTTCCTCTTGAAATGATCTATATGTGAATGAAAATTTTGGCAAATAATTATTCAGCCAATTTATACTTTCTATTGAATGTGTCTCTAATCTCTGCCCTTCGTGTTTGAAATTGATGTAAACGACTGGCTCAACATATTTATGATTTAGAGCTTGAGACTGTGGAAGGTGTGTCTGGTAGTTCTTTCCATTTCAGGCAAGATATTACCATGTCTGTAAACTGCATCTCCCCATAATTTACCAGAGTCCAGGAATTACTAAACAGTTTATAAAGAGCCTCACACAGTCTCAGTGTCTTCTTCCCTGAACTATAACATATTCATACAATGAGCTCTTACTGCTTATTTGCACATTTATTCTCATTTTAAATAATAAATTAAAACACTTGCCACATACAAAACATGTGACATTACAGCTTACTGGACTTAAAGTAGAAATTGCTTTAAAATGAATTTTTGGAGTATATTTTTATATGGTTTACCTCGTTTTGCAGGGATGAAGGACATCAGTGTATTCATCTGTTTTTTAAAAGTATCATTGTAGGCCAGGCGCGGTGGCTCACACCTGTAATCCCAGCACTTTGGGAGGCCGAGGCAGGCGGATCACGAGGTCAGGAGATCGAGACCATCCTCACTAACACGGTGAAACCCCATCTCCACTAAAAATACAAAAAATTAGCTGGGCGTGGTGGCGAGCGTCTGTAGTCCCAGCTACTAGGGAGGCTGAGGCAGGAGAATGGCGTGAACCCGGGAGATGGAGCTTGCAATGAGCCGAGATCACGCCACTGCACTCCAGCCTGGGCACCAGAGTGAGACACTGTCTAAAAAAAAAAAAAAAAAAAAAAAAAAAAAGCATCATTGTAGCAGAATGTCTTCCAAGGGGCAGGCCTGAGGAGCCTGTGGTGATTTTTCTGTGAGTTGTGATATGGTTGAGTGGGGTACGTAAGTTGAGGGCCAGAGCTGAAATGTTGAGAACAATAGAATGATTTTTCAAGTTCATGTCTTGTGTATGGACACAGAGAGAATACTAGTTAGCAGGAAGATGAGGGACAATGAACAGACAAGAACCCAGATCTCAAAAAGGAATTTGACTAATTGGCTAATTGTTCTTTTTTGTGATGTGTGATGTGAATTTATTTTTTCTCTATTCATGAGTTTCTCAGTTATCTGTCAACTTCTTAATAATAATCTGTAGGAGTAGGTCTTTTTCAGAAAATGGAATAAAATGAGGATTATTGTGTATGATAAGCACGGAGTAAGGGTCCATGGCCAGTGCCCACCCCTGCCTTCCAATCAGTCTTTTTTATTGATCTCATATTAATATGAGATCAGGATAAGAGAGATAGAATGAAAAAGAATGTTTAAAATTGTTATGACAAGTTCGCTATTAGGAAGATAAATTGTAGTAATCAGTTTCCCTGTAGAATTCTGGCAACATTTATTTATATTATTCTTCTTCCAAAAAATGTGTATATGTGCATGTACTATATTTTCTGGTAAGGTTAATAAATATAGTATGGTGGCTAACTAAAATATAATTAAGATATAAGATAAACTGCAACTCAAAGATAATTAGATTAAAAGATATATTTAATATTAAACATATATTTTTAGAAGGAAAATGTAGTCTTTGTTTTAGAATACTTTAGGATTCTGGAGCACCCTCAAATCACCATTCTATTCACTTTCAATTACAAAAGACTGAAAAACTGTTGTGGTTTTTTTTCCCCTCAAAACTTTCTAGATTTTTTTTATTCTAGGAAAATAAGAATGATTAGAAGAAATTGGGGGAAAATAAAATTGTAAATCTAAATTTTACCTTCTCATTTGAGATTGTGCCTTCTAAATAATGACTCCCTGATTTGCTATTAAAATAAGAGGGTAAAGTTGTTCATGTTTAATGCAATGGGTAGTAGAATGTGATTGATTTGCCATAGATATAATCAGTGGCATGTGTTAATAACTTCATGGATAGTGCCAGGGAGAGTAACAAACCAAGAGAGTGGGGGTTGCCACACTTGGGCAATGGAGAGCAAATCACCTATAGTATTGCCATGTCCCATGCGCTTGCATTTGCCAACCATGGGGCATGGCTGTTAAATTGAAAATGTAAATACCAGGACATTTTTAAAGTATTTATTTCATTAAAATCTTGTAGGAAAAAAAAAGAACATCTGATTGGAGATCTAAATTTTTGGTTTAGCGCTATTCTATAGCGATTCAATATAGCAATTCGGTATCTTTATATTAGTATGGACAGAAATACACTATGTGCTTCTTCTTACTCTTTATACCAACAAAGACAACAATATTGACTCATTAATGAAGAGGTGGATGAAGCCACTGAGGAGGTAGACTTAACTTCTGTAGGTAAGCACATTTAATAGGATAGCAAGAAAGACATTTGATTGGATATGATGTTATTCCGGGCAGTGGGAACTACATTGGCAACTCAACCAATTTGATCAGTTCACTGGGAGCAATATTATAGAATCTACTATACAGAGTCTGACAGCATAAGGCCAAGTGGAGGATAATAATGTAGGCTTTACTTGGGACAAGATTAATATCTTGTTGGAGAAATCAAGACAATGAAGGATTAGGGTGGTAGAAATAAAGTGAGTGATACGCTCTTTATGATTCAGATGAGAGACAACTTGGTAGGACTGTAGGAATCAGAAAAGGATTCATGGAGGAAATGAGATTTGAGCATATTACTGCAGGTCTGGTGATATTGCAACAGATAACAAAGTGCATTTGAAATAGTGTGCCCATTGAGAGTGAAGCCACAGAAGTGTTTTAATGTAAAATGTGTGCTCCAATGATCTGAATTCATCACCTAATTATAGAGTCTTTTGCTCTTATGTTAGTATCCAGTGGCAAAATGATTTGAGAGTTGTGGTCATTGCTACCCATGGCAGGAGGAGACAGTCTCTGTTTTTGAAGTGGTTGTGTTGCCACTCATACAGCCCATCTGAGCAGCGCATCCCAGACAGACGTGAAATTGTGGAGTATAGGTTTGGGGCTTGGTTCAGCGATCAAGGACAGCACAGAGATAGGCAGATATGAGGTCTTAGACTGGGAACTGTCCCACACAAGAGCCTAGACAGAATAGTGGTATTGATCCCAATCTGTGACAATTGGGATCTGTCTGGATTTTCACTAGATTTTCTATGGGCATATAAGTATTTCAAGGTTTTGTAACGAGAATAAAGTGCACTAGTATTTCAGATACTCATTGCTTAGGGACAGTGACTTTTGCAAGGTATTTAGCTAATTTGACTTTCAGATGTTTATCTCTTAAATGAGAATAATAACAATGTATATTTATTAAGGAAACTCCATTAACCGCTTAATACAGTAGTTAAAAACACAGACCTGGGAGCTAGTCTCTGCTTTGAATTTCGGTTCTATTGCTTACTAAATGTATGATATGGGCAATTTATTTAACCTGTCTGTATCATTTTACGCATCTATAACATAGGAGAAATAATGGTACAACTCATATGGTTGTCTTCAGGATTGAATGAATTAATATGTTTGCAACACATTCCAGCTATACTGGAATGAATTTTATTTTAAGTAAAAATCATGAGTGCTTATGCACACACTCAAGTACTTAATAATTGGTAATTATTGCTATTCTAATGATTATTTCTGTGAATAAAGAAGGTAATATTAATACAACATCTGGCAAATAGTAATGTTCAATAAGAGTTATCTCTGGTACCCTAGGGTACCTTTAAGCTCAGATACTCTTGGATTCCACAGTCTCAGATATTTATTTGCAAACAATAACAAATTATGATTCTTAGAAAAATGAATTCACTACACCAGTTTTCTTTCCTAGAATCTTAATATGCCTTGAAGACATATGATAAATCATAGAGAGATCAAAAATCAAAATAAATTAACAAAGCCTTCTACAAACTACAAGCAGTATCCCATTTTAAGGGCCAAAATGAAATGAAACAAAACCAAAACAAAACCTAAGGTATAAATAAATTACTAAATGTACTGAGACAACTATTGGAGAATTTATGGGATCCACCCAGAATTCCAGCGGACTCTGAGATGCCCAGAGTAAACCCAGGCGTTGACTAAAATAATAATACCACAGAAACAGTAAGGGGATCAGGGTAGCTTCGAATATGGACTTACCCCTTCCTCATCTGCTGCTTTTACCTGCTGCACTTTCATTAGGTTTCAGATGTGAAAATCAAGGATTGGAAATGGAAGTCTTATTGCCAAGATTATATAATTTGTCTACAATTTGGATCTATGCCCCTCAAGATATGCATCACTTCCCACAGAACAAGGCTGTGCCTCCCATCAATCTAGTTCTTTCGGTTTATTCCATAAGGCTCTTCTATAGCTTGGGTTGGACATGAGTTCTGTAAGCTTACCTTATTGGAATTTCTCCAACCCTTTTCCTCCAAAAGTAATATTAGATTTGATTTGTGATTTCTCAGGTGGAAGTTCATTCTGCTTGTGTATTTACAATTGTAGAATCCAAACTGACTCTGGATCTCTGTAGATGGTAACTACATTGCAATCTTGAGTTCATGGAGTTGCTGTGAAATGAAAGGATTACAATGTCAAATTACTCTTCCAAGGTTTTGTTTGATTTTTTTTTTAAAACCAGGACACCGTTCCTTACACAACTTAGAAGGCTTTTCTTTTCTGATATGTAAAATGAAAAAGAAAAAGTTTATTTAAAATTTAATGAGTAAAGCATTGGGGATACATTAATTAGGGCCACAACCAGTAGGATATCTATCTATCTATCTTTCTGCCAGTCTATCTATCTATCTATCTATCTATCTATCTATCTATCTATCTATCATCATCATCATCACCTATCTATCATCTATCAGTCTAGAGATTTATTTCAAACAATTGGCTCACATAATTATGGAGGCCAACAAGTCAAAAATCTGCAGGATAGTCTGGCAGCTTGGAGACCCAGGGAAGAGTTCAAGTTTGAAGGCAGTCTCCTTGCAGAGTTTCTTCTTGCTGAAGGGTGGTCAGTTTTCTTCTACTAAGGTCTTCAACTGTTGAATCAGGCCCATCCACACAATTGAGGTTAATATGCTTTCCTCAAAATCCATTGATTTAAATGTTAATCTCATCTAAAAAATAGCTTCATGGAAATATCTAGAATAATATTTGGCCAAATATTTGGATACCATCATTTAACCGTGTTAACATATAAAATTAACCATCATGAGTCCATTTTTGTAAACCTGGCACTCATATACATCTTAAACCAAAATTAATCTCCAATTAAAGACAATAACAAGGCAATACTTTTGCTTAACATGATTAATACTACTATCCTGTGTACAACTAAAAATGCACTAACCCTTCCCCTAAAAGAGGATGCAAAATCCTTGAAAGTCTTTTTGATGATTATTCTTCTCAATGTCCTCTAACTTAACTACTATGATGTAAAGTTAACATTACTTAAGTACTATAATATAAAGTCAATACATCTCATGTTATATGGTAAGGGGAAAAGAGAGGGAAGAAAACAGATATTTGAGATACCCACATGCACACACTTGAACATATTCATAACAAAATAACAAAGAAAAATACACATGACACAGTTCCCATTTCTGTACTGGTTACATCGCTGTAACTCTTATTTCATTACCATTTACATATTCTCTTTGCCATCAGCAAGTACCTCAATAGGTTACAGTTATTTATCTGGTAAGGGTCACCTTACCTTTATTTTTGAGGGATCTAGGCCTTTAGTAGTCCTGCCCAAATTGAGTTGTTATAGTTTTATATTGAATTTAATCACAGGACATGGCAATAATAAGGGATGCCTTAAGGATCTTCTATATTTCAGACATATTCTTCCTTATTTCCATTGTAGAGTACCAGGTCAATTTCTCTTTGGTAGTCAGTATCAATTATCCCAGCCAGCACTGTAACTTCCTTCCCTGCTTGTTGATTCAGAGGCATGAAGAGCCCAAAGTCATCAGGTGAATTTTAACTTCCACATCAGTGGAATTTGTGTTGTGTCTTCTGCTAGAAGCATTCCTCTCTTTGGAACTAAGACTTCTGAACAAGCAGAGCGTAAGGTCATGGGAGCAGGAAGCAAAATTGTGCTAATGGGTCATCAGTTGTAATAGTAAATAGAGCCATTTCCATTTTCACCACTTGAATTGTGGACCCATGAATTCTAGCTATGGAAGAAATAGTACCATATTTTGGATATCGATTCAAAGTATATGTAGACTCCTGGAGAACTTTGCTACAGCTCTGCAAGGTACTGTCTCATAGCTGACACTGTAACCGAGTCTTCAAAAGGTCATTCCACTGTTCTGTCAAACCAGCAGCAACAGGATGGTTGGGGATATGATAAGGCCCATGAATTCCATGATCATGCTATAGCTCTGCAAGGTACTGTCTCATAGCTGACACTGTAACCGAGTCTTCAAAAGGTCATTCCACTCTTCTGTCAAACCAGCAGCATCAGGATGGTTGGGGATATGATAAGGCCTATGAATTCCATGATTGTGGTCTCATTGCCACACTTTGTTTACTATGAAGTAATTTTCTTGATGAGAAGGAGTGCTGTGTGGAATGCTATGGCAGGGCATAAGGCATTCTGTAAGTTTATAGATAGTAGGTAGTGTTGGCAGAAACATCGTGTGCAGAAAAGGCAAATCAATATCCAGAGTAAGTAACTATTCTAGTAAGAACATAGCACTACCCCCCTTCCATGATGGAAGCAGTCCAATGTAATCAACCTGCCACCAGGTAGCTGGCTGATCACCCTGAGGAATGGTGCCATATTGAGAACTCAGTGTTGGTCTTTGCTGCTGGCACATTGGGCACTCAGCAGTGGCTATAAGTAGGTCAGCCTTGGAGAGGGAAGTTCGTGTTTCTGAGCCAATGCATAACCTACGTCCCTGCTACAATGTCCACTTTGCTTATGAATACATTGGGCAATAAGAGTGGCTGCAAAAATGAGGCTGACTGGTATCCACAGAACATGCCATCCTATCTATGTGATTATTAAAGTCCCTCCTCTCCTGACATCTCTCTTTGGTTAGCATTCACATGGCACACAAATATCTTCATGATTTTCACCCATTCAGAGATGTCTATCCACATACCTCATCCCCAAACTTCCTTGAACCAATTTTCCAATCAGATTTCTTCCAAGTCCTTGACCATCCAGAGAAACCATCATTGGCCACAGCCCATAAATTGGTATATATTTGCATTTCTCCTTCCAAACAAAGTGAACAACTAGATGCACTACTCGGGGTTCTGCTGCCTGAGAGGATTTTCCTTCACCATTATCCTTCAGGTATGTGCTAGAAAAGGACTGTAGTGCTGTGGCTGTCTATTGTATGTGCCTGTATATTATGCACAACCATCTGTAAACCAGACCCAAGTTTGTCAACTGACAGTGGAGTACTCCACATGAGGCCATAGGTGCAGGTTGTAAGAGATGTAGTAATATAGCATAGTGGGGACCATGGGCATTTGGGACACATCTTCATGTAACTTGTGCATTTAGGGCCCTCTTGGGCCTGATCACATATATACCACTTCTTGGTTTGATGAAGGAATGCTGTTGTGTACAGCCAACTTTATGCCTTGGTGGTAGGACAGGTAACGGCCAGTTCATGAGGAGCAGCTCAGTTTGCAGAAGAACTTGGTGTGCCATGGTTAGGCTTTTAGCTCAGTAGTAGACCAAAAGCAGTTTCTCAAAAGGAAAGTAGTTATCTGCAGAGAGTGGCAGGGCTTTGGTCTGAAATTCTGAGTATGCACTATGGTTGTCCTGTATGGTCCTGTCAAAGATTTTAAGTAGAATCCCTATCTGTCACCAACAATTTAAACACCATTGAATCTGCTGGATCATATGACCCCAGTGGCAGGGCACCTATATGGCAGCCTAGACCTGTTGCAGAGCCTTCTCTTGTTAGCAGCTTTTTGGGTCATTCTGTTACTAGGCTGGGGTAGCAAACCAGAATAAGAAATGTATTGCCTCCCAAATCCAAAGAAACTCATTAAGCAGAGATTCTGAATTTAATGCTGTAGCTCAGGGATTGAGAAAGGGCTGTATCAGTTTGGTTGGTTGGTTGGTTGGTTGGTTGGCTGGAACATGGATCAGAAGCTGGCCCACAGTAATTTAACTTGAAATGCTAGAACTGCTTTCCTGTACTGCAGAATAAGAGATTCCAAGGTTTAGGGAGACTGGAATGTTAGATTGAATGTGTCATTTAAGATCTGCTCACTTACACTGGGATGACCCAGAGGGCACACTTTTCATCCTAAGTGTAAAAAACAAGTTTATGAGGGGCACCCCTGCATCCTTGAAGAGCTTTGTGATTGCTTTTGTCTGCCGGAAAATACAGTGGGAACTGCTACCACTGAATAAGGAAACTTAAATGTAATGGGAGTAATTGAATCCTGGGGTGGCAGGGGCTGGCCAAGTGGCAGCCCTCAGTCGCCCAAGATAAGATGGGTGTTGTTACCATGATGGAAAGCAGAGTCAAAGCGGCAATCAGAATAGTTGAATATGGGCAGTCCTATGGCATTGGCTAGTTGATGATAGAGTTCCTAGAAGTTAAATGGATGGGAATGCTACTAATTCTTACTTGATCTGTGTAAGTCAAAGAGTTCTAGATCAAGTGAACAAAATTCTAACCCCAAATCATGGCCTTTTACTGGGTGACTGTGTTTTAGGGAAAAGGAAATAATCAGAACCTTTGGGGACTATTAGACATTGACTCTAAACTGCTATTAATTCCAGAAGATACAAGCATGTCACTGTGGTTGACTAGTCAGAGTAGGGCTGATGGAAGTCATATGATTAATGGGTCCAGTGGGTCCCCAAATCTATCCTGTAGTTTTTTACCCAGTTCCAGAATATATAATTAGAATAGACATACTCAGCAACTAGCAAAATTCCTAAATTAGAATAAGATACTCTTTTTAATCCTCAAAGAACCCATAAGCTAAAAGAATGAGACAGTTATTTTTCTATCTATCTATAATGGAATATACAATATTTTTAAAAGTTTTCAATTCTCAGTTTTTAAATTAAATGTCCTAGAAGTTGTTTATATTGCTTTTTGAAACAAGAAGAAACATTATGTGCAATTTATCAATATTCTTGTCAGATTGACCTTTCATCATTTTAATTTCGTCTAGTTAATGAAGGAGACCTCCAGAATTTTAATTGTGATACAATATAAAAGACATTTGATGGAGAAATAATTAAATAATTCTCTTTAAAATTATTTAATGACAAAGATTGACTGTCTTCACTGACAATTGTATAGATTTGTTGATTCTCAATTTCTTAGGTATTTCGTGTCTTTTTGTTGGGTCTTAATTTTATCATTGCCATTTTTCAGTTCTGTAATTAGTTTAGCTGGTATTTTTCTTCAACTGAATAGTTAAATATGATTTAAACTTTATGTGATTAAGTCTAATAGATTGCATTTCCTGCTGCCTTCATTTGATTGGCAGCATAAGAAAATAGAAGCAAATACAGTTGATGAAAGAATTCAAACAATCATTTCATGTCCTGAAAAAAATATCCAAAATCTTCTTACATTCTCATTTCTGGGCAATAGTTCTGTCAAGAACTTAAAATTCACATCTAAATTTATTCACATTCTTTTAAAACCCAATTAATCAGCAGCATAATTTATACTTATGCCTTGACAAAGTCTCATATAATTATTCCTTTAAAGATAACTCTTTACTCACAGTTAACCAGTACATATAATGAATGTAGGGTTTTGTTGTTGTTGCTATCAGAACACACCTGGATACCTTATTAGCTCTAGTTTTGCAACATTATCACAAGTAACTAATTTTCTTTGTACAAAAAAGGAGTTTCACTGAGGAGCCATCTTTCAAGACTGAAATTCTGTGTCTCACATGTTCACACAATCATGCATTCAGGTCTATAGCAGACAGAATATGTGTGTCTAGATGGAGCATTTTTAATGAAATGTGCAACATTCTTTGCAGCAGATTTATTTGGCTGTCAAAACCTCAAATACAACTAGCCAGAACAGAATTTCCAAAAACCAGGGTGTAGAAATTGAAATCTTTGCTGCCCAAGAAATGTCAGTTGTCTAGTAATTTGCTTGCATTTACACGGGAGGTTGCCAGGATCATGCTGCAGTTTGCCTTGTAAAGGTAGAGCTCCCACCACTATGATAAAAAACATAAAAATATTTGAAATGGCAGCTTTTTCCTGAATTTTCTTTTTCATGGTTATACAGTTTTATGTTGTGTTTCTAAAGGATACCCCCAAAAATAGACCTGACAGCTTGCACCAAGTGCAGCCAGAGAAAAAAAATCTTTGAACCTAGACTGTGCATTGAGTGCCATCTGAAACAGACCAGAATTCAGAAGACATGTGGAGTACCTTTAAATTGTCTGACTCCATGCTGTCTCTTAGGCTGCTGATGAATCATGATTGGCCTTGATTTGCCCCTGATTGGAAAATTTATTGCACAGGTATCCATCAATATGGATATAGTTGTGTACTCTGCTGAGCTCTCTTTTTCTTCTAGAAAACATTTCCTTCAGCAATTGAAGTAAACCTTCAGATAAATTATCATTAGCATCTTTTGAACCTCCAAAAGTACTGATGTGTTATATTGTCTTACTCTTTTAGGAATTGGATGAGAGGAAGGAAGAAAATGAAAAGTGTGAATTTTACTGTTTTTCTCCCCCCTGCCCCATTCCTGTAGAGGAAAGAGCATGGACATTAAAATTGGGAGACATTATGGAATGATAAGTAAAAAGCTTGGAGTTCTGGTGTCAAACACTCTCAGTTTGAACTGCCGTTCAGCCACTTATGATTTGTGTGATTAGGCAAGCTCCTTAACAACTCCAAAATTTTGTTTTCTCATCTTTTTTTTTTTTTTTTTTTTTGAGACGGACTTTTGTTCTTGTCACCCAGGCTGGAGTGCAATGGCAGGATCTTGGCTCACTGCAACCTCCATCTCTGGGGTTCAAGCGATTCTCCTGCTTCAGCCTCCAGAGTAGCTGGGATTACAGGTGTGCGCCACCATGCCCAGCTAATTTTTGTATTATTAGTAGAGACAGGGTTTTACCATGTTCACCAGTCTGGTCTTGAATGCCTATCCGCAAGCCATCCACCCGCCTCAGTCTCCCAAAGTGCTGGGATTACATGCTTACATAAGCCACCGCGCCTGGCCTGTTTTCTCATCTTTTAAGTGAGTAAAATATTAGGACCTCTTTTGAAGAGTTATGAGGAAGATTTAATGAGCCAATCCAGGTAAGTTGCTTAGCACAGTGCTCGTCATGTCATAAACCCATGTGAGTAGCTATTTATGCTGCTTGAATCCTAGTTCTAGCAATTACTAGCTGGTGGCATTACCTGAAGTATTTACTAAAGTATTTACCTAAAGTATTTACTCTCTTAAACTTGGTTCCTCGTCTTTAAAATTAAAATAATGATACCCGACCTGGAGAACTATTTTGAGAATTAAAACGGATATAAAGTGCCAAGTGTTTGACATTTAGGAGCTGATCAGTACAGTCCACCCTCCATATTCAAGGGTTCCACAGCGCCTACAGGTCTCAAGCATCCCAGGATTTTGGTATCCCAAGGAGGTCCCGGAACCAATTTCCTGTGAATACAGAGAGCCAGCTGTAAACACAAGTTTACTCCCCTCTTCGCTGCTGCTTGAGTAACAAAAAATAGCAAAACAACAGGCAACAACTATTATTAAATGTTTCCTAGTGTCCATCAAGATATATCCTAAAGACTGCCATCCACTGTTGTGTTTTTTAGTAAAATGATGCCATGAATTCATGGCGTGGATTCACAATTCTGTCGAATTGCCCAGTTGCTATTGCTTTGTGTTAAGTAATTTGTTGTAGCTTCTGCTTTGGACTCATGTAGAATGGTTTCTGTTATATTATTTCTTATTTGCCATTGTGAAGAAATCAGTTGTTTTCTCTTTGCTCTCTAGCTTCTGTTAGAAAAAGTAAGATCTAATACTTGACTGAGGTTATGTGCCTTTTGGGAGTTTCTTAGGTGAACTTTCTACCTCTACACAGGGAATTATTTAGTAGATCTTGGAGAGTTTCAGAGAGAATGTCAGTATTACACTTCATTGTCTGCCACACAGCAGGAAAAAATGTGGCCTCCACACCAGGTGTTTAAGTACAATGTACAATAGAAAGGTTCCATTTTTTAGTGCTGCCTGGGTCTTGGCAGCTCTTCACATAGGAAAACTATTAAATACTTATGCATAAGTCATTTCTTTCAAGATTTTCAAGTAATAGTTTTAGGAAAACATTACTTTTCCGTTTCTTGGCAGTAGTTCTGTCAGGGACTTTGAATGCAAGTCCAAATTTATATCAGATTCTTTCTTTTTTTTTTTTCCTTTTTTTTTATTATACTTTAAGTTCTAGGGTACATGTGCACATTGTGCAGGTTAGTTACATATGTATACATGTGCCCATGCTGGTGCGCTGCACCCACTAACTCGTCATCTAGCGTTAGGTATATCACCTAATGCTATCCCTCCCCCCTCCCCCCACCCCACAACAGTCCCCAGAGTGTGATATTCCCCTTCCTGTGTCCATGTGATCTCATTGTTCAATTCCCACCTATGAGTGAGAATATGTGGTGTTTGGTTTTTTGTTCTTGTGATAGTTTACTGACAATGATGATTTCCAATTTCATCCATGTCCCTACAAAGGACATGAACTCATCATTTTTTATGGCTGCATAGTATTCCATGGTGTATGTGTGCCACATTTTCTTAATCCAGTCTATCATTGTTGGACATTTGGGTTGGTTCCAAGTCTTTGCTATTGTGAATAATGCCGCAATAAACATACGTGTGCATGTGTCTTTATAGCAGCATGATTTATAGTCCTTTGGGTATATACCCAGTAATGGGATGGCTGCATCAAATGGTATTTCCAGTTCTAGATCCCTGAGGAATCGCCACACTGACTTCCACAATGGTTGAACTAGTTTACAGTCCCACGAACAGTGTAAAAGTGTTCCTATTTCTCCACATCCTCTCCAGCACCTGTTGTTTCCTGACTTTTTAATGATTGCCATTCTAACTGGTGTGAGGTGGTATCTCATTGTGGTTTTGATTTGCATTTCTCTGATGGCCAGTGATGATGAGCATTTTTTCATGTGTTTTTTGGCTGCATAAATGTCTTCTTTTGAGAAGTGTCTGTTCATGTCCTTCGCCCACTTTTTGATGGATCTTTCCAGATTCTTTCAAAAAACCCAATTAACCAACAGCATTATGTGTTAAAAGAAGCACATCCTGATGATTGATTTCTTTGTAGTCGCCATCCTTCTCTAGAACTCTGGGCTATCTGTAAGGATGGAAAACAATGGGTTGATTTAATGTATCTGGGCACTTAAAACAGAACTTTAATCAGAATGTCGAGAATTGACATTAGAAAGGATGCTGCCATTTATTTGCTCATTTTCCAAGAGTGGAAAATCTACTGCAGTAATTTGAGTAAGTTTCAATGAAGTATGGAGGGGTACTGGATTTCATAACCTCCTCGTTGGGTCAGGGTACCAATTTGCCAGAACAATTTATTTTAAAATAACTTTATATTTGTGTTATATTGTTTTGACAAAAGAAGATAGAATTTTAGATGACTAACTTTCCCAGCCTTTGCTCTCTTCATTTTTAAATCTGGAGAAGCAAAATAAAGTGAATACAATTTTGTAATCTGGATTATTAAGGTGTATTCTGAAGATTTTGTTTATATTTTTAAATACAGTGCATCAGTTGCTATTCTTATAAATTTGCTTCAAAATGGAGATTATTAATTGACTATAAAATGTGAGTTCTTTAAAGGGAAATGTGATATATTGGTTATAATATTCTGTTCAGAGTTGGCAAACCAGGTCTTTACCATTTTGTAAATTTAGCAAAGCAGTTTAATCCTTCTGAGATCCTGTAGGTTTTTCTTACAAATGAGATGATTTAAATAGATGGCTTATATGTCTCCTTAAATTCCAAAATCCTAAAAATATTTTTGTCTCTTTGAATGTATAACTTTATATCACTTAAAGATTTTAAATATGAATGAGTGATGTGTCATAACTTTGCAAATTGTGTTTTTATTTCTGCATCCTTTCTTTATCATGTTCACTGTGGCCTTGAGGTAGTCACTTTCCTTCCCTAGGTTTGCACAGTCTAAATGTGAAAAGGAGAAAATTTCACAGTATGATCTCTGAAGATCCTCCCAGTTCTAATGTTTTCTGTTTCTAGCGTATGTTTATTGACATTATATAAAGTATAAAGTGTACATTTCTCAGTATAGTAGAAGATACATGAAAGTTAAAAAAAGCCATGCCATCTACTCTAGAGAAAGTTTTTGACTTCCATTGAATGAGATTCAGGGGTTTTAGGAAACCACTTAAATTAGGCATAAAAGTATGTATGTATGTGTTTTTTTTTTTTTTTTTTTTTTTTGAGGAAAGAACCCGTAGCTTTCCTAAGAATTTTAAATACTACATAGTGGATAACATAGTAACTTCTGTTGTCAAAGGTCTAGTGCAGTAATTCTTAAAATGTGATCATTAATGAGGTGTGGACCTCTGAGATTCTTTTAGCTGGTTCAAGAAATGAATCTATTTTTGTAGTAACACTGAGATGATATTTCTCTTTTCATCTTCTTTTGCTAATAAATGTACAGTAAACTTTTCTAGAAGCTCTACGATGACTATCATAGCAGACTAAATCCAGAAGCAGATATGAGAATGTAAGTATTTTCTAATAACCGAAATATTAAAGGTATTTGCAAAAATGTAAAGCAATGCCAATCTTCACAATTTTTTTTATTTTGGAAAATTTACATTTTTTTCAAAAACAATATTTATGTTAACATGTACTAACTTTATATCTTAAAATGAATAAATATGTTAATAATTTCTCAGTTTAAATTCTAATAAGGTAAATATCAAGATAAAACCCATATTAACAAAAGTTCTTAGAAATCTTTGATAATTTTTGAAAGTGTCAATAGGTCCTAAGACTAAAATGTTTGATAAATGCTGGTCTACTGCATTCAATAAGGTAGGATAACCTGTAGTATTAAATAGAGCCTGCCTTGTTGTTAACTTTCCACACAAAGATTTATTTCTCTCTCATTTAATTGTCTAAGTGGATGTTCAGGTTGGCTATCTTCAATGCATGACTTTCACATTTGCCTTAGAAGATACTAACCTCCCAGTACTCTAGAAAAAGGAAAGGAGTACCAAGGAGCAAAAGTGTGGCATTTTTATTAGCTTGGCCCAGAAATCTCTTTCATTATATTCACTAACATCCCATCAACTAGAACTGGGTTTTATGGCCAAATCCAATGGAATTGAAGACTGGGAAATACAGCTCAACTATATGTCCAAAAAGAAACAAAAAAAAATTGGGGGGATTACCTAGCAGTCTCCACTATACCTCACTTTTAATGTAGGTTTGCTGTCTACTAGCTAGGTAAACATAGATGCCTTACATAGCTGTTAATTTTTAGTTTCCTTCTATGTAAATGGGTGCAATAAACTTATAACTTTAGAAGATTTTTGTGAGGGAGCTTGTACAAAAGTCCCTAAAGAGTAGATAGGTATAAATTTGCCAAATAATTATGAAAAAGATTTTTTAAAACGTCTGTGACCCGAAGAGTGTTAAATCAGTCTGCTGGAAGAACGTACCGTTTAGAAATAGATACAAAACTTGTCATAAATATAACCTCAGTATAAGATTATTTTTGTGTTATGTACAATTATGCAAACTCTTTTGGGGCATCCAGAGGGATGGAATAGTTTTTAATGCTTTCATGGAAGCATTTGAGTTGGAAATTCTTGAAGAGTGTTCCCAAAATATTTAGCTGACATTACTTTACGCTGGACCTCCATCTCCTGCTCCAGATACCCTTCTTGTGGCACCTATATGAGTCTAATGTAATGGTGAATTTTCTTATCTGCTTCCCTCATAAGTTTGTAGCTCCTATTACTTCCATTGGAATAGAGTTCCTACATGGTTCTACTTTGTATGTCTTGCACTGAAGTGTGACTCATTATAAACCCTGGGACAGATATTTATTGAAAGGATTCTATTTACTTTCAATAAGAGCAATTGCATGAAAGGCAAAGAGGAGGTTATTATAAAGATGGAAGTTGGCCAGCCACAATGGCCCATGCCTGTAATCCCAGCAATTTGTGAGGCCAAGCCGGGTGGATCACTTGGGGTCAGGAGTTCGAGAACAGCCTGGGCAACATGGTGAAACCCCCAAAACAAAAAAAACAAGTGAAAAATACAAAAATTAGCCAGGCATGGTGGCTCGCACCTGTAATCTCAGGTACTCAGGAGGCTGAGGAAGGAGGATCCCTTGAACCCGGGAGGCAGAGGTTGCAGTGAGCTGAGATCACACCATTGCACTCCAGCCTGGGCAACAAGAGCGAAACTCTGTCTCTGACAAAAGACTATTTTTGAAGTCGAAAGTGTAGGGTGGTAGAAAACTAAAGTGTAACAATAATGCTGAACATCAAAAAGCATGGAATCTATTATGTTAGAAGATCATCACTGTGAAAGTTGACATAAGCAACCAGGGATATAAAAAAGGAAAAAAAGGTAAAATTGTACATGTCCTCAAATAATTAAAAGCTGAGGGAGTTTCCTTGTGATAGCACAAAGATGTAGAAAGCCTGATAAAAGATGGCATAATTCTTAATGGATGGGAAGTTAGAGCAAGGGTGATGGAATAGTGGCTTGAATGTGGCACCCAAATATTTGTTGAATGAATAGATGGTGGGTAATGTATAAATGATGGAACACCAAATCTCATTTTATTTCATAACCCTCAAGGAAAATGGAGTCAGAGGAAAATCAATTTTCACTTAAGATGAACAGATTGGTAGACTAAAGACTCAAGAGTTAGAAACTTTGGAGGGTCTTATTCTAAATAAAGCATAGATGCCATTGAGCACAATTGGTCCAGAATATGGGCACATAAAGATAGAATTGAATTGAGGAAAGGCAGGCCTGACCCAGATTGAGGAGGTGTTTTGAGAGGACATAGCAGAGGGTTTTTATACCGTGGAGTTGCAGAAACTATTAGAGATGTCCATATTAGGAGGATAGAAATACATTTTTTGAAGTGTTTATAGCATTAACTCCATCCACCTTTCCAACTGGAATATAGGTATAATGTCTAAGTTTATATCTTCATTGCTAAGTTACTATTGATTTACCTCATATCTAAGAAGAAAATAATTTATTTGCAAATTGCCTGTCCAATAGGTCATCTTTAGCTAATGTTTACATAACTACCATTTTTAGTAAAATTTTACTATTTGAATAAATGGAAAACTAGAAAATGTCATTAATTAAAATAAAAGCATGGCTTATATTACTATCTTTTTTTCTCTTAAGTACATTCATTCAAACCACATATACTCATTGAGTGTTTATTATGAAGCATGTTTTATAGTAGGTTTTGGAGATAGGAAGATAAATATGACAAAGTTCATGCCTTCAAGAATCTCATGTGTTGATAGGAGAAATAAACATGTAACAAATTCATATATAACTTGTGAGCAACAAGAGAAGCAATAATAAGATACAGAGGTAGTACATTTTCCTTACCGAATATAGTGAGGAAGCGTCACAGAATAACACTATGTAGAAAGTAGCCAGGTGAACTAGAGAGCGATGACATTTCGGAAGGTGCAAGGGGCGTGTGAAAGTAAATGGGAATGGGAAGTACCATATGGTGTTCAAGACACAACATGGGATTTGTTATTTCTGAAAAGTAGGTGTGAGGAGAGTAGCAAAACATGTTACTCAATACATTAGGCAAAAAACAGAAACATCTTTCATGCTATGCAAAGGAGTTTGGGCTCTTTCTTGCGGGCGTCTAGAGGCTATTAAGGAAACAACTGTTCATTGGATGAAGAGGGCATCATTGAAGGATTTTAAACAGGAAAGTTTCATGGCCATATCTGTTAGTGTGTTTGTTTTCAATCATCGTATCTGCAGCGAAGAGAGGTTTGAGAAAAGCACTAAGGAATTGATGGCAATAAGCCTAACACTTGATGCTGGAAACTAAACCAGCAGGGTCCGGGGAAAGAGAAAAAAGCAGAGTAAGTAATCAATATAATTTATGAAGACTTAGATAATATGAACATGAGTATGGTGATGATAGAGAAGAAAATGGGATTCTGAAGGATTTTTCTTTTTTTTTTTTTTGATGGAATCTCCCTCTGTTGCCAGGCTGGAGTTCAGTGGCAGGATCTCAGCTCACTGCAACCTCCACCTTCCAGGTCCAAGCGATTCTTCTGCCTCCACAGTAGCTAGGATGACAGGCATGTGCCACCAGGCCCAGCTAATTTTTGTATTTTTAGTAGAGATGGGGTTTTACCATGTTGGGCAGGATGGTCTCAATCTCTTGACCTCGTGATCCACCCACCTTGGCCTCCCAAAGTGCTGGGATTACAGGCATGAGCCACCGCGCTGAAGGCTTTTTTAAAGTAAATATGTTGGCCGGGTATGGTGGCTCACACCTGTAATCCCAGTATTTTGGGAGGCCAAGGTGGAAGGATCACTTGAGCCCAGGAGTTTGAGAACAGCCTGGGAAACATAGCTAGACCTCGTCTCTACAAAAAGTCAAAAAAAAAAAAAAAAAAATTAGCCAGCTGTGGTGGTCCATGCCTATGGTCTCAGCTAGTAGAGAGGATTAGGTGGGAGGATCATTTGAGACCAGGAGGTTAAGCCTACAGTGAGCCATGATTGCACCACTGCACTCCAGCCTGGATGACAGAGCAAGACCCTGTCTCAAAAAAAAAAAAAAAAAAAGAAAGAAAAAGAAAAGGAAATATGGTTTTCTGACATCAAGACATTACTAATTTTCATGTAGAAATCGCCCAAGAATAGAGCGTACACTGTGCCGAACTAAACAGGTATGTTGTTCTCTTGATGTTTCTAGTCAAAAAGAATCTAAATTCCCTATAGGTATCAGGTTGTTTCTGAATTTGAAGAACATTTTTTAAAACTTAGCTTCGTGATGGTGACATCATGCAGTTTTATTTCTATTTACATACAGTTTTAATATCTCATAAAGGGACACTGTAGCATTTTTCACACATTATGATATGATAGCAAATCCTTCAGCTACTGTTCTTTATTTAGTCTAAGAACACTAGCAGTGAATTGGACTCTAACAGGGCATCAAATAGGGGCATTTCACATGAAAGCGCCTACAGCTGACAGCCTTCTTGTTGCTTTGAGAGTAGTTAGTATTATTGCTTCCTTAAGGAGCCATGAAACTAGGCAAGCTAATTCCCCCAGATAATTTTCTTGTACATTAGCTTCAGTGATGCAATACAATCAGTTACATCTGATGAAGCTGATCATTGATTTATTATTCTTTTGGGGTGCTTAAACTCTCAAGTATCATTGTGATAACTATTGACACAATATGTCTTCTTTTAAAATAGATTTTCTATTTCAGGCCCAAGCTTTTCTTTTGCACTGCTTTGCAAACCTTTTCTTTTGCATTGCTTTGCACTGCTTTGCAAACCCTCCTGCTAAGTCCCAACCATCTGTCAGCCTACCTCTCGTGGCTTGCTAAGTTTTCTGACCTGTGACCCACCCAACACCTTGGAGGGGTGTGGAGAAAATGCAATTTTATTATCTCAGGTTAATGAGAACTCTACCTTTAAATGTATATACTTTTGTACTTCAGATTTTCCACAAAACCACATATTTGTGAAATTCTTATATAATTAAAAAGCTAATGTGCCATTTTAAATAAGATAATTTATGGGAAAGGTGTATAAACTTGCAAGTGCTAATCAAATGTAAATGGGTATAATTTATTATGGTATTAAGTTCAATAGTGATTGGTTAAATATAGCAAAATTTCTATTTACCTAAATATGTTTCACTTGTGTGACTCATTATTATTGGTAGGGAGATACTTGTTTTTTTTCTAGTGCCGTTAAAAGTACAGACAACATAGGATCACATTGAATAATAGTAAAAAAGATAAATATAACTGTGGTTAGCATTAAAAAGGACATAAAATGCCAGAACTTTTCAAAGTGACATTTCTCTAAATGAAATGAAATGTTTTCAATGGGAATTTAAGCCAAGGATCTGCAGAGACCGTCTTGCTCTCAGCCACTTTACTGTACTGCCACTAGTATTGAGTGCCTGGGATCATCACGGCTCATTTTTAATTTGTATATCAAGCATATGTCAAGTACCAGCATGTGCTAGGACTTACACACCTTGAGGATAACAGCCGGCCTTGCTTCTGAAGAGCCAGTAGTTTAGCACAAGAGATATAGTCAGGCAAAATGAAGATTGCAACTCGGCAGGATTGAGGTATGCATGGGGTATTGGGTAATCACAGTGAAGGAACATACCTACTCTCAGCTCATTAAATCATGTTTAATAGTCAGAATTTAGAATTTTGGAGGAGGTAAAGAAGCAGGTTGAAAGGAAGTAAAATATCCATTGGGGAAATATCTTTTTCTAAAAAAGCACAAAAGAACCATGAATTCTATAATGAATTTGAAATGAGGTAAAGTAAGCAATACTTACAGAGGAATCCAGGCTCATGTAACTTATAATAAACCAATATATAGCATTATTATGTAAAATATATCTATTTTGGGTAGAAAAGCTCAGCCCAGGTCTGTTAAACAAGCATTACTGCATACATATTACCTCCCTTTGGATCTTTAAAAGTTGAGTAAATTCCATTCGTTGCATAATTTGGAAATCTTTTCCTCCCAAGAATCATTTACACTCAACTTTCATAATATAACCGCACCATTCCTACATCATTCTCATGTTCTGAAAAAGTTTTATTAATGACCGACACTTATTAGACTCAGTGACAATCCAAGCAAGCAAATTATCTGGTGCTTACAAGCTCAGGGGCAAAATTAAATCAGCTTCAGTGTGAAAAGATCAACATCCAGGAGGCCTTAAGTAAATTTCAGAAACCACAATTCTTTTTATATTATGTTTTGGCAAGTTCTTCATGGAAAATTTCTTGAGAATCATCTTATTTTTTTCCAGATAAAATCTTTTCCTCTTTTCCTCTTAGGTTAATAATAAGGTAAAATACAGAAATAATTTCAAAAGTTAAAAATAATTGAGTGTAATTCAGGCAAATATCAGAAAATAATCAACAGCTAATGTGTTAAGCAGCAGTTATGTATTTAGCACTGCACTGATTATGTTTAAAGATGAATGAAAAATAAATGAGGATTAACAGTTTTTTGGGTGTGTGAGCATGCATGGGTGTGTGCATGGGAAAGACAGATCGGGAAAAAATGGAGTAGGAATAGAAGGAAAATTAAAACATAATTTATAACCAAGAGCTCAACCAAACCATAGTTTATAATGAAACTAAACCATGGTTTATAACCAAGAGCTAAACTGCCTAGTGTAGAATGCAGTGTAGAAATCTGAAAAGGTCTAGATTCATATGTGTGTGCCAAAGTAATTGGAAAAGTTTATTCAACAAGGTGGAGATTTTGGAATCTACACACAAATTTTGCAAAAGAATTTGTTATTTAGGCTAAGATTTTCAACAGTTCAATAGCAAAAGTTTTCTGAAGTAAAAAAGAAAATCTGACTTCAGCATTCAGTTATAAAACAACATTTAAGAGGCAATAGGAAAAAGGACTAAAAGTGACTAGGCCGGGACTTTATATATCTAAATCCATTCTTAGTGGGATTTTAAAATAAACATAGATTGTAAGCCAGACAGTTGCACAACAGTGACTGGAACCTGAAAGAGTGTAGCCTGGGGAAAAAAAAAATGGAACTCAGTTTTAGAAATGCACAGCAAAATAGGAAAGGTGCAGCCAATCATGTGGAGAAACGATCTGTCGTTCAATGGGAAAAAAGAACCCATATGACTCCCATTATTTACATACTAGTTCCTTTAGGGATTGGACATCTTGGGGACTCAAGAAATTTAGGCAAAGAAGGGTTGTCTACACAGCTTGGTACCACCATTGATGAAGGGTTTGAGTGAGATGGGGTAGTTGCCACTGCCCCAAAGTGCTTAGTATTACTATCTTAGTCTGCTTGGGCTGCCATAACAAAACACCATGGCCTGAGTAGCTTAAACAACAGAAATTTATTTTTGGTTCTAGAGTCTGGGAAGTCCAAGATCAATGTGCCAGCAAGGTAGGTTTCATTCTGAAGCTTCTTCTCTTGCCTTCTAGGTGGCTGCCATCTTGCTGTGTGCTCACATGACCTCTTTGTGCACACTTAGGGGGTGAAAAAAAAACAAAAAAAACAAGCTCTCTGGTATCTGTTTTTTAAGGGCACTAATCCCATCATGAGAACCTGACCATTCGTGGCCTCATCTAACCCTAATTACCTCCCAAAGTCTTCATCTCCACGTACCATCACATTGAGGATTAGGGCTTCAAACTATGACTTTAGGAGGAACACAAACATTCATTCTATAACAACTTCCTCCCTTAACTGCTCAGTCTTAGGTAGGAACTTTTCAAAGTAAGCCCCTGCTAGGATTGCCAAGTAAAATTCAGGACACTCCGTTTCATTGAATATCAGATAAATAGCAAGCAATATTTTAGTATAAATATGCCTCATGCAACATTTGTAACATACTAAAGAAGTATTGGCTGTTTATCTGAAATTAAAATTCAACTAGGAAGCTTGTAGTTTTGTTTACTAGATCTGGCAAGCCTAGCCTCTCATTTGTGGGTCAAAGGCTTTTGCTGTCTAAACCAACCAAATATTCATTCCAAACCAAGAGAGACTAAGATGAATTGGCCCAGACAGCTATGATCACTCCAGCTTTATAAATTGGTATTTGAACAGTGTAATGATTTGCTGTGTCACACAGTCAGCAATTTTTCAGTTACAGGTATTGACTATTCCCATTATTTCCTCTAGCATTTAGTCATTGGAAAGCTTGAGAGCTTTGCTTTAAGTACACTTAACTGAAAGGCATGTCAAAAGTACTTCTCTCTTATATAGAGTGACTTAAAAGAAGGGCAGACCTGGCTTTTGTTCAGGCCCTGCTACTCTGACAAAGTCACTGATAGAGCATTCTGCACATGGGGTAGCTCACCAGCTTTCTGCAGTTTTCTGTGAGAAGGCTCTGAGTTAGGGAAAGAGTATTTGTAATGAGAGAAGTGGGATTTAAATTCGACTTCCACTGATGTCCCCCATGTGGACTTGAGAGAATTACAGACCTTACCAAGCTTCAGCTTCCTCTACTCCCCAATTAGGATAACAACATACCCACTGCCCTCAATTTTACAAATGGGATAATTATAAATAGTAATATAAATAGTAATTATAGACATTCTCATATAACCTACCATGTGCTGAGATCAGCAGATTTATTAACATATTTAACATTCAGCATACCCTATGGAGGTAAATACAATTGTTATCTGTATTTTATAGATTCAAAAATAGAGGTAAAAAATAGTTAAGTAGTACTGCAGGGATTGTTTAATGTATATTATTATTTTATCATCATCATCATCATCATTTTAGTGCTCAGCAAAGGAGGACCAACAAAGTCATGATCATTTATTTAAAAATTATTTAAATATTCAGTTTGTCCCTGAAAAGCACTGTTGGTTTGCTGTGCTTCATAATTTGGAACCTCAGATCATTTTGGTTAAAAAAAATAGATGCAGCCATGTCTAATATGAACATAGCTTAATTGCCACATTCTGTCAGCTACTTTGTCACAAAATTAGGTAACTTTGGAGCTAGCAGAAGGGGAACTCTAATCTCAGTATATTCAAGAATTTATGAGGGCATTTACCTGTTAAGAGTCTTTCAAAACCTGTAAGAGCATAATAAGTGGGGGAGAAGCTAAGTGAAATAGAAAGTTGGCATTCAATTTACGGCGTCAAAGAGTCTTTGACTTTATTGTTTCTCTTCACTTGTTGAAACATATTGCCCATTTTCAGATTTTATATTTTACCTTTTTTATTTGACAGAGCTATTTATTATTATCTGAGACTCCAGTAAAAACATGAATATTATTTCTAAGATTTTGGCACTGACATTTTAGAGTCAAATTTTATATCTACTAAAATATGAAATATGATAACTTTTTAGTCAGGCCAGATGATCTACTTTGAACTGACAACATTTAGACAATCCTATGTCAAATTATATATGGATAAATACATCAATATGAATCATATAATTATCCCATCCTAGGTTAAGAATCAAGGTCGAAGGTCATCTATTCCACACCCACTTATTTTTTTGAGTTGTGGTGACATTTTCACTTAGTGTATAAATATATGTGACTGGTAATACTGTAGTTTCTTTCTTTAACTTAGAGTCTGTAAATGGAAAAAACAATAGTTACAATTCTGGAATATATGCTATGAAAATTCTCTATGAACTTCTCTATTCCCACAAAAGCCCTATGAGCTAGTTATTACTCTTCTTATATATATATTATAAAGCTGACTTGGGAGTTCAAGTCACTTGCCCAAATTCACTGTTGGTAAGTAATGGAGGCAGAATTTGAAGTTTCTTCGGTCTGTCTGATCTGAAGTCCTGTGCGCTATTCATTGTAGTACATTGCCTCTTGGGGAGGGAAGGGAAGAAAGGGCTAATTGCTGCCTGGAGTGAGGGATGCTGGATACATGTTATTTCTGCACAGATTCTTGTGCATGTATACAGTATATATATCACCATCACCCACCCTGCTTTCACTGGGATGGAGCAGAAAGGAAGGTTATTATTCAAATTCCACTCTTTCTCAATAAATACTTTGACTTGTTCTTAGCTGCTCCAACAAGAAAGAACTACTGGTAACTACTAAGCTGGTATTTCTGGTGGTCTGAAAACTGTAGCTTCCTAAGCTTCTCTGTAACTAATTGAAAAGAACTTTGAGAGTAGTAGGTGGCAGAAAGTAGTAAGTGCCAGAACTCCCAGGTAATGCTTTTCTGAGATGCTCCAACAAGAAAGAACTATTGGTAACTACTAAGCTGGTATTTCTGGTGGTCTGAAAACTGTAGCTTCCTAAGCTTCTCTATAACTAATTGAAAAGAACTTTGAGAGTAGTAGATGGCAGAAAGTAGTAAGTGGCAGAACTCCCAGGTAATGCTTATGCAAAACTAAAAGCTAAAGTTTGGGAACCAACATAAGCTAAAAAACTGTGAATGAGAGACAGAGAGAGAGAAATTTTATTAGAGAAACCATTCCATTCAATATTTGTTGAGTTCTTACTGTTGGTAAAATATTGAGCTCAGCTTTGTAGGATAAAAACATGAATGCCAAGATGAATACGGCATTTTCCTGTCCTCATAGGTGTAATCTCCTTTCATATAAAGCATATCTTATGTTTAGTAATTTTTCTAGCAAGTAGCATGATACCAGTCACTAGCTGGTAAATTCATAATTGTTTAGTAATAAGATTTGACTCAGTGTGTGATATAATTCACCATCTATAAAGTGCTCAAAAATTACAAATCTGTTTTCCTGCTATTAAAATGAAGACACACAATGTCAAATTCAGAATGTTTATGATATTATGATTTCAAATTAAGCCGATGGAAAAAACTAATTGGAAATCATAGTACTGCACTGAACACAAGGACATTTGCTGCTAGTATTGTAGTTGGCTAAGCTCAGACATCTTTAATCTCATTTAAGTGATGTCATAAGCTCCATCATATTGAATGTTAAATACTTATACAAAAAATATAAATGACTGGATATTTTCACCTATTGTATTTGAAATCTTCCCAGTTATTAAGTTCTGAGTGATGGCAGAAGAAATATAAAAAACAAGTCACAGAAATTGATTTGATTTTGTGAAGTATAACCTGCCCTGACAATTCAGGTGTTACTTAGAAAGTTTCTATTTGTAAAATTCAGGTCACTCCTTCCTCCTTCCTTGAGAGAAATCATTTTCAAACTATTTTTTTAAGTTGATGCCTCTTATTCAGGATTTTGCTGATTATTTAAAAATTATAAATATGGAGAATTATGTAGTTTTATAGTTTTAATTAAATTTTAACTATTAAAATATGTCTTTCTTTATATGCAGAAGTCATGCTCCAGTGATATAAATAAACATGTTAAATTAACAGATATTATGAATACATGTCTTGATTTTGTAAAAAGCTCTGCATAATGACTCAAAGGCATAATGCTTGCAAACAGCTGGAAAGCAAGGTTGTCTTGCCCTTTCTGAAATACTCTGGGGAATAAGAGATTTTGCAATGAAAGAAGAACACATATATTTAATAAATTTCTTTTTTAATTGGTGTGGAATTGCAGGATAGGCAGGCAAAAGGTTGAGAAAACACATGGAAAAACTGATTATACATATCAGCCAATTATGACCTCAATTAACATACTCAGAAGGGCCCGTTTTTTCTTGTCCCAGAGATCAAATAAGGAACATCTTGGGGGTAAAGTCATTAAAAGACTTTAGCAAGCAGTTTTTAATTATACATCATTTGTACATCTGTGAATAATTACCTGGTAGTTGCTACCTGGTGACAGTGATTGACAGAAAGGTACCAATGATTCCAGGCTAAAGATACATCTTTAATATGAGCAAAGGATACAATAACTTCGCAGCATGAAGACAGTGACAGCAAGGAGCTCTCCAGCACTCACAGTTGAAAGGCAAAGTTGCCTGGCCTCCCAGTATTTGAGGTGCCAGTTGCCAATGGCAGCCCTGAAGTAGGGTGAGGATCCCTTTAGGTTCTTCTTAGATATGTGTCTTTCACTGTTCTTATAGGGAGCTTATGCCGGCTTAGGTCATTCTTTTCTTTCTGATTGTTCAATAGATAAAGGCACTGGCTCCAACCTCAGAATGTTCCTGAGTATTAACAATAGGTGAATCAAATATCAATTTCTTTTATATAATGTACCTCTAGCAGACCAGCTTCAGACCTTCGTGCCCAAATGTGTTGGATTCTCAGAAAACAAGCTTAAGCCTCATTGTCTATTGTGAAAACCTCCTTTTGCCTTTTTGTCTATTAAAAAAAAGAAGTGGCCGAACATGGTGGCTCGTGCCTCTAATTCCAGCACTTTGGGAGGCTAAGGTGGGAGGATTACTTGAGCCCAGGAGTTCAAGAACAGCCTGGGCAACATGGTGATACCCTGTCTCTACAAAAATTTCATCAGATGTGGTTATGCATACCTGTGGTCACAACTACTTAGGAGGCTGAGGCAGGACGATCCATCGCTTGAGCCTAGGAGGTTGAGGTTGCAGTGAGGCATGTTCACACCACGTCACTCCAGCCTGGGTGATAGAGCAAGACCCTATCTCAGGAAAAAATAAGTAATAAGATGGCAAAATTATGACACATTTTCCTGTGAACAGCACACTTCAGGGTCTGAGGCAGCTGCAGTTTCAACTGGAGAGATCTAGATAGCATTAAGTGTTTATTTAGGTGTGGCAGACTGAATCCTCTTGACCTGTGAACATATACTATTTGACTAGAGTGATGTTTTGCCTTTTTAAATTAAATTTGAGTAGTTTTGGTTGGAGCATTACTACTATTTGCAACAATCCTCAAAACTCCCTATTTATTGCTTTTTGCTTGGCTCACTTCACATCCATTGTAGGCATTTGTCTGTGTTCTGGTTTAATGCTGTGAGTTTTAATAAGAGTTTCTGTACGGAGCCTGAGATATCTCTATAAGAAGAAAAAGTAGGAAGGTTGTTAGTTAAACCACTGGAGTCAGAATCTCAGGAAAACAACAATCAGCAACCAGGCCCAGAGCTGGGGAAGCATCATGGAGGTTTGGAGCAGACTGGAGATAGAGGTCAGAAGGCTGTACTGAAAGACAGGGCATCAGAAGCAAAACTCGGGACTGGATGATTGAGCACATGACCTTGGCTAAGTACATGGGCAACAGCTGTAAAAACTAGAGCAAGAAAAGTAGGGGATTCTCTTATATCCCCTCCTGAGTTGTAGAATGTGTAATAAGACAGTTTGGGCTTAGTTGGAAACTTAGCTAGGGCTGATTGTTCAGGGAAATCTTTGCAACTATTTTTCATCAATGCTATTTTTTCTTTTTCATTTTCTATTTTTCTTTCTATTCAGTTAACAGGATTTGGGGACAGTTTTAGATAGGAGGGTAAAACTCTAATAATATTTTTCTATGCCTACTGTATTTTTTTACTTATTTTATTTTATCGTATTTTTATTTTGAGGCAGGCATCTTGCTCTATTACCCAGACAGGAGTGATCTTGGCTCACTGCAACCTCTGCCTCCCAGTCTCAAGAGATCCTTCCATCTCAGCCTCCTGAGTAGCTGGGACTACAGACATGTGCCATCATGCCCAGCTAATTTTTGTATTTTTTGTAGAGACAGGGTTTTGCCACATTGCCCAGGCTGGTCTCACACTCTGGACTCAAGTGATCTGCCCACCTTGGCCTTTCAAAGTATTGGGATTACAGGCATGAGCCACCACGCCTGGCCACAATTCTTTCTTTACTTATGGTTTCTACTCTTTTGATCTTCACTCTCCTTAACACTTTTTTAAAACAATCACTTTCCAATTCCTACTGCTGACTCCATTCATGGATTTCCAGAATTAATTATTAATGTGCTCAGTCATGCTGCCCCTTGGGCCTAAAATTTCTGGTGTATATTACCTACCCTTACTTCTTCCACAAAACATTGAGTACAATGGTCTTTACATCACTTTATTTCATGAAGTAACTATTGCTATACCCATTTTACAGGAGACAAGATGGAATCTTACAGAAGTGAAATCATAATCCCAAGGTAACACCCCTTCTAATTTGAAGTGTCATCTTCTGGCTGCAATTGTGATCTACTAAAGCACTTATGATTTTTAATATCTGAGTTTTTGCCTTCTGCATCTTCCATTAGACCATGAAACACTTGAAGACAGTGGCTAGGACTTACCCATTTTAGTATCCGTCATACCAGCTAAAGTCCTGGTTCATAGCAGGTGCTTAGTTACTGAATAGATGATGAATGAAAAAGTTATTAGTAAATTTATATATTTGGTGAATACAATCAACAAAGGGAGCCTCACCTTGGGATCTATGCCTTATTTGGCTTATTTCAGGAACAGGTTACCTGGGGTTGTTACTTTTCCTCCAGTCTCCAAAGGTTCTAAGGATTTGAACAAATCCAGACAGAAATAATGAGCAAAGCTGCAATTAGAATTTGGACTGTCTGATTGCATGTCTTCTAAAGTATGCAGTACAGCTAACAACAAGGATATGATCAAAACTTATGTAAATAATAAATATTCATCTTTCTTACTCTTGCTTTAACTCAGTGGTACCACCATGTTTAATATTTGCTTAATCAAGCACTAATTTTTTAAAAAGCTATTTCTACATTCAAATATTTCAGTTGATAATCATTAGCAATTTCTCAAGATTTTTAAAATGTGGAGCGCATTAGTTTTCTATTTTAATTTGTGACTTTGGAAATGAATATCTAAGCATTAAATGTTGAACGCATGGTACAGTGAAAATAGTTCTGAACGAGGACTTAAGGAGGGAAGTCGGAGGCCAATGGACTAACTTCTATCTTTGCTGTTAATTATCCAATCACTCCACAAACATGTATTGAGTCTCACTTATCGGGTGAGCAGTGTATAGTTGGTATTGTTGGTATTTACACATAGATAAATGAAATGAGGTCCTGGGATCATCAAGTAACTCACTATTTGGTAGACGAAACAAACAAGTGAACATATGAGATAATATAGAAAATATATAAATATGGCCGGGCACGGTGGCTCATGTCTCTTATCCCAGAACTTTGGGAGGCTGTGGTGGGCGGATCACGAGGTCAGGTGATCGAGACCATCCTGGCTAAGAGGGTGAAATCCCGTCTCTACTAAAAATACAAAAAAATTAGCAGGGCGTGGTGGCGGGCACCTGTAGTCCAAGCTACTAGGGAGGCTGAGGCAGGAGAATGGCGTGCACCCGGGAGGCGGAGCTTGCAGTGAGCCAAGATCACGCCACTGCACTCCAGCCCGGGCGACTGAGCGAGACTCTCTCTCAAAAAAAAAAAAAAAAAAAAGAAAAAGAAAAAGAAAAAGAAAAGAAAATATATAAATACAAACAGAGAGTGAGAGAGAGAGAGAGAGAGACCAGAAAAAGAGAGAAGGAGAAAGAGAGAATGCAAAAACCAAGAGGAAAGAATGATCCACTCTCCAACTAGAAAGGTAGCTCTCAATCTGAAAAGTCACTTGATTACTTTGTCTATTTTGCTTATCTGCTACATCAATGGTTCCTAAATTTTCATTATTTTGGCTACCACCTTCATATTTTTTGACATACCTTATTATCAATTTTATATACTTGATTTATTTAAATGGGCTTTAACTCAATTGACTTATTTTTTAAAGGGAGTATTGTTCCGGACAGTAGTATCTATGAAATCACAGGCTTGAAGAGCTGTTTCTTTCTTTTTGCTAGCATTATACTGAATTTGATTAAATTACCTACCCAGACTAGGAGCATCAAAAATTACCTCTGAGTATTTAGAGTACCACAGCAAACTGAACTGATGCCAATGTAAAACAAATATATTCCTATTAAAGTCTGTTTTTGAATAGTATGTTACTACCTTCAGCATCATATGTACCATCAGTGGTATACAACCTATTACAATTTAGATAATTCTGGACAACATGTCCCTTCTAAAGTCCTTTCTGTCACTTATATTTTAGCTTCTGTAAAAGTTTTTGTTTTATAAATAATTTTCTCAATACCTGTCAGGTAATTCAAACTCACAGAGGCCTGAAAGAACAAGTAACCTTTTTGAGTCCCTGTAGGATTTTGCTAATTTCAAAGACAGAGTTTAAAACAAATGATCAGAAGTAGAAGCGAGATCTCCTCTTCTTGCCTGGGGGTGTTTGAAACAGCCCAGATCCATAAAAAGGAGGAGATTAATTTCTGAACATGTTTATTTAGACAATAGAGGGTGGAATAAAACATTCTCTAATCCCAACTTCACAGAAGCTTTTCTCTTGATTGAAAACTGGTGCTTGTCATAAATATAAATATTGGATTAAGGAGGAATAGGAGACATTAAAGTAAAAAGCAGGAAAATCATTGTGAGCACTGGAGCAGAATAATTATTCTATAATTTGTTTATGATTCATTTATGATTTATTACTTAAAATTACACAAAGGAATCATGGTAGCATGTGGTTTAGGAATAAAGCTATAACACATTAGGGAAATTAAAGGAAAACGTGTCCTCTAATAAAAAATGCAGCAATGATTGACATATTAAAAACACAAAGAGGTGTTTTTCCTCTTTGACATAATATTTAAATTCACTTTTATTGCCATATTCTTTTCTGAAACAATGACCCACTTCTCTGTGATTCTCATAGCAGAGGGACTACAGGATGACAGTATGTTTTGTAAAACTTTATTTAATAATGAATTTTACTTTCTTATGATTTATTGATATTTACATTTTAGAAATTACTCTATTTTGTAATGTAAAACCATGGTGAAAGAAGGCACAGTACACAACCTTTTAATTTGTTATCAAATGACAGTTTTGGTAAAAATACTTATAAACTCATTATCAAGGCAGCTACATTTGTCTTACTAATTTGTGTATTCACTCAGATGTACTAACTATAGTAAGGGACTTCCCACATCGCCCTTGGCCAAAGAATGTTTTTAAGAACTTACATCACTTAGTACCTTCATTGATTCATTTAAATAAATATTTTGGGGAACTGTTATGGGGTGAATTTTGTTCTCTAAAAAGATATGTTGAAGTCCTGACAGCACTTCAAGATGTAATCTTATTTATAAATAAGGTCATCAATTAGCTAATTCATTAATTAGATGTAACACGTATTAAGATGAGGCCATACTGAAGTAGGATGGGCTGTTAATTCAGTATGACTCGTGTCCTTACAAGAAGAGAAGAAGAAACGCAGAGACACACAAGAGGAACACTATGTGACTATGGAGGCCCAGAGATGTGAATGACACAACTACAAGCCGAGAAAAATCTCGGATTGCCAGCAAACCACAGAGACTAGAAAGAGTCAAGGAAGGAGTCTCCCCACAGATTTCAGAGAAAGTTTGGTCCTGCTGACACCTTGATTTTAGACATATAACCTCTAACATGAAGAGAAAGTAAATCTCTGTTTGTGGTAATTTGTTACGACAGCCCCAGGACACTAATAGAGACACAGGGATGTGTTCAGGACCTGTTGTAGACAATTGCAACACATTGGTAAACAATTCAGACAAAGACTTCTGCACCGGTGGTGCTGACATTCTCAAGAGGGAAGAGCAGTCTGGAGATGTGTTAGATGGTAATAAAGAGTATCAGTCATGCACAGAAGAGGTGGGTGGGAGGGGAAGGATTGAAGGGTGCAATTGTGAGACAGGTGGAGAGATAAAGGTAAGATTTGAGTCAAAATTTGAAGAAGATAATGGTATCAGTCTTGGAAAAACATTAGAGGAAGAACACTTCAGGGAATGGGAGACCCTAAGTGCAAAGCTTTAAGGCTGGAGCATGATGAAGATGCAAGAGGAAGGGCAGAAGGAGCTGAGACAAGGGCAGTGACTGGGGAGCCAGAGCTTGTAGGGCCTTGTATGTTTTTTTGCTCAAAGAAATAGGGAGCTATTGGAGGCTAAAGCAGAGGCATGACATGGTCTGACCTACCTTTAAAAGAATCACATTTGTTTCTGTGTTCAGAATAGACCATAAAGGGCATGGATAGAAACCAGAGGACAAATTCATAGGGTATTTTCACAATTCAGGCAAGAGACAAGGATTGCTCAGAGCAAAGTGGTGGCCTTGGAGAGATTGCAGAATGGTTGCATTATAGAAAGAGCCTCAAGATAGAATCAACAAGATTTCCTGGAAAATTGGATGTGGGGTGTGAGAGAACAAGAGGAGTAAAGAATGATTCCTAGACTTTTGCCTTCTCAAAGAATAAAACTGCAGTCATCTAAAATATGGAAGCAGATTTAGGGATGGGGCAGGAATAGCTTCCATTTTAGAGATGTACTTTATTTTTCTCCTCAATTCTTTGTTTTCAGGTTTTGTCTGTTTCATTGTTTGGTATCTAGAATATTTGTTACTTTTATATGTTTTTTTTTGTTTTGTTTTTTGTTTTTTTGAGGCGGAGTCTCGCCCTGTAGCCCAGGCTGGAGTGCAGTGGCGTGATCTCGGCTCACTGCAAGCTCTACCTCCCAGGTAAACGCCATTCTCCTGCCTCAGCCTCCTGAGTAGCTGGGCCTACAGGCGCCCACCACCATTCCAGCTAATTTTTTTTTTTTTGTATTTTTAGTAGAGACGGGGTTTCACCGTGTTAGCCAGGATGGTCTCGATCTTCTGACCTCGTGATCCGCCCGCCTCAGCCTCCCAAAGTGCTAGGATTACAGGCGTGAGCCACCGCGCCCGGCCCTATATGATGTATGTTTTTAAAGTTATTTCTAGTTTCTTTTACTCTAATCATTATTTTTTTCTTTTTTCCTTTGATTTATTTTTATTCTATCACTGAAAGATTTTCCTGATTTTTCTACTTTCACTCTTTTCTCTCCCTCCTTCTTTCATTCTTTCTTTCAATTGTGCTACTCTTATCTTCCTAGTTTTTAACTAACTAGTTTTTAACCAGGAAAGCCTATCCCATAGATGCCAACCACACTCAGAAAAAGACAGTCTGATCCTCTTTTTCCAGAAATAGGTGTGCTCTACTTCAGAGCAGATGACTCGTGAGAGTTGCAGGATGGCTTCAGACGGTGACACATGTGCAGTAAAACCAATGGTTGTGTGCCTTTAAGATCCCTCCATGAAATGGCTCCAGAGTTTGCTTCTCAATGATTAAGACTCCTTTCCCAGAATATGCCCATAGGTGTCCTAAAACGGATTCCTGACTTGTCAGCTTTTTTGATGGGTTTTAAAATGCGTGTCTGTAAGAGATTTAGATGATATATATTTAGATTTAGATTATACATATATAAGCCATAAATATATGAATTTATCTATATAAGCTTAAATTATATATATAGCTTAAATGTGTATATTTAAGCTATAATGTATATTTAATTTTAATTTAATATAATTTTAATGTAATGTAATTTTATTTTATATATAATGTATATTTGATTTAATATGCATTAAATAGAAGCTATATTATAGCTTAATTTAAGCTATATATATTATATATATAAATACTTATATATATATAGCTCAATATTTAAGGGTTTATTTTCCCTTTATCTTTCCAGCTGGGAGGAGGGAAATAGTCTAGTGAAGGTAGGGGTGCATTCATTTTTCCTAGCTTTGGAACTGCTATTAAGCTGTTGAGCTTGTTTGACCAGAAAATTCTTTCTGGCCTGGTTTTATGCCCTGGAAGTTTGTATAGCATATGCCTAAACACCTGCATCCCTCATGTCAAGAGCGTGTTGTCTGCATGAATAAAATTCACTCTCTAATAATCTTTTCAGTTTGTACTCATTCTACTCAGCTAAAGGCTGAATTGATTTTCTCTGACCAGAAGAATTTTTTTTTTTTTTTTGAGATAGAGTCTCGCTTTCTCACCCAGGCTGGAGTGCAGCCCCACCATCTCGGCTCACTGCAACCTCCATCTCTTGAGTTTAAGCTTTTGCCTCAGTCTCCCGCATAGCTGGATTACAGGTGCATGCTACCACGCCTGGCTAATTTTTTTTTTTTTTGTATTTTTAGTAGAGACAGATTTTCACCATTTGGCCAGGCTGCTTGAACCCCTGACCTCAGGTGATCTGCCCAGTTCAACCTCCCAAAGTGCTGGGCTTACAGGCATGGACCATTGCACTTGCCTGGCCACCAGAATAAATGAAAGTGTTGGTGGGCCCTACCTGGATCCATTGAGGAATAGAAGAATTGTTTCCCTGTAGAATATTTTTCTAGAGACACATGTAAATAAATGCATGGAACATTTCTTACCACATACACTTATGAGAACATGCAGGTCACATTTAATGGTACTACCTGGACAACATGAAGGGATTTTGAGATTATTTTAGGGTTAGTGTATACTCATGTCTTAGTTATCTATTACCACATAATAAATTACCTCAAAATTTAGTGGCTTAAAACAACAATAGGCATTTAGTATCTCACAGCTCTTCTGTGGGTCAGGAATTCAGGAGCTTAATTGTGTTCTTCTGGACAGGGGTCTCTCATGAGGTTGCATCCATGTAAAGGCTTTAGAGAGTCTGCATTCATGATCAAGGTAGTTCATTTATATGGCCAGTTGGTGCTGGCTGTTGGCAGGAGGCCTTAGTTTTTCTCCATGTAAACTGCTCCATAAGGCTGCTTGAATGTCCTCATGCATGGTGGCCCACAGAGACTGAACCAAGAGAACAAACAAGGCAGAAGCTAAAATTTCTTTGATAACCCAGCCTCTGATGACACATGGTGCCATTTCTACAATGTCCTATTGGTTAACACATATCAGCCCTATTGAATGTGGTAGTAGGCTGTCCAAGGGCATGGGTGTAGGAGGCTGGCTCATGTTGGGAGCATGATTGCAACAGTATACCATAATGAATACACTGGATTATGGGAGAAATATCAATTACTCCCTCATGTTCCAACTTGGTGGAGTGGCTGCTGATCCAACAGTACTCAAGATTAGACTGATGAAACCAGGGTCTCAGAATATGAACAGGGCCTTTTTCTCTCTACATACCTTTGAACGGCCTACTTATGCATTCTTTGCCTGACATCTATTAAAACTAAGAATGATATTACTTCTATTAAAAGGAAGATTTTTCTGATATCCCCAAGTCAGGGTGCAACTCCTCTGTTTTTGCATAGTACTCTTTACATAGTGCTTCTTATAACTTGCACTTAACACATTGCATTGTGATTACTTTACCCTCTATCAAGCTGCCTGCTGTGCTGGAAGCCATTGGCTTGGATTAAAGGTGACAGTATTATTGAAGATTTTGCTGAATTAATCAGCTTTGATTTTGCGTGTCCATTTCTGCCCCATCTATTTAATGAATAATTGATCTGTCAAACAGAATACTAGCTTTTTATTAAATAGCCGTATCATATTAGATGCCAATGTAGAGTATGCCAATGTGGCTTAATTGTTTTCATCAAATGCATTCCATCTCTTTAATTAAATTAAGTATCCACTCCAGACAACTGAAAAAGCCAGACTTCTCCTTTAAAATTCCATGATTCAATGACTTGAGGGTTCAGCCCCAGTCAGTGCAATTTCTTTTGAGATGGATTCTTGCTATGTTACCCAGACTAGTTTCAAACTTCTGGGCTCAAGTGATTTCCAAGCCTCAGCCTCCTGAGTATATTGGACTACAGGCATGTGCCACTGAGTGTGACGTTATTAACATGCCAGTTTTCTATACAAAAACTTTGTTTCTTTTCACTTTGGTGGCATACTGTGGAATGCAACCCAGCTCCATTTGTTCAATGCACATAATATTTCAGTGATGCTGTATTCTGACAACCAATTTCAGCCTAAAATGAAATAAAACAGAAAAACCTCCTTTTTTTAAAAAAAATCAATCTTTTTTTCTACAACATAAATAAAATGAAAGTCAAACATTCAATTCTAACTCTGAGTTGACAGGCGTATATCCCACACTTTGAGGCATTGTTATTAAAAAGACAATTATGTCTTCACTCTAATGGATTATTGGCTGTTCTAAAGTTTGTCTCGTAACTAAGAAAAAGTTAAATCATTGAGAAAAGGGAAAACATGCAGTTTCTCTAAGTTTATCTTACTGAGAATGCAAACAGTGATCCTGATCTTTATCCTAACATGTAATGCTTGGAGGCATTGGATTCTTCCATAGTTGGTCTTGTACCTTTCCGTCTCTCTAACTATACCTGCCGGCTTGAGTTGGTCCTACAAAAACCTAGTGACATTGAAGAATGTTATCCCCCACCCCTCCAAAAAATGTATGGTACATCTGTATAGCTGTTCATGGGATTACAGAATGAAGAGTTAAAGCACCTCTTGCCATGATGAAAGGAAAAAAACAAAAACAAAAACAAACAAACAAACAAACAAAAAAACCTTAAACCAGGTGAAGAGATAGAGTGGATATTGGTGGCTATATATTTGTCTTCATCAATGTTAACAAACCAAGATTCGACACTGTTAATTCCTTAATTGCTCACTGATATGATTTGGCTGTGTCCCCACCCAAATCTCATACTGAATTGTAATCTCCATAATCCCCATGTATCTAGGGAGAGACTTGATGGGAGGTGATTGGATCATGGAGGTGGCTTCCCCCATGCTGTTCTTGAGATGGTGAGTGAGTTCTCATAAGATCTGATGGTTTTATAAGGGGCTCTTCTCCCTTCACTCCTCTTCTTCTCTCTCTCACCTGCTGTCATCTAATATAAAGACACATGCACACATAATGTTTATTGCAGCACTGTTCACAATAGCAAAGTCTTGGAACCAACCCAAATGCCCATCAATGGTAGACTGGATAAAGAAAATGTGACACATATACACCATGGAATACTATGCAGCCATAAAAAAGGATGAGTTCATGTCCTTTGTAGGGACATGGAAGAAGCTGGAAACTATCATTCTCAGCAAACTAACAAAAGAACAGAAAACCAAACACCACATGTTCTCACTCATAAGTGGGAGGTGAACAATGAGAACACATGGACACAGGGAGGAGAACATCACACACTGGGGCCTGTCAGGGGGTGGGGGTCTAGGGGAGGGATAGCATTAGGAGAAATATCTAATGTAGATGATGAGTTGATGGGTGCAGCAAATCACCGTGGCACATATATACCTATGTAGCAAACCTGCACGTTCTGCACATGTACTCCAGAGCTTAAAGTATAATTAAAAAAAAAAAGATGTGCCTCTTCCCTTTTCACCATGTTTGTAAGTTTCCTGAGGCCTCCCCACCCATGCAGAAAAGTGAGTCAATTAAACCTCTTTCTTTTATAAATTACCCAGTCTCGGGTTTTTCTTTGTAGCAGTATGAAAATGTATGAATAAACTCATTTACACAAATGACTTCGTATTCTTATTGGTGTTTTTATGTATTCTAATATACATATTTAATTTCTTAGAGCTAAAATCCCTAATGTGAATTTTGATTGTGTTTTTCTTCTGTGTTATGGGCTAAATTGTGTCATCCTCCCTCACAAAAAGAAAGATTATAATACGTTCCAGTACCTCAAATGAAACTATATTTGTTTAATGGGACTTACAGAGTTAAATTAAAATGAGGTCATTAGTGTGGACCCTAAGCCAATATCACTGCTGTCCTCATAAGGAGATGAAATTTGGATACAGACATGTAAAGAAGGAAGACAATGTGAAGACAAAGGGTGAAGATTAGCCATCTTCAAGCCAAGGAGAAAGGTCTAGAATAGATCATTCCTCATAGTCTGCAGAAGTAACCTACCCCACTGACATCTTGATTTTGGATGTCTAGCCTCCAGAACTGTGTGAAAATAAATTTCTGCTGGTTTATCCATTCACTCTGTAGTGTTTTGTTACAGTAGCCATAGCAAGCTTATAAATTGCCCGAAGGGCATGACCTGTTATAACCTGCCACTGAAAAGTAGTTCATAGTCAAAATGGTTTTATAATCTAAAGACAGCAGGAGAAGTATCCCTAAGGTAGCAGGAGAAGTATCTCCTAAATATAACAGTTTCTGCCTGTTTCCAGAATATCAGAGTAGGTATGACAAGAATATTCCTGGTGTGGCATGAGGAATAGTAGTAATGAGATAATATTTCAATTCAGATAGTATTCGATCTTCAGCAGCATCAAGACATTCACCTAATAAAATATATCTTACAAACATTTGTGAGTATTAAATGTGATAACCACAAAAGTACTTAGATTAACACAGTCTTAGCACATAGTAGGGTGCTCGCTACATGTTCTTGCTCTCCTATCAGTTTGTAGTCAAGTATAACTCACAGATTATTTTTCTGCTTTTCTTTTACCTCACTAGTCTGTGTCCCTAATTTAAGGAAGCAATCTTCTTCTCTTTTCTCTATTTTCCATGAGGATATCTTGTTAAGAAATATCATCTTCATTGTGATTACTTGTTGCTCTAATTTTTAAAGATCCCCTTCAAATCTAGTCCTAGCAAATTTTTCTATCTTCAGAGGTGTCTGAATTAATGAGTATGCCCTGTAGTCAGCAATTCAGATCTTTGATTAAAAATAGACATACAGGCTGTCCTTGTTTTGCACAGAACCATATTAACTGTAACTCATGCGAAGTGAGGAATTGATCACTATGAATGAATTCATTTAACATAATGCTGGTACTGTGGAAAGCATGGACTACCTGTAAGATTTAAAGAGATGCCCTTCAATTTATTTTCCTATATTGTGGTTGACCAATACATAATATCAGTATGCCTTATTCAAACACACATACATACAATAGATACACAAACACACACCCATAATTTTATTCAAAATTTATTTTTCTCATTATTCACAAGCATATTCTTGCTTTTCTATTTACTTGAAATGATTTCTCCTATCCATTCCTGTTCTTCCTATTAAACTTCCTGCATACTTCAAATTTCAAATTGAACATAATCTCTTGGAGGACTTTTACTAAATTCTCCCAGGAAAGTCAGTTTATCTCTCATCAGTTCTCCTAGTATTTTCAGTATCTCTTAATATGGATGAAATGGATCACCTTTGGCTGGTCAGTGATGAGGCAACATTTTGGCTGTGAGGAAGCACCACCTACCTCTAGTCTGTGTGCTCCGGGTGACTTGTTTTCAATTGCTGCATTCTTGAAGTACATTTGGGCCATTACAGACTGTTCAAGGATGCTAAAAGAGATGCCCAGCCATATGCCTTGATTTTCTTTGAGAACTCGGAGTCTGTGGGAGAAAATTAGAAGCAAAAATTTCAGACATATGTAGATCTAATGACCCTGATGACTGGAGTACAAGAGGCAGTGCTTGACTGACTAATGTTCTACAATGATGCTTACACCTTAATCTCTAGATTCTGTGACTATTTTATGTTATATTACATGGCAAAAAAAGACCTGGCAGATGTGATAAAGGCTATGGACCTCGATATGGGGAGATTATCCTGGAGGCCCCAATGTAATCACATGGATTCTCAAAAACAGAAGAGGAACACAGAAGAGTCAGAGAAGTTTGATGTAAGAAGGACTCGGCCACCATTGATGCCTTTGAAAATGGAGGAAGGAGACACAAGCCAAGGAATGCAGGTAATTTCTAGAATCTAAGAATGGTCCTTAGCTGACATCAAGGAAATGTGGATCTCAGTTGCACAGCACAAGGAACTAAGCTCAGCCAGCAGCCTGAATGAGCAAGAACAGAGACATTCCTCTAGAGGTTTCAGAAAGTAAGGCAGCCCCGCAGACACCTTTATATCAGGCTTGTGAGATTCTAAATAAAGACGTGGCAGTGACCACTGGACTTCTGACCTATAGAAAATGTCAGACAATAAATTTGTGTTTCTTTAAGCTTCTAAGGTTGTGGTAATTAGTTGTGGAAGAATACAGAGGGAATAGAAAGGGAATGTAGAGTAGAGAGGGAAATGTCTGTAATAAGGACCATCATGAAAAAACAAAACAATAAAGCCTTTAAGAGAAAAGCACCATGAGTAAAAGCCTTGCAGAGCAGGGCAAGCCTTAGCATCCGGGCCTGAATTAGAACCTGGAAGAGATCCCAAGAACTTTGCACGTCTGTATACAACTGTCACCTGCAGCGTCTCAGCTCCCCAGTTCTCAGGAGCCTGTTGTCTCTTGTGAAGCAGATGATTGTGGAACAATGGAAATAGCTTTGTTACTAGAGAGTCCACCAGCTGTGCTATGTGACTATGTTCTGAAAAATTCAGGGTAAGCATAGGTTTTTCTGTGACCTGTGAGAAAGGGAGGCAGATGCAAGTTGGAGAGACCAGCAGTATCATGGACAGTGGCTTGCATGACATCTTAGGCCTACTTAATGCTAGACTTCAAAGGAACAGGACTAAGAAAACTGGCAGAGCTACAGATAAACATTATGCTTATATGTGAGAAGCTCTCCCCATGCAAGGATTCCCGGAGTCCCAGAGTGAATGAATGGCTGGGGAGATCCCGGGATCAAATCGGGTGCTTTCTAATAGTGTCCACCTGATTTGATTCTGGGATCTCCTGAGCCATTCATTCACTTTGGGAATTTGGAGTGTAGACATGTTAGGAAGCACTTGTAAGTGTCTATTGTTGATAGCTGCAATCAAATTCTCCTAAGTCTGAAGCTTGTAGGCATTCGCCATATGTTTAATAATTTTATCTTCTATCTTGATAAAGTAGGTGGACATCAGAATTGTTCATTTTAATTGAGTACTTGTGCTGTTGTAAGCACATTTCATATATTAACACATTATTCCTTAGAAGAACCTTCTGAGATAGGCGTTATTCACTGTGGTTTACAGTTGAGGAAACTGAGGCGTGGAGAGACTGTGTCATTAGTCCAGAGTTGCATAGTTAGTATGTGGTGGCATTGGGATTGAATCTAGACAATATGGCTCCAGACACCATGTTTTTCACAGCTGTTGTGACAGACAGAATGAAAGCACCCCAAGGTGGCCACATCTTAATTCATGGACCCTACTAATATATTTTGCTACATTATAAAAAAAAAAAAAGGTTGCTAATTAGCTGACATTAAGATAGGCAGATTTTCCTGAGTTATATGTGAGGAACCCATGAAATCACAAGGGTCCTAAGGAGTGGAAGAGTGAGTCAGAGGGAAGATTGGAGTAATACGATTTGAGAACTCAATTCACCATTGATGGCTTTCAACATGGAAGGCATGCACAAGCCAAAGAATGCAGGCAGAGTAAAAACTAACGTCAGGAATTTGTGACCAGCTTGGCCAGCATGTGAAACCCCATCTCTACTAAAAATACAAAAATTAGCTGGATGTAGTGATGCGCTCCTGTTATCCCAGCTACTCGGGAGGCTGAGGCAGGAGAATCGATTGAACCCGGGAGGCAGAGGTTGCAGTGAGCCGAAATGGTGCCATTGCACTCCAGCCTGGGTAACAGAGCAAGACTCTGTCTCAAAAACAAACAACAAACAACAAACAAACAAACAAACAAAACAGCACAGAAACTAACTCCTCCCTAGAGCACTGGGAAAGCAACACAGCCCTGCTGACACCTTGATTTCAGTCCACTGAGACCCACATCAGACTTCTGACCTCTAGAGCTAAAAGGTAATACATTCGCAATTTTGGAAGCCACTAAGTTTGTGGTAATTCGGTACAGCAGCAATAGAAAAGTAATGACTCTGCTGACTACTGTTCCCAGATCATATCAGGGATTCTCAGAAAGATAACTCTCTTCCTCTCCATCCATCCTCAGTGATATGTTAAAAAGGATCCTGTTTGCCATACATATCGAGTCTCAATGTTATTATCCTACCAGCCACCACCACCTTCACTCTCTGATCAAATTATCACTATTTAGAAATTATGAAGCTGCCATTGCCAGAAATATCCTTTCTCTGAGTTCCCATATCTGGATGGCCACCACCCCAAGCTCCCCTCCAAATAATATAATTCTTTCTCTGGCTATCCAGGCATGGGTTCAACTCCCCAGTAAGATTGTTCAGGGTACTGAATTTAATGCTTAGGGCATTTCTCATTCTTTCTACATATTTTTCCTGTCCAAAGAGAAAACAACAGAAGGAAGGAAACCTATTGGCCACCATTTCTAAGACAACAGAGGATGGTTTTTTTCTGTCTGGAAGAAGACTCCCTCAACTTGCGTCTACTCAGAGCCACTAACTCCTCCTCCCACCCCATTTTTTTGATGGTGGTCAGGGAATGGTTAACTATCTTTGTTTACATGTGAAAACTAATTTAGTTTTAGTCAATAAAATAACCATTGTACGCCAGGCACAGTGGATCACGCCTGTAATCCCAGCACTTTGGGAGGCCGAGGTAGGCGATCACCTGAGGTCAGGAATTCGAGACCAGCCTGGCCAACATGGTGAAACCCCATCTCTACTAAAAATACAAAAATTAGCTGGGTGTGGTGGCGGGCACCTGTAGTACCAGCTACTCTGGAGGCTGAGGCAGGAGAATCGCTTGAACCTGGGAGACAAAGGTTGCAATGAGCCGAGATCACGCCACTGCACTCCAGCCTGGGCGACAGAGTGAGACTCCGTCTCAAAAAAAAAATTGTAAAAAGGAATATTAAAAATAGAATGTTTGAGATTGGGCATATTGGTCTCGCCCTAGAAGCTTTATGACAGAGCAAGGCACAAGAATGAAGCATCCAATGATCCTCAATAAGGACTCACTTTAAAAATGTACTTGCCTTGCCTCATTGACTTTGAGGAGAAGCCTATAGCCTCCAAGGAAAGTTTATTTACCTTTGTGCCATAGTGTTTGTTAGCCTTTTCCAATCTGCCAAGAGTGAAAATGAGAATCTCAGGAGTCTGCTATTTCTGACAGCGTCTACAGCAAACCAGATGGCATTGTCCCTTGGAACAGCTAGTGTTCATGTTTATGTCATCCTTGGTCTCTTAGCTTCTGAGCCATAGGTCAATAGTTTTACTCATTTCAACGTGGACCACACTTGCATTTTAGTGACCAGCCCGCAAGAATCCCACCAAAGAAGACTTGCTGTTTTACTCCCAGAAACACCCCAGTGTCCTTTAAAGTTCAGAAAATGCCAGAGGAACAACACTTTCACTAGACTAACTGTCCATTTACACTGAAAATGTCCTAATACATTTGGAAACCTAAAGCGAAGTAATCTGACCTCTTGGAGGCTTTTGAAATAATTGATCAAAGTGATAAAGATGTTCCACTAGCTACTTTACTTTTCTAGTTTGTCTTTCAATATCTTTGTCCCACAGTGATTTTCAAAAGAATTGCTTGAATTTGTCTAAATTTAGTGTACCAAAAAAAGGATATCAAATCTCATCCTAACTTCTTCAGACAAATAGCATCCAATTTATATTTTTCAGAGGTAGTCCGTGTAAAAGTTGGCTTTATCTTAAATATAGACAATCTATGAAACTCTGTATGGAAATAAAAGATTAATGAGGGTTATTTTTCACTCTTAGACAAAAATTTCCAATAGCAAATAATCCTGCAATTTGCCAAGGTCCCATTTATGCTTGCCATTTGAGGAGCAAAATATATCGTGTTAAACAAGATAGAGGTGGTATTACTGTATATTGCTGTATTACAATGTTTAATAAGTCTTTTATACTGAAATCACACAACCCTAGGTAAAAATTCTGGTTCCTAAAATTACTAGCTGAGCAAACATGGTCAGATTACTTAAATTCCTTTACCCCTTGTTCTAGAGTTTCTTTATCTATAAATGGATAGCAAGAGCAACTAACACGTAGGATGATTTAGACACAGCAAAAAGTAGGCATTCATCTGTTACTCTTAGGTTTCTAAACAATTTAATGGGCTTTAAGCAAATGACTCCACATCTGCATTGCAACAATAGATACTACCATTTCATTAGCACTATTATATGTAGTAATAGAAGGTATATTATTCAAAAATTAATATATTTTACTTCATTTTGAGGTAACTCTCTAACTTAATCAAACTTTCCTATTCACTAAATAATTTTTATAAAAGTAAAACCTAAAATTTATAATCGACGAATGAAAAAAATCTTAGATTTCCCATTACCGAACAGAAGTCTACTAAAATTTCAACTTAAAATCACAAGTCTATCAGTTACTTCATTATATTTTGATTAAAATATATTTTAAACTATAAGACTATCAGTCTACTAGATTAAATTTGTTTAAGCATCTCAGAAACATAAATTGCCTAAATGTGCAAATCCTTAGACATGAGAATCCAATTCTATAATTTCAGATATTATAGTTTTGATTTTGTTAAATCTTTTTGTTTGTGATTTTTCATCTGGGATTGAAAGACACATCGCTAGTCAGACAGGTCATTAGCATTCATTTAACTGGATTTTTTTTTTTATCATTGCTACTTACTTTTAATTGTCTTAAGATTGGAAGATTCATGGCCACTCAGGCAATTGCCTTTCCAAATAACAGAAGTTGGACCCCGTGATTTTAGCTTAGCCGGCAAGGTACCTGGAGCTGCAGATATTGTGGGCTTCAAAATATTCAAAAGTAGTTGGCCTCTTAGTTAATAAAATGTAATATCTTACCTGCTTTCATTTCTCAACCAGCCAAAACATTTGACTGGATTTTGCACTTTCTTCTTTGCATTTGAAGTCTTACATTCTTTCTCTATTTCCTTCCCTTCATCCTTTCTTTCCTTTCTTTCTTCTTTCTCCTCTTCCTCCTCTTTTTCTTTCCCACACAATCTTGCAAATACTCAAAAAGTCTGAATAAATTTTAGTGATCTCTATGATCTCTTATGGCTTTATGTGACTTGCAGATACAACTTCACTCCAAGGTCATTTTACAGACACAGAAGAGGATTCAAAACACAAAATTTAGAAAACTAGAGCAACTGCAAAGTTAGTAAATAAATGCTCAAATAAGTTTATTCATCCATGTAATGAAGGAGTGATAAAAGATGTTTTAAAGCTCTTTGGCAAAATCAACAGAAGAGAGAAATAATCATGAGTCTTGTAAGTATTGTTAAAAGTTGTTTTTTCCAAAAAACAATATATTGGATAAAACTGCCAAAAAGGAATAATCAAAGCTGAATAGATATGTAGATGCAAGCAAATACTTAACATTTATAGGAATGTATATAAACATGGACATTATATCTTATTCATTAGTGTTTCATAAAATTTTAAATGGCAAAATTCAAATTCAATGATTGGTTTCCAAGAATCTTTATTTCTTTAATTAAGAAGAGATTTAAAGTACCTCCCTTGAACTAAGCATTATATTTGAATTGCTTCATACTCTTCCTTCTTTATTCTGAACCTATCAATTTAGGTAAGTACAGTTACAGGCATACGTAAATCAAAAAGATGAGTACCCACAGCTACAGTTGCAGCTACAATTGTTGCATTAGCCATAAATGACCAAATATATTTAAAATACATTCTGAGCAATATAATAAGGATTAATTATATGTAATTTCTTTGAATCATTGTACTTGAGGATTATTCATACCTTATGTGTGTGTATCTTTCTATACATGTGAAAAGTCAACACACACACATACAATGAGAGACTTGAGTTCAGCTTATTTATTAGTCTTAAGGCTCCATCACTCTGATCATCACTGTTCTCACATCTTATCTACACTCTGGTATGGGCAGCAGCAGATTTATTTGTTCATTCAGGATACATTTATTGAGTATCTACTGCCCCTGGAGAACCGTGTTATATGCAGAGGATCCTGAGATGAATAAGATTCATCCTTTACTCCAAGGAGGTCTAATTTGGGAGAAGGACATGCAAGCAAATAGTTATGAAACAGTTTGATGCTGTAATGAGACATGGAGCAAGGCAAACCTAGATGTGATCAATGCTGTTTGGGGTGAAAGAGGACTTCCCAGCAGAAGAGTTGTTTGAATTAAGTGTTGAAGAATATTCTAGAGCCTAGCAAGTAGTCAGTGCCCAAGGTTGAAGAAGCCTATTTGAAGCAGAAGGAACAACATAAGCAAAGCCATTGAGACATTCAACAAATGCTTATTGAAATGGTGTCCTTACAATTGCGTTGGGGAGGGGCATGACTATATTAGTAAACTAACTAATTCAGGTGATTTTGCTAAGTGAGAAATGGCGTGAAGAAAATAAAGCACAGTAAAGTAACAGAGAAATATGGGGAGGACACTTAGCGTTTGATGGTGTGGTCAAGGAGAGCTTCTCCGAGGAGGTGACAGTTGAGACCTGAATAAGGAGTAAGAACCAGCCATGCATAAGCATGGAGGAAAAGCTACAGGAAGGTTCTGAGAGCAAAGTTCCTAAAGCAGAAATGAGCTTGGCTCATGTGAGGATCAGGAAGGTCAGTTGGGTTGGAGTGATTTGAAAGAGTGGGAGGATGGAAGGAGAGAAGGGGCAGAGGGTAGGCAGGAATCAGATCATAGAGGACCTTATAGACCAATGGATGGAATATGAACATCCATCCAGTGCAGCAGGAAGCCATTGGAGAGCCAAATAGAGGACTGACATGATCTTATTATTTTATCAAAATTCACTTAGGGGGTTGGGTGGAGGACATGTTTAGGGGAAGAGAAAGGGGAAAGGAGAGTCTCTTACAGAGGTGCAGAAAAAACATGATGGTGATTTAAGTTGGAGTGGTCGAGGCCAGAAGCAGAACAGCATATTTGGGACACTGTAAGTACTTATTATAGCTGGATATATATTAATTTTGATTATATACATGGAATGAGATGGAGATTAGTTGGGGTAAATTGACAGTCTCTGGGTTATAAATGCACTTTTTAATTGCATGGATGTTGAAATTGATTCTTTTGGCAATGTGAAAACATTAAAGTGTTTTAAGGAGAAAAGAAAAGCAATGGCATAATCAGATTTGGTTTGATGATAGTTTGGACTGCAGCAATGTGAAGAAGGAATTGAGAGGAGGGAGATTGGTGCTAGGAAGCCCAGATAGAACCCTAGGACACTGGTGCCTGTGAAAACGGTTGGGGGATTAAATGAAGGGATGTGTGGTAAGCATAAAGGGATCTAGGATGACACCCAGTTTTTTGTTTTGTTTGTTTAACGTTAGTGACTGGAATAGTGATGGCCTTCTTTAGTAAGATTTTTTTAAATGACAAAAGGGGATCAGGTTTGTGTTGGTGATATTGGATTTGGTGTCTTTGTGGGATTTGCAAGAGGAGATGTCTATTAGCAGGTACCTGAGCAAGGATAGATAAGGCAAGGCTGGAAATCCAATTTTATAGATGTAGCAAGGAGCTCATACACAAGTATTCATGATGGAAATGAAATACAACATGGGTATTGGAGGACATCTATCCAAGTGTCAATTCAGAGGAACAGCTCACAACCATGGGGAAATCGAAAGTGTTGTAAACACATGCAGAGCATGAGTGTTTACCAGTACTAGGTCAAGATTCTAGGCATGGCTGGAAAATAAGAAGAACTTTAAGAGAAGTTGATTAGTGGGTACAAGTATACACAGTTAGATAGGAGAAATGATAACTGGTATTCAACTGATCAGTAGGATGACTATAGTTTACGCTAATCTATTGTACATTTCAAAATAGCTAGAAGAGAATAATTTGAATATTTCTCAAATAAAAAGTAAATAAGGTGATGAATAGCCCAATTACACCAATTTATACATTATATGAATGTGTCAAACTAGCACGTGTACCCCCAAAATATGTACATCTATTATGCATCAATTAAAAAAGTAAAACTTTAGTTCTATACAGATTTAAAATCTTAATAATGTCAGTAATTATGAAAGTTTGAGCAGCTTCATTCCAAATTTAGGTAGTTTTGGATCAAGGATCTAGACACAAAATACAAGAGACTGTTACAAGTTGATATTAAGTGAACATTTTGGCTCAGCATGAAAGTTTTTGTATTGTTTATCTCCTTTAGGGAGGAAGCCATACCTTAGCATCACCAAGCCTGGCCCTTTCAGTGGACTGAGTGGGAGGACTTGGTTAGCAGAGGGAGTAAGGGAATGAAGAAAGAAGCAGTTTGAAACAGTTCTGTTTACATCAATACTTCTTAAGATGTGATCTGAGGACCACCTGCAGCAGAATCGCTGAGGATTTTTGTTGAAAATGATATTTATTACTGAATCCTACCCAGATCTAGTGAATCAAAATCCCTGAGAATAGGGCTGTGTCTCTATTGTCGTCAAGTCTTATATTTAGTACTCCCTACAACTTCCTTTGGGCCTGCCTCCAATATTTATAGGTTATCTCCAAATCCTGGCTTCTTAAACTCAATTCTTCTGGCATCCAGAGCATTTCACCTTTGGTAGGTAAACCAGGAAAGTTAACACAGAATACAGCAGTCAGCTTGGCCAGAGCAACTCTGCTCAGAACAATTATTGAACTCACACCTAAAATACAGATCTGAACTAGTAAAAGCCAAACCCTATAATTCACTTTGTAGTAGAAGCAACAAAGGACAGCACTGTCACTTGAATTACTTACTGTGGTATTATTTTGCTCTCAAGCTTACCTCTAATTTTATAATTTTATGTTTGCATGTAAAAAAGTCAATCCATTTATGGTACTTAACACAGTCTGTGGCACCTATTAAGTACGTAATACATGGTAGTTATCATTTTTTTCTTTCTTATTTTTGTTACAATTTGCATTTTGAGGGGAAAGTTGTGAACTTCGAAATTAATTTCTTTAAGGAAATTCTGAAATTATAGTACTATAAAAATAGTAAATCATAATTATTATAATAGAAACTTTATTTTAAAAACACTCTTGGTTATTGATTCCCTTTCTAAGACAGGGAAGTAACCAGAATCAAAAGGTTGTACAGACTGAAAAATAATTTTCAAAAATGTGTATTAATATTCAAAATGTATTATTTGTTTTAACATGTGAAACAGGGGAGGAGGATTCAAAGCAGAACATAGGAGGCAGTAGAACATTTCCCGAAGGGTCCCTGTCTCCACACAGGAGCTAACTGAACAGAGGAGGAATAGTGTTGCAAGGATGCTCAAATCAAGATCTGACGAATGTTGACAGCAAAACAATAATCCAGCTGTAGGACTGCAGCGATGATACAGTTAATCAAATGCATCAACTTCATAAATTCTGATATGTTCTGAGATGTCTGTTCCCTGAAGATAAGTCTAATAATCCTAACCTGATGTGTCTTCCAGGAGTCATAATGTGGCTCTGTTTAATGGGAAATCAGCTAGGAGGATATTTGCACTTGGAATTGGAAACTGTGGAAAGACATGGAGACAAACTGAAAATTCGTAAATTGGATGAGTTGGGAGACCCCACTGGTGCATGAATGCAAAAGAACCAGGGTGCTCATGTGTAGATCTTGCAAATATTTACTTTTCTTAGTTAAACATTTTTAGCTTAAAAATCTCAGATCTTTTTGGGGGGAAGCACTGTCTAAATAAAGCAGATGCAAGAAAACGGTGAAATAGTGTCTTTAGAATTAGAGAGGCTCTGTGAGGGATTAATGAGTTGACTTTCTCACCATCATACCCTCATCATCAATCATAGGAGTTGATAAACCCCAGGCCAAATCCAGTCTGCTGCCTGCCTGGTTTTGTAAATAAAGTTTTATTGGCACACAACCACTCTCATTTTTTACATATCTCCTATAGCTAGTTTTGTACTACAACTGCAGGGTTGAGTATTGCATCAGAGACTGTATGACTTGCAAAGCCTAAAATATGTACTATCTGATGCTTTACAAAGTTTTCTGACCTTGATCTTGTATACAGCCTGGCAAAGACTAAGAGTTCAACTATTCTTCAGTTAACTTAAAATGCATGTTCTCTATACAAGCTGGTCTAGCTGATTAACCTTTTTGAAACTCAATTATCCCCAATGCTAAAATGGGTATAAAATCAATCTTACAAAATTGTTGCATGTAGTAAGTACTTGCAACACTGTTTATGCATAAAACACAGTATTACATTCTTCCGTGTTCTCTCCTTTCATTTAATGGTAACCGGTGCTGCTTTAATCCAGAATAGTCAGTGGCATGCTGACTAGTGATTTTACAGCTTTCTGAATTTTTCAGACGTACCGAAATAATTTACCCTCCCAACTGAATCAACAGTTCATAATTATTTATTACTCTCTTAAAATGCATTTTTTCTTTTCTCTTCTGTTGTCTTTTTCTTTCTCTCCTTTATAGCTAAATATATGTTTTGCTATAAATCGAACAAGTCCTCTTTTTCTTTTTATATTTACCACTGGGGACCTAATTCATTTGATTTCTCTGGAAAAACACAATATCCTAAAAACCTGCATTGTCTGGATGCTTTGCTGTTAAAGCAGTAAAAACAGCATGGTAGTATATTTTAAGAAAATGTCCTAAATCCTGTAATTTTGGGTCATCCCCAATCTGCCAACTCTTTTTGAATGAATACAGTAGACCTAGGCTCCAAGGGAGCTGTAGATAATAAAAGGACCAATCAAAGAAAACACTTTTCTTTCATACCTTGGGAAAGCCAATGAACTGAAGGAAAGTGGCTTTGATGGCAGAATTTGGTGATGTGGCCCTCCCCTCAGCTTTCTGAGACAAGCCTGGCTTTCATCCTATGCTAATTTTGAAACAGGAAGAAACTTCTTTCTAGAACATTGTGTGAAGATATTCATGGGTGTATTAGTCCATTTTCACACTGCTGATAAAGACATACCCGAGACTGGATAATTTATAAAGAAAAAGAGATTTAATAGACTTATAGTTGCATGTGTCTGGGGAGGCCTCATGATCATGGCCGAAGGTGAAAAGCACGTCTTACATCGCGGCAGACAAGAGAGAAAAGAGAACCAAGTGAAAGTGGTTTCCCCTTATAAAACCATCAGGTCTTCTGAGACTTATTCACTACCACAAAAACAGTATGGGGGAAACGACCCCCATGATGCAATTATCTCCCACCAGGTCCCTCCCACAACATGTGAGAATTATGGGAGCTACAATTCAAGATGAGATTTGAGTGGGGACACAGCCAAACCATATCAATGAACAATATTTTATCAAAGGTATTGTAGGTGGGACGACTTCACATTCACCACCACCACCCCCATGATGTTTCACTTGACAAAACCCCTTGAAACACTTATTTTCTTCTCAATCTCCACAGGCTTCAGATAGAAAGTAACCCATCCTCCACTGGCTCTCCATCTCCTCGGAGGATGGTTTCCGCTTCCAAATCTTCTGCCTGGAACTCAGTTCCTCTCCATTTCTTCTTTACAAATATCTTGGTCCTTTCCTCGCTTTTAGCTCCACACCTGGTACCTGCAGTGACTGTTTAGTATGATCCTAAGTAAGGTTTTACTGAGGGGGAAGACGCATTTGTACTAAGCAAACAAAAGACCTTCCCCTGCTCAGGCCCCATTATTCTAACGGAGTAATTCAGGGTTATAAATAGCATCAATAACAAAAGCTTCTTTCTTCTTCTTCCCTGGCTCAAAGCCAGGTGGAGGCAAGCTTTGTTTTTGTTCTTTTTTGTTTTTATTTTTTCCTCTCCAGGAAAGGTAGATGGAGATAGGGAGGGGGGTTTCAAAACAGTGCACACACAATTTGATTTGACTATGACTTTAGCAACATGCCAAGTTAAGAAAGACAATATCTTTATTCCAGGTTATGGAGATCAACTCCTAAAAGCAACAGCAGAAATAAAAATGCAGTGTTAACAGATTTTACCATTTACAGAGTCAATAGACTTCTTGTAACATATATATAAATGTGTTTATTCGTATGTTACAAGAAGCATTAATAAAAATTGCCTTTGAAGCCCAATTATGGTGTACTGAAATATTTGCCCATTAGAATTCATCCAAACAGTTGAAAATTTTTATTGTAGATGGTAAAATATAAATATTAGTTGAATTAGTATAATTATAAGCCAATTTGCCTTAAGACAAAAGTAGCCTATGTCTGTTTGGAATTCTATGAGATACAGACCATTGTGTTAAACAAGAAACAGAGAATGAAAGCTGAACAATTAAGAGAGTTGGGCCATGATACAAGGCGTTGGTTGCGCTAAGGACAAACTAAGTGTCTTCTAATGCAAATTTGGGGATTTATTGAAGTAACAATCCTCAACACTTTCTCTGTGCTTCAACACAAGTTGCTCTGGAAAGCAGGAGATTTCAAGTGGCCCCTGAAGCTGCTCTGTTTAATTTCTCACATGCTCCTGGGGATTCTCAGTTTTCCACTACCTAGGATAGGATTGAGGCTGAACAGAGAAGTCAGCACACGGTAGATTGTCAATAAATATTTTTTCAGGGACTAGATGGTACTATTTAGGTTTGTGCAAAAGTAATTGCAATTCTCTAATGACCAGTGATGATGAGCTTTTTTTTCATATGTTTATTGCTTGCATAAACTATAGTGAGATACCGTATCATGCCAATTAGAAGGGCTGTCATTAAAAAGTCAGGAAACTGGATGCTGGAGAAGAAGAGGAGAAATAGGAATGCTCTTACACTGTTGGTAGGAGTGTAAATTAGTTCAAGCGTTGTGGAAGACAGTGTGGCATTCCTCAAGGATCTGGAACCAGAAATACTATTTGACCCAGCAATCCCATTACTGGGTGTATACCCAAAGGATTATAAATCATTCTACTATAAAGACACATGCATACTCATGTTTACTGTAGCACTATTCATAGTAGCAAAGACTTGGAACCCACCCAAATGCCCATCAATGATAGACTGGATAAAGAAAATGTGGCACATATATACCGTGGAATACTATTTAGCCATAAAAAAGAATGAGTTCATGTCCTGTGCAGGGACATGGACGGAGCTGGAAACCATCATTCTCAGCAAACTATCACAGGAACAGAAAACCAAACATCTCATGTTCTCACTCATTAGTGGGAGTTGAACAGTGAGAACACATGGACACAGGGAGGGGAACATCACACACTGGGGCCTGTCAGAGGGTTGGGGTGCAAGGGTAGGGATAGCATTAGGACAAATAGCTAATGTATGTGGGACTTAAAACCTAGATGACAGGTTGATGGGTGCAGTAAATCACCATGGCACATGTATACCTATGTAACAAACCTGCACATTCTGCACACGTATCCCAGAACTTAAAGTATAAAAAGTATAATAAATTTTTTTAAAAAAAGTAATTGTGGTTTTTGCCATTACTTTTCATGACCAAAACCACAGTTACTTTTGCACCAACATAATATTCCAAATGGAATGTGCCAAATGTTGATTCTAAATATTAATATTCCAAATTGAAGGAAACCCTGAGACAGTATACTTCCATTGTGCCACATTTAACACATGGATTAAGAAATGTGGTTTGTTCTTATGTGCAGAAGTTTTAAATTTTCATGTAGACGCTTCCATCAATTTTTTGTTGCATGTAATTTTTAAATTATCTTTATCTCTGAGCAGCATTTTTCTTCCTGAGATCAAATTAAGCCATTCTGCTCTGTTCTGATTGATTGATTATTGACTATGTTTTACTCTCTCTTCCCTCCTACCTTCATCCCTCCTCCCCATTATAATTTCTAATGCTGGTTTCTATTTACCAAAGACTTACTATAGAGCCAAGTATTGCCCTGAGAATTTTACATCTTATATCATCTACCCACCAGCCCTGCATATTATTATTGTTCTCATAAAAGTTAAGAATTGCTCAAAAGTGTTATGAAATTAAGCAGATGTATTTTTCCAGCCCAAAACCTTTGGTCATAACTATTATGCTATTCTCCCTTATTTGTCGTTGGTTGCTTTTGTTGTTGTTCATTAAAAGATTTTGTACTTTTGGCCAATAGCTCATTTCAAAAATATTGAATTGTTTATTTCTATATCTCTAAACTCTATAATAATATCCTAACATATGGTGTAACTCAGGATGCCATGAGTTGGAACATATAAATCTGAGAGCACAGCTTCCTTCACAGAACACAGCAACTGTCTTTCTTTACATTGTTGCTGTTGAGGAGTTATTTTAAATTACAAGAAATTTGGTATTGTATCTTTCAAGGTAACCTGTTTTTTTTCCCTTTCAGCTTGTTCACAAGTCTCATTTCCTAGCTCCATTTCCTACATACATGCAGGCCCCAAGGTATACTAAGTAAGCAAATTATGTTGGCTGGTAGGTGTTCAGAAGTAATTTTGAACACAAATGATTCCTGTTTTAGCTTGAACACACTAAATGCAAAGATTCTTCAGATGAGAACAGCCTGAGTAATGGCTCACTCAGTAACAGACAATTCTTGCACTATTTGTCTCAAATGTTGACATGGCATTAATGCTGCTATGGAACTAGATTTTTCAAAATATCTGTGACTGAGAACTGGACAAATTATCCTGTTTCAGGTCTTGGTATAGGTGCACTTAAGGGCATGCATCTGTCTTGATGTGTCAAGAAAATGTCCTCTTAAACAAGGTGTGGGAATTCTCACCAGCTGGCTCCAGTAGGTTGTGGGGCAATAAGGAGGGTGGGAGAGATGACTTGGCATGGAAATTGGTGCAAAATCTGCAGTGCTAATAGATAACAGCTGGAGAAGGTAATGAGTCATTTTATGAGGACGAGGTGAGCCGTGTTTGTGCCAGGTCCGGGGACCACAGTGGCAAATGTGGTACAGACGGCAACCTCAGAATCCGAGAATTCTAATTAAGGATGAGAAAGGAACAGGGCACTGACAGGCTGTCAGCAGAAGAGCAGAGCACTCCGACCACAAAACCACTCGGAGGTTCCCACTCTGTCTTTGCTCTTTCAGAGATAATAAACGGATCACATTTTTAATTCCTGCAATTTTAGGGTAAATTTAACCAGCAATGGGCATTCAGCCCAGAAGTGGCAGCATAAGTTAAGAATTTTATTCTTGATTTTTACAGTCCAATGTGTGTACACAAACACTCTGCTCCTTGCCCTGGTATCTATGGAGTAGCAGGACTTTTTTTTTTCACTCTGTTAAGAAACACACACACACACACACACACACACAAACACACACACACACATTATTTAAATTGCAGAATGAATATATGCAATGCAGCATTTTAGAAGGAGTCCAAGGAGTTGGAAAACCACTGGACATCATAGATCAGAACTCTTGGCAAATTGTAATATTGCAATTTCAATAAACTCATAAGTTTTTCCTTCCCATTCATCTTATTTTAGTGGAGGCCTCATACAGCCATGAGAGCCTCATGCTCTTTGAAATGAAACTAAGGGGCACTCTAATCATAGATTGTTGTTTCTTCCTTTCTCGCTTCAAACACCAAAAAAAATATTTTATGTGCTAGTCAGCTCTTTCAGTGACTTTCCTCTATGACACCTTAGCTCTTGTTGAATCTCTATATAGAAATAAAAATTATCAATTAGGCCTGCATATTTGTCTTGCTAGAATTATACTTTCACCTCTTTCAAAGAAATAGAAGATTAAATATGCAGCTTTCTTATAAGCACGTGCCTTACAATGATGTTGAATTCAATCATGGGGTTGGATTCAGGAGTTCTTGGAATACAAACAACTATGAACAAAATTACTGAGAGCTCCATTCTCAAGAAGCCAAAGTACCTGTTTAAATTATTTGTGCATAATAGTGATGATCAACCTTAACAAAATTATCCAGGTCTTTTAAAACTCCAACCAATCAATGATAATTTCTGTTTTGTCTAAGAAAACTTGTGAGAATAAAATGAGAAATTAAAAGGTAAGTCAATACTTTCTATGATGGAATACTTAAAATAACCAAACGAGATATCTTATATATGTTGTTTGTTCTCTTGCATTGTTACAGAGAAAAAAATGAGACATCCATGATCCATAGTTACCAAGATGGAAACTTGTGTCAAAGAATAAATACTCTTCTCTTCTCCAACAATAGCCACATTCTGAGGATTTCACAAAAAAACAGATGTTATCTCTTTGCTGATTTTTCCCTTCCTTTTTCTTGGCATAATTGTCATAGTGATAATTTCAATGCTTCTCTCTGTCAATGACTTCTAAGTCAGATCCCTGATTTTGTCATCCAGAATTCAGCCTGAATTCTGTTACTCCAGTATATTTTCCCATGACTATCCCTCTATCACTTTGGTCTCAGTAAGTCTGAATTCACTTACAGACAACTTCCAATGCAGCACCGTAGAACTGTATTTGTGGCTTTCAATGGTGCCTCCCTTCGCCAAGTCATTCAATTAGAACAATTTATTCTTTCTGTTAATTCCTTTTCTTCATATATTGGACATTATCAGAGTTAAAAGGTGCCTTTGAGAATATTTTAGTGCAGTCTGCTACAAATTCAGGAATCTCTTTCAGAATGTTTCTGATAGATGTTAAAATAACTTGCTTTAATTGCACACTTGCAAGTATTAAAAGATAAAGGTTTTTAAAGGTAAAATCAAGACTCTCATACAAATATAGAACAAATGCACATCTCAAAAATTTTATTTAACTCCAGAATTACTGAAGTCACCAGTAAGATATTATAATTGATTCAAAGTGACTCTCAAAGAACCACACATTCTAGGCAAATCTAGAATGCTAAAAAGAATTTACACGTACATCCAAAAGGAGTTATAGGGCAATCATAATTTAGACACCACAAATTTGCACTGCAATAGACAAAAGTGATTTGCATTATTTTCAGTTTTTTTAATTTACGTAGTTACAAAATATCTCAAAGACAATAAAAGCTTGAGATACCCAAAAGGCTGCATCACACAGGATAGCCAGTGGCTTTTGTTTTGTTTTGTTTTGTTTTTGTGTTTTCTTTTGGTCTATTTCAAAATATTTCACAATTTTTCTTTACACAGGTAAAAATAAAATTGTTGTGAATAGGCCATTTTCTTTTTTGACCTCATACTGGCAGAAGGTTTTCCTAATACAGAAGTAAAATGTTCATTCCTATAACGTTCCTCCTTGTTTTTTATGACACCTATTAGGGTAGCTCAAATGATTTTAGATTCTCTGAGTAATCCTTCAATAAATGCAGGCACTATTTGTCCCATATTTCCTTCCTTTTTCTTTGTTAAATATTGTCAATTTTTTTTAGCTTTTCTTTATATAAGACATTTTTCAAACATCTAAATACCTGAATTAGTCTCCTCCTCTTGACAAGGTATAGTGTTCTTGTGTGTTTTACCCATTTCTAAGTATTAATACATAGACGTAGTGGTTCTGCACTGAGAAATATTCAGCAGATTAATGGGATACTTACCTGCCTTGCTTGGACATTGTTTCTATTATGTAGCTTAAAATTATAAGACCTAATTTTAAGAGAGAGAGAGGATCAGTTTTGTCTATAAGCATAGCCTTACTGATACACTGGTCCAAACATGTTGTCTAGTTCCCTTCTCTACAAAACAATAAACTAATAACATGTACTGTGCATTGAAGATAGTAATGACCCATTGGGATCACATATTAAACTTAGGAGATATGATACACCATACAATTAAAGGTTATTTTTAATATATGTATATCTATGTCACACAACTTCAGTATATGCTGAAATAAACATCCCTAAACCTTTTATTTTTTCTTCCTCCCTTCATTCATCCTTTCTTTGCTTTCTTCTTTCCTCCTTTCTTTATATGAGATTCCTGACAACCGGCCAGCTTCATGGATATACAACCTGTCTGGTTGCAAAGGGCCACATACTTAGAAGGACCCCACCCTTATTTTAGCCTCTTGTGTCACAGTCTTGAGATTATTCATACTCTTTAAACAAGGGGCCCTGCAATCTATTTTTCCCCAGACACAGCAAATTATGTAGCTGTTCTTTCTTGCCAAATAAGGTCTATGCCATCCTATTCACAAACAATTGATTCCTTGATAGCTATTCTTTTCTTCCCTTCCCACACCTACTGAAAACACTTTAGAATAGGTTTCATCCCTTTCCAACCAGAATGAGTGAGACACCAGCTGCCTAGCTATTCACCTAGCTATTCACTCCTCCTCTAGTTTTTTTGGCTCACAGAACCCAGTTAATCCTTTAATATACTTTTTTCATAATACCACTTTTATACTAAAACATCAAGACAATACAAGCTCTAAATTTTGCTGGAAATGCTAATAGTAATCTTTTCCTACCCTCTGATTTGCCCTTCCTTAATTCTAGTTGCTCCTTCCAAATTTTATTTTTAATTTACATGGCATCATCACTAAACCAAACCATGAATATCTTATAAAACATCTTACTTTTCTAGCATCTTATGAAATTCAATTCATTAATCTAATTCTTCAACTATTTAACAAATATTAACTAAACAGGTGCTTGGTGGTGAGAACTACTCAATTAATGGCAGCAATGCAATGGAGAAAAAAACATACTTGGTCCCTATCCTCTGTAATTTACAGCTTAGAAGGGGGGACAGTTTTTAATAAGTTATTACTCACTTGTGAAGAGTGTCATGAAGGAATAAAATTGGGGACTATAAGAGAGAATTAAAGGAAGCATAATTTGCCTTCTGTCCTTTGACTATTTAAACCTCATACATAGTTCGAAATACAGAGAAGCAGCTGCTTCTTAAATGTAGCTTCTTGTTTCTTATTTTCCTTGCTTACAGTATTTAGTCTGCTTATCCAATTCAACCCTTTTGCATTAATATTTTATTTCTTGCTTCCCCAGTTAGATTGTGGTCTAGACTATGCCTCATATGCTTTTTTTGCCCTTTAAGGCTCAGCTTAGCTATTACCTTCTCTAGAACCCTTGCCTTACTATCCTTTTCTCCGACCCTGAACATGTATATATATATGTACATATATACATACACATGTATATATATACACGTGTATATGTACATGTATATATGTATCTATACACATATATATGTATCTATACATATATGTATCTGTATAGATACATATATGTATATATGTATCTGTATAGATACATGTGTACTTATATATGTACACATATATATATATATATATATATATATATATATATATATATATATACACACCTCCATTTTTGTGCCCCTACAGCACTGAGTCCAGGATATCCTAACTGATTACTTAGACTATTTTATAGTAATCTGGTTTCTTCTTTTCGTCTCTCACTATTGCATTATTTCCATTTCCATATGATTTGACTTTCTTTTATCTCTATTCCCAGTGCTCACCATGGCACCAGGCTCAGAGTAGGAGATACTCATCTGCTTCTGAATGGATGAAAAGGTGATTAGTTCTACCAGGCCTGCTGTGTCTCTGAATTTAAATATTGAGGAATAATCCAAGTGATGGTTGCAGAATCCTTATGTCGTAGTGACTTATTACTAATTACAAATACTATGATATACAAAAAAAATAGGAACATTTACACAATTAGAAAATAAAATCCCATTCTTGGCTAGGTATCTGACAATATTCTCTAGAGACAGAGTAGATTTCAATTACAGTTAGGGTATAATGTATTGTTATTGTTCCTTCCATTACCAGCTAATTTTTTTAGAGTACCTCTGCTGTGGTCTGGGATGCCTTTAGTAGGGTTTGGGATCACAGCTCCCTATAAGTAAAGATATAGAAAGTAGAAGTATCCTGCATATGTATCTGAAATATAGGTAATTCATTTCCTGATGTAGGGCGTGGGACACTTAGGGTTACAATCCTGATGTATCTGGAATGGCCTTACAAACCATCGGAGAAGGAGGAGGTAAACCTCACATACCTAATTAGCATCAAAATCTTTGCATTTTCTCCTTTGGTTTAAGGTTGCCATCTTGAGGGGAGGAGGGAAGATCAGGGATAAGTTATTGGGATTTAAACATTTATTCAGACTTTCCTCACCATAACAACCTTTGATTTGGTAATTGCCTAGCACCCATAGCCAGGTTTTCTCAAAGTTAAATACATGAAAAGTAGATCATTATGATTTCATTGGCAGAATCTGACCACTATCTACATAGATTTATTTTATTTTATATCTTAAAAGAAAAATAATGTTGGTAGTTATTTTGTTTTAATGAGGAAATAACTCTTAGCCAAGATATGACATATGTCTTTAAATATTTAAGGGCTCTCACATGGAATAATTATTTTAGTTTTACTATTTGACTTCAAAGGGGATAACTAAAATCAATAGATGGAAGCAACAGGAAGCTAGATTTTAAGACAATACCAAAGAAAGGGAACATTTTATTAGTTAAACATACAAAAATGGAATGCAACTGATTCATGAAGTATTAAGTTCTTTATACATGGAGGTGCTCAAATAAACATTGGTTATGTAAGCATTTAACAGGGCTATATGTATTCATATGCATCTCTTTGGGCAAGATGTGTATTAACTGTTTGCTAAGATTTCCTCCCACTCTGACAATATTTCTGTACCCTTTCTCCAACTAGTGAAGGCTGAAGAACCAGTTTCTTATACTATGAACATGGCAAACACAATGGTTCTCTTGGTCATTCCTATGCTAGTTCACCCATGACCTGACCCAATATCAGAATGGAGTTGTCCTACTGCAGGTCAGCTGCAGTGAGTTAGAAAATCGTCTGGGATAGAATAAGCACTTAATACATGTTAGCCATTATTACTGTTGTGGTTTTTGTTGTTGTTGTTGTTGTTGTTTGCAGGGAAGAGCACATTTCCCAAGCTCTAACTCTTCATTTACTCAGCTGGATCTGCCAACACAACTGAAGATAAGACTGTCTTTCTATTTTGAAAATTGACACCTGAATGCAGAAATTAAATGGAGTGATGTAAAGAAAGAGTGATGGGTTATGTTAAAATGAAAAGTGCACTTTATGGTTTATGTGGTGTTTTTATATCCCTTACCTCATTTGTGATTTTTCCAGTAGCTTCAGGAGATAGGTCAGGAATTATCATTCTGTCTCTGACATGAGAAAATGGATAGCTAGAGTGGCTGTGTGGCATCCACAAAGTTACTTATACCCAATAGTGCGGGATTTTAAACACATCTGCCCTCAGATAATAAATCCAGGGCTTGATGTAAAATCTAACCATCTACATAGCATATACACAAACAACAATGGTGTGCCATCTCTAGTTGGTGTTGATGTCTTAATTCCTCAAAGTAGATGCAAAGCAGTCCTTGGTGGGTAATAACTTCAACCTTCTTGAGAACAAAGATAGTTTTGTTGATAAGTGAACACCATTTCACTCCTGGCTAGCGAGAATAAGACTACAGCTTTTGCTTTTTGTTATAAATAATGGTCCTAATCATACCTTGTGGGAACTACTACTTTAAAATGATAAGGCTGAGACTTGATACCTTATTCCAATTAAAAAATAGCCTGAGTTCAGAATAGCACACACATAAGTGATGATTACATTTTTTCCTTTCCCTTACTATGGAAGAATCCAGGGGTTATTTTAGTATCAGGAGAACCATATTTTTATAAATGGACTTGGAAGCTAAACATACTTTCTCTTCAGTTACCAACAAATTTTGACAAGTGACTAATGCATCAGGCTCCGTCCTATCAGTTTTGTTTGCTCTTTCTCTTGTTCTTTGTCAAGAGTCTTCAATAAATTGATTAGTATCAAAGGGAAGATCTTAAATCTTGGAGCTTTTCTTTTTGGAACCTTTTAATTCAGTTCCTGTCACACCTTCCTTTGATTTTTAAAAAAATCTCCCCTTAACTGTTCTGGGATCTCACTGCTGCTCCCACACGCCTAACACCCATCCCCTCCACATTCACCCAAAGGGAGACACTGGGGGAGGCAAGTGTATGGAATGTCTTTGCATTTAGATGCTGGAACTCTGACATCATCTCTTTTATTCATAAGTTTATTCAACACATATATTCTGAGCACCTACAATGAGCCAGACTCTGGATATGTAGAGATAAATTAAATCTACGATCCCTCTTCTTATGGAACATATAATTTAAAAATGAATACACACTTAAATAAATATATAATTAAGTGTATAATTAACAATTGGAAATGTGCTATAAATGAAAACTACAGGATGATACTAGAATAGGTCAAGTTTTTTATTTTGCCTTTTTTGTCCCAACATTTATGTAATGGAGTTCTTAACTCATTGCTGGTTCTTAATTAATTGCTGAGAAAATTAAATCACACAGTGTGAGTGAGTGCTTAGTATAGTGTCACACATATGCATTATCCTTAAACAGTATCATTATTGTTCATAAAAATCAGTTTCTCTTCTTCACCAAAGGATAGAGACTCTCTTTTTAGGCAAGTATTAATTTTATCAATGAGTATTCTTTGGTAGTTGTTCAACTTAATTATAATCATGATCCATTGTAGTCTTTAAAACTGATAAACATCATACATATTTCTTAATTATACTTCTCTGTTCCATTATCTCAAGGTTTTGTTTTCCTTCCAACACCCTCACTTCATGAAAATAATAATCAATAAATTAAGCTTCTTGGAATTTCCTCTCATTTCTAATTTCTGCCATAATGGATTTTATACACTAAGACTTCTATCACATATTCAAGCATAATTGTTTTTGCGGGCAATGCTTCCTGTAATATATGGGTATTGATGAGTTTTCAGGCATATTTTTCACTTGTCCTGACAATCTATCAGTTTGGCATTTAAAGAGCAGAGAGGATGCTTCAGATCTGCCAAGATCAATGACTCTCATTCTCATGACACAGTGAAATATATGGCAATTTCTTTCCTTTGTTTTCACTTAATTTCAGTTGTGTAAGTAGTATTTATTTTATTTTATAAAAGTAATTTAAGTCTTGATGATAAACTTTGCAGCAAAAATTTGATTTATAAGTAATTGGATTGAGATAAGAATGTCCTGATTATTCTATTCATTCAGTGAAGCATAGTAAGTAGGATCTGGGGATCTGAAGCAGAGTTCCTGGACCAGGCCAGGTCTCTACCGACTTGGGAAGTGGGCATGCAGCATAAGCTCTCTGAATGTCAGTATCCTCATGCAGAGGATGGAGATGAGAACAACACCCACCTCATAGCACTGTCATGAGAAATGTCAGTTACATGCCAAATGCTTACCCCAGCACTGGGGTCACTGAACATTCTATACTTATTAATGATTACTGTTATATGTTCCAAAAATGTTTATGAAACAACTATATTTGGCAAATCCTGTGCTAAGTGTAAGTATTCACTATGTTAAGCTTTTTGTTCAACTGCTATTTTTGCCTTGGGCCACTTGCTTTCTCCACCTCAGTTTTTTCCTACAAAAATGAAATAAAATAAAACTCAGCCATTCATAAGAAATGGTTACACTTGCTTGGAGAGGATTACGTATATTGCTCCTCTACAAAGCTCAAACGTTTTCAAGAAGTTACTTCATCTTCCTTCAAATTCGCACTTTTCTCCCTCTCATCACTATCAATCTTTCTTTGTGTGAGTGTGTTCCTTCCAAGTTTTTATTCCAGCACTAAAGTGTAGTGGAAAGAAATCAAGCTTTGAAGGTTGACAGACATAGGATTGAATTTAGAATTTTCCCTCACTGGTTGCATGGTCTTGAGCCACATGTCTCTGAGTCTGAGCCTTGCTCTCTCTAAAGGGGGAATAATGCCAGCTAATTGGTTATTTTGAGGATTAGTAATAATTGTAGGTGCTCAATTAATTTCCTATTTTAAATTAATTTGGCCAATTTGCTCTCTATACTCTCTAAATTTTCACTTAATTATATTCTGGCTTGTCAGTTTCCTAAAATCTTAATGTGTGTGTATTAGATTTGGCTTTAAGTTTTCGAAGAATGATTCTGTTATGGTATGCAAATTCTTTATGACTAAAATAATTTTGGTAAATTTGTACTATAATTTAGGTTGAGAAATTAGTTGCCCTTTATGAATTAAAAAATTAAAACCTGATTACATTTTTCTAAATTAATTTTGTTTTCAAAAGGGAAACAAAACTTTTAGGTCTGAGATTTATGTTTAAAAATGTAAGCAACCTAGGAAGAAAAAGACACTCATTTAACTTTATTCTCACTGAAGTATAAGCGTTAATGGGAGAAGGAAAATTAAAATGAGGGTAATGATTTTTCCAACTGCTCATGTAAAGGCAGGCTACCTCAAAGGTTTGGTTGTAGCTAACCATGGGCTATGCAGATTGCTGAGCAGTAAATCCTTGTTTACTTGTAATATAAATCTTATGTTATTATTCAAATTAAGTTCATTGAGTGCCTGCTATCTGCCAGGCATTGTGGAGACTCATGAGGATGAGTGAGGCATGTTTTATGTTCATAAATAACATATGCAAGAAAAGAACAGAAATTTTACCACACACAAAAAATCTTATAATGAAATATTTACATGATGTTCTAATTCAGTAAACTAGTTTTGACTATCACTATGTGTAAGAAACTTCTGTGTGTCACTGAAGCACCATCTTGATTTTTCTCGAGTTTATCATGTAAAATCATCTACTCATTTGGTTTCTTTCTTTATCTTCCCTGCTTGGAACTCAGAAGAAATGGGTGAAATAAAACATTTTTATAATGGGCTTTGTTCGGTATTTCAACCATGAAAATTTACCCTTTAAACATAAATTTATATTGGAATTGCATTAAAATATTATAGTTTTAAATGCTGATGTTAAAACATTTTCCCTAATAGCACTTATTTTGTGAAAGGCAGAGTATATAATCCTGGTATTTTACTATTTAGCTAGTTCCTAGGACTTCTTTATGACTATTCTCAACCTTAATAGCTACCATTTATTGAGCACTTATTGTATGTCAGATCCTGGAGTAACTGTTTCATATATATATTGCCTTATTTAAGTATCACTTCTACCTTATAAAGTAGATATTTTAATCTTAATTTTGCCCATGAGGATCCTGAAGCACAGCAAGCCTAAATAACTTCCTAAATCCACAAAGCTAGAAAATAGTTGAGTTGGCCTTGAACTCAGATATTTAACTTTAGATTTATCAGATGCTAAAATCCTTGGCTCTCAACTCTGTGTACAGTATTAGAATGCACTTACAAATTGTTCATAATGCTTAATTTGTAAAATCCATTTTTTTAAGATGATGGATATGCACTAAAATTCACTTTTGGTTTTACTGAGGGCGGTTTTCTTCAAAGGGGAAATGGAAACATTATAAGCATGGACATGAGTCTGATTTTGCATTTGAGTTCTCTCTTACCACTTAGAATTAGGGCAGTTGTGGATTTTTAGTTAAAGGCCCGATTTATGAGCATTGCTAGTGTGAGAAAGGCAATGAGAATCTTTGAAACTAAAAATGCTATGATCTAGGATGGGTGCACACACTAGTTTTAACATATTTGATCCTCTTTCTTCTCATTCTTCCCAAAAGACTACTTCATGCTTGAGTGACTAGCTAAATGTAAAATGGAGACTTCCTAGTTATCTCAGGAGGGTGCATTTTCATTCCAGATGTCCTGTTTGCATGCATTGTGTCCAGTGTTCATAGTTTATTTATAAGTTGGATTCATGGATTTGTGTTGGAAATGTCTTTGTTTGAAAAGGTATTTGCATAAAGAAACATTTTAACTCAATAAATGGAAAAATACTATTCTAATATGTACACAAAAATCTCAGGTCACAGAAATTTTTAAACTTGTATTTCTGATCCTATTTTTTGTGCATAATACTTTCAGTAATGATTATATTCACTTTTTCTGAAGATAGAATAGGAAGGGCAATGATGGGGTATTATTAGCATTTAAAGTCTAAAGTATATTTATTTCTATTATTGAATCAGAAAATTAGGTTAAAAAAATTACCAACTCATAAAATCAAAGTCCTATTGTACTCCACTTTCCATCATACTAAACCACTTACCTCACCTCAAAAGCAAAAGGAAGGCAAAATGCATCTTCCACTTTCCATTCATTAAGTCTTGAATATTGAGTGACCAGGGTCAGTGGCTAGATGAGTAGCAGAGCATTAATGTTGGACATCATCCTGCCCAATGCTTGTCAGATGACTTTGAATATTACCTAGTAAGTAAGAACATATATTTTACATTATAGTACAGCACACACACATGTACATACTAATTGTAATAAATGATTTCAAAAATATGTTTTACCTTTGCTATGTGTCATATTCTCTGACAATATCCCATCCCATTCCATTCCATTCCATTCCATTCCATTCCATTCCATTCCATTCCATTCCATTCCATTCTATTCTATTCTATTCTATTCTTCTATGCCCTATGTAGTCTATTCTATCTTTCTATGCCCTATGTAGTCATGCCATTTTATTCTTTCTTCTTTTAAGTTTGGTCTCGACTCATCATTAAATTGGGTTCATGACCCATTAATGGATCATGACCTGGAGTTTGAAAAACATTCTGTGTAAATAGGGGGTATTTGTAAGAGGTTAATAATTAAGACAATGACAGGATCACATGAGTTTGACCAAATGTTTAGTATGAACTGACTGAAGGAGGCAGTTCTTCAAGTGAGAAGTGATGAGGGACTGAACCAAGCTGTGATAATATAAATAATAATGCTAGTCAAAATGTACTGAACAATGTCTTTGAGAATGCATTATGCAAAACTTCATTTTGGGTATATTCTATGATTTAAGCCCTTTAATAACTGTGCAGATACAATAGGTACTATTTATTATCTTCATTTTACAGATGAAGGAGCAGAGGCTTTGAAAATACTTTTCCCGATTCTACAGAGACTTGAGACTGGCAAAGTCAGAATTAAAACCCAGATTTGCATGACTGTAGCCAAACTCTCATCCGTTACCTTCCTATCTTCTTTACCTCCCCCCGAATATTGTGGGTTTTATTATATAAGGATCAATACGTTTTGTATGGATCCATAACTTGCATCCAAAGAACATGTCTATAGTCTTTTCCAGATGTTTCAGAAGAGGCCATGGAATTTTCCTAAAAAGGAAGACATTTTAAATGTAGAACTGTGAATTTCTTAAGTTGTCAATTCCCTTGAAAATAACAGACCTCCTGCTTGTTTGTTTTTATGCCGTTCCTCTACCAAGGTGCTTGTTTTCATTTTGTTTGGAAATATAATGATGTTTCACCTAAACCTTTCAGAAATGGAAATATAATGATGTTTCACCTAAACCTTTCAGAAATAGATACTATTTCCTTTGCAAGGCTATACTTAATGTCATCAAGTGGAGTGACAGAGTGAAATGCAGAAGATAAAATAAATTGAACATGCACTACAGTTTATAAGTTTAGCTTAAGTTGAGTGTCAGCTCTCCTGGATAAGCTCTCAGCACACTCATTGACTTGGGTCATTTGTTCTCTGAATAGGCTGACATATCCTTACAAAAGGAGAAATGCTAGCAGCCTGGCTTTTCTCTTCCATTCTTCGTTGCAATACTCAGGAAAGGAAATCCAATTTCTGTATACCATGTTTTTAATGGCTCCCCTTGACACTGTATAAGGTACTTGTTGACTAAATGCCTAGATGATTTTCTAGAGGAGAGGGAAGTAAGATTGGGCATTTACCATCTTTGATGTAATGGTGTGCGTTAAATGTGTGCATGGTATGCATGGCAAATGTAAAAATATTTGGGAGAATGCTGAGAATGATCATTTTAAACATTTGTTTACTTTGTATGAAAATTTTTGGATAATCACATAAAGGAGAGTGTTTTCTCCATGCCACCCTTGGGCAAATACAGTTTTGATGCAACAATATTCGGTAGTATACTTTTAAAAATATTTTATCTAGCTGATATTAAGCAATCCCATCAAGGGATTCTTCATTTTGTAAAATACAATTTTCTTTTAAATATCTTGAGCAAAACTTTCGTATACAAAGAAGGCTGGCTTTAAAACAAGACATATCCAGAGCTAAATGTAGTTTCTGTCACCTATTAACATTGTAACCTTGTGTTTAAATGTTCCCAGATGAGGTGTCTTTATGTGGAACATAGGTCAATAATACTCAAACGTGATAGTATTAGTATCAAAGGAGATAGATAAGGCCTAAAAGAGTCTCTGGCTCAAGGTCATGGCTCAGTAAAGATTCATTCCTTATTCTTTCCAAACATGAGAACGCATACACTGAGAACCCTGATACTGTTTAAGTAGTCTAGATAAAATTCATAGATATGGCTAGTAAAATTCAGTGGTATATAGACATTACCCCTTAACTACACAAGTAAATATGTTTTATTTCAACACATATTTGGGCACCTATATTACAACTGGAAATTATATATTTAGCTGTAGTTAAGGTCCATTGATAATTCTCGTTGTAATGTTCAATGAATCTCCCTACTTACCTAAGCGTTCTGTGAAAAACTGAGTTTATTGGAAAGCATCCAAATCAGCTAAAAAACTACTCTTCAAAAGGAATTTTTACTGTGTTATATATTCTTGTTCTGCTACATGAGTCAGGATAAAGGGAAACATTTAGTTAAATAAAGTTTTTATCTCTATGCTAAAAGGCAATTTATGGAGAATAAAACCTAGAATTACATTGTGTTCAACTGTACTGAATTATCCATTTACTCTGAGAACATGGAGAGTATCAGTAGTTTATTCTCAGTAGAGTACAAGGGTTTTCAGCAATAAAAAGCAAGGTGTTTGAGGGTAGTTGCTCCCAGTGGGTAAATGCCTCCAGAATTCTGAATGTAGAGTTATGATGAGAAACAATCCATGGGAGGATAAACAAATGCATGAATGGATATATAGAATTTAATTGAAACAGCAATTAATAGATTACATAGCAAGCAGTTTACAAATAAGATATAAATAAATAAGATTAAATCAATTTTTAACATGGCACAAGGGAATCTAATTAGAAGGAAGATATGCAAAGGATATAAATAATATTCTTAATATATTCTTCTGGGATGAAAGAAATTTAATAAATCAACTTTTCCCCACAGTAGTTTTATTTATTTTGGATGAACTCGTAGGCTCATCTTGTACTTGTGTTCTATTCAAACAGTACTGTGGCTTTAAGTGTGTTTTTCTGCATTATCAGAAAATGCAAAATACTGTGCTCTGGCTTAGTGCTGATGTGACCTTGGTTTATGTTATACCTACGGGAACTGTCATACAGCAGAGCAGTGGGTTTTTATGCTTCTTGGTTTTCACCGCATAAAAGATGCTTTATATGAAGCAGTCTTAAATCAGTTGATCTCTTAGAATCTCCAATGTCAGGTTCTTTAAGTTGGAGACAAGAAACAAACCACGAAAAAAATTTAGGCTTCTATGAGCAGAAACAAATGTTGAGTAGTAGCGTTTATTTATTGACCGAGTCTGTCATTCTACTGATATTTGTTAAGCACCTGCAGCATGCAAAACAATTGGTCTCTAAAATCCGTATGCAAGACAAATGTACTTTAAGAAGGTGCAATATCACAGAGAAGGACTGCCCCTGAGTTAGTCCAGTGTGGGATGTATGACCTTCATGCTCAGAAAAGGTCACTGTTTCTTTAACTGAGTACAAGACGAAGTCATTTGCTTGCCCTCAGTTGCCAAGAGGTAGAAGAAACACATGTGATTAAATACTAGCATTATACTCGAACTGGAAGAAACTCACATTCTATGAGGTCCCAGGGGTTGAGATGGCACGGATGAGCAGATTTGCTTTATTCTAATGCAGTCTTGGTCATTCATCCACTGAGTAGAAGGGTGGATGCCATATTTAAATTATTTAAAATTTCTTACTTAGTCTCTCTTATTTTCTCTCTCCTGCTCCGTTTTTCTTTTTCTCCTTTGTTAATGCCCATGTTTTGTCATATGTCTGGAAACAAGCAAATATTTACCTGAGCATATAAAAACTGGGCTTTAGAAGCAGACAGACCTTAGGTAGAATTCAGGAGAAATTCACATTTAGCTAGCATGAACTCTTTTTTTTTTTTTTTTTTTTTTTTTTGAGACGGAGTCTCGCTCTGTCACCCAGGTTGGAGTGCAGTGGCGCAATCTCGGCTCACTGCAACGTCCGCCTCCCGGGTTCAGGCAATTCTCTGCCTCAGCCTCCTAAGTAGCTGGGATTACAGGTGCCCGCTACCACGCCCGGCTAATTTTTGTATCTTTAGTAGAGACAGGGTTTCACCATGTTGGCAAGGCTGGTCTTGAATGCCTGACTTCGTGATCCACCCACCTCGTTCTCCCAAACTGCTGGGATTACAGGCGTGAGCCACCGCGCCCGGCCTGAACTCTTAATAATCTACACATTAGCCAGAGTGAACAAATAGTTTAGTTTTTCTTGCTTCTAAAATGTGGATAACAATGTTAAACTTGTGAGTTTTCTAAAACAATTCTCCAGAATATATGTAAGAATAGTAAAGTGGCTGGCATAAAATGAATACTAGTAAATGATGGAGAGCAGGATGTAGCACATGATGACAGAAGCAGAGACAAGCAAAAGAGAAAATACCAAATGATGACACCAGGAATGAAAGGTATCTTCTGGACAGAATTTCCAAATAGAGGAAGGAGCTAACTAGGTGGTCAAGGCAAAGAATGCCAGCTGCAGCAGAGGAAGCAGAGTGTGCAACGGCATAGAGGCACCAAAGAATATACTGCATTTATGGAATTGCAGTTTTTTGTTTGTTTGTTTGTTTGTTTGTTTTTAAGATGGAGTTTCGCTCTTGTTATTCCGGCTGGAATGCAATGGCGCGATCTCGGCTCACTGTAACCTCCGCCTCCTGGGTTCAAGCGATTCTCCTACCTCAGCCTCCCAAGTAGCTGGGATTACAGGTGCCTGCCACAATGCCTGCCTAATTTTTTGTACTTTTAGTAGAGAGAGAGTTTTGCTATATTGGCCAGGCTGGTCTCGAACACCTGACCTCAGGTGGTCTGCCCACCTCAGCCTCCAAAAGTGCTGGGATTACAGGGGTGAGCCACAGTGCGCAGCTGGAATTGCAGTTCTAAAAGTAATAGAGGGCAGAAGAGTTGTGCAAGGCCAGATCATGAGGTGTCTTGCAATCTGCAGCCTCTTTAGAAATTGGCACAGAGATTACTATTGCTGTCCAGTTAGAGTCAAGGGTTTTTCAGACAGGGGAAACTCCTTAGGCTGAAGTCACAGTGTAGCATCCAGGATAGCATATTCAAGCCCAAGTAAATTTCTCTTAGCTAAATAGATTTGGTAGGTTTAATACTATATATGACTGGAAGATAAGTTGGTATTCATTTATGGGGTGGTATTTATTAAACTAAAAAAGAATAGGTAAAACCACACAGGGTATGCACCTATTTAATTTTTTTATGAAGTTAATCATAAAACTAATGTTTTAGGAAGAAAAGATATGCTCAATAAATAATAAATTCTATTACTATTATGAGTGTCATTATATGATAATGGAGCAATCACAAAGTAAAAATAAAATAGAATAGTATTTTAATTAACCTAATTAAGTCTACAGTGGTTAAAACCTTAAGAAGTTTCAGTTGAATGTACTGTTTGAAGAAATTAGCATATTAATATAAGATAATTATTATCATAGCACTTCAAATGTTATGAGGTCAGGGTTAAGAGCAAAAGTTATTATGAATATTAAAGAAAGTAATAAATCAATAAAAGGAATAATTTAAATTACTTTGAAGTCTTCTAAACATTTAGCAATTTGGATAAATGAGTAATCGGGGACTTATACCTCACATCCAAAATATATTTTCATAAACAAGTTTGGACAGCATATCAAATAATTCTGAGTGCACTCAGCAATTTTAGGGCATTGATTTTTAGTCAGTATGCAAGCGAGGTCTAATGTTTCTACTTTGGTATCCAAAATTTTCAAAGAAAATTTAGATTTTTTTTCAGTAACAGGATATTTAAATGTGTTTTTCGGCATTAGCAGAAAATGCAAAATACTGTGCTCTGGCTTAGTGCCGACGTGACCTTGGTTTATGTTATACCTACGGGAACTGTCATATAGCAGAGCAGTGGGCTTTTATGCTTCTTGGTTTTCACCCCATAAAAGATGCTTTATGTGAAGCAGTCTTAAATCAGTTGATTTCTTAGAATCTCCAATGTCAGGGTTTTTAAGTTGGAGACAAGAAACAAACCACTAAAAAATTTAGGCTTCTATGGGCAGAAACAAATGTTGAGTAGCAGCATTTACTTATTGACTCAGTCTGTCATTCTACCGATATTTGCTAAGCCTCACACAATAGGCCAACTCCTGTGAGCAACAAACTAAAAAAATTTTCAGTTGTTTAACCAAATAGTTTATTTTCTTGCTCACCTGTGAGCCCTAAGAAGTATACGCAAATGAATGGCTCTCTTCCAAGTGATGACTTAGGGGACCAAGCTCCTTCCATCTGATGACTCTATCATCTTTAATATGGGATTTTCAAGACCATTCTAAGGGTTGTCTGCATTGGCAGATCATATGCAGATTTGTATGTGACTGTTGGAAGCTGACATTTAATTATAATTTTCTTTTGAAATAATATAATTTGTGATACTTTTCATACTATCAAAGCAGCATCTGTCTACCTATTCCATAATTAACTATTGAAATAAATTTGGTTTGTTATAAACTATCACACGAAGATTGCAATATAAAATGTGATTTAAATATTTGAGAATGAGTCTCAGTATAGTACAATAAATTCAGAGATGAATGTAGAATCTTGTGAAGATGACAAATTATGCAGATAACAGAAAACGTGTATCTAAATAACTACTAAGAAGTTAGCTAAAGAAAGAAAAGGAAGAGGAGGAAGAGAAAAGAGGAAGAAGGGGAGGGGAAGGAAAAGATAAGGAGAAGGAGAAAAATAGGAAGTATCAGCAGTAAGGTATTGGACATTATTCTCATTCAATAGCCCAGTTGTTCCTTAGGTATAAGAAATAATAGGCAGAAACATTTTCCTTCTTATGTTCCTGAAAATCCAACCCCTAATGTAGGAACTATTGAACTCAATTCAAAATCAAAGTGATGTGCCCTAAACTTTCCTATCTCAAAACCTCCAAATCATCTTGGACTCTTGATTCAAGTGTTCTGTCTAGCCTCTGATGTACTTACTTCTACTTATTTCAAGTGACTCTTAGTTTAAACTCCATGGCTACCCAGCTGTCACCTTTGTGACTGACCTCCCTGAAGTCAGTTTGAGGGCAAGATCACCTCCTCTCCCACAGAGGCTGGAGTCAGCATAAGTGTTTACAAGTTATGCAGTATTGTACAAAGGATCAGTGAGATTCTTCTAGAAAATATGTTGACAAACTTTTAAAAACAGTCATATATAATGACATACACATTACATAATTCCATTAGTTCATGGATATTTTTACTAAATGCAAAGCTACATAACAAGTGAGAGTGAATTGGTATAAAATAGATTTGGAGAAAGTTGTCAGGATAATAATAGTACAGATAGTTCTCAGATTCTCAAAAATGGTAAAAATTAAAGACAGAAATACTGGGAATGTTGAAATAAGGCAAACTTGAGAACAAGAGTAGTAGAGAGACTAGGCATAAGACATTATTTTGTTGTCAAGATACTTTCTTTCTGATTTCACTCTGAAATCTAGTTTTAGCTTCTGTTAGTCTTGGTTCATATTATCCAGCTCTTCAAGTGTACACTCTGCCTTACACTCTCAATTTGAGGGTTCACTATTGACTACTAAAGACTATAGTCTCCTTCAAATCTGGATCCTTCTTTAATTTTTCACCTTCTGCAATGATTTTAGAATTTTATTTTATTTATCACCCCATTTAAATAAAAGGCTGCCGAACATCTCCTGTAAGTATATAAGGACTCCGTTTCTTCAAAAGAGGGGAATCTTTTTCTATTCAAATAGCTTGGAAACATTGATTAAACCTGCCATATATTAAGGCCACAAAAACCTCAATAAATTATTTAAATATATAAATATAGAACACTCTCTTTGATCTCTATACAAGAAAGCTGGAAATTAAAAACAAACTGAAAAGAAAAACGCCAGTTTCACCTGGAGATTTTGAAAACTTGCTCAAAGGCCCATAGGTCAAAATGAAAATGAAAATGAAATTGTAAATTTCAGGTACACGATAAACTTACAGAAAACAAATATTAATTTTTTTATTAATCTAAGACACCACCATTTGTAAGATGCATGGTTCTCTTGTGTTCATTAACAAGAAAATTTCTGCCCATAAACCATGACTCAACTCTGTTACAGTCGTTAGAATTTTTCTCCTACTGTGACACTAAGTGCATTAGTATTGCAGCCTGAGTTGGGAGAGTGCTCCACTATTATCTCCCAAATTCTCTTCCAAGCCGTTGACACCCATTTTGAAATTTTTAAAGGTAGATCTTCTTGGAAAGTGTTCATAGAATATTTTAGATCAACAAAATAAAGGTATTTGAAACAGTAACTAAACTTAGCTTTTCAGCATCAATAAGGCACATAAGCCAACAGGAACAATGTCCCAGTCTATCCAGTTTCCAACATTAGTTATCAGCTATGTCAGGACTGTAACCTGGCTGATAATCATTGGAAATTGATCAAAATGGAGCGTAGTGTACTAACATGCATATCATTCACCCCTAGATGAAGATATCTCTTAATTCTAAAATATGTCATAAGTTGAAATGACCTTAAAAAGTTGTGTCTCAGAATAGATAAAATATAAATTTAGGTACTAGAGAACACAGCTAAGGTATTGCTCAGAGGAAAATTACTGGCCTTACATAGATGAATTAATAAAATGGGAAAATTTAAGTGAATTAAGCAATTAGGTTCAAACTGTTAGAAAAGAAAAAAAATAAATCCCAAGGAACGAGAACAGAATTAATAAGGGTAAAACTAGAAATCAATGATTTAGAAATCTGAGAAACAATAGAACACAAATACAAGATAAATAAAGAAATATCTAAGGTGCTTAAGAGAGAAAAATGGGGAGCATGAAAACAGAAAATTAGGGAGAAACAGCCACTGATAAAAGAGAAACTCAGTTTCCCTCAGTCATAAAGTGGGGATAATAAATTCATGCTGATTCATGTAGTTTTAGTGGATTAGAGTTCATACATTTAAAGTTCCTGGTACTGTGCCTGACATATTGGAGATACTCACTAAGGTCAAGTATGAGTATCACTACCTCTTCCATTATTGTTGCTGCTACTAATGCTACTACCGCTAATGCTATGACCATTCCCACTGTTTACCACTAAACAGTGGTGATAATAATAACATGCCTGGGATGATTCTGAATAGCTGAGATGGACACTAATACCTAAGTCAAGGAAAGTTTGCTGAAAAGATGAAGACCAAACTGAATCTTGTAGTACAACTAAGAGATAGGGAAAAGATCATGAGAGAACAGAATCCACAAAGGCAAGAAAAGAAGGATGAGACCAGGTGGAATGGCTCACGCCTATAATCCCAGCACTTTGGGAGCCAGAGGCCAGTGGATCACCTGAGGTCAGGAGTTAAAGAGCAGTCTGGCCAACATGGAGAAACCCCATCTTCACTAAAAATACAAAAATTAGCTGGGTGTGGTGGCACATGCCTGTAATCCCAGATACTTGGGGGAGCTGAGGCACAAGAATCACTTGAACTCAGGAGGCAGAGGTTGCAGTGAGCTGAGGTCATGCCATAGCACTCCAGCCTGGGTGGCAAAGCAAGTCTCAAAAAAAAAAAAAAAAGATGAGAGATCTTTGTGGATCCATGCATTTTTTTCAGCAATGTTGCTATATAAAATGTGCATGGAATGGTGTTTAGAAGGAAGATGATGAGAAATTAAGTGACTGCATGAATTAGGATGCATATATTAATACAGTAAGGTCCCTTTTGACCAAATTGGGAGTTTTGTGGTTTTTATTGGCTTATCTACATGATATCCTTTATAAGAGCTTAAAAGGACACATCCTGGGTTTGTGTTTTAAATTTATTTTACCCTAGAATTTGAACACGTTACAGGAAGAATACAGGAGGCCATCATAAACTCTTCAGGCTGAACAAACTAAGTTTCCATGATGTAAAATAACAAAAATAAGCAACACATTTTGTTAAAATAGGAGATTCAAAACTGGTCCTATCACATCACAGAGCCAAAACACATACTTGCCTGACTATTTGACAAGTAGCAGTCTCTTTTAGAAATAGATGTACTTCTGTGTACAGATATGTACTTATATATGATCTGGCTATTTCAAATGGAATCCCCAGCAATCAGGATGTGAAGTAGAGCATTTGGTTATAGTAATTTCTAAGTTAGGCAGTTCTAAGTTTAAATTCTATTTTTGCATCTTATTTGCTAGGTCTATAATATATATATCTAAAATACCTATACTTTTGGAAAGTTACTTTACATCTCTAAGAATCTGTTTCTTCAATGAAATAGTGTGCCATACATATCCTATGAGTTTGATTAGATAATGGGGTATTAATGTAAGCAAAATACTCAGCAAAGTGCTTGATAGATGTTATTAACATTGTTATGATCATTTACCTTTTTCTAAATCATTTTGCATTTGTGTGGACACTCCCCATTAAATCTTAAACATTTATCAGAGTTTGCAAGCTCAGGATTTTCTGTTAGTACTGTCACATCTCATGACCCCTGGGCACCTTCCTCCTCTGAGCAATAAGTGTCTCTTCTGCAAGCCAGATGAGTTTTCATTTAACTTGCCTGCTCATCTTCACCTTCCTCTTCCTGCTTTCTGCAGTGAAACTGATGGATATGTGCTTCTGCTGATCAGCTCAGTTAACACTTGCATAATACCTTGGCAAGAAAATGCTAGTTCACCTGCTGCTTATTTATGTGGAGGTTTTGTCTATTGCATTTTTGTGTGTAAGATAAGGAGCCAAACTCTTAAGACTTAGGAAACAGAGCAACTCCAGCCTACAGATTTGCATTTCTGCATTTAACTATCCTTTCTTATAAACAGCTAGGATCAGGTCTGCATGGATGTGCAGGCACATCATTATTTTGCACATATGCTATAACAGCTGGGGCTGTTCTCACCCAGATGCGCCCTCTGTGAACTTCTTTGTGTCCACTCCTGGTAGACTCTTCTGTTTATGGAATTTATATTACCATAATTCTCATCACCATTGCTCAGCCTGTCATCTCAGAGGACTGTGACAAACCTAAAGAAGTGAGAAGGCGGAGAAGTAACACTCAGAGGGGATTATAAATGAACTGAACGAAGAACTTAGAGAAATGGCTCAAGCTGCCAGGTGGCACTTGAGTCTTGAGGTGACCTCATGGATGACAATATTTTGAAAGGAGATGTGAGTCTAGATGTCCTTTTCTCAAACGGAGAAGCATGTAATGCTTAAGAGAAAGAAATCTAGGGTCAGACTTGAGTTTGAATCCAGGTTCAACCACGTCGAACCAATATGACTTTGACCAAAAGATGTACTCTATTTGATCTTCAGTTACTTCCCATATAAAATAGGGAAAATAACAGCTGCTGTATAGTGTTGTTTGGAGGGTTCGATGTGATATAGGAAAGTGCTCAATTTCTGCTATATATTGAGTACTGGATAAACATTGTAATTATGATAATGATGACAATGATAATGATGAAAATGATAAAATAATAACTTTGACTATTAGGAAAAGTGAATCTATTCTATAAACCCTCTGAATTAATGTTCCTAATCCATTGACATGCTTCAGACTCATTTTCAAAAGCCACTGATATTAAACATGATTTATTGAGTTATATATCCTTCTCCCATATGGATGCCACAAGTTATCCAGAATGCAGTTCTAGGCTCCTGTCCTCCCTTTTTAGACTTATTTTCTACTTCTTCCTATATTACATGCTTGATGCTAAGGTTAAATTAAATAGTCTACAAACAGCTATTGTATATTTTGTTCACGTTAACATTTCTATCACCTAGACCCATTTCTGACCTACATCAGGGAATCACCATTATTGACCAAACTGTCCTTTTCCATTCCAGACTCTTTACCAATGCTCAGGGCCTTCAGGAAACGGGAAATACCTCCTTTTCACCCTGTTTCTTTACATTAAAACCTCTACATCTCTGCCTCTTTTACCTGTTGGCTATTAGTTCCAAGTCCTACCGCTATCCACCACCTACTCTTTTCTGAGAAGTTAGGATTAAGGTTCCAAAAATTACATTTTCCAGACTCCCATTTTCAGCCATCTCTGGGTAGATTTTGCCAGTAGGAAATGTGGACAGGAGGTGGAAGTTGGAAGAAGGATTCTTTTCTGACTTCCAGGTTGGGTCTCCCTCTCCATTTGAGGCAGACAACGATGGCTTCAGCCTCCAACTTCCTTGACACTTCTAGCCCTGATGTCACTTTACCTGAGTGGGGGGAGTACCACATAGCCCACCCCCATTCTCCCAACACACAGCAGAGCCCCTCTGAGATGTGTAAAAAAACAGCCAGGCCCCCTCAGTGGTCTAGTATGTGTGAAACAATGGCTTTTTTTCCCTAAGAGGTCCAACTACCAACTGCAGGGAGCTTCTCCTTTCAGATTCGTTCATTCTTTCTTTTTTTCTCCCCTGCTGGCCTGAAGAATGGTAGCAACTTCCTAAAGCTGTTGAGCTCTGGGTTACATCAACATCCCCAGAAGCTTCAGTCTTTAATCACCCGAGTAACCAATGGTCAGTATTAAATAGACTTTGTCTAAAACACCAGACTCTGATTAATAGAACATCCTTCAAGTTTCTTCTCAAATGCCACCTCCTTTTCTGATCCCACAATGTATTCTTTTTCTCTTTTATCCTCTCATAGTGCTTATTTTTATATCATTTTTGAATTTTACCTCCTTTGCTATGTGAGGAAGCCCTTTCTCAGTTTTTCTAAAATGTATCCCAAGAATGTCATGAATCCTCAAATTCATAATATTCTACTATCAAATTACTAAAGTTCTGTACTTTCTTTATAATTCTTTCACTAGCACTCATGGTAAGCAGTTTTAGAACAGGGCTGTTTCCTCCTCAAGAAGCAAAGTTTTTCTATTATTTTCTTTCAAGTGTTATTATGTTGAAATATTCAACAAAATCTGGGTTTACTTGTCAATCAAGCTTTTTTTTTTTTTTTTTTTTTTTTTTTTTTTAGAATATCAGTGTCCTAGTGCATGGGACTTAAACATGTCTCAACAAACTTGTAGACTCCATTAAAGCTTGTCTTAGTTTGTTAGAGCAGCCTGAACAAAGTATTGCTAATTGAGTGGGTGGCTTAAACAATAGGAATATATTGTCTCACAGGTTTGGAGGCTCAAAATCTGAGATCAAGGCATCAGCAGGGTTGATTCGCTCTGAATGCGGTGAGAGTGATCTTACCCATGCCTCTTCCCTAGTATCTGGTGGTTTATTGACCATTTTTGACATTCCTTGCCATGAAGAAGAAGCATTACCCAGAGTTTTTCCTTCATCTTCACTGTATTAGTCAGTGTTCTCTAAAGGGACACAACTAACAGGATAGATGAATATATGAAGAGGATTTTATTAGAATTGACTCACACAGTCACAAGGTGAAGTGCCACAAAAGGCTGTCTGCAAGCTGAGGAGCCAGGAAGCCAGTCCGAATCCCAACAACTCAAAAGTTGGGAAGCCCATAGTGCAGTCTTCAGTCTGTGGCCAAAGGCCACAGAGAGCCCCTGGCAAAGCACTGGGGTAAGTCCAAGAGTCCAACAGCTGAAGAACTTAGAGTCTGATGTTTGAACTTAGGAAGCATCCAGCACAGGAGAAAGATGGTGGCTGGAAGACTCAGCAAGTCTGCTCTTTCCATGCCTGCTTTTATGCTGGCAGCTGATTAGATGGTGCCCACCCAGATTGAGGGTGGGTCTGCATCTCCCAGCCCACTGACTCAAATGTGAATCTCCTCTGGCAACACCCTTACAGATACACACAGGAACAATACTGTGCATCCTTCAATTCAATCAAGTTGACACTCAATATCAACCATCAGGTTCACACAGCCTTGTCCCTGTGTATATGTCTATGTCCAAATATCTCCTTTTCATAAGGACATCAGTCATATTGGTTTAGGGGCCCACTTTACTCCACTATGACCTCATCATAACTAGAAATTGCTTTTGCAATGATCTTATTTTCAAATAAGGTGACATTCTGAGGTGGTAGGGATTAGAAACTCAACACATGAATTTGGGGTCCACCAGGATTGTCACTTATTAAGTTCACACAAGTCTACCATATTATAATACGATTTGAATTCTATTTATCCTCCCCCTCAAAACCTAGTTTTGAAAACAGGGCAATATTGTTGCACACTCATGACTCTCTCCCTCAGGGCAAGTTATCATGGGGAATATTTGTTGAATTAAAAACTACATAGCAGCGCTGACTATGGCCATAAATATATGCTACTTATTATCAAGTACTGTTCTGGCTCCCCTTCTGCGTTGTGAACTGTTTGGGACTAGGAATCATGTGTTTCTGCCCCACTGGTACCTAGAAAAATGTTAAGCTTTGAGATGAGGTATGAGTTATCACTCACGCTACTTGATAGAGAACTGATTCCTCAGGATACTCAATATTGTCGTGACTACAAAGTAACTTCCATCCTCATCCAGTTTTCAGTTTATATTAGACTATTTGGGTGGGGAATGGAAAGGTATTGTTTTTAAAGTTATATTCCCTATCCTGTGGTATTTCAGATGGTTTATGTATTTTAGTTATCTTTGCTTTCCCTGGCTCTAAGCATGATGCTGGCTATATGACATGTTAATTAGGTTGCATTGTACACATCAGAAAATCCAAATAGTGTTAGCTGATACAACTTAGTGTTAAATTTTTATTATGTATACTAAGGTTTTTTGTTTTGTTTTGTTTTATTCTACTAAGATTGGTGCTTGTGTCTATTCATGAGTTCTGGCCTTTACAAATTCATCCAAGAAGCAAGAAAGAGGGGGTGGCAGGGAGGACAATGGGCCCCCTTCCATATAAGTCTAGACCCCTATAAAGAGGTCCTCAGATACATCAGCCAGTGGCTTCCATTCATATCTCATTGGCCACCCCTAGCTTCATGAGAGAAGGAAAAAATATAGGTATGTGTATATATACACAAATGTACACATATCTATATAATATATAGATCTACACATATATATTTATTAAATTGGGTACTTGCTAATCTTAATAAAATTGTGGATTTGTTCTTAAAGTAGAAGCAAGCATATATACCGGGCAGGGAATTAACTATCTTTGTCATAGTGATTATAGGAGATAATTAATAAATGCTGGTTGTTCATAATTGAAGTTTATTAATTTGACTTTTTAAAAATATAATAGGAAATAACAGTTTTCGGTATTGATAGTTACCGTAATATAAATGAGGTTGTTGGTGAGCCTGGCAGTTCTTTTCTGATTTACACAAATCTGGCATTACACAATATAGAGGTATTTTGATGTGTTACCTTTTGCAGTTTGGCTTTATGTCCTGTATGTGTGCGAGGCTGCATTTGTGGGTTCCTTGATGTTGCAGTCACATATGACTGTTCCCCAGCAACTGATGTCTGGTTCAATAGGAATCCTTTGACCTCTCATCAGGAGTAAATCTCTCAATCCACCTGAAATGGAAGCTCTAAGTCTTCTTACTCCCAAATGTCTCTAAGTATTGTCTCTTCCTTTCTACCTCTACTGCCTTGTATAAGTGTATTAGTCTGTTCTCACATTGATATGAAGAACTATCTGATACTGGGTAATTTATAAAGAAAGAAGGTTTAATTGGCTGACAGTTCCATAAACTGTACAGGAAGCTTGGCTGGGGAGGACTCAGGAAACTTACAATCATGGTGGATGGCGAATGGGGAAGCAGACATGTCTTACATGGGTGGAGCAGGAGGAAGAGAGCGAAGGGGGAGGTGCTATAAACTTTTAAACAACCAGATCTCCTGAGAACTCACTCACCGCACAAGAATAGCAAGGGGGAAGCCCACTCCCATGATCTAATCACTTCCCAATAGGCCCCTCTTCCAACACTGGGAATTACAATTTGACATGAGATTTGGGTAGGGATACAAATCCAAACCATATCAATAGGTCTATTCACCTGTTGTCTAGAGACTGTGACACTGGTGTCCTGACTGGCCTCTTGCCACCTGTCTCATCCCAGACCAACTCATTCTTCACACTATTGCCAACATTAAATTAAAAATACTTTCGGCTCCGCCCTGTCTCTTGATTGTGGAATCAGAGGGATCTCACAATCCAGTTCTCAGTGACATTGACTGTGTTTCTTTACCTGTTCCTGTATGTGACTGTTGCTCCAACAATTCCTGTCTCCCATTAGTTTCCCTACAGTTCTTTGCTTGCTCATGCTTCCCTGCTTATCAGATACTATTGTTTCTACTTAGAGCATCCTTCTTTTTTTGTGCTATCTGGCAGATAAATTCTACTTGGATATCCAGAGCTGCTTGAAACATCACTTCTCTTTAAAGCTTTCTTTGATTTGGTCTGGCAGAATCAGTCACCAGTTTTCCCCATGGTCTAATCCCATTTTATATTTCAGCAATCTCTTTAGAGCTCTCTGCACTCCTCATTTTTCTATGAGTTTTTCAAAAATAAGAGCTTTAAATTACTCAACTTTTTATATACTTTCTCCTCTCCTCACCCAACACAGTGCCAGACACAGAGTATTCTGTAAATGATTATTGAATAGCTATAAATCTGTAATGAATGTCATTGCCAATCAGTTGCTTTAGGTGAATGTTGTAGGAGATGGTACTATGTGGATGTAAAACATGAATAGCCGTATGACACAAATAGTTGCCATTTCAATGTACCTATATGCCAGGTTTGAGGCTAAATAGTTCACATATTTATGTTTATGAAAGTTTGAAACTACCCTACAGTATTTGCCATGGACTGAATTGTGTCTCAAAATTTGTATGTTGAAGCCTTAACACCCAATGTGATCATTTTTACAGGTGGGGCTCCTTGGAGGTAATTAGATTTGGGTGAAATCATGAAGGTAGGGCTCCCATGATGAGATTAGCACTTTCGAAAGTAAAAGAAGGGAGACCAGAGATCACTTTTTCTCTACCATGTGAAGATATAATAAGAAAGCGGCCATCTGCAAGCCAGGAAGAGGGCCCTGACGCAGAATGGCATTAGCCAGCCCCTTGGTCTTAGACTACTCAGCCTCTGAAACTGTGAGAAACCAATGTCTGCTGTTTGATCCAACAGGTCTATGGTATTTTGTTATGGTAGCCCAAGCTGATTAACACAGGATTTTTATCTCCATTGTATGCAACTTGCCTTGGGTCACTCTGCTAGTAAGGGAAAGCTATGGTTTGCATATTAGCCCCCAACCCAAACCTCATGTTGAAATTTGATCCTCACTGTTAGAAGTGTGGCCTAATTGGGGGAGATGTTTGACTCAAGGGGGTTAGATCCCTCCTGAAAAGCTTGGTGTTGTCCTTGTGGTAATGAGGGAGTTCTCCCTCTGCTAGTTCCCTTAAGAGCTATTTGTTAAAACAGAACCTGGCATCTCCACTCTCTCTCTTGCTTCCTCTCTCACTGCGTCACCTCTGCACACACTAGCTCCTTTTTCCCTTCCACCATGAGTGGAAGCATCCTGAAGCCCTCACCATAAGCAGATGCTGGTGCTGTGCTTCTTTTACAGCCTGTGGGAGGGTGAGCCAAATTAACTTTTCTTTATACATTACCCAGCCTCAGGTATCTCTTCATAGTAACACTAAACAGACTAAGACACGGAATTACAAATTTTCTCCACATTTATCTGAATTATAGCTATGCTCTTAGAAACACACTCTAGTGGCTTGCTTTTAAGATCATGGGCATATGTGACAATGAGCAGAAGACTGAATGTAAAGAGCAAATAGAAGGTCCCCCACTTATGATCCTGGGTCATGTGCAAAGGAAGTCACATGTTAGTCCTCCTCCAATGTGTGAGTTCTTTTCCACCTAGGTTAAATATTTAGTCCATTGAGGAGTGGGTGTTGGAGGGCTGGATAGGTGCACATGAGAGCTCATTTCTGAATCTTAATTCCTCATTAAATCCATGGAAGAAGGACAACTCTGTTCAACTTCCTACTTCCCATTTGAGAGCAAGCACCTCATCTTTGCACTCAACGTGTAGTTGAAAGAATGACATCAATGGAAAAATGTTTTAAGTTACAGAAATAAAAAGAACCACAATCTATTTTACAAGAGAATAATAGAGCAGGATGTAGGGGAGATCCGTGGTTTTGGAGTCAAGTAATTTTTGTTGTAATTTCAATTTTCTAATCTATCAATGGATATAATAGCAATAATACTCATATCACAACACTGAGATAGTAGATAAAAACAATGTCTTAGATATATTAATTGCTTAGTAAAAAGGTATATGATTATTCAAGATCTTCTACTCCTTTTAAACAATTTACGTGATTCTTTTAGTTAACTGAAGAAGTGAAATGCATTATATCATGCACTCAAAACAGGCAATAGATAACCCTAAACCTTCAAATCCATTATCTCCTCCCCTACTTAAAACATGTTTTCTCATCTGAGATCCAGGTCCTAGTGTTTCCCAAGACCCAGTTCAAATAGCGTCACTTCTACTTTCCCTCCTAGTCCTCTCTCTCAGTCAAAATTATCTTTCCCTGTCTCTGAATTCTCTTAGCATTTGAACTAAACCTTTCTTATAGGACTTAACATATTTTATGTGTCTCTCCTACTGTCATATTTGAGTACTTTTTCTAAATTATCTATATATTGAGTAGTAGCTCATTAAATATTAGATTGGTAAGTGATGAACAGAGCACCCATTCATTAATTTAGCATTTTGGAATTTTCGTTGCCTATCATATCTGTTATCCCATTTGATTTTCATATAAATTGTGGAAAGATATGTAATGCAAGTAATGCAATTCCCAATTTGAATATAGTAACACACAGAAAGATTAAGCAATGTTAAGCAATGTGTCAATATTCACACAGCAAAGGAGTTAACAGACTTTATGTAAAAATTTGACTTTTCTGATTCTTCTTCCAATGCATGTTCCATCATCATGTTTTTGGAGAAATGCTTCAAACACACAGAAAGTTTAAAACATTAAGTTGAAGGAAACCATTTGTGTTTGAATCATTTTTTAACATATCCATTCCTTCTGCCAATATATACAAATGTGCTTGTGGGAAATACCTATCTTTAAAAAAAATCTAGTAGTTATTAGCATTGCAAAATTATGGCCCTATGGAAACTGATCCTTTAGTTATAACATCTGTATTATTTGAATCAAACATATTTAAAACATCAGACCAACCAACAGAGAAGTAATGTTTTTAAAATCCTTTAAAACCTAACTGACATTAATGAGAAATTACAATTTTAAATGCATTACCCTTGTAAGATAAATCAAAGGTAACAGTAATTAAGATAATTGCAAAAGATATTTTGGGTTCTGTGTATTTACGCGAGTGTTGAGAGGTGGAATATAAATGTGAAAGTATTTTTGTTCACTTTGGTATCTTAAGCTTGAAATAATTTTTAGGTCACAACACTTTTTCATATTTAGTTTAAAATCTGGAATTTGATAACTCAATTTTAAATCCCTGCGTGTGGACAAATTTTCCAATTTTATAACATAAAATACTTATTAAAGAGAGGTTTGCTTTTGTTGTTGGCCTTCTAGAAAATATGCAGTTTACTACAGTTTTTAAAAAAAGTTTTTGTTTTGGTTAAGAAATTTTCCTCATTTCTATTTAATATGCAATAAACATGTGTTCTTTATTTGGTTCTGATAATAAAAGTCATCAAGTTACCACGAAATTCCCAAATGTTACATGTTATTTTGTTGGAGGCATTTAAGCATGAATGTTTACTCGGCATAAACAATTAGCATAGTTAAAAGTGATTCCCACAAGCTATCCAGAAAGAGGTGAAGGGACCATTTAGATGTAATGTGCTCATATGTGCATTCTTGGTAATGGCTCTTTAATATCAGTGGTCAATGGCACATCCACCTCGGTAAATTAAATGTTGATGATAGTCACTTAAACTCTAAGCATTCATTCTGACTCCTTTAGAATTGCTTATATGTTTTAATAAGTATTTTGGCAGTCTTATGTATCCCAGGGTTCAGCAATTTTTTTTTTAAATTAAACCTTTGGTTTATTTGTTTTGTATTCAAAAATGACTCTTTCATAGTTGTTTTCATGGTGAGTGAGCTAGTTACTAGAATGTCTAAAAAGGGCAGAAGAAGGCAAATGGAGAGACAGAAAGGAAGAGAAAGATTTTGCTACTTGTAGATCCACAGTAGATGACCAGAGGATTTTTCTCAAAATTGGATAGTTTCAGGAAAAGTCCCAGAATTCTATACCCTGACCAAGCTATAATCACATCCTAATTGTCTGTCCTTATTGCCACAGTGTTTTCATTAACCAGATCTGGGTCATACGTTTACCTTTTGAGCCAGGGCACAGGGTCCTTCTCATAAATGAACAATGTGGAAGGCAATGTGATTTTCCAAAAAGCAAGGATAGGTTCTGTTATCCAAAAAATAAGTGATTTATGAACGATTAAAGGATGTAATGTATGTGAAACTCTTACTGCCATCCCTAGCAACTAGGTAAATCCTCAATTACCATGCATCTATCATTCTTTCCTTAGTAAAGATGGTAAGTAATTTAATTGCCTTAACAGCTTTTTTTAACTTTTTTGTCTGATTTTTTTAGTGGAAGACAGTATGCATAAAACCGGTCCACTCCCCAAAATAAGGAAAAACAATAGAACTGCTGCTGCCCACCATCATTTAAATGGCCACAAGTAAAAAGACAAGTCCTATGAGTTGTTTCTGAAATTATTGTTGAGGGAAATAATTAAAAATTTCTGAGTTACCATTTAATCTTTGGCCTTAAATGATCAAACAGAGTTGTCTGTCTCAATGCTATCTAAGGAAATTGTAGTTCCATCCCTTCTATTTTTAGTCTTTAATCGGTTCTCCCTTAAACTCCCTCTTTCTTTTCTTTCTATCAGGGAAATATATTGAAACAGAAACAAACTTTTTAATAGATTTTATTGTTCACATTGGAAAATGCGTGGCAAAAAGATACTTCATTCTTCTTTATATTCCCACTAATACCCCCAAAAGGTCCTGAGGACTTTGAAGCTCCCCTAATGGAAAAGGTTATTTCTTAATAATCTGTATTTCTTCAGCTTGCTCCAGTACATGTAAGTAATATTAAAGTGTGCAATCCAGACTCCAGCTGTGGCAAAGCAGAACACTCCATGTAATGAGCTCTATTATTTTTCCCCACGCAATTTAATAGCCCAATAACTTTAATACCAAAAAATGTTTCTGAGACAAGTCAAAATGTGGTTCTAATTGTATTGTTTTATTTTGGCAGCATTGATTTCTTTCCTTTTAATTCTGCAGTACAATCTACTTGCTATCAACAAATACAAGGCCTCATTTTTCATTTGTGGAGGCACCAATCTAAACATCCTAAAACAGCACACAGTATTGTACTTGTTGGCTGAACCCTCCTAGAGGGTTACAGAAATTAAAGTTTGCTATCTTATTTGAATAATCATGAAATATGCCCAACTTTATTAACCTCTCCAAAGGAAGGGAATCAAGTCAATCAGCAAAATAAATAAACCCCAAATGGTTTCATTGCTGATGCATTAAATGATATAATGTGAGGTGGTACTTTATCATTTTTATATCTTAATATTACAACAGTGTTCCATGAGTAAGAGCTATATATGCTGAGTTTTCCAGGTAAAATAAAACCTTTGCTCAAGTCACAAAAAGTTGCTTAACATAAATAAAATCTTGCTGCTGAAATAACTAAGGCTATTTTGTGGTAAGTGCTAAGATTATTTGGCTTAGATAATTTCAAGTCTGTAGTTTTTGTAAAATGAGCTGTATTTGTGAATATTTAATTTTCTGAACTTTGATCTATAATAGGCACTTACATGTTTACGGATACACTTTAAATTTTAATAAGGCTCAATTGCAAAAACAGCTATGGTCCATTTGCTTCAAAGGCCTTTAATCAGAGTTATGGTAAATATGTAGATCCAATAATCTGAAAATCAGATGCAGAGTTCATTTTACAATTGGAATGGCCCTATGGGAGATGATCTTAAAGTTAGGAACATTTTGCATCAGGATACAAGTGAAACAAAGTTCAATTTAGGCGCTTGTAAAGTATCATTTGAAGCCCATTTGCATTTACACTATTTGCTTATTTTTAGAATATATATGAATTAGTTCTCCAGGGGGAGAAAAACAAATGGCTATATACAGAAAGAGAATGAAATATTATCAAAGATGCATCATCTGATTACAAAGGGGAAAATCAAAGTAAAATGAAATAGATCAAGTAAGGGCATAAATCAAGCAAGAGGAAATAATTCCATGAGAAATGAATAAATTAAAAGTTATCCACAGTGTAATTAAACTGCTGAACTAATTTCTTTCTGCAAACTTAGATATTATTCATGTGAGAGAATGGGAGAAAGAATAGAAGTAGTAAGAGATACAGATGATAAGCCCTGAGTTTTAGTTCCATTTCTGCCCCTAAAATATCATGGAACCATCGACTAATAATACATTTTTTCAAATTCTTGGTTTTCTCATTAGTAAAATATGGTTGATACTTTCTCTGCATAGTCTAGAAGGTCTGTATGGTTGACATTAATCATTTTCTTCCTTCAAGACCCCATAAGTTACCACCTTTTCTCTGAAGTGGCTTTCCTGGCAGAGTCATGGTGTCTTCTGTTCTTCCATCAGCAACCTGTTGAGCCCTCTGTTATAGCACAAAATTCACCATGTGTGTCCTTCTGTATACTCCGAACTCCTTAAGGGACAGATGCCATCAATTAGTCCTTGAATGGGTCTGGGTATGAATACATACATGGTGAATGCATATATGGTGAATGCTTATACTTTCATTTGCCAGTACCTACCACAGAGCTTGACAAATGGGGGGTCTACAATATATCATCGAATGAATAAAAGCACTTTGAAACTGTTTCCACTTTGTGACTCAGTGTCCTCATTCAAATTGTAAGACTTGGATTAAATGAACCTCAAGTTCCACTCTAGCCCGACAGAGAGGTGATAATTATTATTATAATTATTTCCCCAATTTATTTGCTGATGATTATGTGGTACTTACTGGTCTAGGGCCTGGTATTCATTCCATTTGGTCATAAATAGACTTATTCAGGTGGCTGTTAATATCCCACTTTTACAGTTGAAAAAACTGAGGCTTAGAAAACTTGATTGTCTTTTTCAAAACAATGGCTAAGTTTATATGTAAATTAAGGTGGTTCTGATTCCAAAGCCTATGTTCTTATTCACTAGGTTACAAGGCACAAAGACCCTTATGCATTATGGGTTCAATTTAATTTTTTTGACTTGAAATACACTTCACAGCATGATGAAGCTCTGGTAACTTACACTATCAGAAAATAAATTTCCAACCAGTAGAAGAACTGCTAATACAGTTCAAAAGCTACTTGCCTCTTTTTGATCAATAAAGTCTTAACATTACAACATCCAGCAAGCAAAATCTACATAATCTTTGCTTCACATTTCAATTAGTCTGTTGTAATGGCATGGCTTTAAACAGGCAAGAAATAGTTATTTTTCTTTAATCATCACTTTGATCATTGTAACTAGATGCTCCTGATAGCCTTAGCCTTTGGACATGGATTTTTTTTCTTGTTAGTGTCACCTAATATGACAGAACTCTCTAATGAGACTAGCAATGTATAATTTCAATTTCTTTTGGCAAATTTAAATCCTGAAAAAGCACAGACTGAATCTCATTTATTTTGTTTTATTTATATATTTATTTATTTATTTATTTTTGAGACAGAATCTCACTCTGCCGCCCAGGCTGAAGTGTAGTGGCGTGAGCTCAGCTCACTGTAACCTCTGCCTCCCAGGTTCAAGCAATTATCCTGCCTAAGCCTCCTGAGTAGCTGGGATTATAGGCATACGCCACCACACCTGGCTGATTTTTGTATTTTTAGTAGAGACAGGGTTTCACCATGTTGGCCAGGCTGGTCTCGAACTCCTGGCCTCAAGTGATCCACCTACCTTGGCCTCCCAAAGTGCTGGGATTACAGGCGTGAGCCACTGCACCAGGTCCTAAATCCCATTTAAGGTAACAGGCATAATACTTGCAAATGTCCTAAATTCATACCAAAGCTGATTTGTAGCACAGCCCTTGGATGCAGTGTGCTCTCTGGTTTACGGGAAGTTTCTGGCTACCAACACTGCTGGCCACGGCACACCTCTCAGCTAACTTTTAAAAATCAAAAAGCACCATAACCACTTTTGCTCACAGTAGACTGTATTCAGACTCTCAGCCAGAAACCTCAGCATTAACCTCAATTTCCCTTCCCATCACCCTTCATTCGTATATCCCATGTACATTTCTTCATCTCTGGGGACAGGTCTACCTGACTACCTGTGGTAGAAGAATCCCCACATCTTCCTTCGTAAGTTGTTTTTCTATAGTTACAAAGCCCAGGAAGGAAATGGAAATCCCAGTGCCAGTGGCCTATGTGTATCAATTTAAATCATTTGGGAAACATTTGACTTTGGGTCTAAAATTGGAAAATTGAAGCAAATGCCTAGGATATTCTGCTGTCTCCAAAAGGCACCTTCATGGAAGGACCAGGTTGGTACCATGGGCCAGAGAGTAGATGAATGGGACCCAAGTGGTGTATTTGAATTCACTTGGGACCAGATTCCTACTCTCTCTTCCATAACCCCATGACGCATTGCTCTCTCCAGCTTTCTAATTTGAAGATACAAAACTGATTTTCAGGGACTTTAGAAAAGGACAATGTTTTCATAAAATCACCACTAAAATATTACAGAAGTCATGAGGTTCATCCATATACAGGACCAATGTTTTTTACATAGCCATGTCAAAGACTAAGTAGATATGGTGGCAATTTTCAGTTTTCTATTTTTTTCCAATATTGTATTTTACTTTTCTAATCTTTCTGGCCATTTTAATAATGACTGTGAAATAATGTGATTCCGGTAATATCCACGGTGGAAAATAGTCAAAGTAATTACATTATTTTTGTCACAGTATAGTCTACTAGCGATGAATATTAACTCTAGGAAAGTTCATCTCCGTAGAGCACTAAACTTTGTGTTGCAAAGCACTCAATATTTATTTAAGAGAAAACAGATAAAACAGTCACATGACGAAACACATTTAGTAAGTGCTCCACATGGTACCCACTACTGGAAGATATGCAATGCATATATTTATATTAAACATGGTAGTGATAAGTCCTACAGTAAAGTAATATGTTTAGTTTAACTCAGCATTTTCTTTAACAACATTTTTATATAGCTTTAAGTAACGTCTACTGATGCATTTTTGTTTTCTGGTTTTTTTTTTTTTTTTTTTTTCTGAGATGGAGTCTTGCTTTGTTGATCAGGCTGGAGTGCAGTGGCGTAATCTCAGCTCACTACAGCCTCTATCTCCCGGGTTCAAGTGATTTTCCTGCCTCAGCCTCCTGAGTAGCTGGGATTACAGGCACCTGCCACTATGCTTGGCTAATTTTAGAATTTTTAGTAAAGATGGGGTTTCACCATGTTGGCCAGGCAGGTCTGGAACTCCTGACCTCAGGTGATCTGCCTGCCTCAGCTTCCCAAAGTGCTGGGATTTCAGGCATGAGCCACAATGCCTGGCCTCTGATGTATTTTTGAAGTAGTATTCCATAGAAGATTCTTAGCAATAAATTGTCCTATAGAGTTATTTCAAGGTAACTAGAAGTTTGAGGAAGCAATAATGGCCAATCACTTCTGCAATCATCTGGTTAAAAGACAAAGTCCCATGTCATCCTTGAGAAGGCTAATCACTCTCATAAATTTGGTTTGCAATTCCTTTGTAAACCAAGAAGATAGAAGCATTGACTTTGTTGTTCATCTCTGAAAAGTAATCAACTGTGGGAATGGGGCAAGTCATTTAACTCCTCTAGAATGGATTGTCCTCTTCTTTAAATTGGATGTAGTGTTAACTGAATCATGTACCTAATATATTTGTTGATAAAACACATCATACAATGGCAGAACCATATTTAAAAATGGTCACCAATTATCATGATTGTTATAATTATCCCTAAATTGCTCTTCCAACTCGAAAGCCAATAATCTATGAATATTCCATAGTATTCTCAAAATCCATTTTTACTCAATTACAAAACACACATATGTTTCTCACCCCTTTTGTCGAAAGGCTGTTGGCTTTACAAATTTATCAAGCAAAATTCATTCATGTCAATAGGATATTGAGGCACAAAAAACCAAAAGATACTCTTTCCTTTGCAATATTTAGGATCTAAAATCATTCCAGGGTTAACCGAGTGTGCATTTTTCACAGCGCACAGCTGTGTCTACAGACACAGCTGGCACAGCATGCTTCCAGCCTCTGATGGACCAGCAAACTGGACCTGAATCTGGAGTTGAGATATGAACTCTGACAACCAATGTAGAATGACTGGGGACATGAGTCACAGGAATCCTAATTTTGTCTAGATGTGTGACAAGAGACTCTCACTTTAGATGCTCTAGATAGTAATATATTTAATATGTATTTGAAGAAAAGTATTTTTCAAGCATGACAAAGAAATCTACCTGAACTGGTTTTTATCTCCACCAGTATTTGAGCATATGTTTTGTTGAAAATGATTCAGGTATTTTTTTTCTATTTCATATCCAAAGATGCAACCAATTTTATTCCATATTCTTCTTGCCAGGAAGATCATGCTTTAATGCAGCTTCACATGCTCAACTTTGATGTTTTATTAGGCAAAGCTCAAACAAGAAAATTTGATAAATCAAGAAAATCAATATTTCTAAAAACTTTATTGCCCTGGAAGTCCCACTGAAGACCACAGCTGTTGGGTCCATTCATGCTGGAGTAATTGAAGGGAGCAAAGCAGACTCTTTTCACTGCATTTTATTTTTGTGGGATGGTTCACAGATTTTATTGATTTTCAGAACTCATGTGCATGACAAATACAGCATGGCTCAGTGAACTCAGTACATCACAGTTACGGAAGAAAGCAGCTCTCTGCATTGATGATTTGGCTTCTCCATTGCAGTGACTTGGAGGGTGACCTCAGACAGGTTAATGCAGCTTGCCCTGCCTCTGTGATCTCAAATTTAACACAGGGGAAAGGACGTACCACTATTTCGCTTCTTGAGGCATTTGCAAGCAAAGAACAGGCTAATAACTGTGTACAGTTCTAGTGAACTGTTAAAAAATGTTTAGATGGTCATTGTGTCCTGATGCTAATGTAATGCCTTTCTATAGGCTATTCATTAAATAACAGAAGAAAAAAGTCTATGTTTATTTAAATAGTGGGATGGAGAATATATAAACCCAGGCAAAATAAAATTGAATAGGACCAAGATTCACTCATTCATTTAACATTTATTCAGTACCTAGTGTGCAGTGTGCTAGTTTCTGGTAATATGAAGATTAATAAGATTTACATGTGACCATAAAGAACTGTACAGTCAGAAAAGGAGGAAGGCTTGTAAACAGATGGTAATGATAGGAGAAAGTAGGCACCCAGGGCAATAAGCGCCTTGGAGCATGGAGGAAGTGTGAGTGACCTTATCTGGGGGACGTGACACAAACCAGGGACAAGCCACAGCAGAGTGAGGGGGCACACTGGGGAAGGGCATGCAGGCAGAAGGAATTGTTTCTGCAAACTCGTGACATGTTCAGTGAAGCACAAGATAATGAAAAGACATGGTAGGACAAACTGAATTTAGTTCTAATATTGGCAAAGAATTGCTCTTGGTGTTTTCTCATTATCAGAGCAATTATTCGAGGATATTATAATACCACTTAAATCTTTAGCTCCACGTCTGGAGTTTGGTTTAAAATAGAATGTCTGCCTTAGAAATTGAATATGACTCTGCTGTTCTTAGCCCAGTCTTGGCTCCCCATCAAACCTAGAATAAAATGCAAAATCCTCTTGTGACAAGCACAGCCCCCTGCTCTCTTTCCCTGCTGCTGGCCTGCTCACTTGCTGTGCCACCAGCCACTCTGATTTTTCTTGACTTTCCTGGCTCAGCTCTCTGCATTTGCTGCTCCTTCTGCCTCTAACACATGTCCCCCATATTGCATGTCTCACTCTCTCAGTCACATCTTAGCTCAGATGTCACCTCTTCAGGAGGCCTTTACTGACTGCTGTCTCCAAAGAGCATCCTCCACTCACCCTTATCCCCTTATATGGCTTTATTTTTACTTTAGAGCATTTATCACTACTTGGCATTACATAATAATGTATGTCCATTTACATGCTTAACTTCTAACTCCCCATAGTGGGTTGAATTGTGCCCCTTCCCCACTGAAAGATATGTCACTCTCTTAAGCCTGAGAAAACCTGTGAAGGTGATTTGGAAAAATGAACTTTTTAGGTATAATTAAGGTAAGGATTTCAGGACAAAATCATTTTGGGGTAAGTCCTAAATCTAGTGACCAGTGTCTCCATTAAAGAAGGGAAAGGTGGAGAACAGACACTCTCTTGATTTATGCTAACAATGGGGGTAATAATAACAATAGCTAATATTTACACACAAAGAACTTTGTTTCATTTTATCCTTTAACTATGCTAACAACCACATAAGATGATGAATTATCATGACCCCATTTACAACCGACTAAATTAAAACTCAGAATAATCCTGGTGACATCTCCTGTGATCACATGTGAAATGCCTCATCAGGGTGCCTCACCAAGCAGAATGGAGAATCTCAGGTAGGACAAGTGCATTTTAAAAGGCTTCCAGAAAAGTGCGTCTTAAAAGGCTTCCAGACAGGTGAGGCCCATCTCAGTCTCCATGCTTCTTATTTATCTATGCCTCTAGCATTGGCATTAGTAGTAGAAAAAAGAAGTGGACCTCCATCGGGAGTGTAAGATATGCAATTATTACAGCCGGTATTTTTATACATATTATCACATTCAATTCTCTCAACGCCTCTGCCAGGCTGCTGTCATTGATTTCAATTTACGGAACGGAGATTAACACAAACCTAGTGAGAGAAGTGAATGGCAGTTTGAAGTTTGCTATGGTTCACTTGAACGTTTCTGATCTTTCTGCAATAAACAACTCTCAGACTACACTGATCTGTGCTCACAACTTGTTATTCCAACTCTTTTATGACCCCCCCCTTTAAGCTTTCAGATGTTATTTTCTAGGCTTTTACAACTAGTCTGCATTGCCTGGCCCTTTTCATCTGTGCTTTCTTCACCCTTTTAAGAGAGACTCCCCCCTCAACCCCCACTGGCCACCACCTAATGCTTGTTTCCCCAAGAGTCTGAGTGTTTTTGCTGCTTTCTCTTCTGGACAGCTGAGTAGGATGTGAAATAGGAGGTTCTAAAACAACCTTTGGAATTTCCATGGCTCTTTTACACCCTACTTTAACTCAGCAGAAATTTTATTTTACTTTTCTGTTTTGCTTTCTTGTCTTCTTTATTTCCTGATGCTCCTTCTTCTTAACTTTGTGAACCCCAGGAGGTCTGGGAATATTGCTCTACAGCAAGATAAGCTACTCTCAAGAAAGGTCAATCTGCCAACAGAAGCCTAAAAAACTAAGTATTAAAAAAATATGCTTTGCTGTGACAAGTACAGATAACAATCTGTTCTCTACATCCTCCTCAACCTCTATCCCGCTTTATAAATAAAAGTATTCTCAGTTGCAGACATTTTCAAACTTTATGGGTATATCTAATCAGGATACAGGCAAGAAATAGTCCAGAGTAGGGATTTATTATGCTTTGTAATAACAGGAGGAAATAGCAAAGTGCTCTTTGCACTCTATATTTTCTCTTGGGATGATTACTTTTTAGGTGCTTAAAATAGTTCTTGTAAGGCAAGACTGGTAAACTGTCTCAATCCACTAAGTTAATTTCTAAGGAAAAAGACTAATATCTTTCATTACTATCATTGTTTGCAAAACATTTATGACTTGTATTTCTATTGTATCCAGTAGCATCTTTACTGAGTAAATAAATTAATCAACAGTTTCATTTCAAGATCTTGTGTCTGTAGGTTGAACTGAAAGAGTTATCACTAAATGGTAAGATTAATGCATTTTTTTCCAAATGAATGTAACCTGGGGAAGCAAATATTGAATTAACATTTTCTAATTACAGCATTCATTAATAAAACTTTACTGCACTAATTCCATTACCTAATCGCTGTTGAAAATAAGATCTATATATTGTAACACAAAGGTTTTTTTTTGTTGTTGTTTTTTGTTTTTTTTTTTTTTAAAAAAAGCTCTCCCTTGTTTTTTCAATCTTCACAATAACCTAGATATAACTGGACAGGTCGAATGATGTCTACATAGGCAGAAACAGAGGCTCACTGGGGAAAAACTTGCTTGGAGTATTTGAATATTTTACTGTATCTGAAGTAAACATCTCTTCACTGGTATCCTTTCTCGCAATAATACAATATTTCTTTTATTCTTCTATTTTGCACTGCCACCTCTATTCTAATATGCATTGGCATTTAGTATAGTGCGGTTAGGGGAACAAAAATTCTAAGGTAGGAAAAGGAACTAAGGTCTAAAGATCCAGTGGATACTAGGCAAGGTTAGATATTTCACATGTGCTATTTAATCCTCATGAAAAATTATAATGTGCCCTCTCCAAGAGAGAAGAAATTGAGAACTCTAAAAGCTCCACATTTAACAGGTTTTGGCAGAGTTGCATTCTTTCCATTGGAAGGAGAATAATTAATTTTTTATCAGGCTGTCAAGGATGTTTAGTCTTTTTGGTAACAGTTCACAGCACTAAGACACATTGGACTGTCACATTTCTATGAACTGTAGCAACTTCAAAGATCATTTAATAATTCATCAGGGAAAGTTTCTAGTATTGTAGTGGCAAGAAGATATGAGACTGGCTATAGATTTGGCACAGGTAGAAATTACAGTTATTCAGTGTGGTAAAATTTATCACTGTAAACTGAAAGAACCAAAAGAATTCCAATTAGATATCTTGTCAGTTTTATTATTTGTATCACTGTATTCCTTTTGAATAATCTAAATGGGTTTATATGTTTTCCAAATATAATGATGCCCTTATAAGGAAGTTTTTAGCATTTAAAATAAAGAAGTAAAAAGATATTTATTTTCTGTTTTTTATATTAACTAATGTTTTTATATGCAGCAATTTATTCACATATATCTACGTCTATCTCCATTTTTCTCTCTTATATATAGACACATACAATAAAAACTGTAGCTCATGTTTGCATGTTTTTGTTTGTTTCTGGTTCTTTAAATCTTCAAGAATGTAATTGGATTACAAACTATCTGAATATGCCATGAGTGACCGTAAGTGACCCTCTAAAGCGTTTTAAAGGATGATAATACAACTGACTACGGAAGGGGAGAGAGGAGGTACTCTCTGAAATTAGGCATGGCACTGTGTCATGCTGGCTTTGGCAGATTCAAAAGATTGAGAACTGTGGTTTTTTTGAAATTTTAAAATTTATGTATATGTTATGCTCACACAAAATTTCTTTCTTCAAGATTCATAATCAATAAACACAGGAAATAGCTGTCCTGGAATCTTCTATTCCCCAAAAGTAACCTGTCATAGAGGTAGCAATATGCAGCTTTATTTTTCCTTTGGAATTTATGAGTACCAGTCTTGGATTGTATCTATGGGTAGGGAGGTTAAATGGACAAGAATCAGGGACCGATGATGCTATCAGCCTTTAAGGAATTGTATGACATGAGGAGAAACTGTAATAGAAAGCTGGTTTTAGCAGCAGCTGAAATGACCCATTGCAAGAGAAGAGAGACTAGCGACAGATAAAGTACTAAAGAGAAATTTTCGATGAGGCTATGAATTTAGCATATTCTCAGGCACTCTAATCTAATTTGTTGTGACCATGGGGACTTCGGTGAAAAAGAGCTCCCTCCTTCCAGTGCCCATTATTAATGTAGTTTACCCTCTTTGACTGATCAAGTTTTCAAGCACAGAATTGCTTCCAATGTTAATAGTCACAGTCATCTGACCAGCAGTTAATCCCTTTCTCCCATTGGCTATTAGAGGAGGAAGAGTTTATGGGCATTCTCCAGCCATGTCTGTGATTGGTCCTGACCTTGAAGACCTGCCAATGAGATCCATGGAGAAATTTGAAAGACTGTTTTGTAAGCAGCCTTCTCTTCCTTGCAGAATTTTCTCATAGCAGACAAATCTAAGGGGGTTATATGCACTAAAACAGCACGAATTTAAATCAGTGAAGATGGAAGGCTGCCATCATGCCATTATGCTGTAGCTGGACCTTATCTGACATGTGGTCAGCTTGCTTTTATTGGAATAAATCTAACCAAATAGATTTGTCTACAATTTACAGACTTACAGATTGTTAGTAGTGGAAGGGACTTCTGAAATCTAGCTCAGCTCCCAGATTTAACATGTGAGCAGAGGGTTCTATAGGATATACTACCCATGTATCCAGTCTCTCTGGAATCCAATTGTCCCAAAGTTAATCTCATTTAGGACTTTATCCTTCTATGCCCCACTGCCCTTTTTCAAATCCAGGCTCCCTTTACTGTCTGAACAAGTCACTTCTCTATGACTCAGTCTCATCATTAGTAACATAGAAGTAGTGTATTAGCCCATTTTGGATTGTTATAAAGGAATTGCTGGGGCTGGGTAATTTATTTTAAAAAATAAAAATGTTTAGTTGGGTCACAGTTCTGCAGGCTGTATGGGAGACATGGTACCAGCATCTGCTTGGCTTCTAGTGAGGCCTAAGGAAGCTTTTATTTAAAGCAAAGGGGGAGCAGGCATGTCATATGATGAGAGAGGGAGCAAGAGAAATGTCAGGCTCTTTTAAACAACCAGATGTCACAGTAAGTAATAGAGTGAGAATTCACTCATTACTATGGGGAGGTTATTGAGCCATTCGTGAGGGATCCACCCCATGACCAAAACCCCTCCCACCAGGCCCCACATTCACCATGGGGGATCACATTTCAACATGAGATTTGGAGGGGACAAGCATCCAAATTGTATCAGGTAGTTATGGTATATAGGTCATTTGACTTTTGTGAAAATTAAAATGAGCTACTATGTGTCTGGCAAGTAGTAAACATCATATAATTGTGGCTATCTTGTGTGCTTGTGATTAGCATCTATTATTGGAAGAAGGAATGTACTGCATGGTATTTCTAGAGACCATTGCTTCTCAACTAGGAGTGCTTTTGGCCCCAGGGGACATTTGGCCTGGTCTCCATTTTTGATAGTCCCAACTCCAGACTAGGGGACTGCTTCTAGCATCTAGTAGGTGGAGGCCAGAGATTCTTCTAAGCATCTTATCATGAGTATGTCATTCCCCACAGTGAAGAATTACCCAGTCCCAAATATCAGTAGTGTGGCAATTGAGAAACCCTGCTCTGTATGGAAAAAATAATTTGAATCTTAAGTATGAATTTAAATTTTTACAGAATGCTTAAATTATAATTTATAGGTGAGAGAGGGTTTCCTCATTTCAACCACATGCATATAAGCTATCCCTCCATGGTAAGGCATATATGTAAGATTTATGCATTCATATCACCTTCCCCATTCTGCCCAAGTAATTGGCTCTTGTGATCTAAGCAATTTTAAACCATCCATTTTTTTTTTGTATATGAGAAGGTATACATTATTAGCACTTTATGTAATGAGTATTCAATTGGATTATGTAGATAGTTTGCTTTTTTTTTTTAGACTTCAGAGTGAATAGAACAAGAAATCTTATGATCAGCAGTCATTATAGACATATTTGCAGATACATTTTATATGCAACAGTGATGTGTTATTACAACTATTGAAATAGAAGACTTTGTGGCCAACTTTCCCAACCATTTACATTGTTTTCAGTAGTGCATTGGAAGTGTTCTTCCCATCCCAGTGGTCCTCTTTTTCTTTTGATGTTTTATTGATGCAAAGAGACAGTTCTGACCTTCATATAATCTGCAAGGATTTTTCTTTTTATTTAACAAAAGAAATCACAAAATTAAATGTACTACAAGTTGAATATCCATAATCTGAAAACTTAAGATCCGAAATGCTGCAGAATATAAACATTTTTGAATAAGTGAAGACTTGCCATTTTTGATTGCTGGTGTTTTTAAACAGATAACAGGTATTCTGGTGACACTGCTGTGCTCCTTGGTTACCCTGAACATATTATGTTTTCACTGCATTAACAATATGCCATATATTTTACTGTTAAGTACTTATGTGTGAATAAATGTAAGAAAATAAATGCTTATTAATAGCATATAAATTCAGAGTCAGGAATGATAATGATGCCAAACAACCACAGATTGTCCACATGGGTGGTTGAGATTGGGACACCTTTGCTTTCTGATGGTTCAGTGTACACAAACTTTGTTTCAGGCGCAAAATTATTAAAATATTTTATAAAGTCACCTTCAGGCTATACGTATAAGGTATATATGAAACATAAACAAATTTTAGATTTAGGCTTGGAACTCATCCCCAAGCTATAAAATAGCTTCTATCTGCAAATACGTATGCAAATATTCCAAAATCCAAAAAAAATCTGAAATCTAAAACACTTGTAGTCTCAAGCGTTTCAGATAACAGACATTCGGCCTTATGTATCTGAGATTGTTTAGAAATCGTAGCCTTCCCCAAAAGCAGTTTTGTGCATATGCTTAAGTTTATAGGGTAATATGGTCCCTTTAAAATTCTGAATAACCAAGAGACTACAGGGACTGTTGCCCAAAGAGGAGAGATAATGCTTCCAGCTACACAGTTGTTACATTTCATTGTGAGCAATATTATCATATAAGAGCCTCTTTTAATGAAAATATTAACACAAAACTCTGCCAAAGGAGCTATTTTTAAAAAGTGCATGTGTCATATATATAGATATAATCTATAAATGTACAGACATAAATATGTATATATTTAGTTTAATTAAATTTAAACATAATTCTGTATCTGAAGATTTTTTCCTTCTTTTCTTTGTTGTATTAGTCAGCTATGGCTGCATCAATGCTGTGTAACAAACTGTCCCAAAACACAGTGGGCTTGCAATTCCAAGTATTTATCTTCAGATTCACAGGTCTGTATGTGACTTGGTTCAGCTGATCTAGACTGGGTTCTGCTGGGAGACTCAGTTGAACAGCAGATTTTGGCATTTCTACTCCACATTCATTTGTCCTAGTGCCCAGTCTCAGGGGCATGGTTTGATCACAGTGGATCACCACAGCACAAGAGCCAAGCCAAACCCAGCAATATGAATGTGATGAGGAAATATTTTTTTCCGTGGTAGAAAGGAAGAGAAATTGGAGTAGATATTTGTAAAATAACATTTCCTATTATCATACCTTCTCTTTATTTCAGATAAGAATAAATTTTCTCTTTCTTCTGGAGTTTTTAGTTCTGCCCCTTGAAACCTCCAGAATGGAGACCAGTTACCAGAAACGTCAACCCAGATCTGCAGAGCCCCATTCAGCTTGATGTTCTATGGTACACATCTATGTTTTCCCACATTATAATGATATGTTAATGTATGCATGGATATGGTTAACTTGTTAGAGACAATAATTTAATTATAGACTCAGACATTCCACAACATAAACAACTTATCATGGAAGGAAGACATAAGAATGGCTCAAACATTCAGATTTAGTATGAGTATAATTATGAAATAATATGCCAATTAGGAAATGCAAATACCTTTTAAGAAAAACAAACATTTTAGAATATGTTATGTCTTCTCCTAGAAAGCATACATTAGTGAATCAGAGAGGAAAAAGAATATACAATCTTTCGGTTCATGGCAAGTTAGTTTCTGTTTCTCTCTCTTCGAATTACATCTATCTGTCTTGGTCTCTTGCTATCTCTGATTTATTTTCTTTGCTTTATATGAACTAGGGCTCAAACTCCCTGTGAAGAGTCAACTTTTTGCTTTTCCTTAGTTTAGACTACCCATTCAATATAAATCTTGTAATCCTGATAGAAAGTCTGTGAGAATTCTAAGAATTCTAAGAATGGCCCCCAATAACCCCTCACCCTTGCAAAATAATTGTGGGTAGAACCTAAGAATATGGTGAAATGTCATTGCTATGATTATAGGTCCCCAATGATTGACCTTCAAATAGCAAAATTATGTGAGTGGGTCTAATCTAATCTTGTGATTAAATCTAGTCCTATAATTCCTTTATTATCCAAGAAGAGATCCTGATCAAAACCCCAATAAAGGGTTCTTAGGTCTCGCATAAGAAAGAATTCAAGGCAAGTCCATAGAGTAAAGTGAAAGCAAGTGTTGGTGGGAGTGTACATTAGTTCAACCATTGTGGAAGACAGTGTGGCAATTCCTGAAGGATCTAGAACTAGAAATACCATTTGACCCAGCAATCCCATTACTGGGTATATACCTTAGAGATTATAAATCATTCTACCATAAAGACACACGCACACGTATGTTTATTGCAGCACTATTCACAATAGCAAAGACTTGGAACCAACCCAAATGTCCATCAGTGATAGACTGAATAAAGAAAATGGGCACATATACACCATGGAATACTATGCAGCCATAAAAAAGGATGAGTTCATGTCCTTTGCAGGGATATGGATGAAGCTGGAAACCATCATTCTCAGCAAACTAACACAGGAACAGAAAACCAAACACTACGTGTTCTCCCTCATAAGTGGGAGTTGAACAATGAGAACACATGGACACAGGGAGGGGAATATCTCTCACCGGGCCTGTCGTGGGTTTGGGGGCTAGGGGAGGGAGAGCATTAGGACAAATACCTAATGTAGGTGACAGGTTGATGGGTGCAGCAAACCACCATGGCACGTGTATAGCCATGTAATAAAACTGCACGTTCTGCACATGTAACCCAGAACTTAAAGTGTAATAATAATAAAAAAAGAAAGTAAAGGAATAAAAGAATGGCTACTCCATGGGCAGAGCAGCCCCGAGGGCTGCTGATTGCCCTTTTTTATGGTTCTTGATTACATGTTATCCAAGGGGTGGATTATTAATGAGTTTTCCAGGAAAGGGGTGGTTAATTCCCAGAACTGAGTGTTCCTCCCCTTTTTAGACCATGTAGGGTAACTTCCTGACATTGTCATGACATTTGTAAACTGTCATGGGAGTGTCTTTTAACATGCTAATCCATTATAATTAGCGTATAATGAGCAGTGAGGACGACCAGAGGTCACTCTCCTTGCTATCTTGCTTTTGGTGGGTTTTGATGTATATCTTGTGCTGACCTCCTATTTCATCCTGTGACTTAGAATGCCTAACCTCCTGGGAATGCAGCCCAGCAGATCTCAGCCTTATTTTACCCAGCCCCTATTCAAGATGGAGTCGTTCTAGTTCAAATGCCTCCGACAACTTAAAAGTATAAAGCTTTCTCCAACCAGTGGCAGAAGAACAAGCCAGAAAGATTTGAAGCAAGTTTATTATGAAAGTAAAGGAATAAAAGAATGGCTACTCCATGGGCAGAACAGCCCCAACAGCTGCTGGTTGCCCATTTTTATGATTCTTGATTACACATTAAACAAGAGGTGAATTATTCATGAGTTTTCCAGGAAAAGGGTGGGCAATTCCCAGAACTAAGGGTTTTGCAAAGGACTTGATGCACTTGAAGGTTTGAAGATGGAGGCTCTGTGTGAGAAGGAATGCAGGGCAGCCTCTGGTTGCAGAGAGCAGCACCCGGTTTGACAGCTAGCAATGCAATTGTGACCTCAGACCTACAATGTCAAGGAATTGGCTTCTGCCAACAACCAGAATGAGCATGAAAGTGGATTAGTCCTTGGAACTTCCAGATAAGAGCCCAGCCAGCTATACTTGGATTTCAGCCTGTGAGATTCTCAGCAGAGAACCCAGTCAAGTGTGTCCAGACGTCCAACCTACAGAACTGTGAGATAATAAATAGATACTTATTTTAAACTACTCAATTTTTGGTAATTTGTTATGTGGAGCTATAAAGTTAATACAATGTCTTAAATTTTTTATGTATGTGTTTGTGTGTGTGTGTGAGAGAGAGAGAGAGAGAGAGAAAGAGACAGAGAGAGAATTTCTCATAGGCTGACTCTAGGTCAGTGGTACTCTATTTTTCAATGCTATGTCAGCCTGAAATAATTGAAAGGACCAGAATCCAGGTTTGAAGAGTTTATTCATGCAAAAAGCTGGGAAAGACCATCCGGAAAATATGAACTCCAGAGAAATGGGATCAGTACTCAGATGTTAAAAGTTAAGGTCTTGCTTATATAGGCAGAAAATAAATCAATTTAACAGTATTATAACATTTTTTGTACAAGGCTAGTTTAGGAGTCACAACAATTTAATAAATTATGGTTCGTTTTCTTATCCATAAAGGTTATTTTTATTTCCTTTCCAATTTAAGAGTATATTTAACATTCCATCGTAGACAATGCGGTAGTCATGAAGTATGTGTGAGAGAAGAAAGATGGAAGGTAATCTATAATGAAAATCAACACTTAAAAGGAAAAAGGTCTTCTTCCCTGGCACCCTTTAGTCATTTGCAACATTTTACAAGACAATGTAGGTAAGGAAAAGGCTAATCTGTAATCGGAGAAACAAAGGTTACACCTGCTGACTTTACAACTGTCTGCTTATGAGATTTAGTTCACATTCCCTTTAAGCTCAAAATATTTTAAAGTTCCAGCAGCTTAAATTTTGAATTACTTATTTTCACAGCTGACATATTAGCTACAACAAAGCAAACAACATAAACAGTATTAGGTCCCTGTTTTTGAATTGGCTTTGAAGTTTACTTACATCATCTAATACCTCTATTGTAGAGCAAATTTAGGTTTCATGGGGTCCAGAGATTACACAGTTTTAGGATTCTCTTATGAAAAAAAAATACATGCTTAAAATATAAAACTAAGTGTAAAAATGAATAGTTAGGATTAGGAATGATCAATTTTGAAATTACAGTTTTTAGAAAACTGACAAATGATATACATATGAAAAAATTAAAAGAGTAACATTCTAAAATAAAATAGCTGCCTTATAGATCTGTGTGATAGTTTTCCTGGTTCTTGCTTGCATAAAGTTGAATGATTTTGCACTACTTTTAGTATAGAAGATAGAAAAATAATTCAGGCTTATCACAGAGTTGATAAACATTTATTTTTTATTGTCAATAGGAAAGCTTTATTTTACTTCATAATTCATTATTTGTAATATTATATACATTTTTAGGATTGTTGTCAAATTTGGGAATGTCTATTGATTTCCTTTAGTAACGTAAGTTGTAATATTTCATGACATTTTAAGCTTTGTTGTACATTAATTTAAAATCATCATTGAATTGACAGTATTCATTGAACAGTTTACTTCTGATAGTCTCATTTTGGTGGTGTATTGCATTTTGTTATTTTAATAAATGTTAGTACTTTGTTTCATTTCAACATGAAATTAATTTTTAATGTAATTATTTGATTCATTATTTATTCCTCTTTGTTACTTAGATTCACTATTCTGAATCCAAGAGCTTCTTCATTACTTCTTGTAAAAATTTCTCTCTCTTGTACTAATGATTGTTTCTTTTGGTGTGTTCCATATATTTATATATATATTTTTATATATATTTGATGCTATTACAACTTTCTTCTTCATGCAACGTAATTCGTAAGTTCACAATTTCACTTTTTATTTTGATCACTTTTGTTTTACATTGTATTATTACTTTAATCTAAATTCTACCACACTTCTTTAATAACTTGCTTTATAAATATCAATAAAGGTAATTTCATAACGTCCTAATCAAGAGCTTTATATTTTTCGCTATTTTATTGAAATTTTAAAACATGTTTATAAATTGTAATTAAAATGATATATTTGAGCTTTCTCAAGCTTTTGAATATTTTCAAGCTCGATTTTATTTGAGTTATTTTTTCAAGTCTTTAAAAATATATTTTTGAAGCCTTAAAATATTTTTGACTCTAAGTTATTAGGCTTAACTGACTTTGAAATGAGCAGTCCATCCACTATTCCTGTTCTTCCAGAGTTGGGGACTTCCAGTGATGCTCATTTCACTTTTGGGTCGCCTTTGAATTATGACACTAGATGAGTTGGCACATTGGGTGGTAGACACATCTGTGGAAGCCATTCCTACCCTAGGACACTCATCCATAACCTGACTGTACATAAAAAGCTATGAACCCATAAATAAAACTACATGTTCTCTTACTTAGCTGCATTCTAAAAATGTCCACAGTTGCCTTCAAGTCTAAAAGATATGAAAGAAAGCGTGCCATAGAAAACTTGTAGCAGAAAAGGAGCAGTATTAACTAATTATAGTTAAACTATCTTACTTTCTAAATATTAGAAAATTAGGCGGGGCTTGGTGGCTCATGCCTGTAATCCTAGCATTTTTGGAGGCTGAGGTTGGAGGATTGCTTGAGCCCAGGAGTTGAAGATGAGCCTGAGCAACATAAGGAGACTCCATCTCTACAAAAAAATTTTAAAAGTAGCTGAGCCTGGTGGCAGGTGCCTGTGTTCCTAGCTACCCAGGAGGCTTATACAGGAGGATCACTTGAGCCCAGGAAGTCAAAGCTACAGTGAGGGTGATTATGCCACTGCACTCCAGTGTGGGTGACAGAGTGAGACCCTGTCTTGAAAAGAAAAGAAAAGAAATAAATAGAAAGCTTATAAGACTATATGACTTGAACATTTTGCTAGAATTTATTGGGTAGGATACTGGACTGTGCAGTGGAGGGGTCTGAAGCCTAAGCTTCGTTAACTTCACTATAAATCTGACTCTGGAGGTGGCACAGCGTTCCTTAAAGGTTACCTTTGACATTCTTTTATACAGTGAACTCTCCACTCACTCCCAGAGCCTGACTGCCTGGCTCAAGTTTAAGACTAGAATAAACATTCCCTCAGGGAAAGGAAAAGGGTAAGAGTAGGTTTATCAGCATAGGAATGTCAATAAATTGGGATAAGGCTGAAGCACTACTAATCAAAGAACAAGTTGGGAATTTTATCAGACTGCAGTACCAACTCAGGTTGATATTGATAGCCAAGTGGATGAGAGATGTCTTAGGATCTCTGTAATTTTTTCATCTCTCTCTCTCTCTCTTTTTTTTTTTTTTTTTGTTTTCTTTTGTGATGGAGTCTCACTCTGTTGCTCAGGCTGGAGTGCAATGGCACAGTCTCGGCCAGCTGCAACCTCTGTCTCCTGGATTCAAGCAATTCTCCCACCTCAGCCTCCCAAGTAGCTGGGATTACAGGCATGCGCCACCATGCCTGGCAAATTTTTGTATTTTTAGTAGAGATGATGTTTCACCATGTTGGACAGGCTGGTCTCAAACCCCTGACCTCAGGTGATCCACCCACCTCGGCCTCCCAAAGTGCTGGGATTACAGGCGTGAGCCACCGTGCCAGGCCTCATCTCTTGATTTATGGTCATGAGTGATGCTTTAAAACACTCTAAATAATAGATCATGTGGCCTCAAAAGAAGGACTGAAAAAACCTCTGAACACCTACAGCAGGGCCTCCAAACAATGCATTCCTGTCCTGTGAGGTGATAATATGTATTCTTTATAAGTTAGATCTGTAGTCAAAAACGTTTGGTAAATAATGGATCAAACAAGATTAAACTAGTTTTTCTTTCTACAGGAGTTACCTTGATCCTTTCATAAGCTACTAAAATTTGTACATGTTTAAGAGTAAGATAAAGTACAGTGAATCATCATTATTTAGGGTAGTTATATTTTATAAAGTCATCTTGAACACTGAATTGGTGAATCCAGAGCCATTGTTTTTAGGGGAAATGCAAGGTAAGGTTAAATTCTCATGAGCCTCTCTCTTGTACGTATTCTCCTGATTTGAGCCTTCATGCTGAAGTACCCATGCTCACAATTTTAGCTGTGGCTCACTGTTAGAAAACTGTTGCTGAAATGTTATCTATGTACATGTAAGGTTGTCTATTTTTGTTATTAAAGGTTGTCAGGTGACAGTGTGACCGTATACTATAAATTGTAGAACTTCTTCTTTTAAATATTTGGCAATATGACTGTTTTGTAAAAGCAAAAAACAGACTCCTCCCAAGATAACATGTGCTCTAGGATTCATACAGAAATATATTTGGTGAGGCCACATGGTTTAGTAGAAAGAAATATTGAGATTTTCAAATCTGAAGGCCTAATTAAGTTTAAGACCCAGTATTAATATTGGTTATAATAATGCGTGACTACATACAAGCTAATAAAACTTTGTTCACTCCTATTTGAGCTTGTGTAAATAAGCACAAAATAATTCTTTTTTTTTTTTTTTGTCTGTTTGTTTGTTTGTTTTTGAGAAGGAGTCTAGCTCTGTTGCCCAAGCTGGAGTGCAATGGCACAATCTCAGCTCACTGCAACTGCCACCTCCCGGTTCAAGCGATTCTCCTGCTTCAGCCTTCCGAGTAGCTGGGATTACAGGTGCCCGCCACCATGCCCAGCTAATTTGTGTACTTTTAGTAGAAACGGGGTTTCACTGTGTTGGCCAGGCTGGTCTTATACTCCTGACCTCGGGATCCGCCTGCCTGGGCCTCCCAAAGTGCTGGGATTACAAACGTGAGCCACTGTGCCCGGCCTCACAAAAGAATTCTTACACAGCATATAAAATGGTATCTGACACTGAGTTTGAAGTGGAAGGGGAACTCAGTAAATGTCAGCTCAATCTGGACATGACTATTTCAGTGATCCATTTCCTGTAAGATCTGATACAAATCTGTAAACAAAGTCATTGGGCATTATGGATAATTTTTAAATTTTCTTAATTTATAATACCAAATAAACCAATGTTAGGAATGTAAAGAATCCCTGAAACTTACAACTGCACTCATCAATTTTGTTTCCATCCCACCCTCCCTTTCTCCCTTCCTTCTTTGGCACTTTCTGTTGGTTATTTTAATTTAGGAATTCTCACTCTTACAAAAGGAGGTCCTGGAGTTTAGGAGAAGATACTTTAGCTGAGGTGATGGAAAGGGTGGAACTAGAAAACTTCAGAGGCCTTATTGCATTTGTGGCAGTTCAAATGGTGCTTTTATGCATTGGATGGATTTTGAGAGTGTATTAGTTCATTTTCACACGTTATAAAGAATTGCCTGAGACTGGGTAATTTATAAATAAAAGAGATTTAATTGACTCACAGTTCTGCATGGCTGGAGAGGCCTCAGGAAACTTACAATCATGGCAGAAGGAGAAGCAAGTCCTTGCTTCACAAGGCGGCAGGAGCGAGAGAGAGCAAAGGGGAAACTGCCACTTTTAAGCCATCAGATCTTGTGAGAAGTCATTCACCGTCAGGAGAACAGCATGGAGAATCCACTCCTACGATCCAGTCACTTCCCACCAGGTCTCTCCCTTGACACACAGGGATTACAATTTGAGATGAGATTTGGGTGGGGACACAGAGCCAAACCACATCAGAGAGCTGTTTGTTTTACAATGTATGTAACAGTTTTGTGATAACAGTTTTATGTTTTCAGTCGTGCCACATTCATATAGAGAACATACCGGCATTACAGAGCCTTGAGTGAGATTTCACATAGCTCAGATGCCGAAACACAAGTCTTAATAAAACCACTGGGTAATGTGTGCTCCATGTGAAGGGTGTGTTTCTACTTCGTGCCATTTTATTATATCACAATATAAACACAAGCATGGGGCATAAAATATTGGGGGGAAAAGGAAATACTGGGAACCCCATGATGTATGCATTAGCTTGTAAGCCAAGGAATAATGAGGAAGAGGAGGATGAGAAGTCATTGTCTGTGGCTCCTTAGAAAAGAAGCAACACACTGGAGTTAAAATGAAGTGGAACACTCTTTTACCTTCCTCCTCTATGTCTATAGACACTGATACGTGTCCCAGATTCCAGGTATACCTCTCCATTGTTCCATATTCTCAACGCTGAGCATAGCACCTTGCATGTGGTACATGGATATTTATGGATGGTGTGTTAGTTTCCTAGGGTGACCATAACAAAGTATCACAAACTGTGTGGTTTAAAACAATAGAAATTTACTATCTGACACTTCTGGAGACTAGAAGTCTAAGATCAAGGTGTTGGTGGGACATACTACTTCTAAACATGCTGTAGAAGTCTCCTTTCTTATCTCTTCTAGCTTCTGATGGTTGGTGGTAATCCTTAGCATTCTTAGGCTTATAAATGCATCGCTCCAATCTCTGCCTCCATCTGTTCATGCCCTTCTTTTCATTATCTGTATCTCCATCTCCAAATTTCCCTTGTCTTTTTTTTTTTTTTTTTTTTTTTTTTTTGAGACGGAATCTCACTCTGTCACCTAGGCTGGAGTACAGTGGTGCAATCTCGGCTTACTTCAACCTCCGCCTCCCTGGTTCAAGCTATTCTTCTGACTCAGCCTCCCGAGTAGCTGGGATTACAGGCATGTGCCACCAAGCCCAGCTAATTCTTGTATTTTTAGTAGAGATGGGGTTTCATCATGTTGACCAGGATGGTCTCGATCTCCTGACCTCGTGATCCGGCCGCCTTGGCCTCCCAAAGTTCAGGGATTACAGGCGTGAGCTACTGCGCCAGGTCAATTTCCCTCTTCTTGTAAGGATGATAAGGACACAAGTCAGATTGGGTTCAGGGCCCTCTCTAATACAGTATGACTTAATCTTGACTTGATTATATTTGCAAAGACTCTATTTCCAAATAAGGTTATATTCACAAATTCCAAGTAGACACGAAATTTTAAGGAACACTATTCAACCCAGTACAGATGGTGATATTTTTTTGTATTTTTTCTTTGTTTTTGTTTTCCGCAATGTGCCAAGGGCTACATTATACACACAGAAAAGTGGAGAGGTTCCTGTACTTTCAGATATAAGGATTTAAAATATTGTAGTGCTGATGTGGTGGCCTGAACTTTAATGGATAAAAGGTATTAAATGGCATGCAGTGATGAGGTGTGGCAACATCACCCATCGCCACTATCCATAAGCAGCAGTTTTACACATTAAAGCCACCCTCAACAGTATGCTTGTACTGTATACAGAATTTAAGTTTGAAAATGACCAGAAAGGTTTGAGGTACTTCTACATTTGCCAGAACCTTGATCTCCTGTAGAGTCTGAGAAATCAAAGATTACCAGGTATGTCTGTGCTTATTCAGCCCCCAATGTGTGGTGCAGTGTAGATCCTGATTCTTCATTGAATGAATGTAAAGTGTGGCCACAGGGAAATGAGATGGTTGTGTGGCTTTATAGAAATTTCCTCTTATTACTTTATGGCCTCAGTGTGATTTCATAGTTGTTTTCTGCCACTGGTAAATGTTTGAGGGGTAGAAATTATTTGGCCTGTTTTGGAAACAGCAGAGTGTAATAGAATAAAATATAGATTTTGGCTTTGAAAGAAACAGGGCTCAAGATCCAATGCTAAGATTTATTAACTTTGGGTAAGTAATTATCCACTGTTCGTTTTGTTTGCTTTATTTTTTAATATAGAGATAATAAGAACCTATTCTCAAAGTGTTACTTTTTTTTTTTTTGAAACAGAGTCTCATCCTGTCAGCCAGGCTGGAGTGCAGTGGCGTGATCTCGGCTCACTGCAACCCTTGTTTCCTGAGTTCAAGCGATTCTCATTTCTCAGCCTTCTGAGTAGCTGAGATTACAGATACGCACCACCACACCCAGCTATATTTTTTGTATTTTTAGTAAAGACAGGGTTTTGCAATGTTGGCCAGACTGTTCTCGAAGTCCTGGCCTCAAGCGATCTGCCTGCCTTGGCCTCCCAAAGTGCTGAGATTACAGGCTTGAGCCACCGTGCCCTGACGTGTTAACCATATTAAATGAGGTAATATATGTAAACACAGTAGCTGCATAGGAAATAGTCCTTTCATTCGTATTTTGGTTACTTGTCATTTGTTTAGCTGAAACTTAAAATACAAAGTAAAACAAATACACAAAATACTAAGAAAGCAGAATTAGTAAATGCAACTATGCAACACTGAAGGAGAATTTTCCTGCAGAATCAGAATCTATACAGCATGTTAACTTGCAATATTGCCTGGCTTGCAAAATCTCAAATACGTAGCCTCAGCAGGACACCAGCTGGGCCCATAAATGTTGACATTTATGCTCTGTTGGCCTGGTTTTCTCTTGTTGACCTTCTGGAATTATATAAGGCATTCCTGACGCAATGAAGCCTCCCCAGCTGAACCTTCCTGTCTCTTACGTTGCCTAGTTTCTGTGAGAGTTTGTTTGGGTGAGAGTCTCCAGGAATCACTGTCAGGCAGGTGACAGACAGCCCATGATATCATCACTGGACCTGGTCACTGTCTTGTGATTGCAAAGGGAGATAGAAGGTGAGATATACCAAGGGAGATGATTTGGAGACTCAGATTTCTGCTTCAAAATTTTGATTTTCAGGAATGGAGTAGGGCCCAGGAATTGACATTTTAAAAGCCCTTTAGGGATTGTTGATCTAGATAATCCACATGCCTATCTTTGAAAAACCTTAGGATGGAAATAAATATAATATGTAGTCAGAGTAATGAAGAATCCTGAGATTAGGATACATTCCAAAAGTAAGGAATAACATAAACTATGGAGCACATTTCATTTCTCCAATTCATATAGAAGTATGTTTTTAAAACGCAGGATTAAGGAAACTAGCAGGCTTCTTGTCTCTATTGAAATAAAATAGATGTTTCAGAAAAATAGTTGAGTCTGAAATGCCGCAAATCAAATGAGGGTAACTATGCTTCATTTGTCGTTGCTAGCTTAAATCATGGTTCTTTACAGAAGGGAGAGTTTGGCAAAAAAAATATAGAAACATGCGATTCATAAAAAAATCAGTAGAGTTTAGCACCTTTGAGAGAACTCTAATTTGAGATGGTAGACCTTGAGTCTTACCGGGAAGTATCCTCAGCCAGTGAAACACACCTTTCTAGTTTTCATGCTTCATTGAAAACATATGTCGAAAATACCTTATTTAACTCTCTCCAAGTCCTCAAAAATAAAGCCTTCTGAGTAGACTTTTCTATACATTGGAAGAACACTGTGTCCAATTCTAGCTTTAGAGCTAAAAGTATTAAAATTATAGATTTTGGCTCTTTAAACTTGCCTACTGAATGGAACTTGGTCAGCCTGATTTAAGCCTAATTTAAGCCTGTGTTAAGCCTAATTTTATTCATCTTTAGAGCAGCAGCTGCTTTTTGCTTACAGACTAAGTAGTGTAGTAAGTAGTTAATAAGTTTGCGCAGAATGGAGTAGAGTGGAGTGGAATGGAATGGAATACAGTGGAGCGAATGGAAAAAATGGAATGAGATGGAATGGAAAGGGATGGAATTGAGTGGAGAGGAACGATACAGCATTGAATGCCTGAGTTTGACCTTGAACAATTCAAGATGAATTGACAGCATCATGTTTCAAAGCCCTACGATGTGAAGCTGACTGTGATCAGGGATACTTCACCAAACTTCTGCCCCTCATGGAGGTCCTGTCTGAAGCTGCAGCACCATCCCCTGCAGGCACTGGGCTATTTCTGAGGTTTCAGATGGGCTCGTGGTTCTCCTGGGCTGTGATCTGCCAGGGTGTGTGCTCTGGGAAGATGTGTCCTACAGGCAGTCATTCAGCAGCCCCTCATGAACACAGTACTTCATGAAGCACTGGAGGGCTGAAAATGGAAAGGGCACTTATGGCTACAATTGTCACCATTCTATACCTGTGTCACATTATCCCTTAGAAAGGCACCATAATGTAGTGGTCAGGAACTGGACTTATCAGATGATTTGGTTTTCAATATGGGCACTATCACTACAGCTATGGACTCAAGCAACTTCTTAAGATTCACTTTACCTTTATTTCCTCACCTGCAAAATGGGAATAGTACATTCATCAAAATCCCATTAAAATTAAATGAAAATAAAATCCATAAAAGTCTTTATCATATTCCCTGTTCAGGATAAATACCATATGAATGCTAGTAATTTATTTAAAGAACAAGATATTACTGATATGCTCTTCTAGTGCACTGCAGTGTCTGTAAAGACAACATCGATCTCCCCATGTGTTCCACAAGCAATATATTTGTCTTCACAGAAATAATTAGAGCTAACATTTGATATATGTGTACTTTATACACATTGCTATGCTATGTTTTATGTGCATTTGACACCAAATTATCACAGGTTTTATACAGTAGGTCCTATTGCAATTTTATAAAGAAGGAAACTGAGGCACTGAGATGGTGAATAACTTATCAATAATCATATATTTAGTGTGTGACAGAGCCGTAATTCAAATACAGTAGTCTAGCCAAAGGTCATATGGTTAAGTACTACTCTACCCTACTGTTACCATCATTTAAGTAGCTTTAGGCTTTTTCAGTTTCTGTAAAGCTTTCTACAGGAACCATCTATCCTGTATCTAATGTGTCTGCTTCTATGGCTTTCCAGAGCTCAATGGCTATTCACAGCACTTGATTGACTATGAATCTTTTTACTTTCTTGTAACTTCCTAACATGATTTGCAGGAATTGGTCCAGATTCATTTCTTTTACATCGTCTAGCCTCAATTTCTTAATAAATGGGTTTTATAGTATTCGCTGAGAAGGAATAAGTAAAATACCTAGCTAACACAGTACCTGAAATAAATAAGGGACTATTAAAAGTTTTTTTCTGTTTTTCCTTATTAAGTATCCATACTTACCCCACAAATAAATTTCTGTTAGTTTAAAATCAACATGGCTATTCTCCAGAAAGGTATCCTTGATCATGATACCTTCTTGTGACTTATTTAATTTGTGTTGGAAATAACAGATGGAAATGGTCTAAAATGGGGTAAAATAATTCATCCGGTCTTCAGGCTAGACAAGCTATTGGTTCTGGACCACATTTTGGTGTCATCTATATTTGACTCTTTTAGTCTTTAAAAATCAGTCAACCCATTAAGCAAACAATTTGCTTTTAGTCCTTTTAGTGATATTATTTCAAAAGGGGGAGATTTTGAATAGCAAACAGAGCAGGAATAGCATCGTGTTGTATACCTGAAATACATACAATAAAATTTATTTAAAAAATGAAAATTCTAACAGTTTAAGTGAGAGAGCATATATTCATGATATGGCATTTCATAGCTTTTATTTTGATACTTAGAAGTATTGCTACCTTCATGATTTACAGACTTTAAACATCAATAATTGGCTCTCTAAAATGGATTTTAAACTTCTTTGGAAGCAGGTACTATATAGCTTGGGACAATATTATTGTTGGTTCTGGCTGGCAGGTGTAGAAGAGTATATATATACATATGTATATATACATATATATACACACTCACACATATGTATGTATTTTCTCTTTAATTAATTAGCTTTTAATAGGAAATCTAACAACCTTGAGATGCAATTTAGAAAAGGAATAAAAGCTATTTTTAAAAATCTTGGATAATATAATATGGTAGATTCCTGTAATTTAAAACAAACGCCAAGGTTAAGTAGAATGCATCCCCTCCAGAGATCCATATAATTTAGAATATGTTTCAGTTAGCAGGCTTAACACTGCTGCCTGCCCATCAGCCACTGGGAAAATAATAAAAACCTAAAGGCAAGTGGCTACACTAGCTTGTCAGCAAGTTCATACATACAGATTGATTTTAACCTTCTCTGATTTAGAGATACTTCAGATGAAAAAAGCTTATATTAATTATTGAAACAAAATTTTAGTGGGGAAAGTATCTACTGACTTGTGAGACCAGAATGCTGCTATGTGTGGTGTTACAGTTCATATTTCTGAGATTTCCCTCTGCCTGTGTGCTTCCCACTGTGGTCTTTCAGCATGCACAACAATGGAGAGAAACTTTTCCTGTGCATTTCGAAATAACTTGGTGTTTTTATTAAAGTAGTATTTTGTTGTAATAAAAAATGTATCTATTATTAAGTATGTTCATGAACATCACTACAAAATAAGATGATTGCAAGAATTGTTTTTAAAATGCAATTGCATGAAAACACACCTAATATCTTAGGCTTCATAACAAAGAAATGCAGTTTTATCATTGGTCTTATGTAATAATTATTAACCTCAGAAGAACCCCACATATTTTTGCAGTGAAGAAAACCTGATTTTCAAAATGTAAATGTGCATCTATCTCATTATATCTCTGCATTTATATATACATATTCCTTTTTCTCTATCACAGCGACTTCGTTTTGCAGTTAAGTGTTCCAAGACTCAAAGTATACTGACACATCAGAAATGATTTTCTGAAAATATTCAGAAAATATGTATCATGCACCGAACACTCTGACAGTTGCTGAAAATAGCAAGGCACCCTCAATTTCCTACCCACCTCATTCCTAACTTACTTCATATAATTATTTTTTACATCAAGGCTTGAAAGCATAAGACTTTCTTGTACTTTGACTTTACATTATATTATTGCTGACAATTAACTACTTCATGTATTTAACACCTAAAGTAGAATAAAATAATATATTTAAAATACTAGGTTAAAAAAAATAATCTTACCTCCAGGCAATAACTTTTTACTTTTTTTCAACCCCATTGTCATCATTATTATTTCAGATTCAAGATTCTTGCCCTTTCCTGACATTATAGTAAATAACAAGTTAAAGAAACTGCAGCTTTAGGCCGGGTGCGGTGGCTCACGCCTGTAATCCCAGCACTTTGGGAGGCCCAGGTGGTTGGGTCATTTGAGGTCAGGAGTTCCAGACCAGCCTGGCCAACATGGCAAAACCCCATCTCTACTAAAAAATACAAAAATTAGCCAGGCATGGTGGCCAGCACCTGTAATACCAGCTACTCAGGAGGTTGAGGCAGGAGAATTGTTTAAACCCAGGAGGTGGAGGTTGCAGTGAGCTGTGACTGTGCCACTGCACTCCAGCCTGGGCAACAGAGAGAGACTGTCAAGAAAGAAAGAAAAAGGAAGGAAGGAAGGGAGGGAGGGAGGGAGGGAGGGGGAGGGGAAGGGAGGGAGGGAGGAAGGAAGGAAGGAAGAAAAGAGAGAGAGAGAAAGAAGGAAAGGAAGGAAGGCACTGCAGCTTTCAAAACTACTTCCCAATTTCCTCTGTCACCCCTCTAATTCTAGATGAGGCAAGATAAGCAGGTTGGTTTTCACTTGGAAGCCTAGAATTGCAAGCTTGCAAGCTGAAAGAGCAGGTTAGTGCTCCTGACTCCCTAAAAACCAAATAGCCAGGCTTTTCCTTCTGCAAGTAGTCATGATTTTTATTGGGAGAGAAATGTTTTGACTTGAGCCCTCAACTTAGCTTTTAAAGATTACAGTTCCAAGCTGTGAACATTGGATCTGGATATACATGCACCTATCTTGGAGCTTCTGGAAAACCAACCCTGTGGCCTTTGCTTAGACCCAGGGCAGATAGTTCAGTGTCTTAGCTGTGAGTGTAGCTCATACCTTTGCTTATGCTCTGGTGATCTGTCCTGCCATCCTCAACTTACTGATTGTGGACACAGCTGTCTGTTGATGTGCAAGTGCTGAGAAAGCCAGGACTTGGTCCATCTTGTTTAGTCTGATCCTTAAAAATTATCAATAAATATTTACTGAATGAATAAACAAATAAATTAATATACTTATTTTATTGTGGTACTTGGAAGCTTTTGATAACTCCTTATCCAATGATATAGAATTAGCTTAAACAATGAGTCCTATGTAGCTTTTAAGACATTTACAAAGAGCTGAGAGCTCTCATGGTCTATGCGTTGCCTTCCTTGTGCATTAATATATTATATCAACAATTATTTGCCCAATTTTTACCAAATTTTTGCTGGTATCTTAAAAATTATTTTGAAAAGTTATACACATTTATTCAGACTGTATTTTCCTAAGTATTGATATATTATAAAATAGAAAGAAAAGCAAATATTTAAAGAATAAAAACTTTAAAGACAACTACTCACCAAACTGAATTGTAAATAAAATGTTTTAAAGAATAATACAGTCATGTTTGTGACATTTGTTTACTCCCAGTTTCAGGGTTGTGTAGGGCTCAAGACTGTAGCTAGAGCTGTATAACCTAGGAAACAAAAGTACATTATGTATTTGACAGCAGATTTTTTTTGCCACCAAAAATTATAAGGAGAAACACATTTGATCCGGAATATTCATTGAAATATCTTAGTGCTTCATACAAATTGAGGTTAAGAAACTTGCCCTTTCCCTATAAGACTGTCTGAAAAGTTAGCATGGTCATGACACCTTATACTGCTGTTTGGAAGATTAGATGCGCTCAATTGTAGACTGTATACAGCGCACTACAAAGTGCCTGATGCCTAATAAGTGATCAATATGTGCTAGCTATTATTTACCACATAGTGGAATGATGACAGAATGAAAAGTCTTCAGAGTTCCTCGCGAACTGTGTTTCAATTCATTAGATTGATCAAACGTTCAATCCTCTCTATTCACTGAACATGATCAAAGCTTAAGTTTTCAAGACATGCCATGATGTATTTCATGTTAAGAAAGGCCAGATAGCCTCAGATTCACAAAGCAATAGTACACTTGTATTTTATCTCATAATACCTGAGATCATGCAAGAGAGACCATAATGATGATAATGCCTCTCTTGACATTCTCTCTTGAGAGATTTCATGGTCTCTTCCCATCTCTTTCTGCTTATATCCTGAAATGGAATCCAAGGATTTACTACCATCCAGGGTGTCTTAAAAAGTATAACAAGGATAGAAGGAGGTCTGAGAATATTTTATTATAACAAACCCTCTTTGAAGAAAAAGAAGATAAAAAAAACTAAGATTGATTTCTATACAATTTTATGGCACATTCCATTAGTTTCAGCTCCAACTCATCCTGTTATCTCAAAACTGAATTATCTCAGCTGTAGTGTGAACTTTTCCACTTCCTGAACTTATCTTAACCTGAGGAAGTGTGCTTTAACCACTGTCTGGAACTTGTACATATCCTTGGTACTTGATGTTCCGTCACTGAGTGAGCTGTGGACACAGGTGTTCTTAATGTATTTTGCACCCTTTCTCCTCTTCTGCAGTTGCACAGTTTGTATTATCATTTCCCTTCCTATTCTGTCTTGATTCTGGGCTGAACTTAATCCATTTGTCTATAGTAGGGGTCAGCAAATAATGTCTATGGGCCAAATCCATGCTGCTGCCTATTATGGTAACTGCTGAATTAATCTTGATTCTATTCCAGTCTCCTTAGTCTTCATTCTCCTAATTCAAAAATAGCTGCTGCACTGTATCTTCCTTCATGCTCTGGGCAGGAGGAAAGAACAGAAGCAATATGGAGGAAGGGGCAAAACCTGTAAAAGGACAGCAAAACTTTTGCAGAAATCCTAAGCAGGCTTTTCATTGGCCGAAAGCCATGCCACATGACCACTTGTAAGGGTGCAAGAACTTGCAGCTTAGCTGTAGTGTTTGCCACAACCCCCAAAATTGAATTTCCCTTCCTTCCTTCCTTCCTTCCTTCCTTCCTTCCTTCCTTCCTTCCTTCCTTCCTTCCTTCCTTCCTTCCTTTCTTCCTTTCTTCCTTTCTTCCTTTCTTTCTTTCTTTCTTTCTTTCTTTCTTTCTTTCTTTCTTTCTTTCTTTCTTTCTTTCTTTCTTTCTTTCTTTCTTTCTTTCTTTCTTTCTTTCTTTCTTTGTTTTTTATGAGACAGAGTCTCCCTCTGTCGCCCAGGCTGGAGTTCAGTGACGCGTTCTTGGCTCACTGCAACCTCCACCTCCCAAGTTTAAGTGATTGTCCTGTCTCAACCTCCTGAGTAGCTGGGACTATAGGCGCCCGCCACCACACCCAGCTAATTTTTGTATTTTTGGTAGAGACAGGGTTTCACCACATTGGCCAGGCTGCTCTCAAACTCCTGACCTCGTGATACACCCGCATCGGCCTCCCAAAGTGCTGGGATTACAGGCATGAGCCACCATGCCCGGTTGAGTTTCTGTTTCTATGGAGGAAAGCAAACATGAACTGTTGGAGGAAATCAACATGAACTGTCGCTGGTCAAGCATTGTACAATCATTCCAAAAACAACAACAACAATAACTCAAATCCCAGATTGTTTTATTTGAGCCACAGGTGAGTCTCTAAATGAAGTTTAGAGACTGCAAAGTAGTTTAAAGTACTGCAAAGCTGAGTGTTTAAAAAAGCATCGATCTGGAATCAGTGAGAGCAACAACCTGTAATAGCTGAAGGCAGCAGAGAGTGACATTCAATTAAGTACTTTCATTAATCGTTTATAAAATTAATCCTTAGAACTCGATGATACTGTATTAAAATGAAGTGCTGATTAGGACCGACCCCGTGGCAGTTCCTTCAGGAAGTAAGGAATACATAAAATTTTTCATTTAGGCAATGTTCCAGCTTCTATTAATGGGACTTGTACCTAGGAGGATTCCTTACGGGAACAGCAAACATAAATAGAAGCAGGTGATGACCGGACCCTGTGGTACAGTAGTTAAGAGATGCAACAACCATACCTCACTAATTTTGACTAATTAGAAAGAAATTCAGATTGAATTTGCAAAGTCTGATTATACAATATTTAATGTGATTGTCCTACTTTTCCTTTTCGTGATTATACAAATCAGTTTTTAAATCTGACGTAGTTGAGTTTTTCAAGGCATTGTAAATGGTTTCTATTCTATCCATTGAATTTTACGTCTGTAACAGCTACAATGTAAGAGTCATTTAACAATTTTTGAACACCTATTATATGCCAACTACTGTGGTAGGCTCTTTACATCCATCATTTATTTCACATTTATACTAATCCTTAGATAGGTTTTAGTCCAATTTTACTGATTAAAAAATAGGGCAACCCCACTAGAAATGTCAGGACCAGAATTTGAACCAAGTCCTTCCTGCGGCCCAAGTCCATGCCCCTTCCATTATGTTGCAACATCTTCCATGAGTGTAAAAGTAATATAGGCCAAGGATTCCACGTCTCAATGTGGTAGGAATTGTTGATTCTTTCATCTTTTTCTTATTGCTTGTTTTAAAAAAAATATTAGCCAAGGTAAGGGAATGAGTAGAACAATATCAGAATAACTGAGGGTCTCCCTTAGGAGGTCCTATTCAGTTTTGTATTTATGTTTAATATAATCAACAACCCAACAAATCATATTCATTATTATCTTGGACAGTATATGTTCACTTACTACCATTACTTTACTCAAATGGAAACGGCAGCCTAGGCATTATCTGAATGCCATAACCCTTGTAATGGTGGCATCCTAATTAATGAGTTTTAAAATGTTATAAGCCAAATTCTTTCCTCTTAAGTGTGCAGATGTATGTAGGAAAAGCTTAAAGCATTATTGTCAGCCTAAGGGTAGGGGTAGACCCGTTCCCTGAAAACACTATTAAAAAGTACCCTTTTGTGATTTGTTGTGGGTTATATCTGATAAGGAAAAAGCATTTCCTCACATTGCCCAGGCATTTCATTAAAACTCATCTGCTACTGGAGGAGTGAGTTGTTTCAATGAGTAGAAGCATAGACAACCTGGAGTGCTCTCAGCGTTCTTTAATAATATTTCCTTAAAAATTGTTAAATTTTGTTTGTGGAAAATGTATGGAGTTTAACTTAGTCTCTGTAAATATGGCCTCCATTGTGCTGGAATATGAACCCCTAGATCTCATAGAATTCTTTTTCACACTTGTGTTCCTTGTGGTGCAATATCAAGAACAATAGGTGATACATGATTATTAAGACAAATTAAAGTTATAAGCTATATATATATAAATCTATATATATGAATAGATTGATATACATATCAATCAATCAAGGAAAGGTGCATAACTTCAATTTTGTTACATACAGATGAGAATATTATTAAATGCTATATTAGTCTGTTCCCATGCTGCTAATCAAGACATACTCGAGACTGCATAATTTATAAAGAAAGAGGTTTAATGGATTCCCAGTTCCACATGGCTGGAGAGGCCTCAAAATCATGGTAGAAGATGAAGGAAGAGCAAAGGGACATCTTACATGGCGGCAGGCAAGAGGGAGCATGTGCAGAGGAACTCCCCTTTATTAAACCATCAGATATTATGAGACTTATTCACTATCACAAGATCAGCCCTGGAAAAACCTACCTGCATGATTCAGTTACCTACCACAGGGTCCATGTCATGACATGTAGGGATTATTACAATTCAAGCTGTGATTTGGGTGGGGACACAGATCCAAAACATATCAGGTGCTTATTCATATGTTTGTCTACATATCCATCCTTTCATGATGGATCCTTTCATCATATGATGGCATCCATTCATATGCCATCTGCATATTCATTCATCGAAGAAAACTTCCAGTTAAAAAAAATTGGATAATGTTTTTGATTTAGTAATAAGAAAATTGCCTTATTTTTCTTTGTTGTAATGTAGTTTATAAGCTCAATAAAATTTAATTTTCAAAACAAGATAAACTCTTACCTGATTACTAATGATTATAAAAATTAGATAGGAAATAATTACTGCTGATTTCCTAAAATATGTCACAATAACTTGAAGATTGAATTTCTATTAATTATTTCAGTTGTATATAAAGAGTGCATCACTTAAGAAGCAAAGAATAATAATCTATAATTTCTTCCTACACCTCTGAATCCCCAATTTAAAACAACCAGAAGAATAGGAGCTGCTTTTTGCAACAATAATTATTACCCTAGTGATAACATGAGCACTGCTGTATTCTTATCCTTTAAATAAAAAAACAAATGTCATTACAGATTCTGGGAAATGAGCTGCCGCTATACCAATGAGTAAATTATTTAGGATACCACTTATTTTGTGAGGCATCTGTCATTTTTTAAATATTTTTATGGGGGTTGGGAAAGTGGCTGAGTATTTTGCCTGAAGTTCAAATGTAAGCCTCTCTACTCCTCTTCACATTTGAGTTCATAAGTAATGAGAACATCCTTATTTTACTTTTCAGTACTGAACAGTAAAGTCAACATGTGTTTACAGAATACCTACAAATTGTCCAACTAATACTAAGCATTTAAAAAATACAGAGATGAAATTAGGACTATTGCCTCCTAGAAGTTTTCCATATTGTTGGAAAGATAAACTATGCAAAATAAATGAAATATAATGATCTAAGTGTTTTTCCATATACTGTTGTGATTTACATGTGGTTATAAAATCTAACATAGAAGTCTCTTTTTGAGATATTTTTGGTTAAATTGCTCATTCTTTTAATAAGTGGCTCTTTATTGATGTGCACTTTGCTGGTTATTATTTGTCAAATAAAGCATGGAAATTCCCCAAGTTAGGAGAAGGAGAAGATGACTTTCTGATAGCTTCAAGCTGGGCTGCTACTGGCTCTATTGGAAAACAGTCTTCCAGAGGGCAGGAGCACATAACTAACATAGCAAAGTGACTTCTTTGCACATAGTATATGTTGAATTTGTGGTTGTTCAAGTAAATTAAGACAGAAGTCATTCATGGATTCAACAAATATTTATTGACTTCCTGTTATGTGCAAGGCACTACGCATGATGCAAAAAATAAAAAAAAAATCACTAGTCAAGCAAACAGACAGCACTCTTTGCTTTCATGGCCCTTACAATCTGATAATGGAGATAGACAGAAAATATTTCAAAAAATAAGTGATAGGAAGAAAAAGATTAGATGGTATGGAAGGGAATAACACGAGACTGACTTAGAAGGTTTCCCTGAAGAATTTATATTTAAAATGAAACCTAAAGAACGAATAAGTGTTAAGTAAGTGAAGAGTAAAAAGGCAAAACATTAGCAGGTGTAAAAGCCAAAAATGAAAAAGAACTGGATATATTCACAGAATTGAAAGAAGCATAAGAAAAAAAAGTCATAGTGGCTATTGCATAAGTCAGAAAGAAGCTCAATGAGACAACACTTCAGGAAAAATCAGATGCAAGAGCTTACAGTCACATAAACATTTTTGGGAATGTCTAGGGGACACACAATAAATAGCACCTCATTCTTATCTGATTCTGGACAAACATGGGGAAATAATAGGGAAAACATGGAAGCCAAAACATCTGTTTAGTGTGAGAGCCAAATGGGCTCACACCCTAACCCCAAGAATGATAGACACTGTTAACCATCCATAAGAAGGGCTGGAGCAAAGAAAGGCTACCACAGTGAGGCAGGTGAAAATAGGAGTGAGCAGAGAAGAGCATGCCAGCTTATTCTTCCCACACTACCACCCAGATATGTCTATGTCTCTCCATTCTTTCAAGAGTGGAGAAAATAAAGGAGGAGGAGAGAGGCTCAGACTCATACCAAACCTGAGCCCCTTCACAGGATGGAAAAAATGTTGGCAAAGAAACATGGCAGAAATATCATACATTTTGGATATTCTAAATCCATATTAATGTTTTAAGGAAGAAATACATTATCCAATATATCATTAAAAGAGTACTTCAAAGCCTCCATGTAAAGGTGTCAAAAAGCAAAAAAGTCCAGGCACAGTGGCTCACACCTGTAATCTTAGCACTTTGGGAGGCTGAGGTAAGAGGATCGCTTGAGTCCAGGAGTTTGAGACCAGCCTGGACAACCTAGCAAGACCTTGTCTGAAAATATTAATAAAAAAATTACCCAGGTGTGGTGGCACACACCTGTAGTCCCATATGCTCATGAGGCTGAGGCAGGAGGATCACTTGAGCTCAAGAGTTTGAGGTGTCAGTGGGCTATGATTGTACTATTGCACTCCAACCTGGGTGATAGAGACTGATTCTGTCTGAAAGAAAAGAAAGAGAAAGAAGGAAAGTAAAAGGAAGGACGGAAGGAAGGAAGGAAGCAAAGAAGGAAAAGGAAACGAGAAAAGAAAAAGATGAGTGAATATTATTGAGGACTAAGTCATTTCAAATTACCAAAATTGATGCATATTTACATTTAACCTGGCTCCAGGGAATATTATTTATGACTAAATCATATCAAGTCACTGTTAACAGTGCATGCTCATACTAAATATAGCATTTGACGGTGGTAAACACACACAGACACACACACACAACCTATAGAATTAATCACCTCATCTAGCACAGAGGCATTGACACATAAAAAATAAAGACCATAGGTGTCTTAGTTCATTCAGGATTCTTTAACAAAATACCATAAGCTTGGTACCTTATAAATAACAGAAAATTACTTCTCACAGTTTCTAGAGGCTGGGAAGTTCAAGATCAAACTGGACTTGATGTCCAATGAGGACCAATCTTCTTGCTGTAACCTAACATGGTGGAAGGGGCTAGCTAGCTCTCTGCAGTTGGTGAATAGTGTCCCCCCCTTTTTTTTTAATAAGGGCACTTATCCCCTTATGGGGGCTCCGTCTTCATTATCTAGTCACCTCCTAAAGACCCCATCTCCTGACACCATCAGCTTGAATGTTAGTATTCAACACATGGAATTTCAGGGACACAAACATTTATACCTTAGCAACAGGAATAAAAATAAGCAAATATATATATTTTTTACTATGTGCTAAGCAATGTTCTAAGTACTTTACAAATATCAACTTATTTAATCCATTCAATAATCTAATGAAATACATATTGTGATTTTTTTTTCATCCTCACTTTACAGATAACGCTTTTAACATTAGAGGAATGGAGAATTTTGCCTATGGTTGGACAGGTAGTAACTAGTAGAGGTAGGATTTATCTCCAGAGCTCATGATTTTAGCCACTTTGCTACAGATGGATGGGGTAAGGGTAGGAGCATTTGAGGAGCAGTTTGCATTTTTTGTCTTATTTTTTTCTTTTACTGCTTTGGGTAGAAAGGATTAGTCATAAAGAATATACTGTAAGCTGTGTGTGGTGGCATGCACATTTAGTCATAGCTACTCAGGAGGCCGGAAGATCGCTTGAGCCCAGGAGTTAGAGGCTGCAGTGAGCTATGAGTGCACCAGCCTGGGTGACAGGGCAAGACTCTGTCTCTAGAAGAAAAAAAAAGTTGAGGCTGCAGAATATACGGTGGCAGGTGAAAATGTATTTTGCTCTACACATATTTGCCTAAAACATTTTGTACAATAATGTTATTCATTTAGAAAGCTCTCATAAAGAGGTTAAAAAATGTGGTGCCTGCAATTTTTTTTTTCCTGGAGTCTCTGAAGTGTTAAATGAATCTCCTCAGTCAATTGGCATGGGGGATGATTATGTGTAGACTGAAGTAAAATATCCTAACACATATTATATTAAAATAGTCTTGTATTTTACAATCACCTGTCAACTTATTTGCCTCTATTAATGCAGCAGTAACTATAACAGACACATGTTGAAGTAATTAGTGTTTAAATTGTCTCTCAAAACTGCTATGTTTCCCCATCACCCTCTAGAGGAGGTAGAGTTGGTATCATGCCTTGAAAGACAGCTGCTTCTAAGAACTATTAAATGGAGCTTTTTTTTTTTTATTACAATGCTCTCCATGGATGAGGATGCTTTTGTACAATTCACACATGCTTTCCACATTGTTCTGGAACATCTGAGAAAGACACATCATTGAAACAACTTCCATCCATTGCATGGGTAGAAATTACTCTGGCTGCTATGAAGAGAAAGGTAAGAGATGATTAAGAATGAAATTGGAGAGAGCACTTAGGAAGGCATTTCAGTAGTCCAAATTGGAGGAGGTGGTTCTTTGGGTGAAGATAATGAATAGTCAAGATATATTTTTGAGGCAGCCACTCTGAGACTTGCAATTGGGCAATGCAAGAAAGGAATAATTAGATGACAACCCTACAACCAGATTTTTGATATGATGATGTTATTCCTGAGTTAGAGAAGTTAGGGGAGTAGTGGCATGGCAAGTAGTCCTAGGGAACAGGATGAATTCAGTTTTAGATATGTTATTTTTGATATTCTTGTGAAGCCTCCAAGTAGAGAGATCAAAGAAAAAGAGCAAGAGCTGACACTTGATAGAACATGCTGTGTGTTAAGTCCGTTCATGAAGTTTATGTCATGAATTCATTGAATCCTTACCACAACCATATGTGGGAATTAAAGGGACTATTCTATCATTGGCCCCATTTTTCACATGAAGGCAGTTGTATACACAATAAAATGAGAGTTTATATTAAATTACATGGAACAGTTCTTAGTGTGTGTTATTAATATTGAGAAAAGTGTATCTGTTCTGTTTCTTGCTTAGAATATTCACTGAAAATATTTTGGATGTCACTGGATGCCCCTGTTGGATGCTGCCCTGTGGAAGGAGCACTGTGTTTCAAAGCTGGGTGTAGTTGTAGATGGTAATTAAAGGCACAAAAGAGATAAAGCTCTGAAGGACAAATGAATTGAAGAAGATGCAGTGATTATGACAAAAGTACTGGATGCCCAATTCTATGCTTCAACAAGTTCACAATTCTACTTCTCAAGATGATAATAGAGGGCAATTTAATTAAAAGATAATGGAATAAGAATGCTCCGGTATCTTTATATGCCTTAAGAGCATACATTTTCCCCACATAAAAGTCAACCCAGGAATACTGCTTACCCCAATTGAAGTAGTCTATAAATATCACACATTTTGGATAAAGTATATTGAAACAAGAATGGTAGAAATGTTTTCCTAAATTATTTTCTCAGGTGGGCAGGCAGCATTTTTCATTTAAAAATAAACTATCCAAGTTAAAGGTAAAAGGAGAAATAGATTGTCTTGCAAAATTTCCTCTGTGGGCTTCTTCATAACACATTGCTTACTCAGGGCTACACACTGTACTGAAACATCAAGCCAAGTTCTGAGTTCACTTCTTAATTAGATACCCCCACAGAAAATAACGCTTCTGTGAATTTTAACTAAGACCTGTAAAAGCAGAGACATTATTCACTTGAGTATGATGTAGCTCTTAAGAATGAGGTCACCTGGGTTCAAATCCCAGCTGCACTAATTCTTAGCTGTGTGACTGTCTTAGTCAATTCTGGCTACTATAACAAAATACAGTAGACCTGGTGGCTTAAACGACAAACATTTATTTTTCACAGCTCTGGAGGCTGGAAAACTGAGATCAGAGTGCCAGTATGGCTGGTTCTGGTGAGGGGCCTTGTGATGGTTAATACTGAGTGTCAACTTGATTGGGATTGAAGGATGCAAAGTATTGATCCTGGGTGTGTCTGTGTGAGGGTGTTGCCAAAGGAGATTAACATTTGAATCAGTGGGCTGGGAAAGGCAAACCCAGTCTTAATCTGGGTGGGCACCATCTAATCAGTTGCCAGCTTGGCTAGAATATAAAGCAGGCCGAAAAACGTGAAAGGAGAGACAGGCCTAGCCTCCCAGCCTACATCCTTCTCCTGCGCTGGATGCTTCCTTCCCTCAAACATCGCACTCCAAGTTCTTCAGTTTTGGGACTTGGGCTGGCTTTCCTTGCTCCTTAGCTTGCAAATGGCCTATTGTGGGACCTTGTGATCAGCTAATACTTAACTATACATATAAAATTAATATATAATTAAATTATATATAATTTATATATATAAATAAATATATAAATATATACACACACATACACACACGTGTGTATACACACACATACACACACGTGTATACACACACATACACACACGTGTGTATACACACATACATACACACACGTGTGTATCATACATATACACACGTGTGTATATATACACATACATACACACACGTGTGTATATACACATACATACACACACGTGTATATATACACATACATACACACACATTTGTGTATATACACATACATACACACACATATGTGTATATATACACATACATACACACACATATGTGTATATATACACATACACACATATGTGTATATACACATACACATACACACATATGTGTATATACACATACACATACACACATATGTGTATATACACATACACATACACACATATGTGTATATACACATACATATACACACATATGTGTATATATACACATACATATACACACATATGTATATATACACATACATATACGTGTGTGTGTGTGTGTGTGTGTGTGTGTGTATCTCTCTCTCTCCTATTATTTCTGTCCCTCTAGAGAACCCTGACTAATACAGGGCTCTTCTGGGCTATAGATGGCTGATTTCTCAAGGTATCCTCACATGGGTGAAAGAGCAACAAAGTTCCCTGGGACCTCTTTTATAAGGGCATTAATCGCATTCACGAGAGCTTCACCCTTAAGTCTCAATCACCTCCCAAAGGCCCCACCTCCTAATACCATCACACTGGGGGTTAGGATTTCAGCATGTGAATTTGGTGGAGAGACATAAATAATCAGTCGATAACCGTGACCGTGGGAAAATTACTCAAGCCCCATTTTCTTCGGTTTGCTCAGTGGGATAAATGGATGTAATAATGGTATTTCTTTATAGGCTTGTTGGGAGGATTCACTAAATCAATTAAAGTGCTTAAAACAGTGCATGGTCCATAAGAGGCAGTCAACTCTTAGCTGTTACTTAAACTGAACATGATTTTGAGTAGGGCTCAAACTCTCTCCTGTTGGGCTCCAGGCTATGCAGGGGTTTATCAAGGAGCTGTTTCAGTGTCCCCGAAAATATCCTGGCAGTTCGGCCACATCCTATGTGGTCTACATTTAGAAATCACTGGCCTGCTCAGAGAACAGAGATGACTTACAGGGGATTCAATTGTGTAATTTCAAATACAAGCTTAGTAGAACCCCATTCCTGATACAGATGAAAAATGACTCTTCTCCACCACAGCGTAGGGATATTTTCATCCGCCGTGGTAATGGCTTACCTCGGCAGGTCCTACCTCTTCAGGTCCTTTCAGTGTCCTCAGGCCTCCCTGAGTGGTTGAGAGCTGAATGGGGCTGAGAGCTTCAAGTTTTCATAGACTGATTCCTCTGCTCACCTTCACCCGCTGCATCTCCCACCAGCAGGTTGCTGTTCAGCCTATATGTGTTTCCTTGATGATTAGAGGGTTAGGGTCTCCTCCACTGTAGAGAAAATGCAAATGGTTTCTACTAGGTGTCTTAGAACTGACTGCTGAAGAAAAAAAGAAGAAGAAAGGGAAGAAAGCAATTTCCTGCAACTAACTCCCCAGGGTGATGCCGGATTTGAGGCATTCGTGCTTACTGTGTCTGTCTATGGACTTGCCAGGCCAATATATTGATCCCATGGATAGCCAGTGAATGTTTGATGGAGTAGGGGGTGTGTGTACTACCCTTGATCTTATTCCAAATTCAGGGATGAGGCACTATGAAAAATGTGGGAGGGTGGAATAGGAGCAGGATTTGGAATCTCAAAGTCTTGGGATGGGAAATCTCATGTTCAATTCTTACTAGCAGTATGACCTTGAAGCAAGCCCCTGTCTTCTGAAAGCTTTCGTTGTCCTGTGTGTGAGATGGGAAGAATAATACCACCGTAGGCTTTTGTGTGGAATAAATAGGATAACATCCACATAGCAAACCCCACAGTAAATGGTAGAGGTTATTAGAAGTTTCCTAGTTTAGGTCTTCTACAATGTATCAGGGAAAGCTGTGCATGCAGAGAGGGTAATTACCAAGCACAGGTGCACTAGTGGTGGCATTGTACTCCCATGATTGTTTCTTTAACCTTTTGTTAAGGGAGATTTGAATTTATGTGCACAGCAGTTCTTCAACAAGTACTTGATGAATGTCAGTCAATATGTCAGCAACAGGGTTGCTGTTACAGAAATAAGTAAGGCATAATCTTAACCCTGAAGGAGTGTAGGCATGTAATGACTCGTATTAGGCAGGATAAAAAAAATCAATGATTAACAGAAACATACCAGTTTATTGAAATACCTCGATTCATTGGAGCATAAACACAAGACGGTTTTATTTCTTTTACAAACTGTCTCCAATTTTACTATGTACCTCCCCTGCTTCTTTGCCTCCATTCACATATTGGGAATCTTCTATAACTTTCTGATTAATTTTAGTTATTAAAGTTAGGACGTTGAAATTCCCAATCACATTTCAGGTTCAAAACTCTCTGCTTTCTTTCCTGTGTCATTTATGACTGGGCTCCTCTGGTATGTGAGGCAGAGTAAGGAGGGAGAAAAATACTTCATACCTGTGTTTATGGTTATTTACAGGAAGGGGGTCCTGGATCCCACTCTGACGTGGTTGTTTCTGAGTATGTTGTACTCATTATTTTCCTGGGAGTGTATATTCAGCTTCACTGTGGCCCTGCCTTCATGGAGGATGTACAACCCCTTTATCTATGTTAGACTTTTCAGCTGTTCATGAAGCCTTAGAATTTCCATTGTTCTTCACAAAAAGCTATGAGGATCTTCTCTGACATCCCCTGAGTGTTTCATGGACTTGGGATGAGCTGTACCCATTTTTCCCAGGCATGCTACATCACATTCTCTGCACACATGGGCTGCTGTACCAATCCTCCACCAGTCTTTGGTATTCTCCAGAGTGCAATCAGGAACCAGTCTCTAATATTGTGTATGTTTCCAAACTCTTCCCAGACACAGCTTCATGTTTCTAAACTCTTCCCAGATAGAATTTCGTGTTCCTAAACTTCCTTTTCCTAGGCACAACTTCACATTCCTAAACCGTTTCAGACACAACTCCATGTTCCTAAACTTCATGTGTTGCTAAAATCTTCTCAGATACAACTTCATGTTCCTAAACTTCCTCTTCCCAGGCATAACTTCATGTTCGAAAACTCTTCCCAGACACAACTCCACAGGGTTCTGCACAGATTTTCTGACTCGTGCTGAGGGAGACCTGAGTATTCTTCAGCTCAGCTGTCTACAGGAGAAGAAACTGATGCAAGCCTTTCCTTTTTATAAGTACCCTAAATATTGATTAGTGACTCTGACAGATGTCAACAACCAATTTAGTTTGGGGAGTTTGAGAGAGAAAAAGAACATCCACCAATCTTGTCTCTCCTGTACTTCTCCCCAGGTCCTTTCATTAGTTTTCAGTGGGTGAAAGGAAAAGGGTGATTGTTGTGGTAGGACTTATTCTGCCCTTTGATATGCACATGTGACAGTTTCTGACCTAGATTTTAGATGACTCAATAGAGCTGGATTACTTTGTACATTGACTCAACTTTGGGCTATATGAAGAGAACTTATGTATATTATACATGAGATACAAGTATTATTCGTGGGACAACAAAGGGGGAAATGACAACTTTTTCTGAAGATATTTAGGAAGACACTATGATTCCTCCCTTACCTACACCCTTGCTTCTCATAGCACTTTGCTCAAGGTTAGAGCTCAACATAAGTTTCCTTGCTAGATGTTTTTCATTCATCAACCAGTTTCTTGATTTGTTTATTCTGTCATTGAACAATAATCAATTGAGCTACTACTCTTTGCAGCTGGTCTGCAAGAAGATGATAACACGCTGGTGAACACAAGAGACAGACCTCATTCTCTTAGCCAATTTTGTGCTACTATAATAGAATACCACAGACTGGGTAATGTATAAGGAACAGAAATTTATTTGTCTCATGCTTCTGGAAGTCTGGAAGTCCAAGGCTGAAGGATGAACATCAAGCAAGGGCCTTCTTGTAGTGTCATCCCATGGTGGAAGAGCAGATGGCAAAAGAGAGAGAGAAGGCAAGAAGGACCAAACTCCTCCTTTTCTAAGGAACCCACTTTTGGGATAATGAACCAGTCCTGTGATGATGACATTAATCTATTTATGAGACTGAAGCCTTTATGATCTAATTACTCAAGTTCCTACTTCTTTTCTTTTTTTTAGACGGAGTCTCGCTCTGTCACAGGCTGGAGTGCAGTGACACAATCTCGGCTCACTGCAAGCTCCGCCTCCAGGATTCACGCCATTCTCCTGCCTCAGCCTCCTGAGTAGCTGGGACTACAGGCGCCTGCAACGACGCATAGCTAATTTTTTTGTATTTTTAGTAGAGACGGGGTTTCGCCGTGTTAACCAGGATGGTCTCGATTTCCTGACCTCGTGATCCACCCGTCTCTGCCTCCCAAAGTGCTGGGATTACAGGCATGAGCCACCTCACTCAGCCTAAAGTTCCTACTTCTTAACACAAATGCACTGGGAATTAAGTTTCCAACACATGATCTTTGCACATTCAAACTATAGCACCCATTGAGAAAGAAACTTATAAATGCAATGAGTATGGCAGTACAGAAGTGGAGAGTTTTTCCAGATCAGGAGCCCCCATCACTGAGCTCCAGCCTAGTTGAGGGGCATATGGAAATCTCTAGGGAAGCGATGGTTAAGCACCAACCTAAAGGATAAGTGGAAACCAGCTTGGTAAAGAAGGAAGAAATCATTTCTAGAGAAAAGGAGGGAGATGGTGAAGCCACTGAAAGAAATTTAGGATAGCTAGAATGTAAGAACATATTATGTTAGGTAATACTGGGAAATAGGTAGTGGCTAAATCAAATGGACTTCATAGGTCATGTTTAGGATAGAAGTAAGAAAGTATGAATGAGTTAATTAATTAATTGGTAAATAATGAAATGTCTTCTTGCAGGCACACATCTCCCCCAGAAGATGAATACATCAGGCTTAGATAGTGATGCTTTCCTTGGGAAGGAGTGGAGAGCCTATATTTTCCACTACTCTCTTTGTGAGAGGTGAGGGCAAATATCTGAGAATATCTAATTGAGAGAGAGTCTTTCTTTCACTTTTTTTTGTTTTAATTTAACAGTTGCTTCCTATTTCTATCCCTCCTTTTACTTTGAATTTTTCCGTTTTTATTTTTATCTTGTTTCTTCTGTAACCCTCCAACGACCCTGTGTTGATTGGGTTTGCTTATCCATAAATGCAATTTTAATTCTTTTGAGGAAAGAAGAGCCATAATTATTTAGTTACTATTTTTCCCATTAGGGCTGTTTTTGTTGGCTCTGAGTTCTCTGTGGAAACATACACTTTACTTGAAGCAGTTATATTTTATTGTGTGGATATCAATAATACAATGATGTCTTTTCTAAAATATCTGTCCTTTTCCTCTGTGTGCTGTGTTGAAAAACATTAGGCTTGTAGCAATCTGATTGCCTGGAGTTAGTGACACTATGCTTTTCTCTGCTGAACTGAACATGTTCACTCCTTGGGAAATGTTACTAAAGACATCATGTTACTGTCATTTTTGAAAGCATAAATACCACTTAGAAACAATATCAGCTCATGCAAATTACCCAAATGGTTCATTTGTAAGGTTACATCAGGGAAACCGCATTGTCTCCAAAGGGTCAGGGACCATCTTACAGTTAACATTTTTCTGGTTTTTTAGAAGGTCTGACAGCCTCACGTTAGAAAGAGTGACAACACAAGGCTAATACCTTCACTTTTCTCAAGGTCTTTGTCATCTGCTGTAATTTACAAAGCTCTTTTGTTGAAAGGACCTACACCTATTTTGTGAAAGGAAACCTGACTAGTGTTTGATCATAATTTTAACCTGTTTTCTTGTGTAGGAGGTGCTATTTTAGGCTTATTAGTAAACCAAGCTCTCCTAAATCCTTCTCCTACCTTCAGGTCGTACAGATCCATAGACCCAACAGAGTGGACTAAATATGTTTTGTACCGTTGTTCATCCAAGGATTTGGATTCTTTTCATTCCTCTTGTGGTTATCTAAATGACAGCTAACTAAAAACAATAAAGTAGCAACGTTGAAAGAGCAGTTAATAGAGAATGATTAAGAGGAAGATGAGAAAAAATGTATTGAGCATTTAGCACATGCCACGTGAAGGCTGAAGGTTCTGCCTATGTTACACTATTCCACTCTCACAGCAAACCACTGGGGAAAATACTATTGGTGAATACAAAAATATGCTGATGATTATTTAATACATTGAACACAATCCTGCAGATAGTAAGAGGCAGATCTAGGATTCAAACCCATGTTTTTCTGATTTCTTCATGCCAGTGATAAAGGATGCATAGTGTATTATGCTACCTTCTGGTACTTATCTGTCCAATGCCAGCTTCTCACATATCACCAACACAAGCTGTTGATAAAGATGAGTTTGTTGTCTGTTGATGCTTTCTCATGAAGAGCTGATGGATTTTTCAGGAAGTTTCTTTAACGTAATGAGCTGTTAAGTTATTTGCCTGAACGAGAGTCTTCTGGAATAGTAAAGGTAAAGGCAAATCCCAAGCCACATGTGGAGGTAGATGGATTTGTTCTCATATCATACAATGACATGGTTATTTAATTACACCTTCATCTCTGTTACTGGAGAAGGAACTCTTCCACAGCAGGGCTGTCCTGTTAGTCATTTTTGTTTCTCCACAAATGACTAGTGTTTCTCTGCCTGGAACATAGTGGTATCAGGTGAGTGGAGGTGGAATGGCAATGGTAGCAGTGGAGAAAATGGTAACAATGTAACAGCATTTATCTTCCGCTTACTCCACACAAGCCACATGCACTTCCTAGTGTGTTATCTCATCTAATCCTTGTGACACCCATATGGGATTGCTGCTATTTTTATTTAACAGAACTGCCATAAAGCGAGATTGTGTTCATTGTTTAATAAAGGTTTGCTGCAATTAACTGGACATTCTTTCAGTAGATTAATATCATATAAATCAGCCAATTATGTAGACCTTTATTCAGTCCAAAAGAAATATTAACATTTCCAATAGATTTTACCTATTAAATGCTGCGGGAACTTCAGCTAAGCCAATGCATATCTTACAGCAAACATAAGATGCTTGTTAAGCAATATTTTCTTCTGTTCAGGACTTGTGAGCACAGATGAACCTATTGCCATTTGATTCTCATGTATATGTGTTGAGAATATCTCTGTGGCCTGAGTCTCCCTGAACCAGACTCTGAATGACTTTTTCCACTTCTTAAGTCTCTGCTGCCACACTGTGGAGAAGTACAAAATAAAACATAAGTTTCTTAGATTTTTTTTTTGTCATCTTTTACCAAGGAGCAATTGTCATTTACTGTGCTTCAAATTTGATTAAAAAATGACTAACCTTTTGTCTGAATGCCATCTGCAAATAAAAACCTTTCAGACAAAAGATGATGTTAGGTGAAGTCATTACAAATTAAAGGAGTAATAGTATTTCAATAGGATTGCTTTAATGACTGCTTGGGTAATGAACTCAGTTCAAAATGTGGTCACTTTAAGAAAGGCAGACTGAAATAAATATGAGCTTTCAATTCTGATACAAAGGAGACTTCCTTCCTTCCTTCCTTCCTTCGTTCGTTCCTTCGTTCGTTCCTTCCTTCCTCCCTCCCTCCCTCCCTCCCTTGCTTCCTTTCTTCTTTCCTTTCCTTCCTTTTTTCCTCACTCTTTTCCTCCCTCCCTCCCTCCTTCCTTCCTTCTTTCCTTCCTTCCTTCCTTCATTCTTTTTCCTTCCCTCCTTCCTTCTCTTCCTCCCTCTTTCCCTACTCCTTACTTCCTTCCATCTTTCCTTTTTTTCTTTCTCTTTTACTCTATTAAAATTGTATCGACTGTCTATCAGCCTGTGTCAGCCATTATGCTGGATGGTATTATTAACACAAAATCAAATTAAGTCTTGTCTCTGAATCTCAATAGGGACACTTTGTAGTGATAAAGAAAGGTATATATAAAAAGAAAATAGAATGTAAAGCAGGCTTGAGAGACTTATGCACAAGTTATCACGGGACTCTAAGGGGCAGCTTTGAAAGCCACAGTTTAAATTATTTGCAGTAAATTCAGACACATGATTTTCTGAAAGTCAGAAATCTCATTCTCCAACAACTGTGGATGTCATGAGCTCCCGTTGTCCTACTTACAAGGAGCGTTATTGCCATCTTCAGTTGAAGATGATTGGAATTTCTAGGGATTAAGAAAATTACCAAACAAAGCCTTTCTCTATAATTTAATCAATGTCATTTCAAAGTTTTATATAGAAAGATGGAGATCTTTCCAATTTTCTTTGGAAATATACACTTTTTCATGTACGTGTCTTTTGTCATCTACATAATGCAATATTGTTATTTATCTATTTTCAAGCATTTCTAGAAAGTAAAACCCAAGAATGAGGACATTCACCAGGGCTTAAAAAGAAAATGAAAATAAATAAAATTGCTTTAAAGAGCATACAAAATGTCATTATAATATGAAGCCTATACTATTTATTTAGGTCACAAAAGTGATAGCTATATCCTAAAAATGACTTTTATTTATTATTTCTTTAATACACTGTTTCCTAGTATCAGGTTTCTAGAAATACCTTTATTTCAAAAGCTAACAAACCTGAGAAGCATGGTTAAAATAATCAAGTTAGTTTGGGAGATTTAAGGAGAGAAGAGTATGAATTATACTTGCTGAATGCATACTATATACAGGCATGTGGCAAACGATTTATTATTATTATTTTATTTTATTTTTGAGATAGGGTCTTTCTCTGTCGCCCAGGCTGGAGTGCAGTGGAACAATCTCAGCTCGCTACAACCTCTGCCTCCCGAGTTCAAGCAATTCTCATGCCTCAGCCTCCCTAGTAGCTGGGACTACATGCGCCCACCACCATGCCCAGCTAACTTTTTATTTTTATTTTTTTAATTTTTATTTTGTATTTTTAGCAGAGATGGGGTTTCATCATGTTGGCCGGGCTGGTTTCAAACTCCTGACCTCAGGTGATCTGCCCACCTCAGCCTCCCAAAGTGCTGGGTTACAGGCATGAGCCACCATGCCTGGCCAAACAATTTAAATCTATTAGTTTACTTAAAGTTCCAAATAAAAATGAGGGGTCAACATATTAGCTTTATTTTAGAGATGAGGAAACTGAGGCTTAGAGAGTATCATCAACTTGTTAATGGTCTAGTAACTAGCAACCAGTAAATGGCAGAATTTGGATAAAACTAGAACCCACATTATTCCATTGTGTTATCAGAACAAAAAGGAATCATTTACATATTTATATCCAAGTAAAAAAAAACACCCACTGTCTAAATCTGCCTGATTTTTTTTGTTCAAGAGTAATACGATGTCAATAGTATCAGTAGAATAAGTACAAGTATCTTGTTTTATGTATTGACTTTTCTTCCCCCACCCCAACCTTTGTATTGATCAATAAAGTCCTTGTTTTAAACCACATGAAAACTGTATTTGCTTATCTTTGAAGTGCATACTTTCTTATTAAGTACATTTTAAATTAAACCTTCTTCTTGGAGTTGAAAGAAAACTGTAAGCTAATTTAAAAGTCAGGAATCCAATGAGTTTTTTTTGAAGTACAGGCTTTCAGAGCCAAAATTCATTAACATCATTTCAATAGGAAAATAAAATCAAATAGTTTAATGCTGCAATTTTACATGATATGAGACAGATTGCTGCCTTTTTTTTTTTTTTTTTTTTTTGGAGATGGAGTTTTGCTCTTGTGCCCCAAGTGGGAGTGCAATGGTGCGATCTCGGCTTGCTGCTTTCCGAGTAGCTGGGATTACAGGCAGGCGCCACCACACCCAGCTAATTTTTGTATTTTTCATAGAGACAGGGTTTCACCATGTTGGCCAGGCTGGTCTCGAACTCCTGACCTCAAGTGATCCACCCGCCTCAGCCTCCCAAACTGCTAGGATTACAGGCATGAGCCACTGCTCCTGGCCAGATTGTTGCCGTTCTTAAAGACAGGGGATATTTACAGTCTAACAGCAATGGAAATAAATAATTGTACAAACACAGGCCAGAAGATCAGGTGAGTCTAGTTTAGAAGCTTGGTTTTCACTCAAAAACAAAAGTCCAACATCTTAGGAGCTAAAGATAGGGATATGCTATGTAGGCATTAAGTCAGGAACAGCCTGAGGAGTGGCTGAGGAGGGTGGATTGTTTTTGGATAATGGCTCACTTTCCTCATCTATAATGGGTATATTAATGGTATCAGGCTATAGGATTGTGAGGATTAAATGCAATAACACATATAACACTCTTGTTCCAGCAAATGCCTACAGCACTGGTATCTCTTTGATAAATGTTAATCTTTGTTATCATCCCAACAAGCAAAGGAATTAAGTAGAAATGGTATAAATTATGGTATTGTCATACCAAGTCTCCAGCAGGAGGTTTATATTATAATGGATGTATGACAGTGAGGAGTAACTTAATCTTTCTAAGGTTCAATTTTCATACCTGTAAAAGAGGACTGACTATTAATCATACCTATTGTGCAAAGCTGCTGTGGGGTCAAATGAAAGAGTGTTTGCAAAAGGCCTCTGTAAAATGTAAAGGGCCCCTTACATGCTGGTTAGCATCACTATCTATTTCTATTCCTTCCCAGTTTTCATAGAAATCTCACCTTTGAATTTACTTATGAGTCAGAATTATGATATAACAATAATATTAAATATATTTATTAGCTGGGATGAGCTTTGCTAGCTCAACTCCATGAATAGTGACCTATGAGGGGAAAAACCCTATGAAATCAGCTCCGAGGGGAGGGCATACAGACTCCTATTGAATGGTGAGAAGGAAAGTGAGGGTTAGGGAGCAGAAGCAAGAAGGTGTCCATGTTAGGAATAAATTTAGCTATAAGTAACAGCGCTCAACTAACAGCAGCATAAAATAGTGAGTTAATGTGTTTTTATATACCAAGTTTGAAGGAAGGTGGTATCCTAGAGTTGATCAGCTCACAACAATGCATTAGAGGCCCAGATCTCTCTCTTTTGCTGTTCATAGTTTTCATCCCCTTGCTAATTGCCTCAGGGCAGCAGACAGCATGTTCAAGGCAGGAAGAAGTAGAGAAGAATGGTACCAGACCTATCTGTTCCTTGCAAAAGCAGCAAATGCTTCCCTCAGTATTTCTTGGCAAATTATTATATCTTAAGAAGCAGAGTATGTCTGACTTACTCCTAGCTTCAACCAACAGTGGGAAGATGAATATTTAATTAGATACGTAGCTAATCTGAGCAAAATCTGAGTTATATTTACAAAGAACATGGGAAGAATGATTGGGTAAGCAGCTAGCAGTGCCTGCCACTGTGCAATCCTCATACTTGGTGGAAGAGGGGACATTTCTGATTAAAGGTGCAGAAGCTTTGTAACATAATAAGCATAATTATATTTCCGGTGAGCTTGGAACCCTGAGTTGTTTGTCTACGTGTTTTCAGACTGAGAAGCAAAGAACACAGTCAAGTAACTGAAGATAGAGGCATTTTTGAATTGGTTAAAGGAATGGAGTTAGAAATTAGTTTTAAATAATGATTCCCTTGAAAACCATTTCTGTTGTAATTGATGAGAAAGTAAATACATGTACCTTTGAGAGTTGCATCCTTAAGTGAAAATATCCTATTGTTCCTAGTTAGTTTTTGCAAGCAAAATAAATATCACCTATTCAAACCTCAAGGGCAGATGCTATGGTGTTTGGATGCTGTGTGAAGTATTGTTCAAGAGTGTAACTGGAAAAGAAATTTGGCTAAATAAACTGTAGTTCTAAACAAGTGATTTAAACACCCTAAGCCTTCTGGGGATAAAAAGAGATTCCATCAGATGCAACTTATATGGTGAAATTAAACACTTTACAGGAATTGCAGAAATTTTAAAACTTCATGAAATTTTAAAACTTCATGGTCTTGCACATAAACTGGGCCCAGCAAACTTCAGAATAGCTGTTAGACGAGAATTAGGATGTATTTGCTTCTTAATGTTGCTTGTTTCTTATTATAAGATGATAATTTTATCCTGTTAGTTCATCATAACTATCTTTGTAGAATTTGTAATCAGCATAGCCAAAGGCACACTGTACTGTAAGATTTGACTGCATCATTTTAAGAACTTTTCCTCTAGTCAAGGAGCAGTACTGTATTTGTCTCCAACACCACCTAGTGACAAATTTAAAAAGCTGCATCTTATTGAGTTGAAATAGCATCTTTGAATTAAAAAGCCATTGCCTGGCCTGGTGCAGTGGCTCATGCCTGTAATTCTAGCACTTTGGGAGACCTAAGCGGGCAGATTGTCTGAGCTCAGGAGTTCGAGACCAGCCTGGGCAACACGGTCAAACCCTGTCTCTACTAAAAATTAGCTGGTCGTGTCGGCATGTCCCTGTAGTCCCAGCTACTTGGGAGGTAGAAGCAGGAGAATTGCTTGAACCCGGGAGGTGGAGGTTGCAGTGAGCCAAGATCGAGCCACTACACTCCAGCCTGGGAAACAGAGTGAGACTCTGTCTCAAAAAAAAAAAATTAAAATAAAAATAAAGCCATTGCCAGTGCCCAGACCACTGGCCATGTGCAGCCAGTGAGTGCCTAAAATGTGGCTAGTACAATGGATCTCAATAGTTTTTATATTGATTGCATGTTTAAAATAATATTTAATAATATTAAAAGTAAAATAATTTTAAAATTTCTTTAAAGAAAAAGTATTATTGCCGGGTGTGGTGGCTCACACCTGTAATGATAGCACTTTGGGAGGCCGAGACAGGAGGATCACTTGAGGCTGGGAATTTGACACCAACCTAGGCAACATAGTGAGACTCCATCTGCACACACACAAAAAAAGACGGATGTGGTGGTGCACACCTGTAGTCCCATCTACTTGGGAGGCTGAGACAGAAGGATTGCTTTGGCCCAGGAGTTTGAGGCTGCAGTGAACCGTGATCATGCCACTGCACTCCAGCCTGGGCTACAGAGAGAGACTCTGTCTCAAAAAAGAAAAAAAAAGCAATATTAAAATTTGTGTCACCTGTAAGTTTATATTATTCTTAATGTGACTATTAGAACATTTACAATTGTACATGCAGTTTGCATTATATTTAATGGAACAATGATAACTTAGATACTTAATTACATAGTTTTACCCATGTAGCTCCTTTAGTAAAAGTATGGGGGTAAAGAAATGAATGAAAACCATCTGAATTTATTCAAAAGAACATGTTGGAACATGAATGGATGTGACAGGAATAAATATATCCAGGGTTGTTTTGTATGTATACTTTTGATCATAGGTAATTAACAATTTTAGTAGATGTACTAACTATTAAATTGCCAGTATTGAGAATCCACTAGGTGCCATGTATTGTTTTAAGAACTCTGCATGCATTTACTCACATAATCCCTGCAAAAATCCAGTGAGACAAGTACTGTTATTCTAGTCATTTCACACAAAATAGAGTGAGGCCCAGATAACTGAATGCCTTCTCCAATGTCAGGTGGCTATGAAGAGGAAGAGTCAGGCTTTGCACACAGTCTGGCTTCAACATCTACATTCTGAACTGCTCTGATATCCTCCTACTGAAAAGAAAATGTAAATGAAAAATTAAAAAAAATCAACTGGCTGTAGGATAACTGCTTTAAGCACATGTCCACATAATAGTCATAAATTATTTCTATTAAGTTGTTGTATTCTTATTTTTGAGATGGAGTCTTGCTCTTTCACCAGGCTGGAGTGCAGTGGTGCGATCTCAGCTCACTGCAACCTCTGCCTCCCAGGTTCAATTGATTCTCCTGCCTCAGCCTCCGGAGTAGCTGGGATTACAGGTGCCTGCCACCACACCCTGCTAATTTTTGTATTTTTAGTAGAGATGGGGTTTATCCATTTTGGCCAGGCTGGCCTTGAACTCCTGAGCTCAGATGATCCACCTGCCTCAGTCTCCCAAAGTGCTGGGATTACAGGCATGAGCCACCACATCTGGCCTAGTTATTTTATTCTTATTAATGTGATTCAAATGGATTTAGTGAGAAAAGTAGTCACTTTTAATATTGTGTTTCAGATTGGTCATTGATTTTTTAGCCTTAGGAGACACCATGAAGATACTAAGATGAATAAGATGCATGATTTGCCTTTTGAGTGCTGAAAGTCAGGGGAAGTTGGGTTTGTAAACAAATAATACAGATGGAGAACAGAGAAGAAAGTTTCCATGGAGATGATGTTTAAACAGAGTTTTAGAGGGAAAATAGGATTTGTCCAGGCAGAAAAGAGAGGGAAGCCAGAAGTCCCAGGCAGAGGGGACAGTTGGACAAAGTCATGTAATCATGAAACAGCATGGCACCTGCAGAAAACTAGAATAGTTCAATATTGCTTGAGTTTAAAGTTGTTGGGATACATAAGGGTATTGTCTAATGGGACTGTCACAAAGTTCTTTCATAGAAATTTGCCAGCCTCACAACCTATCGGTGTAGGAGAAAATGATTGTGTATGAGAGCTGATAAGTTCTGAGTTTGGCTTGATCTTTTTTTTTTTTTCCTGTAGTACTGCTATTTTATGTGATAAGAAAATCCAATGGGGGGAAAAATCTATGAAACTACAGTTCACAGAACCAGTTCAAGAACATGTCTCTCTAAACTTTAAGATGCTCTGTGGACCTTGTAAATATCAAATGAATTCATATATATGACACTGCTTTGAAAGCAGCTCAATGCTCATTAGATGGAGGCTATATGATACCATCATCACTCGAGAGTTAAATCAATCAGATTACTTAAATGTCTAGAGCAATTACTTTTAAAGTAAAAATTTTAGATGCCTTTTTATTACTTGTTACTATAGTGAATATTAATAAACTTTTATTGGCTACCTTACCACAAAGAGGACAGATTTTCTGTAAGGATTGTTGAATTCACAACAAACTGTTCTATTGATTTTAAGTAAAATGGGCAGCAAATTTGGTAACATCGTCAAAATGCATATATTTGTAGGCTGACTGAAGCTAATTAAAACATAATATCAGTTACATTTTGTTCATGACTTTTTAAAAGGACATCAATTTGTATCTAAAATATCATCTGATAGTATCCCGTGTGAAACCCCAAATCATTGTATTCTAACTTGAGAAGCTAGAAAGGTTCAGCCTGGATGTTTCCTCAAACTGGATAACAGGTGAATTAGCCTCCCTAAAGAAAGGCCCCTAACTTAGATCAGCCACACAGAGATTCATTTATTTATTTTTCCCTTCCTTTCTTTCTTTTCTTGCTTTGCTTTGCTTGCTTGCTTGCTTTCTTCCTTCCTTCCTTTCTTTCTTTCTTTCTTTCTTTCTTTCTTTTTTTTTTTTTGAGTTGGAGTCATTCTATTGCCCAGGCTGGAGTGCAGTGGCATGATCTCCGTTCACTGCAACCTCTGCTTCCCAGGTTCAAACGATCCTCCTCCCTCAGCTCCCCCAGTAGCTGGGATTACAGGCACGCGCCACCATGCCCAGCTAATTTTTGTATTTTTAATAGAGACGGGGTTTCACCATGTTGGCCAGGCTGGTCTCGAACTCCTGACCTCAGGTGATCCACCCGCCTTGGCCTACCAAAGTGCTGAGATTACAGGCATGAGCCACTGCACCTAGCCCATTTCTACCACTCTATCATGACTACATTGTTGACCAGGCTGGGTACAGACGTGCAATATATGATGATGGGTGGATTAAATTGCTCAGGAGATGTTTAAAATGTAGATCTTTGAGCCCTATAGAGCCAGTAAATGAGAGTGCTTGGAATTGGAGCATGGGAATTAACATTTTTAACAGACATCCTAGAAGATTTGAGAAGCTTAGGACTGGATTGTGGTTTAGACATGATCTATGTAATTAAATGTCAGTCACTATTCTATGTGGATATTCACTACTTTTCAGAAATCAAAAGCTGAAAGCTGTTTTTGATATAGCTTCTCTGTTAGCAAACACCAACACTAAGACACTGCTCTCATGAAATATGAAGCATAGCTTGATCAACACGGTTCACTCCATCTGATTTCATCTGGCCTTAGCATTCTAGGGAATTAATGCTAAACTATGTCCCTGCTCACTTGCTCTATGACCATTCTGGTAAATCCTTCTATCAGTCACTTTTCTGCTATAAAAGATTTAAAAAGTAGCAGGGTGGGCTTTCTGTTCTTCCATATAGACATTTCAGCCACTGACTACCTTTGGTGAAAAGAAAAAAAAAGATCCCAAAACATGCTTTGAAATGAACAGTCCATCTAAGTGTCTAGTTTGACAAATAAATAGTTAGATGCCTTCTTCATACTTGATATTTTTAGTGCAAAATATAACTGGTTATGTTACTTATTACAGTTGAAATTGCTATTATATGATTCATGACTTATTAGGATGATTGAGGTCTATGATTACAGTTTTGTTTGCATATGTACCTCAAGGACCTACAGGTTATGTAAGGTACTTGCTTGCTTTGAATACCTCTTTCCACCTTTACCTCCCCAATAGTTAATTGTTGTGACTGCTTTATATAATGAGAGAGGTGTATTTAGGAGAATTTGGCAAAAGAGAGTGGCTAAGGCAAGAAAATACAAGACAAGACTAGTTTTTAGCAAGATGATAGGTGTAAAATTATAGCTCAGTTTTCATTTTGCCTTAATTATTCCCCATCAAATGTAATATTCTTTATAAAAATGAAGTATAGAAGCAGCATACACTTTTAAAATGTGAAGTTAATCCCAGATGAAGACAGTGGACTGGAATTTTGTCACATTAAATAAATCTCAGTTCCTAAGATCATACTAATTTCATGCCTGCCTACTGAGACAACTGTTAGATGTAAAGGTAAAATCATTTTTAATAGAAAACAGAAGGTGTTTATCCAGAAGAACTGGTAAATATAGATTCAACAAACTATGGGTATAAATGTCTTCCAAAAATTATAATGCATTAGCAATTATGCAATATTACCTGGAGACCCTAATAACCCCTTAGAGCATGCTAAGGGTTATAGTGAGCCCGCACTCTGTGGCAAAACGGAATAGGACCTGTAACTTTTGGTCTAAATTATTCCAGCTCTCAAGTCTTTTTAATAAGATTCCCTTATTACGGAAAATTAACATTTCTGATTTCATAATTTATTCCTGAAATGGAGGAGCCTGGAGACAAGAAGTAACAACATTTCGGATAAAGATAACTTAGGCAAAATTTCACAGAAGGAAGGAGTGTCGTGTATTCAGGGAACATTTAAGAGGCAAGTGTGGCTAAATCAAAAGATCTGAGAAAAAAAATAAATTTTGAAAATATAATCTGTGCCCACTAAAAACCTGATATCTGGGGATTTGTATATTCTTAGGGCAAAATGATTGGCAATGGCAAAGATTGTTTGACATCTCTCTTTTATGTTAACTGTGCAGTTTCAATTCATTTAGGCAAGATCTAAACTATCTTGTGCCTGGTTATTACTTCTTTCATAAAAAGCAGACTCCTTCCACCTCAATTTTCTCATTCTGAACTAAGCTTTTAATTAGAAGAAAATAACTCATTTTCTTTTTCTTTTTCCCATTTTGAGCATGTATCAGACCTTGACATAGGGATGAATGTGCCGTTTTCAGCTTCTTTTTGATAGTAAAGGGATTTGGGCTACTAAGATATTACAATTTTTATAAAGTAAATTTCTCCTTTATACTGCTCTCATAATTTTGAACCTTAATTTGGGGACTCCAGGGGGAATTGGGTCGAAACCATAATTAGAGTTATATCCTTTAGCAAGCTGCCTGCATTGGGTGATTGTGTGTGTGTGCTTGTGTGTGTGTGTGTGTGTGTGCGTGTGCATGAGAGAGAGAGAGAGAAAATTCTCCCTCATTTGTCTATGTATGTATTCATCCAGAAAGACAGAGTGACAGAGAGCTATGGAGAGATAGAGAGAGAGAGAATTATTTTTAAATTGTCAGCAAGGGGAAATTTGAACCAGATATATAAAAAAGGAGGTTGCTGCAGATTCTGGCAAGGGGCTGATAGTTGCATTTAAGGTTGGTTAACCTTGGTGATGTTCATAGACTATGGATCTGCATGGTATTACATATAAACTGCCCCTTCCAACGCACACACACACACACACACACACACACAAGGCTTCTGCATTCCCAAAATGTGAATTTGAGGAGTACAGCCCATAATTGCTGCAGAGTTGAAGACCATTGCCATTCAGAACTGGGAAGACTGCGAAAGACCTTTGGAGAAACAAAACCTTTTTGTTCATCTCGCTATTTCTTAAAATTTTTTCTAAATGTGAAATTTGGGAAAATGTAATGTATCAGCTTGATAAGAAATTTTGCGACATCTTAAACATGAATGAGAAGATGGTGGATATGATGGTGACTGTTTTCATTCAAATAAAGCCAACGAGACAGATGAAAGGTAAGAGGGTAGTACTGTGTCCCGTTCCAAATGTGATTTCTGTCACTTCTTTTCTACATGTGCAAAGTGATGACAAGTTATTTGTGGATTCCTTGAACTGTGATTTGCTCAAGTTAGGACATGGCATGTGTGTGTGTGTGTGTGTGTGTGTGAGAGAGAGAGAGAGAGAGAGAGAGAAAGGCAGTTGATAAACTAAATTTTTTTTTAGACTTAAATATTGTCACTGACTCAGGCAAGAATTCATGATTAGGCATAGAACTCTAACATCTTGGGGAGGCAAGAGAACATGAGGAGGTGCCTCATGAATGTAAATAATGCAAAAATACATTGATTTATAAGAAATTCAGAAGTTAGAGATTAGAGGTCTTGCCTAAATTTATGCTACTGTTCCCAAAAAAGTGTCTTAAAAGCACCTTTTATTTTGACACTGATCTGTATTAACAATGCTTTGAACACAGGAGTTAAGAAGATGAAGCTGTGATGTACATCATAGTGCACGTTAAGAATGGGTCAAAAGAAGATGTGATTGATGTCATCCTCCTCTTCAACTCACAGTATAATTTTTAACTTCCCATAGTCGAAAATTTAATCTGGCTTTCCTAAATTCAACAGGTTTTACTTTGACAAGCTCCCAAGTGATATTTTAAGTCTAAATAATCAGCTCATATGAAGAGTCACATGTGTTTTACATAGAATTTATGACAGTACTTTTACTGTTGAGTTTGAAATTAAAAAACAGAAAACACTAATGTACCCTTCATTTCCTAGGTTTATTTTGCATACATTTAAACAAGTTTTCTACTGTAATGAACTTATCAATCTCTAATAACGCAATGACTTTTACTTACATGTACTTTTTCATAACTAAAAAATCGTGATTGGAATCCATATCTGCTCTATATACTTTGTCTAATTTAATCCTTCTGGTGGCAAAGATACTTGTTAATGTTTTGTAGAAAAAGCAATTAAGACTCAGAGAAGTTTTTTATGATGAAGTTGCTAAAGGTCAAATAAGCTAATGAGTAGTAAATTTCAGAAACTAAGACCCAGGCCATTTGACTCCCAAATCAGTTCTCTCACCTATAAAAACCCAGTTTTAAGGTGATAAACGTTAAAAGTTAAGTGAAATTGTCTCTTGGTTTCCATGATGGCTTCAAAAAAACATGCATTTTCGAGATGAATAAAAAGACAACGCTTTTTCGAAACGCTAGTATTGTAGGAATTTAATGCTTAAATAACTTTAGTTGATTTTATTTGCTATTGCAGTTGTGTAGCCTTTTTGCTTGCTTCCTACATGTTGGGCTTCATAAAAGGATTTCAATAACACTGACTTTGTATGTGAACTTGAATTTTTGATTATCTCAAATTAATTTTAGGAAGTTGTAAATTCTACTTGCAGATTTTTAGTCTGTGTTCCTGGATGCTTCATTTTCTAAAATTTTTAGGATAAATTCTGATTTGTGAATATTCATTCTCTTTTATATGTAAGTGTGTGAGAGAAAGATGGTAATAAAATGTGCATAAACAGTTGGATATATTACTTGGAAAATAAGTCAGCTTTTTGAAGTATTGGTTACATTTATTAACTCTGAAATCAAAGTGTCTATGCAAAATTATAATGTGCTATTTCAAAGTGACTGTGTAATTGTTGGTTTTAAATAAGCTTTCTGAAAAAGAAATTTTTTCATCATAGTGTTCATATGCTTATAGAATCCTTCTATATACTAAAATATATAAGACTTCTTACATGACATCCAAATTATTTTCTACTTCATGTAAATTTATGTTTCATATATTTTCCAAATAGATATAATTATGAGATTTCTGTTGGAGAAGAAGAAAGTATTTTATTCCAGTTTTTTTCTGAGTGATTTGTTTTATACTTAAAACAAATCAGCATTTATGCTATCATTTAAAAACAAATCAGCATTTATGCTACCACAGAATTCCATTAAGTTTGAATTGTAATCAATGCATATGTAGTATTGTTCAAGCTTTGAAATAAAAAACGTGGAAGCGATTTTAATAAATAAAATTATAATATTATGTAGTTGTTTTTTTTTTTTTTTTGAGATGGAGTCTTACTCTGTCACCCAGACTGGAGTGCAGTGACATGATGTTGGCTCACTGCAACCTCCGTCTCCTGGGTTCAAATGATTCTTCTGCCTCAGCCTCCTGAGTAGCTGGGATTACAGGCGCATGCCACCACGCCTGACTAATTTTTGTATTTTTAGTAGAGATGGGGTTTCACCATGTTGGTCAGGCTTGTCTCGAACTTCTGACCTCGTGATCTGCCCACCTCAGCCTCCCAAAGTGTTGGGATTACATGCATAAGCCACTGCACCCAGCCTATGTAGCCTTTTAAGTAAGCTAGTTCCCAATGGGACCAGTGATTTTAGTACATAAATAGCAAAGAAAATCAGTTGCCCCTTTCCTGGCTGTGAGTTTACCATTTGCCAGCACAATTGTAGTATCTGTTTGCTTCTGCATCAGAGTTAGTGGGTTTTTTTGTTTGTTTGTTTTTTCTTTTCATATGTCTTGTGCTTCACGGAGAGAAAGATATGTGGTTCACTTTCTTAGCAGATCCAACACCCACCTCTATTGTTTCTCATCTGCACAGTTGTTATTTCTTACAGTCTATGTCCCAAGTTGCTAAACTGAACTGGTTTTGGTGTCAACAGGCTGTGCCTTCAAGTTGTTGTAACAAGAGACTAAGAAGTGAAAAAAATATGTCCATCAAGGTGCTTTTTAATTTACATGTCACAAAAGGTTTGTCTGTTTACTCATTTTCCCCCAGCTGAGCTGGTCAATTGCATTAGCATATCTAAGGACTGCTCATGACCTTGTGTATTTATCCATCAATCTGTTCATCCATTGATTTATTGGGTTGCTTATTTAATTAATGAATTAGTTATTTCTCTGGCTCAATAAAAATATTAGATAAATGACTTTTTAAAAGTTTTAATAGTAAAACATAACCCCCCAAATGGACAAGAGAAAACTCAAAAGTGAAGTCAACACTAGCAGAAAGAGTGTACAAACACCACAGGCTTTCAGCTGTTGTGAGGCACATATTTAACTCTGATGTAACTATTGGCCAAGAAGAATGTCATAGTTCTAAATAACCAAAAGAAAAAAGTTTCTTGGTGGGTAACGAAAATTTTTTCTCAGTTAATTCAAAGGATATTCTTTCGTATTAGTTTTCTATATGCTCAGTTGCAGATTTGAGAATCTTGTTTCCATAGATAAACAATATTCGGGTGAATTTTATTTTCTGCAAAATCTCATTCTAATAGTAGATTTTAAATTTATAAATATCTGTAAATTAATTTCTCCTTGTTAAAGTCAAGATTTGAAGCCAGGGCTTTCTGAAGGAGTATGGCAATTCAAATTGTCAAGATGTTGCTCTGTACCAACATTATAATAGGTACTGGGGATATAAAGACAGATATCTTTGCACTGAAAGAGCTTTTATATATCAGTACAGATTTTCCCATAAGAGTGCTGCTAATGGATGAGTTAGTAGATGGATATGACGTTTTTATTGTATTGTAATTATTATTTACTTTAGAATAACTATGCATTAATTTTTTATGAATTATATAAAGTTTCATTTAAAATAAATTTATATAAGTAGAATTATGAATTGATTTACAGAAAAGGATTAAGTAGATTACAGTAAAATTTTAGAAGGATATGGCATCCGTTTTGAAGGTGGTATAACTAATGGCACAGTTTGAGACATACTCTTCCTGTAGAAGACTGTCAACATGAAAGGCTTATTACTGTGGAGAGGATTTATTGTAATAATGGAGGTGTGGACTTTATATAGCTTTAATGAAAATACAGGTTTAAAAACTGTTTGGGGTGGAATCAGGGAGTGCCACAGAGATTAGACATCTGAGCTAGGACTTAAGGGATGAGTAGGAGTTCATCATGTGAAGAGGGGAGGGCATTTGCACTGAAAAAACAGTGGAGCTAAAGTGTGAGGTATCAAACAGCATCATTTGAAAAATCATGAGTTACTTGGTAAGAATGGAAAGCAAGGGTATGTAAGAAATAACAGAGGGGCAATAATGATCCAAGTCAACCCTTACTGAAGACTGAGTGTGTGCCAAGCACTATCATATAGACTTTGTGTGCACTATATCAATCTTCCTGGCAATCATGTGAAGTGTGTATTTTCAGGCTGCTTCATTGCCCTCCTCCAGAGGATGCTCTTTACATCATAGTTCATGTGAATAGTGTCCCATTGAGTCTCATGTCTATGTTTTACAGATGAGAAAACTTCAGCCAGGGAAGTTAGATCATTTGCCTAACATCACACAGTTGTCAGTATAAAAAATGGATTGAAATCCAACTAATCTACTTTAGATAGAGGAGAGGTGACCCCCTCCACATGCCCCTTAGAGAGAAACTGGACTTTATCCTGTAAGCCAGCAGTCCCCAACTTTTTTGGCACTAGGGACCAGTTTCGTGAAAGACAATTTTTGCACAGACAGAGCAGGGCGGGGATGGTTTGGGGATGAAACTGTTCCATCTCAGATCATCAGGCATTAGATTCTTATAAGGAGAATGCAGCCTAGATCCCTCGCATGTGCAGCTCACAACAGGGTTCACACTCCTGTGAGAATCTAATGCCACCCAGATCTGACAGGAGGTGGAGCTCAGGCAGTAATGCCTGCTCACCAGTCGCTCACCTCTGGCTGTGCAGCCGGTTCCTAACAGGCCATGGACTGGTACCAGTCCACAGCCCCAAGGTTGGGGACCCCTGCTGTAGGTAGGCAATGGGAGGCTACTGAAATATTATGGGAGAGAAACGATTGAAGTGGATTGAGCTTGGAGGCAGGGAGACTAGTCACGTTGGATCAGTCAAGAGCTGATGAAAGCCAAACCAAGATCAAGATGACAGCACCAGTGTGGAGATTACCAGATATCTACCCTGTCATTAGAATTGGGCTAAACTCTTTATTGCTGTTAGGACTTGAGAGGCCTGACTTTCTGATTCTGTGTCCCCAAGCTGAGCTGTCCCACTAGATCCTGCAATAAGGACAGGAAGCTGTTGATTCAGTCTTATTACAAGCCACTGACTTGTTCTATTTTTTTTCTTTGTTGACTCTCAGCAATATACATTAGCCCTAGCTCTAGCACTCAGGTTTTCTCTTCTTTCTTTCTCTAATTACCTGTAGTCTCACTCTCAATCACCTTAGCTCCTGATACAGGCATAAACTGCCATTTGGAATGGAATCCAAAGCTTTTGGATGATGTGTTGATATAAAAGACATCTTTTCTTGCTTGTTCAATTTAGTGATGTCTTGAAATCTGTTTTAATATTTCTAAAACATTCATTTATCTCAGAATTGGTTCTCAAAGAGTAGCTCTTGGACCATCTGCATCAAAATCAGCTGAAGGCTCAAATTATGCAGATTGCAGGGCCCCACCCACAAACTTCTGGAATGAGAATCTTAGGAGGTGAGCTAGAGTTATTTACCTGGTACTTCCAGTTACTTCTGATGCTGACAATCAACAGACCCCACTTGAGAAATTCTAATCAAGGACTTAGCAGTACTGAAATGATATTTTGATTGAATAATTCTTTCTCTTTTCTCTGACTCTGTCTTACTCTGTGTAGCTCACATTTTCTCTTGTGGAAGAAATAGAGAATGCATTAGGTCTACTTGTTTAAGCAGCCTCCAGGGGTAACAAAACTGGAACTCGTGGATAATAACATGTCTGTACAGGAAGGAAGTGCAAAGGGTGTGTTGAGTTCTGAATTGTGTAGGAACCCAATCTGTAACAGAAAAAAAAAAAGGTAAGTGTTTAACAATCACTGTGGTCATCATACCACAAAATCCTAAACCTCTTTATCTTTTATCATCATCGGATCATTAATGATAATAAGGTTGTTTCCATATCCTTGTTTGATCCAGACTCCTGCCCTCCTCCAATTCTCACAAAGATTGGAGAGAGCAGAGCAGTGATTTTAGGGAAAGTAGCTCATGAGAAGGTATCTCAGAGGCACTTGACTCAAAACTGTCAAAGTGGGGTGGTCCAGGAATCTGCTAGCTGTTCTGCACTGCAGGAATAGTGCTAGAAAAATCAGGTGCACTGTGGAGTTTTGTCAAACAAGCAAGAATACCAGAACAGAGAAGTAAAACCCTTTCCTCCTGCAGTTCCTCTCTAGCACCCTTTACTGACCAAACCCAACATCCTAACATCCAGCCAGCCAACAAAGAACGAATAGTGAAAGGTACCAGCTCCATTTTCACAGAGCAGCAAAGAAGGATGGATATGGAGTTCAGAGTCAATAAACTGATGACCAGCAAACACATGATGCTTTTAAAAATATATAGATTGAATATTTACAACTTGCTGTACTGTCTTTTGTTAATGTATTTCTTTGGTTATCTTTTTTTCTCTCACCTGCTCACCTGTACTTCCAGGAAGTATATTATGTCAGATTCACAACTATATTCCACTGGGATATTTTAATTTTGAATTGTGATTAATTATAAATTAATTTTAACAGACTTAGTAATTTTGACATATTCAGACTTTTCAAATAAATCTATAACATATCTCTTGGATAATTATTGTATATTTTACTAATTTTTTTTTTTTTTTTTTACACAGTCTGACTCTGTTGCCCAAGCTGGAGTATGTGTAGTGGCGCGATCTTGGCTCACCGCAACCTCCACCTCCCAGGTTCAAGCGATTCTCTTGCCTCAGACTCCTGAGTAACTGGGACTACAGGCATGCACCACCATGCCAGGCTAATTTTTGTATTTTTAGTACAGACAGGGTTTCACTATGTTGGCCAAGCTGGTCTCGAACTCCTGACCTCATGGTCCGCCCACCTCAGCCTCCCAAAGTGCTAGGATTACAGGCATAAGCCACCGCACTCAGCACCTTAATAGGGATTTTTATATAAACTTTCAGATTTCTAGTTAAGGCTATTTCTAAATAATGTAAATTTTGTTATTAATGTTATTGGTGGTGCAGTCTTGCATTAGATCTTTTTTTTTCCCATTAGATTTTCCATTTGGCTGTCATTGGTATTTAGAAAATTATAAATTTTAAATTTTCTAAGTCAATCCTTATAACATCTAAAAAGTTTTGAGTTAATTATCTTGGATTTATATAGCCAACACTAACACTCATGCTGATTAAATGTGATTTTATAATATTTGTCTTCTCATAAATCTTCTAACATTGAGACAGTTAAAAGAATGACATTACTCAGCTCTGGGTCAGATTCCTAGTGTGCTGACTGACAAGGTGTTTGATGACCTGGACCAATTTGCTGAGTTGCCATGTGATTAAACCTGAAATTGGGGACTCATCCTCTCTACCACATAAAATTGTTATGAGGATTAAAGGAGATGATGATTATAAAATTCTTCATACAGAGCTCATAATAAATATTTGCTTTAAAACTGTAATAGGATGGAAAATGAAACCTTCTCTATTATCTTTATATTTGGGCTCTAGCCCCAGATAATAGTGCTTGAGCCACCAGACAATCCCCCTAGAGCTTGAGGTTGCCTAAGTGATATTTGAACTCCCATTCACCCTATTAAAGAGAAGCCAAATGTCTTTGTGGAATGGAATTTCTTATTATGGTAGGGAGTCTTAGATCTACTGAGGCAGACCCTTGGCCTTTCTCCTGCCCTCTGTAGATTGGAAAGTTGTGCTCCGTTCATGTGAAAGAAGTGCTTTTCAAGAGGTCTTCTCAAAGATACCAAGTTGTCTGCTAGATGGAGAGAAAGGACTCTTGTTGCTTGTCCAGAAACTTTCCAAGCAGCAGAAACTCAAAGGCTAATCCAGTGTATTAGAATGGAATGTAAAGACACAATTTGAGGAGAGCCTTAAAAATGTTTGTAGGAGTTTATGTGGTACAAATGCATGTAAGCATAGACTGGTCATGCTTTTTTTCTAGAGAATTCCGAAGATGGATGTCTGTCTAGAGCTTCTTGTGATGGGGAGCAGGATAGAGAGGGAATGCAGTAGCTGAAGTTCCTTGCACTTGATGCAGCTTGGATGTATGTATTTCCCATTGGTCTAGCGGATGTCTTAAAAGATAATCACAACACACCTAATGGCACTTCAGCTAAGAGGGCTATCTACCAGGCAAAGAAGCCCCAGTGTTTAGAGGCTGTGGGGTAAATTGAATTGACAACAGGTGCACGAGCTGTTACTAGAGGTCAGCCCGGAAATGTACAACACATGTCAGAGAAGAATGCACTACAGATGGCCCCATGGGGACTCCATTTATATCCCAAGAGAGAGCCAGCATTTGGATTCCTGACCTAAAGGGAAATCCAAAGACGAGAAAGCTATAAGGTGTGCCACATAACAAAAACCCTATTGCCTGCTGTTTCTCTCATAAGCTCCTCTCCTGCCCAGATTTTGGAAGAATCTGAAGCAGCAGAGCAAGTGGGATAAAGAAGCAAAAGGAGAGAAGAGTAAAGAGTGGTTTTCTCTACTCCACTGTGGCTCTACAAGTCTGGAATAGGCCTGAATGGAAACTGCAGGGGAGACATTTGCATTAGAGAATGAAATGTTTATTAGACTGTATTTCATGGCTTCATGCAATATAGGAAATTGTGACATAGATACTAAAATGAGACTCTTTCCTAAAATATAATTGGCTTTATAGTTTGGGATTTGCACAAGAGATTATCCAGAGTTGGGGAAGAAATACGCTTCAAAGAATTTTAAAGGTAGCAGTTAGGAAAATAATTGTTTTTCTGTTATGCCTCAAGAAGTTAAGACCATTCAATCAACTAGTCACACATATATTCACTCAACACTGTGAACTAACAAAACAAAATCTTGGCAAAACAGCCAATAATGCATAACCAATAATGATATGTGGGCTGAGTGCCATGGCTCATGCCTGTAATCCCAGCACTTTGGGATGCCAGGGCAGGAGGATCACTTGAGGCCAGGAGTTCGAGAGCAGCCTGGGCAAAAAAGAGAGGCCCTATGTCTCCAAAAAATAAAATAAAATAAAAAATTAAGCATGGTGATACATGTCTGTAGTCCTAGCTACTGGGGAGGCTGAGGTGAGTGGATCACTTGAGTCCCGGAGTTCAAGACTGTAGTAAGCTATTATCATGCCACTGCACTCCAACTTGGGCAGCAGAGTGAGACTCTGTCTCAAAACAAAAAAGTATATGTATATCTGCTCAAGGAAATTCTTGAGGAATGAGTTAGTAAAATGACTTGTATCAATAGATATTCTTTATTTACTGATATTTACAATTCAGTCCTTTTTGTTAATATGGCCAACTCCATGGATTTCCACTATAAAACAAACCTTCTCTCAGATACTCACGTTTAACATCACAATTAGTTGGATACAGTAGAGAATCTATCTTTGGAGGTAAAATGGCCACTTCTAAGATCCTGTGCCAGGGAATTGGAAAACATGAAATTTTATCCAATGAGTCTGTGACTGTCCCAACATACATCAGCTTTATTCTTTTCATTTAATAAGTTATTGCTCTGCATCTAAGATATTCCCCTGGGTTTTTCATTGTTAAATTGCTGGTAGCTTAATTATGATTATGTTATTTAGAACAGCACCCAAACCTATAGAAAATGATTCTTATCACATTAGTTGAGGCCAACACTGATAAAACAAACAAACCTTAAAATGTAGATGTTTGTCAGAACAAAAGTGTTTCTGGTAAGCATACAGCTCTATTTCCAATGTCATTTCAGGCCAGGTGTGGTGGCTTATGCCTGTAATCACAGCACTTTAGGAGGCCAAGGCAGGAGGATTGCTTGAGCCCAGGATTTTGAGACCAGCCTGGGCAACATAGCCAGACCTCTTTAATAAAAATAAAAAAAATTTGCCCAGCATGGTAGCACACACTTGTAGTTCCAGCTACTTGAGAGGCTGAGGCAGAAGGATCACTTGAACCCAGAAGACCAAGGCTGCAGTGAACTATGATCACACCATTGCACTCCAGCCTGGGCAACAGAGAGATCTTGTCTCAAACAAACAAAAAACAAGTGGCATTTCAGAGACCCAGTTCTCTTTCATCTTGGGCTCTGCAGTCTTCCACACATGCCTTTCAAAGTTGTTGGCAAAGGCAAAAAACCCATGAAGGATCATCCCTGGAAGTTTTCATGGGCCAGAAACTTCCACCAGAGTCCACTGGTCATCATTTATTTATTCACGAAACCATACCTGCTGCAAGGGTACCTGTGATGTATTGTCTTGACATGTTCTCAGGAGGGAGAACAAAGGAGATTGGTCACTAGCTGGCCAATCTCTGTCACATCTGGCATATTCTACCTGTATGCAAACTGTCGTTCCTATAATCATGCATTTAAAAAAAATAGTATAAGCCACATTTTACTTTAAATTGGGGAGTGATGTGGAGATTTTCTGTTCCATTTCCAGATCTTTGCACCTGCTGTTCTTTATGCTTTGAGTAATCTTCCCATAGAACCTGAGGTCTCCACTTATTACCTCCTCAAAGAGGACATTCCTTAAATTCCAAGTTAAGCAACTTGGCCACCCACTCAGACACACACTAACATACTCTCTACTTTTCCTGCATCCTCTATGCATCTGTAAAGCTTCATGGGAAACTCATGATAAATGCCAGTTCCTTTCATTTGCATCAAGCTGTACTAAGCCTTAATTCCTGTCCAAGGCTAAAGAAATGTTTTGGGTTAAGTAAAAACCTTTTGTTACAAAGAGTTTTTTCAGATATTAAATGAATAGTGTGCACTTCTGGGCTTTTTGTGGTTTTACAGAATGACTTGTTAAATGGATTTGATTCAGTTGTTAGAAATCTTATTTCCTAAATGAGTTCATATTTCTAATGATTCCTAAATTACATATGTAATGTGTTTTTGTTGGTGGTTGTTTGTTGTTGTTTTTCCTTCAGCCTTACTACCTTGGAAGTATTTTTAGAAGTCTCTTGTTAAGAGAGAAAAGCTTTAATGTGTGGGTTTCTTGGGGTCGAGGATGCAATGGGGTTGTGAGAAGGAAAGGAACAGAGATTTATGTGCTCCATGAAAGTAAGTAAATATGTCACACTAGGTGATTTCTCCCTTATCAAATTCAAGTGCTTCTATTCAGGTATGTCTTTTTTCAAATAAGAAAAGTAGTTGAATTAATGTTAGCCCATTTTTACACATAAGTTGGCAGAAGCCCAAGGAACTAAACGACTTTCCCAATGTTCCCAACCTATAAGTTTATGAAAATGAATAGACTTCAAAATTATCTGTTAAAATTATTAAATGTATAAAAATTATTAAATGCATAAAATTTATAACTTCAGTGATTATCTGCATAATATTATGAGTATCATTCAAAGCAAAAAATAAAAAGAGCGCTTTCCACATATCCTTTGTTCTCAAAATTCTTCTGTAGCATTATGCAAAAAGTAAATTAACTGCTCAGAAATAAATTGTAGTTGGCCAAGAAATTGAAAATCTCACCAAAGTTATCAAAGTTCACTTTTTCTTCAAATCAAGAACTTTGGGATATCATATTTTTTTTCATCAAGTCTGGAAGAATGTGTCAAATCTCAGTGTTTATATAAGCTCATTCTATGAACAGTTTGGGATTAAAGACTCCCAGTGATAAAAAATTGTCTGTATTCTGAGTCTAACCAGTGACATATTTTAATTAGAGGACAAACCCAGAATATCTACCCTCCAGTCCTTTGTATCACTAAAGCAATTTCCAAAGATGGAACTGTCTGCAGAAAAGAATAACACAATTAAATGTATTATTGATGCATCAGGCAGAAATTAGAACACAACACAAATGCATAATGATATAATTTCTTAGCTGTACCACTCTGAAAAATAAAGATAAAAGATGCTAGTGAGCTATTTATGATGGGACTACAGAATAATAAGATTAATGAAAAGAACTCAGGTAATTTATTTTCATCATAGGTTTTAAACAGTCACTGAATTACCTATGATTGCAGCAATAAAGGTTTTTTGAAAAGTCATTGGAGAACTCAACATGGCAAGGCCCTACTTCCTATTCAATTGGAAGGGTATTGATTTAGTGCTGGAAGGAGTTTTTTTTTTTTTTTTTCAACTCTATGTTCATAAACTGAGTGTTTATGTGGCTGGGATTCTCTCTTTTTCTTTCTTTCTTTTACTCGATACAAAAGTACTGAGTTATCACTCATTGCCAAGCACAGTGCTAGGTGCTGATGATCAAAAGGAACTAAGTTACAGTCCTTGATCCTCTAGACCTCACTCTAGCTCACAAACATATGCAAATAATATTTGATGAAAACTATCATATGAACATTCTATTGTGCTGTGTCTAAAAGGCTATCTCAGAAGGCTTCTTGAGGGAGACAGCTTTGTGTTGCATCGTAAAAAACATTCTTCAATGCTTAATTTTAGCTAAATCCTCTTAAATTATTTTCTTATAAGCCTTAATTCATACATGCTTAGACATTTCCTCAAAGGACCCTGTAAAATCCCTGAGGTGAAGTGCTGACAAGACCCTGTGCCTGAATACCATCAAATTTTTCCTTGGCTTGGATATCTGGATACTGATATCTCAACCCTTCAACCCTTTCTTATTTTCAGTAGATCTCTTGGCCTCTGACAGTTTGATTAATCATTAGGAATTTTACTTTTCTCTGCTTTCTGGAATCTGTGTCTCTGGTGTGGATTCATTTACCCACCTGCCAACACTGATGCTTTTTGTGTGTATCTTAATTCCTACTTCCCATGTGATTGTGACGTATTGGTTTTATTTTTCTATTATAGCTTACTAATCTAAATATCCTAAATGTAAATATCTTCTTCCATGTTCTTTATCAGGCTTACTGAATTTCTACCTGGCTTAATATAGAGGTTTTTTTTAGCCATATGCATATTCTTTAATTTTGTGACATTTCATTTGTCTTGGCATTTATTCCTCTTTTTCCTACAAAATTTCTCCCAGGCTTAAGAAAATTCAAAGTTAGAAATAAAAAGTTTGGAAATAATTTAAAAATGGTAGTTTTAAAATTAATTGAGTTCTTGTTCATGGGGACACAGTTAATAATTCTGTTGCTGCTATAGATGTATACTGGAATCGAACAATTAAATAAATGGATGGTGAATATGGGAGCCATATTTCTCACAGTTGGAGTGGGAGGTTATGGATAAGCAAAGGGATAAGTTTAGAATGATCTGTGTGGTAATGGATTAGAGTCAGATATATCAGTATGAATTCATGTTTTGCTTAATAACGGTACAGATAAGTACATATAGAAATATCTATAGATATAGGTAAATACATATAGATGGGTTAGTATGCAGACATATATTCTCCTTCTATGTCAATTAAGAGGGCCTAGAAGCAAGAATACCACAGTAGCAATGAACATATCTAGTGCACAGATTTTGGTTTCTAATACAATTTTTCAATAAAAGGAACCAGGACTCCTTGGAGAAATGGTTGATTCTAGAACTAGGGCAGAACATAAGCAAGTTGAACATGAATCATTATATAGTACCAAAAAGTAAGGAAGTGTTAAATAAATAAATAAAGAGTTAAAAAATCTACAATGATGCCAAAAGGACAGAGGAGCCAAGTGAACGAGCTCCTAACTACCAAAGGTGGGATAATTTGCACAATAAAATAAGCTATGTGGTATTGTATTACAACCCAATATATTAAAAATCCAAGTCTATATTGAAACAAATTATGGAATAAATAAATTGGGAAGAATAGATAAGTCTCTATGCAGAAGAATTCCGAATAATTTCTGTAGGTATCTGATTTTGCAGACTTTCTGATAATGTGGATTTCCTAACCTCACAGAGATGGAACATTGCTCCCCATTCCTTAAATGTGGACTGCACATAGGGACTTCCTTCCACAGGGAGCACTATGGAAAGGGAGGATAAAAAAGAATGACTTTACAGTGGAGTAGCATGGCAAACACTACCCCAGACAGGAAGTCAAGGTCAACATCAACAGTGAAGTCATGTTGATAAGATGTGTCCTTGACATGATGGGATGTAAATGGTACTTTTCTTCTGCATTCATCTTCCCAAAAACATACGAGCGTATTCTAATCATGAGAAAAATATATGACAAATGCCAACTAAAGGACATTATACAAGATGCCTGACCTTTACTCCTCAAAACGAATGAGGTCTCAAAAAACAAAAAAAGTCTGAGAAAGCTAACAGCCAAGAAGAGCTTAAGGAGACATGACAACTAAATGCAATGTGGTATCTTGGATGGGATCCTGGAACAGAAAAGGGATTAAGAGAAAAAGTTAATAAATATAAATAAAACATGGGGCTGGACACAGAGGCTCACACCTGTAATCCCAGCACTTTGGGAGGCCGATGTGGGAGGATCACTTGAGCTCAGGAGTTCAAGACCAGCTTGGGCAATATGGTGAAACCCTGTATCTACCAAAAATAAAAAAAAAATTAGCCAGGTGTGATGATGCACACCTGTAGTCCCAGCTACTCAGGAGACCGAGGATCACTTGAGCCCAGGAGATGGAGGTTGCAGTGAGCCGAGATCACACCTCTGCACTACAGCCTGGGTGACAGAGCAAAACTCCATCTCAAAATAGGTAATAAATATGTGTCAATATTGTAACCAAGGTGCCATAGCAATATAAAATGTTAACAAGAAGGGATACTGCATACAGCATATATGGGAAATCTGTACTATCTTAGCAATTTTTATAGAAACATAAAACTATTCTAAAATTTTTCAAAACTTAAAAAATAAAGAAATCGCATAGTTGATAGGAAATGACACAGTGGAAGGAAAATTACCTTTGTCATTTTCTCTTAATATTCTTTAGCTTTCAGTCAATAAATTATGGAGGGTTAGAATTAGGCAAAATGCAAATATGAGCAAAACTCACATTTTTACTGATGATTCTTAGAGGAATCCTTCCATTTCCTTTGATTTTGGAGATAGATAATACACCAAAACCACCTAAACTACATTACTTATATCTCATCTTCTAGGTTCAGGGTATCTCACATATTTACAAATTCAGCTTTTATCTCAGAAGTTGCTTTTGAGTTGTGGAATTACTAAATCCGTGTCCCAATCCAAGCCCAAAGCATACTTCTAAGGCTCTGTGCTGCCTGAAGCTCTCACCCACAGTATTCCAAAAAAGAACTGAACAATTCACTGAAAAAAGAAGGAAACATATATCAGGTCAGTCCACTGCAGTATCACCCAGCAAGATTCTTTGTAATAATCAAAAAGTATCAGAACACATTTTTAAAAAAGTAAATAAATGCAGCTTACTTTCTGCTGCTGTGTTTCCAGGAAGCTGTCCTGAGATAGTCTGCTAGGTGAGGCACAGCCATGGGAAAAATCGAGGTTGATTTTTCTAAAATTCTTCTCATGAGCTTCCTTCCTATGCTGCAAAAGAAAAATAATCATGTCAAAACCAAATCCCAGGCTGTGGGAAGCAGCAGTGAACTTTTTCACAAAACTAGTGATTAAAGATGGGCCTGAACCAGGCTTTCCTGTTTGCTGCTTCATCCCTCCTTGGTGAAGTGGCTACTTTATGACGGTCGTTCGTTAGACATTAGGGATTCAGGAATAAGCCAAACTCAATCCTTGCTTTCAAAAAGGTGGAAGATAGATGAGAAATGTGATAAACAATGACAAATACAATATTGTGTTAAACACTGTGGATACAAGTTGTGCACCTTGAACCCTAGAAGTTTTCAGCAAGGATCCCATGATTCTGCTAGGGCTGGGCGAGGAGGTTTCATTGAGGATATGATGTGGCTTTTAAGCTGAGACTTGAATTATGAATGACAGCTTGAAGTGCTACAAAAGTGAAAAGGGTATTCTGAGCTGAAGTGGCAGAATATGCCAGAGCGTAAAATTGTGAGATGATTTAAAGAGTTGAGATTGGATTAGGGCAATTGCAACTTGCAATTTCAATTTGCAAAATGTTATCTGAATATAGGGCACATGTATGCTGTGGCATGGATGGGAGTGGGGAGTAGGAGGGGCTAGCAGGAGATAAATTTAGAGACATAGACAAGAGCCAGGTTTTAGAGACCATTCTAGGACATGTTAAGAATTTTGGACATTAGGCAGTGAGTAGTAATTGAATGGTTATAATTGGAGAAGTGTTAGCATTTAATAATTTTTTTAAAAAAGAGTGGTATAATTACATAACTTGTTACTGCTTTTATTTGCACTGCCACAAAACTTAATGTTGCAGTATTTATCTATAATGTTTAATAGTGTGAGCTGATGGGGGTGTTAGGATAAGTGTAAAGATTTTAGAGCTGAGATTGCCTCCTTGCTAATTCACATGTGAAGCGACAACTATGAATTTTGCCCTCCAGTAAAAGTTTAACAATATCACCAAATGGGAGCAAAGAAAATCAATATCTTGCAAATTGCCATTCAGTAGAATATCTCTCTGGACCTTGGTATTTATTCAACGAAAAATTATTCAACACTATGTGTGTGACCTATGCTGGGAAACATTTATGCAAAGACAAATAAGAAGAGTTCCTGCCCTCAAGTAGCCTGCAATCTGGTGAAGGAGTCAGATGAGTAAATAAATAAGCAAGACAAAATGTTAAAGTTCCTGTGAGAGTAGTTTGTGGAAAGAACAATGGGCCATTGGAGAAGAAAGAGGTCAGTTTTACCTTGTTGTATGTGCCAAGTTGGGCCAGGACAGACTTTCTAGAGAAAGTGGCCCTTGGATTTTCTTGAATGCTAAACATATAAACAATGAGGTAGATGAGTGAGGGCATTTCTGTAGCATCAAAGGCTGCGGGAATGACCCCCGACCAAACAACCCTCAACCCCTACTCACAGATGTCAGGTTGCACAGTGTATGCCTATAACCTGCACAACATTATATGACACTTCTGCATATTATTTTAGTCGTGGTGATACATTTAATGAGTTATGTAATTAACAGTCAAATGAGAATAACTACCTATCTTTTAATTTTTTTTTTATTGTGACGGAGTTTCGCTCTTGTCACCCAGGCTGGAGTGCAATGGCGTGATCTCGCCTCACTGCAACCTCCACCTCCCAGGTTCAATCGATTCTCCTGCCTCAGCCTCCTGAGTAGCTGGGATTGCAGGTGCATGCCACCACACCTGGCTAATTTTTGTATTTGTACTAGAGGTGGGGTTTCACCATGTTAGTCAAGCTGGTCTTGAACTCCTGACCTCAGGCGATCTGCCCACCTCAGCCTCCCAAAGTGCTGGGATTACAGGCGTGAGCCACCACACCCAGCCCCTTTCTCATAAATCATAGTGAAAATTACATGATTCAATATACATAAGCATTATTATAAATGCTATCCAAATTTATTAGTCCATTATCACGCTGCTACAAAGAAATACCTGCAACTGGGTAATCTATAAAAAAAAAAAAGGTTTAATTGGCTCATGGTTCTGCAGGCTGTACAGGAAGCATGATGCTGGCATCTACTCAGCTTCCTGGGAGGCCTCAGGAAACTTTCAATCATGGTGGAAGATTGAGAGGAAGCAGGCACATCTTACATGGCCAGCACAGGAGGAAGAGAGAGACAGGGGAGGTACCACACACATTTTTATTTTTATTTTTATTTTTATTTTTATTTTTATTTTTGAGATGGAGTCTGTCTCTTTCGCCCAGGCTGGAGTGCAGTGGCATGATCTCGGCTCACTGCAACCTCCACCTCCCAGGTTCAAGGGATTCTCCTGCCTCAGCCTCCCAAGTAGCTGGGATTACAGGTGCGTGCCACCACACCTGGCTAATTTTTTTTTATTTTTAGTAGAGATGGGGTTTCACCATATTAGCCAGAATGATCTCTATCTTCTGACCTCATGATCTGCTTGCTTCAGCCTCCCAAAGTGCTGGGATTACAGGCGTGCACCACCACGCCCGGCCCACACACTTTTAAACAACCAGATCTCATGAGAACTCTATCGTGAGAACAGGACTAGAGGGATGGTACTAAATCGTTGGAAACTCCCCCCATGATTCAATCACCTCCCACCAGGCCCCACCTGTAGCATCAGGGACTACATTTCAACCTGAGTTTTAGGTGGGAACACAGATCCAAACCATATTAACAAACGTCAGTTCTTATTATTAATTTGATGAAGAATTTTAAACATTTTATGTCATCAAGTTCAACCTTTTATTTCTTTATATATATATATATTTAAATTATACTTTAAGTTGTAGGGTACATGTGCACAACATGCAGGTTTGTTACATATGTATACATGTGCCATGTTGGTGTGCTGCACCCATTAACTCATCATTTACATTAGGTATATCTCCTAATGCTATCCCTCCCCCCTCCCCCACCCCACAACAGGCCCCAGTGTGTGATGTTCCCCTTCCTGTGTCCAAGTGTTCTCATTGTTCAATTCCCACCTATGCGGTGTTTGTTTTTTTGTCCTTGCTATACTTTGCTGAGAATGATGGTTTCCAGCTTCATCCATGTCCCTACAAAGGACATGAACTCATCATTTTTTATGGCTGCATAGTATTCTATGGCGTATATGTGCCACATTATATCTAGCAAGTCAGGCCAACATTCAAATTCAGGAAATATAGAGGATGCCACAAAGATACTCCTCGAGAAGAGCAACTCCAAGACACATAATTGTCAGATTCACCAAAGTTGAAATGAAGGAAAAAATGTTAAGGGTAGCCAGAGAGAAAGGTCGGGTTACCCACAAAGGGAAGCCCATCAGACTAACAGCTGATCTCTCAGCAGAAACTCTACAAGCCAGAAGAGAGTGGGGGCCAATATTCAACATTCTTAAAGAAAAGGATTTTCACCCCAGAATTTCATATGCAGCCAAACTAAACTTCATAAGTGAAGGAGAAATAAAATACTTTACAGACAAGCAAATGCTGAGAGAGTTTGTCACCACCAGGCCTGCCCTACAAGAGCTCCTGAAGGAAGCACTAAACATGGAAAGGAACAACCGGTACCAGGCACTGCAAAAACATGCCAAATTGTAAAGACCATCAAGGCTAGGAAGAAACTGCATCAACTAACGAGCAAAATAACCTGCTAATATCATAATGACAGGATCAAATTCACACATAACAATATTAACCTTAAATGTAAATGGGCTAAATGCTCCAATTAAAAGACACAGACTGGCAAATTGGATAAAGAGTCAAGACTCATCAGTGTGCTATATTCAGGAAACCCATCTCACGTGCAGAGACACACGTAGGCTCAAAATAAAGGGATGGAGGAAGATCTACCAAGCAAATGGAAAACAAAAAAAAGGCAGGGGTTGCAATCCTAGTCTCTGATAAAACAGACTTTAAACCAACAAAGATCAAAAGAGACAAAGAAGGCCATTACATAATGGTAAAGGGATCAATTCGACAAGAAGAGCTAACTATCCTAAATATATATGCACCCAATACAGGAGCACCCAGATTCATAAAGCAAGTCCTTAGAGACCTACAAAGAGACTTAGACTCCCACACAATAATAATGGGAGACCTTTTATTTCATAAATGTGTGACTTTTAGATTTAGCCTTTATCACCCTAATATTATAAATGTAATTTCCTACATTTCTCACATTATTTTTTCATGTTTACCTCTAATACATCTGAGATGTGTGCATAAGCAGATAGGCATGCAAAGAAAAGTGAGGTAAGGCTTTGTTATTTCAATGAGCCACAAGTGGCCCCGTATAGTGGACCTGCCGTGTGTTTTTCCCTTCTTCGCAGTAGGCTGGAATCCATTAGTCCAGAAGCCCACCAGTGCCAAGCTCAAATTTTTAACACATTCAATTGTTTTAAACATAACCCCATTAAGCACATTTTTAGCCATTTAGAGCTGCTTGTTTTGCATATCACACGAAACTGCACCAAACATCTGTTAGACATGGATAAGATAAACTCCAGGGCTATGAGAGATCCCAAGCCACTATGACCCTTCAGAATTCTCTGACCCAGAGCGTCCCCACCTTCATGTATTTAGTTAAGCCCCCTCTCTGGTCCTGGAAGGGTCTTCTCCAGGCGTCCCCTTTCCTTCCTTTCTGTTTTGGACAGTGATTCCTGCAGCATTGCCTCTGAAAGTTCTCATGTTGTGAGGGACTCACCTTTTCCTGTAAACCTGTCAAAGCACTGCTCAAATAGACCTTATTGTGTTCTATTACTACCTTGTGGTCATATCTTTTTCCTTGGTTAGTCCCCCAAAACCCTTGAACTCACTGCAGGATTTGTTTTTAAATTTCATTTGAATAGCCAGTTTTTCTTGGGACACTTATTGAGTAGTTTCTACTTCCTATACTAATTTCAACTTTCCAGATAACCGTTGTGTTATTTAGGAACTCTCTAGCCTGTTCCAGTGATTGAATTATCTACACCTATATCAGTGCCTAACTATGGTTTTGATATCTGGCAGTACTGGTCTCCTTTCATATTTCTGTTTAATTTCTTTTGCTTTTCTCCTGCCTTTATTCTATCACCCTGTTTTAAGTGGCCATGCTGTGTGCAATAAAAGAACATCCTTTGGGATTTTGTTTGGCACTGTTAAATATTTATAAATTTTTTGGATGAAGAACTAAGTCACATCTCTACAATATTGAATATCCTGCACCAGGAATATTTATGTATTTTCATTTATTTAGGTTTTCTTTTATGTTCTCCATTTATGTTTTACAGTTTCTACATATGAGTCTTTAATAATTTTAACTAGACATATTCTATGTGTTTTATAGATTTTGCCATTATTATAAACTGAATATTTGGTATATTTTCTGTATGGCTATTGCTGAGGTATACAAAGTTATAGATTCTCAATGATTATTTTGTGCCTTACCACTTTATTCAACTGTCTCATTGTTTCTAAATTTTATGTTTGCTTTGCTTGATGCAAGTGAGTATTCTTGTCATATTAGTGAAACTGACTGCTTCTCATGAATCATCATTATAAAGTATGATGTTTTGATAAGGTTCTCTTAATTACTCTTTATCAAGTTAAGGAGATTCCTTATAAGCCCAGTATAATTTGTTCTGTTTGTCTATTGACAAAAGATTCGTGTTTTCACTTTGTTATTGTTGTTCTAACTAGTCTTGTCTGTTTTATTTGTTTGTTTTATAGTATCAAAGTTAGGATTAGTTTGTACAATTACATGAATTGGGAATCTGTTCATCTTTCTGTTTGTTCAATAATGTAAGGAATAGCTAGTTTTTGGAAATTTGGTTTCATTTTATCATAAAACAATTTTATTTGACTTTTTAGGATGCAATAGGTTATGAATTTATGACCAGTTTTAAAATTTCTTATACAGTATTTATGTAGGTTTTCTAAACTTCTTAGTCAATGTGATTAATTTAAATTTTCCTATGAAATTCATCTGCTTTCAAATTTAAACTGTTAAATTTATATATTATTATAAAAATAATAAAATCTCTTTTGTGTCTTTCTAAGTTTTAACATACAATCATATTCCTAATATTATTTATCTTGGTTTCTCATTCCTAATATTCTCACTTCTTAAATGATTCTCGTGCCTAAAACTATTCATTTTTGTTATTGATAATTTCAAATAACTGGCTTTTTAAATTGTTGAACTTTTCTGAGTTTTATTGTATATTTTACTAGTTTGTATCTATCCTTAAAAATTTTATTTATTTTGTGCATATTTTCTCTGCTATTAATTTGAAGATTTGGTTTATTTTCAATGTTTTTTTTCCTAAGAATACGTGTGAAACTATGTTTCACTGTGAAATAATTGCCACCCATTTAATGCTTTTTTATTTTACCTGATTTTTGTTTTGTATGACAATGATGTTGAGATTACCTGTATGTGTGTGTATGTGCATGTTGTAAAGAGCAAGCTTATAAAGTACTTGTAAACTGGCCTAAGCACTATCTTTCTTCTTGAAGCCACCCTTTGTTCATGTGGTCCTCTCTCCTTAAACCATACAGCTTTATAGCCTTAATCATGCCGTGTACACTCCTTTAGCATGCATATCTCATTCCATGTGAGCTTTGCTATTAGAGAATAAAAACTACATCACTTATTCACTTTCCCACAGAGTTATGCAAATAAATGGCCAGTGCTAAATAAATTGTTTTTAGCTTTCCTCATTATTTATTACATTTTATACCTTATTTTAAAATATTTTCCATTTTGCTTTATGTTTTGTTCTTTTTGAGCAGCAGCAGGATGAGACTAGACAATCTAAAGTACAAGGAGTTGGTGATAGTAGGTGTCTTCTGGCAGACTTATGCCCTGCAGATACTGGGCTGGCCCACATTTTGGTTTGCTTTGAATCACGGAAGCTTACATATAAGCCCAGAGGTCTAGCTGAACAGTTTATACAGAGAAATAATAAGAGACCTTAAAGTTCACCTACTGAACCTGAAAAAAGTGATTGGCATGTTATAGTCTGTATGTATTTGTGGAAATGATGAAGTAATAAAAGGACTGTCTACCCTTCATTTTAAAATTAGAAAACAGCAAAGTAAGTGAAAATGTTGGAATTTTAACCCAAGTTACCTAGCTCTGAAATCCAATTCTCTTTTCTGTATATGATATTGCCATCCAGATGATCAAATTGTAAAGAACATACTAGTAAAATGCTCTCCATCAGAACTGTATAAGGGATCCAGATTGAATCTAGAAACCCTATAATCACACTAGAAAAGATGAGAAACCTATTCCGAAATTTATACTGCTTATCATTAGTGCATTCCCCGTCTTGCTTTCTCTTGGACTTTCCTAATCTAAAAGGGAATGAGACATTATCAAAACCAAGGTCAATCACTGAATCAAGGTCTTACGGGGAAAGTACTTCCTATGAGGGCCAAAATAACGGTAACATTTGGAGTCAGAATGGCTGCCATCTGGGGAGCGCCAAAACGTTTTCTTCAGCACTTCTTCAACAATTTGGAAAACATCTTAATGCTAAACATTTGATTGCTGCAGTTTTGTTTTGTTTGCTATTTCCCCCACCCCATTAAAAAGAACCTTACTGCCTTGTAGATACTTGTGGGTTTTGCATGATATAGAATGTGTAGTATTATGACTTTAGAAGGCACTAAGGAAAATTTTTAGATTTCAAAAGGCCCAAGTCCTAGGTTAAAGGGGGACATGAAATCTCCATTGAGACAAATGCTACCTAAGAAATAACACATAAATAAATAAATAAATATGTAAATAAATAGTAAAAAGAGCCTAGGGTTCTGTATCTTTCAGTGTTAATTTGAAATGGTTCAACATTGGGAAATTAACCAGATTAAGAAAGGAAAAGTCCAAAACATATCAAATAGAAGTAAAGATTTTTTAAAAAATAAAATAAAATGCAATATACAAAAAGAAGAACAAAGGTTATTCCAATAAATAAGAACAGAATATTTGTTGAAGGGTAGGAGGATATGTTGAGAGGTTGACACTAACAGGCTAGATACATTGAAGATAGATTTTTGTTCATGGGTTTGTTTTATAACAACGTTTCAATAAGAGAAAAATAAGAGAATAAAAGGTGAATGAAAGTTATAATAAATCAGCAAGAAAATACCACCAGGCTTGTGTTCCTTTGGCTAAAATACCCTACTGTTATTCTGACACTTGGGGAATGCTTCAGACTGGCTTGGAGCTGGGAGAATAAGTCCCCAATGGGACTTGCTTTTGCAGAGAATTAGGCACCTTCTGTACATGGTGCACTCATAAGAAATTAATTATAACACCCATTCATAAATATTTTGAGGGAGCCTGGTGAGAACTAGCATAATGATTTTTCAAGTAGCACATCTTCATTTATTGCTCTCTTAAATGAAAAAGTTTGGAGAGTCAAGGAAAGTTAGTTATATATATATTCACCTTTGTCCATGGCAAGGCTACTGATTTTGCCCCCATGATACGCTTATCAGTAAGCTGTGGAGTTGTGGCCCCCATAATACACAGATTAATTGATATGCTGTTGACTAGGGTGTTCTACTGAGAAACTGGCTATTTTTAACTTCAGAATCCAGAAAAGACAGTGATATTCAAAGGTATTCAGTCTTGGTCCTTGGGTTTAATATTTTTATCAAGACCTAGAGGAGAGACTATAAAATGAGCTCATTAAGTTTGCTTCAGACACTAAGCTTCGGTGTCTGTCAGGCACAATCCTGAGAAATACCTTGGCAATGCAAAGTTGCCCTAGGGAGCTGCATAAAGTTTAGCCAAGATGGTTGTTTGCAAAAGAAAAAACCTGAATAGAAAAACTGAAGAATAATTGGCTTTGGGAATATGGTCAACATAAATTGTGGAACTCTAATTCATTATAACTCAACCCATGGATCAGAACTGTAACACTGAGCTTTTAACAACACACATTGATTTTTAAAATTTATTCAGGAAACCTTCTTGAAGCGAGAAACCGCTGGTAACAAGCAGTCTCTTAGGACACTCCTTAAGGTCAGGGACCATATTTGGGTCACTGTTGCATCTTCAGCACCTAGGACAGTGCCCAGGACAGAGTCCTGCCTGGATTTGTTAAAGGAGGTAAGCAAGGACGGAGCCAAGGAGAAAAGGAAGAAAACCCTGGAGCACAAAGAAGACAGTGCTCTACATTTTAGGGACAGATTTCACTTAAGAAAAGGGACACACACAATTATTTTGGCCCCCAAAGGAAGATGCTGAAGCCTAACAAAAAGAAACATGAATATCACAGCGTCTGGTTAACAACTCAGATTTGAGGTTTTCTAGGTTTAGCACATAGACTCATATTAACTTGTCTTTGAGATTTGGAGTCTTAATATTTAAAATAGGGATTTATTGGGTTGCCGTAAAGAAATACCACAGGCTAGGTGGCTCAAATAACAGAAATTTATATTCTCACAGTTCTGGACGGTGTAAGTCCAAGATCAAGGTGCTGGCCAACTGGTGAGGGCTCATCCTGCTTGCAGACAGCCACCTTTTCACTAAATCCTCACATGGGGCCTTAGGGGAGAAACATCTTCCTCTTCTTATGAGGCCAAAGTTCTATGAGATTATGGCCCCATCTTTATAACCTAATTTAAACTTACTTGTCTCCTAAAAGCCCTAACTCCACATTTAGTCACATTGGAGGTTACGGCTTCAACATATGATATTCGAGGGACAACATTTAATTCATAGCAGAGATAGCAAATTTTCTTATGCTAGTTTCAGCAGCATAATGAAAAACTCAATAGATAGATAGATAGACAGGTAAGTATAGGTATAAGTATAGATTACTTTTCTTCTAGCTTTACCTATATAAAATGCAGAAGGTATTTTGACTCTTGAGCGAAGATAAAAACACCTGAAGTGAACCCTTCCTTTTGCTTCTGAGCTAGAGATATTTACTTACAGAGAGCCACCTTTGAATCAAATGTAATTAATCTAGAAGGCAGAACCCTGGGTCTTCATATGAAAAGCAATGAGTTTATTTTTTTCTTTTGTAGAAAACTAGTCTGTGAGAAGGCACTGCAGGAATAAGAATTTAATAACAGCGCATTGGAAAAAAAGGTGCTCTTCATGATAGAATGGTTTATGCATTTTAAAGTGAGGTTTGCGGAAATTAAAAATTAAATAACATGGTTATACCAGCTAGATTTTGCATCATCCAGAATGGGTGAAAAATATGAACATATTTTTATATGTCAAAATCAGAAGTCACTCTAGAAATGGATATGAATAGTCTTTAACTAGAATATCAGAGTTTCACAAAGCTTTCATCTCTGTAGCTGCGATATAGCCAAATTTGCATTTCGAGGACTGTTCCAGAGTATAGTTTTGTAAGGCCTGAAAATGAGAACTTGATTTTCATCATCCTGAACTGGTCTTTGAACAGTGTGCCAAGGGTGATCAACATTAAATATATGCTCTAAGTGTCTCTTGATTATAGGGACATTGGTTAAATAATGGTTAATGTCAAATGACAACATTTTGACCCGTAACTTGCTTTTATTTGGAAAAGTCGGTGAGTGGAGGGTTGAAAGTTGTTGCCAGGCTCTGAGTATCAGTTCATAGGTAGGTAAAGGCATTTCCATGTGGAATGAGCTGTGGTACGGTGGTCTGGGCTCCGCTTTCACTTCTGTCACATCTTCTCTAAGCCCCAGTTTCATCTGTAAGATGATAATTAGCATCAATCTGGATACAACTCAGTGTACCTTTGGGAGTAAAGTGCAACTCTAATGTGTAAACACTTAGAAAATGGTAAAGCTGATTTACATAAAAGTAGAGATATATATATTCTCCTGTGTGTCTTTTAACAGTATTTTAGAAAGAATATATTGGCCTGTTAAACTCCTAATAAAAATATGTTAGGAGAGAGTATGAACAAAAACTGTAAAGAATATAAGGTAGGCAACATAGAACAAAGCATTGATTATAATTATTTTTATTTTAATTAATTAATTTATTTTATTAACGTCTTTTTTTTTTGTTTTTCGAGATGGAGTCTCATTCTTTTGTCCAGGCTGGAGTGCAGTGGTGCAGTCTCGGCTCACTGCAACCTCCGCCTCCCAGGTTCAAGCGATTGTCCTGCCTCAGCCTCCTAAGTAGCTGATATTACAGGCGCCTGCTACCATGCCTGGCTAATTTTTTTTTTATTATTTTTAGTAGAGACTGGGTTTCACCATGTTGGCCAGGCTGGTCTCAAACTGCTGACCTTGTGATCAGCCCACCTCGGCATCCCAAAGCGCTGGGATTACAGGCGTGAGCCACCGCGCCTGGCCGATTTTAATTATTTTTAATGTGCTTGTTTCCTCCTCATGTGAAGTCTCTCCCTCCTTTCTGTTCTGCCCCTTCCTTTTTCCTTACCTGACCTGGGACAGCTTCTGCAGAAAGGTATGATCACTATAGATAATGCTTTGGGGAAAGGCTTTCTTTTTAAGATGTCTTAGCCACTGTGGAAGGGAGAGTAGGGAGACTTTCACAATTTATAGTTTTGAAATATCTCTTCAGTGTTACAAAGAATGTCCGATAAAGTAAGATCATAACCTGAGGCATATTTGGAGTTCAATGAATTGATCGTTTTTTGTTTCACTGTGATTATAGTAAAGTCAGCATAAAAACATTGCTTTTTTCATCTGCAGACTCTGGATTAATAGGACCATAGAGCAGCAAATTGCTAGGTGCACTGTGGCAGTTTCAATAATAATAATAACAGAAAAGTTAGAGTAATTGACACAATTCTCAGTGGCCTTCATTTTTTTCGTCTTGCCTGCTCTTAAGTAGAAATTCAGCTAAATATATTCCACTGATAGAGTTCATGAAAGAAAATAAAGGTGATATTTTTACCCTAGGATTCTGCCATTTGTCTGAAAGCTTTAGAATCATTCTACACAGATGCCAATTTTCCATCAAGTTCTGTTACTCCACAGCCCTGTTAAAAATTCTCAGCCCTGTTAAGAATTCAGCTCTGTTAAGTTGCCTGGGCCGGGAGTGGTGGCTCACGCCTGTAATGTCAGCACTTTGGGAGGCTGAGGCGGGTGAATCATCTGAGGTCAGGAGTTTGAGGACAGCCTGGCCAACATGGTGGAACCTGATCCCTACTAAAAATACAAAAATTAGCCAGGCATAGTGGCACCTGTCTGTAGTCTCAGCTCTTGGGGAGGCTGAGGCAGGAGAATCGCTTGAACCCAGGAGTCATAAGTTCCAGTAAGCCACGACTGCGCCACTGCACTTCAGCCCAGGCAACAGAGTAAGACTCTGTCTTAAAAAAAAAAAAAAAAGAATTCTCAGTCTTCTGTGTTGCTCCCCACAAGACTTCTCCAATACTAACTTTGCTTCACTACAAAGTATGAAACTCTTATCTAAAGTTTTCTTGTGCTCACTGAAGATATATACTCTAATTAAATGATGTATGTTAAATGTATGTAAAGCTCCAATTTCTTTTTCTAAAATCTGAACTCCCAAAGGACAGCATGGAGATCTGATTCTGTCTTCAGATTTTTTAAAAAAACTCTTTTACCATCAGAAAATATTTCATTTTCTGTATTTTGTAGAGTTTTACAGCCTCTCCAGGAAGGGGAGCAAGGACAAAGCCTATGCTGTTTTTATTATTAGTCATTCTTAGGAGGCAAGGTGGGAGGGACAGGGAAAGGGCTAGATGCCCCAGTTCCCGATAGAGAATTTGACAGTTTAAAGGATTTCCCCGTATTCCCTGACTGAGAAATATATATTTTATGTATTTTTCAGAAAAGTTGGGTTATGCTGCAGTAACAAATGGTCCCCAAATCCTAATGTCTTACAGCAGCAAAAGTAACATTTGCCCTATTGTAGGGTAATTGTGGCTTTGCTCCAAGTCATCTTCATTTCGATATCCAGTATAATGGAGCAATTTCTAACGAAACGTTGCCAATCATCATGTCAGAAAGAAAGAGATCAGGTTCAACTTGCAAGTGACACATCTTTTCTGCTTACACGTTGTTGACCAAGTTAAATCACATGACCAAACCTGATGGCTTTGACATAGTATATTTCTCTCCTGAAAAGTAGAGGACATATTTTTAGAAGTCTACCACCAGTGGCTAATGCTAGCTATGAGCCAGGCACTATACTAGGCATTTATAAATATTAACTCTCATCTTCATAATAATCTTAGAATATAGGGATTTTTAACACTCATTTTGCAGAAGAGGAGAAAAACTGGGCAGTTTGAGTATGTTCATACATTTAATTAGAGAAAAACCAAGGATTGAATACAGATCTAGCTGACTGCATAGCCTAGATTTTACCGATAACCTGAACTGCGTTTCAAATAGTCAACTTATTGTAATCAGTATCTCCTTGAAGAGAAGCCAAGGGGAAGAAAAAACACCAGTTTCCTCAAAACTCATGAGTGAAAAACCCAGCTCCTGATTCAGCTATATAATCCATATTTTTCCAAACATGGAAACTACCCTCAAAAACCTCATCATCTAACATAAAACATGATAATCTAAGAGAAGAAATGAAATGCACTGATTAAGGTAATGATAGTTGTAGTAATATTAACCCCCCCACACACACATTTCAGCCAATTAACATAATGAAATTGGTTTTCTCACTCATGTTGTGAGCACTCTGGGGGGACTGGAGACTTTCCTCTCTCTCATGGTTCAGGATTCCAGGTTCTATCCCCCTATTTGCTCTACCATCTCCTACGATCTCGGGGTCCTCTGCACTCAGTGGATTGGGAAATGGAGGTAATGCTTGCTTCTTATCTGCTCCACCCTAAATGTGACACACATTGTGTCTACTCTCATTCCATTAACAAGAATTTGTTATAGATCCCTAGGAAAGATGCCTAGGAATGTAGTCCCTGACTGGGCAGCCATTCCCAGCAACAACTCTACATTATGGAAAAAGCTTCAGGAATTTCTGGTTAACTTCAAGGCACCTCTGCCACATGGGACATTGTCATCTTTGTGATGATACAAAGTAGAAAGTGAATTCATGCCAAGAAAAGATGCAGATACATTTCAGTTCATGAAGTATTTGTTTTCTTTCTCCAAATGCAACCAATAAAAAGAAAGAAGAATATTTTTATTTAGAAATCGATTAAATGGTTTGTCAGATGTTTTACCAGATATTATTAGGGACATAAAATAAAGTATGATGTATTTTCTGACCCCAAAGGGATACCATAGGTCCTCTCATTTGAATTTAAAATCCAGGGATGGAGGAATTCTTTTTGAATCTTGCCCATAGCTGAGTAGGTAGCCAGAGAAGACTCAGTTTCCTCACCTGTGAAATGGGAATATCTGTTCCACAAGATTGATACTGAATTATGAAGCCCTGTTGAAAAGGAAATTAAGCCCATTGTTTACTGTCTCATTCCCCTTTCTCTACAATCTATAGGAACTAGAACATATAAATATTGGCAGAGCCTGTTTTCTGTGCATAAAATGTAAATTTCAGGAAACTCATTTAGCTCCATTTATATAATCATGATAAAATATATAAAATACTCAATTTCTAGAACTGAAATACAGAGATAAAGATTCCGATAAAATTTGCTAATTATTATTCTCTTAATTCCCTAGCTTCTGCAACTCTCCCAATTCTGTTCCTCCACCCAGAAGTAGGAAGTCAAATTTATTAGGACTCTGGGAATTAGTACTCTACTGCCCTAATTTCAATGAATCCACAGCTGAAATGAGGGAAGAGAATCTGAATTACTATCGCTTTCTCCAGAGGAAGGAAGCATTTTTCAGTGGGCCTAGGGCAAAAGTTTTTCCTCAATTCCTAAAAACAGAACTTCTCAAACTTGCCTTGATAGTAAAAGCCACAGAGAGTACTTGCCAAACAAATTAAAGGACTTATACAAACCTAGTTCTCAAATTTAAGCATGCACCACAATCTCCTGCAAGCCTTGTTAAAACAGAGATTTCTAGACCCCACCCCTAGATATGCCTATTTTGTGAGCCTGGAGGTAGGGAGAGCATTGAGAATTTATGTTTATACCAATCCCTAGAAGATGCTGATGCTGCTGATCCAAGAGCCATATTTTGAGACCCCCTCTACCTAAAGCATTAATGCCCCATCCTGGCTGCTGATCCAAACTAACTGCTGATGCAGAGCTGAAGTGAAAAGTACTTCTCTAATGATTTTAGGTTTTCAAAGAGGACTTTTTTTTTTTTGTTAAATTATCAACAGCTGGCCCTTGAATTGGGCGTTTGGCCAAGAATTCTCTTGTAACTAACTGCTTCTCCCTGTGGCTTTTTAGTGAGTCACCACAAGCTCTTTGGGGTTGTAATTACCCTTAATCCTCCTTCTTGTCTGTGACTGTGTGCCTCTCTTTATTTTTTCATATGCTTCTTCATCTCTCCTGCCAGCTCCCTAGCTGGAACTCAGAAGGTTATTTGGTTAAAGCATAGAGAAGTGCAGAGGAAGCAATGTCTAGTGCATTTGCCTTTCCTTTCTGCACTTGGCTGCACTGTACACAACCTGTACAACTAAACCACATTATCTATTTTTCCTGAAGTTCAATTTTCTCATCTGTAGAACAGAGAGTAGCATGTTACAAGATTATTGTGAACAAGTTAAAGTACTTAGTTCAAAGAAGAGGCTCAATGAATATTCTATATTGCATTTTCTTCCCTGCCTCTTGCTTCTCTCTTTCCTTTCTTCCCTTTCTCCTTTCCTCTTTTCTTCTTTTGCTCTCTGCCTTGTCCCTAACATAAAGAACAGAAAGGAGCTAATCTCCCTCCCTTCTCCACTCCAGACTAGTCATTATACAGCCTGCTTTTTGCTAATCTCTTGCCTCCTTTCTCTGAACCGGCAGTACCAACCTTCACGTTCTAATAATCTGTCCCGATGTCAAGGCCCTGGCTCTGTCATTAAAGTGGGTGAGTTCAGGAAGCAACATACATCACTTTCTGAGTCATAGCTTTATGTATTATTTCTTAGCAGACAGTCCCAATATTATGCCTACTGTCCTCATTTTTATTATATTTCGGCCACAATTGTGGCGTAGTTAACAGAAAAGCGCAAAACACAAATTATGAACATCCCAAAAGTTATGGATTATTTTCCAAACATAAAATTCTGGCTATTTACATGATTATGTTGTGTAGTAACACATGAATCATAGGGACACATTTAGTAGCAATGGCATTAAAAATACCATCAACACCTGCCCTTTAAGCTTTTTTTTAATTTCGGTATTATCACATGTACACTTTGAGCAGACGTGCCTGGCCACACTGTATTGAGAGCAGAGACTAATGAGTCCAATTATCTTTGAAGTTTAGAGAATCCTGGTATTTCAGTGGAAAAAAAATGCTGTCTGCAAAGTAGAGCTGTTATGTTTTTCTTGAACTTTAGAGGGCAGCAGAGGAGCTGTCTGAAAAAAATCCCTACTTGACCAGGAAAAGCATTTTTGTTTCCCAAGTTATTTGTACAAAACGTTTTCATTGAAAGGAAAGGATAATATTTTAAAAGATGCTTGTAATCATGTTTTTAAGATGAAGATATTATTTCATAGTATATTTGAAATAGAAGGACTTTTTTCCCCTTGAAAAAATTTACTCTGTAGTAATTGATGATTAACTTGGGAAGAAGTCTCAGAGGAAATTTTAAAAAGGGAGGATTGGTTATGATAAAAATAATGTATATTGGCCAGGTGCGGTGGCTCATACCTATAATCCTAACATGTTGGGAGGCCAAGGCTGGCAGATCACTGGAGCCCAGGAGTTTGAGACAAACCTGGGTAATATGGTGGGGGAAGAAAATAGCCAGGCATGGTGGCACGTGCTTGTAGTCCCAGCTACTTGGGAGGCTGAGATGGGAGGAGCACTTGAGCCTAGGAGGTTAAGGCTATAGTGAGACACGATTGCACCACTTCATCCCAGCCTGGGAGACAGAGTGAGACCCTGTCTCAAAGAAAAATAATAATAACATAAATAAATAAAATAGTGTATATAATAATATAATAGAATAAAGTGTATTTTATTTCAGAGTGTTTTCTTCTGTTTGTATGTGTTTTAAATATGTGTTTAGAAGATCAAAAATAGTTTTGGAGAATCACTGCTGTGTGTAAACAGTTAATAGATGATGTTGAGCAATGTGAGACAAACTTGTGCACAAATACAGATTTCAAATTGAATAAGAAAGCTGTTTTGCTTGAATAATTAAAAAAGTGCGCTAGCAAAAAAGCGAAACAGGGTTTTGCTTTAAGGTGGAGTTAATTTGATTAGATTTGTCAGCCAGCCAGTTTCACAACATCTGAATACAGTTTAAGAGCAAGTGATCCAAAAATCAGTCTCTAAGTTCCTATTAATAGTGACAATGAGAGATGCTTGTCTTAGATTTTTTTCTCTTTCTCTGGGTGACACCAAATCCTATAAGGCATGTGGCCACTAGTATGACTCGTCCCCAGAGAGTGGGACTGTGTTAGGACTGAAGAGCCAACCCCACAGCCTAAACCGTTTATTACAAATCATCGCTCGTTTACCATTCAAGCGAACTTGGGTCCGCCGCGTAATGCAAGCGATGAAAGCACAACTTACCTCATTTTCTCTTGTTCTGAAATGTTTTCTTTGGAGATTGCGAGCAGTCTTTCTTGCCTGCTGTGCTCCGGTACCGAGGCAGTACCTTGCAGTAGGGGTTCCCTTACTTGCCTTGTTCAGATTCTTTTCTCCCTGCTAATCAAGGGCCTGATCTCAGGTCTTTTTCACACATTTATTCTCTTCTTCTTCCTTTCTGATGTTTATTGTCTTTCCTTGTACATTTTAATTCTTTTAGTAACTATGTGATCATTCTCCTTCATCCTAGTTTTTGGCTTTATTCTCTCTTTTTGACTTTATATCTGGGAATAGGTTTTCTTGAGCTTGGAACCTGGATTGCAAGAAATCAAACATGTGATTACCTACCCCTATATTTCTCCAGTAAGCTTTTTGCAGAGTGATCCATTTGCCCTAAGGGTTACTCTCAAAGAAGATCCTCTGGGGCAGAATTTGTTCCCATCAGTGCCAGCTTTCCATCTGGCAGGATCTCTCAGGGTTTGCTGGTGCTACCCAAGGCTTGCTGCCCACACTGATGGGATAACAGGATATTTCCTAAAGTTTTTGCGGCTCTGCATTATTAACATGGCCACATCCTCAGTGCCCTTGGGCTTTAAAAATTTAACCTGATCAAAGCAGCATACCTATTTGATATACCTAAGTGGGAGAGAGTCTCAGAAATGAGTCACAATGGCCTTCCGACTTTCAGAAAACACCATGCTCTTTTTTTCCAAAAGCCACAGAGCTGATATGACAGGACACTGACGCAGCAGGACTCTGGGATCATTAAAATCCCAATAACAAGAATCTTATCATGTCTTGGCGTGTCTGCTGTGAATTACATGAGATGCTCTATCTGAGAATGTTTTTATGAAGATATCCACCTTTTGTTGCTTCCTTCCTTTTATCTTTTTGCAGAGGGAGACGGCCTTGGTTTTGAGGCCGGTTCATTTACTCTGCCTAACCCCGTAGCCCTCAAGTGGCTCCATTGCCACAGTTCCAGCGTCAACCACACAGTTGTGGTGTAGTGTTGTGAGCAATGAGGCAGGCTGCGTGTAGCTCCTACAACAGACTCAAATCCAGAAAAACAGACCGCTTCCAACTTGGAAACACGTATCATTCAAATATTTATTATATATTTTTGGAAGTTGGCTGCAGGAAACCTACATTTTTTTATTAACTCTTGTTATACAAACAAACCAAAATGCCTTCAATGCCTACCATGTACCAAATGGGGCACTCATCCCATTGCTGAAGTTAACAATCCTTAAGAAGTAAAAATTAATTCCAAAACCCAGAAGAAAAGTTGTTGTATCCAGTTTGTTTTATTATGTTCTGTTTTGTGTGTGTGTGTGTGTGTGTGTGTGTGTGTGTGTGTGTGTGTGTTTGTTTTGGTTTGGTTTGGTTTGGTTTTGGTTTGTCACATTTTTTTCATTGAGATTCTGGCCATGACATATTTCAGAAAAGATTTTTAATCATTCTGAAAAGCTGTAGGATCAGGGTAAGGAGTTTGTTTTCTTTTAAAGTGTAGGATGGTAAATACAATGATACTGAGTGATATATTGTCTCTGCCAGGATTAGATAGATTTGCTTCACCTCTATGGACTTGACCTATGCCAGGGATGGGGTACTGCGATTGTAGGGTGGGGATGAGGCCATGCTTGCTGAAGAAATTCAGCCAACTCTAAAGTATGTTGATTTTCTATATATTACATGACAGCCCCATTAGGAGACGTTATCTGGGGCATTTGTATAAATGGGATGGGGTTTCCAGGACACTGCAGAAGCAATGCTTTATACCCTTAATATTAAAATTCTACTGAGCATGATTTGACCTCTCTCTCTTGCTGTCTCTCATTCTCTCTCTTATTCTCTTTCTGTCACTCTCTGAATCCTGAGATGATTTCAGAATCCCTTAGTGCCACAGCTTATCATTGTGATAATTAATTGTAGTTGAACTGGCAGGGAAAATGTTAGTTAATGAATGATATTTGTTGATAAAATGCCAGATAACAGAGGATTAATTATAACAGCTCATTTTGGGGAAAACAAGTCCATCAGAATGAAGTTAATGATCAGTTTGCCATCTGGCCTAGATTAGGGGGCCATCTTGGTCAGCATTGAGTGTTGAGTCACATAAGTTCCCTGAAGTGTCTTAATATAAGTCAGATGTATCCACAGCATACTATAAACATTGTGGGTTAGACTTTGGAGTTCGGTGTTTAGTGTTCATAATTTGACTGGGCAGAGTCTTGCAGGGTTTTGGGATTTTAATACCCTGAACAAATGGGAAAAGGAGGAAGCAAAAGAACTAGGCAGGACAGGCCTGAGGACAATGATCCTGATCTCTAGGGGTAGTGGGTAGAGCATAGTGAACTTGTGTGTTGTAAGGGCTGGATGATAATGACCACCAGAAGCATAGTACCAGGTGGTCAGTTCATTCATAGCAGTCAGTATTCCAGCTGACAACTAGAGGACTAAAAGAAGGAAGCACTCCACCTCACTTCTTTGGTGTTCTTGCTCCAGGGAAGAGTATACACGTTGTTTGCAGGTGCTGGAGCACATGAAGGACCAGGTCACTAGCTTAGTTTCAGAATGAGCCTTAACTCCTAGCTGAGAACTCACATGTAAGTCCAGAGCACAGAATAAGGAGCCAAGAATTGTTATTTGCATGTTTTAAGCTACCACTCTTGGAGAGTGCCCACTATGTGTCAGGTACCTTATCTTAAATATTTAACCCTCACTACAATTCTGTGAAATAAATATTTTTCATGCCTGGTCTCCAAATTAAAAGACTGAGAAAGCTTGGAGAAGTTAGGCGAACAAGTCAATGTCCAATATCTAGTAAGTTTCAGAGTCATGTTTTATAGTCAGATATGTATGTATTCAGATATATCAACAAAATTAGCCAATGTAATGGGGTTATTGTAGGAGGTTGCAACTGGTGGTCTTAGGACACTGGGCATTGCCCTAGACATAATGAAGAGAGTTGAGTTTGTAGACTCAGTTATTGGGTACAACAATCCTTCTTGCCCACATCAGAAATTGATGGAGGTAAGGAAAGGAGCATGTAGAGAATCCTGTGGACAGAAAGCATTCATAATCCAGCATTGATCTGGAAAGTATATCTTATGTACCTGCTGAGCATGTCAAGTTCTTACTCTTAGCTGCTGTCAGTAGGATTGGCCATCAGATTCTGGATTTTATGTCATAGTAGAATCAAGTGTATGTTTACTATAAGTACTCTTAGGGCTTGTCTTACAGTAGGCATTCAACTCAGTGCTTATGAATGACTAAATAAATGGGTGTGTTCTTTCCTGAAATAGCAGAAAGCAGTAATGTTCTTCTTCTATTTATACTCAAAAAAGGCTATGTGCAAAGCAGGAGAGACAGCCTGGCAGTCTACACCTGTGCCAGTAATCCCCCAACAATCCTGTCAAGATTAATTTTCAGAGAGCTCTTACACAAGAATATTTGGTGACTTCATGTTCTACAGTGATCTATTGAATCAGAGGAATCAAAAATAGCCACTTTTTCCATGGTCGTAGAGGGGTGTTACTCATATTACTTTTATGAGAAATGAGTAAGTGAGATGGATGCATTGAAATATATTTATTAAAATTAAAAATAAATTCTGAACAACTAGTCAAGTATTTCTGCTGCTTTGGTATGGAACATTGTGTAAATGTCTGTCAGGTCTATCTGGTGTATAGCGTTGCTCAAGTCCTCTATTTCTTTGAACAACAGTATACACCAAATAGATGTGATAGACACCAACTAGGCGTGATAGAAAAAAACAGCAGAATATATACTCTTTTCAAGTACATATGGAACATTCCCCAGGATAGATTATATGCTAGGGCATAAAACAAGTCTGAATAAATTTTTAAAAAATTATACAAAGTATGGTCTCCAACCACAGTGGAATGAAATGAGAAATCAGTAACAGAAGGAAATTTAGAAATTCACAATTATGTGGAAATTAAGCAACACACTCTTGAGTAATCAATGGTCTGAAAAATGCCAGAAAGATTAGAAAATGCTATGAGAGAAATGAAAATGAAGATAAAACATACGAAAAATTATAGAATGTAGCTTACACAGTACTTACAGAGAAATTTATAACTACAAATGTCTATATAATAACATCTCAAGTCAATAATCTAACCTGACAACTTAAAAAACTATAAAAAGAAGAGCAAACTAAATGCAAAACAATCAGAAGGAAGAAAATAGTAAATATTAGAACAGAAATAAATAAAATAGGAAATAGAAAAACAAAAAATCAATCAATTCTAATTGGTTCTTTAAGAAAAAAATTAAAATTGACAAAATTTTAGCTAGACTGAAGAAGAAAGGAAAGAAGGTATAAGTTGATAAAATCAAAAATGGGAGTGGAGACATCACTACCAACCTTACAGAAATAAAAAAGGATCATATAGGAATGCTGTGAACATTTGTGTGCCAACAAATTAGGTAGCTTAGATGACATGACAAATTTCTAGAAAGACAACCAGAAACAACCACCATTGATTCAAAGTGAAATAGAAAATCTGAATAAACTTATTACAAGTAAAATGATTTAATTTCAAACGAAAACATTTCCCACAACTTAAAGCCCAATTCCAGATGGCTTTGCTGGTGAATTCGATTAAACATTTAAAGAAGAATTAGTAATAATTCTTTACAAACTCTTTCAAAAAAGAGAAGACAAAGGAATATTTCCAAACCCATTCTAGGAGCTAGCATTATCCTTATGCCAAAACCAGGTAAAAACAGCACAAGAAAAGAAAACTAGAGAGCAGTATCTCTTATAAATGTAGACACAAAATTTCTCAATAAAATACTAGCAAACACTGGCAATAAAAAGGAATAAAGTACGAATACATGCTACAACATTGTTGAACCTTGAAAAATATTATACTAAGTGAAAGAAACCAAACACAAAAGACCACATCTTTTATGATTCCATTTATATGAATGTCCAGAATACAGAAATCTATAGAGACAGAAACTAGATTAATGGTTGCCCAGGGATGAGGTATGAAGTTGGAGAGAAAAGAGAACTCAAACAACTCAATCACAAAAACACAAATAATCTGGTTTAAAAATAGGCGAAAGACCTGACTAGACATTTCTCAAAAAAAGACATTCAAATGACAAAGAGGTATATGAAAAAAATATTTAACATCACTAATCATCATGGAAATGCAAATCAAAACACAATGAGGTATTACCTTACTCCAGTTAGAATGACTTCTATCAAAAATACAAAAGATAACAAGTGTTGGGAAGGATGTGGAGAAAAGGGTACCCTTAAATACTGTTGGTGAGAATGTAAATTAGTTTAGCCATTATGAAAAACAATATGGAGATTTCTCAAAAAATTAAAACTGGGACTACCTTATGATCCAGCAATCCCACTGCTGGATATATATCCAAAGGAAATGAAATCAGTATGTCAAGGAGATGTCTCACTCTCATGTTTGTTGCAACACTATTCACAATAGTCAAGTTATGGAATCAACCTAAATGTTCATTAACATTTATGGATAAATAAAATGAATAAATAAATGGATAAATAAAATGAATAAATAAATGAATAAATAAAATGTGGCATATATATGGTATACAAACACACATAGACACACATACACACACACACACACACACACACACACACACACACACACAATGGAATACTATTTAGCCATAAAGAATAAAATCCTATATCATTTGTGACAATATAAATGAACCTGGAAGACATTATGTTAACTGAAATAAACCTAACACAGAAAGACAAATACTGCATAATCTCACTCATATGCAGAATCTAAAGTCGTTGATCTCACTGATGTAGAGAATTGAATAGTGGCTACCATGGGCTGGGAAGAGTAGTTGATGATATGGTTTGGCTGTGTACCCACCAAAATCTTATCTTGAATTCCCGTGTGTTGTGGGAGGGACCAGGTGGGAGGTAATTGAATCATGGGGGCAGGTCTTTCCCATTCTTCTCTGGTGATAGTGAGTAAGTCTCATGAGATCTGATGGTTATTATAAGAGGGAGTTTTCCTGCAGAAGCTCTTTGCCTGCCGCCATCCACGTAAGACGTGACTTGCTCCCCCTTGCCTTCCGCAGTGATTGTGAGGCTTCCCCAGCAATGAGGAACTGTAAGTCCAATTAAACCTTTTTCTTTTGTAAATTTCCCAGTCTTGGGTATATCTTTATCAGCAGGGTGAAAACACACAAATACATGGGGGAAGGGGAATGGGTAGAAAATGGTTCATGGGGAGAAAGTTACGGTTACTTAGAAGGAATAAGATCTGGTGTTCTATTGCACAGTAGGGTGATTATAGTTAATAAGAATGTATTGTTTATTTCAAAACAGCTAGAATAAAGGATTTTGAATGGTCTTACCACAAAGAAATGATAAGTGATTGAGGTGATAGATATTCTAATTACTCTAATTTGATCATCATGCATTATATACATATATTGAAACATTGTACTTTATAAATATGAACAATTATTTTGTGTCAATTAAAAATAAAATCTAAACAAAAACAACAGTGGAGCACTGATTTGAGGATAAGATTACCAGAAAGTCGTGGAGGTAAAGTGAGGTCATCAAGTTTATGGAGAGGAATCTGGGGACTCTTTCTAGCACCATTAACCTCTTAACCAAATTCTGAAGGATAAAATGTGCATCAGGCATGTGAGGCAGGAAAGACATGGCAAGCAGATGAACAGCCCGGACACACGTAGGGCTTAGAGGAGCAAGTTGACTCAGTTGGCATACAAGGTGCAGCTGGGAATGTTAGGAAAAAGTCTAGAGACTGGACTTACAAGAGATTTTTTTCTACCTTTGGAATTTAACCAATATTTCCTAAAATCTGCCTGGAGGAGGTGCTTCCCAAATTATCTGCAGTAAGTGAAAGATTTTTCTTCTTATTACTTTAAATCTGCCATGAACTGATACTTTTGTAAAACACAATAAAGATGAATTACTAGAAAAATGAAGTGTGAAAAAAAAAAACTTCACAAGCTACTGTTCATATTTGTATTAGTCCATTTTCGCACTGCTTTAAAGAACTACCCGAGACTGGGTAATTTAAGAAGAAAATGGGTTTAATTGACTCACAGTTTGCATGGCTGGGGAGGCCTCAGGAAACTTACAATCATGGCAGAAGGTGAAGGAGAAGCAAGGCACATCTTCCCATGGTGGAGCAGTGGAGAGAGAGCGAGACACAGGGAATGCTGAACACTTTTAAACAGCCAGATCTCATGAGAACTCAGGACACAGCACTAGGGCAATGGTGCTAAACCATTAGAGACCACCTCCATGATTCATTCACCTCCCAGCAGGCCCCTCATTTGACATGTCAGAATTACAATTTGAGGTGAGATTTGGGTGCAGACACAGAGCCAAACCATATGACTATTCTTGGCAGCATTGTCAATTTGTTATAGCGTTTTCTAAATATTGACTCTCCGTTTCTGTATTTCTCTTATTGCAGACAATCAATAAATAATTTGTGAACCTGCACTGGTCCACAAACCACATCATGACTAGCAGGGGTCTAAAGGATACATCCCAAAAGATTCCCTGACAACCCAGTGGTCAAATGTATGTGTGAAACATTGGGAATTTTATCTGCCCAGACCTCCCCCAGGAGATGCATACATGACATTCTCTAAAGTTACTGAGAAATTTTGCAGTAAAAATGCCCTAATTTGCAATGGAATGGTACTTGGAGGTGGGGACTTTGGATGGTAATTAGGTAATTAAATGAGGTCATGAAGTTGGGACTCCCATAATGGGATTAACATCTTTATAAGAAGAGGAAGAGAGGCCAGAGCATTCTCTCTCTCTGCCATGTTAGAACGTAGCAAAAAGAAGGCTGACTGTAAGTCAGGAATAGAGCCCATAAGGGTGAACTGAATCAGTCCATATCATGATCTTCCCAACATCCAGAACTATGAGAAATAAATTCCTGTTGTTTAAGCCATGCAGTCTATGGTATTTCGGTATGGCAATCTGAGCTAAGACAAGAGTCAAGTAGGCAGTGGTAAGTGCAATGGAGACAAGCAAATGTGGAGCAAGAAGGGGTCCAACAGGGAGAGCTGCAATTAAATAAAATTGCACTGAGAAGATGACATTTGGGTAAAATTTAAAGGTGAGAGAAAAACCATGAATATATGGGATGGGTAAGGGATTGGGGGAATGATAAGATAGAGCAAGCAATTTTGTGAATGCCCCAAGGCCGCAGGATGCTTGGAACTGTGCAAAGAGCTGGAACAGAATGAATGGAGGAAAGAGCAATAGGAAAGAAAATAAAACACAAGAGATGGGGGGCGGGGGGCAGATTTTGCAAGGCCTTGTAGGTTTTTGCAAGATCGTGGCTTTTACTCTGAGACTGAAAGACATGAGAAGATTGGACCAGAGGAGTGATATCATCCAATTTGCGTTTGCACAGGATCACTGTGGCCCTTGTGTAGAGAGGAGATTACAAGGTTGTGACTTTCCAGGGAGACCACCTGGAAAGATATTGCAATAATTTAAGCTTGAGATGAACAAGGCTCAGAGCAGCACAGAGGCAATGGTGATGGTGAAAGTGGTTGGATTCTGAATATGCTGAAAACTACTAAGGTAGTCCTGACAGAACTGGCTCATAGATCAGATGTGAAGCATGAGAAAAGAAAAGACAATCATGATACTAACATTTTTGACCTCACTAATTATAAGACTTCACCTGTCCTGAAATGGGGGGAGAGTAAAGAAGGAGCATATTTGGGAGTAAGAAATATCGGGAGCTCTGTTTTGAACCTGACAAGTTTGAGATACCCAACAGAGTTGCCAAGCAGGCAATTGGATGTATGAGTCTGGAGGGCAGGAGAGAGGTCCTAAGAGGAGCTATACTTTTGGGAGCTGTCAGTGTTAATCATAAAGCCATGAGACTGGGTAAAACCAGTGAGAGTGTGAGTGCAGACAAACTGGAAAGTCTAAATGTAGTCCCTGGGGTACTGCTTCATTAAGAGCTTATAGGGTTGAGGAGGAAGAGCAAGGGAGACAGGAAGAAAAACAAGGGAAGAAATAGGAAAACTAATACAGTTTAATGTCATGGAAACCAAATTCAGAACGTGTTTCCAGGAGGGATCCTTCAACCTTATCAAATGCTGCCACTGGTTAGGTAAGATCTGGACTGAGAAGTTGTTGATGACTTTAAAGAGAGCCATTTTTATGAGTACAAAGGTGAAAGCCAGATTGAATCATGTTCAAAAGTAATTTGGAGTAAAGGAATTGAAGAGAGTGGCCATAGAAACTCTTTTGAGAAGTTTGAAACAGTAGCTGGAGGGAAAATGAGAAAAGTGAGGTTTTGATGATGATAATGATGATGATGGTTAAAAGATAATGCTGTTTTTATATATTGATTAAAAACAGTGATAACGTAGGGGAAATAAGAGGAGAGCTGGAGCTTAGAGCAGGTGAAAGGGGATGTAGTCTTGTGCACAGGTGAAGAATGGGTCTTTCCCAGAAAAGGGTTCAGTTAGTCCATATTAAGAGAAACAAGAGGGGTGTATGAGTTTAGATACAGGTACATGAAAATCTCTAGTGGTAGAAGCTAGAGGAAGTTCTCTTCTGATTGCTTCTATTTTCACAGCAAGTTTTAAGCTGAGAATGAGGATGGGACAGGTGTAAGAAATTGGAGGTGAGAAACAACAAGAATCAGTTGGCTGTGAGAATAGGGGAATGAAAAGTCTAAAGTAAAGTAGTCAGATAGCCAGGCAGCATTGAGGGCTTTTTTAGGTTAGCGATCAGGAAGTTAATGTGAGACCTGTCATCATGGCTGTGTGATTTAAGCACACTACTACTTTTCCTACTATACCTCTTGCCAACCATCCAAAACTCTTTGTGAAGTGCTCACTGATTTCAGTCATAGGTGGGAGCTATTCGGTGGGACATTGACATGGTTCAGTTTACATCATAAAAGACACATGCACACGTATGTTTATTGCAGCATTATTCACAATAGCAAAGACTTGGAACCAACCCAAATGTCCAACAATGATAGACTGGATTAAGAAAATGTGGCACATATACACCATGGAATACTATGCAGCCATAAAATATGATGAGTTCCTGTCCTTTGTAGGGACATGGATGAAATTGGAAATCATCATTCTCAGTAAACTATCGCAAGAACAAACAACCAAACACCGCATATTCTCACTCATAGGTGGGAATTGAACAATGAGATCACATGGACACAGGAAGGGGAATATCACACTCTGGGGACTGTGGTAGGGTGGGGGGAGGGGGGAGGGATAGCATTGGGAGATATACCTAATGCTAGATGACGAGTTAGTGGGTGCAGCGCACCAGCATGGCACATGTATACATATGTAACTAACCTGCGCAATGAGCACGTGTACCCTAAAACTTAAAGTATAAAAAAAAAAGTGTTACCATGTCATCAGTATAAAAGATGGATTCACAGGGAATAAGATGGAGGGCAGGAACGTAGCTAACAGGATGCTGAGACAGTCAGGCAAAAACTGATGGTCATGATTAGAGATTATTTTTGTATGTGTGTATGTCTATATGTGGTTCAGAGAATGTCATGTTAGAGAAGGTATTCTTTTTTACCATAGAGCAATGATGGACTACATTCCCAGCAGTCCTATATATCACATGGTTGGCATTTGCTTTTTGATAGTGACCCTGTTCTGGGACTGCCATACGCCAGCTCTGCATACCCTCACTTCTTCCATCTGTCCATACTCTCTAGAAGAGATAGATCTGCGGGAAAGAGGGATTCTGTCCAGGGAGTGTGATTTTTATTTGCATGAATGAACTCATATTGCATTGCTTACACCTCTACTCTTTTCTAGTCCCACCACTCCCCAATACCAGAAGAGCTATGTTATTAAGAGGAAGACATTTCTGATTGTTTTATGGATGGAGAAGCTCAGAAGATGAGGAATTGAGAGAGTGAATGATGTTGAAGGATTCTCTGAAAATATTGCCCACTGAGAATTAGGAGCTAGAGATTTGATTTTCCACCTCATTTTGGAAAAATTGTGAAAAACAGAGCTGGCACGCTAAAAGGCATTAAACCTGGCAGGAAGGTAAAGAGAAAGGGCCAGCAAGCCGCCAACAAGGAATTAAAAGAGATCATGGAATACAGCCCAGAGCTCTGCTAGGCTGTTAGGGGCGGTCCCGGAGAAGAAGCAGCAGATGACAAATGATCATAAGCTGAGACCTGATTTATTTGGTGGGAAATGAAGATGGTAGCAAAGGAAGAAATCTAGACTCCACTAAATGAAAGATTTCCTCAATGAAGCAGACAGTAAAATGGAAGGAGAGTGAAAAAGGAAAAGTCAGATACAATGGATATGTTTTTTTTCCACAACTGAAGAGGATATGTGCAAAGGCCACCAAAGATTTTCAGATTCAGAATTTGCCTCATTTAAAATGTTCCATCAGAGAAGATGTGAAAACAGCTCAAGATAGCCTGGAGCCCAGGGTGACCCGGCGGTGAAATACGAAGTGAAAGATCCCTTGGAGTTCTTGACACATCTTGAGATCTTTGGGAATCTGCAAATTCATGCAGAGCACCCTAATCTATAATTCATTCTGTAAAAAATTAGTTATAATTTTGTAATGGAATAACTTATTTGGCTATGTGAGAACAGTGGGGACCACCCAGCAATAGTCAAGAAGAGCAAATCTACATGGAGCTGTAAAGGCTGGATCAGGCTAGCTGACCCCACAAATACGCGACTTACTGGGCAAACCAATTTTTCTTAGATGTTGATTCAAACATTTCCTTAAGACATGCATTTTAAAATGTTTACATATTTATTGTAATTCATCTTATAAATTATGAAATAAGTTCACTACGTCTTGGACTTTATGGATATAATTACTAGGGCCAGACATAAAAAATAAGTTGATTTAAAGAAATATAAATTAAGAAAATATATAGGTGGGTAGTACATTGATATGATAAAAATTGGACCAAAGTGAAAGATGTAACTGTATTCCTAATTATGAGTAACAGCCAAGCAAGGAAGAGTTGCCTCAATATAGTGAGACAATGTGCCATCATTCAAACGTGCTTAGACTGGTAGGATATGTACGCAAATCTTGATCCGACTTCAAAGATGCAATTTGGTGAACTGGAAAGGGCAAGGAATTTCAGGGCAGATGGCTTGCTCTGCCCTTATTTTTGCTGTATGGATTTGGGGAAATTACTTAATGTCCCTGTAACTGGCAGAGTTTCTTTGAAGGTAATACCATATCAAGTGCTCAGCAAATGCTTTGCCCAGAGAAGACATAGAAGAAATTCTTCAGCCATTATTGCAGATATAAAAATGGGGTGGGTTTTCTTCTCTTCGTATTAAGCAACAGATAATGAGGCATTAAAAAGTTTGATGGAGAAATACGATGGAAGGAGGACTAGATATAGAATTAAAATATTTGAGTTTAATCTGCAGTGTCAAAGATTTCCACTTACTAAATGTTCAACTTAGCCAATTCTCTCTGAGCCTAATACGGAAAATCCTAACTGTTAAGCATACACAATTGTATCTAAGTCCATATATATATATATATATATATATATATATATATATATATATATATATGAATATCTGTAAGACTATCACATTAATATGACTATACATATATAGGGAGAGGAACAGAGAGGATGAGAAAGAAAGGGAGGGAGAGAGGAAAAAGAAAAAAAAGGGTGTTGTAGATAGAAACTTGGTTGAGGGCTAGAAAATCTTGGTTCAATTCCTAGCCTTCATAACTGAAAAAAAAAAAAACCTTCAGTTTCTTTATCTGTAAAATGAGTGCAATAGAACCTACATCACTGGATTTATCTGATAAAACTACATATCTATCTATTTATCTATCTGTCATCTATATATCTGTTGTATAAATCAAGTGCTCAATGAATGTCAGTCACGTTTTAGTTGTTTTCTATCACAACCAAGCCCTCTGCTGTGACCTAGTGAAGCATGGTTGATTTTAGTAGCTCATAGATCCCTGGGTGCATTCAGGAAAGCAAAGCAAAGGAAAGGTGAGTTTATAAAGTAATTGGAGACACTTTCTGAAAGACTGTAATAGATGCCCTTTAGGGTCCTTGCCTGGATCCTGTCTTCTCTACGAATTGGTCCCTATTTCACAGTGTTGGGCCCTGGACAGCTTGAGGAAAAGGGAGGACAGCACAATTTGTTATTTGCCTACTTCTGATTGGGCCAGGTGTAGATATCTGACCCAAGCTAATCCAGCAAAATTCTCTTTGTCAGGAATCTGGAATTTGGAAAAGGACAGAATAAGAGCAATGTAATCTGACTCATATTAAGAGATCCATAGAAAGCCTACTGCCAGGTTGGCACTAGTGGGACCAGCTGGCCTTGTTTGCCTGGGACTGAGGGATTCTCCAGAACTTGGTACTCTCAGTGCTGATACTAGGATGGTCCTGAGTAAACTAAAGCAGTTGGTCACCCTATGAGCTAACCTGGTCACTGCCCTACTCGAGGATTGTCCAAATATTTCTTGGATTCCTACCCCTGTATCTTTCCAATAAGTTGCATTTTAAAGCTTAAACTATTCAGAATTTAACCAAAAGAATTTTTTTAGTGGTGCTATATCCAGAATGCTGAGAAAACATGGAAAATAAGAGAGCATCAATATAAAACAGAAACTGTTTGCTAAAGCTGTCAACCTTGAATAAAATTCTTTATTGCCTCTAATATTTGTGCTAGAAAACTACTGCTTAGTTGCACTGGCAAAATGGATGCCTTTTCTAATGCTTCTTAATATTGGGTGAGTTATGTTGGTAAATTGAGAAGGATTATCTACTTACCCTATTTGGAAAATTAACTCATTACCTTTGTTACAGAAAAGGATGAGGGTTTCTTAGCATATCAGAAGCATTTTACCCTGGAGTCAAGATGATGAATCAGGAATTCGATCAGACTGTGTCTCCAGTGAATTGCACTGTCAAATAATGTTAGAACCAACTGAAGCCTCTCTCACGGCCTTCTCAAGCTTTTACATGCCTTAGAATCTCTTAGAGAGTGAGTTAAACATTTATTCCCCTGGGTTTCCTCCCCAGAGTTTCTGATTTACTAGGTCTGGAATAGGGTCCACTAAATCTGTAGTCAATAAAGTTCCCTGGTTCCTTGCTATTTAAAGCACCTCGTTCAGCAGCGTTGGCACTGTTGGGAGATTGTGAGAAAAGTAAAATCTCGGGACACGTCTTCAATTGTTGAATTAAAATGGGATTTTTAGCTTAATGATAGAGGTGCCTTACCCTGTGAGATTCTGAGGCAATGGTCTGAGGACCATATTGACAAAGTGTATTCTAGCTGGGCCAACTGTAACAACAACAGTAGTTAATGTTTTTGAGTGTTCATTAGGCTCCATGCATTATCCCAATGCTTTCACATGACTTGACTCAGTTGATGCTCCCAACAAGCCTCAGAGGTCATTGTTTCAAGATGAAGAAATGGATGAAACTTCACACGTTCACCAGCTGGTGAGTGACAGGACAGTGCTTTAAAGGCAGGCAGTCTGACTTTAGAGCTTAGGTGCTCAGCCATCACGCAGCACTGCTTCCCTGGCAAAGAGAAAATGTGCTAGCTGAAAGGAGATGGGCATTGCGTTCATCTGGCAATTTAAGAAGACATAACTTGCCACCAGAAAATCAAACACTATAAGGCAGCATTTATTGTGTTGCTGATCATGAATGCCAGATCTGCTTTCTGGGGATTCTTTGGGGTCTCAGTGCCCTCACATGTGTCATGTGGATAATCATAGCTCACTTCTAGCTCTGTGATGAGGCTTGAGTGAGCTCCCTGAGGCAAAGGGCCAAGGGTGAGACTGGCATGAAGAAGGGCTCCAGGAAGTTTCACATCCTGGAAAGAGTGAGGGTGTTGGATTTTAATAAGCCTAGATGGGGCTTTCAGTTCTGCTGATCATTTAGTTCTCTGCAGAGACATCGCCAAATTGTGCCTCAGTTTCCTCACCTGTAATATGAGGTAAATAAAACCCATATTTTAAGATTGCTGGAGGAATTCAATGAGATTATGTTCACTAGGTACAAGACCTTCTACCTCTTTCATATAAAGGGTTCAATATATTGTTACTACTTATGTTTTCCTGTCATAATCATTCTTTTCTGGAATTTTAAGTCATTATCCTCTTCCAGATAATTAAGTGTCAACATTGGGAGGGATCTTAGATGCTTTAAATCTCACCCCCACATACCTCCCCCTCAAACCTGCACACTCTATCAGACAGCTGACTCACACATTCCTGTGAAACAAATCTTCACTTGCAAAACAAGGGGACCTTTTCTTTGAGCCTGTAGTTCTAAAATGACTGGCCATAAGGAATTAGAAAATAATGTAATAATGGCTAAAAGGTGCCTAAACTATGGGTTGCCACAAGACTCTCATCTACTAAAAACATTCCTCTTCTTGAATAAGTATATATGCAGAATGAAACAGGTTTATTACTATTAATTAAAATAAGAACAAAAGAATGCATTCCCTTTATTAAGGCATACAGCCTTTACCCTGAAAACTTGCATGGTATTAAGTATTATGAAGGACTTTTTCAAAAAGGACTTCTTTTTTTCTGTTTTTTTTCCTTCTCTTTTTTTTTTTTCAGAGATAGCAGACAATGTGGCTTTCTTCCCATGCTCTGACTTCTTTGAAGAAACACTTTAACATGCAGGACAAATAATAGTATAATAGTACTACTAATAATGGTGATGATAATTTTAGCCATGGGTGTCATGGTAGTAGTTACAATAGTGGTAACTGATATTTACCATGTGCTTATTTTGTGCTAAGGGCTGTTTTAAGTGCTTTACTTCTTCAGTTATTTGTCAAAACTGCCCTATGAGGGAGGTGTTATTATCTCCATTCAGGTTAAGTCATCTGAAGCCATGTAGTTGGTAAACATAGCCAGGACAGGAACCAAAGCAGTGTGATGACAGAGCCCAAGCCCCCAACCCACTGAGCAGTGCCAATGGCAGTAGGAAAGACTCAAACCTTTCCAGAAATTTCTACCCTTTACTCTCCAAGATTCTTTTCTCTTGGCAGCTTCTAACTTCCTTCTCCCACCTCCATGAAGGCAGGGTCTTTGATATAAGACACTTAGCTGTATGCTAGAAGATGTCTACGGAAAGTGATGTGTAGAATTTACAATGCAGTGGTATCATTAGGGAGAATTTTTTATTTTCTTTTAAAATTCTAAATTCTGAAATTATCTGGCTTATTATCATCTTGTGTAGATAATCACAGATCCCCTCAGTGCCTACGTCCCTGTGGGTTAAGTCAAGCAGTTAGGGAGGTAAATTATCCTTCCCAGCTTCTGGAAGGCGGAGTTGGGGGGGAAGAAACAGAACCCTTATTTGATTTAGCTATCAAAGTATGAAATTCTTATTTCAGTAAATAAGGTTTTGTAAGGAATAACATTCTTTTCTTTTAAATGAATGAGAATCTCCAATCATCTTGAATGTTCAGATGTCCTAAGAATTATTCTCTTCTAGTTTCCTTTTCCTTAAATCCTAACTTGACTTTGGGCTTGAAAATGGACTTGAAGCCTATTTGGTATGTTGTTAGCAGTAAAGACGTTTTCAAAATATTTTCTCACATGTCCTTTAGCGAAAATTACAGACACCACCTTAAGGTAGTTTTGATAACTGTTACCAACACCACTGACGTGTTTGGTAAAGCTTGGGACTGTGTAATGCAACTTCATTAAGGAAGCTTTCATCTGTTATTATGGACAAAATCAATTTTTTGGTTATCTACAAAAACAGCAGTTACCACTAACTTCTATACAGCATGTTACAACTTAAAGGACATTCACATTTTTAATTCTTCAAATGACTTTGAAAAATAGGGATTTTTTCATTTCTATTTTACAAATGAGAAAAATCAAGGGCCAAGAGCAAAACAGGCAATTAAGTTAGTGGAACCAAAATTCAAAACTATTTTTTGACTTTAATCTCTTTTCACTGCCCCCATGGAGTTGGATTCACTTGCATTGGGATATTTTCTGGGATATCACATCACCATGGATGTTTGAGTCTGTGATCATATTTTACAAATGACATAAACCACTGTGTCTTACCACTGACATTTCACCTTATGCTGCTGCTATTCTCAGCCACAAAATGCCAGATGGGAAAGAGATCTCGTTGCTCATTACTCAGGAATGGCAATAACCACAGAACAAAAACTAGCTTCACATTAACAAAACCACTTGCTGTTATCACAGATCTAAGAAAATTCCCCCACTGCCTGTGACTAGGACATTGAATTTCCATTACCCCAATTTTTTTGTTGTTCTCAATGTATGAAACACCTGTTATCCTATTGCACATTCACTATTATGTCGTTTTTGCTCTGTGTTTAAAACCACACATTTGTCCTTATATCTGTAAGCAGAATATCTAAAGTTTAATGCCCTCAATTCTCATAATTGCAAATCCCAAATTATTTGTGATTTTCAAATAACTATACATGGTGATCAGCACATCATAGAATCTCAATAAAATGTCTTTGTGAAAAATAACTTACATTTGTAAGGAAATTAAACTTTTCAAAGTATCTGCACGTGCTTATATTTGGTTCTTATAATACTTCCATAGATAGGCAAGGGAAATGTCAAACTCATTTTGTAACTGATAAACTGAAGCACTGATGTGTGAAGTGGCTTATCTAAATCCATTGAACTATCAGGTTTCCAATTTAGCGTGCTAACCGAGATTGTCTAAATTCAAATATACTACAAGCTGTCTGCCTTTAAAATGCTGCTGTTGCTTTCTTCCTCTTCCTCCTCCTCTCCCTTCTCTTGCCCCCACCCTTTACTTCGTCATCTTTTTTCATGGTCAGCAAAAATGCTGAACACCAGGAAAGACAAACACTTTCCTTCTTATCTCAAGATATTTACCTACGGAAAGTCTAAAGTATTCTGGATTGTCTTTAATATTGATTGTGCTTTGGACAGTTCATTTATTCTTGGGAATTAAAAGGAAGATTTAAGTGGACAGTTAGATTCACCCATCTCTCTTTACATAAATATGAATATTATTTAAGCTGAAATGAATTTTAAAGCAAATGCTCATTTCTTCACAAATACTTATTTTTTTACTATAGTATAGTCAGAAGTAAGTTTGAGAACTCTATAGATTTACATTATCTGTTGGTTGTAAGAAAGATGATACTCCAGGTTTGTATAATGAGAGAGTATTTTCTGAAGACTTTCTCATCTAGATTAGGTATTATTCTAATTTGCTTCCCTGGCATCCTTTGTTTCCCCGCTAGTGATAATTATGGCATTTTGTTTTAATAGTTCAAGTTCAACTACTGTTTTCCCAATGAAGAGGAAATAACTCTGTAGGCTTGTTCTAAGTCTTACTTACCATTGAATTTCTTGCACAGATCCTGGGGCTAATGAGTAAAAGAATGTTTGCTATTAAATAGACATGTAAGAGGGTAGATGGATTTATACAGAGATGGAAAGTGGTTGGGTGGATGGATGGATGGAATGTAGATGGAGGGATGGACAAATTCTATGAGGATATACGTAAGGAAAATTTTTATTTAATCACTGAAAAACATTTGTGAGCACCTCTTATGTACCAGTACCACTATTCACAGCACCAGGGATACAGCAGTGAAAAAACAAAAAGATAAAAAAATTGCTGCACTTATGGAGTTTATATTGCAATGGTGAGGGAGACAAATAACTTTAAAAAGAGTAAAAAGTAGTATATATATATATATACATATATATAAGTTTTCTTATTCTTAAAGTAATTTAAATATATGTGATATGGAGATGTGGAAAAAATAAAGGAGGGGAGGATATAGAAAGCATGACTGAGTGTTGCAATTTTTAAAAAAGTGCTTCTCACTGCATTAGTTTTCTGTGGCTGCTATAACAAATTACTACAATATCATCAGCTCCAAAGTCCTAAATCTTATTATCTAATGATCGAAATTAGGTATGGGTGAGACTCTAAATATGATCCATCTTGAGGCAAAATTCTTTTCTATCTCTGGAACTGTGAAACTAGAAAACATGTTACCAACATACAAATGGTGGGACCAGCATAGGATCATGGTTATAGGCATAAGATAATGGTTATAGGCATTCCTATTTTAAAAGAGAAAAAATAGGAGTTAAAGAAGAGTCACAGGCAATTTTAAAATTCAACCAAGTAAGCTCCATTAGTGTGTAAGGGCTGGGAATAACTCTCTGTGGCTCAAGGTTATGTCCTTTCAGCCCATACCTCTGCTCTTTGGGCTGACACCAGCACCTTCTGGGCCTGGGCCCCTGACTGCTAGGCCTGCCACACCACAAAGCCCACTGCCATTTTTCTTCTTTCTTGAAGAATAGAAAATGTTTGCAGCTGAGTAGTCATTTCAGCCTGTTTCCTGCCTGTAGAATTTGGAAGTCCAATAACCTTCTTTATTTTTGCCTTGTCTCTCTCCGTTTCAGTCCAGGCTGGCAATGTTTCTGATGGTATAATATTCTCAAAAACTTGATGGACCTCCTATATATGTCAGGAGGATTTACATCATCAAACAAGAAGTTCTCCCCAGATCTTTCCTGGATAACTGCCTCTCTATGTCTGACTTATGCTGAGACAGTTGAGTGGATCCCTCAGCTATATGTCTAATCTCTTGAGCAGAAGTAAAAAGGATGTCCCTCCATACCCTTGGCCTTCTGTCCAGAGCACAGTTTTCTGATACTGAATCTCATAATTTTAGCATTTTTTGTATATTGGGTAGGCTGAGAATTTCCTGAATCATCTGCTATTGGTTTCTTTTTGCTTAACAGTTTCTTCCTCAACTTATTTCTTTCTTCTCTCGTTTTACTATAAGCCATGAGAAGAAATCAGGCCATATATTCAACAATTTGCTTAGAAATATTCTCAGCTAAATATCTAAGTTTATAGTTTATAAGTTCCGCTTTCCAATTATGAAGGGCACAATTAAGCTCAGTTATCTGACACTGTAAAACGTGGATTGCCTTTCCTCCAGTTTCCAGTAACATGTTTCTCATTTTCTTTTGAGCCCTTAAAAAAGCCTTTAACTTTCATATTTCTACCAACAATCAGTTTATGATGATATACAGATATTCTCTAAGATGCTAGAACCTTTCTCTATTGTACTCCTCACTTCCTCTCATCCCTTACTGGCAGAATCCTTAGCACTTATATTTCTACCAAAAATCTATTATAAGTAATCTAGACTTTTTCTTTCATGCTTCTCAAAATGCTTCCAGCCTCCAACAGTTTCTCAATTCCAAAGCTACTTCCTCATTTTTAGGCATTTGTTATAGCCTCATCTTGCTTCCCAAAGCAGTATCAAAATACCTACAGTAGTTCCCCTTATTCATTTTTCTCAGTTCCAGTGACCCATGGTCAACCTGGTCCAAAATATTAAATGGAAAATTCCAAAAATAACCAATTTGTAAGTATAAAGTTGCTTGCCATTCTGAGTAGCATAATGAAATCTTGTGCAATCCCACTCCATCCTGCCTGGGATGTGAGTCATTCCTTTGTTAAAGGTATCCATGCTGTATAGCTACCTGCCTGTTAATCACTTAGTAGCTCTCAGTTCAAGCAGGTCAGCAGATCACAAGAAAAAAAGGGTGAGTACAACATAATAAGATATTTTGAGAAAGACAGAGAGTGAGATCATATTCATGTAAATTTGATTACAGTGTATTATGATTGTTCTACTTTATCAATTATTGGTGTTAATATCTTACTGTACCTAAATTATAAATTAAACTTTATCATAGGTGTGTATGTATAGGAATAAAACATTGTATATATAGGATTTGCTACTATCTGTGGTTCAGGCATCCACTAGGGGGCTTGGAATGTATCCCCTGCAGATGAGCAAGTCACTACTGTATTAGTTTCCTGTGGCTGCTATGATAAATTAGCATATACTTGGTGACTTAAAACAACAGAAATTTATTCTCTCACAATTCTGGAGTCCAGATGCCTGAAATCAACACTGCTAGGCCAAGATCAAGTTGTCAGCAGGTTGCACTTCCTCTGGAGGCCTGGGAGAGAATTTTTTCATGCCTTTTCTAGTTTCTGGGTGGCTGCTGGCATTTCTTGTGGCCTCATCACTCCGATCTTCATGGCCAGCATCTTCAAGTCTCTTTCTGCTCCACCTTCACATGGCCTACTTTTTCAATTATCAAATCTCCTTCTACCTTTCTGTTAAAGATAAAGATAAAAGTATGGATGTAGATGCATATATGACAGAGAGTCAGAGACAGATTTATTTTAAAGAATTGGCTAATATGTCTATGGCAAGTATAAAACTTGTAGGGCAGGCCGACAGGCTAGAAATTCAGATAACAGTTGATGTTCAGTCTCTTTTTCTTTTTTTTTTTCTGTATGCACCTGTTTATAGTAGCTTTATTTATAATCACCTGAAACTGGAATAATCGAGATGTCCTTCAACTAAAGTGATTGCAGAAATTCTGATATAGCCATACAATAGAATGTATTACTTGACAATAAAAAGCAATGAACTATTAATATACCCAATAACATATATAACTTTCAAATGCAATATGCTAAGTGAAAGAAATAAGTTTTTTTTTATGTTTGGGAATAATTTTTTTTTATTATACTTTAAGTTTTAAGGTACATGTGCACAATGTGCAGGTTTGTTACATATGTATACATGTGCCATGTTGGTGTGCTGCACCCATTAACATTAGGTACATCTCCTAATGCTATCCCTCCCCCCTCCCCCCACCCCACAACAGGCCCCAGTGTGTGATGTTCCCCTTCCTGTGTCCAAGTGTTCTCATTGTTCAATTCCCACCTATAAGTGAGAACATGCGGTGTTTGGTTTTTTGTGCTTGCGATAGTTTGCTGAGAATGATGGTTTCCAGCTTCATCCATGTCCCTACAAAGGACATGAACTCATTCCTTTTTTATGGCTGCATAGTATTCCATGGTGTATATGTGCCACATTTTCTTAATCCAGTCTATCATTTTTGGACATTTGGGTTGGTTCCAAGTCTTTGCTATTGTGAATAGTGCTGCAATAAACATATGTGTGCAAGAGTCTTTATAGCAGCATGATTTATAATCCTTTGGGTATATACCCAGTAATGGGATGGCTGGGTCAAATGGTATTTCTAGTTCTAGATCCCTGAGGAATCGCCACACTGACTTCCACAATTGTTGAACTAGTTTACAGTCCCACCAACAGCATAAAAGTGTTCCTGTTTCTCCACATCCTCTCCAGCACCTGTTGTTTCCTGACGTTTTAATGATCGCCATTCTAACCGGTGTGAGATGGTATCTCATTGTGGTTTTGATTTGCATTTCTCTGATGACCAGTGATGATGAGCATTTTTTCCTGTGTCTGTTGGCTGCATAAATGTCTTCTTTTGAGAAGTGTCTGTTCATATTCTTCGCCCAGTTTTTGATGGGGTTGTTTGTTTTTTTCTTGTAAATTTGTTGGAGTTCTTTGTAGATTCTGAGTATTAGCCCTTTGTCAGATGAGTAGATTGCAAAAATTTTCTCCCATTCTGTGTGTTGCCTGTTCACTCTGATGGTAGTTTCTTTTGCTGTGCAGAAGCTCTTTAGTTTAATTAGATCCCATTTGTCAATTTTGGCTTTTGTTGCCATTGCTTTGGTGTTTTAGACATGAAGTCTTTGCCCACGCCTATGTCCTGAATGGTATTGCCTAGGTTTTCTTCTAGGGTTTTTATGGTTTTAGGTCTAACATTTAAGTCTTTAATCCATCTTGAATTAATTTTTGTATAAGGTGTAAGGAAGGGATCCAGTTTCAGCTTTCTCCATATGGCTAGCCAGTTTTCCCAGCACCATTTGTTAAATAGGGAATCCTTTCCCCATTGCTTGTTTTTGTCAGGTTTGTCAAAGATCAGATAGTTGTAGATAAGTGGCATTATTTCTGAGGGCTCTGTTCTGTTCCGTTGGTCTATATCTCTGTTTTGGTACCAGTACCATGCTGTTTTGGTTACTGTAGCCTTGTATTATAGTTTGAAGTCAGGTAGCGTGATGCCTCCAGCTTTGTTGTTTTGGCTTACGATTAACTTGGCAATGCAGGCTCTTTTTTGGTTCCATATGAACTTTAAAGTAGTTTTTTCCAATTCTGTGAGAAAGTCATTGGTAGCTTGATGGGGATGGCATTGAATCTATAAATTACCTTGGGCAGTATGGCCATTTTCAAGATATTGATTCTTCCTGCCCATGAGCATGGAATGTTCTTCCATTTGTTTGTATCCTCTTTTATTTCACTGAGCAGTGGTTTGTAGTTCTCCTTGAAGAGGTCCTTCACATCCCTTGTAAGTTGGATTCCTAGGTATTTTATTCTCTTTGAAGCAATTGTGAATGGGAGCTCACTCATGATTTGGCTCTCTGTTTGTCTGTTATTGGTGTATAAGAATGCTTGTGATTTTTGCACATTGATTTTGTATCCTGAGACTGCTGAAGTTGCTTATCAGCTTAAGGAGATTTGGGGCTGAGATGATGGGGTTTTCTAGGTATACAATCATGTCATCTGCAAACAGGGACAAGTTGACTTCCTCTTTTCCTAATTGAATGTCCTTTATTTCCTTCTCCTACCTGATTGCCCTGGCCAGAACTTCCAACACTGTGTTGAATAGGAGTGGTGAGAGAGGGCATCCCTGTCTTGTGCCAGTTTTCAAAGGGAATGCTTCCAGTTTTTGCCCATTCAGTATGATATTGGCTATGGGGTTATCATAAATAGCTCTTATTATTTTGAGATACGTCCCATCAATACCTAATTTATTGAGAGTTTTTAGCATGAAGTGCTGTTGAATTTTGTCAAAAGCCTTTTCTGCATCTATTGAGATAATCATGTGGTTTTTGTCATTGGTTCTGTTTATATGCTGGATTATGTTTACTGATTTGCGTATGTTGAACCAGCCTTGCATCCCAGGGATGAAGCCCACTTGATCATGGTGGATAAGCTTTTTGATGTGCTGCTGGATTCAATTTGCCAGTATTTTATTGAGGATTTTTGCATCAATGTTCATCAGGGATATTGGTCTAAAATTCTCTTTTTTTGTTGTATCTCTGCCAGGCTTTGGTAGCAGGATGATGCTGGCCTCATAAAATGAGTTAGGGAGGATTCTCTCTTTTTCTATTGATTGGAATAGTTTCAGAAGGAATGGTACCACTGTCTCCTTGTACCTCTGGTAGAATTCGGATGTGAATCCATCTGGTCCTGGACTTTTTTTGGTTGGTAAGCTATTAATTATTGCCTCAATTTCAGAGCCTGTTATTGGTCTATTCAGAGATTCAACTTCTTCCTGGTTTAGTCTTGGGAGGGTGTATGTGTCGAGGAATTTATCCATTTCTTCTAGATTTTCTAGTTTATTTGCATAGAGGTGTTTATAGTATTCTCTGATGGTAGTTTGTATTTCTGTGGGATCAGTGGTGATATCCCCTTTATCATTTTTTATTGTGTCTGTTTGATTCCAGGCTCGAGTGCAGTGATGTAATGACTCACTGCAGCTTCAACCTCTCAGGCTTAAACAAACCTCCCACCTCAGCCTCCCAAGTGGCTGGACCTTCAGGCACAAATGACTATGCCCAGCTAATCTTGTGTGTATGTGTGGAGATGGAGTCTCACTATGTTGCCCAGGCTGGTCTCGAACTCCTGGGCTCAAGCAATTCTCTTACCTCAGGCTCCCAGTGTGGTGGGGTTACAAGAGCCTGGTTAATGTTCAATCTTGAGTCCAAATTCTTTAGAGCATCAGGCCGCAAACTCAGGCAAGGTTTCTAGGTTGTAGTCTTGAGGAGAATTCCTTCTGCAGAAAACCTTTGTCATTGCTCTTAAGGCATTCAATTGATTGGGTATAGTCGACCCATGTTATCTGCTTTATTCAAAGTCTACTTATTTAAATATTAATCACATTTTAAAAATACCTTCACAGCAATGTCTAGGCTGTGAAGACATTGCCTAGATATGTTGAAACATAGAATTAACCATTATACTAACATATTCTACAGCAGTATGGAGTGAAGGGGCAAGCCATGCACTTATCTGGGAGAAGTACATTCACACAGAGGGAGGGATAGGAGTGTCAGGACTTTCAGGCCATGCAAGATATTTGGCTTTTATTTGAGAATGATGAGAAGCTAGTGGAGGCTCTGCACAGAAAATAGTGATGACTGACTTCACTAGGCTTGAGCTGGGAACAGGTCAGCTGGAAGATTATTTCAATGATACAGATTAGAGAGAGTGGGGTTTGGATAAGATAGAGCTGGAAAGGATGAGAAATGTTCCAATGTTGATAAGTTTTGTCGTAGTGACAACACATGCTTTTGTGACAAATTGGATATGGGTTGTGAGAGAAAAAGAAGAAAATGTGGCCTAAGCAATGTGGAAACAAACTGAAAGAAGGAATTTGCCATTAACTGAGATTGAAAAGATCAAATGGAAGTGATACAGATGAATCCTTAAGAGTTTGGCTGTGGTCATGTTAAGTTTTAGGGACCTATTAGATATTTAAGAACAGTTGAATATGAACCTTAGCTGTCCATAACATAGAGGTGAACTTGGGAGTTGCTAGCATATCAAAGGTATTTAAAGCTATGAGACTGGATAAGGTCATCAAGATAATAAGTAATGATAGAAGAAGAATGGGGTACATGAGCTGAACCCTGAGACACTCAAGTGTTGAGAGGCGGAGAAAAGTACAAAGAACCAGCAAAGGGATATGGAAAGCCATCAGTGAAAATGGTAGAAAATTAGGAAATTGTGTGCTAGAAGCTAAAGAAGCAACAAATTGTAGGAGAAGAGAGTGGTCAACTGGATCAAATGTTCCTGAAGTGCCAAGTAACAGATGGACTAACATTATCTCTTGTATTTAGCAATGCAGCAATCATTATCAACCTAGCTAACAGTGGTTTCTGACTAGACAAATTCAAGGTAGAATATGAGGAGATGAATTGGACACAACAAAAATAACTATGGAAAGCCATAGGGTATAGACTAAAGATCTTTGCCCTTTACTTGAATCCTAACTGATTTTGATTACCCCAGTGGATAAAAATCAGTCAGGGCTTTTGGCACTGATGCTTGGTAACATGATGAACCACAAGTGCTAGGAAGGAAAAAATTATGAAGAGTCTCACTTTTTTTTTCCTCCTGGCGAATCTCTGCAAGCCTGGGAGAGGAAGATGTCTATGGTACCCTCTAACTCAATAAGCTTTCACTGGCAGGTTCTGGAGGTGAAGATAGTAGTGCAGAGTACAATTTCTTGATCTCAGCAACAATGCAAAAGGAGAATACATTTTGAAAACTAAAAGCAAAGAAACAATACAACACAACACAAAACGAAAATCAGCATAAATAATTAAGCAGTGGAAAGTAGGACCAGTCTTGAGTATCTTGTCTTTTTCTATAGATGATATTTAGTGGATATTTCTTAAATGAAGTAATGAAGTAATGTAAGTATATTAGATTTTCAACAAATATTAAATCTTTCTCCAAAGCCTCAAACCTACTTTACAATTTACAGAAGATCCCTAAATAAAAGGCATATTTGAGTCATATGTTCCCACAGGAAAGAAATTGTTACAATAATGTATATTTCTTATTCTAGACTTTTATTAAAATGACAAAATCCTGCTTAGTATATCTGACAAATTATTTGAAATGAAGAGGAATGTGCAGTAGATTTGAAAGTAATCGTAGGAGGATGAGTGGTTACTACAGAAAGACATAGTAGGAAAAATATCTGTTAGTAGTTCTTGATTTTTTCCCATGGGAGGAGCAAAAAACAATAAGGGTAATATAATTTGCCTAATTCTGTGCTTTTTGACTTTTGATGCATCATTCATTCTTCTAATCAATTATATTGCAGTGTGAAAGTCCTACAAATTAGGACTCTTGTGAGTGAACAATGGGGAAAGGGACATTAAGAAAGGTGTCGTGGCCGGGCGCGATGGCTCATGCCTGTAATCCCAGCACTTTGGGAGGCCGAGACGGGCGGATCACGAGGTCAGGAGATCGAGACCATCCTGGCTAACACGGTGAAACCCTGTCTCTACTAAAAATAAAAAAAAAATTAGCCGGGCGTGGTGGTGGGCACCTGTAGTCCCAGCTACTCGGGAGGCTGAGGCAGGAGAATGGCATGAAGCCGGGAGGTGAAGCTTGCAGTGAGCCGAGATCACGCCACTGAACTCCAGCCTGGGCAACAGAGCAAGACTCCGTCTCAAAAAGAAAAAAAAAAAAAAAAGAAAGGTGTCATAAACAAGGGCAGATAGAAGACCCTGAAGCAGTGAGAATAATTTAAATTTGATACAGAAGATGACAGGCAGCCCTGGAGGTTTGAGAAAGGAAGAATGTGGTCAGAACTGTGGACAAGGAAGATGATTTTGACAGCCTTTGGTACTGATTGCATATTTCATAACATAAAACAGCCTTCAAGGTCTTGGAAAAAATATTTTATATTTATTAATTTTCTTTTTCCTGATATTACATAAATTGCTATATATCTAGGAGTTAGGCTGGTTTGTTTTGATTTGTTTTGCTTTGTTAAAGGAGGTCATGCAATTGAGTTATGTTACTGACAATAAATAGCTCAAGCCCAATCATTTCATTTGGCTTGGCACTATTTTAACAATATAAAAATGATTCTGATATTTATTCAAGTCGAATAGAGATGTATGATCCCATCAAGTTAATTATTAGCAAAAAAGTGTGATATGTTTAAATAGCAGATGTGTTAATACAGAGTAATTATGTTGACTGAAAATGAACAGTTCCATCCGGCGGACGCCCAATTTTTTTCCTAGCAGTGTCAACACTGAATGTCTTTTAATACACTGGAAAATTACTAGGCTGATTTGAAATAACAAAGCAATCACTGCAGGGTTTGTTTAAGGTTCCTCTAGAGAATAGGGCAAATAAAATGATTACAGTGATTTGAACAGTCAGAATTTTATAGCTGTTCACTTAGAAAAACAATCTTCCAATTAGATGACAATTGATAGCTTTTGATACTTCCTGAAATGGTTTCTGCATTAGGAGTATTGATCTGTACTTCTGTGTAGTAGGTTACCTAAGAGAAGGTTATTCTCATTACAGTGAACACATGTAAAGGTTCTACTCACCAATATACTCACTTGACAATTTCAAATGTATAGTCCAAATGGATTACTTATACATAAATTTGTATGGCTTGTACTATTAATGATATTGCAACAATGTTAAGCTGGATACTAGTGAATTTGAAAGTTTCCATTTTCTTCACCCTAATTGTTTTGGCTAGGGTTCTGAATTTAATGCTTTCATTTTCCTTTGTCATTGGGTCAGAGAATAAGCAAGTTCACTGGGTTTTTAAACCAGAGTGTTTGAGGAGCCTGAGCTTGGATTGTGATCTCTAAGGTGAGGTAGGTGAGAGTTAGAAGTATTCACAGAAATTTGCTTATAAAGTGGAGTAGATGGACTATGAATAGATAGCTTGTCAACAGATCTACTGATAGGTGCTTCCTCTGCAGTAGAAAAGCAAACCAGCACTGCCTTAAACAGGCCTTAAGTTCCTCATGTATCAAGAAATTTGAAGGAAGCTAATGACATGTTTCAGTTTTACGGATCAACCACATTAGAGCCAGTTTGATATCTATTGTGAGCATCTTTCACTCATAAAATGGCTGTCTCGATTCCAGCCATAGCATCCATACTCAAAGCAAGAAGAAGGGAGAAGGGATGTGTTAGCTCTGACCATGTCAGTCCCATTGATCAGGAAGCACTGCCTTTATCAGCCATTAGCAGACTCCTGTTTACCTCCCATTGGCCAGGAATGTATCACATGATCATCCTAACTTGCAAGGAAGTCTTGGAAGATGTGTACATTTCACAGCCTCTGCAGTGGAGATTGGCAAGGAAGAGAGGTTGGGAAGGGGCTTTGTTGTATTAGTCAGCCAGTCATATTTGAAACTATCAGTGAATTATACGGAAGAGTTTCCATACCTCGAGTTTCATTTACTGTGATAGACTTAACTCTGTTTAAGATTCCACTAGAAGTTGGGAGGGCGTTTACTAATGCGGATATACAGGAAAAATATTTAATGGCGATATTCATAAACATAGCCTTGAAAAAGCCATCTACATTCCCACATCATAGGAGAGACATAGGCAGGTGCAGGTGATGGCCAGACAAGGACCTCCCTCTTGTTGGCTTCTTTCTCTACTTTTTTTTTTTTTTTTTTTGAGACAGATTATTGCTCTGTCGCCCATGCTGGAGTGCAGTGGCGCGATGTCGGCTCACTGCAAGCTCCGCCTCCCAGGTTCACGCCATTCTCCTGCCTCAGCCTCCCGAGTACCTGGGACTACAGGCGCCCGCCGCCACGCCCGGTTAATTTTTCGTATTTTTAGTAGAGAAGGGGTTTCACCATGTTAGCCAGGATGGTCTCGATCTCCTGACCTCGTGATCTGCCCACCTCGGCCTCCCAAAGTGCTGGGATTACAGGCGTGAGCCACCACGCCCCGTCCTTTCTCTACTTTTTAATCATTTCCAGTATCTGTTAATATAACTTGGCTGTACCCCTGAAATTCTCCTGAAATTGTTTTTTTAAAGCAATGTTGCCTAAGTTATAACCTCAAATGAACATTTAAATGAGCATATGTTAATTATCTATAATTAATAAAATGATTATGTAAATGAACTTAAATTTGAATTAATTTTATTTACAAGTCCACATTAGTTTAAATATCTGGTATTCTGTTAATAGTCTATTATTACCTTTTTTCATATAACCATCTAGATTTCATATGAAAATTCCCTTCTGATTATTTTCAGCATACAATATTGGTAACATAATTGTGCATAGACCATCTCACATTCATAACAGCTGGCTCTTAATAGAAAAAGATTCCTAAATAAAAGACATATTTGAATCATATATTCCCACAGGAAAGAATCTGTTACAGTAATATGTATTTCTTATTCTAGACTTTTATTAAAATGACAAAATTCACTGTATTGGCTTAAGTTTTAAAAAGATCACATATCTCTATACAACATATTGCATAGCTCAGTAACTTTATATACATTTATTAAACAGCAGCAGATTGCTTAAAAATCGCATTAAGAATCCTTAGAAATCTTTAGCTCTAGTAAAGAAATATTACCTTCCCCACCACCAAAATGGCCTTCTCGTGTCTCTTTCCTGGGCCTCATTCGAACTTTGAGGTGTATGTAAATAGTTATAAGCAGGTTGTCTTGAAGAGCTAGCGAGATTTATAAGACAGAAACTTTGCCTTTAAATGAACACACGCTTTGAAAATATCTGGCAAGGCACACTATCTAATGATTCAAAAGCAAAATATTTTATGATCATAACAAGACTCAGAGAACTTATTGCTGGAAAACAGAGTTTACATGTATGAACTAAAATAACAAGAGCATGAAAGTTAAATCAGTATTCTCCTTCAGATCAGTAACCAAACACACACACACACACACACACACACACACACACACACACACACTTGTAAAATAAAAAGACATAAAACCTTAAGTTCCATTGACTTCATGTTGGCTAATCACTTTAGCCACTGCAGCTTTAATTAAAACAAGATTAAAAGTAAGAGATGTATCAGCCCTTTTATTTTGTTACAAAAAAGTTAGGGTTTCTTTACCATCTGGCTTAGGAACACTATCACTGCGTATTTAGTTAAGCCACTTTGGAAGATCCTTAATACTGCATTTGTATATTTCAATTTACTCTCTCTGAAAACCGGAAGCAGTTCCACTAACACAAAGAAGTTCGGTAAATATAAGTTGCACCTAGGAGCATCCAAAATTGCTGGGCCTGAGACAGTGGATTTAAAATAGCGTTCACTGAAACCCTAAAGGTTCAACAAAACTGCCTCAGGGGCTTAGGAGAACGGAATGGGAAATGGAGGAAGAACAGCTGCATGGCGAGTTCAAGGCTCCATTAGTCTTGCTTTTTGAAATTCCTAGAGATATCCAAGAACTGCTTTTTATTTGTTATAAAAATTGGCTTCTGGAAAAGATTTTATTTAAAGAAAGTATGCCTTGCTTTGAAATTTTTTGTTGTTATTGTTGTTGAAAACAGCTGTGCTAAAGGAATATGGATACATATTTTTTAAAAAGAAAAAATATATAGGGTGCCTGAGAAACAATGTAGTGAGAGAGGCATAGTGAAACAGTCAATTACCTTCTGCTTTTTTTGCCACACCAGAAGACAGCATTGAAAAGAGAAAATTCAATTCAGCAAGTATGGAAGGAGCATTTCCATTGCTGAGCATTCTAATATGTCCAGGGGATGAGGCAAAATAAATAAGTTATCACCTTGATGGGATATAGCTGGGGCAGGAAAAGCATTGCACTTGAATAAGAAAATGTGTTTTCCTATCCTGGCTCCATCTGAAGGATTGAAGGTGTTAGAATATGGACTTGTTGGTTTGTAAAACGATGGCACAGTTGTTCATTAAGCACCTGCTATCTGCCAGGCACTGTGTTAGGCATAGGGGTATCCAAAGATAAGTGTGGTCTGCTACCATGTCCTGAAAGAACTCACAGAATAGTGATAATAATTCAAGTAGTAAACCAGCCGACATTTATTGGATAATTGATCTGGGCCAGGCAATATTCTAATCACCTTTACAAGAACTCTCTTTAGAATCTTCAGGGCGATCTCAGTAGGTCCATCTATTTTACAGGAATGGACATGAGGTATAGAGAGTTTAAATAACTTGCTCAAAGTTACACAGACAGAAAGTGCAGAGACAGTCTTTGAATTCAGTTCACAGAACTCCAGAACCTGTTTCCTAAACAAAGTCACTCCATCGCTTTACCTGAATGGAGATGTGGCGAGAAGGGAATGTGTAGTGATTTTTGGAATGCATTTTAGAAACAATGGTGTTCTGTGCAAATGTTAGTTATCCTTACACCAAGGGAGAGAAATAATTCAGAAGTTAGATATCAATGGGAAGTAAATATCCAAAAAAAGAGTAAAGATGTAATAAGCAAAGTATAAGGCAACCTCAAGTTCCTGGAACCTAAGTAACTTTATCAAGCATTCCTGTGCCTTCATTCAGAGTCCTTCTGGGTTAAATTTTAGTAGGAAGGAAAGGAAGGCTCAGGTGTTTCCCAGGCTCTGACTAGGTATATATCAGTCTCAGCAGTCAGTAAGACTATCCAAATGCAAACACATGATTTTCTTGACATTGAGCTCATCTACTTCAAGGCAGAACTTGGATTAGACATCAGGAACAACATGATGAACCCCCTTTTAGCCAGAGAGTGAACACTTTAAGTAGAGAAATGTGCCGTCTAAATGACTTCCCTTGTGTTCTGGAAATAAGGCATCCTGACATTGTCAAACAGAATAGTAAGAAGACGATCTGGGAGCTCGCTGTTTCCTCCTCTGCTTGAGCCTGGATTGTGTCCTGTTAGTGTGTCTCGAATCTGTTCTATCCAACGCTCATTTGCAGAAACCACATTTGTAAATAAAAGCAGATTAGAGCAATTTAAAGGTCAGTGGCAAAGCTGAAATATAACCAGTGTTAAGCACGGTATCCAGTAGAAGTCGTTGATAACAAGGTGCCTGCAAACATTCTGCGGTTAAGAATTGGCTTTAATTCAATTAGTGGAGGAGAAAAAAAAATCTTGTCTGTATTTATAATTTTGGTTTAGCTCCTATTCTTCTAGAAAATGTGCCTTTATTAAAAGCATGAAAATAGACATTTCAGAAATGTGTTATCCACTGTCAGTCCTCAATTAACTTCTATTCATTCAGACACCAAGAATCCGTGTTCTGCCCATTAAAAATAAGAGGCTTTCTTTTCTATTCTCTTTGCTGTTATTGATATTGTTAATCATTTTAATTAGTGGCTTCCCATGATTCCAATCAAGCCCAATTAGACTCAAACCTGATAAACAATGAAGAGGTGAAAACAGCAGCTCAAAACATGGATTGATCTTGCTAGCACAAAGTGGAAGTTGCTGCATTTTAAATTGCTTCTAGCCACCTTTAAACAAAGCCCTTCCTTAGTCCCACTGACTAGAATAGCATCTGGTTGCTTATGTGAAATGTAACCCATAGTCATATCTTTTAAAAAGCTTCACCCACTATACCCCCTCAAACATATATTCACGTGTCCGCATGTCTCTATCATGTCTTGGTTTACATTTTTCAACACACTATATCAAAACAATTTAAGTTTTTTGCTCCTCTCCTTACCTTCTCCCCATCTTTGTTCATGAGTCCCTGCCTTTCTCTGTGCTTTGAAAGGGCCAATCTCCTTTAGAAAAGAGCGACCCCTGTTTTCAATGATGCTGTAGAATTTCAGTGCATATGTTTTGAGATGACCACAATATACCTGTTCTGGATACTGTGCTAAATTACAAGACACTTTTCATCTAACTCCCTCAACAACTCTATGAAGTTATTACTTCTCTTAGACCTGTTTTACAGATGAGAAAACTAAGGTGTCAAGAAAGCAGTAACTTATCTAGAACACCCAGCCAGAAAAAGTTAGACACAGAATTTGAACTCAGTTCTCTATCGGTGGTCCCCAACCTTTTCGCCACCGGGGACTGGTTTCATGGAAAGCCTTTTTTTTTTTTTTTCCCCCCACAGACAGGGTTGTGGGGAGGGGGGCGGGGATCGTTTTGGAATGAAACTGTTGCATCAGGCATTAGAGTCTCCTCAGGATCGTGCAACATAGATCCCCGGCATGGCACAGTTCACAACAGGGTTCATGCTCCTGTGAGAATCTAATGCCACCGCTGAGCTGACAGGAGGCAGAGCTCAGGCAGTAATGCTCACTTGCCTGCCACTCACCTCCTGCTGTGCTGCTCGGTTCCTAACAGGCCACAGAGTGGTCCTGGGTGGGGAGAGGGTCCTATATGGTCCCAGAGTCCCAGCACTCAAATGTTACATGATGCTAATGTTTCTAGGCAGTTTCCCAGGTAGAAAAAAAGTTCAAATTCTAAAACCTTACTATTAATTTTTCTTAGAATATATTCAATTGATAACATTTTTTATGAGAATTGTCCCTTATCCAACCCTCTTTATGCCTCTGACCTTACTTGCCAAATAACATGGTTTATACTGTCTTTCAGGTGAGAAAAGGAATTTTATCAGTATCCTTAGATCTATGTAATGGACAAATCTTATCCTTAAAAATTATTCAATTGTAACATGAATATCTGTTTTACTACTTGAAAACGTCATGCTGAGGTTTAAACAATGTGACATAGAAGAGCATGAATAGCAGCATCTGGGTTTGAATCCTGGCATCTCTTCCAGCTGTCTGGGATATCTTGGGCAGGTTACTTCTGAGCTGAGAGCCTGGAATAAAAATAGTAGTAAAGAATAAAGAAATTGAACCCAGAAAATACCGATTATAAAATCAGCCTTGCAGTATTGTGAAAGTTAAACAAAACACATATTTAAATGTGCCTGACCTGTAACTCTTTATTAACAAATGATAATATTAATAATTGTTATTTGTCTTGTATTATTTATAAATCAGTTGATAATTATTTATATGGAAGCAAGTCGATAGTAAGTTTCATTAGGCAGAATATCGGGAAAGTGTGACAAGTGTTAGCAAATATCCAGCTAAAGAGATTCAGATTAGGAAGGAAATTGGCTATAGCAGAGGATAAACCCGGTTATTGGAGATAGACTAGAAGGCTGGGGCATGATTGAGAAGAGAAGATAATTAAGGTACCAATTACTGACACCTAGGAGTATGTGTATCAGTCAGCTATAGCCACAATAATGCTGAGAACCAACTCCAAACTACAATGAGTATTTATTCTCACACTCATTTTGTCTGATCTAAATTGGCTGAAGCTATAGCTCTTCTTCACATTGCGGGTTAGCTAGGTGTGGCTAAAGGCTAGAGGTTCAGTTTAGGTCTATTTTATGTTTGTTTCTTTGTTTGTTTTTTAATAGAGATGGGGGTCTTGCCATTTTGCCCAGGCTGGCCTCGAACTCCTGGTCTCAAGTGTTCCTCTCACCTTGGCCTCCTAAAGTTCTGGGATTACAGGCATGAGCCACTGCACCCAGCCCCATATATTTTTGTCCTTGGGCTCAGACTGAATAGACAACAGTTCCTAGGGAATGTTCTTTTGATGGCTGATCACTAAATCATAACAGAAAACTTAGTTACGTATGTATATTTCAAGCTTCAGCTTGCATCATGTCTTTTAATATCCTGTTGGTTTAAGCGAATCTCATTTCTTCATATAGTAAATTATACTCCACCTACTATAAGGCAATAATATTGGTACACAATTTTATGATAGGTGAAAGAATTGGGGTCAATAAGTTAATCTACTACACAAGGTTAACCTTTGAGATGACAGAAAGACTTAGGTATGGCTGATCCTTCGATCTAGAGATTCTTCTGCCTCCCTTGCAAGAGACCTTGTTTCAGAATTCAGAAATGAAACTTAGGCTGGAGTTGATAATCATCTATTCTGGTAATAGAATGACGATGGCACTACTAAAAAAAAAATCAGCCTGATTATAACTGTGGTTCAACTATCTGACCTGGTCCATGTTACCTTCTGTTTGTAGCCTGCTACTCTTAAATTCTTTGCTTTGATCTTGGTGTTTTTTATTTGTTTGCTTTTACCAAGAATGCTGGTGCACATTGATGGAGCTATTGATTACACATCAATTTGCCTTCCTAAATTTTTCCTCCAGGAATTTTATGTCTGGTTTTTCACCTTCCATTCATTGAGCATCATTTGTAAGCACAATGCAGAAAAATCATTTGCTTCGCCTTTGGTACTGGTCTTTTTCCCAGCTAATTTGAGCAGAGATACTAAAATTTCAACAAGATTGTATCTCCTTGTTTTGCACTTGTAAATAGACGCACTCATTAGGACTGTTGAACATCATAATTTTTGTTCCACATTTGTAGCACATATCTTCCCCAAAATCAATATAAGTAGAATCAATTCTGATTTCCTTAAGTACTTTGTGGGAACCATTGTGCTTTGCTAAATTGAGGTGCTTTTTTATGGTCAAAGATTGAGAAGCAATGTAGACTAACAATGTTTATCGGGCTCTTGGGAGAAATAAGTGTGATTATTCATTGAGCAACTTGAACCTAATCTACATTTTTCCTCGCTTTATTTGGAGTTATTCAGTTTCACATGGAATAATGTCTTGATGTGGTTTTCTCCAGTAAACAATTAGGTTACTGTTTCTGCCACCATATGTGTGTGCTTCTAGGAGATTGTATATATATATATATATATATATATATATATATATATATATATATATGCTTCCATTTTCACACATTGAATACACTATGAATATTCTTATATCTTTGTTCTTTAATGAGATTATGAGAACAATAGGGCAGGTATAGGGCATTTAGTCATATTTGCACTCCATTATTATTGATCAGTAACTAGAGAAATATTATTTATCAGTAGCTTTTTATTAAATGACTAATCATTGTGGTTTGGGGTCAACTGTACCAAACATTGTGATTAAGATCATTAGTCACTTTTTTTTTTCCTAAAATGTTCCCTATCTGTGTTTCTCATTAGAAATGGGGTTCGTGGACACTAATCTGTCCTGGCAGTGGTAGTTCAGTCTTTAATCATTGTAATCCATTGGCTATATGTCCATAAAATATTAATCTATCTTGGAATTCAATCCCTATTTGAATATCCTCCTATATTTTCTTAGGTATCCCCATTCTGCATCATTTTAGTGCTAACTCATGCTCTGTACCTCTCTGGTAATATGTCAACCTTATCTGGATAATTTCTGGGATACATAGCATGTAATCTATGACCAAATTGCCTTTGGAGACCAGTTCTACATTTATAAATGTCTGAACATCATTGACTACCATTTATGAATGTCTTTTGCTATCATTATGCAGTATATAAATATTCATAACATCAAGCCTCGGAAGGGTCGACGTCAAAGCAAACTAAAGAATTATGGTTGGTACTATGGAGGTTATAAAAATAATTATTTTGCTTATGCCCTTTTTGCCTTTATGATTTGTTCCATATTTCACTTTTTCGTGGTTGGAATGTTCTCAAGAAAAGCTTTCTTGAATTTAGTTAGAATATCCTTTGGTTCTTCAGACTCTTAACTTTTCCCTGAATTTTTCATGGTCCTCTTTGATGTTCTTATGTATCTTCATAGACACAGTTCTATATTCCTTACTTTTCCTTTTTTTTTAAATTTATTGGATATCCTTGCCCTTCTCCTTCGTTCCTCTTTAATTCAATATATATTATTGAAGAAATGCTCATGGCAAGTTTGTGACAATCAACCTCAGCCTCCATATTTTTTATTATTGAATGAAATAGTTCTGGTAAGAAATGCACACCAGAAGCATATTCCATTCCATTTTTTACATTGCTTTGATGTTTTGTTTGAAGTTTTTCTGTAAATAAAACCTTAAATCAATGCCTTTTTTTTTTGGAAAGTCTTTGGATTTATTTGAAATTGCGTAACTATTTTTATCTTTGGCTCCACACTCGTATTCCATGATCCAATTTAGAAGCAGTATAGTGTGGGTGAAAAGAGCTGAGTTTACCATCTATTTGGATTTCGACTCCTAGGTTAGCCACTTAGCCACCTCAATGACCTTGGGTAAGTTACTAAGCCTCTCTGAGACTCAGATTTCTTACCTATTAGTGTTCCATTTTTATCTATAGTGACTTTAACCTTCGGAGGCTATTGTAAGGATTAAAGATTAAAAAGGAAGAACAGTTGACATACCCTAAACCCTTCATAAATAATGGCTAAATTATGCTAATATCTACTTGAGTGATATTTTTAAAATGGCTTTTGAAGCATCACCCATAGAACTGAGCCGGGGCAGGTTGATGTAATTGAGGATTCTTCACTGTCATAAGTATGGCTGTACTATGTTGATAGCGGGTATATGGCTTACTTCCTCAAAGGTAATTGCATGACCCCACCCCCCCATACTGTTCTGATCTCTTCTACTTTGCTAATAGAATACCACTGATAAACCCTCCCTTATCAAGGGAGAGTTTCTTCTTTTTACCTTCTCTTTGAAGGAAAGTAATTTGTAAAAGCCGTTATCACTTTGAAATTTTGTGGCAATGATTAAAATACATGCTAGTAAGTATAAAACGTGATGCAAGAATAGACTACTGTTTGTATTGAATCATGTTAATATTTTAGTTCATTAAGATAAAAGATATGTCAATAGGGAAATAAATTGTACTAGATAAAAACACAAGCCTGATAAAAGTCCAGAGGAGGAGAAAACCACATTAATTCTGCTAATGCTAAAAACATTATGCACAAGATACTATCTTAGGTTTGTCATTGGTACCAAAGTATATCAGCCTTGTCAAAAATGATGATTTTATAATTTTCTTTTAAGGGAAATTGCTTTATCTTCACAGTGACTGATAATAGATAGATGCTCAGTGCATACTGGATTAAATGAACAGAAAGATCAGGATTAAAAATGCTTAATTAATGTTACATTGGACACAGTTGTATTGAAAGAAAAGTTAGGAACTTTGATTTGGTAAGAATAAATCATCAAATAATTAAAGATACGGGTTTTAAAAATAATTTCCTTCCCAGTTTGAGGGCTAAATAAATAAATTTGCAGAATTATAAATTATCAGAATAAAAAAGTTATTCAGAAATTGCAAATTAAAACAAAAATGGGACACTATTACACACATCACTAGAATTACCAAAATCCAGAACACTAAATTCTGTTGAGGATGTGGAGCAACAGGAACTCTCATTCACTGTTGTTGGGAAGGCAAAATGGTACAGCCACTTTGGAAGACAGTTGGGCAGCTTCCTATCAAACTAAACATACTCTTATCATATGATCCATCAATCACACTCCTTTGCCTTTACTTAAAGGAGCTGAAAACCTATGTCTACACAATAACCTACTAGTGAGTGTGTATGGCAGCTTTATGCATAATTGCCAAAACTTGGAAGAAACAGGATATTTTTCAGTAGTGAATGGATAAACTGTGGTGCATCCAGGCAATGGAATATTATTCAGTGCTAAAAAAAAATGAGTTATCAAGTCATGAAAAGAAATGGAGGGACCTTAAATGCATATGACTAAGTGAAGGAAGCTACTCTGAAAAGACTGTGTAACTGTGTAATGTATGCTGCCAACTATATGACATTCTTGAAAGGTCAAAACTTTGAAGACAGTAAAAAGTTCATTGGTTGCCAGGGAAGAGTAGAGAGAAATCAATGAATAGGCGGCGCACAGAGGATTTTTAAGGCAGTGAACCTATTTTGTATGATACTATAATAGTGGATATATGTCATTACATATTTGTCAAAACCTATAGAATGTAGAGTATCAAGCATGAACCCTAATGTAAACTGTGGACTTTGGGTGATAATGATGTATTAATCTAAGTTCATCCATTGTAACCAGTATACCATTGTGGTATAAGATATTGATAATGGGGTAGGTGCTTGTGTGGGGGCAGAGAGTATATGGGAACTCTCTACTCTTCATTCCATTTTGTTGTGAATCTAAAACTTCTCTAAAAAATAAAGTCTATTTCATAAAAACAATCAAATAGCATTTCAGAAATGAGTCTAGTCTGTCCTCCTTATTGTACAGGCTTAGCTAAGCTTAAAATCATCCTAGAAAATGTGCACCTTGATTCCTACCATTTCCATCACAGGATATCATCTTTCCTTGTGGCTAGTCAGCAAGCATACCACCATAAATGAAATCTGGATGTTACCAATTTCAATTGCGTCTATGGGCATCGCGTTGTAAATTGCCCAAATATTGCGATTCCATGATAGCTTCCTCCCACCACCAAGTGTCATTGTGGGCATCATCCCTCATGTCAGCTGTAGTGGTTTTTGAAGCCTGCAGGCTGATTTTAATGCTGGCCAAAGTAACCTGAAGTCATATGAATTATTCTTATGTAAAAAATATCAGTTGAAGAAACTTAACTTTTATTTGGGTTGACTTTTATGCCTCCCTCAGCTGTGGAACTCTATCAGTGTCCTGGTGGTCTAATGAGCCTACTGGACAATTGTGTTACTGGCAAAACAAGACATTACATTTAAAAAGGATTGCATGCAAGTAATTCCTACTTTAAAAACGACTATACGATGTCATTCTCTGACTCAGAAGGAACAGCATGAGAAAATGACAGAGACAGCACTATGCCTGTAATAATCATTGTTTTGTTTTACCATCCATTTGACCGAGTCCTACCCCTCTAAAAGCCCACTCAGATACTGCCAGCCCCAGTTTCTCCAGGTTACCGTATTTGTCACTGCTCAAGCACTGTATCAAATTTCCCTTTAATTAATAAAAAAAATACTCTCTCCTTTACCCTCCATTCTTGCGGCTTAATTTATGTTTAAAACATTTTTTTTAAGTTATAAGAACAATTCATATGACTTATGCTTACTTTGGCTGCCATGAAAATCAGCCTACAGCTTCATAAACCTATATAGCTGGTATGCCTTTATTTGTTTACAACTTGGAAAGAGAATTCATGTTGGCTATGATGGTTTCTGGCTGTCAGTTTTCTTAAGGACTTTGAAAAAGAGGACGGCTAACTCTTCCTCGAAATTCATTTCCTGCTTCTGCCCTACGCGGACAGTTCTTATGCCTATCATGTCAAGACCTAGCTCCTACTCACTCCTTCTACTGTATTCATCTTTCTGAGACTGGATCCTGGGGATTTAGTTTAATGAGTCTGCAGGTGATTTATCTGAACCTCATAATTGAGCACCATTGCTTCTCAGTCAGTCCCTTCGAGTTACCCTTGCTCAGAGTGCGTTTCTGCTGAAGACCAAGCCTGCTCCCTGCAGGGTATCCCCTAGAAGTTCTCACTACTGTACCCTACCTCTGAGGGACCACGGAGGAAGTGCAGTGTAGGGAAGACTGTACTTGGTTTCATTAGCCTTTCCCAACCATTGGTATGGTCCCTTTTTTAATTAGTCACAATGCTGCTAAAAAGGTCATTAAGTGTGGTTTCACTGAAGGTTTGGAAATAATGAAGAAAAAATAAAAGCCTTAATTTTTTTTTTTTTTACATATTTATTCCCGTGGCTTAACACATTGCCTGGCTCATAGTAGATGCTCAATAAATATTTGTTAAATAAATAAACGCTAAGTCTGACTATTCCTAGGAAAAGTAAATCATACCTTTTTCTAAAATTTCCTCACAGACACACCCATTTCCTAGCATAACATCACTGTACTGAGGTCCACTTTTCTTGTTAAGGTTCCTACTAAGTAGACTGAAACATTCTCTCAGTCATGTATTGAAAATTCCAACCCAAATTAGGTAAACCCTACCATTGCACAAAAAGAGCTGGTCTTGCCCTGAGACTGAGTTGGGGTGCATTTGTGAGAACAGAAAAGTCATGATCCGTGTGAAGTTTAATGAGAATGGGAATGATCTGAAAAAGGCATCTTAAATGAAAAAGAAAAAAAAAAAAAAGTTAAAAAAGTGACATGCTTAATTAAAATATTTCATTAAAAAGCAGCTTGGATTTTACAGAAGTTAAGTGTAGTTTCACTGAAGGTTTGGAAACAATGGAGAAAAAATTAAAAGCCTTAAAACTAATTTTTTTTTTTTACATGTTTATCCCCAGTGCTTAAAACGTGACCTGGCTCTTAGTAGATGCTCAATAAATATTTGTTAAATAAATAAATGCTAACTCTGACTGTTCCCTTAAACGATGTTTAATGTTGATTTATCCTCTTTATCAAAGGATACATTTTTCTCCATTTAACCTAAAGAAGTTACATGTTTACATACTCCTCGGAAAGGGTGCTTTTTCAAAGAATAAAAAAACCACAAAAATGTTTCCAAAATTTAAGTATTCTGTTGTTATACATTTTTCTCCTTTCTGTGTAGTCTAAATATTTGACAATTTTATCCAAGAGTAAATGGTCAGATTTTAAAAATAGCTTTATTAAGGTGTCATTTACATGTCATAATATTGTTATGTATATATTTTAAGTATACGATTCAATTATTTTCATTACATCTATGGAGTTGTGCAAGCATTGTAACAATCCAATTTTAGAACATTTTCATCACACCCGAAAGACTCCATGTGTCCATATCTACGGTCACTAAACTACTCTGGTTTCTATGCCTTTGCTTTTGGTGGAGAGTTCATGTAAATTGAATCACAATAAAGTGGTCTTTTGTGCCTCTTTATTTTCCTTAGCATAAAGTTTTTGAGGTTTATGTATGTTGTAGCATGTCTTAATACTTTATTTCTTTTTATTGCTCAATAATGTTTCCACATATTACATTGGTATTTTTGTTTGTTTGAGACAGGATCTCACTCTGTCGCCCAGGCTGGAGTGCAGTGAGTGGCGTGATCACAGCTCACTGCAACCTCTCCCTCCCCTGCTCAAAGGATCCTCCCACCTCAGCCTCTCGAGTACCTGGGACGACAGAGATGCACCACTACAAACAGCTAATTTTTTGTATTTTTTTCTATAGAGATGGGGTCCTGCTATATTACCTAGGCTGGTATCAATATCCTGGGCTTAAGCGATCTGACTGCCTCGGCCTCCCAAAGTGCTGGGATTACAGACGGGAGTCACCATGTCCGGCCACTTTTAAGATATGTTAGCATGCAGTACAACAGTGAAGGCAAATGTGTTTGACATTCACAAGAGTTTCTTTTTTATTTTAAAATGTAATTTATATCATCATAACTTCTGAAAGAATTATAGTAAAGGTTAATGACATATATATGTGTTAATGACGTGTGCATATACGTTCAAATATGTAATTTGAATATACAAAATATCTTCCAAAAATTTGCATATTCATTTTATTTTTTCATACTCCATTCTTTAAAGGATTACTTTTACTTAAATAAATTCTTACCACTTTATGTGCATATATATATTTAACACATATTTCACTTCAGATATGATGTTTAGGAAGATTAGAGAAAGTTAGGTTTTAATGTCCTGCTGATTCACATTATAAAAAATACTATAGTGTTATTATCGCAGACAGTTTTAGTTGTCCCCTAACAAGTCAAAATGTTTAATGAAAAGTGCTTAATTGAGTTAAGATTACTTAGGAAAATTGGCTATTTTGTTAATCTCTCATAATATTGATTTTAAAGTTAAGTTAGGTAGTATTTTATGCCTATAATTTTATTTTATTAATAATTTTAGAAGGGTTAGGGCAAGATAGAGAAAAGAATATATAACCAGAGTCCTTCAAAGGTCAAGTAAAAATAGATTGTTGAGGATCATTCTATTTCTTTCCTCTCTCCCGAGTGCTCATTTCTCCTCTCCTCTCCAATGTCCCTTCCCCCATCATATTATTTTGTCCTATCTCATGTCTGTACTGAATACATTTTATCTCCTTAGTGTTTTGCCAAAAGAACTTTGTTGTGAAGGACAAAGAATTTATGAAGAATCATTGAAAAATAAAAAATACATTAAAATAGCCTATGCACATTTGGGGACAGGATTGTCCAACCCAGTTTTTGTTTCTTCCAACATGTGGCACTATGACTGTCTTATCTGGAAAATATTTGATTGACATCTGCTAACTTAAAATGATATAATAGTGGAGAAATGGATAACATTCTGTGATTTTCTAAAGTTCCACTTTTTAATGCTTGAGTTTGCCTTTCAGCTTTCTTAGATTTTATAAATCTTAGGTTTTGTAGAAATCTTATATTTTGTAAGAATATTGTGAGATGAACCTAAAAAAAGTAAGCTTGCTTTCTCTCTTTCTTTCTTTCTTTCTTTTTCTCTCTTTCTTTCTTTCTTTCTTTCCTCTTTTTCAGACAGAGTCTTGATCTGTCACCCAGGCTGGAGTGCAGTTGCCAATCTCAGCTAACTGCAACCTCCACCTCCCGGGTTCAAGCAATTCTCCTGCCTCAGTCTCCTGAGTAGCTGGGATTACAGGCGCATGCCACCATGCCTGGCTAATGTTTTATTTTTTTAGTAGAGATGGTGTTTCACCATGTTGGTCAGGCTGGTCTCGAACTCCTGACCTCGTGATCGTCCCACCTTGGCCTCCCAAATTGCAGGGATTACAGGCATGAGCCACCATGCCCAGCCAATCCTCATTTGTTTTTAAGAAATTTACACATATTGGAAAAGATCAGATAGTCCAGATATGGACCCCAGGCCTTTTCTAGTACAAAAGGTAAATGTGCTTTTATGCATCCCTTTACCCATCCTCCATCAAGTCTTGGGAAAATAAGGAAACACTACATTTTTAAAAATTCTCGGCCTGGCATGGTGGCTCACGCCTGTAATCCCAGCACTTTGGGAGGCCAAGGCGGGTGGATCATGAGGTCAGGAGCTCCAGACCAGCCTGACCAACATGGTGAAACCCAGTCTCTACTAAAAATACAAAAAGAAAAAAAAAAAATTGGCCGGGCATGGTGGCGCGCGCCTGTAATCCCAGCTACTCAGGAGGCTGAGGCAGGAGAATCGCTTGAACCCAGGAGGCAGAGGTTGCAGTGAGCCAAGATTGCACCACTGCACTCCAGCCTGGGCGACAGAGCGAGACTCCGTCTCAAAAAAAAAAAAAAAAATTCTCATAAGTCATATGGCTCAAATATAGGATACTGTACATTGAAACAAAGAGCAAATGCTGGCTGGTAGCATGGTTTTGTCTCTATGGATTTTAGTGAAAACATATGGCTGATATTTTAAAATTCTGTGAAATTAAAAAAAATCAGTTGGATTGAACTTTGTGACATGGACATGGAGAACAGAGATGGGAGGAGGTGTAGAAATAGTGATTTGTGGCTAACAGTTAAGAGGACATGTTAGAAGTTAATCACTAATTTGTTACCTTTCCTAAATCAGCATTAGTTACTCATTTACTTTGTCATTCAACAAATGTATAGAAGGCAGCTTCTTTGTGCTAGGTATAATGTTACATATGGAAAAAAATGAGCCTTATCAGGAACAATGCATTCTGTAAGTAGAGCAAAATGGAAATTTAGAAGTTATATCTCATTTAAGTGAACTCACGTTCTCGCTTGCAATGTTAGTAGCAATAGAACTCAAACTTATGTTTTTTGCAGTTTCTTTTGCTTTAATTATTTTTCAACTTAGTGCCTTTTACATAAATACTCAGTCTAATGTTGAAAGTGACAATCAAGACTTTGTCTCTTATTGTAAAAGGGTTTTGTTGCTTTTCCTCCTACCTATCTAAGATAGCGTCTGAGTGCAAAAGAAATATTACTGATCATCTCATCATTGGAAGAGAGTTCCCTTGTCCAGGTGCTATCTCTTGACTTCCAAGAATATCAGATGAAGTGTGATTGGTCCCATCTGGGCCCTGGTTATGTTGAACTGTAGCCTACTGAGATAAAGTTGGGCATAATTGTTTTTTCTTGGTATGTAATGGCATTCATTACTGAAGTCTAAGGTTCTAGATATGGTAGTAAGTTCCTGCATTCTGTGACTTCTTCATCTTAACTCGTAGTATCTTCTGGTCAACCAGTGGTCACAACATTTCTTGGGACTCTGGAGCCCTTACCTGCTTTCTCCATGCCATAGTTCTCTAAGTAAGGCTTCTCAGTTTGTAAACTTCTGTCCGTGTGGCACTGTGTTACATTGTGGTAAATATAGTAGCTTCTCTGCTGGGCTTGCAGTTTTCCCAGGTGACGAAATGAAAAGTAGGAATCAAGCACATATGCAGACACACACACACACACACACACACACACACAAACACACACATAAACGATGTTTCCCCCAACTACTTCAATGTTGTGACCATCCTTGCTTTCTCTCACTTGAAGCATCACCCCCAAGATTGCTTTATGAGATCTTCCCTTAAAGCAATCTTGCCAATCATCTCTATCCTATGGCTTGTTAAAAAGGTAAGTGGGCCAGGCTCGGTGGCTCACGCCCGTAATCTGAGCACTTTGGGAGGCGAAGAGGGCAGATCACGTGAGGTCAGGAGTTGGAGACCAGCCTGGCCAACATGGTGAAACCCCATCTCTACTAAAAACACAAAAATCAGCCAGGCATAGTTGCAGGCACCTGTAATTCCAGCTACTCAGGAGGCCGAGGCAGGAGAATGGCTTGAACCCAGGAGGCGGAGGTTGCAGTGAGCCGAGATTGAGCCACTGCACTGCACTCCAGCCTGGGCGACAAAGCGAGACTCCGTCTCAAAAAAAAAAAAAAAAAGTAGGCTGCAGAAATTTTATAATATAAAATACTTCTGTCTGTAATTTCGGCATCTTGGTTTTCATGATTGTGTGCAGGCTGTGAGCTTCAAGTTAGTGTTTATGAAACAAAATGCTAAATATCATCTCTTTCTCTTTTCATTCCTTCCAATTTTTCTGTAACAGAGATATGTCTCATAGAACAGAGAGGTTAGGTGCAAATAACTGATATTGTTAGTGTATCAGAGACTACAGATAATATTGAAAAAAGTAATATGATAGAAGAAATATGAATTCTGATGGAGGAAATGACAGTTTCAGTAGGTCCTATATTGATCCAGAATGAAGAGTGACTTCTCATATAGAGGTGATGTTTTGATATATGTATACACTTTGAAATAATTAACACAATCAAGCTAATTAAAATATCTATCACCTCATATTTATCTTTTTGTGTATTTGTGGTTAGAACATTTATGGTCTTTTTAGCAATTTTCAAATATATAATACAATATTCTTAAGTATGGTCACATAAGATATTCAGAACTTATTTATCTTAACTGAAATGTTATCCTTTGACCAATAGCTTTCCATCCCCACCCCAGCCCCTAGCAACCACCATTCTACAGTTTTCTTGTGTGAGTTCAACTTTTTATGATTCTACATATAAGTGAGATCATGCAGTATTTGTCTTTCTGTGCTTGGCTTAATTCACTTAGCACAATATCTTCTAGGTTCATTCATATTATCACAAATGAGAGGATTTCCTCCTTTTTAAAGGCTCAGTAATATTGCATTGTGTATATATACCACATTTTCTTTATCCATTTATCCATCCATGGATAATTGGATTGTTTTCAAATCCTGGCTATTGTGACTAATGCTACCATGAACATGAGAGTGCAGATATCTCTTCAACATACTGATTTTTTTCCTATGGATATATACCCAGAAATGAGATTGCTGGATCATGTGATAGTTCTATTTTTAACTTTTTGAGGATTCTTCATACTGTTTTCCATTTTACATTCCCACCAACAGTGTGCAAGTGTTCCCTCTTCTCTACATCCTCACCAACACTAGCTATCTTTTCTCTTTTTGATAATAGCCATTTTAACAGGTGTGAAGTGATATATTATTGTGGTTTTGATTTGCATTTCCTAATGATTAGTGATGATGAGCATTTCATATGCCCGTTGGCCATTTGTATGTCTTCTTTAAAGAAATGTCTATTTAGGTTCTTTGCTCTTTATATGATCATGCTTTTTGTTATCTTGCCATGGAACTACTTCAATTTCTTATATATTTGTGATATTAACCCCTTATCAAATGGTTTGCAAATATTTTCTCCCATTTCATAGGCTGTCTCTTCACTCACTCTGTTGATTGTTTCCTTTCCTGTACAGAAGCTTTTTGGTTTAAATTAATCTTATTTATCTGCTTTTGCTTGTTGCCTTTGCTTTTGAGATTATATCAAAAAGTTTGCTCAGATCAATGTCGAGAAGCTTTTACCTATGTTTTCTTCTAGTAGTTTCACAGAAGGTAAGGTCTTAAAATTGAATAGCAGTTATTCCACTTAGAAGAAACTGCATATTCCAGAGTGGGAAAGATGTATGAAACAGAGGGTAGAGTGTCAGGAAATGATAAAGAACACTGCAAAGAAATCAGAGTAGGAACTGGAAGATCTATGCAATGTTGAGGGTTTTGAATCTCCCTAATAGGAAGATATTGAATGCTTTTCAGCAAGATATTGATTTATCTGATGTATGTATCGTACTGACTGCTGTGGACAATAGATTAACTGGAGGCAGGGGACAGAACAAAACAGGAGAGAGAAAACCCTGTAGGCAGCTATTACAGCAGTTCATAAACAAGATGATGACAGCCTAGATTGCAGTGAAGTACAGAGGTGGCAGTGGGAGGGGGAGAAATGTAGGGATACAAAGATATTCAAAGAACATTATTTCGCCATTTTAATTTTGTGTTTTACAGTTGAATTAGAAAAAGAAATAAGATATCCAGTGCAATGCATTCCTTAGTAATGCTAATATTTTGATATGTTTTTTTCAGTGGAACTTAGGACATTTCACCAACATTGACAAGTAGGTATACAGTGTCTGTCTATTTCGTGAGGATACATAGAACAGATTGTAAAAATAGAGATAAGGGAGGCTGTAGCCCTCATGAGAGGTCTGACCTAGCTCTTGCACAGTGTCAAAACTACAACTGAAATCTCTTTGTTTATAATTATTTTTGACGTTGGAATGACCCCTGTGCAAATTCAGAATTAAAATCAGCATTATACCTCCTTTATAATTCTTCATTAGTCTCTGCCCAAATCTAACAGCTGTCGCCAGTACAATTTCTGCATGGACTGGGATTCATTTGGAGGATTTGGTCTCATAATATTCTTTCCTAAATCTCTTCTACACATTCCTTCTCTCCTTGGATTGTTTATAACAATGACTTGGCAGGGAGCAAAGCCTAATAGAATTAACCTAAAAAAACTCAATATTTTCCTCCCTCTCCTTACTTTTCCTCCTATGCTTTACTGCTTTTTAAAAAGAAAATCAACAATGATAAATAACAGTCACTAATCATTTTTCAACCCTGCTGGGCACTAGGCACCATACTAAGTACTGTACCTACATAATTTTATTTAGTTATTTTAAGATAGATATTACTGTATTAAATATAATTGATATTATTATTTATGTTATAGGTGGAGAAGCAACACCTTTGAAAATCAAGTAGCTTAATAATAGAGGCGATATTAAATTTGGCCTCCCTAACTCAATAATCTCCACCTCCTCCACCAAAATCACCATCACCATCATCATCGTTGTCATCATCATCATCATCATTTTCCTGGTGTATATATCACATAATGAAAGTTAGGAATATGCACTAGGAAACCAGCTAGGAAGCTATTGTTTGGGATGGAAGGGAATAACACATAGGTCATTATTTTATTAAACATGCTTCACATTCCAAGTACCATGCTTGATGCTAGAGCTTGGACTATAGTCATAAATAGGAAAGTTTCAATCTCAATGAAGCATGGAAAACAGGAAAATATAATATGGCAGAATGGCAACTGCAGCAGAAGGATGCATCAACCTTGATTCGTATTCCATGCATAGTGCATTATGGAGGACAGGTGAAAACTCCCGAGTAGAAGGCCCTACATAGGCAAAGCTACTTCCACTTAGAGGCTGAAGGAATTACATACTTTCTCTATTCCTTGACTGGTCCTTGATTTTCATTACTTCTTATCTCCATCCCTGAATAATCTCATTCTACTTTACAACCACACTCTGAAGAGATGAATTATTATCTGGCTCTTGTAGGGAAACAACTCTTTATGAATATTTTCATGTTTCTGTATGATTGGAGCCTTCTGAGCAAAGAACATCAGCACCCAGGTTAAAGGGTGATTGACGGACAACTGTAATGGCCCCAACTGTCCAAAAGTGTAAAGGCAGAGAGCTTCGGAGACATAGACACTTCCTCTCTCCCCTGAAGACATTTGCTTACATGGCAGGATGTTGGAGGAAAGACCTTCTTTCTTCCCTCCCAAAAGATGATTTTTTAAAATTGCATAGCAAAAGTCTCTTTATATCTCTCCAGAGCGATGCAGGGACAGATGGAAAAGCACCCTATATAATCTCTGTGTTTCATAATTCTGGGGTTCCTTTTATTTATTTATTTTTTCTTTTTTTGAAATGGAGTCTTGCTTTGTCACCCAGGCTGGAGTGCAATGGCACAATCACGGCTCACTGCAACCTCTGCCTTCTGGGTTCAAGCAATACTTCTGTCTCAGCCTCCCAAGTAGCTAGGACTATAGGCTTTTGCCATCATGCCCAACTAACTGGGGTTCCTTTTTTAATGGTACAATACCTATTATATGCACAGGGAGATCTGGTTCTTACTGCACTGCCCGGGAGGTGTTTGGGCATAAGGCACGGATGCAGGCTGCTCTGTGACTAAATAGTCTGATCCATGATCCAGAAGTCTTATGTCCCTGTTAGAGAGAGAGAGAGAGAGGGAGAGAGTGTGTGTGTAGATCGATAGACAAATAGATAGTTATCATCACAGAGCCTTCACAGTTTCAGACTTAAGTTATCTGGCTACAGAAATCAAGGCTGGACACACACATTCTGCTTTCTAGAGTAATTCCTTTGTTCTACTATTTGAGTTTCTGCATGGAGGCCCCCAAAACATAGATCAATCCAACATTATAGAGCATTGGATCTTGCTTCTGCATTCCCTTTAAATACTTACTTCCATTCAACTGATACAATGTCCAACTTAGGCCAAACTGAGAAACACATTTCTGGGAAGGAGAGGCAATCCCAGAAGTGTATGTCCTGGCACAGTGACTCCTACCCTAGCTGATGTCCCAAGATCTACTGTAGAAGTGGAATTCTTTATTGTTCTATATGTCCCTTATTATCTGTGAGCAAATATGGCAAAGCTCTACTTTCTGCCCCACAAAGGGAGAAAAATCCGAGGACTACTTCATGACATCTCATGCTAAAAACACCGTGCTCTCTGGAGCATTCTCTCCCTTGAGTAACAAACATCGGGTGGGCCAATGTGACCTCCCAGCCAGATCCAGCTCTGATTGAGTCTCTCCAGGAGATCATGAGCTTCCTCTGACCCTTTCTGAAAATAGAACAGAGGAGAAGAACTTGCAAATGCTACTTTATTTAACTAACTCATTTTTAATGCCACAAAACGGGAGGAAATTCACACACGAGACCCTCAGACATAACCACACAGATTTTCCTCTTGATGTTTTTTTATTTTTTATTTTTTATTTTATTTTTTTTAATCTTCTTACCACCTTTACCTAAGTCCCTTATCTGGTGCATCCCTGGACCCACTAAGCACACAGACACACTAACTCACAGACAAACAGACACACACACACACACACACCTCAAGAAACATAATTTTCCAACATGTGATGGAAATACAGTCTCTCTCTTTTCTTGTGCTCTGCACGACCTTATGTTTGGGCAGTATGTGAAATATGGATTCCCTATGTCTACACTTTACTGGCTTCATAGAGTGAGAGGGAGTGAAGACCCTGATCTCTTGAGAAAGAGAAGAATGATGGGTGCTACAATCCCAGTTCGATTTTCCAAGAGTGGAGGCTGCCATCATTTCCTTACAAAACACGGAAGGCAAACACTTTGAAACAGCAAATATGATTTCATTTATTTATCTTTAAGAGAACACAATTTCACATGAGAAAAGCATTTTTCTCTCATCAGCATGACTTTGACCCTACTCATTTCAAAGTAATAACCTTGGCATCACTGTCTAGGAAGCATGTGATTCTGTCTTCTGTCTGAGTCCTGAACAAGTGGAATTCTTCCCAAATAAATTCTTTTCAAATATGACTGACATATAGTCCCATGATAGGTCAGGAAAGATGGTTATACTACAAATCACCTCAATAAACTTATGTATTCCAGGAGATTCCTCTTTTGCTTCTGCATTTGAAGTCAGTTCTCTTAAGAAATATGCTTGTGTGCAAGCTTATATTTATAAATTTGAGGAACTTACAATGAAATGTGTTTAATTCTCATTTCATTCATTTTCCTTTCGTTCCTGTCTTCCAACCATTTTCCTTTGAATGCTTAAATGATGGTTAACTATGAAGAAGACCAAAATAGACAAAGTAATTGCCACTTGTTCCTTTGTTCTCAGTGGCTTGCTGTGCTATAAGTGTATTTAATCTGGACCAATCTGGGGAGGTAAAACCTAATTTAATAGCTATCAATCACAGGCAGCAGGCCTGCAGAAGGAGAAAATAAAAAGGTGGTTCTATTACTCAGTCTTCTCTTAGGGAAAACAAAGTGAAACACTAGACATGCCACATCTTTACAAGATGCCTCCTAATCCCTCTACCAAGTTACACATAATTTGAAACTCTTTGTGTATTCCATTTTCACTTATGTGCCACTACCCTTATATTAAAAAGTATGTGACTGACAGGTTAGCTAAAATATTTATAGGAATTAAATACATTGGGCTTTGTTAGAAAGAAATAGAGCCACTTGATATGACTTTCAAATCCTAATTAAATAAAACCTCCCTATGTGGAGCTAAAGCAACTGCTTTTCTTAGCCCCAGAATAATGCACATGGCTGTGCCTTCCAGCCTTCTGATGGTGAGACTGTCATCCTGTGTTGTCTGTGAAATCTTTACAGAAGCTTCTCATTTTACCGTGATTAAAATGCCTACGTCGGAAGAGTTCAGTGGTTTACTGACCTGCTTTATCTCTCTGATATTATCATCCCATATCTTTCCCACCCATCTCCTCTTCATTCACTCTGCTCCAGCCTCTCTCCAGCCTGGTTTTTCCTCTCCCACACCAGGTGCTCCATCCAGGGTCTTTGTTTTGTGTCCATTTGTGTTTGTACGTGTGTGTGTAGTGAGACCATTTAAAATGAGAACTACTCTCTTACCTTTTTATTTGTTTATTTGGTTTGTTTGCTTGTTTGAGACAAAGTCCCACTCTGTCACCCAGGCTGGAGTGCAATGGCACACTCTCAGCTCACTACAACCTCTGTCTCCCGGATTCAAGTGATTCTCTTGCCTCAGCCTCCTGAATAGTTGGGATTACAAGCGTGCGCCACCACACCTGGCTAATTTTTTTTTTTTTTTGTAATTTTAGTAGAGATGGGGTTTTGCCATGTTGGTCAGGCTGGTCTCGAACTCCTGACCTAAGGTGATCTGCCTGCCTCAGCCTCCTAATGTGTCCCTTACCTTTTTAAATATGCAATATTTAGTTGTGCAATATTATTTACTAAAGGCACAATGTTGTACAACAGATCTCTAAAGCTTATTCATTTTTACTGACTCTTTCTGTCCATGGACAGAAAGTAGCTCCTCATTTTCTCCTTCCTCCAGCCCCTGGCAACCACCATTCATTCCACTCTTTGATTCTATGAATGTGATTACTCTAGGTACCCACATATAAGTGGAATCATGCAGTATTTGTCTTTCTGTAACTGTATTTCTTCACTTATATAATGTCCTAAGACTCCTTCAAATAGAGTAGAATTATCATTACCAGAGGCTGGGAAGGGTAGTGGGGACTGGGGGGGAATGGGGATGGTTAATGGGTACAAAAATATAGTTAGGTAGAATGAATAAGATCTAGCATTTGATAGCACAACAGGGTGACTATAGTCAGCGATAATTTGTTTTACCTTTTAGAACAACTGAGACAGTACAATTAGAATGATCATAAAAAAAAGAAATGATGAATGCTTGAGGAGGTGAATACCCCATTTACCCTGGTGTAATTATTTTGCATTGTATGCCCGTATCAAAATATCTCATGTTCCCCATAAATATATACACCATGTGCCCATAAAAATTAAATATTCAAAAAAGAAAAAAAATTAAAGATTCATTCAGGTTGTCACAAATTATAGAATCTCCATTTTAAAGATTCAATAATATTCCATTGTATGTACCACATTTTCTTTACCTATTCATCTATTGATGGACACTTAGATTGTTTTCACCTCTTGGCTATTGTGAATAGTGCTGCAATGAACATGGGAGTGCTAATATGTCTTTAAGATCCTATTTCAATTATTTTGGATAAATACCCAGAAGTGAATTGCTGTATCATATGGTAGTTCTAGTTTTAATTTTTGGTGGTTCTTCCATAATGTTTATCATAGCAACTGCTCTCTCAGTGGTATTTCCACAGGAGCCTGAGAGGGTTTCAATTTCTCCACACCTTTGTCAACACTTGTCTTTTGTTTTCTGTCATAATAGCCATCCTGATACATGTGAGGTGATAAGTCATTGTGATTTTGTTTTGCATTTTCCTGACGATTAATGACTATGGACATTGTTTTATATGTCTGGTAGTCTTTGCACTTTATGTTTACTCTCTCTGAATACTTTTTTTCTCTAAGATATGTATACATCTCCATTACCTTCTTTAGTTGTCACCATCTCATTGAGACTGTCCTGACCTCTCTGCCTATAATTGCAATAAAACCACCTCTAGTACTTTCTGTTTCACTTCGCTGCTTTTTTTTTCATAGAACATATCATCATCTAACCTACTCTATATTTACTTATAGATTTTGTTTATAACTTCCTCTGCTAGAATGTAAGGCCAAGATTTTTTCGTTAATGTTGTGTGTTTACACTACTGACTGACACAGGTAGGCGCAGGATAAATATTTGCTGAGTAAATAAATGAATGGACATAAAAATGGTCTATTCTGCAGAAGCTGTAAGTAATTTCAGAAGGACTTGGAGTGTAATGGGACTTGGTTAAAAGTGGTTTGGGGGAAAGACTAATAACCCTGTGATAAATAGGTTGAACTGCTGCAGACTGCAATACAACAGTTCAGACACTACGTAAACTCTAACTTTCCTCAGCTGTTGAATATCTGGGTTCTTGTCAGGGACTGAAATAAGAACCAGGGTAAAGGAGCTGAAGATTCATTCCTTCCTTTATTGATGCCTCCTAAAAGAACTGGGCAATGTGTAACACTCTAGGGATGTGACGCTGAATGGGATCTAGTTCCTGTTCTTACTGAACTCATAGTGTGCTGGAAAAACAGATTATAAAACAGTTCATTGCAGTGCAACACTTCCAATGGGATGAGTGCTGTATGAGCAAAGTTATGGGGAAGAAAAGAAGGGTCAGTAAACTGACCTGCCTGTAGAGATTTGAGAGGGCTTTACAAAGGGAGTTAAATTTTATCTGGATTTTTTTAAGGTGCTTTCAGTTACAAGTAATGGAAAACTCAACTCAATTAGGTTTAAGCAATTAAAAGCATTTATTGGTTCATGTAGCTAAAAACACCCAGAGGTAAAGCAGACTTCAGGGCTAGGGATCAAAGTTCCATGGCCATTTCTCGATGAATTTCCTGAGTCTGGCCTTTTCCATGTGGCAGTTCCAACCTCAGCCTAGCTTAGCTCAGAGCTTGGAAATGGTTCTGTCAGTACCACGTCTCACATCTACTTACCCTAATGCCACTTTGTCTACATCAAGAGATAGCCTCCCCCTAACAACCAAATAAAAATATGATGGTTAGTCTAACTTGACCACCTGAGGCCCCTGCCAATTCTGTAACCAGTTATTGTAGCGAGGAAATGCCATCAGTGAATCGACATATATATGGGCTACTTGCCAGTCCTGCACATAACCCTGGGGCAAGGAGATATATCAGTGTTCTCTGGCTTATAGCAGTGAAGCTCCCCCTGAGGCAATGTGTCATGTTCACTCCTATCTAAACACAGAGTAGCTACATGAATGGAAAAGGGATAGAGGAATGCTTGTATACCAATGTCAGCATGACCTACAATCTTAAAGGATGCAGTTTTCCAGGGAATAATGGAGAAAAGTCATGTTAAAAGTAGCAGAACACCATATAAAATTAACATAGAAATATAAAAGACATGCACCATTGTGGAAAATTTTGTTAACCAAGAAAGCTGGTGGAGTTTCTGGAAATAAAACCCAGTATGAGGCTATAGACAGATTTAAAAGGCATCTACATATCATAGAAACAAATGAGATGGTTCTGAGCATAATTTCAAGTTTGGATCTTTTAAAATCAAATACACATATAAAAGCAATTGATTGCCAGTAATCAGCAAGGTATGAAGAAATTCACAGCAGCATAAGTTATGGTCTCTCCCTGTTTTCCAGAAGACAGTCAAGTCAATTAACCAAAGTACTAATAAATGGCTAATCCAGAGTTCTTCACTGCCAAGCCATGTGTCACCAACTCTTAATTTAGAGGTCAGATGAATTTCTGTGAGGAACTGAGGTAGCAGAAATCTTCAAGAAAGAAGGAAGAATGTGGAGAAAGCTTGGAAAGGGAATCCATGTGGAATCCATGGAAAGGATCAGAGGGCTTTTTCATGAGATGCAATGGGATCGCAGGTTTTCAAGCAGCAGGTTAGGTAAGAACATGGTATGAGCAGGAACAAAGGGGAGAATGACTGTTGGTTGTGTGTATGATAAGCAGCTGTCAAAGAGCTACAAAATGGTTAGACTAGAGGCTTGAGTGTTTCCAATCCAGGCTCTGGACAATTCATTTCTCTTACACTTCATTTTCTGATTTGTGAGTGAGGGTAAGCATCCCTTTCTTACATGGTAGAGTACTTCAGAGCTAAGAGAAATTGAGTATGTCAAGTGCCCCATACGTGGGGATAATTTGTTTCAGTACACTGTAGCTCTTCCTCTTCCTCCTTTGATGAGGATGCTAGAAGGAGCTTTATGATGAAAATGAATGAACAGAGGGCAAGATTTTAACTACTTAATGTGAATGAAATAGAAAACAAAAACTGGTAAGATAATTCTGACTTCTTTTATTTTTTTGAGACGGGATCTTGCTCTGTCACCCAGGCTGGAGTGTAGTGGCATGGTCACGGCTCACTGCAGCCTCAACCTCCTGGGCTCAAGTGATCCTCCCACTTTGGCCCCCCAAGTAGCTAAGACCACAGGCACATTCCTCCATATGCCTGGCTAAGTATTTGTTGTTGTTTGTTTGTTTATTTGTTTTGGGGACAGATGGAGTTTTGCCATGTTGTCCAGGCTGGTCTCAAACTCCTGGGCTCCAGCGATCCACTCATCTTGGACTGTTACAGTGCTGGAATTACAGGTGTGAGCCAATTTGCCTGGCCAACTCTGACTCCTTATTAACAGGAACTGAGGAAAGACATTTTCTTTGGTCTTCACTGTTTCTGTTAATATCAGTGGTATAGAACTTCATTTACTTTCTGTAACATTGTTGAGAACCATCAGCCAAAGGTTCATGGGTAGATTTTCCATCATTATTGATTCCAGGGTTTCATAAGCAAACCAACTCACTGGCCAAATATTGATCAATGGCCCTCACTATCTAAAAGTTTGCTTTCCTGCTATTTTTAGTAAATATCAACAAACCCCTCCCAAGAAAGCCTCTTGACAATTACATCAAAGTTCAGTTTACATCAACACAAACTCTTTGCCCCTTTTCCAGCCTCAAGACATCTGTTACCCTAAATTTCACTGTCTAAAATCGAACCTCTCTTCCTAAGCACCTAAAAATTTTTCTCTAAGGCAGCACCAATTAGTCACTCTAGCTCAAAAAATGTGATATCGTCTTTGAATGAATAATTCCTGGCATTTATAGGCTTCATCTCTTTTATTTCTCTATTTCTGCTGCCATTGCCTTTCTCCAGGTCACCTCTACCTTGAAAGACTAAAATAGACCCTGTCACCTTTCAGTGTTGTCTGTCTGTGGGCCATCCAATCCCTTTGTCAATGTTGCCAGACCATTATTGCCAAGATAGTACCCTCATCCCAACATTTGCCACTTCAGGTACCTACAGGATATCTGAAAGGTCAGAAAACATAGGATAAATTTCTCCTTAAATAACATGCTTTTACTAGTTATTTATTGCTGCAAAAATAAGTACCACATAACTCATTAAAGTAATAAGCACTGATTATAATACACAGTTTTACATGGGTCAGGAATTCAGAAATGGCCTGGCTGGGAGGTTCTAGCTTGGTGTTGTTGATGAGGTTGCAGTCAAGGTGTTGGTCCAAGCTTCTGCCACCTACAGGCTTAACTGTGGCTGGCTGATCCACTCGATGGTTCACTCACATGGCTAACAAGGTGGTACTGGCTTCCAGCAGGCGGCCTCCGTTCTACTATGTGGGTTTTTCCATAGTGTTGCTTGAATGTCTTCACAACATGAAAGCTGGCTTCCCCCAGAGACAGTGATGCAGGAATAAAAACCAGGCAGAAGCTACATCCCGTTGATAACCTTGCAAGTCATAGAATACTAATTCTGCCACATTCTGTGGTTCCAAAGAGATCATTAAGTCTGACCTACATTCCAGGGGAGGGGAAGCAAGCAACACCTGTGCAAGGCAAGACCGTCAAAGAATTTGCAGAACTATTTTAAAACACTACAACTTTAATCACAATTTCTAGTAATATGCTTTATATACTTTTTTTTACAGTCTCCAGTATCTCTTTAGGTAGAACACTTTTGAATTCAAAGCCATGGGTCTCATTGTTAATTTGAACAAAATATAGTAAGTATACTATTATTTTCCATGTCTTTCTAGGCTTTTTAAACTCTGCAGTGTATTTACTGTACTCTCGTAGAAGGAGTGCCATCAACTGCAATTGGTACAAATTGTGCTTATTTTTCTGCTCTTTTCACGTTCCCAAAATATGTTCCCATTCAACCAGGCAGGTCTTCCTACTCTTCTCATGCTCATTGTTTTTCATGCTGCTTCCATGGCTTTACAGAGACTCTTCCTCTTCGCTTTGGTCTGGCATTCAAAACCCTCAGGACTGATGACAGGCAAACTAGAATCTCAAATTCCCCATGAAAAGTTGACTCATATCTCTGTCATGCATGGTCCCCTCAGTTCCCATCACTCATACACTCACATACATTTATTTTTACCTTATTATATTCAGTTCAGCACAATTTTATCGACCCCTTTTTTCCTAACGATGTATTTTATAGCAAGCACTCATTAAACATTTGTTGCACGACAGAATGAATATTAGATTAAAATATTTCATAACTCAATTATCCAAAGTATATTATTTCAACATGTCTTCAATATAACATTTCTAATAACATATTATTTTTTCTTTTCTGCACTGTTTATAAATGTTGCAGTATTTTTTTTACCTATTTTAATTCATATGGTAAATTTTCAGCACAGATGCTTGATCTTTATTGAAATTTTACAAAATTTACAGTTCAGAAAAGCGGATCCACAAACATAGTATTCAAAATAATACTTGAGGCTGGGTGCATGCTTGTAATTCCAGTGCCTTGGGAGGATCACTTGAGGCCAGGAGTTTGAGACCAACCTGGGAAACATAGTGAGACCCCTGCCTCTCCAAAATAGAAGTTTTTTTTTTTTAATTAACCAGATACGGTGGCACACACCTGTAGTCCCAGATACTCAGGAGGCTGAGGTGGGGAGATGGCTTGAGCCCAGGAGGTCGAGGTTGCAGTGAGCTATGATCATGCCATTGCATTCCAGATTGAGTGACAGAGCAAGACCCTGTCTCTAAAAAAGAAAAAAAAAAGTAAAAAACAAAAAAAAACTTGAAGATTTCCTAAAACTAAATGTGTTCCTTTTTTAAATTTAAATATAAACCAAATAACATAAAAATTAAGTTTCTCAGTCTCATTGGCCACATTTAAAGTGCCCAATAGCAATATGGGGCCTGTGGTTGCCATTTTTGACAGTGAAACCCAAGATCATAGAAGAAAGAAACAGATTTGGGATGTCACTGGTTTGTGAACTAACCTTTACTAAAAGTATTACTTAAAAGTGAAATAGTAGAAAGAAATACAGCTTGTGTCAACACTATATCTGATCAGACTCCACTGATGAAATTTCCTCAGCAAGTCACTGTAACGAGAATCACACCAGGCTTCCTTCTGATCAAGACCCACAACTTGGTTGTTGAATCTAAAAGAAATATAATTCCAAGTCTAAACATAACAGAGCAAAGTAATTTGGCTTTAATAACATTTCTCAAAAAAAGTCTAAAAGATTAATTAAATTGCATCGCATTGAAACCATTGAATTGAAACAATTGCACTGAAAACAATTACTTTGCAATGAAACACAGCAAAACATCCTGAAACCTCTCTCCTCAAACCTTCACACCACAGGAGCTGTCCCTAATGTCACTACTCTACTCTTTTTCTCCTTCTGAAACTCTCTCTCAAAATCCTTAGCCTGTATTTCCTTGGCTTCTCTTTCTCCTCTGTGCCTCCTTGCAGAATCTTTATAATTTACGTTGCTCTAAATTCATTCTTGCGATTTGTCTCTTTGAACATTCTCCTGATTAACAAAACAGGCTACCCTCAATAACCACTTGACACTGAGTTTTCCTTGGAGGGCATAAAATTGTGACAAAGAATTTGGGAAGGCTCTGAATGTCAATATTTCTATATTATCATATTACTGGATAATACAAATCTTAACTTTGTTGCTCCTAGAAGACACTTATTGCCCTTTGGTTTAAAAATACATATAAAAAGTTGCACAAGATTTTGAAATGGACCAAAAATATTGGAAGTCTTCAATGTCTACCGGCTTCGTTTGGTTTTCTGATTCTATAGAGCCTTTGTGTGTTTTGAGCTATTTTCTAACTCTGTAAATTATCCATAGAAAGACAGCTGTGGCCTAGAGAGATTCAGTTGTTTATTTTTTTAGCCTGTGGATATTGATCAGTTTGGCCAATGTTGCAATGCATGAGCAAATTTATTTCAGCATTCCTGATAGCCTATATCTGTATAATTATTTGAAGTTTCCTTACAACTGACTATAACTTTTATTCTTTTTCTCCTTAACTGTATGAATTGAAAGAGGGACGGCTTGTCTACCAAAAAGCAGGACTTTCTCAATTAAATTAGATTATCTGACTAAAATAAAAAGTGGCAATGGAAATGAGGGAATGTATACTTGTAAATTTTTAGGGAGTTCAAAATGTGCAATAGTGTATTAGTTAAGAGTTTAGGTTCTGGCACTAAACTGATACCAATTCTAGCTTAGCCAACAAAGCTATGTGAGTTTGCTTAAGATATTTAGCTGCTCTCACCCTGAGTGTATTAGAACTTACAATGTTTATTTATTCATTGATTCATTCACTCAACAAACATCTGTTGAGTACATAATTTACTCCAGACACTGTTCAAGGCTGTGGAACACACAGTGAAAAAAAGAGACAAATTTCCTACTTCATGGCACTTACGTTCCCTTGGAAAAGACTAGCAATATTTAATAAATGTATTAGGAAATGCCCAGCAATTATGAGTAAAATGAGGAAGAATAAAGATATAGAGGGAAGTTACTTTGGATAGGGCTAACCTGGATGGTTTATTTATGGAGGGTGCATTTGTTGAGAGATTTGAATGAGGTGAGCCTGCCATGTGACTCTCTGTGGGGGAAAGTTCTCTAGGCAGAGGGAATTTTATGAGTAGAGCCAAGAGGCATACTAAATAAAACAAAGCAAAATATAAATTAAGAGTCCAATCTTGCTAGAAGGCAGTAAACACAGAAAAGATGAGAGGAGATCCTTGTCACTCCATATATCATTGTGGTCATAAAAATCATTTAAGGTCTATGTTGAACTTTGAATGTATCTTTTCTCTATGCATAATGTTGGAAAATATTGATTCACTAAGTTATATACATTTCCAAGTGTTATCAAAGTTTTTGTTCTATGATATCAAAAATCAGTATTTATTAAAATAACCATCAACCTAAAAGTCAGTAAAGACTTGAAGTATCACAAAACTGCCAAGCCCCTGGTAGCAGATATGAGTTTTCCAAAATAATTTTTGCCTGAAAGCTCAGATTTCATCATTATTCACGAATACTCTCAATTGTTTCCTTGAAGGTACAGGCTAACTTTGCTCATCTTTAAGAAAATGCTGCCAAATATCTGAGTCTGAATAACTATAGTTTGCCAGTTACTCTCTCAAGTAAAAATATTGGCTCTTGAACAAGATGGCTAATTCAGCACAAAACTCAATTACATCAGCGCTTTTCCTTGAGATAATTGTCATATTTATGTAGGCAATGGGATTATCTTATGTATCTCTCCCATTTTGTCACAAAGAATATTATAAAGATGAGCTCGAGTTGTGATTTAATAAAAGTCATAATTTTCTTCATTATGTATATTACTAATTGAAACTGGCCTATTTGCTTTTTGCCCGTGGGTGATGGTGAGGAACACAGTGGTTACTAGTGCTGTTTGATGCCACTGCTACAATGCTAGCAGTTAGAAAATATTCCTATATTGTTGATGCTATTATTTATGCCTTTTGCACTATTAGATTAGGAGGAAGAGATAGGAGAGGGTTTTAATGCCTCTCTTTTAAAGAGTTTGACATTTTTCCCCAAAAATAGTCTTTAAAAGTTCAGTAAGTTTCCCTTTCCTCAGCCACACATTATCTACTTAGCTGCAAGAGGCCGAGAAGCATTGACTTTCAGCTACAGAGCAAGGCCCCTCTGTCTTTACAGTTTAAAAGATGACGGGGCCAGGTACAGTGGCTCATGCCTGTAATCCTAACACTTTGGGAAGCTGAGGCGGGTGGATCACCTGAGGTCAGGAGTTCGAGACCACCCTGACCAACATGGAGAAACCCCGTCTCTACTAAAAATACAAAATTAGCCGGGCTTGGTGGTGCATGCCTGTAATCCCAGCTACTCAAGAGGCTGAGGCAGGAGAATCGCTTGAACCCGGGAGGCGGAGTTTGCAGTGAGCCAAGATCGCGCCATTGCGCTCTAGCATGGGCAACGAGAGCAAAACTCTGTCTCAAAACAAAAATAAATAACATAAAATAAAAGATGACAGGCCACTAGCTGTGATGGACTGAGACCCCCTGATGATGAGATAGAGCAACCTCAGACTGCCCCAACAAACTATATGCAGTTTACATATTTGAAGCTAATACTTGGACTAACAGAAATAGCAATGATAATGATAATGGCTGATATTTATTAGGTCCTTCCATGTGTCATGCATGATCCTGGGTGTTTAAAAGATGTTATTTCTTTGACTTCTCAGGAAGCATACAGAGGAAAAGCAAGTTGCTGAACTAGAAAGTGGCACATAGTCACTTCTGTGGGAATCCACAGACTGCAGTCTTCATCCTTATCACCTTAAGCACTGCCTTGCCAAATATACCGGGCTCCAATAATAGGAAAGAAATACCTGCTGACGTGTTTGAGAGGTTCTAGTTTAAAGGACAAACTGTCAGAGGTTTTTTTTTGTTTAGTTATGTTAAAGACAGAATTACTCAATGATACACAATAAGGATGCACAATAAGGAAGATTTTATTCATGACCATTGTGATGGGTATAGCTACCAAAGCAATGAGATTTTTGCAGTGGGGGAGAGAGACTGAGCTCAACTCCAAACATGGCATGAGAAAGTGGGGATTTAGATTTAAGGAGCCAGGGTTAGGTGACATGTTAGTGGACGGAAAATTACTAAGAACTTCAGGGAGACGGGATTCTGGCCAAACCAACCTAACAAGTGTCTTGCTGAAGGCAGGCCAGGGTGATCAGACCTGGGAGAGGTCAGAGGATGGAGGATGAGATTAGATATTGAGGGGATGATCAGATGAACCCAGAGTGTGAGTGGGGTGTTCCTTCTAAACTGACATCAAGGTTCTTGCTAAAACTGGTTTTTACAAGGAAGTGCACAGATAGGCCTAGGAGAAGATTCAAAAGCCTGACTAAAGTTTGGTCAAGCAAAGAATTTTTGTCAATTATAAAGCTATTAAAAAAGATTTAGTTATCCTAGAACTAATGTCATAGTGTAGTTACCAGTTAATTCTTGGATATGTAGCAAATCATATGCAGTTGCCATCTGTCCCAGACTAATATTTAACCATCATTCCAGAATTTTTTTCTCACTAAAATAATGTATACAATTTACTTATTGGTTGGTTTATAACATAATAGCTTTTAATTGCTTTAACATTCTTAGAATTTGTCTACAATCCTATATAATAATACTTTTTTATATTAGATGTTGAATAAATCATTGAAGATTGTTAATATGCTATGTATACGTGTACATGTTTATAAAAATATGATGTGTATGTGTAAGCTCATATTGTGTGTGTGTGTAAGTTTGGAATACTTGGGAATAGAAAAAATACTCAAAATCTAAATTACATCCAGAGGCATCATAAGGCAGTAAGGAAGGTAGATATGGATGAGGTTATATCACAGAGATGGAGATGCATTCAACCATAGATATTTACTAAGCAGTTACTAAGGAACTAGAAGTGTTCTAGACTTGAGGGAATGGAAGAGAATAAAATAAATTCCTGCTAACAAGGAGCTTGTATTCTAAAAGAAGCAGGAAAAAAATAATAAACAAGTGAAATTTTTTGTTATAGTAAGTACTATGAAAAATGAAGCTGGTGGGTGAGAACAGAGAGTAATGAGGATGCAAGGGACAAATGTATTGGATGATATCTGAGTTATTTGGAGAAGCAAGCTACTGATATCTGCTGGGAGAGCCCCCCCAGGCAGAGGAAACTGTGAGAGCAAGAACCACAGGTGGGAGTGTGCTTGGAGCATTCAAGGAACAGCAAGAAATCCAGCATGGCTACCGGAAAGTATGGGCTACGGTTTGAATGCCTGTGTGTCTTCAAAATTCTAAGGTTGGAACCTAATCTCTGGTGTGGCAGTATTAAGAGGTGAGGCCTTTGGGAGAGTGATTAAGTCATGAGTTCTCCACCCTCATGGATGGGATTAGTGCTCGTATAAAAGAAGCAGAACAGAGCACCTTAGTCCCTTTTTGCCTCTCTGGTCTTCCTCCATGTGTGGACACAGCATTTGTCCCCTCCAGAGGAGAAACAGGGCACCCTCTTGGAAGGAGAGCATGGGTCCCCACCAGAAACTGAATCTGTTGCACCTTGATCTTGGACTTCCTGGCCTCTAGAAATGTGAGAAATAATTGTCTATTATTTATAAATTATGCAGTCTGTGGTATTTGGTCATAGCAACAGGAATTGATTAAGGTATTAGGTGAAGGACACGGAAGTCGTTCTATTAGGTTATAGAGATGATGCAGAGTGGATCATGTGGAAATTTTAAATTTTATTCTAGATGAAAAGTGGAGGAATGAGGTTATACTCAGTGTCAAATGGAAGACTGACAAGATCTGGCACGTATTTTTAAAGGATAGATCTGGCCTCTTGGGAAAGACTAGACTGTAGGTGGCAAAACCATCAGTAAGGCCACTTCTCAGGAGCCTATTTCAATTGTATGGAAGTGAGAAGATGGTGACATTGACTAGGATGATAGCAGTGGAAATTGGTTATAGGTTCTAGATATATTTCAAATATAGCCAATATAATTTCAATGGGTGTGGATATGGACAATAACAGAGATTTAAGGACAGCCCTTGGGGCCTTCCAGGATGTAAAGTTATTTAAGCTTATACTTAATAAATAATGGAGACTGAGAAGAAACACCCTGGAGACAGAAAGCTTTGTCAAGAGTATCTTACTGTATCCAGGGGAAGAAGACATTTCAAGGAAGAAACAGTTACCAACTCCCAAATGCTGCTGATCAGTTCAATAAGATAAGTGCTAGTAAAAGTCTTTGGTGATCATGACAATAGAGTGGTGTAGACCACAGTCTCACTGGAATGGGCTTGTGGGCTCAGGAATGCCTAAGAAGGGATGCCAGAGCAAAAGAACTTAATTATAAAGAACATAGGACATCTCAGTCTACACAGGGATGAGGGGACCCATGGAAGTCTTTTGTTTTTTTTAAAAAATAGGATGTATTATAGAATGCTTATATGCTAATAATCCAGTGAAGAGGGAAGAATAATGATGAAGAAGAGAGCAGGTACATCATTCAGAGGAGGTGGGATCCAGAGAACAGTGAAAAAGTAGGCCTAAGATCAGATCCTGGTTGTGCATCTATGACCAGAGAGAGCAAGCTGTGTAAGCAGGTACAGGTGAGACATTTGGTGGTGGGATTGTGTGGATGTTTCATGCTGAAGGTTTCATTGCAGAGCTGAAAACTTTAGAATACAGCAGTAAAGGGCAAGAGCAAAAGGAAGAGAGTTAGCCTATGAATACAACTACCATTGTTAGGAAACCAGCAAAAGAATGGAGTTATTCCCGCCTACAAGGAAGCCTTGGGGAATTGACAAGGCCTGTTAGCAGCTAAATGCTTTGTCTTTCTCTATGAACAGAAGTCCAGGATGAGCTATTCCTATTCTGTGTTACCATTTGGTATAATATCCACAACTGTGATAATATGAAGAGACAAAGTATTACACGGACTCATTTTTCTATTCACGGAAGAAATAGTTATTTATGCTTCCACTGAAGAAATCTGAATTTGCAACCATGAGTGTATTATCATTTTTGAATAACTCCACTTCCTTAAAAAATATAGCACTAAGGTTTGGGGAAATTGAAGTACATGCAGAGAATCCATCTAGCCAGTGAATTTGAAGAAGACAAATAATTTTTTCTCATTCTGCATTTCAAAGGAGTTAAGAATGTGTCTACCATAAGTAACCTGGAGGAGAAAGTATATGCGTTTTAGAAGTTGAACTGCATCAAAGACCCTTTAATGCCTCATTCAAGTTAATAGGACATTTCTTGCTTTTTCATCCAGGATATGCTAAAGATTCATTTCCTTGCATGTGAAAGTGTGTGCTTCAGGGAAAAGTCAAAATCAGCACCATTCTTTCACTATTAAAACATCAGGGGCTAGAGGTATAAATAGCATGGGCTTTTGGAAAATATAGACCTGACTTCTTCCTTCATTAAAGGACTTTCCTCATGCTTGCCTAGAACCTCTGTTTTCTAGAACTTGCCCTCCCTTGAGAAAGGCCCCAGAATCTTGCTAAATTATATAATGGGCTCACAACGTAAGTATAGGGAATGTGCTATGAATTAGCACATCAGACTCATTTTCACTGATAACCTGATTTTACACTGTACATCTCATTGCAGATGGGATACTCTGCTCCTTAATTCCCTGTTGCTGGCTTTTTCTCAGCAAATCAGTCCAAGTGTTTTAAGAATCTGAAAGGGATTTTTTTTCTTGCTACATTTATATCTGAAATAGGGAAATATCAATTTACCCCAAGTTCAGCAGACTCACATTCAACATGGGCAAATTAACTTGCTGCTGAGTTTTCTGAACAGTGGCACCTTAATAGGTCTGCCCCAGAAAAAGACAAATGGAAGTGTTTGGGGAGCCCCTTGGGTTTCCCATTGTACATGGGCATCGGAGATTTGTAAAATGGGACAGTCTTCACAAATCGTCATTCCTTAAAGAGAAAGTCCATGTTTTTCCTTATTTGAGAAATATCCAAATGAGATTATTCTAGACTGATGGAGAATGGAAAATAAACTTCAGCTGTATATTTCCCCCTGGTACTCTTTAATAGAGAACAAAATCAGGACATAAAGCCTGCTAGTTTAATGGCCTTTAGTAGGTGAGGAAGCTTGGATTCTAGAGTCAACCTCATTGATTTCTTTTTTGGCTGAGTGCAGTGGCACCATGTCAGCTCACTGTAACCTCTGCCTCCTGGATTCAAGCGACTCTCCTGCCTCAGCCTCCCGAGTAGCTAGGATTACGGGCCCCCACCACCATGCCCAGCTAATTTTTGTATTTTTAGTAGAGACGGGGTTTCACCATGTTGGCCAGGCTGGTCACAAACTCCTGACCTCAAGTGATCCTCCCACTTTGGCCTCCCAAAGTGCTGGGATTACAGGCACGAGCAACCATGCTGAGCATAACTTCATTGGTTTCTAGTCCCAGATCTGCAACTATCACCAGTTACCTGATCTCACATTCGTTCTCTCACCTACAAAATCAGGGGCTTGCTAAAGGTCTCTTCCAGCTTTAAAATTCTACATATTTGCTGAATGCAACCCTTATAGAATTTTAATTATATATTCATGAGCCCTAACCAATCCAGCACCAGTTGGATGCTTGGTCACACCCCCATTAATAGATTTGCACTTGATGCTAATTTGATAAACAACATCATAATTACTAGAAAAGCAGGAGAAAAGAAGGAAGAAAGAAAGAACGAAGAGAAGAGAAGAGAAGAGAAGAGAAGAGAAGAGAAGAGAAGAGAAGAGAAGAGAAGAGAAGAGGAAGGGAGGGGAAGGGAGGGGAGAGGAGAGGAGAGGAGAGGAGAGGAACAGAAAGAAAAATAGGAAATGGCAAGAGGACGTGTGTTTGAAATGACCACTCCCACCCACCCCACATACTATACCTCTCCACCAAGGTCTAGCTCAACTCCCACCTTTTTCAGAGTTGGCCTTTCCCCCCACCATCCATACTAATCCATCAGGCATTACAGTTATCTTGTTGTCTTTGCCTATATTTGTTCCTCTGGACATATTAGAGCCCTTAGAATAGGGCAATTAGGACCTTTTCACCCACGCTCCCCTGCAATGTTCTGCACAATGTCTGCAAATGCCTAATGGAATACAATGAATTAAACTGAACTCATAGTGGGTCATGATTGACATAGAGGCTGTTTCTACCTCTTTCCTTACTGGATGAATTCCAGGACTTGAGGTTGAATCCAAGGAAGAGATGGGATCAGAGCAGGAAAAAGGGATTTGGAACACCAGCTTGATAAATATATTGCCTTTTCTCTATGACACTGTAATAACTAACTAGCTCTTCTCCTCTCCAGGAAAGTATATACAACACCTTACTACTTCTTATGACAGCACCTGTCTCTGTGCTATTGTCATGGGTCTCTCTCCTTTCTCTACTGGCCCTGCTCCACGTCTAGAAATAGCTTGCTGTATGATTAGAATTAGAATTGTCAGATTTTCCTAATATTGCATAGGAAATGTTTATACCGCTACTTGGGAGGCTGAGGCAGGAGAATTGCTTGAACCTGTGAGGTGGAGGTTGGGTTGAACCGAGATCGTGCCACTGCACTCCAGCCTGTTCGACAGTGTGAGACTCCATCTCAAAAAAAAAAAAAAAGTTATTCACTGTTTATCTGAAATTCAAATTTAACCAAGCCTCCTGTATTTTATCTGGCAAGCCCAGTTAGTACTTGAGTGACTTAAAAGCCAGTTCAAACTGGCTTCAACAAAAACAAAAAATAAACCCACAATTTCTTGGCCCAAATAATTGAGAGGCCCAGGTGGTAGTTCTGGGCTTCAGGTGGAACTTAATTTAATATGTCATTAGGAATCCATTTAATCTCTCAGCTCTGGCTTCTACTCTAATGGCTTTATTTTCTGGCTTCACGTGGTGCTAGGTGGTTGCAGACAATGCCTGCATCACATCCTGTGAGGGTCAGTCTCAGTGGGGAAGAGCAGCTACCTCCTGGCCAGTGGCTTCAGAAGAAACGGCCTCATGCCTCATTGGCCCTCTTTGGACCACATGCCCTAACAGAACCTACACCCTGGCCAAGGCAACACCATGCTCTGAGTGGTTAGACTTCTGAGCCACATGCCTCAACCTGGAAGCCCCCTGGAGGGGCCTGGGCTTGTGGTGGGACAGTAGTTCCCTACAATCTAGGTTGAGGTGCTAACGTGAGAAGGAAAGATGGATGCTATGTGATAGAAACAAAAGGAAAAATACAAAAAGAAAACCCTTTTGCCACACTATGTGTTCCTAAACTATGTAATTATTTTTTAAACAGATTTTGAAAGAGATGACAGTAGTCATTGTAGGCATTAATTCCTATTTTCCTAACTAGCAACTCCATTTACCCAGTCAACTTGCTTTAATTTGATTGATCAGTTTACACAGGTATAAAAAGAAGAACTAGTAAATAAGTGATTTCTTAAGTCTTTTCTAGTCTAAAATTCTCTAGCGCTATGAATGATAGCAAGAAGGAGATTACGAGAGAGAAAAAGTGAGAAAGAAAGAAAGAGAGAGAGGAATTCCAGTGTGCTTTTTGTGTTTGGGATCAAAATGCTGGTGCTAGAAGTATGGTCCACAGTAAAAATGGAATATGAGTTTTATTGATACTAACTATTCACTCTGGGTAGTTTGTACTCTGCTTTTGTAGATTCTCTACAGCTATTTAAAGAATAAATTTCACTCTGTATGCAAACGTACATGTGCATGTGTATGCATTAAAATTATTGCTTAATCACTGACACCAAGTTGATTTTTCTCTTCAAATTAATTTATGGGAGAGCAAAACGAAACTGAACCCTCAGAGGAATAATCAAACTCTTGTGTTTTTATTTCAACCATACCATACCATTAAAATGACATAGGTCATCTTTGTGCCATTGGGATTAACAGCAATTTGTGAGCTTTTGAAAGCCCTTTGAAATTTTCAGATTAAAGGAATTAAGTTCAATTTTAACGTAATGAATCTAATTACTGGTTTTTCTGAACATTCAAATTAAGAAGAAAGGCAACGTCTCCTCTTCCTACCTTCAGATGTCTTTTAATTTGTGCACTTACCGCAGAACCTTCAAGTTCAAAGGCAGTTTTCATCATTTTAGCTTAAATTCTGGGAAAACATACCTGAATAGACTTACCCAGACTTAACCTTGACCAAAAAACAAACAAACAAAAAAGAGTCCGACAGGCCCCAGCCTCAGCTAAACCTATAATGAACTTGTGAGGTCTGACTTTTCAGCCTCATTCAGCTATGTCCCCAAGTCATCTCTGCAGGAAGTGACCCCACGGTGTGTGTGACTGTGTTTCCTTCCAGTTTTTGGAAAATTGCTTAAGTAAGAGCTGACGAGATTTTCTGTACCCAGTCATCTTAGAATAACATGTCATTTTTATGAATTTTAATCATATAGTCCATCACCCATCTTCAATCCCTTTTAGGGAAAAATGGCATACTCAAGGGCAGCGAACTATTGAAAACAGGAGCCCCCACTTATTTATTGACTTATAGTCCCCATTCTTTCATAGCAAGAGTGATCAATGGTCTATTGCCATATTTAGCTTTTTGATAGCATCATCAAATTCATTAACTCTAGATCATTGGATCAGGCAGAAGCAATGTTATATTTAAAAATATTTAGAATATTTATTAACACTGATTAGTAAATATTTAATATCTTGTTTTGAAGGATCCTGTAAAAAAACTCAGTGATTTGGTATGCTTTTTAAAAAATTTTAAGTTCCAGGATACATGTACAAAATGTGGAGGTTTGTTACATAGATAAATGTGTGCCGTGGTGGTTTGCTGTACCTATCAACCCATCACCTAGGTGTTAAGCCCTGCATACATTAGCTATTTATCTTGATGCTCTCCCTCTTAGTATGCTATTGATAAATGTGATGATATTATTCATGGAAAAAAATATTAATACCAATGTCTCCATCATCCCAGGTGTTTCCAGGGCATTTTGTAATATTGAAACATCAATGGAGTGTTTTAAATTGATATTGCAGAGTCAGATGAAAGGTTTTCCAGAATTTGTCACCTTGCTATTTGGATATAACTTTTATTAATACTTAGCATATCAAGTATAAGGGCTTTTGCTTCAGATTTAATTTCTAATGAGGCCTGAATATGTGACTCTATCTTCTTAATTCTTCTTTTTATTTTTTATTTTTTTGCCTCAGCTATAGGTTCTGAAAGAACACCCCCAGTTGCCAAGGCAGATGCCATGTAAATATTACTTTTTATTTTCCCCACTGGGAAAAGATGTTGTGAGATTCTGTTGGTTTCCTATTGTAGCTATAATAAATTTCCACCAACTGAGCAGCTTAAAATAACACACTTATTTTTTACAGTTCTGCACACCAGAAATTTGAATTCATTTCACTGGGCTAAAATCAAGGTGTCAGCAAGGCTGGGCTCCTTCTGGAATCTCTAAGAGAGAATCTGTTTTCTAGCCTTCTTCCAGCTTCTGAAGTCTGACCGTAGCCTTCAGTTCATGGCTTCTCATTACTCCAACACTGCTTTCACCATTCCAGCTTCATCTCTGACTCTGACCCCCTTGCTGTTGTTTTCTTGTAAGAGTCATAGTGACAACTTTGAGCCCACCCAGAGGATATTGGTTACTTTGACAAGACCTAGTTCCATCCTGAACTATCTCTCTAACTTTTGATAGTTTATCTCTCTACTTTAAATATCAGAATCCTCTTTTTTTTTTTTTTTTTTTGGAGTCTTGCTCTGTCACCAGGCTGGAGTGCAGTGGCTAGATCTCAGCTCACTGCAACCTCCGCCTCCCGGGTTCAGGCAACTCTCCTGCCTCAGCCTCCTGAGCAGCTGGGACTACAGGCATCTGCCACCATGCTCAGCTAATTTTTGTATTTTTAGTAGAGACAGAGTTTCACCATCTTGGCCAGGCTGGTCTCAAACTCCTGACCTGAGGTGATCCACCCACCTTGGTCTCCCAAAGTGCTGGGATTACAGGCGTGAGCCACCACACCCGGCCCAGGATCCTCATTTTTAAGAAGGGGATAATAAGAATGACTACCTCAGTCATATTGGGGAAGACTGAACTGATATTTTGTATGTATTTCTAGAGAAGGACTATATATGTATATATAGACTATATATAGGAGACTCTACATAGTCTTATATATGTATATATAGACTATATATAGGAGACTCTACATAGTCTTATATATGTATATATAGACTATATATAGGAGACTCTACATAGTCTTATATATGTATATATATAGTATTCAGCATGGTCTGCCTGCAAAGGGAAGTATACATGTGTTAGCCCTTTACGTAAAGTAAATGATCAGAATAAAAAGCATGTTTTCTATTTGAGATCAATTTGGATGAGATGAGACCCAAAGAATTTGTGATGAATAAATCTCATTTAAACCAAATAAGTGATTCAGAACTTTGAAATTATTTTGTCAAGATCCATTATAGTTGTTTTGAAGATTACCTTACCCCCACATCATTTAAAAGAAGCCCTTTGATGAAGCTGATAATGATGATGATGATGATGACATATGTGTATGTGATTGTCTCTATAGGACATTTCCTCAATATACAGTTTTTATACTATACATTTTTAAATAAAATATACAAATTTTTATTATGTTAATGGTTTATGTGTGTCAGGGAGGAAAACTTTTCTGGTACCCTCTTAAGTTTGCTCTCTGAGGTCTGTGAACTAAACTGACAAAATATGGATTAAAGGGGGAAAAAAGGCTTATTCCCATGAATAGGAGAACTAATAAATGAACTAGCAAGCTAGCTAGGTGACTAAGGTTAGAGGCCTATATACCTAAGTTACTAAAGGAAAGGGGTGGGGGAGAAAAGGCTTCTATAGGAAGAACAGATGGTTTATTTAGGAAAGACAAATAGATTTTTAGGAAAACAGACAGAAGATTAAAAGATGTATGATAATAATGTTTGTGTATGGAGGTAGGAGTGGCCTTTTCCACTCTTTCTTGGCCTAGAAACTCTCCCAAGAGGGAATCTGTGGTAGTTTACCCTTGGTTTCTCTTCTGGGAGTAGACCTGCCCTAAAGGGATTTATGGAAGCCTTATTTCTCACAAATTTCTGCTTCTGCTCAGATGAGAGAAGTTTTAAGAAGATTTCTTTCTGCATTTGTCGAATTTCAAATTTCTTCAGCATCAAATAATCTTCATACCAACTCTGGGGTTCTGAGTGGGTCCCCACACGTGTTAAGTTTTCTATATTCAATATAAAGATTATCAAATAATTAAATGTTATTTAATTATTAAATATAAGGATTGTGGCTTAGTCTTTGTGAGCCCAGTGCTTGTGAGCCCAGTGCTTTGTGAGCCCAGTCAATGTTCAATAAATGGAAATGTAATAAAAGAATGCCAAAGCATGAGAGCTAATTTATTCAACATCATTAAAGGAGAAGTGTCAATCAAGACTTTTTCAGTTACAGGGTGAAAATGTACACCCTGAATTAAAAGTGAAGTTTATTGACATATATTACTAGGAAGCACATTGTGGGTAGTTCAAGTCAAAGGATGATCTATAGGGAGCAGGCATCTGGAGAACAGAACTAGAACTCAGTGAGAGTAGGACTGTCTTTCTATCAGTGTTCCATCATGTATTTCTCAGTTTCCCAGTGTATATTGCTCTTGTTCGAGCCTATGACAGTTAGCTTTTTAAAAGTAGCATGGGGAACACAGGAGCCCTACATTCCCAGGTTAGCAACATTGCAGGATAAGACAGCATATTTATACTGGGTTCCATATGAGTAATCCCAGTGAAAATTGACTGGCCATGATTGATTTTTAAATATGTTTAGTTTTTGAATTAATCACTGAAACCAGGAATGCAGAAACTTCTGATTGGTCAGTTCTGGGTCACTTAACTACTCTGAGGTTGTGTCTATCAGGGATAGGGAGATGCTGAAGAAGTAGAGGGTAGACTGTCCCCCGAAGAAGTGAGAAAACTGTAAAGATTGCCAGGATAGTAGATACTGTGGCCTCTGAAGGAGCACTGAATTTTTAGATATATTTTTCCTTCTTATATAGTAAAAGAGACATTGCCTTTATGCAAATGATGGTAGTACTGAAATTGTTATTATGGAACCATGCAGTGTTATTCTCTTTTCTTAAATTTGTTGAAAGAATCTGAAACATTCTATAGGTTCATAATTTTTTCTCTAAAGACTGCACAGTAGATTAACAAAAAAGTAGATGTTGATTTTAAGGAAAATAAGTAACTTCCCTAAGAATAACACTTCACGCAGTAGGCAAGTAGGGATTGAACCAACACTTGGTAAATGAATGAATTATCCAGACATTTGATCAGGGTATCTGGACCATAAATTTTTTATACAGATTCTGCATATTCTGGGTATTTACAAGATTAATTATTGGAGTGTTTATCAACACTCTACTAAGGTGTCTTTTAAGTTTACCTAAATGTAAAATGTTTTATACATAGAATTGGTGGGAAATTTCAATGATGGCAGTGGAGAACTGGATAATCACATTAGAGAAGAAAATTACAAAACATTCTAACAGATAACATCATAGTGTGATTCTAATAGTTGGAAAAGTTAGAACAAAATTTTGATTGAAAAAAATTCATTTCTAAATAACTTGAAATTTTCAGGGTTTATGTCAGTTATTACCATTAGTCTGTAAAACAAATTTGTTTTGCGTACCAAGGTGCTAATGGATATCAGGTCTGAGATACTGAAATCCTTGCATCACAGATTTCCCGTGGCTCATCCAACAAGGGACTTTCTTTCTTGCCATGTCTCTTTGTGGTGGCCTTTCTGAAAATGGGTGGTGCCACCCCTGCATAGTTATAGCTAGACTCTGCCCAGTGTTCTATCCTTTCTTTGCTTCCCTACTGTCAAATTTTCCCACACAATGTGAACTTTGTTACACATCTTAAAAATAAGACTTTAGAGTTAAATTCATTGAAAAAAAAACTTCTAGATCTTCTCTTAAGGGAAGCAAAAAAATGCAACACCCAAGCATTTAACCACTTTTGACTTGACTTTCAATCCTGTGATGTGCCTTACTAGGGATAAATGTCTATTCTGATGGACATTTGAAAGAGAGTTTTCTAATAATCTGGCAGTCTTTTTAAACAAATACATCTGGGTTATAGTCACATGTCCACCTACTGATTAAATTTTTCCAGGAAAGAGGCAAACGTTTCAGTGATACATCATCACAACAAATTTGATTCCATTTTATGTTTATATTTCAGTGACAGTCCTAATACCCAAATCAATGTGTTTAAAAAGAAGCCCCCTTAGGTTTCTTCAAGTGATTTATTGCCTTAGTTACATTATTGCTTCAGGTGTAATCAGGAATATTTGTCTTCATGTCATTTTAAGGGAGATATGAGATAGAATATGCTAATGTGCTTGTCTTTGTACATAATGTTTTGTTAGTCTTTTGTTTGTTTCGGTCTCTTAATTAGTGACCGTCATTTAAAGCCATCCATCTCTGTTCAAATTTATGCAAATGTTGTAAGTTAATAATGAGAATTTCAGATGACTCTCTTTGTCAGCCTTTGTTTTGAGTTTGTTAGTCTATTAGATTGTTTGGCTAAATAAAATGTCTTTCTTTAAAGCTATGAAGCTAAAAATTCATAGATCAAACAGTTATCAAACATTCTTAAGGGTAATTATTTTTCGTTTCACACCAGAGTACAAACAGCGTTTGTGAAGCTCACAGCGCTTCGTAAATCCCACTGTTGCTTGTGCCTTCACGAAGCCCCCATCCATAGCTTGTGAGTGCTCAGGAAAATGACAAGGTCCTGTTAACATTTACTCCTAAAGTGCCATCTTGAATTTATTGACTCATTGCAATTTAAAACAGAATCTTTATAGTTTACTAATGGTAATTGGAGCTAATGCTATCAAGGTTGATTAAAATGCTTGTTGGTACTATAAGAAATGAACTCTTAATTATAATCTTCTTAATAGTTAGCTCACACAATCAAGACAAAAATTATCACTTAGTTTATAGCTTTGTGTATTCATTGTGCACTTCCACCTTCCCATTTGGGTTGCATTGTTTTGTTCTAATTCTCATATGGCAGATAGCTGGGAAGTGCTGCTGTGCAGTTCTCAGCAGTTTATTGCCAGAGTTCCCTTCCATTTATTGTCATTAGCAGAAGAGTCTATCTCCTGCAAGATGTATGAGTGTTGGTAGTCTCAGTAAAATATCAGAAATACCTTTTTTGTAATCTAGATTTTACCAGGGAATGTGCTTGCTGGTGAGGTGATAAAAGTTAATGATACTATCCCTGGGCTCAGACAGTTTACAGGATAGCAGTGGAAACAGACTCTGGCTAGACTTTCAGCTTCCTAGTGTCAGGGACCGGACTATGTCCACTATTATGCCTCCATTACTTTGTACACATCAGGAACATCACACTTACACAGCAGTACTGGTTGAATTAAGGAACAGTATGTGTGCTGAAGAGGGAAAGGAATGTGATTGCAGGGGACAAGAAGAATTTAGCACAGCTGATGAAGACTTTTGAGCTGCCCGTAGAATCAGTAGAATTTTTCCAGGAGACAGAAAAGTGCAAATTTCCTGTAGGACACTGGGAAACTTGTGGTTTTCCAGCTGAGTGATGTACAGGGTTAGGGAATGGCGTCAAGTGAGGCTGGGATGGTGGAGCATATCAAGTATGGGTAGGTCTCAGTGGCATGCTGAGGAGTGTGAATTTTATTCTCCACGTTAGGGGAGCATCAAAGATGTGCATTTAGGGCACGTTCCTGATAAAATTTGGAGGATCACAGAAGGTATCAGAAGAGAGGATGAGTTCATTTACTTCAGTGTGCTCAGGTGGCCACCTAGCATCAAAAAATTACTGAGCTTTTTGGGTTTCCATGTTAGCTGAACATTAGTCCTAATCCTGTATCTGCCTCTGTTAGCTTAGTAAGTTTTTCCTTTTTATGCTGATCTTGAGTGTCCCAACATAAACTAAATGGAAATTACAATACTATTTTGAAGGATTACTTTTTACATGTTAGTGATTATAATTATAAAGTATTTGGAACATAGTAGGTACTCTTTAAGTACTGACTAAGTATAGAAATTACTTAATAGTATTTTATATCAACCCAATTTGAAAAGGGCAAAGGATTTCAATAGAGGTTTATCCAAGGAAGATATAAAAATGCCAATAAGCACATGAAAAGATGCTCAACATGATCTGCTGTCAAGAAAATGAAAATAAAAACCACATTGACATACCACTTCACACACACTAGGATGGCTATAATAAAAAACAATGATAATAACAAATGTTGGCAAGTATATGGAGAAATTAGAACCTTCATGCACTGTTGGCAGGAATGTAAAATGATGCATTTACTTTGGAAAAATATCTGACAGTTCCTCAAAAAATTAAACATAGCATTACTGTATTACCCAGCAGTTTCACTCCCAAAAATATACACAAGGTATGTTCATATGGAACCAAAAAAGGGCCCGCATTGCCAAGACAATCCTAAGCCAAAAGAACAAAGCTGGAGGCATCACACTACTTGACTTCAAACTATACTACAAGGCTATAGTAACCAAAACAGCATGGTACTGGTACCAAAACAGATATATAGACCAATGGAACAGAACAAAGCCCTCAGAAATAATACCACACATGTACAACCATCTGATCTTTCACAAACCTGACAAAAACAAGAAATGGGGAAAGGATTCCCTATTTAATAAATGGTGCTGGGAAAACTGGCTAGCCATATGGAGAAAGCTGAAACTGGATCCCTTCCTTACACCTTATACAAAAATTAATTCAAGATGGACTAAAGACTTAAATGTTAGACTTAAAACCATAAAAACCCTAGAAGAAAACCTAGGCAATACCATTGAAGACATAGGCATGGGCAAGGACTTCATGTCTAAAACACCAAAAGCAATGGCAACAAAAGCCAAAATTGACAATTGGGATCTAAGTAAACTAAAGAGCTTCTGCACAGCAAAAGAAACCACCGTCAGAGTGAACAGGCAACCTATAGAATGGGAGACAATTTTTACAATCTACTTATCTGACAAAGGGCTAATATCCAGAATCTACAAAGAACTCCAACAAATTTACAAGAAAAAAACAAACAACCCCATCAAAAATTGGGCAAAGGATATGAACAGACACTTCTCAAAAGAAGATATTTATGCAGCCAACAGACACACAAAAAAATGCTCATCATCACTGGCCATCAGAGAAATGCAAATCAAAACCACAATGAGATACCATCTCACAGTAGTTAGAAGGGCAATCATTAAAAAGTCAGGAAACAACAGGTGCTGGAGAGGATGTGGAGAAATAGAAACACTTTTACACTGTTGGGGGGACTGTAAACTAGTTCAATCATTGTGGAAGACAGTGTGGCGATTCCTCAAGGATCTAAAACTAGAAATACCATTTGACCCAGCCATCCTATTACTGGGTATATGCCCAAAGGATTATAAATTATGCTGCTATAAAGACACATGCACACGTATGTTTATTGTGGCACTATTCGCAATAGAAAAGACTTGGAACCAACGCAAATGTCCATCAATGATAAACTGGATTAAGAAAATGTGGCACATATACACCATGGAATACTATGCAGCCATAAAAAAGGATGAGTTCATGGCCTTTGTAGGGACATGGATGAAGCTGGAAACCATCATTCTCAGCAAACTATCGCCAGGACAAAAACCAAACACCGCATGTTCTCACTCATAGGTGGGAATTGAACAATAAGAACACTTGGACACAGGAAGAGGAACATCACACACTGGGGCCTGTTGTGGGGTGGGGGGAGGGGGGAGGGATATCATTAGGAGATATACCTAATGTAAATGACAAGTTAATGGGTGCAGCACACCAATATGGCACATGTATACATATGTAACAAACCTGCACATTGTGCACATGTACCCTAGAACTTAAAGTATAATTTAAAAAAAAATAGAGATGAGAATATATGTCTGTGTGCTGGGTGCAGTGGCTCACACTTGTAATCCCGGCACTTTGGGAGACTGAGGCAGATGGATTGCTTGAGCCCAGGACTTTCAGAACTGCCTGGGCAACACGGTGAAACCCCTATCTCTATAAAAAAAATTAGTTAGGTATGGTGGCACACACCTATAGTCCCAGCTTCTAAGGAAGTTGCGGTGGGAGGATCACCTGAGCCCAGGGAGGTCAAGGCTGCAATGAGCCTTGATTGTGCCACTGAACTTCAGCTGGTGTAACAGAGTGAGATTCTGTCTCAAAGAAAAAAAAAAAACAAGACAATATATGTCAACATAAAGCTTGCACATGAATGTTCATGACAGTATTATTTATAATACTCAAAAGATGAAAACAACCCAAATGTCTATCAAGTTATAAATAAAGATATTACATGTATACAATGAAATATTATTCAGCAATAAAAAGAAATGATTTACTGATACAACATGGGTCATCATATTATGCTAAATGAATGAAGCCAGTCACAAAAGACTACATATTGTTTAATTTTAATTAAATGAAATATACATGAAATATCCAGGATAGGCAATTCTCTAGAGTGGTTGCCTAGGCCTGGAGTGTTGGGGAAAAGTGGAGGGTAATAGCTAAAAGGATAGAAGGATGTTTTGGAGGGCAAAGATCTTCTAAAATTAATTGTGGTGACTGTTGCACAACTGTGCATGTACTGAACACTATTGAATTCACTCAATATAATTCACTTTAACAGGTTAAATTATATGATATGTTGATTATACCCCAATAAAACTGTTATAAAAAGATAAAAAGATAATAATCTATGGGTATATTGAGTACTTAAAACATGAAAAGTGATAGACATAAATTATCTCACTTACTCATTGAAGAAAGCCTCATTATGAAATAGGGACACTTCTTATGTCATATACAGCCTAGAAAATTCAGATTCAGAGGTATAGTTAGTGTGGAACAGTTGAGGCTTTTTAAAATTATATATATTTATTATTACATATATATTTATTATATATGGTTACATATATATGTAAAATATAACATTTGCTTTTAGACTATAAAATAAATATATTTTAGTGATGGTAATCCGTTATAATTTACTCAGCTATAGATAATTCACTAGCTTCCCTCATTCTTTCTTTCAGCACACCTGAAATCTTTCAGCACACCTGAAATCTTTCTCAGGAGCCTATTCTCAGGCTCAAAGCAGCCCTCTCTAGCTGTCCCTACTATTGCAATTTTGTATGTAAATGCCTTTCATCCCGTCCCAGAGAAAAGGATATCTATTGCTCTCCACTCATTCCCCTCTCTGAGCTGTCCCTGACGTCCATTATGCAAGCTGAGATATTCAGGAGCAGAAAGGTCTCTTGTAAAACTAACTGCTTAGCACCACACCTGTCATAGTAAGTACTTTGACAATGGCTGACATTTCGCAATGCTTGTGAGTACAAAGTATTTTATGATATGCCTTTGATAGACATTATTTTATTTAATTATCACGACAAATCTATGAAGAGAGGAAGGTGACTAACTCATTCTGGTTTTCTGGGAACCCTGCCATTTTAACACTGAAACTCCACTGTCCACAAAACCTTATAGTCCCAAGCAAGCCAAAATGATTGATTAGATTCAAGAAAGGATTCATATTGGTTCACCTTCTGAGCCAGGAATTTAATAGTGTGCGTTGTTTTTCTTTTCAGAAATGGAAAAGTTTTTAAGGTATAATTTTAATTCTTGTTCCCTTTAACAAGTTAATTTTGATGACATATCATTTGTTTGTTGTCTCACCAAGTTTCATGAAGAGAGACTGAAGACATTCTCAGAATAGTAACCAAGTGTATTTTAGGAGACCTTGGTAAAGAAGTTAATACTGCAATTAAGCACACCTGAAATCTGGTGTAAAATATAATTAAACGTTGCTTAGAAACTTTTCTTATTGAACCAAATGAAAATATGCCTCTTGTTTAAAATGTCAAACTGATCATTGTTCCTTATTTTTTTCTTGGTTATAGAATGACATTTCCATGAACACTCATTTCTGGTTTAGCTATACACAATAAACACAATAGCTATTACCAATTATTTAGTCCCTACTGAGCAGTTCATCAAGGATTTGTGAAGGCAATGGCATCAATTGATATTCCTTCCTTTCCTTCTCCTGCCTGCTCTGTTTAAAGATAACATGTTCTAAGTCTAGGCATGGAAATAACCTACCTTCAGGCCATTGCCTCCAAAATGCAGTTTCTATCTTCACCTCCTGTAGCCCATAGCAAAATGAAGTTATCGCTCTCTGGTGGGTTAGCTACTAAAATGAGAATTCAAAGTTTACACTGTGCAGGAGGAAGGATAGTATGTGTAGAGCTTTCTGGATGTCCTGTTCCTTTCAAGCTTTGTGGACTTATTTCCTTGAAGATTTTGAGGCTAGATAGGCAGCTACAGTGGTGATGTAGTTGACTGAGTATACCTGCAAAAAGATAAGCTGCCCCTCCAAAGATCTATAGAGTGTCCAGCGTGGTGTCTGGCACCATAAACACTCTAAAAATGTTAGTCGTGTCCCCTCCCTCACCTGAGGAATGAAAATGTACATGTTCCTTAGTTATCTGTTTATACTGAATCTGCTAGAAAGTAGGATTTTGTAAGGCTGGGACTAAATGTTCCTTGTTCATTGCAGCCTTGGTGTTGCCAAACACATGTGTGACTAATAGTAATCCTCAGAAATATTTTATGAATTAACAAATGCATTGAGAATTTTGATTAAGGTGTATCACAACAGGGGAAATTATGTGTTTTGCCAACAGGAGATACAGAGAATATGGAGAGCATTTTCCTGAGTTCTTTTTTTTTATGACAGTCTTTCATAACTCCACTTGCATCTGGTTGGAATATAAACAGTGGTCAAAGTATAGCCCTGCTTGCAGGTCAATTTAGAGGCCAGATGACTGGCACCATAAACAGTAAAACAAAGATCATCTCTCTTATATACTATTTGAGGAACTTCATGTCTATTTAGTAAAGAAAATGATTGTCTCAGCAGTTGTTCAATTTCTCTTTATTGTCTAAGAGGAAAGGTAATTCCGCCTTAAGAAAGAGCAAGGATACAAGAACATAATGAAAAATGCAATTGCATACAAACCACAAGGTTCTGAAAAGTTAGTTAATTTCTTTATTGTTTCTACATTATCTGCTACTAAAAAGTAATTTCCCCATATTTATACGACCCATTACAGACTAAAATATAGCCTTTGAAAGAGACAAGTGTGATATTTTTTCCTTGATTGATGACCGTTAGATCATCAAGTTCCCATGGTTTGTCCCAGTTCTCCCAAAGTTGTATCTACTCAATCACTTGTTTGAGCTAGTTTTGACTTGGTCAGCAAAATTATTGGAAAACTAGGTTCCATAATTTAGTGGCACTTGGGACACACTCATTTGTCCAATAGACTTTTGTATCTGATATTCCACAGTTAAATCTGTGGCACCTGGTTTGAAATGTTTCTGGTTGGCTCCATCAGCACCTGCCCCATCTAATCTCTCGGTCTAAGCTTCACGGCCACAATCTAGTACCTTGATAAGGGATATGATGGTGATGACAATGACAATGAAAAACAAAATTTACTATTCCTTATGTGGCTGAATCCTATCTAGATGTTTTAAATATGTGAATCCTTTTGCTATTCGCAATCATTCTATATGTTTTAGCACTGATCGCTTATGGAGATTAAGAAATTGAATCTTCTTTTTAAAGAAGAAAAGTCAATTGCTTGAGGTCCCTTAACTTAGGAAGTGGAAGAGACAGAGGATTCAAATACAGGCATTCCGGTATGGGAGCCCACAGTCCTAACCATTGTACTATATACTCTTCATCTTTGTATTCTTATTTTCTGCTAGGCCCAGAACCCTTTGTAGAGCCTTAGAGTCTTGTGTGGAGCATTCTCTGTTAACATTTATCCCACCTCCTGCTGGTGGTTCTGTCTTGACTCCTACTTAAATCACCCAGCATTTGCTCTCATAGTCTGGTAAATAGAGTTTGGCCATGAACACCCTTTAACCAGAACAATATTGGTCACCTCTCTCACTCCAATTTTAAGCAACACTTTCATCTAAATCTATGCCTCCAAAACTCTGAATGCCATTACCCTTTGGGCTAGATGTGCCTTTGTGGCAGTACTATCCTCTACCCAGTTGCTTCTAGTACTGTCTGTCAACCCTGAAAGTCTGTATTGACAAAGCCCCAGGAAACCCTGTTCCATAAAGTGTAGAAGATAAATAAATGGAGATCAATAAGGGAGGCAATCTGCAGAAAAGAGACAAAGCGCCCCTCTTAATGACACGATAGCTTAGTATATCAGTGTAAATTATGTTGTAAATATATAGAGTTAATGGTATTTGGCTGCAATTTATTTCATCTCCCCTTTCTGCCTTCTCCCCAGGGAGCTCAGCTATTTCAAGTAAAAATCTCATTACCTCCCAAACTATCTCTATGTGATGTAGATGTGGCCAGTGTTGTCATCCATAATTTACAGTACACTTTATATGGTTAAGCATCTTACTCAGAATCAAATGACAATACCAGTTGGCAAATTCTCTGGGGCAAATTCTCTGGATCAATTCTGTCCTTTCTGATTCACTGTGATATGTGAGCACACGGTAAATGTTCAATGTGTTCTTACAGGCACAGGCTTAACATGCTACAAGTTATTCCACATCAATCTGGGAGGTAGTTTTAATGCTGCCTTTTTTGTACCATGGGATTACATTTGTCTCTACTTTCTAGGAATGGTTCAAAATCTTCCCATTGTTCCCTGTTTCATGTTTAGGATAGATTATATGAATTTACAATCAGAGTCAACTTGGATGGTTTAATATTACTCATTCAACACATACTTATTTAATATCTACTGTGTTCCAGTCACTTTGATTTGCAATATACAATCAGATGAGACTTCTACTCCCATAGAGTTTAAATTTTAGTTTGGGTAGAAAGAGAGATGATAGGAGAAAAAAGCCCTTAATATGTTTTAATATAGGATAAATGCTATTTAACATAAAAAATAAATGATGGTGATACAATACATAATTCCATAGAGGAGTGGAGGGAAGGAGTATTTAGACAGGTGAGTTAGAGACTTTCTGAGGAGGTGATGAGATAAGGAGATAGACATGCAAAAACCTGGTGAAAGTGTATTCTGGATAGAGGGAAGAACAAGTACAAGGCTGTGAGGTAGGACTGAGCTCGGCGTGCTCTTGTGGCCCTGCAAGAAGCCCATGTGGCTGGGGATGGGGTGAGGTAGGGTGGGTCAGAGAGTAGAATTAAAGTAGGTATGAGAGGTAGGCATGAGCTAGATCATATCAAACTTTGCAGGTAAGAGGTTATTTATTAATATATTTAGTTGCTTATTTATCTATGTATTTGCTTATTTGGTAGTGCTGTAGGAAGCCCCCAAGCCTACTTAAGGACAGTGACTAGATGTAATTCAGATTTTTTAATGAACCCTCTGGGTGTTGTGGTGATACAGCGTAGTAGGGACAGAGAATGGAAGCAGGAAAACCAATGAATAGGCATTTGCATAAATCCAGGTAAAATCGGAAGGTATTTTAACCACAATGTAATAGATAAATCTATTTAAAAAATCAGCAAATACTCACTTAGTGATCCCCTCCATGCAAAGTATCCAGATCCTCACACTGTCATCCTGTCTTATGGGTTTTTGCATGAGTAATTGCATGCATTCTTTTTCTAAAACTCTTCCACCCTCTTTTTTTTTTTTTTTTTTGTCTTGCTACTCCTACATAGACTTCAACATAGAGATACATTTCTCCAGTGATCATTTTCTGACCCCGAAATTAAGGGTAGGTGTCCCATAGCACCTTATATTCCCCTTATCAAAGAAGCTATTCTCTCTCTTTTTGCACCTTTATCTCTGTTCCCCACCAGATCGTAAACTGTTAGAAAAAAAAAAAGATTTATAACTTGCTAAATGTATTCCTTTCTAGGGCTGCCATAACAAACTATCACAGACTGTGTGGCATAAACACCAGAAATTTATTGATCACAGTTCTGGAGGCTGCATGTCCAAGATCAAGGTGTCAGCAGGGTTGGTTTCTTTGGGTACCTCACTCCTTGGCTTGCAGATGGCCGACTTCTTGCTGAGTCTTGATCTTTTCTCTGTGTGTGTACATCCCAGGTGTTTCTTTATGTGTCCAGATTTCTTCTTCTGACAATAGGCACAAGTCACATTGGATTAGAGCCCACCCTAATGGCATCATTTTAACTTAACTACCTCTTTAAATGCTCTGTCTCCAAATGCAGTCATATTCTGAGGTACTGGCAGTTAGGACTTCAACATATGAATTTTGGGAGACACAATTCAAATGGTGGTAATCACTGTTGTATACACAGTATCTGGAACATTGTGGGCACTCAATAAATATGTGCTAATAAATTTTATCTTTAAGGTTTTAATAATGGTTATATCAAAGGATGTGTGGTAATACTTCATTTATAGTTTCTGGTATTTTGTTTCATGGATAATTCAGATTTGAGCCATGGGTTCAGCTTGCTGTGCAGTAGATAAAACAATTAAGTGGCAATAGGCATCTTTATTAACCAGATTTAAAGGCTACTGCAGGTGTAGATGTTACTAAATCTTGGGATCATCTATTGGTGCTCCATTTTAAGTGAAGAATTGTAAAATTTGAGCATTGATGTATGTTTTTGAATAATAGATTGAAGCAGATACTCTTATAGCTACAATTATACCCTGAGAGTGCACCTATTAACTCTACTGGATGCTTGGAATTTATCTTTTTACTTTGAACTTATTGGTCCTCTTGGATCATTATACTGCTCCTTTGATATTGTCAATGCAAGATATGACTATCCTCAATTTTAATATGAGTGATTCTTCTTTTAACATAAACCTGGTCAGATCACTGTCCTGCTTAAAGCCCATCTATATCTTCCATTGCCCTTAGAATAAAAGCCATAGTCTTTAACATGGCCTGTGATGTCCTGAATGTTCCTGTTTACCTCACTGGGCTCATGGCCTGCCATACTGTCTCTTTCAATGACCTCTGTCCATGGCAGAGTTTTCTCTGTCCTGTTCTTATTCCAAGTACTACATATTTCAGCATGTGCTGTTATCTCTGTTGGAAAATCTGTTCGTCCATCCATTCCCACATCCTGCATACATCCCAAGGTCATACAACATTTACTTAGGATAACTTTTTGAAATGTTTCCCCTTTCCTCAACATTTGCTGTTCCATTTTCTTAGGCTCCTGTAGCTCCTGTCTCTTTTGCAGCCTGTTGATACTTTCAATGATTTACTTAAATATGCATGTGTTTGACTAATATATGACTCCATGCTAGACCATTGGTGATATGTGGGAGTTACTGGGTCTCTTTGCGCTCACTGCTGTATCTCCAGGGCGTCTCACAATTTAATACTTACTCCTCCTCAATGAATAGCTGTTGACAGAAAATAAAGCTGGGAGTCGTAGAAACATTAATTTATTCCTTGGTAATTCCAAAATGGCTGAGAAGACCCAATTCCATTGCACCCACTGACATGGTTATAATGATTATAAATAGGTAATCTTTGGCAAGATATGAAGCCCAAGTTGGCTTTTAAAACTAAGAATAAATCAATATAGTGAATTCAAACTTTAACTCATCTGCAGGAATTGTCAGCTCAGTGGTTGAGCTCTGTTACACATGACACATGATTTCAGTGACAACATTCAACATAACTTGAAAGGATTTGGGTGGGAGTAATGCTACATATCTTTTCTATGTACATGAATGAGCCAAGAATGCCAAGTATTTTTAAAAGTTGAGTAAAAATACTACCTGGAGAATGAAAGCATATGAATGATAAATCTAGTCCCAAAATAGAATGTGTCATTGCTAATCATTACAAATCTACTATCTGCCTGCAATGCTGTGAAAACCCTCTATTGTGTCCTGTTCCTCCTGGAGAGGTATAGAGATCTTGAAAAGGTAAAATAAAAGCTTCAAGCTTAATTGGGTGACAGTGAAAAGGCAGAGAATCATTGTTCAAAACTGAGTTTTCAATAAAGCCAGTGGGGTAACTGGAAGAAATGACATCTCGTCCCTTCTCTCACACCGACATTTAGTTATTAACGAAGGCACAGAACATCCCTTAGTTGTTTACTTAAACCCATTGCCAGAATCTTTGGACAATGACACTGCTGATTTCACCCACAGCTGCCTTTCAGTAGCAATAAACAAGAGCTTTGACTCTTCAGATGAAAAAAGCAAAGAGGCAAGCACACTGGGGCTTGCATCCTAGAGCTAATGGTGCTGTGCTGAGAACATATACCTTGCAACAATCTTATCAGGTGCCTCTCCCTTTGTTGTGAAAACAAATGGGCTATTTTTCAAGCCAATTCGTGTGTGTGTGTGTGTGTGTCACCAATGGAAATATAGTGTATCTGTGAGTAGTGGGGAAAGGTATTGGAACATGGAGGAAAATCAGTTTTGAGGGTTGTATAGGAACAAAGTAGGTCTGTCCAATATGGTGAGTAGTAAGTAGTTAATCTATAGCCAAAAATATGATTATGGCTTCAGATTAACAATGTCTCATTTTCTTCATTCATGGCCACTTTGTCGAAGTAAGCTTTAAGGTGCTTTTTGTTTCTCAGCATTTCATTGATTTATTCTTGAAAGTCAAACCATCAATAACTGTCAAAAATCCCTCAAATTAAGAGTGATCTATACTTGACCTTAAAACTAGAAGCACAATATAGGATCTCTCTCTCTCCCTCTCTCTCTCCCTCTCTCTCTCTCTCTCCCCCTCTCCCTCTCCCTCCCTCTCCCTCATCATCCCCCAGACCCCCACCCTGCCACACACAGAGAGACACACTCACAACCTATGGGTAAAAGACAGGAAAATTGTATTTTTTTCCAGTTGTTGAGGCTGTTTTTACTTAAGAATATGATCAAAGTAAATAAAATCTTACATTGGCTAATCAAATATGGCAATATTTACATAGTATTATCTTAGGAAGTTTTTTAGTAAAAGGGTATACAAAGCACTTTCTATGTCCCAGACAAGAGTAAAATATGCTTAGGTTTTAGTGTAGCGTTTTTACAATGTACATTCTGCCTTTTCCTACTTCTTTATCAATGGGAAAATAATAGCCCTCAATTTTGTCATCTATAAAATGGAAAAAAATAGCAATATCTGTCAATCACCAATAGCAACTATGGTGATATGAAAAGGGGATTACATATGTAAGAAAATTCCTCTGTTCTTGGTAGTAGATCATCTCCAATTTGAATATACTCATTTTCTTCTTAGATACTAGGGTGCAATGAAGACCCAGTTCCAGAGAACGAGCACTAATATGGTGGGGAAGTGGGTGATGGGGGTGGGCAGGTGGGGAGCAGACATACATAATTACAATAAGAAGCATGAAGATGCAAAAATGAAAGCACTTACAAAATTTCTATACAGGAAGGCCAAGCATGAATCTTTCTGAAAGAGATATAGAAAAACAGTTATGGCGGGTGGCTAATACAGGAACTGTTTCTTGAAGGATGAAGGATTTAAATAATTATTTGCCATCTATTGTCTACAAAGCTATGTGCTAGGGTTCTATGAAGGCTTTAAAAGAACAGTTTATATGTCACTGCTGTGACTATAAATCTTTCTATAATCACTTGGGAAAATAATATGAAAGAGAGAGAATTTCATTTACAGGCATTCATCTTAGAGAAACTCTCCCACCTAGTAGTAAAACTTAAATGCAGCATTGTTGGAAGTGTTGAGTGAAAGAGAGGCAAAGCCACGTGAGGATTTCAAATAGGTTAGTGGCATAATATGACATACCTTTTAAAAGAGTCACTCTGACTGTTTTGAGAATAGATTTAAGGTCTCTGAAGAGGAAGCATGCAGAACGGTAGAAGACTGTTCAATAATCCAAACAAGACAGGATAATTCAGAGTGGTAGCCTGGAAGTGGTGAGAAGTAGTTGGATTTTGAATATATTTTGAAGGTAGAGCTAACAGTATTCAAAATAGTGAAAGATTCATACAAGGAGATACTATTCAGCAGGTTAAAGCAATTAACTAGGTTAATATGAAATAACAGAAATCTCAAAATTAATGTAGAACACCAAAAATAAGATGTAACATAATAATACACTAGAGTAGAATTTATGTAAATTAAGAAAAAAATCTCACAGTATGATATATTGCTCATGCATAGATAATATGTGTCTATTTCAAAAATGGATTGTAAGGATAATGCATAATGAATTAACGATTGTTTTTAACCTGTTGGACAGAATAGGAAGAAGGAGGGACTTGGTCTGAAGAAGAAAAGAATATATGATTTCAACCCTGTGTTTTTTTAATTTGAAAGATTGTTAATAAATATGTAGATAGCTACGTAGTATGTATAAAGGTGTCTTGCTCTATTTCCTTTCTATATTTTAATTTAAACAAAAATAGAAAAGTATATAGAGATTTATAAAAGACTAAATTTCTATGATCACTTGAATATATAAATGCACACATAAATATCCCTTGTGTTAAGGGATAGCTGGAAACTGTTTTAAAATTCTGTGAAGGTTGAGAACATGGCATGATCAAATGCAATTGGAAGGGAAAAGGTAGAAAGTTTTAGGTAGTATTTAAATGTATGGTAGTAGTTCAACAGGTTAGTATTTAAGAGAGGAATTCTTTCAGAGCAAAACAAGAACAAAGATAGGAAATCACCTGCCGACTTTTGGAATGATCCTTGGATTTCAGCTTCTAGAATTTAGAGCCAACTTATAAGCCTTCTTTACTTCATCCCACCCTCTAAAAATAGAGAGCAGATTTCCATCACTGACACTATGAGATAATATTGTGCAGCAAAAAAGAAGAAAATGAATCTATTGGCGCATTTTTATTAAAGGAATTTATTATGGCTTTAGGTACCAATACATATTGAAAAAAGTATATTAAAAGATAGTGCTAACATTTTGTTAAAGAGGCAGTGAAATATATGAAAGCTTGAAATCTCAAGATTTTCAAAAGCAAATATAAGCTGAAAGAGCTCAATGTGAGTATTCCACTAGGTTTAATCTAAACGAATTGCCTGATAACTTGATGATTGACTGAGAGACTGGCTTCTAAATCAGCAGGCTATTAAGTGTAACCTAGATAGCAATGCGGGAGCAAATTTAAAGTGTGGGAAATACCTGGAGTGAAGTGAATGAACAAGTTAGTCTAACCAGGATATTGATGAAATTGGTTTAGTGCAAATGGCATCCTAAATAGCAAGTACCCGCCACCACCACCACTACGCACAAATACCAATCTTCCAGTGAAACACCACCTGATCAACCTCGAGTGCTGCTGACAAATTCAGCAACCAAAGCGAATGTCAGGAATATGAGCTACTAGAGTTGAGAAGTTTGGTTTACAGAAATCAACTCATTTCTCTATCTCACTCTGGTTAGGACCAGAGGAACTATAATATGTTGTAAGGGGAATGAAAAAGTACTGTGCTTTTCTCACTTTCTGAATCTTCATTTTCATGGGGCTTTATCACTTCCTATTATGTGTGCATAATATTCTCACACATTGCCTGACAAGCTTGGACGCAAACAACCAGCAATGAGGCAGAATGATGTACCAATATTAAGCCTAATGTGGTGCCTATACCATTTGAGTTTTGAGTTATTTCTCCCACAGCAGATCCCCTATACAAAAAGAATTGATACACGTATTTCCCTTTCTTTCTGTAAATTACTCATATATTCACTACATAATTATTTAAACCTTGTTGATGGTAATCAATCACTAAATGAGCTAGAAAGCAAGGAGTGTCTTTCATGATTCATTGTAGTAATTGTCTCTGGAAGTTCTATCACCATTTATTTGTCTTAGCTGGACTTGGTCTATAACTAGCTCTGTGAAATGATGGACAGTTTTCAAGGCTTGTTGGCATGGAATCAGTATGTGGCAGGAGAGACCATTTGAATCAATTATATTATCCCTAGCAGGGTTACCATGGAAGCTCTAGCTCTTCATAGCACTTTGCTTCTCCTGTCCGAGTAGTATGCTCTACATATCTTTAATTAGAATGGATGCAATTTATTTAGTAATGGAAAGCTTACTTAAGCGAGTTCTGTGAAGGTGTCAGACAGAATTCAACCAGCCCTGCATATTCAGAGAAGACAAATGTAAAAATGCAAATGATTTTTCTAATTTAATTCCTTACTGAAAATAAAGAAAAAAGGAAAAAAAATGCCTTCCTATCTGGAAATAAGCTTCGTTTGATCGTAAAGAAATTATGTTTGATATTCCATCTTTACTCAGACACAAAACAAGCAGTAGTTCTTAAAATAACCTCTTCTGCTATGGATATAATAATCTGTCATATGCATTTATTAACTGATTCTCTGGCACTGCTGTGGCATTTAACATTGCTTATCATGGTTTTGTATTGGGTGCAATCCGCAAGTCTAAACAGGACCAATTACTGAGTCCCCTGTGTGCCTGGTCTTGGGATATGAAGACCCGTTATTCTCAAGTCATGAACAAATGAGTTGTGGAGACCAGCAAAAAGGCAAACGTAACACTGATAATAAACTTCATGATACAGGTCTGAAGGGATGCTTTAAACAGATTAAGAGCCAGTAATTTAACAGATGTGGGAGATGGAGACATTTAGAACACACCTCCTTAAAAAGCATATACTTGTGATGAATTTTGAAGGATAGGCAGTAACTAGCTAACTTGAATGACTGGGGAAGAATGAATGTTCAGAAGGAAGAATACTGTAAATGAAAAAACATGGATTACTGAAAGATCTGGCTATGTTTAAGAAACTACAAATAGGCTTACGGGGCTGGCAATGCTTTATGGCATCATGCTAGCATCCAAATCTCGGATCCAGATCATGGAAGAACTTGCATACCATCCTAAGATTCTTAGTTTTATCTTGAAGGGAGTAAATGGAAACCATTTCTACTTTAAGGAAAACTAATGCGTTACACTTTGGAGAAGATTATATTAGGTTTCACAAAATTTTGCAAGTGTTATCTTTTTAAATTCCTTTTTAACATACAAGTTTTATCTGCCACAGAGGTTTCAAAAGAAGAAAAAACAAGTTGTATAATAATAATTTAGGCAGAAGATATTTCTGTGCTTTTCTTTTAGAGAAAACACAAACATTTCCTCCCAAACTTAAGATACTCTGGGGTAAAAGAAGTCAAAAGTTTAGACTGTAATTTTCAGGAGGTGAGAAACTCTCTATCCACCTTGATTCCTGGTGTGTTTCTGAAATTCCTTATCTCTTAGGAGGGAGACTCTGCCTTGAAAGGTACCTTTTTGAACGTGAGTATTTTTCACTCCTCACAACTGTATCAAAAAGGGTAACAATGGCCAGGCCAGGCACGGTGGCTCACGCCTGTAATCCCAGCACTTTGGGAGGCTGAGGCGGGCCAATCACGAGGTCAGGAGATCAAGACCATCCTGGTAACACGGTGAAACCCCGCCTCTACTAAAAATACAAAAAAAATTAGCTGGGCGTGGTGGCAGGCGCCTGTAGTCCCAGCTACTCGGGAGGCTGAGGCAAGACAACAGGGTGAACCTGGGAGGCGGAGCTTGCAGTGAGCAGAGATCGCACCACTGCACTCCAGCCTGGGTGACAGAGCGAGACTCTGTCTCAAAAAAAAAAAAAGAAAAAAATTCACAAAAAGGGTAACAATGATAATTGTAATTATTTGTTGTGCTCTTAATCAAATGCACTATACCCCTGGACCTATGCATTTGACATATATTTTCCCATGTTATCTTTACCACTATAGTGTAAGTACATTATTAGCCCCTCAGTTTACAGATGAAGAAACTGAGGCTCAGAAAATACAAGTAAATGGCCCAAGTCAATGGGCCAGCTTTACTGGGAAGTGAGTCTGCTATTTGAACCCAGGCTGTTTTTATTCTACAGTGGAGGGACTCAGTTTCAGAAGACATTCTTGGATGCAATTGAACACACATGTCACACCCTTTTAGACTACAAGACTCAGGGTTGGACAGAATGTAAATGAAAACAATAAACATAAAAGGCTACATTCCATGGCCTTTACGACTAATGCACCTCTAGAAATTTCTGCTTTTGAATACTTGAGTAACCTATTTGCAAGCTGTTGGGAAATTTAAATCTGCATGAAGTTTGCACACACCCTCTAAATTATCACACTAAATGCTTTTTGTTCCCCTATTACCTCCGAATTCTCTACCACTTCTTTTGTGTTCCTGATGTTTAAGGTTACTTTTAAAAATGAATATGAAATAAGCTGTATTTCTTCTGTCATTAGGGTACTGATGGTATAAATAAGTCCAAGAAATGCTTTCCATGGCTGTGCCCTCTGCACAGGAATGGGGAGCATGCCTGAGGCTCTCTGCCCAGCTGTCACCAAGCTACACTCCATTCCCAGGAAGCCAAAGCCAGTATATCTGGGAGTATCTAATGTCTCCCTAATACCAGTGTAGTTCATGGGGAATGTCAAGTAGACATCAACCTGATCCTTCATTTTATATAAGATACATTTGTTATTCTCATGTTGATAATGAAAAGACCAACCATTGATGAAAATAAACTGCCATCATATTTTAAAACACTCTATTAAGTTATCATGCCCATACCATACAGTTCACCTGTTGTTGCCTTCATTTTTTAAAACTTGTAATGAAGCTCACTGATATGATTTAGCTATGTCCCCACCCAAATCTCTTGAATTGTAGCTCCCATAATTCCCATGTATTGTGGGAGGGACCTGGTGGAAGATAACTGAATCATGGGTATGGTTTCCCGCATACTGTTCTCATGGTAGTGAATATGTCTCACTAGATCTGATGGTTTTATAAGGGGAAACCCCTTTTTCTTGGCTCTCATTCTCTCTCTTGCCTGCTGCCATGTAAGTTGTGCCTTTTGCCTTTCACCTTCCGCCATGTTTGTGAGGCCTCCCCAGCCACATGGAACTGTGAGTCCTTTACACCTCTTTTTCCTTGTAAATTAGCCAGTCTTGGGTATGTCTTTATCAGCAGGGTGAAAATGAACTAATACACTCACCTATTGTGGTTAGTCATGTTGGTTTACACTAGCAAGCACCCCCTAGGTGTTCTTAATATCGATGTAGCAATCCTTTCTCTATTGCAATTGTTACAGTAATTCTGCAAAGTATTTGTGGTGGCATTTTACTAACATAGTGCTAATGTTGCTTCTATTCTAAAAATGAGAAACCCTAGGCTGGGTGTGGTGGCTCACACCTGTAATCCCAATACCTTGGGAGGCCGAGGTGGGTGAATCACTTGAGGCCAGGAGTTTGAGACCAGCCTGGCCAATATGGTGAAACCCCATCTCTACTAAAAATACAAAAAATTTGCTGGGTATGGAGGAGCACCTGTAATCCCAGTTACTCGGGAGGCTGAGGCATGAGAATTGCTTGAACCTGGGAGGCAGAGGTTGCAGTGAACAGAAATCATGCCATTGCACTCCAGCATGAGCAACAAGAGTGAAACTCCATCACAAAATAAATAAATAAATAAATAAACAAGATAAAATGAAAATGAGAAACCCAACCTTTATGAAGATTATATGACTTGTTGATCATTACACTGGGCCAGAACCTGGCCATGAACCTTTGTAGTTTGGCCTTAAATTTTTTGGCTCTTCTTATTGATATCAAATAACATGACAATATGAAATGGAATCGGTTCCCAAAGGAAACCCCAACTGCTATTACCAAAAGAAAAGAAAATATCTGCTGAGAAAACCAAACACTAGATTTCTACAACACAAACTTCTGTAAGTCTCTCAGACCTTTTTAGTTGAAAGTTGTATTAAATTGTCTACTCTATCTCTCTACTTTCTAAAATCTCACTAAAATTTTTTTTATATTTTATCTTTGTATTTTAAGGATATTCTTTTGTTGAGACAGATTATGTATTACCCAGGCTGGCATGAAGTGGCATGATGATAACTCACTGCAACCCTCAACTCCCAGGCTCAAGTGATTCTCCTGCCTCAGCCTCCCAAGTAGCTAGGACTACAAGTGCACACCACCACAGCCAGATAATTTTTTACATTTTTTGTAGAGACAAGGTCTTGCTGTGTTGCTCAGGCTAAAGATATTCTTACAGGATTATTTACCATTAGAAAATTTTTTTTAATCTGTTCACTGAGCCATTTTATCCAATCCATTAAGACTAATTAATGGCCAAATTATGTTTAAATTATATTTTCTGCCCAATAATCTAGTAGGCATCCAGTCACTTAAATTAAATCCTATCAACACAACCATATGAGGCACAGCTAAGTTTCATATTTACCCACCTACCTGTCAAATTGGGAATAAAATTTTACTTGTGAACTTGATTAACACTCTTGTATTCACTCCTCACTATTTTGAGATATTCAGTATTTTGAGAACTGAACACAAAAACTGCCTGATCTAGTATCTAATTATTATGTGATAGCCTCTTTTGGCTTTTTTAGTTCATATTCCTTGTAGTAATTTTGGATTAAAGGATGAGATTTCATGAATTTGCTAGATACCTTTCAACATCAATTTGACGAAATATCTTAATGCTTGAGAGTTAGATCTGTAGTTGCAAAACCAAATAAGTGATTTTTCTCACGTTCACCTTAGTTGCAGATATTAGCTATGTATTCCCAAACAGTGTAGAATCTATGATGACTTTTTAGAAACCTACCTGCTGTAATCTTTAACGCATGAAACAGAACTGAATTTAACAAGCTATTTAACAAGGAAAAGCAATATGTTGTATACACACACATACACACATATATATACACATCTATATCTATATCTGTATCTGTCTGTCTGTCTATCTAACTATCTATCTATCTATCTATCTATCTATCTATCTATCTATTCACCAAACTGGAAAACTTGAAAAAAGAACTCTCTATCCAGTTTGATACATTGAATATACAGAAACTTTAAAAAATGGAATTTTCAGATAAATTATAAATGGATACATAAGTAGCAATCTGCTCTCATGATAGGTGAGATAAGACTCTATTTATAATTTGGCCTTCTAGAAAATGTAAAGACTCCTGAAGTACGATGCTGTGTTCTTTTTTTCTGAATTCTTCCATATGTTGATGTTGCTGTCCATTCAAATAACTAATTACAAAGAAATGATCATTAATCAAACATTCTTCTGAAGCACCAAATTTTGTTTCTAGCACATTGTGGCTTATAAAATATGAAAATTTGGTAGCAGTATGGAGATCCCCATTGTGTTTATTTACAATATATATGTGTTTGTGTGTGTGTGTGTGTAAGCTACTCATAAATATCCTATTTCCACAGCTCAACTGCTTAACTGTTGAACTTTAAGAGCTATTTTGATTCTTATATTATCTCCAGGGTTAGTCTAGATGAATTCTGTTATAAGCCTTGACCTTTAAAATGATGAATTTGAATATTAGAGATCAATATTTAGATTTACATAATATAATCAGCCTCCTGAAATCATAGTGCTTTCAATCATGTTTCTTTCTAGTACATTCCATACATCTGGAACCAATCTCTTACATCCTCTCCAGGTTCCCAAGATGCTATATAGAATAACAACTAACATTTAGTGAGAACAATGTGTGTCAGGCATACAGGTAATATTTTATCCATATGATTTAATTTCATTTTCTTTATGAGGAAATTACTATTATTATCTTTATTATATCAAGTGATTAGATAGCAAGAAATTAGGGATCATGCTCAAGCTCACAGAGATAGTATGTGATAGAGTGTGCACCTGGTAAGCAGATTGATTCCAGAGCCTTTTAGATATAACTCATATTTTCCTTTCTTTCCCCCAGAGGTGTCTGCCAGCACACATCTTCAACTGGTTCCCCATCTGCCAAAACTATTCCAATTCTGGGTCATTATTACTGTTGACCTTCTTGCCTACATTGTTCTTTCTTTTACCTCTCATGTATTCAAATCCCATAAATGCCTCAAAGCTCAGCAGAAGTTTCACTTTCCTGGTGAAACTTATTGGAATATTTCATTCCTGTACCTAAAACCCTTAAAGATCCTCATTTTTACTAGCACAAAGTCCAAACATCTATGCCTGTAATGGAAGAGCCTTCAAGATTTGGTTCCTATACACCTCTAATTTAATCTCTGGCTGAATTGCCCTATTTGACCTCAAACACTCCCACCTTCACCCCTACCCCCACCAGACATGCACAAGTTTCATACATCAACCATATTTGTGAGCTAGATCCCTACCCCTTCCACTGCTCAAAGATTTGGCTCTAGAATTCTCCTTTTCCTCTCTTGCATTGCTAGTTTCTTTTTCTATGTTCTGCTAATACACACACACACACACACACGTGTGTGTGTGTGTGTGTGTGTGTGTGTGTGTATATATATATATATATATATATATATATATATATATATATATATATATATTTCAATCCATGACCTCCTGTCTGTTCCTCCAACATGCCAGTCATTTTTCCTTCCTGGGTCTTTGCAAATGCTACCTCCTGTACCTGGCAAGCTTTTCTGCTAGATATCCCAAATGGCTCACTCTCAGCGCTTCAGAGCTTATATGTCCGCATATCATCTTCTTGGCTAAGCCTTCCCTGACTATCCATTTAAAACCAGAAAATCTCCCTACTTTCAACCTACTTTGATGTCTTCTCTGCTTCTTTTTTTTTCTCAATAGCACTTAGAACATAGGTTTTTATACTTTATTATATGTTGTATATATTACTTTATAATGAACTTCTTAATCATGTGTTTTTAATTTTACTTTGGGTGTCTCCCTCCCAGAGAATGGATAATAAGGTCCACGTTGGCAGGAATTTTAGTCTATGTTTTACAGCCATGCACCTTCAGTACCTAGGAAAGATCCCTGACATGTAATGGACCCTCAATAAACAATTTTTGAATGAACACTGAATCACCTCATATTTTCTAACTGGGCCACATAGTTTGATTTATTTTTGTCACTTTCCTTACTGCTTCCTGTGTCTTTAATACACCTCAATATCTATCTACTTAAAAATGGGTGGTAATCTTTTAAAATGTAGCTTAGAGGCAGTCTTCTTAGTTTTTCCACATTAAGAATAACTTGGGTTGGCCGGGTGCAGTGGCTCAAGCCTGTAATCCCAGCACTTCGGGAGGCCGAGGTGGGAGGATCACGAGGTCAGGAGGTCGAGACCATCCTGGCTAACACGGTGAAACCCCGTCTCTAATAAAAATACAAAAAATTAGCCAGGCATGGTGGCAGGTGCCTGTAGTCCCAGCTACTCGGGAGGCTGAGGCAGGAGAATGGTGTGAACCCGGGAGGCAGAGACAGAGCTTGCAGTGAGCAGAGATGGTGCCACTGAACTCCAGCCTGGGTGACTGAGCAAGACTCCGTCTAAAAAAAAAAAAAAAAAAAAAATTATTTGGGTTAAGGTCTCGGCCCTTCCCTTTCTTAAATGCATGACTCCAAACAACAAACTGCATTTCTTTAAGCCTCACTTTCCTCTTTTGTAAAATAGAGGTAATAATAGTTCTCATTGGAATTAAATGAGATAGTAAGTAAGTGCTACAACTACTTAGCTCAGCATCTGAACATCAGAAAATCTCAACAAATTACATTCTTCTTTTAAAAAAATTTTTAGAGACAGGGTCTCACTCTGGCACCCAGGCTGGAGTGTAAAGGTACAATCATGGCTCACTGCAGTCTCAACCTCCTGGGTTCCTGAGACCCTCCCACTTTGGCCCCCCAGAATGCTGGGATTACAGGAGTGAGCCACCATGCCCAGCCAACTACTATTAGTATTCTTGATTCCCTTATCCCTAAACGATGGTAGAACTAACCATTCCACATTTATCACACTTGTGTAAAGTCCCTACTAAACTTCTGGAATCTTTTAGAGGGCAAGAAATATATCTTATTAATCTTTATATCTTCAGAACATAACTGTAATTTGGTACCTGACATAAAAGCTTTAATGTTAATATTGATAACCATCATTTATTTAGTGTTAATTTTGTACCAGATACTGTGCCTAGAAGTCTATAAACGTAATTCTCATAACACTACCATTAAGTATATTTTAATTATTTTTCCATTTTAGGAGACTCAATCAGGTTACCTTAATTTCTCAAGACCATTCAGCTAGTAAGTGATAAAACAGGAGCTAGAATTTAGGTCTACCTAACTGTAAGATTTTGCTCTGCATCCCTTTACTGCAATCAGAAAGGATAGGTAGATGGATGGATGGATGGATTGACAAATGAATGGATGGATGGATTAGTGGATGAATGGATTTATGGATGGATAGAAGGACAGATGAATGAAGACTGTTCTTGGCCATTCCAAATTTTGCCCTGTTATTCTTTCACCTGTATAATCCAGAACATACATAGGTTGTGCTGCAATGTGTTAGCAATTAACCACACAGTAACTAGAATTATATCCATTATTTTTTATTCAACTTAAAACTCCTCAAGGAAAGGGTGATATTTCTTAATTAAATTGATACTATATGAGGCTCCCCTCTGCTCTAAGAATAATTGTTGACTTTTTAGGGAAAATCTAGGTAGTATGGTACGATAAGTAACTTCACAGGCTCTAGAACCAGACTGCCTACATCTATTTGGCTACATCACTTAGTATTTGTGTAACCTTGGGCAAATTACCCAACCTTACTGGGCCTTAGTTACCAAAGCTGCAGAGTGAAGATAATATTGGACTAATAATTGGATTTAGTATAAATGGTTGAGAATCATGCATGTAAATTTTTTTGAACAGGACCTGGCACATATTATGTGTTCCATACATTTTAGCTATTTTGGGGGGAGTGTATGTCTCCCTTACATAAGCACGTGTATTAGATACGATTTTCTAAATCACAAATGGTCTTAATGTCATAAGAATAACCTTAAACCACAGATTTGAACTTTATTTTTATGTGTAGTGTAGTCAGTATTGTCAAACTAACGTCATATTTATTGTGTGTGTGTGTGTGTGTGTAACAGCTTCTTAAATTCTAGTCATTCTAATAAGATTATTTTATGCAGTGTTTCCATTAATCACTGCAACTCAGTAGGTATCACTACCCTAATCAAAGTGTATTGTAGAGACTCCCCAACTAAAAGTGATAGAGCTGGAATTCAAACTCACATCTTGCTGAATCCAAATCCCACCCTCTTTTCACAACTCCAGGCTGACCACCTTGTTTCACCATTTTGTCTCAGCCTGGCAAGAGGTGTTGAGAGTTAAACATGGGTACGCTTTATTTCACAATCCCTGCAAGATACAAACACTAGCTCCAAACCTGCCTGTATAGGTAGTCTCTGGGGAACCACTTGCATTTTTGCTATCTCGAATCAAATACAGCAGACATGGAAAGATGTCATATTGCAAATCCTTCCCAGAGATTCTGTGTTTACACGCTAGTGACAACTTTGCCTTTGCATATGTAGACTTAAAAAAAATCCCTGACAGGTAAAATGTAGTGATGTGTCTTCTTTTAACAGGAACTCCTACACAGATGTATTTCCACCAGAGCAAACTCCCCCATGGAGCCATGATTTTCCATCAGGATTTTTCTGTTTGACACAGTTGCATGGGTTGGGTGAAATTCTTATCAAAATTCCACTGGAATGATGAACATACTTCAAATTATAAAATTCTTCTCAATATAAAATGTATGACTTGCTAAGAATAAATATCCTGACCCAGCCTTGGTTTTGATCTTCCTTTCAAGCTCTTGAAAGGCAATAAGTATGTCCAGTTAGGTAGAGTCTCCAGCATACAGGACAGTGCTTGGCTCAGACCCTAATGAAGAAAATAACACTAAGATAGGCAAATAAAGGAAGCAGCATACAACAAGATAGAAAAGAATCAAGTGGGTGCAAAAAGGTAGAAGTAAGACAAATCAGATACAAGAAAACAGGTTATGTATCTACTTTCCCAGTCCATGCATGTTAATTTGGTCAAAAGGTAAAGTAAGATTTTGTCTTAGTCTATTCATGCTGCTACAACAAAAAAAACCTGAGACTGGGTAATTTGTAAACAATAGGAAGCTATGTTCTCACAGTTCTAGATGCTGGGAGTCCAAGAATAAGATGCCAGCAGATTCAGTGTCTGATAAGGGCTGTTCTCTCCACTTTTAAAATGGCACCTTGAGTGCTGCATCAGAAGGGAAACGCTGTGTCCTCACATGGCAGGAGGGCAGAAGAGAGCCAATCACTCCCTCAAGCCTTTTTAAAGACCCTGATCTCATGAGGCTCTGTCCTCATGAGTTAATCACCTCCTAAATGCCTCAGCTCTTAATACTAACACATTGGTGATTAAACTTCAACATATAAGTTTTAGGAAATACATTTAGACCATGACAACCCCATTTTTAGTGCATAATTGACATAATAAACTGGAACTACCTCTCTCCCTCCCTCCCCTCTCTCTCTCTTTGTTTCTCTCTCCCTGTCTCTGTTTCTCTATTTCTCTCTGTTCCTCATTCTACTGCTTTCTAACTGGGTAAAGACCAGGTACTATAGAGATAGGATTTATTGTTGTTGTGTTTTTTTCCCTCATCCCTAGTCTTACAGCTAAATTGGGTTCTCCTCAGCTTTAGGATAATAGCTGTTTCTCCTAGCTCAAGGGCTAGCATGTGTAACCTGTCTTTCACCTTCTTGAGCTAGCTAGCCCAAGTACTTTTTGCAGTCCCATCGTTAGTGCTCTGTCTGTTCTACTCTGGCAATTACTGGCTTTGTTCTTTTAAGTGCCAGAGCAAGAATCTTGAGCTCTCTTACCACAGGAATTTCCTTTTTGTTTTTCCTCTGCCTTTGTTTTTCTTCTGAAGACAGGGCTGCAAAGATTTCCATATGAGGAAGAGGCAATTGCTGGCATGGCTGAAAATTTGGTAGGATTCATAATCACTGCGTTGCATGCAGCATCCTCTGCGGGTTGTAGGCTGGAGTATGTTTTTTTTATTTTTTTAAAGAGGATAGCTCCTTGTCTGTCAAACCAACCATGTAATAGCTATATCTTTGCAGCAGCTGAGATAGCTGACTGAGCTCCACATATTCACCGGTAGCGTTCAAGCCTTATTTATCAGAGAATGCATTTTAACATTAGGAGAAATTGTCACTACGTTTAAACATATGTGTGAAAAGTGCAATTCCTAAGCCTTAAATCTAATGCTTATATCAAAACACTATCTATGATAGGATCATCAAGCATACCATTCTGAACATCACCATGGCCACATAGTTCACACCAGTTAATCACTTATTCATAGTTTGAGCTCAGCCTGAGTGGTAAGCATGAGAAAACAGAATAGCAGAACAATCTGCATAAAAAATTAACACTTGTAATTTCAGATATTTCAGAATGTAAGTATTCTTGAGTTTGGTAGACAGATATGAGCTGCTTAAAACTGGAATATGAACATTTCCTTAATGGACAAAAACATATCATCCTGATCTCAGGCTTCAAATTATTGCTAATCTGTATATTTTCTATTCTGAAGGTGTTGTAGATAAATTTTTGCTGCCAAGGTTAATAACAACAACGGGAACAGAATAAATAGCTATTGGGTGAGAAAACAAAATAGAATAAGAAACAAACTGCAGATGGCTTCAAATAAATCACATGTAAATATGATGGAAAAATACAACTGTTTTAGGTACAGGAAAGATTTGAAGTATTTTTTTTTCTTTTTCTTTTCTTTCTTTATTTTTTATTTATTTATTTATTTATTTATTTATTTATTTATTTATTTATTTTTTGAGACAGTCTCACTCTGTTATCCAGGCTGGAGTGCAGTGGTGTGATCTTGGCTCACTGCACCCTTCAGGTTCAAGGGATTCTCATGTCTCAGCCTCCAGAGTAGCTGGGATTACAGGTGCACACCACCATGCCCAGCTAATCTTTGTATTTTTAGTAAAGATGGGGTTCCATCATATTGACCAGGCTGGTCTTGAACTCTTGACCTCAAGTGATCCGCCCACCTCGGCCTCCCAAAGTGCTGGGATTACAGGCATGAACCACCGCACTGGCCTTTGATGATTTCAATATAATCTGGAAAATGAAGTTAGTATTTAACACATAATTGCATATTTGGATTTTAGAGATAATCATGTTAGTCTTTATCCCCAAATACTTTAATATCTCCCTTTTACCCACCATAGATTTCAAACCCTTAGGAGAAAACTCCTTTCTCCTTTGATATAAACTTGGCTTTTCCAGTTTTCCATTCCATCCTGCATTTCTGCAAGATTGAACGAATACCATAATTCCTCATCTTCTTTCCCTTGCTTTCCTATCTTTATATTCACTTGCAATGTCCTTTTCTGACTTTATGCAAAGGACCCCAACCATCGAAGTCCAACTCATGTACTTTTTCTTCTAAGATAGTTGCCTCTAACAAATAGTACTCTTCATACTATGAAATCACCCATATTTGTTATTTATTTCTCATTGTTCTTGTCTCATGTTATCTTTCACTACAGTTAATTTGGTTTGTGTGTCCTTATAATCTATTTGATTATATGGCTCTTGAAATTTCCTTTAGCTTTTTCTGATATCTACTGTTCCATAATATAGGTGCATTGACTTGTCATTTATTTATTCATTCATCAATTCGTATCATTAAAATAAGTGCTATATTGTAAAAAGAAAAAAAAATTATCATGAGATACTATCCTAACTGAGGTCCTTCCATCTTTAACCGGTGGATTACATGTTCTTTTTTTCATCCAACACATGTTTATTGTTTCCTATGCATGGGAAACAATTTCTTCTGCCCAAATTTGTTTTCTCAAAACAATTTATCTGCACTACTGTTATAGCTCTGATGATGTTATATAATAGTATTCTGCCTTCTATAAATTTCTAATATATTCCTCTTGGCAGAAACCATGCCATTCAGTTTTAAACTCCCTGTACCTAGCACTGAACAGGCTTTCAATAAATATCTGCTCAATAAATATATGGTTTGGATGCATTGATAGGTGTAAGAGCAAATGCGTAAATGAATTTAGGAATTTTCAAAAAAGAAAATAATATGGTTGTTGTAAGCCTATTATGTTTGGAGGCAGAAATTCCACTTGAGAAACAATCCTTGTAAGCTAATGTTACAGAAATTAAGTGTTAACAATGAGAATTGTAAAAGAGGGATCATCAAGGCAGAGATAACTTATGAGGCTCACATTTTCTTAGAATAAAGATAAGTAACTTTTAACCTATAAGCTTAGCTCCATTCCATCCTTCCAGCCACCAAAACCCAAACACTCATGCTTTATCAGATATCTTGGGGCTCACAGTGGTACTCGAGAGCTCTTTCTATGCCCTGAGTATTTACTTTCTGATTTGGAAAATTCATGTTATTAGCATTTGGGATCACTGTAGCTAATCCTTATACTTCCTTGAGTGCTATGAAAATGCTATGGAGAGAACTCCTAAGTATGTTCTTCAAATCCTTAAGAACTTTTATTTCAACACTAAAATGAGGGCAGGAATGATATCAAGCTTTGGATTCTCTTTGAGCTCCTGTTGTTTCACACTGATAGTGATGATAGTCAAAATCATCATCTTTGAATTACAAGGGCCACAAAGTACATATTAAAAATCAGTAATTATGTTTTACTGCCCAGCTTGCCACTGAGAATTTGAAAAATTCAATTTGCCTACTTCCCAAAGAGCTATGTAGTTTGTAAGCACATTATAAATTTTTATTTTACAGAAGAAAATGATGAAAGCACCTGGTGATTTCCCTAATGTTGATGCAGTTGGTTACAAAGCAGGCCTTCAAACACTCCTGGTTCACTTTGTCATGAAGATATGTCTATGCTACAAGGATAAACCCCTGTGAGGCTAGGTAAAGGTTTTGAGTGTATCTCTTATCTATATTCATAGAGATTTGGAGCCAGAAACAAGCCTGAAGTGATGTCCAAGAGAAGGGATCACAGCTAGATCTTGAGAGGTATACCTAACTAGGTAGTTCAATGAAGGAGAGCCACAGGGCTGTGGCAGTCAAAGGCCAGAGGGATGGAAACACAAGGACAAGAAGAGAGAATGTAGAATCAGACAAGCATTCAAATCATGACTTCAACTTCAGTAGCTACTGTATGATCTTAAACAAGTTTCTAAACCTCTCTGAGGCTCTGTTTTCTCATTTGCAAAAAGGAGATAAAGAAAGAACTCATCTCCAAAAGCAACTATGAGAATTCAGTGAGATTCCATGTATAAAGTACTTAGTACTTTATCTCAGTGAATGATTACCATCGTTATTAACTATAATAAAATGGGTGAGCTGGAGATATGGCTAAATAACAGATGCAAGAATGACAATTTTTTCTTATCACTCCATTGTAGTTCTCCTATTTGCTCCCTGAGTTGTGTTCTGTAGACAGGAAGGATGCATATAAACGGCGGGATAAGGGCTACCTAGTCTGCATTTCTAACTTTAATTTCATCCTTCAGTTAAACAATATACAAGAATATTTCTTCCATTTCACATGCAGTGAGGATGTCTGTATCACTTCCACAGAAGGATGTGACTGTCTACCTGGCTGTACTCCTGAGACAATGAGTTCATTTGTGCAGGGGAGGACAAAGACTGAACGTGTTTTACTTTGGGAAGGGGAGTTTTTTTAATTCAATCTTTATCTCAACCCCAAGAGGAAGGTATTCATAATCTTGTTTTCCAGCTATAACTGAGGTTCAGATATAATGTATTCTACCCAAGATTACCTAGCTAGAACTGGAAGAAACATAATTCAAATCACATGTCTTAGACTCCAAAGCTCATACCTTTTCTAATACCACTAGTTTTGCAAAATTAATGATTTTTAGTGGTTCTTCCTTATTATTTCAATTTTATGAACAGCAGTTGGCAGAATGGCAAGTTCTGGGTCAGGAGACAAGGTTCACTGCTTTCGTGACCATGAGGTCTGTCTCCATGTGGAGCCAGCTTCTTGGCTATTCTGCGGCTCCCTCTGCCATAATACAGGGTTCATCTGCATAATTTTCTAATAAGTGATATAGCTTCATTATGAAACTGTTCATAGTATGTCAGCTTGAATTTTACATATTTCTTTGTCTTCCCTAGACAACAGGAGCTGAGTGTGCAGTTAGACTATTTCCTCGAATTGTGCATTTTATCAGAGCATATCCCAGCCTTCTCCCCTCTCCTCTTCATTCTTGCATGGGTACTGTCTTGCTTACCCCAGCAGGTATCTAATTTGCAAGTGGTTAGGCAGGCACTTCTTTGGGGTTTTGCTAAGTGAGTTTATTCTCTGACGGTGTGACGGGTTATAGAGGAGTTTTGAAAAGAGAAGGAAGAATTTGGAGCTCACAGCTGCCTTTACTCCTGAAGGACAGTATAAATTCCTGCTAATTTTAGTTACAAATATGAACTCTTTAGGGTTATGATAAGTGCAACGTAGAATATGTATGCTGTATGCTGTTATGTTACTTTATAAATTTTCTAGGATTACAACCCTCGGTTTGTCATTCTTTTTTCTCTTTGTGATTCTTGGAATTGATTTAGTTGCTATGGGAAAAAAAAAGGAGAATGAAAAAAAAAACAATCTGAGAGACTTTAGGATTTAAGATTCCAGACAGCTTAAAAATTGTAACTAGTTCTCTAGGCACAGCTAGAGAACCACTTGTTCCTAATTGTACCTAGTTATCTAAACAAAGTAAACTTTAGCAGGATTTGCAAGTCAACAAATCCTTTTAGAAGCCAGACACTAATAAGAGTAATTTTTTTTTTAGTATTAACTGTGTGCTAGATAATGTCTTTCTTTTAGCAAAGTCCACTGTAGCAGAGATTGCTGATACAAATATTGTCAGGGGGCAGATAAGAACAATGACTAACATTTCTTGAGGATTTTCTAAGTGCCATTTCCTGAGGTAATTGCAGGTAGTATTGCATGTAATCATTATGATTTCATTATGATGAAATAGGGACTGTTATTATCATCATTTTATAGATGGAGAATCTGAAGAATCAAAAAATGAGTCAATCAGCTAACAAGTTATAAGGTAAGGTCACCAACCAAGACAACTGACTCCAGTGCTTGTCTTTAACCCTAAGCTTGAGTACCTTCTACATGTCTAGATTATCTAAGAATAAGTCAGTAATGAGTAATTTCAGAATAAGAAACTGGAAAATAGAGGACTGCTTAAAGCATTTAAATTAAATGATGATGATGATGATGATGACGATAATGATGATAAATGTTCAGAACAAGAAAAACACATATTTGAGCCAGTTTACACCTCTGGGTTGCCAGGGTGTAGCAGCGGATGCTGATTTAAAGCAAAATTAAATGGATTTGTGGACTTGAAACTTGCAAATAATTCTGGGGAATATTGACACCTGGCCTCTTACTTGAGAGAATTTGAAAATAATTGTCCTGTTGTCTAAACATGACCGTTTAGGCAAGGACTGATAATTTCAATGTAAAAAGTTGGGTCTATTTTTAGGCTGTTTCACCTACGTTTTTATGAATAACATTAATTTGAATTTTTTTAACATATAAAAGAAGTGGTGGTGCACTGTGGGGAATTTTTAGAAACACAATCTTCTTTTTCCATTAGAGGCTGTTTGAAGAATATGATAAGGTACATGAAGAAGGTTCATTGTTAGTTTAAAGAAACCCATTAATTTTCATTGTATTCTCATACTTTTAAAAGATAATGACACACTGGCTAGGAATACTTCCTGGACAAAAAAGACAATTAAATATAAAAGAGGTTTTCCCCACAGCATGTCACTTCTTCAAAAAGAAGACTTCAAGAAACTAAAGACCAAAATCAACATTCTTTTTAAGAGTTCTGAATTACTTTTACTTCAATAGATAAGCAAGCCTCTTTATATTCTTGTTTTTTGTCGCTGTTGGTTTGGAATTAGGTAAGATACAAACAAAATTTATTATTAAATGATTTTAATTTTCTAATACATTCACAAATAGAATATAATGGATAATTTATCAAAATTATTTTTGTTGTTCAAATAAGGATAGTCAATGATTCCTAATAATTCTTGATTATTTTTATTAGCATTTTCTACCAGAATCAAATAAGTACAAGGTCATGTCTATCAATCAGTAAGAGATTAGATATCTCTTAATTCTAAATTCTGAAACAACAGTTTAAATTTTGAGACAGGAGTTACACGCACAGTAGAGCTCAGTACCTATTTTTGAATGAATTTATGAATGAATGAATGAGTAGATGGATCTAATGTCAACTATTTGCAAATTCTTGTTCTTGCACACAATCCCCTTCTCAGATTTAAATCTCATTTCCTTTATAATACCATGTTAGTGGCTGGTAATTCAGTGACCAATTTTCTACATTATATTTCTTCATCTTATATGAATTGCAATAAATGCACAATAGAATTGATTCATTCATCTTATTTCTTCATAATACTCTCCAAGAAATGTTTGACCTCAGGACCAATTTGATTGCCAAGAACACTATTTCACTGTGTGGTTACAACTGCATCATGAGCTGATGACATAGTTAAAAGTCAAGACAAGAAACTCACCATAGGAAACATTTATTAGAGTCTTGTTTCAAAGATGAGTTTAAGAGAATGGAACTACCTTAAACAGTCTTGAACATTTTCAGTGTTATTTTATATATTTTCCTGATTTATTTTTAATATCCAAAAAGAGAACCAGGGTACAGTGTTTACAGTGTGATAATTATCCTGTAAAATTTACAAATACTTATGGCCTTTCTTACTCTCATTCGGTTTATGATGCCTGATAGCATGGGCCACTGTATTAGGATTCTCTAGAGAATATAATATATACATATCATACATCATCATTTATATAATCATACATAAAATGAGAAACTGGCTCACATGATTATGTAGGCTAAGAAGTTCCACAATCTGCTATCTGCAAGCTAGAGAGTCTAGGATGCCAATGGTGTAATTTAATCTAAGTCTTCAGGCCAGAGAACCAGGGGAGCAGAGGGCAGGAGAAGATGAGAAGAAATTTCCCAGCTCAAGCAGTGAAGTAGAAAATAAAAGGAGATGTATTTCTTTACCTTTTGTTCCACTCAGGCCTTCAGTGAATTGGATGAACCCCACTCAAATTGGGAAGAGCCATTTACTTTACTGGGTATACCTATTGTAAACCCCAAAATCTAAGACAGGTCTTAGGAAGTTTATTTTGCCGAAATTAAGGACACACAGCCATGACACAGCCTCAGGAGGTCCTAATGACATGTGCCCAAGGTGGTCGAAGCACAGCTTGGTTTTATACATTGTGGGGAGACATGAGACATTAATCAACATATATAAGATGAACACTGGTTTGGTCTGGAAAGGCAGGATAACTCGAAGCAAAGGTAGGACAACTTGAAGGGGAAGGGTCTTCCAGGTCATAGGTAGATAAGAGACAAATTATTGCATTTGTTTGAGTTTCTGATGAGCCTTTCCAAAGGAGGCAATCAGATATGCATTTATCTCAGTGAGCAGAGGGATGACTTTGAATAGAAAGAGAGGTATGCTTGCCCTAAGCAGTTCCCAGCTTGACTTTTCCCTTTAGCTTAGTGATTTGGGGGCCCCAAGATTTATTTTCCTTTCACACTGTTCAAATCTCATCTCATTCAGAAACACTCTCACAGACACATCCAGAAATAATGTTCAATCTGGTCACCCTATGGCTCAGTCAAGCTGATGCATAAAATTAACAATCTCAACTGCTTTGCAGTTTGCATATCACTGTTTTGGTCTTGTTTGAGCTATGTAATAACTCTCTGAGTCAAGTAGACCAAATATTGCTCTGTGGTAATCATGAATCAAATAAGGTTCGGAGGATCTATTTGATTATGCACAACTAAGCATGTGCTTAACAAGTGTCAGAGACAGGACCCGAATCACTTTTTATTTTTGTTTAGGATTTTTTTTATTATTATTATACTTTAAGTTCTAGGGTACATGTACACAATGTGCAGGTTTGTTACATATGTATGCATGTGCCACAGTGGTTTGCTGCACACATCAACTCGTCATTTACATTAGGTATTTCTCCTAATGCTATCCCTCCACCAGCCCCCCACCACCTGACAGGCCCCGCTGTGTGATGTTCTCTTCCCTGTGTCCAAGTGTTGTCATTGTTTAATTCCCACCTATGAGTGAGAACAGGCGGTGTTTGATTTTCTGTCCTTGTGATAATTTGCTGAGAAAGATGGTTTCCAGCTTCATCCACGTCCCTACAAAGGATGTGAACTCATCCTTTTTTATGGCTGCATAGTATTCCATGGTGTATATGTGCCACATTTTATTAATCCAGTCTATCATTGATGGACATTTGGGTTAGTTCCAAGTTTTTGCTATTGTGAATAGTGCCACAATAAACATACATGTGCATGTGTCTTCATAGTAGCATAATTTATAATCCTTTGGGTATATACCCAGTAATAGGATGGCTGGGTCAAATGGTATTTCTAGTTCTTTATCCTTGAGGAATCACCACACTGTCTTTCACAATGGTTGAACTAATTTAAACTCCCACCAACAATGTAAAAGTGTTCCTATTTCTCCACATCCTCTCCAGCATCTGTTGTTTCCTGACCTTTCAATGATCACCATTCTAATTGGTATGAGATGGTATCTCATTTTGGTTTTGATTTGCATTTGTCTGATGACCAGTGATGATGAGCATTTTTTCATGTGTCTGTTGGCTGTATAAATGTCTTCTTTTGAGAAGTGTCTGTTCATATCCTTTGCCCACTTTTTGATGGGGTTGTTTGACTTTTTCTTGTAAATTTGTTTAAGTTCTCTTTGTAAATTCTGGATATTAGCCATTTGTCAGATGGGTAGATTGCAAAAATTTTCTCCCATTCCATAGGTTGCCTCTTCACTCTGATGGTAGTTTCTTTTTCTGTGCAGAAGCTCTTTAGTTTAATTAGATCCCATTTGTCAATTTTGGCTTTTGTTGCCATTGCTTTTGGTGTTTTAGTCATGAAGTCTTTGCCCAAGCCTATGTCCTGAATGGTATTGCCTAAGTTTTCTTCTAGGGTTTTTATGGTTTTAGGTCCAAAATTTAAGTCTTCAATCCATCTTGAATTAATTTTTCTATAAGTTGTAAGGAAGGGATCCAGTTTCAGCTTTCTACATGTGGCTAGCCAGTTTTCCCAGCACCATTTATTAAATAGAGAATCCTTTACCCATTTATACTTTTTGTAAGATTTGTCAAAGATCATAGATTGTAGATGTGTGGTGTTATTTCTGTGGGCTCTGTTCTGTTCCATTGGTCTATATATCTGTTTTGGTACCAGTACCATGCTGTTTTTGTTACTATAGCCTTGTAGTATAGTTTGAAGTCAGGTAGCGTGATGCCTCCAGCTTTGTTCTTTTGGCTTACGATTATCTTGGCTATGCGGGCTCTTTTTTGGTTCCCTGTGAACTTTAAAGTAGTTTTTTCCAATTCTGTGAAGAAAGTCATTGGTAGCTTGATGGGGATGGCATTGAATCTATAAATGACCTTGGGCAGTATGGCCATTTTCACGATATTGATTCTTCCTATCCACAAATATGGAATGTTCCTCCATTTGTTTGTGTCCTCTTTTATTTCATTGAGCAGTGATTTGTAGTTCTTCTTGAAGAGGTCCTTCACATCCCTTGCAAGCTGGATTCCCAGGTATTTTATTCTCTTTGAAGCAATTGTGAATGGGAGTTCACTCATGATTTGGCTCTGTGTTTGTCTGTTATTGATGTATAAGAATGCCTGTGATTTTTGCGCACTGATTTTGTATCTTGAGATTTTACTGAAGTTGCTTATCAGCTTAAGGAGATTTTGGGCTGAGACGATGGGGTTTTCTAAATATGCAATCGTGCATCTGCAAACAGGGACAATTTGACTTCCTCTTTTCCTAATTGAATACCCTTTCTTTCTCTTGCCTGATTGCCCTGGCCACAACTTCCAATACTGTGTTGAATAGGAATGGTGAGAGAGGGCATCCTTGTCTTATGCTGGTTTTCAAAGGAAATGCTTCCAGTTTTTGCCCATTCAGTATGATATTTGCTGTGGGTTTGTCATAAATAGCTCTTAATATTTTGAGATATGTTCCATCAGTATTTACTTTTTTGAGAGTTTTTAGCATGAAGGGCTGTTGAATTTTGTCGAAGGCTGTTGATTTTTGTCAAAGGCCTTTTCTGCATCTATTGAAATAATCGTGGTTTTTGTCGTTGGTTCTGTTTATGTGATGGATTACGTTTATTGATTTGCGTATGTTGAACCAGTCATGCATCCCAGCGATGAAGCCCACTTGATCATGGTGGATAAGCTTTTTGATGTGCTGCTGGATTCGGTTTGCCAGTATTTTATTGAGGATTTTTGCATCGATGTTCATGAGGGATATTGGTCTAAAACTCTCTTTTTTTGTTGTGTCTCTGCCATGTTTTGGGATCAGGATGATGCTGGCCTCCTAAAATGAGTTAGGGAAGATTTCTTCTTTTACTCTTGATTGGAATAGTTTCAGAAAGAATGGTACCAGCTCCTCTTTGTACCCTGGTAGATTTCGGCTGTGAATCCATCTGGTCCTAGACTTTTTCTTGGTTGGTAGGCTATTAATTGTTGCCTCAATTTCAGAGCCTGTTATTGATCTATTCAGAGATTCAACTTCTTCCTGGTTTAGTCTTGGGAGGGTGTTTGTGTCCAGGAATTTATCCATTTCTTCTAGATTTTCTAGTTTATTTGCATAGAGGTGTTTATAGTATTCTCTGATGGTATTTTGTATTTCTGTGGGATCGGTGGTGATATCCCCTTTATCATTTTTTATTGCGTCTATTTGATTCTTCTCTCTTTTCTTCTTATTAGTCTTGCTAGCGTTTTATCAATTTTGTTTGGTCTTTTCAAAAAACTAGCTCCTGGATTCACTGATGTTTTGAAGGGTTTTTTGTGTCTCTATTTCCTTCAGTTCTGCTCTCATCTTAGTTATTTCTTGCCTTCTGCTAGCTTTTGAATTTGTTTGCTCTTGCTTCTCTAGTTATTTTAATTGTGATGTTAGGTTGTCAATTTTAGACCTTTCCTGCTTTCTCTTGTGGGCATTTAGTGCTATAAATTTCCCTCTACACACTGCTTTAAATGTGTTCCAGAGAATCTGGTACATTGTGTCTTTGTTCTCATTGGTTTCAAAGAACATATTTATTTCTGCCTTCATTTTGTTATTTACCCAGTAGTCGTCATTCAGGAGCAGGTTGTTCAGTTTCCATGTAGTTGAGTGATTTTGAGTGAGTTTCTTAATCCTGAGTTCTCATTTGATTGCACTGTAATCTGAGAGACAGTTTGTTATGATTTCTGTTCTTTTACATTTGCTGAGGAGTGCTTTACTTGCAACTATGTGGTCAATTTTGGAATAAGTGTGATGTGGTGCTGAGAAGAATGTATATTCTGTTGATTTCAGGTGGAGAGTTCTGTAGATGTCTATTAGGTCCACTTGGTGCAGAGCTGAGTTCAAGTCCTGGATATCCTTGTTAATCTTCTGTCTTGTTGATCTGTCTAATGTTGACAGTGGGGTGTTAAAGTCTCCCATTATTACTGTGGGGGAATCTAAGTCTCTTTGCAGGTCTCTAAGGACTTGCTTTAAGAATCTTGGTGCTCCTGTATTGGGTGCATATATCTTTAGGATAGTTAGCACTTCTTGTTGAATTGATCTCTTTACCATTATTTAATGGCCTTCTTTGTCTCTTTCGATCTTTGTTGGTTTAAAGCCTATTTTATCAGAGACTAGGATTACAACCCATGCTTTTTTTGCTTTCTATTTGCTTGGTAGGTCTTCCTCCATCCCTTTATTTTAAGCCTATGTGTGTCTCTGCAGGTGAGATGGGTCTCCTGAATACAGCACACTGATGGATTTTGACTCTTTATCCAATTTACCAGTCTATGTCTTTTAATTGGGGCATTTAGCCCATTTACATTTAAGGTTAATATTGTTATGTGTGAATTTGATCCTGTCATTATGATGTTATCTGGTTATTTTGCCCCTTAATTGATGCAGTTTCTTCATAGCATCGATGGTCTTTACAATTTGGCATGTTTTTGCAGTGGCTGGTACCAGTTGTTCCTTTCCCTGTTTATTGCTTCCTTCAGGAGGTCTTGTAGGGCAGGCCTGGTGGTGACAAAATCTCTCAGCATTTGCTTGTCTGTAAAGAATTTTGTTTCTCCCACACTTATGAAGCTTAGTTTGGATGGATATGAAATTCTGGGTTGAAAATTGTTTTCTTTAAGAATATTGAATATTGGCCCCCACTATCTTCTGGGTTGTAGGGTTTCTGCCAAGAGATCCACTGTTAGTCTAATGGGCTTCCCTTTGTGGGTAACCCGACCTTTCTTTCTGGCTGCCCTTAACACTTTTTCCTTCATTTCAACCTTGGTGAATCTGATAATTGTGTGTCTTGGGGTTGCTCTTCTCAAGGCGTATCTTTGTGGTGTTCTCTGTATTTCCTGAATTTGAATGTTGTCCTACCTTGCTAGGTTGAGGAAGTTCTCCTGGATAATATCCTGAAGAGTGTTTTCACACTTGTTTCCATTCTCCTTGTCACTTTCAGGTACACCAATCAAATGTAGATTTGGTCTTTTCACATAATCCCATATTTCTTGGAGGCTTTGTTCATTTCTTTTTACTTATTTTTCTCTAATCTTGTCTTCTTGCTTTATTTCATTAATTTGATATTCAATCACTGATATCCTTTCTTCCACTTGATCAAATCAGCTATTGAAGCTTGTGTATGCATCATGAAGTTCTTGGGCCATGGTGTTCAGCTCCATCACATCATTTAAGGTCTTCTCTACACTGTTTAGTCTAGTTAGCCATTCATCTAACCTTTTTTCAAGGTTTTTACCTTCCTTGCAATGGGTTAGAACATGCTCCTTTAGCTCAGAGAAGTTTGTTATTACTGACCTTCTGAAGCCTACTTCTGTCAATTCGTCAAAGTCATCCTCCATCCAGCATTGTTCCATTACAGGTGAGGAGCTGCGATCCTTTGGAGGAGAAGAGGTGCTCTGGTTTTTAGAGTTTTCAGCTTTTCTGCTCTGGTTTCTCCCCATCTTTGTGGTTTTATCTACCTTTGGTCTTGATGTTGGTGACCTACAGATGGGGTTTTGGTTGGATGTCCTTTTTGTTGATGTTGATGCTATTCCTTTCTGTTTGTTAGTTTTCCTTCTAACAGTCAGATCCCTCAGCTGCAGGTCTGTTGGAGTTTGCTGGAGGTCCACTTCAGACCCTGTTTGCCTGGGTATCACCAGAGGAGGCTACAGAACAGCTAATATTGCAGAACAGCAAATGTTGCTGTCTGATCCTTCCTCTGGAAGCTTCATCCCAGAGGGGCACCCACCTGTATGAAGTGTCTGTCAGCCCTTACTGGGAGGTGTCTCCCAGTTTGGGTACACTGGGATCAGGGACCCACTTAAGGAGGCAGTCTGTTCTCAGAGCTCAAATGCTGTGCTGGGAGAACCACTGCTCTCTTCAGAGCTGTCAGACGGGGATGTTTAAGTCTGTAGAAGTTTCTGCTGCCTTTTGTTCAGCTATGCCCTGTCCACAGAGGTGGAATCTATAGAGGCAGCAGGCCTTGCTGAGCTGTGGTGGGCTCCGCCCAGTTCAGGCTTCCTGGCTGCTTTGTTTACCTGCTCAAGCCTCAGCAATGGTGAACATCCCTCCCCCTGCCAGGCTGCAGCCTTGCAAGGCAATCCCAGACTGCTGCGCTAGCAGTGAGCAAGGCTACGTGGTCATGGGACCCACTGAGCCAGGCACAGGAGAGAATCTCCTGGTCTGCCAGTTGCTAAGACTGTGGGAAAATTGCAGTATTTGGGTGAGAGTGTCCCATTTTTCCAGGTACAGTCTATCATGGCTTCCTTTGGCTAGGAAAGGGAAATCTCCTGACCCCTTGCACTTCCTGGGTGAGGCGACGTCCCACCCTGCTTTGGCTTGCCCTCCGTGGGCTACACCCACTGTCCAACCAGTCCCAATGATATGAACCAGGTACCTTAGTTGGAAATGCAGAAGTCACCCATCTTCTGCATCGATCACACTGGGAGCTGCAGACCGGAGCTGTTTCTATTTGGCCATCTTGGAATGGAACCAAGATTTTTTTCTTTTTTTAGTGCTGTTAGGCAATAAAACAAGATAAAATATCTCTGCCTTGAGATGGATGGTTAGGGCTATTCGTAGGGTCATGCTTCAAGCAGTTTATCAATTATTCAACCAAATGGCCTCAGGACATAACTGATGTTATGGCAGAGCCTCAACTTATGATGTGATTAGTTTCAAGGCTGATGGTTAAAATGAAAATCACTATCATTAGTATGCTAGTTTGCTATAGCTGCCATCAAAAAATACCACAGACTGGCTGAGTTAAACAAAAGAAATTAATTTTCTCCATGTTCTGGAGGCTGGAAGTCCAAAATTTAGGTGTCTGCAGGTTAGAGTTCTTCTGGGACCTTTGTCCTTGGCTTGTAGATGGTCATAATCTCATATTGTCTTCAAATGGTCTTACCTCTGTGCATGTGCATGTCTGTGTCCTAATTTCCTTTTCTTATAAGGACACCAACCATATTGGATTAGGGCCAACCCTCATGATCTCATTTCACCTTAACTATCTCTTTAAATGCCCTATTCCAAAATATAGTCATATTCTGAGGTATGGAGACTATGGAAACTGTATTAGTATGTTCTCACACTGCTATTTAAAGACATATTCAAGACTGGGTAATTTATAAAGAAAAATAAGTGTAATGGACTCATGGTTCTGCATGTCTAGGGAGGCCTCACAATCATGGTGGAAGGTGAAGGAAAACCAAAGGCATGTCTTATATGGCAGCAGGCAAGAGGGAGCATGTGTAGGGAAACTGCTCTTTATAAAACCATCTGATCTCATGAGAGTTACTATCAATAGAACAGCATGGGAAAATCTATCCCCCATGATTCAATTACCTCCCACCAGGTTCCTCCTACGACATGTGGGGATTATTACAATTCAAGGTGAGATTTGGGTGGGGACACAGCCAAACCATATCAGAGACTTAGAACTTTAACATATAAATTTGAGGGAAACACAGTTCAGCCCATAATATTTAGGATGGTACTACATTTTAATTTACCAGAAGGCTCTTCATTTATGCCTGTCATTTCAGCCTAATTATCATTAATATCCTGTCTGACTCAAATGCTTTCAAATTTGTATGATAAATTATACAGTTATTTTACCTGTAGTCAAAATAATATTTGAAAATCCTTTAAATCACCCATAAAGCATAATGCAGATGTACCATTTCTCAGTAACTTCTCCACAGTCAGATTTTCTTCCATTATAAGATATAACAGTTTCTTCTTTGTGGTCATGTTGTATGAAAATGAATATTATTAAAAACTAGATGTCTAAATAATATGCTAGTATACTCTTACTCTAGCAGGTAAGTGGGAAGTGAGCATGACAGAGAAAGAAAAAATTCACTTCGCCCATGTTACACACATTTAGGGATGGGCATTAACTCAGTTGATGATGGGTGGTGTTGCCTGAGCAGAAATTTGTGGAAATCCTCATCTTAGCACTTCAATACCTTCTTCTAGGAAAGGTCACTGGGCAAGGTTGTCCTCCTGGCCACTGGGGATGCTTCACCTCCACTCGTAGATTAGAGCTCTTCCATTTATACTGGGCATAATAATCAGTTCTACAGCTCTGCATTTCCATGACACATTAAATTACATTCACCATTCATACTGGAGTCTGCAAAGAGAAAAGAGTCCAGAAGTTTGTTTCATGCCTTGTACTTGCCAGATAAATAACTGGGCGTTTGGGTGGCTGGCCATGTTAGCAGCCTGCATATTCCTTGGGGTATATTCAGTCACTGGTGGGGGTCTCAATTACTTGTAAGGGCACCCAGATTTATTACTTAGTAATTAAATGCTTTTTATGGTGCCAAGAGATTCCTCATCTTAATCATCTCTACTCCTTCATTAAAAGTTTATAAAAGACGTTGCTGAATGATAGAGCATGACTCAAGTAGTCTTTGGACTCAAAATTCTTAGTTAAAATGTCAGTGATAACCTGGTATGTTCATACCAGTTTTCTTTGGATTCCCAAATAATTTATTACTAATGATAACATACCAAAATTGGTGAATAATTTACTTTATTAATAAATAAATTAGAGTAATTATTTCTCTAATTATAATATACTTTCATTTAGGTACATGTTATTGAGAGAAAGAAGGAGGTAGAGTTAAAGGCAGCTGGCTGGGCATTGCTCATAACTCTAGTCCACCCACAGGAGTGTTTTCTAGATGAGAAACTCCATTACGTAAATCAGCACAGAAACATAAGTTTGAGAACTGCTGCTCTAGCTCTTTGGATCAAAGTTAATGTCCCTGAGAATGCTAGCCCTTGTGCTTGTACCCCATACTTGAAGACCCTGAAGAGACGATAGCCACATTTCCTGTGATATTAGCTACTTCCATTGCAATTTGTTGCTCCACATTTTGAGTACAGGGAGAACTGTGGGTTACCTGCCCCTGCACACTCTACCTTTAAGAACCCAGAAACACCCAGGGCTCTGGTGGCTGCCATGTTAGCAGTCTGTATGTTCCTTGGGGTATAACTAGTCACTGGTGGGAATCCCAATTATTTGTAAGGGCCCCCAAATTTATTACTTAGTAATTAAATGCCTTCTATGGTGCCAAGAGATTCCTCATCTCAATTTTCTCTACGGCTTCATTAAAGGTTTATAAAAGACGCTGCTGAATGACACATTGCATGCACTATACTAGTAGATTAATTCTTAAAAATAGCCCTTGTCATGTCCCTGCCTAAATCCAGTGTCTCCAGCGACTCCTCTATTTCAGCAGGAAAACATGTCTGTACTTTCACCTACAGTCAAAGCATTTCATATTCTGACTCAATTTACTCTTCTGCTTTCTCTATAGCAGGCACTCAATATAGGTTGGAAGAAGGAAGTGATAATAGCAGCTGATTATTGACTGAGCACTTACAATATGTTAGGTTGTTCCTCTGTATTTGTTTTGTAGATACTTGAAATAACCCCATGAATCAAGCACTAGTACTATTCCTATTTTGGACTTGAGGAAATTGAGATTAAGTGATGCAGCCAATATTATTTATAAATTACTAAATGGTGAAGGCAAGGTTCTAACTTAGCCAGACTAGCTATGAATTCCAGGTTCTTGAACCATATCTTATTTAATCTCCTTGCTCAACCAACTCGTTTATTCCCACCACAAAGTAATTGACAAAGCCAATTCTCTCAGGCAGAAGCATCTTTTTCATTTGTTCCACCTGGCCAGCTTCAACCAAACTATCAAAACCCAACTTGATTCCTCTCTACCTTGGAGACCTTCTGACTCCTTCAACCCACAGCTAACTCTCTTTCCCCAGAACTCATGGCACTCATTTTCTGCACCAATTATTTTGGCTCCTAGCATAGGCCAGATGGTAAAAGTCTCTAGGATTGTTGCTTTGTGTTTATTTTTTAACTCAATAAATGTGTAATGAATAAGTAAAATATCATAGCGCAGCTCTGAAGTATTACAGAGCTATACATTTGGGCTTCTCATTTATAAATAACTTAATGGGCTTCTCCATAAAATTTTTGCTATTTAAACAGTTCTATATTAAGATGGTTTGGTTTAAGGTTGGAATGAGTTAGCTGAAGCTGTGATGGTTGTCTTCAGGGGGAGACTGTTATGTTGTATACAGGCTTTGCTTGCTAACTCCCAAACAAGATGAACCAGGATGGAACTGCTAAACAGAATGCTGCATTCCCTATGCTGTAGGAGCACAGGCCAGAATACAAATATGCTTGCTTATGTTTTCTTCCACAGAGGAGCTATTTGCCAACACTCTGATTTCTTTGCAGTATAACCTGGCAGAGACAACTGTGTCTATTTTGTAAGCTTTTGATAACTTAACTTGGAAAACAAGTCTACTGAGAAAAACAGTTCTTTTCATCATTGAAGACTGTTAGTGACTTGATAATAATATATCTTCTCAGTTATGACCACAGCATCTGGAAATGCATGCACATATGGTCCTAGTCAAGAGGGAAAAAAATCGATATACCAGTCAAGCTCAATACTCCTGAAATCCAGGTAAGGATACCATGAATAACTGCCCCTTTCCATTGAGTCACTTTCCAGGCCACACAGCTGGCCTTTATGTGTGGATGAAAGCATTTTCTCCCATGTCTTCAGCACAATCCAAAAGATGGTCCTTAAGCGGCCTGCAGGTATGAGCATGACTCCTAAGTCTACATCACTGAGAACTTGTTATTGCTGTGTGCCCAGTGGAAGCCTTTAAGCTTTTCTGATTCTATCATGTAGATGGAACAAGCAGATTTTTTTTCTTAATTTCTCATGGCATAGCTTGGATGTATTATTTTATTATTTCTTATCTCCCTGAGACTCCACATGATCCCTACTCTTATTCAGCAGGAAAATGGGTGAGAAGAGAGGAAGGAATGAAGGGGGAAAATGCTGTCACATTACAAAAAGATGCTGCTGCTGATAAAAATAATGTGCCAAGCACTATACTCCATGCTTTATATGTAACATCTTACTTAAATACACAACACCCATATTCTGCAGATGCCTGTTAGAGCGTTGGATATAGTATGAGAGCACATCAGTAACTCACTGTGTTGATCCTTTGCCAGTTTGCTCTCAGATTGATTTCCTGTTCCTCCCTAGCTCTGCTTCACATCACAAGGAGCTACATTTCTCAGACTTCCCTGCTGACAGCCGTATGGCTGAGTTCAACTCATGGAATACACTGGAGGGAGATTGAAGGGTGGGAGGAAGAGAGCAGACAGAGTAATTCCCAGCTCTCACCTCACCAGTGTCTCTAGTAGTAGTGGCATATCCTATGAGGGTCTAGCTCCCTGTGGACAGCCTCTGGGGTGCCAGCTTCCACCAGGCTACTGCAGCATTGCCTGCTCCTTTGGTTCCTCTAGCCACAGGGAAGATAATGGCTTCCCCTATCTAGCTATTATGATTCTCTCCTGGTAGCCTCATTGTTCATTGTTTGGCTCCTAAGCATTAACATTACCAAGGCAGTAAGTTCCCTATATTAAATCTCTTCCATTTGAAATATCTGAAGTGGTTTTCTCTTTATTGGGCTCAGTCTAGTTCACTTGCGCAGGTCACACAGCTAGAAGGTTGCAGAACTAAACATTTAATCCATGTGTTTCTAACTTCAAACCTATATTCTTAACCATTATATTGGTGTTCCAGAATTTAAATTTAAAAATAATTAAAATGATGTTAGGTTTAAGTCTAGAAGTATGAATTTCACTATTAAATATCATGTTGATTTGGTGGTTTGATCGTAGCAAAAACCTAAAACCATGAGGTGCAGTATTGAGTCATCTTTTTTATCTTGGAAAATCTACAGTTGCTCTCTTAAATTGTATGTTATAGTTTTGCTGTTGTACGTGTGGTCTGAGTTTCGGCAGCATCAGCATCACCTGGGAGCTTTTTAGAAAGGCATAATCCTCAGTCCCATCAGAATCCATGTTTTAACAAGATTCCCCAGGTGATTTGTATACACAATAAAGTTTGAGAAGCAATGTACTAAAGAATGTAATTTGAGTGAAGCATAAAGATCCTTAAAATTTAAAAGATAACACCATAAAAAAGTTGTTTGTGAGTCTAAGTTTTCCACATTAAGGCACTGTGCTTTAGACTTTAGCCCAGCTTACAAATAAGCTGTCTTCCAAATCCTATTTGTTAGTGTGAGTTTGAAATTCATTTCCACATCAAATTCTGTTACGAATCTTGGTTAGGTTTAGAGGGTGGCCCATTAGAACTCATGATATGAAGAGTACCAGGTTAATTTTAAAGTAGAAAAAAGGCTCTTTATTCTTGGCTACAAGGCTATTATAGGCACTATAAATAGAATATAGGCACTATAGAATATATACATATATACAAATGTGAATATATATTATATATTATATATATAGAATTATATATATAATATATATTATATATATAGAATTATATATAATATATATTATATATATAATTCTATATATATAATATATATTACAGATTTCTATATATTATATATTATATATATACACACTCAGGCAGTGTAAAATATATATATTTATATATATTTAAGATATCTTAAATATCTTAAATATATATATTACACTGCCCGAGTTGGGCTTTGGCATTGTGCCACTCCACCCAGGATGCCTCTCTCCACTTCATCATTCCTTTCCAAAGTGTCAGCCCACTGTGGACCTCTACCCAGGCCCCCACAGTGCTCCAAAATGAAATCATACCATGCCACCTGCCTTCATCAAATCCTCCATTTCTCAACACAGGCCATTTTAGCAATGAGTTATTAGGAGCGTAATGGGCTTTAATTCTAACTAATGAGTGGATAACTAGTCATTTAAACACCCTCAGAGAAATTTCATATTTTTAAGGAGATGGTTGTTAGCTCAATTAAATCTCTAATTTGTGCATTCTCTGCTAATATAATAAAGAAAATGGGAACAAGTTCAGCAATGTTGAGGTGATTTGGTGAGGAGGCCAGCTTTTGACAGGGAGCATACCCTGGCCATCAGCCTCCATTTGCTTTCCCTGATAGTCAAAGCTTCCTTATTTCTACAGCTCTAATTTTTTTTTATTAAAAAGTGTTTCCATTGGAGTAGGACAAAGTTTTTCTGTTTAAATATGTGGTTTGATTAATAAATCAGAATTGCCTGTGATGTGAAAATCATTTGATTCCCTGCTATATTAGTTATCCATTACTATGTAACAAATCACCTCAAACTTAGTGGCTTAAAACAACAAAAATTTATCTCACCGTTTTCATGAGTTAATTGAGTGCTTCTGAGTCAGGATCTCCCATGAAGTTGCAGACAAACTGTTGGTTGGGCCAGCAGTCAACTCAATGCTTGAGTGAGGGGAAGATCCACTTTCAGGTTCACTCAGGTGGTTGTGGACCGACCCCAGTTCCTCACCACATGGACTTCTCCATAAGCTGCTGGAGTATCCTCATGCATGGCAGCTGGTTTCCTTCAGAGCAAGATCCAAGAAGGAGAGAGTATGAGAGAGCCCTCCCAAGACAGAAGCCACAGTCTTTTTATAACCTAAACTCAGAAGTGACATTCCATCACTTCTGCATTATTCTGTTGTCCAGAAGCAAGTCACTAAGTCCAATGCACACTCAAGGCAAGGGGAAGTAAACTCCACCACTGGAAGAGAAGAATATCGAAAACAGTATGGATGTATCTTTAAAACCATCACACCTACACAATACATAGGTGCAGTGGACACCAGAACTTTCTGTCAGACTTGAGTTCTGTAGTATCTATGCCTCTGTGTATGTCAATATTTGAAGAGAGCACTAACATAGGAGTCAGAATGCCTGTGGGCAGTCCCAGATCCTACATTTACTAACAACATGACTTTAAGAATTACCTTTAAAAATAACAACAGTAATCAATATTGTTACTTTAATTTCCTTTTCTGGAAATTTGGAATACTGATGCCTATTCTGCCTACATATCGGGGATTTTGTGATGCTTTAATAAGATAACGTACTTGAAAGTACCTGGGAATATGCCAGGTCAGCTGGGATTGGTTCATTCCATCTTTTCTTTTTCTTGCATCATACCTATCTGTCTCAGAATTAGCAGAATACAATAAATTCCATTTTTTTCTTTGGATTGGTGGCTGCTCCTTTTAGATTCAACAAATATAATTTATCTGCCCCACTGTTTCTTAAAACTCTCTCCTGATCTTTGCAATTTGGTTTCCAAGACCTTTGGCTATTGCAAATCCTATGAAATAATGTGCTTATGGATCTTATGCTACATCCACAGATGGCTCCAGGGCTTATTTCACTCCTCATCCTCTGAAGTCCCACTTTTCTCTTGACCTTTCCTTTCCCATAGTGAACAAGCCACATGAAGCTTTTATTCTCCTTGGCAACTTAACGTTTCTCTCACAGTCCACATTAGATGGATTCCAATAAAGTCCTTCACCCAACACCCAACTTCCTTTTGTAGGTTGGTCCTATAGACTTATCAGGGTCTGTGGTTATTGGAAAATCCACCACTAATTCTTATTGACTGTACTTATAGTCCTTTGTCAGCACATGTCTTGTGCACATAACTGTATGCTTCCTGAGTTCTTTGTCTCCTCTGTTAACCTATTTTCCTAGACAGTCATACTCCTATGTGATGGAGTGAAAAGGCACAGCAATGAGACAGACCAGAGACTTGAATTATGTTTATTTACTAACTGTGACTTTTACCAGTATTGGTAAAATGGGTCTCATAGCATCTACCTCGGAGTGTGGTTGTGATAATTTAATGAGTTATTAATAAAAACAGGAGAACAGAGAAAGCCCTTGGAACTATAACTGGCACATAGGAAGGGCTCTGAGCATTTGTTTCTTCCTGCCTATAAGTTTCAGGTGTGGCAAAAAAGAGCCTGCGTCGGAATCTACAGGGGACCTTTAAAAATGTGAATGTTTGAAGCTCCCCCTGAGACTTTCTGGGGGTGAAGTTAGAAAGTGTACATTTTGTGATTCCTAGGTAATTCTCATGGACAATAAATTTGAGAAAGACTGCTTCTAGGGAAATGCCCTGGGCTCATGGATCCTGGTAAAGACTTTCATAGACAAGCAGCATTTTTATTCTATGGGTCGAATTGTTTCAAGGAGAATAAAGAACAGGCTCAACATGATAGAAGCTATTTTACTGACTGAGGAGAGATAATAAACTTGCAAGATGGGGATGTATAACTCCCTAAAGAGATGCTTTCCCTGTCAAAGGTAGAGGTTGACATAGTACATAGATTTCTTTCTTTCCGAATTTCCTCTGGCATCTCTCCTCACTTTTTCTTATTTTTTTTCTCTCTTTCCTTTTTTAAGTAGTATCTACCTAAATATACCTGTGGCTTTCCAATAGTTCCACTTTCAGTGCATTTGTGACCTCATTTACTATCTAACTCCAAGTACATTATGTACATTTTTATTGACTTTGGACCTGCAGAACTTTTTCTATTTAAGCCTATTTATCATAGACTTAAAAGCAGCTTCACAAGTTTGCTGCTGTCACCAGTATTATAAGAAAATGCAGACTGCTATAATTGGGTCCATCTTTCATAAACCCTTTCTTTCTCTATTCTTATGTTGCTGGTTCCAAACAGGCTGAAGCATTTTCTTATGGAAGTGGAGAGCAGGAAGTAGTCCTTGGAAGGAGAACTCAAGGCTCAGAAAAAAAAATGAACAGTTTTTTATTCAAAACACATGATACTACCTAGGGCTCCTTAGCTCTAGGCTTAAATCACCTTCACCTAGACTACTGCCCCTTAGCTAAGAAAATGGACAGAGAATGATGTGTTTTGAGTATTGACATTTAGGGAGGACTTGTATCAGGAAAAGGACATTTCACAGAGAGGAAAAAAAAAGTGCATATACGTAAGTGGCAGGATTTTTTTCTTTCCTGTAGGGGATATAGCAAGCTGTGAGCCTAGCAACACGATTAGGTGTTTCATATATGAAATTAGTAGAGAATAAGGGGTGAATACATTTTTTCCTTGAATGATTGGGTAAGGCATTTGTAATTTTACTTATCAAGTTCTCAGAGCACAGAAAAAAGCAAATAAATCATGGCTTATAAACTAAAGTAAATTGGAAAGAGGACAGTGGATTTATTGTCAGAGGAAGTGTGTTCTAACTCCAGCAGTGAGTAGCTGTGTGTCCTTGGGCATGATGTTTAAGCTTTCAATTTCCTCTAGTGAGCAATAGTGACAATGTTTATTAATGAGTTTTTTGAAGATTAAAGGAAATGATATAAAAATAGCTTTGAATAGTCACAAGTAACTTTTTTTCCTATGCTGTATATATTATATATGTATGCAAGACGTTCAATTATTTTACCCCTAGGGGATGAATCTATTCTTTTGTCTCTCTTTCATCCTCTCCTTACCCTTGAGATGGATGTTCTTTTTCTAGCATTTTGAGGATCCCACCTTCCTGGGTCTGTCCTGGTGAATCCTCCATCTACACTTTTGAGTCACAATCTTGTCTCTTTTCTTCCTACCCCGTGCCTTGTCTTAGCTAGCTTATGCAGGGGGAAGCATGAGCTTTGCAAGCATGCTTCCAAGATTCCACTTAGGTCTGTTGTCATTGTTGTTGTTGCATCCTTGTTTCTTATTGGTATGGGGCAGAAAAGAAAAATAGTCCTTATAAGAGGGGACACAAGCACAAAGAAAAGAATGTGATTAATATTACCAAATAGCACCTTGTTGATTGCAGATCTCGCATTCTGCACAATGTTCAGTTTGAAGTAACAAGTCAGTCAACTACGGAAAGCAGTTGAAGATATCAGGCTCCAAATCAGATTAATGATAAAGAAGATTGAGGATTTGGGGCCATCAAAACTGTGGTGATAGCAGAAACCACAAAGCATTTGTAGTTTGTAAACAAGCCCACCAAAACTTTGCCAAAGACTTGAGGCCAAGAACTGATTCATGTATCTCAGAAATGGTAAGAAAGAAGCAAAAGGTGCAGGTTATTATGATTTAATTTAAGTGTTTCAAGAAGGAGATATTGTCATCATGTCATACTCTTCTTACTCCCTTGGGTCCCTTGGGTGCCAATAATTTGCAATTTAGGAAGGTAATAAGAATTGTTAATGAAAGGAAATGATTTAAAATGTAATATTAAACTTGATTAGCATTTCTCTTAAATTATTTTTTATTTGAAGACACTTTTGCATAAAGATATCAAAATGCATGTGTTTTATCCACATGTTTGCACAATTACTTGCCAAGGATATGGGAGGAGTGTGGAGATGGTATCACCTTAAGTGGTTCTCTGCTTATGTAAGGGAAGCAAACAGAATTAGAGTTGTCAATTTGTCATTTAGAACCAGTGTTAGTTTCCTAGGCTGCTGTAAAAAATTGGGTGGCGTAAAACAAAATAAATATACTCTGTCATAGTTCTGAAGCCCAGAAGTCTTAAAGAAAGGTGTCTGCAGGGCTATATTCCCTCTGAAAGCTCTAGGGAAAAATCCTTCCCTCCCTCTTCCTAGCTTCTAGTAGTTGTTGGCAATCCTCAGTGTTCCTTGGCTTGTCACTTACTCCAAAATCTGACTCTATTGTCATATAGCTTTCCTTCCGCTGTGTGTTTTCACATGGTCTTATGGAACACCATTTATTGAAATTAGGGCCCACTTTCATCCATCCATCCACAAAACTAATTTTGTCCACAAATACCCTATATTTTCCAATAAGGTCACATTCTGAGGTTCCCACCGATGTTAATATTTTGGGATACTATTTAACAAATTACAGAGCCTTTTATCTGCCCTATGCACATAGAATATAGACTGTGTAATATACGGAGCTGGCCATGTTGAGACAAATCTGAAAAATCCACCTAATGCTTCTTTCCACTGAAGCTTTAGTTCCCACAAATATACTTGGCCATTGAGTCTCACACTAAACTGCAGCCTTGTTTGTGTATCTGAGAAGTTTGTGTTCTGAAAACTAGAAATATACCTTTTTTTTTTTCAGAGTAGAATGTTTTTCTGGTTGCATATCAGCAGGGCATATAGTGATTACAGACAGAATTCTGAAATGTTTATGCCCTTTAGATGCCCTTAGAAGATGTGTGTGATAATGAATCTCAGTGGCAGTTATACCACAGCCTTGTACTATACCATAACTGCTGTTTATGAGATCCTGCCAAGTTATTATTCTATACATATCAGAACAAATCAGACATAACATAAATCAAGTTCTGTTCTTTTACGTGCAATAAACTTGAATTTAAATAACAGATGGCTTCAAATAGTTTCCTAAGATCAGACCTAAAGAATAATTAGAAGGAATAATCTGGTTAATACTGACAAGGTTTTTAAAATGTAAATGAACTGTTTTTCATTGAGTAGGAATTCATTTGAAAAATCTGCCAACAGATGAGAGAGATACTACATCTTGGAAAGCTTTAGGAGATCATAAATTTGTAGAGTTACAGTTTAAACATAATAATGATGATTTTGCATGGACCCCAAATTTTTTTCATAGCTCACCGATTAGGGGGAAAAATGATGATTAACATTGCCTTTTCATTCGTTAGTAAGAAGAAAAGTAAGTAGGCTCTTTCTGACACTCAATTTCCTCTTGTAAAGTAGGGAAAATAGTGCCTATGGTGTACAGAGATAAGTCACCTTACAAAGATAACATTATACAGACAAATGTAGAAATTACATAGAACTAGACATGTGCAAAATAACTGAGTGATTGATGAGAATACAAGAGTAGAGGAAACTGTAGAAAATTATAAGAAAGGCAAAAGGTTTTCTATACCATCAGCCCTGTTCTTTGGTAAGCACCAGTTATGTAATTCAAATTCTGAATATTTTCTCAGAGATATTCTATTGGGATGTCAAACTCAACATACATGACATGCATCTTCTTTTCTTCTTCCTCTGCCTATCATGCCTTTTGTTTCTCCATTGCTTTTCTGGCAGCACCAATTCACCCAAGCTTGAAATCATAGGAGATCTTGAAAGCTTCCATCCTTGCTTCTTAAATATAATCTCCAATTGCAATTTTTCCCCACTATGTCTTCCTAATTTTCCCACCTATTCCCTTTCTATTTATCCCCACTTCAGATCCCATAGTTAGGTCTATTACCTATATTCAGGAAATTGTTTCTGCTTCTTTATACAATTAACAGACCAGAAAAAGTCTCTTAAGGTATGGTTGTAACCTTGTCATGCTACTATTCAAATATATTCAATTTGCATATTATGTTGACGAGTTGTTTTGCTTTGTAAGCTGCTAGTAAGTGCCTTTCCATATCCTACGTCTAAACTGTATCATTCCACCTGTCATTCTATGAATTAAAACCGTGTGTTACTTCTTCTAAATTTATTCACACAATTTTCTCTGAAACAATTGCCTTCTCATTCTTATTACAGTTACTCAGCAGAATTTCAGTGAACAAATAGGCATTTCTGCAATTGGATAACACTGAGCTATCATAGTGTCATTTGACCAAAGTCAACCACTTACCTGCATGTGACCCTATAGTAGACAGCGATCATGCTTTATCTGTCTAGCAGCAAAGCACTTGCCTATTTAAGAGCAATCCCATTGTGGATCCTGGTAGGAATCAAGGACTTACTTCCTGCTATGGTAGCTCAAGAAGCTAAAAACATAAGCTCGGTGGTGTTTACCCCCATGAAACTTATTTAGGTTCCCATGTTTCTATAGATTCCTATAGAACCTACAGGAGCTAACTCTACTCTGAATTCTATAGTTTTGTATCTTTCCAATACGATCCTTTTTCGTTTACTTGTCAGATTAGTTTGTGTTTCATCAAATATAACTGATTAAGTGATGAAGAAAAAGAATCTGAGTGGCAGAATCAGAGAAGGGTGTTAGTAGATGTGGTATTTGATCTGGGCCACGAAGGATTAACGTGTGCTTGGAGGAATATATATATTTATATATATAACATTATTAATTACACATTAGTATAATCCTTTGGGTAGTAAGAATTATTGAATTATTACTATATGCTATGACTTTCATTTTGCTTTTGTTTATTATTTTTGTTTTTTGTTTTTTTTTTGAAGCAGAGTCTCACTCTGTCACCTAGGCTGGAGTGCAATGGCGCAATCCCAGCTCACTGCAACCTTTGGTTCCCAAGTTCAAGCCATTCTCCTGCCTCAGCCTCCTGAGTAGCGGGGACTACAAGAACATGCCAGTATGCCTGGCTAGACATCATTTACTAAAAGATTCCTGATTTTCTTTAGGATAGCAATGCACTATGCACTCAGCAATGTATTTAAAAAAAATGGTTTTCCAGGTTCCCATGTCACAATGTATAGCCAGTGGGACTTAAGTAAGTCTCTTGAGTGGGGTACCCTTCTGGATAAAAATACAAAGTCTTTTTTTTTTTTTTTTTTTTTTTGAGAAGGAGTCTCGCTTGGTCGCCCAGGCTGGAGTGCAGTGGTGCGATCTTGGCTCACTGCAAACTGCGCCTCCCGGGTTCACGCCATTCTCCTGCCTCAGCCTCCCGAGTTAAAAATACAAAGTCTTACAAAGGGAGGGATTTTGGTTCATTCTCCCTTGTTTCTTTTTCAAATCCAGAAGCAATGCTTAGTGATAAAGGAGCTATCTTGAAGCCAAGGACAAAAGCTACATATCCAGAATGGTGGAGCAGAAAGTGGAAGGAGCATGGGTCACTAGCGATACCATAGAGCCGGTCTTCAGCAGCCCGCCTCTGACTTCCTATGATATAAGAAAAACAAGACACTTACACGGGTGGAAGAAATTGATTTAGGTATTTTATTACATGTAGCCAAACGCAATCCTAATGCTAACAAACTGATCTTAAATAACTTGCTTAAATTAATATTCCACTTTACAATAGGAAACTCCAGATTTGAAGCCAGGTATTTTGCCTGTGAGGTCCATGTTTATAACCAATAATAAATCAGTTTATTCAAAATGAGGTACATTAATTATCTTTTTCAAAATTCTCAGCCATTCTAGCATAGCCAGTTGAAGCCTCTTAGGAGGCATTTTTTTTCCTCTAAGTAATAAAAAAAGAAGTTTGTACTTTAAAAATTTTATGTGGGAATACTAAAATTCTATCAGGTTCTGAGAATTTTCAATACCAAGTATAACTATAAAATAATGAATCTTTTAAACCACCTGATAAAATTCAAAAATCCAAAGGAGCATGTCTGTTCAAAGCTTGCACGCAAGGAGACTCCATTCTTTTTTCTGCAATGCTTCTTTCCATTTCTCAAACCCCCTGAACAGCCCTGCTTGAGAAGTGACTGTAGAATCAGCCTATTGGCCTCAGAAGAAATTGGTTTCATGGCATCATTTTAAAGTGAAAATAAAATGACTATCTGCCTTATTTGCAGATTTGATTCCACATTGCTTTGAGGGGTTTAAAAATCAAGTTATCGATAACATAATGAAGATTTATTACAGTTTGACATAATAAAAATCACAATATAACTGGCCTCATCTTCTCCGCTTCCCAGCATGTACCTAAACACCTTTTGCTCCAGCCACACCCTTCTCCCTATCCTTGCCTCTCTCCATATCCTTGCCCCTTTCCCTATCCTTGCCCCTCTCCCTTCACTGTCTTCTTTTACGACCCCACCTGCCATGCTCTTTCCTCTCCTTAAATGTCTTTCCTCCATTCCATCCATACCATCTTGGTGAATCTCATTCAATCTGCTTGGTGAAACCTTTCTAGTTTCTTCCTCACCCCTATTTAGATCCTGTGTGCTGTGTTCTCCCAGTACCTTCTACACGTATATTTAGGTGTGCTGTTAAAGTTGCGTATGTGTGTTTTGCATCTCCTCCAGTCTTATAAGCTCCCAGAGAGCATCATAAAGTCAAGTAGGACGGAAGGTGAAAGGAGCTTGAAAATTTTTCCTGTCCATCCCTTCATATTACAGATGAAGAAACTGAGACTTGAAGAGGTTAAACAACTTGCTCAGGTTTTCACAGACGGCAGGAGTGAGGGCTCAATTTTTGGTTCCTCCAATTTCAGTAGTACTGCCACTATATCATGTTTTGCATTCCACACAGAACCAAGCACAGAGGTATATTCAGAGGACATAGTCATGTATTGTTGGTTAAATTTGATATTTAAGAATCAAATTGGCAACTGGGAAAATTAAAATGTCTAACAGTACTGAGTTTTGGGGAGATGTGCACAAATGGGAGCTTTATACCTTGATGAATAGAATAAAAATGGGTGTAGTTTGGAGAAAATGCAGTAGTAATTAGTAAAAATGAAGGTGTTCATTTCTCAGTATCTGGAAATTTCATTCCTAGGTAATGAAACTCTAGGTAAAGGTAACTCTAGGGAACCCCTCAGTAAGTACACAGAGAAGATAGATACAAGAATGTTTACAGCTAAAGTGTTTGTGGTAGCAAAATACTAGATATCATCTAAATATATATCAATAGGAAATAGGATAAATAATTGTGGTTTATTAAAAATTTAATGTTATACAAGGTGAATATCGAATTAGAACTCACGTATCAATGTAAATAAATTCACCAAACATGATATTGAGTGAATCCAGCAAACTGATAAATAATACATATAGTTTGATACCATTTTGATACGATTTATATAAATATTCAAACTAGGAAAGCAATATCATATATTACATAGGGTAACATCCACATGCAAAAAAATATAAATATATGTGTGAGGACAGTCATGCTTAAGTGCAGAAATTATTGGAGATAAGGACAGAGAAAGTAGAGAGGGTACTAATAGACCCCAGAGCATCGGTAATCAATTATTTTAAAGCTTTGTGATTGGTACATGCATGCTTGTTGTATTATTCTTTATACTTCTTTCTACAAGCTAAACATTTCATAATAAGGTTTGAAAATTAATTTTAGAAACTGGCTATACCACTAGTTTGGAGGGCAGTTCCAAAGGGAAATATCCAAGTATACTCTGAGTGATATCAGAATAAAGAAATGTAAATCCAGTGAGGTGACTATTTTGGAGGTAACAGTAGTTACTTGGATTTATACTTTTTAAATGTTTATTAAAACAATCCACCTATTTTCTTGTACTAATGTTTGTTTTATGCCCACTTAACTCTGAACAAAATAACTGCCTTAGCAAAATGTGGACAGATAAATACAGTGATATGCAAGAATTTTAAGAGCAAAACAGGCACGTGTAAGGTGGCAACTGGTAAATCCTGGATTCTGCATGCAATAGACAATATTCAAATGCTTTCGGTATCATATTTTTTTGTGACTGTGCTATGTGCTGGCTATGCCCAGAAAATTTCAGGGGCAAGGGAGATAATCCATTGATTGTGCTTTCTGGATTTCTTTATAAAATTTTAGTTACTAAGAGCATTATAAGTTTTTTAAGGTAAAAGAGTTCAGAGAACATCTAGTTGCAGCCGTTGGTTCACAAGTTAAGATGCCGAGATGCTATGAGGTCCAGTTATCTTCCAAAGTCACAAGGGGATTTAGGGGAAAAAGGGCAGAGACAAGAACTGATGTGTATTTTTTTTTCCTACTAAATTGTGTGAGCTGACTACTCAGTAGTTACTGGTGAGTTGGAATTAGAACTCTACCCACTTCCAACAAGTTGCACTGGGGTCTTTCAGGGGCAGAGCTTTCCTATAAAATGGAAAAGGAGAGCTCCTGGGAATGTACTGAAGAGAAATGAAAACACAGGTGTAGAAAAAGACTTGTATACAAATGTTTCTACTAGCATGATTTGTCGAAGTCAAAATCTAGAAACAACTCCAGAGTCTGTCAACTGGTGATTGATCAAAACAATGTATTATATTGACAGAATGGAACATGATGTAGCAATAGAAGCAAACTGAGACATGCTACCACAGAGTTGGACTTTCACATTATATGATCTGAAAGAAGTCACACACAAAAGATCACATACTGTATAATACATTTTATATAAAATATCCAGAAGAGGCAAATCTACAGAGACAGAATGTAGACTAGTGTTTGCCTGGGGTGGGGGTGTGAACGGCTGTTACTGTAAGTAAGCATGAGGAATCTTTTTGAGGCAATGAAAACATTCTGATGTTAGATTTTGGTGATGGTTATATAACCCTGTAAATTTCCTAAAAATCATTCAGTTGTACACTTAAGTGGGTAAATTTTATGATGTGCAAATTGTACCTCAAAAAAAGCTATTTTAAAAAATGGTAAGGGAATAGCTTGTTCCTAAAAGACCTTAAGGTTATTTAACTCCATTCACTCTGCCGGGTACCTTGCTCTCCCTTCCATAATACTTATATTCTCAACACCCAGAGTATCATAAACTTATGCCCCTCAGAACACATCATTCTGAAGCCAAAGTTAACATTATTTTTTTGGAGATCTTAGTACATAGTGGGCATTTTAATCATTTCACCCTTTTATTCCCCCCATGACCCTATCAGATAGACATTATTATTAACTCTATTTTAATAATGAGAAAAAGGAATAATTTATTCAGTGTCATACAGCTGGCACAGAGTGGAGGAGAGACTTGAACCCTTGATTTCTGAGCTTTAACTCTCAACCACCATGCCACTGCCTGCCAGTTAGGTGTTCTATGAATGATTATTGGATTTAAAAAAAAAGATGAGTTTTTGTAGCTGGTTTCTTAAACTGGCTTTGCAACAGACAGTAGGCACTTGGATGAAGAACTCTTTGTTTCACAATTTAGCACACTTAGGAAAATAACATGCTTATTACTTCCTGTAATCTATTACTAAAGTGCTATGATAGAGTAGTGGTATAAAAATTTCCGAAGTTTTTGCACCGAGTTATTAAAGAACAGCAGAAGATTGCCTTTTGGCCACTGGCCATGATCCTTATCAACAGAAGCATCCATTCTTTCCTTTTAACACATCTTTAATTTATTACGGCAGGTTTATGTAGAAGATTTTTATTGATTTTTTTTTGGTTGTTTTCAAAGACAGAATGCCAGTATGTATTGCCATGGACTTTTTTTTTCTTTTTAATTTAACTGGTGGAAAAAAATTTAATGGTTAAATGTCAGCAAGAGGTAAAAACTATATTTAAATTAAATTATGGCTTTGGGAGTATAGAACGAAAAAATACAAAAGACTGGGATTAGATTCAGGAACTTACATTAAAATCCAAAAGTTGTACTAACACTTTGAGAAACTTGCTTTTCACATTAATTAAATGAGAATGATACAACGTACCTTACAGTGCTATTGTGAATATTAAAGGTCTATGAATTTATAGATATATATCTGTGTGCAGAAAGTAGTTGTTCAATTAAGGCTTACTGATTTTTTTTTAATTTTAGGTTATTTTATTTTATCACATTTGCTTGTCAACACACATTTTTTTAGATGCTTTACTCCATACTGGTCCCTGGGGGTAAAAAGACTTACAAGGGAGGCAGAGTACTTGCCTAAAAAAAATTTATACTCTAGGAGGGAAAACAAGTAAGACATGAATAAAGACAAGTATTATTAAAGCAAAATCACCAATTCTGTTGAGAATTAAGAAGCAATCAAATTATCAAAAATGGAAAAATTACATGTTTCTGTGGGATTGAAGGGACATCTATTTCAAGAGCATGACCAGATAATATGAACAGAGGTCCAAATGCTAAGAAAGAACCAATAATGAAAGGACTTCAGGGAAACAGCATTTCAGGAAGAAAGAACAGCTTGTGCAAAGGCTCCGAGCTGGTAAAGACCTTGGTGTATTACAGGAGTTCAAAGAAAATAATTGAAGCTGAAACATTGTAAGAACAATTAGAGAGGCAGGTAATACTTGATAAACCATAAAAAGAATTTGAAATTTTATTCTAAATAAAATTGGAAGTCACTGGATTGTTTTGAGGAACAGTATGATATAGTACACATTTTAAGAAACGCTTTGAATTGGAAACAGCAGGATCAGAAACAAGGAGGACAGATATGAAGTTGTTTCAGTACTAAACACAGGAAGAAATGGGACTCTCCACTGATGTAATACATTACAGGAAATGGAGAGAAGGGTTTAATCTATTTGGGATGAAGACAGCAGGGCTTGTTAAGGATTGGATGAGAGTGGAGATAGAAAAAGTGGAATCAAGACCAAGTCAGGGTTGCTGTGCCTGTGTTTCTGACTTGAGATGTTGGACAGTGCCATTTACAGAGAGGGGATTGAAGGGAGGTTTGAAGGTAGAATTGACAGTTCTCTTTTAAACAGATAATGTTTACAATATCTCTGAGTTATTCCATGGGACATAACTGGTCCCATGTCTTATCCATTGAGATGGATAAGAGACTTGGAATGCTGTTGGAGGTGTAAATCTGGAGTCATCACCATAAAAATAGTAATGGGCATAGGCAAATTGTTGGGGATGTTTCATTCTTCTAACAATAAAAAAAAATCAGAATCCTTGGGTTAATTTCCGTATAATATACCATATTAATTAGCTTATAGTATCTATCTGGTCCCAACAGAGGGGTTAATATAAAGTTCCAATGGGCTTCTGAATAGGTTATATTCTAGAGGACGGGGCAATCAAGTTTGCTGCTTCTGATTCCATTTTATGTAAATAAACTTGTCTGGATTAACACTAGCTTTTAAAATTTTATAGATCCTTGGAATCACTTGTTTTGGGATTGATTATGAATAATGCTATTAAACTGCTGGATGTTGACTTTCTACTAAATTTTGTACACATAGATGCTCTTATTATCATGTATACAAATGACTAAGGACCTACTATGTGCCATGCATTGTTACAAGTACTGGGGAAGAGATCATGTCTCTTCCCACAAAGTGAGTCTAATTGGGAGGAAACAGACATGTGAATTTATAATTACTGTGAAATATGAAACATCCCATATTCTAGGATGACAGCAAAGACAAGAAACTGATAAACGTCTAAAGATTAGAAGACATTTCATGGAAAACCTAGTATTTAAGTTGAATCATGATAGATGAGCAGAAATTGCTAGAAAAACAAGGTAGAAGAGAATGTTCCATAAAAAGGACATATGTAAGGCAATATTTCTTGTGACGATATTGATTATTGAATTCAGCACTTAGTATAAGACCTGACACATATCAAACACTTAATAAATATCTGTTGAATGAATGAGCAAACTAGTGAATAAATGAGCCAAACAATTTTGCTTACTCAATACAATTTACTGGGCCCCAGCTTCTGGGCAAAGGAAATAGATGACTCCTTGTGCATAGATTTCATGTTGTCAAAATGAGATACAAAATATATACTTGCATATGAAATTCCTAGAGACAATATCAACAGGAACATGATAATGTAGTAAAAGTATATGTGTTTATGTGTTTGCAAGGATTGAGAGAGAGGGAGAACAAGGGAAGAAAGGAAGGGAAGGAAGACACAAAATAAATTTTAAAAAGCATCTTGAGGGAAATTTCATAAAAGCATTAAAGGAAATTGCTCTGAAGTGACATGTAGTATAAGCTGCTCAATAGAAACTATGAACTATTGAGATCAGGAAGGGAAAACTGTATCTGCATATTAGTTTTAGCCCACAGAGCAAAAAAAAATAGTCAAAGTTGAGAATAGAAAGTCAAAACGAAAGACTCAATTAACTAAGGAAGAAGAGGACACAGTGTCTTACACATGAACAAGGACAACTATTAGGGACTGGGAAACAGTCAATAGAAGAGTAGGACACAGGAACAAATTAGGAGTTAATCCTATTTAATTTCGGTCCTGATCCAGGTTGGGCTTTAAAGGGGCAGGTTTTAGCTTTCTGCACCAATGAGTCGGTATCTTTAGGGTACCATTGATTCCTGCCACAAGTGATGGGCAAAGCACAAGGAAGAGAAGCTTTATTTCAAAAAGCAACAAAACAAATAGCAAAAAGAAACAACTGAGGCTGGAGTTGGAAAATTCTGCTAAAATTCATTTGCAAGAGGTAATCATTCACTTGAGGTAAGAGTAAGCAAGTTCAATGGCACTGCTTCTTATGTTTGAAGAGGAAGTTAAGCTCCTTATTCTTTAAGGACATCACTTTTTTGTTGAAAACCATTCATGCGGAATGCTCTATAGGGTTTCAATTAAATTCAAATAGGATTAAATACAAAATTATTTATTATTTTCTCATTGACAGAATTAATACACAAAGCTTTTCTGTACCTTGTAAACTGGCAAAATGAATGTCATCACTCATTTATCCAGTTTGTTTTTGTATGAAAGTGGATGGTGCAACGTTTAATTCATGGAATTCATATAATCAGAATTCTGTAACTATAAATGTTATTATCTATAGCTCTTATAACTTTGATTCCACTGTGTTCTTTACAGTCAATGCTTCAAAGGAATATTTCACAACAGTAGTTCTGATAGTCTAAACTTATTCGGGTTAACATGTTTTTGTATCATATACATGCTGATCAATTTATGCTATAATTGACAACTTCTTTAATTGTACATTTGTAAGAAATGATTCTCACTCCTTAGCGTTGTACTAATCAAATATTTCGTGATGCCTCTGCTGCAATTATGATTACTTTTGAAAAAGTAGACTTGCTTTTGAACACTACTGCACATTTAAATTATCTATTAGATGATTTATTTAATGTTAATAGCAGTCCTCATATAATTAGATATACTAGACTAAAGAGGAAGGTATGCTTTTGCTTATGAAGTCTGAATACATTGTTTTTTAATGAATTATCCTACGGTAATGAACGGGAAACCTGTTAATATGTTAGTTGCCATGTTAAGATTCTACTTAAGGAGGCCTTGAGCTCATCTCAATTTATACTGACAAGCTGGTAGACCTGAAAAAATGTAAAATTGACATTTTTAGGTTGTTTTTATATCATCTTCCCCATTGAATAACAGTAATTAGGCTAACAATGCTTATCATAATTATCCCAGTCTGTCACCCTCTTCGATAATCTTTCTACCTGCATGGTATTGTATGTAATATCCCCTCTTCTTGGAGTGCTCTTTCTTTTTGGCCTGGGAAACTCTCATTCTTCAAGACCTAATGTGAGTCTCGCCTCCTTTGGGAAGCCTTCCTTGATAAACCTTCAGACCCACTGTCAGCAGAATTAAGGCTTTCCTTATCTGAATTCCATAGCACCATATACCGTTCTCTGTACTGCTGATGATGTTTTGGAACTGTGTGTTTGAAAGTTTTCCTCCCCTTCTAGATGGTGGAGTTCTTGAAAGAAATAACCTCATTGTATTATTTCTTGTATACTGATACCTAACACAAGCTCTGATGTGTAGTAAGTATTCCATAAATATTAGTAGAGTAAAATCTATTGAAAAGAAAATCTCAAATAGGTATTTAAAACTTGATTATTTTTATATTTTCATGCATTCATATCCTGCCTGCCAGTACAGTCATAAGTTCAATAAGTATGGAAACTGTGTATGTTTTTCCGTATCCTCTTGGAAGTATATAAAACAGTATTTTTTAATATTGTAGATAATTAAATGTTGTATATTAGTTGTCAGTATTATTTATCAGTCAGCATACAATCGTAGAAGGCATAAAGTCATTATTATGTGCATGCATTGTTTTACACAGACTTAGCACTTATTGAAATTATTCAGATGTTAGGTTTATTTTTTGCTTTTGCAAGACTGAGGAAGCCTAGTATATACTTGTGATAACTTAAATACCAAAGAAGGCAAAGATACTTTGCTCTCAAGAAATGCAGTTTTTTCATTTCTGAACATGCACTGGGCTAGAGCCCACTGCCCTGAATGGAGAGTCATGGCCCAGCAGCATTTACCACAAGGTGACTGAAGTAGCCTGGGGCCTTGAGTGAACACCTGGGGTAGCCAGGTGGTACTCACCATTGGCCTGGGGCCTAGGGAAGAGACTCCTCTGTTTGTGGAAAGGACAGAGAAGAGTAGGAAGGGCTTTGTTTTGTGGCTTGAGTGCCAGCTCAGTCACAGTAGAATAGAACACCAGGTAGATTCCTGAAGTTTCTGACTCCAGGCCCTGGCTCCTGGATGTCATCTCTGGACCTGTCTGGGACCAGTGGAACTTGCCGCCCTGAAGGGAAGGAAATAAGCCTGGCTGGATTTGCCACAGGCTGATGGTGGCGCCCTAAAGAAATGAGTGAACACAGGCAGGTAGCCAGGCAGTGGTTACTGTGGGCCTTGGGCAAAGTAAATAAGGCACCAGTGCTGTACTGTCTTTGGGTCTGACTCAGTACAGTCCAACTGGTGGTAGCCACAGAGGTGCTTGTGTCACTCCACCCCCAGCTCCAGGCACCTCAGCACACAAAGAGTGACTCTGTTTGTTTCAGAGAAAGTTGAGGGAAGAGAAGAAGAGCCTCTGCCTGGTAATCCAGAGAATTCTTCCAGAAATTATCTGAGACCACCAAGGCAGTATCTCCATGAATCTGCAAGAGCCATAGCATTACTGGACTTGGGATGCCCTCTAATGCAGATGTGGCTGCAGTGACCAAAAATTTAGATCACAACACCAAGGTCTCTTTGAATACCTTGAAATCCTTTCCCTGAAGGACAGGTACAAACAAGCCAACCACAAAGACTACAATAAATACCTAACTGTTGAATGCCCAGACAGCAATGAATACCCATAAGAATCAAGACCATAAAAGAAAACATGACTTCACTAAACGAACTAAATAAGGCACCAGTTACCAATCCTGGAAAGAGAGAGTTATGTGTCTTTTCAGATGACAATTTCAAAATAGCTGTCTTGAGGAAACACAACTTAATTCAAGATAACCCAGAGAAGGAATTCAGAAATCTATTAGATAAATTTAACAAATATATTGAAATAATTAACTAGAATCAAGCAGAAATTCTTGAGTTGAAAAATGCAATTGACATACTAAAGAATGCATCAGACTTTCTTAACAGCAGAATTGATCAAGCAGAAGAAAGAATTAGTGAGCTTGAAGACAGACTATTTGAAAATATTCAGTCATAGGACAAAAACATCAGAAAGAATTAAAAAAGAACAAAGGATGCCTACGTGATCTGGAAAATAGCCTCAAAAGGGCAAATCTGAGTTATTGGCCTTGAAGAGGAGATATAGAGAGAGAGCTACGGGTAGAAATTTGATTCAAATGGATAATAACAGAGAACTTCCCAAACTAGAAAAAGATATTATTCAAGTACAAGAAGCTTATAGAACATCAAGCAGAATTACCTCAAATAACACTACTTCAAAACATTTAATAATCAAACTCCCAAAGGTCAAGGATAAAGGAAGGATCCTAAAAGCAGCAAGAAAACAGAAACAAATAACATACAATAGGTCTCCAATATGTATGGCATCAGACTTCTCAGTGGAAATCTTAAAAGACAGGAGAGATTGGCATGACATGTTTAAAGTGCTGAAGGAAATTTATCCTAGAATAGCAAATCTGGTGAAAATACATTTCAATCATGAAGGAAAAATAGAGACCTTCCCAGAAAAACAAAAGCTGAGGAATGTTATCAACACCACATATGTCCTATAAGAAAGGCTAAAGGGAGTTCTTCAATCTGAAAGAAAAGTATGTTAATGAGAAAATATCATATGAAGTTACAAAGTCACTGGTAATAGTAAGCACACAGAAAAACATATTAAGAACACAGAATATTATATCACTGTAATCGTCATGTGTAAACTACTCATATATTGAGTAAAAGCACTAAAGGATAAGTCTATCAAATAATATAACTGCAGCAACTTTTTAAGACACAATACAATAATAAGATATAAACAGAAACAACAAAAAGTTTAAAAAGAGGAGGAATTAAAATGCATAACTTTTATTTTCTCTTTGCTTGTTTGTTTGCTTATGCAATCAGTGTTAACAACAGTTTAAAATAATAGGTTATAAGGTATTATTTGCAAGTCTCATAGTAACCTCAAATCAAAAAACTTACAACAGACACACAAAAAATTAAAAGCAAGAAATTAAAACATACCACCAGAGAAAAACACCTTCACTAAAAGGAAGACAGAAAGGAAGGAAAAAAGGAAGAGAAAACCGAAAAAACAACCAGAAAACACATAACAAAATGGCAGGGGTAAGTCTCTATTTATCAATGATAACCTTGAATGTAAATGGATTAAATTATCCAATCAAAAGACAGAGTAGACGACTGAATTAAAAAAAATAAAATAAACAAAAAAACAAGACCCAATGATCTGTTGTCTACAAGATACACATTTCACCTGTAAAGATACACACTTCACCTGTAAAGATACATATAGACTGAAAAAAAAAGGTACGAAAAAAGATGTTTTATGCAAATGGAAACCAAAAAACAGCAGGATTGGCTACAGTTAGACAAAATAGATTTCAAGACAAAAACTATAAAAAGAACAAAGAAGAGATAAAGAGATCAATTCAGCAAGGGGGTATAACAAATATGTGTGCGTATATGTATATATATATATATATGTATATCCAACTCTAGAGCACCCAGATGTATAAAGCAACTGTTATTAGAGCTAAAATGGCAGATATACCCCAATACAATAATGTAATAGCTGGAGACTTCAACACTCACTTTTAACATTGAACTGATCATCTAGACAGAAAATCAACAAAGAAACATCAAACTTAATCTGCCATAGACTAAATGAACCTTAGATATTTACAGAACATTATCTCTACCAGCTGCAGAATACACATTATTCTTCTAAGCACATGGATTCTCAAGGATAGACAATATGTTAGGCCACAAACACGTCTGTAAAAATTCAAAACAATTGAAATTATATCAAGTATCATCTTTGACCACAATAGAATAAAACTAAAAATCAGTAACAAGAGGAATTTTGAAAACTATACAAACACATAGAAATTAAACAACAGGCTTCTGAATGACAAGTGTGTCAATAAAGAAATTAAGAAGGAAATTTAAGAAATTTCTTGAAACAAATGATAGTGAAAACACAACATGTAAAAACCTATGAGATATAGCAAAAGGAGTCTTAAGAGGAAAATTTATGGCCGTAAGTGCCCACATCAAGAAAGTAGAAAAATTTCAAATAAACAATCCAGCAAAGCATCTTAAAGAGCTAGAAGAGCAAGAGCAAACCAAACCCAAAGTTAGTAGAAGAAGTAATAAAGATCAGAGCAGAAATAAATGAAAAGAAAACAAAGAAAACAGTAAAAAAGATCAATGAAACATAAAGTTTGTATCTTGAAAAGATAAATAAAATTGACAGAACTTTAGACAGACTAATGAAGCAAAAAAGAGAGAAAACCAAATAAATAAAATCAGAGATGAAAAATGAGTCATTATAACTGATGATTCAGAAATTCAAAGGATGACTAGAGGCTACTATGAGCAACTATATACCAATAAATTGGAAAACCTAAAATAAGTAGGTAAGTTCACAGACACATACATCCTACTAGATTGAACCACAAAGAAACCCAAAACCTTAGCAGGCCAATTACAAGTACCAAGATCAAAGATGTAATAAAAAATATCCAAGAAAAAAACCCAGGACCCACTGGCTTCGCTGCTGAACTCTATCAAACATTTAAAGAAGAATTAACACCAGTCCTACTCAAACTATTCTGAAAAATTAGGAGGAGGGAATACTTCCAAACTCATATTATGTGAGTTGCAGGATACAAAGTCAATATAAAAATCCATAGTATTTCTATATGTCAACAGTGAGCAATCTGAAAAATAAATCCAGAAAATAATCCCATTTATAATAGTTGCAAATAAAATCAAATACCTAGGAATTAACCAAGGAAGTGAAAGATCTCTACAATGAAAACCATAAAACACTGATGCAAGAAATTGAAAAGAACATAAAAAATGGAAATATATTCCATGTTCATAGATTGAAAAAACAATATTATTAAAATGTCCATACTACCTAAAGCAATCCATGGATTTGATGCAATTCCTATCAAAATAACCAATGGCAGTCTTCACAGACATAGAAAAAACTGTCCTAAAATTTATGTGGAACCACAAAAGACCCAGAAAAGCCAAAGCAATCCTGAGTAAAAGAAAAAAACAAAACAAAACTGGAGGAATCACATTACCTGACTTTAAATTATGTTTCAGAGCTATAGTAATAAAAACAGTAAGGCACTGGCATAAAAACAGACAGATAGAGCAATGGAACAGAATAGACAACCCAGAAACAAATTCTTACATCTACACTCAACTCATTTTTTGACAAAGGGGCCAAGAACATACATTGATGAAAGGAGAGCCTTTTCCATAAATGGTGCTGGGAAAGCTGGATATCCATATGCAGAAGAATGGAACTAGACCTCTATCTTACACAATATACAACAATCAAATAAAAATGGATTAAATACTTAAATCTGAGACTTCAAACTTTGAAACTACTAACAGAAAATGTTGAGAAAATTCCCCAGGACATTAGAATAGGCAAAGATTTCTTGTGGAATATACCACAAACACAGGCAACCAAAGCAAAAATGGACAAAAGGAATCATATCAAATTAAAATATTTCTGCACAGCAAAGAAAACAGTCAACCAGGTGAAGAAACTTCTACAGAATGGGGAAAAGTAAGTACAAACTGCATCAGACAAAGGATTAATAACCAGAATATATAAGGAACTCAAAACAACTCCATAGGAAAAAAATCTGATAATACACCTTAAAAGTGGGCAAAAGATTTGAGTAGATATTTCTCAAAAGAAAAGGTATAGTTGCCAAACAGATATATGAAAAGTGCTCAACATCACTGGTCATTAGAGAAATGCAAATCAAAACTACAATGAGATATTTTCTCACCCCAGTTAAAATGGTTTTTATCTAAAAGACATTCAGTAACAAATGCTGGCAAGGATATGGAGAAAAGGGAACACTAGTACACTATTGGTAGGAACGTAAATTAGTACAACCCCTATGGAGAACAGTTTGATGATTCCTCAAAAAAACTAAAACTCATTTGATCCATAAATTCCACTGCTAGGAAAGGAAGTTATAATAGTATATCAAAGAGATATCTGCGCTCCCATATTTTTCGCAGCACTATTCACAATATCCAAGATACGGAAGCTACTTATGTGTCTATCAAAAACAAATGGATAAAGGAAATGTAGTACATTAACACAATGGAGTACTACTCAGCCATAAAAATGATTGAGATCCTCTCATTTGCAACAATATGGATGACACTGGAGGTAATTATGTTAAGTGAAATAAGCCAGGCACAGAAAGACAAACTTCGCATGTTCACACTTAATTGTGGGAGTTAAAAATTAAAACAATTTAACTCATGAAGATACAGAGTAGAATAATGGTTACAAGAGTCCAAGAAGGGTACTGGGGCTGGGAGAATGGGGATGGTTAATAGATACAATAATATCATTCTATAAAGTGAGTAAGGTCTAGTATTTGATAGCACAACAGGGTGGCTACAGTCAACACTAATTTGTACATTTGAAATGACTAAGAGCATAATTGAATTGTATGTAACACAAAGAAAGGATAAAAGCTTGAGGTTAGAGATATCTCATTTGATTATTACACACCACATGCCTGCATACATATCTCATGTATTCCATATATATATACATATATATATATATATATACTTACAAAAGAGATGCCATTTTTCAGTGTGGCCATAATTGACTCATACATACTTCAACATTTGATGAAAATTTGGCAACACTTCATCAATTCATCACCAGAAGTCATTAGGGATTCTTTTTAGATTTCAGTTATACCATCAATTCCCTTTAATTCAATTCTGCACAATTATCAATTATGCACATATTAATTGAACATTTACTAAATGTTATGCCTTGGGCAAATTGCTGTTAGATATAATGGAAATATTTTGAGGACAAGGACAAGCAGTCTAGAATTCTATTTCTGGTTATTTCTCTTATCTTTTAAGTGATTTAGAATGTATTACTTAACTTCTTTGACACCAGATTTTTAATCTTGTGACAGGGATATGAATCTGAATCACATAGATGGTTATTTAACAAAAACAGGAGTGGTATAGTGTTTGGCATCTAGTTGCTTCTCAACAAACATTAAACTTCGGATTCACTTAAATGAAGTGTCCCTTTTCACCATGTCACCATTTATACAGTAGAAGAACGAAGCAGGAAGGACTCCTTTAGAAGGCCGGTGCCAGCTACAAACAATGGGACTCTAGATTGTTTTCCAGATGTCCTTATTTTAACAGCATTATTATGTGTTGTATTTTTAGGGGAGAATGTGTGCCAGGATGGTATTATAATTCAGTTTCAATTACAGTAACTGTTATGTGTTATAGGCTAGCCAAAAGTTGGCAGGTAGCCTGTGCACAAGCCCTGGACTTAATAGGAGTAATGGCTTTGCAAGCCCACTTCAGCTCCTCATTACTGTCTCCTTCTGATTTAGTTGTGGCCTCCTCCCCTGAGGTTGGTTGTTGATACCATCTCCTCAGCTGGCTCAGGTTTCTGGAAAGATGTTCATTCTGCCTTAGAACTGCCAGAAATCTATTTCTTATATTTTCTGTTAAATACAGTGGGACAAAACATAGTCCCTCATTTCCTTCCTTCCTTCCTTCCTTCCTTCCTTCCTTCCTTCTGTCCCTCCCTCCCTCCTTCCTTCCTTCTTCCTTTCTTCCTTCCCTTCCTCTTTTTCTCCTTCCCTCCTTTTCTTCCTCCCTCCCTCCTTTCCTTCCTTTCTTCCTTCCTTCCTCCCCTGCCTCTGTCCCTCCCTCCCTCCTTCCTTCCTTTTTTCCTTCTCTTCCTTCCCTTCCACCATTTCTCTTTCCCTCCTTTTCTCTCTCCCTCCCTCCCTCCTTCCCACCTTTTTCCTTCCTTCCTTCCCTCTGTCCCTTCCTCCCTCCTTCCTTTCTTCCTTCCTTGCTTTTTCCTTTCTCCTTCCTTCCTTTCCTTCCTTCCCTTCTTCTTTTTCTCCTTCCCTCCTCTTCTCCCTCCCTCCTTCCTTCCTCTCTCCCTCCCTCCCTTCTTTCCTTCCTTCCCTCCTTCCCCACTTCTCCCACTGCCTCCCTCCTGCCTTCCTTCTCTCCTTCCTTCTCTCTCTTCACATTCTTCCTTCCCTTCCTCCTTCCTTGTTTCTTCCTTCATTTTCTTCTTCCTCATACTCCTGTTCTTTTATTCTCCCTTCTTCTCCCTCTTCCTCCTCCTACCCCTCCATCTTCCATGTTGTATTGCTACCCACTTAATCCTTTTGCCAAAAGCCTTCTTCGTATTGTCTACCCATTTAATATTTTATTCCGTTTTTCTTACTAGTTCTATCTTGTAGAACACTTAGATGTCTTCTCTATTACCTATATTTACATCTTCCCAATATCTGTAGATTCTTATCTTCCCTGGTTGTCACTTAGCCACATAATAGGCATTTATCTCCTTTAATCTAGCCTCATAAATCAAACCTTTCTTTTCCCTACTCATCTTTTTATCATTCTCTAAATGGTTTTTAATTTGTCTTTGTCTTTCTGGAATGGAAGTGCCTCAAACTAAATGCAGGATTCAAGGCTGAAACCTTGCTGGCTGCATTTTGCCATTCTTTCATTCTGAACAAACATTTCATAACAAATAACCATAGTATGGCTCTTTATCTTGCCAGTTCATTACTTTGCAAATGTATGCAGAATAAGTTCTTACTGAGGTCTTTTGAAGTAGATTAAAAAATGCATTTTTTCCAGAACTCAGGAGGCCAAAGGTTTAAACTCAGATTTACCACAATTCATGACCTTTCAGCTAAAATTCTGTAGGACTAACTTTCCTCTTTTTTTTTTTTTTTTTTAAGACAGATTCTTGCTCTATTGCCCAGGCTTGAGTACAGTGGCACCATCTCAGTTTGTTGCAACCTCTCGGGTTTAAGCAATTTTCCTGCCTCAGCCTTCAGAGTAGCTGGGATTACAGGCACGTACCACCATGCCCAGCTAATTTTTGTCTTTTTAGTAGAGATGGGGCTTCGCCATGTTGGCCAGGCTGGTCTGAAATTCCTGGCCTCAAGTGATCCACCCGCCTTGGTCTCCCAAAGTGCTGAGATTACAGGCATGAGCCACCGCTTCCGGCCTAGGAATCAATACTGTCATATCTCATGTACAGGACCTAGACTGGGGCCAGGCAAGCAAAGCTCACAGGGTAATTGCAAATCCTGAGAATGAGCATCACCTTACATTTTGCATCTAAGATGCCTCACTAAAACAATATAGTAGGTAGAAAAATCCTTTAAAAAATGCTAACACATAAACACATATAAGATCTCACCATCATTGTTCTTAACCAGTTCTACCCAACACAATTTGTTAGCAATAGAATGATTATACACTTGGAGCTCACCTATGCCAAGCCCTTCTCTATAGTTTCCTTGACTCACTCTTTCAAGTTTCCCAGTGCCCGAGTATGCTAGCCCCTGCTTAGCCAGGCACCTTCAGGCCAGAGCACCTAAATTGGTAAACCATTCAATCACAGAGATTATTTCCTCATTGTGCCATCAAAATGTAATTATTTAGATGCCTGTTCCCTCCAAACTCTGCTTATCTGCTTCCTTGAAGATAACTTGCTTATCAGATGAAATTGTGTTTGTTGTTGTGTCTGTAATGAAGTACTGGTTTAATGTGTAATCTGTTTCAGATCACAAATTTACAATTTCAATAAGGTTAACTGTAGAAATGATGCTTTTCTCTCCAAATGCTCTAATACATGGTTTAGAAAACTTTCCTGATGATGAACTACAGTAAGAAGTGCATTTTTTATCATAACCAGGAACATATAGAAAAACACAAATAAATATAACTGAAAAGGATTTCACAAAATAATGCCTTTTCTATTTGCAAAACACTCACCAGTTCTATCCTATTCTTTTTTCTTTTTCTTTTCTATTCCATACTGCTAATCATGAACTCATCAAGTTGATTTTGCTATCCATTAGTGGGACACGACCAGTTTTGTAAAACAAAAACACACCCTAAAGGATTCTGTTTTTGTGGAAGTGAGCTGATTGTTGTGGAAAAGTTTTTGACTGATGTCTGTTTGGATCTGTGTGTGTGTCTTGTGTGCATCTGTGTAGGGTGGCCAGGAGAATATACTGGATGGTCTTGACCATGGGTAGAAAGAAGTTTACCTTCACAAGGGGAGGACTATCCAGTGTGCATAGATATTTATCAGGCTACTAGGTGATTCAAATTTCTGAGGAATTCAGCAAGATATGATGGGCCTAGACATAACAGTGGAATGTCCAGGAGAAGGCAGCCTCCAGAGCTGCAGAGTGGTGGTAGCATTAGAAGAGTTTCTAGGAAAAGATTCTGGGTAATTGAGAGGCAGGTACTAGGAATAAACTATGGATTTAGACATAAGGGGAAAACTAGTTATAAGAACTGCAGCATAAGTTCACAGCAAGGCTGAAGGCAAGGTTCACTCTGTGTATAGCATGTGTCTGTTGATTTGTTATTCCTTAAGTCCATTCTGACTGCAGACATGATTTGTCCAAGTACCTGTCAATTGCAACCAAATGATCAAAGCTGTAAGCAAAGCCAGCATGATCAAGCCATGCCTGGTAGACCTTGGGAAGCAGACAGGTCTTGGCTCCCTTTAGATTTATCTTTTCCATTTTCCTTTGCCTGTGGATAGAGCAGGCCCTAAGTGCCAGGCTAGAATTCGCGCCTCGTTGAATGTATTTTAGCGCATTTTTCTCCAACTTATTTCATAAGTTCTCTCTTTAAATTGTCGTGATAGGTCATCTGCTTAGAGTTGTTCCTCATTCTTCACAGGTGTGTACAACCATTATCAATTTAGTAAAATTCTGGAGTTCAACCTTTTTAACAGGAGGGATTATGTTGAGTTTTTTTCACAGCTTGTTTATGGCCTAAATATAATTCCCTTTCAAATAATTTCTCATTGAAAGACTCTTCATGTTTCTAATGTCCAGGAAAAATAAAAACCCAAGAGGGTTTTTACTAACCTTGTAAAACTGCAGGATTACACTCATGAAGAGAAAAATAAGCTTCTCTTCATGCTCAGGCTCTTTAACAAATGAATCCTAAGTTCATGTATAAACTTGCAGTTAATAAGACACATATCAAAAAGCACTGCAAAAAAACCCAGGATTTTAGAAAGAAAAAAACACGAGTAGTGTGTCGTTTTCGCTTCCACTATTTGGTGGTACAATAGTGGCACAGTACTTATATACACAATGCATAACTCTCAAAAAATATAAAAGCAAATAACTGATAAAATATATAGAAAAATGACCTTTTCAAAATCCCATTTCAAACATTCAAAGTCAGTGGCTTAAGTGAATAGTGAATCTATGATACCTTTTCCAAATAGAGTAGAATTATAGAGGCTCTTTCTACCTTGAGTAGCAAGAAATTAATTATTAGGATTGCTTTGACTCACAATGATGCTGTGAACTTCCAATTATTCCAGGTAATGTAAGCAAGGATTGTACATAATTGAAATTTAATGATAACACAAAAGGCTTATTCTAACCATTAATTTCAATCTTTTTCCCTAGCAAACCTTTACATGAGCTAATGAGAATAGCTAAGTTACTTGCGTGTCATTTTACCTGTCTTTTTTAAAATGTCTCCCTCTTTGGTAAAGCTGTTTACAAGAAGTAAATCAGTGATCATCAAAATGTGATTTGAAGAGGTTTGGAAAGTTTGAGTCTGAGGGCAGCCAGGTGTCAGCTAGAGCAGGCAGGGCAGGATGATTTATAAATCGGATTTAAAGACAGTTCCTGTATTAGTCTGTTTTCACACTGCTGGTAAAGACATACCCAAGACTGGGCAATTTACAAAATAAAGAGGTTTATTGGACTTACAGCTCCACATGGCTGGGGAGGCCTCACAATCATGGTGGAAGGTGAAAGACACGCCTCACATGGCAGCAGACAAGAGTTAGAGAGCTTGTGCAGGAAGACTCCTGTTTTTAAAAACATCAGATCTCCTGGGACTTATTCACTATCATGAGAACAGCATGGGAAAGACCTGCTCCTGTGATTCAATTACCTCCCACCGGGTCCCTCCCACAACAAGTGGGAATTCAAGATGAGATTTGGGTGGGGACACAGCCAAACCATATCAGTTCTCAAAAGAGGATCTCCAAAATGTTTCTGCAAGGCCAGCACCATTATAACCATAATATAGCTTCTCAATGATTTCTTGATAAATATGCACACTTTCTATTCTTTATAGTCACACATTGTCACCTTATATGTATAATAGGAGTTAGTGTTTGCTTATTTACCAAGTTGTCAACATTATCGTTAACAACCCCTTGAAAAATCCTTAGTTTATTTAAATAGATATTTGCTCATTTGATTTCCTCCATAAATTGTTACCTTTTTTTCTCAAAATAAGGAGACCCATGGAGAAATTATTAAAGGTGTTTTTGGACACAGAATAGTAAACATATTTTTACAACTTCATATTAGTTAATAAAAATGATTTCTATGTTCATCAATCAAAATGTGCTGATGGACTTTATGTTAAATCATTAAGGATTTAAAATATGAAAAGGGGATAGTTGGCATGTAAGTTAAGAGTTTGATAAAATCCAACTCAATAGTAAAAACTATTTGAAATACTTGATACTCCATACCAGTTGCCAAGTTTTCCCTTTGCTAATGGCAAGCATTTATATCCCACAAGAACACTAAATCGTCTTGTAAGTATCTCCTGAATGGCCACCTAAGAAATGTGAAGGCCAGAGCAGCTCATAAGAACAAACTGATGTTACCTTTGAGAATACCATGCTGGGCATTTTTGGGTACCTAAAGAAATGGAATATATATTATAAAACCCCGAGCCAGTTATTCCCAGAACAGAAGCTGACTTCTGTAAACTTGGTTTAATAATTTGGCAGCCTGTATCAATCAGTAGGGTGGTAGCAAGTACATAATTATTTCAAGACAATGCATTTGAATGTTCAATACAGTAAACAGTTAATATAGAAAATAAAACAGGAGGAAGAAGCATCATTTAGCATATTGGTGATTTGCTGGATTGTCCTGGAACGTTCTGCATTGTCTTAAAATAACTCTGGATTTTCCAGTTCAACTAGCTAGCTATTTTGCTGGTTAAGCTTCTGTACTTGCTATCAGACTGACTCTCAACATAGCCTTCACACATTAGTGCCAACCAGCTTCAAGTTCCCAGGTTGCCAGTGGTCTCACTTTTCATGCGCAAAGGTGACAAATGAAAATCTGTTATATCATGGTGTTAATGATTAAAGTTTTCTGCCATTTGAGTTATTTTCAGGACACCTGAAATGCTTAATGTGAAAAATTAAATCTTTAATGGTTGAATTCTAGACATGGTGATTTTTGTTGCAGGGTTATGCTTTTGGCTTAAATCTTCCTTGTACCCTCCAGATAGCATGCCATTCATTTTTTTCTTTCTTTGTTCCTTTCCATTCCTCCTTCATTTACTGCAACATTTACTGATCAACTAATATATTTCAGGCACATGGATAAGTACTGAGGAGAGAAATATAAATCAGATATGGCCCTTCCTCCCCAGGATTCATAGTTTTGTACAGGACATAGTATGTCAACCTGCTCATAAATCTTGAAAGGATAGTAGTTGAATATAGTTACAAAGCAGAAAGAAGAAGGGGTTAATCTTGTCTTTGGAAGATGGGCTCATGAAAGCCTCCACCCAAGTGGAAGGATTTAAGCTGATTCTTAAATGATGGGTAAGAATTTCTCAGAAGGAAAAGGAAGCAGTTGGAGGAATCACCCTGGCATTTGGGTTACAGCAGTAGTTTCTCATGACCTGAACACAGAGTGTGAACACAGTCGGTCAGGAAATGAGGATGGATAGTTCCTTGGAAAGTTGGTAGGGGTTTTGAATGCCTTGCCATGACTTCGGATTTCATTCTGCAAAATGAAATATACCAGCAAAATACCACTGAAAATCGAAGCTGGGGAATTACATGTTCCTTTCACTTTGACAACAAGGTATACAGTGGGTAGATCAGAAGGGAAGAGAGGCTTCACAGAATTGTGACAGTCATGTGTTGAGTGGATGCCATAAATCAGACATGGCCCTAGATTCTGGGTATACCTTGGGAGCAAAATAACCATAACACCCACCTTGTACTAATTATGTCAATAACAATAGTATTTATTTAATGTCGATTTGGTACTGTCTGGGAGCTTGATGTATTTTAAGGGCAGTTGACCTTTAAATAATGCAGAGGTAAGGGCACTGGCCCCCCCACAGTTGAAAATCTGTGTATAACTTTTAGCTGTCCAAAAATTGAGGTATTGATAGCCTACTGTTGACCAGAAGCCTGATCTATTACAAACAGTGGATTAACACATGCGTTGTATATGTATTATATGCTGAATTCTTACAAGAAAGCAAGCTAGTAAAAAAAATTAAAAAAATCATAAAGAAGAGAGACTATGCTTACCATTTATTAAGTGGAAGTAGATCATCATAAAGGCTTTCATCTTCGTCATCTTCACATTGAGTAGGCTGAGGAGGGAGAAGGAAGAGAAGTTGGTCTTGCTGTCTCAGAGGTGGCAGAGATAGAAGTCTGTGTATAAGTTGGTCTGTGGGGCTCTAACCTATGTCGTTCAAGGGTCAACTGTATTTCAACTTAACAACTCTGAGATGTTACTACTATCTGTGTTGTATAGGTAATGTAACTGAGACTGAAAGATGGTATTTACCCAAAGCTGTGTAGCCAGTGAAGTATCCAGTTAGGATTTGTGTCCAGGCAGTATTTCACTATCATCTAACTTGAGGAAGTGAATAGATCATAAGATCAGCCATAACTGTAGTGGAAACATAGCCAGAGCAGAGCAACAGGAAGCAGGAAAAATAAAAATAAAACTATAAATACAAGAAGAATCTGCTCTAAAAGAAATGGAGCCCCAAGCTACAGTGTTAAGGTCCCAAATATGGTACTCTTTATCCTTTTCTAGATAGTTCTTTCTGCCTTATATATTTCAGTGGATGAAGCCAGCTATTCAACATATAGTCTAACCACACTAGGTAGCCAGAGTTTTGCATTGGCATTTTCTGGCCATTCTCCTTTCCTTGTTACCATGACTTGTTAATAGAGAGCTTACACTCCAGGACTTTACATCTTTCTGTTGGCTTCTGTGCATTCAGTGGCCAAATGTCCAGTAGTTCTATGCTGAGCCTCCCCTCAGATATAGTTTGAAAAATGCATGAGATAAAAAAAAATATCCTTCAGCCTCCTACAACCACAGAACACCTAGCATGCCACTCAGCAGTTACAGTGGAAACCTGTTGTGGTAGGCAGAATTCTAGAATAGTCCTCACGATTGCACACCTAAAATGACCCTGATGTACACACCCTATATAATCCCTTTCCTTCAAGTGTGAATTGGATTTGTTACTATGATAGGATATTGCTACCATAATTTTGGTACCCTATATGGGTGAAAAGATTTTGTAGCTGTAACTAAGGTTCCTAATCAGTTGACTTTGAGTTAATCCAAAGGGATGCAATCCCAAGTGAGCCTGACCTAATCGGCCAAGCCCTGAAAAGAGGTCAGAGAAATTTGAAGCATGGAAGACATTTCTTGCTAGCATTGAAAGAGCAACCTACCACATTGCAGACAGAACACGGCACCAAGAGCAATGTCTAGGAGATGAGAGTGGTCCCTGTCCAACAGCTAGCAAGAAAGCAGGGGAACTCAGTCATAAAACTACAAGGAAGTGAATCCTTTCAACAAACTGTGATCTTAGGACACAGAGCTTCAGATATGATCACAGCCCGAGCCTACATCTTGATTTAAGCCTGAATAGAGCACTCTGCTAACCTGTACCCAGACTCCTTATCCACAGAAACTGTGAAATAATAAATTTGTGTTGTTCTAAGTCACTCAATTTGGGATGATGTGCTATGCAGCAGTAGAAAACTGTGAAACAATACCGTAGTTCAGAGAGGTGCCATCCTGAGTTATCAAACCAGCAGGTCAGGCTTGACTGGCTTGTTTTGATGACCCTTCAAGAGAGTTTTAGTCTGCTCATAATAAACTTAACATAGCATGCTCTCAGTTATCCATACAAGCTAATCTTTAATTCTTTGAGGCCACTTTGTATTATTTAATGGGTTACATTTCCATTGCATTGAGGATAATTTTTCTTTTCAGTGTGGTTCTACTAACGGTGTCCTGTGTGTTTTTCAAATAAAATATATACTTAATTAGTATTCATAATTCGATTCTAGTTTAACTTGGTTATCATAGGTTTTTTATTTGAAATATTTGTGTTTAAAATCAAAGTTAATAACAAGTGAGTAGTTAGAATTGTTAGTAATTAAACTACAGCATATAAACATGAATAATTGTCAAGGAGATTGTTGTATATTGCTTTTTACATTTTATATTTCTTTGGTGCAATAAAATAATAGGATAAACAATTATTTATACTCTATTACAGTGAGGAAGTACAGCATGTCAGCTGTAATGAGGAATAATTTGTTGGAGGAGACGATATTTGGAAGGAAATCTGGCTAAATATGTATCCACAACTAAGATTTTTATTAACCAGGGCTAAAAATCTGTTGAAATTACCCTTGGGTTTAATGATCACATAAATAATCCTGTTTCAATTATTTGCATCTTACATGAGTTCATAATAAGTGAATTATGCATCAGACAACTTTGTGTCTTTTGTTACTTTTATAGTATTGATTTAGATAAAGATTAGACCCAGGGAGTAATGGGAAAGGGCTCCATGTGGCTGCTGTTTTGCTTTTTATTAGATCTCAAACTGAAATATCTACTTTATCTAAATCAGCTTCACACTTCTGAACATTTGTATCTATCAATTCTATTTACTTCACTTAGCTTGGCTATTAAGATGGCTGCACATCAGTTCTGCCCTTCACTTAAGTGATTACATTTGGAGCTGAAAGACGGATTCTCCAGGGACAGATCAAAGATGGGAGCTAGGTTATGAAGTGATGCAGAAAAGTGTGGGATCATTCACAGTCCTCTGTCTCTACTAAAGTTGGTATCTAAAGCTCATTGATGAGAGAAAGTTGTCATGAATGCAGGAAATGAATGACCTGAATAAAAACAAACAAACAAAACCCTTTAAATATGGAATAGAAACTTGTGTCTATTCCCAATCTGTTTAAAATGCCTTACTTTTATTCGAAGAAAAAACTTTCCAGAGAAGTATGAGAAACCGAAGGAACCCCCGTCTATTCTTAACCATGTCAAGTTTGTAAAAGGTGTGACTCTCAGCTAGTTTTGAAGAGCTGGGAGAATGTGTTCCTTACATGGGTGAGGGTGTTTGAGCAGATTAATGCAGTGTTTCTCACAGTGTGGTCCAGAGAAGTCCTGCATAAGAATCATTAGAACTTTTGAGAAAAATGGAGATCCAGGGTCTCTACCTAAGACCTATGAAATGAGAATCTCTGGGAAAGGTCTGAGGATTCCTTTTTAGGGAGCTTTCTAGTTAATGCTGATGCACATAACAGTTTGAGCACCACGAGTCAATACATATGTATAACAGCTTAGTTCTCTGTTCTCTCTTGCCAGTGCTGGACACTCTTGCTACCAATTCCTTTCCTCCCATTTGTCTTCAGTCCTTTAAGAATGTGGTAATGTACAGCTCAAATGAGTTGTTTGAGTCCCTGTCTATTGTTCCTCCATTTAACTACCTTTACCCACTGAGCAGCTTGTGTTTGCTATTTATTCTTAGGACAAGGATGGGTGGTGAAGTCTGGGTGTGGTGTTGATCCTTCATCATTAAGGATATTGTCTAGTCATGGAACTAGACCAAATAAGACTAGACTAGTCTAGAACTACATTGTGATTCATAGATCATGGGGCTGATGAGACTTATGAAGCAGTCAAATATGCCCTTGAAGGTGGGTTTCCTCAAGGAAATGATGATAGGACCCTTTGAAACCCCACTTGAATTTGAGTAGAATCTGTAATCTGATGTCATGCCAACACCTCACTGCATCTGTTCATCTTGTGAAATGTTTCAGAATGGAAGGTGACAAAGATGTCCTCAAATATCAGTGTTCAAGATAGTTATTTTCAGGCTTTTTACATTTTTTTTCTTTTTTTTGAGACAGAGTCTTGCCCTGACACCAGACTGGAGTGCAGTGGCATGATCTCGGCTCACTGCAACCTCCATCTCCTGGGTTCAAGCGATTCTCCCGCCTCAGCCTCCCAAGTAGCTGGGACTACAGGCACGCACCATCACACCCAGTTAATTTTTGTATTTTTAGTAGAGATGGGGTTTCACCATGTTGGCCAGGATGGTCTCGATCTCTTGACCTCATGATCCGCCCACCTAGGCCTCCCAAAGTGCTGGGATAACAGGTGGTTTCCATCATTTTTAAGAAGAACAATTTAAAAACCAAGCCATTATAAGTTTATAATTTCTTCCTATATTACTCGTGGTGAAGATGGTGGTCAGCTTCATGGGTGGGTATAAGCAATGTGTTTTCCTTAGAATTCCACCTCAATTGCAGATGCCCTAGTCCTTCTTATCCATATAGTGGCTAGGAATAATAATAGTACTTGGTTCATTGAGTTTGTTATATGGACATATTAAGATAATTCAATTAGAACAGTACTTGATGTGTAGCAAGAGCTCAATAAATAACAATAACAGCTACTATTTATTGAGCATTTACACAGTGACAGTCTCTGTTCTAAGTGCTTTGTATGACTTATCTCAGCAATTTGCCCAAAGTCACAAGGCTCTAAAGAAACAAAGTGGGGATTTAAACCCAAGCATACTCTTAACCTCTGCATTGTACTGCCTCTGCCATAAATGCGGCTCATTGTCTTTTCACATTATTATTGAAATGCATTTCTCAGACCAGGCATAGTGGCTCACTCCTGTAATCCCAGCACTTTGGGAGGTCGAGGCGGGCGGATCACGAGGTTAGGCGATCCAGACCGTCCTGGCTAACATGGTGAAACCCCGTCTCTATTAAAATACAAAAAATTAGCCGACGTCGTGCACGTGCCTGTAGTCCCAGCTACTCGGGAGGCTGAGGCAGGAGAATGGCTTGAACCTCGGAGGCGGAGCTTGCAATGACCCGAAATCGCGCCACTGCACTCCAGCCTGGGCAACAGAGTGAGATTCCGTCTCAAAAAAAGAAAAAAAAGAAGAAGAAAGAAATACATTTATTATGTGATGCCTTTGCCTTCTGCTCGTTTTCTTTCAGTTCATTTTGAAGGGTCAAATTTGCTTTCTATTCACTCAATCCTAAGATTCAGCCAGGCTTCTCTTGGATCAAGTAAGTGCCAAAGGAAGTTAAAGGCAGGTCACTGATGCTGATTTTGCGCACCAGAATAGGAGATGGTCTGAAAAATGAGGGGAAGAAACTTTCCAGGAGCACCTGGGCAAGTGATTTGAGATGGGCTTTGACTGTTCTTTCAGGCTCTGGGTAAATTCTCTGGCAAGGCTGGGTGTGGTGGCTTACACCTGTAGTCCCAGCACTTTGGGAGGCAGAGGCGGACGGATCACATGAGGTCAGGAGTTCAAGACCAGCCTAGCCCTAGAAATGGTGAAACTCCATCTCTACTAAAAATACAAAAATTAGCTGGTTGTGGTGATGCACGCCTGCACTCCCAGCTACTCGGGAGGCTGAGACAGGAGAACTGCTTGAACCTGGGAGGCGGTGGAAGTTGCAATGAGCTGAGATCGGGCCACTGCATTCCATCCTAGGTGAAAAAGCAAGGCCTTGTCTCAAAAAAACCAAAAAATATCTGGCAAGACTAGTTTTCTTCTCCATTGGTCATGTAATATACATTGCCTTTCCTATGAAAAGAAAAATACCACCTAGTATCTACATAGTATCAGCACAACGTGATCTCTATAAAGCTGATCTTAGTTCGATTCCCCTACCTGCCACTACCATTAGAGCCTGTCAGCTTTCCCTGATCTCATGGTACTTTCCATACTTTCTTAAAGACTTTTACCAGATGCTGCTTTGAATTTCAGGTGTTTTCAATGGCATCTAAAATATTATCTCTTGATCACTGGAGTCAGACTTGGGTTTCAATCCCGAGCTGGATATTTCCTGGTATAACCCAATGAGGCCTCCATTCCTCAATTTCCCCTTGCAAAATGGAGATAGCATTAGTAGCTGCCTCATAGGGTTTACAGAGGATACAGTGAAATAATCCATATAAAGTGCTCCGTGTGCTAGTCTCTCAGATAGTGATTATTCTACACACATGAGCTATTATCATCTGAATTTTGTTTTTAATAGATTTTAAGCTAGTGAAGACTAAGGATATATTTTTTTAATTTTTAATTTTGTGAGTACATAGATATATTTATGGGCTACAAGTGATATTTTTGTACAGGTATGAAATACTTAATAATCAGCTCATGGAAAAATGGGTATTCATCTTTTTATTACTCATACTGGCTTATATAGTACCTGGACCACAACTTTAGCAATTGAATGAAAGATGAACAATCAGAAACAAACTGAATGAAGGTTAGGTCTTGAGAAGGCCAACTCACTGGGACTCTGTGGTGAAAGCGTAGAGAAAGTTCGCCCCCTTTCTCTTCTTCTCTTTAAAGCCTTCCCAGCCTGGAATCTAGAGAGACATAACGTGCCAAAATCCCTTTGTTCCCTGCCTCAGTTCATCAAAGGGCAAACTAATCTTTCATTTTATAAACATTATTTTTCTTCCAAAAGCCATATTGCTGGAATCAAAGCAGAAATGGGTTCATTACTGTGAGTTAACTGGTGATTTTGAATAAACTGCACTTTAGGGGTACGCTCTGAAGTGCAAAAGTAAGAGTGTCTCTAAGCACGTTCATTTTTCTGGGGACAGGCAAGAGATAACCTTCATGCAGCAGTAGAGCCTGAGCTGAAGGACTCCCCAAAATTGCTTTGAAGAAACTTCTTTAAATGGGGGCGCCTGAAACAGCCTCTCACCCTCCTCAGTAGTTACGTGAGAATGCATTGCAGAGAAGAAAATTTTGGCAAACTGTCACAACAGTGTCCCTTTTCTCTCACTGCCGCTTCATACTTATCTGCTACACACACACACACACACACACACACACTCACACGGCAGGGGCACAGAACTTTCTTGTATCTAACATTAATGCAGAAAGGGCGAGAAATCTTTTAAAAAGTCACTATCAAGTGTTGGGTTACTTATGCTGGTGATGTTTGTTTCATTGAATGCTTTGGGTATTCCTGGCCACTGTTACATGAGACACATGGGAAAATGTTATGACCATCAGCAAGCAGCTATCAGCCCCACTGGCTTCAGATGCTTTGGGATGTGGGGGAAATTGACTAGTCCTTCACAAGCCTTTGTTTCCTCATCCATAAGATGGAAATGTAAACCCCTCTCTTCCTCAAAGAGGGGTATTTAGAAAGGAAGATTCTATGTGTTAGGCCCACTGCTTGAAAACGTATGTGCTCCACGGAGATTAAGTATCATTTAGAAATATTATTGCACCTAATCCTCACAACACTTCCCTGAAGGAGGGATATTGGCCTCATTTTGAAGACCAGCAAACCAAAGCTTAGCAAGTTTAAGTAATCCAAACGAGGACAAAGATTTGGAGCCAGTATTTAGGTTTCCTCTTTCTGTTGGATGCTCTTAATATTTCTCTTTTAAAAGGGAATTCAAGGCCCTACAGGAAGAAAATATATTGGATTAATATTTTAGTTTGAATCCACGCTGCGACTTGAAGGTAAGAGTTGCATATGTAGTTAAGTAACTTTACTTATTTAGACTGCAGTGTTCTTTTAGCTGAAAATGAAGGGATGAGAGTGGATGCTATCCAAGGTACTTATCATCCACACCAGTGATTTTAAGATATTTTGGGCAGGGCAACCTTCTTGGCTGCCTTCCTTGTATTGCTTTCATTGTTCACGTGGGCAGGAACCACAAATCATATTCACATTAAATGCTGAAGATAGAGCACAGCTAATATGTGTGAGCATGCAGTGCTCATGGCTCACCTTAAAAAGAAGCAGTAGGAATAGGACTTCCTAAAAAAAAAGTATGGAAATCTCTCAGGCTCCCCAGGCAGAGGAGGCATGCTGGTAACAGGAAATTGGGCTCTGCCAGATCAGTGAGAGAGCAGGTAGCTTTTTAGGTGAGAATATCAATCAGATTATTCATTCAACAACCACTCACTCCCTCTTATTCACCAGGCACCATTCTGGGATTGAGGATATTATATTGAACAAGACAAACAAAAATCTCTACCCTCATGGGTAGGAGTTTATATTGTAGCAATTCTGGCAGAAGGAGACACTTAATAAACAAATATACATGCCAGGTGGTGACAATGCTTTGGAGGAAAATAACACTGGTTCAGAGGGTAGTGATTCCAGGGCCAGGTGAGGGAGGTTTTTCTATATAGTACAGTTAGAAAGGGCCTCTCTGTGATAGGAATTTTGGAACTAAGACCTAAGTCAAGTCACTTACTCATGGGAAGATATGGGGATAAGCACTGCAAGAGAGGGAAATACAAAGGCTGGAGCTAATGACATAAACATTTAAAAAAAGAAAAACCCTCAGGCCTTGGGATGAAAAACATAACAGCAAAGGAACCCGTAATTTTGACATCCAGACCAAGTGGAAGGACTCTCACTCTGATGCTCTTCAATAGTTCCTGCCGGCCCGGCACGGTTGCCAGGCACAGTTGCTCACGCCTGTAATCCCAGGACTTTGGGGGTCCAAGGTGGGCATATCACCTGATGTCGGGAGTTCAAAACCAGCCTCACCAACATGGAGAAACCCCGTCTCTACTAAAAATACAAAATTAGCTGGGTGTGGTGGTGCATGCCTGTAATCCCAGCTACTCAGGAGGCTGAGGCAGGAGAATTGCTTGAACCCAGGAGACGGAGGTTGCGGTGAGCCGAGATCGCTCACCATTGCACTCCAATGTGGGCAACAAGAGTGAAACACCATCTCAAGAAAAAAAAAAAAAGTTCCTGCCTACATATGTTTCTCAGCCCCAGGTCATCAACTTTAAATGTGAACACAAAGCACTTGACTATGGACATTCATATATAAGGCAAGCTGAAGGGCTCTGCAGAGTTCACTGTACTAGAAAAACAACTCCCTTTTGAGTTCCGAGGTGGTGTGTGTTTAAGTAATATTAATCCTGTGAATGAGGAGGAAGAAAGATCCTTGAGTTTAATTAACTACTAGTTTGGATGCTTTTCATGTTCCAAAGTTACCGGAGTTAATGGCTAAAACAGTGTGTCAGCCAGTTGCGGTAGCCCATGCATGTAATCCCAGCACTTTGGGAGGCTGAGACAGGAAGATCACTTGAGCTCTGGAGGTTAAGGCTGTAGTGAGCTGTGATCACACCACTGCTCTCAAGCCTGGGCTACAGAGCAAAACCCTGTCTCTCTCTCTCAAAAAAAAGAATGTCACAAAACAGTGTGGGGGATCATTTTGGGTATAACCTTCACCCCATGCTGATAAGCACTTGTGCCAATATTTGGATTTTTAATTCATTTAAAGCCCTGTTGGATAATGGGATGAAGTAATGGGTTTTGCATTAAACACATCAGAATTTGAAGCTTGGTTCCGTCATTCACCAGCTGTGTGACCTTGAGCCTGCTACTTAGGTTCTCTGAGGCTAGTGTTACACCTGCAAATCATCATCCCTACTTTTAGAATGTCTAGGAAGGAGCAATGCATTAAAGCATCTGGTGTGTAGTAATCACCTAATCATTGATGACTTTTATTATCCAGCAAACATCTATGAAGTAAGAAGTGCCCTCCATGGAGGCACAGTAGTGACTATCTAGATTAGCAAGGCATGATCTCTGCCCTCTGGCAGCCTACCCTTTAATGGAGAGAATGTATACCCATATGGCTATCATATAATACATCATAAGTAGGAAAAGTACCGTAAAAACACAAAAAAGAGAGATTTGATCCAATTCTGGTTGAAGTTTCCATGAAAGAGTTTTAAGAGCTTGACAGGCAGAGATGGTGTAAGAAGGTTTTTCTAAATAGATAGAGCAATTTTAGCAAAGTCCTAGAAATGGAAAAGCCCAGAATGAGTTTGGGTGAAGGAAGCTGAGCTGTCAGGTAGAGTGTATCGACAGGAGTAAGACCACTGAGGTGCAATCCTCAAGGAGGTACCGGATCACGGAGAGAAAAGGATGCTCTTCAAAGGAGCTTCAACTTTGTTCTGTAGGCAAATAGGGAGCCATGGAAGGTTTCTGATTAAGAGAATGATAAGAGGAGGACTGCACTTCCTCCAGATTGATTCCTCTGGCAACCCAGCAAAGTCTGAGTAGAGCATGGAGACACTTGTGAAAAGCACCCGAGGTGGTAGTGATTGAGCACTCACTCTTTTCTAAAAGTGTCACTCATTAATTCCCTCAACAGAGTGATGAGCTAGGTGCTATTATGCCTCTCTTCATAGATGAGGACATTAAGACACTGAGATGTTAAGTAACTTACCTAAGGTCACACAGCTAGTAAGAGATCCCAGCAGTCTGTCCCTGGAGTTTATATTCTAAACTTATACTCCACTGCCTCAAAAGCCAACCCCAAGTGAAGGATGCCTTCATTCTATCCTGCTCTGCCTTTTTGCCTCATTTCTTTTGCTCTCTTCAGTCCTCAGCTTGTTCATCTATGAAATAGGAGACTTTAATTGGCTTTCTAAGATGCTGTCTCTCTCTTGTAGTTTTTTTAAATTCTGTATTTCATTGTGGAGCTAATCTATTTGGGCAGTGTTAGGAGGAAAGAAAAAGATGAAACAGTTTGTGCAAGAGAGAGACAAAAACTTCCGCTTTTTTTCAGATTTTTTTTTTTTATTCTCAAACTTTTCCTGGCTCCAAATTTACTTACATCATTATTTATAAAGGATAGAAGGACACATTAAATACTGTATATATTTTGGTGTATTGAATGGTATGAAGTAGTGCAGAGGAGGTAGCTGCTAAACTCTAAGATACTATGCAAATATGATGAATACTTATTAGTTTATTATTCCCATGCTTCAAAAAGATATGATAGTTACTACTCAAACCAGAATATTAGTGCTCAGTGACTGAGCTTTCGGATAAGGTGACTCATGGGAAAGAAAGTCAATATTGAAGGACTCCCTTAAGCCTCGTTGCAATCTGCACTCAGCTAGTTGGGACAAAATACACATTTGGATTTTCCTTACTGGTCAACAATGTTTCTGAAACAGCTGAATGCAAGTTGTCACTCCACCTCTCAGCGTTTTCAGGTTTTTCTCCGTATTTCAAGGTGCGGTGCTCTGCTCCCTGTCTGCAGCAGGAGTCCAGCCCTTCCTTGGGTTCTCTTGTTTCCAAGGCAACTGGCCGGCCCAACAAAGCCACTGGTGGCGGCGGCGCGGCGCGCAGAGTCCCGGGGCGCAGAGCCATCTCCTCCGCGCCGGGCCTCATGTTTCCTCGGGACGTTCCTGGTGACCTCCTGGGTCCTCGGGTGATCTGCGCCGCGACTTCATGCGTGGCTGTCTCTCTGTGCAAGAGTGATAATGAGGAAGCCGATAATTCCGACAGGCCCGACTTTATCCGGCTGCTACTTCTGGCCTCTGCTACAGCAGACAGGATGAATGCATTTTCTGTCACTCACGCCCTTTTTCTCAGCCTCTCCATCTCCATCTAGTCTCTTTTCCCTTCTCTCTCTCTCTCCCTCTCTCTCCTCTGTCTCTCTCTCTCTCTCTCTCTGTCTCTCTCTCTCTCTCTGTCTCTCTCTCTCTCTCTCTCTCTCTCTCTCTCTCTCTCATACGCTCTCCTCCTCCCCTTTCTCCAGCAGTAGCCTTCTTAATGTAGTTTAATGGCTTTACAAAGAAAGCCAGGCAGAGGAGCACTTCTCAGTGGCTGTGGTCGGACCATGACCTAGCTGACCATGAACTTGGAAGGGCTTGAAATGATAGCAGTTCTGATCGTCATTGTGCTTTTTGTTAAATTATTGGAACAGTTTGGGCTGATTGAAGCAGGTTTAGAAGGTAAGGGAGTGCTTTTTAGTGACTTCTAAAAATTCTCTGTTTTGCAATGAAAATGTCTTAGGTGAATGTAAGAGGCACCTGAAATGAGATCAGAGAAATGTTACTCTGGGATGGACATGAAGGAAGCCAGGTTTTTCAGGGTAGGAAAGATTAATGAAATAAACTTTTTGTAAGTTGCAGTAATGTTTTCACAAGAGAATGTTAAAACTAGGAGAAACACTTTGGATCAAAAATGTCAGAACAAAAACTGAAGTAATTAAGGGTTTGTAATGGATCTACCTGCTTATTTTGAGAGTATTTAGTCCATACTGATGCTTGATTATTTTATCTAGTACCTCCTTTTATTGTATCGGCAAATTTTATTTGGGTATATTGTGAGATCACTCATTTCTTGCTATGCAAATACATTGATCAAATGGAAATAAATAGACATAATTTCTTATGGTCTAAGGTTGGAGCCTGAGAATGACAGGCTTTTCATAAAGTCTTCTGGAGAAGTGTTTATAATGTTACCTATTTTACATGCTAACAGAGATTCTAAGGGGAAAAGACTCTAACTCATATAACAGACTTTAACATAGATTCCAGGTAGCCAATTGTTTTTCAAGTATTGCTGTTTATGTTCATTAGAGGCTTGTTCTCCTGTTCTCCTTATCAATCACCTCTTTGTTTAAACAATACATTTTGTATTTGTCCTTATTGTTTCCTAAATTAAATGTTTCTCTGGGAATCTGAGTAAATTTACATTATAATTTTCTAACTGCTCAGAACACATTTTGAGAGTGTGTTTGCATACAGCCAGTCATTGTTTCTCTAAAGTTGGCAGAGCAATTTTTAAAAGAAGCTCTAGATGATGTTTGACGTAGTTATGTTTAGATATTTTCCTTGCTTCAAATTTTAAACTTAAGTAAAAAGGAAAATACATTATAAATGTATTTACATCCACAACTAATCCAGCCCTCCAGAGAATGGCTGCCACAGTGTAACATAAATGAGATTGCATTTACAAATAGCAAACATCAAATTAAAATAAGTGTGTCACTCTGATGTAGGTTACCAGAAACCTACATTTATAACTCATGGGGCGGGGGATGCAGGGCGCAGGAGGCGGGGGATGGTGGAGAGCTGGGTTTGTTTATTTAATTTTAAAATAAGTTGCAGAATGCTTTTGGTAGCCCTCTCTGATGGAAATATCTGTAGTTCTAGAAAGAGGATAAGTTCTAAAATCTAGAAGTGGCCATTGCTCTTTAAAACTGACTTCATGTTGTACACTCTCATGAAACCAGTAACTTGGTTTGGCTTCTCTGTTCATTTGTGTGTGTTATTTTAGTTGGCAAATGTGATTGGGATGTCCCATTTTAATGAACTGGTTTTTATTCTCTGTGAGACTGACAATTCATGGAACAATCTCAGAATTCCTAGCTCTGTTGAGGGACTTGTTTCATCTCATTTCATGGATGTTGTGTGGCCATTCTTTCAGCTCTTGTGTGGAAGGCTTTGAATCTGGATTTGGTGATGACACCTACTCTAGTATTGGTTCTGCTTGTTTCAGGAGCACAAATATTCCCTCTCCCAAATGAGAACTTGTGTTTCCTTCCTCTAAGAGCTGCTAACCTCTATGAAGTCTTTCCTTTTTATTATTGCTTGAATTCAAAGCTGTACTGATTTGTATGAACAATTTCTCTCTTGTACTTTACGTTTTACAATATCAGCATTCTCCAGGACAATCTTGGACTAATACTATGGAGAGAATGCACTATCTCAGAAACTTTAATATAAACTTCATATATGATTTCCAGTGATTGTTAGGAAGTAATTATAAATAGTAAAATGTTGATAACCACATTAAGGAAGAAATATTTAATGAATAAAAGTTGACAGAGATAGAAAGCAATAGTGTTTTTCATTTGGAAGTCTGTATAAGACAAATCTCCAAAGTAAATCTTAGAGTGAGAAGCCCTTTAAAACAAGATTTAATTTGACTAAATACTTTGCTAGCTGGAGATAAAAAACAAATGAATAGATTGATATAGCTGATTGTGTGTAGTTTAAGTCTATAGATCAGAATGTGTGCACTCTACAGTTACAGCCTAATTTTAATTAATAGAAGGATAAGCAATGTTTATTATCAAGCTAGCATCTTCATAGTTTTCTTCTGAAACTTTCTTAAAAAAAAGTACTGATGCTCATTTCATTCCGATTTCTTTTCGCCTGAGAGTTCCTTTCCTCCTGCACCATTTTGCATGTCTAAGTTCAGAAGATAATGATTTATTTCACCTTTCTTATTTCTGTCTGCTCAATTGTCCTATGAAAGAATTTGAATATTAAGTAGAAAATCTTGAACCTAGGTTAAAGCCTTATGAGGATGATTGTGAACTTTTTCCCTAAATCATTAAACCTCCTCATGTAAACTTACAACTGTTTTATAGTATACATGGTATTCACAATGTAGTTTTTTTGTATTATTATATTTGAAATATGCATATTGTTCTGAAGGACATATAAAATATGACATTTGTATAATGTAGTTGTTATTTTGCTTTTATCTATGTGTAGAATACATGTACTTCAAAATAAATTGGTAATATAAAAGTTTAAATTATTTGTATTTGCTTATCTTTAAGTGATTTGAGTTCTCCTTCATTGTAGAAGACTGGGGATTAGGTCCTTGAGTCTTGGGTCCTGTTCTGATCTATGTGTGATATTCATGAATACATAATACTACACAGAGATCCATGTCATATGTTTATAACCCAAGAGTTACAGTTAGCAGGTAACATTCTTTCTCCTGAGAATATAAAATAGTAGTTGGAGCACAAATGCTTATGCCTCCTCTGCTACTCTCTTGCTTTCTCTAACCTTGGATTAAGTCACTTTACCTCTCTAGTTTTCTAAAATGAGAAAACTGGGCTTGATAATCTCCATGGAACTTTCAATTTCAAAACTTCAATGAGTGTAACAGGAAATTAAAATTTGAGAATTTATGTAACACATATCATTTACCATAAAATAGATATCAGCGGCCTATTTTGGAATTGATATACAGTATAATGGTTAGACTAATCTTTCCTTCTCTTCCATAGTAGGATAATTCATCATACCTCAGGGAAATATTCATTGTATTTCAAGAGAATAGAGAAACATCCTTTCCTGTAGCTCTAGAATTTGACGTGTGGGGCTGCTGTTTCAGGCATCCTCATGATACCGTTTCTCGAAACTTAAGAGTTTCAATAACAAGTAAGCACATCATATTATTATTTATTAACTCATTTATTAACTTTTTTGGTAATTCCATTAATATTTATTACATTTTCTTTTGAAGAAAAGTAATCTTAATGCCAGTGCAGTAGGCATGAAAATAATAATGAGAAGCAGATTTCTAAGGATAAAACACAATACCTGTGGCCAGTGTTTTAAATTCATAGACTCTCTCTACTTAGTGGGGAGTTTAGGAGGCTCCAGAATTATGCTGGTTTGGAATACTCCTGAAACTTCACAACAGTAAATTGCCTTTTTCTTTCAACTATAAAAATGAAAGTGGTTTTCTGTTAATGCATTCCAGGGAGAAATTGAATCAAAATTTTAATGGCAAAGCAATTTCATTATCTCTATATGTAACACTGGGCTGTGAAAATATCTACTTTTCATCTAAATATGTATTAAATTATGCTGAAGCAGTTACTGAATTAAGAAAGAACCATCCTTCTACCACCCTTAATAAAAGCAAAATTTCACAAAAATGCATTATCACACATGACTTGAAAAAAGTCACTGTTATTGGTAATTATCTTTGATAAAAAGACAAAAAGAAATCAACTGGTAATCTAAGTCCTTCTTAGGGTAAGGACTAGGCTGTCTTTTGTATTTATTCAACTCACCTTATTTAGCAAATATCTGTAATACTGTAATACAAGCTTCCCCCAAGAGGCTTAATCAAAATATTAGCTGTATACACAAAGATGGATTTTTAGAACCCAAGTTCTTAATTCTGCTGTGCTGTTGACAGAAGTGGGGAAGTGCTGGATCTGTCAGTAAGTTGGGCAAATTCAAAAACATCACTGATGGCGTGTTCAGACCATGTTGCTTAATAAGGACCAAGGGGCCAGAGATGACTAGGAGGGGCTGATTTCCATCTCAAATAGCTTAGTTGAAATTCACAGAGTCTTGTTCTAATTCTCCCAGCATTCTGGTTCCTCCAGTGCAATGGCATGCCAACGCTTATGTGTTTTGGGGTATCAGAGAAGTCTTTGTAAACTGTAAAGTTTAAGAAAGAGAAAAATACTTTATATTAGAAAACTTAAACATACAATCTTTTTACACCATCTAGTAATGAAATAAAGGGAATACATATACCGCCTTTAGGGTCTCTTATGGTTCATCTTTTCTTATTTCAAGAACATTAATGCCTAAAAGGGAACTATTGGAAGAAAAAGATTTAGTATATTCAGAGATTACACTCAGAGGATCTAAAGTTATTTAACTTGGATTCTAATCACAGCTTCACTTATTATTAGTCATGTGATTTTAGACTATTATTTGACTGACATAATCCTAATTTTTAGCTATAAAATAAAACAATTATAAATAATATTAATATCTTTTTATTATCACCTATATGTCAGACATGTGTTAAACAGAGTATAGTATAGATATATTATTCATGTAATATAGTATAGTATGGCTATATCTTATTTAATCTTCACCAAATCCTTTGAGATAGGTAATCACTTACGCTTTAGATATAAGAAAACTTAGACCTATAGAGTCCACTGAATTTGGATCAAGGTTAACTCAGCTAGTAAGTCATAAAACTGGAATTCAAACTCAGGCCATCAGACTCCGTATCTTATTACATAATTTTCATTTCCTAAGCATTACAACATCAAGGGCAATGGCTAATAATTTTGCAAAGGGGAGAAAGTGTTAAATTAGGCATCCATTAATGGTTTTCCACAAGCCTTTCTTGGACGCATTCTATGCATGAAATACTCTCAATCACTTACATTATTTAACAAGCATAAGCATGTGTACTGTAATCTTCTAAACACAGTAAAATAATATTATAAAGGCACCATGTTATAAATTAAACAAACTCTTGTAACATGAATAAATCAGCATTAAATTTCAGTCAAATCAAGCGCACACTTTAGTTGGGATCTGGGGTAAAATTTGAAAAGAAAATAGACAGAAATGTTTATTCTCAAACTGAGAGTCGATCTGTTTTGCTTTGGGAGACAAATGGGATGGCTGGAAATAGATGGGGCAGAGAAGGGCTGGTGATTGGAGAAAGGAGGAAATTCAACATAAGATGCTACTGAGAAAAAGTGAGACCTTGAATCCAGGACGACTGTTATTTATGAAAAGGTCTGAGATGTATGGATTGGGTTGACTGAAGCATGGATGAAGGCAGTAAGATGATCCATATTGGAGTAATATTTTGAAGTAAGTGCATCCAGCATTGAATTAAAGCATAACACAAGCATCAATTGGGTTTTAAGGCTTGATGAAGATGGTCATCAACAGAAAACACACACCCCAACCTTTCTCAGCAAGTAAAAAACAAGAAGGAGCACTGATGGTTCTAGTTATTGAGAACAGAGTACAAGGGAGGGAAGAAAGCTTACCTTAGTTGAGAACCTGTATAAGACAAAGAGGATGAAAAAAAGTGTTGCATATGCCTCGCCTTGGAATTATCATCTCAATCATGCAAGACTGAAAGTGATATTTTGATTTTGCAGATGAATAAACTAGAAGTTCAGGGAGAATAATAACTTGCTTAAGATCACAAGGAAGTAAATGAAGGAGTCTAGATTAATTCCAATATCTTTATTGTAGCGCCAATCCAAAAGGCATTCATTGTGACTGCACAAGATAAATATTCCCAAGTAAGATAAAACATACAGAGATACATAAAAGTCATACACAGTATGAACTTCTCTTACAGAATATGCCCATTAAAAAAATTGTATTTAAGAATCTGATTCATTTTTTTTTTGCTTCTAGCTCTATGTAGAGACATTAGTAAAAGCATAGGTACTATAGTGAACCCAGAAAAATGAGGAAGAGGGAAAAATAAGAGAAGATATATCAGTAATTTACATAATTGTAGCTCTGATTTTTCAAGGTTTCATAGAACAAAACATCCTGCAGAAACTGCCAGTTTCAAATTGATCATCTTATAGATAAGGAAACTGAGTCCCAGAGAGACGAAATGAACTAAAAATGATTGGTTATTGACAGAACTCTTTTCTGCAAAGAAAAAGCTAATGAATTATATTCAGAAGATAAACTTCAAACATAACCTGTTTCATAAAATGCTTATTCAAATTGTAGCTCTCTTGTTATTCTGCTTATGGTCCAAGAATTTAGGGCCGAGTGATAGTGAAGTTGCTTTTTGGCATAACTTTAAGGTTAGAAATAGGTGCCATTACAAAGAACTATCAGGCTGAGGGACTTAGCCATAAATTGAGGTGTTTTTCACCTCTATGACTTGTCTGAATACGTTTAGTAATACTGAGCCATTACCATCTGGTAGCCAGTTCAGATACCCCACAGATGAATTTTTGGAAGGCCAAGGTCCTATAACAAATATATATGTCACTGATTGATTGGGTTGGGTTTAAAACTGGTCTGGTGGGTATTTGTTACCACATTCAAATAACAATTATTCATCTCCTTTCCAAATATATATATATATATATATACACATATTTGATATAGCACTTGACTTACCAGAAATTCATATATTTATACACACACAAACACACGCACACACACATACGTACTTATGTATGTGTGTATGTATACACACACACATACATATATAAATATATACACACACACAAGTCACGAGGGCAGTTACCTTAATTGTTCAACATGCCGATTATTAAATTCTAAATTCTGTACCTTCCTAACTGCTTGCTTTGGTGCCACCATCCCACAGATGTCTGCCCTTACCTCTCTGTTTGAAATTCACCCCCACCGGCCAGACTGTTTATGACAATTATTTGAAAAGCATTTGATTAAGTCAGTAGACTAATCATCAAGACAAATCTGGCTCCTGGAATTATAACAAGTGTGTGTTTCAGTTCTCATAGGGAAGCCATAGAATGTAGAAACTAAGAACACAGACTCTGAAGCCAAAATAATTGGATTTAATAATAATCCCAGCTGGAATACACCTTGGCTGTAGACATTGGATAAGCACTCCAACCCTCAGTACTTCAGTTTCTTTGTCTACTAAATTGGAATAATCATAGCACCTCCCTCTCCTGCTTGTTTTGTGGATTAATATAGTTGGTATTTCTATATGCTTAGAACCCTGTATAAGATTATAATAAGTTATTTGTCTTTTGCCATTATAGCTAAGAACCATCATCTTTCCATCAAAAAAAAAAAGAGAGAGAGAGAGAGACCACAGCTCAATGCCTTAAACCAAAAGTTGCTTCATTGCTTGGTAAACAAGTGAGAGCTGTGCTTGTAAGATGCTGTCACTCAAAACCAAACACTGCTGTTGCTATATAGAGTTTTAGGCTTTCCAAAGCATGGTTACTAATGCAAAATTGTCATTGATTGATTGGGTTGAGTTTAAAACTGGTTCTGATGGTGACTTGTTACCAAAATCAAAGAACAATTCATTTCCGTTCTTAAAACTAGAGTACAAGAACTTTTTCATGGTAAACAACATTTAAGATTATCTATTGAGAACTCCCAAGTGCCAGCTACTGTTCTAGACAGTGGGGATTCAGCCATAAGCAGAACAGATAAAGCCTCCATTCTTGCAAGTTCATCTGCTGAGTTTTGAGATACAAACCGTAAATGCTACAAAAATAAGAATCAAAGTAGTTGTAGTGGATTTCATTCATTCATTCATTCATTCATTCATTCACTAACTGCATGTGCCTCTATTGTGGTCCATATGTTGTCCTAAGCACAGTATATGAACACAGTTGCAGAGTTTGAGAAATGTATATACTATTGGGGAAGCAAGACAAAAATATAAATAAAGGAATATATAGGAATATATAATCCAATATTTAATAGAGACAAGCACAAAATATAGCATGGGGACAGAAACAGGGTGTTATTTATCAAAGGGTTGTCAGAGAAAGCCTTTCCAAAGAACTGACTTGTTTGAAAATACTTAAATGAGTGCATGAGACATGAGAGAGTCTGGGATAAGAGCATTCCAGGCAAAGGAACCGCCACATACAAGAGACTCTGGTTAGAAGTGTGCTTCATATATCCAAGGAGCACAGGCAGGCTAGTGTAGCTGAAGCAGAGTGAGCTTGCCAGGGTAATGGGAGGAGCAATGGAGGGAGAGCCAAGGTCATATCCTACAGGGCCATTATAAGGACTTTAGAACTTACTGTTTGTTACTGGAAAGCCATTGAAGGGTTCAAATAGAAAGTCTCTACACAGTTCCTGATTCTACCTTCTTTTATACGCCCTGATATTGTTTCTGTACCATAGCTGCCTACTCCAAGACACCTCTTTGCTCTGCACCAGATACCACCAGGGCATGGATTCAACACTTATTTTCAGACTTCCTTTATATGAAACAACTGCCTGTGGCCCAATCTTTCGTGTGAGCGCAAGCCAAAACTTCACTGCTCTTCATTGATCTAGGTTTTCCCTCTACCTTCCACATGGGGTGAGCAGGTCTAGTCTTCATTTCTTCTTACCAGGTTGCTTCAACAAGCTGGGATATATACCACACTTATAATTACACTTTTAGGAGCAATGTTAATTGTCTTAATAGGACTTTACTAGAGAAGGAATTTCGAAAAGTCAAATAATATTCCTTGAACACTTGCCATAGTGAGAATATTGTGACAGTAGAGGTAAAAAGGTGAATTTCACACACAAAAAAAGAAGACAATGTTGTTATCCTTTGAGTAGTTCCTTCTCCCTCACTTATCAGCTTCAAAGGGAAATATTCAAATTGGGCACATTCCAAGTTGAGATGTGAATGATACATTAATATCCCAGGTATATGTACTAATACATATTTATTGGAACTAGCAAGAATCATAGAAAGTGTAGTCCAGCTTCCTCATTTTATGAGTAAATTGAGGCCCAGGAAGGTTAATTGACTTGTTAGAAATCACAATGCTATTTGGTAGCATACATATTGTAATAATTACATTATCTATAATAGAGTGATCATTATATTCTAGGTGAGGACCTCACCATTTTACATATTTGTAGTATTAAATTTTTGCATATCCCTGTAAAAACAACCTTATTAGCCACAATTATAGGAATTCTAGCTCTTCACTTAAAAATCTATTGTGAATGCTTTTCATGATATTACTTTTTTCTAGTTTTATTGGATTATGCCCAGGAAAATGGGGAAGGTTTACTGGTACACAGGCAGAAACAAGGATTCTTATAAAACTAATAGGTATGCCAAAATGCGATGACACAGTTGTAGTGAGGCTGGGAACCAGGCTTTGGTTCAGCAGGGAGTTAGGGCCCAGATCTTGTTGTTGAAGGTACATAATGGGAAGACACAGAGTCAAATCCTAAGTGCCTGGTGCTCAGGCATTCAGGAGGTATCAAATGAATATAGTAGGGGAGTCTCAAATAGAGAGGTTCCAGAGCTGGTAAGCAAGAAGATGGCATTAGATGCTAATAATATCAAACACACCTTAATGAGCACTTTGTTGAGCATATGTCAGGCACTATGATCAAGAATTTATATGATCATTCATATTAACAGTTTTTATGATCCAGTTGTATTTGAAAATTTAACAAATGACAAAGTATATGCTTGTGAAATTTCAGCCACTCACCTAAGATCATATAACTAGAAGTGGTCAAGGCGGGATTCAAAATCAGGCTGCCCACCTGGAGAACAAAGGCTCTCAACCACCGTGTTCCTGCCTCCCAGATAGGGCTAGATCATGATCAGAGGCAGAATTAGGTTTGAAGTAAATGAAGATTAAGCTACAGAGACTTTCAAATGCATGGACCCCTTCCCATTCCTAGTCTAAATAAATGTTAACTTCCATGCCCAATTTTACATATGATTTTTTAATTCTTTTCTCATAGACCCCACTTCCCCAAATCATATGTGTTTCAGATCCCACAATACCAAGATCTGCTCCTGTTGTAATCTTAAAAGATCTTGTCTTTTCTTACATGATTAAAATTCATGACTGGGAACACAGAAAGCAAGATCCAATCCTATAAGACAGAGGGTAGATATAAAGTTCCCATTAGGGGTCCCCCTGTCTCTCTGCCTATCTCTGTGGCCATTTAGACTTCATGCCTGACACAATTAGGATGGGATTATTTGACAGCATGACATTTCCAGTAGACTGCAGTAGAATGTAGTCCTATTTCCCGAAGGATTGGCTAAGAAACTCAGTTGAACTCGGACTTACAGGAAGGTCTCAGGGGCTGATTGACAGCGTGGCTGAGTGGAGAGAGTATGGACTTTACCATTTAAAAAAATCCATAGACTTGAACCCTACCTCCTTCATTTAAGAGTTGACATTGGGTAACATACTTGACTCCTTTGAGCTTCAGTTTCATCTTATGTAAATTGGTCACTGTTGTTAAGACTTATAGAGATGAATGGAAGGTAGCTGGCTCTATTAATATATCCTATGAATGTAACCATTAATTATTAGATACAATGTAAGAAGCCAGATAAGACAGACAGAGTAGATGAGGCAAGGGTGAATATTATCTCCTATTTATTATCATTTGTTTTACATATGGTTATCTATCCATGTCCTACAGATGTCGAGTATCACCCTAAAACTGTTTGTCCTGATGCTTGTCCTCCTCCCCGTTTAGGACAGATAGAATCTTTCATAGTCATAGATATTCATTCATTCATCCATTCATTCATTCATTGAATTTATAATTACTGAGCTCCTGCTGGGTACTCTTCTAGGTGCTGGGGATGCTATAGGGAAAAAACCACTGAGGTCCCTGATATTGTAAAGGAGTTGGCTTTAGTTGCAGCAAAGCCTCTCTGTCTCTGCATTATATGCTAGGGAAAGCAGAGAATATAGGCTTAGATATTGGTGTATCCATAATGGGAAGTTGAGAGATATTGTGTCCAACTGCTTTCTTCTTAGTTAGTATGAAGTAGGGTGAGGTGAAAAGCATTTGTGTGGTGGGGAGTAATTGATATTTCAAGGAGAAAGGAAATACCATATAGTCTTATCAGAGCCTGGGGAAGTGAATTTACCGAGCAAATGTGAGAAGATTGCCGGGCAGTGCTGAGTGCCCATTTGAGATTCGCAGTCATAGTTTTAAAAGAACACTCTTCCTGACTTAGATAAAGGAGGCATTTTCTTGGGTATATTACTGCAAGATCATTCTTACAGACGTGTTCAAAGAGAAGGGAAAGACTCGGTGGCAAATGAGAGAATAGGGAAAAAAGCAAGAAATGTAGAGAGTATCTGTTAGTACAACCCTCCAAATTTGCAAAAACAAATATTGTAGCTCAGACGATGGAGGTACCACCATGGAAGACTTAAAATTGAACAAGGTAGGAAGGGTATGGGAATGGTGTCCTCCAGATGTGTGATGAGGCTAAGGCACTGACTTAAAATCCCATTTCCTAGTGGTTTGACTGCAATTTTGTACTATCGATCCAAATAATTTGTAAAATATCTCAGGGAGAAGACCCAGCAAAATGTGTTCAAATAGTAGTTTATTTATTATGTTGAAAATGCTTAAGAAAAAACTCTCAGACTTCTCTTAAAGCAACAGATGAATTCCTGAAAGGTGTTTATATACTGTGCCTTCACAAATATAGTCAAACTCCAATACATAGACGGAATTTTCTACTTGTATTCTGAATTTCAGTGATGAAGATTTATTCATCAGACTTTTTTCTTTTTTTTTCTTTCTTTCTTTCTTTCTTTCTTTCTTTCTTTCTTTCTTTCTTTCTTTCTTTCTTTCTTTCTTTCTTTTTTTTTTTTTTTTTGAGGCGGAGTCTAACTCTGTCGCCCAGGCTGGAGTGCAGCGGCGCGATCTTGACTCACTGCAACCTCCACCTCCCGGCTTCACGCCATTCTCCTGCCTCAGCCTCCCGAGTAGCTGGGACTACAGGCGCCCACCACCATGCCTGGCTAATTTTTTTTTTTTGTATTTTAATAGAGACAGGGTTTCACCATGTTATCCAGGATGGTCTCGATCTCCTGACCTCATGATCCACCCGCCTCGGCCTCCCAAAGTGCTGGGATTACAGGCGTGAGCCACCGCACCTGGCCATCATCAGATATTTTTAATGGTGGTGCATTTGTACTTCTCTTGTGTCTGTGTTAGCCGTAAATCATCTCTTATTAGCTTTTGGAAAGTTTGATACCTAGTTGTCATAGACCTAATTCCCTGCCTTTGAAAATATGTAGAAAATGGTTATTAAGATCAGTGAGGTTTATAATTTTGTATGTGCATCTACACATACCTATTTGTACACAAATGTTTGTATAAACATATGCTAGACTCATGGGTGCACACTCTAGCACACTCCACACACATACACATACTCCATGAACATAAGCCATGAGATTTACCAGTTAACATGCATTGAGCTCATTGAAGAACCCTGAGTCTTTTGCACCAAGACCTGTTGAAGATTTTCTGGGAGATGAATTTATATTTAACCATGTGTACAAGTACAGAGGCAGAAGGAGGGACATTGTGAAAAAGGGCACTGGATAAAGAATAAAGCTTGTCTGTGGGTTGAAATGGAACATGCTGTGCCTTTGGGAGGAAAACACCCTGACTACAATCCCTGCTCTAACAAGCTGTGTGATCTCAGGCAAATTATTTAACTTTTCTGAGCCTCTACTTCTTCTATAAAATCCTCAGCTGGATCCAGCTCATGGACTATTGTCTGTAAAGAATACATATTTAATAGACATGAAGTGCTTAGCTTACAATGACTAGTTCTGGCTCCTCATAAGGGCACGGTAATGTGCTCTTACATCTACCTAGTTGTTGCTTGCCAGGTCATGAACTTCCCTTCCTGACCTTGAAAAGGCTCTGTCATAACCAATGTGGTTTCCTGGCTGCCTCTTTTAGGTCCCAGACTTCTGCCCCTTCTAAGCTTGGTTTCCTCTCTCACCTAATCAGTGTCATCTTCCTTGGCCCAAGTTCACTCAGCTCGGGCAAGAGCCTTGTTTCATTTGCATGTTGATAAATTCTCCCATCTATTCACCACAAGTCCCATGAGAATGGCAAATACAACTGTGTTGAAAAGATACTCAGAACATATTTCTTAAATTAAAAGAACAAGTTTCAAAACAGTATGCAAAATAATGATCTCATTAAAAAAGTATACACACGGGAGGTTGGTATATACACACAGTGACATTTTTCATTTCTTCTTTGAACATGTCACTTTTTGGCATGTGTTTATGTAGCTTTTTTTGGAGGTTAATTTTAAAAAGAGAAGAATATCAATATGAAACATACATTATTTTTTTTTCCCAGGAGGAGAAAAGCAGTCCGCTTTGGAACATAGTAATTTATCAACGTAAAATGAAAAACATTTTTGGGTCCAGAAAACATATTTAACATTGAGGAGTTATGAGTTTGTTTTTAATCTTTAAAAATAAGAGAATTCAGGGTCAACATCTTGGTGCTAATGCCAGATTTTTATACCTTGAAGTCATTTTTCAACTTCAAGTCAAACAGTTTCTGGAATCATTGATAAAGAGCCATCTCTATAAATATTTCTATGTCAAAAAAGTTATCAAGAGCCCAGGATTTTGATGTTTTGCCTAGGAGTCTTACTTAACTAAAAGAAAAGCTATTTTTTTTTGTACCTGCTAAGAGAAGCTTTAGTTTTCTGATTCTTAGGGACAAACCATTTCACTCCATTGATGTGTTTTGCTTCATTTCCTCTGCAAGGGAAAATTGGAATGTGTATGTGACATGTGGGAAAGGGTGGGGTGAGGAAGCGGGTATAGAGTGGGAGTCTGTGGCTGCTTGGCAATTCTCAGCTTCCTTCATTTCTGAGTTTCCATTTTATTTCCCTAGCAGCAGCTTCTTGCATCTGCCTAGGCACCATTCATGTGAAAACCTAGGTAAGAATTATTTAATATGAGGAACAGATTTAAAAGGAAAGGAGTGATAGAGGTTTCAAGCAGTACACAGACGCATTTAAGACCAGTGCAAAGATTCCATTAAATGGCTTACTAGGCAGGAATCCTAAGTACATCTCATACATTTTTTTAAAGTACTTTATAAAACTTGTCCTTAGGGATGATCCATATAATTTTCCTCTTTCATTACTAGATTTATTTTCTTGAATAAAAAAGGGACTTAGATTAGTTCACTTTTAATTCAAATTGATGCAATTTGCAGTAGAAAAAAAATCCTTGCTTTGGGGCTCTATGCTATGGGATAGTTAATGAGTACAAATACATGGTTAGATGGAATAAATAAAATCTAGTGTTTGATAGCACAAGAGGATGACTATACTCGACAATAATTTATTCTATATTTTAAAACAACTAAAAGAGTGGAGTTAGAATGTTGGTAACAAAAATAAATGATAAATGCTTGAGGTAACAGATGCCCCAATTACCCTGATTGAATCATTACACATTATATGCCTGTATCAAAATATCAAATAAATATATACACCCATTATGTATCCTTAATAATTAAAAATTAATAAAAACATGCTATGGTTTTAGAATCTAAACTAAATAAGATATGACTTGTACTTTCACAGAACTGAAGTCCAAAGACAATTTCCCCCTAAAAGCACACTGTGTTGAATTCAAATAGCCTTGTGTTTTCATCCAAACCCAGTCAATAATAGTTATCTGTTCTTAGTTTTCCTTTATTAACAAGTGGGGATAAGATTTACCTTATAGATTGGTTGTGAATATGGAATACTATACAGCCATGAAAAAATGAGATCCTGTCCTTTGGAGCAATATGGATGGAGCTGGAGGCTATTATTCTAAGCAAACTAATGCAGGAACAGAAAAGCAAATACCACATGTTCTCATACATATGTATAACATTAGGTGCAGTTGCCAGCAAAGAGGGGTGACTTGGTCAGTACTTACTCAACTTTGTATCACAGATGTCCTGGTGGTGGTCCAGAGTGTTGATTCTGACGCAATCATCTGAATTTGAACCCAGGCCCAAGAACTTACCCAATTTGTAATGTTGGGCACCATGCTTATCCTTTCTGTGTCTCAGTTTCTTCATCAGTAAAAAGAAGATAATAATAGTATTTATCTTATAGAGTTCTTGAGGATAAAAAGGCAAAATATATAAAGCACCTGCAGTGTCTGGCTCAAGGTTAACACTATGTAAGCATTTGTTCTTATTCTTTTTCATAACTGTCAATTATTTTCCAAAATCTAGTCTAAGCGGTTAGTCCATTTTCTCTCTCTTTTTTTGTTCTGTAATAATGATAGGGACTTCTGTTTTAGTTTCATTCTCCTTTTCCTTTTATTACGTTTTGCATGAGTTTTGCCTATAGCCTAATCATACATCTGTGCATGATTAAAGCATCACAGAAAAATAGGCAAGTTATAAGGTTGTGGGTACAGTTATAACCTTGGGGGAAGGATAGTTGTGCTGTGATCCAGTGATGAGTTAACAGCCCCACCTGGCTAATCCTCATACAGATGTGTGTGTGCATGTGTCTCTGGTAGCAAGGAAGACCTCAAGAGAGACTGTTCAGGAGTCAACATAAATCTTGCCACTGGTAGAAAAAAGCTGCTGATGTTTAAATACCTGTCTTCTCCAGTAAACCCACAAGCATATTTTTAAGGTGGAAAGAGTTTCTAATTTATACTTATATTTCCTGCAGCTTTACTTAGTAGATGCTCATCAAATGTCTATGAATGAATAAGAATCAGGCAAATCATTAAAATTAATATTACTTTTATATTGCTAAATCAGATTTTATAGTATTTGTTTCTTCCAAAATATATTTTGGTATTAACTATATATATATTTTTTTGATTTCTCAATAACCAAAGTGCAAAAAGCAGGATAAGGTGGATGGAAAGTTAAAGAAGGCAAAAATAACATCCTGGGAGCCCTAATTAGTCTTTATGTAGGTTTCAGAAGTCCTCACAAGGCTTCCAGAATTCCTTGCAAAATAGGTTTATGTGGGAGTCATAAGTAGTATGAAATTTTGTAGAAAAACACTTGGTATCAGGTTCTTCCACAAACTTCCTTACGTAAGTAACTAGTAGGACTTTTGAGACGTAAATTAACTTACCTGTGTCCCAGGTTCCTCATCTGACACATGGAGATAATTACATATGTTTCAGGGGATTATTATGATAATTAAATGAGTTAACATATGCTGTTCACTTTGAGCAGTGCCCAGTTTTACAGAACTCTGTTCATTGCTGTATCATTATAATACTCATCAGACAGTACATGAATATGTTTCCTCTTTTGCTTTTGCATAATAATTATGAGATATGGACCTATGTTTAGTACACACATATTTCTTCTCATGTATCTATAAATACATTCTATTGGGAATGTACATGGTATTATTCTTTATTCATGTAAATGATACTTATTTTATTTCCCAAATTAATGTGAGCTCACAACATTTCAGGCGATGCAGAAGTCTATGAAATAAAAACAGAAGCCATTCTAGCCCTTGCCTTTCTCTTCTCTAGTATAGCACTACTGGAGCAACAGTAGTATCTAAAATATTTTCAGTAGAATTTCAAAGTCAGGCAATGCTTCCAGGGGGAGAGGACTCTATGGTCATAAAATTTTGGACACATTGTCCTGTAGGCCCTTCCCAGAAGCTCAAAATATACTTCAGCATTTTAAAAGTGTTGAGGAATCTTACAGTAAACAAAACAGCCTGCTTTTGTTTAATCCCAAACAATGGTGTCTCCTTGTAGCCTCCTCTCAATTACATTTCCGAGTTGATGTATTAAGCCCTAGGGTGCATGGAAGAATGGAAAGAACATGAACATCAGGTCCAAAAGGTCTGGATTTTACCTCAAGATCTGTCCCTTGGTTTACATGCTATAATTTGTCTTTTCTTTTCGTTTTATTTTTAATTTGTCTAAATCTCAATTCTCTTATCAACAAAATAAGGATACTATTTTATCCTGAAAAACTTGTGAAAATTAAATAACAGATGAAAAGCACAAGCATATGTCATAAATGTTACCTCCCTTCTCTTCTCTCCAGTGAATGAAAATAAATTTACAGCGGTTTCTGACAAACATCAGGAATCCCTAGGGCAAATTTCTCATTTAGGAGAAATGTTTCTGGCTATAGTTTAAAATAGAAATGAGGTGCCTCACTCTCTGAAGGATTCCCTTTTCAAAGAAAATACTTCCAGGGATTGGTCTCTGCCTCATACTTGCCTTTACCCCAAAGCCATATACCTTATTTCCCCATTTGCCATTGTGTGGCTTAAATATGTGACCAGTTAGAGGTGCTGTCTACTATATAACATGTTTGGCCATGTTAATTCTCCCCTGCTCAACCAATTGTTGCTTCATATTAATAGGGAACGGTGGCCTTATCATAGGCAGGTATCCAGACTAGCATTTTACTCAGTGAAATGCATACACAATGTTGTCCAATCAAACATTCTATTTACTCCAAGTATTCAGACCTCTTGGCTACTTATTTGAAAGTTGATAGCTGTGAGGCTGGCATTCAAAATAGGAAAGATAAGGAGAAAAAAAGCGGTAACCAAGATAAGTGGAGGACATGGAAATTCCCCTGTGTATCTACATGTAAATGGCAAAGAAGCTGGATTGGGAGAAGGATGAAAATGGATGAACAAAGGCTCTGAGTGCTCTGGCGAGCAATTTCCATTTAGAGTTTGTCTCATTTCTTATACACAGTGTTTGTGTTATTGCAATAAGTCATGCTATCTTTAGAACAAAGTTGGTAACTCCTTGTGCAGTGCTAGATGGCAGGCATCAAGCCATGCTTTTGTGTTGTTTATTTATGTTTATTTTATTTTATTTGAGACAGGATCTCGCTGTATCACCCAGCCTGGAGTGCAGTGGTATGATCGTGGTTGAGTGCAACCTCTGCCTCCTGGGTTCAAGTGATTCTCCTGCCTCAGCCTCCCAAGTAGCTGGGATTACAGACACCTACTACCATGCCTGGCTTTTTTTTTGTTTTGTTTTTGGATTTTTAGTAGAGACGGAGTTTCACCAAGTTGGCCAGGCTGATCTCGAACTCATGACCTCAAATGATCCACCCACCTCAGCCTCCCAAGATGCTGGGATTACAGGCATGAGCCACCACGCCCGGCCTTGTTTGTTTTATAGATTGTAGTTTCATGGCATTGTTTTCCTTTGGGAGGCAGTTGGCTCATCAACTGCTTCCTAACATCAAATTTTTCTTGCCTTTATGGTTTTATCTCTGATAAAATGAAAACTAAAGATATATAACAATTCTTCAGAAATTCAGAGTGACTCATTTGGAACATATGGTGATTAGCACACTGTTCAAACTGAGGTTCTGAGCAAATCTTCATTCACAGAATGAATTTAAATATATTAGTCTAAATAAGATATGGAGTGGGGAATATTTAAAATTTTGGGAGACCTTTTCAAGCAACCTCCAAGTTCCTCAGACACTATTTAAATAATGCATGTAATTAAAAAATATTTGTATCAGTTCATTAAAATATTAAAGAAGGGTGCCAAATAGGCTTGACTTTCTTATCCTAGTTTGCATTAATATTTAATTTAAAAAATATTTGCTAATGGATCAACCTAAGCCATAATGGGGATATTGTACATTTATGTGTGTGTATCAAATGTGGCACTGCCTGAAAAAGGTGGGGCATTAAAGGCACTGATATAGGCATCAGAACTATTGAAGTTTGAATCTCAGATATTCCCCTTACTATATATGCGATTTGGGCCAACAGCTGTAGCAGAGGCTGTTGGGGTCTGCTCAGGTCTCTTGGAATCCCTTCTCCCGGTGGGTGTGTTCATCCCCCAGAAGTGGGCACCCCCAAGTGCTCACGTCGGTTACATTTTCTGCAGGATTACTTTTGGGTAACTACAGCCAAGGCTACACACACACACACGCACACACACACACACACACACACACAAGGGCACCCACATGCGCAGTAACAGGAACAGGTATATTTAAGTCCATTCTCTTGTCTTAAGACAGGAAAAACTCTGCTTTCCTGTTTATCCTCGGAGATCTCCATGGATCAGACTAGAGCAAAACTTCCCTTGAAAAATCTTAGCTCCTATCCCTTCCCCTCTTTTACCTTCCTACATCTCATTCCTACCATGCCTTGAGAGCACTCCCTTCAAAAGCCATGTGTATACAAATCCTGCCTTGGGCTCTACATCCAAGGCATTTGACCTAAGTCAGTTGATTTAACTTCATTGTGTCTCAGCTTCTTTTTTCTGGAATGACATCTGCAAAATGAGAAGTACCAAACAGCTTGGCCAGTTCAAAGTAAGTGTTCAGTAAAGGCGGCTGCTCTTGCTTATACCTTTTGTTGCTGCTATTATTATCATTCTTTGAATTAATAACTGATGTGTTGAGGCATTAAACCACTTTTCAAAGTTAGATAACAAAAAGTAAATTGCAGATTTCTTTTCTTTTTTTTTTTTTTGAGACGGAGTCTCGCTCTGTCGCCCAGGCTGGAGTGCAGTGGTGCAATCTCGGCTCACTGCAAGCTCTGCCTCCTGGGTTCACACCATTCTCCTGCCTCAGCCTCCCAAGTAGCTGGGACTACAGGCGCCCGCCACCACACCTGGCTAATTTTTTGTATTTTTGGTAGAGATGGGGTTTCACCGTGTTAGCCAGCATGGTCTCAATCTCCTGACCTCGTGATCTGCCCACCTCGGCCTCCCAAAGTACTGGGATTACAGGTGTGAGCCACCGTGCCCGGCCAGTAAATTGCAGATTTCAAAGCAGGCAATTTAATAATATGTGCTAATGGGTATTTTTACTTGTTTTTATTTTTATTTTTTTTGTGTGTGTGTCTTTATAGTAGCATGATTTATTTATTTATTTATTTTATTATTATACTTTAAGCTTTAGGGTACATGTGCACAAGGTGCAGGCTTGTTACATATGTATACATGTGCCATGTTTGTGTGCTGCACCCATTAACTCGTCATCTAGCATTAGGTATATCTCCTAATGCTATCCCTCCCCCCTCCCCCCTCCCCATGAAATAGAATTTGCTTCATATGTATATATAGATTCAATAAGTATTTATTTTCACATGGACTAGTTCAGAGTAGTTTGTCTGTAAAAACTTATGGTCGAGTAAGGATATTAGACAAATATTTGAATATCATACAAGAAAGACAAATGAAAAGATCTATGATATATGAAAACATAATGGTATGTTTTCTCAAGACAAGAATAAATCACCTTCAGATTATGGCATGAGAGAGAAAACGTTAAAAGATGGAAGAATGGGTCAATGGATAGGTGGTTGATTGTCCACCTAGCTGGCTGAAATTTTTACATAATTTTATGAAGGAAAAATGTATATTTCAAAAGATTCACCCATTTTAAATATAAAAGTCAATTTTTATAAATATACCAAGTTGTACAATCATGATATCTAACCAATTTTAGGACAGTTCTTTCATCCAAATAAGATCCCACCTACCCATTTACAGTTAACCTCCACTCCCACCAGGCAACTACTAATCTACTTTCCGTCTTTATAGATTTTCCTTTTCTGGATACTTCGTACAAATATATTCATAGAAAATGGGGCCTTTTGTGTCTAGTTTTTGTTGTTTCTTTTTTACTTAGCATTTGTGACCCATTGATGTAGTAGCACATGTGAGTAATTCAGTCTTTTATTGCTAAATAGTATCCCTTCTATGAGTTTGCCACGTGTTTAACCATTCAGCAGTTGACGGAGATTTGGGTGTTCTCACTTTTTGGCTATTTTGTGTGCAAGTATTTGGGTGGCAAAGAGATGTATTTTAACCGCTGAAAGTGAGGCAGCAGTGAAGGAAATACTATGAGTCAAGAATGGAGATGAAAACTGTGTCATGTTTAAGAAAGAGTGACTAACTTACTGAGCAGAAGCAAAGAGTATCATAGAGGCATGAAGGAATTTGAAAAACAGCAAAAGCAACAGCACAATTTGCCAGCACACATTGAGAGAAATATGCATCTTCTTATATTTTCTGCCTAAAAAATATTTCATGCTCTACACATATTGTGAAACACTGGATAACATAAACCTGTCTGAGAAAATAACAATACTTTTTAGCATTTTATAGACTTCAAGTAGCCTTATAGTAAAGATACCAATTTTAAAAATGTATTTAAAAGCTTAACTAAATTTTAACAGCATTACACACACACACACACACACACACACACACACACACTCACACATCTTTTGGTGCCAGTCTTTAACACATCACAAATGCTTGTATATTTCTCTTTTGGCAAAGAGATCACAGTCCTGAACTCAGAACTAATATTTGAAGACAATATTTTATTTATATTTGTAGTTATCTCTTTATGGTAAAAGATATCTACTTATAGTTTGGTAGTGATATAATATTTCCTTTAACAATAATGTATTTAAGTGTAAGTTAAATGAATTAACGTAAGAAAAATAACAAATAACATATAAATTAAATGTAGATTTGCTAGTGCAATTACAGGTAGCTACGTGACTAACTGAAATTTGGGAAACACAATTCTAAGCTTTACCTAAACTGAGAATGTCTCACTTATGAGAACTTACCTGATATTTTTCAAAACACATTTTTAGAATTGTTTTATGTCTTTTTAGTGATCACATCCTGTTGCCTAGAATCCACCACTCTATTCTAGAAGTTAGCCAAGTGAACAGTATGCAGCCATCTAGAATTGAAGGTTATGGATGAAGGGGTTGTGCAAGACATGAAAACCACTTTCCAATAGCATTTTGTGTTTTCTTTCTTCACCAAGAAAATTGCAGGTTTGCAGCCGGTGATGAAAAGCTCATGGCTATTTCCACATCTCCATCTCATTAGGTGCAATCAGTTCAGTTGGCAATTTCAGAGTGTTTCACTTAATCCAATATTCAGATCAATGGGAAGTTGCCATATGTACACAGGTTATCAATTTTCAAATAATTGGAATGCAATAAAATAAACCCAACACTCTCATGATGCTGCACACAATTTAATCTCTCCTTGAGTTGTGTAAATTCAGGGTCTCAAAGACTACTTAGAATATCAGTTAGGTGTGTACCTAAGTGCAAAGAGACCACTTAATCACTTTGCAATTTATTGGATTCCAGATAACAGAGTTTACTGGAGTTCAAGTTTCTCTACCATCTTCACAGTGAGTCTGTCACTGCTCTAAACTTGACACATCAATCAGATTTTATTTCAGTCCATGTATGTCACCTATGTATCTGTCTATTCCAGTGCAGTGTTACTGCATCCATAGGAGTAGCTGTTTTTTGGCTGGGTGCGGTGACTCACACCTGTAATTCCAGCACTCTGGGAGGCTGAGGTGGGTGGATCACCTGAGGTCAGGAGTTCAAGGCCAACCTGGCTAATATGGTGAAACCCCATTGCTACTAAAAAATACAAAAATTAGCTGGGCGTGGTGGTGCGTGCCTGTAGTCCCAGCTACTTGGGAGGCTGAGGAAGGAGAGTTGCTTGAACCCAGGAGGTGGATGTTGTGGTGAGCCAAGATCGCGCCACTGCACTCCTGCCTGGGGAACAGAACAAGACTCCATCTCAAAAAAAAAAAAAAAAAGAAGAAAATGTAACTTTTTTTGTTAAAAATAGATCATTTAAACTATTATAGAGAGGATAAAGCGTATCTTATAGAATTGAGGACGTGATAGCTGTGGACTTGAGATATACAGGTGTATGGGTTCTTTTCTTTCTTGTATTTAATTAAATAACAACATAATGACTGGAGCATTCACATCTCCAACTCACACTTGAGTCTCTGCTACGCAAGAAACCCAAACCACTATGGCCCACATAAACTTCTCTTAACTTCCAGTCCTTACTCACAACACATGTCCTAGTTCCCAGTACTACCATGTAGTGATACCATAGAATAGTAGGTTTTCCAGTGTTCTAATTGCTTTTTATTTCAATTGTATTACTTAACACATTGCAAGGATCTAGTGACCCAAGTCTCACTGGTGGTTGCTAGATGGGTTGATTCTTTCATTTAACAAATACTTTCTGTAGGTTATTGAAGAAAATTTGGACTTTTGGGGAAAATAATGAAAGTTTGGAGAGAAAAGTGTTATGATATGGTTTATATTTTCAGTGGATCATTCTAATGGATGTCTTCATGGGGGAATGGGAAAGGTAGAAGTATGAAAACCACTTTGGAGGCTTTTGCTGTTACTAGAAATGATGGTGCAAATTAGAGTGGTAGAGATAACAGGTGCTTGTTTTCTATTGTACTTTACAAAGTGCCTGCTATGTGTCTGTTTCTGACATATTGTTTAATAAATACAATACTGTATTCCTACCTGCCTTACACCTCTCCACCTCCCAAACTTTTGACCTTTCAATAAATATAGAAAACTCTTATCTCTGCAGATTTACAAAATAGTCTCAGGATCCAAGCTGATGGGGAAGGAATGGGGTGCATTACATAGTTGCTGTGTTTAGCAAAATCCTTCTTTTGCATCATATGCAGTTCAGTGCATCTTGATTTTGAATAGATTCATTTCATTTTTTTGCATAGGCCGACAAAAGAATGGAATAAATGTAGACTGTATATTCTGCTAATGCAACATCAAAAAGCCCTGCAATATTTAGACAAACTGAGTGACTAGAAACTGATTTTGGCAATCTGCCTTTTCATAATAAAGAGGAATGTGGCAGTAGTGTAATATTGGAGGTCTCATCCCTAATAGTTCAATTTGCTAGTGCTAGGAATGATGGCGAAATGAACTCTTTTAATAGTAAAGTGCTGCTTTGTGAGATGTTGTATCTTAACATGGAAAAAAATTTTAAGCTGAACAGGTCCTCATAATTAATTTTTGAAATAATGAGTGGTTAATTGTATGCCCATTTTACAGAAGAGGAAGCCAGGGCTCAAATAGATTATAGTACGTGACTTAGCCAAGGATATTCTATCTGAACACACCCAAAATATACACTTGTTATCAACAGGGAGGTCCATCTACTGTGTCCACTGATGTATCACCAGTGCCTAGACTAGAAGCTGGCTGAATTAATATTTGATGAATAATTTAATTGATATTAAATTATTAATATTAATATATTTAATATTAGCTCTTGTTTCTAGGTTTTTACTACTATGGATGTGTAGGGCATATATATATGTGTGTGTGTGTATATGTATGTATGTATATATATATATATAATCTTTAAAGTTCTGTATGGTGAAACAATAGGCCAATACCAAAACTCAGTTTTCAAAAAGTAAATCCAAAGCCAAATATTTTTATTTAATATTGACTTTAATTAAAGTACTACATGAACTTTTAAAAAAGAAAATGAAATTGTACCTTAAAGCTTGTGACCCTTCACCTATAACAGAAAAATACACAAGAAGAAAACCAGAAAAGCAGCAACTTGTGCCACCCTACCCTAACTCTGAATTCTGCTTCATAGATGCAATTTCCTTGAAACTTTTGACTGTTTGTTCTACCATTACGTTGATGCAAAATAAGTAGTTGTGGTTTTTGCCATTAAAAGTAATGGCAAGCCATATTACGTTTCCACCAACCTAATATAAGCTTTCATAATACATCTGTTCTTACTCATCGTCCTTGAGTTTTCCATTTCAGGTATTACCTGTCTTCCACATATGGAACATGAGGATTATCCTCTCTAACAACACCCCTTTATCTCTATACACATTCTCCCTTATCACCAACCTCCTGATGTTTTCACTCAACATTCAAGGGCTTGCATTATTACAGTCATGTAATACTATTCCCACCTCTTCTAGATAGCATACGATTGCATTTACTACCTTGTTTTCCTTAGAGTAAAAATGGCATCTTTTTGTTTTCATTTGCCAAAGTTTCTGTATATGTATAATTTGCCAATTTCAATTTTAATCTCAAACTGTAATTCCCCATCTCCCCTCTGCCCTTGGGGACATCTCTCCTTAACACTTTCCTCTTGTTGCCATTGGCAGCTGTTCTCTAGGTCTCCTCAGGCTCACTTAGAACTCTCTTTGCTGCATAGTATTTCATGGTGTATATGTACTACATTTTCTTTATCCAATCTGTCACTGATGGGCATTTAAGTTGATTCCATGTCTCTGCTATTTTACATATACATCATGGAATACTATGCAGCCATAAAAAAGAAGGAGATAATGTCTTTTGTGGCAACCTGGATGGAGCTGGAGGCCATTATCCTTAGCATACTAATTCAGGAACAATTACCACATGTTCTCACTTATAAATAGATGCTAAGTGATGAGAACTCATGGACACAGAGAGGGGAACAATAGACACTGGGGCCTACTGGAGGGTGGAGGGTGGGAGGAGGGAGAGGAGCAGAACAAATAACTATTGGGTACTACGCTTAATTCCTGAGTAAAAATCTGTGCAACAAACTCCTGTGACATGAGTTTACCTATATGACAAACCTGCACATGTGCCCCTGAACTTAAAATAAAAGTTAACAAAGAATTATCTTTACCTCTTTCTTGGGTTACATTCCACATCCTCTTCTGATTTGCTGCTCTCTCATTAGTGAAGTGTGTCTTCCATTACTTCCCAAGAAAGAAAGTGGGAATTTTTTACAAAGATTTTCACTCTCAATTAAAAAAAAATCTCATCACACATGACCTATAATTTATATTGGAATTTAGGAGAACAGTTTTCTTCCGATTTTTTAAAGCTTTACTTTTTCATATTCTCATATCTTGTTTAAAAGCAGAACGCCATTCTTTTCATCTAACCTATTTTATTTTTTCTGTCTGGAAGCTGTTTAGCATTTTATCTTTATCCAGGTGCTGTAAAATTCAGAAAAATGTGCCTCAGTATGGATTTCTTTTCTTTCACTGTTTTGTGCCTTTGATAGGCCCTTTGAATCTGACGGCCTAATGCTTCAACTCTGGCGAATTATTTTGCTTTATTTCCTTGAAATGTGTTTCTCTTTTATTGATTCTGCTTTGTCTTTCTGTAAATTCTGTTAGTCAGATATTGAGTCTCTTGAATTGCTATTGCAATTTTCTAATTGTTTACCTCTGACTTTGCAGCACTTCTAAAACGTATTTCTTTATGTGAGATTCTCTTAAATTTATTTTTACTCTTCCTTAATGAACTCCTTTTTATATCTGCTAACAATTTTCTTTGAATTTATGAGAGTTGTTTATTACTGTGTTTTCCTCTTTTATTATACAATGGCTACTTATTCTTGTTCCATTTATGTGACCCTTTTAAAAATGTTACCCTAGGGTATCAAATATATTTTTAAAATTTATTTTTGTTTGTTTCCTGCACTGAATCTGTAGCCTCTGAATTCCTTATACTATTTGTTTTGATCTCTGCTTTTCCATCCTTGGCTCTCTATGAATATTTCAGAGTGAGATAATAATATGCTGATTGCATTCTGTATGACTGAGCAGACCTTGTTTATTGGTGACTTTCACTGTAGGCTGATGAGTTGAAAAATCTAGTCATTTTCATCAGAAGAGCCTGAAAAGTTCCTATCTGTGGATCTTTTCTCTGGGGCCACAGCTGATTTCCTATTATTTGCCAGTTGGAATTGAATACGGCTATATGAACACAAAAATCTTACTTTAGTTGCTTAACTATATGTATATTTTTCCTCTCAATAAAAAGGCTGAAGTCCTGACAGAGTTATATCTTGACTTCACACCGTGCTTAGCATATGGCTTTTATCACACTTATCATCCATAGTCTCAACATTGTTGCTGCAACTCTAACCTCATATTCATGTTCCAGACAGGATGGAGAATAAATAGTGAAGAAAGAAGGAATGACACTGATATTAAAATAAAGGAATGAATTGATGAGTAAACGGACAAACAAAAATTCTCAGAGCTCCTTAGCAGACCTCTGTTTACACCTCATTGGCCCAAAACTATATCATAAAATCATTTCTAGTTGCAAGGGAGTCTGGGAAGTTGAAGTTTATAGATGGGCCACTGTCATTACAAACAAAAGTAGCTTTCTATTAGAAAAAAAGAAGGGAGGATGGGTATTGAATAGGAAAGCTAGCAGTGCTTGCAACATGAAACAAAATAGGTAAGACACATAGACCAGGGTCAAGTTGAACAACTTCAAACTCAAAGCACTTGTCAGCACTATTACCATCTCAGAATCCAATGATGAGGAATCTGACCTAAAGACATGAAAAGACTGGGTGCGGTGGCTCACGCCTGTGATCCCAGCACTTTGGGAGGCTGAGGCAGGTGGATCACTACTTGAAGTCAAGCGTTCGAGACCAGCCTGGCCAACATGGTGAAACACTGTATCTACCCAAAAAAAAAAAAAAAAAAAGAGAAAATCTCAGTTTACTAGGACTACTGAAACAAACTACCACAAACAGGGTGGCTTAAACCACAGAAATGTATTGTCTCACAGTTCTGGAGGCTAGAAGTCTGGAACCAAGGTGTCAGCAGGGTTGTGACTGCATTTTAATTTAAACGGTCACATTCACAGGCACTGTGGATTAAGGTGGCGCCTGGTTGTGTGTTGTGAATAAAAGCTACTATTTTCCTAGGGTATTTTGTTACCCGGTTGGACAGAATGTAGTGGCACCATTTGCTTGAGGAAGTTCTATATCAAGTTTGTCCAACCTGCTGCCTGCAGGCCACATGTAGCCCAGAATGGTTTTGACTGTGGCCCCAACACAAATGTGTAAACTTTATTAAAGCATCATGAGTTTTTTTTTGCAATTCTTTTATAACTCATCAGCTATCATTACTGTTAGTGTATTTTATGTCTGGCCCAAGACAATTCTTCTTTTTCCATTGTGGTCCAGGGAAGCCAAAAGATTGGACACCCTTGGTCTATCTCATAGTAAAGTACTGCTTGACCCTCATGCATGAAGGCAAAGCCTCCGCAATTGGAATTCTACAACGTTCATACAAAAATGCTAAACCTTGAAGTATCTTATTTCCCTACAACAGGAAGGAAAGGACAAGGGGAATGGTGAAAATAGCAAAGAGAACTGAGTTTGACTTTTGTCCCAGCCATCTACTATTTATTGTTATGCTAGATTTCCTTGCTCAGAGTCCTCCTTATCTGTATAAAATAAGAATTGCACTAGGCTTTCTCATAGGAGTGTTGGGAGGATTGCCTGATTTTATTTAGACCTGGCCTGTGGTGAGAATTAATAAAGGGAAGCTCTGTTAACAATTTTCATAATTAGAAGTGTAAACACTTGCATGATTTGAGTGCCCATTTGTTCATTCTGCTTTGCTAGGCTGAGTTGCTCGCATTGAGGTTTCCTGTTTTATAGACCTATTAATCCATGTGATCTCATGTGGCTAGAGGCATTCAGCATGGGCTCATAACAGTGTACTCTGAACACTGATGCCCAGGTGTGTGACCTTCCAGGATGTCTCATGGTATAAAGGAGCACTCCACTGGAAGTCAGGAGACCTGGGTTTTGAATCACAGCTGTAAGAGTCCAGAGGGTCTTTCAGAAATTATTTTTGCTGTCAGGATCTCAACGTCTTCATCTCTAAAGATAAAAGGCTGAATTAGAAATCTATAGATAACTATGCAGATCCATGAATCAGCATATCAGAACCAATGATGGTTCCTATCAAATGTACCCAATTCTGACCAACAGGATCTGAATATTAACACCAGGGCCCAGAATTAGCTATATTTGAGTAATGGCTTTAGGTTTGAGTGCCATGGGATTAGAGGATCAATTTCTTTTAAATTTTAACATTCTATGGACCTAGATTGTCACATTTAATTTTTAAGAAATTCCTAAAAGAATTGTTTGTTAAAAGAAGAAAAAAAATCAAATTAACAATCTTCATAGTGAGTTTGAAGCAAGATACCCTCCTCTTTACTAAACTTCAGACAAAAATCAGTCATCCAAGTATAGAAACAGCTGAGTAAACTTGGTGGTATTAATAAATTTAAAACTCTCGATGAAATATTTGAATATTTATGTTTTGGGCTCTTGAGTTCTGCAGATGTTGGAAATTTGTACTTTAAGAGAATAGATGTATTTACCAAATTATTCACAGTATTTAGGGAAATGCAATTATTTTCATTGGAATTGACAGCATTACAGTTCTGTGCTATTTTAAGTAAAGCCCTTTAGGAGTCCGTAGTAATTGAATTTCTCCATTGTAGTAATGTAACCTTTTAGATATATGACCTTCTACATTTAAGTTGGGAGTGATTAGTACAAGTGTTCTCAATTTCCTCTTAGCTCCGTTGGTTTTAAAGAATTCTAAATTAATTTGTTAAATGTCATATCCCAAAGGGAGAAATAAAGATTCTTTTCTTTGTGATTGGATTTCTAAAGCTCTTTCTTAAAACTGTTGATTGTTACCTGAGATATAGTTTCAAACAGTACACATCTTGAAAACATATTCAAGGATAGTTTTTCTGTCCTTATACTTCTTTGATTGGATCCACAATTTTTAATTCTCACACACAGGCATGGTACTTCACAGCAAGTGGAAGGGTTTACAAGTGTATCCTAGTTTGTTGTTCACAGGAGCATCTGTTTCATAGAACATGTATTATTATAAGTCTTTAAAATAATTTGTATTTTTAATGAAAGAACAAACTTAAGCAGTGAGAAATTACCTGATTTTTTCCAAGGTCATATGAGACCTGCAAGCAGACCCTTAGTCTAATCATTCTTTTATCCATCATCTGTTTATTCTGCAATAATTTAATAAGCACACCTGTCCTGCTGCATACTAGGAATTGTGTTGCGTATTTCAAATTTAGATATGAATAAGACCTGGCCCTTGGAGAGCTCCAGTCAAATGGAGACACACACCTTCCATATGTACATACACACGTGCATGCATACATGAAGTGTGGAAAGTGCAATAATAGAAGTGTATATGAGGTACAGCTGTAGTATATAGAAACGAGTGATCCACCTTTCATCACCTTTCATGGGATTTGGGTATAGTAAGAGAAAAAGTTGGAAGAATTGCAGCAGCTTCAGGTTTTAGTGTAAGTGGAATTTAGAAGCTCTGCAATTTGGAGAGATAAGGATATTACACTGTATTAAATATGTTAAAATAGCATTCTACATAGAATTGAGGAAATGTTATGAATAAAGGTATGGAAAGTAAAACGATCATGGAAAGAGTATAATGATGAGGATTATGGAGTGAGTCAAGCCACTCTCCCCCGATTCCTTTACTAGTCATCATTTCTCACTGTCACTGTTAAAAGATGACTCTCAGATCCTGGCTTGAGTGCCTACTTGAATGTAAATGGCTTTCACTGAGATAGGATAATACAGGAGGGAAGTCAGACTTTCTGTGGGAGATAACTCAGCAGCAATTTCTCCATTGCTCCATGTTGCCTCCTCCGAACATACTGTCCATTAGAACAGTCAACAATTAGGAAGAAATTGCTATAGAGGATACAGTAGGTAGGTCTGATTAGGCAGGTAATGGGGGTGTAGTGGGGCAGACACTTATATTGACCAGGAATTGTGTTAAGTCAAGGGGATCATGTATTTCTTAGAAGAGGTCAAATTGATAAGGATATGTTTATTCAATTGTCCTTTTCCACTTTTGATGTACTATCAGTAATAATTAAGAATAACAATAAATAGTGTCAACTACATTGTCAACAAAGCAGTACCTTAAGAATCTGCCAGTATCATCCTTGGCAGTGACACAATAAAATGAGACACTGCAATTCTAGCTATGTTATGAGTAAGTCTATTGCCACTAAAATGCTTCATCTCAACAAAGACGATACTGATAGAGAAAAGTGGAAGAAAGAATTGCTTCAACTTACAATAATTGTGCTGTAGATAATTGACAATTGACCCTAAAAGAAAAATCAGAGAACCTTAGAATTCCATTAGCATATATACATTTCATCATCCTAATGGCACAAAGAGAAGAGTCTGTATAAAATATTTATATGTACCAGTCACCAAGCAAAATAATAGCATTAAAATGAAATACAGTGAGAATGGTGTCATGGCTTATGAAGGTGTGAATTGTTGAGCTGAATTAAACAGGCATAGCTTGTCTTAAGTCTTCTTTACTTGGATTAGCCTCCTTCAAAGTACATTCATTTTGTTAATTTCTCTACACGAAGAAGGAAACTATGTGAAAAGACTGGAAAAGGAAATTCATATTAAAGAGATGAAGGGATAGTAATAAAGAGCTCCAGGCCTGAGTTTTGCTGCCAATTTCCTTATCCGTAAAATGGGGATAATAATAACTCTATCTAATAGTTTGCCATGAAGATCTGATGACTGACTTGCATATAAAATGCTTGGGAAAATATATGACTCACAGTAAGCACTCAATAAACATGAGCTATTATTATAATTTAGTGTTGTTTTTATATATGAATAAATAATAATAGCCAACTCTAATATAGCATTTGTAATGTGCTAGGTAATATTCCCAGAGCTTTTCATACAATAATTCATTTACACTTCCCAACAACTTTATGGGGTCGGTACTGCTATTATCCTGAATTATGTATGATGAAACGAAGGCAGAGAGGTTAAGGAAAATGTCCAAAAAATACCTAGCTATGAATGGAACCCAGCAGTCCAGCTTTGAGTCCATGTGCCTGACCACTATAAAACTGCACGAAATAAACTGCTAGCAATGCAGTTCACCTCAAATAAAAATGCTACTTGACTAAGAAGGCATTCTTCATATTTCACAGTTTCTAAGTAATGACAATTTTTTAAAAATACAGTAAAATGTATGGGGTTGCTGATGAAGAAAGCACATAAATTCTTTCTGAATGCATCTAATAGTTTTACCTCTCTGCCTTGCCCTATCCTAAGAGCTTTCTTGATTGGTAATGATTTGCTTTCCCATTCTCGATAAATCACTGCCAAACCAGCAGATAATTACTTTCCTTTCCTGTTTCAACCAATAGTTCCTGTCCCTTTTCCTTCTTATGTGTGTGCGAGCCTTATAGAAACACACTGCATTATTTACGGAAGGATTTTATTTCTCCCATTGATCCCAAGCTTCTGGAAGTGTAGCCCCAAAGCACCTGGGGGTGATTATGAAGCCAAGACCTCTCCCATCTTTATATCCTCTCCCCTACCCTGTGACAGGCAGTCCCCCAGAGGCCTCTTTTTTTTGGACCCCATCAGACCTTTGGACAACATTAGTAAAATTGTTTCCAAGAACTATCTATAAGCATTGGCACCCTGAGCATCATAAATAACACATGTTAATAAAGCAGATGAACACAGTTGCACGAGTAATGCTGCATCTCCTAAAATGCTATATTTCACAGCATAAGAAAGTCCTTTTTACTGACCACCAACAGTCTTTACTTTGTCTAGACTGAAAGCTCAGTACTAGAAATGAAAAGCAAATCTTTTCTACCTGATTGTCTCCATTCCACATGGAAAGTCTCTGACCATAACCTGTCAGACACTGTTACAGAAAAATAAATCAATAAACTTTGGTTTGGTTAATGACCTTACAGAGGGACCCCTGAATGCCTCAGATTTCGTGTGTTAAAAATCATATGACTAGATTAAAACTCTGGTTCCCAAACTGTATTATTGGAAAGTACCAGTATTTCAGGTTAGACCAAGATCCTTCTCTTTACCCTAAATTCAATAATGCAAACACTTCCTGTTTCACAAGGAAAAAATAAGTGGATAGAGCTTTTATAATTTAGAATTTTCTTTTACAATCTTTTTTTTTTTTTTTTTTGGGGACAGGGACTTGATCTGTTGACCAGGCTGGAGTACAATGGTGTGATCTCAGCTCACTGCTACTTCTGCTTCCCAGGTTCAAGCAATTCTCCTGCCTCAGCCCCCTGAATAGCTGTAACTATAGGTGCACACCACATTCCTGGCTAATTTTTGAATTTTTAGTAGAGACGGGTTTTCACCTTGTTGGCCAGGCTGGTCTTGAACTCCTGGCCTCAAGTGATCTGCCCTCCTTGGCCTCCCAATGTGCTGGGATTACAGGTGTGAGCCACCGCACCTGGGTACAATCTATTCTTAAATTAATGTGTCTTCTTCCAAGTGCTGGAAAAAAATTAATTGAATGAGCTAATAGCAAATATTTATTAATGGAGAAACCAGAAAAAGGTGGCAGATTATATTTTGGTGGCTTTGTATTTCTTCATACATAATTATCATGTGCATAATAACTCTTATTTTCTACAGTTAAAGTTGACCTTGATCTATTTGATGAATTAAATCTAATAGTATTTTGAACTGTTTTACAATCAGTAGCATGGTTTTAGGTGTTCTATCATCTTAACACGTTTACGTTACTACCTACCAACCCTCAGCAGCACTCCTCGAGTCTGAGTGTATGTCTGCACATTAGCAATACTTCTGGGTTCTGCAGAATTGTTTTCCTTGGCAGCTGAGGGTAGGCCCAATGGCTGGTACCTCATACCTTCCTTAACCAAAGCAGCTCCACTTTCATCCCTTTTTATATTTGGCATTCTGGATTTCCGTGTAAGTGTTAATTTGACCAACAGAGTCCATGACTAGAAATGGTTGGGAACCATTGTGCTAGGTATTGCTTAACACCGTCAGAGCCTGAAAAGTCTTTGAGCCTATGATACTCCCCGGTGGTTAAACTGTTTACCTAGAGTATGAAATGCTCCCACTCATGCTCTTATCCCAAAATACCTGATTTGCTTATTGAGTTAAGTACTCAACCCAATAAATTCAAATGGGCTTTGCTCTAAATTTGAAGAGTAACAGGGAAGAACTAATGTAGATATAGTTTAGGATCTTTCGCCAAACTGTCTTTCTTTTTAGCTCACATCCAAAACCAAAACCAATTCTTAAAATCATACAGGTAATGAGAATTGTGCCTGCCCAATTTGAGCTCTGATCTCTTGAGTCCCTGTTCTTTCTATGCAGCTGCCATCCTTTTCTTCCCCCCAACTTTTGAGCCATGTATTTCTTCTCTTCCTGTAAATTTCTAATTTAGGTTATCGAGATGTGGCAGTATTCACCCAGCACTCTAAAATGAAGCTGGGGCGGGCGCAGTGGCTCATGCCTAAAATCCCAGCACTTTAAGAGGCTGAGGTGGGAGGATTGCTTGAGCTCAGGAGTTGGAGATCAGCCTGGGCAACATGATGCTACAAAACATACAAAAATTAGCTGGGCATGGTGGCATGCACCTGTAGGCCCAGCTACTTGGGAGGCCGAGGTGGGAAGATTGCTGGAGCCCAGGAGGTTGAGGCTGCAGTGAGCCATGATCACACCACTGCACTCCAACCTGGACATTGGACTGAGACCCTGTCCCCCCAAATAAATAAATAAAAATAAATAAAACAAGCTGGAAATTAAGGAGTCAGTGAAAAACATAGAGACAGACTCCTTGGATTTACCTGGGCAGCTATAGTCCGCATCACACTTACTTATGATGTCTAGTCAATAGGCAAACTCTGTCTATTAGATATCCTAATTTACTTTGTCTCAATACATCTTCTCTGTCTCTTCTATCATTAGCAAACCATGTTTCACTTGGATCATTAAGGAAACCTCTCAAGATGTTTTCTCACCTTTTTAGTAGCTTTCCAGTCCTTCTTTCTCACTATAGCCAAATTGTGATTATATCACTCTCCTCTATAAAACCATGGGCAGGCTCCTTACCATGGTATACAAGGCCTCTTCCACTGTTCTGGCTTAACCCCTTGACATACCATCTTGTGTGCTTTATTTTTCAGCTATGCTGAAGTACTTGTAGGTTTATAATTAAGACAAGATCTACCTGTACTTGGGACATTTGCAGATGTAGCTCCTCCTGCCTGATAGACACACCCCACATGCACCTTAGCCTAGGTCAAACATCCTCATTCTTTACGTCTTGGCTTTAGCCATAGTTTTGCCCAGGAAGTTTTCTTGACCGTTGCCAGGACTGGACTAGGTGGGTCTTGGGTGTCTTCCCATAGCACCCAATACCATCTCTATCAAAACCCTTAGCACATGGGTTTTAAAATGTGTTTGGAAAATATTGGTGAATGAGGTGTTCCTTGCTCAAATGCCTCACAGGCTCAAAGGCCACATGTAAAAGAAATGTTCCTCTGCCCCTTGAAGTGTTGAAGCAGAAAGCAACACTGTCTCCTTGCATGTCTGTGACCACCTCCCCTCCTCTGCCTCCCTCAAGACAAAGTCAGACTCATTAGTTTAGAACTCTGTCAGTGAACACTGTCTGCAAAGTTAATTTTAGAAAACATCAATAGCTAATTAATGAGAGGAAACAGTGGTACTGGTGTTAAAGTAACAAAATATTAAAACGGGAAGTGGCATCCCTATACAAATATTTATAAACATTGAGAGCACTGTGTTTGATATTAAAGGCCTCTGTGCTTCAGTTGGTTCCATTAAAAGATCAGTAAAACCTGTTTATGTGCACCCAGAGACTCCATTTTCATATAAAAACATTATTATGCAAAGAGTCATTTCAAAATACACAGAGACTTGAATATTTATTCACTTAGTTTAAGAAAACTCTGATGTTGAAATTCCAGAAAATGTTAATGTAGAAAGATTGATACATGAAAGGCCTAAATCATTAAAAGTGACCTTTTATAATGTTGTAAAATTTAGCTGTGGGGTTGTTATATTGTACACAGGATAGAAAGTATAAGAATAACTCCCCAGGAAGAAGTTGAATCTCTGAATAGACCAATAACAGGATCTGATATTGTGGCAATAATCAATAGCATACCAACCAAAAAGAGTCCAGGACCAGATGGATTCACAGCTGAATTCTACCAGAGGTACAAGGAGGAACTGGTACCATTCCTTCTGAAACTATTCCAATCAATAGAAAAAGAGGGAATCCTCCCTAACTCATTTTATGAGGCCAGCATCATCTTGATACCAAAGCCGGGCAGAGACACAACCAAAAAAGAGAATTTTAGACCAATATCCTTGATGAACATTGATGCAAAAATCCTCAATAAAATACTGGCAAACCGAATCCAGCAGCACATCAAAAAGCTTATCCACCACGATCAAGTGGGCTTCATCCCTGGGATGCAAGGCTGGTTCAATATACGCAAATCAATAAATGTAATCCAGCATATAAACAGAACCAAAGACAAAAACCACATGATTATCTCAACAGATGCAGAAAAGGCCTTTGACAAAATTCAACAACGCTTCATGCTAAAAACTCTCAATAAATTAGGTATTGATGGGACGTATCTCAAAATAATAAGAGCTATTTATGACAAACCCACAGCCAATATCATACTGAATGGGCAAAAACTGGAAGCATTCCCTTTGAAAACTGGCACAAGACAGGGATGCCCTCTCCCACCACTCCTATTCAACATAGTGTCAGAAGAGTTTTTTTTTTTTTAATCTACCTTTATTCATGCAGGACCCGAGGTTAGTCAAACATAACACCATGGTATTATTGTCATGAGAGAATTAAAAGGCAGCTTAATGCACTCTTCAATAAGAAACAAATTCAATTAAAATACACATTAAACAGTAGAGGACTGTCACTATGAATATTCTTCTAGCTGGACAAATTTTAACAACATGACATTTTTGAGTCAGTCATATTTGAAAGAAATATAAACTTGAGTCAGCATCCATTGTGTTCATCAAGCATCACATCGTTCTATTTACAGTGGTCATAGCTGAGCTGGGCACTTTGACCATATCATCTCATTCAATCTCACACATAACCTACATTATAGCAGCTGTCATCTCATTTTACAGATAAGGAAACTGAGACATAGACTACGTGACTAGCCCAAGACCTTAGCTAACCACGTTTCACTTGGATCGTTAAGGCAATGTCTTAAGATGTTTCCTTACCTTTCTAGTAGCTTTCCAGTCCTTCTTCCTCACTATAGCCAAATTATGATTGCATCACTCTCCCCTATAAAACCATGGGCAGGCTCCTTACCATGGTGTCCAAGGCCTCTGCCATTGTTCTGGTTTAACCTCTTGACACACCATCTTGTGTGCTTTATTTTCCAGCTATGCTGAAGTACTTGTAGGTTTATAATTAAGACAAGATCTACCTGTACTTGGGACATTCGCAGATGCAGCTCCTTCTGCCTAATAGATACACCCCACATGCACTTTAGCCTAGGTCAAACGTCCTCATTTTTTACTTCTTAGCTTTAGCCATAAGTTTTTGCCCAGTTTGTAAATAATAGAGCTGAGAGTCACATTCCATTCTGGCTAAATCCAGGGAATCCAAGTTGTCATCACTATAGTATAACCCTTTCTGTTAACAGGTAACTGCTATCAAATTGACAGTCTGAGTTGTCCTCAATGTATTTTCATGTTTTTTTTTGTTTCCTTGGCATTTTGTTTTTAAGGAATAATTTGTTACTTTAGTCAAATGCTCAGCCTCAGTGAAAACATCATTAGTATATGAAAAGTGAGAAGGATAATTTGTGCAAAAATGACTATAATAGGAAAAGCATCCTCTTTACTCTCCATTGTACGCTTCGTAAAGTTGCATTTTTATTTCCTTAAAAAGAATGTCTGAGTTCAAATAAATTCACAGTGAGAACTGATACCACAGATGTTATCAGTGTGGGCTCTGTACATGTGGAAAGACTTGGGTTTTCTGCTCTACCTCTTGACATTTAAGTGAGTATCTAAATCTCTTTAAACCCCCATTTTTCATCTGTTAAATGGGACTGATAGTACCTACCTTATTGAATTATTGTGAGATAATAATATAAATGAGATAATATATGTAAATTGCTAGCACAATGGAAATGAGCAAGTGCTCAAGAAATTGTAACAATCATTATTATGGTCTTACTGAATTAATTCTGAATAATTACCTTGTTTATAGACACTTTGCAAAGTTCCTTAGCCCTTTTAAATATGTAATTGTTTCTTCAGTGTCTCAGGTAACATAAAAATTGATGCTTTCTTTGATGTGTTCAAAAGTCAGAAACAAACAGTGATTGTTTAAGTGTCCTTCCACCCATCAAATAGGTGAAGACTGGCTTTTAATTTGGAGTGCTGACTTCTGATTGTGGAACTTATTTTCCATTATGATTCTATCTCTTTGCCTCAGAGGTCAATAACTTTATTCAAAATGAACTACTGCTAATTTGACCATTGAAAACAAAATTGGCTTGTCTGTTGCTATTATTTCCTATAAATATACTTTCCAGTGATAGTTCATTATTTAAGGCTCCTGTCATTCTTACCTGGCTTAATCTGGCAACTCGGTAAGTGGATGACTTCACTCAACAAAAGCCATCTTCCATACTGTGGCCAGAGTGGACTTTGTAGTTTGTAACTCCGATCGTGAAATTATTTTTACTTAAAATTTTCTTAAAGTTACTTCTAGATAACATGAAGTCAAACTTCTTTATTGCTTCCCAAGGCCCTTAATGTCCTAATTCCTTTTAAGCAATAACCTAATATCTCATCACTCCCCATCCTCTCACTTCTTATGCAAACACATTCAGGTAAACAACCAGTAGCTTCCCTCCTGCCTGCTTTTGCCTGTGCTGGTGCTGGGGCCTGTCTCCCTCTTTTTTTTCCTCTCACTTCTTTCATTGGTGAATTCCAAACCATCTTTTAGGACTCACGTTATTATTATTGTTGTTATTATTATTATTATTATTATTTGAGGCAGAGTCTCGCTCTGTCACTCAGGCTGGAATGCAGTGGTATGATCTCGGCTCACTGCAATGTTCACCTTTTGGATTCAAGCAATTCTTGTGCCTCAGCCTCCCGAGTTGCCGGGATCACAGGCGCAAGTCACCACGCCTGGCTAAGTGTTTTATTTTTAGTAGAGATGGGAGTTTCACCATGTTGGCCAGGCTGGTCTCGAACACCTGACCTAAAGTGATCTACCTGCCTCAGCCTCCCAAACTGCTGGGATTACAGGTGTGAGCCACTGTGCCTGGCCTTAAGACCCGCTTTAAATGTTACATCTTTGTGATCCTTTTCTGGTTTTTGCACCTTCTCGCCAGGCTAAGTTTCTCTTTTCTGCATCCCCATAATATCTTTCATTTATTTTATTTTAGCTCCAATCTCTGCTTTGTTTATTGAACAAACTTACATGGCTATCATATGTGTCAGAGACTGCTCCAAAAACTTTATAAACATTAAGTCATTTAATCTTTAGGACACCTTGATGAGCATGGTGGGTGTAGTATTTTCATCCTCATTTTACACAGGAATAAATGTGGCACAGATTAAATAACACAGCCAGTAAGGAAGAGACAGAGCCTGCATTCCAGTTCAGCAGTGAGTTGTCTAAACATGAACTCTCAGCCTCTACATCACGTTCCTAACCACCATGCTAATCATCTCCATGCCAGTGTTGTAAGGACCCTTTCTGATTCTCATTTTGCTTTGTCTTTCTTGTATCAAGTGCATACTTGGCATATCTAGATGTTGGATAAATATCATTAATTGAATAAATTAGTGAATTATTTCTATTCCTAAGTCATTCCTTTGGCTTTTCATGTTTTCCAGACTGTTGTCTCTTTTGACCATCAGCTGAAAATTTATTTGTAGATTGCTGAATATCAGAACAACTCTTTAGCCTCCATTCTCTGTGGTAGAAATTGGGATGTGTAGAGTTTGCTAAGCAAACTTCACATAGGACAGAGGCTGCATGATGAGGTTTAAGAACATGAGCTTTGCAGTCAGACTTGGATTCAATAGAGCCTTCACCACTAACGATTTGGATGGCTATATAGCCAATGTCTACCACAGATAAGGATACACACACACACACACACACACACGTATATATATATTGGGCTGGGCATGGTGGCTCACACCTGTAATCCCAGCACTTTGGGAGTCTAAGGTGCTTAAGGCCAGGAATTCCAGACCAGCTTGGAAAACACAGTGAAATCTCATCTCTACCAAAAAAAGAAAAAAAATTTAATTAGTCAGGCATGGTGGTGCATGCCTCTAGTCCCAGAAGCTCAGGGGGCTGAGGGTGAGGATCACTTGAGCCAGGAGTTGGAGTCCATAGTGAGCTACGATCACTCTAGCCTGCATGACACAGTGAGACCCTGTCGCAAAAAATAAAATTAAAAAATTAAACAGAAAGTTGGCTATACATTTAGAGTTATACAAGTTGTCTTAGAGCACCGGCTCTGGCAGGAACAGAAAGTGGTGGTGCCGATTTGAAGGTCAAGGCCAGCTGGAGCTGAGTAGTGGCTCAAATAAGTCATAACATTCTAGGATTTGGCCCTCTACTTTGAAGGCCCAGAAGCTTAGTCTTTTAACTTAATTATTCCCAAGAGAATGGCTCAAGAAGCTAAGTAAACTTCACATAGAACAGAGGTGGCATGATGAAGGTTAAGAACACGGGTTTGCAGTCACTCTTGGATTCTAATACAGCCTTCGCCACTAACCATTTGGATGACCTTGGGCACATTCCTTAGCTCTGAATATTAGTTTTCTCTTCTGAAAAACAAAGGTAATGTATCTTCCTCACAAAGCTGTTTGCTAGGATTTAATAAAATATTGTGTCTCTACCTTAGTGCTGCCTGGCATATAGTGTATTCTCAAAGGAGAACGGCATATTACAACAAGGAGAATTATCATATGGACCAATTACTCATGTCAGTGTGACCAAGATATGCTACCCTTATAGTCAAGCTCCATGAAAACCTGAATTCTGATCAGAAGCTACTTGATGGACATCATGGAAACCAGAGCAGGAAGAAGGAATTCAGCCTGGATGAACAGGGGGACCAGGAAGGATTTTGTTATTTATTCATTCACTCTTAAAAATAAACATTAGTTAGGCAACTACTATGTCCAAACAGTGTGCTAGGTGCTGGAGGTATACTAGTTTTAAAAGGATACAGTCCATGTCCTCAGTTTGTTCACAGTTGAATGAGAGATATAGACAAGTGAACAAGAAATTCAATATATAACAACAGTTTTTGATAAATGCTTGGAATAAAATAAATGGGATTCACTGATGGAGAGTAATTGAGTAAAAGTTGGAGTTGTCTCTTAGCGTGCTTTTGCAGAAGCAGATCCTGAGATGAGATTTTGTGTCAATGTGATTTATTAGAAATTGCTCCCAGAGAAGTGGTAGGGAAGTAAAAAATAGGTCCAGAAAGGGAAGGAGAATAAATAAGAACACAATATCAAGCAAAGATCCTCAGAGGATAACTGGCTCAATCCTGCAGGGAAGATGTAAGGGAAGTACATTTCAATTGCAGAGCTAAATCCATCATGAAGCCAGGAAGCTGGAGCATTTATACTCCTCATCCATCAGTCATTGGCTAAGGCTGCACTCTGGGGTGAAGCGGGATACAAATCCACAGCCACTTCAGGCTCTCCATGTACAGTCAAAGGCATTCTGGAAGCCTGAAGGTCATCCTCCAACAAAGAGACACAGATGCTGGCAGTTGGGAGTGAATATTCATGTTCAGGAAGATAAGAGGGCAACCCAAGGTGATATGAGCAGAGTATTGAAAGCATCTGCTATGGGGTGTGGAGGGGTGGTATCTGATGAGATGACATCAAAACCAAGACCTGAAAGATGAGCAGGATCCACTCTTGTGTAGAAAGGGGAAAAAGGTTTTCAAAAAAAATAAATAAAAAGGAACTGTTTATGGGAAGTCATTGCGATAGGAAAGAGCATGCGTTTAAAATATTGAAAGGATGTATCTGTTGGGAGCATGGTGAGTGAACAGAAGAACATTATGAGATAAGACTGGGGAAATGTGCAGGGTCCAGAAATTTGTAAGCTATCTAAAGGAGTTTGTATTGATTCAGATTGCAGTCAGTTGCTATTTGAAAATTTCAGGCATTGGAGTGACATTATCTGATTCAGGTTGTAGGAAAATCAGTCTAACCACCATGAGAAGTGTAAATTGGAGTGGAAGGAAAGAGGAGAAGCAGGGCTGTCATTCTGTAATTTATTTTATAGTCTGGGGAGAAGTGACAGTAGCATTAACTAGGGTGGGGGAATAATGAAGATGGGAAGAGGTTGATGGCACTAGCTTGTATTGTAGACGTAGAGCCAATAGGACTTAATAGATTAGGTGTATGAGGGAGAGAATGAAAGAAGTCGAACATAATATTTGGGTTTCTGGGTATAGTGACTGGGAGAATGGGGTGACCATTAGTGAGACTGGATGAAACAAAAATTAGTAAGACAAGTCAAATTGGGATAATGCTAAGGTTAATAAATAATCTTCATGCCAGCTTTCAATGCTGTGTTGAATCTAGGATTCTTGGTGATGTTCATGACACAGGAGTGTAATTGATTCAGTGGAAGGTGGTGGTTTTAATACAGGGAATTCCCTTTTAATGATTATTCTAATCTGACTCTTAACTTGTAGTAATGAAACCATTCTAATACTCTGTATGATGTGTAAGCAGCTCTGTAAGACATAATCTTAAAGAAATCTTTTCTCAAAAGTATCCCCTTTTCTCCCAGCAATGAGTCATATTTTAGTTATCTTTTTTACGCAATGATATTTGCTTCCCTATTTAAAGCCAAGCATTGATTTAAAGCCAGAGTCCCTTCAGTGTTTCTGTTGAAGGTTTTTTACACAACTATTTTCTATACTGTGTGATTTTATAATCAAGCCTTCTATGGAAATAGAATAGCCTCTGCAAAAATAAGAGCAGACAATATTAGACACAGTGAACTCCAAAACCGGCTGTTAAATTCTAGGATCATCATGGGGGTGAGAAGGGGCTCTGCCAATGGAAATCTCTTAATATAAATGTTTAGCTGAAAAGAAGAGCTGACAACTCAGTCAGAAAACGTCTCCTTGCCTAAAATGATTCCCTTTTTCAAAGCACTTGGGCCAAGAAGTAGAAGCAGTGTGTATCCTTGGCTGTAGTGACAACTTGACTGCTTATCTGTTTGATCTTAAATAAGTCACATCACCATTAGGAATATCAGTCTTGTCCTCTGTAAACGAAAAGAGTTTGAATTATAGTTGGAATGACAAAAATATTCCATCTCATGGGCCCACTTACCTACATCATCAGTGAATGTCTGAAGCACTGTGCTGAGAAGGATTCTGAGACTATCTCTGGATTCAGCAAAATAATGTACCCTAGTAGATAAGCTCTGTCTACTATGGACATCAGAACTGGTGCATGTTTGTGACTAGTCTTAAAGCCAGGTAATTGAAGGCATTAAGAAAAGTTCCAGCCAGATGTGTTTATGCTCATGTGGCCTAACATTTACACTTGGCCGCTGGAAGAGTCCGAAGTTCATCTCAAGCCCTACATCCAAGTGTTTTCCCTTTCTCGCAAACTACGTCATGGGCATGTCATTCAAAAATCCTAAACAACGCAAAAATGTTTGCCTTAAATTAACAGTACTGTGCAATACAGCAATCACGAATACTTATAAATAGCTATGTATAGTCCCCTGAAGAAGGCTTTGCCTCTTCATATTATCCCAAAACTAAAGATATAATTTTTATCTAATAGTTTTAGGATAAAGGCTTTTGCCCGTAATTCATTGGTACATTAAAAGCCCAGAATGTTTCAAATTGACCTTTTATGAAAGCACAGTAAGGCATAGCCGCTTAAAGCCAGAGACTCTTTCCTAAATAGAAAGACCATAAACGCTCATTTCTATTGATGATAAGGTCAAAACTCTCAGAACTAAATTCCTGACCATCTCACCTTCTCCGTTTAAATTACAGATGATCACCTGAAGCCTGTGTTTTAATGCATCTTCAGCTTTAAATTGGTCACTTATAAAGAGGTCTGATAAGAAACAATCACACAGTTCTGTTCCAAATATCCTGTTTGAGTGTTTAGACATTGCACAATGCACATAAGCGCACGTGCACACACACACACACACACACACACACACACACACAGTCTTGGGCGCTTTGCCAAACTTTCAATCAGCAGGATAGTGTTCCCTTTGATAGAAGGAGAAGCAGGAGTTTCTTTTGTTGGAAAGAACCTGCGCAGCTGACACCCAGGGTGACAGCCAAGACAAGTTGCAAAGAGCTGAGGCTAAAATATGGAAAAACTGAATGCCTTATTTGTTTACATGTCTCTCGTCCCCACCTGACCGTAAGGCACTTTAGAAAAGGTAATGCTTTTCTTCATTGCTGTATCCATCATGCTCAAAATAGGCCTGCTATGCAATAGAAGCTGAAAATGTGTTTTTTTCTGTAATAACAAGAGTTCCAGCATACAACCAGTAGCCAATGGCAGAAAGGGACTGGAGAAGCTGGTGAAAAACAAAGATTGGAGGTAGGATTAAATGGTGTAAAAACTTGAGATGGCCAACCACCATAATGAAAGAGCTGGAGCATGTTTGTGACTAGGCTTTAAACCAGGTAATTGAAGGCATAAACAAAAAAACTCTAACCAGATGTATTTATGTCCATGTGACCCAATGGAGCATGAGTATAATTAAAATAGACCCACTGTATTTGACCACATGAACTAGGCCAGTCTTCTCATTGCCTGAGTTGTTAACACAGATGACAGGCATTCACGGATGTAATGCTAATTGTTTTAATGAGGTAGGAGTGGGAAAGTAGTTCATACCATAAATTTTGGAGGCTGACAGTCTTGAAGTGGAAAAGTGGTGAATGCCATGGGTTTTGGAGTCTGACAGTCCTGGATTCAAATCACAGCTTCACTATGAACTATCAGTATGACGTGAAAAGTATTTAAACTCTCTGAGCTATAGCTTGACCATCTGTGAAATACGAAAAATAGTAAGTCCTTCACATCCCGGGTAAATGTTACCATCCACATCCAGCATCCCAGTGGTTGGAACATAGTGAACATTCAAAAAATGTTTTCTATTATTATTATTATTGACATCATTAATGTTTCCGTATTCTAGCTATGTTTCAATGTCTACTGGGTTTTTTAAAATCTGTGTCTAAGCTAAGCTAAATGAGACAGCTTTATGCAAATGTAGGAATGTTTCATTATTATCATGGGTACGATAGGCTAAAAGCATTCCAGTAGGGGTAGGGAAGCGATTTAAGTTTTAAAATAAAGAGAGACAGATAACATTGGCAAGAATCAGTCTCAGCATCACCAGTTTTTTGCCTTCTTCAAGTAATTCAAAACAGAGGTCAGGACATGGAACACTGACCTCTGTTTTCAAATGCACAAGTAATTGACAGAATGAGAAGTGTAGCCACATTAAGAATTAGAGCACACTATATCAATTATTGTCTTAAAGATATAAGAAACTGATTATTCATAACTTTAGGTTATAATCTGCCTCCCTCATAAAATTCCCATATTGCTGGATAATATGGGTAGAGCTTGGAAGTGGGTGTCCAATTAAAGAAAAGGTCGGGGTCACGTAGTATTCTGGTTTCCACGCGTACATACATGATAAAGTAAATTTGCATTTTCTTGAATCCTGCAGCATCTATTTGAGGAATCATTCACTTAGTCATTAAATATGTATTGAGCACCTACTGTTTACTCGGTAGTATCAGTGTTAAGAGTAAAGCTTGAGGTCAATGTTTTTTATGTCTCAAATCTACCTAAATTTATGTGATCATCAATAAATCACCTAATGGGATTTTGCCTACATATATTTGTATGTGAAGTGGGGCTAGAATTCCCATCCCTACTGTTTCATAGCTCTCAGAAGCTAAAATTAAGTGACAGATGAGAAAGTGTTTGGAAAGGCTAATTTTTTTTAAAGTTCTGCTGTTAACCATAGTTACATAATTTAAAAGAAGAGAAAATATTTGATTCTAAGGACAAAGTAAAGCAGCTAAGAAAGTTCAAATGATAAAGAGAGATTTGATGAGAGGCAAGAAAAAACAATCAGAACGGCTTGCTACTTTGCATAGCTGCCCCAAATCATGTTCAGCTCTTTCTTATGGCTATGTCTGGCAGTGTTTTAGACCAGTGGTTCCTAAACCTTGATGCACATCAGAGTCATGAACAGGTCTGGTTAAATGCAGAATGCTGAACTCATCTCCTGGTGTTTCTTTTTCTTTCTTTCTTTTTTTTTTTTTTTTGAGACTGAGTCTTGCTGTGTCACCCAGGCTAGAGTACAATGGCATGATCTCGGCTCACTGCAACCTCCGCCTCCTGGGTTCAAGCAATTCTTCTGTCTCAGCCTCCCGAGTAGCTGGGACTACAGTCGCATGCCACCATACCCAGCTAATTTTTGTATTTTTTAGTAGAGGACAGGGTTTCACCATATTTGTCAGGCTGGCCTCAAACTCCTGACCTCAGGTGATCCACTTGCCTCAGCCTCCCAAAGTGCCGGGATTACAGGTGTGAGCCACCACGCCCCGCAGCCTAGAGTTTCTGATACAGTTGGTCTGAGGTGGAGCCCAAAACATTGCATCTCTAACAAGTTGCAGGTTATGTTGATATCACTTGTCTGGGGGGTACACTTAAGGAGACCCTGGTCTTGCCAAGCTTTCACAGCAAATAGGGAAACAAAACATGAATGAATGAAAAAAATATCAGGCCCTGAGCTCCAGACATGTGTATAGAAGTGTCTGCTCTCAAGAGACGTCTCAAATCGAACATGCCAAAAGTGGAACTCTTGCTTTTTATTCACAAACTTGTGCCTTTTTTAGTCTTTCCCATCTCAGTTGATGACACACTGTCAATGAAAGTGCTCAAGCACCAAATTTAAGAGTTTATCTCAGCATCCACATGCAAGCTATTCATTCTTTAATTCAACAAATGTTTATTTATTTAGCACCTACTGTGTGTCAGGCACTGTTCTAGCGATTGTGGCATGGAAAAATGACCAAAGCAAAGTCCTAGTGCTCAAAAAATATAAATTCTGATAGGTAAAATGGAAAACAACAAGTACGCATATAGAGAGACCTTAGAAAGCACATTCAGCAACCAAAATTTGAGCATTTCACACCATTTCCACAGCCATCAGCCCAATCTCAGCCATCATCTCTTGCCTGAGCTACTAAGGTGGACATAAGTAGTCATCCTGTTTCTGCTGCTCCCAAAGCACAATCAATTATCCATGCAGCTTTCAGATAATCTTTAAAGCATTTGTTGGATTACCACATTCTCCTACCTAAAACCTCCCAGTGGCTTTCCTTCGCATTAAAATTAAATCTAGACTCCTTAATTAGCATGGTATCCAAAACCTCTCCAAATTCTCTTACTTATCTCTCTTTTTTTTCTTTTCTTGAGACTGTCTTACTCTGTCACCCAGGCTGAAGTGCAATGGCATAATCATAGCTCACTGCTAGCTTAAGCTCCTGGACTCCAGCAATCCTCCCACCTCAGCCTCCCCAGTAGCTGGAACTACAGGTGTGCACCATGCCTGCCTTTTTCTTTGTCTTTGTCCTTTTTTTTTTTTTTTTTTAAGCAGGGATGGGATCTCATTATGTTGCCCAGGCTGGACTCAAACTCCTGGCTCAAGCCATCATCCCGGAATGTGGGCCTCCCCAAATGCTGATATTACAGGCATGAGCCACTTTTCTCTTCACTGTTCAGAAAGCTCCTTTGGCTTCCTTTCTGCCCGTTTGATATGCTAAGTTCATTTTAACCCCAGGAAATTTGTACTTGCAGTGTCCTCCTCATATAGCACACTTTCTCAATATCTGATTCTTCTTGTCATCATTTAGGACTTGGACTAACGTCATTTCCACATAGAAGTAGTTTCTTACCCCACTTCTAGCACATCTCACTGCTACAACTCTGTATTTTATTATCCTAATTTTTTTTTTTACCTTGCTAGCATTTATGTTCCCTGATGTTATCTAGCCTGCTATGTGGTTCTTGTCACTAAAATGTAAGCTACACAAGGGCAGTGATTTATTCAGACTGGTTCACTGTTTTATCTTCAGTGCCTGGATAACTGCTTGACATATTATAGGCACTTGATCAAAATTAATTGAATTAATAAATGAATGAATAAAGCATCCGGGTTATTGTCAACATGTTTCTTCAAGTCAATTTACAGTTCTTCAACATTGGGGACCGCGTCAATGTCATCTTTATACCCCAGTGTTTAACTCAGTACTGTGCATACAAGAGATGTGCAACAAATGTCTGTTCAATGAGCACATACACAAAGTAGGTTTTGCCTGGTTGAGCCTCTATAACAACATCCTGAATTAGTTTTTTTTTTTTTCTATTTTAAAGGTAAAGATACTAAGGGTCAGAAAAGTTTAAGGGACTTACTGGAGAAGAGACAAATAAAAAGAAAAAGAAAACAAAGACTGATCACCCAGAGGCTGAGGCTGAGGGAGGGGAGAGTTTAAGGAGATTAAATGTCAGATGAAGCAGGTGTTGAGGAGGAACTGAACATTGACAAATGGATTTGGCCTGAAGATGGATTTTTGATAACTTTAAGGAGAGCAGCATTGGGAGGAGAGGGGAGATAAGAAAAAAACTGGTGATGAAAAAATACAAAGGATAGGTATAAGATAATATTTAAGAAAGAAGAAGCAACACGGCTTTTAAACTTAGCTGTTATTACTTGGAAGTGGGGTACAATTTAAGCATGTTTAATCAAAGGTCATATTAGACCTCATGGAGAGGGAGAGAGTCAAGGATGGGGGCATGAGCTTGGGAGGAAGGGTGCTCAGGTAGTGAGAAGGGATGGGACACAGGTAGGGCCTCGTCTCCCTCTATAGTTGGGCAAAATGGGCAGAGGGAGGTGCAAAGATTAAATGCAACAGCCAGGGTGGGGGTAGAGGAGCTCATTCAAGACTGACTTGGTCTCAACAGGTTAAAGTGGAGACGGTCAACTTTACCTGAAGTCAAATAGCCCTGGAAATTTCAAGAAAAGATGATTGAAAATAGTGGTTCATCAGTTGATGAGTCTGGGGACGGGTGGCAGTGATTATCTGGTGACTGCGATGATTACAGGGAAATATTAGAAGATAGCGACAATGGGACAATGAGAGACCAGGAACTGGTCCTTGGAAGGGATAAGGTGTGAAAGAGTAAAGGGTTTAAAGTTTTCTGAGAAAAACCAAAGTTTGGTTACAGGTTTTTCCAGTTTCTAAATGTGAACTCTTGGGGGCAACTCATTTTCCTCTTCTCAGCCTTAATTTTCTCTCCTATAAATGAAGACTGCTGTCATTTGTGAAGCTTAAAAGAGATAATGGATACTCAGCATTAAGCAGTGGAGGTAGGTCATGAATAAAGCTCAAAAAATGATAAATAGGGAAGAGTAAGGCAAAGTCCAAAGTAGGGCCTTCAAGTTTTAAAATGTAGTGCATTTTTATTTGTCAATTAAAAATAAAAATGAAATGCATAAGAATAACTTGGAGGAATGATTTTAAATGCATAACCGTGCCCTATTACTCCTATGAGATTATGAGTCTGTAGGTCTGCAGTGAAGACTGGGAATATGCATTCATCACAAGCAAATACTCCAGGTGATGCTCATATAAGATGCTCAGTACTTCAGGTGATGCTCCCTATGTCACACCAAGAAAAGCATTAAGAAATGCACTGGTGATTGAAGGCAATGCATAGTACTGGGCCAGCACTGTACAGTTGCAATGGTACTGGTGCAACAACCATGTTTGAAACTCTAGACCATGACTCTTAGCACAGATTGCTTTGTAAACACCTGGAAATCTATGTCTGAATGTATGCATGTATGCATATATATACATTTACAATGTCATGCATCAACATTTTCAATCTAGTTCCAAAATATTCTTATCATACCAAAGGGATAATCTATACTCATTAAGCAGTTGTTCTTCGTTTCTCACCTCTCCCTTACCCCTGGCAATCACAAATCTGAATTCTGTGTCTACACACTTACCTATTCTGGATATTTCATATAAATGGAATTGCACAACCTGTGACCTTTTGTGTCTTTTTTTCCCACTTAGTGTGATGTTTTTGAGGTCCATCCATGTTGTAGCATATCAGTAATCCATTTATTTGTTTACATCTGAATAACATCCCACATATCTAGCTGGTTTATTCATTTATCTGCAAATGGACATTTGGCTGTTTCCACTACTTGGCTATTATGAGTAGTGCTGCTATTAACATGCACATGTGGAATCTCATAAAACATCTCTGTGTGGCAGAAGCAGCCACAGAGATTATGATTTAGCTCCTCTCCAGTGGACTCAGGTGATTTTAATACATAGCCAGTATTAAGAATCTATTTTCAAGGTATCGAAGAAAGATTTGAATGGCTATGTAATTTTAACACTATCTAGCAGACAAATTCCTTTTCCAAGACTGATGGAACATTCCTCTATAGGGCTGAGTGCACAGGTGGTACTTAATAATGTAGACTAGATAGCAGTAGAAACAGCTGTAATTTCAGAAGAGGTTGGTGCTAACAAGGAGTTTGAATGAATTAGTTCTGTTCTGTGTCAAATATGGCCATAACACATGATGTCATCAATAACCTACTGAAATTTATTCTACTTTTCTTTCTCCAGAAGATTACTTTCTAGCAATGCCTAAAGATAGAAGTAGGGGGTACCACATTTTATACCTGTTGGCTAAATAACACAGCTTGGTGAGCCAAAAATGAGCCTCAGAGACCCCTCACAGTGATCTGAGAAGGAGTATAAGATTTGTCAAGGCTGCATATGCATTCATATGTCCAGGTAAAAAGAAAAGAAATTGCCGTAGAAATTATTTTAATGATAAAGCACATTCAGCGTCAGACCTATGCATAATCCTATCTATGAAACACTCATTGATGTCACAGAAAGGTATGAGTGTGTCTTTTGATGTGAGGCTTTGTACTTCTGTAAAATCTTACTTCTGAGAAGTTCAAAGTGCTTTCCATGGACTTTCTCAGCATCCCTTTCAACCCCTTTATGGGGTAGATAGCAAGTATTATTCTCATCTCATAGATGATAGGAAAGTTGAAATGCTGAGAGGTTAAGTGTGATGTGCTCAGTGCTTATCTTTTAGGATGGGACCCAAGGCTCTAGGCTTCCAGAGGGTCCTTGCTGTTGGTCCCCATTACCTCTCTGCCCTCTCATTACAAGGTTAGCATGTAATACTTACGACAAAAAAAAAAAAAAAAAAGAGGATTTGCCAAAGGGAAAGATGGATATTTCTAATTTAGTACCATCAACCTCCTGGACTGAGTTTTCTATCAGGGTCATGATGACATCATTATTGATTGACAGCATGGGGAAATTTTTCACCTTCTTTTTTTATTATTTTTAGTTGGACATCACACAGGGGTGTTAACATTGTCAGCGTTACATCAGGTCTTCGTGTGCTGCCCTGCTTAGGTGATGGTGTGGAATGGTTCACTTTCTCATCACATTTCATTTTATTTCATTGTCACGATAATGGGTATGTATCATAAATCTACCTCAAGCAGGTAGTCTACTTAAAACATACCTTGGCCGGGCGAGGGAAGGGGCTCACACCTGTAATCCCAGTACTTTGGGAGGCCGAGGCGGGCGGATCACGAGGTTAGGAGATCGAGACCATCCTGGCCAACGTGGTGAAACGCTGTCTCTACTAAAAATACAAAAGTTAGCAGGGTGTGGAGGTGCCCGCCTGTAATCCTGGCTACTCGGGAGGCTGAGGCAGAAGAATCGCTTGAACTCGGGAGGCGGAGATTGCAGTGAGCCGAGATTGCGCCACTGCACTCCAGCCTGGCAACAGAGCGAGACTCTGTCTCAAAAAAAAAAAAAAAAACAAAACCTCATTCATGTTACTTAAATGTTGCTTAAACATACCTCAGGTAGTTACTTAAAACATCAAAACATCTCAGTTATGTTTTTTTTCCCATTATATTTCTTTTATTATTATTATTATTATACTTTAAGTTTTAGGGTACATGTGCACAATGTGCAGGTTAGTTACATGTGTATACATGTGCCATGCTGGTGTGCTGCACCCATTAACTCGTCATTTAGCATTAGGTATACTCCTAATGCTATCCCTCCCCCCTCCCCACACCCCACCACAGTCCCTAGAGTGTGATGTTCCCCTTCCTGTGTCCATGTGTTCTCATTGTTCAATTCCCACCTATGAGTGAGAATATGCGGTGTTTGGTTTTTTGTTCTTGTGATAGTTTACTGAGAATGATGATTTCCAATTTCATCCATGTCCCTACAAAGGACTTGAACTTATCATTTTTTATGGCTGCGTAGTATTCCATGGTGTATATGTGCCACATTTTCTGTAGGCTACCTACTCAAGGTTGCTTTATGATTCAAAACATTTTAAGTTTCAAAAATGTTTTGAAACAAAATATTTTGAAACATTCTTAATATGAAATGAATACTTTTTTACCCCGGGCAAAATTTGTATTAATATTTTAGGTTGATGGAGCAACAAACACTCTAGTGATTAAACCTTGTTCTAGCACCTTAACATGATATGAGGGCCACAGTGTTCTCGGTACTGGCTGAACATCAGGATTGCTGTGTGCATTTTTTAATTTGTTTTATCCGTTAAAGTAAAAAGTAATGCATGCAAATACAAATGAAAACAATAGCATTTAGCTCACAGAGAAGGAATTAAGATGAAAATAAAGATCTCCTCTCCTGTATAATTTTCCTAAAATTTTCTGCCTTACTCTACAATATACCATAATCTAACAATATAGATAGATTTGTTGGATAGCTTTTATTTAATCTATTTCAACTATATAAATCTAACATTGTGTTTCTACTAGTTACATGGCACTCCATTATATGGCTGTATCATAATTCGTTTAAACGCATTCCCCACTGGTGGCCATTCAAATTGAGTCTATTTCTTCAATAATTTAAAAAAAGCTGTCATGAACAGTTCTGTATATGTGTACTTTTACATGTCAAGATAAATGACATATTTGTAGATAATTTCTGAGATACAGTGTAGATATATACATATTTGTATATGTATATTTAAATATATGCATATAATATAGAAACATATATGAGTATAATATATATTTATATTACATATATTTTACTATTTTAACATATGTTTGATATATATTGCTACTTTTTCTGAGAAGATTTAAAAAGAAAATACAGCCTTTCCCATCCTCGCTTTAAGTACCTACTGGGTCAGATCTCCTAGGGTAGTTGTTGACTATGTTTTTTTTAGAAAAGCAAACAATTAATTCTAAATCACAGCTCTGTTAAATCCTCCATCCCATAAAATCGCCAGCCAATAACATGAAAATCTGTTTTCTGTTTGTAATTTAAGTAAAAATATAGTTTTGAAAAGTCAGAAAGACCAGATATGTTTTTATGTAACTGTCACTCTTGATACCATAAAGAAGTCAGTATCAAATTTTGTATCCTGCGTATTCCTCCTGGAAAACCAGAGGAAAATTCAGCCAAATAGTAGGATTCCACTTCATGAGACAGGGATTTTTTAGTGACTCCCACTTATTTAATGGATTAAGCATCTGCTACAGCAGAATATTCACTGTCATTTGTGAAGACGAAAATTTCAGAGCTGAATACACAAATAATTGTGCTATGTAACTGTAAGGAAGAAGTTTCATAATGTTTTAAACTTTCCAAGTCTGGAGAATTTCTGCATTATTTTTATTATGGTTATCAGCAATTTTGTGCATATATATGTATATTTCCTTTTTTTTTTTTTTAACAGTCCTAAGATCTCTGCGAGAGTGTAGTTGTCTGGATACTTTTATGTCCACCTGTGGTTTTGCAGAGAACTTTTTCCTGGGGGAAAAAAAAAAAGAAAGAAATGAGATCCTCCTCCCTTTCTGAACAGTTTACCACTCCCTTTACACTTTCAGAAAATGTATTGCTTGGATAAGATCTCTTTTCAAAGCCTGAATGGATATCAAGAAATCACCATTCTGAACCCTTTCTTATTAAAAATACACAGAAATAAGCTTTGTCACAAGACAGTGCTCTCGTTCATTGGGAAGCTTTTATGCTTGGATGGAATACTTAAGCAAATGGCTATGAGCTTATTGAATGTTTAAAGGGGAAAATTTTTTCATAGATAAATATTATACAAGCCTTAAAATAATCCAAGTTGCTGGCACATATTCATCGCCAAAACATTGTTACCTTTTGGAGCACCATGCTGATTTGAAGAGTGAACTAATTTAAATGAAAATACTGGTGCATATTCTAAATGAACATCTTCAAATAATCTTACCATATTAATATGCCCCATGCTTTGAAACTCCTCCACTGCTGAGCAGAGAATCAGTAAAGGAGGAGGAAAGAGAAGAAGTGATTATTATGGGTACCTACTCTGTGCTGGACACTGTCAGGCACTTGATATACATTATTTCATTTATTCTTTCCACCAAGATCAACGAAAAAAAGGCCTGACATGGTTATTGCTTGCCAAAATTCATAGAGTTAGCAGGGTATGGGACAAGTATTTGAAACTTAATGTGATTCCAAGGTTAGAGGAAGAGAACCTTAATACATACATACCATCGCTTTTACCCTTCCCCAGCCCACTGCCATTTCCAACACCATCACTAATGCATCGGAAGAGAGAGTGCTACTTTGAACTTCGATACCTCCCTTTCAAACTATAGGATTTTTTTCCTGTTAGTTTTCTGTTACCCAAGCCTGTTTTTGATATGGTTATATGTATGTATGTATGCATGCATGTTTGTATATCTATCTTTATTATAATGGAAGTATACCCAATGTAATAATTGGTCCCCAGAGACTGAAAATATTAGCCCCCTTCTTACTGTTGATTTTGCCTCCTTTACAAGATACCAGGAAATCTAGTCATTTCTACCTTACACTTTAAAGAAAATACGAATTTCTAGTTTAAACTGAAAAGAAAAATGTTGTCCACTAGATTGTTCACTGTTTTGTAGAGAAAATCACATGATACTTACCAAATTTTTTACTGGTTGACCACTTGGGTTGGCCTCATGGGGAGATACAACAGCGAAAGCACTGACTTTTAAAATTAAGGTATCCAGATTTCAGTCACTCTCAACCATTTAATAGGTGTTTGACTTTGAAAGTTGTTTAACTAACCTCTGTGAGTCTCAGTTTTCTAGCTGAATTTGAACAATAATAGTACTTAGGAGTAATGTTTGAATAAAGGAGAAAATATATGTTAAGCCCTTATACTGCTCTGGTCCCACATTAAGGCTGTGAAAATGGTACATGGTAGCAAGAACTGCTGAGCACCCCACTTCTGGAATTGGGCTCTATTATCACCTATTGTAAGAGTAAATTAATCCCAGTAGGTCAGTCAGATACTCAGGCACTGCTATAAAAGGAAAAAGGACATAAGTTCACATCTACCATTACCATGCCATCTGCCTGGCTGAAAAAAATGCAGCATTTGGAAATTCTCCAGTTATCAAGGCTTTGGGAAGTCTAGTCAGTCAGCGGTGAACAACTGAATATTCAGAGAAACCCAATTAGCAAATCCGTGCGAAGATTCCCAAGGGGAAGGTGTGAATTTAAACACAAATAATTTTAAAGACGATCTTTATATATTGTGCTTTTGCTAACTGGGTAGACTTCACTTGTTCTAACTCTGCTTCTCTCAGGCGAGCAACCAAGCTAAGAGCTTTAGACCATCTCCTAAAGTCTATACTGTTGATGTCTCTGGAAAAAAAAAATCAAATCTGGTGACATGGAGCTCATGCCCACACAAGGCAAGAGAGAGGTACGCCTGAGTATGGTTGCTCTCATTTTAAATACAGAAGGCAATCTCTAGTGACCAGGGCCCTTACCACTTATATTATTTTATATTATTGCATGTGTACTCATGCTGTGCAGAACACACACACACACACACATATATATATATGCTCCACCTGTGGTGTACACATATATATATATCCACCTGTGGGGGGTGTGTGTGTGTGTGTGTGTGTATATATATATGTGTGTGTATATATATATGTGTGTGTATATATATATGTGTGTATATATATATGTGTGTGTGTGTATATATATATATATATCTACCTGTGGTGTGTGTGTGTGTGTGTATATATATATATATATCTCCACCTGTGGTGTCTGTGTGTGTGTGTATATATATATATATATATATCCACCTGTGGTGTATATATATAAAAAACACCTGTGGGGTGTATATATATATATATATATATATATCCACCTGTGGATTGCTTTTGCTTTGCTTTTTATATTTATATAGATATAAATATATCTATATATAGATATATCTAAATATATAGATATAAATATATAGATATATCTAAATATATAGATATAAATATATATACCATCTGTGGTGTATATATATATATATGTATTTATATCTATATAAATATATAGATATACATATTTCTTGTAAATGTTCCTGGGCCATATCGTCCCTCTGCATGCATATTGGGATTTATTTCTAGGGAACAAGAACTACACCTGTCTCTCTTAGTTCATGAAGTTTCCTGCTCTTCCATTGCAATGTTCAAACCCTTTATTGTACCCTCCTATAGAGAAGAGTCCTAATGAACAAGAACTGCATTTCTGGTTCACAAAATCACAACACCTTGCCCAGTATCTAGTCTTAAATTGTTAGGCAATGACTGGTATGGATGGCTAACAGAAGCAATGAGAAATGTACAGTAATTTGAGGTGGTTTTGAAATTGGACCTGTCAGCAACTGTGTGACCTATAAACAAGTTGCTCATCTTCACAGTCTTATTTTATATAATGCAAAGGTTGGATTAGGTACTCTACAAAACCTCTTCCAACTCTGAAATTCTTTTATACAATAAAATAACTTCCCTTGTTCATTTCATTCCTATTTTAATCTTAACTTTGCTGATTTGAGTTAAGTTATTAAAATCTCTACAACCAGGATATTAGCAATATAATCCTTATCTCTTGAGATCCTTGCAAGAACTAATTAATAAATAATGTAGAGAAACTTAGACAAAAGAAAAAAGAAATGAAAAATTACTTATTATATTTTCATAATTGCATTTTAAATGATAATAGTTGAGAGTCTATGTTTCACTTATGAACAGAATTTTAACTATTAGTGCTTGTGAAAAGAAAAATTAGGTCCAATTTTACATTCTTATTTTCTGAAGAACTAATTTTTCTTTTTCATTATTTTTTCAACTTTTACAATCAAACCCTTTTACTCAGTGGTGGATCTGTTACCTTACATCTGTGGGCCCAGCATCTTTATTTTGTGACAATGGAAGCATTGCACTATGTTTAACCCTTCCAATCTCTAAGGCTAACATAGTGCCTGGCAAGGAGTAGGTGTATCAAAATTGCCTGCTGCTTGAGGGAAAAAAATGCAAAAATAGCATCATTCAAAAACAGCTCATAGCAACTGTGTGGCCTAAATCGATAATGGTTCTTCAGTGATTTAGGCATCAGGTCTTCAAAGATTTTCTTTTAGCACACATAAGTATTTTGCAGTAATGGTTCAAATGATGAATCATGTAAAACTAAATTCTAGTTGACAAAATCAGCTTAAGCTTCGAAGTGTTTGAAGGTTTTGTGGGTCTCTTCCCCTCTGGACTGGCGTGATTGCAACAGCTGTTGAGGCTGCCAGGCAGTCTGTCTTTTGGGACTCAGGAGAGAGAGAAGCTAGTTGGTTTTAAAGTAGAGAACTTCCAGCAAGCCAGGGCCACATATTTCTGCCACCTGTGTGTAGGGAAAGGGTGTCCTGGGCTGGTGCTCTGTTGGCCTCCACATTTCTGGGTGACAGACTACTCTTGCAAATGTGACTGTGACCCATCTGTAGACTGGAAGAATCAGGTCTCTTCATCTGCCTAATGTGCAGCAGAATTAGCTATCGTGTTCTACAGAGGTACAGCTCTGTAAGTTAAAAAAAATCCTCCTTTTTTTATAGGATGCTTATACCTGGTTATGAGATTTCTGTCATATGTCGGAATATTTCCTCTTCATTAAGAAAACTCCTCCGGGTATTTGCAAAATCTCTAAAGACTATCCTTGTCTTCCTTTGCTAGTTTTTATGTAATAATTTATAGTATCAATAGAGAAATGTTGCTACTTGCAGATGACACCCTAGCTACGTGTTGCCTTTGAATTTCAAAGTAATGCTGTGGATACATTCACTAAAGCTTTTGTTGTTAGCGATAGAGGATTTGCACGGTCACCTGGGTCTGTCTGCCACGTGCTTCCCCCAGATACTCTCATTCTTGGTGTTGCCCCAGACACTTCTCCTGAATTCCTAGTTCCTGGTCTGACATATTCCACTTCTTCTCATTTGACCTTCATTGTTAGTTTTGAATATTATTCCCCTCTTAAAAATGTATCACCCATGACCTACAGGGATTTTTACGTGTTTGTTTATTCAACAAGTATTTATTATTCATCTTATGCACCTATTATATGACAGTCACAGCAGAAGCACAAAATACAAAAGTTTGAGTAAAAATGAAAAAGCAAAGCAAAAGCAAATGAAACACAGTAATTGCATTCATGGAGCTTATATTTAAATTTGCAATATCTATCTTCTTACCCCCAAATCGGAACAAATGAGCAAGTAAAATTCTTCTAAGTGTGAAAAAGTGTTTATAATGGAGGAATGTGATGCGGCCAAGGCAGGAAGTGAAGGCCTAAGATAAGAGTAACCCTACAGAGAAACAGTTTATGTCTCACTCCCTGGTGAAAGGCAAGAAAATGACATGTGTTTTCCCATTTTAACCTCACAGCAAGTTACTGTGGTAGGCATTAGTGGCCACATTTAATAAAAGGTAAAGCTAAGCTAAAGAATGCAGCCCTAGGTCAAATAGCTGATAAGTCATGAAGCTGAGATAGGAGACCACATCTTCATCACACTAAAACCCATGCCCTGGGTTGTTACTCGTATACGATAGAAAGGCATGTGTTTCTCTATTTGTATCCCTAATTTGGCCATAGCTTTCATGTAATAGATGCAGACAAATTATCAATCAGTGTTGACTTTTGATTCAGTAGCATTTAATACTTTTTTATAAAATAAAATTGAATTTTAATAGTGCATAAGCAATATTCAATTTTTCACTTTATTAGTAATGAGATGTAAGCTTTAATTATTGTTATTGAGGACTTAGCATCTTAAAGTATCAGGTCTTAGAGAAGTGTCTCATTTAAATGTGCATTTTAATAAAGCATTTGTTCTAAAAACTGAAACATATTCTAATTGTTTCAACGAACCTGAAACTTAAGAATTTCATGATTCATTAAAAGAAATATTTTTAGAATCAGAATTCATCAACATTGGTGCAGAATTAATATTCTATGTCTCAGCTTGTTAGGGAATTCAACTGGGAAGACATTTTCCTCTCTGTAGTATTAGCATGTTTATATTCAATATTATAAATAGAATGGATCCACAGTCAATTGCAAACAGCTTTTTCCAAAATTATGTCTTCCTACTGTTGTAAATGTAGAATATCTGTGATTGTAATATAGCATCATGGATAGTAAACATTTGTCTATCTGAAATGCAACAATAAAGTATTCAGATTGCTGAATGACTTATAATGAAACTGTTTTAGGAGTGACATTGGCCTTTAGCCATCTATAGCCTGGTTTTCATGGAAAAGTGGCAGGAAAGGAAACCATTTCTTTGCCAGCATTGTTTAATCTTCCACGAGCAAGAAAAATGAAATGTTTGGGGTGATGACTATCCCAATTATGCTGATTTGATCATTACACATTTTATACAGGTATCAAAATTTCACGTGTACCCTCAATCTATTACAACTGTTATATATCAATACAAGTAAAGATAAATTTAAAAATGAATGATAGTAAAAATGAACATTTTGTTAAAATATTGGGTTAACCGAATGGGCCAGTGCTAATTTTCTTACTCCTCTATGGAAAGCCATTTCAGCAAGTGCTTGCCTCACTAGCAATTTATCCATGTTTGCTACAACTTTCTGAGCTCTCCTTACCTTGAGACATTCGATGATCTTGCTGTGAAGTCTATACTCCTCACCTGTGGGGCTTGGCACATGTTATTTTCTCTCCAAAAAACTGACCATTAATTTTCTCCAAACACCGAGGCCTCTAGCATGCAATATGCTCTCTCAAGAAACAGGGTTTTTGTTGATTTTTGGTTTTGTAATCATCAGTAATATTATGCTCAGACAATCAAGAGATATGAACAGCTTCATATCACTAGCTATGGAAGAGCCAGAGTACATGGGGAACTTGATTTTGGTTATGTGTTGTTTCCTGCACTGTGGAAAGCATTTAATGCAACTGATAATTACAGCTGAGAGTTTCTAGTTCTGGAGTTACTGCATATAAGGCTCTAATAAATGGGTTGATACGATAGATTAAAGTGGACTAGTCAACCTCCATGCCCCATTCTAATGCTGACATTCCCAGGTTCTAAACCATTCTGTGATACACTGAGGATAAGCCCAGTTATAAGGAAGCCAATCTGTATTTTAGTAGGCTTCTTTGCAAACTTTATGTACAATGCCATCTGCTTAATAATTATTAACAAAGATATTTCCACCAAAATATAAATTTGTTTCATCATTTCTATCTTTAAACAGTAAAAAGAACTCGATCTACCTGTGAAACTATTCTATAAAGGGTTCTGTACCAACTGAAGCAGCTTCTACTTTGAAGTCTTTATTGTACCTTTGATGATCACAATAAATTAATGAAAATTTCTTATATGTATCATAAAGAGAGGCCTCTATTGTAGAGAAGTTATTACTGTTCATAGAATAAATACACCTGAGAGAAATATCAGCTACTGGTTTGAATAACCTTGAGGGAAATTATAACTTTATTAAGAATAATATCTATAAATCTGATATTGATAATGATAATAACGTTAGTGATAAGAAATATTGATCACTAATATGTGCTAGATATTCTGCTTGGTATATTATATAAATTGATATATTCAATCATCATAACAACTTGTTGACTGGTTACTGTTGTACTAGTTAGGGTTCTCCAGAGGAAAAAAGCAATACACACACACACACACACACACACACACACACACACAGATACACACACATGTGTGAGAAAGAGATGTATTTATTTTGAGGAATTGCCTCATGTAATTATAGAGGCTGAGAAGTTTCATGATTTGCAGTCTGCAAGCTGGAGTCCTAGGAAAACCCTTGATTTCATTCCATTTCAAGTCCAAAGGTCTGAGAACCAGAGGAGCCAATGGTGTAAATCTTAGTCCATTGTCAGTGAAAGAACAATTTCCCAGCTAGGAAAGGCAGGCAAGAGAAAGAAAAGGGGTAAGTTTCCCCTTTCTCTACCTTTTTGTTCTATTCAGACTCTCAATGGATTGGTTGATCCCCAAACACATTGGAGGTGGCAATCTACTTAACTGAGTCCACTGATCCAATGCTAATCTCACATGGAGACACCTTCACAGGCATACCCAGAAATGACATTTAATCTGGACATTTCTTGGTGCAGTCAAGTTGACACAGAAAACTAACCACCATGACTATTATTATCCTTATCTTACCGCTGATAAGGCAGTCTCAAAAAAATGCATTGTATTTGCTCAAGGTCTTAACTAAGTGCAGTGTTTACAGATAGCAAAGATTTCTTTTTTTAATGTAGGCTTGTTTGGAGTGTTGTTTTGGGTTATCGATGTATAGTATATGCTCAGAGAAATGCTTCACATTTCTTTGGCCCTCCCAACAACCCTGAGAGTTAAGGAACATAAGAAGACATTCTTTTTTTTTTTTTTTTTTTTTTTGAGACAGAATTTCGCTCTGTCGCCCAGGATGGAGTGCAGTGGCGCAATCTCGGCTCACTGCAAGCTCCGCCTCCTGGGTTCACGCCATTCTCCTGCCTCAGCCTCCAGAGTAGCTGGGACTGCAGGCACCCACCACCACGCCTGGCTAATTTTTTTGTATTTTTAGTAGAGACAGGTTTTCACCGTGTTAGCCAGGATGGTCTCAATCTCTGTCTTCATGATCCACCCGCCTTGGCCTCCCAAAGTGCTGGGATTACAGGCGTGAGCCACCACGCCCGGCCAACATAAGAAGACATTCTTAATCCCATGATATAGACGAGCATACTGCAGTTTTTGCGGATAAATATTCCACACCACTTTTGATAGCAAATCCAAGAAAAGAGGCCTAGGACTCAAGCCCTGGAACTTCTAGCTGGTACCTCAAGGCCCCACTCAGAGCTTTAAACAAAAGAAAACTAAAAATAATGCCCATTTCATCTTAGAGAATGACAAATTCTGCACACTAAATTTCTTCACAATATGAATTAACCTCCCCTCCCAAGCTAATTCCCAATGCCACTATGATTCATTAGTGTCATTTGTCAGCAGTTCCTCACGTCAGCTGGCTTATTCCTCTGAAAAGACTGGAGTTTGCGATGAGCCCCTTTCTATGTTTCCATCTCTTGCCTACACCTTCCTTACCTGGTGACTCAGCCATTAGCCTCTGACTTGATTCTAACCCCTCTGTGAATGTCAAAGAATGAACCCATTTCCTCTTCAAGAAGTGTTCACCACTCAAAAGAAGAAGCATTTCAAAATAACATCTTTAACTGATTGCAAAGAAAACCCATATAAACTTTAGAAAAAAAATTTTTAAGTCTTGAGAAATGCCTCAAAAAGGTTATTGTTGCTTTGTAAGTTACCCAATTGACCACTATTAATTTTTGATTATATATCTGCTCACTAATTTTTCTGTGAACAAACATACAATTTGAATTACACTGTACATACTATATAGAAAATTCTTTTTCCTTTTTTTTTGTCTTTTTACCAAACTCTACCATCAACAAAATTCCATGTCATTAAATATTCTTTAGCAACAAAACATGTAGTGACTCTGTAGTATGCCAGTATATAAGCACTCAAAATAAGGATATATATTAATTTATCTAACTAGTTCCTTATTTTGGCCTAATTTGGTTCTTATTTTGCACTTTTTTGTGTTATAAATTACAATGAAATGAACATTTTTATGGATAACCATCTGACTGCATCTCATTAATTTTTTACAGTAGACTTTGAGAAGAAAAACTTCAACATTAAAGCAAATGTAAATTTTTAAGAAACAAGTGTTTCAATAATGTTCTGAGGCATGGCTGCCTATAAGGCATCATATTTTTGCATTGTCTTCAGAAATGCTGGGGAAGGTACTTTTGAGTTGGCTGCACTATTAGGAGGTAATTTTTCCATGTTCTCCAGTTCAATCTGCCATCAGTTTCCACACTGTTACATGGAAGCCAGGAAGCCTTCTCTAATAAATTGTACCCTATCTAGGATTTCTTAAGAAAAATCAACAGGACTCAAAGCTCAGGACGAGAAAGCAACATCAACAGACTAAAGGGGATGGGAAAATTGCTGGTGAAAAAATTATTTGCCTGAGTAACTTGCTGATGAGACTGGATTTCAAAAAGGAATTTTTGCTACATGGGGTCTGTTATCTGCTGCAGATGGCTAGCATGTTTAAAAGAATGCAGGAATCCTCCTGTCTTCTACAGGCAGCTACTTTTTAAATTTTTTCATTTTATTATTATTATACTTTAAGTTTTAGGGTACATGTGCACAATGTGCAGGTTTTGTTACATATGTATACATGTGCCATGTTGGTGTGCTGCACCCATTGACTCGTCATTTAGCATTAGGTATATCTCCTAATGCTATCCCTCCCCCCTCCCCCCACCCCACAACAGTCCCCAGTGTGTGATGTTCCTCTTCCTGTGTCCATGTGTTCTCATTGTTCAGTTCCCACCTATGAGTGAGAACATGCGGTGTTTGGTTTTTTGTCTTTGCGATAGTTTGCCAAGAATGATGGTTTCCAGCTTCATCCATGTCCCTACAAAGGACATGAACTCATCATTTTTTATGGCTGCATAGTATTCCATGGTGTATATGTGCCACATTTGCTTAATCCAATCTATCATTGTTGGACATTTGGGTTGGTTCCAAGTCTTTGCTATTGTGAATAGTGCTGCAATAAACATACATGTGCATGTGTCTTTATAGCAGCACGATTTATAGTCCTTTGGGTATATACCCAGTAATGGGATGGCTGGGTCAAATGGTATTTCTAGTTCTAGATCCCTGAGGAATCACCACACTGTCTTCCACAATGGTTGAACTAGTTTACAGTCCCACCAACAGTGTAAAAGTGTTCCTATTTCTCCACATCCTCTCCAGCACCTGTTGTTTCCTGACTTTTTAATGATTGCCCTTCTAACTACTGTGAGATGGTATCTCATTGTGGTTTGATTTGCATTTATCTGATGGTCAGTGATGATGAGCATTTTTTCATGTGTCTGTTGGCTGCATAAATGTCTTCTTTTGAGAAGTGTTTGTTTATATCCTTCCCCACTTTTTGATGGGGTTGTTTGTTTTTTTCTTGTAAATTCGCTTGAGTTCATTGTAGATTCTGGATATTAGCCCTTTGTCAGATGAGTAAGTTGCAAAAATTTTCTCCCATTCTGTAGGTTGCCTGTTCACTCTGATGGTAGTTTCTTTTGCTGTGCAGAAGCTCTTTAGTTTAATTAGATCCCATTTGTCAATTTTGGCTTTTGTTGCCATTGCTTTTGGTGTTTTAGACATGAAGTCCTTGCCCATGCCTATGTCCTGAATGGTATTGCCTAGGTTTTCTTCTAGGGTTTTTATGGTTTTAGCTCCAACATGTAAGTCTTTAATCCATCTTGAATTAATTTTTGTATAAGGTGTAAGGAAGGGATCCAGTTTCAGCTTTCTACCTATGGCTAGCCAGTTTTCCCAGCACCATTTGTTAAATAGGGAATCCTTTCCCCATTGCTTGTTTTTGTCAGGTTTGTCAAAGATCAGATAGTTGTAGATATGCAGCATTATTTCTGAGGGCTCTGTTCTGTTCCATTGGTCTATATCTCTGTTTTGGTACCAGTACCATGCTGTTTTGGTTACTGTAGCCTTGTAGTATAGTTTGAAGTCAAGTAGCGTGATGCCTCCAGCTTTGTTCTTTTGGCTTAGGATTGACTCAGCAATGTGGGCTCTGTTTTGGTTCCATATGAACTTTAGTTTTTTTCCAATTCTGTGAAGAAAGTCATTGGTAGCTTGATGGGGATGGCATTGAATTTATAAATTACCTTGGGCAGTATAGCCATTTTCATGATATTGATTCTTCCTACCCATGAGCATGGAATGTTCTTCCATTTGTTTGTATCCTCTTTTATTTCATTGAGCAGTGGTTTGTAGTTCTCCTTGAAGAGGTTCTTCACATCCCTTGTAAGTTGGATTCCTAGGTATTTTATTCTCTTTGAAGCAATTGTGAATGGGAGTTCACTCATGATTTGGCTCTGTTTGTCTGTTATTGGTGTATAAGAATGCTTGTGATTTTTGCACATTGATTTTGTATCCTGAGACTTTGCTGAAGTTGCTTATCAGCTTAAGGAGATTTTGAGCTGAGACGATGAGGTTTTCTAGATATACAATCATGTCATCTGCAAACAGGGACAATTTGACTTCCTCTTTTCCTAATTGAATACCCTTTATTTCCTTCTCCTGCCTGATTGCCCTGGCCAGCACTTCCAACATTATGTTGAATAGGAGTGGTGAGAGAGGGCATCCCTGTCTTGTGCCAGTTTTCAAAGGGAATGCTTCCAGTTTTTGCCCATTCAGTATGATATTGGCTGTGGGTTTGTCATAAATAGCTCTTATTATTTTGAGATACATCCCATCAATACCTAATTTATTGAGAGTTTTTAGCATGAAGCCTTGTTGAATTTTATCAAAGGCCTTTTCTGCATCTATTGAGGTAATCATGTGGTTTTTGTCTTTGGTTCTGTTTATATGCTGGATTACATTTATTGATTTGCGTATGTTGAACCAGCCTTGCATCCCAGGGATGAAGCCCACTTGATCATGGTGGATAAGCTTTTTGATGTGCTGCTGGATTCGGTTTGCCAGTATTTTATTGAGGATTTTTGCATCAATGTTCATCAAGGATATTGGTCTAAAATTCTATTTTTTTGTTGTATCTCTGCCAGGCTTTGGTATCAGGATGATACTGGCCTCATAAAATGAATTAGGGAGGATTCCCTCTTTTTCTATTGATTGGAATAGTTTCAGAAGGAATGATAACAGCTCCTCCTTGTACCTCTGGTAGAATTCGGCTGTGAATCCATCTGGTCCTGGACTTTTTTGGTTGGTAAGCTATTAATTATTGCCTCAATTTCAGAGCCTGTTATTGGTCTATTCAGAGATTCAACTTTTTCCTGGTTTTGTCTTGGGAGGGTGTATGTGTCGAGGAATTTATCCATTTCTTCTAGATTTTCTAGTTTATTTGCATAGAGGTGTTTATAGTATTCTCTGATGGTAGTTTCTATTTCTGTGGGGTTGGTGGTGATATCCCCGTTATCATTTTTTATTGCGTGTATTTGATTCTTCTCTCTTTTCTTCTTTAACAGGCAGCTACTTTTAATGTGTGAGGGCTTGATAGGACCAGGAATTAAATTAAGTTGTCTTTACGCTAAGAGACTGGAGATCTATGTGGACCAAAATTACATTATTATGTTATTACCTATTTGATTGTATTTATAGCACTTGTAAGTGCCTGAACTCGTTTATATATGTGTTTGTTCATTATTCATCTCCCTCGTTATAAAATAAGCTCCATGAGACAAGCACCTTGTCTAACTTGTTTCGTTTATATCTCCAGCACCTTAGCACATCACCCAGCATTGTTCTGGCATCAAGTAATCTTTGTAGAATCAAAGAATGAAAGTACGTAATTAATTATTTACTGATTAACCGTTTGTTATATATCTTCAGGTATTTTCTCTGTTTATGTTCATTTCTGTGGTTTTATAATATGCTCTTGAAGGACAAAGGGCTGTAATTTAGAGAATAATTTGTACCCGTTGAATGTATATCTTTTTTTTTTTTTTCCATGATGGAGTCTCCCTCTGTCACCCAGGCTGGAGTGCAGTGGCACGATCTCGGCTCACTGTAACCTCTGCCTCCCAGGTTCAAGCAATTCTCTGCCTCAGCCTCCCGAGTAATTGGCATTACAGGCACCTGCTAATTTTTTGGTATTTTTTTTTTTTTTTAGTAGAGGTGGGGTTTCACCATCTTGGTCAGGCTGGTCTTGAGCTCCTGACCTTGTGATCCACCCACCTCAGCCTCCCAAAGTGCTGGGATAACAGACATGAGCCACCGCGCCCGGCCTGAATGTATATCTTAAAAGGTAAGCTGAAGTGACCATTTATTAAATATCTGTTCACTAACTGGAGGCTAATTAAAATTGTGTCAATTTCTGATTTTTAGTACCAGATATAGCTTATTGGATCTGGTGTTTGCAGATAAGGCTTGCTGACATTTCATCTTGAAACACTCTCTAAATCAGCATAAAATGAAGCTTATCTCAAGACTGCTTAATATAAGAATCCAAAAACCATTTGAATGGGGGAAAAATCAGTGGAGTCACTCAAAAGTTGCATTTCCATTCATTCATTTGAATGGTTGTAATATGTTTTAGTGGAAAAATAAATGAAATTGACATTATGAAAAGTAAAGTGGTTGTATCAATACAATGTTATACAAATGTCACCAGTCCAGTTCTTTGTTAATGGAACTCATCTTCCTAAATGCTTATGTGAAATTCACATTGCCATCTATATTATTTATATATGCCTATTTTGGGTTGCTTCTTATAAGATCTTTAAAGAAAAAAGTTTAGGGAGTAGGGATAAAATGCAAAATTAAGACCATTAAAGTATGACTGATAAAGCCATTTTTTATTATTTTTATTTTTGTATCTTCTTGTAGAGGCAGGATTTTACCATGTTGCCTAGGCTGGTCTCCAACTCCTGAACTCAAGCGATCTGCCTGCCTCAGCCTCCCAAACTGATGAGATTACAGGCATGAGCCACCGTGCCCAGCAAGGCCATTTATTTTTATTAAGCATGACTTTAGACCTTATCTAGGTCAGAACCTATACATATTTCCAACTGATATGTTCAATTTTCTCCTTTCCTTGAATCTCTAATGATCTCAAGACTGTACCTAGGCAATGCCTTCTCCTAGAAGCAGTACTTCCTCCTCTCTGAGGCCCCAGGATAATGGATATGCCTCACATGTAAGCACTTTCCATAGCCAGTTGAAATGATCTATTTCAACAAATAATAACTGAGCCCTTGCTATGTGACAGTCACTGTGATATTGTTAAGCCAAAGAAATCCTTGCCTCATAGAAGTTACATCCTAGTAGGGGAGTCACTAACCAAATAAGCTGACAGTTTATGATACGCTGTTAGGTAAATGAGTGTTGTCAAGAGAAATATAGCATGGTAAATGAGTAGAGAAGGACGGAGTGGGTCATACTATAAGCCAGTCAAGTTGGCATCTCTGAGGAGGGACGTTTGATGAGGACTTGAACACAATGAAGAAGCAAGTCATGGATATCTGGGGAGAACATTGTAGACACAAGAAAGCCTAGTAGATGCAAAATCCCTGAAGCAGAAGCACTCGCCAAATGTTTGACAAAAGGGAAGAAGGCTGAGGTAACTAGAATGAGGTGTGTGAGCATAAGAGTGGAGGAACTGAGGTAGAGAGAGAGAGCCAGGAGCCAGTTCTCAAGCTCCCATCAGCACAGGAGCCTTATCCTGGGTAGGTGGATCAGAGCATTCAGGGGTCTGTAAACCTAAGTGCAAAGAGCATGCCATCTTTATTTTCATTAACCTCAACAGAAATTTAGCATATCATTTAATTGTGAATGTAGAGAACAAACCACAGTATTATTAGTAGCACCTGTGACTTCATAGCCAATAGACACTGAAATATGTTTAGTTACGGATTTCTCAAATAGTCATTATATTGACTACTTTTATGTTATAGTAGTTATAAGACCTGATCTACATGTGTATTTTTAATATTTTGATAACTGCTTTGTAGTATAATTGGTTTTCTTTTTAACCTTATATGTTTTATTTTATACGTTAAAAAAATATGGCCAGAAGTGGTGGCGTATGCCTATAATCCCAACACTTTGGGAGGCCGAGGCGGGTGGATCACTTGAGGTCTGGAGTTTGAATCCAGCCTGGACAACATGATAAAACCCTGTTTCTACTAAAAATACAAAAATTAGCTGGGCATGGTAGCGGGCACCTGTAATCTCAGCTACTCAGGAGGCTGAGGCAGGAGAATCTCTTGAACCCAGGAGGCAGAGGTTGTGGTGAGCTGAGATTGCACCACTGTACTCCAGCCTGGGTGACAGTGAGGGTCTGACTAAAATATATATATAACATATATATATTCTTATGTTATATGTAATATATATTATATACGTTATATGTAATATATATTATATACGTTATATGTAATATATATTATATACGTTATATGTAATATATATTATATACGTTATATGTAATATATATTATATACGTTATATGTAATATATATTATATACGTTATATGTACTATATATTATATACGTTATATGTAATATATATTATATACGTTATATGTAATATATATAGTATATGTTATATAATATATTATATATGTTATGTATGATGTATGTTATATATTATATATGTTATATATAATGTATGTTATATATAATTTATATATGTTATATATATGTTATATATGTTATATATAATATATGTTATATATAATATATGTTATATATGTTATATATAATATATGTTATATATATGTTATATATGTTATATATAATATACGTTATATATGTTATATATAATATACGTTATATATGTTATATATAATATACGTTATATATGTTATATATAATATACGTTATATATGTTATATATAATATACGTTATATATGTTATATATAATATACGTTATATGTTATGTTATGTTATATATGTTATGTGTTATATATGTTATATATGTTATATATAATATATGTTATATATGTTATATATTATACATGTTATATGTTATATATGTTATATAATATATGTTATATATGTTATATGTAATATTTATATAATATAATTACATAATATATAATATATATTAGTTATATGTGATATATATTAGTTATGGATATCTCAAAGTCATATTGACTATATAGTGTAATATATATTATATAATATATAATAATTATATTATATACTATATTATATATAATAATGTTTTAATGTAATAAAAATATTTTGAAGGTCAGTGGATTAAGGTAGAAGCATAGTGACAAGAGGTAGGATTTATGAATGTCTCTAAGAAATCTTACAGTCCCCAGGTCATAGAAAATGTCCTATAAATGTTTCTTGATGAACAGACTGAGAAAGAAATGTGTTCTTTCTGCTTCAAGCCTTATCTTTCTACCAGCATTTTTAATATCTTTGTTCTTTGGTTTTTTAACCACCTCTCCTGGGCTCTGGTCCTTGAGCCTCAGCCTCTCTCTCTTCTGAATCCTCACCCTCTACCTTTTCCCTGGCAACAATTCTATAAATATACTCAGAAATCTCCCCCAAACTATGACCCTTGCTTCTTAATGCCTCGTATTATCTTCTTTCTTGTATTTACATTAAAATACTATGGATGTATCTGTTAAACAGTGAGGAAGTATTTAGTAGACATCGTTTGTGTTCAGGTGATGTGGGTTGGGCCTCCCCCCTTGGACATACAATCTCACCACCCACTACATTCTGGCTTCAGTTCCTTCCACCCCACTGAAAGAGCTTTTTCACATGTCATCAGTGACAACTTAAATCCCAAACTCAGTGGACATTTCCCAATCTTTGTCTTACTTGATCTTTGCTTATTTCTCTGTTCTTTGCATTTCAGGCCAGTTTGGCTAACACCTTACTATCAGTAATATCAACCTAGCAAGTGACCCGTTTTCCTGCTTCCTGTTTCTCTTTTATTGCACATATTGTCCCTCTCACTGGAATGCTTCTTGTCTCTGATGTTCTTTTAGTAAAGTTTTCATCATCCTTCAAATTCCAGATTAAGTGTTGCCCCCTCAGTGAACCTCTCCACCTCCCTTGGTCCTTTCACTCAGACCTACATTCGGTAATCCCCTCATTCTCTCTGCTGTCCCTGTGCTGTTATCACCAAATCTCATATATGATACTTCTGTACACAGATATCATATTGCACCTCATATACATATACATCATATTGCATTTTAGCTAATTACTTTCTTATCCATCTTCTGTACTAGACTGGGAAATTTCTTCGAAGGCAAGAATAACTCTTAACGCTTTGCACAGGGTCTGTGCTCTAAGAATGCTTCTGAGTGAACATATGAATAAATGAATGAAATAAATTCTTCTATAATTTCATCAGCAATGAATTAAATCCCAGATCTATGGAAGTGTTCTAATACATAGTAAATTCTCAATAATAATTTGTTGAATAAGTTATATTTTGTTCATAATTGATATACATTAAAATTATTGAATTATATGTAAAAATCATTCTTAAATTTGGACATATTTTGCCTATTTTAGACATAGTCCCAGTAGCCAATCATTTTAACAATTATTGAACAATTTCTTTTATTGAATTCCTTCTTTTTATCTGTATAGTCAATGATAAAGTCCATGGCAATATGGTCATTGATAAAGAACTATTTTATAGGTAGATTAAAATGTTTTGTCTTAATTAAAGCATGATATATGTTTATTTTTTTAACTCAACAAATCGATTACATTTCTCTTCTGTGTGCACAACACCTTTTTCAGAGTGACACAGATACTTTACACCATTAAAGTTAAAGCCTTTGTTAAGGAATTTGTACCTGTGCTTACCAGGGAAATGAACAAAAACATTTGTCTCCAACACATGACAGGGCCTGAGCACTGAGGCATTCATTCTACCCAGCAATTTATCGGCAGTGGTGAATCAAGGCCGCCTGTCAAATACAAGCATCGGGGTAAAGAACAGTTAATTCCAGCTGATTAAAGAAAGCATTATTAACCTGTTCATATACTTTATGTGTGCCCTTGTCTATCGGCCAGCTTCCTTTCTTCCTCTGATTGAGTGCATGCACTTATCTATGTCTTGACATTGACCACAGATTGGGAAAGTCAGGCATCTGTGCACAAGGTTTGAACATTAACAATAAATAGACCAAAGCTTCCACAAATTATTAATGTTATTGCAATTTCAAGTTCCTTGCCGCCCTCTCTCTTGCCTCCTGACAAATGGCTTCACATCTTTATCAAATGAAATGAATGCTACAGTGATGTTTTCAAGAATAGGCAGAAATTTCTAAACAGAGTTTTTATCATTTCAAATATTCCTGTAAATGTATATGATAAGCCTACTGAGAAGAACCCAATGGTCTCCTACTACTACCAGAAAAGGAGTAATTTCAATTTCTTTTTTTACAAAAGAGCCAACCCAATACCAAGGCACAGTTTTAAGAAATATTAGAACTTTCATCTTTACAATGTATTTTAATAAAAATGTTTACTGTACATATTCACAAACTTGGATATTTTCCATAAAAAAGTAACGCTACTCATTCAGTTAAGCAATATGATTTGGGAAATAGCACCTTGGGTACAATTTGACAAAATGTATACTGAACCTGGAACAACTTTGTGCGAGGAACATACATAGATACAAAGAATGTAAAAGTTTTAATACTTGGAAAATGTGATAAAACAATATTTTTAACTTAAATGATAGTTATTTACTTAATTTTTTTGCATTAAGAAAATAAGAATAAATTCATAGCCCTTTAAGAGAATTTTGGCATGCCTCCAATTTGTGCAAAATCAGCAGAGCGCTCTGTAGAAATTAAGCCATCTAGGACAATAAAGGAGAAGACATTTCTATGATAGTCAGGCCAAATTAAGAATGAGGATGTACATGCATTATCTCTTGAGGCTGCTATATTAGTTTCCTAGGACTGCTGTAACAAATTCCCAGAAATTGGGTGGCGTAAGACCATATAAATTTATTCCCCAATAGGAACGCTTTTACACTGTTGGTGGAAATGTAAATTAGTTCAACCATTTGGAAGACAATGTGGCGATTCCTCAAAGACCTATAACCAGAAATACCATTTGATCCAGAAATCCTATTACTGGGTATATAACCAAAGGAATATAAATCATTCTATTATAAAGATACATTCACCTGTATGTTCATTGCAGCACTAGTCACAATAGCAAAGACATGGAATCAAGCCAAATGTCCATAGATGATAGACTGGGTAAAGAAAATGTGGTACATATACAGCATGGAATACTATGCAGCCATAAAAAGGAATGAGATGTCCTTTGCAGGGACATGGATGGAGCTGGAGGCCATTATGCTCAGCAAAGTAATGCAGGAACAGAAAAACCAAACACCATATGTTGTCACTTATAAGTGGGAGCTGAACAATAGGAACACATGGACACAAGGAGGGGAACAACATGCTCCCTTCCCCCACTCCCCTGACTCTCCTGTCAGGGGATTAGGGAGAGGCAGAGCATTAGGATAAATAGCTAATGCACGCGGGACTTAACTCCTAGGTGATGGGTTGATAGGTTCAGCAAACCACTCTTGCACACGTTTACCTATGTAACAAACCTGCACATCCTGCACATGTTTCCTGGAACTTAAATTAAATTTAAAAATAATAATTATCCTCCCATAGTTCTGGAGGCTGCAAGTCTGAGAACAAACCTGGAAAGCACAAGCAGGGGAATGAACTCTACAAAGGCTCCAGGAGAGAATTCTTCCTTGGATTCTCAGCTTCTGGGAGTTTCTGGCAGTCCTTGGCATTTCTTGGCTGATAGCTGCATCCCTCCAGTTTCCGCCTCTGTCTTCCAAAGGCTGTATTCCTATTGCATGTGTGTCTCTCTATCCTCAAATCTCCCTCCCCTTATAAGGACACCAGCCATTGGATTTGACCACCTTCATCTACGATGAGGTCATCTTAATTAATTTCATCTGCAAACACCCTATTTCCAAATAAGATTACATTCTGACTTCCAGGTAGATATGAATGTTGGGTGGACACTATTTAACCCAATACAGTTGCTTATACTGCTTTATTTGAAATTCTGGTTGGTTAAATGGACTGTAAACTGTATACAACAAGTAGATTACAGCTGCCTGTAAGTATGCGAAGAAGACTCAGAGAGGAAATCTGAGTGGGACTCTCAGAACTGTGCAAAGGAATCAAATCAAATAGAATAGCAATCAGGTAGCTATGAGGTGCCTATCTTGGGCTTGCTCATCTTTTTACTCTCGCCTCCAATGATGCCTTCTAAAGAAACACTCCCTGAACACATGGTCATCTGCATTGCTGGCTGTGCATCCTCTCTCCATCTTCTGTATTATGCAGTGCAAAACACTCTTTGCACTTGCCAAATAGCTTGATAACTATGTTTGTTATCCGATTTCTCCCAATAGATGATAAGTTCTTATAAGGTTGGTAAGATGTGAACAGCACATTATAGGTTCAAAAACGTCTGTGTTTGCAAATGAATAAATAATCAAATTAACAGGGCACTGTGTGAGACACTTACAGAGAGTAAGTAATGCATGAATTCTGACCTCAGAGAGCCTACATGGATGATAAGTGATGTGCCTACAAATCACCATAGCTGAAGACAGACAATCCCTACCTAGTGCCAGAAAACAAGCAAAATGAAATACATTGGGAATTAGCAGATTGAGCTATTATTACAAATGTGGAATGATCTCTAGAGAATATTTCCCGATAGATGTGGCATTGAAGCTGGGTATTAAGGAATAGGCATTATTTGTGAAGACGGATGAGTGGGGCAAGTCAGGGCACTGGGAAATGATGATGATGTGGGGTAAGTTTTAAGGCAGAAGGGGCAAAAAGCATGATTATAGTCATGAAGGTATGTAGGTCCAGGATCCATGTGGAAAACAGCAAATAATGCAGCTTCAGTGCAGCATTGCAAATGGATTCAATCATTGTGGTGAAGAACAACTGAAAATTTAGGTGAGAATTAGATCAAAGAGGCCTTGAGTGACCGTGCACAGACATTCCAGGAGTGTAACAGAGTAATGGTGTGTTCAGAGCTATCTGCCTTTGTGTGAAGAGCTTCACCTGATCACAACGGGCTTGGAAGAAGTCTGAAGGAGTCAGTGTAGAGTGTAAGGACAGCACCAGGCTGAGGAACCAGTGTGATTGGATAAGCGGAAGGAGAAAATGATATTAACAAAAGAACAAAAGTGTTATATGGAAGGGAGGAGAACACTAGGTTTAGTGCAATCTGATCGAAGCAAAGTAAAACCGGACTGGAAGATGGAGGTAGTTGTTGGCCTTGAATGAAGCAAAGATGAAGGAAGAAGAGAACTAAAAGATATTCCCTGGTGTTTCTCCCTGAGATAGAGCTCATACCCCAGAGGGGATGAACTGTGTACTCATGTGTGTTTCAACAGCATTTTATTTAAGCTGTTTCAGTCAAGTGCTGCCTTGAGTGGTTGACTGCAGGATGGGGCTGTGTATTAGTCCATTCTCACACTGCTATAAAGAACTACCTGAGACTGGGTAGTTTATGAAGAAGAGAGGTTTCATTGACTCACAGTTCTGCAGGTTTAACAGGAAGCATGACTGGAGGCCTCAGGAAACTTACAATCATGGCAGAAGGTGAAGGGGAAGCAATCATGTTTTACCGTGGCAGAGCAGGAGAGAGATAGCAACAGGGGAAGTGCCACACATTTTTAAACCATCAGATCTTGTAAGAACTCACTCACTATCATGAGAACAGTAAGGAGGAAGTCCACCCACATGATTCAATGACCTCCCACTAGGCCCCTTCTCCAACACTGGGGGTTAAAATTCAAGATGAGATTTGGGTGGTGACACAGAGCCAAATCACATCAGGCTGTTTTGCAAATTGTCGCCTACTCATTCACAACAACAAAATGCAGAAATTGAATGTAAGCATTTAGAAGCAATCGCAGCAATGTGATATTGTTGCAGTACACATAAGTGTTATTTTTTATTTTACAAAAGTATCACTGTACAATGAATTGGACAGAAAAAAAATAAGGAACAAAACTGATCCTTCACTACATATAGTTTGAGAAGCTCTGTTCTATAAAACTAGTACATCTCCTGACATAAAGGATAGTTGATCTGTCCGCTCCTCCAGGAGTATGTCAGCTCTATGTGGAAAAGGAAGGGATATATCTGAATCCTTTCTGAACCCCCAGCTTCAAGCATAGTGTAGAGCATACTACATGCAATCAATAAATAACTAGAATGGAATTGATTTTGATAACTAGTTGGTTTTTTGCTTTTTGTTTTGTTTTGTTTTGTTTTTTAACTGCGGAGAGAGCAGTTTTAGGCTGACCACTTGGGCAGAAGTCACAGTCCTGGAACTTAAGATAAATGAACAGACACAAGCAGGCAAAAGCAGCAAGAGGTAATCCTCATTAGATGCCACAAAAGAGAGAAGAGCCATGAAGTGGAGCTAGAGCAGGCAGACCATTTGCATGCTTCAAAAAAACTCTTGGAGGTGCAGGCACTCAAGATACAGACAGGGGGAAGTTAAAACTAGAAGTCTTCAAAGTCTCAGGCCACAGTCCAGTCTTGTTAGTGGGCATGCTTCCCTTTTGGCACTGTTGCTCCTGCTCTGGGCCAAGTTAAACATCTATTAATGCAGAATTGGAAAAGTGCTTTTGGTTTGCGAGATTCTGAGCATGATTCCTTTCAAAATAAGCAACCTGGTGTCCTTGACCCAACAAAACTCTGCTCTCAGCAATGACTTTCTGTAAGAAAGACAGATGATTACCAACTTTACTGCAACATGCTCAGTGCTGTTGACAGACTGAAGCAGTTCTGGGCTAAAGGTCTGCTACATGCTGGTGCAAGCATTTGTTGTTACACTTGATCTACCTACATAATTTCAATTAGCTTCCATCTGTGACATATAAAATTGAATTCTACTGAATGCCCTGAGCTTTTTCTAAGCACCACCGTTTGTTGCCAAACTGACAATTTGCAAGGAATCTAGGCTGTATTTCAGAGAATCAGAGGCTGGTCAAACTTGAAAAGGTGTTAATAATCTAGCCCATCTTCCATTTTACAGAAAGGGTACCTAAGGTGCAGAGTAAAAAAAAAATTACTGGTTCAAATTCACACAGTCAGCTATTTCACATCAAGTTGAATTAAGTTGTTTTGTCTGTGAAACCCTGAACAATTTTCACTACACCTCAGTGCTTCTGTTAACTATCCATTCATTGCATTGTAAATTTCTCAATAGATAACACATTCTCCCAGGCCCTGAAACCAGTAGATTGTTGTGGAAAAAGTATCCAATGTGTCATTTTCATCATTGCCTCTTAACTACAGAAGTCCTCCCTATGTTTCAAGATATTATAGCATTTCATTGTGCTTAAAAAACTAGTAGCAAATAGGAAGTAACATTTGCCAAATAAAATCCATAAAAATAAAGCATCCTTTACAATAAAGAAACTCTTGTCAATTATTTAGACTTTTTAAGGGCATTTTGAACTCCTCAAATACAAATTTCACGTTCATAATTGTATCATCAAAATCCTATGTGGCAACCAAAAGCTCACTAGTAGGCAGGACACCGAATTATTTCCTTCCTTCCTTCCTTCCTTCCTTCCTTCTCTTCCTTCTCTTCCTTCCCTTCCTTCCCTTCCCTTTCTTTCCTCTCTTCTCTTTCTCCCTTTCTCTCTCTCTCTGTCTCCCGCCCTCCCTCCCTCCCTCCCTCCCTCCCCCCCTCCCTCCCCCTATGCTGCCCAGGCTGGCCTCGACTTCCTGCCCTCAAACAATCCCTTTGCCTCAGCCACCCAAAATGAAGATACTGAATTCTAACTACATGAACTTGCAAATCTCATGCAACCATAGATCAGTCTCTTCATCTCTACAGTGAGGCAATCACAGTATCTGCCTTATAGAGTTCGAATGAAGAAGATTTAAGGTAATCCACCTGGGGTGCTTAGCACCATGTCCTATAAATGTTAGCCATTAATATTAATAATTAGGTGATGGCTTTGTCACAGATTGTTGAAGCTTTTTGCATGAGCAGGGGGAAGAGACTTGATAATAAGTATGGTTTCATCCATTTCTGAGATTCTGTGACCCTACTGGGCCTTCCTGGCATTAAGCCGTTGGCAAGTTGACTAAGCCTATCTTGTCTCCAACTAAATACTGCTTTTAAATACCTTCTTCCAAATCAAATTATTCAGTTTTCCCCAGTCTGGCTCCATTTTTCTTCTTGGTTTTAGGGAGCTCAGTCATTATTTAAAAGCAATGAATCTAACCTAGATTGAGCATCTGCTATGCACCATGATTATTGCTCATGTTACTGCACCCAGCATCCTATAAGAGGAGTGTCATCATTGTAATTTACAGATGAGGAATAAAGGGACTCATTCAACATCAAAAATCCAGCGATTATAGAATTTATTATAAAAACCAGGATACTTCTAAGAGTAACAGGGGATGCCATTAATAATTACAATAGTTATAATCACAACTATATTGATCCATAACTATGGATCCATAGTTATAAATTGGGATTGTCTTAGGTAATATGGGGTATATCGTCATTCTCCCTGTGGATAAAAGAGTTGTGGAGCCCAAATTCAAACACAAGACAATCTCTAAACCCCTGAGTTTAACAAAATTTAGGTTGAAAGGATCTTCCTTTTTATGTTTGTATTATACTGGCCTGAGGACTACTGTCCTGGTAAAAATGAAAATCAGGACACTAATATGAAAACCTGAATACCTGAGGTGGATAAAGGATCAGGGCATCAGTAACCTCTGGAGGTGTTAAATACAGATGCTCCTCAATTTACAATAGGGTTATGCCCCAAAAAACCTGTTGTGAATTGAAAATATCATTAGTCAAAAATGCATTTAATGCACTTTGCTTACCAGATATCATAGCTTAACATAGCCTACCTTAAACATGCTCAGAACACTTACAGTAGCCCACACTAGAGCAAGATGATGTAACACAAGGTCTATTTTATAATAAGGTGTTGAATACTTCATGTAATTTATTGAATACTGTACATTACCTCAAAATTGTGATGGTTTTGCATCATCGTAAAGTTGAAAAATTGGGGCCAGGTGTGGTGGCTCATGCCTGTAATCTCAGCACTTTGGTAGGCCAAGGAGGGTGGATCATTTGAGGTCAGAAGTTCAAGAGCAGCCTGGCCAACATGGTGAAACCCCGTCTCTACTAAAAATACAAAAATTAGCCAGGCATGGTGGTGCGCATCTATAATCCCAGCTACTTGGGAGGCTGAGGCAGGAGAATTGCTTGAACCCAGGAGGTGGAGGCTGCAGTGAGCTGAGATGGCACCATTGCACTCCAGCCTGGGTGACAGAGCAAGACTCCATCTGAAAAAAAAAAAAAAAAAAAAAAAAAACAGTTGAAAAATTGTAAGTAGAACCATGGGGGAATATCTGTAGAGTGAAGGGGACTGTTATGGGTGGAATGTTTGTGTCCAACCCAAACTCATAGGGTGAAACTGTAGTCTCTAATGTAATGGCATTGGGAGATGAGGCTTTGGGGAGGTAAGTTGGCTTAGGTAATTTAATTAGGTCATGAGGGTGGGGCCCTCAGGATGGGATTGAAGCCCTTATTTAAAAAAGAAGAAACACAGGATTGCTCTCTCTTCCTCTCTGCAAGAAGATGGCTGTCTACAAGACAGGAAGCAGGCCCTCACCAGACACAGAATTTTCCAGCACCTTGGCTTTGGGCTTCCCAGTCCCCAGAAGTGTGAGAAATAAATTTCTATTGTTTAAACTGCCGATTCTGTGATATTTTTGTTACGGCAACCCAAACTGATGGAGACGGGGACAACACAAAGCATCATCTTGAAGGGCTGGGCAGATTCTTAAAACTGAGGATGAGGTAACTGAAAAGCAAGGCAGAGAGAAAGAGGGAATCCAGATGTAGGCCAATAAAAGCAATCACCTTTTTCTTCCTCCCAAATGCAAAGAATGTGAGGTTGACTAGAGAAGATTCCTCGGCTGATAAGCAGGTGGCCTTAGGAGCTGGTATAGGGTCAACCGTGACCTCCAATGTGGGCAAGGAGTGGGCGGCTAAAGGTGAACCACAGAACAAAGATGACTAAGGGCTCTTCCTCCTCCCAGCAGATGAACTAAACAGTCAAATTAAAAACTGTGATACCAAGAAAGACACACACACACACTCACACACACCCTATTCATCAACTAAGTAAGAAAGATTGAGAAATTTAACACCGATAGATTGCATTGGTAAATTAAAGAATTAGAAAGGAGTAACTGACTGTCATTTTGTTTGTTTGATAATATATACTTTCAACAGCAATTAATATTTATTGATAACATGGGACATACCAAGCACTGTTCTACATGCTTTGCAGTATTTATGGACTTAAACTATGCTGTGAGGCAGGTGCCACTTTCTTCTTCATTTTACAGATGAGGAAACTGATGCACAGAGAGAATGATTGAACTGCTGAGACGATTCATATGCAAAGCAGGCATATTAATTTCCTATTGCTGCTGGAACAAATGACCACATGCATAGTGCCTTAAACAACACAGATTTATTCTGTTACAGTTCTGGAGGTCAGAAGTCTAAAATAAGCTAGCAGGGCTGGTTTCTTATGGAGACTCCAGGGTAGAATCTTTGTCCTTATCTTTTCCAGATTCTTAGCAGTCACCTACATTCCTTGGCTTGTGGCCTTATCCTCTATCTTCAAAGTCAGCAGCATGGCCCCTTCCAGTATCTTGCTCTCTCTCTGCTTCCAGGATTATATCACCTTTTTCTGACCCTGCCCCACTTGCCTCCCACTTATAAGGACCCCTGTGATTTGTCTGGACCCATCAGATATCCTAAGAAGATTTCCTCATCTTGAGATAGTTAACTTAGTCACACTCACAAAGTTATTTGTATTATGTAAGGTAACATATTTAGAGGCTCTGGGAATTAGGATGTGGACATCTTTGGGAGGCCAGTATTCTGCCTTTCTCAAAGGGTTCAAATCCAGGAAGCCAGGCTGCAGAGCCTGCTGCTTTAAACCACTGCACCACAATGCCTGAAAACTTTAGTCGTCTACCTTCTGTGCATGCTATATGCCAACAACTTGCCTCCTGTTGGGTAGGCAATATTGCAAAACACAACTGTGATTCTGTCCTTATGTGAAAAACTGGCATAAAAAATGTACAACCACTGTTAAAAATTGTGTTAAGTTCTACAAAGCAAAAACAAACATGCTAGGGAAAAAGAATAGTGGGGACAGGGAAGGGATAAAATTACAAATTGAAAGTCAGGGAAGACTTATCTAAGCAAAGACACAGAGTGTAAAAAATTTTACTTAGTTGTGTTTAAGTAAATAATATTCTAAAGAAAAAAATTTAAAAACATGTTAACAGTAGTTGCATGAACAGATTACATCATGAGTAAAACACCTTGTGTTTTTTTCTCTGTATTTTCCAAGTGTTCTGAAGTAATAGGATATTACCTTAACATTTATAAAATTGAAAGAAATTTTATAAATAGGGTGAGGTATGTGCTGCCTTCTAAGACTGAGTCTTTAGAAAATTTTCTCAATCAGCTATGACAATGTATACTGGACCTATTTCTAAAGTTTACTCTAGAAAGTAATATCTCTTACTCAAATGCATTAAAGCTTCTTTAAGACCAGTGCTTCCTTTGATTGCTAATTCCTCTTTTTACTGAACATCCTGCTCTCATGGCAGAAAGTGCGAGATCAACACTCTAAAATACAACAAAAACTGGAAAATATCTGGCATGCTTAAAACACTTATCTCTTTGGGGTTATCCTATTTTTTATTTCAAATTTGCTTGTATTTAGGGGAGAAAAGGACATTGTCAATACTGCAACTCAATGTTAGTCACTTCTATTGCTCTAAGGAGCCCATCCTGTCTATATTTAGAACTGACTCTAGAAAAAAGAAAGATACAGGGCTTTTTCATCAACGTTTGATCTGATAGATGTGTCTAAATACTGGTCAGCTTTCCACTGAATGTTACCATGGGCAACAGTTTTCAGAACTTTACATGAATAAAAAAGAACAGGAACAGGAAAAAGGATCACTGTATGAAAACTTATTCGTGTGGCCATCTCCATTTTATTCATGGGGCTGCCTAGATTCAGATTGTAGCATTTTCTTGAGTTATTTCTCTGAGCCCTTTTCCATTCTCTCTGAAATACTGAAATGCATACCTTCTCTTCTCATTCCTTTTTATTTCATTCCAGCCTTTCAATCCACTGCTGCCAGAGTGGAGTTGCCAAAATGATGCTCTGATATGGTTAGGCTTTGTGTCCCCACCCGAATATCATCTTGAATTGCAATCCCTATAATCTCCACATGTCAAGGGAGAGACCAGGTGGAGGTAATTGAATCATGGGTGCGGTTCCCCTGTGCTGTTCTCATGATAGTGAGTGAGTTCTCACAAGATCTGATAGTTTTATAAGGGGCTCTCCCCTCTTTGCTAGGCACTTGTCCCTCCTACTGCTTTGTGAAGAAGGTGCCTTGCTTCCCCTTCCCCTTCCACCATGATTGTAAGTTTCCTGAGGCCTCCCCAGGCATGCTGAACTGTGAATCGATTAAACCTCTTTCCTTTTATAAATTACCCCATCTCAGGCAGTTATTTATAGCAGTATGAAAACGGATTAATACATGTTCTCACTTCATTCCTCCCTGCTACAACTACTTACTATGTAACAGGCATTATGCTAGGAGATGTGAGGTTAGTAGTTTGAGTAAAAAATAACCCCTGCCCTCAAAAAAACTGGAGGAGTTTTCATTCAATCTAGTGGATAAAAGAAACATTTGAACAATGAGCTGTAATCCATGACTGGGCAACATCAGTAACCACTGGAGGCCTAAGGAGCAGGTGTTAAGAGCACAGAGGAATGAACGATGAATTATTTAAAAGCCCAATCTGTAGCTAATTTAAATACCTTGGAGGCTTGGAGGGCTCTTTATTGCTGGTTCCAACCTATTTTTCTAGATTTAGCCCATTGTTTGCCTTCATAAACTTTCATCCCTACCTTGGCTTTTCCAGAATCTCTGAAAGACATTTCTCCATTAGGACTTTTTTTTAATGTCAAGTTTAAAAAATTCAAATCAAACTGGTTTCAATAACAATGAGAATATATTAACTCACATAGCTGAAAAGTTTAAAGACATTTCTAAACTTTTAGAAACTAAAAGTGAAGCTTCAGGTGAAGCTTAATTCAGCAGCTAAAATAATGTCACCTAATTCCTGTTTCCCCTCTTCTTTGATTCTGTGTTTCAGACTGAGAACCTCTGGGAATTCTAGGCTCAGCCTCAAGTAGCACAAAAAAGGTTTAGTTTTGAACCTAAATTCCTCCTATCAACTGTAAAAAAAGAGAACTTCTTTATTATTATTATTATTATTTATTATTATACTTTAAGTTTTAGGGTACATTTGCACAACGTGCAGGTTTGTTACATATGTATACATGTGCCATGTTGGTGTGCTGCACCCATTAACTCATCATTTACATTAGGTATATCTCCTAACGCTATCCCTCCCCCGTCTCCTGACCCCATAACAGGCCCCGGTGTGTGAGAACTTCTATTCCTTAGGTATCTAATAGAATTCCTGAACCTCGTTCTTATTGCCCTGAATTTAGCCATAGGTTCATCCCTTAATCAATTATTATCAGTGAAGCATTATATCAATTGTCTCAACCCAATTTGTGCCCATGGTTAGAGCTGGTGGTATGTATCACATAGTCACATAGTCACTGTACTAGCCATATAGTGAAAATGGAGTATAAGCACCTACCTAAAGGGAGAACCTGGTACGACTTTACCAAAAGGAGATTGAATAAACTGGATAAAATAAATAAATTAGAACAGAATAAGTGAAAAAGCAACCAAACAAATAATTAATAACTTCTTTGTGTTTCATTATTCTTGGACACTATTTTTCATAACATCTCCTTTTGCAGTTGAAGAAATCCCCAATTCAAATATTGTTAAAATTCAGAAAATCTGTCTTATATATTGTGTTCTCCTAACAAAACCTGACACAGTATTTTATACAGAAGAAGAACTCAGTAAGTTTTTAATATTTCTTTTTCTGAAAATTTCCACTCCACTGCCATTCTATTGATTTTTTTTTCTTAAAAGGAATCAATTTTATCTCTAATTTTAAAACTAAAGTTTTCCCCTTAGTGCTTATATGTTTCAAAGTATGAAGCATTTGTCAACTCCACCAAACACCTTCCCACTTGAAACCTTCCTGCTGTTTTTTCAATGTTGTGGTGCTTTTCTATCTCTCCTCCCATTTCTCTGAGGTCTCCTTACAATTTAATCGTGTCCCCTTTCTTCTCTCAACCAGTTGCAAATGAATGTAGGTTAATTTGAGAATGTATAATTGGCAAGGATTTGTAAGCTTTAACCATTAGTGAATGGTGAAGGCTATTTGACCTCTTACTTTGCTCTTGGGCTTTATAGGACATGAAACCTGGATCATTCAAAAATTCATATAATTAACCAAATCTTCTTCTCTTTATGTTACAGTGAAAGCAAATATCAGACCCAATAATTCCACCCATTATTTGGCAAACACACACACCCAAACAAATATGTGCATATCAAGCCATTCTTTCTGTGACATCAGTGGGGTCTCCAATCTCTGTCATTTAGGCTTTTTGACGAGCACCTTGCAGGAAGGGTTTATCCCTGTGGTGGACAGAACATGTTCTAACAGCAGGGTCAGCTTACCTTTCACACAGCTAAGTTTCAGAGATCTTCCATACATGGACCCATCAGAACCCCAGCCACAGAGCTTGTTTCCAGAACGCAGGGCTGCTGGGTTTGCTGGGTTGCATATTTTGTTCACAAAAGCAACCTTTGTTGCTTTTGTGGTCATTTAAGCCAACCACAGTTTTTAAAACCAATGAATTTTATCAATTTATAATTAAATTTATCAATATTATAAATTGATTAAATTTACGAATTTATAATATTTCTAGAAGTCCTAAAAATATTGTCAAGATTTGCAATAGCCATCTCTGGAATTTGAACTCCCAATTTGGGTATTTCAAACACCCACATGCTTTAGGGTAGAAACCAGAGTTAATACTCCCACATATATATATCACACTACTTTTACTAAGATATTTGGAAATCAGTTATAAAAACAATCAAAATCCCTAAGTTTAGGTTTCCCTCAAGGTTCACAGTGAGAGAAATGCTGGATGAGCCCATAGCTTTGCATCTCAAATTCTAGATGAATCTATGGGCCTTGAGATGTCTGTGAATCCTTTGTACGTATATGAGAAATTGCAGTGTCTGTGCCTTTTTCTGAGCAGATAGTGCATAGATTTCCTCATGGTCTTAGGAGTATCAATGGCCTATTAGTGATAAAGAATGTGTGTTTTACATTAGGGATATAAAAACTGAGACCCATTGATTTATATACTCATTCATTCATATGAAATGTATGCATTGAATGCCCTCTAATATGCCAAGTTTTATCTAGAATCTATAAATACAGTGATGAAAATGTCAAATAAATTCCTTATAATAATGAAATGAAGAATACTGATAATAAAAATAAAGATAAATGTATATGGTGTACATAATTTCAGGTACTGGAAAGCACACCAAATATAAATAAATAAAACTATACAGGCTGGGTGCAGTGGCTCATGTCTGTAATCCCAGCACTTTGGAAGGCCGAGGCGGGTGGGTCACCTGAGGTCAGGAGTTCGAGACCAACCTGGCCAACATGGTGAAACTCTGTCTCTACTAAAAATACAAAATTAGCCAGGCATGGTGGCGGGTGCCTGTAATTCCAGCTACTCGGGAGACTGAGGCAGGAGAATCACTTGAACCCAGGAGGCGGAGGTTGTGGGTAGCCGAGATCCTACCATTGCACTCCAGCCTGGGCAACAACAGGGAAACTCCGTCTAAAAAAATAATAATAATAAATAAATAAATAAATTTAAAAAAAAAAACTATACAGGGGGATGGTGACCAAAAGCTACTTTGGACACAATGAGTAATAATTTAGTGAGCAATATTGCACAGTTCTGTATCATTTCAAAATCTATATAATTAACCCTGTCCTTTTCTCTCATGGGCTATACTAAGTCACACATATTTTTAACAACCTGCTGAACATCATTAGATGTACACCACATTGGCTCCTATAAATCAAAGTTTCTCCAAACAGGGTTGTCATTTTCCTTCTGTTAATTCCTTCCATGCCTTTGACCCAGCCCCAACCCAAGGCTGATTTTATTGCTCTTTGCCTTGTATTTAATTTAATCTACCACCATATCCCACTCATCTACCTAAGCTCAATTCCCCAAAACTCATCTTTTAATCTTCCTTCCCCCTTGCAGCTCATGTTCAATCACTTTCCAAGTCTAGGTCAATCATCTCTCACTTTCAAATGTGCATTTTAAATGCGCACTTTATAAGTTGGGTTCTACAGGTTACTGGCCTGCTGTAACACCATTGTTGTTTGATAGTCGTTTCTCAAATCAAGGTCAAATGCTTTCTGACCTTGAAAATTCTTCTTTTGTGCTCCCAACTTGCCTTTGCCCACATGTCTCCTCCCAACACCAATCCCTCATCAAAAACGACCATGTAGACTTCTTTGAGATTGTTGTACATAGTCTTGCTTTCATGCCTTTTGTAATAATGTGCAATAAATGGTAGCAACTCTTATTATTGAGCCCTTATTATGGGACTGACACAGAGATAAGCACTTCGTAAATATTAACAGTAGGTCAAGTAATACAGTGTTTTGAATGCTAGCTCTGCAGTTTATTTTACTGTGAGGCTTGGGCAAGTTACTTAAATCCTTTACCTCAGTTTCCTCATATATTGAATGAGATACAATAACATCTACTTCGTAGCTCGTAATGAAAAGTAGATAAGATAATGCAGCTTCATTCACTACCAGATGCATAGTAGTCATTCAGTGAATATTGATTATAATTGAAATCACAATAGGTATTCAGAGTACAGTAATTATTACTTATTTTTCAGTATGAAACTTGTCAGAAGTATAGATACTATAGATTATGTTAGATGTTCCTATCTCCCTTTTACCGTGTCTTTGGGAAATCTTTCCCACTTTCTTGCATGAAGCCTTCTTCATGAAGCCTTTATGGATTTTTCTATCTTAAATGTCAATGTTCTTGGTTTATTCAGGGTTTAGGACAGTCTTCTTATAACAGGGCCACTTGGGTTCATGTCTTATCTTCCACCACTAGATAGCATGGTGACTCCTCTGGGAAACCATATACTAGTTTAACAAGAAGCCAGGCTTGGGTGAAAGGATCCTAGTTCTCGTTCTACCCCCTTCTCAGCTGTGTGACATTGAACAAGTTACCTAACTATTCTGATTATCAATTTTCTAATCTCTGAAATAGAAATGATAATATCTTCCTCCCCGTGTCTTCACAAGAATTAAATAATCTGGCCTAGGACAAATACTAGTATAGTACCTATTATGTAGACAGGGTCCAGCTCAAAATAAGTTCCCAAGATGACAAATTTACTCAGCCTCATGTCATTCACAGCAATTAACACACTTATAGTTAGTGTTTAGGAAATATTGAATTAAACTACGTTTTAAAAATTACATATAGTGAAAGCAAATGGCCATGTACACAGTGAGGACACATTAGAATATAAAAGTATTAGCTGCTCAGGTGCTTGCTATTAAGCTATCTTTTTAAATGTGTAATTTAATAATAGCACATCAGAAATATCCATGGAGTTATCTCTCATAGCAAACAAACTAATAGCCCAAAAAACCTGATCCTTGTAAAAACCCGCACCAACGCAAAGTCATTTCTCAACCGCCCTTTGCATTCATTGAACTGTGAAAATATCTTGGGCTGGGCGTGGTGGCTCATGCCTGTAATCCCAACACTTTGGGAGGCTGAGGCTGGAGGATTGCTTGATTCCTGGAGTTCAAGACCAGCCTGGAAAACATAGCAAGACCCCATCTCTAAAAAAGGCACATGCCTGTGGTCCCAGCTACTTGGGAGGCTGAAGTAGGAGGATGGCTTGGGCTAGGAGGTTGAGGCTGCAGTAGGCCATGGAGGATCCACTACACTCCAGCCTGGGGGACAAAGCAAGACCCTGTCTCAAAACAAACAAACAAACAAACAACAACAACAACAAAGAATATCTTGGTCATAGACTTTAACCTTTAATTTTAATTGCTAGTTTACTTTTATGTATTTCCTAGTAAAATGTGATTCCTCAAGGAAAGGTCCCCTTTTTTCTGATTTTTATCCCTTTTCCCTGACCTAGTACCTATCCTGTAAGATGTGCCAGGCAACAGTCCTTGATCTGTTGCTTAACAACAGAAGAGATAAAAGATCACAGTGAAATGGTATAATGTGCCCAGCATGCACAGAGTTCCAGGTGAACACAGAGAAGAAGCTTCCAACCTCATCACATATGGAAGGAGTCCAGAAAGGCTTCTGAGAAAGTGATGTTTGCATTTGCATGGAGTTTCAAAGGATAAAGAAGAAAGTGTTACTAGGAAAAGAACACGCATTTGCTTGAATCAATGAATATGTCTTTTAGTTAAATCTCAAAGAAGTGTAGATTGTAACATTGGCTATTGAGCTTAACCATGAAAAGGTTCACATTGTCATTCCAACAAAGCTGTATGACTTTCTAATTGAAGTATCTTCATTAATTGAAAAAAAAAGGACAGCAAGGGAATGAAGATACGTTCTAAGCCATGATTATAAATCAGATCCTTTTAAACGACTTCAAGAGTTCAGTTGTTTCAAGAAATAAGTCTCCCTGAAGACCTCCAAAAACATGTCAGAGTGAGGATAATATATCCTGTTATCACTCCAATTAATTTGTGAATGTGAGTAATTAGATAAATTGGCTGTCAATATGTACCTATAAGATTAAGTGCTGTTACGATTCAGTAGATAAGGGCTACTAGTGAACACTGCATGTCTGATATCAGTATGCATTCTTCTCCCTGATATTTGGGTTTTGTGCTCTTGAAACTCATAATGAAAAATTGCAAAATAAATACTATGAACCTCTACAAAAAGTTTGCCAAATGCATTTGCTAAAATTAGCTGTGAAGCCCAAGAAAGGATAGAAAGAAATTACCTCCTGCATGTCTCTCCCTGGAATTATGCATGGTATATGAAACAGACTGATAATAAATGAGAAAACATCCTGAAATAAGAAAGAAGTATAAACTGTGTAGGTTTTTATGGTTTAAGATAAATTTCATATATACCTCTCTCTATATTAAGAGGTTTAACATATATAGTCAAGTTTTAAATCAACAGAAGTAAGATTGTATTCAATGGTAAGGCCTTTTGTCCCAGCTTTAAGATACAGGGATAAAATTCTTTCTGACAAAGATGAAAATATATGCTACATCCATGCAACACAGGTAATCAAACTAGTGGAAACATATCACCAACATTCATCATTTAACAGTAAGTTATGAAAAACCTTTATTTTAGGTAGTAAAAATAGGAAATTTCATAAGGCAGAATTTTTTTTGACGGGGAAGTCAGCCTAATGAAAGAGACAGAACGTAAACGGACCATTTATAACACAGTTTAAAGAACACAACAAAAGAAAGGTATACCAGCTCAGAGGTAGATGAGAGGAGACAGGGATATGGATGTGGATTTCCTGAAGGAGATGTCATCTGAGTTATGATTTTTCATGGCTCACACATGTTTATTGTTTGATATGTAATACACATACACATTGTTTCAGATCTAAGAAGAGAATAACTTAGTTGTCAAAATTCCTGGTATATTAACATCAAATAAATACTTACTACTGACCAGACACAGTGCTAAATGGCTTCCATGTTCTCTCTTCATGACTGTCTCATAAGGTAAAAATCAGTAGTCCCATTTTACATAAGGAAAAACTGAGGCATAAGAAGAGGATATATCAATTGCACCCAGTCATTCATTGCAGAGTCAGAATTCAAATCCAGGTCTTTGTAAATGCAGTGTCTGGGCTGTACGACACTCTGTGCAGACATGGGACATTCCAAGAGGCAAAAGAAGAATGTGAGGTGGAGAAATCAAGGATTTTTTGAGGCATGAATCTAGGGGCTGACTCCATCCTGGGAGACGGATGAAAGAATGAAAGGCAGGTTGTGATGTGATGGTAGAACGTTGTGTGTGGAGAGAGGAGCACAGCAAAGACTTGGTTTGCCCATACATGGGCCAAACCATTTCTCTGTGTTTCTTTAACTGAAAATAACTTGGGCTGGGTATGGTGGTTTATGCCTGTAATCCCAAAGCTTTGGGAGGCTGAGGCTGGAGGATTGCTTGATTCTAGGAGTTTAACAGTTTAGAAGTAGTGCTTTCGGCCGTGCATGGTGGCTCACGCCTGTAATCACAGCACTTTGGGAGGGCAAGGCAGGTGGATCACCTGAGGTCAAGAGTTCGAGACCAGCCTGGCCAACTTGGTGAAACCCCATTTCTACTAAAAATACAAAAATTAGCTGGGCATGGTGGTGTGCGTCTGTAATCCCAGCTACTTGGAAGGCTGAGGCAGGAGAATTGCTTGAACCTGGCAGGCAGAGGTTGCAGTGAGCCAAGATCACACCACTGCACTCCAGGCTGGGTGACAGAGCAAGATCCCATCTCAAAAAAATCAATCAATCAATCAATAAAATAAAAATAAAGAAAGAATGAAAGAAAGAAAGAAAAATAGTGCTGATTCTTCTGGACTTTGATTGGATTCGATGGAATTTCACCAGGTTTTGAGAAGTGCCCCCAACTTTGCCTCATGTGCTCTAAAATATACGATGATATCTCCCATGGCTGACGCAGTGGAGAAACAGCATGCACCTCGTCCGGACCTTGATGAGAGCCAAAATCCCTGCAAGTTTAGTTCACTTTAGTTATTATTTCTTTCTTTACACCTGTGTTTCTTAGCCTTTTTTCATCCTTGTCCTCCTAAAAAGCTTTTTCAAATGTTTTCTCCTAATCACCTCTCCAATGAAATTTTAATACCCCATGTATACTGTATATTTGTTTATGTGCTATATGCATATCTATGCCTTACACATAGCAAGAGAAAGATTTTTAGATATTGCAGTGGTCTGAATGTGTTTCCCCAAAATGTATATTTTGAAATCCTAACCCACTGTAATGGTATTAAGAGTCGAGACTTTGGGAGATGATCAGGTCATGAGGGTGGAGTCCTCATGAATGGGATTAGTGACTTTATAAAACAGTCCTCCTTAAAGAGACCCTCAGCCCTTCGACTAGGTGAGGATATGGCAAGAAGGTGTCTGGTGAGGAAATGGGCCCTCACCAGATGCCATATCTGCCAGTGCCTTCATCTTGGACTTCCTAGCTTGTAGTACTCTGAGAAATATATTCCTGTTGTTTAGAAGCTACCCAGTTTGTGATATTCATTGTAGCAATCCAAACAGATGAAGACAACCGTGAAACAATGTTTTACCCTTTTGGGACTGACGAAGCCCTCTTGATAATGAATAACTTACACTGTACTTCATTCCTTGTTTTGCATTCTATTGTAATAACACAAAGGGAGACTTTGGAAACAATTTGAATCAAACCAGGTTCCAAGAGAAATTACCTAATCTTTTTGAGTGCAAATGTATTCTGTGAAAAGTGGTAATAATAATACAGCTCTAGGAAATTGTTGTGAATGGATTAAGACAACTTAGAAGCAGAGACATGACAGTGACTTAGAAAATATTAGTTACTTTCCCTGCTTCTCATAGTGCAGTTTCTTTCTAACTCAGCCTTTAGACTGCATTTTTCATCTGCTTATTTGCTCTTTTATCTGAGAGATTGGAAAGAAAGCAGCAGAGTAATCACAGAAAGGCCTTAATAAAGGGATGTAGTAGCAGAAGCCTCACTGAGGCAATTTATGGAACAGGCATGCTGCCAGGGCCATCTGAGAGGGAAGCATCTGGCACCTTCTTTGTTGATGGGCAAGTCCCCCTCATGTCTTTATCAAGGGGGTTGGCTCCTCCCTGAAGTGGACTTTTGCTTTTATAAATCCTGTGATGAAAGAAAAGATCTCCAATGCAATATGGTGGGGAAGGGGACAGCATTTGGAGAAAATCTAGGATGCAGCTGACTCTACTATTTATGCCCTGATTTGGGCAAGTTTTTAACCTCTTTGGGCTTATATTTCTTCACCTGTAAACCGGATATAATTGTGTCCCTAACTCAGAGGGTTATTTTGAAGATGAAGTTAAATACTGCTTGCACAATGCCTAGCATATAGCTAGTGCCCAGCATAAACTACTATGTTTTCTTTCTAAACAGCTTTGCTTTCTTAGATGTCATAGGGCAGCAGTTCCCAATCTTTTTGGCAGCAGGGACCAATCGGTTTCCTGGAAGACAATTTTTCCACCTAGGCGACAGTGGAGGGATGGTTTTGGAATGAAACTGTTCCACTTCAGAGATCATCAATCATCAGGCATTCTCATAAGGAGCATGCAACCTGGATCCCTCACATACGCAGCTCACAATCGGGTCCGCACTTTTATGAGACTCTAATGCCACAGCTGATCCAACAGAAGGTAGAGCTCAGGCAGTAATGCTCACTCACCTCTTGCTGTGCATCCCAGTTCCTAACAGGACACACACTGGTACAGGTCTGTGGCCCGGGGGTTGGGAGCCCCTCTCATAGGGTAGAATTATTCCATATAGATAAAACTTTAAAGTGCACAGTTTATATAGCAATAGATATGGGAGAAATAATAACTTACATTTCTAGAGCACCTTATGAGTACAAACTACTTTCACAGTCTTATTCTGAAAGATCACCTGGTGAAAAAAGTAAGAATGACATTATCCTCATTATTAAGAATCAGAAAAAGATATCACATGACCAACCTATCACCTGGTAAGAGATTATGTCACTAGAAGTCAAATTCAGTTTCTCTGATTCTAAACCTAGAGCTAAACTTCACTATTGCTTAATATTGCTTACAAATCCTTATTTTTCAAGTATAAAATTCAATTAATTTCTAAAAATTCTAAAAAATATATAAGTGGGCATCATCAGTTTCAGTGTTGATCATTCTCCATTGATAAATTTTAATCTTTTTTTGCATTTTACATATGGTGGTTTCTGTCCATAACTCTCATGAGATCTCTTTAGCTCTTTACATATTTGAAATTCAGTTTAATTATTCATTAAACATTAAGAAATTATTTGAGAAAATAGGATCTGTCTTCATGGGCTGAAGGTGGAAGGAGGGAAAACATATAGCTCTTTCAGTGGATACTTGGAAGGAATACTAAAATAAATTTTTATAGTAATATAAAGTTCTGCACATAAGACGCAATATTGGGCAATAATGATCAAATTGATTTTTTTTGTTTATCCACCTAAGTTATTAGATAAAACCTACTTCAAGCCATTTTTCTGCTATAAGATTTTTTAAATAATTTAACTTTAAAAGGACAATGGAAATCAGAATGTAACTGGTAATTCTTTTATATTGAGTGTCTTCCTTTCTATGCCTGGATCTAGGCAAATAATAGACTTCTAGCTTTCAATGGAACTTAAAGCTTATTTTTAATCAGCATGCTATTTCTCTAGGCTAATTTGATGACAGAAAATCTCGCTGAGGGAGAATGCAGATGAGAACACTGGGTTCCAAAACACAGCTCCTCCTTCCATACTGGCTTTGGCAGTTTAATAACCACAGCAGCAAAGTATAGTAAAAGAAAAATAAAGGCAGTAAAATAAAAGAGGCAACAATTGTTAATGAGGCAACAGTCTTTACCAGGCAGCTAGTTGAGTGAAGATAACTTTCCTGTTATTTAGGAGTCTTTGAGGACACTGCAATATAGTTGCTTCCTGTTAATAACTCTTCTGTCATCCATTGTTTAGGCATCATCCCATGTTAAATCACCGTGGTGTCATTCTCCTAGAGCAACACACTTGAGAGTTTTAAATAACCGTTTGACAGGAAGTTGTCAGAGGAAGAGCTTCTTTCAACCAGTTAAGCATTTGAGCATGAACAATGCTCTGTTTATAGTCAAAAACAGATAAAATAAGTGAATAATTATTGAACTTTTTAAAAATTAAATGATCTTTGTACTTAAAATTTGATTTACTAATGACGAAATCTCATTTATTTGGTGGAGGATTAAACTCAGTTATCACGAACCTAAATATGATTTAGCAAAATTTTATCAAGTACCTACTATATTCTCAACACTGTACAAGACACTGATAGGGATAAAAAGAAAATACAATATACAGATTACACTCCTACCTTTCTACAACTAACAGCCATATTGGGGAGCCACAGCATACAGATATGATAGATAGATAGATAAATAGATAAATAGATAGATAGATAGATAGAGATATGACCTAGAGAATAATAAAAGAAATCTTACTAAATGACAGAATATCAATATGGAACTGAAGGGCATCATATTAAGTGAAATAAACCAGGAACAGAAAGTTCTCATTCATATATGGAAGCTAAAATAAGTTAATCTCACAGAATAAAAAGTAGAACAAAGGATTGTAAAGACTGGGAAGAGTGTTGGGGAAAGAGGGGTAGGGGGAAATTTGCTAAAGGATACAAAATTACAGCTAGATAGGAGGAATAAGTTCTAGTGTTTTATAGCACTATAGGATGACTATAGTTAATGATATATTAGTTTCAAATAGTTAGAAGGATACTGAGTGTTCCCAACACAAAAGAATGATAAATGTTTTAAGATGACGGATATGTTAATTACCCTGATCTGATCACTATACATGGTGTGTATAGAAACATCACTATGTACCCTATAAATATGTAAATTATTATGTGTTAGTTAAAAAACAACAATAAATATTTAGTAAAGATGATATGGTTTTGTTGTGTTCCCACCCAAAATCTCATCTTGAATTGTAATCTCCATAATCCTTATAATCCCTGAGTGTCAAGGATGGGACCAGGTGGAAGTAATTGGAACATGGGGATGGTTTCCCCCATGCTGTTCTCTTTATAGAGAGTGAGTTCTTATGAGATCTGATGGTTTTATAAGTGTCTGGCATTTCCCCTGCTTGCTCTTCTCCTTCCTGCTGCCTTGTGAAGAAGGTGTCTTGCTACCCCTTTGCTTTCTGCCATGATTGTAAGTTTCCTGACGCCTCCTGAGCCATGCTGAACTATGAGTCCATTAAATCTCTTTCCTTTATAAATTACCTAATCTTGGGCAGTTCTTTACAGCAGTATGAAAATGGACTAATACAAAAGAGTTTAATTACTAAAGACTGATGAAAAAGAGCAATTTCAATAGGCACGGTAATTGCAGAAGGCTTTAGGAAGAGATAACACTAGAAAGAAAATAAGCAGAAGGGGAAAAAAAGACCGTCAATGACCAGAAAAAAATAAGAATCAAAGCAGAAGGCCAGGGGCTGAGTAAAGTATGACCATGTGGCAGAAAGGCAGGTGTGGTTGAAGCATGTTAGAAGATCAAGGAAATGTGATTTGATACCAAACTTAGAGGACCAGGTTATGAAGAGACTATTTTGTCTGCTATTTTGGAGGGGATTATAGGTATTGGGGCAAATACCATACATTCTCAAAGACTGCATTGACCCACTTGATGTATCTTAGAAAGAGTAGTCTAGTGACATTGTGCCTATGGCTGGTGAATCATGAGAAAGAGTAAGGCCAATTACGAAACTGTGGGATAGCCAAAAATTAGTACAAGGGGTCTAGACATATGGAATGGAGGACAAAATTAGCATAAATAAAGGATAATGCATTTCATTAATTGCATTGAAAAAACTTGATCTATTTCAATGACTAGAAAGTAAATATAGGCCAGGTGCAGTGGCGCACACCTGTAATCCCTGTAATTGGGAGGCTGAGGCAGGCAGGTCACTTGAGCTCATGAGTCCGAGACCAGCCTGGGTAACATGGCACAACCCCGTATCTACAAAAAATACAAAAATTATGTGGGCCTGGTGGCGTACACCTATAGTCCCAGCTATTTGGGAGGCTGAGATGGGAGGATGGCTTGAGTCCCAGAGGTGGAGGTTGCAGTGAGCTGAGCTCATGCCAGTGCACTCCAGCCTGGGCAATAGAGCCAGACTATGTCTCAGAAAAAAAAAAAAAAAGAAAAAGAAAAAAGGAGAAAAAAAAAAGAAAATGAAAAAGAAAGTAAATATAATTTTTAGAAGTGGAAATAACTGATTAAAATAGGCTCTTAGTCTGAAGACTTCCTGTCATGTAATCATTTAAGAGGTGTATTGCTTTAGGAAAGCCTTGCACTAATAATCTAATATGAAATTAGGTTGGAAATAATGGATGACATCAGAGAGATTAACAAAGGGACATATGTTTTTTGATGTGACCAACCTGGGCAGTTAGCCTAGTCTAGATATGTGCCATAGACAAATTGCTGTCTGGGATGTTAGCTAGCCTAAGACTACTAGATGGTTTATTGTTTGCTTGCTGCAGACATGTACATAAGTGTGTGTTTCACTTATTTTTAGCACAAAAACAATGCATATGTATTACAGAAAATTTAGCAAAGCTTAAAAAGAAAAAAGAAATGAGAAATTCTATAATCCCATCACCTACATAAAATATTACTAATATTTTGAAGTGTTTTATTGTCATAGATACTCTGTGTATATTTAGTTGTTGTAAGATGCATTCCAAAGAGGAATCTCTTCTGCCATTTCTCCTTTTCCAAGCTCATCTTTAACTCTTGTTTTCTCTTACATTTTAAAATATCCTTTTTCTAATACATTATAACTTATAAAAATATAATATTTCTCCTAGTACCAAAATTCAGAAACACAGAGAATTCTCTTCTTTCTGTAAAATTCAAGATAATTTTATATATGCTGCCAATAACCACCCTGACTAACCAGGGGGGTGTCTAATTTTCCGAGGCTAGGAAAGTAAATGCTATTAGAGATGGCATCACTGCAATGGGCTATCAAAGACAGTGATCATCTGCCAAAAACATTTTTAGGAGATACATGCAGCATCTCTAAAGCGACAATGAGTACACTCATAAACATGTAGAACTCTCCAACAATGAATGTAGCTATAATGGTGAAGAGCATGGATTTCCAAATTGGATAGCCCCACGATTGAATTCTGGCTCCACCTCCTTTACTAGCTGTGTTATGACCTTGGGAATATTGCTTAACTTCTCTAAAGATCAGTTTTCTTTTCTGTAAAATGTGAATACAAATCTGCATCTCATGAGTTTATTCTGATGAGCAAATCAGATAACATCCTTCAATTATGTACTGTTAATGAAATATAATTGTTAAAACAATAAAGCAACTGGGGTTCAGAGAAAATAAGAGACTTGTTCAAGCTCACATAATGCATCTGTGGCAAAAATGAGGCTGGAATCTAGGCCTGATTCTCAGTCTAATGCTCTTCTCACTTTAGCAAGAAGCCATCCCCCATCCAATAGAGTGAATGTATGAGTAAAGATCCAGAAAACCTCTTTATAACCTTCCTCCAAACCAGCAAATTGTGACCCTCTAAATCCCAACCAGCACCTCTCTCCATAATGTATTTTCAACTATTAGAAACAAAAGTGTCTCAGAGATAAGTCTGTTTGACTCTCAGGAAGGGTCAAAGCCACTTAGTATGACTAATTTGGACTTGAACCTTTCAGCTACTGCAGTATCCAGAAATAATTTATTATCCTGACATTCCGTAAAAGAAGTAAGTACAAAACAAATATTCATACTGGCATTTTAAAATATGTCAGCAGAGAGGATCAAAGAGTCTCCATTCTTTACTTTATATCAAGATGAACCTATTTGGTACCTGTCATGGAGTGAAGCTTATCTAGACGCGACAGGAAGCAAAGGTTATCTTTAACACAATGGAAAAGGGCAAATGAATGTTAACATTTAATTAAAGCCACAGGATGAGAATGCCAAAGTGCAGGTCAGTGGTAGAAAGAATGTGTGTTAGTGCCTTACAGAGGCAGGCTGGCTGAGCACAGAGGCAGAACCTGAATGCAGATGGTTGGATTAGCAGCTCTCTCGATGTCACGGATGTTATATTTGTTTCTGTTCAGGTGATAGCACAAAGAGGCCATTTGTACAGTGATTAACCATAGGGCTTTGAAGCCCAATCTAGCGGGATTTGAGAAGCTGCCCTCAGAGTGGTTAGGAGCATGGACTGGGAGACAGACCGCCTGGCTTCAAACACCAGCTGTGTACCACTTATTAACCGTGTGACCTCAGGCAAGTTGCTGAGTCTCTGTTCCTTAATTTCTTCAACTATAAAATGGAGATAAGACTGCATCTACTCATAGACTAGTTAGAGAGATATAACAAAGGAGTTAGTATTTGTAAAGCACGTGGTAAGTTTTAAGTATTTGTTAAATATAGTCCTGAGGCGTAAACCCAACACATACAAGCTACATTCTTAGTAGAAGTTATTCAGCCTTTCTAAGACTTAGGCTCCTCATCTGGAGAACGGGTCTAGTCACAGTGCCTGGCTTACACAGTTGTGAAAGATAAATGGGATCATGTATGCATGGCATTTGGCATACACCAAAGAATTATCATCTTGGCTTTTATCTCACCAACTAGACCAGACACCTCCTGAAGCGTCTGTCATGTTATACCTTGGGATCATGACAGAACTTTCTATATTAATTTTTGTAAAAGAGGAAAAAAGATATAAAGATGCAGGCAAAGTCATATATATACACGTCAACACAGACATATTCATGCCCAAACTTAGAACGTGCTCTCAGAAAAGAATTAAATGGATGTTTGCTAAGAAATATAGGACATTTGTGGAATTACACTCAGAAAATTGTAGAACAATGAGGTTCGACCCAGTATTTACTCCACAGTCATATTCTTATTCCTCCGTGCATTCTTGATGAACCAGCTTTTCGTTGAAACTTCCAGAAATTCACAGTTAAGTCTGCCACAGAGCAAATATATTCCTTCTTTTCTTACCTCCCAGTGGAACTTTTAAAAATAACTCTCATTGGTAGCAATTTTGAAAGTCCCACTTATTGTAGTTATTCTTGAGCTTCTCTCCATTAATGAATGGTAAATCCCTTGATATAAAGGCTCCCAAACATACTAATTTTTATATCTCCCAACTATATCGGGAACATTTCTACATCCTTACTAGTAGATGCTCAGTAAATGTTTGTTGAACACATGAATTAAATGAGGAGGGATCCTGTATGTTTCCCTTTCTAAAAAAGCTGCCCATTTCAAGTGAAACATCTATTTCCAATGTTTCCTTCTGCTTATGTATACTTTATCATATTTAAAACCTTGAAATCTAAAGAGATCAGTTTTCATTTCCTGACTCAGAGGTTGAATTTAAATTATTTTTGAATACTTGAAATTTTAATTTCATGGATTATTAGACCTCTAAGGAAAGTCAAAGTTATCTAGTCATTCTAAATATTAGGAATCTAAAACCAATCATTGGCAGAGCCTGGATTTAAGGCTGGGTCATCTAAACGTTAATCCCACCGTATTTCCACTTCACCATTCTGCAAGCACTTTACGATTTACAGAGCCCCTTTGACCTACAAAAAAACTACAGCTTTTTGATCTTTAAATCTATGCTGTATAAAGGACAAACATTATGCCCTTATATTTCAGAGAAACAAACTAAGTCTCAAGGAAGTCCAGGGACTCCCAATATTCTATAGCTGGGAAATAGTAAAGCTAGGAGTGAACCCAGGTCATCAGATTCAATCCTTTCCCCTTTCATTGGACTGAACTAAGCACATGCATTAAAGAGAGAGAACTCTTAAAAAAAAATAGGAAGAGTGGAGGAAATACAAAATAGAAGTATATTCAAAGTGAGTAGAGGCAGCAGCCAAAAGGGATTCCTGCCCACTAGCCCTCATCAAGTACCGACTGGGGCACATTCCAGGATTAGAACAACCATGCCTTGCAATGGAAACCAACCCAGCGATGAGCATAATGCAAGTTTCATTCTCATTTCATCTACAACACTAGTAGGTGTTTTCCTGTACCTGGAGCCATTCTGGGACGGAGAAGGGGAAAAAGAGAAGCAGCCCTTCCCGGGAGTTGAACTTTAGATAATTTTTATTACCAAAACAGAAAACTGAGATGTATTTAATCAGCAAATGTAAGTGAGTCCACCACCTCTGACTTCCCTCTAACCTCATATCACTTGTATCATTCAAGTTTATGAAAATTCTTTAAGACATTCATAAGACATAGATAGGAAGTTGCATCATGGGCATAGTATCTGATATAAGGTTCTTAGAAGGATGTGTGATTACTTGCCTTGCATCCCTGCAGAAGCAGTGCCTGCTCCCCACAGAGTGAGAGCCAGCAGGGGCAAGAACAGGGCAATTCCTTGCCTTTCAGAGGCAGAGCTCTAGTGGTAACATGCAGGTTCAGCAAGCTAGAGATGTGTGTCTACCCAGTCAGAAAAGAAATCACAACATTCTTAATGAGGCATTGCAACCTGGCTGTTCTCAGTTGGAATCAAAGTAGAATAAGCTGAGGTTGCCTTGTAGATTACGAATAATTAGCAACTCCAAGGAAAAATCTTTTAAAAACTATGATTTGGGCTCTTTGATTCCTGTAATGATCTCATTTGTTGCAATGCCCCTTTTTTCTGCCAATCATCCAGTCAATACACACCTCTTGAAGATCCATGGGCACTGTGACTTTGAGCGGTTCACTCTGAGTCTCTTCCTGCTGTGCAGTTCCCCACAGGGCCAAGGTGAGACCTGCCTGTCCAGAGCCCACACACAGCCTTCTATTCCACATTGCAGGTACTTGGGATCCCAGAATCTGTTATGCAAGTGGGTGGCACAAGCCAATTTTTCAGAACCTGCATGAGTCATTTTCCTGAGTCCAACTCTGAATGGTGAATTGCACAAAAGTGTGCACGGTTACAGCTCAGGAGAGTAGCCAAGTATTCGTTATTTGTGGAGGATGTGAACTGAGCTTGGACTTGTGGCCTGGGGTGGGCATAGATATGTATGCAAGGATCTTTACAGTGCAGGACTGAGCTAGAGGTGACAATGGAGGAGAGCAGGCTGTGGGCCAAGAGCCTCTGTATATATTCCTATTGTGGCCAACAAATGTGAGGCGTGGGCCTAGTAGCCCTTGTAGATTCTGTCTCTTTGTTTTCTATTGAGTGACACAGCCAGCAGGATACCTACCCTGCCCATTATGGGATTTATAACTAGAGGTATAGAGATCCATTGAGCATAGAGGAATAAGATAGAAGCCATATAAACAAGTGGAAAGAACATGGTTAATCGTTAGACTGAGACGGATCTGAGCACCAGACCCTGGACTGTCACTGCTCTGGGGCCTTGTCCACATTGCTTAAAAAGAATCAGGTATCTTTTCCTTCTTTTTCTACTTTTATTTTGGATTCTGGGGGTAGATGTGCAAGTTTGTTACAAAGGTATATTGCATGGTGATGAGGTTTGGAGTACCATTGAACCTGTTACCCAAGAAGTGAGCATTGTACCCAAGAGGTAGCTTTTCAACTCCCGTCCTGCTCCATGCCTCTCTCCTCTTGTATTCCTCAGTGCCTATTGTTTCCATCTTTATGTCCAAGTGTACCCAGTGTCCAGCTTCCACTAATAGGTGAGAACACGTGATATTTGGTTTTCTGTTTCTGCATTAGTTCACTTAGAATAATAGCCTCCAGCTGCATCCATGTTGCTGCAAAGGACAAGATTTTGCTCTTTTGTATGGCTGCATAGTATTCCATGGTGTATACATCCCACATTTTCTTTATCCAGTCCAACATTACAGACAGCTGTGATGGACATTGGGGTGCATGTGTCTTTTTGATAGAATTATTTGTTTTCCTTTGGGTATATATCCAGTAATGGGACTGTTGGGTCAAATGGTAATTCAACTCTTCGTTCTTTGAGAAATCTCCAACTGCTCTCCACAGGGGCTGAACTAATTCACATTCCCACCAATAGTGCATAAGCATTCTCTTTTCTCCAAATCATGTTTCTAAAATGAAGTTTAAAGTTTTACCTACCTTATAAAATTATGATGGGTGATGGGATATAGTTATGAATAGCATGTACAAGGATACTTCACACACATTAGGTATTTTATAAAGGTAGTTATTTATTGTGTGAAGGATAATGAGGAAATAGATCTTACAACTTAGAAAATACCTGTGATGGGCCGGGTGTGGTGGCTCACGCCTATAATCCCAGCATTTTGGGAGGCCAAGGTGAGTGGATTATGAGGTCAGGAGGTCGAAACCTTCCTGGCTAACATGGTGAAACCCTGTCTCTACTAAAAACACAAAAAATTAGCCAGGCATGGTGGCGGGCAACTGTAGTCCCAGCTACTTGGGAGGCTGAGGCAGGAGAATGGCGTGAACCTGGGAGGCGGAGCTTGCAGTGAGCCGAGATCATGCCACTGCACTCCAGCCTGAGCAACAGAGAGCGAGAGTCCATCTCAAAAACAAAATAAAAATAAATGGGCAGTAGATGATCACAATTCATAGTATCCTGCAATGGTATGATTAATGAAAATGTGTGAGCACTTAGGAGTTCTACAACACCACTTCTGAATTCTTCTCTGACATTTAATCATATTTTCAGTCCTTTCTTTCTGTATCCTTCTCTTTCATTATATTTCACCTCCTGTTCTTTTAACTTGAATGTTCTCAAAGCATGTCAACCTCTTGATTGTAGCAATAAATAGATTTGAGTTAGCTTTATGCCACACTAGTGCCTCAGTTTAAAGCATATTGGGCTATAACAGATACTGCTAAAACAGAAAGCTTCATGAAGCTCATTGATACATAGGCATCTGCAATCTCATCTGAATCCTCCACATTCCTTCTTTATTGGAATGGTAAGTTACATAAGAAAAGCTTATAGGGAGAAAAGTGTGGATTAAAGCCCATTTTTTTGAATAAAATAGGTCTGGCCTATTGAATCTCAACCTCTTATTCACTGGGTGACCTTGGACAAGTCACTTAAGTACTCTTTGACTCAGTTTCTTCTTTTGCAAAGTAGGGACTGTGGAGGAAGTGGCATCTCTTGCCTATATCAGAAGTAGAAATCAGCATTTCTGCCTATTTGATTTTAATATTGGAGTCACCAAGGAAAACACAACACAATCAGGCACTGGATGGAACGATGCTTTTTTTAAAAAAAAAAATTTTTATTTTTTTTATTTCAGTAGCTTTAGGGGTACAAGTGGTTTTTTGTTACATGCATGAATTGTATTGTGGTGAAGTCTGAAATTTTAATGTACGCATCACCAGAGTAGCCTACCTCGTACCCAATAGATAATTTTTCTTTCCTTAACCACCCTCACCCTCCCTCTCTTCTTTGAGTCTCCCATTTCCATTATACCACTCTGTATGCCTTTTCATACCCATAGTTTAGCTCCCACTTAGTGAGAACATGCAATATTGGTTTTCCATTCCTGAGTTATTTCACTTAGGATTATAGACTCCAGTTCCATCCAAGTTGTTGCAAAAGACATTATTTTATTCTTTTTTATGGCTGTGTAGTATCCCATGGTAGATGTATGTAATGTATATATATACACACATATATGTATGTATATATATATATACACACATATATGTATGTATATATATATACACACATATATGTATGTATATATATATACACACATATATGTATGTATATATATACACACACACACACACACATCACATTTTCTTTATCCACTCATCAGTTGATTCCTTATCTTTGCAATTGTGAATCGTGTTGTGATAAAAATATGCATGCAGGTGTCTTTTTTTTAATACTTTAAATTCTAGGGTACATGTGCACAATGTGCAGGTTTGTTACATATGTATACATGTGCCGTGTTGGTGTGCTGCACCCATTAACTTGTCATTTACATTAGGTATATCTCCTAATGCTATCCCTCCCCGCTTCCCCCACCCCACAACAGGCCCCAGTGTGTGATGTTCCCCTTCCTGTGTCCAGGTGTTCTCATTGTTCAATTCCCACCTATGAGTGAGAGCATGCAGTGTTTGGTTTTTTGTTCTTGCAATAGTTTGCTGAGAATGATGGTTTCCAGCTTCATCCATGTCCCTGCAAAGGACATGAACTCCTCCTTTTTTATGGCTGCATAGTATTCCATGGTGTATATATGCCACATTTTCTTAATCCAGTCTATCATTGATGGACATTTGGGTTGGTTCCAAGTCTTTGCTATTGTGAGTAGTGCTGCAATAAACATATGTGTGCATGTATCTTTATAGCAGCATGATTTATATTAGACTTAAAACCATAAAAACTCTAGAAGAAAACCTAGGCAATACCATTCAAGACATAGGCATTAGCAAGGACTTCATGACTAAAACACCAAAAGCAATGGCAACAAAAGCCAAAATTGACAAATGGGATCTAATTAAACTAAAGAGCTTCTGCACAGCAAAAGAAACTACCATCAGAATGAACAGGCAACCTATAGAATGGGAGAAAATTTTCACAATCTACTGATCTGACAAAGGGCTAATATCCAGAATCTACAAAGAACTTAAACAAATTTACAAGAAAAAATCAAACAACCCCATCAAAAAGTGGGGGAAGGATATGAACAGATAGTTCTCAAGACATTTATGCAGCCAACAGACACATGAAAAAATGCTCATCATCACTGGCCATCAGAGAAATGCAAATCAAAACCACAATGAGATACCATCTCACACTAGTTAGAATGGCGATCATTAAAAAGTCAGGAAACAACAGATGCTGGAGAGGATGTGGAGAAATAGGAACACTTTTACACTGTCGGTAGCACTGTAAATTAGTTCATCCATTGTGGAAGTTAGTGTGGCGATTCCTCAAGGATCTCGAACTTGAAATACCATTTGACCCAGCCATCCCATTACTGGGTATATACCCAAAGGAACGATGTTTTTTACTCCTCACAAAGAGAAAGGACAGCACCAGATCAGTGTCAGTACTTTACTCCTCACATAGAGAAAGGACAGCGCCAGATCAGTGTCAGTACTTTACTCCTCACACAGAGAAAGGACAGCGCCAGATCAGTGTCAGTACTTTACTCCTCAGATAGAGAAAGGACAGCGCCAGGTCAGTGTCAGTACTGCATGTCAGTCCCCCAAAGCCAGAAGGTCCCTCCTGGAGGCTGATGCAGAACAATTGGCCTATAGGTGCCCTTTCTGTGCTGCAGAAGAAGCACCTCATCCCCTCCTGGAAGAGGATAGATATAACAGTGGGGTTGACCAGGTGCCACATGATGCACAGGCTCCAGCAGAACAAAACAGGGAAAGTTATTCCACACAAGGTGGTAAGTCCAGCGCAGGTCATGAGGACTCTATCTCTTGGTAAGGAAGTGTTCCAGACCCAAGGCCTACTTTTACAGATAAGCAAGAGGTCTAAAGACTTGCATACAGGAGACTGCCTTCCTCTGGGGCACAATACAGTGCCTGTCTCATAAATGTGCTGTGAGGAATAAATGGGAGAAGACAAAAAGTCTATAAAGTACTAAACATCATGTCTAACACAGTGACACAGCACTCAATGGTCACCCCAAATAAACGAACATTTGCATATCACCCTGATCATTTTCCAAATTCCCCTTTACCCTCCCAATTAAATTATGTCTCTCTGTTCTCATTATCAATTGTAAACAGAGGGAGCACTAATGCTAGCAGTGGCTCTAGAGGTTAAAACTCTCAGGGGTAAAATTTTTTTCTAACAGTGTTAATTATTTGAAGGAGGGCTCCATGGAGAGTTTAGAAAACATGTCCTCCTGGACTAATTGTTAGAAGCGAGAATAATGTTATTGTACATTTTTACTCTTGGAATGACAAGTGTCTGCAACATGCAGTAATTTGGATTTCAGGTCCTTACCTGAATTTTCTGAAAATTACTCATATGTATAGCGTATGTGTATTTGGCTAGAGTGGTCTCTACAGAAGCCCATATATCCTTGTTAACACTTCTTTTTAAAATGTGTCTCAAGAATATTGTTGCCCCTCAAATGAAGTTGTTAAATAAGTGATTTCTCATTCTAAGATTTTGGCAATATATTTAGGTTTTATTGACTTATTACTGAAACTCAAGCATACTTGTGCCCTTGGGATGATAGTTCTAACTGAGTCCAAAGTTAAGCTATTCCTAGAACTGTAAATAATAACTTAAAATGCTCAGAAAAACATAGATTATTTATTATGAGTATTTTTCTTATTGTTTCTAACGGTAGGATAGTCACAGTTTAATACATATTCACAGAATCAAGCATTAATTAAGCATTTAATATGTACCAGGAATTTGGATTGGAGCTCTGCTGAAACTTTCTCTTTCTTTCTGTGACTACTGATTAATATATATTTGCAATAAATACAGCTGATTTGCTGTATTTATGGAAACTAAACTAGTAACAGAACTAGAATCAATGTATTCTTTCAGACTCTGAAATCTTGGTCTGGTTGTAAGTCCTCTAAATTTCAATATTGAAAAAAATCTGTAAAAATAGAGAAAAGTTCTATCCCAAATGGTTGTGACGTTTAAAAGAGCTATTGGAAGCAATCCAACGTGCTGTATTGAAGACAAAATAAATCTTACATGATGAAGGCATGGATACAGCTTGGCAAAAAGTTATAATATGCATTCAAAGGTCACTACTGATGTCTACTAAAGTTAAACATAAGTACATACTCTGAGCTAGCAATTCCACTCCTAGTTATATACCCAAAAGAAAATAGTGCATATATCTATCAAAAGATATGTGCAAGAATGTTCGCAATAGTTAATATTCACAATAACCAAATATTAGAAACAACCCAGACACCCACTGCAATAGAATGGATAAATTGTGATATATTCATATAATTGAATATTATACGGCTTTAAAAAAATACATCTCTGTTAGATCTTGGATAAATCTCACAAATAGAATGCCAAAAAAGCACAAAAAGCTATATTGTTTACGATTCCGTTTACATTAAGTTCAAAATTTGGTGATATATCAGCATAATATTTACCCATAGAAGGTGCAGAGATTGAGTGGGAAGAAGGATGAGGGAGACAGATGATCAGCTGATAATGTCTGTATCTTAAAATGATTGGTGGTTACAACTGTGTGTGTGTGCATGTACAAATGCATCAGAGTGTACACTTAAGTTTTATGTGCTGTATTTTCTACCTCAATGTTAAATTGAATAAAGAGACAAGACTACACCTATTTTCCCTGAACAATGAGCATTATATGAAATTTGAATCTACATCTTTGCCTTGCATAGGTATTTGAGTACAGAAAGGGCCTAGGGTAAAGTGAAAATATAATTTCCTTATTCAAATATTGTTAAGAATTTATTGATGGCAATATCAGAACAGCAAACCAAGTGTCAGAACATTCTAGGCACGGAGCTCTGTGTGTTATACAGGTTGCACACCCATGAAGCCAGTCTTGCACAGATAAATTTGAAGATATCCTCGAAAGTAAGAAAGTCTTGCTAAGATGAGGCATCTGCATGGTGTAAAGTAAATGATAAAAATCCCTGGTTCTTCCTGGGGTGGTATCATTTTGTGTTAAAGAGGTTGTGTCCTATCAAGTTGAATGACTAAGGTATATTTCCACTCCATCAAAAAGGCAAAAGGGTAAATACTTACTATGAGAAAATATGCCAAAGCTGATTAGATAGAATGACTTAATTAAGGAGGGACAAATTTAAATCAGCACTATGAACAGAAAACATGTGTTCTATTAAAATGAAACATGCCATTATTGCCATCCCAGGAAGGAAACATTGAAATCGTTAAGTGATAATAAGCTAGAATGCTAAAATAGCTTGTGGACTAATGATAACTTTTGCTTCACTAATTGAAGATTCGTAATACTGTATACTACTTTAATCATTAAAATACTCTAAAATTCTTTAAGAAGTCCATGCCTCCAGAGCAAAGTTTTTGTTGTAAGAAATGAGCAGGAAGAGATCAAGAGAACAAAATATGAAAAACAAAAAGAGAAGCCGGGAAACTTGAGTTGCCCAAATCTGGTCGCTGACTGCTTCCTTGCAGGAATGATGCTTACTCGACAAAAAGTAAAAGCCAGCCAGCTGGGTGTTGCTGGGTTACTCATGTAACCCTCATGAGTAGCCTCAGGGTTCAGCAAAGAGGAGAATTGAGAGTCTACTTGGGCGGAAAGAAGTTGCAACATTCTTAATGAGCCATTGCAACCAGGCGTTCTAGTTGGAATCAAAGTGAAGGCAATTTTCTTGTAGAAGGTGAATAACTATCACCCTCAAGGCAAAAAAGCGAAATAAAATTAAATAACAAAATAAAAATATAACTTTGTTATTGGTTCCTTTCTTTGATTTCTTGAATGGCACTGAATGTTTCCATTTTTATCAATGCCTCTGTTTTCTACCACATGTCCAATCAATAAGAGCCTTTTGAAGATCCAATGGCATAAAACACACATGCAGTTAAAATTAATGCACAGTGCATCTGAGCTACCTGGGCTCACAAATGAACATCAGTGCTGAGACATTTTGTAAAATTTTTCCTAGCTCCTTAATAGATGACTATATTGTTGCTAAGTCTTTTATTCGGCAAACCTAGGTCACATGAACTTTCCAAAACTTTAGAAGCCTGCTGACATAAATAAGACTTTATCTGTATTAATATTTGAGTACACATATATTCCCAATTGAATTGCATTGGCAGTCATCTCCTTCAGTTATCTGTGGGTGTCCTAAGGGGCATTTCATAAGTGCTCACCTGCATTGCTGCCCTGGCCTCCTGGGTGATGCCCACAGCTCCTGAAGTGACTGGCATCTGTACCTCATCAATGACCTTGAGGGAGAGAACATTTGCGGCAATGAAGATTTCCTGGACAAGTGCTAAGGAGTAGGGTCATGTGATTCCCAGGAGAATATAGAGGAGAAATGACTTCATTAAGGAGGAAGAGAAGTTTCCCTTTGAGAAGCCACACTTGAGCTGAGATCTAACCCATGGGTCAGGATTCACAGGACATCATTAGAATAGTAGGAGTAAAACCCTTTGGTGAGTGGGAACTTAGTGAAAGCAGAGGACGTGTGTTAAAAGAAAAAAATGGCTGCTCTAACAAATAAACCTTGAAATAACAGTGCCTTAACATGACAGCTGTTTATTCCTTGTTTCTGTAGGCCAAAATTGCAGCAGGGTTCGCTGTGTCATGCTATCATTCAGGAACCTGGGCTGACTGATGTTCCACCATCTTTAATGCATGAGCTCCAATGCCAGTTTGTGCATTGATAATCAAGCTGCAGAGAAGGGAAGGCAAAGCGCATGGGGGTAGTGTGGGATGGTCTCATGAGCTAGATTTGGAAAAAGACTATGCCACTTCCACTTATATTCCGATTACCCTGTCTCAGGAACATGGCCACAAGGTATGACCACACCTATGGACAAATAATAATTTAAGAAAATAATTCGAAGTTAGGAGACCTTATATAGATTTTTACTGAGACCATTAGGACCCGAGATTGTTTATTACTTGTGGCTGAGTTAAGATAGAGGTTGATTCCTTTACTCATTTATTTATTCTTTCATCCATTATTTTTCACACATTCATCAAGTACCTGTATTAAGTGATGGCCAATCGTCAATAAACCTCATTTTTATGCAGAGACTAGTAGGGTGTATGGAAGTGGCAGGAGTCATAGGTTATAAACAAAAATGTGAGAGGACCCACAGGCAAACATTTTTCATTGAACATTTTGGATAATCAATTGAGGAGAAAACCATAATTGCCCATTGGTGCTTAAATTAAATTCTTATCAATAGTAAACAGAATTATGGGAAAAAAACATTTAAAGTAAGGAAGACTGTTTTTCTTGAAAAACAAGAAAACAAAACCCACTTGATAAAGCAACATTTGTAAAAGTGTCTTTAGTGCCATTCTATTGTTCATAATCTTTGAAATTTCTCTGTGCTTCCACGTGTTCTAGGCATAGCCATTCAAATTGCCGTGTATAAAACCTCCCCCTTTACACAATGAAAAGCTTAAACGATTGACTTGCTTTGCTAATTGACTAGATGCATGTTAAGAAACATGTAATACTTTGCCATTCCCTTCTTGTAGTTTAAAAATAAATTTTAGGCCAGGCGCTGTGGCTCACGCCTGTAATCCCAGCACTTTGGGAGGCCGAGGTGGGTGGATCACGAGGTCAGGAGATCGAGACCATCCTGGCTAACATGGTGAAACCCCGTCTCTACTAAAAATACAAAAAATTAGCCGGGCGTGGTGGCTGGCGCCTGTAGTCCCGGCTACTCGGGAGGCTGAGGCAGGAGAATGGCGTGAACCCAGGAGGCGGAGCTTGCAGTGAGCCCAGATTGCGCCACTGCACTCCAGCCTGGCCAAGAGTGAGACTCCGTCTCAAAAAAAAAAAAAAAAAAAATTTAAAATTGCAATAAGTGATCCATACTGAATGACTGCTACAGGGAGCTTTGCATACCCAGAAATTACCCATCATGAGAGAAATGTGAGTTTCTCCATATTCTTGACTCTTTGGAGTCAGGTGCTGATAAAATATTTTTTCTCAGCGTGAGCAGGACCCTATTTAAACACTGTGCCAGCTAGCAAGTAAATCCATTAGTATATTTTACATCCACACTTAAAGAATTGCTCTGCAAGCTTTACTTTTTCTCCTGAGCTCAGCTGTGACACAAAGAAAGCTTTAAAAAGAGTGTAAGTAATTAAAGCAACACACAATTAACTAATTGATCCTAAAAAATAGCTTGTCCAACATCAGCAGAATAATTGCAGCCATTTTGTAGGGCCTCCTAGGCTGTGATCATTTATGAGTCTTCATTATTACTCTTCTAAAACAAACAACCAGACTTTTTTTTTTTTTTAGCCAGGGTCTTGCTCTGTCTCCCAGGCTGGAGTGCAGTGGTGCAATCACTGCTCACAACATCCTCATCCTCCTGTCTCAAGCTGTCCTCCTGCCTCAGCCTCCTGAGTAGCTGGAACGACAGGCATGTGCCACCACACCCAACTAATTATTATTATTATTAGTAGTAGTAGTAGTAGTAGTAGTAGTAGTAGTAGTAGAGACGGGGCGGCAGGGCTGGGGGGTGGTGTGTGGGTCTTGTTATGTTACCCAAGTTGGTCTCAAACCCCTGGGTTCAAGCAGTCCTCCAGCCTCAGCCTCCCAAAGTGCTGGGATTACAGGCATGAGTGGCCAAGGCCTGCCATTATTTTTCTTTTTAAATAAAGAATTTTTTTATTTCTTTTCATTTAAATGAATAAAGTAATACATGTGACCCTTTTCAGTGCTTATAATGAATCACTTAGATGCTGTAATACTGGAAGTAACCTCTAGGGAAAATTTTGTTATGGAACTTATGTTTTCAAAGATATGAGGATAAAGCCTAATCTGGTTAGTATCCTGCCTGACATTATACGGCTGAATAAGAAACCTGAGAAAACTGGAGAGTGATTGAAAATGAAACCTGTCCTTTATAAATTGAGAGTAATTAGGCTCTGTTAATTTTTCTCTTTTGATATTATAGTTTTAAGTCAACATTAAAGACCATAAAGCATGTAAGATTTTGTGCACTTACGTCATGCTCACAAATTACTATCAATTTCAACTTTAAAAAAATGCAGTTTATCTTAGAATGTTTCTAAACCAGGATATCATTTATAATTAATCCATACCTTAAATGGAGTGTTTTCCTCAAGAGTGTAAAAGAATTGAGACTCAACTGATAATGTGCCCTAAAATTGATGGCATCCTAGAATTAAAGCAATAGAGTAACTTGATGAAGCCATTTAACTATAAGAAAATGCTGACATTACCTGCTGGTGGAATACATGACAGTTAAATTCCTCTCCTGAACTGTTATAAATTTTCCCTCTGAATATAATTGAATGTCTGCTTGTAAGTGTCTCAAACAAGTTATACTTCTAGAGGAAAGGATTCAAAATCAATTCATGTTAACTATAATATAAAACAATATGAAATGGATTAATATTAGGGAGAGCTATGAATCAAGATCTCTACTGGAAGCATAAAGACAGATTGATCATGGTTCAGGTCATGTTATTGTGGTAAGAAAAATAATCAAAATACTAACACAAACAAGGATCTCTGCCATTCATTGTGTGCCAACTATGTGCCAAACCATTGGCTGTCTCCTTTACATGTATCTGAATAGTCAGCAAGGAGGGAATGATGAAACTGACAAATAAAGAATAAAAGCCATACTATTTGGAATAACTCAGCCTTTCTTAAATTGGTTTCATACATCATTTAAAAGACTATACTGATCCCAGATAAAATTTGTCTTATCTGTAAGAGATTGTTCATCTGCCAAGGGTGGCACAGCTGTGATTCATGATTAGGTGCACCGACCATGGTTAATGTGGACCTCAGCTCCTCATTGCCTTGCTAACTAGCATTCTGTTGCTCATGTAACCACCATCTTTCAGCACTAGGGCGCATCATCCTGACATACTCAGAAAGGGCTCTGATGATTATACAGCACCCTCCGGCAGGGCTTGGTGTGCGGTTTTGTTGTAGCATAAAAAGGTTTGGGAAACCAATGCCTATCTTCCGTCATTAAACTATAGGCAATTGATCATTTATGAATACTTTCCAGCCTTCGTATGTGGCAGAATCAATATTCCAGTCTCATATTTCTTTAAAATAGAATGTCCGCCCTATCACGCATTTTAACATTCCAATAAACACGATTTCTTCTCCCTTTGCTATCAAATACACAAGGTTCTTTGCTGAAAAGGTGACTCAGAATGCTGGATAAGTAATGTGTTGTTTTGTGCATGCTATCAAATTCTACCTTTGTTGAGAATATCTCTGTGCTTACTGCAAACAATTCTCTTTTGGACCCTGTTGCTTCTTACTGTAATAAATGACAAATTGAATGCAAAGAGGGTTTGCTTGGAAAAAATAACGCTAGCAGATTAAATTTCAGTGTAATGCTATTATTTTCAAAAGCCACAATTCTCTCATCTACCAAGATTTGCCTTTCTTTGCCTATCCAGGGAAGGATTACTGCTGACAAATTGTAACTCCTTTTCAAAATATTTACTTTTTTCTTTCAAGGTTTCCTTATGAAACCTTTGAAACTCAGAAATAAAAGCTGGGAGCAGAGTGTCAGAGCAGCTGCGCCATCTAAATGTAATTACACATTAATTTGCATGAGACTTGAGAGGTGGAAGAATATGTAAATAGATTTTATGGCTACTGGCCATTAGAGTTTCTTTCTTCTTGTATTTTTTAATTCCTTTTTTAAGAGATGGCAAATAAAGTACAACATCCCTAGACTTACCTTTAAAGCCATTGGGGTTTAGAATGTTGGTTGATAACTGTTTGCTAACCTTTCTAGTTTGGTTTTTGGGTTTCATTCATCTTTCCTGGTTTATCACTGAATCTCCAGCACCTGATTCCATGTCTGGTACATAGGAGTTGCCCTCCCACCCTCAGTGCCCCCCCCCACCCACTCGCAAAAAGAAACAATGAAAGGTTGCACTTAGTTCAAATGGTAAGGGAGGTGTGGCACACACAGCATTCTTGTTGGGCGGTGCTCTCCTCCATACTTGAAATCATATTAACCAATACTGCTGAACCAAATACCAACGAACCAATACTAATGAATACTAACCAATACCAACGAACCAATACTAATGAATACTAACCAATACTAACGAACCAAAACATTAGGCTTCATGTTTCCCAGAGTTACTTAAAAGATACTGCAGTGGTCTGTAATCAGAACTCCAAGATTGTTTAGTAGATTATACTTAGCAAAGGAAGCAACAACAATATTACCAACTAAAAGATGACTCAAGAGACTCCAAAGAATTGCAGTTTGGGAACATGCAAAATTAGTATTCAGGAGTGGGAAATGGCCACGGCCATCAACACTCCCACAGAAATTTTGAAATCTTTGGGTCTCTAGTCTCATATTTCTGAAAAAAACCCTGTTTCTTCACAAAGATTACATTAGTTTTGGTTTTCTTCAATAGTTATCTACTGTATAAGGGATGGACTTAAACTACAAAGTTGTAGACATCCAGATGCATCAATGGTTTGATGATGAACATGTTTTGAATCCTCATTAGAAAAGCTGAAGGCATAACATAAAATGCAAATTTTAGAAATAAAGGGGAAAGTGAAATCCCTGAATGTTAATGTTTTACTAGACCTTTGGTATTTGAAAAATGATTTTATAAATCTGAGTAATTACTAAAATGTAATTTCTATGGTCATAATTTTTCACTCTCAAGTGGCAAAACCTTTTAACTGAGGAGAATAGAAAAGTTGAGTTAAATGAACTTCAGAAGGACCCTTTTTATTTCTTAGGACAAGTGCAAATGTGCTTTGCTTCCCTACACACCTATCAGATGACAACATCATGTTGAAGAAATCACTATACTTAGTGAGCTATCATTGGGCTTTTAAAACATAAGTGGGTTTTGTACACAATTTTATGAAAAGCATTTTTTATGGCATGGATCAGAAACTGCTGCTAGTAAGAATCTCTCAAAATATTAACTGATAACAGATGTGGGATCTTAAACAGAGATACAAATGCCTTTAATATTACATTGACATTTGATGACATAAGATGCTTTTTCTCGAAGTTTAAAAAGGACCAGGAGCTGGATGTGTATTTCAAAAAGGCATATGGATGGAGCTGTGAAGCAGATGGGAAACTGGGAGACAATGCCTTTAAAAAGACTCAATAGTCAAGGCCTGGTCCTCAGCATCACATTAAATAATTAATTCTACATGTATCCACTATACAGTAATCATGATAATTATAATAGCAATTATTTATAAAACACTTGGAATGCATCAGGTATAATTCTGTATGCTTTAGATACATTATTATTTTACTCTTTTTACAATAGCTCTGCAACATAAGTATTATTCTCCTTATTTTATCAAAGAGGAAACTGATTAGGGAACTTAAGAATTTTGCCCAAGTATGCAAAGAGTGTGTAAGGTTTTATTCAGATTCAATTCTAGGACTTTCTAACTCTACAGCTGTCTCCTCACCACAACCTGTTCTGCCTTTCCAAACTTTTTTGAGGTTCTACTATGTGCCTAGCTCCTTTCTAGATTTTGATGATGAAGTGGTGAACAGGCAGGACCCCTGCTGTTAGAGATCTCACCCTCTAGTTAATAAGTTAGACCTTAAACAAATACTTGTATTAGTAATTAATCTATTACCATGATGGTTAATGCTATGAAGTTTCCTTCGGGATGCTACTCTTGTGAGGGGATGCTACTCAAAAAAGACATAAAGAAATCCAGATACATATATGGAAAAAAGGGAGTTCATCTCTCAAAGAGTACTTTTTAAAACTTCATTTCAAAAATCATTCATTTAAAGTAGTTTTTACACAACGTATGTTTAATTTGCAAGAGCTGAAAGCTGAAATGAATGTCTTAGCAATTCTCTACATGTAGCAAGAAACCATATGTTTTAGAAACAAAAAACATGAGAAATGTTAAATATATTATTATTATTACCACCTTTAGCATTTTTCATGCCAGTTGAGGAGAAGGGAGAGAAGCCAGTTTGATTCAATGTTTTCTTTGATTAGATTGCTTCTTTGGGACTTGTGGCCTTTGGTTGCTTGCAGCTGTGGATTTAGAGGTTTAAGTGAGTAAAAAGCAGGATATGGCTAGTCAAGAGATTGCTGCTTTGAAAATGTGCCTTTCCCCTGTGTTTATCCTTCACTCCAGCACAAAACTGTCCTCCTTTATAACACAGCATCTGTAAGGCAATTAAAACAAAACTCTTTGGAGCAATGTTGTCAATAATCAAAACTCATGACTAAGATAAATAACTAAAAATTATTAAATATGACAAGCATTTCCTCCACATACTTAAGTAGTATTAGTAAATACTGATCTGTTGACTATGTGCTACATGATTTGTAAAAGTTTTCTCATATTACTGTCACATCTACCTGATGAACTGGGAATTGGCAGCAATTGTCATTATTGATAGTTAGACCCATTTGACAGATGATAAAACTGAAGTTCAGAAAAATTGAGTGACTTTCCCAAAGTTATCTGTCTAGTAAAGGGTACAGTTTTCAGCCCTGGGGCCGTTGGGCTACAGAGCCTATGCTAATTTCGAGCCAGCCTGGAAGGTTATTTTGTATTTGCTGCCATTTTGTCTCAGGTGAATTAGAGCAGGACTAGTGTGTTGTCAGAATGTATTGAGCATAGAGAGTGCATGATCTGCAGGCAGAGAAAAATACCTGCAGAAAAAAAAAATGAGGATTCTGAAGAATTAGTAAGGAGAATCTAAATGCCCTAAAACCATAGGGCATTATTGTAACCAGTTTGACCTACAGGCAATGTGCTCCTGACAAGGAATTCTCCTCTGCCCATTCAAGTAATCAAAACCCCATTAACCTTTTCACGCATTTCCCTCTGTTCCTAGCAGAGGGCAAGTATGCATACTTAAAATAAACAAAAATGAATTTTAACGAATTAGGTAGAAATCTCAGTGAGGATGACAGAGCAGGTCTCACTCTTAGAGGTTACAGCACTTTACAATTTGCCGCAGTGTTTGGAATGTCCCTTTGCCCTTAATAAACATTAATGATCTGATTATATATTTGTTACCATTAGAAATTTCATTTTATTTCCACTCTGCAGTCACACATGATTAACTTCCTTTGAATTCCATGTTTGCTTAGTTTTGAATGAGAAACCTAAGTATACATATAAAATAGCAGGTTTTTTTAAGTGCCATGGCATGGTTTTGAGATTGTCAGAAATGGACCATAGCCTATGTGAATGGTAACTTTGACTTTTATTGACTTCAGCTAAGCTATACATTAGAGATTTAACAAAATAAATGAATTACTTCTTGCTATATTGCTGAGAATAAAATAAAATGAGAAAATATCCACATTGCCTTAAGCCAAACATATGGAGTTCAGGAAAAAGAAAATGCTCATGCTACCCTAAAATAGGATATTTGGTGACTATTTTTTCTAAATCCTGTGAAGTTGGGCTATTAAATAAAAAGATTGAGCTGGGCCCAGTGTCTCACACCTGTGATCCCAGCACTTTGGGATGAGGGATCCCTTGAGCCCAGGAGTTCAAGATCAGCCTGGGCAACATAGTAAGACTCTGTCTCTACAAAAGAAAATTTAAAAAATTAACTGGACATGGTGGCATATGCCTGTAGTCCCAGCTACTTGGGAGACTGAGGTGAGAGGATTGCTTGAGCGTGGCAGGTGAAGGCCGCTGTGAGATGGGACTGCACCACTGCACTTTAGCCTGGGTGACAGAGTGAGATCCTGTCTCAAAAATAAACAAATAAACTTAAAAAGGGTTGAGAAAGCAGAAAGGAAAATTGTACGTGTTCTTTAAATGCATAAGTGATGCCGATTTGAATTTATCTTAACCCTTCTTTAATTATTGAATTGTATGTAAGATTAGGAATCTGAACCAATTTCACTTAGAGATGCTTGAAAAGGTGACATACTCTTCAGGAGAATTTCTTTTATCTACACTCTCTTTCCCTTATTCCATCCCTACTTCGACTTTCTTACCCACTTCCCCAGAATAAGAGGACTTTACAGACTCTCTGAGATAATGCTGTAGTTCTATGACCACAGCAGGAGCCTTAGCTGACAGTATTTGTAGGTGTTGCCAGATGTGTCTGGACAAGGAGTTGAGCTTTGAAAAGTACATACTTCTTTCACAAAGTCACTGTTTCCTTATGACAATTTGGCTGTAGTCTTCAGGATAATAAAAGTTCTGAGCAGAAAGTTCTTAAAATAGTATTATACTCAGAGGAAAAGGAAAGACAGGGTAAATCTTTGTAAAAGGGATATTGAGGATATAAGCTTGGAAAAGTGGACACATGATCAGAAAGTCAAATAGAAATAGACAGCTATTCACCTGGAAATAAGAGGTAGGTTATTTATGTTTCAGATTAAAGAAAGAAGGTTACTCTCTAGGATAGAGAGCAGGTCTGTGTTTCAAGCTTGGTTTGCAAGATGTACTCAGCATTGAACAAGAAACACTGTAGTTAAGGGGTCAGAAATAAAGCAGTTTGTTAAGACAGGGAGGGAAAAATTTGTGCCCAGGCAGTGGCAATTATTTTTTCTGATGCTTCTTCTCATAGCTGCATGCTGATACAGTAGATGCCTCATGTGAACTCATTTGCCAATTATGGAAATGGATAAAAAGACAGTTAAAATCCTATCAAATAAAGAAAATGAACTGGAATAATTTTGACCCTAAGGATTAGTTGAAAATGTCCATTAGAATGATGATGACAAAGACAAGCTATCTTTTACTGACTACTCACTCAAATACATGCTTTCACATTTAAAGAACCTAGTTAGGCATGTATTTCTAGCCCCATTTCTCAGATGAGTAAACTAAGACAGGCAAAAGCACGTGTCTATGAAGCAGAGAAGGAAAATAGGAGATTAGAAGAAGGAGAAGGAAAAAGAGAAAAAGGAGAAGAGGAGGGGGAGGAGGAGGAAGAAGAAGAAGAAAAGGGAGGAGGAAGAAAAAGAAGAGGAAGAGGACAGAGAGGAAGAAGAGGAAGAGGGAGTAGGAGGAGGAGAATGAGCAGAAAAGGAGGAAGAGGAAGATAAAGAAGAAAAGGAGGGGAAGAAAACTCCTGACGAAATTCCAAGTAAATTTCTAAGGGAAAATGAGAAGGCTTTCTCTGGAGACCTGAAATTGTCATGACTTAGGATTTTTAATTCCTGCTTAAGACAAAAGCTACTCCAAAATGAAAGCGTTCATCATAGGAAGATGGAGTCTTCTCCCAAACCTTAGCACAATTTGAATATTAGATAGTATGAAACATTGTTTTAAAAGTCTAAACCAAAAGTGAAGTGTATTCTGTCTTATACAATAGTAATCTTTCTAGAAGTTATACGTAGGAATTTTTTTGCAACTCTTGGCAATCTTTTGTATAATAAAACTACATTGTCCTGTTCGGATGTGCTTACCTAGTACCACCTGGTGGCAACCAAAAATATTTCAGGAAGGGAGAAGAAATTGGGAATGCTCATCCTAATTTCTCAAACCCAACTTCCATCTCAGGAGGGGGTTGTTTAAGCACTGGAAATATTATTAGTATGAGATCACCTGTGCTAGGTGGTTTGAACTCAGTAGAGAGCTAGTACTGAAATATGCCATATTGACAACACCAAGAATCACCACTGTTTATCAGGAAGACACTTTCAGATGGATTTTCCTTAGCCATAATTGATAAATGTATTTCTTTGTTCTCTCTCTTCCTGATTGTGGGCATTGATGCATAAGACAGCTGACTAGCCATACAAATGCAGAACAAATGATCATGGCAGAGAACGAACCTAAGTGGAACACACAAAAGTGCCAAACCTATCACCTTGGCCTCATTAATACCAGGTTACAGCTAATTGTGCTAACAACCCCTCCCATCTCTCGTCTTCATTACGTAATAGCGAATTTCTTTTCATCTGTGACTTAAATTGCTTTTTCAGATCTAGTCCCCTGAAAATTTCTTCTCCTCCTCTAGGCAATCTCCTATAAAACATTTATTCAAGTATTGATTGAGTATCTGCTATTGCAAAACACTATGCTAGATGCTAGAGAATTCAGCATTTGAACTAGAGGGCTAAGATTCTTACTGTTATTCTAATGTAAAAGACAAATAATAATAACAATTTATTTAGTGCTACTATGTTTCAGGTACTGTTCTAAGTGATTTATGCTGATTGGCTCATTTAATTCTCACAATAATCCTATGAGGCAGGTACTATTTTTATCCCAATTTTATTAATGATAAAATTGAAACATAGGGAAATTAAGTAACTTGCCATGGTCACCTGCATAGTGATAGAGATGGGATTCAAACCCAAGCTGACTCTGGAGTTTATTCTTATCCTTAACCACTGCTTTGTACTGCCTGTCAATAAATAAGAAAACAAGCAGCAATATACAAGAAAATTAATAAACAACAATTTTTGGTAGTGAGATACGATATAAGGAAAATCAATTATTGCAAAGGAATAGAGAGTGATGGCCTGAGAAGGGAGAGGAAAGGAGGGGCTGCTGTAGACAGGGTGACCAGAAGTATCTCTGAAGAGATGACATTAGAGCTAAGATCTACATAAGAGAGAATCCATATTGTAAAGATCAGAGAAAAGACTCCCAGGTAGAAGGAACAGCAAGTTCCAAGGCAAGAGGAATGCCTGGGAAGGCTTAAGGAGCAGAAGGATAAGACCTGCAATTGGAAATCAGGGAACAAGAATGGGGGGGAACAATGAGATACCATTTCACACCTGTTAGAATGGCTGTTATCAAAAAGACAAAAGATGACAAGTACTGGCAGATATGTGGAAAAAAGGAGGACCCTAGTACACTTTTGGTGGAAATATAAATTACAGCCATTATGCAGAGGTGCAGTGAGCTGAGATCACTCCACTGCACTTCATCCTGGGCAACAGAGCAAGACTCTGTCTCCAAAAACCAAAAAAAAAAAAAACAAAAACAACACAGCCATTACAGAAAACTGCATAAAGTTCCTCCAAAAATTAAAAATAGAAATTCCATGTGATCCAGCAAATCTTACTTCTGGGTATATATCCAAAGGAAAATAAATATATCCAAAGGAAAAAAAATAAATTGAAGAGAGATACCTGCACACTCATGTTCATTGCAGCATTATTCACAATGGCTAGACTACGGAGTCAATTGACAGATGAATGGATAAATAAAATGTGGTACATATACACAATAGAATACTATCTGGCCTTTTAAAAAGAGGGAAATTCTGTCATTTACAACAACATGTAGGTACCTTTAGGACATTATGTTTAGTGAAAGAAGCCAGGCACACAAAGACGTGTGCTGCAAGAGATCACATATATGTGAAATCTAAAACACTTGATCTTATAGAAGTAGAAAGTAAAACGGTGATTAACAGGGTCTGGAGCTGGGAGTGGTGGTGGGTTAGATGTAAGTGAAAGGATACAAATTTTCATTTAGATAGGAGGAATAACTTAGAGATCTATTGCAAACAATGTGACTACAGTTAATAACATATTTTTGAAAATTGCTGAGTAGATTTTTAATGTTCTCAGTACAAAAAATGAGAGCATGCATATGTAAATTATCTCTCTTGAACCATTCCATGATGCATACGTATTTCAAAACATCATGTTACATATGATAAATATATACTATATATACTATTTTAACAATTTAAAAATAATTTTTTAAAACACTTTAAGAAGATAATATGGAATAGATGAAGTTGAAAATAATGTGTACACACGGACATGGAGAATGGAATAATAGACATTGGAGACTTGGAAGGATGTGAGGCTGGAAGGGTAGAGGGGGTTGGGAGATGAGAAAATTACTTAATGGGTACAATGTACACCATTCATGTGATGGTTACATGGAAAGCCCATACTTCATGACTACACAATATATCCATGTAACAAAACTGTACTTGTACCCCTTAAATGTATTATTAGAAGGAAAGGAAAGGAAAAGAAAGACAGGAAAGGAAGGGAAAGGAAAGGACAGGGGGAGGGAAAAGAGGAAAAGTTGAAAGTAAGGAAAAAGAAAATGTATGGTCTGGACTGCAAGGATGCTGTCAGTCCCCCTGAAGAGACCTATTCTAATTCCAAAGAGGAATCACTGGGTTGTTTTGAGCAAGAAAATGATATGATCGTGTGCATCATTCAGATTGCTTCTGCTGAAATGTTTCCTTCCAATTCATAGCTTCACTATTGTTTCTCAAGGTATTTCACTAGGCATCCTGCATCTAATGTGTCAAATACCCTTGGCTAGGTCTCCTGTTGCAAGGCCAACAGTCTTCCTTCCCTTGACTGTTCTTTCCCAGACATTCCTCTTTCTAATTGGTCTGAATGTCCACTTATAACATCCAATATCAGTGAAGCTATAGTCATAATTATATCTCCTCTGACTAAGGGCTATAGTAGAGGCATTCCAACAGTGCTGAAAGCAAATGAAGTCATGTTTTATTGGTAGAAACTGGAGACTGTTTGGCATTTTAGTAAAGCAAATGTTTGACCCAAGGGCACTATTGTACCAGTGTTAGTCATGAATCTCTCCTATGTTTGTTTTATTAAGTTTCAAAATTTTACTCTTTGATAAATAATGTTCCCACAGAGAATGTTAAAGGCCCAAAGGAAAGAATTACAGTATCTGTAGTAATGGTATGTAATGAATGCAGTGAAGTCAGAAGAAAAACTGCCTTGTTGTCAAAGAGGAGACTGTTTCGATTACATGGACTCTCAGAACTTCTGCAGATTCTGCTTGTGCCTGCCACATGCACTCGACTTAGCCCTACCTATTACATGAAAAACTCCCTAAATGGAGAAGCTTCACAGCTCATTATACCATGGTATCAACCATGACCCCTTTCAACATATGAGTACATATGGTTTGGATGGATGGATGGATGGATGCATGAACGTATGGATGAGAATCCAAAGATCCTGAAAGTCAGTGCAATCCATGTGATACTCCCACCTATAGTAGAATCTTAGAGATGATCAAACCCGGTAAGGTAATGTGATCAAGAGCTAAAATATCACTGAGAATCAGCCTTAAGAGAAGCTGCAGCTTTAATGTCTAGAGAATGACTATTTTTTAGCTTCCCAGTTTCCATGTTTGGAGCCAAGCATGGACACTTAATCAAATCAAGGACACTTAATCAAATGATATTAAGTGGGAAAAAAAAACTTGTCACCCTATCTTGGTTTCCTCTCAGACTAGCTAACATTGTAAGACTCAGCTTAAATGTCTTTATGCTATTTCCCTCAGGAGGATATTCCTGACCTATAAGGCTGGTTAAGCATCCATCTGAGGTGCCTCTACTGCAGCAGGTTTTACTGTGATTGCCCTGTAAATGTCCATGTTGTTCCAAGTTCTGTTCTTGGTATTTGAAACCTAACATATACTAAAGTTAGCAAGAATGTTGCCTTTGGTTGGGAGAAGTCATATTCTGCCTGTAGCCTAAACTTAAAACAGATTAACACATCCTCCCCTTTCAGTATAAACTTTTAAGTATTTTTTTCATAACCAGGAGATTAGAATGTTACTATATAATCACTTCATAATCATAGTGTATTCACATAGTATTGTATTCACTACATAAGGATAAGATTTATATATATATGTCTGTATGTATATACAAATATATATACTAAATGTACACATATATACACAAATATATATACACAAATACACTATACTATATATATACACAAATATACTAAATATATTATATATACACACAAATACACACACACACACACATATAAACATTAGAGGAAAGAAGCCATTGCAACTTGCCAACAGTAGTTTCTTCTTCCTTTGTTTAACCCAGATAATGAAAGAAAGAAAGAAACTATCTGTAAAAACTGAAGCTGTAAATTCCACTCCAAAATGATTAATTTATACTCATATATATGTGTGATTCTTATTTTATTTACTTTTTACTTATTGGCAAGTATTATCTAATAAATGTATATTGGTTTCTCACCATAAAAAAATTCTTTAATATTTGCAAAGCAGAACTCTAGGGATACAGATATTTATATCTATGTTATTACTATAAATCAATCTTTTTTCTTATTTTTAAGCAACATCAATGAAAAACTATTATTAGGATTCTAGTCATAAACTCTAGTACTAGAAGCTTGATTCATGTTATTAATCTGGAATTACTTTAAGAGCATTTTTGTGTTTGTTTATGGATTTTGGAATGATGCAGAAGTGAGATTTATGAGAGTTTCAGTAATTACATTTTTAGGTACTTATTAAACTGGTGTTATCATAAACATTGTGGTATATTTGTGGTCTTTGTGGACTTATTTCTTGGGATAGATTCAACGGAGAGAGTACTTCATTTCTTAGCAGCCTGTTAAAGCTCTTGATGGAAAAAAACATTATTTTTTCAGCCACCACCATCCTTGTATCCTCAGTGACTTGCTCTGTGCTTTGCTCAGTGCATGACCCATGATGGGGGCTCAATGAACTGGCATTAGATTGAAAAGTAAATAATCAGGAAAGAAGTGGAAGGAGGTAGCTTATGTAAACTGTACTTTAAGGAGAAAGATAGCTAAGAGAAAGAAATAAATGAGTTGACATTTGAAAGGACACAAGGGCAAAGAAGCATTTTTTAAAAAACATTGTTTTCTCACCTATTATAGAAAGAAAATAAGTTTTTTTGTATGAAGTTTAGAGAATACAAGGAAATTCAAAGAAAATTAAAGTTAGCCTGTATCTCACAAGCCAGAAATAGCATGTATGCATTTTTCAATGCATAACACCCACATGTGCCTGCCTGCAGACATCACATGCATTTATATGATTCTTAATACCAGCTTGACATATTTACCCATGACTAAAGAATTTCCCATAACATTTTCTATTTTTCTAAAACACCCCATCTTATTTAGCTAACCAATATTGCCCTAATTTATTTAGCTAACCTATATTGTTGACCACTGGGGCATTTTCCAATGCTTCCTACTATATTTCCACAATGGCTATCCTTGATCAAAAATCTTTGTACACATCTTTGTTATTTCCTTAGCAAAACTTTATGTGAAGGATGCTTTGTGAACTGAATCTGGCTACTATGATCTCAATGTTTGAAGCTGAGGGAAATGAACCAGAGTGAGCAGAAAGTGCAAGGTTTCACTAAAAGAAGCAAGGAAAAATGATGGAGAAGGTCTGGATGAAGGTCAAATGAGTTGGGCAAAAGCCCAGGCTGAGAAATGAGTCTTAGAATATGGGGTCCAAATTCCTTAAAGATGAAAAGGGAGAAGGAAAGATAATAGAAAATATAGATGTTTGCTGGGCGTGGTGGCTCACGCCTGTAATCACAGCACTTTGGGAGGCCAAGGCAGGTGGATTGCTTGAGTCCAGGATGTTGAGACCAGCCTGGGCAACATGGCAAAACCCAAACTCTGCTAAAAACACAAAAATTAGCTGGGCATGGTGGTGCAACCTGTGGTCCCAGCCACTCAGTAGGATGAGGTGGGAGAATCACCTGAACCCAGGAGGTCAAGGCTGCAGTGAGCTGAGATCATGCCACTTGCACTGCAACCTGAGCAATGAATGAGACACTCAAAACAAAAAAAAAAAAAAAAAAAGTTTGGTGTTAGAAGACAGAAAACTAGAAGGAGTTCTCTGGTGACTCCTTTTCTCAGTGACACAGGAGATATGGTCCTCAGATGAGAATGGGATGTTAGAAATATGGCTGACGACAGGACAGGAGGAAGCAAACACTTAGAATAGGCAGTTTTGGAAGGGAGAAGTTAAGTGAAGTAATATAATTACTAGCTAACATTCTCACCAATCACATGCCTATTATTTCCTTAAATATCATCACCAACCCCAAAAAGTAGGACTCCAGATGAGAAAGTTAAACCCATGGGACTTAAATAACTATCCTGGACACATGGTTACTATACCTGGAAATAAACTGAGGTCTGTGAATCCACTACCTTCATGTGAACCCCAGTAACGATGGAACTGACATCAGATGACACTAAGTGACACCTGGAAGCGCCATCTTCAAATTTGAAAAGCAATGCTCTAGACAAGTAAAACATCAACAACAAAATCTTCGTTCCAACCAATGTTTATGTTTTCTAACTGGAGAAATAGATGAAAGAACTTTCATTGACTTTCAAGCATATTTTCTAACTTGTAATTGCATATATAATCAGAATTAAGCCTTGAAACTGCCTTGTGCCCTTTGGAGCCACCAGACTAACCACTTTCATTAAGAGGAAGAACCTTATTTCTAAGGCAGATAATTAAACTGTGTTGTAATGAAGATAGAAATGATAGTGCCTTATGCTAAGTAAGTCTGCAGGGATTTGTAGCTGAAGTAGGTTGAGGCTTTAATAGTAAAAAGATGTTTTTGATAAACCTGCCTGGGGCATGCTAATAGATTTGTCTTGCTCAAGCCAAGATTAGCAGTTGAATCCTGAATTTAATTTGGAAAAGTATAATAACCTGTAAAACATGGGGGATAAATTATTGCAAACTTTGTTTAAATTTTTCTTTTTAAATGTTATATTTTATATATATATATATATATAATTTTTTTTTTGAGACATAGTCTTGCTCTGTTGCCCAGCCTGGAGTGCAATGGCATGATCTCAGCTCACTGCAACCTCTACCTCCCAGGTTCAAGCCATTCTCCTGCCTCAGCCTCCTGAGAAGCATCCACCACCATGCCCGGCTAATTTTTGTTGTTTTTTGTTTGTTTGTTTTTGTTTGTTTGTTTTTTAGTAGAGACCGGGTTTTGTCATGTTGGCCAGGTTTGTCTCAAATTCCTGACCTCAGGTAACCTGCCTGCCTCGGCCTCCCAGAATGCTGCGACCCCTACAGGTGTGAGCCGCTGTGCCTTGCCAAATGTAATATAATTTTAATGCAGGAAGTAGTTATTAAATATTTACTTACGCATTTAATAGCCATGTTTTGAGCCCTGCTATGAAGAAGATAGGTGTGAAGTAGAGAGTTGAAGGAGAGAAGAGATATAAAGGTAAACAATCTTTCCTGCTTCTGTGAATCTCATCTCCTATTCCCTGTAATATATGGTTTGGTAAGATACCTTGAGCATAGTTTGTGTTTATTCTTATTGAATTAAAACTCCAAAAAGCTAAATCAGCAATTCTTCTTCCTTAAATTTAGGATTTTGAGAATGCTTGAGTATATAGCAAATCTCTTTTACTAGATTGTATTCTCCACGGGCCAGATTTTTTTAACTCTATATTGAAATCCCTACACAATGCAGGGATTTGAATCCTATATATAGTAGGCATTCAATAACTCTTGAGTGAATAAGCCAATTGCACCTGTCATCCTAGTTCAGGGATCTGGAATTCCTATCAATTAAGTGCTTTTCTTCTTTTTGACTTGGAAATTATCTCCAAAGTAGATCCTGTTTAATGAAAATGTAAATAGATAGTGTCTGAGGAGTACCTACTCACTGAATATCTGCTTATCAGCAACAGTATTAGATAAACATGTAAACATGTGAGATAGATAAAACTTTGAAAGCAGGCTCTGAGGAAAAGACAGGTGTGCTGGATTTGTTTTGATGTCCTAGGAAGGAGCTAGTGTTACTAGAACAAGGCCGGGCATGGTGGCCCATGCCTGTAATCCCAGCACTTTGGGAGGCCGAGGTGGGTGGGTCACCCAAGGTCAGGAGTTCGAGAGGAGCCTGAGCAACATGGTGAAACCCTGTCTCCACTAAATAGGAAAAATTAGCTGGGCGTGGTGGCACATGCCTGAATCCCAGCTACTTGGGTGACTAAGGCAGGAGAGTTTGTTGTACCTGGGAGGTGGAGGTTGCAGTGAGTCAAGACTGTGCCATTGCACTCTATCTAGCCTGGGCAATAAGAGTGAAAACTCCATCACAAAAATAAAAATAAAAAATAAATAGAGCTAGAACAGGCCATATAAATGTTAGAATCCAGTGATTTTCCATTTTTTTACTTGTAGCAGCATCCACCCTTCTTGATGAGGTCAACATATGGCCCCAATTTATTTTATTTATTTATTAAGCATGCATGATTGTGGAGCCCCCAGTCAGGCCTCTTTTGGTCCCCTCTTCCCTAGTCCATCAAGGCTTGTGAAGGATCTCCAAGATCCAACTGTGAGACAGGAATCTAGTCCAGCTTTCTCACTTTTCAGAGGAGAAAACAAAGGCTGTTTTAGTTAGATTGTGATTCCAGGATAATGCCTTTCTTAGAATAAAAATTTGGTCTGCAGTCTTGGTCTTAAAGCCCAACTTAAGTCCATATGAGAAAAACACAAATGACTTGACTAAAAATCTTAGCTTTACCTTGTCTAATTCAGTGACTTTGGGCCAGTGTAAAAGAAATTGCCTCAGACAAGTTAGACAGGCAAGAAAGGTTTTATTCTGGACTATTTCAGTAGAGGTCAAGATTATTGCAATGGGAAAGAGAAAGGGTGAACACAACTCTAAAAAAAAACAAATGGGAGTTTTAAACTCTGGGATGAGCTAATGGAAAAGTACTGGAAGACGGTAGAGGTATACCATAGTCCTCCCTTATTTGGGGTTTCCCTTTCTGTAGTTTCATTTATCTGTGGTCAGCTGCCATCTAAAATATTAAAGGAAAATCCCAGACATAAACAATTTATAAGTCATAAACTGCATGGCATTCTGCGTAGCATGTCAAAATCTTACCCTGGCCCACTCTTTCCTGCTTGGGACATGAATCCTCCCTTTGTCACTTAGTAGTCTTCTCAGTTATCAGATGAACTGTGAAGTATTGCAGTGCTTGCGTTCAAGTAACTCTTATTTTATTTAATCATGGCCCCAAAGCACAAGAGTAGTGATACTGGCAATTTGAATATTCCAATGAGAAGCCATAAAGTATTTCCTTTGGGTGAAAAGGTGAAAGTTGTCTAGTTAAGGAAAAAAATCGTATGCTGAAGTTGCTAAAATCTAGGGTAAGAATGAATCTTCTATCCACGAAATTGTGAAGGAAAAAGAAATTTGTGTGTAATAGACATAGGGGTCAGAACTATCTGTGGTTTCAGGCATTTACTGAAATGAATTATCCATATCCCTCACGGATAAGGATAAGGGAGGACTACTGTAGTTGGTCAATGTGATTAGGCCATTTGTATTGGCTGTCACTTGTCTAAGGATCCTCTACCCTCCCAAAGATAGGAAGATAGGCATCTTATTTTCTTCTATGACTTCAAGGAAATTAGTCCCAAATCCTTGAGAAAGACATCTCTAGATTGTAGAGAAATAATTTACAATTGCAGAGTTTTTTTTTTTAAGTAAATTATCTAAGAAAAAAGAAGCCAGTGGCCTAGAGTCAAAAAGAAACCTATGTAAACCTTAGTCAAGCTGAGGGAGACATTAAGGCCATCTTGGTCACCAGTTACTTAAGGACTCATCAATGCAGTGTCCTTATCTGTAAAAAAAAGTAACAAAATCATATTTTAAAAAGCTTGCTGAAAATAATATGAGTTAACATATTACTAATGCTTTTTTTTTCTTTTTTTTTTTTTTGAGACAGTGTCTCGCTCTGTCACCCAGGGGCTGGAGTGCAATGGTGCAATCTCGGTCCACCGCAACCTCCACGGGTTCAAGTGATTCTTCTGCCTCAGCCTCCCAAGTAGCTGGGATTACAGGCATGCACCACCAGGCCTGGCTAATTTTTGTATTTTTAGTAGAAATGAGGTTTCACCATGTTGGCCAGGCTGGTCTTGATCTGAGTTCCTGACCCCAGGTGATCTGCCCACCTCGGCCTCCCAAAGTGCTGAGATTATAGGCATGAGCCACTGCGCCCAGCCTACTAATGCATTTTTGAAAGTAATATTATACAAATGTCAAGTACCAGAGAGTCAATGAAAGTTCATCAAAGAGACCAGCTTAAGTCAAAGTAGTTAATGAAATAAAGAGTGAAACTAATAATCCTTCATGTATAACAAGTCCATAATAAATGTCAAGAATCTGCATTATTTCTAATCCCCTACAAATTTATAATTATTCTCATTTTGCATACAAACTGAGTCTCAGGAAGTTTAAGTCTTTTGTCCAAGATCACACACCAGCAAGGATAGAGCTGAATTTCAACCACAGGACAGTCTAACAACCAAACCCTTGTTTTTATCTAAAATACCACGCTTCTTCTCAGAAGTTTCATAAAGCCTACAGCCAGAAAAGACACATTTGTATGGTCACCTTTTCCGGAAAACTGAGAGGTCAACTTTTCCATTATTTTCTTCCCAAGTTTTTTTAAATGTGGGTGTTCAAATGAGAGGCAAAAATTGAGTGGATCCATTGTCTGGACAACAGAGCCACTCAACTAACCGCCAACTTAGAGTTATAAGGGAACAATTTGACATTTTCTGGGACAGATCACGTGAGCACTTAAAAACATCAGTGTCCCATTAGGAGGAAGGCAGGTGACCTTTTCTTTCATTGCCTTCTGTACTTGGTATTAGCAGGAAAGGAGTGGGGTGTGCAGAGATAAGAAAGGCTCCTTAGCATAAGCAAGAGCCTTTTACCTACTTGGGCGCAGCTGGGCGAGAAGTATTCTATGAGAAACCACATACAGAATAAAAGCTTTTCTTTTTTGCTTTGACTGAAGCACGTGACTTTCTCTCCCATTCTGTTTGTCAATTCAAAGAAAGTCTGCCCGACAGTTCTGCCAGAGATGTGATTTAGCAGGTGGGGTCCACGGCTTGCTGCAGAGAGCACTGGACCTACTGTCACGGGTTTGGGTTTTCAGCTACTTGCCACAAAGAGGCTATGACCTTGGGCAGAGCAATTCTTTTCTACAAGCCTCAGTTTCCTCCTCCGTGGAATGAAGAATGTGCACTAAATCATTCCTAAGATTTTTCTTACAGCCTTGAGATGAGGATTCTAGGGAGCTGTCCAAATGATGTTACTTTGCTTGGGCCTTTTGTGATCACCGCACCCGGAAGGGAGCCTTCCTCCCCTGAACTGCTCTGCTATTGACTGTTGAAACCTCTCATCGCTTTGTTATTTCTTTGTGTGGGGAGACAGGTCTGCCTCTATATGCTCAGTCTTCTGCTTACTACTCACGTGATATGCACTCAGTGATCTAACCTATGAGCTTTAGTCTTCTCATCTGTAAAATGGAAGTGTAGTGGATATTTACAAAGTGGTTTTTTTTCCCCCAAACCTAGCACTTTTTAATATCTTTCCTGTAATCAGGAAATTCCCTCAGTTTACAAGTCTTGCTTCTCTGAATTTAAATTCACACACTTTTTTCAGCTTCCCTTGCAGTTAAGGCAGATGTTTGACCTAAGCCTCCATCAATCAGATGCGCTCTTGGAAGACTTCAATTTGGAAGTGAGGAAACAGAATCTATTTCCTGGCAAGGGTTGTGGTAAAGCCAGCAGATGCCAAGAAAAACAGTGTCAGTGATTTCAATGTTCAGCGTTAGCCATACGAGCTGTAGTGCCGCTTCCGTATGCAGTCCTGGGGATGAGGTTGGGCACTGAACTTGACCAAGAATCATCTGAGTATGATGCTCCAGCTCACTTAGAAATTCTCAGAACTACCTTTAATGAATTCCATTTCTGTTTAAACACACCGGAGTGGGGTCTGTATGATACCTGGGAAGCCTGATTGACTTATAGATAAGGGTAAGCACACCTATGGTTCAAAGTCAGTTTGAGGATAAAATGAGGCCAATAAGCCACCGAATCCAATACTTGGACCAGAGTGGGGCTTTATAAATGCCATTATGTTTTACCATCCTTGCACATTGAATCTCCTCAAATAAATTGGGAGATCCCTAAAGAACAACATGCATGCTGTGCCAGGACAACATGTCAAGTGCTTGGAGGACATCAAAACATTCAAAATCATCCTTTCCTTAGGGACATTACATCTCAGTAGGAGAGGCAATAAAAGTAGCAATAAAGACACAAGTTTATGTGTTAGATTATTTTCATTTCAATCCCATCTCTTCCCCCCACTAGTTTTTCAATACAAGGCAATCCTATAACATAATTTTATTTTTCTCTGTAAAATAAGGTTACTTTCTATCTCACACAGTTCATATCAGTATTAAATGGATTAATTCAGTTAAAACATTCAGAATAGGCTGGGCACAGTGGCTCATGCCTGTAATCCCAGCACTTTGGGAGGTCAAGGCCGGCGGATTGCTTGAGGTCAGGTGTTTGAGACCAGACTGGCCAATGTGGTGAAACCCCTTCTCTACTAAAAATACAAAAATTAGCCATCCAGGCATGGTGGCGCATACCTATAATCCCAGCTACTCGGGAGGCTGAGGCAGGAGAATTGCTTGAACCCGGGAGGCAGAGGTTGCAGTGAGCCAAGATCACGCCACTGCACTGCAGCCTTGGCAACAGAGTGAGACTCTGTCTCAAAACAAAACAAAACAAAACAACATCAGAATAGAGCCTGTTACATGGTAAGTGCTCAGTAGATGTTGGCTCCTAGGAAAGTTAAAGAACTATGCTAAGTGAAATCCTATCGATTCAATGATCAGAGTTTGTAGAACACAAGTTCCCACTTGCCCAAGAGCTGAGACAAGTATTTATAGAAATGTCAGCTGACTCCTTGTGTCTTGGAGGCTGTTGAGAGCTACCATGAACTGAGCAAGTGCTGAGTCCATGTGCTCTACTAAGATCTCACACACATGTCACTACATTTATTCTTCCCGGGCAACATGGAGCTAACTATGACTATTCCTATTCTACAAATAAAGGATCACTTGGTGACTTGGCCAAGGTCACCAAGCTAAAAAGAAGGGCAGGATTCAAATCCAGGTGTTCCCAAATCCATGTTCTTAATTGGAACAATAGGATTTTGTGAGTTCTGGATTCTTCTGACAGAGGGATTCTGAGTGAAATCTGATCCCATCGCTGTTCTGAAAATGCACTTATATTGACTTAGTATATGGAAACATGATAATGCCAATTATTTTATAAAGTACAATAACTTGGAAACTGTCCAGTGAAAGGATGAATTCTTGGGTACAGCCACCCAAGATCAGCACAGTTTTAGTATTCTGTCTCTAACAAAGACAGGCTCCTCTCTGCCAACACAGGGACTCCCTCTCATTCTGCAGGATCTACTTTTATTGAACTCATCTAAGTTGACATTTGTCTAGCAGCTTGTCAACAGTTGTTTTAGGGAAGTATTGTTGACAGTTGCCCACTGGTTAGTAGTCATTTTCTCCTTTATCCCACAGTTTTAATATAGCTCACTTTGTCATAGATGCAGTTAGATTTTGCCATTTAACCACCTGAAAGCATAATTAGAAGTTTTTGAAAAGAATCAATAAAGTGAAAGTTTTTATGTAGATTTATTTGTAACTCAAACTTGAGTCAGTCAATATCTCAGTTGTTGAGAGCAACTGAACTGAAAAATCTTACCATCTCTCAGACTACAAGTTAGAGTTAAAAAGAGCTGTATAATTGGCATATTAAGGCAAAGCTCTTTTCTATCTCAAAACCCATTTTTCACTTAAAAAGGAAATCTACTTGACTAAATATAGTACTTGGAGATATAGGATTCATCTAATGCAAGGAGTTAAAGAAAAATTAGAAAACAAATCAAACTTCCATATCTATGAAATAGGAAAATTAACTTTTACATACAAAAATGTAATTCAGCTGACTTATTAAAAGCAGGTGTATTATCATATATGTTATAAATATGTTTAAAATTATTTTCCACTGTTTTATTTCCTACATGTTAATTAAAACCCCAGCAATTCATCTTAAAATACATATGACTGTGATATAATACTGAGCAATCACAATGTAATTCAATTCAGGTTTCTCTATAATTCTATGCTACATTTATTATGATATTGCTTGTTTTGGCCTCTTTGTTCTTTAAAATGGATGATCTTTCCTTCTCTTCCTCTTACCTCACTTCAAATTGCAGGGATCATGGTTAAAATTAAAATATAGAAGATTCATATTTAGATACAGTGATTTAATGTTTGCTGACAATCCCAAATATTGCTTTTTAGTGCTTACCTAAATTTTCCAGAAAAGTCTGGGGCCTTACACTAAATGGCTAACCAAGAAAACAACATTTCTTCAAAGACTTCTGTTAGAAACCGAAGCAAATTATGTTTATTATTCAGTAGTACACTATTTTTACTTATATAAAAATACTTCCCTTTATCCTGGCAAAAATAGCTTGGTAAAATTGATGCTAATGAAAGATCTACCATGCTTAACCTATAATTTTGAGTATTTCCACATAGAACTCCGTGAATGGGGAATCTACTATCTAGTTTGACTATCAGAACAATTTCCAAAAATAAATCTCTGGTAAAGCTCTACTAAATATAATTTGGTGTTTCCTTGAATGCACTTTAATCTCAAGATTCCTTCTTTTCCTATAAAAACTCTGCTTTTTGAACTTCTATTTACTAAGGCTCTGATAGACAGAAGTTTAATTTGTCTTTCCACAGAAATAGGAGTGTTCTTCTTTGGTATAAACATGTGTGGGCATTATAGAATGGGCCTAACAGAGGTCTAAAGCTTAAGAGAAAAGAAATTATTATGGGAAATAACTCTGTTAAGGTAATACAAAGTAGAGATTGCACAAAAGATTGTGAATACAGAAAATCAGGACCAAAGGCTGGGAGTGTTTGAGTACTAATTGGGACGAACCATTCTGATGTCCTTCTGTTCAGGCCCAGGTTCTCATATCAGAAGCCTAAGGAGAGGGCTGCACTATAAAACACACACACACACACACACACACACACACACACACACACACACAAATATAAAGTATGACTACATACATATGAAACCCAAACAAAACCAAATAGAGAATTTCCAAGACTGTGACTGAATTTGGTAGCATTAGAACCTCATTTACTCAATTAAAACTTATTTCTAATATCTATTTTTGCCAGTAAACCCTCTGGCACAACTTCTGATAACACTATTAAGTGCTTAAGTAACCATCTCTAGAGTTTTAATTCAGCCTGGGTGTGGTGAGATTACACACCTGTAATCTCAGCACTTTGGGAGGCTGAGGAGGGAGGGTTGCTTGAGCCCAGGAGCTCCAAACCAGCCTGGGCATCATAGAAGGGCCCCGTCTCAGCACAAAATAAAAAATTAGCTGGGCATGGTGGTGCCAACCTACAGTCCTCGCTACTTAGGAGGCTGAGGCAGGAGGATCACTTGAGCCCAGGAGGTCAAGGCTGCAGTGAGCCATGATCATGCCACTGCACTCCAGCCTGCACTTCACCCTGTCTCAGCAACAACAACAACAACAAAATAGAGTTTTAATTCCTGATTAGAGAGCCATAACTGTTCAAAGCTGTAGCTATAGGTTGACTTAACATGCACGTACATCAACTCTTCACAGGGAGAATTTTTAAATAAATGTACCTGTGAATGCAACATCCCTAGGGCTATTGGCAGAGTGGAAGTAGTTTAGCTGTTTCATGACTTTCAGCAGGTCTGATAGCCGTCATAGATCAAAGACTGATAAGCCAGGAGGAAGGAATTGGCAGATGCTTCGAGATACTGAGAGGATGCTCTCTGTGAGCATCTTTGAGCTACACCAGAGGACTCCCAGAACTGCTAGCAAATCATGTTTAAAGAAGATAGTGTAGAGATCCTACAAGAGACAGTGAAGGCAGAGGCAGATATGCTGTTGCTAGTTCTTGTCTTGACCCCACTTTATTTTTTTCCAGACTAATGTGGCCTTGAGATATAAGATTTACAAATATAAGTTTCTGTGTGAGCATATAGTGGGGACTCAGTAGATACTAGTTATCTCCCTAATCTTTCTTTGGTTGTTGAGTTCTTTTCTGAAAATTTTGGAAATTAGGACTCCAGCTACCCTAGGATAACAGATCTTTGGATATAAGAGAAAAATTTAGATAGTTTCGGTAAAGCTGTCCTTTATTTGCATATCCATTTCCATAGCCTATCTAGCCTATGGTTAAAGAAAGAATCTGCATACCTGTGCCTAACAGAAACTTTTCCAGGTATGGATACTTCTTTTTGGTGCACTAAAGACTCAGACTCAGGAAACTATGGCCATCAAGTTGCAGAAAGTGTTGGATAGAGCTAAACAATCTTCATGGACAGCTACTAAAGTCTGAAACTTGTGGTTCCCTGACACTACTACTAAACTTTCCTTTTGTGGTCATTGCCCCAGAGATAAGGACTCCTAGTTAACACCATCACATTACCAAGAAGCCTGGGGTAAAGGCAACGATTAAAAGCAAATAAAATGGGGATGCAAGAAGCCTTTCTCTCTTTCTCTCCAGTTGTTCTTTCCTAAAATAAAAATAATACTCTTTTGATGAAGAAAAAGTACAAATGAATACTTTTAGAAACACCTTTTATTTAAAAAATCATTTACTACCTGGAAATCAAGATGGTTTAAAAGCAGACCATCTTTGTAATGATAATGGATACAGAGTGATAGGACACTTTGATTTCCTGAGGGCACTGAGGTGGCCTGATCAAAATATCAGCAGCCTTCCCCAGAACCATGAATCACTGTATAATTTCTCTCCAAGTACTTTCCTGTTCACAAAAGAAAATAAGTGAATGCAATTGCCAGGAAGGATTAGAAATGGCAGTTCATCATCTTTGTCAACCTTGCTCTCATTGTTAATCGTGAAGAAGTACTTAGAAATGAAAAATGAGCAGGAGGACTTTCATTTTTCATTCTGTACTCCTGGGTATAATTTTCTTAGGCAAGAGCATTGATTCATTTAAATTTTATAAATATAATTAAATAAAAGTGGCTACTGATGGCCAGTGGTGAACTAATCTTTAAGGGGCACAATGCTTTGAATCTCAATGTTGAAGATGTTATCAGCGAATAAGCATTTAACTTCTAATCTGTTAGTATCTTTACAATTTTTAAGTTAAATGTTAGCCATGCTAAATGAAAAGACACTATCTATTCCATGCCAAAACTATCTCTAGGCCTCTGCAAATGGTTGACTAAATGATAGGAAGCAGAGAATTCGATGCATCTGCAAAATATTTTGATTCAGTAAAAAATTCTAAATGATAATTCTTTTTGTCTTATAGTTTTACATTTTTAAAGTAAGCTATACTTGACATACAACAAATTGTACATATTTAAAGTATCTAAGTTTTGGTATATGTATAGACTCGTAAAATAATTCTAATCAAAGTAGTGAACATATATATCTATCATCCCTGGAACTTTCTCTTGTTTCTCCCAGCCCTCCTCACCACCTTCCCCAGGAAAACATGGGTCTGTTTTCTACATGAGGTGTTGTGGGTTTTTTTCTGTTTTGACAATTTTACATAAATAGGATCACACAATGTGTACCCTTTTATCTGGCTTCTTATATATAATTATTTTGAGATGTTTTGCTGTGCACATCAATATTTCATTCCACTTTAATGCTAAATAGTATACCATTATAGAAATGTACAACAGTTTGCTTATCCATCCATCCATCCACTCACTTCTTTTTTTTTTTTTTTTTTTTTTTTTTGAGATGGAGTGTAGCTCTGTCCCCCAGGCTGGAGTGCAATGGCGTGATCTCAGCTCACTGCAACCTCCACCTCCCAGGTTCAAGCGATTCTCTTGCCTCAGCCTCCCAAGTAGCTGGGATTAGAGGCACCTGCCACTACACCCGGCTAATTTTTGTATTTTTAGCAGAGACGGGGTTTTGCCATGTTGGCAAGGCTGGTTTTGAACTCCTGACCTCAAGTGATCCGCCCGCCTTGGCCTCCCAAAGTGCTGGGTTTACAGGCGTGAGCCACCGCACCAGGCCATCCACTCACTTCTTGTTGGGCATTTGGGTTGTTCCACTTTGGGGCTATTATGAATAATGCTGTTATGAATATTTGTGGACAAGCCTTTGTATGTCTATATGCTTTCTGTTCTCTTGAGTAAATCCCTAGGAGTAAGATAAATGGGTCATATTGTAGGTGCATGTTTAACTTTTTAGAAGACAGATAAACTACTTTACCACTAGCACTTGTGAGCATTCCTGTCACTCCACCTCCTCACCATACTTGGTATGATCAGAATATTAACTTAGTCAGTTTACCAGGAGTGTAACAGTATCTCATTATGGTTGAATTTGCATTTTCTTCATGACTAATATATGGAGTATCTTTCTTTGTGCTTATTTGCCCTTTGTACATCTTTGTTGGTGGAAGTGTCTGCTCAAACTCTTGTCCATTCTTTAAATAGGTTGTTTATTTTCTTATTATTCAGTTTTGAGAGCACTTCACATATTCTAAGTACAAGTTTTCTCCTCTTCCTGTCTTAGTTCATTTGTGATGCTATAACAAAAAACCTTAGACTGGGTAATTTATAAATAGCATAAATATATTGCTCACAGTTCTGGAGGTTGAAAAGTCTAAGATCAAGGTGTCTGCAGGTTCAGTGTCTGGTAAGGGCTGTTTTCTGCTTCCAAGATGGTGCCCTGTTCCTGCATGCTCCAGAGGAATAAATACTGTGTCCTCCCAAGGTGGAAGGGACAGTAGAGGTAAACTCACGCTCTCAAGACTTTTCTAAGGCAGGAATTTATTGATGAAGGCAGAGCCAGCATGGCCAAGTCATCTCTTAAAGGCCGCACCTCTTAATGCTGCTGCATTGGAAATTTAGTTTTAACATGAATTTTAGAGAGGACACAAACATTCAATCCATACCACTCCCTCCCCCATATTAGCTATATAACTATATTTTCCTGTCAGTGTCTTTAAAAGACCAGAATTTTCAAATTTAATGGAGTCCCACTTAATTTTTTTATGGATTATGTTTTTGGTCTCATATCTAGAAAACCTTTGCCTAATCCAAGAGTACTAAGATTTTTTTCCTTGTTTTCTAGAAGTTGTATCATTTTATATTTAGATCTATGATGCATTTTGAGTTAATTTTTGTACATGGTGTGAGGTATGAATTAAATAATTTTCATTTGAATACCTAATTTTTAGTATAATTTTCTTTTTTTTTTTTTTTTTTTTTTTTTTGATGCTTTCAAACATATGATTTTTTTTTTTTTTTTTTTTTTATTATACTCTAAGTTTTAGGGTACATGTGCACATTGTGCAGGTTAGTTACATATGTATACATGTGCCATGCTGGTGCGCTGCACCCACTAATGTGTCATCTAGCATTAGGTATATCTCCCAATGCTATCCCTCCCCCCTCCCCCGACCCCACCACAGTCCCCAGAGTGTGATATTCCCCTTCCTGTGTCCATGTGATCTCATTGTTCAATTCCCACCTATGAGTGAGAATATGCGGTGTTTGGTTTTTTGTTCTTGCGATAGTTTACTGAGAATGATGGTTTCCAATTTCATCCATGTCCCTACAAAGGATATGAACTCATCATTTTTTATGGCTGCATAGTATTCCATGGTGTATATGTGCCACATTTTCTTAATCCAGTCTATCATTGTTGGACATTTGGGTTGGTTCCAAGTCTTTGCTATTGTGAATAGTGCCGCAATAAACATACGTGTGCATGTGTCTTTATAGCAGCATGATTTATACTCATTTGGGTATATACCCAGTAATGGGATGGCTGGGTCAAATGGTATTTCTAGTTCTAGATCCCTGAGGAATCGCCACACTGACTTCCACAATGGTTGAACTAGTTTACAGTCCCACCAACAGTGTAAAAGTGTTCCTATTTCTCCGCATCCTCTCCAGCACCTGTTGTTTCCTGACTTTTTAATGATTGCCATTCTAACTGGTGTGAGATGATATCTCATAGTGGTTTTGATTTGCATTTCTCTGATGGCCAGTGATGATGAGCATTTCTTCATGTGTTTTTTGGCTGCATAAATGTCTTCTTTTGAGAAGTGTCTGTTCATGTCCTTCGCCCACTTTTTGATGGGGTTGTTTGTTTTTTTCTTGTAAATTTGTTTGAGTTCATTGTAGATTCTGGATATTAGCCCTTTGTCAGATGAGTAGGTTGCAAAAATTTTCTCCCATGTTGTAGGTTGCCTGTTCACTCTGATGGTAGTTTCTTTTGCTGTGCAGAAGCTCTTTAGTTTAATTAGATCCCATTTGTCAATTTTGTCTTTTGTTGCCATTGCTTTTGGTGTTTTGGACATGAAGTCCTTGCCCACGCCTATGTCCTGAATGGTAATGCCTAGGTTTTCTTCTAGGGTTTTTATGGTTTTAGGTTTAACGTTTAAATCTTTAATCCATCTTGAATTGATTTTTGTATAAGGTGTAAGGAAGGGATCCAGTTTCAGCTTTCTACATATGGCTAGCCAGTTTTCCCAGCACCATTTATTAAATAGGGAATCCTTTCCCCATTGCTTGTTTTTCTCAGGTTTGTCAAAGATCAGATAGTTGTAGATATGCGGCATTATTTCTGAGGGCTCTGTTCTGTTCCATTGATCTATATCTCTGTTTTGGTACCAGTACCATGCTGTTTTGGTTACTGTAGCCTTGTAGTATAGTTTGAAGTCAGGTAGTGTGATGCCTCCAGCTTTGTTCTTTTGGCTTAGGATTGACTTGGCAATGAGGGCTCTTTTTTGGTTCCATATGAACTTTAAAGTAGTTTTTTCCAATTCTGTGAAGAAAGTCATTGGTAGCTTGATGGGGATGGCATTGAATCTGTAAATTACCTTGGGCAGTATGGCCATTTTCACGATATTGATTCTTCCTACCCATGAGCATGGAATGTTCTTCCATTTGTTTGTCTCCTCTTTTATTTCCTTGAGCAGTGGTTTGTAGTTCTCCTTGAAGAGGTCCTTCACATCCCTTGTAAGTTGGATTCCTAGGTATTTTATTCTCTTTGAAGCAATTGTGAATGGGAGTTCACCCATGATTTGGCTCTCTGTTTGTCTGTTGTTGGTGTATAAGAATGCTTGTGATTTTTGTACATTGATTTTGTATCCTGAGACTTTGCTGAAGTTGCTTATCAGCTTAAGGAGATTTTGGGCTGAGACGATGGGGTTTTCTAGATAAACAATCATGTCGTCTGCAAACAGGGACAATTTGACTTCCTCTTTTCCTAATTGAATACCCTTTATTTCCTTCTCCTGCCTGATTGCCCTGGCCAGAACTTCCAAAACTATGTTGAATAGGAGCGGTGAGAGAGGGCATCCCTGTCTTGTGCCGGTTTTCAAAGGGAATGCTTCCAGTTTTTGCCCATTCAGTATGATATTGGCTGTGGGTTTGTCATAGATAGCTCTTATTATTTTGAAATACGTCCCATCAATACCTAGTTTATTGAGAGTTTTTAGCATGAAGGGTTGTTGAATTTTGTCAAAGGCTTTTTCTGCATCTATTGAGATAATCATGTGGTTTTTGTCTTTGGCTCTGTTTATATGCTGGATTACATTTATTGATTTGCGTATATTGAACCAGCCTTGCATCCCAGGGATGAAGCCCACTTGATCATGGTGGATAAGCTTTTTGATGTGCTGCTGGATTCGGTTTGCCAGTATTTTATTGAGGATTTTTGCATCAATGTTCATCAAGGATATTGGTCTAAAATTCTCTTTTTTGGTTGTGTCTCTGCCCGGCTTTGGTATCAGAATGATGCTGGCCTCATAAAATGAGTTAGGGAGGATTCCCTCTTTTTCTATTGATTGGAATAGTTTCAGAAGGAATGGTACCAGTTCCTCCTTGTACCTCTGGTAGAATTCGGCTGTGAATCCATCTGGTCCTGGACTCTTTTTGGTTGGTAAACTATTGATTATTGCCACAATTTCAGAGCCTGTTATTGGTCGATTCAGAGATTCAACTTCTTCCTGGTTTAGTCTTGGGAGAGTGTATGTGTCGAGGAATGTATCCATTTCTTCTAGATTTTCTAGTTTATTTGCGTAGAGGTGTTTGTAGTATTCTCTGATGGTAGTTTGTATTTCTGTGGGATCGGTGGTGATATCCCCTTTATCATTTTTTATTGTGTCTATTTGATTCTTCTCTCTTTTTTTCTTTATTAGTCTTGCTAGCGGTCTATCAATTTTGTTGATCCTTTCAAAAAACCAGCTCCTGGATTCATTGATTTTTTGAAGGGTTTTTTGTGTCTCTATTTCCTTCAGTTCTGCTCTGATTTTAGTTATTTCTTGCCTTCTGCTAGCTTTTGAATGTGTTTGCTCTTGCTTTTCTAGTTCTTTTAATTGTGATGTTAGGGTGTCAATTTTGGATCTTTCCTGCTTTCTCTTGTAGGCATTTAGTGCTATAAATTTCCCTCTACACACTGCTTTGAATGCGTCCCAGAGATTCTGGTATGTGGTGTCTTTGTTCTCGTTGGTTTCAAAGAACATCTTTATTTCTGCCTTCATTTCGTTATGTACCCAGTAGTCATTCAGGAGCAGGTTGTTCAGTTTCCATGTAGTTGAGCGGCTTTGAGTGAGATTCTTAATCCTGAGTTCTAGTTTGATTGCACTGTGGTCTGAGAGATAGTTTGTTATAATTTCTGTTCTTTTACATTTGCTGAGGAGAGCTTTACTTCCAACTATGTGGTCAATTTTGGAATAGGTGTGGTGTGGTGCTGAAAAAAATGTATATTCTGTTGATTTGGGGTGGAGAGTTCTGTAGATGTCTATTAGGTCTGCTTGGTGCAGAGCTGAGTTCAATTCCTGGGTATCCTTGTTGACTTTCTGTCTCGTTGATCTGTCTAATGTTGACAGTGGGGTGTTAAAGTCTCCCATTATTAATGTGTGGGAGTCTAAGTCTCTTTGTAGGTCACTGAGGACTTGCTTTATGAATCTGGGTGCTCCTGTATTGGGTGCATAAATATTTAGGATAGTTAGCTCCTCTTGTTGAATTGATCCCTTTACCATTATGTAATGGCCTTCTTTGTCTCTTTTGATCTTTGTTGGTTTAAAGTCTGTTTTATCAGAGACTAGGATTGCAACCCCTGCCTTTTTTTGTTTTCCATTGGCTTGGTAGATCTTCCTCCATCCTTTTATTTTGAGCCTATGTGTGTCTCTGCACGTGAGATGGGTTTCCTGAATACAGCACACTGATGGGTCTTGACTCTTTATCCAACTTGCCAGTCTGTGTCTTTTAATTGCAGAATTTAGTCCATTTATATTTAAAGTTAATATTGTTATGTGTGAATTTGATCCTGTCATTATGATGTTAGCTGGTGATTTTGCTCATTAGTTGATGCAGTTTCTTCCTAGTCTCGATGGTCTTTACATTTTGGCATGGTTTTGCAGCGGCTGGTACCGGTTGTTCCTTTCCATGTTTAGCGCTTCCTTCAGGAGCTCTTTTAGGGCAGGCCTGGTGGTGACAAAATCTCTCAACATTTGCTTGTCTATAAAGTATTTTATTTCTCCTTCACTTATGAAGCTTAGTTTGGCTGGATATGAAATTCTGGGTTGAAAATTCTTTTCTTTAAGAATGTTGAATATTGGCCCCCACTCTCTTCTGGCTTGTAGGGTTTCTGCCGAGAGATCCGCTGTTAGTCTGATGGGCTTTCCTTTGAGGGTAACCCGACCTTTCTCTCTGGCTGCCCTTAACATTTTTTCCTTCATTTCAACTTTGGTGAATCTGACAATTATGTGTCTTGGAGTTGCTCTTCTCGAGGAGTATCTTTGTGGCGTTCTCTGTATTTCCTGAATCTGAACGTTGGCCTGCCTTGCTAGATTGGGGAAGTTCTCCTGGATAATATCCTGCAGAGTGTTTTCCAACTTGGTTCCATTCTCCACATCACTTTCAGGTACACCAATCAGACGTAGATTTGGTCTTTTCACATAGTCCCATATTTCTTGGAGGCTTTGCTCATTTCTTTTTATTCTTTTTTCTCTAAACTTCCCTTCTCGCTTCATTTCATTCATTTCATCTTCCATTGCTGATACCCTTTCTTCCAGTTGATCACATCGGCTCCTGAGGCTTCTGCATTCTTCACGTAGTTCTCGAGCCTTGGTTTTCAGCTCCATCAGCTCCTTTAAGCACTTCTCTGTATTGGTTATTCTAGTTATACATTCTTCTAAATTTTTTTCAAAGTTTTCAACTTCTTTGCCTTTGGTTTGAATGTCCTCCCGTAGCTCAGAGTAATTTGATCGTCTGAAGCCTTCTTCTCTCAGCTCATCAAAATCATTCTCCATCCAGCTTTGTTCTGTTGCTGGTGAGGAACTGCGTTCCTTTGGAGGAGGAGAGGCGCTCTGCGTTTTAGAGTTTCCAGTTTTTCTGTTCTGTTTTTTCCCCATCTTTGTGGTTTTATCTACTTTTGGTCTTTGATGATGGTGATGTACAGATGGGTTTTCGGTGTAGATGTCCTTTCTGGTTGTTAGTTTTCCTTCTAACAGACAGGACCCTCAGCTGCAGGTCTGTTGGAATACCCTGCCGTGTGAGGTGTCAGTGTGCCCCTGCTGGGGGGTGCCTCCCAGTTAGGCTGCTCGGGGGTCAGGAGTCAGGGACCCACTTGAGGAGGCAGTCTGCCCGTTCTCAGATCTCCGGCTGCGTGCTGGGAGAACCACTGCTCTCTTCAAAGCTGTCAGACAGGGACACTTAAGTCTGCAGAGGTTACTGCTGTCTTTTTGTTTGTCTGTGCCCTGCCCCCAGAGGTGGAGCCTACAGAGGCAGGCAGGCCTCCTTGAGCTGTGGTGGGCTCCACCCAGTTCGAGCTTCCCGGCTGCTTTGTTTACCTAAGCAAGCCTGGGCAATGGCGGGCGCCCCTCCCCCAGCCTCGTTGCCGCCTTGCAGTTTGATCTCAGACTGCTGTGCTAGCAATCAGCGAGATTCCGTGGGCGTAGGACCCTCCGAGCCAGGTGTGGGATATAGTCTCGTGGTGCGCCGTTTCTTAAGCCGGTCTGAAAAGCGCAATATTCGGGTGGGAGTGACCCGATTTTCCAGGTGCGTCCGTCACCCCTTTCTTTGACTCGGAAAGGGAACTCCCTGACCCCTTGCGCTTCCCAGGTGAGGCAATGCCTCGCCCTGCTTCGGCTCGCGCACGGTGCGCACACACACTGGCCTGCGCCCACTGTCTGGCACTCCCTAGTGAGATGAACCCGGTACCTCAGATGGAAATGCAGAAATCACCGTCTTCTGCGTCGCTCACGCTGGGAGCTGTAGACCGGAGCTGTTCCTATTCGGCCATCTTGGCTCCTCCCCCTCAAACATATCTTTAGTATAATTTTCTAAAAATACGATATTTTCCTCCATTGCTTAGCCTATAGCATTATTAAAAATCAATATTCTACATATTCATGGGTCCATTTCTATTCCATTGATTAACTTGTCTTTTATTACACCAATGACACACACTATATTAATAATTGTAGCTTTATAATCAGTCTTGAATTCTGGCACTGTTATTCCTCCAACTTTGTTCTTTCTTTTCTTTTAAAATTTCCCTGGCTAGTCTAGATTCATTGGATTTCCACATTAATTTCAAATCAGCTTGTTGATTTCTACCAAATAAACAATGCCCGCTGTGAGTTTGGTTTGGATTTTATTGACTCTGTAAATCAATTTGGGGAAAATTGATAACTTTACTAAGTTATCAATTTATGAAGCTATTATAAATAATATTTAATTTCAATTTAATGGAAGTTATTTTTATATTGATATTGTATGCTGCAGTCTCACTGCATGCAATTATTTCTATTAGATATTTATGTAGATTTCATTGGAATTTATACATAGACAGTTCTGTCATCTTTAAATAAATATATCTTCTTCATGCTCAATACTGTATTTCTTTTTTTTGTTGTTGCACTGGCTAGAATCTGCACTATACAATTCGAACAGGTAAGAGTAGATAACTTCTCATAATCATGATATTAGAGGGAAAATATTAAGTTTTTTAAATATAACCATTAAATTAGCTGTAAGTTTTTAAAAGATGCTTTTTATCACACTGAGGAAGTTTCCTTTTGTTCTTGATTTGCTGAGAGTGTTTGTCAGGAATTCACATTGCAGTTTTGTCAAATTCTTTTTCAGTATCTATTGAAATAATCACTTTTTTAGTTTGTTAATATTGTAAATTACAGACACTGATTTTCTAAAGTTAAACTAACTGCATTCCTGAGATAAGCCCCACTTGATCATAATGCATTATCATTTTATACACTGTTAGATTTGATTTGCTGGCATTTTCTTTAGAAATTTTGCACCAATGGTCATCAGAGATATTACTCTGTATTTTTTTTTATTTGTAACGCCTTTCCCTGGCTTTGATACTGGGGTAATGCTGGCTCATAGAATATTTGTGGAAGTCTTCCTTCTTTTGTCTTCAGGAAGAATTTGCTTTGAATTTGTATAATCTCCCCGTTGTATGTTTGGTAGAATCGAAGGCAAAACCATCTGGGCCTAGAACATTCCTTGTGAGAAATTTTTTAACTGTAACTTTAATGTGTTTAACAGATACAGGGTTATTTAGAGTACCTATTTCTTCCTGAGTAAAATTTGGTTGTTTTTATCTTTCATGAAAATTGTTCATTTCACATGCGTGTTTTTTTTTCACAATGTTTCTATATTATTCTCTACTATCAGAAAAATTTGTAGTTATGTCCCTTCTTTCTTGATGCTGATAATTTGTATTTTCTCTCTTTTTTTCTGATTAGCCTGGCTAGAGGTTTATTGATTGTATTGACTTTTTTAAAAGAACTACATTTTGGTTTCATTTATTTTTTCTATTGTTTTCTGTTTCTATTTTACTGTTTTCTGCTCTGATTAATATCATTACCTTTTGCTTACAGGGGATTTAATTTACTCTTCTTTTTCTAATTAAATGTTATTGTTAAGGTAGAAGTTAAGGCTATTGATTTGATATCTTTTTTGCTATCGAACATAGATATTTAGTGATTCAATTTCTGTGTACATATTGCATTAGTAGAATCCTGCTATTTTGATATCATGTGTTTTTATTTTTTATTTAAAATATTTTCCAATCTCATTTTGCATTCTTCCTTGTCTCATAATTGCTTGGGCAATTGTAGGGCTCATCTCATTCATTCCAGGTATCTCCGAGATCACTATCTATTTTACCTAATGGCCAGTGTTTCCTAAACTATTGTCTAATATATTTTGCCTGTTTGGTTGTTGTTGTTTCGGATGGGAATGTAAATCTTGTCCCTGTTACTCCATCTTGATCAGAATTGAAAGTGCCTTAATATTGGTTTCTTTTATTATGAACTGTTAGAAAGAAAAAAAAAAAAGAATACATTGAATGCAAATAGGTGAGGATTTTTGTCTGTTTTGTTTATTGTATCTTTGGAGCCTCAACAATGTCTGGCATGCATTATAGTAGACATTTAAATACATAGTTCTTGATTGAATTAAATTACTGTCTATGTGTACTGAGTGATTTATTAAGATTTCCAGCATTATTTCTAATATTTAGAATTATCCTAAAAAGCTGGTGATGTTAACTGTCTTTTGCAGAGAGTAAAACGAAGCCTCAGCGAGGTTACATGTCTTACTCAAGGCCGAAGAGGTCATGTTCTGATCCAAGCAGTTCTGATTACTCAGCCTTCATACTTTCCCCTAAGCCATATTATTGTGCCAATGAGAAAAGCTTGGGGGGAATTATCAGTTAAACTTGGAACAAAATATTTAAATCCTAGATCATTGAATTCCTTAAAGCAAATGCCATTTTTAATGTAGAATGCATATTACCCATTAGTAATGCATATTACCTTATTAGTTGGCTATGGGGCTTTGTGAACATGAACAACACACCTCAAAATATAGGAGTTTAGAATTTCTTCCTAGTTTATTAAAAAAAACAGTATCACCACTTTTACAAATTTATATAAAAAGATGATGATATTGGGCAATGGTTAAGAACATGGGCTCTGAAATTGAATATTTCAAATGCTAATCACAGCTCTATTACTTAGTGTCTTAGGCAGATCTTCCCAAGTCTTATTTCTGTTTGTATAAATGGTAATGTTAATAACACCTACTGTGTTAGTTACAGTAGGCCAGCCTTGGCTCAAAAATCTCAGTGGCTTAAGGGAATTAATGTATATTTCTCATGTATGTCACAGTTTTACATGTGTTAGGTGGCTCTCATGCATAGCTCTTTCCGTGCATTGACTCTGGGATCCTGGGTGTCTCCAAATAATTGTTTCATGATCCCCTAGAATCTCTTTGAGCAGAGAAAGACAGTTTAGAGCATCTCTTGCACTTTCATAACCATTTTAGCCCTGAAGCTATTAACAACATTCCTGTTCACATTCATTGGTAAAATCCAGTCATGAGCATTCACCAAAATGGTGTGGATACAGGGAAATGCAGTTCCTGGCTAGACAGCTTCTTCCAAGCAACCGTTTCACAATATTGAAGGTGAAGCTGACTGTGTACAGCTGCCATCTAATAGGATTCTTATGAAGACAACACAGAATCTATGTAGTCTGTAACATCTGTCAAATACCATGCTCTTAAAAATTGTGAGTTATTATTATTATTACTTAATCAATATATTGACCTGAATAAATTCAAGAATCTTTAGCTACAACTGGGGTTCTGTGCTTACCTATTTATTGAAAGAGATTAGGAAACTCAGCTAAGTGGTATAAAGTTGTGTCCAATGACAATTTTTCGAGGGTTGAAGCATGAATTGTTCTGTTGAAATAAGTGTACAATATAGAAAATAATAGATAGATAAGCAAGGGAGCAAAAATAGTTATAAACATTATAAGAGCAGAAATTTATTACCTGCAGATATAGCCAACTCTTCCCTCCTCTGCCAACGTTTACATGCATTTATCTAACAAATGCTAGTCCACTCATTCTGCCCCTACCTGGTAACATCTCTCAGAATCAACTTTTTCTTTCTATTGTCATTTCAAACTTTTGAGATTCAGCCCTCCAGGATCACCAGCATAGAGCTTCCGTGTTCCAGTCCAGACTATATTACTGACAAGTGACTCCTTCCGAATGATGGCTTTCTTATGCCCTCACTAGGATTAAGAACGTCCAATAGCTCTTTATTAACTAATGAATCAAGTTCAAACTGCTCCTCCTCACTCCCAGGACTGCAATCAACTAGCTTCACCTGACATATCAATGGAATAATATTTATCAAAACGTCTTTCCATACCCTCCAGAGAAGATTCTTCACTTCAACCTTCTCTTGTAAATATGCCCTTGAAATTTTCTCCTATTTACATGCTTTTGTATTTATAGTATTTCTCCTTAAAATAATGTCTTCTAAGGTTCCTTGGCAGAGGCAATATGTACATTTCCTTCGAAGGCCATTTATCAGTTAGGATTCATTTATCTGCACATAATAGAAAACACAAAGTAACAGTAGCTTAAACCGATGGATATTAATTTCTCTCTCATAAAGGAAGTCTGGAGGTACGCAAAATAGGGCTGGCATGCCAGCTCTGCTGTCATGAGGCACTCTCTAATCTTTCTCTCCCACCATCCTACAGTAAGGTGACTCAGTAAATTAGGACTCACAGGCATATCTGGCCCAGACTGCATTTGTAGGGACTGCAAAATTAAAAATTTTATTTTTCTTTTTAAAGGAGTATATAAAAAGAAGATCAAGCAAAAATAGAAAAATATGAAAGAGAGCAAGTGTGGGCTATAAAGCCTAAAATATTTATTTTGTCGGTTACAGAAAGTTTGGAAACCCCTGTCCTAGAACATAGCTTTTACTCACAAGTTCAGCTCATGGTCAAACACAGCTGTTGGAGCTCCAGCCATTATGCTTACATTCCAGGTAGCAGAAAGACAAAAAGAGGAAAAGTCAAGGAGGGCATGACTCTCAGCTGAAGGAGTTCCATTTAAAGAGCTTTGGTAAAGTCCCACACATCACTTCTAACATACCATAGATTAAATTTTCCCAGAGGACTAGATTCAGCTGTATCATATTGGGAAATATGGAATATTTAATTGGGAAGATTATCACTTTTAATATAAATGGTGGTTTATTATAAACAAAGATGGATGTTGCATAGGCAAGTGTTCATCTCCATTGCAGATCTGATAATGGCACATTTAAGCTCTTTAGGTCACTGTTCCAACATGAATGAAATGAGAATCCTAGCAATAGAGGATGACACAGGGGTTGTGCAATGAAAATGTGCTATAACATAAGAGCTGGGCATGATTCAGAAATGGGTTGAAGATACAATAAATAATGACCATTCAGCATATACTCTGGGAATCGTTTTACCTTAAGTTTCTGTGGGGGATTTAGTTTTTAATATTTTATTTTTATGAATACATAATAGTTATACATATTTGTGTCATTTATGTGATATCTTGATACAAGCATACAATGTGTGATGATCCAATCTGGGTAACTGGGGTATCCATCATGTAAACCATTTATCACTTAGTGGTGAACTGAGAATTGATATTAGAATTGGCTACATAGAAGTCATGTTTGATCTTGACAAAGAAAATTTTAGTATATATAAGGGCAAACAACTTGATTGCAATAAATTCGAAGAATAATGGAGATGATGCAATTCATCATCACAGCAATAGGATAATTTCTTTTTTTTGTACTGCAAGCCAGTCAATGTATTTCTTACCTTTTTTTTCCATTTTTTTTTTAACTACTAACTGGCCCTTCAATTTGGTGACCAGTGTAAATCCTTGAGTTACGGTGTGGGTGTTTGGCTGTAAGTCTCTGATACTTAGAGCACTACCTGACCACCCATGGTGGGTACTGAGTGGATATACCTGATGAAAGAACTCATGATGTGTGATTTTGTACCTTTGGCTTTTTGTAGTCATGTTTACATGACTGAGTGCTCAAGGAGCTGTACTTTTAGCTCCCAAGAGGTGGTAAAATATGTGTTTCTAAGCTCTTTTTGAATCTGGGGTTTTCCCAGAATTCCAAAGGTTCTAGGAAGCCAGATTCAAGATAAGCAAAATATAGATGGATTTATGATTTGCATGTTGTTGTCCAGACAATGGGATAATTTGTTTAGTATATAGAGAGCTATAAGAAATTGAGAAGAACCAACAATTCATAGAAAAGCAAGTAAAGCATATATATATATATATATATATATATACACACACACATATATATATAAATATACACATATATATGTATATATATAAAGAGAGAGAGAGAGAGAGGGACAGAGAGAGAATTAACAAAGAAATACTAATGCCCTTTAACCACATAGAAAAAGTGCTCAATGTCATTCATAATAGAAATGCAAATTAAAATAACACTGAAAATACAATTTTTGTCATCTATCTATACAAAATATGAAAATACACTCAGCTGGCAAGGTTTCAGGAAAATAAATACTTTTATATGTTGCTTTGTGACATTTGAAAATGGTGCAACTCCTACGGAAGGAAATTTGGCAGTATTGTATGAAATAAATTATAGATGTATTTACCCTTTGAGCCAACAATTCTACTACTAGGAGTCTAGCCTGTGCATACACCTGTGCAAATATCAAATGCCATGTGTTTAAGGAGTTAATTAGGATATTGTTTGTAATGGCAACAACCCAATGTCCAGCAAGTAAGGAATAGTTGAATCAATGATGACCATTCACAGCCATTGTAAAATTAAAGAATGAAGAACTTCTTTAAATTAGTGGTCCCCAACCCTTTTGGCACCAGGGACCAGTTTTGTGGAAAAGACAATTTTTCCACAGACAGGGTTGGGGGGTGGGGATTGTTTCGAGAGGAAACTGTTCGACCTCAGATCATCAGGGAATACCCAACATAGATCCCACGCATGCGTAGTTCACAATAGGCTTCGCTCTTGTATGAGAATCTAATGCCGCGGCTCATCTGACAAGAGGCGGAGCTCAGGTGATAATAATCACCGCTGGCTTTTGCTCATTTCCACCTGTGCAGCCCAGTTCCTAACAGGCCACGGACCAGGACCTGTCAGTCTGTGGCCTGGGGATTGGGGACTCATTCTTTAAATAATGACAGTGGGAAAATCTCCTGGGTATATCTGAGTAAAAACAAACAAACTGCAGACAAGCCTATACAGTATATTGATGTCTGCATTAGAAAAGTGGAAAGAATTAGAAATTAGAAACCAAAAAAAAAAAATGGCTTGTATTATGAGTTTGGTGGGGCAGTGATAGAAGCAAGACTTCCTTTGCTTTCCTATGTTGTTTGAGTTTTGTATAATGATCTTATTTATTTTTAAAAAATGAGAGAATGGAAGAAAAGAAGTTAGAGATAGTGAATATAGACACATTAGATGAGTGGCTCTAATGAAAAGTGAAGAAATTAGACAGTAAGTTAGAAGGGGATGTAGGGTCAACAGTTTCCTAAATTTTATTTTATTTATTTATTTTGAAACGGAGTCTAGCTTTGTCATCCAGGCTGGAGTGCAGTGGTGCTATCTGGGCTCACTGCAACCTCTGCCTCCCAGGTTCAAGCAATTCTCCTGCCTCAGCCTCCCAAGTAGCTGGGATTACAGGCATGTGCCACCATGCCTGGCTAATTTTTGTATTTTTAGTAGAGACAAGTTTTCACCATGTTGGTCAGGCTGGTCTCGAACTGCTGACCTCAAGTGATCTGCCCATCTCTGCCTCCAAAACTGCTAGGATTATAGGCATGAGCCACCGCACCCAGCCTATTTTGTTTTTATATTAATCTTCAATATAGAAGTATTTACAGTATTGTGCAGGCTGTTGGAACTGATCTAACAGAAAAGTGAAATTTGAGCATGGAGGAGAAAAAGGGCTAAGTCCCGACAATGTTGTCCCTGTGCAAGGAGAACTTTTCAGAGCCTATGCACAAGGCTAGAGGGTGTCCTTAGATAAAAGCCCATACCATTCAGTTCATTCACAGCAAGGAAGAAAAAGCAGTGATACAAGCACAGAGGGAGGGCTGTGGACTGAATCGTGCCCCTCAAAATTAATATGCTGAAGCCCTAATCCTCAATGTGATGATAGATGAGGCCTTTGGGAGATAATTTGTTTTAGATGGGCTCATGGAGGTGGGTCCCTTGTACAAGATTGGTCCCCCTATAAACCAAAGAGCTTGCTCTCTATCTCATCACCGTGTGAGGACACAGAGAGAAGACAGCCATCTGCAAAGCAGGAGAGGCCACACCAGATCTCACCCATGCTAGCACTCAGATGTTGGGCTTCTCAGGCTCCAGAACAGCAAAAAAAAAAAAAAAAAAAAAAAAAAAATTGTCTTTTGTTGAAGACATCCATTCTATGGTATTTAGTTAATGGCAGCCCAAGTAGACTAAGGGAGGTAAAGGCCTGATGTGATTGTGGGAAACTGTGGAAGTCATTAGTTACCATTGTAATTTTAATAAAATCATGATTTTCTTATACAGGTAGAGTTACTTAGGACTCGATTGATGATATCAGTGTCACTAGGATTTATGGCTAAAATCCACCTCCTATGACAAGCTACACTTAACTCTTGTGTGAAAGAACAAAGGTTTCTTTCACAAGTCTTCTAACACAGGTATTTCCTTTGGCAAACATTATTAATTTTAAGTTTACAGTCCATAGTCCTTAGAACTATTTAAATAAATCTTCTAATATTATAGAAAGGCTCTTTTTCCCTTCTAGCAAGTAGATTTTTAGACAGAAACAAAACTGAGTGATAACAAGATACAAAATGGGTTGAAAGATGTAACTTAAATGTTACTGTAACAAGGATGTAAATTTTATATTCATTAACTACTGTGTTGATTAACAAGAAATAATGGCCAACTTGAGTCCTTTCTTTTTTCAAAGCACCCAAGTCAGCAGATTGCCTTTATTTCAAACTTCTTCATTAGATGCATATTAAGACCGATAGTCTGAATTTAGGTCCATTTTTCTGCCAGGGCAGAATTACAGAATGTGGGGCTAGTAAATTTCTAATTTGATTCAATTAAGTTCTCATCAATTTCTTATTGTGTGGGTAACCACACACACAATTTTATACTCACAAATGGTCTTAGAGGAATAACCACTTGAGCCATGTTGATATTTCTTGCTCCCTTTATGCTTATAAACTCCTCCAATGCATACATGCAAACACACACATAATCACCCAACTCTATCACTCCCTCCTCTAAGACAGGGGTAATGTCTTTGACTAAGGTCTAAGTACTTGGTCTGTGTCCCCAGGTTGGAACCAGGTGAACTGAGATCACAGTCAGGGGAGCCATCCCAGAACATCAGAATCAATGGTGGCTTTGCAAGTGACCCAACATACTTGCTTTCCTAACTGGCCTCTCTGCCTCAGTCCTGCCTCCCTCTCAGCCATTGGTACAGTGTATCCAGATGACAAATGGAGCCAAGCATTACCCTCATTAACACTCCCATTATCCTTAAATCAGTCTCAAACTTTCTGGAGTTCTACATACCCTATGTGTTTGCTGGAACTCCATGCTCCTTTGAACTAGAAGATTGGCTCCAATCCCTGCACACTGCCCTGTGAAAAGTCTCATACCATCTCCAAGGGGTCTGCAAGTGCTAGAGTCATCCTCTCTTTGCTGAATAACATTTGACTCTACGTACTGACCGTGACAGGCAATTCTATCATTGCCCTGATATGACAACAGATATAGAACTTGTATTTCCACAAATAAAAACAAAACACTACAAATGCATTTCTCTCTTTTGTCTTTGTGGTAGCTAGTACTGAATATTATTAGGGTGTTATAAAAGGACATTTCCAACACAGTGAAACAAATAACTTAAAATCCATGTTTTTATAATTCCTTTGTCCTCCCTTTATAATTTTATTCCTGCTTTTTTATTTCCCCTTTTCTCATTTTTCCAGTGTCCCCAAACCATAGATCCCTGTTCATTTCCAATGCAGAGCAACTCATCGTCCTCTTTTCTTTACTTCATTATACTCTCCTTAGTCTTGCCTCTGGACTAAAAGTTAGGATATGTTCGTAACCAAAGCTTCCTTCCTAACAGGGATTCTGGGACTAATTACTAATACAGTATAATTTTTTCACCTCAACATTCTAAATTTTTTTTCTGGTCTCGCCTTATGTCAACCATGTCCTTTTTCAAAACTTAACATATTTGCTTTCACCAAATCAACTTCTCGGAACTCCTAGAATGGTCCTGCGTCTTCTCATTCTAGACTTCTGCAGACATTGCTGTCTCCCTGGAAGCTTTTTCACTTGAGACCCTTCTCTGTTCACCTAGATAACTCCTACTAATCTCTCAGGATTCAATTTAAAATTCATTTTCCAGGAGCCACAAGATGGGTCCTAAAGCTCCAGTTATGTGGTTTTTGGAGCTATTGAAAACAGAGAGTTTTCAATATTTAATTCCCACTTCCTAGGACAAACTTTGCACATAGGAGTATTTTAACAAACAGTTAAATGCATAAATGCATGAAGGAAGAAAGAATATCAGGGTTTTGCTAAATTGTTTATCCCAAAACTATAAAACCCTCTCTAATTCACAGCCAAAGTCTTTGATCAAACCAGATCTTTCTCTTCATATAATCTTCTTAGCCTTTTTCTGCATTTAGGCTTTTGAGAACATTTCAAATTTAGGGACCAAGAAATAATTATTATATAGATTGCACACTTATGTAATTCCTCCTAAGCAAAATATTTTGGTTCAAATAAAGCTACTGGGAAAGATATTTCTAAGCTAGCAATTTATCTTTTAATGCTGTATACTCAAAGCCAATTTAATTCACATTTTCTTTTACTGTACCTAAATTTGACATGTTAAAGGCAGCACAGTTTTTCATTCAGCAAAGTTTTAGTGTTCATCAAAACAGATTGATCATTCATATTGCCACTCAGAGATAAATAAAATGATTTGGCAAATTGAATTGTGCTGTCCTTTTCAGTAGGGATAAATTGTTATTTGCTGTGATTTGTCACTTTACTTGGCCTTTCTTAATGTTGTTTACTTCAGCTTTTTTTTTTTTCTTCTGTAGTATCACAGTTGGAATTTGGTCCAGTTCTTTTTTAAGAATAATATTTTTTGAACTGATACAGGAAAAACAATGAATAATGCATCTTGACAGTGGAATTTCACTTCTTATATTTAAATATTTTTTAAATTAATAAAATAATTAGCATTTGGTAAAGGTATTATATGTCAGAACGGTGTAAGCATGCCTTGACATTGGATAAACGTAACTATCATCATTGGATGCGTAAACATTATGTAGGTGGATGAGAAGTGTGGCGTTAATTTAGTCACCCAAATATGGTTTTAGTAGTGTCAGTATTCCATATTCCAGATTATTAACTCCATTACTCACCTTGCTGTCTGTCCAGTATCTTAGCAATTGCTGACTCCAGCATCCTCTGTTTTTTGTTCTCTGAAGGTTGTTATTTTGGTATAGATTGTTCTTTATAATATACAATGTCATAAAGCATATAGTTCCTTAGCCTAAAGGCAAAGAGTAGAATTCAATAAATATGAACATTGTCATAGATTTAAGCTACTGAGCGAAAATCATTACATCAAAGGTTAAGCCATTAGGCAGCAGTTTCCTGATTTTCATAACATGAAGAGATTCACTGAGTATTCATTGAGTAGTCTTTGGTCTATGATTTGGAGGGGAAAATGCCCAGAATTCATAAAAATAGTACTTGATTTTTTTAATTCCTCTTACTATTATTCCCAAAGTACTTGAACTTTTTTTCTTTTTTTTTTTTTTTTTTTTTGAGACGGAGTTTCACTTTTGTTGTCCAGGCTGGAGTGTAGTGGCGTGATCTTGGCTCACTGCAACATCTGCTTCCCAGGTTCAAGCAATTCTCCCACATCAGCCTCCCAAGTAGCTGGGATTACAGGCATCTGCCACCATGCTCGGCTAATTTTTGTATTTTTAGTAGAGACAGGGTTTCACCATGTTGGTCAGGCTGGTCTCGAACTCCTAACCTAAAGAGATCCACCCACCTTGGCCTCCCAAAGTGATGGGATAACAGGTGTGAGCCACCGCGCCTGGCCAAAGTACTTGATGCTTTTAATGGCCTGGAATATAACATCAAAATAATTCCTGTCATAAATCTATTTTTGAAAGAAATTAGGAGTAAATACATTTTTAAAAACTTTGATAATAAAGAAAAATAATAAATTATGTGTTAGGAGCTCAACAACTCTGAAGCAGTTCAGTTCATGAGCAATACACTTACTAGTCAATATTCAGTAAAAATATCAGGGTCCAAGTCAGGAAGATACGGATCACACAAATTGGGTAATTTGAAAAGAGTTTAATAAAGGAACTATTTACAAAGGTTGTAGGGAAACCATAAGGAAAGCTACGGTCTCTCTGGCTGGCAACAGCAGTGCAAACTGGGCCTCCCCGAGAACTGAAGGAGTGAAGAGGGAAGTTATTGGAACCCAGGTTTGGGGGTGGGGGCATCGGGTAGATAGGTCCAAGGAATGGAACTGTAGCCTTTGGTCAAGGAGTGTACCCTACCCAGTTGCAGCCAAGCCTCAGGGAGGGATCTTGAATACCTCACCTCCCTCCAGCTCAGGCCAGGCACTCCCTAGGCTGAGCCCAACCGGAAGCCAGAGGACACAGGCACTTTTTAACCCTTCTGGTCCACCTCCCAGGACGGAGAGCAAAGTGTGTAGAAGTATACAGTATATGTTGCTATAAATATATATAAATATATGCCCCCCACATATATATACATATACATACACACACAAAAGGTACATCTAATATACTTATATAAATATGTATATACAGCGATGTACCACTCAGTAACCATGAGAAACAATGAAATGTGTCTTAATAGAGCAAAAGAATAAAAAATGCTTTTCTATGACTTCAATTATGCTTAGTATTGAATCATTTCCTAATTTATTTTGAACATAAAGGTATGTTCAAAATATTCAGCTGTGTTTCAAAATCTTATGAGTTTCCAGAAGAAAGAACATCCTCTACACTGTCAATATTTTCCTTTTTTTCTTTATTTCCCAGACACTTGATGTGTGTAAACACACACCGCTGATAACAAATTTGCCAAGGGCTCTATCTATGGGTTGCTATTCGGGAACTGTATGACTGTGACATAAAGTGACAGGAAGATTTGTTCTCATCACTTTAGAAGTACAGCAGACTCTCTGACCTGTGTTTCAGTTGGGGCAATCATATGTGGTAGGAGTCTAAAGATAAATGCTGGTAGCTGAGCTTCCTGCTCTGGCCAGTAGAATCTGAATAATTCTTATTGGTCTTCCACTTTTTTTTTTCTTTTTTTTGAGACGAGTCTCGCTCTGTCGCCCAGGCTGGAGTGCAATGGCGTGATCTCTGCTCACTGCAAGCTCCGCCTCCCGGGTTCACCCCATTCTCCTGCCTCAGCCTCCTGAGTAGCTGGGACTATAGGCGCCCGCCACCACGCCTGGCTAATTTTTTGTATTTTTAGTAGAGACGGGGTTTCACTGTGTTAGCCAAGATGGTCTCGATCTCGTGACCTCGTGATCCTCCCGCCTCAGCCTCCCAAAGTGATGGGGTTACAGGCGTGAGCCACTGCGCCCGGCCGAGTCTCCCACTTTTAAGGATTTTTCTCTTTCATAGAATCTGTATTCAAAGAATCTAAAACAATATTTTCGATGATAGACTTTGTAAAGCTAATTACTGAGAACGATGGACTCTACACTTCAAAATGAATTCATACACGGAATTAAACAGTCTAATGCAAGGACAAAGATAGAAGAAATAAATTATAATTAATATGCAGGCAAATTTGCAGTGTAGACCTGATGTTTATCTATTGTCCCTTTGAGCTAAGAGGCTAGTGAAATCTTTAGTCAGGCGTGGGTATTGGAAATACTTCTTTTCTGGTCCTGTGTACTCCTGATACTTGGGATTCATTTGCTCATCTCTCAGTACCAGACCATTTTCTGTGCTTCAGTGATTCTCATCAGGCACATTGCTTTACTTGAATCAAGACCAGTATGGTAGCTGCACAGAGAGAAAAGCAGTTGCTTCTGTTTCAGTCTTTAATCAGGGCCCTTTTCACCTCCATTTTTTATAGCTTCTGAATTTTGCATTGTACAGACCACAGTGCCCAGGAAATATTGGAGGACTCTGTTGCACTCTGAAAGCTTTAACCTTTGGAGACAGAGGATCAGGTCACTTTTCATGCAGTTGAGCTAGAGCAGTGGTTTTCAAATTTGTAATTCATAGGTCAGTTGCATCCATTTCACCTGTGGAGCCTTGTAAAAATACAGATGTCCTCAGGTTTTTATTTAGAATATTGGGTTATAATTCAGGAATCTGAGTGTTTAAAACGTCCCAGGTTCGTAACCTCTCCCCACCTCCATGAAACTCTGAATAATTTGTTAGACCTTCCATTGCTTAATTTATTTCCTTTACTAAAAATGGAAAAAGAATTGATAGTAGAGACTCTAAGTTTCTAAAGCTACGGAAGCCTGAGTATTAGGGTTACTTCTTTGCATGGCCCCTGTGAGTAGGTGGAGTTGCAGGGAGTTTAGAGCGGGGAAGGGTTTTGAGTTACAGTCAGGAATCACCTGTATGTAAAAATTTCTGGTAAATTGCCATCAGAGATCTCAAAACAAAGAAATAAGAAGTTCTAAGATTGTTGATTTCTTGTGGCTTATTTTCTCATTCTGAATAAATGTTTCATTTTGTATTCATATTACTATTTTTTTTTTTCCCTAAAGATGGCCCTCTAAAATTGTAAAAGTGCCAAACTCCCAAAACTCAGATCTGGTCCTGTTTGCCTATTTGAGCTGCTATTAGTGTGAGAAGAAACTCAGATGATAGTAGCAGAAACAGAAAGAGGAAGAGGCTACAAGAGATGGTAGATGCTGAACTTAAGGCATTTGATAACCAATGGATATAGAAAGAAAAGGAAATGAAAGGACAAAAATGGCTCTAAGTTTTCAAACTTGACTGAGGAGGAAAATATTCACATCAAGAATGGACTGAAGAAATAAGGAGGAGATGCTGGGTTAGGGTGAAAGGAGATGAGCCCCATTTTACATTGGAAAGCTCTATGGAACAACGGAAGTAGTAGTAGCTTTATATTCCAGTATGCCAAATTCTCAGCTCCAAGACTCCAGCACTGTGTGCTCTACAGTATGTTTTGTGATGTGCCTGAGTTTTGGTTTCTTTATTTCAATTAGGGACTCTTCATACCAGGGTCAGGGGTTTAGCATGAGGAATAGATGAGCTTATGTACAATATTTAGCTCTTTTTTTGACATAAACTCTGGGATGAATAAACAGTCCTTGCCCTGTAAATTTTAGAAATCTCTGAATGTATCTCTATTAAATGATATGTTTTATAAAAGGGTAAAATAATGACTCTTATACAGATATAAAATAAGTACATCAAGGATTTTATTTAACTCTTTAGCATGGTATGGATGTTACAACTGGTTCAAAGAAGGATTTAAAGTACCACTCACATATTGGCAGATTAGTAATGCCAACGTGAACTGACAAATATAATACTGGTTTATTGCATGGGGCAGAAGGGGGTTGTATTTCTGAAGGATAAAATTCATGTGTGTATCTATAGACAAAAATATTTGTATTGTTATCAGTTATCTACAACTTACAGAGCTGTACACTCACTCAAGGGGAGTTAAAGGCACAGAGACTTCACAGAATAAGAACTCTGGGCCTGGCGCGGTGGCTCACGCCTGTAATCGCAGCACTTTGGGAGACCAAGGTGGGTGGATCACCAGGCCAGGAGTTCAAGACCAGCCTGGCCAAGATGGTGAAACCCCATCTCTACTAAAAATACAAAAAAAAAAAACTAGCTGGGCATGGTGGTGGGTGCCTGTAATCCCAGCTACTCAGGAGGCTGAGGTAGAGAATTGCTTGAACCTGGGAGGTGGAGGTTGCAGTGAGCCAAGATCATGCCACTGTACTCCAGCCTGGGTGACAGAGTGAGACTCCATCTCAAAAAAAAAAAAGAAACTGTGATGGCTGTGGTTAAACAAAGCCTAGTGGTCCATTGAAAACACCAAGTGTATTAGTTTTCTATTACAGTGTAACAAATAACCATAAAGTTAGTGGCTTAAAACAATACCCATTTATGATCAAGTGTAGATCAAGTGTCTAGCTTATCTCAGCTGCCTTTACCACTGGGTTTCATAAGGCCAAAATCAAGGTGTTGCTGGGCTGGGCTACTGCCTGGAATCTCTGGGGAAGAATCTCCTTCCAAGCTCATTCAGGTTACTGGCAGAATTCAGTTCCATGTGGTTGTAGGACTGAGGTTCCCCATTTCCTTGCTGACTATTGGTCAATGGTCACTCTCCACTCCTAGAGACCACCCTTATTACTTCTCACTTAATCTTCTCTATCTGCAAACCAGCAATGGAGCTTTGAGTCCTTCTCTTGCTTTGGATCTTTCTGTTTCTCCCCCTGCCACCAGTGGACGAAGTTCTCTGTTCTCCACTTTTAAGGGCTGGTTTTATTAGATTAAGTTTATGTAGATAATCTCTGTATTTTAGGGTCAACTGACTTAGGACTTCACGTCTGCAAAATGTCTTCCTAGGGAGTACCTGAATTAATGCTTGATCAAATAACTAGGAAACCTGAATGTTGGGGGAGCTATCTTGAGGATTCTGCACAACACCTAGTAATCTTTTTGGTCAGTTTCAATGTCTTTTATAATTTTTTTTTCTTGCAGGTATAAAGAAATTCCCCTCCATGTCTTAGTTTGCAGGATCCACACTTCTCTATGTTATATAGATATGAACTAAACATAGTAAGAATATGAAAATGCCAAATGAGTTGGTCTCCTTCACAGATTTTGTCTCCATTTAAGCACCTACTTTCAACATTTATATGCCATGCATCATATTTGCAGTTTTATTCCTTAATCCTCAAATCATTACAGGGCATTAGGATTATTATCACTTTCTAAATAGCTGTGACACGTTTCTTGGGAGTCCAACACCCAATTTGCGTCAGTTCCTGCTCTGAAAGCACGACAAGGTGAAGAGATGCTGGCAGGAAGGCAAGGGCGGGAGACACATAGGAAGATAGCAACTCTGACCTCAGATCTTTGCCGTTAAGTACAGCTCACACATCCAGGAGCTCTCAGCACCCTAGGAACCCTGATTGAAAATCACATTTCTGAAGCAGCAAGTTGATGATTAGAGATAATCTTCACTACAGAGCCCCCAAAACAGAATAGCTAAAGTCAAAGAATAGCCATAAGCCTGTCCTGCCATCTTCCAGGAGTATAAAAGTTCTGGGATGTGTAGATGTAACTAACCCCTCCTATTTGTAATGCACAGTACTGATTATTCCCAAAGCTAGCCAATTCATCACCTCTCACTGGAATCTTACGTGGCCTAAGCTCTTTTTCATTTCAGATCAAACTATTCACCGAACAAATAATACAGAAGCTCCTTTTGTCCTTCTTCTGATCAAAGTAGTTTCTAAGATCCTCAGCCCAGGGCAGCCTAGATTTTGTTTAACTTTTGTTTTTGTTTGTTTTTTGGGTTTTTTTTTTTTTTTTTTTGAGACGGTGTCTCGCACTGTCGCCCAGGCTGGAGTGCAGTGGCACGATCTCAGCTCACTGCAACCTCAGCCTCCCGGGTTCACACGATTCTCCTGCCTCAGCCTCCCGAGTAGCTGGGATTACAGGCGCACACCACCACACCTCGCAAATTTTTAGTATTTTTAGTAGAGACAGGGTTTCACTATGTTGGCCAGGCTGGTCTCGAACTTCTGACCTCGTGATCCACACACCTCGGCCTCCCAAAGTGCTGGGATTACAGACTTGAGCCAGGGTTTTTTTTTTTTGTTGTTATTTTCTGTTGTCTCCTTATCCTGAAACTATATACAAACTCACATGTTACCTTGCTTGACCTCATTACCTTTTGTAATGCCCTAAAAAGAGATTTTATTGTTGAATGGATGCAGATTTACTTGCATCATTTCTTTTACATTGAAATATTTTCACAGAATTAAAGTGTACATTTCAATAAAAGATGGGTCATACTTTTCCTAAACTTTTCCTATCTGAGTTCTTCTATGGTAAGCGTGTATTCAAACATTAAGCCAACACAGTAGACTCTACATGTTTCTACATAAAATCAGGGATTTCATTGTCTACAGAGAAGAGACCAAATTTTCCTTCTTCATATTTTTTTCAAATTATATCTGACACTTTTTCTCAACTAGAACAAACAATATCAAAAAATGATGATTATGTAAATACTAACATTCAAAAGAAATAATTATTGAATGTCTATAAGTTTTTTTTTATCTTAGTACTTGTTATGAAAAGACAGAAAACAGAGACTCCCTGTTCTTAGGGCACTCACAGTCTGTTTGTCCAGACATACCTCATTTTATTGTGCTTTGCAGATATTATGTATTTTACCAATTGAAGATTTGTGGCAACCCTGCATTGAACGAGTCTATCAGTGCCATTTTTCCAACAGTATGTACTCACTTCATGTCTCTGTGTCACCATTTTTTAGTATTAAAGTGTTTTTGAACTAAGGTATGTGCATCTCTTCCTTAGAGATAATGCTATTACACACAATAAACTACAGTATACTATGAACATAACATTTTATGCAGTGGAAATCAAAAAGTTTGTCTGACTTGTTCTGTTGCTATATTTGCTTTATTGCCAGGGTCTAGAAACAAACTCACAGCATCTCCAAGTTATGCCTGTGTGTACAAGTTATACTTGACCAAAAGGATCAACTGCAATAAGTGACTGTCCCAGATAATGCATGCTAGCGGAGGTGGAGACAGAGGCAGGCTGCAGGGGACAGGGAGGGCTTCATGAAGAAACTGAGACTGAGAGGACCTTAAAGGTGATCAATAGCAGATGGACAGGGACTTTCCAACCTTGGCAACCAACCTGAGCAAATGCACTTTTGCAGAAAGAAAGGAGGGGGCAGGGACTAGAGTAGTCCACTTTGTCAGGGCAAATTCAGAAAAAAGACTGGAAAACTGGATGAGGGTCAGATCATAAAGGGCATTGGAAAGCAGCCTGCAGTGTTTGGACTTGATTCATTAGGAGATAAGAGAATATTGAGGGTTTATGTATTATTATTATTAAATTCAAGCTGGTTTTTAGAATAGCGGGGTGCGTTGGAGGAGACAGAAAATTATTAGCATAAAGTTTTAAATTAAAATCGAGGCACAGAGGAGGTGCGTTATGTTAACATTGTGCAATCCTTTTAGATGCATTAGTTAATTAGTTAATTAAGTACTCTAAACACAGAGGAAAGGGAATGGGCTTTGATGGGCTTTGATAAGATTGTAAGCACTTACTGAGCACTTAAGATGTACCAAATGTTGTTCTAAGAAGTTTACATGAATGATATAATTTTGTTCTTCTCAATATTCTCATGGAATGTGTACTTTTATAACCTGATTTTTAGGTGGAGAGGCTGAGGCCCAAAAGAGAAAGCAAATTGCATAAGGCCACACAGGTAGTAACCAGCAAAACATGGATTCAAAGCCAAGCAGCCTGACGGCAATCTATACTGTAGCTGCCTGTAATAAATAAAAGACTATTTTTTTGAAAGATCATGCTTTTTCTTAAAAGCTCATTGAATTTCGCACTCTACTATGAACTTTTGAATCTGAGAGAGTGTGTTAAATTTCTGGTAATTGGGTAAAATTGACTCTCCAGGGACATCTATCCTGTAACTTTGACTTGATACATAGCCCAGTGTGAGAAGCTCAGTATGTTAGAAAGAATGTGGACTCTGGGGTTAAAAAGACTGATCATTAAACGTGGCTGAGGGAGAGTAAATTAACCTTTCTACACTTGTGTTTTCTTCTACACTTCTAAAAATAGTGTCATAGGTTAGAGTCCCTCGGAAACAGCCCCTCAGGAGGTATTTAGTGTGTAGGATATTTATTATGGGATGCCCCTGAGATTCACATCTATGGACGGACGGAGAGAAAGACAGTAAGCCCGAGCAGAAGAAGTTGAGCTGTGTTTCACTTTCAAAGAAAGCCTCAGCCAATTCCAGGGGCAGTGCTAAGGCTAGAACGTTCCTTTAGGGTTGTCCTGAGTTGAGTCGAGATGGAAAGTCATGTCTCTTTGGATGTGGGCTGGGAAGGGTGTGATCACAGCAAGATAATCGTCTACAGCTGAAGCCATCCCTGAGGAGCTGGCCACAGGGGGTGTTCTGCTGACAGTACTCTGAGCAAACTGGGCAAAGTCCATCATTGAAGGGGCATCTGGGCCATGTATCCAAATTCACAGTTTCTCTAATGACCATTTTACCTAGTACATGCTCAAAAACATGTTGGCATTCTTCCCATTTTACCTGAAGTACTTCTGACTGATATAATAAAACTGAAAGAGGTGCTTACTTTTGTTTACGTTTCTATTTTTGTCTTATCTGTCTCTCTTTTTCGTTTTCTTGTCTTCCGAGGACAAAGCAAATAATTGAAACGAGTAATGCACCTATGGCAGCTCAGGCTGCAGGTCTCACTTTCCTGATTTTTGCTCCAGAGAAAACTCATAAATAAATAAGAGTCTTAGTGTGATGTGGGATTCTTTTTAAAGAAATCTAACATAAAGCAACATGCAAACCCAAGTTAAAAAAATACCTAGTGTTAGAGTGGAGTGATTGTATTGGCTTCCTATGGCTACTGGAATCAATTACCATAGACTTAATGGTTGGAAACAACACACATTTATTACCTTATCGTTTTGGAGGTCAGAAGTCTGAATGACTTTCACTAGGGTAAAATGAAGTTCTTGGCAGGCCCGTGTTTCTTTCTGGAGACTCTAGGGGAGAATCCGTCTTGCCTTTCCCATCCTCTCCAGGCTGCCCGCACTCCTGCCTCATGACTCCTTTCCATCTTCAAAGCCAGCCATGGCGGCCGAGTCTTCTCATACTGCATTGCCCTGACACTCAGCCTCCCACCTCTCTCTTTCAGTTTACAACCTTTAGGAATACATTCTGCCTACCAGGATTATCTAGTATAATCTCCCCATTTCAAGATCCTTAAGGTAATCACATACGCAAAGTCCCTTTTAGTATGTAAGTTAACATCTTCATAGTTCTTGGGGACTAGTTCTTGGACATCATGAGGCCATAATTCTGCCAACCACAGGGATGTAAAACAATGGTGAGAGAACAACCAAAAAAAAGAAGAAGAAAAAGAAAGAAGTGCCTTACCTTTGTGCAAGAACTTATTGAGAAAGTCTTCAGAATTTGGCTTTTAGGATTAGTAAGTGATTTGTAGAAGGAACAAGAATGATGGCATGCTCTGTAGACAGAAAGACCACAGCATGAAAAAGCATATTTGTGTTTGAAAATATATAAGAATATAAAGTTTGACAAGCAAGGTATAAGTACAATAAGAAAAATAAGATGGGGAATCTGACAGAACTGAGTTTTGAGGAATTAATAATATTTACACTATTTGAGTGGGATCCTTAGGGCACAGAGTTGAGAAGGAATTGGAAATAGAAAAAAGAATTCCAGGTGGCAGAAACAACACCAGCAAAGCGAAGACATGTAGATGGCAATGACTCAGCATATGCACTTTGGGAGGCCGAGTCGGGCAGATCACTTGAGGTCACGAGTTCGAGACTAACCTGGCCAACATGGTGAAACCCTGTCTCTACTAAAAATACAAAAATTAGCCGAGTGTGATGGCATGTGCCTGTAGTCCCAGCTACTCGGGAGGCTGAGGAAGGAGAATCACTTGAACCTAGGAGGCAGAGGTTGCAGTGAGCTGAGGTCATACCATTGCAGTCTAGCCTGGGTAATAGAGCAAGACTCCATCAAAAAAAAAAAAACAAAAAAGCCTGTGTAAGGGAAAAAGCCTTCATTTTAGAAAAATACATGTTTTATTAACTATTATTTCTAAACGTGTTCATAATAACATCTAGAGTTTTTATTACTATGGAAAAATTTCCTATTTCTAAGTTTACCACTGCTTTTTTCATTAAAATGCTAGTAATCTCATCATAACTGTATTTTACCATGTTTTTATTGTAGTAAGTCCTGAAACAGGAATTGTTATACCTGTTGAGCAGATGAACAGAGGCTCCAAAAAGTTAAAACATTACTTTAACACAGACTCAGATCTAAGACATCACTCTAAAGGCATTTTGACTAGATGATAAGATGCTAAAAGAGTTTACTAATTTGATAAATATTAGAATCAAACAAAGCCTCTTTTTTTAACTAAAGATATGGCATCTTCAAATGTATCAAATATTGTATTACAAAGAAATGAAAAAAGAAAAATATGGAGTATGGGGGAGAACAAGAATTTACCCTGCCTTCCCTGATAAGAAAAGCTTGAGCATCGAGGAAACCATTGGAAGGGATTTAAGTTCTGTTCCACATCTTCTTCATCTGTGGAAATGCTATTCACTGCTGCTGTCTTTTGATTGAAAGGGTTGCTTCTTCTGTCATTTGCTCTGTGTGATAGAGGGAGCTCTTCCAGTGCACTGGTGGTGTCGTCGGGTACCACAATTCTGAAAGGTTTTCAGGGTCTTTCTGGCCTTGAAATCTAACCATGAGAATTGATCTTTTACCATGTTCAACCCTAATCCCTCTTGTTCAAATATTTTGCCAAGACGACAGGACAGAAAAGGGAAATATTAGCCTGATGTGTTCATGAATTCAGTAGGGTTGATCAAAGGAATGGAACCCAGAGTTTGGTTATGAGAAGGGCCCACAGTGTGCAGTTAAGGAAGGCAGGCCTGGGCAGAGCATGGAGGCAGCTGAGCTTGTATAGCATCATAAAAAGGTACGAGAGGTCTTGTTGGAGAAAGGAGGAAGTCACAAATAAATGAGGAAGATTCTCAAGGAAAAGGGACAGTGACTACAGAAGACAGAAATTAATAGTTTGTCCTGACTCAACCCTTATATCTAAGTCGTATCAAAACTCTGGGGTCTGACTGACACTGCTTTGTCTGTAGAATTTATATTGCTGGAACCCTCCAGCAGTAGTATGGAACTTGATGAGTTTGCTTGGACTGGAGGAGGACTCCCTGCCATGTCTCTTAATATAGACATGTCTAAACCTGCATCCCAAGAGAATTATCATCAACTTAGGCTTTGAGAGGTACCTAATGGAGGAATGGAGGAAAGGACAGGAAACATCTGGAACATTCTTGTTGTTCTACCTCTAGCAATCAGTTTTCTCAAGATTCAGCACACTGTAACTTCTAGTTTACAAACCCAGTGAAAACCCAATGCCTATTTGCTGAACTAATAAACACAGAAGAGTCAGATCATATTTTAGTGTGGTAATATCCGAAAAGAGAAAGGCAAGATTGTGCGTGTGTACTTTTCTGCTTCCATTGTTCCTTCTAAAAATTATCCTTTGCTAATTCTCCAGAAAGATTACTCGCTTCCTCCAGTGGTAATTTGTTCTTCAGGCAAGTCATTAGGTGGGGAACAGTAGGTCAGAAAACAAAACCCTTTGTACCATAGGCCACTGAACAGTGGTAAATAAAATTAAAACATAGAGACATGTTAGGACCTTAGGGCACGGCAAGCATCCGGAAACATTTCAAGGCTCAGAAAATTTAAGACATTACTTTAAATTACACAGCCAGTGTCAGAGCTAAGAACAGCTCTAAAGACAACTTTCTCCAGATATCTACATAGTATATTTAAAACCCGTGGTAAAATATTTTTGTTTTGGAAGATGTAATAAATACTACTACTTAAGCTGTTTACATGAATAGTAACAGTTATGACTGACTGCCAATTAACTTGCAGGGAGCACTGTTAAGCATTTCATAGGGAATATTTCAATTAATATTTGTAATAACAATAGGAGGTGGGTATTATGATTTCCCGCATTTCAAAATAGGGACGTGGAGCTCAAGGATATTCAAGAGCTGACCCAAGGAAATAAAGCCAGTAAGTGGCAGAGCCTGGGTAAACCTGTGTGTTAGGCTTTCGAGCCCAAGATTTGCCCCTTTGTGCTGCTCATGAAGGACACTTTGTATGCAAATATTCTGAATAATCAAAAACTACTACCCATACACTCTTAAAAATAAGTTTTCAGTAGAATAGATTGTACGTATATGTAGATTTAATCTTTATTTTAGGATTAAGATAACATTTTAGGATTTTGCAGTATATCAAGTTAATAATCCTCAGTAGGACTTGCCAATTTTCCTGCCAAAAATACAAACATGATGCCTTACAGTAAGTTCTACACTAAAAAGTGGTGACTAGTTTAGTGGTTGAAGAAATATCTGATAGAGCCCATATTTTCTATGAGTAAAAGGTCTACAAAAATGGGGATGCTTTGCACATCTTTACTTTAGGGGTCCAATAGACCCTCACTAAAATCAGTGTTTCTGCATAAGAATGTATATTGCAGTCTATGAAGTCATTTAATAAGTCTTACCTAGCACCAGTCCATATCATTTTGAAAGCACTGCTTTCCCTCTTTGACCCATTCTACACCTCTGCTCATCTTAATTGAAGAGAATAATGCTTTTGACCAGCAGAGAGCAGCAATGATATACTTTATAAGAGGCAGTCTGGTGAACCTGACCATCTTTTCTAAAATGTCCATTTTGTGAGACCTCTGCAGACTGTCTTAAGTGATCCCAGTCTTTGAATGGTTCATTGTAAAAGATCTCGGAGTTTACCTGAATCCGTATGTGAGAATTTTGTAGCTAGATTGTCATGTTCTAGTTCTACTGATGCCATTTGTAAAGTTGACCTTTCCTTGCAGCCTTGTCTCCTGGTGCCATCAGCATGGGCCAGGTGCCTAGGTCAAGAAGTACCACTCCATCATGGTAGTTTCTGCCCTCATTTCCTAGCTGTGTTTATGGCCGAAGGCTATGCATCATGGAGCTCTGTGTTGACTCACAATATGGCTTTCTAAGGTAAAAGACAGTTAAAGATTCATGAGAACAGTGAATGGGATTATATTGATAGAATAGTGGGCAGAGGACACAAGCTTGGGGGATGTATATTTTCAGAAAACAAGAGTAGAGGAAATGGAACAGGAATCTTGGGGAAGAGCAGAGAAGGAAAAATCTATGAGAAGAAGCCAAGAGAAGAAAGAATTTCAAGAACAGGATGGCCAATTTTCAAATCCCCTTAGTGATGTAAAAGCAAACTTAGAAGAGTTATTGGCTTTGGAAATACAGTTGACACTTACAGAGGTTAGGGATGCTGACCCCCGTTTGCAGTTGAAAATTCATGTATAACGTTTGATTCCTCCAAAACGTAACTAGTAATGACATACTTTTGGCCAGAAGCTTTACCAATAACATAGTAAATCAACATGTATTTTGTATGCTATGTGTATTGTATGTGGTATTCTTACAACTAAGTAAACAAGAGAAAGGAAATGTTATTAAAAAGATTAAAAGAAGGAGAAAATATGTTTACTATTTTTTAAATGGAAGTGGATCATCATATAAGTCTTCATCTTCGTCATCTTCATATTGAGTAGACTAAGAAGGAGGAAGAGGAGGGGTTGGTCTTACTATCTCAGGGGTGGCAGAGGTGGAAAAAATCCACAAATAATTGGACCTGGGTCATTCAAACCCATGTTGTTCAAAGGTCACCTGTGGGTGGTCTGGGGAGACCTCAGAACAAATTTAGTCTCATTTTGAGAACTCAAGTTAGATTTTATGGGTTTGGGGGGTTAGATAAGAAAGAATTGTACAGAAGGAAACTAGTGTCCAAGCAACTGGGGAAAGAAGAAAGACATTCTTTCCTCCAGGGCAGAAGGGAAGTCGAAAGATGTGAATGATGACACAGAGAAACTTTGAGTTAGAAAAGGAAACTAATGGCCTCAGTCTACTCCATGAAGCAAAACGTCTGGGCTTTCTAGTGTGTATGTTTCCTTCTTTGAAAGTTGGTGGCTTGAGAGTAAAAATTAGAAAACAAAATACAACTTAATAAAAGAAATGAGAAAAAATCTCATGAGTTTCACTGAGATCACATAACAAGAAATTATGGCAGAATCAGAAGAAATTGTAGTAATATTTTTAAAATTGTCTTAACTGTCAGTATTTAGCAAATAGGAATGGCATTTACTAAGTGGCATTTACTAAATTTACTAAGTGAGCAGTATAGATTAGGATGATGGAAGATGAAGACGGTTGATTAATTCAGGGAGATGATAGTTGAATTGCCTAACCTTGGAGCCTGGGCAGAATAGAAGACAAGAAAAGGTAGCACAAGATGTGGACTAGGGAATAAGAGTTTAAGAAAACAAGAGTTGCCATAAAGACCCACAGGACTCCATGGAAATATGGGATGCAGAAGGACTGAAGGAATCATCCTCATTTTCCGGTTGCCTCAATAATCTGCCCTGACCCTTTTAAGTTCTTGGCACATAGCAGATAATGTACTCTCTCTCTCCATCATTTGTTGAATAAATTAATAATTACACATGTTAAACCCAGGAGGTTTTGAAAATAAAGCATTAACATTGTGTATGTGAGGAAGTAGGCAACTTTTGATTGTAAATAGGACAAACCCAGAGACATTGAAAACAGGAATGTCTTAATGACGTGATCCTTCTGTCCTACTTTCAGCATCACTCAAGAAGGGAAATCTTAGCATGTGTAATAATCATTAGCAATGAGGCAATTAATGAATTCCCTTCCCTAAAAGGGATTATTTTTGAATTTTTGACATTTGCAAAACATTTTTTTTTTTTTTCTGAGATGGAGCCTCACTCTGTTGCCCAGGCTGGGGTGCAGTGGCACCATCTCAGCTGACTGCAACTTCTGCCTCCTGGGTTCAAGCAATTCTCCTGCCTCAGCGTCCCAAGTAGCTGGGATTACAGGCACCTGGCTAATTTTTTTTTTTTTTTTTTTTTTGTCGTTTAGTAGAGACGACATTTCACCATGTTGCCCAGGCTGGTCTCGAACTCCTGAGCTCAGGTAATCTGCCTGCCTTAGCGTCCCAAAGTGCTAGGATTACAGGCGTGAGCCACCGTGCCTGGCCGCAAAAATTTCTTATTCTAACATGTTATAAATCTGCATCTGCTACACAAGGACAAACACACAGGGAGATGCCTACCCCGCACTTCAGTGGTCTGCTGAATCTAGTTCACATCTTTAAAACCATAGATGTCTAGAAAGCTAAATCTGGAAGATTCCTTGGAAGCAGGAAAACCATATAATTATTTTCAAAACCAAGACACCTCTGAGAGAGAAATGAGGCACTTTTAATAATAATCTAGATCAAAGTTAAAAACTGAGAATGTCATCAAATACAACCCAATGCTCTACAGATGAGAATAATCTGGATCCAGTATCCAAGAGGATAAATGGCTTCTCCTAATCCGGCATATTCATTCCACAAGTATGAGGATTTGGGTGAACATTGGAGGCCTTTAATGATTTATAGGGTGGTGTATTACAAATACAAGTGGCAAATCTGATTCTGTCAAAGGGACAAAACTTTTAATAGTAAGTGATAGAAGAACAAGTTAAACAGAAACAGGCTGTTCTTATATGGCTGGTGAAATTCCTGTTGTTGGTGCTTTTACGAGGCTTGATAAACATTTTGCATGGAAGATTCTGAAACAAGGGCAACAAAATTCTCTTTTTTTCACATTTTAAATTATTTATTTTGAAATATTTTAAAACTTAGTAAACATCTGTCAGGACAGCACAATAAATCTCCATCTTTCACACACAATCTCCATCACACGCCCTCCTCATTACCACGGTACCTCTCTCTGACTGAAAAAATTAACACTGATTAACACTGCCATCCAATACAATGGCCCCATTTGAGAAGCCATACCTGGAAGGTAAATTCTTTCAGATATTAACCAAGTGTTTCTAAGGTTTAGATCAAAGTCACTTTATAAATACAAATCTATCATATTGTTTATACCAAAGTATTAACTTTTCATGGAAGTACAATGTATATACAGAAAAGTATACATATCCAAAGTGTACTGCTTGATGTATTTCTAATAAACTGGACACAACAGGGTAATCAATGACCAGATCAAAAGCACAACCAGCACCCCAGAATCCACCCTTGTGCTTCCTTCCAATCATTGCCCTCTTCCGGTTTTTATTTTTGTTTTTGTTTTTGTTTTTGTTTTGAGACTGAGTCTCCTTCTGTCGCCCAGGCTGGAGTGCAGTGGTGCAATCTCGGCTCACTGCAAGCTCCGCCTCCCGGGTTCACTCCGTTCTCCTGCCTCAATCTCCTGAGTAGCTGGGACTGCAGGTGCCCGCCAGCATGCCCAGCTAATTTTTTTGTATTTTTAGTAGAGACGGGGTTTCACCGTGTTAGCCAGGATGGTCTCGATTTCCTGACCTCGTGATCCACCCGACTGCCCTGACTTCTAAAGAAGAGATTGCTTTTTTGGTTTTAGTTCTATATGTAAATGTATAACATACAATAGTGTACTTTTTTGCGATTGGCTCCATATGTTCAAAGTTATCTATTATTCATCTACATCATTGCATGCGTTTATAGGATTCTTGTTGCTACATGGTATCCTATGTGTGTCTATGCCACAAATATTTTATCCGTTTTGCTGCTGATGGACATTGATGATTGCTTTTGCTTTTTGGTTATTAAAAATGTGCCACTATGAACAATCTACTACATACCTTCGGGGAGCATATATATACAGAAATACGTTCCCTGACCTAAAATGGTTCAATTTAGGATTTTTCAACTAGATTATGGCCTTTTGGGGGTTATAATCCCAGCATAAGTCAAGGAGCATCTGGACTTACAATGGCTTGACTTATGATTTTGTAAGTTTAAAAAGGGTTTAGAGGGATATTAAGTGAATTTTTAATTTACAGTGTTTTTGAATTATGATGGATATATTGGACTGTAACCCCATTATAACTCAATGATTATCTATACATTTCTTTGGATGTCTAAGTGGGAAATTGCTGAGTCATAATATATGCATATGTTTAACTTTATATACTATAGTATTTTAAATCTAATTGCAGTCAACATAGCATCAGAGTTATAGGGCAAATTTGTAAACAGCACAGCCAGGACAAGTACCCAGAGTTATTAACCTCTTTTTAAGAATTCCTTTCTCAACCACTCATTCATTTTTAACATATTTTTAAATAGCTCCTACATGGACAATTCTAGGCACTATGAATACAAACAAACAATTTCCATGGCTTGTCTTCATGTTCAAGGAATTTAGTTTAGTGAAATCTATTGTGGATTAGCATGAAGCACAGAGAAATTTTTAAATACAAAGGCAGACCAACATTATGCAATGATGACGTTTCTTGGAACTAGTGCCTTCTGAATTGCATTTTGAAGAATGGCTAGGAATTACACAGAGGATAAAGAGAAAGAAAGAAATTTTAACTTCTGTAATGGTTCAGAGGCAGAAAAATTGCGGTGATTCTCAAACACAGCTATGCATTAGAATCATTTAGGAAATCTTTAGAAATGATACCTCAAGCAACTGATTAAGACTCTCTGCAAGTGATGCCTAGGTATCTGCAACTTTTACAATTTTGCGAGGTGATTCTAATGTAGCATCAAGACTAACAAAACTGCAAGACATTCAGTATGGCTTAGGGATATGAGGGAGGATATAGAAGGATTAAAAAAAAAAGGAACAGTAAAAAATCAGGGAATGGAAGGCCAAGGTCATTCAAGGCTCCCTCCTAGGTCAAAACGTTTTGCCGGGAGAAAATGAAAATCACATTGCCACTTGCCACTTTATAGTTCAGCTAATACAGCATGAAGTATAGGTAGGAGGATGGTATGTAAGAAGTCTTTGAGTCAGTGATATACAAAACATCATTTACATTCACACTGTTTTTTTTTTTAACATTTCTGCTTCAACACTGGTTACATTATCTCAACTTATGACACATTTATCCCAAGAACATCAACTTTTATCAGACACATTTTAAATAGCAAACTTAGCGAATCCACTCCTAAATATCTTGCATTTAAAATGACCCAAGTTTTCTGTCTATCTATATTATAAAGTGAGAAAAATTCCCCAAGGTTGAGAACTTTCGTAAATTCACTCCCATTCCCAAAGTCAACAGCAGCCAGTTCATCATTTTAAAAGCAAGTACTTTTGATGCCAACAGCTACTATATGTAAGCCAGGTAAACTGAAATGAAAATATGCAAAGTTTGCACCTGAATTACACTCCTTGCCGTGGACACAATGATGCTTGGATGAAGAGCATGGGTTCTGTGGTCAGAGAGATCTGAAGTTTTGTTTTCTGAAATTCTGTCTTCACTAATTCCCAGTGGGGTGATCCTGGAGAAGGTCATCCAATCCTTCTGAACCAAAGTTTTCTCACCCGTGAAATGTGAGGTTAACCAATGTGTATTGAGTGTCTACTTTGTCCTGAGTGCTACATAGATGCTGTCTGTTTTCACACTGCTAATGAAGACATACCGGAGACTGGGAAATTTATAAAGGAAAGAGGTTTAATTGACTCACAGTTCTACGTGGCTAGGTAGGCCTCACAATCGTGGTGGAAGGCAAAGGAGGAGCAAAGTGACATCCTACATGATGGTAGGCAAGAGAGCTTGTGCAAGGGAACTCCCATTTATAAAACCATGAGATCTCATGAGACTTATTCACTACCACGAGAACAGTATGGGGGAACCGCCGCCGTGATTCAGTTATCTCCACCTGACCCTGCCCTTGACACCTGGGAATTATTACAATTCAAGGTGAGATATGGGTAGTGTCACAGCCAAACCATATCAACAACCTTATTTAATCTGTCCGTCAAGCCTATAAAGTGATTAGCATTAATAGCCCCATTTTAAATATCAGGAAAAGAAAGCTTAGAATGGTAAGCGCCTGGCTCCAAATACTAATCTTTTACTTATCACACAGAATTCAGTTCTTAACACAAGACTTATCTAAATGGAATATTATCTGTTTCTGGGGATGCAATAAGATATGTAAGAAATAGCACATAATCATAGTGCTCCTTACTGATAATAACGTAAGCCAAAGATGGGCTATGCTAGTTTAAACATGTTGCAAATGAGAATCTTTTGCTCCCAAGAAAGTACAAATAGCTCTGTATTCTTTCTCTAAATGAGGTATGCATTGATCACCTACTATGTGGCAAGCCCTTTTCTAGGCACCGGGTTTATGAGAAGGAGTTGGTAAATAGAATAGAGACATCTGCACTTTTGGTGCCTTATAATCTCTTATGGAGGCAAACCATTTCAGGGAATAGCATCCTTACCCTCAATCCTTATAGTCTCCTATATTGGCTTCATATAGGGAAAAATCTGTGACAAATGCTCTTTTTCCTGAATGGGGTTTATTTATTTGAACACTTATGATTCCTGTGTCATGTTCTGAAACATCGCATGCTTCATAAGCAAGTACTCATTTGATTTTTGCTTTGACAAAACGTTTTAATCAGGGGGAAAACAGTCTTGAATGCCATGGGATTCTGCTCTCTTAATTCCATGAGAGCATCTCTGAGAACAGACTTTCTTCCCTTGACTTTCCCTTTTACTCTCTATGAAAGCTGTTGTACTTTATTGTGTTTTCAAGCTGTTCTGGTTTCTCCTTGCAATTCTTTGTAATATCAATGATTGAACAAGGCTGTCTGATTTATTGTAATTCTCCAGCTTATTAAGTCAAGCACTTGAAGGTCAATGTTTAACAGGAACAGACCAGGAACCCTTTTAATAAACATAGATGATTATGCAAGGCAAATGTGATGGAAGGAAAGCAAAGGAACAGAGACTTCTGCTTTAGCATGTCTTCAGTATACCTGTTATAAATATTGATTGAGGCAGATAATGAACTTTTTGGCTCCAAAGCCTGGACTGATTTTTATATATCTTTGTTAACTTTTGATTGTGCAGGGACAGCATGCTTAGCAAAAAGTGATTGATTAAGGATTGATTCCCTCCAAAAATGGAAAGAACAATGGAATCTAAATGGGACTGAAGCAAACAGAGAAAGCCTTTGATTTAGTAGTTCAAAATCACGATTTACTAGCCAAGATTCCTTTATATTAACACATTGGAGAGTTTCATTTGTTTCTTTCATTTCTTCAATAAACATATGTTAAGCACCTATTATGGGCTAGGTTCTAAGTTTTTGGGATACCACAGTGAACAGGACAGGCAAAGTCATGCCACTACAGTGTTTGTATTCTATTAGGCGTCTGATGGGGTGGAGGAGGTTGGGGAGAGTGCGGAGAGTCAGGTAAGATGGAAGTGCAGATGATAAACAAGTTAATAAATACAATAATTTCAGACAGTAGTAATAAGTGCTATAAAAAATAATCAGAGTCATGAGAGACAGGTTGAATAAGATTTCGTTTCTGTGTTTGGGTTGTCACAAAAGCAAACCCCAAAAGAAGGAATTAAAGGCAAGTGATGTATTAGGGAGTTGATCTCAGTAAGTATGGTGAGAGAAGGGGAAGTGAGACAGTAAAATGAGGAAAGCCAGTTAATCCCAGAGAACACACTCCCTCTGGTAATGGGATGCAGAAGCAATTGCCCTGTAAGAGAACTGACATCCTGGGCTCTTAGGACAGCCAAGAGGGAAGACCTCTTAGAGGGGATCTTCTTGAGTTGAGACCTGAGTGATGAGTAAGACTTGGCCTCATGAAAATCCAAATGAAGAATATCCCAGGTAGAGAGAATAGCAAATGCAAAGGTCCAGAGGTGAAAACAACTTGGCCAGTTGCAGGAACAGAAAGAGCATTTCAGGACCTTCAAGGTCAGGTGAGAATTTAGGACTTGCTATTCATGCCTGACCTTGACAGAGAGCCCATGTAAAAGCCTAGATACCAGTCTTCTTTCTACCTGGAAGGTTTGCTTTGGCAAGAAAGCAAAAAGAATTCTTTAAATAAGCAAATTTTTCATTAGAAAGAATTGTTCAGCATTTCTCTGTAGATTTAAAGGTATCAAGACACCCTTGCTACTTGCTTTTTGTCTACAAAGAAACCATTTGATTTCTCTGGACCTTGGTTTTCTCATGAGTAAAATGAGAAGGTGAACTTGATCCCTTCCAGAAACACTCTTATTTCTCTTCACTAAATTGGAAATACCAAGAGACAAAAACCTTTTTTCTTTTCTTTTTTTTTTTTTTTGCTATTTCTCTTCTCTCAACAAAGTTGATATTGATAAATATTCATTGTCAAAAAGTTGAATTTTGTGTTTCCTGAGAGCTGTGGGAGTTAGAGTCAGATACACAATGGCTCAAATCTGAGTTCTGTTTGAGTTGGGCTGCCTTGAAACAAATAGTTTGATTTCTCAGAGCCTCTCTTTTCCTGTATGTTGAATAGGGATTCTATTTGTAGTCGCTCTCACTACCAAAAGAAATCACCAGGATTGGATGAGATACTGTATGTGAAACAAACACAATGCCAAGTGCTTAACTGATTTATTATCTTCTCATCTCTTGGCCCTATAAGGCCAGGGAGAACTTACCAGATGGCCGTAATGGTCTCCACAAAATCTTCTGATTTCAGCCCTGGACTTCCAAACACTGATCTTAATTTGTATAACATAATAGACTGCATTTATTTCAACCATTAGAATCTTTGACGTTGTGTTTATACTTGGTAAAAGGTCATGGAAAAATGAAGCTAAACCCAGACTGGAAAGATTACAGGCTCAGTCTGCCTAAGATAATTGCAGGGTATTTATACCCTGTCTCAATCATGAACTCAAGCCCCATGTTCACTGCTAATACTTTACATCTGCACTGTAACGACTAAAAAGAAATTGTTCAAATTAAGGCTTTAACCATATAGTAACCCCTGCCATCCCTCTAGAAGTCCCTCCCACCCCAAGCAGGAGAACATAAAATAGAAAATAAGCTTTATAAAAAGGTTATAGTGTGCTCCTTATAGAATCTCCTCTTAGAATAACTACTCTAAAAATATAGTGAGTGATGTGACCCTTTTTACTTCACCCTTAATCATAAGAGGTTAGAATGGAACAAACTATTATGTTGGAGGCCTGGTAGTATGGTTGTTTTGTAAACAGATTACAGAGACATTCAGAGTCCAAAAGTCTCATTGCCATCCTTTAGCTCAAATCATCTATAATTTACTGTGTTGCACTGGTTCCCAACGTGCGGTCACCTGAGAACTTGTTGGAAATGCAATTGCTCTAACTCTACCCCAGACCTGATGAATTAGAAGCTGTGGAAATGGGCCCTGAAATCTGTGTTAATAAAGCCCTGATGGGCCAGGCGCGTTGGCTCACACCTGGAATCCCAACACTTTGGAAGGCCGAGGTGGGCAGATCACGAGGTCAGGAGTTCAAGACCAGCCTGGCCAACATGGTGAAACCCCGTCTCTACTAAAAATACAAAAATTAACTGGGCATGGTGGCGGGCACCTCTAATCCCTGCTACTCAGGAGGCTGAGGCAGGAGAATCATTTGAACCCTGAGGCGGAGGTTGCTGTGAGCTGAGATGGCACCATTGCACTCCAGCCTAGGTGACAGGGCAAGACTCTGTCTCACAATAAAATAAAATAAAATAAAATAAAATAAAATAAAATAAAATAAGACAAAATAAAATAAAAAAAGCCCTCCTGCTGATTCTGATGCACATTCAAGTCCGAGAACCACTGCTTATTCATCTAGTCACGCTGGCTTCTCAATAGCAAAGAGTTCAGACTGGGGAGGCTTCTCTGGAGCAAAAGGTAGGGGCAGAGGCATCATTCAGGACTTATGAAGCCACTGTCTCCAAGTGGGGCTGACTTCACCGGGGAATTCTATTTGTCTTGGATATTTCTAAACTACTTTGCTTCTTATTTGCCCATATCAAAGTCCCACTTCGGTTCCTTTTGTCAGTCATCACAGTTTTTCAGGATGTAGCTGAATGGAGTTGAGATCATGTAGATGAGATCATGCTCTTGAGGGAGAGGAAAAATAAATAAAAAGAAAGCTGCCCTTACCTGTCCATTCTGGGGTCAGGTATCTGTTGTCAATACTATGTCAGCTGCACTGTCAAGGTGAGGCTGCATAGACTAGCCCTGGACTTTTTTGCTAGGAGTCTGTACCTTTTTAAGCTTCAAATATCACAAAGACCCCCCTTCTTTTATGCTAGCCCTGATTAGTGCCAGATCCAGGAATATGGGGATAATGTGGAGAGCAAAAGAAGAAGAAAAAGAAAACTAAGTCCATTCCATTAAAATACTAAATGGCCAACTCAAGAAGGAAAGAGGGCAGACAGAGCAAGGAAGGTCACAGATGGGAAAGATTCTGCCCATTTTGTAAGACAAACGACTCATTTTCAGATGGAAGAAGCAGAGGTTGAGAGAGATGAAAAAATTTCTCAAGATCACAGATCAAAACTCAGTTTAGCAGAGAGGCACTTTTCCCACTATACCATCAGTTCTCAAAACGTAGTCCAGGGACCCCCAGGGATCTCTGAGACACCATCAGGGGATCCATGAAGACAAAACTATTTTCATAATAATATTAATACATGATTTGCCTTTTTCTTTCTCATTCTCTCATAAATGTATAGTGGGACTTTCCAAACACTGTATGACGTTGATACCACAAGTTGAATAAAGGAGCAGCCATGAAAATACAACTATTCTGTTAAACCAGAACAAAAAATATATATATTTTTAAAAATGTAAAACAGTGTCCTTCTCATGATTTTTAAAGAAAATATAGGTTTTTTTTGTTGTTTTTTTTTTGTTGTTTTTTTGTTTTTTTACAAAATATGTTATTGTCTTAGCTTGGGCTACTGTAACAAAATACTACAGACTGGGTGACCTAAGCAACGGACATTTATTTTCTCACAGTTCTGGAAGCTGGAAGTCTGAGCACAGGGTGCCAGCGTGGTTATGTTCTGGTGTTGGCCATCTTCTTGGCTCGGAGACAGCCACATGCTTGCTATACATTCACACGGCCTTTCTTTGGTACATGAAAGTGGAGAGAGAGTACTCTGGTATCTCTTCCTCTTCCTTTAAGGACAATAATCCCATTGCGAGGGCCCCACCCACATGACCTTATCTCAACCCAATAACCTCCAAGTATCATCACATTGGGGGTTAGGGCTTCAACGTGTGAATTTTAGGGGCATACAAATATTTATTCTGTAGCAGTTATTTTTGGCATGTAATGGTTTTATATCATTATTTTAATAAATTAAAATTGTTTATTGTTTTAAATTTCTGTTTTAACATTTAATATAGTAAATAGTGATAGATATAACTGGTATCAACAAAAGTTCTTTACAGTCTTTAACAGTTTTTAAGAGCGTAAAGAGGCTCTGAAATCAAAAAGTTTGAAAATTGCCATGCTCCACCATGTCTTTAAAAACAAATGGTTGACTTTTAACTCAGAAAAAGATAATTTTGAAATCACAAGCTCTGTGAGGACAGGGATGTTTCTGTTTTTTGCTCAGAAATGTTTCCCAGGTTCCTAGAACAGTCCCTGTCACATTACAGGCATTCAATAAATATAAATGAGATAAATAAAAGAATACATATTTTACCCAAAAGTCAAAGTCAACAGTAATTTTTTTTTTTTAACTTGCTCTGTCGTTCAGGCTGGAGTGCAGTGGCACGATCTTGGCTCACTGCAAACTCCGCCTTCCAGGTTCACGCCATTCTCCTGCCTCAGCCTCCCAAGTAGCTGGGACTACAGGCGCCCGCCACCAAGTCCGGTTAATTTTTTGTATTTTTTTTTGGTAGAGATGGGGTTTCACCATGTTAGCCAGGATGGTCTTGATCTCCTGACCTTGTGATCTGCCCGCCTTGGCCTCCCAAAGTGCTGGGATTACAGGCATGAGCCACCGTGCCCAGCCAGTCAACAGTAATTTTTAACCAGTAGCTTAAAGGGGAAAAAATGTCCAGAGAAGAAACTCTTTGACAGAAACTTCCCCATCTCTAGAGTCCTTCAGGTAGAAACTAGAACTGGAGCAAGGTACCAGACTCAGTTGTCATCCTAATGTCCTAGAATCAACTTAAAGTTGAAAGTACTAGAGGGTATGCCCTATGTCCTCTTCACATGTGTGCCCTTCTCACCTCACTTCCTCATCCTCATTCTCGACATCTGCTTTGTTTGAATACCAGGTTTATTGTTGGATGCAGGGGTAGGACCTGGAAACAATGACTGTGGAACAACATATATCAAACAAATTCAGAACTTAGGAAATGTGGAGTGCAGGTACCATTTCCATTTCCACTGGGCTAAGAATTATCAGATAACCCTGAATAACTGGGGGAAAATATTGATTTTCAAAATGTATACGCACTTAAAAAAAAAAAAAAAAAAACTTGATCTGCAAAAATTAACCCCACTTTCTTTAGGCTACATTGTTTTGGTTGAGAAATGATTCCTACAAGAACAATTTAACCCTGAATAACTGGGGGAAAATACTGATTTTCAAAACGTATACGCACTTAAAAAGAAAAGCTTGATCTGCAAAAATTAGCCCCACTTTCTTTAGGCTACATTGTTTTGGTTGAGAAATGATTCCTACAAGAGCAATTTAACCCTGAGTACCTGGGGGAAAATATTGATTTTCAAAATGTGTACGCACTTAAAAAAAAAAAAAACTTGATCTGCAAAATTAGCCCCACTTTCTTTAGGCTACATTGTTTGGCTGAGAAATGATTCCTACAAGAGAAATTTTTAGTAAATTTTACCTAATCATTCCAGTAATTTGCAAAGAGTTAATACTTTGTCCCCAAAAATGAACTCTTTATGATGAAGGAGATGCTCCTAACTCATTATCAGAGCCTGCCAGTGACTCATTTTTGATACTTTTACATACTTCATCCTCTTGATAAATTGTGTCAAGTTCAAAAGATGGCCATTGCCTCCAATTTAACATTCAAAATTCTGAAGCTGACAGAGGCCAAGTGATTGAACAAAATATCAAATTGGACTTACAATCAGGCTTTTGGGATCCTTGCATGGGGTCCTTTTATTTTCATGACATCGTACTGGAAACATGGGAATCTACCTGCATAATTAACCTAGATAAGCAAAAGGTTATGTTTTGGGCAATATGCTTGTTGTTTTGTATGCAATATCTCACTTACTTCTCCTTTACATGATTGTATTTTACCAATGAGAAATATGTAGTTCCGACAGGTTAAGTAACTTGCTCAAGGTCACACAGATGGAATTAGAAGTAGTATTTTAATAAAACATGTTCTCTGTCTTTGCTGACTTCATTACAAGATGCTGCCTTCCAAATGAGAAGGCATGCAGTCAGCACTTTTACTTTCTAAGACAAAAGATTCTTATTAAAATATGTAACGAGTGACTTAGGCTTGAATATGTGATTACTCACCATCAAATAATTAAACAAAGAAAACAGCAAGATGCTTTCATACCATCAAGTAAAATTTCTAATCATAATGGCCCATCAACCAAGAAAACCAGGATTTAATACATATGAAAAATAACTACTCTGCAATTTCTAAGTGTAAAAGCTCCTATATGCCTTCTCCCTTTGCCTTTGCACTCCTTTTTCTGCATAAGGGGGCCGGACAGCAGTGGGGCAAAGGGCCGGCTGATTTCATGTAGGAGTCACCTGGGGTTGTGTATGGATTGGAATAGCTTTGGTAGTTGTAATGTCTCCTGCCTTGCCCAGCCGGTTTTGCTGGAGAATTGGGGACAAGAAAGCACTTATGCCATTCCAGAATAAGATGGCTTATGTATTCTTCGAGAAGCTAGTTCATTTTAAAGCACACAGTGGGGCAAACTGTCACACACTCAGCTTCCTTTTCTACAGAATTCTTCAGCAAGCTGTTATGGGCTGAATTGTGCCTCCCCAGAATTTACATGTTGAAATTCTAACCCCTAGTGCCTCAAAATGTGACTGTATTTGGAGATGGACTCTTCAAACTTGTATGTAAGATTAATTGAAGTCATTGAGGTGGGCCTTAATTTAGTAAGACCGGTGTTTTCACAGGAAGAAGAGATTAGGACTGATATGGTTAGGCTTTGTGTCCCCACCCAAATCTCATCTTGAATTTTAATCCCCAGGTATTTAGGGAGAGAACTGGTGGGAAGCGATTGGATTGTGAGGGCGGTTTCCCTCATTCTGTTTTTGTGATAGTGAGTGAACTCTCATGAGAGCTGATGGTTTTATAAATGGTAGATTTTCCTGAGCTGACAAACACTCACTCTCACCTGTCACCACGTAAGATGTGCATTTGTTTCTCCTTCACCTTCCACCATGATTATAAGTTGCCTGAAGCTTCCCCAGCCATGCAGAACTGTGAGTCAAATAAACCTCTTTCCTTTATAAATTACCCAGTCTGGAGTATTTCTTTATAGCAGTGTGAGAACAGACTAATACAGACACAGAAAAACAGGGAGGGAAGACCATGTGAAGACACGGGGAGAAGACAGACCTCAGAAGAAAACACTCTACTGGCACCTTAATCTTGGACTTACAGCTTCCAGAACTGAGAAAACAGATTTCTCTGTTGTTTAAGCCCCCTAGTCTGTGATATTTGCTATGGCAGCCCTAGAAAACTAATATACAGGCCCAGCTTTTGTTTGTTTTTGTTTTTGTTTCTTCGTAAGGACTTTAGGCTCTTATGAATGGACACTGGCCTCCAAGGCTCCTCAGCACAGATTTCCCGATGTCTAGAAACATGGGCCAAGTACCCTCCCCCACGTTGACCTGATGGTCTCCCTTGCACTGCTGAACCTCAGAGGAAAGGATTGGGAAGGCTAGAACAATCCCAGGGATGGTTCCTATTCTTCCCTTCCCAGGAGTCTCACACCCTGCTCAACACCTTCCCGTTCTGGCTCCCTGGTTGTCAGCCTTTCCTCTTCTGTGTTTCTAAACCTCACAAAGTGTTGTCAGTGCTGACACATTGAAAGACAACACTTAGTTAAGGAGCACACACAACTCTAGCACCTTTTACTAATTAATTTACCCCAACTTTAATTTCATTTGCCTCTCAGTTTCTAACTTCTAACTAAACCTGCTAATTACTTTGTGCTCATTCTGCCACATTCTTCTAGAAGGGAGAAAAAAAAAACTGTCTTACTAATATCAATGTTGGAGAGAAAGAGGGACAGTGAATTTAACAAAGAACCCAATTTCTATGATTTAAAAATGTACATTAGGCAGTGGGGAAAGGCATTATTTTTGTTTGTTTAAAAACTCAGCCTTAACAAGAAAATGTTTCTCTCTATGTTTGGTTACGCTAGTTATTTTTAGCATTCAGACACATGTTGAATAATTGTAGAAATTAAAAAGAACCTCAGCAACAAATGTAGAAAGTTGTGAGTACACTGATGTCTGTGGGTTGGTGTGACCCAACCCACAGACATCAGTGTACTCACAACTTTCTAGATTTGAGTGAATACAGCATCCACCCACCCACTGAGCTGACAACCAGCAAAGGGACAGGGGTATAGCCACTGCACTGACTTCTGTATTACATTAAACTTATGTGCTTAATTTCAATAAGACATTTGCACCAATGTCTCTGGAGCCTGGAGGAAGCTAAAGTTCCACTTCTCAAAATTCTCATCTTTCCTGGTCAGCTCAAAATGCTACCTCTTCCACCATTTGGGCCCTGAGCTCCGCCCTTTCTCAGTGCATATCGTCCTCTCTAAACTTCCAAAGTAGGCAACCCAAATTAGCACCACTGAGTATTCAACCATGACAAAATATAATTGTATTTCTCCCTAACTGAACTTGATTCCTGCTTGAATGTTCATTGCATATGATGTTTCAAAAACCTCATCATATCTAAGGAAACTCAATGGATGGCGTGATTTTTCTGTCATTTCAAACATAATGGTGACTGAATTCACGATTTCATTCCTCTTTAGAGGTTGAGGCTAAGGTCTTAGGTTCTTATTCAAATGCCACTGTAACACTGGCAAGAAGTCAAGCCTCTGTCTCCTTGGGTTGATCTGTCTGGATTTGATGCAGGTGCCATTCCCTCTTTCTGTCATTCTGCCTTCCCCCTTCCTACACACATCTTAAGGGGGAGGCAAGGAGATTTCAGGGAAACACATATGAGAAGGTTCACCTGCTTGGAGAGGGTGAGCTTAAAATTTCAAAACAGCATCCGCACCACCACCCCCCACCACCCACTTGCACTGTAAAAATAAACAAAGGCAATTTAAATGAGAAGAAACAGAGGTTATTTATTCAGAACTTGCTACAGCAAGGGAGTCAGCCACTGTCTCTTGCAACTTGCATTTTGGCAAAGACTCAAAGGCAGACACGGGAATGGGAAAGTTTTATAATGCAAAATGGGAAGGCTTCAGGAGTGCCCTGATTGGAGGTTGTTGGCACAGGGAAGCTGAGGGCAGGTTACCTAGAAGTGGAGCATCTTCTATGACTGCTTTGGGGAGCATAATTAATTTTCTTTGGTTGATCCTGAGTTGGAAGCAAGGCAAAAGTCAGGGACGCTGGTTGTTATTGGCCAAGACCTACCTGCTCTAGGCTGATTGCTGCAGAGTTTGCAGTTTGGCTTCCTGGACCGTTTGCTGCAGGGTTTGTGGATTGGACTCTAATTGTCACAGATGCTCTGACTGGATGCCTGTTTAGTTAGCCCCTCAGTTCTATAAGGAGTAGGTAGAACTAGTTGATAAGGTGGTGGTTCACAAACCTCAGCATGATCAGACTGAATCACGCATAGACACACAAACACACACACACAAGTTAAATATTCACAACTCATCTTGTTCCACATGCCTATCCTCCTCTCACCCACCCCAGGTTATTAACTCCTTGAATTTCTTAGTCACTTTATAATGTCAGTTCAGTGACTAACACATAACAAATTGGTGCTTGGTAAGTATTTATAGTTTTGTCTAGGTTCTTTATTCTGTATCTTTGGTTTGACTGTGACTAACAAAAAATTTGGCTGCAGGGTAGAAAATGAAGCTCCCATTGCCTACTCTGAGTGCTAATTGCCTGTAGCGCTGAGGCTCCCACTCCCCAGTAGAGGCAAAACAAGTAGGGATGACACATTAAGGATAATAGGCTGAGGGAATTGGAGGACATAAAACAAAGAAATGGACCTAGGGGCCCATTCAAACAGCTTCAGTTTGATGCGCTCTGCAGCTTCCCCAACACGGCCCCTGTCCACGTGAAAAAGGGAGTTAGACTAAGCTGGTCATTTACGGAATCTGTTCACTGCCTCTCTCCGGGAAAGAGCATTAACTCTTTGGCAACAGGTTTGGTCAGGGTAAATCAATTTTGACAAAATGGGTTTCATTATTTTCTGAGAGGCCAATTAGATGTTATTGATGTTTTTATTTAAATGGAACTCTCAGAACCTATCTATTAAAAAATAGAGAATGGGGAGGTCATGCATTAATGCATTCAATTGTCCATTCACTCTTTATTACCTAATGGTAAATAACTTGGTCTGTAGACCTGGGACATAGGAGAATCACCGAGGAAGATGAAAAACAGCGCCCCCCCCCCCCCCCCCCCGGCAACCCCGGCCAGGCTACATCTTCTATCCATCAGAAACTCTGGGGATGGGACCTGGATTTTTAAGACTCCTCAGGTGATTCCAGTGTTCACAAGTGAAAGTTGCTGCTCTAGAATTAGACCTCCTAGATTAAATCCTAGCAACCATGCTTATTAACTGAGCAACCTGCCTAAGCTCTCTGAGTCTCACTTTCCCCGTTTGTGAAATGGTTAATGGAGTAACAACTACCTCAAGGGGTTTGGAGAGAATTAGGGGAAGTGACACATGAAAACAATAGTTGTGTTCCAAACACATAGTAAGATGATGGTAGCTGTATTTGTATTTTAATTAATTATAATGATATTATTTCAATTAACACTAAGCCCTGTGGGGATAGAGAAAAAATAAATAAAACATGAAATATTTGACTAATTATAATGCTGGATAGAATTATATTTTTCTGGTTATGAAGGTGAAATAATAATGCTGTGAGGAAGAAAAAGAAAGAAAGTAAAAGTGGATTCATGGAAGGCATCGATTGTTGGTTTCTTCCATTTGTTTGACCAGGGCAGGGCATGTTATAGTGAGCAGCCTATTATGGCCTGCAAATAATCTGCTGGTAGTCTACTCTGAAAGTTTTGCCCAACAAGGAATAACTACAGATATAACAAAACCAATCTTGGGAACCATAAACCAGATATAGGATGAAGTAACTACTTGTAGCAAAAATGCACAGGTCAATAGAGAGAACAACAAAAGATGAGAAAAAAACGGAAGGCATAAAGTACAGAAAAGCTATCCAGAGGAAAGCGTGATGCCTTTACCTGTTAGTGGCAGAAGCCATAGAACAAGAGACAGGAAGTTGTAGTCACTCTAAAGCCGTAAGAACGATGATCTCTGCCTGCAAAAGATGAGTCTCTGTTCCTTGGATAAATGAGTGGATGAATGAAGAATGAATGAATGAACGAATTAGGAAACCAACAGCCTAAGAAAGCCACAACAACAACAGCAAATTTTGCCAAATGGAATTTTAAGTTTCTTGGATTCCAAGGGCATGCATGCTTCAGGTCAAGGATGCGACTAATTAAGGTTTGTGGGACCTGAAGCTTAAACAGTTTGGAGGGCACTCTTCAAGAAAAGGAATTTTAAAAATCTTACTTGCTATTTATAAATAGATAGACTTTGACGAAGCCTGTGTAAGCAGGTAGCCCTAGAGCTTTAGCTTCATTGGCTTTATGATGACTTTTTCTTTGCTGGTGTAAAGGCGAGGGAAAAAGGAATGAAAAGGAAAGTGAAGTATTCCGAAACCATCGCCTTCACTGTTTGTCACTGTTTATTATCAGTAGTTCTAAATGACTTTATGGCTTTAGCAAATGGATTGGTCCTCTTTCAAAAACATTTGGTTACATAGATGTTCTAAAAAAGCTTATATCTGTTAAGGATTATTATTGGACAAATAATATCAAATATCTATTTATCATGTTAAGGTTTTAATATATCTTGTTTTCATTCCAATAGAATGTAATACTGATTGTAAAATAATTTTGTCCACTCACTAGTGGTAGACCAGAATTACTTTACTAAGGTTTGCTTTTCTTTTTGGTTCCCCATTTATTCCCAAAGGCTAAAAATCCAATTTATCATTATTGATCTGTCTTTCACTATAGAACAGAAATCTTTTGAATTAGGTATTTAGGCTTTGCTTGGTTTCATTTTATAATTAAACTCCTACTAAAGCTGAATTGTCTAACATTTTAATAAGTATTAAAAAGATATATTTGTATTTAATCCCTTTTGTACTGTTTTGAAGTGGCTCACACCAATATGAAGTGTCTAGGAAATTCATGTGAAAATACTTTGTTATATTTGTAATGAACTCTTATTTATTCATTTAAACAACAGGAATTTATTTAGAGCTCTCTATGAGTTTCATAGTGTGTTTTGAGGTAAAAAATCAAATTATAAATTTGTAGTCCCTGACCTTAATAGATAATGGTTTACTTTAGGTGAAATACAAATGTAAGCTACATGACACCAACTACTATCTATAGCAGCTAAATGATGAACACTAACTTGGATTGCAACTGTATTAAACTGTGTATGGTTATAGAGACATGGCCTGGGAGTTTAATATGCACATGGGGTAACAGTGGGATTATGGGAAGGAGAGACAGGAAATGCGTTTCAGAAGACTACTGTGAGGAAAACAATGTGAGGGAAGGGACAAAAGTGAACTGGGCCCTTGTAAGAACTTTAAGGAACATGGGGTGGTAGCATGGGGACCCATGTGGATGACTGGTGAAAATTAAGATTAAACTAACAAGAAATGGCCAGATAACTATAAATCTTAAGTTTTGTTTTATTTTTGAGTCTTTTTACTTTTTATTGTGGCATAAGATATAAAATCATTGGTGTTTCTTGAGTGGAGGAGTGACTTTATACTGCTGCCAAGTTCAACAGCTCTGAATTTAGAGTCGAAGAGATTTGGGTTCAAGTCATGTCTCTGCAACTTACTAGCTGTATAACTTTGAGCAAATTCCTTAACCTTCCTACACCTGAGTTTTTTCATCGGAAAATGATGGTATTTAATGATTCTGTGTTTCAAAGTATTGTGATGTGGTTATAATAAAGTACTGAGTAGTGAATATTTAGTATTGGTATTTGGGTACATAGTAAACACTCGGAGTATGATAACTATTGTCAAAATTTCAAAGTTAGAATCTATTGTGGTTAGTATTTCAGCACTGATCATGACCCAGATGAGAATGTAGTAAAGTTTTTTGTTTTATTTTTTATTTTTTTATTCTTTTTTAATAGAATGGGTTTAAGAAAAGTGAAGATAGTCTTACTTCACTTTTAAGAAAAAAGTGAAGATATTCTTACTAAAAGCAACACATGCATTTTTAGATCGTACTATTTTATTTAGGCCCCTGGATAATCCAGACTAATTAGTGGCAGTAAACATAAAAGGGAAATAAAGAATCTAAGCAATTAACAGATTTTTCTTGGTTCCAATTTGTGTTTTTTCTTGCATTCTAAAAAACACTGGTGAGCTATGTTTGTTTGTTTGTTTAAAAGTGAGTCATTTTGATAATCTCCTTGGCTCAAAGATTTGTAGAATCTCTGCAGGGAGAGACAAAAGAGGAGGCCTTATTTCTGTATGTAAGAACCTCTGTCTATTTTCTTTATCATATTCTGAAGCTGTATGGGTAGTTGTACAGATTATGGGACAGCTCTGATAAGACTGAATCAGGGATAGGAAACAGGCTACGGATAGGTCTGGACCACATCAAACCCTCTGGCTTTCCCATTTTAAGCATGATTCATATGACCAGCCAAAAGAAAAAGCAGAGAAATCTCAATTCTAGCTTTAGATCAAAATACACTAACTTTGATTTTTGATGGAGAAAGAAACTAATTATGGTGTATTAGAGTTAAGTCAAATGTCACCTATTTCTTGTTAAGGTATTTGCGTATTTCACTGAATATGTCTCTGAACCTTAGCAAGAAACGCCTTGTGTTTTTATGGTTTGTTTCTTCTTTACTTAAAAAATAAATTAACTGTTAGTTCTGATGTTATCTGTTCAAATATTCCACATTGTGGAAAATCCTCATCTATTACACATGCTCAAATTTGGATTCAATCCCAGAATAGTTGCTAATGCTTGCACATGGGCTGGAGCTGTGTAATTGTTTTTGGTGCTTAAGGAAGACATGGGGAACAATCTCTCCCCCAACAGCAGACCAAATTGTGATTTTTGGAATCCTTATTCTAGATTAAGTCCCAGAGATACTAACTCAACTGTTTCTTTCCATTTTTCCCACTGAGTATAGCTTTCCTTTTTTTTTTTTTTTTTTTTTTTTTAAACTTATAGATAGATGCACAACCTCTCCTTTATATTTCATTCAGCTTTCGAAGGCAAAAGAACAAAATCAACTCAGAAGTGACAGGAGGGGAATCATTTTGTTACTTGAAGTGGACAAGAAAATGATTTTCCCTGCTGTTTGCCTCAGCTGAATTACAGCCTTATGTCTGTGTGAAATCCAATTTGATGAGATTTTCTTTGTTACTTTTGAAAGAACTTGTTTCTTGGCAGTCCTGCCCCAAACTAGATTGTTCCATTGCCTTCTGCAAAGCTTCTCGTACCCTTGGGTAGTCATCAAGCCTCATCTCCCTGCTGTAATTGTAGCTTCTCTGTACATTATCAGACATTCCCGGAAATTTGGACTCAGCAGAATAGGAATTGTCAAATGTATCAAAAATCTTATATTTATGTACTAAGTATTGACATTGTGTATAGAAAAACATCAGGTGTAGAAGACTTTCTACTAAGGGTTTACAATCTTAGAAAAACTAGAAAGCGAATACAATCTGATCTCTAAAACACTAGAAGGTTGGCTATCTTAATATCAGTGGGATGAGACTGGATTTTTCCTCCCTGGCTATTGGAGAAAAAAAAAAGGGAAAAATAGTTATATCAATCCTAGAAGCCAGATGAGTATGGAAACAACCTTCCATTTTCTGTTTTTCTAATCAATTTAAGACAAATACACTACAGATTATATTTAGGGGCCTGGTAGGCTGCCTCAGTTTTCCCAGATGACTGAGCAGTGGATCAGCTTTCTGAAGTTTAGTGCCACAACTCATCTGCCCAAGAGCCAGGTGGCCCTGATTCAAATATAAGTGACCCAGGAACCATTTACCAGTAGACAGTCAGTATCAAGAATCACAGCATTGACACTCTACTTGGAGACTTCTTGATTGTACACAAAATCTATTTCTCGTTATTTTCATCTTATTGTGGCTGGCAGCCCATCTTTGCATGTTACTATCTCCAAAATGGCACAAAAGCTTAGCTTTACTCGGAAGACATCAGAGGTCTGGACCTCCGATTTTTGGCCCAAACTCCATCCGCATACAAAGTGGGGATCAGTGGACAAGTGGGCTCCACTTTGCTTCTACAGTAGGACTCGATCATGATGATTGCTTGGTATTATCAACATCAAGACCCAAAAGTCCAACGCTGCAGAAATTTCAGAAATGGTTAGAGCTAGATAGATCCTGAAGATAGATCCTTAAAAATATTGATCTTTGGGTTCCTCAAGTTGCTGCATTTTTCCTAGTACATGCTAACCTTTCAAGTTCCATTCTTAAGGATAGACATTATCTTAAACTTGACTATGATCTTAGAGTCCTAATGATTCTCACCCACTACAACTTCAGGTAGATAGATAGATGATATAGATGATAGATAGATAGATAGATAGATAGATAGATAGATAGATAGATAGATACAGAGAAAGGATAGATTTGTTGTTGTTTGTTTTGATGTTATTTTTATGCAAGTAAACCTCATTTCTGTTTTGCTCTATCATTGCACTAGGTATCAGAAGCCTGATTCCACTGGATTAGCATGTTCCTCTTTTCCCTTCTCCATGCAGCTTATGTAGTGCCAGGACCTGGCAGGACTATATGGACATGGGTGGGCATGACGTGGGTCATGTCTGGGTCTCCATCATTTCTCCGCACTGTCTCCACCCTGTCCTGTTCATTCCTGCCTGCAATAACTCTTCTGGTCGGCAGCACTCTGAGCCACCCCTGACCCCTACTCCAAGGCAGCGTCCACAGGAAGCATTCTGCTACTCCTGATCCCATGATGGGCTGTAATAAACCTATCCTTAGAGCCTCTTTGGGGCATCACTGAATTTTTCTAGTGCCACGCTGAGTTTGGGAAACTGAGAGACTGAGGCAGGCCAGTCTGCCTGCAACCTCAGGCAGGAGACTTTTTCTGTTCCTACCTGTTCTAGATGAGAAGGACTTCAAAGGATTGCCTACTTCCTGGGTTTTACTTGGAGATGGTTGCCACATTCTTCCTATACCTGACTCTCTAAATCTGTTTGGGATTTCTATTGCTCCCTTACTTCCTACTTTTGAATTTAGTCCTGTGGAATCTTGACCATGTCTGAGGATAAGGGTAAAGTGCAGATAAACATTTCCCTGATAATATTTTCTGCTTAATCTTTTGTCGCGTCAGAGCCTGTGCCATTTGAAACTCAAAGCCAAGGATCAATTCTTTCGTTCTCTCTTTCTCCTATGTTCTCTCTTCCTTGGCGACTGTTGAAAGCAGGGAAACATCCAGGGATAATGAAATGCTGGGAATGAAAAACAGAACTGATTAATAAATCAAGATTTTATTCAATATTTCTCAAACTTCAATGAAGCACAGACCTCTTTTCAAAGGAAAACGTTCTCTAGAATATAAAATATAAAATTGTACTCATTAAAATTCTATTTAAATTTGTATAGAGAGAAAACATAAAACACTCTATGTTTACAGATCTTTAACAACCAAGAAGCCTAAAACTTATTTATAAATGTCCTTGGCTGTTAGGGTTGTAATAACAAAATGGCATAGACTGAGTGGCTTATAAACAACAGAAATGTATTTCTCACGGTTCTGGTCTGTAGGAAGTCCAATATTGAGACACTCGAAGATTCAGGGTCTGGTAAGGGCCTGCGTCATGATCCACAGGCAACCAACTTTTTGTTGTGTCCTCACATGGTGGAAGGAGAGAGAGAGCTCTCACATTTCCTGTATAAGGGTACTTATTCCATGACCTAATTGCCTCTCAAAGACCCTCACCTCCTAATGCCATCAAATTAGGGATTAGGTTTTAACAAAAAACAAACAAACACACAACAACAACAAAAACGTTGGAGGAATACAAACATTCCATTTATAGCACAAATGAAATATAAACAAAATTAAAAAGCCAGAGAAGTCTGAAATAACTGGCACTAATGTAATAGAATACTATAGCACTAACTGCTAAGAGTAAGCACAAGTTTGACACGATGACTCCCATAGATTATGTGTTAACTTAATTCTCTCAGTATTTTTCTTTTAAGTTTCTGCAAAACCCTCATTGGTCTAGTGAGCCACAGCACCATTTGGCCCTCCTTGCTGTGGAAGCTTCATTTATATGTGTCTGTTTTTTTCTTTCCTCATTAGCCTCTAGCAAGTGAAGTAAACCCACCTACATGATCATAAACATTGAAATCAGAGGTCATACTCAAGTGGTCATCCTAACAATGCAGAGTATGCTTTTAATTGTTTATTTTGTATCATTAAAATGAAAGTCCTAAATCTAAAATCCTCAAAAAAGTGCAACAACTTATAAACTGCTGGAGATCTAATTTCTAATCTGATTACTTTAGAGATGGCACCAAAGGGTTAAATATTTGATCTCAAGCAACATAGTTAATAGTAGAGCAGGCAATTGTTCTAGAAGACCTGATGAGGGTTCAGAAGGCTTGGTGTCATCCCTAACAACAAATTTGTGTATTTCAAATAATAATATAGGAGTATGAACAATAATATCTATTTACCTTATATATACATTTTTTCTTTGAAAATTTAAGTTCTTTCTTACTTTAGGAAAGAGTAGTTTCAAGTAAGCAAAGAGAGACTTTCTAAAAGCATCTAAGATCAAAAGAAGGGAAAATTAGAGGAAATACACAAAGAATATGGTAGGAAAAATTATATTTCAAAATGCTCCATATACGGGAGGGCAGCCAAGATGGCCAAATAGGAACAGCTCCGGTCTACAGCTCCCAGCGTGAGTCATGCAGAAGACGGGTGATTTCTGCATTTCCATCTGAGGTACCAGGTTCGTCTCACTAGGGAGTGCCAGACAGTGGGTGCAGGACAGTGGGTGCAGCGCACCATGCGCGAGCCAAAGCAGGGCCAGGCATTGCCTCACTCGGGAAGCGCAAGGGGTCAGGGAATTCCCTTTCCTAGTCAAAGAAAGGGGTGACAGACGGCACCTGGAAAATCGGGTCACTCCCACCCTAATACTGTGCTTTTCTGACGGGCTTAAAAAACGGCACACCAGGAGATTATATCCCGCACCTGGCTCAGAGGGTCCTACACCCAAGGAGTCTCACTGATTGCTAGCACAGCAGTCTGAGATCAAACTGCAAGGCAGCAGCGAGGCTGGGGGAGGGGCGCCTGCCATTGCCTAGGCTTGCTTAGGTAAACAAAGCAGCCGGGAAGCTCGAACTGGGTGGAGCCCACCACAGCTCAAGGAGGCCTGCCTGCCTCTGTAGGCTCCACCTCTGGGGGCAGGGCACAGACAAACAAAAAGACAGCAGTAACCTCTGCAGACTTAAATGTCCCTGTCTGACAGCTTTGAAGAGAGCAGTGGTTCTCCCAGCACGCAGCTGGAGATCTGAGAACGGGCAGACTGCCTCCTCAAGTGGGTCCCTGACCCCTGACCCCCGAGCAGCCTAACTGGGAGGCACCCCCCAGTAGGGGCAGACTGACACCTCACACGGCTGGGTACTCCTCTGAGACAAAACTTCCAGAGGAATGATCAGACAGCAGCATTCGTGGTTCACGAAAATCCGCTGTTCTGCAGCCACCACTGCTGTTACCCAGGCAAACAGGGTCTGGAGTGGACCTCTAGAAAACTCCAACAGACCTGCAGCTGAGGGTCCTGTCTGTCAGAAGGAAAACCAACAAACAGAAAGGACATCCACACCAAAAACCCATCTGTACATCACCATCATCAAAGACCAAAAGTAGATAAAACCACAAAGATGGGGAAAAAACAGAGCAGAAGAACTGGAAACTCTAAAAAGCAGAGTGCCTCTCCTCCTCCAAAGGAACGCAGTTCCTCACCAGCAATGGAACAAAGCTGGATGGAGAATGACTTTGATAAGTTGAGAGAAGATGGCTTCAGATGATCAAACTACTCCGAGCTACAGGAGGAAATTCAAACCAAAGGCAAAGAAGTTAAAAACTTTGAAAAAAATTTAGACGAATGTATAACTAGAATAACCAATACACAGAAGTGCTTAAAGGAGCTGATGGAGGTGAAAGCCAAGGCTCGAGAACTACGTGAAGAATGCAGAAGCCTCAGGAGCCGATGCGATCAACTGGAAGAAAGGGTATCAGTGATGGAAGATGAAATGAATGAAATGAAGCGAGAAGGGAAGTTTAGAGAAAAAATAAAAAGAAACGAGCAAAGCCTCCAAGAAATATGGGACTACGTGAAAAGACCAAATCTACGTCTGATTGGTGTACCTGAAAGTGACGGGGAGAATGGAACCAAGTTGGAAAACACTCTGCAGGATATTATCCAGGAGAACTTCCCAAATCTAGCAAGGCAGGCCAATATTCAGATACAGGAAATACAGAGAACGCCACAAAGATACTCCTCAAGAAGAGCAACTCCAAGACACATAATTGTCAGATTCACTGAAGTTGAAATGAAGGAAAAAATGTTAAGGGCAGCCAGAGAGAAAGGGTCGGGTTACCCACAAAGGGAAGCCCATCAGACTAACAGCAGATTTCTCGGCAGAAACTCTACAAGCCAGAAGAGAGTGGGGGGCAATATTCAACATTTTTAAAGGAGAGAATTTTTAACCCAGAATTTCATATCCAGCCAAACTAAGCTTCATAAGTGAAGGAGAAATAAAATACTTTACAGACAAGCAAATGCTGAGAGATTTTGTCACCACCAGGCCTGCCCTAAAAGAGCTCCTGAAGGAAGCACTAAACATGGAAAGGATCAACTGGTACCAGCCACTGCAACATCATGCCAAATTGTAAAGACCGTCGAGGCTAGGAAGAAACTGCATCAACTAATGAGCAAAATAACCAGCTAACATCTTAATGACAGGATCAAATTCATACATAACAATATTAACTTTAAATGTAAATGGACTAAATGCTCCAATTAAAAGACATAGACTGGCAAATTGGATAAAGAGTCAAGACCCATCAGTGTGCTGTATTCAGGAAACCCATCTCATGTGCAGAGACACACATAGGCTCAAAATAAAAGGATGGAGGAAAATCTACCGAGCAAATGGAAAACAAAAAAAAGGCAGGGGTTGCAATCCTAGTTTCTGATAAAACAGACTTTAAACCAGCAAAGATCAAAAGAGACAAAGAAGGTCATTACATAATGGTAAAGGGATCAATTCAACAAGAAGAGCTAACTATCCTAAATATAGAGGCACCCAATACAGGAGCACCCAGATTCATAAAGCAAGTCCTGAGTGACCTACAAAGAGACTTAGACTCCCACACAATAAAAATGGGAGACTTTAACACCCCACTGTCAACATTAGACAGATCAATGAGACAGAAAGTTAAAAAGGATACCCAGGAATTGAACTCAGCTCTGCACCAAGCGGACCTAATAGACATCTACAGAACTCTCCACCCCAAATCAACAGAATATACATTTTTTTCAGCACCACACCACACCTATTCCAAAATTGACCACATACTTGGAAGTAAAGCTCTCCTCAGCAAATGTAAAAGAACAGAAATTATAACAAACTGTCTCTCAGACCACAGTGCAATCAAACTAGAACTCAGGATTAAGAAACTCACTCAAAACTGCTCAACTACATGGAAACTGAACAACCTGTTCCTGAATGACTACTGGGTACATAACGAAATGAAGGCAGAAATAAAGATATTCTTTGACACCAACGAGAAAAAAGACACAACATACCAGAATCTCTGGGACACATTCAAAGCAGTGTGTAGAGGGAAATTTATAGCACTAAATGCCCACAAGAGAAAGCAGGAAAGATCCAAAACTGACACCCTAACGTTACAATTAAAAGAACTAGAAAAGCAAGAGCAAACACATTCAAACGCTAGCAGAAGGCAGGAAATAACTAAAATCAGAGCAGACCTGAAGGAAATAGAGACACAAAAAACCCTTCAAAAAATTAATGAATCCAGGAGCTGGTTTTGTGAAAGGATCAACAAAATTGATAGACTGCTAGCAAGACTAATAAAGAATAAAAGAGAGAAGAATCAAATAGATGCGATAAAAAATGATAAAGGGGATATCACCACCGATCCCACAGAAATACAAACTACCATCAGAGAATACTACAAACATCCTTACGCAAATAAACTAGAAAATCTAGAAGAAATGGATAAATTCCTCGACACATACACCCTCCTCCCAAGACTAAACGAGGAAGAGGCTGAATCTCTGAATAGATCAATAAGAGGCTCTGAAATTGTGGCAATAATCAATAGCTTACCAACCAAAGAGTCCAGGACCAGATGGATTCACAGCCGAATTCTACCAGAGGCACAAGGAGGAACTGGTACCATTCCTTCTGAAACTATTCCAATCAATAGAAAAAGAGGGAATCCTCCCTAACTCATTTTATGAGGCCAGCGTCATCCTGATACCAAAGCCAGGCAGAGACACAACCAAAAAAGAGAATTTTAGACCAATATCCTTGATGAACATTGATGCAAAAATCCTCAGTAAAATACTGGCAAACCGAATCCAGCAGCACATCAAAAAGCTTATCCACCATGATCAAGTGGGCTTCATCCCTGGGATGCAAGGCTGGTTCAATATATGCAAATCAATAAATGTAATCCAGCATATAAACAGAACCAAAGACAAAAACTACATGATTATCTCAATAGATGCAGAAAAGGCCTTGGACAAAATTCAACAACCCTTCATGCTAAAAACTCTCAATAAATTAGGTATTGATGGGACGTATCTCAAAATAATAAGAGCTATCTATGACAAACCCACAGCCAATATCATACTGAATGGGCAAAAACTGGAAGCCTTCCATTTGAAAACTGGCACAAGACAGGGATACCCTCTCCCACCACTCCTATTCAACATAGTGTTGGAAGTTCTGGCCAGGGCAATTAGGCAGGAGAAGGAAATAAATGGTATTCAATTAGGAAAAGAGGAAGTCAAGTTGTCCCTGTTTGCAGATGACATGATTGTATATCTAGAAAACCCCATTGTCTCAGCCCAAAATCTCCTTCAGCTGATAAGCAACTTCAGCAAATCTCAGGATACAAAATTGATGTGCAAAAATCACAAGCATTCTTATACACCAATAACAGACAAACAGAGAGCCAAATCCTGAGTGAATTCCCATTCACAATTGCTTCAAAGAGAATAAAATACCTAGGAATCCAACTTACAAGGGACGTGAAGGACCTCTTCAAGGAGAACTGCAAACCACTGCTCAATGAAATAAAAAAGGATACAAAGAAATGGAAGAACATTCCATGCTCATGGGTAGGAAGAATCAATATCATGAAAATGGCCATACTGCCCAAGGTAATTTATAGATTCAATGCCATCCCCATCAAGCTACCAATGACTTTCTTCACAGAATTGGAAAAAAACTACTTTAAGGTTCATATGGAACCAAAAAAGAGACCACATTGCCAAGTCAATCCTAAGCCAAAAGAACAAAGCTGGAAGCATCACGCTACCTGACTTCAGACTATACTACAAGGCTACAGCAACTAAAACAGCATGGTACTTGTACCAAAACAGAGATATAGACCAATGGAACAGAACAGAGTCCTCAGAAAGAATACCACACATCTACAACCATCTGATCTTTGACAAACCTGACAAAAACAAGCAATGGGGAAAGGATTCCCTATTTAATAAATGGTGCTGGGAAAACTGGCTAGCCATATGGAGAAAGCTGAAACTGGATCCCTTCCTTACACCTTATACAAAAATTAATTAAAGGTGGATTAAAGACTTATATGTTAGAGCTAAAACCATAAAAACCCTAGAAGAAAACATAGGCAATAATATTCAGGACATACACATGGGCAAGGACTTCATGTTTAAAACACCAAAAGTAATGGCAACAAAAGCCAAAATTGACAAATGGGATCTAATTAAACTAAAGAGCTTCTGCACAGCAAAAGAAACTACCATCAGAGTGAACAGGCAACCTATAGAATGGGAGAAAATTTTTGCAATCTACTCATCTGACAAAGGGCTAATATCCAGAATCTACAAAGAACTTAAACAAATTTACAAGAAAAAAACAAACAACCCCATCAAAAAGTGGATGAAGGATATGAACAGACACTTCTCAAAAGAAGACATTTGTGCAGCCAACAGACACATGAAAAAATGTTCATCATCACTGGCCATGAGAGAAATGCAAATCAAAACCACAATGAGATACCATCTCACACCAGTTAGAATGGCGATCATTAAAATGTCAGGAAAAAACAGGTGCTGGAGAGGATGTGGAGAAATAGGAACACTTTTATACTGTTGGTGGGACTGTAAACTAGTTCAACCATTTCAACCATTGTGGAAGACAGTGTGGCGATTCCTTAGGGATCTAGAACTAGAAATACCATTTGACCCAGCCATCCCATTACTGGGCATATACCCAAGGGACTATAAATCATGCTGCTATAAAGAGACAAGGACATGTATGTTTATTGAGGCACTATTCACAATAGCAAAGACTTGGAACCAACCCAAATGTCCAACAATGATAGACTGGATTAAGAAAATGTGGCCCATGTACACCATGGAATACTATGCAGCCATAAAAAATGATGAGTTCATGTCCTTCGTAGGGACATGGATGAAATTGGAAGTCATCATTCTCAGTAAACTATCGCAAGGACAAAAAACCAAACACCGCATGTTCTCACTCATAGGTGGGAATTGAACAATGAGAACACATGGACACAGGAAGGGGAACATCACACTCTGGGGCCTGTTGTGTGGTGGGGGGAGGGGGGAGGGATAGCATTAGGAGATATACCTAATGCTAAATGAAGAGTTAATTGGTGCAGCACACTAGCATGGCACATGTATACGTATGTAACTAACCTGCACATTGTGCACATGTACCCTAAAACTTAAAGTATAATAATAATAAAATAAAATAAAGTAAAAAATGCTCCAAAAACTTCGCTACATTGAATTTTATGGGAAGTATATTTGAATAAAGTCTCCACTGATTTAAGTTTTTATTAGATATGAAAAATAATGATATAATTAAAATAAATGTATATAATTCTGTCAACCATCAACTAATGATAAAGTCAGCAACCAGTCTATTTAGATATTGGAGATATATATATAAAATATATATATCTTATATATTATATATATTATATGTATATTATATATTATATATATTTTATATTATATATTATATATGTTATATATATAATGTCATGTAATTATCATGAAAAACCTACTAGAAACATAAATTTACTTAACTTTGATGGATCAAGAAACTGAATCTCAGAGAAACCTTACAGTTTACCCAAGATCACAAAGTTGGTAAATGGAAAAGCTGTTATTTAAATAAAAGTTCTTTTAACTCCAAATCAGGGTTCTGTTCCCCATAATATATCTATCACCCCATTTGATTGATAGTATTTTAAAAGCCCTACCAGTAAAACTAATATTGTAATGCCACATAGCAAGAGCAAGTGAGTTTATATATAACAAGAATAAACATTTAATAAGAGGGGAAATGAACTATTTTCTTTTTTTCCTACCAGCCAATCTGTGGTTTGACTCACATTTTTCAGACTCTGGGTGTCTCAAAAGGAGTATACCCCAGAAAGGAAACAAAGTGAAATTAGAAAGGGAAATGCATAACCACAGAACAAGTCTCTGTCACAGAGGGACTTTTGCATCATTAAAAGTAATTTGTGGGAACAGCAAATGTTCTTTATAAGCCAACAAAGGCAGCTTTGTTTACAGCCACTGTTGTTCTCAAAGAAAATGTATAATGTCTGAAGATTTTAATAGACTTATTCAGATTTACCATCAGAGCCAAAAAATACAGAATTATAGACAGAATTAATTACATGGAAATATTTTGTATATCAATTAAAATAAATTGATTCATTATTGATTTATATGTCACAGACTTCCATGACTTCAGCTATGCTGAAAACTTCCTAATTTATATCCTCAATCCAGAACCATATATTGAGATGCATTCCAGATGGTTCTATGTCAATGGGACGAGCTCTGCTTAAGTTCATTATGTCCAAGGCTGGCCTCATTATCTTCTAACCCTATCCCAAATCTGCTTTTCTTCCACAATTTTCTCTCACAGCCAATGCCCCATTGCCCTTGAATTATATAGCTCATGGATATTTAATATTGTAATTTATGGATAGCATAATTGTTCTTTCATTCTTCTATTGGACAAATATTTATTGAGCATCTACTGATCACCAGTCACCCAACTGATTTGAATCTCTGTATCAGCAAATACAACATATAAAATAATGATGTATAGCTAAAACTTTTTTCTAATGTTTTCCAAATACTAGACACAATAGTTGAAAGAGAATCACTAAAAAACCTACATCGTATTACATTGTCTTTGTCACCTTCCCTTCTGGAGATGCTTCCTAATTCCTATCCAAGAGGGTCTCTAAAGGCAAAGGATTGCAGGGTGAATCACCAGGCTCATTCTTGTGATTTAGGTACACTTGGGCCTCCTGACCCTGTCCTCTTCTTTTGTGTCTCCATCTTTCCACCTCTCTTAGCTTTCTATACATTTTCTCCCATGAAACATCTCAAAAAAAGGAGCTAATGTCAGTCATTTAGAGATCAGCATACACTTAAATCATAGTTTCTATGTTTAAGACCTGTTCCCTCTGTAATCTGAGTCATGTGTTGTCTATAGATAATAGGTTTTCAATAAACATAGTAATATTAGCTTTATGATAGTGTATGCCATTTGTTTTTAATAGCTTTACTGCAATAAAATTTATATACCATAAAGCTCACGTGTTTTAAGTGTATAATTTATCTAGCTCTTACCGCACACTAATAATAGAACATTTTCATCAGCTTCAAAAGAAATCTCATGTGCATATAGTCACTCCCATTGACACTCTCCACCACTATGCAACCACTCATCTGCTTTCTGTCTCTACATATCTGCCCTTCTTTGGATATTTTATATAAATAAAAGAATATATACTTGCACTCTTATGTTTATTGCAGCACTATTCACAGTCACAAAGATTTGGAATCAACCTAAGTGTCCATCAATGGAAGAAAATGTGGTGTGTGTGTATGTGTGTATACACCCACACAAACATATTTATGCATTTATATACATTTTTGTTATATATAAAGAAATGATATATATATAAAATTTATATGCAACATGAAATACTACTCATGCATAAAAAAGAATGGAATCATGTATTTTGCAAGCAACATGGAGAGACCTGGAGGCCATTATCCTAAGTGAAATAACCCAGCAAGTCAAATACCACATATTCTCACTTATAAGTGGGAGCTGAACAATGCGTACAGATGGACATATACAGCGCAATAATACACACTGGAAACTTCAGTAGGTGGGAGGATGGCAGGGGCATGAGGGTTGAAAAATTACTTATTAGGCACAATGTTCACTGTCTAGGTAATGGGTTTACTAAAAGCCCAGGCTTCACCACTACGCAATATGTGCATGTAAGAAATCTTGTACCCCCTCAATAGATAAAATTTTAAGAAGGTTTTAGGTGATAAATCAATAAATACACAGATTCTTCACATACACACACAAACAATCATACAAAACAACATACCTATTGAACTGAACATATTGCAGGTTCAGCTCCTGATGACTGCAATAAATATAGTCACAAGAAGTTTTTGGTTTCCCAATGCATTTAAAAGTTGTGTTTAAACTATATTGTTGCCTATTAAATATGCAATAGTATTATGTCTAAAAAAACAATGTACACACCTTAATTTTTAAAATACTTGATTGCCAAAAAAATGCTGATGATCATCTGAGCCTTCAGCAAGTCATAATCTTTTTGCTAATGGAGGGCCTGATCTCAGTGTGGATGGCTGCTGGCTGATCAGGGATGGTTGCTGAAGGTTGTGTGGCTGTGGCAATTTATTTTTATTTATTTATTTTTTTGAGACAGCATCTCACTCTGTCACCCAGGCTGAAATGCAGTAGTGCAATCTCGGCTCACTGCAACCTCTGCCTCCCAGGTTCAAGTGATTCTCCCACCTCAGTCTCCCAAGTAACTGGGTCTACAGGTACATACCAGCACGCCCTGCTAATTTTTTGTATTTTTTGATAGAGACAGAGTTTCACCATGTTAGCCAGGCTGGTCTTGAACTCCTGACCTCAAGTAATCTGCCCGGCTTGGCCTCCCAAAGTGCTGGGATTATAGGTGTGAGCCACCGTGCCCAGCCAAGGCTGTGGCAATTTCTTAAAACCACAGTGAAATTTGTTTCCCCACTGACTCTTTCCCAAAAGATTTTTCCGTTGCATGCAATGCTGTCTGATAACATTTTACTTGCAATAGAACTTTTAAAATTGGAGTCGACTCTCAAAACCCTTCTTCTGCTTTATCGAAGTTTGTGTAATATTCAAAATCCTTTGTAGTCACTTCAACAATGTTTGCTGCATCTTCACCAGAGGTAGATTCCATCTCAAGAAGGCAATTTTCTTGCTCATCCAGAAGAAGAAACTTCTCATCCATTGTAGTTTGATCATGAGATTGATCAAACTCAGTAACATATTCAGTCACATATTCAGGCTCGACTTCTAATTCTAGTTCTCTTGTTATTTCTACCACATTTGCAGTTCCTTCCTCCACTAAACTATTGAACCCTTCAAAGTCATTCACAAGGGTTGGAATCAACATCTTCCAAACTCCAATTAGTGTTATTTTGACCTTCTCCCATGAATTATGAACATTCTTAATTGGATCTAGAATGGTGAATCCTTTCCAGAAGATTTTCAGTTTACTTTTCCCAGATCCATCAGAGGACTCACTTTTCATGGCAGCTATAACATTAAGAAATTTATTTCTTTCTTTTTTCTTTTGTTCCCCTCAACTTTTTTAAGTTCCATGGTATATGTGCGGGATATGTGGGTTTGTTACATAGGTAAACGTGTGCCATGTTGGTTTGCTGCACAGATCAACCCATCACCTAGGTATTAAGCTCAGCATCCATTAGCTATTTTTCCTGATGTTCTCCCTTCCCCCACCTCCTTGACAAGCCCCAGTGTGTGTTGTTCCCCCCGATGTGTCCATGTGTTCTCATCATTCAGCTCCCACATAAAAGTGAGAACATGCGGTGTTTGGTTTTCTGTTCCTGCATTAGTTTGCTGAGGATAACATCTTCCAGCTCCATCCGTGCAAAGGGCATGATCTTATTCATTTTTATGGCTGCATAGTATTCCATGGTTTATATGTACCACATTTTCTTTATTCAGTCTATCATTGATGGACATTTGGGTTGATTTCATGTCTTTGCTATTGTGAATAGTGCTGCAATTAACATGTGTGTGCATGTATTTTTATAATAGAATGATTTATATTTCTTTGGGCATATACCCAGTGATGGGATTGCTGAGTCAAATGATATTTCTGCGTCTAGATCTTTGAGGATTTACCACACTGTCTTCCACAATGGCTGAAGTAATTTACACTCCCACCAATAGTGCAAAAGCGTTCCTTTTTCTCTGCAGCCTCGTCAGTGTCTGTTGGTTTTTGACTTTTTAATAATTGCCATTCTGACTGATGTTAAATGGTATCTCATTGTGGTTTTGATTTGCATTTCTCTAATGATCAGTGATGTTGAGCTTTTTTTCATATGTTTGTTGGCCACATAAATGTCTTCTTTTGAGAAGTGTCTGTCCTTGTATTAAATAATTACATGAGAAAATCAAAATTATTCATTGATCCATGAGCTACAGAATGGATGCTGTGTTAGCAGGTGTGAAAACAACATTAATCTCCTTATATGTTTTCATCAGAGCTCTTGAATGACCAGGTGTATTGTCCATAAGCAGTAATATTTTGAAAAGAATCTTTTTTTTTCTGAACAGTAGTTCCCAACAGCAGGCTTAACATATTCAGTAAGTCACATTGTAAACAGATGTACTGTTATTCAGGCTTTGTTGTTGCACCTATGGGAAACAGGACAAACACAGTAAGTTTAGCATAATTCTTAGGGACACTAGGATTTCTCAAATGGTAAATGAGTATCGGCTTCAATTTAAAGTCACCAGCTGTATTAGCCCCTAACAAAGGAGTCAACCTGTACTTTGAAACTTTGAAGCCAGACATTGACTTCTCCACAGCTATGAAAGTCCTAGATAACATTTTCTTCCAATAAAAGACCATTTGGTCTACCTTGAAAATCTATTATTTAATGCAGCCCCCTCCATCAATTTTCTTAGCTAGATCTTCTGGGTAACTTGCTACAACTTCTACATCAGCATTTGCTGCTTCTTATATTATGGAGACAACTTCTTTCCTTAATCAACCACTGTTAGCTTCAAACTTTTCTTCTGTAGCTTCCTTGTTTCTCTTAGCCTTCATAGAAGTGAAGAAAGTCACTTTATTCTGGATTTGACTTTGGCTTAAGGGAATATCGTGGCTAGTTTGAACTTTTACCCAGAGCCCTAAAACTTCCTTTATATCAGCAATAAGATTGTTTCAGTTTCTTATCATTGGTGTATTTGCTGGAGTAGCACTTTTAATTTTCTTCAAGAACTCTTCCTTTGCATTCACAACTTGGCTACCTGTTTGGCCCAAGAGTCCTAGCTTTTGGCCTATCTTGGCTTTCAGTATGCATTCCTTACTAAACTTAACCATTTCTAGCATTTGATTTAAACTAAAAGACGGGTGGTTCTTCCTTGCCCTTAAACATTTACAGGCCATTGTAGCATTATTAATTGGTCTAATTTCAATAATGTTTTTTCTCAGGGAATATGGAAGCTGGGGGAGAGGGAGAGAGATGGAGAATGTCTGGTCTGTGGAGCAGTCAACACACACACACATTTATTATTAAGTTCAACATGTTATCTGAGTGTGGTTTATGGTGCCCCAAACAATGATGGTAGCCACATCAAAGATCACTGATCGCAGATCACCAAGACAGATGTAATAATAGTGAAAAAGTTGTAAATATTGTAATAATTACCAAAATGTGACACTGAGACTTTAAATGAGCACATGCTGTTCAGAATGACTCCCATTGACTCCTATAGACTTGCTCCATGCAGGGTTGCCAAAAATCTTTAGTTTGTAAAAAAAATGTGGTATCTGCAAGGCACAATAAAATGAAACAAAATAAAAAATGATATCTTTGTATGTGGTCTTTTGTGTCTGGCTTCTTTCACCAAGCATAACATGATTGAGTTTCACTAATGTTATAGTATGTATCTTTGTCCTTTTTTATAACTGCCGAGTAATGTTCTGTTGTATGGCTATGACACATTTTGTTTATCCATTCACTCACTGATGGACATTTGGCCTGTTTCCACTTTTTGGCTATTGTGAATAAAGTTGCTATGAACATCTCTGTACATGTCTTGGTGTGAATGTATGTTTTCATTTCTTTGGGGAAGATAGCTAGAAATGGAATTGGTGGGTTGTATAGTCATATATTAAGTTAGTTTTAAATTTTAAAATGTGCTATTTGTTTTGTTGATAAATTTTTTTGTTTTTAAATTTTGAGGGATTTGGAGTTTAATGGCTGAAACTTTGTCCCATTGTCTGTCCAGCTTTAAATTAATTGTATATTTGGGGAAGTGGAAGGATACGGAGACATAGCATCCTTCAGGAGCCCTCCTCAGTCATTACTGCTCATGAGATTTTCTGATCAGGTATCATAGCTATTTATCTATTGCATGAAGTATAATTCTAAGAGGCTTTATTAAACATTTGGAAATTGTGTCTTCTCTTTAAATTAAAATTATTCAAAGGAGGCAAGAACATATGAAGTGAAAACCAAATATATATTGTAAATGAATATATTTAGTATATAAAATAAGAAACACAAGGAAATTTATTTTCTACATTTAAAAGAGCTATTTTCAAAATAATTCTCGAAGAACCAACTTTAGTGCTTTGTATCATGATACTTGGTGGTTGCTATAATAAAAAATAATATTTTTGATGTTCAAATGAGGAGATATTTGATGAAGACATTACATAGTCAAACAGAATAAAAAAACTGAAGGACCCTAAAGTAGGTATAGCTTGTTAAACAGCCTGTTACCTGCACAGCAAAAATTAGGTTATGTTTAGAAATAAAATTTGACTATTAACACAATATGGAAAATGTAAACAGCTGCAAGTGAGATAAGATCTGCAAGTAAAATAAGACAAAATTAGAATTCAACAACATATTGATTTTCAGGATCTGAATTTTTTTTCTATGCAAGTGAAATAGAGCAAAGATGGAGTGGCTCTAACAAATGAGGGTATGGGATGAGCTTGGCAGTGAATCAAGTGGGGCTAGTGGAACAATAATATCAACTCATGACCAACAGTCTGGTTAATTGCACCGCTCTGGTCATTGCCTAGTCCCTCTATCATAAAAGGAATGCAGCATTCCCTTGGGCATTTTTATGTACGGTAAATTTAATCTCCCCAGATAGTTTGTGGGTTTTAGTTTTATTTTAGTAAAATACAAAGATAAGCTATATGCCATATTCAAATTTGTAACCACATGCAATAGGATATTGAAGTATATACATTATGTATTAGGATTTGTCCAATTTCGTTTCTGCTGGTTTCCTGGGGATTTTGGTTTCAGCATTTGTGTTGGATTTTCTTGGCCATTACATGCAGCAGTGCATAACAACTAAGCAGATGTGAACGTGTACAGAACTCTTCAAAAATAACACCTGCTGCACCTGCCTTTTCCGAGCTCCCCATAGACAGAAATGTATTTATTAAAAAGACTTATATATTAAAATGAAATAAAGTCACATATGTTTGGGAGAAGAAAAACTAAAGAAAAACTAAAATTTTTCTAATTTTAGAGAAATAAAACACTTCTCAAACTTAGAATATTCTCTTACACACTAATGAAACATAGCATTTGCACTCTGCATAGTAGTTTATATTCTAGTTATTGCAAAACGAGTCTAATTATTTTTATTTCATTCATGTTTTAAATAAACTAATTTTATTGAATTCTACTTAATTAGTATGTGTTTTTAAAGAGTCATATTTTAAAAATAATTTAGATTAGATCCATGCCTAGAGTGACTGATAAGAATGAGACGGGCAAAAAAGAGGTTAAGTGGAGTGAGGAAATTTCCAACGTTTTATGAATCTCCAGAAGGAAAGTAGTATACACATTATCATTTGAAAGAGGCCATCTTTTAATATATGCTAGTGGAATGAAGCTTCTCTGAAATTCTTCTTGCCTGGGCAAGCTCAAATCTGATAATCCCAAACCAGCTTGCTCACTACATTCCCTGTGTATCACTTTACTCTCTAAACAACATGAATGATCACACATGCATACATTTATGTGCACATTTTACTTTTCAAACTGTGAGTGTCTGATCTTTATCTTAATTAATAACCCTACTGTTCTCCTTGTTATCCATATTTGAAAAACTAAAGCCATTTCAATGCACCCCTTGCCTTCACATCCAATCAGTTTCTGAATTTTAGCATTTCTTTTTTGTTGTTATGTTTCATACAATTGTAAACATTTTTTCATTCTATTTCTACCATGGAGAAGGCAGTATCATGTAAAGGTTAAGGACTCAGGCTCTGGAAACCTGATCTTAGATCTGGCACTTCCTTCCTGTGTAAACTTGGGCAAGGCTCTTAATCTCTGTGCCTCAATTTCTTCCTTTGTACAATAATCAAGTAGATGTAGGCTTCAGTTCTCAGAATGTTTCAGTTATTTTTATATTGACCTCTCCATAGGGCTGCTTGAGTTTCCTCACAATGTGGCAGCTGCCTTTCCCCAGAGCAAGTGATACAAGAAAAGACACGGCAGAAGTTGCAAAATCTTTCCTAACCTAGCCTCAGAAGTCATATAACTTCATTTCTGCAGTAACATATTGGTTACACAAGTCAATGTGAGACCCCCTCCCACAAGGATGTGATTATCAGGAGACGAGGCTCATTGGAACCATCTAGGGGACCCTGGCAATTCTTATTGACAATGTTCTCACTCTAAATCTGACTTTTCTTTCCTCTTGTTTTATATTATCCTCCCAGTCGAGCTTTCCCACACATGGTTCACATCTCTGGCAATCTTCTAGCCGTCACCAGAGCTTCTCCTTATCAATTTCTGTGCACTTTGTGTACAATTCAGATCTTAACATTTTGTCATATTAGATGTTAATCCCTTCTTTGCTTTAGGTAAAATTTTCATTGTATGAGGAAGTTGTAATTTTTCTGTGTTGAATCTGCCACTACCTTTGTTGTCACTTCTTTGATGCAGAAAAGCACTATTCCTCTAAAAAGTTCATAAATATTTAGTTCTGTTTTGAACTAGAGGGGTTATTTATTGTTTTTAAATAACATTTTGATTTGGAATTTCTTTTACAATGTTTTATAAGGTATAGCACTAAATTAAATTATTTAATAAGCTTTTTTCTTTTTTTTTTGAGACGGAGTCTTGCTCTGTCGCCCAGGCTGGAGTACAGTGGCGTGATCTTGGCTCACTGCAAGCTCTGCCTCCCGGGTTCACCCCATTCTCCTGCCTCAGCCTCCTGAGTAGCTGGGACTACAGGCGCCCGCCACCACGCCTGGCTAATTTTTTGTATTTTTAGTAGAGATGGGGTTTAACCGTGTTAGTCAGGATGGTCTCGATCTCCTCACCTTGTGATCCTCCCGCCGTGGCCTCCCAAAGTGCTAGGATTACAGGCGTCAGCCAACGTGCCTGGCCAGCTTTTTTTCTTTTAATTGTTGTAATATCCATTATACCCTATTCTCAATTTATATTTCACTGGTCTCTATTTTCTAATTTTTATAGCTAATGGTTATTTTTTACTAAAAAGAAGTTTTGTCATCTTCGTTATCATTAGCCCATATAGTATCTGTAACTCGGTATCTCTAAGAAATAGAAATTAGATTTATAAACATGTGTTTGATTTAGCTTGGCCAAATAACTGAGTTCTCAATTTTTTTTTCCATATTTCTTTCCCTGGGATTACAAACTGTGAAATCCAAAGAACTTTTTGGATACACTGATGTCTTGTTTCTGAAGAAGTTTCCTTCTTGTCATCCTGGGGCACAGTGTTAAAGTTTGTTCAATTGCTTTTCTAATTTTATAAGGTATCTTGCATTCAGCTTATGTTGCCCTTTAAATCAGATGAGGAATGAGAGTAAATGCTTTCATTACTGGAATACGAGTAAAGTCACATTGTAATTGTAATTAAGGGCTATTAGGAAGGTAACTCATTTTCCTGCAAATTTGGTGCCAGTTATGTCTGGGTTTGAAGATGCTGTAATATCGCCTACTAATGATGTTTAGTAGTCTCTGCTTTTATGAAGGGTCATGTACAACTCACAGTTGTTCTTCTAAACAATGTTGCCTGCTCAACCTTAATGGTTTTATTAGGAAGGGTCTCAGAAGTGTTTATGGTGGGAAGCAAGTGATTTGTGCAAGGACAAACTTTTGAGAATGTACATATAGTCTTTTAAATTATTTATCTTTATGTATAGCACTGTCTCAAAGCCGTTAGTTTTTTAGAGGTGTTTCGTAGTTGCAAAGTACTTGTATGCCTTTGAATGATAGATTTTACCTTGTATCAAATACTTCTGTATGTGTTCTTAACTGGTGCTTTCAGATCATGTTGGTCCACCTGTCTGTAGTAGTACTATTCACATTATATTATATGTAGTCATGTACAACACTGTTCCCAGATTAGGCTGCAAGCCGGTGAGTTCTTGAGGAGTTTCCAGAGACCTGGCTAGTCATTACTTGGGCCACCTGGCTGTTTGTTTATTTCTGTCATGGAGTATGCTCCCTGCCCCTCATCTGGGACTTTGAGCCCTTGAAGCTGAGGGAAAGGAAAACATATCATTTGGTCCTCATTGGCTCTCTACCCTTATGAAGGAGCATATTTCCAGGAATCTCAACATGTGGTTGGGGATGCAGGTGGGAAGGAAGAAGGAGTCACCACAGAACTTTAAACAAATGGCTCTCATTTCAGGGCAGCTCACTCAAGTTCATTCTTTAACCATAACATATATTTTGCAAAACAGAACAGATATAAAAGAAGAAAAGCAATATTGACCACTCTGGGTTTGGAACTTATAGTGGATTGTATCTGTAATCTAAAAATGGCATATACTCTGGCTGGTGGATTATTCCTTTTAGACTGACTCCTGCTGAGGAATATAGAGACATTCGTTCTTTAATTCTCCATCTTTGGGAGACCCGATAGCATTCTCGGTGTGCTATCAGGATAATACCTCAATACCTTAGGATGGTACCTCAGTACCTACATATTATTTTTTTTGGAATTAAATAACTTGATTCTTGGAAGCATCTTTAAGGAATGCTTGGGACATATAAATGCTCAACAAATGCTAGTAATGTGTGATAATTAAATCATTTCACAGATACATGGGAACTGGAATAGAGAGGAAGCTCGTGATAGTAGACATTGCAGAAGTTTCTGGGTTGGACAAACTTGAGTTTGAATTTTGGTGCTGCCATTTACTAACTGTGTGGCTTGGCCAGTTGCTGAGCCTATCTGAGTCTTGGTTTCCTTGTCAGTATAACAGAAATAAAAATTGTTATTTTTCATGGTCTTATGGACTGAATGTTGGTTTCCCCTCAAAATGCGTATGTTGAAATCAAACCTTCAATGTGATAATACTAGGAGGTGGGGTCTGTAGGAGGTAATCAGGTCTTGAGGGTGGAGTGCTCATGAATGGATTGGTGTCTTTATAAAAGGAACTCCACAGAGTTCTCTTGCTCTTTCCTCATGTGAGGATATAATGAGAAGTCAGCAGTCTGTGACATGAAATAGGGCTCTCACTGGAACCTGACCATGCTGGCACAGATTTTGGACTTCCAGCCTCCAGAGCTGTGAGAAATAAATTTCTGTTGTTTATAAGGTACCCAGTCTATGGTATTTTGTTATAGCAGCTCAAACTGGTGAAGATGCATAGTATGAAAGGAGATTTCATACATAAAATGGATGACATATGTTTGACAACACTCGGTAAAGGGATTTACTAGTTATGAAATGAGAAACCAGAATTCAAGCCCTAGTCTTTTCATTCGTTAGGTATGAAATCTCCATGAAATTACCTTGTTATCTTAAGCCTTAATGCCCTTCTCTGGAAAATGAAGAGAGATATAAAATGGCATTCAATATTTGTACATATGTCTACTGCTTTTTTATTAGCATTTAACTTTCAGAATTTACTTGTTAATGGTTTTATTTTTCCTGCCATATTTTAATCCTAGAATTATTCATCTTTGTATATACAGAAGCTAGCCAAGTGCTTGTCATATAAAATTTTCTCCATAAATGCTGAGTGAATGAAGAGACACATGAATTCAGGGATGGGCAAATATATATTTTTATGAGAATGATGCATGAGCAGTATTCAAGGACAGAGAAATAGTGACTTCCCTGATTCCACACAAGGCACAGCCAGGCATTAGAAAGTTGAAAATTGGTTGAACAAAAAGCCCCCAAGGATGATAACATTTTCCTCTACATAAAAACATTCCTAACACAATTTCATATGTCAAAATCACATTTATTTTCACTGCCATTGAAATGTGAGATGTAATTGGCACTGATTCTATTAAGATTGTTCTGTTTTTGCTCTGTATTCTTTGTAAATTTAGTCTAGTAGTATTTTCTCATTAGTCATTTACCTAATTTTTTTCACAAACGTGTGAAGAGAAAATATGTGTATATTTCTAACCTTCTAAAACACATTTTATTTCAAATTTGATTATTTTTCAAAATGAGACATAACAAATGATATTGAGGTCCACATTTGCAAAAATATTTTCTGAGTTTTTTCAAAGCTTTTTATTGGAAAAACAAAATTATGTTTATGAAACAATCTGTGACTTAAAATAATTTTAAAATATTTGAGAGGAACATACAATGCAATACATAAAAACTTTTCTCTTTTAAGATGGAAGGGCCTATTTTTCTTAAGTAGTACCTTTAGTGTGAATTGTTTTTAAACAGTCTTTAGAAGGCAGGTGTATCTGGTGAGAACACACATGGTTATGAGGATGTGGTTATGACACCTACCTAAGTTTTGGGGGTATATGCTGCTTCTTTTTAGCTGCAGACTTGTTTCTAGATTCCTCTCAGGGCTGTGCATTGAATTTTCTATTGTCTTTGTTTCAGCAAAGTGTAACTGTTCCACTTCCTCATTCATTCAATAAATAATCTATCTGTGTCACACTGTGGTATATGGCACTGGCACATCATGCTGATAGTTACCCTTATGGAGCTCAAAGTTCAGTGGAAGCAACAGTCGTTATGCAAATAAACACACAAAAAAATATGTGTAATGAGAACTTGAGATGAGCTCGGTGAGGGAAGAGAACAGGCTATACGTGTGAAAAATTCTAACGGCATGGGCAGGGGAGAGGGGCTACTGATTTGCAGTGACAGAATCACAGAACATCGTTCTGGGAAGGGGAAATTTGTAATGAACACTATAAAATGAAAAGGAGCAGAAGGAACGATTGAAGACAGCAAGTCGCAGAATATTCCAGATAAAGGAAAGAAGCTGGCATATTTTAGGAACCATGTCAGGAAGACAGAAAACAAGGGAGAGTATGTGTGTGATGTGTCATAGAATAGACAACCAGTATAGGGTTATCCAGAGATCAGGCTTTGCATTTTGGGGTGATCAGGTTTGTATTGTGAAATGATCAGTCTGGTTGAAATGTAAAGAAGCTGGGGGTTCAAGTATACAAGAGAAGATACTAGTTAGGAGAATACAAGGAAGTTGCAATGGCCCAAGAATGAGGTGATACTCCATGGACCAAGGAGGGACCACCCAGTAGAGAGAGAAGTGAGCAAACAAGATTTGTTGTGGAAGTTGTGGCCTTTCCCAGTTTTTTACTTTTTGATATCTGAAAACTGGATGTGTCTTTCAGTCAAGGTGTTTCATGACTTATTTTTCAACATTGTTTTTCTTTCTTAGTTATACTTAAAATAATGACACGTTACCATTGATGACATCTTAGATTCAGTGCTGTATTAGTTCATTCTCACATTGCTGTAAAGAACAACCTGAGACTGGATAATTTATAAATAAAAGAGTTTTAATTGACTCACAGTTTTACAAGCTGTGCAGGAAGCCTGGCTGTGGAGGCCTCAGGAAATTTACAATCGTGGTGGAAGGTGCAAGAGAAGCAGACACATCTTACACGGCCAGAGAAGGAGGAAGAGAGCAAAGAGGGAGGTGCTAAACACTTTTAAAGAACCAGATCTTGTGAGAACTCACTCACTATCATGAGAACAGCAAGGGGGAAGTCCACCCCCATGATCTAATTACCTCCCACCAGGCCCCTACTCCAACATTGGAGAATACAATCCAAGATTTGGGCAGGGACACAAATCCAAACCATACAAAGGGGATATGGTAAAACTTGCTAAAATTTTAGGAGGGGCCATGGCCTTATTTCTTTCCTTAATAGAGTTATATTTTTAGTTAACCTATCTGAAGTTATAATAGGACATGATATCACATAAGGAAATATTCTATAACAAAATATTTATTCATTTCACAAAAGTTTTTTGCTTCTAGGCACTGATTGGGGTATTGTATATACAGTGGTAAGAGAATAAAGCAATAATAGTTGCTTCATGGAGTTTCTAGTGTGGCTGGGAAGATGGATATTGAACAAATAATGAATGCTGTTGAATTCTGTGAAGGAACAGTGCAGTTTGATATGGGCGGGGGGAAAAAGATGTGTCTGATCTTGTCTAGGGAGAGAAGGCAAAACATCTTTAGGAAATTACATTGATTCTGAGACCCAAAAGATGAGGAGTTAATAGGAAGAAGGAGTAGGGAAGAGTAATTCCAGGCCTGTTTCATGGCACATTTAAGAAATGGAAAGGTTAGTTGGGCTGGAACACAGAGGAAATAATGAATCATGAGTCTGAGGAGACACGCAGGGCCCAGATATTGCTGGGTCTTATCTCATAGACAATGAGAAGGATGGAAGAGATTGATATCATAAGTTTTGCTTTTTGTTGATATCTTGTGGTCATTGTGTACAGAAAGCATTTGTAGGGTGAGAAATGAAGGGCAAGAATGAACGTACGGATCCCTGTACAAGAGACAGTAGCAGAGGTCATGAAAATGGAAATAATTGAACAAATATAAGAGATATTTAGGAAATAGAATGCACAGAGCCAGGAGCCAGATTGGAAGGTAACCAACTAACTTAATTTTAGCTTTAAAAGTTCTACCTCCCACAAGACGCCTCAGTTCCAGGCAATTCAGTGTGGTTGGCCATTCTTGGTGGCAGAATGAGAAATCATATAAGATTTCCATTTTCTTGGCTTCAACAATGAGGTAAATTATGGTGCAATTTCTTGGTTGAGAGTCTTGAAGGGGGCCAACATTTCAGATACAATGGCATATGGTTTTGAGTTGCCAGTGAGACATCTCAGTACACATTTGAATAGACATTTTTGGAACTCAGAAGCAAGGTCTGTCCAGGCGATGAACATTTAGGATTTGTGGCATGACCAATGAAGCCATAGAATTGGAAAAAAATAAGTAGCGACATTATATTGAGTGAGAAGGGAAGCGTATCTTGAAATAAATGTTGAGAATTTTTATCATTAAATGTCTACTGAGGGAATAAGAGGCAGCAAAATACATTCAGAATGAGTGGCTGGAGAGAAAAGAAGAATAAACAGAAATGAAGACACAGTGGACATTTGAAGGGAGGATTGAGTGGTGTTGAGTGCTGCTGACAGATATGTATGATAACAGAAGTCCATTGAATTTTGTGAAATGTTGGCAAGAGCGATATAAACCTGGTTGTGTTGGAATTGTGTTGTGAAGTGAGTGAGAAAATGCAGACAGCAAGTGAAGGCTTTTATGAAACCTTGACTCCCACAGGATAATTAAGAGTCTGTCACCTGGCCAGGTGCAGTGGCTCACGCCTGTAATCCCATCACTTTGGGAGGCCGAGGCAGGTGGGTCACCTGAGGTCAGGAGTTCCAGACCAACTGGGCCAACATGATGAAACCCCATGTCTACTAAAAACACAAAAATTATAATCCCAGCACTTTGTGAGTCTGAGGTGGGCAGATCATGAGGTCAGGAAGATTGAGACTATCCTGGCTAACACGGTGAAACCCCATCTGTACTAAAAATGCAAAAAATTAGCCAGGTGTGGTGGCACATGGCTGTAGTTCCAGCTACTTGGGAGGCTGAGGCAGGAGAATCACTTGAACTGAAGAGGTGGAGGTTGCAGTGAGCTGAGATCATGCCACTGAACTCCAGCCTGGGTGGCAGAGCAAGACTCTGTCTCAAAACACACACACACACACACACACACACACACACACACACACACACATTACCCAGCAGTGGTGGTGCATGCCTGTAATGCCAGCTACTCGGGAGGCCAAAGCAGGAGAATCACTTGAATCAGGGAGGTGGAGGTTGCAGTGAGCCGAGATCGTGCCACTGCACTTCAGCCTGGGTGACAGAGCAAGACTCAAAAAAAAAAAAAAGAAAGAAAGAGAGAGAGAGAGGAAGGAAAAGGAAGGGAGGGAGGGAGAAAGAAAGAAAGAAGGAAAGGGAAAGAGGGAAAGAGAGGGAGAAAGAAGGGAGGGACGGAGGGAGGGAAAGAGGGAAAGAAAAGAGTCTGCCACTTAAAGGAACATGTGAAGACTAGGTAGCATTCTTTGATTGTTTTAGAGAGATTTTAACCAACAGAGAGAAAGAACTTGAAGGAATCGAAAAAAGAGCTTAGGGTCTTAATGGTAGGAGAAAAAAGAAGATCTATAGCATAGATAGAAGAATTTTTCTTGGCTAGGAGAAGAACCACCTCTCTAATTGTGACAGAGGGAAAGAATACAAGAATGGTACAAACACATCTTGGAGTCATGTTATATGTAAAGTATGTTTCCCAGGAAATGCTTCATTAACCTTCCTGTGTCAAATTATACTTCATGAGAAAAAGTACAGTAAGCAGCCCAGTGAGTGGTGATTATGTATCATATATTTTTAATTGCATGTATTACAGCTTTACTGTTGGAGCAATTACATTTTAAATTTTATTTAAAAATTCTTGTAAATCCAATACCTACCAGGCACTCAGGGTTCAGAAATGGCACCGTGGCTGTCATCAAGAACTTTCAATGCAACGATGGAGATGGGCATTTAAATAGATAATTGCAATAGAGTCTGACAGGAAGTGGAACTAGAGTGCAGTGAAAGTAAACAGCATGGGACAGATGCATGAGAGAATAATATTAATTAAGATTTGGGTTTAGCCACCAGAATGAGACTGAAATAATTTTCACTTGACAATATAGAATCGTTAGGCACTCCAGGGGTGGTAGGATGAAAAAAATACAACTACTCTGTTCCATGAGGTCATGCAGGGATCCAGATTTTTAGAGCTTTTTTGCTCCACTATATCTACATGACGGAACCTGGCTCCCCACCACCATATCCACGTTCCAGTCCACAGTGAGGGAGCAGAGGAAATGGACGATTACTTATCTTTCTGATTCAGCCTCCTGGCCTGGAGTGATGTGGTTGGAATTCCCTCATCTTGTTCATCAGTATAACCTGGAAATGCAGTGGAGTTAACAAACCTAACCAATGATGGAAGGATAGATGCCTTATCTTTCTGGATGATTATAAGGTCATTTCATAGGTGGGCTTCTCACATGTCCTAGCATACGTGTGAACTTCTGATTTCTCACAGTAACTTTGTCAAAATACATTTATATTGGCTTTCCTCCATCCTTGTATCAGTCTCTATGCTTTTCTCACTCCTCCTTCCTGAGATTATGTCTTTAGTAAACTATTTATATGAAATTCCTTGTCTCAGGATCTGCCTTTAGGGTAACCCAAACCAACTAATCAGATAGAGCAGCAGCCTTGACCAACCAGAATTGACATCTGTTGGCTTGGTGTCACCAGGGTGTTCCCATTTGACATCAGCTCTAAAACCATGGAGGCAGGAAATTGTCTGGTGATTTCAAAAAGCCATGAGAAATACATATGAAATAATGAAATAGACTTCAGTATAGAGAGAGGAACAGAAGGCTGCAGAGTTAGATGGGTGTCTTAGTCAGCTCAGGCTGCAATAACAGAATACTATATAGACTGAATGACTTCAACAACCAACATTTATTTCTCACAGGTTTGGTGCCTGGAAGTGTGAGATCGGGGTGCCAATATGATTGGGTTTTCAATGAGGGCCTTTCTGGTTTGCCGATAGCTGCATGTATCCTCATATGGCCAACTGGCAGAGAGAGAGAGAATCTCTCTTGTGTCTCTTTTTATAAGAGCTTTAATTCTATTCATAAGAGCTCCTCCGTTGTGACCTAATTACCTCCCAAAGATCCCACCTCCACATACCATCATATTGGGGTTTAGGCTTCAGCATATTAATTTGGGGGTGGGGCACAAACATTGAGTCCATACAATGTGGTTCAAATTGTGAGGGTCTTTTAATGTATAGAATATATGTGTATTTAATGTAGATATATAATAATATAGATATTATATAAGTGTAATATGAGTGTGTATAATATGGGATCTATATTTAATCCTGTGGAATGACATGAAGTCAGTAGCAGTAAATTATTCTATGTTTGTTTTCTTTATGTATTCATGCATTTAGTAGAGGAATCATATATTTGGATAAGGCTTCAAGAAAACATGTGTTGAGAATAAATTACAGGAGATGATTATGTAGAAAGAGGGGCTGAAGTGGCTATTTTAGGCATCCAAGTGAGAGATGAGGATCTAAATAGGGATGGGAGGGGAGCCACAATACTGGGGATGGAAAAAGTTCATATATATTCTAGAAAAAAATGCATGAATAAGGTGCTGTTAAAAATATTTGACAACTGGTCCTGCAAGGTACCAGCTAGTAAGAATGGACTTTGACTGTATATCCCCAGTATGGCAGAACCGGTGCATCCTAGATGATTGGCACTCTGGGTGTAAAGGATACACACTGAGAAGCACCCAGTCTATTCTCAGGCCTAATATGATTTCTTCTAACTTTCCAAATGGCATGGAGAAAGGAATCATAGCCCACGTAATGTCATTTAGATTTATCCACTGCCCCATCATTGCCATTTCTCTTGCATTTTAAGGATTCCTGGAACAATCTAATTTAAGATATGTTCAAGTGTTTGTATCAATTCACCTTTGATGACTAAGTCATAATTGTCACTGCGCCCTGAGAGCAGTCCACGTCCATCATTGCATGGCTCACCTACATTTTCTTTTCTGCTAGTCACAAGGCCTTCTAGTTAGGATACGCTGATGGACCTAAAATACATGTGAGAGCAGGTGTTAGCACGCCACTGACATTCAAAGCAAGAATTAACACTTAACTCAGGAGAAATGACCTTTTATTCTTTCCTGAAATGTTCCAGTCCTGCTGGAGCCACAGCAGAAGCAGGTTGATTTGCTCAACAAATATCTATTCAATGTAGGCTATATCTCAGCAATCAGAAGGCTGTCTTGGGAGACATCAGGGTGGAAAAAGACTGCAGGACCCTCAGGAGCTTTATAGATTTGTGCAGAGGTAAAAATGCCCCTGTGTTTCCTAGAATTTAACTGTACTTCCTGTGATTTCACAGAGCCAGAGGTAAACATGCAGTGCTTTTACATGCAATTTCCCCTGCCGCCAATTCCAGAATTTCAAAGAAGAGAGTTGTGCTAGTTTCCTGTGACTATTGTAAGAAACTACCACAAACTTGTTGGCTTAACACAATAGATATTTATTATCTCTTCAGTTAGGAAGGCCAGAAGCCAGAATTAAAGGTGCCAATAGGGTCACATTCCTTTTAATGGCTTTAGGAGACAATCCATTCCTTGCCTTCCAGCTTCTGGTAATTCCAGGAATGCCTTGGTTTATGGATGCCTAACTCCAATCTCTGACTCAGTGATCTCATTGCCTCTTCTCTTGTGTGTATCTGCCTCCCTCTAGACTGAGAAGCCCAGAGGGAGACAGAGATCTCCCTCCCTTTTAAAGGGATACATGTGACTTCACCTAGGGTCCACTTGGATAATCCAATGCAAGAACCTCCTTTGAAGATCCTTAATTTCATCAGGTGTGCAAATACATTTTTTATGGATAAGCTCCCAGGGATTAGTACCTAGGCATATCTCTTTTAGGGGCTATGATTTAGTCTATTGCAAAGGTAAAGTCTAGTCATTTTCTGAGGAGGGGGAAGGAAAGAGGGAGAGAAAAAAAAGAGAGAGGAAGAGAGAGAGGGAGAAGAGAGACCAGAAGCAAGAATAGGAATCTTCCTTAGGGATAAAATAAACCAATTAGCCAAAGAAGAGTCTTCACCTACAGTCAATTCCCACCTTTGTCTGAATAAGAAACAGAGACAAAAGAAGTGAAGAAGGCAACAAAAGCAAGGCAATATGATGAGGGGTAAAGACTGCAGCCTTTGAAACCAAAGAGACCTGCATCCAAACCCCACTTAAACAACTTACTGACTATATTACTCTGGAAATATATTTAACATGGCAATGATAAGACCTAAAATACAGAGTTACTTTACTACTTATGTAAAATGTTATATTTCTGTGTATACATAAATTTTAGATAGATAGATAGATAGATAGATAGATAGATAGATAGATAGATAGAATAACCTGGCACAGAATGTTGCACATAGTTTGGAGCACCACATAGTCATTTTCCTCAAAAGTATTAAGTACACATTAGTTATTGTTATCATGAGCATATTTTTCTTTTGGAGGAGAGCAAATCAGATTCAGAGCCAGCTTCTTCAGTTCTAGTTGAATTAGTCCTACTGGCTTATCTCATTTCTCATCATTTCTGATATTGCCCTTAGGTAACAAGTTTTTTTTTTCCCTGTAAGACTTTATTACTTCTTCCTCCTGCCCCAGACACTGTAAATTTCAGTGGCATCCAATAGAGTGGAAAGTAAGACTTCTCTTTAAGGCAGATGTCTGTTATATTGCTGTAATAAAGCAAATTGTTGGGAAGAAAATACTACAGAGGCTTGAGTTCATCATAACTCATGATAATCTAAATGATCTGTTAATGAGGTTGCTGCTTGAGTGATACAACATTTTAAACTATGGGACAATGGGTGCATCAAAGTCTTTACAGAAATTCTCTGGGGTGTTCTTGCTCCTAGTAGCTTTCTTTGCTTAAGTACTTCTAATGACACCTTCTAGTGGAATTGAAAGTGTTTGGCTTATGCAGCCTCAAAATGGGAGTTGTATATGCTTAGTGGTGTCTCATGAGCCTTAATGAGCTATCAGCTGTTGTTTTCCTTTAAACTCTTAAAAATCAGCATGAGAAAAAATCATTATATTTATTTCTAACACAACAAAAGAGAAATTTTAAAAATTCACTCATACTAAAGGCTAAAGGAATCTGAAAAAGTCAGGTTCTGCATTAGCAGGATCAATTCATATCCACTAAAAAGAATAGACCTCTTTTCTGCGAAATCATCAGCAATTAGCCTTTTCAAAGGAGAATTAATTTTTCAGTGTTGGATTAGTACCATCAGAAATGAAGATTTATCTCATTATTGGACATAGAGCTTTGAAGTTTGCAAGCTGAAAACATATTTCCTCCATTTGTTAGATGGTATCTTGAAAGATTGTCGTCTACATCTTAATGTGTGAGCCACATGTGTTTCTGTGTGTATATAAAAATTTCTTAATTACTCTCTCAGAATTCAGTGAGCTATTCAATAGAATTCATTGCTCTTATCAGCAATTGGCCTTTTCAAAGGAGAATTAATTTGGCATATAATGCATATGATGTAAGTAAAGACTTGTTTTGTAATCATGTAATTAAATAAAAATATTATACTAGAACTTCAAATTACTGACAGAAAACACAACCATTTGAAATGTTATTCTTATCAGAGCCAATAAATAAATGATTGCATAGTTTAGAAGAATTACTTTTCTTACCTTCTTAATAAATAATTTCTTCTTCTATAGTTTTAACAAAATTTGGGGCCGTTTTGAGGTTAATTTTAAAACATACTACCGAAGTTAATGACATTTGACCTTAATTGAGTTTCACATCTTGGGTCATACCAGGAAGTATAACCCCATACCCATGATGAAAGTTTTGAGATTAACTGTAGATGTATCAAAAAAATATGGGCATAATCACTAATAAGAATGTTAATTTTAGAACTTAATACATTTATTTCTATGGTAACTATGTTTGCTCTTTTTTCACTTCATCTCTGAAACAATAATCAGCTAGGCCTTGTCATCAGAAGCTTCTTTTAAAGTCAATTTCACAGCAACAACTGCATTCTTACTGGAGAGGCTCTAGAAGTTCAGAAATGTTCATTCCAATCAGGTCTTTGCACAGTACTAAAATTCAGTCCCCACAGTATATCATGCCTCTTAAAGTGATAACCTTCAGAGCAGACTATATAAGACAGTTTATGGGCTAATAACTAATTTATAAAAGCACACTTGATCTAACATGTTATTTAAATTAAAGTTGAACATCTAGAGTGAAAGTGAAAAAAAGAATCTGAATCCCACTACATACTTGTGGAGGATATTTTCTATAGACTTCATGCTACTCTTCGGGTTTTTATTCATTCTTCTGTTTTATTAATTCTTTCTGTAGAGTGTTGCCCATTGAATAGTGAATGATTTTGTTTGTTTCTTGAAATTAGCACAAGTGGAAAACACCATTGGTAGTTCAAATATGTTTATTGAACACCTATGATATGCAAAACACTGGCCTAGACAGTATAGGAATAACAAAATTAGAATAAATAAAGTAAATATATAAAATGCATATCACTAATTTTTACAAGATCTTATATCTTAGGAGAGAGGATTCAATATGTATGAAAGTGATTAAATAAGAATTAAAATATCACATGCTATAAAACATTGTTAAGGTAAAGTACTCTGTAAATTTATTGTTCAAAAAGGAAATAGAAGAATTGGCATTTGAACTGATTTATAAAATAATTTGTAAAGGTAAGCATAATAACGAACACATGCTATAAAATATTGTTAAGGTAAAGTACTCTATAAATTTAAGGAAGAAAGATCTTATTGTTCCAAAAGGAAATAGAAGAATTGGCGTTTGAACTGATTTATAAAATAATTTGTAGAGGTAAGCATAATAATGAAAATATTAGCGTACACTTCTATAGTGTTTGTTATGTGCCCACTTTTCCAAAGGACTTTGCATCTATTAACTCATCCCTATAAGGATGGTGTCATGATAATCCCCATATTATAGGTGAGGAAATAGTCATGTAAAAATTTAATAACTTGCCTGGGATCACAGAGCTAGCAGTTGGAGAGGTGGAGGAGCCTGATTTATCTCTGGCCAGGCTGGGTCAGAGTCTATGTATTTATAAATGGCCACTCAGGGAAAATGCAGGAGATGAGTTGCAGAATGTATTTGTTTCCTGTTACTGCTGCAACAAATTGCCACAAACCTCGTGGCTTAAAACAGCACAAATTTACTATCTTTCAGTTTTGCAGTTCAGAAATATGAAATGGGTTTCACTAAGCTAAAATCAGATGTCATCAATGTGCATTCTTTTCTAGAAGGAGAGTCTGTTTCCTTGCCTTTCACAGCTTCTAGAGGCCATCCCCATCACTTGGCTTGTGGGTGCTTCCGTGTTCAAATCTAGCAGTTGCATCATTTTGACCTCTGCTTCCTGGTATCACATATCCTTCTGGGACTCTGACTCTCCTGCCTCCCTTTTTCACTTATAAGAACCATTATGGTTACACTGAACTGATTTGGATAATCCAGAATAATCTCTTTATATTCCAGTCAACTGATTAGCAACCTTAATTCCATTTACAGCCTTAATTCCCCCTTGATATGTAACATAACATATTCACAGGGTCTGGGACTTAAGAACATCTTTGTGGGTCTGTTAATTATTTTGCCTACTGCTCAGAACATGAGTTTAGGTTCAGTGGCAAGAAAGAAGGAGCTATTAAGAGAAAGGCAATCTGGTTTGGCAAAATGAGAAGTGGGGCAGTTTGTAAAAAGTGTAGGATGGCAGGTCACACTGAGCAAATTACCAGCCAAATAGGAGTTCAATAAATGAATATCTCTAAATCTCTCTAAAAAATGTTTAACAGTAGGATAGTTATGTTTCCCAACTAATTTTAAATATATAATCTCCACAGATACTTACTGAGCATTTATTACATTTTGGAAGTATATAAAACATACATCATATTTATATTTTAATTAGCTCAAACATTGAAAAACTTAAATGAGCCAATTGTGTGAGATGCCAAAAAATGGGTCATAGATGTGTTGTCAAAAGTGGCCTTGTTGGAATCTCTAGAGTCCTTTCTATAAAGGATACCTTTCATTCCTGCCTCAACACTGAGAAAGCTGAAAAATAAGCAGGAAGGATAGAGACCAAGCCATAACCAAGTTGGGGCACGTGACTTTCAAACAAGGGTAAGTGCAGTGGCTAATATGAACCACAATCTGACCTGGATTGTGGGGCAATTTGGCTTCCAAGAGGGAGGCTCCTACAGAATTTACAGATGTAAAGCATGGAGTGAAAGAGGACAGCCCAGGCTCTCCATAGGAAGGCTGTTTCTAGACAGAAGAGTCACTCTCCCCAGTTTGAACAACCAAATAAATAATTCGCCTCCCCAGGGGCAGAGTGAGTACAGGGACAAGAGAAGAAACTAGAAGTACCACACTAGCAGAATTTTCTCTTCCTGGCAGAACATATAAGTAGTAGGGAAGAAGCAGTTCCCTCTTAAAACATCTCAAGTTCGTCTTGATTTAATGTAAACTCATCATTTTCTCCTCAAATTAGTTAACTCCAAATTTTCTTGTATTGTTCTTCTCAATGGGTATGCTATGGGGTGAATTGTCGTGCTTCCCAAAATTTATATGTTAAGTTCCTAATCTCCAAAGTATATTTGGAGGTGGGCCTTTGGGAGATAGTTAGATCATGAGGGTAGAGTCCTCATGAATGGAATTAGTGCTCTTATAAGAAGAGGCACAAGAGAGATGATCTCTCTCTCTCTCTGAGAATATGAGGATATAAGAAGGCAGCTGCCTGCAACCCAAGAAGAGGGCCCTCAACAGAATCCAACCATGCTGACATTTATGATCTCAGACTTTGGAGCCTCTAGAATTCTGAGAAGATAAATTTCCACTGTTTACACCACTCAGCATAATGTTTGTTATAGCAGCCCAAGCTGATTACGACAGGTTGGAGCCACACTATCCTAGTTACCCAAACTAGATACTTAAGGATCACCTTTGACTCTTTTCCCGCACTCCCTGACTCTTTCCAGTCACTCTTGAAGTGTGGCTTTTTCTCAAATGAGTAATATCTGCCCCATCTCTCCTAATATGTGTCATCATTTTACTCAAATTCCTTTCAGTGGTGTCCTTATGTCATCATCACCCTCTGCTCAACCATGTTCCCTCCTGCTAGATATGTCTAAAATATAAATGTGCCCAAGCCACCTTGTCTCCAGAAGCCCTGATAATGACTTCCTTAAAATCTCTAAAACTCATATTAAAAATCTTCTAATTTAGATATACTTTCTGGCACCCAGGTCTTGTTAAGTGCCCTCTTTTACGCTACTATGACATCTTGCTCCAGTTCTAAAACTTCACCAATTTTATTACATTTTGAACAATAATGTATGCCCTACTCAAAAAGATGAGTTTTATAATAATTGTAATAACAATTATTACATTATAATAAAAAGGATTATTCCCAGATAAATAGTAATGTACTCTTTATGCTTTTATATGTTTTTTGAATAGTAATAAGCACATTTATTATATGAGCTAATTAATTCTTGCAAGAACACTGAGAAGTAGATATGGCTTTGCCTATTTTATCTGAAAGACAACGAAGGCTCTTAGAAATTACATGATTTACTCAGAGTCACATAGCTAGTAAGTAACAAATCTGGAGTTTAACTAGGGCACTCTGATTATGAAACGTGAATATTGGTTTTGAGGTGCTTATCTAAATACTAGCAGGTAGAGGAGTAAAAACTACATATTTTGAACTTCTTATGAGTTAGTAAAAAGACCAGCATTATAATAAGCCATTTTTATTTAACTTCCAGAACCTTGAGAATAGAATGAGAAGGCAAGACTACATGATTTTTATAGTCTGAGTAGTAACTTCTTCAAATATTTTAACTTTTACTTTTTCTTCAAATGAGATAAGCGAACATTATAGAATTTTCCAAGAATCATAAATTAACCCTTTAGATCACCTTGATTTACTTCGAGGCAATGGATACCAAATGGTTGATGACAACACAAATAAATGGAGCAATAAAACCTCAATACTTTTTTTAATTTTAATTTTTATTTATTTAATTTATTTTATTTTATTTTTGAGACAGAGTCTCATTCTGTTGCCCAGGTTGGAGTGCAACAATTTCAGCTCACTGTCACTGCAACCTCCACCTCCCTGGTTCAAGAAATTCCCCTGTCTCAGCCTCCCAAGTAACTTGGATGACTGGCTCATGCCATCACGCCCAGCTAATTTTTTTGTGTTTTTAGTAGAGATGGGGTTTCACCATGTTTGCCAGACTGGACTCGAACTCCTGACCTTAGGCAATCCACCTGCTTTGGCCTCCCAAATTGCTGGGATTACAAGCACTAGCCACTGCACCCAGCCCCCAACACTTCTTTTTAAGCAATCTACTCGGTAGATAACTGATGAATCAGTCCAAAACTCAAAGTGTATGAGAGCTGTTTAGGATGGATGGCCCTTGCATGCACCACTACTGCTCACACCATCAACGACATTTCTCATAGCTGCCCAGGTGTATTGAATGATTTCATCATTTCAGATAATTAACATACGAATTGTTGGCCATTTTGTGCTCTGTACTTTAATGTCATAGAACTGAAGAGTTACAATGAACCTAGGAAAGTTGTTCAGTCAATTAACAATTTTTATTGAGTATAATTATATGTCCATATTTTCTAAATGCTGAAAAGAGACACAGAAAAGCATGAAAATTGGTTCCTTGCCAAGAATTCACAATCTAGCATGGAAAAGAATATATCCATGACATAATTAGAAAACAAAACAAGACAATATAAAATTAAATGCCTAATTTTGTGGCACAGGCTATAAGAGCCATAACATTTCAGGAAAGGATGAGAGAGTAGAGTGGGCTGGAACTGTCAGAGAATATTCATGTGGGAGATGAGGATATTGATAAGATTCTGATTGGTGTACCTGAAAGTGACGGGGAGAATTGAATCAAGTTGGAAAACACTCTGCAGGATATTATCCAGGAGAGAACTTCCCCAACCTAGCAAGGCAGGTCAACATTCAAATTCAGGAAATACAGAGAATGCCACAAAGATACTCCTCGAGAAGAGCAACTCCAAGACACATAATTGTCAGATTCACCAAAGTTGAAATGAAGGAAAAAATGTTAAGTGTAGCCAGAGAGAAAGGTCGGGTTACCCACAAAGGGAAACCCGTCAGACTAACAGTGGATCTCTCAGCAGAAACTCTTCAAGCCAGAAGAGAGTGGGGGCCAGTATTCAACATTCTTAAAGAAAGAATTTTCAACCCAGAATTTCATATCCAGCCAAACTAAGCTTCGTAAGTGAAGGAGAAATAAAATCCTTTACAGACAAGCAAATGCTGAGAGATTTTGTCACCACCAGGCCTGCCCTAAAAGAGGCCTGAAGGAAGCACTGAACATGGAAAGGAACAACTTGTACCAGCCACTGCAAAAACATGCCAAATTGTAAAGACCATCGATGCTAGGAAGAAACTGCATCAACTAATGAGCAAAACAACCAGCTAACATCATAATGACAGGATCAAATTCACACATAACAATATTAACCTTAAATGTAAATGGACTAAATGCTCCACTTAAAAGTCACAGACTGGCAAATTGGATAAAGAGTCAAGACTCATCAGTGTGCTATATTCAGGAGACCCATCTCATATGCACAGACACACATAGGCTCAAAATACAGGGATGGAGGAAGATCTACCAAGCAAATGGAAAACAAAAAAAAGGCAGGAGTTGCAATCCTAGTCTCGGATAAAACAGACTTTAAACCAACAAAGATCAAAAGAGACAAAGAAGGCCATTACATAATGGTAAAGGGATCAATTCAACAAGAAGAGCTAACTATCTTAAATATATATGCACCCAATACAAGAGCACCCAGATTCATAAAGCAAGTCCTTAGAGACCTACAAAGAGACTTAGACTCCCACACAATAATAATGAGAGACTTTAACACCCCACTGTCAACATTAGACAGATCAATGAGACAGAAAGTTAACAAAGATATCCAGGAACTGAACTCAGCTCTGCACCAAGCGGACCTAATAGACATCTACAGAACTCTCCACCCCAAATCAACAGAATATACATTCTTCTCAGCACCACATCACACTTATTCCAAAATTGACCACATAGTTGGAAGTAAAGCTCTCCTCAGCAAATGTAAAAGAACAGAAATTGTAACAAACTGTCTCTAAGACCACAGTGCAATCAAACTAGAGCTCAGGATTAAGAAACTCGCTCAAAACTGCTCAACTACATGGAAACTGAACAACCTGCTCCTGAATGACTACTGGGTACATAACGAAATGAAGGCAGAAATAAAGATGTTCTTTGAAACCAACAAGAACAAAGACACAACATAGCAGTATCTCTGGGACACATTTAAAGCAGTGTGTAGAGGGAAATTTATAGCACTAAATGCCCACAAGAGAAAGCAGGAAAGATCCAAAATTGACACCCTAACATCACAATTAAAAGAACTAGGGAAGCAAGAGCAAACACATTCAAAAGCTAGCAGAAGGCAAGAAATAACTAAGATCAGAGCAGAACTGAAGGAGACAGAGACACAAAAAACCCTTCAAAAAATCAATGACTCCAGGAGCTGGTTTTTTGAAAAGATCAACAAAGTTAATAGAGCGCTAGCAAGACTAATAAAGAAGAAAAGAGAGAAGGATCAAATAGACGCAATAAAAAATGATAAAGGGGATATCACCACCGATCCCACAGAAATACAAACTACCATCAGAGAATACTATAAACACCTCTATGCAAATAAACTAGAAAATCTAGAAGAAATGAATAAATTCCTGGACACATACAGTCTCCCAAGAGTAAACCAGGAAGAAGTTGAATCCCTGAATAGACCAATAACAGGCTCTGAAATTGAGGCAATAATTAATAGCTTACCAACCAAAAAAAGTCCAGGACTAGACAGATTCACAGCCGATTTCTACCAGAGGTACAAGGAGGAGCTGATACCATTCCTTCTGAAACTATTCCAGTCAAAAGAAAAAGAGGGAATCCTCCCTAACTCATTTTATGAGGCCAGCATCATCCTGATACCAAAGCCTGGCAAAGACACAACAAAAAAAGAGAATTTTAGACCAATATCCCTGATGAACACTGATGCAAAAATCCTCAATAAAATACTTGCATACTGAATCCAGCAGCACATCAAAAAGCTTATCCACCATGATCAACTGGGCTTCATCCCTGGGATGCAAGGCTGGTTCAACATACACAAATCAATAAACGTAATCCAGCATATAAACAGAACCAAAGACAAAAACCACATGATTATCTCAATAGATGCAGAAAAGGCCTTTGACAAAATTCAACAGCCCTTCATGCTAAAAACTCTCAATAAATTAGGTATTGATGGGTCATATCTCAAAATAATAAGCACTCTTTATGATAACCCCATGGCCAATATCATACTGAATGGACAAAAACTGGAAGCATTCCCTTTAAAAACTGGCGCAAGACAGGGACGCCCTCTCCCACCACTCCTATTCAACATAGTGTTGGAAGTTCTGGGCAGGGCAATCAGGCAGGAGAAAGAAATAAAGGGTATTCAATTAGGAAAAGAGGAAGTCAAATTGTCCCTGTTTGCAGATGACATGATTGTATATTTCGAAAATCCCATTGTCTCAGCCCAAAATCTCCTTAAGCTGATAAGCAACTTCAGCAAAGTCTCAGGTACAGAATCAATGTGCAAAAATCACAAGCATTCTTATACACCAATAACAGAGAGCCAAATCATGAGTGAACTTCCATTCACAATTGCTTCAAAGAGAATAAAATACCTAGGAATCCAACTTACAAGGGACGTGAAGGACCTCTTCAAGGAGAACTACAAACCACTGCTCAATGAAATAGAAGAGGATACAAATAATGGAAGAACATTCCATGCTCATGGGTAGGAAGAATCAATATCATGAAAATGGCCATACTGCCCAAGGTAATTTATAGATTCAATGCCATCCCCATCAAGCTACCAATGACTTTCTTCACAGAATTGGAAAAAACTACTTTAAAGTTCATATGGAACCAAAAAAGAGCCCACATTGCCAAGTCAATCCTAAGCCAAAAGAACAAAACTGGAAGCATCATGCTACCTGACTTCAAACTATACTACAAGGCTACAGCAACTAAAACAGCATGGCACTTGTACCAAAACAGAGATATAGACCAATGGAACAGAACAGAGTCCTCAGAAAGAATACCACACATCTACAACCATCTGATCTTTGACAAACCTGACAAAAACAAGCAATGGGGAAAGGATTCCCTATTTAATAAATGGTGCTGGGAAAACTGGCTAGCCATATGGAGAAAACTGAAACTGGATCCCTTCCTTACACCTTATATGAAAATTAATTCAAGGTGGATTAAAGACTTACATGTTAGACCCAAAACCATAAAAACCCTAGGAGAAAACCTAGGCAATACCATTCAGGACATAGGCATGGGCAAGGACTTCATGTTTAAAACACGAAAAGCAATGGCAACAAAAACCAAAATTGACAAATGGGATCTAATTAAACTAAAGAACTTCTGCACAGCAAAAGAGACTACCATCAGAGTGAACAGGCAACCTATAGAATGGGAGAAAATTTTTGCAATCTACTCATCTGACAAAGGACTAATATCCAGAATCTACAAAGAACTTAAACAAAATTTTTTTTACAAGAAAAAAAAAACCCCATCAAAAAGAGGGTGAAGGATATGAACAGACACTTCTGAAAAGAAGACATTTATGCAGCCAACAGACACATGAAAAAATGTTCATCATCACTGGCCATCAGAGAAATGCAAATCAAAACCACAATGAGATACCATCTCACACCAGTTAGAATGGCAATCATTAACATGTCAGGAAACAACAGATGCTGGAGAGGATGTGGAGAAATAGGAACACTTTTACACTGTTGGTGGGACTGTAAACTAGTTCAACCATTGTGGAAGACAGTGTGGCGATTCCTCAAGGATCTAGAACTAGAAATACCATTTGACCCAGCCATCCCATTACTGGGTATATACCCAAAGGATTATAAATCATGTTGTTATAAAGACACATGCCCACATATGTTTATTGCGGCACTATTCACAATAGCAAAGACTTGGAACCAACCCAAATGTCCATCAATGACAGACTGGATTAAGAAAATGTGGCACATATACATCATGGAATATTATGTAGCCATAAAAAAGGATGAGTTCATGTCCTTTGTAGGGACATGGATGAAGCTGTAAACCATCATTCTCAGCAAACTATCGCAAGGACAAAAAACCAAACACCACATGTTGTCACTCATAGATGGGAATTGAACAATGAGAACACTTGGACACAGGAAGGGGAACATCACACACCGGGGACTGTTGTGGGGTAGGGGGAGGGACGATGGAAAGCATTAGGAGATATACCCAATGTAAATGACGAGTTAATGGGTGCAGCACACCAACATGGCACATGTATACATATGTAACAAACCTGCACATTGTGCACATGTACCCCAAAACTTAAAGTATAATTTAAAAAATCAAAAGATAAAAAAATAAATAAAATCCCAACAGATATATATACACATAGACAAAACTATTCTAAAAATTGTATAGACAGCCAAGTATACTACAATAGCTAAAACTACTTTGCAAAATAATAACGTAGGTAAAGTTACTCTACATGACTTCAAAACTTAGTATATAGCAATAGTCCTGTGTGGTATGGCAGAAAGACAGATTAAAGAAACAGAACAAAGAACCCAAAAAGACGCTCAAATTTGCCCAACCACCTTTGGTCAAAGGTTCAGAAACAGTAACAACTTAATGGAGGAATAATAATCTTTTCAAAACATGCTTGAGAAATCGGACAACAGGTAAACAAACAGAATGAACCTCAATCTTAACTTCACCCTTTATACAAAAATTAACTTAAAATGAACAATTGATTTAAATGTAAAACGTAATGCTATGAAACTTGTAGCAGGTCACATGGGAGAAAATCTTCAGGACCTGGGACTTGTGAGTTCTTAGACATGATCCATACAAGAAAAAATAACCAAATGGGATTTCATCAAAATTAAACAACCTTTGCTCTTTGAAATCCCTGTTGAGAAGATGAAAAGACAAGCAACAGACTGGGAGAAGATATTGATAAACTACATATCTAACAAAGAATTCATATCTAGAATGTATTTAAAAACTCACAACTCAGGCCAGGCATGGTGGCTCAAGCCTGTAATTCCAGCACTTTGGGAAGCCGAGGTGGGCAGATCACGAGGTCAGGAGATCAAGACCATCCTGGCTAACACGGTGAAACCCCATCTCTACTAAAAATACAAAAAATTAGCCGTGCATGGTAGCCGGCGCCTATAGTCCCAGCTACTCAGGAGGCTGAGGCAGGAGAATTGCTTGAACCTGAGAGGCAGAGCTTGCAGTGAGCCGAGATTGCACCACCGCACTCCAGCCTGGGAGACAGAGCAAGACTCTGTCTCAAAAAAAAAAAAAAAAAAAAAAAAAAAAAATCTCAAAACTCAACAGTAAAAACAGACAATTCAAATAGAAAATGAGAAAAAGATATGAACACATACTTAATCATAAAGAAAATATGGGTGTCCAGTGAGCCCATGAAAAGCTAATCACCATTGCCAGACATTAGGGAAATACAAATTAAGATGACAATGAGATATCACTACATACCTATTAGAACAGCTAAAGTAAAAACTGTGACAATGGAAATATAAGCCAGTACACCACTCAAAAAACTAGTTAAACTAGTTGGACACTTTAAAAAAAAAAATCTAAACATACAGTTACCATTCAACCCAGCAACTGTACTCTGTGCATTTATCCCAGAGAAATGAAAACCTAGACACACAACAATCTGCACATGATTGTTCACAGCAGTTTATTTTTAATCGCCAAAAACAAGACCAAAATATGCCTCAGTGGGTGAGCAGTTAAACAAACTCTGGTACATCCACAGCATGGAATTCTACTCAACAATAAAAATGAGCAAACTATTGATACACACAACAGCTAGGATGGATCACAAGGGCATTATATTGAGTGAAAACTCCAATCTTGAAAGGTCACATCTGGTATGATTCCATTTATATAGTAGTCTCTCAGTGATAAAATTATCGAGTTGGATCCGAGGTTAGTGATTGCCCAGAGTCAGGAGTAATGAGGGTTTGGGTACGTGATTGTAAAAGGAAAGTGTGGGAGAGATCTTTGTGGTGATAGAATATTTTTTATCTTAATTATAGTGGTGATTACACAAATCTACACATTTGCTAATATGACACAGAACTACACACCCACATTATACCAACGTCAAAGTCGTGTTTTGGTGTTAAGTACTATGTAAGATGGAAATGGGTGAAGGGTACTTAGAACTTCTTTGTACTAACTATGCAATTTCCTATGAATCTATCATTATTTCAAAATAAAAAGTGAAAAAATAAGATTTGCTCTACATCCAAATTTCTATTTTTCTGTATCTTCTTCCCATAAGCTTGGTCATTGTCAGCTGAGGTATACTTATGGCTTCTTTGATCCTCCTCTGTCAATCTGCTTTTAACCTATGTCCTCTCCCACTTCTGGTATGTGTTTTACAGACCCAGGGCCAGCCTTCACAGGCCTCTTCTCCGGGCAAGTGAAAGGAAACTGCTAGAAGACAACACACTGGCCCCATGAATACTCAGAGTCCTCTAGACTGAGGTCACTTGAGTTAAGTAGCTTAGATTTTTAGATTGAAGTCCTGGTTTCAAATATCCAAGGTGACATTTAATCAATAACTCAAAACCTTCAGCATTGTCAACAGAGTAGAATGATGTGCTGAATGAAACCAAATAAAGCGGACCAATATAAAATCCTGTAGTTGGCTTCTAAAAGGCAGCTGTGTAAGCACAAAAATATAGAGGTGAGACTTCAAAGCAGCACACGTTAAAAAAAAAAACTTAGAGAATTTACATTATACTTTAGGTGTAATATGAGTCAATAGTGTGGCTGCCAAAATTCTAAAAATTGGGTTGTACTACTATTTATTGCTACATTTATACAGTAGTTATCTATGCATTTTACAAAGAGCAATTTATTTATTTAATCCTTACAATAACCTTGAGAAGAAAGTAACATTTTTATCTGCCCCTTTTTTAGATGTACAATCTCAGGCACAGATAGGTTAAGTAACTTGTTTAGACTCACCATAGTAAATGTAGATCAGCAATTCAAGCCCAGGCTCAAACTCTTTGATCTTAATAGCTTCATATACAATAACACATCTATACTGTGGTCATGCATGCATGCATTCATTCACTCAACAATATTTATATTCCAAACATTATTCTAAATAAAATTATTAAGATTACTGCTGTTGTGGGTCTTACCTCATTAGACAGCTAGACAATAAACAAATAAATAAGAATATTTTATGGTGGCAAGTACTATTACTACATTTAGGGTGACATGATAAAAGTTGATGAAAGAAGCTACTTACTATTTGGAGGCCATGAAAGTCCTCATTGAAGAGGAGGGATATCAACTAAAATCTAAATGACAAGAAAAGGACAGCCATGTAAATATGCAGAGAGAGAGAAAGTATTCCACACAAAGACAATCAGTGCACACACCCTACTGTGTGGAGCCTGCTTGACCTAATCATTGAGACATTAGAAGAAAATTTTGGCTGGAAATTCATGAGTGAAGAGAGAATGGAATAAGGGGAGACTGAGGAAAGGGAGATTATATAGACCACATAGGGTATGGAGTTGGATTTCATGCTCATTATTATGGGAAGTGTATAGAACGTTTTGAGGAGGTGATGACTTGATAAACTTTATGAGTTCAAAAGAGCCCTTTAGCTACTAAGTGGAAGGTAAACACTCAGGATTCATGGGGGAAGCAGGACGACCACGTCAGAGCCTGTTGAGATTGTTCAGGCAAAAGATGATTATGATGTGGACATGAGTGGTACCAGAAAAAGGGAAAGAAATTGGGTACAGAAAACAGGAAGCCATGTTCAGTTCTGCTCAGTTCCCTGCTGGTCAGACCACCCTTGGAGCATTGTGATCAATTCTTGGCATGAGTCACTGGAAGAATAATGATAGGACAGGGGAAAGATGAGAACATACTGAGATATCCAAAGACATTTCTGTATGTAGAATAACCAATCATATTTTAAATATTTTAACAAATAATTTATACTTTAATACAAAATTTTACATTTCAATAATTTGCAACAGAATATTTTCATTTGGGCAACATAATGAAAATTATAGGAAATGAAGCTTGATAATATTTATGTTGATGGGACATATTATGAGAAAGGGTGAGAAACTTCAAAGTAGACCATGTTCAGACAATATTCCCCTAAATAATGATTCAGAACCACATTCCCTCCAAACAAACAGGGTCTCTCTCTGTGCTGAGCTTCCTGGAGCTGGGAGAGGGGTAATGCAAGCATCCCTATGGCCACCACCACTGGGACTGCACAGCACTGGGTCTCACCTAAGGCCTGCAGTGACTACTGCCTGGCTACAGCCTATTTTCACTCATGGACCAAGGGCTCTACACTCAGCAGGTGGCAAAGTTATCCAGGCTTATGTCCTTCCTTTTAGTGTGATGAGTTCTTTCTAAGAGGATGAGTTCCTCCTAAGTATGATGAGTTCCTCCTAATGCCGGGCAGACCCAGAGATGCCATCTGGGAGCCAAGGCCTGGAATCAGGAACCCTAGGGCCTGCCTGGCACTCTATCTCACTGTAACTGAGCTGATACCTAAGCTGCAAGACAAAATCCCCTTTACTCTTTCCTCTCCCTTCCTCAGGCAGAAGGAGACTCTCCCCATAGCCACCACAGCCAGGAATGTGCTGGGTCTCACCTGAAGTCAGCACACCTCTGAGTCTCACCCAAGATCAGAGGCAAGTATTGCCTAGCTACCACTGCTGATTATTCAGGGCCCAAGGGTTCTTTAGCGAGAAGATAATGAATCCTGCCAGAACTGGGTTTTTCCCTTCAAGGCAGCAGGTTATCTTCTGGCCCAATGCGTGTCTAGAAATGTCATCTGAGTGCTAAGGCCTGGAATGGGGCCTCAGGACTCTGTCCGGTGCGCTGTCCTACTGTGGCTGAGCTGGTATCCAAGTTGCAAGACACAGTTCTTTTTGTTCTCCCTTCTCCTCTCCTCAAACAGAAGGAATGAGTCTCTTTTGGAGCTGTGAACTATACTGCCTAGGGTTGAGGAGGGTTGGTGCAAGCATCCCTCATGCATCCCGGCTGGTATCTCACCAGGTCACATGCACTCCAAGTCCCCTGGCCCCTTTGAGCCCAGCACAGCACAGGACCAGGACTTGCCCAGGGATTGCAGTCCTCATGGCCTAGACTGCCTTTCAAGTTGATGTAGGACCCCAGAGTCCTTTTGCCCATGGTGGCAGGGCTTGCTGAAACTCATGTTCTGACAACTGGGACGGGCAATTTGCCTCTGGCTAGGGTTGGTCTAAATGCTCCCTCTGTGGATGAAGGCTGACTTCCACCCCATGTTACTTTTTACTGTGACAGGACAGCACTGAGTTCCAATGCTAAGTCTCACAATCACTGCATTCTCCCTTCCCCAGGCGCAGACATTCTCTCAGTGCCGCATGGCAATACATGCCAGGGGATGAGGGGGATGCGGGGGATGGGGGGAGGGATGGTATAGGTGATTAAAGACTGTCTTTTCTACCCTCTTCAGTGCCTCTTTCCTCAATATGATGTGAAAACCAGCTACTGTGATCACTTACCTGATTTTTGATTCTTAAGAAGGTGCTTTTGTGTGTGTGTGTATAGTTGGTCAATGTGGTGTTCCTGCAGAAGAGAGATAATTGCTGGGTGCTTCTATTTGACCATGTTGCTTGGCCTTCTTCTGAGAATTATTTTCCTTAGCCCTAAAAGGAATACTGAAACTGAATGGAAGCCACAGTAAATAGGTTCCTGCTCAGCACAAGAAAGAACCTTGGAGCCATCAGAGCTGCCCACAATAAGAAGAATACTGTAAAATTTCCCACCGGTGTTGTTGATCCTATAAACAAACCACATGAATGAGAACTGAGGCAAGGGATGGAGGTTTTTTGTTTGTTTGTTTGTTTGTTTTTACCCTAGGGTCTATAAAAACTCGAAGGGGCTATTAATATGAACTTTCAATGTGTTTTCTATGCTACACTATTTTGCCTCTATATTCTTAAAAGATATTTTACAAGTGAGTATCTTGGTAAGTAGGTAGTATCTAAATCCTAAAATCACAAATATTAAAATAAATCATTATTCTTCTGGGGTCGTGATGGGAAGATCTGATTTACATTCACATTTTGAAAATAAATCTTAAAGTATAAAATACATTCTTAATTCATGTGATGTTTGCTTTTACTATTTTTTAAAATAAAATTGAGTTATATATATATATATATATATATATATATATATATATATAGACAAATGATACCAATCTATGATATAATGACCTCCTAAATATTTTTTTCACAGTAGTAACAGCTACTAAACCACTGGATTATATTGTAGTTTATATTCCCACAATATTGTACAGTCAGCAATTTGGAAAGATAATATGGTCATGTTATTTGTGCTTGTAGAACTTAGAAAGAATTGTCCTTTAGCAGTACATTATAATAATCGATTAATAGTGAATTAAAGCAATTAAATATGATTTTTTTAGTATTTGAGATACTAGAAGCACCATTATCTTGGGCTGTAAATCAAACCAATTGTAGGAGTAGATGGGCTTTGTCATGCATATGAAATCTTTAAATGCAGTTCCAGTAGATCTTAATACGGTCATCTGCCAACATCTAGGTTCTCAAATTGTTGCTTTCCTAAGCCCAGCCAAGGCTGTGCCAGATACTCATTTTCATGGTGGCCTCTTCAATTAGATTTAACACTTTGGTAGTGTAGGGACACTCGATTATTTTAAGACACTTGTACGTTCACCACAAGCTGCTCAGCGTGTCATAGAACACCCCTAGAAAGTCAACCAAGAAGAAAAAATAAGCTGACATTAAAGGGGAAGAAAGGTGTGACTACGTGCTTGAGAAACAAAACATAGGGCTGCCAGAATGGCTGGGGAGTTCCCATGACAGAGTGGACACTTGTACATGTTTGGAGAATGCATAAGTGATAGTATAATTGAGTTCATCAATTAATGAACAGGTGGTCAATGTATTTAATATTAAATATTGGCAATAATTTAAATTAAAACTATAACATTCCAAAGTAAGAAGCTGACCCATGTTTTGGAATTAAATTGTGCATTGGCTACTATCTGTCTTGAGAGATTTTTCTTGTATTTATGTAGAGTTTTTTTCTTTTTCAAAGTGATTTCACATATACCGCCATTTTTTAATTTCACAATACATTTAGCGAGGTCCCAGAAACATGTGAATTCCTCATTTTTATGTCTTTACTCCATAGCCCAATCCCTGGCCCTTGAATAGCACTCAATAAGTAATTATTATTACAGCCTCAACTAACAATTATTGAGCACTTATTTATTTCCCTTCTATATAAGTTCTTTCCATGAATTTTCCTATTCAGTCTTTCCAGACACCTTCAGAGGTGTATACTCCAATGGTCCTATTTTATAGCTAAGATAACTATAGCATAAATGGTAAACCACTTACCTAAACCACAGAATTGGTAAAATAAAATCCAGGACTTATAGTTTGGTCTACCAAAATCCAGTGTACATACTATTAATTGTTATGACATACTATTGCAGCATTTTCTTTTTTTTTTTTTCCTGTGAGGTAACGGGAGTAAAAATGCCAACACACTATTTTTATTGAGCAATAATCATAAAGCATTCCCTTTGAACACTTCAACAGAATGTTTGGAAGCCACTTGTCTGTATAATATATGTAAGAGACATTTCTTTTTCCAAAGCAGAAACATAAATCATTAACTAAAGATCATATTTCTTGCCAACATATCTAATTTCATCTTGAAAAATATTTGTATTTAAAGTGTAAAGCAGTAATATGAAAGTAAATTTCCCAGTGAAAGGCTGTCAGTATGAAATTGTTGGATTAGCAAGAGAAGAAAAAATAATTACTATTTTAGTGACAAACCGTGAAATGAAAAGTGAAAAATTAAGCAGTTTAAGAATTAATTATTTTCAAGTTTCCTTTCAATGACAGTTTTCAACCATTGAGATGTTAGTATGAATCTTTGGATCTGCAGAGGTTTAAACACAAAATTGTTTCCTTGACATGGACACTCGGATGCAAGTATTCAGTTTGTGAGATAATTAAAAATATTTCATATTATTAATATAAACTTGAGTCATTTGATTAAGAATTTTTTTATTCTCTCTTCTCTTTACTTCCCCTCAAATCTCTAAAATAACCATCTTCTAAGAATCTTCTATTTTTTTCCCACTGGTATCTACATCATTTTTTGATAAAAGTTAGAGTCTATCCAGTCTCTTTGATATTCTTGTCTCTCAATTTTGATTTAAAAGTGATATTATTTTTGGAATTTATTTTCTTTAGACTGGTGTGATATAAGCAACTTGAATTCATAAAGATAAATCAGTCTCAGTTCATTGTTTGACATATCCCCAAGAATCACACTACAGTTAACTCTGTGATTAGCATCCTCTGCTCAGTGGTATTTATCATAAGCTTTATAGCACAATACAAGAGATATGGATGAAGACACTTAATAAGTGTTGGTTGAAAGAATAGTGGGTATATCAGTGAATTGCTGATAAAAAGATATCAAGAAAAGAAACTGTGAAGGACTGACATAGCTTACTCCCCTAACCCCAAATGGCAAGTAGCAGGGTTTGTTTACTGATTCCAGAATTTAAAATATTTAACTTTAGTGTAGAATAGATGGTGTAACCTGTTAAAGCTAGCCATAACAAAGTTGCACAAACTGGGTGGCTTAAGCAACAGACACTTATTGTCTTACTGTAAGACAAGAATTTTGATTCTGGGAGCTCAAAATCAAGGTGTCAGTAGAGTCAGTTCCTTCTGAGGGCTGTAAGGGAGCTGTTCCCTGCCTCTCCCTAGCATCTGGTAGCCTGATATGCTCATGGTAAAAGACATTGTCCCATCTTCCCTATATGCTTGTCTTTTTTGTTGTCCAAATTTCCCCTTTTTATAAGAACATCAGTTTTGATGATTAATTTTATGTGTTAACTTGACTGGGCCATGGGGTGCCCAGATATTTGATCAAACATTATTCTGAGTGTGTCTGTAAGAATGTTTTGTGATGAGATTAACATTTGATTCAGTAGGCTGAGCAAAACAGATCATCCTCCTAATGATCCTAATGTGGGCAGGCCTCCTCCAATTTGTTGAAAACCTAAATAGAACAAAAAGGCTGACCCTCCCTCAAGTAAAGGGGAATTGTTCTTGCCTTCAAATTCAAACTGAAACATCAGCTCTTCCTGGGTCTGGCACCTGCTGGCCTTCAGACTGAAGTTGAAAGATTGGCTCTGCTGATTCTCAGGGCTTCAGGGTCAAACAAAAACTATAGCACCAGCTCTCCTGGCTCTCCTGCTTGCAGACTCACCATGTAGATCTTGCAATTTGTTTGACTCTATAATTGTGTGCCAGTTTCTTATAATAATCTCTGTGTGACACACACACACACACACACACACATGCACACACACATACATATATGATTGGTTCTGTTTCTCTGGAGAACCTTGACTAATACACCAGTCATATGGGTTAGGTTGGCCTCCTAATCCAATCTGACCTCATCCTAACTAATTACATCTATAGTCACAAAATTTCCAAATACAGTCACAATCTGAAAGACTAGAGGCTAGGACTTCAGCATGTGAATTTGGGAGAACACCATTTAACCTATCACTGATGGAATATATTTTATTTAAATAGCAAGATTCCATAATAAGGAGCCACTGTATAATGGAAGGAGAGATTTCTTATCCATTTGTCTGTGATTTGCTTGAGGACATAGGAGAATTTAATTTACATTGTCATCTACATCCATTAGCACAGGACATATGACAAAATTAGTGCTAAGTAAAGGTTGAAGGAATGAATGCATGAATTATGTATTATTTGTATTCACTTTCCAGGGCTGCCATAGCAACGTACCACATATTGGGTGGCTTAAATAACAGCAATTTATTTTCTCATAATTGTAGAGGCTGGAAGTCAAAGATCAAGATGTGAACAAGATAGATTTCTTCTGAGGGCTCTCTCTTTGGCTTGTAGATGGCCATCTGCCTGCTGTGTCTTCACATGGTTGTCCCTCTGTATGTGTTGTTTTTGTTCTAATCTCCTTTTCTTATTAGGACACAAGTCATTAAATTAGGGCTTACCCTAAAGACTCTATTTTAACTTAATTACATTTTTAAAAGCCCCATTTCCAAATACAGTCACATTCTGAGATACTGGGAACTAAGGCTTCAACATAAGAAATTTCAAGGGGCACAATTTGGATCATATAATGTTTAGGCATAGATCACACTGTTGTTACAGAAAGGTCCTAAAATACAATTGAATTTTTAAAATAAAAGTCTTTTTCTCCTATGTAATAATTTAGAGGTAGGCAGGGTTCCAGCTTGATTAAAAGCCTCTGTTATGTAAGATCATCTAAACCCCTTTCTACTTGCTTCTCCATCTATTAAGGTGTGATTCTCATCAATATGGTGCTGAGTCTGGCTCACCACCTTGCTTTCAATTTGCCTGACCCAGAACTAAGCACTTTTGCTTATATAGGATTATAGTGTTTTTTGTATCATTATTATTGTGTTATGAAAAAGAAAAATTATGCATGCATATTATAAGCCAGTAAACTATTTTTGTTTCTTTTCTTCTCCAAATGGGAGGGTCTAGAATTATTTATCACATTGAATAAATGTGATCCTATCTCCTTTAATAATTCTTGACAAAACCCTATAGTATATATTTAAAGCTCCGAATATATTTTCAGATGGGCATGTGTTAATACAGATGCACATGTAAAAAGGCAAATTACAAATTATAAATGTTAATCTTTAAGAGAATGGGGGTTAAGCAGTTTCTCTTCATTCATCTACTGTACTTGCAACATAAGATCTTGCCACAAGTGCTACCATTCTTTTAGAAATCTAATTTTTCCTACTGGGAATAAAATGTTATAATGAATTCTATTCGATCATTTAAAAGACGTGCATATCTTTTAACAGGCTCGTTATCTTGGACCCAATTTGTCATTAGCATATGTTTCCCTATCTTTCCGTACAACATTTTCACATTCAACCACACGCTTTCAATATACTTTAAGGTAATGCTTGCTGCTGTAACAAATAAATATACAAATAGAAGGAGATAGCTCATGCTTGTAAAGTCTAAACAGGTGTTTCTGATTCGTGAGAAGTTTTCTTTCAAACAATTCTTTAAGGAGTGAGTCTCTTCCCAGCTATTGCTTCAGCAATCTCTTCAGGACTCTGAGTACTTAGCTAGATGCTTGCATTTGGAGGGAGAGAAGTTGGAAAGGGTCCCCATTACTTCTTAACTATTCTTACTTATGAGCATTCTATTGGCTGAAATCAGTCACATGACTCCTTTATATGCAACCGGAGCAGGTAATGTTCTTGGCTGGGCAGCCACTGCCTAGTATTACTCTGCACTTGAAAAGGAAGCACAGGTGTTTGTGAAAAGAATAATTATCTTTGCAACAAACATTCCCTTTAACTGAGGAATGCAATGGCCTTCTATGTCTTATTGAAGCTGTTTTGTAACATCCAGTCTGATGCCTACAGTTTCTCTAAAAATAAAATAGTAATTTATGCCCCTAATTTTGTGTAGGGAAAAAATTCTGGGTTAACCGCAAGATATTATCTACTGAAAAACCTTCCCAACTCAGTCTATTATTCAGCTAATATATATTATGCATTTAATTAATTTTTTAAGGCTGTTATAAATCAGCTCAATTTTGTGGGCAAACCAGTTGCCAGAGTTGTTATTCAAAGCCTCTGGGAATGCATTTAGCCAATGCTTTCATTCTTTATTGTAAAAGTTTAAGCAGGTACCTCTAATACCAGAAAAGAACACCAAGAAACTGGAACTTCTGAGCTATAACTATAAAATAATGAAACAAAATTTTTATCATTTTATGTGATACAAATCTCCAATCTTTTTAGGTATAGGTTGTTCCCATAAGACAGAATTGATTAGGACAAACAAAATGTATCTGGTATATGTATAATAAAATATATTTATGTTGTTATGGAAGATAATGAGGCAAAAATGTGAGTTTTTCTTTTTTTAAGACAAGGGCCAGGTTTCAGTCAACGCTTCACCCCACACAGTCTACCACAGTGTCTCATGTTGTATAATTTCTCAGTTAAATTGTGTTGAGTGACTAAAGTGATAAATGAATGAAATGAAAAGAGATGCATATAAATTAATTAGTAATTATTCATTTTTCTAGGTTAAACATCTTCTTGTAGTTTTTATTTTCTGCTTATTTCTCTAGATCTCTAGAATCTATAACTAATATCATGATGAATAATTCCCCCTCCCCTCTATCCCATAAATACACTTTCCTTAAAAATAGCAGGCCCAGATCAGTAATCAGGCCCTAATTCCTGTTATTCCTTTCCCCAGGACTTAGGTCCCCAACTCTCTCCTTCTCTGGTGTGGTCTCGGGTCCCTCTTTTTCAAATGGTCCTAGAATAGACTGTCAGGGAATTTCTCCGTCCATCCTTGGCCTTAGGATCCATGGCTGAGGGTTCCCCAGCAGCAGAAAATGTAAGCCATGTAATTTTGTGAGAAAGAAGGAAAGCACTAGCTCCCTGAAGACAATTTGAATAGTTGGCGCTAATGAACCAGATTGGGTTCTCCAGAAGTTCAGCATTCAGGATTAGAGATTAACGTCACTGGAAGAGGGAGTACAGAAGTACAATTGCTCAGAGGAAAAAGTCGGATATTTTTAGACCCACAAAGTCTTAATCAACACCTCAGGGAGTTCTGTGGTGTCAGAGTTATCTTGTGTAACTTTGCTAATAATAACATACCCAAAACTAGGTAATTTATAAAGAAAAGAGGTTTAATCGGCTCAGTTCCACATGGCTGGGGAGGCCTCACAATCATGCTGGAAGATGAAGGAAGAGCAAAGGGACGTCTTACATGGCAGCAGGCAAGACAGTGTGTGCAGGGGAATTCCCCTTCATAAAATCATCAGATCTCATGAAACTTATTCACTATCATGACTCAATTACCTCCCACTGGGTCTCTCCCATGACACGTGAGAATTATGGGAGCTACAATTCAAGATGAGATTTGGGTGGGGACACTGTCAAACAATATCATTTTTAATCAGAAGAATCAGGGGTTCCTACCACAGTCAGTCATTGGGCAAGACAGCTCTCTACAGCTGAGTCAAACATAGTGTGGCTGAGGATACATGTCTTCAGTTCTAGAGTGTTATAGGACAGCTTATTATAGAAAAAAGTTTGGGTAACTAAACTTATCAAAGAATGGTTAAAATTCCTTATATGTTTTTAATTATAATAGAAACCTTATGGCTAGGCTCTACTGGAGGCTTAGTAAATGCCAGACATTGACTCAGTCCTCTTCCTCTGCATTATATCATTTAATATCTCCAGTGTCTATGATTTAGGGACCATAATTATCCCCATTTTACAGGTGAAACAAATGGAGTTTAGAAGCAGTAAGTGACATGATCATGGACACAAGTAATACTCACTGAGGCAGGACTAGGAACCCATTTTTATCCAAGTCTGGACAATGAGCTCTCAGTGACTCTGTAGAGCTGCCCCTTTAATTCCTGCACAGGTTTTCTTCCTTTGCGCCCATCACTTGCAGAATAAATGGAGAGATGGAGCAGAGATAAATGATGATATATGTCCTTCTTGTTCTACTGCATCTCTTCTTTTTCTATTATTCTTGGCCACCAATCTTTGGACTCACCATATATGCCCCCAAGGTATATTTCCTCATTGGCCACTAAAAGTTTGCATCTTTCCTCATTTCTGCCTTGTTGTATTTTGATTAATCAGAGAGAGAAGAAACCCAAAATATCTAGATAGGTTTTTATTTTTCAACCTGAGTCATTGAATTCTGCCCTAAGATATATACTGGCCAAGCACTGACTATCTTTAGGCATGCTTTTCTTCTCTCTTTTTTCATTCTTTGTCCAATATTTTCAATGTCTATGAATGTATTATCACAATAAGTTTAACTAGCATGCATTGCCTGAACTCTTTAAATTTTTCTTCCTTCTTTGGAAATCAGTGTGACATTTTAAAATATGCTGTTGAATGAGATAAAGATAACTGACATGCTATAACAATGAGAACCTCAGTTTTCAATGTCTTCATATATTTTCATCATTATCATTACAATTCTTATCCTGTGCTTTCAGAACAATTGACTGAAACACATTAGTAGGTCATGAGAATTTTTCTGTGAAACACAGTCCAATCTCTCAATAATAAGACACATAATTCTCACCTCAAAGACGACCACTGTGCTATGTGTTATTTTGGGGCCATTTCAAAAGAATTTAAAGTCAATTTCAACCTTATAACAAAAGTCTGTTTCAAATGGAGACACTATTGTTCGACTCTCACTGAGTGTAATTACAAGAAACAATGGTTAATGCTTTTTATAAAAAATGAATTTAAGTCCGTATTCACTCATTGGGAAAAAATTGAGGTAATCAAATAAGGTGTAAAAGCTTTGTGTAGAAATTATTTGAAAAAAAATTACAGCTACATTTTAGGCTAACAAAGGTTTCCTTCATAAATGCTGAACTGTGCAAAGCTATTGCAAGTGCTTTCTGAAATAAGCTCAGAAAATAAAAGGGATAGAAAATCTACTTTATGACAGAACTATGTGTTTCTTTTGAATTGAAAAAAGTTTACATGGACAGTATCAATGTAAACAAATACTTTTTCTTCCTTGTTTGTAAATCAATATGAACTAATTGATTTATGATTTGTACGCATTGTAAACATGGTCCTCAATTAGTTCCCACATAGATACTCAGTGGTTCAATTAGTTCCCACATAGATACTCCTACATTTACAATTTGGGCACATTGTAAATGTGGTCCTCAATTAGTTCCCACATAGATACCCAGTGGCAACAACAATAGCATCCACACTGTGAAATGTAGGAATATATTGTTAATATGTTATAACTTATTGCAAATGAGAATAAGTAACCAAACAATAAATATTTCTGAATACCAGTTGTGTATCAGTCAGACCTTAGGCTGAGAGAGAGCCTGCTCTGTTCTCTTCTCATAAGGGAGCTAATCCCATCATGAGGAACCCACTTTCATGACTTCCTCGAAATCTAATTATCTCCCAAAGGCCCCACTTCCCAATATTATCACATTGGATTTAGGGCTTCTGCATATAAATTTTGAGGGGACACAAACATTCAGTCCATACCACCATATCAATACAAACAGCCTTCAGAGGGTTTCAGGTCACAAAGGTTTATAATAGCCTTCTTGATTGATCTTGTGTATTAGAAGTACACTTACGGTGAGTTACAAAGCATGGAAAGAGTCTTGCTCTGTGGTCTAATCTTCAGTGTCAAGCACAAGGATGCAGAATATAGAATGGGTGTATGTAGGGCAAATGAATGAATGCATGAATGAATAATGAAGGGAAATGAGACAGACACATGAACATGTGAAAATAACAACAGCAACATCAGAAAGAATACCCAGTGGACAAATACGTGACAATTTGCCATGCAGATGATAGAGATTATATGTTTCATGGTCCTAGAAGAAAAAATGATTCATCATGGAGGCGGATAATCTGGGACTGGTAGAGTAAGGAAGTAGAACAGTCAAGAGAACGAATTGTAAACTGAGAGGATTTTATAAGAATAAGCTGTGAGGAAATTTCAAGGCTTTTTTTTGTAGATACAGAATAGTTCAAATTTACTACAAAGATGGTGGAGGAAAATAGGTGGGGAGATTAAGCTATAGATGAAAGTATGCAAACTTCAGACTACCTAGGTTCCATATCAACAAATGTACGTTTTGTCTTTGTTCTGGACTCTTTTTAAGAAAGACTTTTTTAGGGCAGTTTTAGATTCACAGCCAAATGAAGAGGAAGACACAGAGATACTGCATATGTTCCCTACCCACCCCGACACACAGCCTCTCCTCTTATTTACGTCTCTCACCAGAGTGGCATATTTGTTGCACTTGATGAACCTACACTGACACATCATAATTCCCCAAAGTTTGTAGTTTATATGAGGGTTCACTCTAGATATTGTACATTCTAGGGGTTTTAACAAATGTATGTATAATGACACGTGTCCATCATTACAGTATCATACAGAGTATTTTTTACTTCGTTAATAATCCTCTGTGTGTCACCTGTTTATCCCTTTCTGCCAACCCTTGGTAGCCACTTATCATTTTACTGTTTCCATAATTTTTCATCTTCTAGAATGTATTACAGTTGGAAGCACACAGTATGCAACCCTTTCAGACTGTCTTCCTTCACTTAGTAATAGGGAGAATGAATTAAATATAGGAACTCAAGTTTCCTCCATATTGGTTGTGGCTTGTTAGCTCATTTATATTTAGTGCTGAATAATATTTCATTGTCTGTATGTACCACCTTTGTACTTTCAGTTTTTTGGTTTCTTGGTATATCTTGGTTGCTTCCAGTTTTAGCAATTATGAACAAACCTACTATAAATATCTATGTGCAGGTTTTTCTGCAGTCAAAATTTTTAACTTCTTTGGATAAATACCAAGGAGTACAATTGCTGGATCATATGATAACATTATGTTTAGTTTTTATAGAAACTGCCAAAAGGTTTTCCAAACTGGTTGTACCATTTTGCCTTTTTCAACAGCAATGCATAGGAGTTTCTGTTGTTCCACATCTTCACCAGAATTCAGTGTTATGAGTGTTTTGGATTTTGGCAATTCAAATACATTTCTAGTGGTATCTCATTGTTGTTTTAATTTATACTCCTGTAATTACATATGATGGGAAGCATCTTTTCATATGCTATTTCCCATCTGTATATCTTCTTTTGGGAGGTGCTTCTTATTATGGTCTTTAACATGTTTTTTAATTGGGTTGTTTTTTTCTTACTGTTGAGTCTTAAGAGTTTTTTGTATACTTTGGAAAATGATTCTTTGTCAGATGTATCTTTTACAAATATTTTCTTGCAGTGTATGATGTCTCGCATTTTCTTAACATTTCCTTTAGCAGAGCAAAAAGGTTTTAATTTTAATGAAGTCCAACATATGAATGATTTCCAACATAGATCATGCCTTTGCTGTTGTATCTAAAATGTCATTACCATTCTCAAGGTCTTCTAGGTTTTCTTCTATGTTATCTCCTAGGAATTTTACAGTTTTGAATTTTATATTTAGATATATGATCTGCTTTTAGTTAATTTTGTGAAGAGTATAAGGTCTGTCTCTAGATTCTTTTTTTTTTTTTTTTTTTGCATGTGAGTATTCAGGTTTGTTGAGTCTGGCACCCCTAGAAGCAGTTGTTGAAAAGACTGTATTTATACTCCATTGTATTACCTTTGCTCCTTTGTAAAAGACCAGTTGACTAATTTATGTGGGACTATTTTTGAATTCTTTTTTCTATTCCATTCACCTCTTTGTCTATTCTTTTTTTTTTTTTCTTTGACAGAGTTTCACTCTTGTCTCCCAGGTTGGAGTGCAATGGTGTGATCTCTGCTCTCTGCAACCTCTGCCTCCCAGGTTCATGCGATTCTCTTGTCTCAGCCTCCTGAGTAGCTGGGATTACAGTTGTCCACCACCACGCCTGGCTAATTTTTGTATTTTCGGTAGAGACGGGGTTTCACCATGTTGGCCAGGCTGATCTCGAACTCCTGACCTCAAGTGATCCGCCCACCTCAGCCTCCCAAAGTGCTAGTATCATAGACGTGAGCCAGCATGCCCAGCCTCTTTGTTTATTGTCTTAATTATAGTAAATCTTGAAGTTGAGTGGTGCCAGTTCTCTAACTTTGTTCTTCTCCTTCAATATTGTGTTGGCTATTCTGTATCTTTTGCCTCTCCATATAAACTTTTGTCAATATCTACGTAATATTGACATTTTGTCAATATTATGTAGAATCATTTTGTCAGTATCTACATTTTGTCAATATCTACATTTTGTCAATATCTACAAAATCATTTTGTCAATATCTACAAAATAACTTGATGGAATTATGATTAGGATTGTATTAAATCTGTAGATCAAATTGGGAAGAACTTACATCTTGACAATATTGAGTATTCCTATCCATAAGCATGGGATAGCTCTCCACTTATTTAGTCTTCTTTGATTTTGTTCATCGGAGTTTTGTAGTTTTCCTCATATAGATCTTGTACATATTTTGCTAGATTTATACCTAGATATTTTATTTATTGGATACTAATGTCATGGTACTGTACTTTTAGTTTCAAATTCTATATGTTCATTGCTGGTACATAGAAATGTGATTGACTTTTATAAACTAATCTTGTATCCTGCAACCTTACTATCACTTCTTAGTTCCAGGAGTTGTTTTTATCAATTCTTTCGTATTTTCTACAGAGATGACCATGTCATCTGAGAACAAAGACAATTTTATTTCTTCATTTACAAGGTGTTTACATTTTATTTCCTATTTTGTCTTGTTTTTCTTAGCTAGCACTTCTAGCACAATGTTGAAAAGAAGTGGAGAGAGGAATCCTTCCTTGTTCCTGACCTTAATTGGAAAGTGTCTAGATTTTTTTACCTTAAGTACAATGTTAGCTATACGTTTTCTGTAGCCATTCTTTATCAAACTGAGAAAATTTTCCTCTATGTGCTCTATATTCTTTTACATGTTTTTAATTAGTTGTTAATGCATAGACTTTGGAAAATTGCACCCAAAAATCCATATTCTCAGCTTTGCATAAAAATATCTCTGACTTGACATTAGTTTCTCGTTTAATCAATGAAATCAGTGAGAATAGAGAAGAAACTGCCAAGACTGCCCTCTTCTTGATTTCCATTGACCCCACTGAATCTTTTCACTTATTTATATTTATCTGTGTGGTCCCTTTGGTCTGAAGTGGATACAATTACAGATCAGATTTGATCTCTCTCTCAGATTTTTATTTATATATATATATATGTGTGTGTGTGTATGTGTGTGTGTGTGTATACATATCTTTCTCTCTCAGATTGATCTCTCTCTTTCTCTCTCTCATCTCTCTCCCCTCTCCACTTCTTCTCCCCCTCTGTCTCTCTCTTATTATACACATATTCATGAGCAAATGCACATGGCTGAATTACCAGCAACCTACACCCTTCCAGCCCCAGACACTAGCACCTCTCCTGGAGACTCACACAGATACAGACAGTGCCAAGTCAGTGATGGTCACAGCTTTGAATGTGACTCTGATTCAAGTCAACAGATGATCCTATTAAGCCTGAAAGAGACAGAGGAGGTACAGAAGGGGAAACAGCATTGAGAGGTTAGACCTTTCACTCCATGCCAAAATTATACCAAGAGGTAAGGAGTTACTCAGTAATGAATTCCTTGCAGGAGAAGAGATTCCATGGTGACTTTTTGGATGACCATTACCTTCAGGAAATTTTTCTGCATACTTCCTAGAAATCATAAAGACTGCCATTACAAGTGCCTTTTGTAAGACATTGCCTGTACCTCCTCTGTGTGTAATATATCCCCAATGGTCTGTAAGTACTAAAACTTCTTAAATTCAGTGGGGCAGGAGCTCCTTTTGAGGATTTAACCAAAGTCATGTAGTCTAACTCCAGGAAAATTCACAATTTTATATACAATATCAGGAGGTTTGGGGATTCATGGGAAGTACCTTTGTCATTTTGGTCATATGTACAAATTCTAGATTAGAGTCATTTAGTTCAGGGATATTAAAAGAAGATATAAGATTAAGCTCAAGGAGTTTGGAATTCTTAGAAAAGGGCATGAGCATGGACCTCAATTCCAAACGCTTGGAAAATGGCAAGACGATTTATCTAAAATGCTAGAATCATGGATGGGAGGGAATATGATGATAATTTGGTATACTAGGATAGGAACAGACAAAAAACAAGGGACAAAGTTAGAAAAAACAATATTGCAGAAATGGAATCTCACTAATGGTCTCTTTATTTCTAAATTCCAATGTATTGAGGTGTAGTTATTTTATGAAATATCTAAGACCTGAACTCCCAGCAATTCTACTTTGCTAATCTAAAATGCTCCTGAACTTGTGCCAGAGTCAATTTTCCTTGCAGCCCAAACTTATTTCATATTTGTAACTTGCATCTCTCTTGCAGCCTAAATCTTACTTCATGCTGTAATGTAGTGGTTGTGTGTACCTTTTTCAAACCTCATCATATTGATATTTAACCAGAAGCTTCTTGGAGCAAGATCAGCTTGCCTCTTCCAAGTATCTTTTGCAATATGCTGCACACTCTCAAATGTTTTAGAAGCTCAATATTTTATTTAATAAATTAAAGGTTACAATTAAAGTTTTGTGTTCAGGGCCAAAAATTTTCAAAATATAAAGAATGAGTTGTTTTTTCCTTACTGCCATTTTGAGAATTGTCTATTATGTGTAAAATAAAAAAAAAGAACTAAACAATATTTAAATAACCTCTATACCCCCACACATTATGATTCAAACCAATGAGTTCCATTTCTTTTTACAATATGAATCCCTAGATACACCAGCTAGTGGCAAGTAAAACATGTAATTAAGGGAAAATTAATTACTGCTTTTTATTAAACAAACAAAGAAATCATCTGTCAATAATGAAAACAAATGAACCTCAAAATTCAGATAAAATATATAACAAATACCACTACAGGAAAGAGGTTTTTCTCTATACTGCTGGACTTGCCATTTACCTTGCTTATCTATCAAAACTTAAATGTAGTCTCTTTAAAACTACGAATGACTTGCAAAGGTCTTAGAAGAGGACATGGATGTGAAAATAAGTGAAAGAAAAATGACACTTGTTTTTGATGCTCAAAGAAGGGAAGCCCAAGTGCTGTGCCCCACAGAGGAACAACCATGAATAAAACATGGGCTCAGCTCCTTAAGGAACTTCCAGGCTGGCAGAGAAGCTAGTGCCTAGAAACAATTACAATTCAGAGGGAGAAATACCAAATCCCTGATGCATGTTATGGAAGCTTAGGAGAAGAGAAAAGTTTTTCTAGCTGGGAATCTCCAGAGCCATTTTTTTGAAAGAGGTCTTGGGGCAATAAATTGAATTTGGATATAGCTCTCTTCAATGAGGTGCTGAAGGTAAACTAAAATACAGAGAACAGAAGAGGCCAGTGAATGAAAATCATTCAATAACATTCTTCTTAATTGGATGCATGCTTCTGATCTCCAACTACTCGATCTATCAAATAGTTTTGCCTAATTAGAATGTCTTAAGATAAATTTGGTATTTCTGAACCTGAGTGATTGACTAGAGGAAAATACCCCTTATTGCTGTGGTCAATCTTAATTCTTAATCAGTGTTTACTTAGCTGGTTGAACCATCATATTTGCCTTATGCCATAATGCCATATTTTTGTGAAAGGTTTATAGAATTATTCAACTATATTTGTTTCCTTTGGTTTGTAAGAGAGATTTTTATTTTGAGAGCATTCCTAAAAATATATGAGTCTTGCTTAATATGGTTATTTAAAATTTTGGTCTTTAACTATGGAGACTGATTTATCATTTCTAAATTGACTTAGATATTTAAGCTAATTTTTATTGATACCGAGAAAATGTTCACATTCTTTTTGCCTTGTAGCCAAAGAGCTATTGATATGGAACAGGGGGATAAATTTACTCTCCAATTATTTTATATTAATTAGAGTCAAACTACAGTTATGACCACCTATTGCAGCATTTAGTTATATTTAAATGAGACTTTAAAATAGTGCCACCATGATCCAATCCTTTTGCATTCCAAGTATAACGATCTTGTGATTAAATTATAGACCAAAATGGCTTAAAAATAGTAAATATTTATTTCCAGTTTTGCATGACATTGCCAATTATATTTTCACTGACTTTTATGTAAAAATATTAGCAGATGTGGGTTATCTCAACTGGGTAACTGGGACTCAAGCTGCCTGCCCTTAAAAGTTTTGCAACTAATAGGAAAACAAACACTTTTAAACCAATGAGTATATTATAGCAGCTACTGTCACCTCTGGTGTCTGAATTGGTGGTTATATAAGCTGCAAGATGCATGAGAGTCACTTGTAAAATGTGTATACAAGTGAGATTAACTAACAACAGCTAAAGTGAAAGATTGGGTTTTTAAATTGTTTTTAATTCATGGGCATAGGTTAAAAACCATGCCTGTAAGAACATCACTCTCTTTGACTTGTGTTTCAAATTGCCACCTGGAGTGGAAGGTAAAGAGTGTAGAATGACTAGGGGTCACTGAGAATGTGTCCTGGAATGTGTCACATAGTGAACATCCTTGTACAGATTACAGCAAAAGAATAAACACACAGAAGTAATCAGGTGTCCTGAGTGCTATGGCAGGATGTATCCATGCAGAACTTTCTGGGTATATAAAAGAAGACAGTCTTCAAAATTTGACCAGAAAGAGGGTAAAGACTTCACAGAATAGAAACACTTGTACATTGATACGAAAAAATAGGCATCTTTTAAAAACATTGAGCCTTTCTTCCTTAGAGATAATAAATGTGTATAGTTTAGACTGTAGGTACTGGGGTTGAACATGCAAGGGTCAGTCATCATGAATATTAGTCCAATTATCTATTGCTGCATAATATTAAAGACCACACCAAAACTTACGGGCTTAAAACAACATTTATTTATTGTTATATATTATTCTGTGGGTCAAGGATTTGGAGGGTAACTATGTATCTCTGCTCTGCAATGTCTGTGACCTCACATAAGATAAACAGAAGGTACTGGGCCGGGCGCGGTGGCTCACGCCTGTAATCCCAGCACTTTGGGAGGCCGAGGCGGGCGGATCACGAGGTCAGGAGATCGAGACCATCCTGGCTAACACGGTGAAACCCCGTCTCTACTAAAAATACAAAAAATTAGCCGGGCGTGGTAGCGGGCGCCTGTAGTCCCAGCTACTCGGGAGGCTGAGGCAGGAGAATGGCGTGAACCCGGGAGGCGGAGCTTGCAGTGAGCCGAGATCGCGCCACTGCACTCCAGCCTGGGCGACAGAGCGAGACTCCGTCTCAAAAAAAAAAAAAAAAAAAAAAAAGATAAACAGAAGGTACTGAAAGAGCTGGGGGTTGTTTAGATCTCTCTCTCTCTCTCTCTCCATGCAGCATCCCCAAGTGGCTAGCATGTGCTTCCTGGACTCAGGATAGGCCCCACTAGGAAGAAAGTGGAAACTGTCTACTCTCTTGCAAGCTAGGCCTACAGTTAGCATAGTGTCACTTCTGCCGTATTGTTTGGTCACAGTTATCATAAATTCATGCCACTTCTCAACGAAAGAACCATCAAAGAATGTGTGGCCATCTTTAATCACTTACAAGTATTCTTTCACTCAACAATTTATTTTGAGTACCCACTGTGTACCAGTGTGTACCAGCCACTGTTCTACTTGATCTTATTGGCATGGAAAATACAACAAAATCTGTAGCCATATAAATGAATTTTTTAGTGAAGGGAGAGAGGGGAGAGAAGCAAATAAATATATACTGTTCTGTGAGGTAATGTGACAGAGATAGTGCGTAACAAATGTACATATGCTCATCTGCATTCCCTTGCATTATTTGCAATTAGATTAGGGCCACGTGACAAGTTCTGGTCAGTTGACTGGTGAACAAAAGTGATGCACGTCACTTTCAAGCCAAGCCAGTGAACAGCCTCTTCCATCTCTTCTTGTCATCTTCTCTTTAGAGTTTACATGTTCCAGATCACACAGCAAGGAGATAGAGGAGGAAGATCTGATGCATATCAGGCTATAAGGAAAGCACACACAAAAAAATTTATTATGATAACCAACTGAGGTTTGAGGTTTGTTTATTTCCACAGAATAATGTAGCATTACTTAACCTTACTAATACAGTTAATTAGTATTATGAAGAAAAATAACTCAGGGTAAAGATACAAAATAATTGTGGAGATAGGTGCACAGTTGTAGACAGCTTGGTCAGGGAATTAAGAAATGTTGCTGTAAGAATGTACTAAAAACTTTCAAGCCCAGTTGTTTTTCCCACCATATAACTAGGCCCCCTCCACATATGGGGGAGTTGCAGATGGACTGTGATTGCTGAATTTACATGATATTGGCAGAAACTTATTTTTAAAAATGATCTGATGAGCTTTAAAGGAGAATGAGTAAAGATGAGATTTGAATTAATTAATGGATAAATATCTTGAAAGCCAGACTACGGAGGACAGATTTTATTAGCAAATGAATGTGGTAGCTGCTCTAGGCTATCAGACATGAAGTTAGCTTTAGACTAACATGTGACAATTATTTTGGCATGTGGAATTAGATTGGATTGACAAAACAACAGACTAAAATCAAATAGGCCAGCAATATGAGGCTTTTCTTAAATATAGTCTTCTTAGATACTTTTCTAGCATTGGGGGTGATGATACATACGTTTGGAGTCAGAGAAAACTTGGCTCTTCTGCTTTCTATTTATGTAAATGAGACTCACCATTCAAGTCTCTGTGACTCCATTTTCTCATGTGTTAAAAATAATACCTCCTTAGCTGCATTATTGTAGGATGTGTCAATTATATGTGTACAAAACTCATCAGAATGTCTATCACATAGGAAACACTCAATGAAATGGTAGCTATCATTTCATTATAAGCCATATTGAAGACATGACATCCATAAGATTATCTATACCAATCATTATATGGTAAGCACTGTGGAAGATGACAAGGGATCTATCACATAGTCTTCAACTTTCTGCTCAGTCTTGTTAAAAACATAAGACCAAAAAAATCATGAAGAGGTAAATGAATGTGCTGGCAAGAAAAGCCTTTGAAAAAGGGATGCCACAATGTGCCAAATAAATTGCCACACATGGTATAATAAATGCTATCTGTTTTGTCAATGAGAAGATAATATGTTTTCAACCTGTTGGAACTTTCTGTTACAACTTTTTAAAATATATCATTATTAATAAGCACCCATGGAGATACTTTCTCAGGCAGAGGTGACAGTCCTCAAATTGCACCTCTTATGTTTTGTTCCTGTAGGCTCATTCTGTATAGTGTGAGCAGGCAGAAGACTTCGTCTTAAAACAAACAACAGTAATAAAAGTATATAAATTAGCTAGCAACTGACCAGGCGCGGTGGCTGACGCCTGTAATCCCAGCACTTTGGAAGGCCAGGAGGCGGGTGGATTACCTGAAGTCGGAAGTTCGAGACCAGCCCAACCAGCATGGAGAAACCCCATCTCTACTAAAAATACAAAATTAGCCTGGCGTGGTTGCGCGTGCCTGTAATCCCAGCTACTTGCAGGGCCAAGGCAGGAGAACTGCTTGAACCTAGGAGGCAGAGATTGTAGTGAGCCGAGGTTGTGCCATTGCACTCCTGCCTGAGCAACAAGAGCGAAACTCCATCTCAAAAATAAATAAATAAATAAATAAATAAATTAGCTAGTAACTCTGTCCCTCAACAGTTTCTCTTTATTTTTTTTAATAGAATATTCCCTGGCTTTATTTAAAAGTCTAAATCCTAAGTTCTTCTACTCTATTTATCACTCTGACTTTGAAACTCAAAACAGAAATGTCAAAGCATAAAGAACTGCTATCTTCACAGCCAGGACAAAAATTGGGCGGAGAAAAGGATGTATATTGCATAATACATTTCAGCAAAATACTAAGGACTCAAGTGATTCCAGTGATTCATCCCTCCTCTTAACCAGTGTCCAGGGTTTTGATTCTTTGTTGTACTGGATCCTCTTTTGGTTTTAGAAATATGCAGAGCCATCCTCTATGAGTTTCCTCATTCTTTGGCCCAAACCAAACAGCAGTGTTTTCTTACTAGAAATCATGATAATGCCACATCATATTACTCTTTACATTTGCATCACATTCAAAATAAGTCAGTGTGAATGAATCCTTTTCTGTCTTTTGCATTTCAGTCAGCACAGGTAATCCCAATAAATGCATTTAAATTTTGTTGTCATTGTGACAGCCTCATCAAACACCTTGCCAACCGTATCAAATTAAAATTTCCCATTCTCCTATTTAAATACCTACCATTTCACAGTTGCAAAAAATCCCATTAATGTCTCATAGCACAAAACAAGGCAGGATCGGTCTGAGTTTATCAAATTTCTCAGATAATAATTCATTTCCAGAATATTTCATTATTCATGAAATGAGATGCCTGGCACAAGAAAAGTACTTAATAAATGGCTGGTATTATTTCTATTTGAAAGGCAAATTATGTTTTTAATGCTGTATTCATATTTTTCCTCTTCAGGTTTCTCTGTTTATTTTTCCATGATTCAATTTTCCTAATAAATAAAATATGTACTGGAGAGCTATGACTTTGTATCAGCCGTGCTAAGAGTAGGTCTTAAATGTGTCCTTCATCTAAATTTCTACACGATCTACGTTCAGTGGGATCAAGAGGAAAGTAGCATAGAAAACCAAGAGAGTTGTCAGCAATTTTGTCTTTGACTCTTTCTAATTGGGTGAGACCTGTTTTGCTTGGGAATAAGGCTTGAGTAAATAAGTAAAAGCTAATGAAAGATGGAAGAAAGGAAATATTTTGAAACAAAGCAGATCACGGAGATTAGGAATTTCTTGTAATGTTCTAGGGTTTTGCTTCTCAAAGTGTGGTCCATGCACCAGCAAAATTAGCATCATCTGGGAGCCTGTTAGAAATGCAGAATATTAGGTCCCACCCCAGACTTACTGAATTAATCTGCATTTTACCAAAATCCCCAGAGGATTGTTTGGTTTTAGAGAGCATTGAAAACAGAGATGCCTGCTTGCTTCTTTATGGCTAAACCTGTAACTTACTAGTTTGCAAGAATAAAAGAGGGAATTAAATTTCCCTGTAGGACACACTATAGATCTCTTGTTCATAGAGGAGCATGAAGTAAAATAAAGTACTATTCCCAAAGTAAACATAAAAGCAAAAATTATGCGTCCCCATAGCTGGAGAATGCATGCATCTCTTAATGAATCATGAGGATGTCTTACATTCTTGTATCCCTTCACTTGTCTCTTCCATATGTAAGATCTCATTTATCCTTACTACAAACCAAAGAAGCATGCATTGTGATAATAATTCTGATATTTTAAAGGTGCTTCCTAGTTGGTGAAAGGAGCAGGTGGCCCCCAACCTAATCTCTAGCTACATATCCAAGATCCCTGAGTGTTGAAGGGTGGAAGAGGATTCCCCTGGACATGGAAATTCACAGATTGATCAGAGTGGCTTAGACAGTAGAGAAAGATGGGAATGAGAAGGCAGAGAAAGAGTCCCAGGAGGGGTCTGGCTGCAGCCTGGCAAGTTGATGTGGAAGTAAATACTGGTAGGGTAGGTGGTTGGACTTCTTGCTCTGGAAGCATGTGGAGTCAGTCTGCATTCTGTTCAACAGGGGAAACGGGCTGGGCATGGTGGCTCATGCCTGTAATCCCAGAACTTTGGGAGGCCAAGGCGGGTGGATCATGAGGTCAAGAGATCGAGACCATCCTGGCCAACATGGTGAAACCCTGTCTCTACTAAAAATACAAAAATTAGCCGGGCATGGTGGCAGGTGCCTCTAGTCCCAGCTACTTGGGAGGCTGAAGTAGGAGAATCACCTGAACCCTGGAGGTGGAGGTTGCAGTGAGCCAAGATCACGCCATTGCACTCCAGTCTGGGTGACAGAGTGAGACTCCATCTCAAAAGAAAAAAAAAATTGTGGGGGAAAGGGATAGGATTCAGGTGCAGCCTGTTCAGGAGGTAATTATTGGTGAGAAAACAGAGTCCATAGGACAATCTACTGGAGAATTCAAATATGCATCCTACAACAGTGATGTGGAGAAGATGGTAGTGGAGATGAGAGTGAGCAGAATGGATACAAAGCTGGAAACTGCCCCTTCCAGGAGCTGCTAGGGCTTCTCTTCAGATTGTCCAGCAGTGAGTGGGGCCAATCCTAAAATGTTCAGATGTTTGATAAGTCAAAGCCTCCAGGACCCTGGAGTAGAATTTCTACTCCAGAATTATGACATGGGCTGTAATCCCATTGTATTCCTAATCCACCCAATGGAAACCAATGGCATTTTGCTGTAAGTTTTTAAAGGCGATTTGGATACTATAGGACCATGGTGACATACAGTAGCTTCAGTGTTCAATAGATTTGAGGTTCTGATTCTTTTCAGCAAGTTTCCTCTTTCATGCTTCAGCTTCCTCACATCATATGAGGATTAAGTGACATAATGGATGCAAAGCATTTGGCATACTATTTGATACATAACTGGTTATTTCTGATATTATTATTTATCTGAAAAAATAGCAGTTTCTGGCATATATTAGCATCCAAAAACATTGCTTCTATTTTCTTCTTCTATCACATATCTAAAAAACAAATACAGGGCTGGGTGCAGTGGCTCACGGCTGTCATCCCAGCACTTTGAGAGGCCAAGGCGGGTGGATCACTTGAGGTCAGGAGTTTGAGACCAGCCTGGCCAACATGGCAAAATCCCACCTTTACTAAAAATACAAAAAAAAAAAAAATTAGCTGGGCATGGTGGTGCACTCCTGTAGTCCCAGCTACTAGGGAGGCTGAGGTGGGAGAATTGCTTGAACCCGGGAGGCAGATGTTGCAGTGTGTTGAGATCGCACCAATGCACTCCAGCCTGGATGACAGAGTGAGACTCCGTCTCAAACAAACAAACAAACAGAAAAAACAAATACAAATAAAACATAACCTTAAAAAGCATAAATCAGTGTCATGATCCATTTGTATTATTTTATTTCAATGGAATTATTTAAATGAGAATCTCTTTACACATTACATAAATCTGAGGATGACAGAGACTGCCTTGTTGTCACAGGTCAAGAGAACTTTCTTTCTTGACAACCTGGTTTCCTCCTGATGCTTAAAAACACCTCCCGTAACTGTTTGCTAAATAAGCTGCACAATGTAACAGAATAGGGAAATACATGGAATGTTCCTCCAGGTAGTCTAAAGATAATAGAGCCTTCAAAGCACTTGGCAATAACTGATCAATTTGACTAGACAGTAAATTCTTCATGGTTAAAATATGTTCATGTCATTTAGAACTCTGATTGCTCCCCTTTAAAAGAAATCTACCTCTGCCCTGTCTGGTTGCATAATGTTTATTATCCTTTTTTTCCCCCAAAGAAAATTATCGCATAATGGAGACACATTCTCACCTTCCTTTTGCTTATTCACGATTGACACATAATAATTGTACATACTTACGGGGTACAACATGATGTTTCAAAACGTGTAAGTAGTGCACGATCAAATCAGAGTGATCGGCATTTATCATATATCATTTCTTCGTGATGAGATCATTCCTAAACGTCTCTCCTAGCTAGCTTTAAATATGCAATGCATTATTGTTAACTCTAATCACCCTACACTGCAATAGACGACCAGAACTTATTGCTCCTATCAAATTGTAGCTTCGTAGCCATTGACCAAGTGCCTACTATCTCCCCTCCCCCTCTGCTTCATATCTTCTGGTAATTATTATTCTTCTGCTCTCTACTTCTATGAAAGCAACTTTTTAGATTCCATATGCAAGAGATCATACATTTGTCTTTCTGTGTCTGACTTATTTCACTTAACCTAATGCTCCCCAGGCTTATCCATGTTGTCACAAATGACAGAACTTTAATTTTTTAATGGTCAAATAATATTTCATTGTGTATATAGACCAAATTTTATTTATTCATTCATCTGTTGATAGACACTTAGGTTGATTCCATATCTTAGCTATTGTGAGTAGTGCTGCAATTAACATAGGAGTGTATTTTCAACCTATTGATTTCATTTACTTTGGATATATACCCAGTACTAGGATTGCTGGATGACCTTCCTTTGTGAATCATAGGGAAATGCCCAACACCCTTAAGGCGGCTCCCATCTCACAGATGTGAAAACTGAGACCTAGATCAATCCAGAGATGACAGAATGCTATTGACTGAGCAAGCCCTGATGGAAGCATTGTGCTGGCTGCTTGCACATGCCTGGGTCACCTAATCCAATCCTTGCAGCATCCTTGTACAAGAAAGTTAGGTATTTTGTCTTTATTTTTATAGATAAGATCACAGCAGCAAGTGGCAGGGCTAACATCAAACACGGTTCTACTGAGACACACATCTGCTTCACACTGATTTTATCATGGAAGCTGTTGGCCGCCAAACCCACAATGTGTTTCATTTAGATAAATAATATTTGCCTCCCAGACATGCATGGTATGCTGCCTGCTTATGCCCTCATGATTTCTCCAAAATTGTTTTTCTTCTAGTGACTATCCAAACGAAAAAGTTTAGTTTCTTGTCATCACCGAAAGATCATTTTTAGCTTCTTTGCATGTCATTAGGATGAGTTTCTATCTGATTGCAATTAAATTGTGCTCAGCAACAAACAGAACAAAGAAAGTGAAATTTTATTTGTGTCTTTCCCAGATGTGGGGATTTTGAGGTACAAACAGTAACTTATTTGAGAAGATCCTTCTTTTATCTTGCTTGTGCCATAATCCAAACACATTTACTTTAATTTGGAATTGTTTTACGTGGCTACTTTTTTGAAATGTGAAGGTAAATCTTTAAGTTTGAAACTGCCTGAGAAACCTCTAATAGCACACTTTATTGAGCAAGGAAAGCAGATAGAGTGCACACAATACTTGTGCCAGTTTTTATTATTGACAGGCCAGTTATTCATGAAATACACAGGCCAATAGAGAAGCCCCAATGAAACTATTTTCATGTGCGTGTGTGTGTGTGTGTGTGTGTGTGTGTGTGTGTGAAATATATATCATTCACTGAGAGCCAACTGTATCTCTACCACATGTCACATGCTCATATATGTCATCTGAAAGCCTCACTATTATATGTGTCATCACTACTTAATATCTGCAGATATTCATATACATTCCCAGAAATCCTTACTAGGAAACTGCAGGGTAGATGTGAAAGGGATGTTGGGGGTTAAAGGCTATAGAAGACAAACTGCACCAATAAAAGTATATAAGGCATTGATGGGTCTGGTCTTACATGGTAATTTTTATGTTTTTTTTTTTTTACTCTGTTTCATTAAGTCAAAAAAATGCACTTATCACATGAAGACAGTTAACCAAAATAATGTAATAAGTGAGAGCGTAAAAAAAATTCCACTTAGAAAAAAAAACGCTTCTTATATTTTGGATAAGCCATTTTAAAGCCACTCTAGTCATTTTCGTCTTCTTACTTTTCATCATGTTTTTGTGTTTTGGGTGCCTGGGATCCCATTCATGAGTCCTTAGTTACTTGAAACTTGTGATTTAGTCAAGGCTGAGTTAAAGTACAGATCATATAGGTTTCTTTAAATTCTCATTTTTATATATACTTTGCCTAAAGTAGCATTGCAGTAAAGAAGGAAGGTTTTATTATGAAGGTACTGTTTCAATTTTAGGTTTGAGACAACTCAGAAAATTTAGTGGTAAAAAACAAAATGCACTTTAAAAATATTTTGATAGTAAACTTGACTTCTAACACCAATTGAGAAACCCAAATCCAATTTTCTGAAGCCTCAGATTAAATATTTCTTTTTAATTATCCTTAATTATTTCTGGAAAATAGCCAGCTGTAACCTTGTTCACCTTAAGATGTTCATGAGAAGTGGCCACTAGTAGAAAATATGTCAGAGTAAATAGTCTGTCTCTCATTATGGGAACACCAAATGTATCAAAGAGAGAAAGTCTGAAAGCATTTTAGCTTCAGTTTCAAAAGGAAAAAAATAGGCTTTCCTTTGAGCTACTTATTTCTGTTCTAGCAATTCTTTGGAGCATGATATGGTTAGGCTTTGTTTCCCCACCCGAATCTCATCTTGAATTGTACCATATGTCCAGGGAGAGACCTGGTAGGAGGTGATTGGATCATGGGGGCAGCATCCCACATGCTGTTCTTGAGATGGTGAGTGAGTTCTCATGAGATCTGATGGTTTATAAGTGTCTGACAGTTCCTCCTTCACACACGCACTCTCTCACCTGCCGCCATGTAAGACATAGCTCTTCCCCTTCCACCTTGATTGTAAGTTTCCTGAGGCCTCCCCAGCCATGAGGAACTGTGAGTCAATTAAATCTCTTTTCTTAATAAATTATCCAGTCTCAGGCAGTTCTTTATAGCAGTATGAGAACAGATGAATATAGAGTACATCATTGAGAGGCTGCTTTATATGTTCACTCATCTATTAATTAATTAAATGAGCATTTATTGAGGATCTAAAATTAGCTAGACATTAGAAATATAAAGAAGAATAAAAAACAAAAGATCACTCCCAGGAGCTCATATGGTCTGTTAGTGAAAGTGGTTACATAAACAAGTAAGAGCAATTGAATGTCACTCTGCATTGTCACATTCTGTTTATTTCATTAGTAACAGTTATAACAACTGGAAATTTTCCAGTTTGTTTGTCTCTCTCATTAGATTTTAAGTGCTTTGAGGGTGGGGATCTGGCACATTTTAGTCACCCTATAAGAATGAATTTAATAAATAGAGTACTATAAAGTAGAATAAGGGTTTCTTGCAGAGGAGAACTCTAGAGCCCTTAAATTAAGGCTATCTGGGGCTTTTGATATTTCTGGCTACTCTCTCTTGATGCTTATTCCTTTTTTTTTTTTTTCTTTTTTGAGACGGAGTCTTGCTCCATCGCCCAGGCTGGAGTGCAGTGGCATGATCTCAGCTCACTACAACCTCCACCTCCCTTGTTCCCTGGTTCAAGCAATTCTCCTGCCTCAGCCTCCTGAGTAGCTGGGATTACAGGTGCACACCACCATGTCCAGCTAATTTTTTTGTATTTTTAGTAGAGACAGGGTTTCACCATGTTGGCCAGACTGGTCTCAAACTCCTGACCTCAGATAATCCACCTGCCTCAGCCTCCCAAAGTGCTGGGATTACAGGCATGAGCCACCGCGCCCAGCCTCTTGATGCTTATTGCCAAGGATATAGCTATCCCACGTCTGCCTCTTCTAGCTTCACTCTCAATCTGGTGCCGTTGACAAAACTGCCTGCAGTGAACTCTCAAAAACATGAGAATGATGTGGATGCCAGCCTTCACAGGATGCTTTTTTCACTGTGGACCTCTGAGCCCAACAGAACACTGTGAAGGAGCTGGAACACTGAGTTTAGATTGGAGATTCCAGCTGGGAATCTCAACTCTTTCACTTACTGGAGTGAGCAAATTAACAATCCCTCTCAACCTCAGACTTCTATGAAATGGATTAAAATATCTTTCCTCATAACGTAGATATTTGTAAAATACTTGGAATTTAATGTGTGCTAGTTGAATGCACATATGGAAAGCCAATATTTATAACTTATCCTATTTTCTGAGACTTTAATTCCTTGTAAGTCATTCCTCCAAATGCTTGCTAGAACTCAGACCTTAGGACTTTTGTTTGCCTACATTGCTGTTGCTGGATGTTAGTGAAGGGATTCGAAGCCCTCCTTCAACCAAAGGGGAACTGGGAAGTATCTGTGTGTATGACCTGGATGCTCCAGGAAAGTGGGAGAAGGAGGCCAGGCTACCAGTCACAGCCTCATGAGACTGTTGGTACTGCTTCTGCTATGAGTCATAAACTGTCCTGCATCTGTGGCATCTCTGAACTCCCCAAGCACCAAAGGTAATAATAATAAAAAAAGCAAGAGATAATGGAATCTTTGGGTTAAATTTAGTGATAATCTGAGAATAATATTTCATTGTGGAAGTTACAGAAAGCATTTTTGGCCGGGCATGGTGGCTCACGCCTGTAATCCCAGCACTTTAGGAGGCTGAGGCGGGTGGATCACAAGGTCAGGAGATCGAGACCATCTGGCCAACGTGGTGAAAACCCTTCTCTACTAAAAATAAAAAAGTTAGCTGGGCGTGGTGGCACATGCCTGTAATCCCAGCTACTCGGGAGGCTGAGGCAGGAGAATCACTTGAACAAGGGAGGTAGAGGTTGCAGTGAGCTGCTCCACTGCACTCCAGCCTGGGCGACAGAGCGAGACTCCGTCTCAAAGGAAAAACAAAAACAAAAACAAACAAAAAAAAACCCCCAGCATTTTGTATGTTTGTTTTTTGGGCTAGTTTATAAAACTAATTATGGGAGAAACACAGTGGAAGTCATTAATGAGAAAGATCAAGCTAAATGCTGACAATAATTCTCTTCATTTGAGGTCATTGATTTAAACTAATTTGCTGTAAAAAAAAAAATCCAAGTTGAGGGTTTGCGAGACCTTTTTCTGCCAAGCTTCTTAACTTCCTTTGTGAATGGCAAAGGATGATTTGATTGATTTACTGTTTACAAACATTCATTTGTTTCTAGCAAAGACCGCGTGTGATACTGGATCTAGCCACTTCCAACGCAAGTACAGTTATGTCTCACTTAATAATGAGAATACGTTATAAGAAATGCATCATTACATAATTTCGTCATTGTGTGAACATCATAGAGCATACTTACACAAACCTAGAGGGTGTAGCCTACTACACACTTAGGCTATATGATATAGCCCATTGCTATACTGGAAATAGACAACCTATTGTATGAGTATCGCAGGCAATTGTAACACAGTGGTAAGTATTTGTGTATCTAAACAGAGAAAAGGTATAGTAAAAATGTGGTATAAAAGATAAGAAATGGTAGACCTATGCAGGGCACTTACTATGAGTGGAGCTTGCAGGACTGGAAGTTGTTTTGGGTGAGCCAGGGGAGTGGTGAGTGAAAGTTTAGGCCCAGAACATTACTGTAAACTCCTGTAGACTTTATACACACTGTACATTTTGGCGACATTAAATTTATAAGAATATTTTTTCTTCAGTAATAAATTAACGTTAGCTAATTATAATTGTTTTACTTTATAAACAATTATTGTTTAAACTTTTGACTCTTTCATAATAACCACACTTAGCTTAAAACACATACATTGTACAGCTGTACAAAAATATTTCCTTTCTTCATATTCTTATTGTATTTTTTTTTCATTTTACTTCTTTATTTTTACTTTTAAAGAGTTTTGTTAAAACAAAGACACAAACACACACATTAGCCAAGGCCTACCCCAGGGCCAAGATCATCAGATCTTCCACCTCCACATTTTGTCCCACAGAAAGGTCTACAATGTCACTAAGGTGGTATAAATTTTTAGTTTAATTATAATCTTATGGGACCATCATCATACATGTGGTCTGTTGTTGACCAAAGCATCATTATGCATTGCATGAGTATTCTTTATTTTAAAAAGCCGTCATGAAACAAGACATATAGCAGGTTTGTTTGTTTGTTTGTTTTTTGAGACGGAGTCTCGCTCTGTCCCCAGGCTGGAGTGCAGTGGTGCCATCTCGGCTCACTGCAACCTCCGCCTCCCCAATTCAAGCAATTGTACTGCCTCAGCCTCCCAAGTAGCTGGGACTACAGGCACACACCCCCATGCCCAGCTAATCACATAGCAGTTTTTAAGACTCATTTGCTTCCAGTGCCAAAATAGAGTACTCTTTATGCTTGATATATTTTCAGCAAAATAAACCTGCACTTATCTTTTCCTTCTCAAATGATGTCTTTTGTGTAAGAAGTTGGTATTCAGGTCTAGTTTGCAGGAGCAATCTATCTCCAAATGCCTTTATTCCCCAAATTGGATCTACGTATTCCATATCCCTTGCCTGTGCTTAGCATAAAATGTAATAAATTAAGGGATAAGACTTGAGTTCAAGTCCACCTAATCCTTCTATGATATTGGACAGGTTAATTGATCTCTCTGATCATGAATTTCCTAGCAGAATTTTTGTGCAGATTAAATATACAGTATTCATAAAGGCATAGCATATGTAATACAGTATATGTAGAAGGCATAGCATAAGTATGTTCCAAACAGACTCTGTGGCAAAGATTATGGAGCAAGTGATTTATTGAGAAAGTGTTCCCAGGAGAAAGGAGTAACAGAGTGTGGAGAAAAGTCAAGCAAGGATATAATTTCAGGCACAGTCCCAGTCTCAGAGTGATCCTGCAGAAAGGAAATGTCTTGTGCCAATTATGCTCTGGATTTTGTTGTGACTTAAGGCAAGAGAGCTAGGCTGTCTTCCTCCCTCAACTAATCAATCTGGCTAGAAGATATTATGAAGCTGTAAACTCTCAAGCACGTCCCACTCTCTGCCTCTTGGACACAGGGGTTCCATCAATGCAAGGGCCATCCTTGCTCCCAAGCTGAGCCACAGATGCAGGCCATTAGATGAAGGAAGAGCTTAGCAAGGCAGCAAAAGGCACTAGAAAATGTAAACAGGAATCTCAGGGAATATGAGCAGAGCACCAACAGTACCCACTACAATCGTACATTATAAAGCCTCAATAAATATGAATTTCCTTTCCTTTCTTTTCCTAAACAGTCTCCACTATGTCATATATACTTGTCTCCTAGTTAATGAAGACTCAAGGTCAAAAATGGCATAATTTTTGGTTGTCCAATGGCTAGACCTCACCAGCAATGAAAATTTGCTAGGCCCAAAGGAATATGAAACATGAGCCATAACTTGTGAAACGAAGATTGTTATGTATTTGTAGATTGCTGTAAATCTCAGAGCCACACAGGAGTGGTAGGACAAAGCTAGTAAAGATAACAATTGCTTGTTATTGTTGCTACAGAGAACAATGGTGACTTCAACCACTCTACTTTTTCATTTGAATGATTAGTAGGATGTCACATTCTAATCCTAAAATATTTTTCATATATATTAAAATTAGCCTTGGAAATTGCAGGCAATGCCAAAGATGCGTTAGAAACTAGCAGTTCTGACAAAATCATCAAAGGCAACTGTTCTTCAGTGTATTTAAGATTAAAATAAGAACCAACTAGCAATTTAGATCAGAAATGAAGCTTGGTGCTCTCCCCCAAAACATTGCATCCCAGAATCTTTCCACAACTGCCAGCCTGGACTCATGTCCATTAAAAGCAAATGTAGTTGAGAGGCAAGGATAAGAGAAGGAAATTGCTTTGGATCCTTATTGGGTTGTCTTATCAATCATGCTGGATGGTAAAGTGCTGTCACGTAGGCATCTGCCTCTGGGCTCTGCAAAATTGACAGTAAGAAAGAACTGTCAGTGATCCATACCCTAGGGGGCAGGACAGCTGTCCAGCAATGTACGTTTCTGCAGGTGTAAACCATGTCTGAAAGCACCACGTTACCTAACTCCAAGAGCTGTCATTCAAGCAAAAGGAAATATTTCCCCAAGCTGTGTTTACCGGGCTGAGTTTTAGGAAGCGACATTTACTTTTAATTAATTCAGTAACTCTTTTCCCTGGCATGTAATCTCCACAAACAATTAGGATAACAGATGGAACTCACACTAAGCCTTGAAAATTAATGGGCCCCTTCATTGGTGACTGACAGAAACCATCACTTCAACCATCATTCGACCATCATTTCTCAGGCTGTCCCCAGTCACCCAGAACTCAACTTTGGGAAGTATCACAGGCTACCATGCTAAGGAAGACCAGGGGAAAAGACAAGGGTGCCCCAGTCATAGGGCATTAGAGATCTTGGCTGAAGCTAAAGACCATTCCAATCATATTCACTCTGCATTTGAAAGGAGAAACAAAACAGAAAGAACATAAGGAGGCCAGAAAGAACATTTTCAACACAGCTTGGGTTATTTAAGAAGCAAACTACATCCTTCCATACAGCTAAACCCTCCAGGCTGATTTGTTTTCAATACTGATCTGTAAACAAATACCAATGATTCTCTTGATGAAGCTTCAGGGTTATATATAATTCACTTTGGCTCTGTTCTCTGCTAGAATTCTAGGGTTTAGGGGGAAGGAACTCTTCTATAAGTGTGCACTGAATCCTAATAATGAGATGTAAAAAATTTCTTTCTTTTCTCCTCTGCCAACTGCTTAGGTTTTATACTTAAAACAGATTTTTCAATGTCTCTCTCTTTTTTGTGTGTGCTATAGCCCTTTTTGCAAATATTTAAAATATTAATTACTTGGAAAATCAAATAGAATTATATTTATCATGTAATTATGTGTATATAACACTTGCAATACACGCAGAAAAATATTTTTAACATAAATTCATTAGCTTTTGCCAGAGAGACCATATGCGGTTTTCTTCAGAACCTGCACAATAAGTACAAGTCAATATCTTCCACTGTTTGTGATTTTCATATAAGCAGAATGCTTGCTTATTACTATAAAGTTTGTTGCTGGAAATAGTTTTCCAACATTACCATTAAAATACATATTGGCCCAATATTTAAATTAAATGATAGTTGCTTCAAAATTCTTCTTTTTATAGAAGACTTTATATAGAGAGTGTCTATAATCATGGCCTCAATCATTCATTCAGTAAATTTTTATCAGGTACCTACCATACCTGACATATGTTTGATACTAATATTGTCACCTTTTCTGAATTCCATGTTCATACTTTCATGGTTTTCACTGTCTCCTCTGACTCTATCCTTCTTTAAGAGAATCAGCTATAAAAGTTATGTGAGGACATAACACGAAGAGTATGCATGCCCCTAGGGCCAAGATGCAATAGACCGATGGATATTTACTAAAGGTTTCCTTTTATCCCTAAAGGGCTGAGTTCTCAAAAAACATAGCCCTGCTTGACTTTTGAAGAGTTTACTTATTAATGATGGTCAAAATTCTAAACCTGATGGCTATTCCTTGTAAATGGAAAACCTATGAAGAATTTTCTACTCTTCTATCAAATGTAGCTGTTAAATGTATCTAGGATAAAAAGAGTTCATACTTGTTTTGTGGAGATCAGAGAGATACTAAGAGGAAGATAGACAGGGATGAGTTCTTATGTGGAATGGGTCAAAGCCTACTTGTAGAAAATTTAAAATCTTAAGATTAACATAATTCAAGATCTCAGTTGTCCAGTGGTTTAAATTTTATTTATTTATTTATTCATTCATTCATTTTGTTATTAGTAGTAGTAGAACACTTTCTTCCTAAGAAAGCCTCCTAACTGTCTAATATCTAAAAAAGTAAACCTGAGTTTTTCCAGTTCAAAGAGGAGAGAGGAGAAAAGGGAGAGTATAGAATCTGCCTTAGACCTTGTTCCACTCCTTCCCTTGCTTCTCCCTCACAGGTAGGGAGGTGAGTCTCTGCAGAGTCTATTTTCTTAAAGTCTCACCTGATGTGAAATCTCTGAACAGCATCATTGGTGAATGGCTGTTCAATTTCTGCTTGATTACATGTAATGACAACGAGCTCGTTGCTTAGCCTGTATCACTTTTCCCCAACTCTAAGATAGTTGTCAAGGTTTCCTGAACTATCATTAATTACAAATCACCAGCCCAGGAGAGATTTTCAGTACAAACGGGATCAGAAATAATGTTTGACCATGTTTACGCATTCTCAGTTCACAAAACCCACTAGAAGCTTAAGCATGAGGCAGCAATTTTTTTTCTAGGACTTTCTGGGCTCTCTAAAACAGGTTCAGGAAGTTTTCTATGAAAAGTTTATACAAAGAAATATATTCCTTGAATAACATCAAGAATGCCAGATTCAACCTCAAAAGAATGTTTGCTCTGAGTCATATGTTCTTTGAAAAGGCTTGGTATTAGAGGGGTTATAAGAAAAATGCCAATAACAGACCCTTAGCAAGCAAACTTGTGCAGAAAGGTTGATTGTTCAAGAGGAAAGTACATTCCAAATGCAATATTTATATATTCCCCAGCTCTCCAGACAACACCCCCATTGGGTATTGACTCTTCTCAGCCTCTAAGCCCAGCGCAAACACAACACAAAACAGTCCATGTCAAGTAGAAGCCATCCGGGCTCATGTAAGAAAGAAATAGAAAAGCTTTCTTTATCCTTTGTTTCTTTGAGAAGCTATGTGAGTGAGCGATATCTTTAAAGTTTCCAGGAGGACAGTTACACAGAGGATACAAGCAATGTTTGAAATTTTCCTGTCATTCCTCATCTGCCATGTCTTGGTGTGAGGCCCTTCGAGGCTGTTCTCTGTGTGCAACATTGAGCACGTCTAGTGGCTTTGCTGCTTGTTGACATAAATAATTTCATTGGGACACAGCCACACTCATTCATTTACATATTGTCTTTTGTGTTACATTGCAGAATTGAGAAATTACAACAGATACCTTACAGCTCAAAATTCCTAAAATATTTTCTATCTGGCATTTTATAGAAAAGCTTTGCTTTAGAAGTTGTTATCAAGAGAATTCAGCATAAAACAAAAAGCTAGCGATGTAGAGTTGGCCGGAGGGACCAGACTACATAACTCGAATTTGTATGAAGTTAGCTTTTCAATGGATCCTAAAATTCATTTAGCCCAAGGCATTTCATTTTCCATTTGAGGAAACTGAAGTCAAAAATGAGAGCAGATGAGCTCACAGCCAAGCCAAGGGGATATTGTACAGTGGAGAGAAGCCTTCTTTGCATGTGTAACAACAAAAAAGACACACCTCTATATCCCTTAGATCAAAATTCACCCAGAGATTTGAATTTTACAGAATGTCACAGTATAACAGCATTTAGTCTCTTGTTTGTTTTACCAATCTGAATTCATGGAGTAAAGGTAAAAGATAGCAATCAAACAATAGAAGCAACTGAAGAATGGAAATTGACTAGGTTTTGCCACTCACTGTGATTTGTAAATTATTTAACATCTCTCTAAACATTAATTTATCACAAAAATGGGTACAAAAATAGAAGCTACTATTTCATAAATGAAAGATGTCTGGCACAGAGTGAGGATTCAATGGATCTCAAATAAAAAATTAACGAGTGTTTCATTAAGGCATGCCAGACTCTATGACAAGCACGTAGGTGCAAGGAACTTGGGAAGTAATTCCAGAAAGCCATGTGAAGAAGTGGGAATGGGGAACAAGGAAGAGAGGAAAGCTAAGGAAGGTTGTATAGTCATGGGAGGCGTAGTCTTTTGAGGACCCTCTTGGAGACCAGATGGAAGATGGAACCTGACCCTGAAATGGACAATTCCTATCTTTTGTTGGATGAGGGTTGCTTCTATGCCATGCTCTCTCCTTTGAAGGTGTTTCTCTGGGCCTGGGGAACACCCTCAAGCAGAGCCATGGACAGCTGTAGCTCTGAATGAGACTATCTTTCATGGCTTCCAGAGTGGGTCAAGGGGACATGGTCAGGACATCATATTTCTGCTACAGTAAACAAATACACAAATCATACTGAAGTCTGATTTATCCTCGTTCCGCTACACAAATTCTAAACCACAAGCCTATCAATTTAGTACTGATTATGAACTATACACTTCATTGAGCTTCTGAGATTTTTCTCAAAGTCTGGTAATTTATTGTTATTATTAGTGTTATAAGTTATAATGATGATGATGATAAAAGCAACATGCGTAAGTCCTGAACACTTCTAGTTAAACAAAGCATTTCTGAAGTCAATCAGTGTGGTATGGTTTGATTAAAAGTAAGAAACAGTTTGTTAAACACCTTAGATCAGTGGTCCCCAACATTTTTTGGCACCAGAGACCAATTTCATGAAGGCACTTTTTCCATGGACGTGGGGAGCAGCGGATGGTTTTGGGATGATTCAAGCACATTACATTTATTGTGCACTTTATTTCTGCTATTATTACATAGTAATATATAATGAAATAATTATACAACTCACATAATATAGAATGAGTAGGAGCCATGAGCTTGTTTTCTTGCCACTAGATAGTCCCATCTGAGGGTAATGGGAGATGGTGACAGATCATCAGGCATTAGATTCTCATAAGGAGCACACAACCGAGATCCCTTGCATGCACAGTTCACAATAGGGTTCACGCTCCTAAGAGAATCTAATGGTGCTGCTTATCTGACAGGAGGCAGAGCTCAGGCAGTAATGCAAGCCATGGGGAGCTGCTGTAAATACAGAAGAAACTTTGCTTGCTCGCCTGCTACTCACCTCTTACTGTGTAGCCCAGTTTGTAACAGGCCACTGACAGGTTCCAGTCCATGACCGAAGGGTTGGGGACCCCTGCCTTAGATAGCAAAGGGAGTCTCCAACTGAACTATTTTTTTAAATAACTCCAAGTTTTGTTTTTATCAAGAGAACTCAATATTGAGTGTTTTGGACATAGAAGAAACTGTTCAAACTATTGAGACTAAGGTTTTTTGTATAGTAGGGATTCAAGTAAAACACCAATGGAAACATTGAAATGGAAAGAGTCATTATTTTATTACATTAAGTCAAAGGCCTCTATGCAGTTAAAGGCTCTCAAGTTGGTGTAGGAGCATAAAGGTCAACATGGGCCACTCACCTTCCATAATGATGCTCAACAACCAGTGCAAATAGACATGATGCTGACAGCAACCTCTTTTAAAGAGTCAAGTAGTGTCCAACAACAGAGGCCCAGATGGCAGGTAGTGCACTCAACAGCTTCCCTCCAATGGTGTCGTTGGTGATAGACAACTCTTGGACTTTACAGGACAGAAAGCATTTCCACCCACCTAATTGGCAACCTCTACTTCCCAAAAGTAATTCTAAAGTGCATTTTTATCCATATCCAGTTTTGACCAGATCATTTAATAGTCCATAACTTAGAATTTGCAGCCAGTAGCATAGGTTGGCTGTGGGACATTGGAGAAACTAACAATTACTGCACTGTTAGTACATCATAGAAAGTGTCCTACATGTTTCAGATATTATCACTTCTACTGCTCAGAGCAATCTTATGAGGTAGGAACGAATATAACAACTTTGCACTCAGGAAACCTAATGTTTGGGAAAAAAATTAAGTCAGAGCCCCTGATCAGCTGTGTGTCCTTGGGTAGATTTCTTAGTGTCTCTATACTGTCTTCACTTCAATATTGAAGTTACCCTCATCTTAGAAAGAAGGTGATCTCATAGATTGATTTAACAAATGTAGGCTTCTCTTAGAAAGGCTGCATTTACATTTTAAACGTATAGATAATTAAGTCAAATCTATTCTTGGTAGAATGTTTGTGTCTCAAGTTGGGAAGCATTTTGAAAAAAAGAGGAATTTATATTGCTCTTAGACTGTGACAAAAGGAATATAATTCAGTGGTTAGCCACTCATGCTCCACACAAGAGCACAGGCCTGGTTACTATGGAAATACTTTAGGTAGAGCAACATGAAGTTCACTAGATAATTTAGAATGCTTTGGGTTTCTTCCAAACTACATTGGTTGGAATGATCTTGCATCCATCATATAGAATCTCTATCCTTCCCAACTTAGACATGGTGAGTTTTTAAAAATTACAGCCCATCATTCTATGCCTGCACTTTTTGCATTGTCTTGCATTGGTTGGTTTCCATATCATCTTTCCCCACCAGATTGTGTGTTCCTATGTTGTATGGATTTTCCTATCACTGGCATCTAGCAGTCATGTAACACATATTAGAAGGTACTAAGTATTTTGCTAAATAACCTATGCCAGGATGGAAGGAAGGAAGAGAGTGTGGGAGGCAATGGTTACCTGCAACCATCTCACTAACTGCCTCTGGGAATCATGTTTACTTTTCACTCCTTTACTACAGTACATTGGATCAGGAACATGTTAATTCAAGGAGACTCTATGATTTAGAGGAGTGAATAAAACATATTGGAAGCCAGAGGAATATGGAAGCCAGATTATGTGAGGTCATGTGTGCAGTTTTAAGTACTTTGTCTGAGCAAGTAAAAATCAGAGGCTGTTGGAGAGTTTTGAGTAGAGAGGTGACAAGATCTGACTTCTATTTTAAAAGGTTCACTCTACTTCTTTGAAAATAGACTACAGTGGGTAGGCCAAGGATAGAAGCAAGTAGACGTGCTAGGAAGCTATTACAGAAATTCAGCCTAGGAAAGATGACATCTCTGATCAGGACAGTGACAATTGGGGGGGAGGGGAGAGATGGTGAGGTTCTGGATATGTTCTGAAGGTAGAGGCAACATAGTTCCTAATGGAGGGTCCCAGTGGTATTGGCCTGAATGACTGAAAGGATGGCACTTTCATCAACTGAAATGGGAAAACTGTGAGTAGATCTGCTTAAGGGGAAGTCAAGAATTCAGTTAAGGACACAGTGATTGTGAGATGTCTATTAGAAATCGAAGTGGCGATGTTGAAAAGGTAATTAATTATTTGTCTGGAATTTTAGAGGTTCAGACTAGAAATATAAACTGTGAATTGTCATCATGTTAAATTATTTAGAGCCATGAGGTTAGATAAGATTTTTTTAAAAAACAAAGAAGAGTGAATATACATAAATAAGAGAAGAGAACTGAGCCCTGAGACCTTCTAACAAAATTAGACAAACGGTCCTTTCCCTTGTGAATTAATGTTTTCTCTACTTCTTTTCTTCAAAGGGAAAACTAGACTTTTGCAATTAAAACAAAAGAACAATAGAAGAAGTCTTATTCAGCAATGGGATGATTTGGTGACAAAGACAAGAAGATTACATATCTTTTCATATTTTGTATCTATAATATATATATTTATAATATATATAACATACATTATATATCTGTATATTATAAATCCCAAAATTATGCACCTAAAATAAGATTATCACTGTCAAAGAAGAGCTTCTGTGGCCTCGTCTCCTTCGTCCCTGACTCTCCTGCCTCCCTTTTTTTCCCTCAGCCCCGTATCTAATCTAATGCCAAATGCTCTTGATTTAACCCAGGGGTGACGAAGTTTTTCTTAAAGCCCAAGAGAGTAAGTATTTAAGACTTCACGGGCCGCACAGCTTCTGTTCCAACCACTCTACTCTGCTGTTGTAGCCATAGACAATCCATAATAAATACGTGTGGCCATGTGCCAATAAAACTTTATTTACAATGACAGCCAACCCACAGGCCATACTTTGTTGACCCCGATTAAACCTTTCAATTTCTTTTAGTCTACCTCCATTACCGACATCTTAGTCTAATTAATCATCAGCTCTATGTCAAACTGTTCAAAAAGCTCTTAAGAAACTGATCTATCCACACCCACTGTTGATATTCCCCAATATGTTTTTCTCAACACAGTCAGAATAATCTTTTGAAAATTGAAACCTGATAAAGTTCTCGTCTGACTGAAAACCTTCAGAAATGCTTTTATAATAGAGACAAAACCCCCAAATGACCCATAGGTTTGCATCATCCAACTCTTGCCTAGGTCTCCTGCCTCATGCAAGACTGGTTGTGTTCCATGTTCCAGACACACTCACGTGACTATGACTGGCCATTGTCACCTCCACCTCAGATGCTGTTTCATATTCTTAGTCTGCCTTTACCCAGTTTTCACCTAACTGACTCTCAGCCATTGTCCTTGCAGGAAAAAGAAGGCTATATCCCAATCAGATTCTAAAAAGAAATTAATGAAGATGTTACCATGGATCCTTTTTTATTTTATTTTTATTTATTTTTATTTTTTGAGACAGTATCTTGCTCTGTCCCCCCAGGCTGGAGTGCAGTGGCACGATCTCAGCTCATTGCAACCTCTGCCTCCTGGGCTCAAACAATCCTCCCACCTCAGCCTCCTGAGTAGTTGGGATCACAGGCACATGCCACCACACCTGGCTAATTTTTATATTTTTTGTTGAGAAGGGGTTTCACCTTGTTGCCCCAGCTGGTCTCAAACTCCTGGGTTCAACCGAGCAAACTAACTTGGCCTCCCAAAGTGCTGGGATTACAGGTGTGAGCCACTGCCAGCAGCAGGACATCCCATGGACCCTTTAATCTCAAGCCATCCAGATACTAACAATAACAAGAGCTATAATAACGAGAGCTGGAACCATAAAGAGAATATGGCCAGAGCTGCTGGAGATGTACAGGCTTCTCTGAGAACTAGAAAGCCATAATTGGCATGAGGCAGAGGAAACAATATCTAGATCTCAGTCTCTGCTGTCTCCTCTGGTACTGGTACCTCCCATTGGTCAAATCTGACCAGAAACCAGAAGGCAAGGGACCCTGAGAAGTCAAGTTGCCTCATTATGGGTTATCACAGCAACTTTGTCCTTTATTACACTCTTCATGATTGTAACTTGTTTTTATTTTCAGGGCCATTAGACTAATATTTCTCTCTTTCTCTTAGAATCGGTGTTCCATGATGTCAAAGACTGTGCCAGTTTTGTTTACGTTTATATCACTGAAGCCTAATCTAGGCCTGGCATACTGAAAGAATTCAGTAAATAGTTATTAAATCATTAAAATAAATTTTAAAAACCAGTATCAGGCCGGGTGCAGTGGCTCACGCCTGTAATCCCAGCACTTTAGGGAGGCCAAGGCAGGCAGATAGCCTGGTCAGGAGATCGAGACCATCCTGGCTAACACGGTGAAACCCCATCTCTTCTAAAAATACAAAAAAATTAGCCGGGCGTGGTGGTGGGTGCCTGTAGTCCCAGCTACTCAGGAGGCTGAGGCAGGAGAATGGCGTGAACCCGGGAGGCAGAGCTGGCAGTGAGGCGAAATCGCACCACTGCACTCTAGCCTGGGCAACAGAGTGAGACTCCGTCTCAAAAAAAAAAAAAAAAAAAAAAAAAAAACAGTATCAATGAGTGACCTTTTTGCAGTTCTCTCTCTCTCTCTCTCTCTCTCTCTCTCTCTCTCTCTCTCAGTTGTTTTCACTACATGCACCATAATGGTGTTCACTTGACTTCTGGCAGCAGTTTTGTCTCTCTAAGTCACTTGCTAAACACTTGGACTAAGAATAGAATTTGGCTCCAACTGCTTTGACAATTGGCCCATCCTTACACAGGTTTCTTAACTCTTCCAGCTACTCAGTATGGTTCATCTCCTGAGTTCTGACCACCTGAGCAGGCATCTGAGCTGGACCTACCTTCTCTCTTCTTCCTCCCCTACCTCACCTGTATGGGGGTCAGACAAACCCTAAATGACAAATCATAAATTGTGACAGTTGGCAGTTTAAATGATGCTGACTATATGACTTTAGCATGTAAAATCTTACATTTTTCTTGCCTTGGGAAATTATTGATATTCTTAAAGTAAAAGCTTCTTTGACCTACTGGTAAATCTCCTCTCAGGTTCTATGTGGTCTCACAGCCTCATTCTATTTTAATGTAGTTCAATAAGCTCTACATATTTAAACAAATAAACATATTACATAAAATAAGATGATCACTTCTCCCTTTCCTCTTAAAATTTGTAAAATTAATCAATGAAAAAAATTTGATGAAGGGTTGGACACTTTAAGAAACTAACATACTTACTTGATCCAAAGATACATTTTCTAAGATTTGAGATAGAATTATTTTCTCATCAGGATAAGTCAATAACAATAGGATCTATTGAAAAAAGCAGAAAGCACAGCCCTGTATTAAGCATCTTGACATTCACTAAATGTCAGCGGGCGGAGTTGAAATTTTGAAGAGACCATTAAAGAAAACTTTCTACACAGCCTAAGTATAGCAAATTAGTACAGAGAATAATAGACTTATTGCTGGGTGTTTAATGACAATTTTAGAAACGGTTCAAACATATAGGGGTTTCATTGGAAATATATACATATGAAAATGTAAGCTTTAAAAATATTTATGTAAACTCTAATATCTGGAAGACTAAATCAGATATTTTAGTTGTTGGGGAATGACTATAAGTACGATTCAAGGTTTGCCAAAATTCCAAGAATAAAATGACTTCATAAAACATGGTACTAAATATAATTAAACATTTCACTGATGGTTTGGAAGGAACCACAGAGTCATGCCTGACTCCCATGTCAACCTCAAAAACATTAATTGCCTTGAACTAGAGAATTGGCTAAAGAGAGGACTCTGGTTGACAAGAGTGGTGGCTACTACTGATTGATACTCAAAAATTCATTGTACTAGCTAATGACGTCGCAAGGGAAAAAGCATTACTTTACTTGGTTTCAAATTATTTTAAGTTGTCTAATTTTATCACTAAAATAAATTTGTTAAATTTTGTCAGTAAAATAAATGAATTAAAATTGTGCAGCAGAAACTATGATATAAAATCACTTACTTTCTAGATAATGGGTAACTCTTTGTTTAACTGGGAATTACCAGAAGGTTTTCCAAAGCCGTTTCCCTTCTCACCCACAGTGTATGAGGGTTCCAATTTCTTTGCATGCTTCCCAGTACTTGTTCTTCTGTGCTTCTCATTATGGTCATCCTACTGAGTGTGAAGTGCTAACTCATTGTGATTTTTCTTTTTTCGTTTTTTTTCAGACAGAGTCTCACTCGGTTGCCCAGGCTGGAGTGCAGTGGCAGGATCATAACTCACTGCAACCTCAAACTCCTGGGTTCAAGTGATCCTCCTACCTTAACCTCCTGAGTAGCTAGACCTACAGGCGTGCACCACCATGCCTGGTTAACTTTTTAATTTTTTTGTAGAGATAGGGTCTCAAATTCCTGGCCTCAAGTAATCCTCCTGCCTGGGCCTCCCAAAGCACTAGGATCACAGGTATGAGCCACTGTGCTTGGCCCTCATTGTGAGTTTGATTTTCATTTTCCTAATGGTTTAAATATGTTGAGCATCTTTTTAGGTGCATATTGGTCATTTGCATACTTTTGGAAGAAATTTATATTCAGATCCTTTCTTAATTTTTCAATTGAGTGATCTTTCTTTTGATTATTAAGCTGTAGAAATTCTTTATATATTTTGGATAAAAGTCCTATGTCAGATAAATGATTTACAAAAATTTTTCCCCATTTTGTGGGTTGTCTTTTCACTTTCTGCTAGTGAATTTTTTATTTTGGTTATTATATTTTTCAATTCAAGCATTTCCAGATGGTTCTTTTTAAAATAATGTCTATATCTTTATTGATATTCTCTCTTTGCTGAAACGTTGTTGTCATGGCTTTCTCTATTTCTATAAGCATGATTTCATTTAGGTCTTTAACTATATTTATAATGACTACTAGTTAATGTCTTCATTGTTTTATATTGCCTTTCCTGAGGCATTCATTTTCTTATTCAAATTTTATGGGGTAATTATGGGATAAAAACTTATCCCAGCACTTTGGGAGGCCAAGGAGGGTGGATCACCTAAAGTCAAGACTTCGAGACCAGCCTGACCAACATGGTGAAACCCTGTCTCTACTAAAAATACAAAAATTAGCCAGGCATGGTGGTGTGTGCCTGTAATCCCAGGTACTCAGGAGGCTGAGGCGGAATTGCTTGAATCTGGGAGGTGGAGGTTGCAGTGAGCCGAGATCACACCACTGCACTCCAGACTGGGCGAAAAAGCAAGACTCCATCTCCAAAGAACAAAAACAAATACAAAAACAAAAAAACTTATAGGATAGCAGTATAAGACACATTAGATGATGATTAGGATCATTTGAAACAAATAATTTGTGATTCTTAAAGGACAAAATAAAGTTTAGAACTCATTGATAATAACTTTAGTAAGGATTAGATGAATACTTTTTGAATTTCCTTTATTGTATTATTGTTAATATACTATTTCTGGCATGCATCAGAAAGAAATCAAATTTTCTTGCTCATATGTTCTAATTCTAGATTTAAATTCCTGTGGATTTTCATCTCATGCTAAGGGGTGACAAAATCAGTGCAAAGGCACCACCTTGTATATAGCCAAAACAGTAAAAGTTATCTTGAAAATACTTGAAGTATTAACCCGCCACCCCTGGCTATAATATGGTTTTGCATCGGCAGATCTTTTTAATAGCATCAAATGAAATGTTTGGATTGTGCTTAAAGGTTATGCAATGGAAAAAAGAATGGGTTTGAGTTTGTTTTTAAGATGCTTACACAGAATAAATGTACATCATCTGTGTGCACAGCTGATGTGATTTTATGAATTGTGAGGTTTTGCTGCATTCTTCTATGGTCAGGAGTGTCATAACAAAATGTGGAATGACTAAGAAAATTGGAACAGCAATTGAAATTAATTTAAGCAGCTTAAATACACACTTACTTGCTGCATAACAATGCTTGGGTCAACAATGAACTGAAAATACAATGGTGGTCTCAAGGTTTTAATGGAGCTGAAATATTACTATCACATATGAAATTGTAGCCGCCATAACATCATAACTCAGTGTTTTTGGTGATGTTGGTGTAAAAAAACCTACTGTGCTGCCAGTCTGATCAAAGCATAGCACACACCATTATGCACAATACATAATATTTGCTAATGATAATACATGACTTTATTACTGGTTTATGTACTATACTATACTATACTATACTATACTATACTATACTATACTATACTATACGATACTATACTTTTCATTATTATTTTAGAGCATACACCTTCTACTTATTTTTTCAAAAGGGAGGTAACTGTAAAATAGCCTCAGGGAGGCCCTTCAGGAGGTCTTCCAGAAGAAGGCATTGTCATCATAGAATACGACAGCTCCACAGGTGTTATTGCCCCTAAAGACCTTCCAGCAGGACAAGATGTGGAGGTGGAAGACAGTGATATTGATGATCCTGGCCATGTATAGGTCTAGGCTAATGTTGTGTTTGTGTCTTAGCCTTTAACAAAAATTTCTTTTTAAAGTAAAATAATTAATAGAAAAAATTTTATAGAATAAGAATATAAAGAAAGAAAACATTTTTGTACAACTATACAATGTGTTTATGTTTTAAGCTAAGTGTTATTACAAGAGTCAAAATGCTTTTAAAAAATTAAAAAGTAACAAAGTTGCAAGTAAGCTAATTTATTATTGAACAAAGAAATTTTAAGTTAAATTTAGGGTAACCTCTGTGTACAATGTTTATTATAAAGTCTTCAATGTTTATAAAGTAATATTCACTGACCACTCACTTAATGACTCACTCAAAGCAACTTCCAGTCCTACAAGCTCCATTCACAGTAAATGTGCTATACAGGTGTATTATTTTTGGACTTTTAGATAGTATTTGTACTGTACTTCTTCTATGTTCAGGTATGTTAAAATACACAAATACTTAAAATTGTGTCACAGTTGCCTATAGTATTCAATACAGTAACATGCTGTACAGGTTTGCAGCCTAGGAGCAATAAGCCATATCACATCGTGTAGGTGTGTAGTCGGTTATGCCTTCTAGGTTTGCGGAAGTACACTCCGTGATCTTCACACAACAACAGAATCCCCTAAGGACACATTTCTCAGAATGCATCCTCATCCTTAAGCAAAGCATGACTGCATTTAAAAGTCTTAGCAAGTTTCTGTAGAGATTCTCATTCTTGACCTACTCAAATTGTCTAGTCTCAGGAAGGCAATTTGGGAACTCTTCCTCCCAACTTCTCCTTGGCTTTGCTACTTAACCATACAAGTTATTTTATTCATTTCTTTAAAATTGTCTCTATTCATTCACTCAATCTTTGCATAACCATCTGGAAGAGTGAATCATGATAATAGTTCCAATTTACCTTATAATCTTGATCATGAAAAATAATGCAATGAAAGTTTGAAAACTACCCTATTTTCTTCTGGATACCAGATTCCTGAAGTAATTGTTTTTAAAAAGCAAGCTCATATAGCCGAAGAATGGCGATATCGTCAAGCATCTAGAGAAAAACTCTGTGTACCCTGAAGATCGTGTCCTTTTAGGGTGGGTACGTCATGAAGTTTGGTAAATCTAGGGTGCAGAGGGTGTTTACCTATCTACAGGCAGAAGAGGGAGTATCATCCCAAATAGTTTCTGTTTGAAGTTGAGGGTGCATATCGCTAAAGATGCTTGGCACATCGCACTATTTGTTACTTTGTTGATTAATATTTACTGGTGGAATGGGGAGCAGCCTTAGATGATTGTAGGAGGAATTTGTGGATATTGAAGAAACGTGAGCATCCCTAGAGGATAACAATGTAGCAGCACCTGTGTCTTTCTCAGATAATTTAGATAATATGGTAGAAAATATGTTCTTTTGAGAATAGTCAAGGACATAGAAGCAGTACATTCTGAACCTGTGGTCTGTGCTTCAAAGATTGTCCATTTAAAAGCTTTTAAGGGCTAGATAAGTATTATACCTGTATAATGTGACCATGTGTTAGGGATATGAAAAACTGTGGAAAACAGCAGAAGCATGCTTTATTTAAAGGCATTTCTATTCTGATTTTTAAAATACTCTCTGGAAAATCACAGACATTTTCAGGCCAAATGTGCCTCTTAACTATCAATTTCTGAACTCTGGTGTATAGCTTAAATAAATATGCCAGGCTCAGAATCATAGAACTGTCATATCATAAACATGAAGCTATGCAATCAGACACTGTATACTTCTTTCCTCTTCCTTTTCAACCTTATCATATAATGCTACTTTATATAGCTGTGAGACATACTGCGAATAATAGAACCCCTATATAAATTAATTCTAATAAAGTAATGGCAATGATTTTAGTAAATTGGGAGGATTTTTTTTAATGACGATTGCCTTATATGTTCCAGTGGCATTATATATGTCACTGTATTTGATTTGAACAAAATAATATGGTAGATATTGTCCCCTATTTTACAGACTAAGGCTCTGTAAAGTCAAGTGACTGGCTCAAAGTTATTCAGGTGGTGCTATGGGCTAAATTGTGTTCCTCTAAAAGTCAAATGTTGAAGTCCTCACTCCCAGTAACTCAGAATGTGTCTGTATTTGAAGATGGGGTCTTTAAAGAGGTAGTTCCGTTAATATGAGGTTATTGGCTGGGCGCGGTGGCTCACGCCTGTAATCCCAGCACTTTGCGAGGCAGAGTCAGGCAGATTACCTGAGGTTAGGAGTTCAAGACTAGTCTAGCCAACGTGGTGAAACCCCGTCTTTACTAAAAATACAAAAAAATTAGCCGGACGTGGTGGCATGCGCCTGTAATCCCAGCTACTCAGGAAGTTGAGACAGGGGAATTGCTTGAACCAGGGAGGTGGAGGTTGCATTGAGCCAAGATCACGCCACTGCACTCCAGCATGGGCAACAGAGCAAGACTCCGTCTCAACAACAACAACAACAAAAAAGAATAGAAAATATGGACAGAGATACACACAGAGGGAAGACAATGTGTAGACACAGGGTGAAGATCATAATCTGTAAGCCAAGGAGGAAGCCCTCAGAATAAATCAACCCTGGGGACACTTATTAAACTCAGATTTTTAGCTGCTAGAAGAGTGAGAAAATACACTTCTGTGGTTTAAGCCACCCGATGTGTGGTATTTTGTTATGGCAACCCTAGTAAACTAATACAACTAAGTAATTCAGAAATTTAACTCAACACTGTCTGAATTCAGAATTAACCCTATCCAAACTCTCATAGACAAATTCAGCTTGAAATATCTCTAACATTTATGTAGTTCTCACTAATACTTTCTATGTTAGTCCAAGTATCCCAAGAAGCATGTCAGCGCTATATATACAGGGACTTTATTAAGAAAAAATCCCTCCAAAAAAATGAGGAGAGAAAGAGTGGGAGAACAATCAATCAAATTATGATGCAAGTCTGACCCTAAGTGAAGGAGAGGGGGAAGGGAAGTTGGTGGAAGTGATCTAGACCACCGTGCAGTGTCAATAGGTTCAGCAATCTTTCAGGGAGTTCTGAAACCAAAGTTGGCTATGAGAGGAGTTCCATGTTGCCTAGAGAGAAGCCTTCCATCGCATCCTCTACAGGTTCAGTCATTGGTTGAAAGAGTCTGTGGGAGGTGTGGCCTTAGTGCAAACATTCAGGAGTACAGGAGCCACGACCCAGATTCAATTGCCTCCTTGTACTTGAATGTTTGCAAGGTGCAATCTCATGGACATCTCACCTTCCAATTTTATAACCTTATGAAATAGCTTTCACTTTATAAGGGAAGATAATATATACCATCTCAGAAGCAGCAAGTATATCTATTCAACAGATACTTGTTGAATACGGTGAGAGCTTGACAAACGTCAAGGAGCTAAGAAACATAAAACGATGACAACAAAGAAAAGAGAGAGTTTAGAGAGTTGCTTTTAGAGAGTGTGAAAGCTTGTTGAGGAATCAGAGTTGTCTATGCAGGACCCTGGAGGATAATTCAAGAAAGTAGTCAATCATGCATTCAAATTGATTTTTCAAAGCATGATTTACATACCATGTAGTACAAGAAAATGACATTAGGTGGTACATCCGTGAGTTTTTATTGTACTAGTTAATTATTTATTTTAATGTACTAAAAATATATAAACACCACATCAAAACTGTGATTTGCACTGATCATTGGAGAAATGCAAATCAAAACCACAATGAGATACCATCTCATGCCAGTCAGAGTGGCGATTATTAAAAAGTCAAGAAGCAACAGATGTTGATGAGACTGTGGAGAAACAGGAACACTTTTACACTGTTGGTGGACATATAAATTAGTTCAACCATCATAGAAGACAGTGTGGCCATTCTTCAAAGACCTAGAACTGGAAATACGATTTGGCCCAGCAATCCTATTACTGGGTATATACCCAAAGGAATATAAATCATTCTATTATAAAGATACATGCACACATATGTTCCTTGCAGCACTATTGACGATAGCAAAGACATGGAATCAAGCCAAATGCCCATCGATGATAGACTGGATAAAGAAAATGTGGTACAGACACACCATGGAATACTATGCTGCCATAAAAAGGAATGAGATCATGTTATTTGCAGGGACATGGATGGAATTGGAAGCCATTATCCGCAGCAAACTAACAGAGGAACAGAAAACCAAACACTGCATGTTCTCACTTATAAGTGAGAGCTGATTGATGAGAACACATGGACACATTGAGGAGAACAACACACACTAGAGCCTGTCAGGGGGTTGGGAGAAGGGAGAGCATCAGGATAAATAGCTAATGCATGTGGGACTTAATACCCAGGTGATGGGTTGATAGGTGCAGCAAGCCACTAAGGCACACATTTACCTATGTAACAAACCTGCATATCCTGCACATGTATCCTGGAACTTAAAATAAGATAAAATAATTTATATTTTATTGACAGTATTGCTTTGGATGAAGATGAACTTATTTGAACATTTGAACAGCTAGTCCATGGGTAGAGCAAGCACTATGAAGATGTGATAAGATTTCTTGAAGTTTGGAAAACACTTGACATAATGAATTGTGTGATTCAGATCTAACCCTTCTATGAGTTCATAAAATGGTAGAATCAATTGGCAAAAGGAAAAGAAAAAAGGGGGCTGCTATTTAATTTAAAATGGAAATTAGGCCTCTGGAAGGCACCATTTTGTCTACCATGTCAAAATAGCACTTTTCTTAAGAATTTAGACTAAACTTTAAGATTCCTTCCAATTTTAATATTTTACATTTGTAAAAATAGCTGCTTCTCATGAGCTTATTCCCTCAGTGTTTGCTGAAAGCCTACTGCATGTTAACCGGGTATGGTAGCTCACACCTTTAATCCCAGCTACTGGAGGCTGAGGCAGGAGAATTGCTTGAACCCAGAAGGCGGAGGTTGCAGTGAGCTGAGATTGAACCACTGCACTCCAGCCTAGGCAACCGTGTGAGTGAGACTCCATCCGAAAAAAATAAAAATAAAAATAAAAGAAAGCTTGGCTGGGTGAGGTGTCTCACGCCTGTAATCCCAGCACTTTGGGAGGCCGAGGCGGGCAGATCACGAGGTCAGGAGATCGAGACCATCCAGGCTAACACGGTGAAACCCTATCTCTACTAAAAATACAAAAAATTAGCAGGGCGTGGTGGCGGGCACCTGTAGTCCCAGCTACTCAGGATGAGGCAGGAGAATGGCGTGAACCCGGGAGGCAGAGCTTGCAGTGTGCTGAGATTGGGCCACTGCATTCCAGCATAGGCCACAGAGCTAGACTCCGTCTCAAAAAAAAAAAAGAAAAAAGAAAAAAAGAAAAGAAATAAAGCTTACAGCATGCCAGGTACCATGCTTAAAAAATAAAAGGGTATATTTGGAATATTGTCAGCGACCTAAGCCCTCATCCAGTTTGTAAGGAGGCAGAAAAGGGTCCTAGAGTGGCAGTCAGCTGTCAATTCATATGGACAGGGTGTATCGTGCAAATGAAGATTACATAGGTGACGATAGAGCTGCTGGAGCCCGAGGTGTGAAGTAGGAGATGGCATGTAATTTCAATTTGTTTTTTTTCTTTCTAGATATATATAAATATATATATTTATATACTCTTTTATTTTTTAAGCATAGTACCTGACATGCCGTAAGCTTTCTCTCTTTTTTAATATATAAAAAAAAATTTATATATATTTATATATTAAACATATTATATTGTATATATTGTATATATTTATATATTTTTATATATTGTATATATTTTATATATTGTATATATTGTATATATTTTATATATGGTATATATAGTATATATTTATATATATTTATATATTTATAAATGTATATTGTATATATTTATATATCATATTATATAATATATATCTAGAAATAAAAATATATATAATTAATATATTATATTATATTAATGCAATATACTATATTATATTATATTAATACAATATACTATATTATATTATATTAATACAATATACTATATTATATTATATTAATACAATATACTATATTATATTATATTAATACAATATACTATATTATATTAATTATAATAATATAATATATTATATATTATATATAGCTGCATCTGTGCTATCTATAATGTGTTATATATAATATATATTATATGGTTATATATTATATGATATAATATATATATTATATATAACCATGATATATAGAATAGTGGTTATATATATAACCAATATTAGTTATAAGGAATTGTGAGAAGAAAAAAATAGAGTATCATTGTTTCTCATCTGCTCTCTCTACCTCTCTCTCTGTCTCTCCATTTTTATAATATATATAATATATATATTTCTAGCATTTTGTCCATTTTAAGTGTTCAGTTCAGTGGCATTAATTACATTCACAGTGTTGTGCAACAGTCACTTCTATCCATCCCCAGAATATTTTTATCATCTCAAACTGAAGCTCTACCCATTAAACACTGATTCTCTATTCTTCTCTCCGCAGAGTTCCTTATCACCACTATCCTACCTTCTATTTCTATGAATTTGCTTCTTCTAAGATATTTCAAATATGTGTAATCTGAGAAAAACTAATAACAACATTCGTCCTTTTGTGTCTGGCTTATTTCACTTAGCATAATGTTTTCAAGGTTCATCAATGCCATAGCATATGTCAGAATTTCATTCCTTTTTAAGGCTAAATAATATTCCATTGTATGTATATTATGCCATATTTTGTTTATCCCTTCATCCATCAATGGACATTGGCGTTGTTTCCACGTTTGGGCTATTGTGAATAATGCTACTATGAACAATGCTGTGCAAATATCTGAATCCTTGCTTTTAATTCTTTGGGCACACACGTAAAGGTAGAATTGCTGAGTCAATGGTAATGCTACGTTTAACTGTTTGAGGCCCTACCATACCATTTTCCTCAGCAGTTGCACCACTTTACATTTCAACCAGCCATGCACTCATGTTCCCATATCCACGCATCCTTGCCAACACTTCATGCTTTCCAATTTTTGATATCAGCTTTCCTAAGAGGTATTGCATAATATCTCAATGTGATTTGATTTGCATTTCCATAATAAAAGACATGTGATTTTGAATGTTATTCTTTAAGTGATGCAGAAATATTAATCAGTTATTATTATTGCTTTCCTGTGATTCAGGCATAGGGGTACATTTCCATTTTAAAAATAAATTTGGATGTTTCCTTTAAGGCGAGGTGATTCCAGAGATGGAGAAGATGAGACTCATCCATGAATAGTGTTGGGGGAATGTGAAAAGGACTTGACAGAGTAGATATGATGGGCTTTGAGGGGAAAGGAGAATTCAAGACACCTCCTAAGTTTTTAGTATGACTTTCATGGGGCATGTGGTGGTCTTGTAGTAGAAGGACCTCTTGGATGTGAAGATAAATCCTGATCATGTTGCATTTGCTTATCTGTGAGATAGTCAGACCTAGAAGGTAGAAGCAATTATATGATTTTAAAGATCCAAAGTCTGAACTGGAGGTAAAGATGTAGATGTCATCAGAATATGGTTGATGATTGGAGGAAGCAGCATGGATGAGCTCATATAGAGAAAGTGAGGTCTGAGAATGGATTCCTGGGGAACATCAACATTTATGTAAGTTGGGAAGATAAGAAGGATTCTGTGAAGGCTCAGAGAAGTAAAGGGATAATGAGGACAGCAGAGTACTATGGAAGCTGACAAGGTAAAGAGTTTCAAAGAATTACCGATTTCACTCCATCAAATATAACAAGAATTTCTAGAAATACTAGAACTGATTCAAAACAAAGTCTCTTTATATCTTGTACTGGAACTCTGGTCTCTGTTCATTGAGTCACATCCTGTATTTAAGTTCTAAGCCCAAATTCCAATTTCAGGCACAGAATAGACACTGACATCCACCACAACAGTTTATTCAGTGTTCCTCTTTACCTGACACAAATCCTCCTCAAAGAAGCTTTATCTTGTGTAAAAGGAAATGAACATTCCTTTGAGGCAAGAGTTGACAGAACTGAAATGCCTTCCAGTGTCAAGGCTGCAGTAGCTTCCATCATGATTCATTCTGAGCCCAAAAGCTTGGTGGCATTTTCAAGGCTTCTTCTCTTATGTAGTGGTGGAGAAGAACTGGAGAGAGCTGGTCGACCCCATGCCTGGTGTCTGGGGGTCAGTGGGTCACTGAGGGGAATTTAACCCTGCCTGTAATGACTTCAGGAGCATCAAGCTGTATCCTCTGTGTTCACTGTGTGGTCAGCATACTTGACAACACTCTCCCTGGCCTCTGGTTCCCACTCTACCTCCCTGAAAGTCTTCACCTCCTAACCTAATTCCTGCAATCTTCATTTTTCCTAGGGCTGAAGAATGCAGCCACTATCTGTCATATCATCTCAGAGTGGTCTCCTCATAGCCCTACTGATGTGGAAATATGACTCATTCACATTCCATTGCTGCGTCTGTGCTACCTCCTCTGTTTAGACCCTTTCCTGCTGTCCAGAAATAGCTGAGTTTACCTTCTACCTATAATTTATTAAAAGACTTCAAGCATTCAATTTTTGATCATTTCAGTTCATTCTCAGCTTCGCAGTGAGAAGTTTCCTCTGTGCTCATTGCCTTTGGCCATAATATTCCACCCCCAAATTACTGTAATTCTCAGGATTACAGTGAGTCACACCTTGGAATTAAGGCATTCTGTGCCAGGGTAAATATGTTACCTAGAAGGGCTAGCATATTACATTGTCGTTTCCTGTTAAGATCATGGCCAACTGGTCATTATCCCATCACCAATAAGACTGTGAGAAACATAGAACAGATATGTTTTCAAAGACTGATAGATTTTCAATTTGTAAGGTTGCTTAGATATAACTTAGTTCTACTTCCTAGGTGATCTACAAACTCCTTCTTTGTGACACTAATCTGGTTACCCAGATCCTGGTTGAACATTTCCTGTGGCATAGAATGATCGATATACAAAACATACATATATCTGGAGAATCTAATGTTTAAATGTTTTGGAGGTTTTTGTTTTGTTTTGTTTTGCTTTGATTCGAGCCAAGGTCTTACTCTGTCACCCAGGCTGGAGTGCAGTGGCATGATCACTGCTTACTGAAACTTTGACCTCCTAGGCTCAAGCAATCTGATTAATTGGGACTACAGATGCACGCCACCACATCCAGTTTATTTTTTTATTTTTATTTTTGTGAAGATGTGGACTCATTATGCTGCCCAGGCTGGTCTTGAACTCCTGGACTCAAGCGATCCTCTTGCTTTGGCCTCCTAAAGCGCTGGGATTACAGGCATAAGCCACTGTGCTGGCCATGTTGAGATTCTTTACCTTGAACCCTAAACTATATTTTCTCCCTGGGAGAGCCTAGATTAAATTATATTCAAATGTTTATTGAGCACCTACTATATACCAAGCACAATGCTGTGTGTGCTGGGCACAACAGGAACCACAAGGCTTGACTCTGTTCTCTATAAGCCCATGTCCTATTGGAGTGGTGGAATGATGTATGGGAACAATATAATTGGACACCCTTGTTTAATTGTGACACCCTTGCTTCCCTTTCGAATTAGCTTAGCACATTCTTATCATGCTTTTGTTTCTCTTTGTGAAAGACTCCAAACATCGAAACTACGTTAAGACCAGTTAGAGCTTCTTTCATTATAATCCAGTTAGGAGACAATTCATCCAACTTGTCTTGATTATGCCACAGAAGCTAAGTGATTAAATCAGAATCTGAAAAGAAGAAACGAAAGCATTAAGTGCATCCAAAAATAAACTTGTTGAACCTGGGGATAGTGTAAGAGTAGGAGACTTTCTGAAAGCCACTTTGGAAATATGATTTTAATGAGATTCATTATTGTCCTTTAAGGTCAAAGTTGAAAGAGTAGTCTATCTGGCTAATATCAAAGAGGTTTAATTTTTGTTGATTTGGAGATAAAGCAAGTATAAGCTTTTCATTATAAATATGTTTTTATACTTGGAAAATAAGAAATAGAAGCAATCAGTAGTCACATATGTGCCCTGTGATCTGGTTCCTGTGAACATTTTCTATAAATTTAAATTATACGTAATCATTTATAGTCCAGAAGCAGGTGCAATGTGGATATGCAAAGCTGTTGAAATGCTATTTTTCCAAAGTTGGCTGGAAATAATACCATACACAGGAGGATGGAAAAGTACCGATGGAAATAATATTGTCCAAGTATCCCAGACCCTTCAAAGACTTTCAGAACAATAACAACTTGAGAAGTGTTACTCTTATGACTCAGTGATCAGAAGACATTTCAGAAACAAGAGTTGTATGAAATCTTGAGTCAGTCACACAAATTGCAAACGGATCTCCTGCAATGCCACTAGGAAGTGAATACGGTAGAAACAGCACTTCTAAAGTTAATGAGTAAGAATCATGTTGTGGGGCTAGCATATTTCACAAGAAAGCAAAGAAGCCAATTACTTATATATGTTTTTAATGACTGTATTTTCCTCCTCCTCTCTCACTGCCCCCAATTACAATCAAAATTATGATTCATCTTTTGCCCAATTATTTCGCTACTATGCATATATTGTTGCTACTGATTTCATCGGGAGGCATTGAGTAGAATAAATGAGACATATGTGCAGGTTATGTTTTCCAAAAGGTAACTCTCAGGACAGGGTGATCCAACGCAAATTCACTTGAAACTGCTTGGTTTCATGAACTCTTGAAGTGGTAGCATCAATTAGTATGAATTTCAAATTGGTGTTATTTTCAAATAAAAATCCAAGTGTGCAAAGACAGTCTTGGAAAGGTTAAACTAAAAAATAGGATTACTTAGGCTTTCAAATATATCTTGTGTTTCAATATTTTTACCTTAATTTACACACTAACCATACTATGCTCTTATTGCTAAAAATAAGTTTGAAAAGGTCTATATTGTAATTGGTCTCAAGACAAGTTTTACAAGCCTGGTGGTGAAGGCATCTTATTAGTCTATTATCTGTCCCAGTTTTGTTCCTGAAGCAGAATTCTCTGGTGTGATCACTTAACTTGATTGCAAAACTTGTCTCCAAAGGCAATTTTGCTATTTCCCAAAATCAAATTCATCGCATAAAGGTCAGGGATTTTCCTGGCAGCGGACGTTCGAAAGAACACGCCACAAAGTCTGCAGGCATTTTCTTTGGGGAATTAAAAAAAGGTGCTCTGCCATTCAGAAGCGTCATTAGACTAAGAGTGTGGTTCCCCAAGGGACTTCTTGAAAAGGCACCATATTTTCTTTAAATGTACAATTTCTTTTCTATTTTAAATGTTAAAAATTGGAGACATCACTTTATAGTCACATCCTGTATTCTTTCAGTGACTGGCGAAGGGGAGGGAGGGAAGTGTGGACATGTTCCTATAACAACGAATCAAAGAAGACGCCTTGTGCTTTTTCATTGTTTGGTGTTAGTGACATCTGTGACCCCCTACAGCTTTCAGAGACATCCTTAATTAGCAGTAAGTGTGTGACCTACTGTTGAAGTCCTAACCTCGAGTATGAGGGTATTTGAAGAAGAGTCCTTTGGGAAGTAATTAGGGTTGGGTTAGGTCATGAGAGTGGGGCCCTCACCAGGGACTAAACTGGCCATCATCTTCATTGTGGACTTGCCAATCTCCAGAACTGTGAGAAATACCTGTTGTTTAAGCCACCCAGTCTTTGGTATTTTGTTATGGCAGATGTAGCTGACAAAGAAAGTAGGCACACAAGTCTTTTAAAATGGCACAGACAAAATCAGGACGGTTGAATGAGAAGGAAGGTGAACGGAATTTTTCCCTGTGTGAACGTCTTTTCAGAATGCGTGCCTGAAGCAGCTCAGAGGCGGCAGCCCATTCCAGCAGCAGAGAAGGGATATGTCCTTTGTCAAGACATGTACTAAAATGCCCTAGGAACTTGGAAATAAAGGGATAAATGATGTCTTTTGAGAATGAAGCTGTAAGAATAAAATGCATTACATTAGACATGTGGTAGGAAAACTATGAGATAGTAATTAAATGCACTACAGAGGAGTTTAGGAACAACCAAATATCCCATCAAGGAAATCATGAGACAGGCTGGAAGTAACTGTAATTCTCTACATGAAAACCTAATCAAACATATATGCCCTCCATACATTTTAATTGTTTGGAAAGGAAGGAGATGGTCAACCCTTAACACAGTAAAGGAAAGAAAGTCTTTAAGGCCAAAAGAAATCAGGAGAATTCAATTTCATAATTATTTCGTTCATAATGGAGGCTCTGAACCCAGGGTTTATTGACACTCACTTGCAAAGCCATCCAAATCCATCCTGAAATTTTATTCACTCATTTATTCATTGGATAAGTATGTATTGAGTATCAACCTTTTGCTATTCCCAGAACAAATGCTATGTATTCATAACATGAATCCCACTCCTCACGCTTAGTGTTATGATGTATGTAATAGTGTGTGTATATTTGTCTTTTCTAAAAGTTCTACACTTTTAATCGGATTTTCAAATGACAAGGAATCACAGATCAATGAGCAATTTAGCTCACTCTATTTGATCATTATGATCCAGAAAACATCTGCCTCTGTATTATTTGTGAAAGATATTTTTTTTCTAGTGCAATAGTTAGCTTGCAAAATACATAAGGCAGACAGAAGAAATCCTGTGATCCTGAATTTGGGGGAGGGTGAAAGGGATGTGGGAGTCTAAGAACAAAGTGCTTGGAGAATCAGATTTTTTAAATGTGTCTCCTAATGAAATACCCAATGATTAGCACCTTACAGTTTCTTAAAAAGAAAATCCCGGCTGGGCGCGGTGGCTCACGTCTGTAATCCTAGCACTCTGGGAGGCCGAGGCGGGCGGATCACCAGATCAGGAGATCGAGACCATCCTAGATAACACGGTGAAACCCCGTCTCTACTAAAAATGCAAAAAAATTAGCCGGGCGTGGTGGCGGGCGCCTGCAGTCCCAGCTACTTGGGAGGCTGAGGCAGGAGAATGGCGTGAACCCGGGAGGCGGAGCTTGCAGTGAGCCGAGATCGCACCACTGCACTCCAACCTGGGCGACAGAGCGAGACTCCGTCTCAAAAAAAAACAAAAACAAAAACAAAAAGAAAATGCCCATAGCTGCAAGATGAAGTCACATTTATTCTAATCCATAAGTATTAATAATTTTGTAAATAATTGTATTTTTAATAAAGATTTTATAGCACAGAGCAGCTCTTTGGCAAACATAGTAGCCTAATTTCAGACAGAAACACTGGTAAAACTTAATGGCTCCCCAAAATTGTTTATCACACTTTCTAAATTACAAACCAACTAGAGAACAAAAAGGGTGGAGGAGTGTTTAAAAGACAGAATGGGGAGACGGTTTGGTAGCAAATCTTGAGAAGTGAATGCAGTTCTCCGGTGGATTCTTTAATAAAATATAACTCAGATAATTGGATGTGATTTCTTTGCTTGTTTGTTTTTGAGCTGGAAAAAATCAACAGATTTCTCTCTTCTAATCCTGCCTGCAGGTCTCAGTTCTGAGCAGTATTGCCTGGTGGAAACATTTTGGCAGCTACTGTATATTGTATGCTTAACCAGGTTTTTAATCATCCCAGACAGGGGGGACATTTTATTTCAAACTAGGAGCAGGCTATGAAATGGGAGGCTCATTAGGAACAAAAACAGATGAGCTCCAATTAAACTAACTGTTCTCTGGCAAACCCCCAGTGTCTTGGAGGGTAAATTTGTTTAACTAAAGTTTACAGAATAAACAAGTGTGCTTCAGGTGTCATTATGGAAAAGAAAGTCAAGGGATGACTCTCCGTTGGTTTCTTAGTCAGATTACTTCTCATTTACTGTCACCTGGGACTGTTCAAAATCAGGGCTTCCCTTTGGCGCCATTGTTTTCTTCTGAGATAATTACTGAGGAGTATTCAGAGCGCCATTAAATTCGGATCTCACCATTAGACTTCAGAGCTTGGTTGCCTAAAGATTACATTTCTTTCACTTGCTTTGCTTTCAGAATGACTTTCTCTAAAGTAAAAAGATGGCTACCAGAGGCTGGGAAGGGAAGTTGCTGGGTGGGTCGGGGGCAGAGTAGAGAAGATGGTTTAATGGGTACAAAAAAACTTGGAAAGAATGAATAAGATCTAGTTTTTGAAAGCATGACAGGGTGACAATAGTCTATCTAAATATCCCATATACTCCATAAATATATACATCTACTATGTAAACACAACAGTTTAAAAAATGAGTTTTTCTAAACCCTGGAACATGGACACTGCCAGTCCTAAGATCAGTCCCTGTCAGTTCCTTGTCTTTTCTTGGATGACTTCTTTCTGTACAGGTTCCGCCATATACGGTGTCTCAGGCCTTCAGGAAAACTCAGTTTCCCTTCCAAGTCTTCTAGAAATAGTGCCTTTCAACGCTGGATGACTATTACATTCACTTGAAGATCTTTAAAAATCACCAATGTGCAATCCCCATTCCCAGACCTGCTGATTTTAATTATTCAAGGGTATTTTTTTAAAGTTTTAAATTTGTGTTCATATTATTTTAAGTTCTACTGGTGATTCTACTGAGAACCACTGACTCAAACAGTGTTCCCTCTACATTATTCAGCAAGAGACCTTGGAAAGTCAGCCAGGCACTGCCAGGAAATTCACTTGAAGTATTTTCAGTGACATTTGTCCTCAAGAACAGAGAGAATTTATTGTGAGACCTTGCCAAGCTTAATTATTTCCAGGTGCTACATCTTGTTCAGAACATCCCCTGTCATGCCCCATTCTGCACCCCAAGTTAGGTCCGCCATGACAATACAACTGCCAATGCCATCCTTCATCAGACTTCCATGCTGTGTTACATGACACAGACACATCTCCCAGGCACGGCATGCACTTACCCATTCCCTGCCCCATGTCCTGGGCAAAATCCTATTTCTTCAAGACCAACTTAACTCCCATCTTTACTTCTGAAACACTCATTCTACCGACAGCAAATTTCCATTCTTCCATGCTTCTGTAGAATCTTGAACACATCTCCATTATAGCTCTTGATGTATAACAACATCATATATAATTTGGCTTATCTGTTTTCCCCAGTAGATTATGGTCCCTTAAAAAGAGACACCTAGAGCTTACAATGAGGAGTGGCAATGTCTGATTTACAGTTGGTCAAAAGCAAGTTTCTTTCTATCTTACGGCTTATGCAAGTCCTCTTCTTTTACATGGTATGTGCTGTTGCCCAATTTTACAAGAATGGGAAGAAATTCAAAAGTTACCTCTTGGAAGAGGACAGCAAGAAGCAACTCCCCAATCTGCCTCTATTACCTTACCCTGTTTTATTTCCTTTGTAGAATTTATGGAGCATCTAAATTTCTCTTATCTACTTGTTTATTCTTTAGTGTCCATTTCCTCCTCTGCATGCAGGTTTCTTAAGGGCAGGTGCTGCCTTATCAGGACCCAGCATAGTGCCTTCATCTACATAGCAAAGATTTGCTCTTAACCAGCTTTCAAGTTAGATAGACGTGAGTTCAAATTCTGGCTCTACTAATTCTGGTTTGTGTACCTTGTTGAGATGCGTAGTCTCTCTGTGCTTCAATCGCCTCCATTTTAAGGCTCTCTATTGCTCTCCTATTGACATAAATACTTTTAAGGGCATGAGGTGCGAAGAATAAACATTATTTTTAATGAGTAGATCAACCAAAGTTTGCATGCAAATTTCAGAAAAAATGCAAATGTCAGGGGAAAGAGTATGTTTTAGGATAAAAATAATTGCGTAATACTCTCTGGTAGAGATGCTGCTGTAATTAAATAAGAAGGTATTTGAGACACCTAACTGAGGGCCTGTCCTTCCTCCTTCACTATAACCAAAGTCACTCTGCATTCAAACTATATAAGCATTCCGGATATGAGGCCTCTTAAATTCTATAATTCTATTTTCAAATAAAGTTGTGCCAAACCATATTTATGGTGAAATTCATCAAACTTGTCCTACTGTCCAGCATAATTTGGGAACTCATTTGGTCTGAGTTCTCAGGCAGGTTATATGTAGAAAAAAAAATGGTAGATAGATACTGTGTTTTAAGGAAGTTCACGTAATAAATAAATATGAAATATAAATTATCTTAATCATCTGTATATTAATTAGAATTGAGCCAATTAAAGCTTTCTATGATTAGGCTTTTTGGTATTTATTCAGAAAAAACTTCAATAAGTGGGAAAAAGTGAGAAGGCCCCAATGATTACTTGTTAGTTTTATCTGCATGATACCCACACTGCCAAAGATTATATTCTCCTGATTATTTGAGAAGCAGGTAACTGGCTTACCAAAGCAGGGAAAACACGTGGCCAGCTCTGCCTGTGTACTGAGCCACTCCATGTGACCAGGTGGATGTCAGGGGAAACTCGTGGCCTTTCCAAACATCTGATCTGCAGCTAACATTATAATCTGGGAACCCCTGTTTTTATTGGGTTTTTGTTTGTTTGTTTGTTTGTTTTTACAAGGAACCTCTGGCCTGTCATATAAGCATTAACTCCCGTAATAGTACAATATTTTATATGAAAAGGTCTATACTTTTGCTATTCACATGAGTCTCAGTTTTTCTAAGCCAAAGCCAAATAACACCTTATTGGTCCCTCCACATTCAGAGATGTTCTATCACTTGTCTCCTCTCTCCCTACATTCACTTCTTCCTCTCTGCTTGCTCCTCAATATGTTTATATGTCATGCTTGCACCACTTTGTTCCTATGTCCTGTCCTCTCCCCTTTAGCATTTTTGAATCCCGTAAAACAGAAACACACCTGTTTCAATTCTGCAGCTAACGTCTCCATGTGATTGCATTTCCATCCTTACTGATCTTCTGTACCAGTGACACCCATATTGCAAAAATGAAGTCACTTTTGACTTCCGTGGAACTCTATGAATTTGAAGCTAATTATAATTCATGAAGTGTGAAAAAGAAAATTATTTTTGGCTTTTGACACAAGGCTTTCCCTCTCTGCTTCCAACTCCTTTGTTCTCTCCCACAGTAATTGTTGTAGGCTCCTCCTCTTCTGTAACATTCTCCAAGACTCTCACCTTGACTGTGTTACTCTTTTGCCTTGGGGAGTCTCACACATTGCAATGGTATGGACCATCACCTCTGTGTGGACTGTCTCTCCAGGATATCTTGACAGCGATGGTGCAGGGATACAGTGAACTCAATACTAGTTTTACTATTTCCACTTGGCCCAATGTATTCCTCTTTGGTCTCCCTATGTCATCACCATTCATCAGTTGTCCAAGTTAGAAATTTGGGAGTCGCCCATATACTCTCTCCTTTCTCATTGAATCGAGCACTGAGTTGTGGTTATTTTACCTCTCAAAAAATCTTTTGAGTCTTCCTCTTCTACTTCATTGCTTGTAAAATTGACATTGCACAGACTTTACCATTTGCTGCCTGGAATATTATAAGCCCAACTCATCTCACTTTTTTAGTCTTGGATGCTGTATCTTCCTCCTTTCCTCACCCCTTAAATCCATACTATAGCCAAAGCAAGCTAAAATACAAATCTATTCATGCCATTCTCCTGCACCAATTCTTTAGCAACCCCTTATGAACATCAAATGCCTTGGGATGACATATTCAGTCCTTCATAACCTCAATACTCCATACCTCTCAGGCTCATTTCCAACTGCTTCCTGGTTTGTACTTTTTCATTTTTTAGTAATATGGAATTTCTAATCGTTCCCCAAACACATCATGCGATTCCAGACCCCCCATACCTTTGCTTTAGGCTGTTGCCTCTGCCCAGAATTAGCATCTTAACTTTATTGGTGTGAGTAATTCTGGCTTATCATTGAAGAATCTGCACTACCACACTTCTTTATAAGCTTCCTCTGAAACAATATCCAGTTTCACTTAATAAAATAATATCAGCAATAACCCCAACTCAGGTGGGCAGTAAGATACATTCCAACCATATTTCTGCCACTAACCAGCCATGTGACCTTAAATAAATTGCTAGGCTTCTCTAGTTCTAAATTTCCTTTTGCCTATGGTAACCTCTTTAAGGCAGAAGCTTTCCAAAGTTCTCTCCAGTTTCTATTTTTTGTGTCTTTTCACCAGGGACAAAATATCTCAGAGTTGTCAATAAATCAGCAGTTTAGTACAACTACAAGTAAGCTTTGTTGTTTATTGATCACTCTTAGGTAAAGTGGCTTTTATATGAAATCAATACGTGTGTTAAATGTATTCAAAGTAATTGCCTTACATACTTCAAGGAATCACACTGTTCACAGAAATGAGGTCTGCTTAGCCCCACCTTATGGATTGTGTTGTTTTGTTTTGTTTTCTTCCTCTCATTAATGAAAGTTACCAGTTCCGGGAAGATAGACGTTGGTAGAAAGGGAGGAGCAGATTTTGAAATCAGATGTGGGTTCAAATTTCAGCCCTGTAATTTACTTTCTTTGTGACCTTCAGGAAGTGACATAAGCTCTGTTTCCTCAGTCCTAAACTGGAGATATTACTACTAGAGGACATCAGCAGATCAAACGTGTTAAACTTGGGAAATGGTACACGAACACAGGAGGCCCTCCCATGATGTTGTTGCTGTGATTGTCATTATGATGCTAGCTAGAAAAAATAAGAGCAGTCAGAAAATGATACTCAAATCTTTCATTATGTGAGGGATGTTTATACCAGTGTCAGGTAACCATGATATGCTCTGATAATAGGTTAAGATGTGATCCAGGGTTAAAATGTTTCAATTTCTTTATTTAAAGATAAGAAACACAGAAGCCAGAGAGGTTAAAGGACTTATCTCAGAATAATTCTCTGTCAATTGATGTTCCAGTGACTTGAATCCCATTGTTCTGCGTTCAGGTGGAATTCCTTCCCTTTAGTTTATACTTCCCAAACTTGAGCTTGCATCGCAATCATCCAGAGTACTTGTAAAACAGATTGCTGCACCCACCCCAGAGATTCTGATTGAGTAGGTCTGGGGTGGGCCCGAGAATTTGCATTTTTAACACTCTCCCACGTATTGCTGATGCCACACTTCGAACAGCATTGCTGCAGACAACCCCGTTCTGAATTGGCCAGGAAGAGTTCTCAGTTTTCTTAAACACCTCACTCCTGGGAAGTGGCAAAGAAAGATGAGGCCATATGTCTTGATTATGCACTACCAGATTTTACATGGGATTCAGCACTGCCAGTGAATGGAGTACGAGTATTCTGCTCTTACTGCCTTTTCTGCTTTTTCCCTTAGACAAAAGGTGTTAAGTTTCAGCAAAACATACTCTGAGGCTTATTTTATAAAAATTACAGTTTGTTTTGGTTGATGTGTTTATAGTCATATTCAAAGCTTTCAGAATGCACATTGAAAACTGCAGTGTCTGAGATGAGAAATTGGCTCCGGGCTCATCATTTACTTTGTGCAGTGAAAAACCAGGCAGCTTTTGTACTTCAATGGTGGGAAAAAATAAAGCAAGGCTAAATGCTATCTGGAAAGATGAAACACAGAATGAGTTTGAGTAATTGAACAGTGCTGCCTATTTATCTCCTCTAAGAAGAGGGAAACAGACTATAACAAAGTTGACTTGTTAAGTCTGCAGTTTAAAGCTCCCAGCTCACATTTCCTAGAAACAATGTTGGCCTTTCAACTGTATTATAAGTTACAAAGGGTTTTAATGAACTTACTGGAAACAAAATTATTATTCCTAAAGTTATTTCTGAAGAAAAATGCCTTCTACTTTGTGGTGAGAAGGAACGAGAGGTTCCAAGAACAAATAAACGTCATTTGGTGGAGAAAGAGGGTCTTACAGCAGTCAGATTAGATTCAATCCCAGCACCAATAAATTGTGTGCAAAAACGAAAGCACTTTGAACTTCTCTCAATTTCCTTATCTGCTAAGTGCAGATAATATACACCTAACAGAGTCCTTGTGACAGTTAAGTGGGATAATATATGTGAGGACTCTGCTACCGTATCTTTAACAGAGTAGGCACTCAATAAATTACTGTTGTCATTGCTTAAGGAGAGTGCATTCTCTGGTTCCTGTTTCTTCATTTTCATCCCTTTTTTCATCCACAGAACCAAGTCAGCTCCACCCAGGAAACAGGAGGAGGTAGGCCACTTCAAATCCCACCTTCCTCTATTAGGCAGGGCAATTCAGCCTCGCCCAGTTCAAATCCAAAATGAACTGGCCAAATCCATCTTATCACCCAAATAAACATTAAGAGCTTTCCATTTCAGGACCCACTTGGAGGGCAGGTTAAAGGGGTTTTGTGGTCACTCAAATTTTTTTAGAACTTTAGTTACTTATTACATTTTCAGTTTCTTCATAAGCAATTAAGCAATTTCATAGTGTTTTCTCCCAAGGGGAAATTGAACTTTTTTCTCTATTAACATAACAATACAAAATATTTAAGGGTGATGTATTGTATCTATGTATGTTAATTAAGGGGAAACCATGTGTATTCATGAAGGTAAATGTTTGTTGCTTTCGGTAGATATTTCAGCAACATTCATTAACTCATTATCAACCTCCTACTACATGTCAAATCTGTTCTCAGTGCTGGGAATCATGAATAAAGCTGGTAAAAATTCTGCCTAATAGTGTTTAGAGCCTAGTGGGAAAAACAAGATAAATAAAAACAATATGTAGTTTATATGATAGTGGTAATTGCTAAAAAGTATAAAAGGGTTTGGAAGAGGTGAGGAAGAATTGGGAGTGGAAGCATGTAATTTGAGAGAAGGTAGCTGCTGTACTTACTAAGGTCTAGGAAGAGGAAACTGCAAGTGCAATATCCCTGAGATAGAAGCATGTCTGTATGATCAAGGCACATAGTGGAGACCGCTGTAGCTGGAGTGAGTAAGGGGTGTGTAGTGAGACAAAAAATCAAAGAGTTATCATAAAAGGCACATACCCCATTTTAAATGGGATTTTATCTTTTTTTTTTTCTTCTTTGAGACGAAGTTATGTTCTTTTTGCACAGGCTGGAGTGCAACAGCGCGATCTTGGCTCACTGCAACCTCCACCTCCCGGGTTCAAGTCATTCTCCTGCCTCAGCCTCCCTAGTAGCTGGGATTACAGGCATGCACCACCACACCTGGCTAATTTTTGTATTTTTAGTAGAGACAGGGTTCCACCATGTTGGCCAGGCTGGTCTCGAACTCCTGACCTCATGTGATCTGCCTGCCTCGGCCTCCCAAAATGTTGGGATTACAGGCGTGAGCCACCGTGTCTTTTTTTTTTCTTTTTTTAGTAAGATCTATTGGAAGGTTTTGAGCAGAGGAGTCACATGACTTGATCTATGCTTTAAAATATTACTCTATCTTTTTTTTCTGTAGAATAGAATATGGGGAGACAAGGGCAGCGGCTGAGACGACTTATTAGAGGAGTCATGAAGGAGAGGATGGTGGTTTTGGTCTGGAGTTGGCAGTGGTACTGAGAATTAGCCAAATTTTTTGCTAATCATTTGCATGTTAGCTGCAGATCCTTCTGCTTAGCACCTGCTGGAATCGATGGTATATGCCTACCTGGAAAATTCACCATTCTAAGACAAGGGACGTAGGAAGGGTCTACACTGCAGAAGCATCTGATTTTAAATGGTCATGAACAAACACTCACATGGCACATATTCTCAATTCTTTTTTTTCCGCCCTTCCTTGGCAATGGCTGGATGCCCCAAACGTGGAGATGAATACTCTGGGAAGGTTAAGTTGCCTCTACCAGAAAATTCTAAGTTGCAACGTGCATGTTCTGTTTCCTTCTTGTTTCAGAGCTTTGCACACTTTGTTAGTCTTTTATACTGTAATTAGTTTTGCAAATAACCTCTTAATTTTCAACTAGAAATGGTATTTTTTTTTCTGAAAACTTGAATATCATCTTGTACTCTTTTCCTCTCCAGCCCTAGTGGTTCATTGGTTTTCAATATCTATAGATTTCATCACGTCTGTATCTGTCACATCCATTCAAGTCTCTCCAGTCAGTTTGCCACATTCCTAAATCATCTGTCCCTGAATTTCTGAAACAGCCTCTTAATTAGTCCCTTTACCTTTAGACCAGCCACCCTCTTCCCCCAAACCCTCAATCACTTGTCCACACAGCAACCACGGTGATCGTTCTGAAGGACACATTTGATGCTGTGTGCCTCTGTTTATAGCCTTTTAGTGGCTCTCTCATGCTCTCAAGATAAAAAAAAAAAAAAAAAACAAAAAACAAACAAAAAAAAAAAACACCACCACAACAAAAACCCTCTTTTTTGGGTGCTCTAAAGACCCTTCGTGATCTGTGTCCTGTTTACGTTAATAGCCCTGTATCTTGAAATATGATTTATTCCTGTCTAATTCATCAACTTTGTGTTATTCCTACCCAAACACACTCACTCAGGAAACTGAGCTCTTGCCTATGTCTAAGATGAAGTATGATCTCCCTCTAGGTTCCAAGCTGTTGAAACCACTGTTTGCTCTATAAGTAACAGATTTTTCCTATCTTTGTCTGACCCTGCTCATACTTAAGAGCTCTGTTCAGATGATGTCTTTTTGTCAGAAAACCTGTCTAGAATGAAGAGTGAGTTAAGTGTCTGTGAAATGAGCTCCCAGGATGAAACCACCTTTGCTCTCACTATAATATTTAATAACTGCCTCTTTATTTTTCTGCATTTCCCATTTGACTGTAGGCTCCAAGAAAGAAGAGCTGGCTCATTTGTACCTATCATATTCCCAACTCCTGCATCAATGTTGGGCACTTACTGGATGCTCAATAATACTTGTTGAATTGTCTTGGATTGAATAAAAAAGCATAAGAACTTTACAATTAAGTGCACCGACTGTGCAATTTATTCTCACTGGTGTCAAGACATTGAGTCATCCTCCATTTGGAGTACTTCTTTGCAAAGAACTATTATCCTTATTCAGATCTATGACCCTGTCCTCATCTTCTGCCACTGATGAAGAGACAAGTGTTTTCTTATTTTTAAGCCAGACTATTAAAAGGAATGAGATGTGAATTAAAATTTCAGCCCTTCACTCTTTCAGACTTGAAGACAACTTCAGTAGACCAATGGACCTCAGATCTACTTTCTCTTATCTATTCATGAACCTTGTCAAAATAATGTAAAAGCAAAGTCTAGTTGCCTTATGGAAGTTTTCCCTTATAGGTAATCAATAGTGTGGCTATAGACTTTTATTGTAGATCACATGTTATGGTTGAAATCTTTTTAACTATTATCTTTTATATTCCACCCCTGCCCTTCAGTCCTCTGGACATGTACACACACATAGAAATGGCCCCTGTACACACACTTGCCTAAAGCTAATTGGTGCTGGGACGAAACTTTCACTTGGGATTGATAGGGCTTCTACAGTGAACTCAATGATCCAGCGTCTCTGATGCTCTCTCTTCTCTTGACTCCCATGAAACATTACTTTCTAGGTTCTCCTTACATCTCACTTACTAATCCTGCTCTGGCACTGTTGGCTACCCTTTCTTCTGGAAGGTTGATTATTTGCTCTTTTCTCTTTCTATCTCTCTTCCCTGAATATCTCATTCACTACTGTCACTTCAATTATCTCCTTTATGTGGATGAATCCCAGATTATCTTCTCTCTCACTCTGGCCCTCTTCCCAAGGCATAGCTCCACATTTTAAGTTATCAGCTTAACAGCTCTACCTGGATTACCTGATGGTTTCTCAAGAACAACTTTATCAAAAATTCAATTATCTTCACCTCTCTACACGTTCCTGTTTTCAATTTCACCCGAGGTGACTTGAAGCAGCTGTATGGCCCTTCAAGAGTTTTCTTTGTCCTAAAAGGACCCCAGTCATTAGGAGCGGGTCCCTAGTGCTCTTTTGTACTTGGCAATAATAGATTGATCCAGACAATAACAGATTGATCCAACGGCATTCGTCTGACCTACATACAGAATCTTCCTCGTTGATGTTTGAAACTTGAAGACTGGGAGTTGGGTAGATGCCATGGTCAAGAACACCCAGAGAGAAGCATGCTAAGGGCAGCCCTCTCAGGTAGAGGTCAGCAAGTTCCTGCTGCAGGTCATTCACAGCGTCCTCTTTCCCAGCCCTTCCTAAGTCTTGGTTGTGCAGTTCTTTCTTCGTGTTAATGAGTTATCCCAGATTCCCTACAATACCTTTTAATTATTTCACTAGTCAGAGCCAGTGAAATGTTGAAGAATACGTCCAACATGTTTCACCATCAGTTAAGATCACCTTTGATACCTCCTGTCCTCAGCCTCTGAGGACATGTGAAGCCTCAGCCTTCACATACGCTACCATGCTCTGCTGGGTTCAGCTTTGCAGCTTTGCTGGTTTCTGTGTCCAGTCCCTTTCTGCCCACTGATAGGACATCTGGTATAGACCATTACAACAGCCTACTCACTGGTTTTCCTGTCTCTTGTTTCCTTTCTCTTTTCTTTCATGGTTGTGGTTGCTTTTATTTGCGCTATTACCAGATGAAACGGACCAGATACTGCCATGATCATGCCTGTCAACTGCCTGAAATGATCATTAAATCTTCCTCATTCCACTCTCTTATAGATATTTGCAGGTCTTCGTAGTTTTCCCCCCATCCTAGTCTAATGAATTCTCCCTTGAACCCACTGCACTACTTAATAAAATTACTTGCCAGTCTCTGATTATGATTTTGCTGATGCACTTCATGAGATTCAAATGCCTGCGTGAGGAAAGAACCCTGTCTTATGCCATCATTCATTCAACAAATCATTATAGAAAGCCTGTAACTGACAATCTCTCTCCTAGTTCCTGGAGACAGTGAGATGAATGAGGTCGGTAAAGGGCCCACATGTGAGGAGCATCTACACAAGTGGGATGAGATAGGAAATGAACGTGCTAAGAGGCATTTAAAAAAAAGAAGTTCAGGGAGGTTGGTGAGTGCTACGGAGAAAATTAAATAAAAAAACAGCAATTTGATCAAGAGGAACCAGGGAGTGGTGACAAAAACACAGAATCCTTCTGATAGTGTGGTCAGGAAAGGCCTCTCTGAGAAGACAGCATTTGAGCCTAGAAGTGAGTGGCAAGAAAGAGAAAAGAATAAGGAGACAGTCTAAGAAATAAGGGGACAATCTTGGGGTAAAGAACATCACATGGGGATCACAAAGTACAAAGACCAGTGGCAGGGATAGTCTTAGTTTATTTAATAAATCGAAAGACTATGTGGGCAGAGAACTGTGATGAGGAGGTGTGGGACAGGATTACATTGGTCTGAATTGAGATCCAAGAGGACTCAAAACACAGCGAGAAGTTTGAATGTTATCCCGAATATAATGGACAGCTATTGAGGGACTGTAAGCAGGGAAATTATATGAAAGATATGCTCTTTAATCTGGCTGCTGTGTAAAAATAGACCTTAGGGGTGTGAGAGCGAAAGTAACAAAATTAGACAGGAGTTTGCTGAGTGGTGGCTTGGGCCTACGGCTATGTTAGCAGGGTTAGTGAGAATTGGTCAGATACAGAATGTACTTTGGAGGTGGAACCAATGGGATTTGTTGATTGGATTTGTTTAGGGTCTTGCATATTCTAGCATATAGCAGACATAAGTGTTGTTAATTGACTCATTAAAGGAATGATTGAGCTGCCACTCATGGTCAAGCTCAGACTCCATGCAACACTCCCTGACTAACATCACCCTTCCACTTTCTTACTCCTCTCCTGCCCCTGAAATCCTACCACACTTTAAACGCATTTTCTCATGGACACTAATGTTTTTCCTTGGACTTAGTAACTTATGTGCATTCCTTCCCTTTTCTTCTGGGCTGTAAGCTTCCTCACACCCTTCATGCCCCACAGTCCCTTGCATATTTTGCATGGTACATAACCGGTGTCAACATTTTTTTGCACAAATGCAGTGAGGTGGAAATTATGCAAAGGTCAAAGTCCTCAGATAAAGAAGAGATTACTGAGCGATGGCATCGAAATCTGAGGATCTTGTCAAACAGATGAAGTATAATAATACAGCTCAGTTAGTTTAGGCTCTGCCTTGCTTGGAAGCCAAGAACTAGCTGAGTGACTGAGAGTGGTTCTTTGAAACCAGAGAGGCAATGTGAGTGTGGCTTGTGCAAATGGGAACGGGTTCTCATAGCAGGACTGAGTTCCAGCTTCACTTACCAGCTTTGTAACAAGTGTCTTAACCATTCTGGATCACAGTTTATTGGTCAAATGGGCATAATAATCGAAATACCTCAGAGATGGCTACTAAAAAAATAATTACTTTTAGAAACAGAGTGTTTGCTTTGTGCCTGCAATGAATGCTTTAACTACATTAACGCATTCATTGCCCCTGACAGCACTGTGAGATAGATGCTTTTATTATCCCCATTTTATAAGTCGCTGATATAAAGCACTTCCCACAGCACCCAACAGAGAAAAAGATCTCTATAAGACTAGAAAAGAAAAAAAATCTAAAATTGGCATGGAGCCAGAATGCCTGTTTTTAACCCTGTTTTGCAGCCATTTTTGATTTCAGATCATGCAAACCTTTTTAGTCTCAGTTTTCTCATTTTAAAATAGCCTACGGTAAAGAACAAGTGAGAGAAAGCCTGGAAAAGTGTAAATATAGGTAAACTTACTCCAGGAAAATCATGAATAAAAGTAGACATTCAGAAGGGGTTAGAGCTGATTTTTAACTGAAATGTATAAGATGCAAGCACATTTAAAGGCAGTGTTAGGAGAAAGTGTCTTATGGCTCTTCAAAGGATAAAGCCCCCCATTTCCTAGAGTTTAATTGCTACCATGTCTTTGAAAGTCATGCTCTATGGCTTTCTCATGTTCAGAGCATTGCACACTTGAACTAAAAATGAAAAACTCAGTAGCTGAAGAGTTTAGTTCATTTTTGGTTTTATCCATCCTAAGAAGGCTGAATTAGCTGATGGGACTGATAACATGCGAATGCCTTTCTCTACTTATGCAGTAGTTTCTCCTCTCTTTTCTTTTGTAATCCTCTAGGACATTCTTTGTGGGAAGAACACATCCCAGTTCTGGGTACTGTAGGGTTCTATCCCTGTAACTCCTAGTTCATGTCTGGGCTTGCACCTAAAATGAAAGGAGAGTGTCCCTCGGTCTGATCATTAGTTTATACACTCTAAATTGTTTAGTGTTCCCTTTTTAATATTTTGAAATGTACTTTCCTCAAAGTCCTTTCTCTGTGACAATTAGTTCAGAAATAGGAATGCTAATTAAAGCTGCCCTTTCCTTCTCAAAGACAAAGTTCTTTTTCTGTATGTTAAAAATAAAACACACACACTCATTCTCACACTCACATGCACTTACCTCAACTAGTTTGTTCCTAATAAAGTGGACTCTGTCTTCGTGAGCTTCAGTTTATGTTATCTTTTTTCTTCTTAAAGAGTGTTTCCTGTTAAAAATAACTAATATATTACATCTATATAGTAGGCAGAATAAAAACCCCAAAGATGGCCATATCCTAAACCCAGGAATTGTGAAATAGTAAATTTGTGTTATTTTGGGTTATGTGACACAAGGTAATCAGTATTGTGAATGAAATTAAGGTTGCTCATCAGATGTCCTTAAAATAAGAATTGTATGGTGGATTATTTAGGTGGGCCCAATGTAATCACAAGGATAAAAGAAAGAGGGAGGTAGATGGGTCAGTGTCAGAGCAATGGAATGTGAGAAAGACTCAAATGGTCATTGCTGGCACTAACAATGGAAGGGGCCACAAGCCAAGATATGCAGGCAGCCTCTAGAAGCTGGAAAAGGCAAGAAAATTGATTCCCTCCTAGATCCTCCAATAGGAACGTGGTCCTGCCAACACCTTGATTTAAGCCCAATGAGAACCATTTCAAACTTCTGACTTCCAGAACCGTAACATAATAAATTTGTGTCAGTTTTAGCCACCAGGCTTGTGGTAATTTACTATAGCAGCAACGGGAAACAAATACAAACTGATTTCAGCATTATAGTAATGGGTACAATAACAGAAAATAAGCAATCTCAGGCACATAAGCTGCAACACTGACTGTGAGTTCTAGGAAAACTCATTCCCAGAAGAATGATTTTGTTTCCAGTTCTCTGGGCCTCTGTATTTGAAGCTGAGGTAGGGGAAACTTTTCTTCTTCCTCTACTTCTTTTAAGAGGGCTTAGTCCCTTTTGTCAAAGTGATTCATTGGGATGTGACCCCTAGCTTCACTGATTGCTGGGTTACAATGAATCTTGGAAGCTATTCATAGATGCTTCTGATTTAGGGAGCACTAGCAAGAGTTTGCATTCATGAACAGTAATATGGACACAGGTCATATTAATCCTGGCCTTCATGACCAGTTCATATGTCTTCTCTTTCTCTGGGATTTTCCTGATCTTCTCACTATAAGAAATCTCTTCTATAGTGCATATTCCCTTTTTGCTTGTAACTTAGCTATTATATAGACATCTTCATACCCTGTTGCAGTGGAAAGAGAACTGGACTAATGGTCCAAAAACCAGGCTACATGTCTGGCTCCCAGTCCTGTGCCATGACCTCAGATAGGTAGCCCTTAGAGAGTGAAGGCCTACCATGACCCATGCCCTGCATTCTGGTAGGCATTCTCTAAACATTTATTCTGTGCTCTCTTTTTTTTTTTTTTTTTTTTTTTTGAGATGGAGTCTCACTCTGTCGCCTGTGCTGGAGTGCAGTGGCATGATCTCGGCTCACTGCAACCTCCACTCCCCAGGTTCAAGTGATTCTCCTGCCTCAGCCTCCAGAGTAGCTGGGATTACAGGTGCCCACCGCCGCGCCCGGCTGATTTTTGTATTTTTAGTAGAGACAGGGTTTCACTATGTTGGCCAGGCTGGTCTTGAACTACTGACTTCAGATGATCCACCTGCCTTGGCCCCCCAAATTGCTGGGATTACAGGCATGAGCCACCATGTTCGGCCTACTCTGTGCTTTCTTTGTTCATCATCCATTGAGAATGTTCAGGGCTCTAAGGTTGGTGAAAAGGGGATTTCCAAGTCATTGAGACTTCACCCATTCTAATCTCATAGATAAGGAAAATGATCCGATCCGGGTGATAATTGTATGTGGGGTGGGGGAGAGGCAGAAAGGGAGGGAGACAGGAGAAAGCACATGGAATTATTTGGGGAGGAGAGTTTTGGGAACTATATGAAATATTCTTTCCATATAATCTTGATATGGTTTGGCTGTGTTCCCACCCAAAATCTCATCTTGAATTGTAATCCCCATAATTTCCATAATCCCCACATGTCAAGGGCGGGACCAGGTGGAGGTAATTGGATCATAGAAGTGGTTTCCCCCATGCTGTTCTCATGATAATGAGTGAGTTCTCATGAAATGTGATGGTTTTACAAGTGACGGACATTTCCCCTGCTTGCACCCACTCCATCCTGCCACCCTGTGAAGAAAGTGCCTGCTTCTCCTTTGCCCTCTGCCATAATTGTAAATTTCCTGAGGCCATGGGAATTTCCCCAGCAATGAGGAAGTGTGAGTCAAGTAAACCTCTTTCCTTCATAAATTACCCAGTCTCGAGTATTTCTTCATAGTAGTATGAGAACGGACTAACACAGTCTCTACAACTCCTATACAACAAAATATGCTAAAAATATTCATTCAGTTTCTCTTCAGAATTGGAAAGCATTTAAGCCAAAGCCTGCTGGGTTCTGTTTCCCAAGTACTGTTGTGGTGCAAGAAATGAGCTTACGCAGCTCTGAGGACACCCAAGTCAGTCTCTGGAATCTCGTGCCCAAGAACTGGGAGGATCAAGCTGATGAAGTGGTATATCTATGGCAGCAAGGCCCTGGCCCAAATGAGCAGGAAGGTATGACAGGGCCTAGGAACAGACCTAGAAGTAGGACCAAGCCCCAGCCATGGCTACAACATCCATGGAGATGCCATTTGTCATACTTTTAAAACCACTTGTTCCATTTCCAAGGTCATCTGAAGCTGTGGCTGAGAAAATGAAGCTGATGAGATATTCTGTATTTCTAGTTATAAGAGACGCATAGACTGGTGGACCACGGAGGTAGGATTAATTGAAGGAGAAATAGCCCCTTGATCGGCCCTTTCCTGGAGCCCTCTTTTATTCATTTTAGATCACGTCTCCCTGGCCATCTATGAGAATCTCACAAACAGAACACAGGCCCCATTCATCTATGTATCCTCAGATTTCTCAGTGCCTGGAGTAAAGAATTGCCTGTTTCTTCTCTTTCTCATTTCTCGCTTTCCCTTTTCTTCCTCTCTTCTCCCTTCCCTTCATCTTTTCTCCTTCCTCTCACCTCTATCCCGAGCTCCTTCCCTCATCTCATTTGTGTTTTCATTGCTCTCTTAACCTTGTTCCCAGGAAAGAACTAGTTACTGAATATTTACACTTCACTATGAGGTTAACGTCACATCCTACTTTTCTGAAGGTCATTCGCATTTTAAATCTTGTGTCTCTTTGTGTAATGGGGCCACAGTAAAAAATAAAATAAAACAAAACAAAAATGATGACTTTGACACATACTTCCCCTCCAATGTAAGAACCCTGGCTCTTGAGTGAGAATTCTTGAAGTCAAGTCCCAGCTCCTCAACTGCTAACACTGTAGTTTTGGGCAAGTTACTTAAGCTTTTGCATCTCAGCATTCTGATCTATATAATGGGGTTAATGATTAGTTATTCTATTGAGATATTGCGACAACTCAATGAGACAGTTTATGTAATGCACACAGCACACTGTGTGTCACGTGGTAGGAATTCAGTATTATTGTACTACAAACTATAATATATAAAAGGGATAATGATCATTATTATCCTGGAGAATCACGGCCTTAAAGCCAGCCCAGTGTGGTGGGATGTGACAGACACCTATTACAGAGAGATTACATCAAAAGGGATATGACAGGAGAGCCACAAATTGCATACTGGATTAAATGGGTAAACCCAGGAACTCATTCAGGTTAGGCCACAAAGGCTGGGAAAAAGAAATTATGGCAAAAATGTCATAAATCCTACTAAGGAAAGCTTATATTCTAATGCAAGTTTTCTGGTTGGACTTCCAAATAGTCTACTCATTTGTTTATGTGAAGATTACATACTATACATGCTTTGATCATAAGATTCATGAGGACTATTTTCAAGATACATTAGTGCAATATTGCTGGAAGTGTCTTAGGATGGAAGGTAGTTTTTTCCCTCAGCTTTCTATTTGAAAATCCAATCGACCTTGTGGATTCAATAGGGCATTCAAAACAGAAGGCTGTGGTACTTAATAGTTTAATGGACATCCATATACATATTTTAAAGAAGTCCATTCAAGACACATTTACTAACCTTTCAGAATGAGCCTTCAGCTAAGTGAAACTGCTTGAGTCTGATCATGTTTGAGCAGAAAGTTCATCTGGAGAACATTTAGGAATTTTCAAAGTAATTGAGAAACCCCAAGATAGAAAGGCTTGATATACTTTAATGTGGAGGTGATGTTGAGGGTAGAGTAGAGGGCACCTGCGGGTAGATAACTTTCATCATTTTGGTGAGAAAATCTTACAGTGTGAAGAGACATGAAGGGTCATACACTGACCTTGTCTTTGTTACTTGCCCCATCAAGTCCTGATGTTAAGTGGCATCTTTCACCAACTATCCAATCTCATTTTTCTCGCCTGGCTTGGAGGTCTCAATCTGGCTTTACCACTGTCGTGAATGCTGTCTTTTGTTTTGTTTTTGTTTTGTTTTTGAGACAGGGTCTCATTCTGTTGCCCAGGCTGGAGTGCAGTGGCACGGGCAGCCTCTGCCTCTTAGGTTCAAGCAATCCTCCCACCTCAGCTCCCCAAGTAGCTGAGACTACAGGCCCATGTCACCATGCCGAGCTAACTTTTGCAATTTTTGTAGAGATAGGGTTTCTCCATGTTGCCCGGGCTGGTCTTGAACTTGTGAACTCAAGCGATCTACCCACCTCAACCTCCCAAAGTGCTAGGATTACAGGCATGAGTCACAGTGCCTGGCCAATGCTGTCTTTGTGTGTGCCCATTTATGTTCCTGGGAAAGTCACTGCTCCTCTCCAAACTCATTTTCAATGACCTAGATTAGGTTTCTCTCTTCAATGCAACCTTCCGGATAATGCCAACCATCCTGATGGCTTGCTTCTCTTAGCTTCTATTGACTGAGAGAAGAAATTTTCCTTCTAGAATTTTACTTCTTTTTAACTTTTCAGTGTATCATCCTGATTTTTCCTATACTAAGCAAGTCAAGGATTATGAAAAGCTAGAGGATTCAAAGCCACCTGTGTCCACTTCCAAGTCCCTGACCTTAAACAAGCCAACTCTGCTCTCTATACCTCCTTTTTATGCATTTGCAAATTTTTAAAAAATATATTATTTTATCTTTAAATGATTCCTAAAAGATTGTATGAATATGGATGTAGGGGTGAAAAAAACTTTCTCTGTTCCTTCTTAGATTTAGTAGTTGGACCCTGTAAATTAAACTGACAAAGGACAGATTGATGGGAAAAATAGATTAATAGAGTTTATTTACACGTGCAGAGCACATATACATGTGAGAACTCAATGAAGAGTAACTCAAAGGGGTGCTTAGAATTGGGGACTTATATAATCATCCTAACAAAGGGTGATAAATTGTGAAGTGACAAGACAAAGAAAAAAGGATTTGGGCTTCTAGGGTGGTAAATTGTGGGAAGAAAAATATACAGGGGAAACTAATGGAATATAAGGCTTATTTGTAAGGTTTCTTACACAAATCCCACTGGTGCCGACTTTCTGCCCAGTGATTATAGTTGTTTCATCCTTCTCATACAGGAGAGCAGAAGGGAATACTTTACAAAGAGAAATTCATACATCTATCCCCTGCCTTGAGGCAGAGAGGGGGAAGGTAGAGAGTTTTTCCTGAGTCTCCTATTTCAGTTGCCTTCAATCGAAAATAACCCTTATGCCAAAGGACATATTTTGGAGTAACATTTTCTGATTCCCTTCATAGGCTAATAATCTTACATTTAAATTTGACTTAACTAGTTTCTATATACATTGTGATTCTATGTATTTGAAGAGAGAACAGGTAGATTGTAAATATATCGAATTTTAACGTTTTTCTCAATCTTGCTACACTTATTTTTGCATTTATTATAATGTCAACAAACAGTATGAAGAATATTTCTTAACCGAGACTATCACGTGGTGAAATTTCAAACTGAAGCTATAAAAAACAAGGAAAAATGATCAATTTCAGGTTTTAGATAAATCATCCCATTTGAGATTATTTAAAGGATCACAATGGATTGGGGCAAGGAAATGTAAAGTCTACTGACCCTCTCTCTTTCACAGACTGGTCAATTGATTTGGACATGCGTCCTTGGAGTGAGTTTTTACTTTCCTAAGAGTTTCTGTCAATACTTTCCTTTCAGAGTCTCTCAACCAGTTAAACGGCCCCAGTTAAAGAACCATTCAACATGGTGCAGAGGGGCCTGAGAGTGAGGTGGTGAATGATAAAGTAGGCAGAACCTGGTACCGAGTATACCCACATTCAAATCCCAGTTCTACCAAGTGCCATATATGAGGCTTCAGGCAAGTGGATTAACCTTTGAAAGCCTGAATTTTCTCCTTGAAACCAAATTATTTCAGGGAACTATAAAAGGATTAAATTAGTTAATATCTATAATTTTTTTTTTTTTTTTTTTTTTGAGATGGAATCTCGCCGTGTCGCCCAGGCTGGAGTGCAGTGGTGCGATCTCGGCTCACTGCAAGCTCCGTCTCCCGGGTTCACGAGGTACTCCTGCCTCAGCCTCCCGAATAGCTGGGACTACAGGCGCCCACCACCACGCCCGGCTAATTTTTTTTGGATTTTTAGTAGAGACGGGGTTTCACCGTGTTAGCCAGTATGGTCTCAATCTCCTGACCTCGTGATCCGCCTGCCTCGGCCTCCCAAAATGCTGGGATTACAGGCATGAGCCACCGCGCCCGGCCAATATCTATAAATATTTTAGAGTAGTGCCTGACACTTAAAAGTTCTCCATAAATGTTGGTAGCTACTATTTTTGGAGTAAATCAGGTATAAATCCTGGTTATGTCCCTTGTTGAATGTAATTTTGTGAAAATTAATTAATCCCAATGCGCCTTAGTTTTTATTCTTCTTTGAAATAGTGATAATAACACCTAACCTATTGATTTGGGGTGAGCTGAAACTAATTTATACATGTAAACTACATAGTATGGTGCCTGGCTTAGAATCAATGGGTAAAAGCCTTTAGTGTACCTTTGGTATTCCCTTCTTTGGTATGAAAGACAGACCTCTGCTGGAGGACTCATTACAATGTAAAGAAAGGGGTGAGTCAGTGAATGAGGGAGAAAGCCAGGATGTTTTAATATAACAAACTGGGTTGGGGCTAGCAAGTTACTGCAGTAAAATGGTTGAGCCGTGATCTGGAGTTACTTTTTTAAATTTTTAAACATTAAAAATAGAGGTAGAGTCTCACTATGTTCCCCAGACTGGTCTCAAACTCCTAAGTTATCCTCCCACCTAAGCCTCCCAAAGCGCTATGCAGGCAACTCTTCTTTCCAAGAGTGGCGCTAGATAAACATCATTCCCCAGATGTCCCCTGCTTCCCTAGACTTTTTAGATGAAGCAGGAAACTCCTCTTATGGTGCTGTCACCTTACAAAATCTCACAGCTGGGGGTGCATGTGAAAGAGCCCCCGCATACTTGGGAGCCAGCAGATTCGATCCGGTAGCCACAGCTGAGAGACAGCTCAGAAAGCATGTGGTAAATGTAACTAATGCAGATAGGAAAGGGCTGGACCTCCAATCAGCTGGCACATTCTAAGTAGAGAATGCTATTGTCCTGAAGGGAAATTCTATCTGAAACCAACAAAATCATATTCATGGGACTTTATGTGAATTTCAAAAAAGATAGGAATTTCAATCCTGGAAAATGAGATGTGGCAATTTTAAAATACTTTACCAACTCTCTAAACTAAGAGATCAATTGGCAAATATTTGCTGAAATCTGCTGATAGAAATAAAGGGAAAAGCGTGAATTTGGAAGCCAGACAAAGCAATGATTGAATTCTGGGTTTTCTAACCATGTGACCCCCTCTCAGTACTTTAGTTGTTTTCAACTACAATATGGTATGATATAGGATTAAAAGACATGTTTACATTTAACTTGACCTAATTAATTTCTGTAATTTTTTTTTAACTTTTGACTTTCTGTAGCTAAACGTTGGTGGAAATTTCAGAAAATGGTTACCTAAAATATTTTTTTTCCTACTAATTACTAAAACCTGCTTCCCCGCCACAGGCTTGCTGATATAATGGAGAAGAAAATGTTTGGATGGATGGGTGATTGGGCAGGTGGATACAAGGATATCTCTTATAAATATGTTATTCAAAATGAAAAGCACCTTTGGCAGGACCAACTTATTTCTAGGACTCAAGGGAAAGAAACCACACTGTGGGTTGAGATGATCAGCAGGTCTTCATGGGAAAAACGCTGAAACTAGACCTTGGAGCAGGGGTGGCAGGACCAGGGAAAAGCAAAGTCGTTTCATCCAAGGAGACCTTGCAGAGCCTCTGAAGAGTTGGAACTTCCGTCATAACCCCACAACTACCATATGTGAGCAGGGGACCCCAGGGACTGGGCTCAGCTCCCCGCAGACTTAGTTAATTCTTACATCAACCATGAGAAAGGGGCAGTAGCATTCCCATTTTAAACCAAGATTCAGAGACGGAGTGTATTCTTCAAGGTCATGGAGCAAGCAAGGGTAAGGCTAGGATTGTACCCAGGTCTACCAACCTCAAAACTTGAGCATGGTATACTATAATACTTCTAGTAATGATTCAGGTTACCATTATGGACAGTTACCGCCTCTATAAAGTCTCCTTCCTGATACCACTAAACCCTTTCCCAATTAGAGTTGACTTTCCCTCCTTGTTTTCCCACTGTACCGCGCAGACATCTGTTCAAGTGTTGGTGTATTTATTGGTCACATTTTACTTCATGCCTGCCTCCTCATTAAACTATAAGCCCCCAAAAGACAGAGCTGAGTATTATTCATCATTTGATCATTCATGTACCATTTATAGCTCATAGTAGCAGCTTAATAAATGCTAATGAATAACTGAATGAATGAAAGCCTGTTGCCTTCCAGTCACTATGCCCACTGCTTGGCAAGTCAGTTAACCTCTTCATGCTTTGTTTTCCTCACCTACAAAGTTAAAATGATTAGAATTAACTTATAATCTGCCACTTATGTGGTAGATTAATTTGTCTACCACGTAGAGATGTAGGGATAAGTAAGTTGTTGAAAAGTCACTACAATATTGATGAGCACATAGTAAGTGCTTAGTACATGTTAACTATTATTGTGATCACATTTAATTCCCATAATTCCCTTTAAATGGAGAACTTTAAATGAAGTATTATGATCTTGACTGCATAGAATAGGACCTGTTATTAGAGTGGTTAAGTGTCTTGCACAAGATCACATAGCAAGAAAGAAGCAGAACTTGCAAATGACCCTGGAGGTCTGAGATATTACTCACAAACCCTTATATTTCCAGTTCACCTACAGAGTCCCTGTTGATTCTCTTCATCTCCGTTTTTAGGTTGGGCTTCAGTAGACTGGAGATAACCAACAAAGTGATTCAGCCAGTGTGGTCCTGGCACAGAACAGGGTCTGTTTGGAGTGGTTTGGACTAGCACACCTCATGGCATCTTTGCGATGGTGCTGTCCACACTTCCCAGTTGATAAGAGTCACCTGGGCTTCTTAATAACACACACTCCAGGCTCCTCTGATGAGCGTGGTTTTAATAAACAACCCCAGGTTGTTTTTATCATCAGGGAAGTTTGTGAAACTTTGAGAAAGGCTGAGGCCAGACTTTAAAGGACGATGGTGGTACACACCTTCCAGGGGGCAGTTATGAACATCTTAGTTGTTACCGGGTACTGCTCCGCCACGCCCTCCGTCCACCTTTGTAAATATAATATAAGGACTAAATCAATCTCCCTGATAATGCGCCCGACGTGACAGCGGAGACCAGAACAAGGAGTGGCGTGGCGGGGGAGGCTCAGGTGTTCTCGTTTGACAAAGTCATTGAATCACGGAGCTTTGCTCCTGCACTTTTCTCCCTGGAAAAGCTGCCTCTAGACTTCCACGGGGGCTTTCAGGAAGGGCCTGTAGGCACCAGCCACCAGAACTGATTGTTTCCTAGCATTCAGAGAGGGAGCTGAGCTCTCTGCCAGAGGCGGCTCTGGGAGGAGAGAGCAGCAGCTTTGGCAAAAAGGGGCCATTCGCAAGCTTCTCAGGCAGAAAACTAGCGCGCAGACAGATCTGCCCAGCCTCGCGTCCTCAGCGAGGGAAGCGCGCGGTGTTCTCCCGGGCAAGTTTCCTAGGAGTGTCCCTTCTCGCCACGGACACTGCAAAGTCTCCAGTTCTCCGACAGACGTTTCCCTCGCAGCTCTGAAGTCGAAGTACTCGCCCGCTGGCTGCAGCATAGAGTGGAGAGGTCCGTGCGCTGTGGTAGCAGGGGGGAAGCCCCGCCAGCCAAATGCCAGGATCAGCATGAGAAGCTGGACTTTAGCCCAGGTCTGTCCTCACCCCGGGGGGCCGCCGGCTTTGCAGGGTGCATCTGCCAGGAGCTGCTCACTTTTTCCCCTTGCAAGTCTTTGTTCCAAGCCTGACGTTGCTACGATTCTGTAATTAACTCCCTCCACTCCAAAGGGGTCTGGAGGCTGGGATGCTCTGCCAGCTCAGAGGATGTTGACTCTGGAGTGGGAGTCCGAAGGACTGCAAACAGTGGGTATTGTTGTGATTATATGTGCATCTCTGAAGCTTCTTCATTTGCTGGGACTGATTGATTTTTCGGAAGGTAAAGTGGTCGCTCCAGTCTGTGCTGTTGGGCAGGTCTGGTTTAGAAGTAGATACAGATGCTGCAGAAGTTAAGAAGCCTTAATACTCAAAGTAAAAGTTTTAAAATATGCATGTTTGGCATAGAGCATCCTAGTGGCTGGACAGTTCATTTTGGTTTATCTAGATATTTGATATTAGAAGGGAAGGGATATTGTACCATTATCTTTCTATTTGAAATCTACTTGGGTTTAGTATTTTGTGGGTTAAATATTTTTCTAAGGTGGGGAGTTAGGACTCTCTCCTATGGGGTGATAATATGGGTTGGTATTTGGTTGTCAAGTTCATGTTGGTTACCACACCTTAATGTCATTAGTGATTTCATCCTATGAAAGAGTATCTTGATTTGTGAAGAGAATATCTGTGTGTCCCTCATTAGTTAGGAGGTGTGGGGGTGAACCCGGGTGGTTTATTATGATATAAAATGGGTAAGCTTTTGATATGAAATTGAGTTAATGGGTGCTCAGCAAAAATGTGCTTTGAACATTTGATTTGCAAGTGTTTCATTTGCATTCCCCAGTGAGTCTCATTGCTCATGTGTGTCCTGAGTAGGAACTCATACACACGAGACAGGACTGTTGCTATCAATAAAAATTAGATCCATCTAACATAAATTTTACTCTTGCTATCCAAAATGAGTTTTGTTATTCAAAGATTGGAGAGTTTTAAGAAGTTAATTAACTTTGCTTTAACTATTTGAATGTATATGTATGTATCAAACACACACACATATTGTTTATGAAATAATGCTTTTACTAAAATAATAGCCTTTGAATCATTTAAACCTAAATCATTTGATATCAATTCTACATGCAATCTCCTCTTTCTTCCTAAGTGAAAGAATGACGTCCATGAGATACTTGCTAATATTTCTTCCAGATATGGATATGATATTTTATTGCCAAGTAATGAATATTTACCTCTCACATTGTGTTTAATGTGGGGAGATGGAAATATTTAAACTTGCCTATGCTTTCTGTAATCTTTCTAACTATAGGAGCTAAGACCTGATAGCTATGATGACATCATCCCAAACAAGATCCGGTATACAGGTTGTTTCTCTTAATATGTTAATGATGGCCAATGTATCTTATCTTCAGAAAGTCCTTTTATTCTACAAAGTAAGTTCATTAGGTTCTAACTGTTTAGACAATATAAGAACATACATTCTATTGTAATCTTCGTATCTTCTTTATTCTCAATAAGTTCTGCTTAGACACAATACAAATAATACTGTAATGGGATTAAAACCTCAGAATTTAGTTCTTTTTCCTTTTCTTATATTTCACAGTAATTTTATTTAACCCCTGAAGGAAATCAATGCATAAGCAGGTTTCTCCAATGTTACACAATTTTGCATTCTCTTGAGATTTCTGCCTCAATGCACTAAATGCTGGTGTCTTAATACAGTACTAGCAATTTCAATTTCTATGATTGGAATAATTTGCTTCTGTTTTGTCACCACGTTTTGGTTCTCTGGACTTAGTTGAGCCACAGCCCCCAACTTCAGTGCATTGTACTGGAGCTGACTTGGTTTCAGAGTTAGGTTCTAAAGGACAACCTCCACAAATGTATTGAGGAAGTCAACTTTCACAGCATTATGAGGATAGCGCACAGTTCTTATATTGTCAAAGTTAATAATGTAGAAATTTAAAATCAAAAGTCCCAAGTGTAAGGCCCCGGGCAACGATTCAGCTTTTATTCTTCAATGTCTGTTTCATATCACTTAAAGTTGAAGGTTTGCAGATTCAAACTTCGAATTTGAGTTTCAACAAAATGAAAATTAGAATTGTAAACCTGACTCCCCCAACTAGAATCATAGAAATTTTGAGTTGGTCTGAAAAGTCTTCCTTGGGAGAGATATCTAAATCATATTCCTATCCATATCTGAATCTATATTTCTATATCTACACACACAAACATACACATAGAGATGTACATAAATATTTATAGATATTATGTGAAATGTTCAGTAAGCTGGAGAAACTTTTAATTCAATATAGAATCCATGATCATGTTAAAATACAAGGATGCAGGTTATCACCATACATGAGGGAAGACCCACATATACTTGTTGAGTCAGTCCCTTTTTCCTCTGAAATACATGTTAGGAAATACTAGTTTGGGCCAACTCTTATTTTGCATAGGAGACAACTACAATCCAGTAAAGTTAACTGACTTGTCATAAGGCAAATGTAACTGCGAGCAGAAGCAGGATCAAAACCAAAGACTACTGAATCCTACACAGTGCTTTTCCTACTACAACATACTTTTATACATCTTCCTTAATGTTGAGAAAGGGAATAAATGAAAATGCACATGGGAATTTTCTGGAATTCTTGAGTCTTTTCCTGAATTGGCTAATACCATGTGAAATATTTTCGGCAAATGCATTTAAAAGAAAATCATATAATGGGCATGTAATTTCTACAAGGCTCTGACCTCAACCCAGGAATGGGACCCAAGCATGGGATATAAATGAGCTAAGCCAGACCACTGATGTTTGTCATAGATTAGAGGCAAGATTAGGACAAAAGCAAGCCAAGTGGTCTCCTCAGCCCCTGTCAGACATCTAAGATCTGCACTGAATTTTGACCAAATGTGACTTACATTCAATCATGATGAATGTCCAGTTCAAGCAGAGTCTGAGGATGAAGTCCAATGAGAAGGTGACACCTCTATCCTAGGCCTGCTGCCTGTTTATTTAGACTATGACATTGTCTAAGCAGAAACAGAACCTGGACTTTTTGATCAGTAGTCAAGTAAAGGTTTGAGAAAAAAAGGCAGCTAAAGTGCAAACCACCATAAAAAATTAGATTATCAGAGCTTTCATTCTTTCTAGCTGAAAATGATGAAGGTTGACAGGGTTATCCCAATGCAAATTGCTAAACTCTTCACTAAGATTGCACCACCTAGAAAATATGACCCACAATAGTCCAGAGAATTAGCCTCTTTTTTTTTTTTTTATGGTGGAGAAGTGAAGGTGAAAAGGCCCAGAGTAGAAATTTGAGCTTCTTTTAGGCAGCATTGAGCTTACATGTTGTCCTCAGGAAGCAGTGATACCTCAATGGTACCATCATGGAATATTTTCTCCAGTGTGATTTTCTGTATAATACATTAGAAAGTACTTCTGAGTCTATTTGAATGAGAGGGCCCATATTAATGTTGAGATAAAGCAGTATTGCCTTAATATTTTCATCTCTAATGTTGACTAGAATTAGACACAGATAGAAAAGGGTTAAGAGAAACAGTTATTTGTTTTAGTTTCCAATTTCGATAGTCTTGTTTTAAAAAAAGTTTTAATTGAAATTCATGACTTAGGACTCAAAAGCAATTTGTAAAGAAGATCAAAACAACCAGTGTGATTTTACTATAGGGATTTGAAATTTTGCACATATCCACTTATTAGTAAGCGGAAGGAGAAAGAACACTCATGAGATTAAGCTCATCATTTCATACTTTAGTTTGTAATCTTGTCATATTGAATTCTAACGTGTGCAGGGTACCCTGTTGGGTATTGACTGAGAGGGTGGGAAAGTGCAAGATGAACATTAAAGTGCCCTCAACAAGCTTACATTCTGGTAAAGGAGACTACTTACTAAACAAGGCAGCAGAAAATAATGCTGGGCATAGGCCCAGGCCATGGCCAGTAGAAGCACAGGTAGAAAGGTTCATTCTGGAAAGGACTCCAGAGAAGGTTTAATGGAGAAGAAAAACTAGTCGTACAGGACCTTGGAGTGGGAGAATGTTTCCCAAATTGGAAAATCCAGGAAGAAGATTCCAAGCTGAGCAAGGAAATTGAGCTGTGAATCTAAGCACAGACAGTGGGTGGCTTGCATGGATTAGGACCGTGAATTGGATATGGCTCGTTGCACATGGGTCTAAGAACATTAAAATATGTGGCTGGACAAGTTACTTGGGGTTCAACACTAGAAGTGCACACTTATTCCCTAAACATTGAAGAGCCATTGACTTAAAGACTTCAACTTTGGGGGAGCAAGTGGGACAGATCCATGTTTTAGGTAGGTCAACCTGGGGGTAGGTGAAGATGAGTTCACAGGTAAGAAAGTGCAAGCAGAGCCAGGCGCGGTGGCTCACACCTGTAATCCCAGCACTTTGGGAGGCCGAGGCGGGTGGATCACGAGGTCAGGAGATGGAGACCATCCTGAATAACACGGTGAAACCCTGTCTCTACTAAAAATACAAAAAAATAGCTGGGCGAGGTGGCGGGCGCCGGTAGTCCCAGCTACTCGGGAGGCTGAGGCAGGAGAGTGGCGTGAACCCGGGAGGCGGAGCTTGCAGTGAGCCGAGATCTCGCCACTGCACTCCAGCCTGGGCGACAGAGTGAGACTCCATCTCAAAAAAAAAAAAAAAAAGAAAGAAAGTGGAAGCAGAGATACTAGTTATGCTTTTGTAGCAATTCAGATGGCAGATTGGAAGGACAAAAATCCACAGAATTCCCTCCTCAATAAAATACTTGGGGAGAACTGTCCGTTTCCAGTTTTTCCAGAAGTTCTTATTTAATGATATCCATGACATGAAGCTCTTTGGAAACAATATACTTATACTTTATTTCAGAGCAACTTTGTTTGGCTTTATTAAATATCTTTTTTATGAGAAAAGAAAGAAATGTGGAGTACGCAGAGATCATAGCTATAGGTATAGTGGAAGGAACTTAAAACTTTGGATAGATTAATCCGCTATCTTACAAGGTCCTCGATTATTGTAAACTTTTTATTTTGAAAAATTTTACACATAAAACAAGGTATAGAAAAAAGTGTAATGAATTGTCATATATTCATTATCTAACTTTAATAATTACCAGTACTTTGGCACTTGTTTTCACATGGCTTGCATTTAATAAATATTTATTGATTGTCTACAGGATGTCAGGCACTAGGCTAGGCTCCAGAATATAGAGATCAATTAAAGATAGTTGCTGCCTTCAAGATATTCTCAGTTGCATAAGAAGAAAAAGAATACTAACAAATAAAAAATATAATACATCATGGTAAATAGACCAGTACAAGAAAATCCAAGAAGAATGTTAGGTAATTAAGTCCAAGTAGAGGAGATGAAAGCAATCAGAGATGACTCCATGGTGGAGGTGACCTCTAATCCTGGCTTTTATGGATGAAGAGAAGTGTATAAGATTGATATATAAGAATGGTGCTTATCCAAGTACTGTATGTAAAACGCTGGGTGAGGTAACACCATGTACAAGCACAGGGCCATGATACACCACGTGAAATTCCTGGAACAACGATAAAATGTAGGATAGGAGTTGACTGTTTTACTCCTTCTCCTTAATTGTACAGTTATCCTTGCTGTTTAGCACAGTGCTTGGTAAATAGAAGTTACTGAAGAAAATTATGACCTGAATGCCATTTGCTTTCATACAGGAATAGTGCCAGTTCATATCTATTTATCCCACATAATAAGTAACTTCCAGTATCACTTTCAGGTTTCCATAGTAGCCTAAAAACTGTTGATTCATTGATTAAGATTTTTGTTATATATATATTTTTTCTGTTAGTAATATTTCACATCAAAATCCCCTGGCAAAGTGAAGATACCTGCACACCAAACACATATGTTTGTTAGAACTCCTGAGCCAGGGAGATAATTTCAATTAAGATAACCAACAATGAGTTGCAGAGTCCCCGCTTATATGAGCTCTGGTTTGATGGAAAAGCAACACTTTCAATTCTGTAACTGGAAAAACGTTTAGATTTATTGCCAAAATATAACAAATATGTATTACTGTGTGGAAGGGAAGGGAGGATAGTCAGGTGTTTTACTGCCTTCAAGAAATTTCCGAATTGGTTAGAGGCCAGACAGCTCATGAATAACTAATCCAAGATGAAAAAGTATTGTGAGAGGGAGTAAGGCCTTTAGAAAACTCAAAGAGAGGAGCCATCTAGAAGATTTTGGGGAAGGCTGCAAAAAGATAAGTGACATTTTACATCTCAAGAGTTGAGAGATCCAAAACTTTGACAGGTAGAGACTAGAAACTAAAAGCAGAAAATTGAACTATATTTTTAAAAGACAGGCAGTTTCCTGAAATCATTTTTGTAATCAGATTGGCACTGAAAATTTCATTAATTATTTAAAATACCAAGTTTCTGCTTGGACCTGGCAATGTGCTTGATACTGATTAGTCTGGGGACTATTATTTTCCAGTTCTAATTATTTTTACTTACTTTGGTAACTTGTGCCTCACCCAGGCTGGAAGAGGAGAGCTATAATTTTAAGTGGGCAGTGAGGGGAGTGGAAGGGGAATGCCCTCCAGCCAAATATCATCAGGAAACACACCTGTGGTTGAATAATTTTCATTTATTATTCATTGCAGAGAGAGAGAATACATGCTGCAGAGAAACGGGGAATGTCTCAGAGAGTGTTAGGACTTATTACAGGGTTTGAGCTCATTTTGGTGCCTTTGGAGAAGGTTTAAGTGAGCAAGACATTGACCTGGACAGGAAGCTGTCAAGAAGCCAGAGTCATGCTGTGATTGGGTAACTTGTGTCTGCAAGTAGTGAAGACTAGACAGAGACAAAAGCTGTAATAGGTAAAGAAGCAGCTGTTACTCATATTAGCTGGGATAGGAGGTATTTGATTATTTTGTGGTTTAAAGTTCATGTTTGGCCAGGCGCAGTGGCTCACACCTATAATCCCAGCACCTTGGGAGACCGAGGTGTGTGGATCACCTGAGGTCAGGAGTTTGAGACCAGCCTGACCAACATGGAGAAACTTCATCTCTACTAAAAATACAAAATTAGCCAGGCGTGGTGGTGCATGCCTGTAATCCCAGCTACTCGGGAGGCTGAGGTGGGAGAATCGCTTGAACCCAGGAGGTGGAGGATACAGTGATCCAAGATCACACCACTGCACTCCAGCCTGGGCAACAAGAGCAAAACTCCATCTCAAAAAAAAGAGAAAAAGTTCATCTTTTTGCTTCTGTTCAAACATGATTATAGAGTGCTCTTGTTGTTATATTGATCAACCATGGGTCCACAGTGGTGTTTTCTGATGTTCATATTCTATGAAATGGTTTATAATCATCAAGAAAACACCAAGACCTAACTAATAAATCAGCTCAGCTCCTTCCAGGGGCCCACAGGTGCTTTTCTCCTTCTCTCACATAATAAGGGAGAAGGCAGAATAAGGCGAGAGGGAAGAGTATAGGCTATAAAGCAGACAGATTTGAGTTGAAGTCCTAATTCACTAACTGTGAACAAGTTACTTAATCTTCCCAAGCTTCAATTTCCTTTTCCATATAATGGGGTTAATAATCCCAATCTTTGAAGATTATTGTAGGAATACTAAAATATAAGTGGAATATCTAGCTCCATTCTTCATCCACAAATAGGAGCCAATAAGTGCCTTTCTTGTAATTGTGTTGAAACAACAGTTGCCATGTTCCAGTTTCTTGAGTTTGACTACCGTTCTCTGAAGAATGCTTCAGAATCACCTAGCTGACCTGTTAGACACAGATTGTTGGGCCCAACCCATGGAGTTTCCAATTCAGTAAATCTGGGGTTGGGGTCATAATTCACATTTCTAATGGGTTCTTACTTGAGGATCATGCTGCTGGTCCAGGGGCCAAACTTTGAGAACCATTGAGTTAGGTAATAAGTTGGAAAGGCCAAACCCATGGTATCTGCAGTGTGTTCTGTGCCAAGTTGTCTGACACCTGCTGAGCTTGATTCTCAAGCAGTGGCCAGCCAGCTTTTTCAGTAGTAAACATTTTGGGTTTTGTGGGCCATGCAGTCTGTCACAACTCCTCAACTCTGTTGTAGCACAAAAGCAGCCGTAGATAATATGCAAACAGATAGGTGTGGCCATGTTCTAATAAAACATTGTAGATGCTCTTTGAATCCCATACAATTTTCATATGTCACAATATATTTATTTAATGTCTGCCCTTTTAACCATTATTTTACATGTGAAACAATGTTTAGCTGGCAGGTGATACCAAAATTGAGAATAGACTAGATTTGGCCTACCACTGTATTTTGCCAGCCCTTGTTCTAGAGTTGGCAATAAAGGGAACCATTGAGAAGGGGGTCTCAGGTTGATGACTTATTGTTTTTTGGAAATTTAACTAGGTTTTTCTATCCCTTCTGTACTATTGAGGGGATGGGGGTCTAGTCTCTTTTTAGGCGGTTGGTGGAATTGTCTGCCAAACTGTCAAGTGATTTGAATTAACACATGCGTTTTTTCAATAAAATGACTTCCTTTCCCCTAACTTCACACTGCTGGACCAACTTAGATAGTTGTTATATAAATTAAGCCATCTGCCTGGTATTGTCATACAATGAGTCAATGCCTGAGTGCCCTGTCCTATTGGTTTTCATTTTCGGTATTATTGTCTCTTAGAGAAGTTGATAATATACTCTTTTTATTGAGTTTGCAAACTCTTATTTCATAGATTTGTTAAAGACCCATTTTAATTTTTAAAATTACATTACTATTCAGACTGTTGCACTACATTGAGCCTTTCGAGTCTAGGACACATACATTCAATGAACAAATGTTAAAAAATAAAATAAAATCACCTTAAGTCTACACTCTCTTAAAAATAAAAGATCTATAAGTAGTGGATAAGATCATGGTCTTTGAAGTGAGACAGACCTAGAGTTCATTTCCAGCTTTTCCTTTTACTGGCTGTGATCTTGGTGAAGATATAACCACCTGAACCTCAGTTCTCTCATTTGTAAAATGGAGTACTAGTCGTAGCTACCTCATGACATTATTTTGAAATTTAAATGAAATGATACTTGTTAAAATTCTCCTTAGCACAGTGCCTATCACACAGAGCTCAATAAATATTGGGTATTATTTGCAGTGTTAACATCATTGCTGTCTTTGCTTTGCATAGTCATCATACCTATTATTAGCATAATCATGTATTCAATCATCCAGGAAAGAAAGGTTTTCGAGTGTGATCTGTGTACCAAGAACTGTACTAGTCATTGAGAACATAAAGACATAATTTTGGCTACATTGGGTTTATATATAAATGAACATACCAAAAAATTAGTTTAGTAAATTGCCTGGGCCTCACGTCTATGTAGATTTTAGAGGGACATAAAAGAAAGACTGACCAATCCTATTTAGAAAGTGGAGAGCATCAGAACGGACTCAAAGAGGTGATCTTTGAGCTGCATCTGAGCAACACTTTTAGCACTGAGCATCAAGCAGCCTTGAGAACCACTGGCAATTGAAAAAACCTACCTTAGCATTTCCAAGAACACCTGATGTTGATCTCAGTTTCAAACTCCTGGCTTATATTATTCCTAGAACTCCTTCTCCTATACAAGTGCCACCCTTCCTCCATTTCAGCTTTAAGTGAAACCCACCCTCTCTTTTATACCACCCTTTCTTTCTAATCTGAATTCAGTTACTCCTGATGTACGTGGTACAGCAAACACACTTAATAATGAATCCTGATGCACTGTCCCTCAAATTACTTAATTTGTGTTCATTCATTTTCTCTCCAGCTGAACAAGAGAGAACACTGTACCTTAGTACAGTTTGAATTTTCCCTGTATTTTCACGGTGTCCAGAGCTATAAGGAGTGTGTTACCCAGGCTCAATGATACAGGCATAACACAGATACCTTGTGTTCTTGCACTTCACATTGTTGTGCTTTGCAGATAATGGGCTTTTTACAAAGCGAAGGCTTGTGGCAACCCTGCTGAGCAGGCCTTTTGGTGCCATTTTTCCAACAGCATGTGCTCAGTTTGTGTCTTTGTATCACATTTTGGAATTTTTTACGGTATTTCAAACATTTTCGTTATTATTATATATATTTTAGTGATCTTTGGTATTACTAGAGAAATTTTTATACCATATACCTCAGGAATAATCGAGTTCAGATTAGGAGCACCATGAACTACATCCATGTAAGATTCCAAACTTAATCTATAAATATTGTGTGTATTCTGACTGCTCCACTGACTGGCCATTCCCCAGTCTCTCACCCTCTCCACAGGGCCGGCCTATTCCCTGAAACACAACAATAATGAAATTAGGCCAATTAATAATCCTACAATGGCCTCTAAGTGTTCAAGTAAAGGGAAGAGTCATACATCTCTCACTTGAAATCAAAAGCTAGAAAGTATTAAGCTTAGTGAGGAACGCATGATGAAAGTCAAGACTGGCCAAACACTAAGCCTCTTGGGCCAGTTAGCCAAATTGTGAACACAAAGAAATAGTTCTCAAAGGAAAAGTGCTACTTCACTGAACACGTGAAGAATGAGAAAGCAAAACAGCCTTATTGCTGATATGGAGAAAGTTTTAGGGATCTGAATAGAATATCAAACCAGCCACAACCTTCCCTTAATTCAAAACTTAACCCAGAACAAGGCCCTAACTCTCTTTATCTCTGTGAAGGCTGAGAGAGGTAAGGAAGCTACAGAAGAAAAGTCTGAAGCTAGCAGAGTTTGGCTCATGAGGTTTAAGGAAAGAAGTCATCTCCATAACATAAGAGTGCAAAGCGAAGCAGCAAGTGCTATTGGAGTAGCTACAGCAAGTTACCTAGAAGGTCTAGCTAAAGTGAGTACACTAAACAGATTTTCAATGTGGATGAAACAACCTTCTATTGGGAGAAGATGTTGTCTAAAAGTTTCATAGCTAGAGAGGAGAAGTCAGTGTCTGGCTTTAAAGCTTCAAAGGACACGCTGACTCTCTTGTTAGCAGCTAATGCAGCTGATGATTTTAAGTTGAAGCCAGTACTCATTTACCATTCCAACCTAGACTTCACCAGGATTCGATTCCATCTCAAGAAACCACTTTCTTTGCCCTTCTAGAAGAAGTTAGTCCTCATTTGTTCTAGTTTGATCATGAGATTGTAGTAGTTCAGTTAAATACTCAGGCTCCACTTCTAATTCTAGTTATCTTGCTATTTCCATCACATTTGCAGTTACTTTCTCTACTGAATTATTGAACCCCTCAAAATCATTCATGAGAGTTGAAGTCAACTTTTTGCCTGACTTAAAAATTATGCTAAATCAGGCAACTTGCTCGGGTCCCCTTTCCATGCTGTGGAAGCTTTATTGCTTTGCACTTCACAATAAATCTTGCTGTTGCTCACTCTTTGGGTCCGCACTACTTTTAAAAAAAACTATACTAAATCTATTCTGCCTGTGCTCTGTAAGTGGAACAACAAAGCCTGAATGACAACACATCTGTTTATAGCATGGTTTGCTGAAAGTTTTAAACCCACCCTTGAGACCTACTCCTCACAAAGAGATTCCTTTCAAAATATTAGTTCTCAGTGACAATGCACCTGCTTGTCCAGGAGTTCTAATGGAGATGTATAGGAGATTAATGTTGTTTTTATGCCTCTGAACACAACATCCATTCTTCAGCCCCTGCATCAAGCAGTAATTTTGACTTTCACATCTTATTATTTAAGAAATACATTTTGTAAGGCTATAGCTGCCATAAAGAGTGATTCCTGTGATAGATCTAGACGAAATAAATTGAAAACTTTCTGGAAAGGATTCACCATTCTGTATGCCATTAAGAACTTCCACAATTCATTACTGGAGGTTAAAATAACACTAACAGGAGTTTGGAAAAAGTTGACTTCAACTCTCATGAATGATTTTGAGGGGTTCAATAATTCATTAGAAGAAATAACTGTAAATGTGGTGGAAATAGCAAGAGAACTAGAATTAGAAGTGGAGCCTGAATATTTAACTGAATTACTGGAATCTCATGATCAAACTAGAACAAATGAGGAGTAGTGTCTTCTAGATGGACAAAGAAAGCAGTTTCTTGAGATGGAATTGACTCCTGGTGAAGAGGCTATGAACATCATTCAATTGATAGCTAAGAATTTAGAATACTGCATAAACTTATTTGAGAAAGCAGCAGCAGGATTTGAGAGGATTGAGTCTAATTTTGAAAGAAGTTCTACCATGGATAAAATGCTGTCAACAGCATCATATGCTAAAGAGAAATCTCTTGTGAAAGGAAGAGTTCAATCAATGAGGCAAATTTCATTGTCTTATTTTAAGAAACTGCCACAATTACTCCAACCTTCAGCAACTATCACCTTGATCAGCAGCAGCCAACAACATTAAGGCCAGTTCTACCAGCAAAAATATTATACTTGCTAATCTTTTTGCAAGATTGCTGAAGAAACATGATTGTTATCAATTTTTAACAGTAAAGTATTTTTAAATTACAGTTTGCACATTGTTTTTTAGACATAATGCTATTGCACACTTAATAGACTACAGTATTGTGTAAACATTTATATTCACAGGAAAACAAAAAAAAAAGTATGGTTTGCTTGATTGTGATATTTGTCTTATTGTAGTGGTCTGGAACAGAACCCACATGATCTTTGAGGTATGGCTGTATTACTGGGTTCTTCAATTGCATCTTTAATAGATTGTCCTTTTAAATCAATATACTTGTCCTTTTAAATCAACATGCTTTTTAAATCAACATACTTGTCTGATCTCAATCTCATCCCCATACTGAGAAGTATACTTTGACTTTCTCAGGCAGAAAAAAAGAGGCTCTGGCTCTGAAACTTCTATGGCTCCTTCTCCCTTTCTTCTGTGCCTATCTTATGCTCTAGTGCTGGCAAACTCCCCATCATTTTCCAAACACTCTAAACTGTTTCATCTTCATGCCTTTCTTTGAAGTATGAATGCTCCTCCTTCTAGAACACATCTCTCAGGTGTTCACATGATTCTGATTAACTCCTTCTTATCCTTTAAGCTCAGCTTAGGAGGTATTTTTTCCAGAAAGCCTCCTTTGAACCACCTAGTTAGATCAAGTGCCCGTTTCATAGCACTTCAAACTGCATTAAACACTTGATGTCTATGTCTTTCTCTTTTGCTAAATTTCAAGCACCGCATATGTAGAGCACTTATCTTTCCATCCTCAATGCCCTGTGGGAGTGAGTGAACTGTTAGGTAGATCATGGACAGGCAAGTTTATTCAGAGGCTCTGGTAATACAATAGGCTACTCAGAATTTGCACAACAGGCTTGAATTAATATATTAATAATTTTTAAACATTTTGTTTTAGGCAGGGATTCTCAACCTTGGCACTATGAACACTTGGGGCTGGATAATTCTTTGAGTTGTGTGCTGTCTTCGGCACTATAGGTTGATTGACAGCATCCCTGGTCTCTACCAATTAAATGCCAGTAGCACCTTTCTGGGAGTTGTGACAAGCAAAAGTGTTTCGAGGCACTGCCAAATGTCCAGTGGGTGCAGGGTAGGTGAGATCACTCCCCTAACCCTCATTGAGAACCATAGAGTTGAGGTATAACCAAACACAATTTGTAAGCCTTTATATATACACGCATTCATAAATTACAAACTAAATTTAAATTTGAAAACATCAAAGCACTGAAAATTATTGGAAATGAAACCTGAGTGTTGGGGAAGTATATGATTTTCTACTACAAAGGTAATAAACAATCATTGAGGAAAATGTATAAATAGAAAAGAAAGAAACATGAAGAAAATACCCCCAGTCCCACCATTCTAAGAATAACCGCTGGCCGGGCGCGGTGGCTCACACCTGTAATCCCAGCACTTTGGGAGGCCGAGGTGGGTGGATCACGAGGTCAGGAGATCGAGACCATCCTGGCTAACACGGTGAAACCCCGTATTTACTAAAAATACAAAAAATTAGCCGGGCGTGGTGGCGGGCGCCTGTAGTCCCAGCTACTTGGGAGGCTGAGGCAGGAGAATGGAGTGAACCCGGGAGGCAGAGCTTGCAGTGAGCAGAGATGGCACAACTGCACTCCAGCCTGGGGAACAAAGCAAGAATCCGTCTCAAAAAAAAAAAAACTGCTGATAATATTTTCATTTGTTTATTTTCAGTTTTTTTCTCCATGTATATCTGATCCCTTAAACTTAATAATATTGTATTACTATAAAATTTTATATAGATTTAAATTCAGTATTAGAGCACAAGTATTTTTACATTAGATTACAGATTTTTCATAAATTAATACCTATATTATAGTCTATAAATGTGTGTAATATAGTTTACTAATCCTGATTTTAGAATAAGTAATTTCTTTTTTTAGTATTTGGAAAATTATGTAATGAATTATCTGTGTGTGAAGTTCCTTATATATTTAGAATTATGTTCTTAGGATGGAGTCATAGAGTGGAATTAATGGGACAAGAGAATGAACTGTTTCAGGTCTTTTCACACACACACACACACACACAAACACACACGCAGCAAATTTGCATGTCAAAAGGGACACACAAATTTACCTGTCCCACTGTAATGTGAGGAGTAACCGGGGGTTTGGGTCACTGCAGTGTCAGGACAGGCTATTGATTAGGATTCACTTGGAAGGTGAGCCCTAATGACATGTTGGCAAGCTCAGTGTTAGTGGGTGTTGGTGATTCCAAGAAACTTTGTCTTAGGGCTGGAATGCTAATGGCTTTTAAACCAATATTAGGAATTTTAATTTTCTGTAAGTATGAAATTCTCACTGGAGCTTGAAACTAGTTTTCCTGTTCTTCTTTCTTGTTGTCAATCCAGATGCACTCCCTTTATGAAAAGGGCTAACAGTTTTCTCAATTATCACATCCATTTTAACCATCAAGTCTGGTACTAAGCAGACATTAGATTATTCATGGAAAGAAAAAATAACATACTTTTGTACCAGATGAAGTATTTCCTGGGTCTGTATTTAGGAGGAAAATTGGCATGCATAAAATTATTGCTATGCATATTCAAATAAATATTTCCTGGGACTTAGTAGTAGATGTAGTTTACTTAGATGAATTTAAATAGCAGGGAGGCAGTAGAGAGAGTAATATCTCTATTTACTTTTATTTTTATTTTTTATTATACTTTAAGTTCTAGGGTACATGTGTACAACGTGCAGGTTTGTTACGTAGGTATACATGTGCCATGCTGGTTTGCTGCACCCATTAACTGGTCATTTACGTTAGATATTTATCCTAATACTATCCCTCCCCCAGCCCCCCACCCCTTGACAGGCCCCAGCGTGTGATGTTCCCCACCCTGTGTCCATGTGTTCTCATTGTTCAACTCCCACCTATGAGTGAGAACATGTAGTGTTTGGTTTTCTGCCCTTGTGACAGTTTGCTGAGAATGATGGTTTCCAGCTTCATCCATGTCCCTGCAAAGGACATGAACTCATCCTTTTTTATGGCTGCATAGTATTCCATGGTGTATATGTGCCACATTTTCTTAATCCAGTCTATCATTGATGGACATTTGGGTTGGTTCCAAGTCTTTGCTATTGTGAATAGTGCTGCAATAAACATATGTGTGCATGTGTCTTTATAATAGCATGATTTATAATCCTTTGGGTATATACCTAGTAATGGGATCGTTGGGTCAAATGGTATTTCTGGTTCTAGATCCTTGAGGAATCGCCACATTGTCTTCCACAATGGTTGAGCTAATTTACACTCCCACCAACAGTGTAAAAGCATTCCTATTTCTCCACATCCTCTCCAGCATCTGTTGTTTCCTGACTTTTTAATGATCACCATTCTAACTGGTGTGAGATGGTATCTCATTGTGGTTTTGATTTGCATTTCTCTGATGGCCAGTGATGATGAGCATTTTTTCATGTGTCTTTTGGCTGCATAAATGTCTTCTTTTGAGAAGTGTTTGTTCATATCCTTTGACCACTTTTTGATGGGGTTGTTTTTTTCTTGTAAATTTTTTTAAGTTCTTTCTAGATTCTGGATATTAGCCCTTTGTCAGATGGGTAGATTGCAAAAATTTTCTCCCGTTCTGTAGGTTGCCTGTTCACTCTGATGATAGTTTCTTTTGCTGTACAGAAACTCTTTAGTTTAATTAGATCCCATTTGTCTATTGTGGCTTTTGTTGCCATTGCTTTTGGTGTGTTAGTCATGAAGTCTTTGCCCATGCCTATGTCCTGAATGGTATTGCCTAGGTTTTCTTCTAGGTTTTTTACGGTTTTAGGTCTTACATTTAAGTCTTTAATCCATCTTGAGTTAATTTTTGTATAAGGTGTAAGGAAGGGATCCAGTTTCAGCTTTCTACATATGGCTAGCCAGTTTTACCAGCACCATTTGTGAAATAGGGAATCCCTTCCCCATTGCTTGTTTCTGTCAGGTTTGTCAAAGATCAGATGGTTGTAGACATACGGTGTTATTTCTGAGGCCTCTGCTCTGTTTCATTGGTCTATATATGTGTTTTGGTACAAGTACCATGCTGTTTTGGTTACTGTAGCCTTGTAGTATAGTTTGAAGTCAGGTAGCATGATGCCTCCAGCTTTGCTGTTTTTGCTTAGGATCGTCTTGGCTGTGCAGGCTCTTTTTTGGTTCCATATGAACTTTAAAGTAGTTTTTTCCAATTCTGTGAAGAAAGTCATTGGTAGCTTGATGGGGATTGCATTGAATCTACAAATTACCTTGGGCAGTATGGCCATTTTCACGATATTGATTCTTCCTATCCATGAGCATGGAATGTTCTTCCATTTCTTGTGTCGAGAGAGTAATATCTTTCATAAGAGGCAGGCCCATGTTCATCTCAAGTAAATGTGTGGGGTATTGTGTTCATGTGACGAAGTTTAAGACCAATAATCATGCATACTTTGAGCAAGAAGACATGAAAGCTCATTCAAACTTCCCTAAGATATAGGTCATGATAAAGTAATGAGTTGCCCAGGGTCCTTTTATGACTTAATACTAGAACTTAGTTGTAGAAGCAGAATGGTACTAAGGTTAGGACACACTGAGCTTTGAAGATACACAGGTCAAATTTTTCCAGAAATGCTGCTGGCTGTGGTCCTGTGCAAATCACCAAACCTGTCTGAACCTCAGTTCTCCTGCCCATAAGATGAAAATCATCATAATACCAACTTCACAGAGTGCTTCTGAGACACAGAATAATTTTGAGACAAGCCACATACCTAGTACTCATTAAATGGTAAGCACTCATTAAAAGTGCCTAGTATTGTAACCCAGATTTTCTAATGGTTACTTTAGTGTGACTTCTTCATACATAACTATAGGTAGGAAGAATCCCAAACATTGTGAATAGAGTTGCCAAAAACATAATTTTCTTTATGCTGATTTTGAATATTTATCTTTTGTAAGTTATAATAAGCTTAGTTCTGTTACACATGAGATAGTCCATAGGTATTTTCCATTTTTATAGATAAGGAAATTTCTTCAAATTTGCTAAGTAACTTGACTACATTATGAACTAGCAATCAGTAGAATTGGAATCAACCACAGTCTTCTGAAGTTAGAGCTCAAGTTTTTTCTATGCTAGTCTTACTTTTAGTACTAAGTGTTCTTTTTTTATTTTCTAAATCTCTATGGTAAGTGAAGACATACACTAAGGTACCTGGATTAGTAAGATCAGGATAGTACATTTAGAATCAAGTACTTTCCCCAGACAGATATTTGAACATAATTAAGGATATGTGACTTTATACGTCAGCAAATGCATAGTTATTAATGGCCTGTCACAGAAATTCTCTAATGAATAAACAAGAGAATATTGAAGACCAGACAGCAATGAAGTAATTGGTGATGTGATTCCAAATTTAAACAAATTACAGGGGAAAATGCATAATGACAAAATAATTAGAAGACTGAGGCACCTGAACAAACATCCAAATCCTACATCTATCTTCCCAATATTCAGCAATCCCTAAATATCTCTGGTGCATTGAGGTTGGAATTAGCAGAAACTTCTAAACATTACTTGAGTGAAAAGTCAGAGTTAACTTTTTCCTGTTATTGTAAAGTTTCAAGGAGACACAGAGGAAATTAGCCAAATGCATTTCTTCATGACAACAGAGGTTATATAGCTAAAGCTCTCTTTGAAAATGTACCTCATTAAGAATTTGCACAGATGAGATTTTAGACTAAAAGTTTAAAGCTCAAAATAGTAAGTTAGCCTCAGTATTATTGTATCTCTCTTCTACAATGCATCAACAATAAAACTAACATATAGCTCAGCATTTATGGCTATATTTAAGGAAAAACACAAAATCAGCAAAGAAATTCTATAGTTGCAAAATCTTTGTAAAGTTCAGAGTTGACCTGCCTAGCTAATATATTTCAAATACACACATTTTACAATAATAGGAACTATTCTTGCCAATGGCTGTCTAAAATGAGTAGATACATTTTTCCATGAAAACAAATCTTCTCATTCTCCACACTCCAGAGAGACCAGAATATGTCTATTCTTTAGGGCACAAGTTAAGTCCTGGAATAATTATTTAAGGAAAGTTGACCAGTTTCTTTGTAAAATTGCTAAGATTGGAAATGGAGGGAAATTTTTTAAGTGGGAAGGCCTGGCCTGAGACCTTGTACCACGACAGTTATACCATGAGTTACCTCCTCTTAGAAAACCCATTTGTTTCATTATAAATGGTGTCAGTGGTGAGATTTCCTTATGGTGCCATGGTCTTCAGTCATGGACTTGGCTTATGTGTTCCGTGAAAACCACAGAAGTACTGCTAGTGTATCAAAAGCAATATAGGCTCTGAGATAGCAAGGGTATTATTTTGAGGCCACTCCCAGATATTGGCAGGAATATAGGATAGACAGTGAATACTTCTATTTATTCTTTCCTTCCTTTGCTTCTTTTTGAGGCTTCTTCTAAATATGGATGAGGACTATCTTCACACTTAACTATGGTGGGAAAGAATAGAGGCAAATCCCAAACAGAAGGTTAAAAGTTAAACTTAATTACATTCTTATGTTGCCTTCTCTCCATCTTCTCTTTGGTTAAATAGAATCATTTAAAGTTTTTCTTGAAAGAAAGTAAGCAACTAAGAGATTTACCCCTCTTCCTGAACCCGTACACTACTAGCCAGTATTTGTTTAATGTGCCTCCTAATTGAAAAAATCTCTCCAAAACATTTTCTAACATAATAAAGAAATCTTACTCTGTAGGTGAAAATTAGGAGCCTTGAAATTGCACTTGGATCTGTCCTATCTCATCACCAATTACTCCATATTAGCTCTAGATTTTCTTCAAAGGCTAAGAAAATTGGATATTTTAAATAAGCCAAAGATGATTATTTCCCTGGTACAGCTAAGCATGTTAAATATAGTCAACATTCACAATGCTGCTGCCTAAGGAAAATAAATGTAGTGAACATCAAACAGGCTAAACAAATGGCTCAGAATAATTTTTGTGACAGAAGCTTAACCCTGAGTAGCTGGGGAAATCATCAGAAAAGTGGATGAAGGCCAGGGCACTCAGTTAATTACCACCTCCCCCCCAAAAAAGACGATCTTGCTGAGCTTCAGGCTGAAGTGCACTTTCTTTGAATGTTGCCACAGTAATATCCTTCTTCTCTAAAGAGAATGTGGATTGCACCCATAAAGAATGATGCTCCCAGAATGATTAAATATTTGAACCACATACTTTAACTGTGTTTTTAACTTCATGTCAAAATCTAATTTCCACCCCTGTCATTGGATACTATGGTCAGGTGTTGACTGCATCGTGGGTAAGCCTCTAAGTCAGATGTGGGTTTGAATTCTTGTTCCACCATTTACACATTCTGTGTTCTCTCATGAGTGATTCCATTTTCCTGAAACTCAAGCTTCTCTATGTAAAACAGCAACCAATTTTCACAAGGTTGTCTTAAGGGCTGAGGACCTCACATGTATAAATAAGTATGTAAAATACTTATAGGTTCTAGAACATTAATAAAGCCCATAAATGGCAATTCTTTTGTAGTGTATAATCATTGATATTCAGCAATTTTTATACTTAGAGTATAATAAGTTGGAAATTCATGGAGTTCTTTACATAGATTTTAAAAACCACACTTTTGCCACATCTAACCAAACACCATGTGGAGAGGTTGGCACCCATCTTTTTTTTTATATATATATTTTACCTTGATGAAATATAACAAAGCTCAAAGAGCTGTTAAACAGAGAGTAGAGAATCAACTTGCCCCTCTACTCCAGCGCTCTCACCATGCTCATTCTCGTCTAATATTTCCCACTTATTCGCCTCCCCTGAAATCACCAGCCTGCTCTCCTGCATCCATCTGAGCTCAGTTATCCTTAAAATCATGTCTAGTGCCCTCTTATTTTTTAACCTCCTCTTTCACTGCACAAAATCCACTCTCCTAATTTCTTTTTACTTAGTTTCTACTGTGTTTATTGCATTTCTTCTCTTAAATAAAAGCTTCTTGAATGTGAGAAACATGCACTACTTTTTTTTTAATCCATAGTACACATAGCACCTTTCCTAAGAGCATGTAGGAGTTCATTAATAAATCATTGTTATTTAACTTGAAGAAATACATATAGCAGAGTTACATGACTCCCTGAGTTTTAAAAAAAAAGTGTTCATATAATAGGAATAATAATAGTTCACAAAAGGGATGATCATTTGTAATAGTGTGTTATTTTATTATTTATACTTTCTTTTTTTGTTGTTTTTTTTTTTGTTTTTTGAGACGGAGTCTCGCTCTGTCGCCCAGGCTGGAGTGCAGTGGTGCAATTTCGGCTCACTGCAACCTCTGATTCCCGGGTTCAAGGAATTCTCATGCCTCACCCTCCCCAGCAGCTGGGACTACAGGCGTGTGTCACCATGCCCAGCTCATTTTTTTTTTTGTATTTTTAGTAAAGACAGGGTTTCATCATATTGGCCAGGCTGGTCTCGAACCCCTCACCTCAAGTGATCTGCCTGCCTCGCCTCCCAAAGTGCTGGGATTACAGATGTGAGCCACCATGTCTGGCCTATTCGGAAATCATGCTCCCATTTCAATTTTGTGCAACTTAAGAGAAAAAATTTTTTATCCCCATTTTACAGACAAAGTGACGGTTAGAGAAATTGAATGACTCACCAATATTCTTCTGTCAAAATATTCTAACTAGATGTTTATACTTTATGGTAAGCCAAACTGAAATGGATAAGACATGAGTTGAACAACACTTTAGGGCTTTTAGAGATTTCACAATTTAAATGTCGTAAAGCTGAGATTGTCACTGAGTTATAAATCCTGTTATCGCTCATCTATACATTTTTCTTCACATATTTTTCAGCACTGCAACATGTCATTTGATGGTGTGCATTTTTATGTTTTTTAATTTACTTTCAAATGAACAAAATGATAAAATAAGTAAAAATTTAAGGTGTGTTTTTGAAGTAAATGGGATAGACAAACCTGGCTTGTTGGTTTTAATGCTTCCATCCATGCCCAATGTTAGTACTGTGATGTCTGTATGTATACCTGACAACATCTCTTGTTCTGACTATCAGGGTCCCTCAGAGAGAGCCAGTAAATAACATCACCTTTACCCCTACTCAGTTCTGTACAAATAAGGACTAAAACAGAAACATGGGCAACGAGAAGAAAAGGTCTCTGTTAATGATGGAAGCCAGGTGGGAGGCTTTGGTTAGTGCAAGAAGCACAAGAACCTGCAGGTTAGGTCCACAATTAGGCAGACTCAGCCTCCCAGTCGGGAGTGATGCTGACAGTCACAAAATTCGCTGTGTGCAATTAGGTGTCAGGAGTGATGCTGATGGGGATGGATCCCCAGTTCACGGTGTAGGGGAGAGTGGTCCTGCCCAGGGGACACTTAGGCTTGGAAGCAGTGGAGAATTCTGCTTCTTTGGCAATTTGCTCCCAGAAGGACAAAGAGGAGAAATTGAGCAAAGCAGGAAAGAAATTGAGCACAGCAGGAAATTTATCCTTCCTAAATTTACCCATCAGAAAAGTCATTCCTCCCCAAGGAGGAAGAAAGTGAGTCAAGTGATGCCAGGGTGGTTTAGGAAAGATACGTAGTCATGGAAACTGAAGGGGTGGGAGAAAAGGTGTCTTTGGCTATCACTGACCTCTTGATAATCTCCAGTAAAAAGTGTTAGTATTATGAGTTAATGCACATGAGCATTGTTCATTATAAACTCACTTCTAATCAAAGTATGTGCAGATATTCCCAAGTTGTGTATACAGTGCATTAGTATCTCTTTATATAGAAGTGGATATGGATATTTTGTCTATTTCTTTTCATGTCATTCCAGGGAGCACTGTTTTCTGTCCAGGGACCTCTGAGATCAGAATTTTCAGGGTAATTGATTCCTATGTTAATTTTTCTGGTTATACTTTTACATTCTCATCTTGGGACCACACCAGCGCTTTGTAGTTTATACAAGCACTCAGTTGATCACAAGGCAATTTAAATTTATGAAACACTAATGGAAATTGAGTTATCTATATCAATTTCCTTTTGTTTTTTTTAAAACTCTGTGTATGTTCCAAATGCACACTCTTTTTCATTTCCTGTGGTAGTTTGAATTGTTGCCTTTGCTGAGTTTTGGGGCTTTTTCATTCTTCGCAAGAGATCAGTGTATTCATTTCTCAAAACCATAAGATTCTTTTAAACTCTCAGAAATCAGGCCTTTTTGCACAGAGGCATGATCTGTGATAGAACATTAGGATGGTGGCTGGATAAAGTTAGATAGCTTTTTAATTCAGGATGTTTTCTTTATTTGAGCTACCTACCAGAGATTTTTTTTCCTTTTGTTTGTTAAGTAATCCAAAAATAAAAGTAATTTGTTCTTTCACATTTTGTGATTTGCCTTGCATATTATTTTTGAAAAGATAGAAAAAATAAACATTTTTTACTGAGCTCTTAAGTTCTATTTTCCTTTTCCTTAGGCCTTTTGTTTTTGTCCAAGAAATTCATATTTAATTATGAAGTGGAAAAGCAATAGGAAAATATCCCTCAGTATTCAGAAAGTTATTAAATAAGCAAATATTTAAGAGCATCCCTTGTTTGTGAAGTAAATTACACCAAAGTGCAAAATGCATTTTCGAAACTGCAAAAACTCTGATATAAGTGCCTCCTACTCATGATCAGTCTCCAATGTCTTATTAGAGACTTCCTTAATCTTTCCATTTAAAACTGCACACCTCTTGCCCCTTCTTACAGGACCCTCTGACTCCCTTTCTTTTTTCTTAATAGTACCTCATTACCTTCTAATAGACTGATTTTGTTTAACATCCATTTAGTTGTTGTTTTCATTTCTGGTTCACTAATGGATTCCTAGCACCTAAAACACCAGCACTTTGTAGGTGCTGCATATTTATTGAATGCATGAGTATGTTTTCATCAGAGTTTAATGGATATTCGCCCCTGCTAAATGGGGTCCTTCTCAGGACGAGGGGATTGCCTTGCACAGATTTCCATTCCTTGCAAACTTCCTTGTGTGAGTTCCCACTCCCTGTGCATGAGGTGAAATATTTTCTGGTGCATTATCTGCCAGACTGGGCACAGGGGGCAGAGCAGGAACAAGAGCCAAGTGTCCGTGAGCAGAAGGCGAGAAGAGGCAGCTAATGGCGTTTTCAGCAAATGAGAAACGACAGATTTTTTGCTGCTTTCCTGGCTGTGCCTAATTTTGTCAAAATGCTTCTGAAGAAAGTCATTTAATAGAAACCTGGCCAACCATATCCACCTCTTCTTGCTTGAATTCTTTTTTAAAAACTCTGGAGGGCATAAGCATGCTTACAAATACTTTTGACTCCCTATAAAATACTTTAAGAAAATAAGGGGAGGCTTATTGAAGACACTCCAATTTGGGACAAGGGGGCATTCAAACTCAGTCCTGGAACACATGCTTTTATCATATGTGCTCCTCATTTCATCCTAACTATCTGAAGAACTAAGGAAGAAATATGCAAAAAATAAACACTGTTGACGTATTTATTTGTTATGGAACTTTTCTTATTTTTTTATGCACAGTCTGTCTACTCTATGCCTGATATTAAGCCAGACAATGGTGATATTAAAAATGAAATAATGGCAAACACTTAACTGAGCCTGGTGCTTGGTGCTTTTCAAAGCACTTTGTATTTTATTATCTTGTTTAATCCTTACAATAATTCAAAGAAGTGGATATTCCCATTTTCCTCATCTTACAGATTATGTTAAGGATTGCACCCAAGGTTACACAGCTGTGAAATCAGGGTTTGAGCATACATGGTCTCCTTGCAGAGCTCATTATTAACAACCACATTGAACTCCGTTAAAGATAAGGTTTCTGTGTTGAAGGGTTCAAGGTGGGAAGAGAGATACACAAACAGAAACCTCATAAAATGCGATGATAGTGGTGTAATTAAAACAAAAGATAGAGCAACTAACTGTTTACTGGAGCTGGGGAATGCATCAGAGAGAGAGTGAGTGTGTCATGAGATTTTAGGGATGATTAACAGTTTTCCAAGTAGAAAAAGAAGAAAAATACCTAGGATAGAAGGAGAGAGAATTTTAATAATCAGTCTCCTCTGTGAATTAGCATATACTAGCTTTCAACAATTCTCATCCATACCCTTTCTTGCAGATACAATTTTAGCATTTTGGGGCCAAGCCTTAAACTTGTGTACAATTTCAGCATTTTGGAGCCAAGCCTTAAACCTGTGTCACTGTCTGAAACCATAGCAAGTTAAATGCTGTCTAAGTACATTATAGGGTAGCAATTGTAATAACAGAAGACAGTAAACACGTGCTGCTAAAGGCAATTATTTCAAAGTACAGTCATTTATTTTGGCTACCTGTAGTAGGGGGCCAAGAGGTGAACCATGTCACCCATTTGGCCTGTGACTATCCTCTCTTATGCTACTCTTGGATAGCAGCCTTAGTGCACATGAAAAATACCTCATTTTCAATCTTCCTTCCCTCTTCAGTGTTACCGACTAAACCTCCTCCAGCAGGCAGTAAATGGAACCTTTTCCATCTGGCCAAAGTAATAATTTAGAGATTTGTATACACCCACTGATTTCAACATGCTCCACAATGGTTGGATTTCAATTTTGCTTGACATCTCACAGCTGTAAAGGTTAATCCCCAGCGCTGTCTCAGCAATGTCAATTTTTTCATAGGCTGTGTATGTCCATCAGTTTACTCTCTTGGTAAGAAGGTGTCTGCCACTGCTGGTATTCATGCTGGTGAAAACCAACACACCTCTTCCAGGCACTGTTTGATGTCAGAGATACAAAGCTTCTTGTCAGCTACAGATATTTTCTAATTAGCTTAGATTATTTTAGAGGTTTGCATATCTCCCAAATAGTAGAGCTCTTTACGTGGTTCTGTAACAAACGCCTAGGAAAGATGCTATTACTTACTCCCACAAAATCAGTGACATTTAGGAAAATGATTGGCCTAAAAGTCTCTGTTTCTCTCTAAGTTTAGCTGAAAGTTCTTCTATGTATAATGCTACTTCCACTGAACTCTGCCTAAAGGGAAACCACACTTTACGTATTCCTCTTCATCAATTTTTATTATAAAGAAATAGGGAAAAAAGCCTGTACATATGTTACCCTCCAGAGGAATCTGTAACTTTCCAAACTCCACAGGTTGAAGTCATTAGAAAGAATGCAAAGGGTTTCTATTGCCCTTTGACTTTGGTCGAAGTCTGACTTTTCCATGCATTTATCCATAAAGCACCCCATTTTCTCAATGAAGGAATAAGTACAGTGGTAGATTTTGCAGAATTCACTTTGGATTTGTGTTCTCTGAAAGAGGAACTTCACTGGCCATTAGGAACTTTGCCTACTGCATCCTCTGAGCCATAAAAGTCAATCTCCTCAGTCTGGTGAATTTCACAGGAGTCCTTTCTATAACACTTCCTATAAGAAACTTTCCTATGAATGCTTATTGAGGAAGGTTACTAAGGAAACAAGAGACCCAGGTAGTAGCAATTCATATCAAGGTTAACAAAATTTACAAATGTAATCCTTGCCTGGCTCGATGATTTGAATCATTTTCTCAGAAGATGGAGTTAAGACTCATTTCACAAGTATCTCTTAAGAGGGCTCCAGGCCAAACACCTGCCTTCTGTCTTTTGCTGTATCAAGCCTGCACCTCTGAAGGGATGTGAGGCCAGAAAGCAGAGAATACCATGAGAAGAGCCAAAGATATCTCCTATAACATATGCAAATTATACCATTATTTTTAGATAATTCTATATTTTATCAGTTTGGTGATTAAATTACAAGTATTAATGTTCTTAATATACAGTGTGATTAGTGTACTTAAAATAACTATAATAGTATCCAAAATGGCTTCCATATGCCTCTCCTTATTTGACCGCATTCATGGCAGATAAAGCACAGCTCGTTATCCCATATCTGAAGGTCATGGGCACTGAAATGAATGAGCGTAAACAGCTCGTTCCAAGTCATATGGTTGGTTGGTGAGAAGGCTACAGATTAGCAGCAGGACATAGGCTTTGAAGCCAAGCAAACCTGGAATGAAATAATATCTCTCTGCCATATACTAGATATAAGATCTTAGGCTTAAATTCCTGATCAGCTACTTAACAAGCTGTATGTCTTGGACCCTTTACTCAACCTCTCTGAACCTTAGTTTCCAGAACTATAAAATGGGATCATACATTATGAAGTTAAGACCAGAGATAATGAGTATAGTGTGTCTGATTCAAGCACACATTGCTAATTGTAACAATTCAATAAGCTATATTAATATGATTATAAATCAACAGTGGTGTCAGTGACAAGAACTAGATAGAACCCTCACTCTCAAGAGGGTCACTGTGGAATCTGAAGGAAGAATGTGGAATCTGAAGAAAGAAAACCGAGGTACCCGTTCTTGGTCTTTTACTTAATGCATCTGTTTTGCTGAGTGAGTTATTTAGCCCCAGTAAGTCTGTTTTTCTTTTCTCCCTTTATTCTTTTCTTTTTACTTTCTTTTCTTCCACTTTTTCTTTTTCTATTCTTTCTTTTTCCTTGTCTTCCTTCTCTTTAATGTTCTTTCTTTCTTTAAAAATTGTAACACTACTAATCAAACTATATACATCAGAATTGTGAGGCTAAGTGAACTTTATATAAAAATGTTTTGATATAATAGATGCTATGCAAATGCTAGCAGTTATTTGTGTTATTCTAACTTCTGATACATGTTCTTTTCACCATATTATTCTATTCAGTTCTATTAAAAGCTATCCTGTCCAGCATCTCATAAATTTGTAAATAGCGGCCATTGGTTTTTTGTAAGAGGTTGTTTTACTTCTTGCCTTGGCTGTTAGGATGCTTAAAGTCAAATTTAAAAACCATATTTATTAATCATAAAAAGATTTAGAATACATTTCTTTAACTTGCTTTTATTTTCTTGCTTAGATTCCTCTCTCATTTTTAATCTATTGTTTTATTCTTCTGCAGTGAGTACATTTTTGAACATCACCTTAAATAAAGTGGCAAGAAATGAATAAAGCCATAACTATGCAATAATAATAAAGTAAGAGAAAACTTTTTTTTTTTGGAAGGAAGTCTTGCACTGTCGCCCAGGCTGGAGTTCAGTGGCACAATCTCGGCTCACTGCAAGCTCCACCTCCCGGGTTTATGCCATTCTCCTGCCTCAGCCTCCCAAGTAGCTGGGACCACGGGCACCCGCCACCACGCCCGGCTAATTTTTTTGTATTTTTAGTAGAGATGGGGTTTCAGTGTGTTAGCCAGGATTGTCTCAATCTCCTGACCTCGTGATCCACCCACCTCAGCCTCCCAAGAGAAAACGTTTAAAAAACATTATGCATTTTTATACATCTGATTTCTTACAGAGGTGAAAGTTTATTTTCTCCTAAGGGTAATTCAATTGAATACTGGTAAACATTTATTGAATGCCCATATAATGTAAGGCACATAGAGGATTCCTAAGAGTGAAAGATAGATCCCTGTCAAAAAAGGTCTAATCAAATTTAGAAAATCACACATAGGTGTGAAGTGATAGGCGTTAGAAGGTCAGTAAGTGTCAAGAATACACAAGAAGGCTTGGCACAAGGGCTGGTCACATAACTAATGAGCATTGCTGAGAAATAATGTAAATTGCCATTTACCTTCTTTATTCCATTCCAATAATAAGCACTATAACCTTCCCATTTGCTCTGAAGTAAAATTAAAATAATAAAAGGAGGATATTACTTAATATGGAACTAAAAGAACTGAATGCCATCCCATAGATGTGTGAATTTAGGCATATAATTTGTCCAGTTTCCAGATCTATGAAATGAAATTGGAATACCTAAAGTTTTTTTAAACTGTAAGGTTTGTATCTCAGAAATAGCTTCAACTTACCTCTCTCAGGTAATCAACTATGTCTACTCAATTTTTTTTTTCACTCTATTCAAGAAAGTTTCTTAGAAGATAAGTAGATTTTTCAGTATTTTGGATTGAATGGGACTTGCTGGAAAATCATTTTATCAAGTTGAAAGAGTGCTCAAGATAGAAGTGGCCCCACCATCAATCAGAACCAATCCCTTCATTTGACAGATGAAGAACCTGAGACTCAGAGGGCATGAGGGAACCACACAAGGGCAGACTGTTAGTTGCAGAATTGATGATTGGAGGCTTCCAATACTTAACAGGGTATCAGTGTCTGTTCACAGATACCTAGTTTCTAGATAAGAGGAAAGTAGAGACCCACTGTACTCTGTTCTGGGAAGACTTCATATTAATAGCTGTTTGAGGGAAAAGCGCTACATTTATTAGGACTTAGTTACAGACAGTAGACACATTTTGCCGTGTTTAAGAAAGGGTTGTATTACCACAGTTTAAGTGGCATAGAAGCTAGTCAGAAGGGCTGAATGAATAGGCTGCAGGTGAGGCTTCTAGTAACAACCCCCAGCCACCAGACCTCTGCCATGCTCAAGGAAGCTGCCACTGCAATACGAGAACCCTCCATCCCCAGGAGTTACAATCACAGAACTATGCTTCCTCTACCCTGGGCCTGCCTCTCTCCCCTCCATGCCAAATTCAAGTGGAGCTGAAATCCAGAATACTACCTGCAAAGGGATTGAAAGTAGTGTTTCACTTTCCAGTCTCTGCAATAAAGGATGACCCTGAAGACGGAGGTTGAAAAAGATGAGTCAATTCAGATCATTTCCCAGAAATCGAAGAGGGTGGCACATAATAGGATTACACGACCCAAACCATGGCATGTGAGGAATAGCATAAGGCAGGGATGACAAATAGACTTTATCTTGCCAGCCAGCTGTAGCTAATTGGCTGCCAAACTCACAAAATTGAGAAAGATTTTGAGGATGCGCCTGGGCCCAGAAGGATAAAGCCCTGTGACTAATTAGTGACATCTGCCAGAAGTATGGGCATGAAGCTATCAGAGTTGTATGAATGCCTCATGTATTCTATAATCAGTTGCTGCCTGACCCGCTTGGCAGATTATTTTGTAATGTCTTGTGGCACTCTTGTTGTTGTTTCATTATACCTTGATCGATTTATTTACATTATCATGATGATTATACCTTCTTGACTAAGGTGAACTATAAATTATTTGTGATTTTAATCATCTCTACACCCTGCAGAGTACTTGATATTCCTTAAATAAGTGTCTATTGATTTGACTTTAAAATTTCAATTATTCCATCAACAAACACTAATGTAATGTTCACTTTGCACAAAACCACATTGATTTCATGGTCTCAGGCTGAGTGAGACCCAGGATTTTAAGAAATCTTTCCAACTCTCCTCTATGAAAATAACATGTTTCTTTCGTACAGAATACTAAGAAGTTGATTTTGAACACCTTAGAAGGTGTGCTTGCTTTTGGATTGTGAACTCTGTTTATTACTTTGAGCTTCTCCAGGTTTCTTGCCATCATTTTTGATCATGAGCTCTTGTGTTCACTTGAGGTAATACTTATTCTTGAAGATAACTTTGCTCAGAGACATACATCACATGGAATGCATATGCCCATAGCTTGGAAATAGGGATGTTAATTTGTGATTCTTGCACGATGCCTTTATAAAAAAAATCCTGCACAGAAAGGATACCTGTTTCTTGAGAAAAACACAGGGAAGTGTTTCCCGTGACTCTACTTGCTAACCTGCATGGCCCACTCTCAGTAGGGCAAAGGCTAAATTACATTTCTAGGAGAAGAAGAAGAATCAGGGCTGGTCCATTTTTGATAATGACTCTCCTTTGATAGCTCTTCATGGAGAAGAGTTCTTGAGTTTGGGGGAATATTGATAAGGTGAGAATGAGCATGTTTATCTGCAAAATGCAGAGATGGCCCTTACTAACAGCATTCATTCATTCATTCAGTAAATTACAGTGTATTTATTGAATATTTATTTATTTTTGAGACGGAGTCTCTCTCTGTCACCCAAGATGGAGTGCGATCTCAGCTCCCTGCAACTTCTGCCTCCCGGGCTCAACCAATCCTCCTGCCTCAGCCTCTCAAGTAGCCGGGACCACAGATGTCCACCATCATGCCAGGCTAATTTTTGTATATTTAGTACAGATCGGATTTCACCATGTTACCCAGGCTAGTCTCAAACTCCTGAGCTCAAGTGATCTGCCCACCTCACTTTGGAGGCTTATACCAAAGTGCTGGGATTACATGTGTGAGCCACTGCACCCGGTCCATTTATTGAATATTATGCACTGTGCTAGGTTCCAACCATATAGAAGTCTCAAGTTGCTTTTAGTCATTATGAAGTCAAACAGACAGATACTACAAAAAGGTAAATGTGCAATCAGTGACGAAGCCACTCTGAGGTTCCCTGAAGAGAGACACAGAAGCCGTTAGAGTGGATAATAGAGGAGGAACAGGTAACTCACACTTGACTGCAAGGAAAGACAGTTGAGTCAAACAGACAAAGATTCAAATGCAGACTCATTATGAAACCTTAGCAAGTGCTATGATCTGGATGTTTGTGTCCCTCCAAAATTCATATTTTCAAACTTTAATTCTCAAAATGATGGTATTAAGAGGTAAGGGCTTTGGGAAGTGACTAAGTCATGAGGGCTCCATTCCCATAAATGGGATTAGTGCCCTTATTAAAAGAGGACTGGGGGAGTTTATTCAGCCACTCCACCATGGGAAGACACAGCAAGACGGTGTCATCTATGAGCAACAGGTCCTTACCAGACACAGAATCTCCCAGCACTTGATCTTAGACTTCCCAGCCTCCAGAGCTATGAGCAATAAATTCTGTTGTTTATAAATTACTTATTCAAAAAAATATTTTATTATAGCAGCCTAAACAAACCAAGACAATAAGTTAGACAATTTCAGAGTCCTCACATCCAAAGAATGCTGTCATATTAAATTAATAATTAATTTTTTAAATCTGGCATGAAATTATTATGACCAGTTATTCAAAAGTGGTATAAAGTCAGGTGATGGGAAAAGTTATGCTTTCTATTAATATAAATCATTTATAATGAGCAATCAGTCTCTTAATATTTCTCAACCTTACATGGTTTCTTATGACTTTGAACATATAGTTTTGTTTCAGCAAAATTTACATCTTGTCAAGGTATCAATTACTAGATAGTAAAATTTTGTATTTCAGAGGGAAAGAATAAGTATGGTAATAACTTTAGTACATACATTGTGATAATTGAATGCAGAATTGCTGTTATATAAAGGAGTTTTGAGATAATGAACATGTCATTCTAAATCTGGATAAAATTAAATGCCCTTTGTTCTTTGAATATTTAAATACATAGAAGTGCCTAGATATAATCTGTTTCTTTACTTTCTTCTTTTGTGAGTCACCATCATTTTGAGAAAAAAAAATACCTTGATATAGATTATGGTTGAAATATTTAATATTATATCAATCTCTTGTACTGCAAGTTTTATTGTAGATCAATAATAAAAGCAGAAGTCACTTTTTAATTTTTCCTGTTAAATGTATTTGTAATCCAGCTGGATTTTTCCTTGATAATATTTTTTCATCTATATATCGCTTATAAATATTTCACTTATATTTACTGCGTACCCACTCTGTGCTAGGCACCATGTTATTGGAAGAGGTGTAGCAGTAAGCAAAGCGTATATTATTATTGTTGTTGGAGAAAGGCCAACTTTGCCTTTTAACAAATTTACTTTATATCTAAAACAAGAAACAAAGAAAAGAAAAGAAAGGAAGCCAGCCATCCTGGGCCCTTTAGAATACATGGTTTTTGACTGGTCATTTTGAAAATCTATTGTGCTATCTTCAACTACTTAAGTAAACCCAGATTTTTCTTCCCTCATTTTCTTGCTTTCTTCCATAAGAAAAGTAAATTCATTAACTCAGTAAAACAGAGTAGTCCAGATCCAACACTCAAACACTTAGAATATATTGTTAGTTAGGTCTCAATTGTACAGAAACATTTCTACCTTTAAACAGACTTAGATGGCACCTATTCAAAAAAGATATATGAGTGTGCACATGGGAGTGTGTGGGGAGGGGGAATAGCATTTAGTCTTTTATTAAGAAGGAAACTACATGACCAGAAGCTGCTGGTTCTCATTTAAGACTTAAAAAATATCTTTTACTTAATCATTTCTAGAGGATCAAACTTTTTCTCGTTAGTATTATTTTATCATTTAATCCCATTTCCAAGGACTTTTGAATAATTCATCTAATACTTCTACCAAATTTCTTAAAATATTTAGAATTTCCTGGATTAACAGTGTGTTAGTCAACTTGGGCTTCTGTAAAATATGACAGAATAGGTGGCTTAAACAACTTATTTTTCACAGTTCTGGAGCCTGCAAGTCAGACCAGGGGGTACCAGCATGGTTGGTTTGTGGTGAGGGCTCTCTTCCTGGATGGCTGATGGCTGCCTTCCCACTGTGTCCTCACATGATCTCCCTTCTATGCATGTATAGGTGGGGCAGGGCGTAGGGAGAGAGAGAGAGACAGAGAGAGAGAGAGCACTCTGACGTGTCTTCTTATAAAGATACTAATCCTATTAGATCAGTGTCCCAACCTTATGACCTTATTTAACCTTAATTACTTTCTTAGAGACTCCATCTTCAAATACAGCCACACTGGGGGCTAGGGCTTCAATATATGAATTTTGGGGGAAAGCAAATGCCCACGTAACTTTAGAGTGGTATTCTGTGAAAGAGCGTATTTTAAAATGGAGAATGGGGGAAGAAAAAAAGGTAAGCAAAAACAGCAGAGAGTGCACCCTGCATTTAATGTTACTTTTCTTTTTGACCATTTCAGCATCAAATTGGTTTGAAGAAGTCAAGTTGGTTTTGTAAAAGTCCTGGAGCAAAAGGCTATGATTGCATTAATAAGTATGAAATCTGATTCAGAGGCTATAATCTCATTGGCTTCTACATTGCATGCCTCTCTACTGCTTGCAAAAGCTAAGTTTGTGAACCTACAAAGGGGGAAAAGCCTTTAATGGCATCACACTTGCCTGTGCAGAGTACTGATTGCATCAACTTGGAGTTAAATTGCCACCAGAAATCTGGTTAGATCTCTTCTCAGTGGCTTGGGGATTTTGATTGCAGATCGACTGTGAGTAGAATGTTTTTCAATATCAAAGAACAGCAACAGGGATTAAAAGCAACTCAGGCTTATTCATTCTGCCCAGGAAAAGTGGACAGAATGAAATATCCACAACAACGGAATCAAATGAACCCCTCGGCAAGTTTTTCACTTTCTACTCAACATCATGACTCAAAGTCAAGGGCAAAGGCAAAAGGTTAAAAAGACTAATGAGCTAAGATAATAGTGAGCCATGCTAGCTACAGCTAGATCTTCCTGGTAAGGAAGACATGTATTCTCCTTTCCATGCTAGCTAATAGCTGTAGATCTTCCTGGTAAGGAAGGCATGTATTCTCCTTTCTCTGCACAGGAAGAACCAGTATTTTCTTTTTTTTTTTTTTAATTTAAAAAATATTTTTATTTCTCTGGATTTTGTGATATTCATGATTGCTTTGTAAAATTGTATAGTTTTTCATGATTTCCTTTCCTTTTCATTTTCTTTTTTATTTATTTATTTATTTATTATTATACTTTAAGTTTTAGGGTACATGTGCACAATGTGCAGGTTAGTTACATATGTATACATGTGCCATGCTGGTGCGCTGCACCCACTAACTCGTCATCTAGCATTAGGTATATCTCCCAATGCTATCCCTCCCCCCTCCCCCCACCCCCCAACCGTCCCCAGAGTGTGACGTTCCCCTTCCTGTGTCCATGTATTCTCATTGTTCAATTCCCACCTATGTGTGAGGATATGCGGTGTTTGGTTTTTTGTTATTGCGATAGTTTACTGAGAATGGTTATTTCCAATTTCATCTATGTCCCTACAAAGGACATGAACTCATCATTTTTTATGGCTGCATAGTATTCCATGCTGTATATGTGCCACATTTTCTTAATCCAGTCTATCATTGTTGGACATTTGGGTTGGTTCCAAGTCTTTGCTATTGTGAATAGTGCCGCGATAAACATACATGTGCATGTGTCTTTATAGCAGCATGATTTATAGTCCTTTGGGTATATACCCAGTAATGGGATGGCTGGGTCAAATGGTATTTCTAGTTCTAGATCCCTGAGGAATCGCCACACTGACTTCCACAATGGTTGAACTAGTTTACAGTCCAATCTTTGCATCATCCAATTAATGTAGCTTGTAGGCAGAAAGTCTGAAGGGATAACCCTATCATCAGCTCTGCTGCAAAGAATCTGTTAGAGTAATATGTAGGGGTACTGGTACTATTTTTTAAACTAGCACAAGCATAATACATTTTATTCAAGAGTTTCAAGATGCTACAGAAAACATTGTGACTATGCGTCAGTATTTGCAAAGGATTTTTTTCAAAGTGGCCTAAATCTCAGCCTCTCCCTCTCATGCGAGCAGTCGCTGTTACCGTACTCTCACTTATTCAGAAGAGCTGTGAGGAATAGCAGGAGAAAGGCCACATTTATATGAAATCATGTGCTCAAAAAATCACGGCCACTTGCCAATGGTGTGACCTATAGGGAGTTACTCCCTATCCTTGACTTTCAGTTCCAGCCATACAAAAGGGGTGGCAGGGATTCCATTAAATGGTGCAGTGAAAGGTTCTTACACATGGCTTGAAATGTATTCTGTAAAGGCCCATAAGTTCCTTCTTGTGAGAAAAAGGAACCAATTGGTAAACATTGGTATACATGGTATATGGTAATAACATATAACATGATATTAATATGTTATATATTACCATTCTTGGGGATAGGACCATTATCATTTTTTTAATAATAGGAGAAAACAAAACAAAGGGAGTCATCTCCAATAATACAGTTTTTGAACAACAGTGATTCTGATATTGTTGATAAGGTGACTAACAGGTTTTATTGACTCCATTCAAATGATACTGGCCCATTCCTTGGGAGACTCCCAGGCCACGTCCTGAACGGTGTGCTTAAGCAAAGCTGCACCAGGCAGAAAGCCTGTTTCCCACAGAATGTGAGGCCATTTGCTGGCAGCCAGCATGCTGCAGGAGTGTAACGAAGATGCTCCCTCCAACCACATGTGGTGGGTAATATCTCTCCTCTCCCGGATAAGAGCCCCCTCAAAGCTGGCTGGAAAGATAGGAGCAGAGGCAATGGCTGAGCTCTAGGTCCTGCAAAGTCCAGCCTGGTATTTGACTCAGGGAAACTCTGGCTGAATTAATTGAAAAATAAAGGTTATTGTCAAATTGAACTAGAAATGAAAGATTTGGGTCAATACTTATTAAATTTTGCTTTGCTGCACTTTTCAGGCATCCAATATTATATTGACTCACATTCTCTTTCACTTACTACCTGTTTCTTAGATAAGTTCAGATTTAACCAGCAACTTGGAAATATTGCAAATGAATAAGGTCCAAATCTGGAGCAGAAAAGTCAATGGTCTGCTGCTTCTGGAATTCTGGTGTTGCCTCAGAAGCAGGAGTTATCTTTCTTCTTCTTCATTTAACATGTGTTTTCACAGCACTGACTGTATCCCCTCGTTGGCTTTCCATGGCAACCCTGGAAAAGAGAAAAGGCAAGAGTTTACCATCTCATTTTCCACATGTGTAAACTGAGGCTCAGAGAGATTGAAAGGGACCATACCATTAATCAGTGATGAGTTGGAACTGGGATCCAAGTTTACTGAGAACATTTCCCACCAAGCTGGTCCTCTTAGGGTCACATGCAGGGAACTGCATGTAGGGATGTAAATGAGGAATAACAGATTAGGAGCTGCCGTGTGTAGTTAGCCCAGTATGTGCATGTGGTAAGTGTTCAGTACATATTAACAATTTCAACGTCAGTGTTGACTGTTGTTGTTGTTGTTATGATTCATTCTCCTTATCTCAGAAGGAACCAAAATAAAGTTAAGGAGCTTCCTTACACTTTCAGGCTTCTCTGTATTTAGGTTATTTTAATCAGCGGCAATAATCATTTGCATATTAAAAATTCATGTAAAGTAGGCTAAGTACTAGGAGGATGAAATGAAAAGGAATCAGCTCAAGTCCTCAAGGAGCTTACCTCTAGCTGAGAACGAGTGATTGGTGAGGGCTTAACAACTAGGAATATCAGCCAGGTGTGGTGGCTCATGCCTGTAATCCCAGCACTTTGGGAGGCCGAGGCAGGTGGACCACATGAGGGCAGGAGTTTGAGACCAGCCTGGGCAACATGGTGAAACCCTATCTCTACTAAAAGTACAAAAATTAGCCGAGAGTGTTGGTGCATGTCTGTAATCCCAGCTACTCAGAAGGCTGAGGTGGGAGGATCACTTGAAGCTGGGAGGCGGAGGTTGTGGTGAGCCGAGATGGCACCACTGCACTCCACCCTGGACAGCAGAGTGAGAATCCATCTCAAAACTAAAACTAAAACTAAAAAACATCAAAAACTAGGAATATCAGGCAAAGTCACGTAAGTTAGAGTGATGATAACAGAGGAAACAGACTTTGCACTGATCCCTCAAGACTAAGGGGAGCTTAGGGGAGCAAAGAAGGTATGCCAGGTATGCCAGAGAGAGGCTCAAGAAGAGGACGTTCACAGCTGGCAGCATCACTTATGCAGTATACTAAAAATACATATAGGCAGGCTCATCCTCAAAGATTCTTATTCAATACATCTGAATGGAATCCTAGTATTTTTGCATGCAACAAGGTCTTCACTGTAACAATCTGCAATTAAGAGCCACTGCTGTTGGCAATGGGGGCCCACAGATTAGGACCCCATTTCATTAGGGGCCTGCATTTTATTAGATTGGAATAGGTATCCTGTACTAACTCACACCAATGAATGTATTTTAACTTCATAAGAAGGTTAGTCCATTGCTCACTAAGACACGGTGCCTGACACATAATAAGAATTTGATAAAAACCTGAAGGGAGGAAAAGATCAAGGACAGAAAGAAGAATGAGAAAATACACTTCCATTTTCCTGCTTTCAGTCTATTAACCTGTGCTGCGTGCTGAGATTCCAAGATTCCAATTTCTACATCTCAGTGGATCACTAGTTGAGCTAGCAATGACGTTCCACTGCACTCAGACAGGTGTCCGCATTCCTAAGTGTACACACAGGCCCTGCATGATCCAACCTAGCTCAACCTTGCTAACTCGTCTTCTGCATTTGCTCACCACCATCTGACCACTCAGGCCTTCTCTCTGTTTCTCGAAACTCCCCAGCTCATTCTCACCTCGGAGCATTCACATTGCCTGGGAAGCTCTTCCCCCTTATCTACACATGGCTTCTTCTCCTTAAGGTTTCATTTGAATTTCCATCTCAGAGTAGTCACTCTGGCTATCCAACCATAGGCAGAACCTGTGCAGTAGCTAGGTTTCTCAAAGCATGTTTTCCTACCCCAAGTTTTCCTGGACATATGTTTGCTTTTCAATTTGTCCTCCTACCCACCACCACCAGAACATAAGCCATACACAGTGAGGACCCTTGCTGGTCTTGTTCATGACCGTGTCCAAAATACTTAGAGCAGTGTCTGACATATATAAACTTCTCAGTATTTTTTTAATGAGTGGATACTATCAACAGCAGCCTTCTCCTTACGTTTATCCTCTTTCTCTTCTCTCAGTCCTTATATTTATCTTTCTCATTCCCTTTGTCTACTAAACTATAGTTGATTTGAGCGACTGCCATGATTTAAAGTTAAAAATACAAAGGGCTGCTCACCTCTAACCTGTTACGTGTCCTCCTGAGCTCATGTCCCCAAATCGAACATCATCTGAAATAAAACCCGTTGATCTCAGGCTGCCTGAACTCTAACAGTGGAAACATGTCGGGGAGTCCCTGGGGGGCCCATCTATTTTAAGAACCGTTTTGAGAGTTAGAGGAGAAAGGATTCTTTTTTTTTGGCAAGCAGTCTGAGAATTAGGTTACATTCTAAAGTAGGGCAAAATTTGTCATATATGGCCCAGTTCTATACCTAGAACTCCTGCTCACACACACACTCACACACGTACACATCTTTTAAGATTCAAGTGAGTTTGGTTGGATATAACAGTAGACATATTTGTTTGCATAAGGCTTTGAAATAAAATGCTTTCATATATATTATGACATTGTATACCAACAAGGAAGCAAGGCAGTTGTGAATGTCCCCATTTTAGTGTTACGGAAACAAAGGCCCAGAAGATTTCAAGATAGGGCTAAATGTTCTTGCCAACACAACTGAATTCGAGTCCTGGAATTCTAAATGGACCCTGCTGTGGGATGTTCTGGAAAGTCACTTGGCAGTGTCCCTCTCTGGAAAATAAGATGGTTGAATGACCTCCAAACCAGTACTTTGCAAACTTCAGTGTGTTCACAAGTCACCTGGATTCTTGTTAGATTGCTGCCCTGAATCAGTAGGTCTGGGTAGGACCTGCTATTCTGCATTTTTAAGAATTAGTCACAGCTCCCAAAGGATGTCCAAGCTGCTGGTTCATCAACCACACTCTGGAGAGTGAGACATTGGAACCAAATGGACTTTTGATGGCCCAGATCTCCTGAGATTCAAAGGCATGTGGTAGAATTCAAGAAGAGCTGCTCTTCTGAACTGCAGTTCTGAGGCTAAGATTCTCTTCCCAGGTACATTCTTATTTTGGCTAGGATCATTGGGGAAGTTATTAAGTCTGATTGAACTGGTTCATGGAGATCTAACTGTACCTAAGAGAGGCAATAAATAAGTATAAACACGTGCTCAGAAAACAGAAATTTGAATTTGCCAGATGTAGGTGGCATTTTTACATATGAGTTAGTGAATAGATCTTGTCCCCAAAGCTTCCTGGCTCCTCCAAAACAGATTTATTTAGGATGAAGGCAGAGGGAGGGCTACCTGGCAGCAGATGGATAGCCTGAGGCTTAGATAGGCCTCTGGTTTTCCCAAAGCCGATGCAAAGCCTCGGGCAAGCTGCCAGGCAAACCCGCAAACCTTCTTTGTCTCTGCCATGATGAGTGCAGAGCCTCATCACAGTGGGGCAGCCTCTGTGGATTTGCATTTAGGAAGAACCCATCTGGCTGACAAAGAGAAAACCAATCATTGTATTTTAGTTTTTCATCATGTGTGAAGTGAAGCACAAGTGAATTTTCCATTATGCCTTGTTAGGATCAGAATCCTCAGTCATGGAGGGGTGTGTAATCATAGCTGATTGCTCAGTAGTCACCTTGAGTGAAAGGGATAGTGGCTCATTAGTCTTTGGTCTATGGAAATGCAACTCCAGTCCCTTTCAAGGTGTCTCTGTTGTCCTTCTCATGACCATGTCATGGATGGAAATCACCCTCAGCATAGACATGAAACTGCTCCTCCAGATCACTCATGGTGGCCAGAGATTCCCTTTCAGGGGCACTGCAGCTGAGAAAAATGGAGCATGATCAACGTGGGGTTGAGTTGAGGGCTATCTATGGTCAATGTGTGCATGCACAGGAATGGAGCTAGGGGCTGGTCTTATTTTCACACTTTTGATCATAATCACCCAATGAACTAGGTATGATTATTTCTACTTTACAGAAGCTGAAGGAAACTGAGTTTTAGGTAGAGCAACTGGTCAAGGCCTCCTGTGATTACCTTGATTAACCTAGCTAACCCATTCCCTATTTTAGACTCTCAGAATCAACCTTTCCATTCTTCTCTCTGACATTCATAGTCTTCCTTGTGCTCTCAATAATATGTCCCTTGCACATTTTATTCTAGATTGGACTACAAATCAAAATTGTCAATAATTTGACAGAACTGGAGAAACAGTGCCTTGTTGAGCTAGTATGGGATCTAAATGCTTAGCCCTGATTACAAAGCTGACTCTGTTTCTTATATAGTCTCAATACTGTTTCTCATTGGTCCTGCAGTGTCATGTAGTGGAGGAAACTATTAGAGACACCTGGGGTTCAAAACCAGCTTGGCAGTTTATTAATTGTACAGCCATTCATGATTCATTTTTCCTCTCTGAGCTCAGTTTCCTCCTCCATAAAATGGGGTTAGCCATCCATCCTGGGATTATTAGGAGGATTAAATTTAAAGTGCACAGAATAGTCCCTGGCCCATAATAAGCATTCAGCAATATAATGAGCATTTAACAAAAAGCTTCAGTGGGCAGCAAGTAATTTGTAGTAAATTGCAGAGCAAGGATTTGAAACCCAGCTCTTAAGCATTAAAATATTGCCTCTGCCACAAATGGTAGCTTCAGCTATTAATAGATGCTCAACCTTCATAAGAAGAGAATACAGTCTTATAGGCTATAAACTGGTTGGCATGCACACTGCTGCTTTCTAAGAGCATTTGTAGCTGATGCTCCACAAACCACTATCCTGGCAGCCACACATCTTCAGAAGAACAGAGACCATTATAGCATCACTGAATTCCTCACCAAATTCAGTTGGTTATATTTTTAAAGATATGTAGTAATAAATGTCAACATAAATAATTATAGGTTGAATAAAAAAATGCAATGCCTGCATTTATACATTCTGCAGCTGTACTCTGGGATTTCCTTATTTTGATCAATGCATTCTTAATCAAACATATTGATCTTGATTCATGGTTGAAGTCAACAACCTCAAGGAAAAGTACATAAGCTCCTTAGAATGAAATAGCAGAGGCTGGGCACGGTGGCTCACACCTGTAATCCCAGCACTTTGAGAGGCCGAGGCAGGTGGATCACCTGAGGTCAGGAGTTTGAGACCAGCCTGGCCAACATGGTGAAACCCCGTCTCTACTAAAAATACAAAAATTAGCTGGGCATGGTGGTGTGCGCCTGTAATCCCAGCTACTCAGGAGGCTGAGGCAGGAGAATTGCTTGAACCCGGGAGGCGGAGGTTGCAGTGAGCCAAGATCGTGCCATTGGACTCCAGCCTGGGCAACAAGAGCAAAACTCTGTCTCAAAAATAAAAATAAAAATAAAAATAAAAGAAGGAAATAGCAGAGATTAGTTTGTATTATAGACCTACCATCACTTTGAACAAATTATTTAACCCTCCCTCAGTGTCAGTTTCCTTATCTGAGCACTGTGGATAATAATGGCCCTACGTCATAGTTGTGTGGTGGGGACCAAAGAAGATAATACGCACAAACCACCTGGTGCTTATTATTCACACCTTAAAGGAGAAGCAATGCAGCTACTTCTGTGATTCACTGCCTCTGCATCCTTGGAGATGTTCTATTTGCACAGACTTTGGGTCAGAGAAACTGCATTAACAGTTTACTAGCTGAGAGACCTGGGCTGAGTTCCTTCAGTTTCCTAAATCCTAGCTGTTTTATCTGGAGGATGGAGATGGTTCAGGCTGCCTTACAGGTTGGTTAAGATGGGGAAATTATCCAGTGCTCACCATGTAATTCTTCTCCTCACACTCACTTAATCTCTCACTCATTGCAGCAGTGGCCAGGGAATGCATTGAGGGAACCCCAGCCAAACGTTTCCATTATTGCTATGCTGGGTGGTCAGGAAAATAACAATCTCTAAACGGTCTTTCTTCCTAGTGTTTGTTACTACTGGACATCACATTACACTACAATTTCCCTATTTCAAGTCCTCCCCTACTAGAATCCCTCCGTGGGGCCAGAAACCTTAACCTGTTTTGTTCACTGTTATTTCCTCAGTGCTTAGCACATAGTAGGCCCTCAATGCATATATTGTGGTGTTGTTTTCAAATCTGCCTAGGGTCAGGTCTGCCCAAAGCAAAATAACTCCGGTCCTACAGAAATGATTAAATGTGAATATTTCAAATGAAGGATGAAAATTTATTGTAATATTTTTCTCATTTCTCTATATACTGGACAACTAATAAAATATTTCCTCCTCACTCTCTGGAAGATATATTCATGTCTGTTTTGTCAGTGAGCTCTATTACAAAACTAATAACAATGACATTTGAAATAGAAGATTACATAACATTTTTTAAAATAGTTAACCTTTCTGTATGGCATTTCATTGGATGTCTAATTAGCAGTAGCATTTTGTTGTTTGCCGTCTTAAATTTACCAGGTTCATAAGCCTCGAAAAATTAACCTTGTTTAAATAATCAATCATCATAATGAGAATTTCTACCTTTAAAAGTTCTTCTTTTGTCCTTCTTTCTCCGTTCCTTTGGCACCACCAGAATGTTCCATTTGGAACTTCCTTTCTGTACTAGCTTTTCTATTAAGAAGCAGAAAACATCTGTTTCGTAACTTTTACTTCGGAGTGGATTTGTTTTGCCAATTAAGAAAAGTTTACCCAATTTCTTTCATATAGTCAAGGAAAAACTTTGGCAACCAGTCAAGTAAAGCAGAAATAAGTTCACTACTAACGTTGGAAAAATTATTTCATGTCATTCTTGCCTTAATTTTATTTTACTGAGAAATCATCTTTTGAGAAGACCTGTTGTCATTATACATGTGAATAGAAATTAGAGAGCATGCAAATAGTTAAATACTGAAACATGTGTTTAGTTCTTTTAGGCTTTCCTATCCAGTAGGTGCATGTCAACTCTCATGGGGAAAGGGGAATTCAAATTATTGTGCCAGGTATTTTAAAAGCATTAACTCATGTCGTCTCAAAATAATTATACCGAGTAACACTGTTATTCACATTTTGAAAAACATGAAATGGGCCAAGAGTGGCTGAGAAATGTGCTCATTGTCACTCAGGCATTAAATGGTTGAGACTGGAATCCAGTGTGTCTATCTCTGAGCCCATATTTTCTCCACAGTCTTTCTCTACCTTCTTACAGCAGCGGTTCAGCTGATGTTCATGTTCTCCTCTACTAATTAATTAGTCTTTGCTAGAAGCAGAACAACATGGACAAAGGTAGTTCAAAGACTGATACAAGAAGTAATGATAAGAATAATTATCTGGATCAATAGTTGTAGCCTGGATAAAATTTCTGCTTGAAAGAAAGTCTGAATTAGATGATAATCCAAATAAGTTATTTTCTAAGAAATTTTAGTTTCTGAAGAAAGAGCCAACAGTCAGAATATCCCTTATAGGAAATTACTACACAAGAAATGTATTTCATAATTTTTATATGCTGAATGTTTAAAGATCTTCAGAAATATCCCATGAATTTCATCAATCTCTGAACATGAAAAACACAGTTTATCCCTACTTTTCATGAACGAAAGAAAATTAAAATTGGATCACTTCCTAAGTTGTCAATTTAAGAGTTTTATTGACTATTTTGTGTCCAGCAACTTGCATATGCTGACACTACTTAGATAAATGAGATACAGCCATCTTCCTCGAAGAACTCAAAGGCTGTTGAGGAGACAGACATAAGATCAAATAAATACAAAATAGTTAAGTGACAGCTATAATAATTACTCATTTTAGAACGACTGAGAAATTGCATCTAATGCAAGAAGGGAAGGTCAGGGAGCCTTCCTAGAAGAAATGTTGACTGGGCTGTGCCTTAATGGACAGATGAAGAAGAGCTGATTGCAAGTAGAAGTAACAGAAAGGCATCCTAGGTGGAGAAGACCACCACAAAACCAGAGGCACATCATTGCGAAATGGTTGATGGATTGAGAGATCTACATAAAGTACAAGTCAGGCAGTTGTAAGAAATAAGTCTAGGAGTGGAATGACGTAGTCATTTTTGTATCTTCGTAGAGCATTGCTTAGGAGTTTACATATGAGAAGAATAAGGCTCAAGGTTGAGAACTAAGTTAGGTGCTATTTCAGGAGTTCAGACATTGCTAAAAGCTTGGACCAGGATACTGGTCTTTGGATGAAGTGGAAAACATCAGATTCTATACATATTTTAAAGCTAAAATTTGCAGTATTTGGTGATTTGTTGAAAGCCTGGTTGCGGATGGTCCAAGATGCTTCCAGTGTGGGTGACTGGGTAAGAAAGTGGTATAGTCAATTCAGATAAGAAGCACAGATGTATGTGCTGTTTAGTGTAAAAGATCATGGGCTGAGGCCAGGCGTGGTGGCTCATACCTGTAATCCCAGCACTTTAGGAGGCTGAGGCGGGCGGATCATGAGGCCAAGAAATCGAGACCATCCTGGCCTACATGATGAAACCCTGTCTCTACTAAAAATACAAAAATTAGCTGGGTATGGTGGTATATGCCTGTAATCCCAGATACTCAGGAGACTGAGGCAGGAGAATCGCTTGAACCTGGGAGGCAGAGGTTGCAGTGAGCTGGGATTGCACCACTGCACTCCAGCCTGGCGATAGAGACTCCATCTCAAAAAATAAATAAATAAATAATAAATTAATAAAAAGATTATGGGCTGAAAGTTTAACATCTAGCAATGAGGGAAGCATCGGAAATCTGGAAGAATCAGCCAAGCAAGCTGAGATGAGCAAGTTTCAGCAAGGAGATAGCAAATAGGAATGTAGAGTTGGGAAGCAATAGCTCCAGGAAACCTATGGAGTGAGATCAAGGATGATATAATGAATCAAATCTACATTTAAAGGTGAGGAAGGGTAGGAAGGAATGGTGAGAGATTTAGAGCAACATCAGGAAAGCTTAGAGATTTCAGAATTTCCACAGTGTCTAATGCAACAGAACAGTCCAATAAAAAAAAATGTGAAAAATGAGTCACTGAATTTGAAAATTAGGTGATCATAGATATGTGTATCAAAGACTGTTTGCTAGAGTGATAAAGGGTAAAATCATTTTTAGTTGGCTGCATAGTGAATGAGAAATGAGAAATAGAAGTAAGCATAAAATAATATTTCAAAAATTTCTATGTGAAGTTCAGGATAAAGAGGTTGAAGTATAGCTCTCAGGACAGGAGTCTTCAGAGGCATGTGTGTCTTTTATTTGGGACTGGACTAAGCCATGTGTCAGTAAAAATAAGCAATAGAAAGATTGTTCTATACAATTGGAGAATATGTAAGAGGTGTTGTTTCTTTGTTTTCATTTTTATGATAAAATGTAGGCCTCAGAAATGTCAATGGAAAGGGTTTGATAGGGAGGCATTGGAGAAGTTTGTGAAGCTGTGAGGGGCTCAGTCTAGGCAGTTTAGAGGCAGTTATGTAATCAAAGAGTGGGAAGGACCAGTTTTATGCTCAATGACCAACAACAGTACACGTAAGAGACATGACTGGAAATACCTGCTCTTAAATATTCTGACTTAAAGCCCGATCATTTTGATGCTTCAGCTGATCAAGGATGCTAGTCATCAACACAGAGCAGTGATGGAGACTGGTAAAATGGATCAGTGGTGACCCAGGTTATTAAGAGGTGACAAGCACAGTCATAGGACCCTGGCTGGACTGGTTTTGTCTTCATGAAATATAGCTGGTCTCTGAGTCAGCCAATACCAAAAGCTCTTGTGTTTACAAGAGCTTTTCTGGGCTCCTCTTTGCCTTGGCTTCTCCTGATTCTGCACCAACCTTTAATTGAGTGGTGAACTGATGCTGAAAAAAAAAAAAAAACTAGCAAAATTTCGTGTATGAGAAAATCTAGAGAAGATTCAACGTAAGCACATCAAGAGCTCCATTTAGCATTCAAAGTGACAGTTTCATTAGCTCTGTCTCTTTGAAACTTAAAGATGTATATTTATGAGAAACCCTGTTCATGTTTGCTTGGCTGTTTCTTTGGTTGTAATTTAAAATTGATAATGACTAAACAAGATAGAGTCACCTATTCTAGAATCTCTAAAGTCATTGTATAGTACTTTCAAGGGAAAAAATAGAATTATTTCTCTGTAAAATAACCATTATAGTTAAACATGAGAATTGAAGAAAGAAAGTTAAACCTATGACTAGGCTTTATAAATTTGCATAAATAATTATGGCCTAATTACTTATTTCTGAAATGCCCTGGACAGACTTATAGCTGGGCTGTAAATAAGGAAGAGTCTGACCGAGTGTGGAAGAGGTAGCTTCATCCAAAGCAGACTCTAATTTTTACTTAAAGTTGGGCCATGTGAAAACTTTTTCAAGTCTTAAAACTTGAAGAGGTTTTGGTGCTTTCTTCTTATGTGATGAGAAACAGTTTTAATGATAAAGACAAAAATTTCATATGACCTTCTGATTTTCCTATGATCACATTTTTTCTTCCAGTATCAAATATCAAAAGCTTTCAAAAGACTCCTTGGGGGCCAGGCACGGTGGCTCACGCCTGTAATCCCAGCCCTTTAGGAGGCCGAGGCGGGTGGATCACTAGGTCAGGAGATCGAGACCATCCTGGCTAACATGGTGAAACCCCGTCTCTACTAAAAATACAAAAAACTAGCCGGGCATGGTGACGGGCGCCTATAGTCCCAGCTATTTGGGAGGCTGAGGCAGGAGAATGGCATGAACCTGGGAGGTGGAGCTTGCAGTGAGCCAAGATCGTGCAACTGTACTCCAGCCTGGGCAACAGAGCAAAACTCTGTCTCAAAAAAAAAAAAAAAAAAAAAAAAAAAAAAGACTCCTTGGGGGCACCTTTTGCTCATGCCCTAAGTATGTGTTTATGAGATTATGCAGCACTAAATAAAGACCTTTGCTACAAGTCACAGCAGTGGTCAAACACTCTAGGCAGGTGTTTCAGCACCAAAAGCCAGCTCTTTTTCCTAAGGAGGCTTCTACCCCTCTTCTTTCCTTTCATAATGCCAAACCTGTACTGGAGAGTAGAACGGACACCAAGAACGTTACGCTTTTTTCCTTCAGCCAACAGATCAGCACACTGATCTACCTGCTTGAGATCATGCCCTAGACAGTTCTGAGGGCCCAGAGTAGCCACAGGGCAGATGCGCAGAGTAACTATTATTCATTTTGCAACCTGCACTCTGTCTTTAATAACTGTGGTTTTATTGCTAGCCATTTTTCAGGTACCAGCCTTTGGCTAAATTTTATTCTATTTTACTTTGTGCTCTGTGGGACATGGTGAGGGATTGAAAAATAAACAAGAAGCACGCTTTTTTCCATCCTGTTGCTTGTGGATGAGCTCAGGATACAGACATATGCAAATAATACAGGAGAATGAAGGGATGAGTGAAGACTCATAGGATATGGAGAGTATTGTACAGTCTGAGTATGGACATTGTAAACCTCTCCCTGGTAGATTAGAATTTTGGAATTTTTTTTAATACCTACTAGGGTACTGGACTCAGAGTAAATATTCAGTACTTGTAGAAGGAGTAAAGTTATTATTGCTTTATAAATAGAGTAATATAGCAATGTACCTGTATGCATGATGAAATCTTTAGGACGGGGCCTTATTTTAGAAAAAAAAAACATATCTTTTAATCTTAGTACCTGGTACATGAAAGATCCGGAATAAATGTTTGCTAAATGAATAAATGAACCCGTTTTCTATACTATGGTTGTGTTAGGTAGTCCCCACTGAGTCTAAGGGCTGAAGGTCTGCCAGGATGGAAACTGCAGTTCTTTAATCCTGTTATAGGCTCAGGACCAACTTTATGACAGACAGCCCCTTTGCTTTCACCACCACTTTGTCTTCTATGAAAAGATTATAAAGTGTAGTGATCCTTGTTAAATTAATCCTTTGAATAACAGTTCAATAGAGTAGATACTGTTAACTCCAATTTGTAAGTTAAAAAAAAAACTGTATCTTTCATATGATTAAGAATCCTGCAGGAAAGAAACTTAAGCTCTTGTGTTCCAGTTTTTTCATGTATAACCTGGGAATCACAAGACCTCTATCATTAGGATTGTTAAGTGAATTAAAAATTACATTCACAAAGTGCCTAAACACTATCAGATACATTGTTGATGCTCATGAAGAGGAGGGAGTGATGATGATGGCAGCTGAAACTGGCTAGAAAGTAGAAGCTGGTTGAGTATAGCTGGTTTGAGGAAGTTTGGATAGATGTAGTAGGAGAAGAACTGAGATTATTGGTTGGTACAGGATGAAAAATGTTTATGGAAGCCACAGAAAAAGACTTTTGAGTCATTAGAGCTTCTTTAGTTGCATCTGCTAAGAAAAACTGGGTGGAATTTCTGTTTACTTGTAAGGGAAACCATATTTTATATCAAATATTGGAGAGTTATTATAGGATATTTTACAAAGAGGTGACATGATACTATTATTCTTGTTAGAAGTTTCCTTTAAGGCAGTGTAGAGAATTGGGGTGGAAAACTTGGACAGAAATAAGAATGGCCTAGAGAGAGGTAGTAGAATTAGGTATGGAGATATCTTGATACATTTCTAAGAGGTAGGATTGACAGGGTTTCGAGTTTGTTGGGAAATGGAGACAGTTTGAGTATCTAAGATTATCCCCATGTTTCTAGCCAAGGAACAGCATTTGGCAAGCGCTTGGAAGCTGGTTTTAAGAGACTGTCATGATGACATCAATTTTGGACATGTTGAGTTTGAAATGCCTATGAGCTATTTGGTTAGAGATACCCCACTGACTTCCTCATCTTCCCCATCAATCACTGCAACAAGCATTTTTCAGTCTCTCTAGTTAGTGGAATAGTGTATCTCAAAAATGTATGTTCATCCAGACCCTATGAGTATGACCTTTTTTGGAAATAGAGTCTCTTTAGGTGCAATCAAGTTAAGATGAAGTCATATTGGATTTGGTTGGGTTTTAAATCCAATGACTGTGTCCTCAAGGGACATTTGGAGACATGGAGACATGGAAAGGTGGACATACACAGGAATGAAGGCCATGTGAAGATGGAGGCAGAGACTGGAGTGATGTTGCTTAAAGTCAGGAAATGCCTGGAGTCACTAGAAGATGAAGAGGCAAAGAATAATTTTCCCTTAGAGCTTTTAAAGGAAGTACGTCCCTGCTGACACCTTGATTTCAGACTTCCAGCCTCCAGGGCTGTGAGAGAATAAATTGCAGTTGTTTTAAATAGCCAAGAGAATGGTCATTTGTCAAGGCAGCTCTATGAGTATAATACAGCCTCCTTCCTTGCTTTATTTTTCTACATAGCACTTAGAGCCATATGATAAACTGTTTATATTTTTTACTTATTTTTTGTTTATTTCTCCTCACTAGAACTTAAGCTCCATGATGATAGAAATTTTTATCTTTTTAGAAAAATCCACTGTTGTATCTGCAATGCTTGCATAGTGTGTGGATTAAAGAGAGAAGCAAATCAATGACAAAACTCTCAGGAATATAAATATTTAAATTTAAGGGTGAGTGAAATAAGGGAAGCCCAAAAACAGATAGGCAAAAAGTTGCCAAGGATTTGAAAGAGGAAAACTGGGAGGGTATTGTGTCAATAAATCAAGAGAGGGGAGAAATTCAAGGAAGAATAGTCTCCAGTGGCACATGATGTGGAATGATCTAGTAAATTGATAATAGATATAGAATGTCTTATTAAACTTTAAGAGAGAAATTCATAGGTGAGGTGGCCACCATGCTACATGACATTGGGTTAAAGAACATATTGTTTTGTTTTGATAAAATATAGGAGGAGCTGACTGAATATGTGGGTACGTGTGTTTATGAGGCAGAAAAACATGGACAGGAGGAAGTTGGAGGACAAGAAATCCAAGTAAAATTATTTTATGAACTTCAGTTTCACTTTAAAAGTTCACATCAATTATAGCATCACTCCTAGATTTGCCTTCTATAATTTTTGCTATTTATATAGGAAATATCTTTTTTGTGCATGCTTTCATACTTACTTGAATAAAGTACCTGCTTCTGATCCTTGAGGTGACATAACTTTACCAAAACCTTTTTTCACTTCAATGCACACATGCAAATAGAAGTGTGGAAATATATCACATTGATTGAGAAGAGCCAATGGGTAGAATGGCCAACCATCCATTTTGCTGGAACTTAGGGTTTTTCCAGTACATGGAAGTTTGATAAAATGCCAAGAGACCCTGAATAAACCAGAACGGGTAGCCACCCTACTTGTGAACATTATGAAGTAATTTCAATTCAGTACTGGCTAAATTTCTTTCTTTTTTTTTTTTTCTTTTTCAGCTAGACGTGGTATCTAAAGTTATGGCAAAAGAAGGAAATGAAGAGTCAAATCCATATAATTTTAGCTTAAAGTAACAATTGTTTGGACTAATATTTTGAACATTTACTAATGCTGAGTATGCCAGATTTTACTTTGAAATTGTTTTAAAATATAAGAAATTGTGGATAATCACAAATTAAAGTGTGATATATGTGAAACCATGTAATGATAGTCCAACTTCTGTATTACCCCTTTGGAAAGCCTTCATAAATTTAACACCTTCTATTGGTAGATTTAGGTGCTACTCTATGGATTTCCACAGTATTCTCATTAACTTAGAACATTTACTTATCAGATTATGTTATAAATATCTATTTACTTGTATGCATCCATGACTAAAATAGGAAATTTTATTTAACAACTTATATGTTTACTAGACATTTCATAAACACTGGTACAATTAGCTTGTTTATACTCTGTATTTTTATTTTTTTATATTTTTTTTCTTTTGAGACAGAGTCTCATTCTGTCACCCAGGCTGGAGTGCAATGGCATGATCTCAGCTCACTGCAACCTCTGCCTTCCAGGTTTAGGTGATTTTCCTGTCTCAGCCTCGAAGTAGCTAGGATTACAGTCACCTGCCATCATGCCTTGCTAATTTTCATATTTTTAGTGGAGACAGGTTTCTCTATGTTGGCCAGGCTGGTCTTGAACTCCTGACCTCAGGTGATCCACCTACCTCAGCCTCCCAAAGTGCTGGGATTGCAGGTGTGAGCCACTGTGCCTGGTCTTCTACTCTGCATTTTTATAAACAATAGTTCCAATACTTAAGCTATGAGGATTTCTCTAAATTCCAGTGATGCAAACACATAATTTTGAAAGGAAACCCTTCATTTTGTCATATAAGTGAACTATATAATGGCCTGACAATTTTTTTCTCATTTGTTTCTTTATATTAATGTATATTATAGCAAAATAGTTAAAAATTATTTATGTTAAAATCTTTAAAAACTGAAAGTTGAATCTGTATTTAAGCATATTTTGACAAGTACACTTTTTAAAAATAAATTTCCTTGTGTATATCTGAGGTTTACAAGTTATGGAAAAACTACAGATAGTAAAATGGTTACTATGGTGAATCAAATTAACGTATCTATCATCTCGCATAGTTATCTTTGGGTGGGGGTTGGGGAAAAGGCAGTTAAAATCTACTTATTTAACAAAAAGCCTTAACCTAATACAGAAGACTATTATAGTCTACAATATTAGACTATTATAGACTATTATAGTCTACAATATTAGACTGTTATAGACTATTATAGTCTACAATATTAGACTGTTATAGACTATTATAGTCTACAATATTAGACTGTTATAGACTATTATAGTCTACAATATTAGACTGTTATAGACTATTATAGTCTACAATATTAGACTGTTATAGACTATTATAGTCTACAATATTAGACTGTTATAGACTATTATAGTCTACAATATTAGACTGTTATAGACTATTATAGTCTACAATATTAGACTCTTATAGACTATTATAGTCTACAATATTAGACTCTTATAGACTATTATAGTCTACAATATTAGACTGTTATAGACTATTATAGTCTACAATATTAGACTGTTATAGACTATTATAGTCTACAATATTAGACTGTTATAGACTATTATAGTCTACAATATTAGACTGTTATAGACTATTATTGTCTACAATATTAGACTGTTATAGACTATTATAGTCTACAATATTAGACTGTTATAGACTATTATAGTCTACAATATTAGACTGTTATAGACTATTATAGTCTACAATATTAGACTGTTATAGACTATTATAGTCTACAATATTAGACTCTTATAGACTATTATCATCTTCTGTTGTACATTAGACCTCTAGACCTGTTCATCCTATATATCTGCTACTTCATATACTTTGACCTTCATCTCATTTTTTCCCCCACCCACCATCCCTGGGAACCACTTATTGTCTATCTCTGCATATTTGACCTTCTTTTTTAAGATTCTACATTAAGTGAAATCATGTAGTACAGTCATGAGCCCCATAATGATGTTTCAATCAATGATAAACTACATATATGATGGTAGTCCCATAAGATTATAATACCACATTTTTACCATACATTTTCTATTTTTAGATAAGTTTACATGCACAAATACTTCCCATTGTGTTACAATTGTGTGCAGTATTCAGTACAGTACAGTAATACACTGTTCAGGTTTGTGTCCTGGGAGCAATAGGCTATACCACATAGACTAGTTGTGTAGTAGTATATACCATTTCGGCTTGTGTAAGTCCACTCTGTGTTGTTCACATGATGACAAAATCAGCAAATGATGTTGCGTTTTTCGGAACATATCCTTGTTGTTAAATGATACATGACTCTATTTTTCTTACTATCTGGCTTATTTCATTTAGCATAATATTTTTCAGGTATACCCATGCCTCCATGTCATGGCAAATGGCAGGATCACCTTTTTTTATGGCTGAAGAATATTCAGTGTATGTTTGTGTGTGTGTGTGTCTGTGTGTGTGTGTGTGTGTGTACCACATTGTCTTTATACATTCATCTGTCAACCTGACTCTTAGGTTGTTTCCATATGTTGACTATTGTGAATAGATGCAATGAGCATGGGAGTGCAGATATCTTTACAAGGTGATGATTTTTATCATCTTTGGTTACCTACTCAAAAGAGGAATTGCTGGGTCAATCCCCAAAAAAGGTATTGTTGGGTCATTGCTGGTCTATTTTTTAATTTCTTTAGGAACCTCCACACTGTTTTCCATAATGACTACACAAATCTAAATTCCCGCCAACAGTGTACTGTATTTCCCTTTTCCCCACACTCTCACCAGCAGTAACCTCTTGTCTTTTTTTTTTTTTATAATAGCCATCCTAATGGGTGAAGGGTGATATCTCATAGTGGTTTTCATTTGTGTTTCCCTAATGATTAGCAATGTTGTATACCTTTTCATATCCTGTTAGCCATTATTTCTCCTTTGGAGAAAAGTATGTTCAGGTCCCTTGCCTGTTTTTAATCAAGCTGTTTGTTGTTTCTGTTACTCATTTGTAAGTGTTCTTTACAAATGTTGAATATTAGCCTCTTAGGAGATATGCTGTGTGAAAATATATTTCCCAGTCTGTATGTTGCCTTTTTATTTGGTTGATTGATTCCTTTACTGTGCAGACACTTTGTAGTTTGATGTAGTTCCATTTATTTATTTTCGATTCTGTAGCCTAAGCTTTTGGTGTGATATCCAAAAATCATCTCCAAGGCCAATATCAAGGAATTTTTCCCCCTATGTTCTTCTCTAGGAGTTTTATGGTTTCACATCTTACATTTAGGTCTCCTATCTATTTTGAGTCCATTTTTGTATATGGTGCAAGATTAGGGTCCAATTTCATTCTTCTGCATGTTGCAATCCAATTTTCCCAGAATCATTTATTGAAGAAACTATCTTTACTTCAGGGTGTCCTGTTGGTACCCTTGTTGAAAATTAGTTAAGTTTCTGGCTCTCTATATTCTGTTCCGTTGGTCCACATTTTCGTTTTCATGCCATTTGTATACTGTTTTTGATTACTGTAGCTTTGCAATATAATTTTAACTTAGGAAGTGTGATGCCTCAAGCTTTGTTTTGCTTTCTCATTGTTCCTTTGCCTATTCTGTTTTTATGTGTCTGTGGTTCCATATGAATTTCAAGAATTTTTTTTCTATTTCTGTGATGCATATCCTTGAAATTTTGATAGAAATTGCATTGAATTTGTATATTGCTTTGGTTAATACAGACATTTTAACATTGTTAAATTTTTTGATTCATGAACACAGAATATTATTCTATTTATATGTGTCTTCTTCAACTTTTTTTATCAAAGGTTTATAGTTATCGGTATACAAATATTTCACCTTTATGGTTAAATTTATTTCTAACTATTTTTATGCTTTCATAAATGGGATTTTAAAGCGTCTTTTTCAGATATGTTGTTATTAGTGTATAAAAATGCTACTGATTTTTGTATGTTGATTTTGTATCCTGCAAGTTTACTGAATTAATTCATTCTGTCAGTTTTTTGTGGAATCTTTAGGGTTTTCTACATAAGGGATTATATCATCTGCAAATAGAGATAATTTTACTTTTTCTTCTTTCTGACTTAAATGCTTTTTATTTCTTTCTCTGGTCTGATTGCTATTGCTAGTACTTCCAATATTATGTGGAATAGAAGTAGCAAAAGTGGGCATTTGTGCTTTGCACTGGATCTTAGTGAAAAAGCTTTCAACTGTTTCCCACTGATTATTATGTTAGCTGTGGATTTTTCATAAATCACCTTTATTATATTATGTTGAGAAATTTTCTTTCTATACATAAACTGTTAAGAGTTTTTATCAGGAAAGGATGCTGAACTTTGTCAAATGCTTTTTCTGTGTTGATTGAGAAAATTCTGTGTTTTTTATCTTTCATCCTGTTAATGTGATGTGTCACATTGTTTCATTCGTGTATGTTAAACCAGCCTTGCATGCTAGGGATAAATCCTATTGGTCATGATGTATAATCTTTTTGATGTGATGTTGAATTTTGTTTGCTAATATTTTATTGAGAATTTTTCCATCAATGTTCATCAGAGATATTGGCCTATAGTTTTCTTTTTTGTGATGTCATTGGCTTAGGGATCAAGGTGATGCTTGCCTTGTAAAATGTGTTTGCAGGTATTTCTTCTATCTCTATTTGTTGGGAGAATTTAAATATTGGTAATACTTCTTTGAATGTTTAGTAGAATTCATTCATGAAGCCATCTCGTCCTGGGCTTTTCTTTGTTGCAAAGTTTTGAATTCATATTTCAATCTCTTAATTTTTATTGGTCCATTCAAGCTTTCTATTTCTTCCTGATTAAATATTGCACATAATTGTTTATAATAGCCCGTTATAATCATTTTTACTTCTGAAGTTTCCATTGCAATATTTCTACTTTTATTTCTGATTTTATTTATTTGAGTCTTTTTCCTTAGGTAGTTAGGAGTTTGTGAATTTTGTTTACCTATCCATACAACTAATTCTTGGTTTTACTATTTTTAAATGGTTTTTCTGCTCCCTTTTATTTCATTCTAGTCTTTATTATTTTCTTTTTTCCACTAACTTTGGGTTTAGTTTGCTCTTCTTTTTTTTAGTTTCTTGAGGCATAATGTTAGGCTATTTGTTTGGAATCTACCTTCTTTTTTAATGTAGGCATTTATTGTTATAAACCTTTATCCTAGAACTGTTTTTGCTGCATCCCATAGATTTTGATATGTTGTGTTGTCATTTGTTTCAAAATATTTTTTAACTTCCCTTTTGAGTTTTTCTTTAATTTATTGGTCATTCAGGAGCATGTGGTTTAATTTTCATGTATTTGTGGATTTTCCAAGTTCCCCATGTTATTGATTTGTAGTTTCATATCTTGGTAAATCAAGGTAGAATAGGAAGAATAAAATACAAAAAAAAAAAGAAACTATCTTAGAAAATTTGTATTGGTCTGTTTAGATGATCAATGAATAGTCCCAATAAGGATAATATAATTTATAGATTATACGTAGTTTTATAGGTGACATTAAAAATGCCATATATTTTTCATACTCTGAAAAAATGCATTTATTTGAACATTTTTATGCCTCTAATTGTTCTTTGTGTCCAATTACACACACAGGCACATATCCATAAAGTAATTTGCTTTTATTCTAGTATTTTCTATCATCCCTGCTCGAATTGAATAAATTAGTCCCATAGAAATAAATCATGTCTTCAAGATTAACAAGCCCTAGAAACAATAAGCTTTTTAATATAGCAGTGCTTAGACAAAAATAGTGGGATAGATGCTGTTGCATTGTTGTCTGGCTCTAAAAATACACTTAAAAAATCTAGATAAATGTAGCATTTATGATGACAGTGTTACTATTCAGTTGAATACAACATAAATGGTATAAGGACATTATGACTAAACCCGACACATATTTTAATTTAAACTGTACCACATACTGAAAACAGTTAGAATTCAGTCTCAAATCTTACTCCAGAATTTAAAATTCTAGCAAGAAAAAAATATTTTTTGCCTTTTATTTTAATTTTTTGGGGGTAAAGTTACTCCAGGAAAGGATTAATGTTGAATCAAGAAAATATCTTTTTACTTTTGATCAACCATTATCACATTTCAAAGAACTGCAAATGTAAGCGAGTATAGTCTTCAAAATATTTTAAGGTAGAGATAAATATCCTTGAATTTTCTAAATATTGTAGTCCTGGCAGCTGCATGCACTATTATAGCTGCTAAGAAAACAGCAATTTAAACATTTTATTCCCACACACTTCTTTTTCTTTTGCCACTCCCTAAAATAATAACTCACTTTCTCAGATAAAGGCCATTTAGCCACATTCCTAAAATAACACCAGCAAGAATATCTTCAGAAAACTACAATAAGGGCAGGGCACGGTGGCTCATGCCTGTAATCCCAGGACTTTGGGAGGCCAAGGTGGGCAGATCACGAGTTCAAGAGTTCAAGACCAGCCTGGCCAATATGGTAAAACCCTGTCTCTACTAAAAATACAAAAATTAGCCAGGTGTGGTGACATGGACCTGTAGTTTCAGCTACTCCGGAGGCTAAGTAGGAAGAATCACTTGAACCCAGGAGGCGGAGGTTGCAGTGAGCCGAGATCACACCTGCACTCCAGCCTGGGCGATAGAGCGAGACTCGAGACTCCATCTCAAAAAAAGAACAGAAAGAAAGAAAGAAAATTACAATAAGATTTCATGATACTAATTGTGGATTTTACAGTTTCTTGCTTTGTTTAGAGAGGTGTAAAAATTTATTTTTGGCTGTGCAATTATATCCAGTGTTCAAAAACTAAATATTTGAGCAAGAGAAACTAAGTTGAAAGCACAAATACCATATAGTAACAAGAAATCCAAGAGAAGCTTTTCTAAATTCAGTAATGTCCAGGCAGTTCAGTATGTTGGAGTGACTCATGTGGAAACTCAGCTGTAAAAAGCTCCAGTGCCCCACAAGTGTGCCTTAAAGAATCTCAAAACATTCAATTCTGAACTTACAGGATGAATGACTTAAGAAATGAACCTTATAAATGGATTTCTCACTTTACCAAAGAGTTCTGCAGTGGTTGATTTTAAATTGTAAGCTCTAGTACATGCAAAGCACAGAAACACAATATAAACAGCACTCTTCATGAATGCAGCTGAAGGTGTCTTGCAATGTACTAGAGTTTTAAAATCACCTCTGTTCTATCTCTGATGAATACTGTGATAAGCAGCAAAATCAGAAAGGTGGGCAAGCAGATGACATAGTTAATCTATTGTCCAATCTTTCACCTGTTTTTGCCCAGAGAAGGGGAGGGGATAAAAAGTTGCATTCTATTCCTGCACCTCTCACCTGTCAAACTTTCCTTTAGCAAGCATTGCAAAGACCCCAAGAGGCCAGGTGTCTTTTTCAATCAAATGCCCTTAGGCGTTGTGTAGAAGAGCCTTAACAGAGCAGGCCTGAAACAGCTAAACAGATAGGACTGCTTGCAAGGTTGACCATTGTCTGGCATTTGGGAACCTGGATTTCAGGAGGATTCACTTTATTTGCTGTCTGATAAGGGTAATTTGCTGTGTATAAAAAATATGTTTGTATAAAAAATATAATTGATACTGAACACCTGATTTCCTTCTCGGAGTCTCAAATCTTGGGCAGAGAGCACCTATGTGACCAGGCCCCAAAAACAACTTTGGGCACTTTGTCTCTAATGAGCTTTTATCAGGAACAACATTTCAAGGTGTTGTAACAATTTGTTGCTGGTAGAATTAAGTGAGTCCTATGTGACTCCACTCGGAAAGAGTTATTGGAAGTCTGTGCTTAACTGTTTCCTCTGAACTTCGCCCCATGTGCCTTTTTCCTTTGCTGATTTTGTTTTGTGTCCTCCTGCCACGTAATAATAAATTGTAACCATGTAATAAATCATAGGCATGTAATAAGTCCTAGTGCTACGGGAAAGGGGTCCCAATCCAGACCCCAAGAGAGGGTTCTTGGATGTTGCCCAAGAAAGAATTCAGGGCAAGTCCATAGAGTAATGTGAAAGCAAGTTCACTAGGAAAGTAGAGAAATAAAAGAATCGCTACTCTATAGACAGAGCAGCCCCTGAGGGCTGCCGGTTTCCCATTTTTATGGTTATTTCTTGATTATATGCTAAACAAGAGGTGGATTATTCATGCTTCTTGTTTTTAGAACATAGGGCAACTTCCTGATGTCGTCATGGCATTTGGTCATTCTCATCGCCATCTTGGTTTTGGTAGGTTTTAGCTGGCTTCTTTACTGCAACCTGTTTGATGAGCAAGTTCTTTACGACCTGTATCTTGTGCTGACCTCCTGTCTTATCTAGTGACTTCAAATGCCCTAACCATCTGGGAATGAAGCCCAGTAGGTTTCAGCCTTATTTTTACCCAGTTCCTATTTAGGATGGAGTTGCTCTGATTCAAATAGCCAATAGTCATGGATATGACTTGTGAATCCTCATCCAAATACCCTCACCGAGCGGGTATGTGGGACTCCCAACACAGGTAACCTTTGCATATAATGAATTAGCCTCTCTCTTATGCAACAAGCATGGTACTAGCCCTGTTTTATGAGAAAATAGTGATTCAGACCATTTTCACATTTCAAAAAAGTTGTTAAAATAATTTAGCAAATCATTTTAACATTTCAAAAGTGCTTTTTTGCATATTTTAAGGCAGAGTAGGCATGGATTCCTGTGTACTGAGTCCATACAAATCTGGGAAGCAGGCATTACTAACCCACCTGAAGGTAAAGAAATAGAGCATTTATCATGCACTGGTCTCTGTCTCTTACACTGAACTATGAGCTACTAGAAAACATTTTTTCCACTTATGTGTTTCCAGTGTTTAGAGCAGTCGATGGAGTTAAATTAATGAATGAATGCATGTATTAATTTAAAAGTTAATTTTGAAGTTTCTAAAAGATGATAAATTGTGGATCTGGGACGCAAACTGATTCCAAGTTAATGCATTTTATTACCCCAGATTGCTAAGCATTTTGACATATATGCTTACTAATGAGGACATTATAGTTTACAGAGGCTTAGAAACTGGCGCAAAGTCATTCGTTCATTCAACATTTATTTTTGACTATGTTCCGGGCTTGTGCTAGATTGTAGGATATAGGTTAAAAAGAAAGAAAAGAGAAAACTTTTATATTGCAATATATTGAAATAGACTCTATTAAAAATATATAAAGGGGAATGAAACTGGAGGATTCTCTGACTACATAAACATGTACACTATTATTTGGAAGAAATCATGAGCATCTCAAAGTTCATCTGACACAAAGATCGTGCTTAGGCTTGGTACCACCATTGAGAGGATTTCCATTCTTGGCATTACTGATACATGGAGCTTCTGGTAGTGAGAATGATATGTGGATTTCTCACACTGAAGCAATGGCCTAGAAATAATAAAACCTAATATGGACTGTTTCATGCTCTCAATCAGATCAAAGTAATTTGGCTCCAAGTGCAAAAGCTTCAAGACTGTTTATCAAGTGGTTAGCATTCAATGTCCCAATAATTCAAGCCACACATACTCAAAATTAATTAGGATGTATCAGTCATTTTAATATATCCCTGAGTCAGAATGACTTCAAATCTAAAATGAGAAAAAAATAAATCATATGTGGTACTCTCTGTATGGGATAGGAGCTAAACAATGAAGAATATGGAGTAAGTCTTTGATCTTGGGTATATGACATGTAATTGAGTACATGACAAGCCACCACACATATACTGAATATATTAGAGTGTAACTGGAGTCCATTGAACTTTGAAAAAAAAAATTTTAATGCAATGTTAAAGTGGAGTGGGTCAGACACTGCTTCTTTCCATTCTCTTTTCTTCCCCTAAAGATACAGTAGCCATTTTTGAGCATGAGAAAATAAGTCACAGTTTAACATGACAAACAAGAAGGCTTAAATCGGACCACGTACTTCTGAACTTATTGTTTTGTAGAAATAAGTGCATGTTTGCTTAAGTCACCATAGTCCATGGAAAGGTGGAAACCAGTCCTAACTCATACATTGGTGGTTCTCTAGTATATAATCTTTTGCTTCATTCAAAATATTATTCTGAGACTGTCCCACACTAAAGCTATCTTAGAGTCACTATTACAAATTATGAACTATGTATCAATGAGCTTTTTCTGTGTTGCATCTATATAGGTGAGTACAATGAAGAAACTAGATACAGTTCCATGCAGAAGATATTGATGATTCAGTATCCACTGCAGATACCTCATTCTCAAGACAGAAAAAAATGACAAGAAAATGTTAGGAATGGTGTGAAAATTTATAAGCTGACACAATAATTGAGTTCATTAAGTGAATTTTAAATTTGTTTCAAATATCATCATGTAGCTAGCCTGCTTATGGTGTTAGCTCAGTGCCAGGTGTGACTTAAAGTGTTTTCTCTTGCAAGAAAATGGAAGAATAGAAATACAACTTGTGACTGTGAAACAAAGACAAACTTTTAGCAAACTCAGCAGGATTTCTACATGTAAATGATTCTTGGCCTTTAATATGATGACCTTAAAGAACTATTTTCTGATTTTGGTGACACTGCTGGAGTCTTTTGACAAATCACTCCCTTTGAAATTATCTACTGAGGAAGTTCATAATCCAAAGAGAAAAATCCATCTTTTTTACACTGTTGTCTCACACACACGCACACACACACACGTACTCACATGTTTAACTATAAACTGTAAAAAACTGTATTTTTATAAGGTTTTTAGAGACAGTGGAGGGGATATTTTGTACACCAGAAGAACATAACTTGAAAAATAAATTCTATAAACAATATTTTTAAAAGCATTTAATGCATTTGAAGAATTCTACATCTTAGGCTGTAGGCATCTTGCAAGAAATATTTCCAAATAGTTTTCTTGGTTGGCTATTCCATATTTTATACTTGAGTACATTATAGTCTCTAAGAACTTTTCTTTATTTATTTTCATGCTCTAATTTTTCAGATAAAGAAACTGAAGTTCAGAGACATGAAGTAAATTTATTTACTGTATTAGTCAGGGTTCTCCAGAGAAATAGAACCAATAGGAGATAGATAGATAGATAGATAGATAGATAGATAGATAGACAGACAGACAGACAGACAGACAGACAGACAGTCACACTATTATGAGGTCTAGAAGTCCCACCATTTGCCATCTGCAAGCTGGCAAACCAGGATAGCCAGTAGTGTAATCACTCCTAGTCTGAAGGCCCACGAACCAGACGCTACAATGTCTGGGAGCAGGAGAAGATGGATATCACAGCTCCAAAGAAAGAAATAATTTGCCTTTCCTCTACCTTTTTGTTCTATTGAGGCCCTCAATGGACTGGATGATGCCCACTCACATTAGTGAGGGTGATCTTCTTTACTCAGTCTACTGATAGAAATACTAATCTCTTCCAGTTAACACCCTCACAGATATACCCAGAAGGAACATTTGACTAGCCATCTGAGCATCTCTTAGGCCAGTCAAGTTGACATATAAAGTTAACCATCACAGTAACCAAGGTCCTAAAACTGGTAACAGTCACAAAGCTGGGCTTGGAATATGGGTCTCCTGCATTCAAGTCTACTGTTATTTAACTGATGCTTCTTTTGCCATTTATTTTTGCTCACATCATCTGAAATGAGTTTGAGCAATTATGTATGTATTTGCATATTTTTAATTGAGATAAAAAATGTTTTCATCTTAAGTTTAACTATTATAGTTATGGATGTCATAAATCTAGCATACTGTAAAGACAATGGCCTCATGACAAATATAATAGAGATAGTCTTCATTAATATTCAACTTGTTAACATCACCCACATAGACTTATTAATAGTTGTTTTTAGCAATTCAACAAAGCTTATTCATTATTGCTTTTATTTCAAAAGGATAAAATGTTCTATGCAGAACCATACACACACAAAAGGATATTATTCATTAGCATTGAATTTATTTGCAATCACAGTTTTCCATAATTTAAATTCTGCAATTCTATTTTTTAAATTAAATAATGGATATTAAGCATCCACAGCAGATATTTCATAAATGTTCAAATGTGAAATAGCTTTATTCCTACCTATAGCTTTATTTCACTGATTTTGTTTAATAAAAAGTAACATGACATAATAAACAAATAATCTGACAATTAATCCCATGTGACCTTACTCAACTGACTTGACTTCTCTTATCTGCATATCTACCTATTTTACAGAGTTATTGTATGGCTCTAACCAGAAAATATATCTGAAAGTACTGTGAAATTTTAAACACATATTAACAGTTCTCATCAATAATCCATGGTGGATCTCTTTTGATTCAAAAATTGCAAATGGCGGCCAAAGTAACCTACATCTCATCCTCCACGCTCTCACTGCATCCTCATCAGCCCTATATTACAAGCTTTTAAACATTGGCGTCAACTTAGAATTCTCTATCTCCAATCCTGTCAGTTTTGCCTCGGGAACACCTCTTGAGTCAGGTGTCTTACTATTTTTCCCATCACCAGTACATTTTCTTGTTTAGTTCTTCATCACCTCTTAACTGGACTGTAGAAACAACCCCTTCTCTAGTATTCCTGTTTCCAGTTCTTTTTGACTCAAATTCCTCCTCTATCCTGTGGCAAAGCTTATCTTTTTTATTTATTTTATTTTTGTTTTTGAGATGAAGTCTCACTCTGTGGCCAGGCTTGAGTGCAGTGGCGTGACTTGGCTCACTGCAAACTCCACCTCCCGGGTTCAAGCAATTCTCCTGCCTCAGCCTCCCGAGTAGCTGAGATTACAGGAATGCACCACCACACCTGGCTTACTTTGTATTTTTAGTAAAGACAGGGTTTCATCATATTGGCCAGGCTGGTCTCGAACTCCTGACCTTGTGATCCACCCGCCTCGGCCTCCCAAAGTGCTGGGATTACAGGCGTGAGCCACCGTGCCCGGCCCCAAGCTTATCTTTTTTAAAATGCAAGTGGATCATTGTCATTCTCACTCACTCTCCATCGTCCACAGGGATCACTTGGCTTCTCCATGTACTGTGCATGTCTCATAAAAACATGACTAGACAAAAGTCCAGTCTGCAACCCTGCCTCTCCCCACTGTGTATCTTTTGCCCCAGTTACCTTAAATTTCATATGGTTCCACAATATTCCTTTTCATGATTGTGAGCCTGTGCTGTTATCCTCTCCTTGCAGAATGTTCATAATGTGTCTGGGTTGCATAAAGATGGAAATGAAAGCCTTTCAAGATGAGAAGTACTGTACTTTACAATGATTATTAATGTTATTATACAAATTTTAATCATTTCAAAATCTTAGCACAGATATACAAGGACAATTAATTTTTTCCTAGTCCATATCGGCAGGGCTGTCCAGGAATTGTTCAGTGAGTCATTTAGCCTACAAGAATTAAAGAATCACGTGAAATGAATGGTTTTAAAACTGAGTAACTTTGGCAAAATAGAAAATTTAAATAGATTTCTCCCTCATATCTCTTAGAAATTGCGTCTAATTGCATATAATTTGATATTATAAATTTCAATATATGAAAATTACATTCTGAAATAATTTAATTACTTAAGAATGGTGTAATAATACTGTAATTTAAATTTTTTATACTTGTCTCATTTCAAATGGCCTAGAGCCATTCAATAAACATTACCATAGTCAAAATAAGTAGCGAGCAGGTCCTCTTCAGACTTCAAAGCAAGACCCAGAAAGAGAAGAGGATTCTAATTACCAATGTAGGGTTATGTGTTAGCCAGAAATTGGGTTTCTGAGGCCAGTTCCACTAAAGTTTGATGGTAAGTAAATGGATTCAGAGATAATAATAAAGCTTTAAAGAAATACATTTATTGAGCACCTTCCATGTACCAGCTGCTTTCTCATTTGACTCCCCCCCGCCAAACAATATTAAAACATACATATTTATCTTTTTTTTTTTTTTTTTTTTTGAGACGGAGTCTCACTCTGTTGCCCAGGCTGGAGTGCAGTGGTGCCATCTCCGCTCAGGGCAAGCTCCGCCTCCCGTGTTCACGCCATTCTCCTGCCTCAGCCTCCTGAGTTGCTGGGACTACAGGTGCCCGCCACCACGCCCAGCTAATTTTTTGTATTTTTAGTAGAGATGGGGTTTCACCATGTTAGCCAGGATGGTCTTGATATCCTGACCTTGGGATCTGCCCGCCTCGGCCTCCCGAAGTGCTGGGATTACAGGCATGAGCCACCGCGCCCGATCTATCTTTTTTTTTTAATGTGGAAAAAATGAGAGTAAGAAGAGAGAAAGGACTCTTCTACTAACAAACTGCCCAAAGGCAGCCGAGCAAGGACTCATCCATCATCCACACACATTCGTGGAATACCTTTCAGTGCTCCTGGTTCAATAATAGGAGCCTGGAATGCAAATGAGAACATGAGAGCCTCTGCTCTCCAAGGGCTAATGTCTACTAGATTGAAACTCAGGTCTGCCTGACCCCTTTTCACTGAAACACACTGAATAAGGCATGTCAAGTTGTAAAACATGATATACCTGTTGCTGTTATAACTATTATAATCTTTTCCTCTCACATCAGCCCTGCTAATAATCCTAATCACTCTAACTTTCTGTATCATTTTATGTAAAAAACAAGAAAAGAAAATAGGTTATTCTTACCATTGGGCCTTTATACCTGGATGCCTTGCCTAAAGGCCCCTTTGGTATGTTAGCACCTTAGCAAAAGGGAGCTTTAGTCTGCAACACCTGTGCCCAGATTATATCTTACTTACAGTTGGCCTACTTGCCATTGACATTTTTGCTCACAGATTTGGTTTTCCTAACTCTCTAGACTTCCCTTGTGGATATTTGGATTGAGTCTGGACTCAGTTATACAGGCCCTGATTTTGATGTAAAGTGCATTCCTGGGTAATAGACCACCTCCTCCATTTCTAAACCCATGATGTATTACACAGGGAGGAGAGGAAAGGAGAAGAGGGCAGGGTGAGACCACTCTTGCTGCAGGCTCCAGGAAGATAGGAAACATGGTTGTCTTGTTCACTGCCGAATTCCAGTTCCTAGTACGGCATCTGGAATCCAGTAGGAATTTCTTAATTATGTGTTGAGAGAGCAAGGAGAACCATGGAGAGTTCCTGTGATTATGGAGTACTCTTCATCTTCTCAGAGGAAATAAAATGAAAAGCCCATAAAAGTATTAAAAGAGAAAAAAGATATGCCTGGTTTGACATTAATCCACACCATCTAGACTTGGATCTGCTCCTGTATCTAGTACCCATGACTTCTTTTAATATCAGAGAAACCAATTATTATCAAGTATGTGAAGAGTTCTTCATCTATACTTAAAATAAAGAGGAATATGGACCTAGAGTGCAAAACAGGAGTAAGATGTTGAACAGCTTCCCAGTGGAGAGGTTGTGAGGCCCTAGAACATTTTACAGAGAAAGCTCTGTAAGATTAACACCTCATCTGCTTGACGGTTTAGCAGAGTAGCCCTGTCTGGAGGAAACAGCAGAGATGAGCTTGTTTCACATTCCGTCCAACTCTGCAATGTATTGGTTTTGAATCATTCGTCCCACTGTAAGTAATTCACAAAGAAGAAAAATTCCACCAGAAGAGTTTCAGTACTTTGGCCTTTAATAACGCTCAAAACTTTTCTTGGAAAGGAGGAAAAATCAAATGAAAAGGTCTTACCTGCAAAAGGTTAGAGCTGTGTCATGTGAAAATTAGCTCCAATCCTGAGGAAGGCCAAGTTGGACACGTTAAAACAAAAGGTCTGCAACATGGCGATCTCTTCCACATACCTGTCGTTATTGGGTTTTACTCAAATGTGTTCGCTAGCTGACTAGAAGAGGCTTTCACAGAAGAATCACACTTTATCTCTGCCTCCTGATACAGGCATTGCAGCCTCTGCCTCCCAAAGTGCTGGGATTACAGGCATGAGCCACCACACCTGGCCAGATTTGTTTCTCAAGAGTAACCTACTCAGCCCTGAGATGTCAGCTTAGACTGTGCTTTCAATCTTTTTTTCAGTGTCTCAGTCCTGGCACATTTTAAAAAAAATTTTTTCTCAAAAATCTTATTTATTTTCGTTCAGGACATTGTCTCATTTGAGGTTATGGAATGATTAATGTGAATGAGGTACCCACTTTTGCTAGGCCATAAGCTTCCTGAGGGCAGGACCACGTCTGGTCTTGCTCGCTATCCCATTTTAGGGTGAAGCAGTTTAGCATGGAGGTGCTTGACAGACATTTCATAAAACAGAGAAATTTAAATAACTACATGTGTGACCCCTGTCGGGAAAAGAGTTGAAGTAAGAGTCATTCAAAAAATATAAATCATGGCCGGGGCGGGTGGTTCATGCCTGTAATCCCAGCACTTTGGGAGGCCGAGGTAGGTGGATAACAAGTTCAGGACTATCCTGACCAACATGGGGAAACTTCCTTTCTACTAAAAATACAAAAATTAGCTGGGCGTGGTGGTGGGTGCCTGTAATCCCAGCTACTTGGGAGGCTGAGGCAGGAGAATAGCTTGAACCAGGGAGTCAGAGGTTGCAGTGAGCCGAGATTGTGCCACCGCACTCCAGCCTGGCAACAGAGCGAGACCCCATCTCAATTTTATATATATATATATATATATATATATATATATATATATATATATATATATATATATATATATATAAACATAAGATGGTCAATGGTGGAAGAACCAAAAAAGGAAAAAATATGAAAGGGAAAGGACAGGAGGGGAGGTAAGGAAAAATAAAATGAGTGTGACCACAATTAAGTTAACTGGGATTAAGCTAAAATAGTTTAGTTTAGGACTTTGGAGAAGCTAATCATATCACAGGTTATTAGAAAAATGTTCCTCCATTATGGGTTTGGCTTAACTGTTGCTGCAAAAGAGTTAAGACTGAAAACAAATGGCTTTGATAGCTGAACAGCCAAGCTTTCTGTGAGCAAAACTGCCCGGGGGAGGGAAAAAGATTTTTGCAATTTTAAACTAGATTTCTGTTTAGCTAACAGAAGCTACATCCATCCAGAATGTGCTGTGATTATAAGTATTATTATTTCTGATTTTTTGAGTGGATGCTAAGGGCTACCAATTAAAATGAACTTCTAAAATCTCTTGAACCTCATGTGTTCGTGGAAAATTCATTTCCCCTTCCCACTGTTTCACTCCTCTACTTCATAATGGTACTATTTTTTCTCCTAGATTGCACACAGAAACCACACATATATTTTCTATTAGTGCATAAAGCTACTGAAAATCTCATGAGAAAAATAGGCCACATCACCACAATTTTACAGGATGAGGCAAGTGCACCATAACAACTGCAAAGAGGTAAACACTTCTAAAAAGCCACTCTGAGGTTACGTGGGCAGGAAATGTGGGTGGAGGTCAGAGAAGAGAGCTCTTTGGGGCAGAAATCATAGAGAGAACCTGAGAGAGTTAGGGGTCATTTTATAAGAGAGGAGATTGTGAGTGAAGGTGGACAGAGCTGATTGTGGTATGACCACAAAGTAACTTGAAGGACTGTAGGAGGTAGAGGAACATGGAAAATTGAACTAATTCATTTTTTTTTCTCTGAAGCTGTCTGCTTCAGGAATAAACTCAAAAATATGCATTTTGGGGCATCATAAAATTTATTCCCCTTTTCCAGCCATATGGGAAAAGAATGAAAAATGGGAGAGTGTAAGAATGCAGTTTGAAAAGACCTTTCAACTCCAATGTGCCCCAAGGTCTTTTTTGTTTGTTTGTTTTTGTTTTCTGGCATTAAAGCAACATTTAATCTCATTGATTGCTTGCAATGTTAAACTGAGGGAAAGCTCTTTATCATTTTTCTGTGTAAAGAAGATAAAATTAGAGTGATGTTGTCAAATATTCCAAATATTGTATCTATAATCATAAAACATTTCTTCACTGACTAGTAGATCAAATACTATTGCTTTATTTATTATGTGTGTATATATACCTATATATATACATATAAGGTGTATGTATTTTCTTCCTTGTTTCACATTAGACAACATCAAACCCTTGATTGAAGAAAGAAGAAAATTCAGTATGTCCTAGAGTGGCTTGAAGCTAACATTAGTAGATTATTGTTATAGAAAAACCTGGTGACTCTATAGGCATTTTCTTTATTTTGCAGAACAAAATTAATATGTTGTATTAATCAAAATATTTTAATAGATTGCTTGTAAAGCTACACATATCCAAAAAATTATCTTTTAGTTACTTTTGCTGAGTCTGAGTATATGTCACCCAAGGAAAATATTTTGTGGTTTTAATTTTTTTGCTGGAACTCATCCTCCCTCAAAAAAAGTAATGAGCCACTTTCTCATCTTGCTTTGCACTCCTGCTGAGTAGATGTGAGGGTGAACTTCAAAAAGTATTGCTTACAGCTCAGTTGCCAGGGCTGGCATATAGGACAAGAAGCTGAACTCATTTGAGTATAATATTTTATTTCCTGGAGTACGTAAGAGAAATGTTCATGTAGAGAATAAATAGCGTTTGTTGGCGCTTTGAAAAATATATGTCATGCTAGAAGATTATAAACTGATGAGTAAAACAGTCATTTGGAGAGAGAAAACTTCAGGATAGGGAACACAAGCAATGATAGAACTTGTTTTTCTTCTTAGACTCTCTTACTGCAAGGTTGTGTAAGCATTCTTTCAGGCATCCAAAAAATCTAAGCCTTTTCACAGAACTACTGTCTCTCAGAACTTTCTATTAATTTCCAAAGACCCTAGTGCAAAGGCAGGTTTCTTTCTTTCTGTGGTCATTGGAGCAAATGTATTTTAGAAGAAGCAGATTGCAACATTCTTGGTATGTTTTCAACTAATTAGGGTTCGGATCGTTGGTAAGATCTGAACCCACCATGTTGTTTATTTCTATACTGTTTGGCCAAAGATATCATTACCAGACTATAGTTGAGTTGCTGAGCCTGAAGAGGCACGAGTGACTTCAATTAGACCCTGGGACCAGCCATTCAAAAACAACACATCTCTAAGTGCCTATAGTGATAGACAGTAGGGTACAATGCTGGAGAGACATACCAAATAATAATTATAATTATTTTAGTGTGGGCAGCTATATAATAAAATATCATAAACTGAGTGGCTTATAAACAACAGAAATTTATTTCCCACAGTTCTGAAAGCTGGGAAGTCCCAAATTAAGGAACTGGTAGATTTGGTGTCTGGTGAGGGCCATTTTCTTGATGCATTTTCACATGCAAAAGGGATGCGGGAGCTCTCCGGGGTCTCTTTTATGAGAGCACTCATTGCATTTATGAGGACTCCATCCTCATGACCTAATCACCTACCAAAGTCCCTACCTCCTAATACCATCACCTTGGGGTTAGGGTTTTAACATATGAATTTTAGGGGAATGTTTATAGCGATCATAATAATAGATAAAACAATTGCTTTAATGGTAATAGCACATTTATTAAGTACTTATTGAATGCCTGGTACTGTTTCTTTTCTTTTTTTTTTCTTTTTGAGACAGAGTTTCGCTCTTATTGCCCAAGCTGGAGTGCAATGGTGCAATCTTGGCTGACTGCAACCTCCTCCTCCCGGGTTCAAGCGATTCTCCTGCCTCAGCCTCCCCAGTAGCTGGGATTACAGGCACCCACCACCACACCTGGCTAATTTTTTGTATTTTTAGTAGAAACAGGGTTTCACCATGGTAGCCAGGCTGGTCTTGAACTCCTGACCTCAGGTGATCCGCCCACCTTGGCCTCCCAAAGTGCTGGGATTACAGGCATGAGCCACCGCGCCTGGCCATGCCTGGTACTGTTTCAAGTGCTTTGCAATACTGATTCAGATAATTTTCAAAACAACCCTATGAGTGAGGTATATTATTATCCCATTTACAGATGAGGAAGTTGAGGCCCAGTGCAATTAAATAATTTGCTCACAATTGGTCAGCTACAGAGGAATTTTAAGAAAGACATTCATTCTGTCCAGCTGCTTAACCACTACACTAAATCGCCTAGAACTATGAGCTGCAGTAGTGTAATTGGAGAAGGAGTGCTGGGAGTAGCCTTAGAAGTAAGGAAGTTTTGCCTAGAGAACCTAATAGATAAGCTGAATTTATTTTTAAATTGAGATATAATTCACATAACATAAATTTTACTATTTTAAAATATACAATCCAGTGGTTTTTAGTATATTCACAAGGTTATGCAATCATTACCACTAGCTAATTCTAGAACATTTTTATCACCCCAAAAGAAACCCCATTCCCATTAGCAGTTACTTGCTATTCCCTCTTTCTCTCAGTTCCTGGCTAACATTCATCAGCTTTCTATCTTTATGGATTTTCCTAACCTGGACACTTCATATAAATGGAATTCTAAAATGTGTGGCATTTTGAGTCGGACTTCTTTTTTATTTTATTTTATTTTTTATTTTTTTGGTACATTGTTTTTAAGATCCACCTCTGTGGTAGCACATATCACTATTCATTCTTTTTTTGGCTGAAAAAAACCACCTTTTGTTTATTCATTTATCAGTTAATGGACATTGTGGTTGTTTCCACCTTTTGGCTACTGTGAATAATGCTGCTGTGAACATTTGTGTACAAGTTTTGGTGGGAACATATATTTTCACTGTTCTTCAGGATATACCTAGGATTGAAATGTCAGGGTCATATGGTAACTCTATGTTTAACATTTTTAGTAACTTCCAAAATGTTTTCAAAAAAGGCCGCACCATTTTCCATTCTCACCAGCAGTAATGAGAGTTCTAATATCTTCACATCTTTACCCACACAAATAATTGTCCTCCTTTTTTATTATAGCCTTACCCATGAGTATAAAATGGTCTCTTGTGATTTTGATTTCAATTTTCCTAATGACTAATGATTTTGAGCATCCTTACAGGTGCTTATTGGGCATTTGCATATCTTCTTTGGATAAACCTATTCAAATTTCTTTCTATTTTTAAAATTAGGTTGTTTGTCTTTTTATTGTTGAGATGTAACAGTTTTCTATGTATTTTGGATACTAAATTCCTACCAGACATATGATTTGCAAAAATATTCTCCCATCCTGTGGGTTGTCTTTTCACTTTCTTGATAGTGTCCTTTGAAGCACAGAAGTTTTAAATTTTTTCGATGTTCAATTTATTTGTTTGTTTGGTTGCTTGCTTACTTACGCTTTAGTTGTTATATATAAAAAACCTAGTTGTTATGTTACAGGTGTGAGCCACTGCACCCAGCCTATAAATGAATTTCTTTAGGTTTCATTTTTGAATTATTCATTGCAAGCACATAGAAATGAATTTATTTTTGCATATTGATCTTGTATCCTAAAACTTGCTGAATTCATTTTTTATCTCTAATTTTTTGTGTGTGTGGCTCTCAGGATTTTCTACATACAAGATCATGTCATTTGCAAATGGAGATAATTTTGCTTCTTCCTTTTTAATCTGGATAAATCTGAGTTTTAAAAACATATCTGTTAATAGAACTTAACCTGAAGGATAAGCAGAGGAGTAATTCTAGTCAGAGCCCCAGAAATGTAAAATAATTTGCCTTCTTGTAACCATACTAGTGCAAGATTATGAAGGCCTTACTTTGGGGAAGTATATGGCAAAAAATGAGAATTGCAAAGTAAACAAGGGGCGAAATTAGAGAGGACCTTATCACTAAGCATAGTTGTACTGAGGAAGCATTGATGCACTGTGAGCTGGATTAAAAAGTGATCAGATTATTGCTTCAGAAATTTCAGTGTGGTATCCACATGGACAATTATTTGAAGGCAAAAATTCCTCTATAATGATTCCAAGTTTTCTGGTTTCTGCAACCTGAGGGATAATAGAGTCATTCAAAAATCTGTTTGACGGACTTGTAAACTTGTTTATAAATTACTTGGAATAAAAAATGTTAGAATGTATTTTCTGGGTTTAAAATAGAGTGTGAATCCAATGAGTGAAGGCCATTTCTACACTGACTTATTTATAACAGCGAAAAGGAATAGCCTGGGGAGTAAACCCCCAGTTAATCCCTGCCAACCTAGGTCATCAAGATGTCAGGAAGACGGTAGAACAATGCAATTTAGCCTTACTGCACTCATCTTTTAAAATGAATAATGGGATCAGAAAATATTAAAGTTGCAAAAACTATTACCAGAAATTTACCCACCCTTTTCTCCTTTGTATATAATCTTTGAAAATTAATTTAACCCATCTCAAGCCACTAGACATGGTACAGTAAAGCCAATCTATTTCTACTCACACTTTATTAGGGTTCCTTCTGTTATATAAAATTTGTAAGCATGGTTCTTAAATAATGAACCATGAAAACTGAACACTATGGAGGAAGTAAATGCTGTAAGCAAACACAGTTTACACGACAGTAAACTGGGCACTTATTGAATAATATTCATAATGGTCATCTTGCTACATTGTAATGTTGGTCATATAAAATAAGGTCATTTCTACAAACAAGAGTAATTTGTAATTGTCAGAGTCAGGCAAGTTATTTCCTTGTTTAGTAAGAAGAAAGGATAGCCCTGTAAGAAACAGACAATTCAGCTAAAACAAACTAGATTTGTTTCACTTTTCTCATAATCTGTCTGATTATGGTTTCTCTTATGTTAGAAATATCCATTCCACTGGAGTCTATTTTTTCTCTTTTTGGGTAAAAATCTTCAATGTGAGTTTCCCAGATTATTAAAGGTGAAGATATCCCTTTTTTTAATATGTGGGGATAAAAAATGAAGTTCTTATGTTAAAGGAGGAGGAAAAGCTTCCGTTAATAACCAGGTCCAAAGACTGCCTCTAGGAGCTGTGTCACACTCAAAGGGGCATAACGGGGCTAGAGGATCTAGGCAAAACCAAGCATAACTATATCTTCAGTGCAATGCCATCAGATTGCTTTACAAACACTAAGAAGAGGGAAGTTTTATTGGAGATAATTATGTTGGAACAGAGTTTAACATGGGGATGGATAACCTTGGTAAGACATTGTACATTTCAGTGAATCAGAGGCTGCCGTGAAAGTACTGAACTCCTGGACAAAAGGACCAGGGAGATGTTAGAATTTACGAAAGGGAAAAAGAACTAAAAGCTTTCTCTGAAATTTCCGTTAGGCTCGTTCTGCTTCATTTCTTCTTTGAAACATAGATTATGATCACTATTCTTGTCATGTTCAGCCCCATGTTTCACTTTCCTCATCCTGGAGTGGTGTTGAAGGAGGCTAGGCAGAAGACAAAGGAAAAAGTGAACTAGGCACAGTGTGATAGATCTGTTGGGTAATGATGCTTGAGAGGGCGTAATTGTACTTGGCCATGTACTGTTGACAAAGGTGTACATTATTATTAAAAGCTTCCTCCCCTTCAAGTAACAGATACACACACACACACACACATACAGACACACAAATAATCACACACAAAAATTCCTTCCCTCTTTAAAAAAAAAATAAGTCTTTTGAGTGCTAGATTTACTACTCTAAAGTGAGGTGAGCCAGTAGGAGAAATCCAAGCTAATTTAGAATGAAGAAAATCATTATTATAGCAAAACATTCGAAAAAGATACGCATCAGGTCTGGATCCCAGTGGTATTAAGAAAAATGTATCTATTAAGAATATTTTGGGGTTACAGTGATCGAAAAACTGCCCAGTGGCTGCTTAAACCTATAGAAATTTATTTTCCTCACTTAATGAGAAGACTAGAAATAAGAAGTTTTTGTTCACATTGATTTAGCGGCTCAGTGATATCGGTGCTGGCAGCTGTGGGAATCTTTTGGCCTTTCCCTTAAGGCTGTAAGATAAATGCAGTGGCTCAATTGCACCTACTCTCTAGACAAGTAAGAGAGAAGGATGTACTAGTCATGACTGTCATCACAAAAGCATAAGCCTTCACCCATCCATGAAAAAAAATGAAATAGACATTGGTAAGTGTCTCATTGTATCACCTCACCAGTCCTGAATAGAAAGAAGACAGGGAAGTGAGTATTAACTTTTTTCAATCTTTATAGTGCAGGCAGGCATAAAAAAATAAGGTTGGGATAGGTAGGTCTTAATGTGTCCAAAGTAATGTGTCCCAAACAGCAGAAATGACTAAGGGGAACATGTGAGCATGACTGTTTCTCTCATAGTGGGCTCCAAGCTCCCTAATGGAAGCATTCACTGGGTGCTTTGGGGGATGATAGTCTGTTCTCTGTGTGGCCTTACATAAGCAATGCAGTCGACAGTTGTGTGTGTTATAAAATCTCAAGATGCTGGGGTCATGGGCAAGAGAGATATGCATAGCCATTTTCATCATTAACTGGATATCTAATGATGGGAAGCGTGGTGCACTGAGTGACAAGGGCCATACATTTCTTGCATATAACATCACCCACTCTAATATGCTCTATGAAATAACACTCTATGGAAAACAGTGAAGAAAGCAGAAAAACACGAAAGTAAAATAACAAAAAAATTAAAAACTCCTGCATTCCAAAGGCAACCACCAGTAACAATTTCATATATGATTTTCTAGTCTATTCAATAAGCAAACCGTTTGTAGCCTACTTTTTAGCTTAGCAGATCTAGAGCATATTCAGAGGTCGATATTTATTCCTCTGTAACAGATTATGTAATGGCTGCATAATCCTTCTATCATCTAAAGTTACCATAATGAATTTGACCAATCCCTATTGGAGGACATGAGGTTGTTTCCATTTGCCAATTGTCACAGTTTACTGTGGTTAAAGTTGTTATGCTCAATAATAACAATAAGTAATATTTACAAGCTATTTACTAAACAATGAGCACTGAGTAAATAAAGCACTTTTCATGAATTATGTCATTTAACCTCTCAAAGAACTAAATGAGACAAGTACTATTATTATCCTTGCTCTGTCTGTGAGGAAACTGAGCCTTAGCAGCATAAGTAGTGTGCCCAAGCCATGCAACTCTATATCGAGTTCTACAAATAACAGCTATTACAACTATGGTCAACTCTGCACAGTAACAGGGATATCAGGGGAAACATCACTGAGTAGATGTCACTAGAACCTGGTCTCTGTTGCAAAATAATGCCTGACCTGTTCTCTTTTGAAAATGGCATATTAAAGCTTGCTCAATATGAATTTTATTCCATCTATTTTAGAGGAATTTTAACCAGCTTTACAATAAGTGGGTATTACAGGATGGCTTCAAGACATAAAGAAACAAATCCAAATGAATTTTCAGCATAGTTAATAGTTTAAGATGTGTGTAATGGCAATCGTTAGTATTTAAGCTATTAGACTTTCAAAAAGACTGACGAGGCCGGGTGCGGTGGTTCACGCCTGTAATCCCACTTTGGGAGGCTGAGGCAGGCGGATCACGAGGTCAGGAGTTCGAGACCAGCCTGACCAACATGTTGAAGCCCTGCCTCTAGTGAAAATACAAAAATTAGCTGGGCATGGCGGTGTGCACCTGTAATCGCAGCTACTCAGGAGGCTGAGGCAGGAGAATCGCTTGAACCCAGCAGGCGGAAGTTGCAGTGAGCCGAGATGGCGCCATTGCACTCTAGCCTGGGCCACAGAGCGAGACTCTGTCTCAAAAAAAAAAAAAAAAAAAGAATGATGACAGGCTCTGCAATAGAGATAGGAGGACAGGTACATGAAATTTGGTTAATTAGATTAATACCTCAAGTTGGTACACAGGGACATTACAATAATGTGCAGTATTCTGGATCAGGAATCTCTTTTATCAGAATAGGTTGTTATGATTAAATGTCCATAAGGAATTAGCTAAAAAAAACTTGACGATTAATAATAGTTCAGTTGTTCAAGAAAATTTGATATCATGCGGGCGCCTGTAGTCCCAGCTACTCCGGTGACTGAGGAAGGAGAATGGCGTGAACCCGGGAGGCGGAGCTTGCAGTGAGCCGAGATCGCGCCACTGCACTCCAGCCTGGGTGACAGAGCAAGACTCCGTCTCAAAGAAAAAAAATAAAAAAATTTACATTTCTAACAACAGCACAAAAATCAAAAAACCAAAGTAAATAATCAGTCATATCTTGAAATTATCCAACTACCAATCTCTCCTAAGTTCTCAATGAATGTGCTTTTTAACAATTTATTTCCTACCTGAAGTTGTCCATAGCAGTTTACTCAAAAAAACTATGTCTGTTATTGCCAGTGTGGTTATATGTAATACCTCAATGATATTTTTAGTTTTGAATATGTTTTGATATTTATTATTTCATTTGATTTTTTATAATAATCCCATGAGATAGGTAGATTATCTGTCTACATTTTATAGAAATTTAAACAGATAACTTTAATAACTGAACCAAAGTTGCAAATCTAGCAATTAACAGTAGCAGAGTTAGAGCTTCTAAATTTCTAGACAAAACTCTTACATTAATATATATTAGTTGACCCCAAAAACACCTATGGAGGATCCTCTTAATTTCCAAAACACCGTAATAAATTTCCTCAGTTCTAACCTGTGTTAACATTTAAAGCTCAGTTTCCATTATCATAAACCTCAAGGGTCAAGTTATTTTTTGTGGTGCTGGAATTTTGTTATATTTGTGTGTCTTTTGAAATAAAGGGGTCATGACTACTGAGGTAGCATCATTTTCTTACCAAGGACTACACACATATACTCTCATTAAGCCAAATATGTATTGTGTGTCTACTGTGTGGCAGAAACTGTTCTATATGCTGAAGATTCAACAATAAACACATCAGAACAATGTGTTCTCATGGAGTTTCTAAAACTTAACTCAATGCCCCAAACCTTACAAATCCTACTTGTCTTTCACCTTTCTCTGTCTCTATTGAATGGTTCCTTCCTCATTCTTCCCAGATACTCAGTTCAGAAACATTTAAATTATCCTTCTTCATTCCATACATCCATGAAGTCTCACTACAATATGCAATGGCAAGGGTCTAAAGCTGGAATGGAAGGATGTGTAGGTTTTCTATAGGAAGGGGAACAGATAGAAAAGTAGAGAGCATAAAGGGTATATTGGCTCTAATGTGCAAAATATGTTTAGGAGGTGAAAAATAGCCCTTTGTGAATTCCAGGATAGGGACATTTGAGGAGGTGGGTAAGGTCTAAATACTAAATGTTATACAAAGGAATTTGGACTTTATCTGGAAGGCAAGGGGGAGCAAATGAAAGTTTTGACTGCTCTCTCTTGTATCTCTTATGTCTAGTGGAGTTCCTGGCAAGGCAGACATGGCAGAAACGTGTTGCCTGAATTAGTGAAGGACTGTGGGCTTTTTCGTTAGAACTAGGCTTTAGACAGACTGCTCTCATGGAAGGGTGAGACATAGATGAATCTGCATAACCAGTTATAATACTATTGTAATAATTCAGTGCAGACGGGGTAAGGGACTGATAAGGGAGGGGGCACATGGATCTTCGGATGACCAGAAGAACCTTAACATGTTTCACTAGCCAACAGCTCAGCAGCAATGTTAAAAAGCAGCCCAATAGGCACAGCTGATAGTGATTTGCCCCATCAAGAGTCAGCAGACATTTATTAAAATCCCCCTGTTGGGAGGCTGCCCGACAAGAGAGAGAGAAAGAGAAAGAGAGGAAGAGAAAGAGAGAAAAAGAGAGAAAGAAAAGAAAGGAAGAAAGGAGGGAAGGGAGGGAGGGAGGGAGGAAGAGAAGGGGAAGGGGAAGGGGAAAGGAAAGAAGAAGAAGGGGAAATTGACCCGTTAGTGGTGGAATTGTGTCCCTCAAAATTTGTATGTTGAAGTTCTAAACCCCAGTACCTCAGAATGCGACTATATTTGGTGATGAAGCCTTTAAAGAGGTGGTGAACAAAATGCGAATTTAATTAAGCTTTAACTGTTTTTTTCCCTATACCTTGATTAGAAAATATTCAACTACTAGGCCAGGGATGGTGGCTCACAGCTATAATCCCAGCTCTTTGGGAGGCCAAGGCGGGCGGATCACGACATCAGGAGTTTGAGACCAGCCCAGCCAATACAGTGAAACCCCATCTCTACTTTAAAAAAAAAAAATTTCAAAACTTAGCCAGGCGTTGTGACACATGTCTGTAGTTCCAGCTACTCGGGAAGCTGAGGCAGGAGAATCACTTGACACTGGGAGGTAGAGGTTGCAGTGAGCCGAGATTGCACCAGTGCACTCCAACCTGGGCAGCAGAGCAAGACTCCATCTCAAACAAAAAAAAAAAAAAAAGAAAGAAAACGTTCAACTACCTGTGTAATATTAAATACCAATAATATTTTAAATTTTATGAAATTCATGCATGGGAACTCTTGATTCGAATTAGATTTTCTTTCAGTCTAAACCAATCTGTGAGGTTGTGATTTTACTCATTAAAGTTAAAATAAGGTCATTAGGGTGAAACCCTAATTCAGTATGGCTGGTTTCCTTATAAAAAGAGAAAAAGACACCAGGGAGACACTAGCACAGAGAAAAGGGCATGTGAGGTCAGTGAGAAGGTGCTCATCGATACAAGACAAAAAGAGAGGCCTTGAAAGTAACCAAACCTGCTGACACCTACATCTTGGATGTCCAGCCTCCAGAACTGTGAGATAAATTTCTGTTGTTTAAGCCACCTGGTCTGTGGTATTTTATTAGAGCAGCCCTAGCAACGTAACACACTTCCTATATGCAAAATGTCATTTCAGCAAGCAGAACGTTTTTCCTTTTAAGTTCTAATAACATCATCTAATGTCTTGGAACTGGGCTGAAAAAACTGTCTCTCTTAAATGCTTTTTTCCAAAACTACTCTAGTCTTTATCCTATTCCTACTCCCATGCCTCATCCTCTTCCTCCTCCTCCTTCTCCTAAAAACACCTTCTGACTACTGTTTCTTTACTGCTACATCCTCAGATGACCAAGGATAAACACAAGTAAAATTGTTACCTCATAGATTGGTTTAGACAGAAAGGAAATCAAATTTGAATCAAGAGTTCTTGCACGAATTTGTAAAAATTTAAAACATTATTGGTATTTAAGATTATATTATTAGTTGAACATTTTCTAATCAGGGTGTCAGAAAAAAACAGTTAAGGCTTAATTAAATTAGCATTTTGTTAAGGACTCTCCAATCAAGGATGCCAGATAAATTGATGAATTGTTTCAATGCTGTGCATTGGTTAGGTGTTTTGTATTACATTTAAAAATCAATAATAAAGTTGTTTTCTGTATATTTAAGCACCCATCTTTTTAAAAAGAGAGATAGTGTGGAAATTATACTGTTTAATTATTTGTGTTCAGAAAATTCCAGAAGGCTTCTGAATCTTCAAGGCAAAATTGACAAATGATTCCAAAATGAAATTTTTATGCCCATATAACTTTCCTAGGGTTTCAAATATATATCTATATATCTGTATATATATATATATATACACACACACACATACATATATATAGTTTTAAATTATTGTTACTATTATAAATCAATGCCCCATAAAATCAATCATTGATAAAAAATTTCCCTGGATTCTTGTATCTCATCTCTGGATGACACCAACTTGACCATAAGAGCAGAGAGTTATTCTATTAGAGAAGGGTAACACAACAGTCACATAGAGAACTATAGGCAGTTCTCTAGTTAATTCCATTCTCCTTTCACTTTTTACTCTTAAGGCTAAAGAATGATGGAATTCTAACTGAGAGGAAAATTAGCTCAGTGGGTAAACGCCATTCTTTAAAACACTGCTTTTATAAATCTTTGGCAAACTGAGGGGAGCCCATCAAGTAGAGCCAGGCACCACCTGCAGCAGTTGATCTAAAATTGATAATCTAATAGAGTGGGGCAGCAAGTAGGGCTTCAGAGGAGGGAGGCGTGGATGACAGTCTGCTCAAGTAACCAGCTCAGGCAATTAAAGGCATTGCTAGTTTCTCATTAATTTCTGCCGATGAAAAGAGCAAAACTCTGTAAAATATTTGAAGAGGTTTATTCTAAGCCAAATATGAGTGACCATGGCCCGTGACGCAGCCCTCAGGAGATCCTGAGAACATGTGCCCAAGGTGATTGGGGCGCAGCTTGGTTTTATACATTTTAGAGAGGCATTAGACATCAATCAAATACACTTAAGAAGTACATTCGTTTGGTTCAGAAAGGCAAGACAACTCAAAGTGGGGGCTTCAGGCTATAGGTAAATTTAACCATCTTTTGATTGGCAATTGGTTGGGTTTGTCTAAAGACCTGAGATCAATAGAAAGGAAACGTTTAGGTTCAGATAAAAGATTGTGGAGACCAAGGTTCTTTTGAAGTCTTATAGTGGCTACCCTGCCCCAGCTTTGAGTTGTCCTGCCTTTCTGGACCAAACCAACATATTTCTTACATGTATCTGATTGATGTCTCATGCTTAAATATGCAGTAATATATGACCAAAGTGTCATATTTGAACGTGTCAAAATAATGGTGCAAAATAAACATTTCTACAGAAAGACATAGGGTTGCTGTTCAGTAGGAAAGCAAGAAGAGGAACTAAGGTACTTCACTTAAATTTCATTTTGCATTGTTAAATTCCTCGTATGCCTTTGATAGTTTGCAGTGTTTTCAGATCCTTAACTCTCAGCCTGTCTTTTAAGAATTTGTTAGCTCTATAAAGAATAATGATTCTGCATGCTGAAACAGCATCCCGGTATAGGCCTCATATATTTTTACCCTAGTGGTTTATGATATCTAATTTTAAATTGCACACCACATATATAGGAAATTATTCCCATATGAGAAACAATGGCACAATATTAAATAAGTCATCTCTATGTAATATGTTTTCATAAAGCATTTTCCATGTTTCTTGTTTCACTCAGAACAAAAGTCGGATCTTCACGTTGCCACTACACATACCAGAGAGAACACAGTCATTTAATTTTTTATTAGTTATTTTCTTTAAGATATTAGGCTTAGCCGGGCACAGTGGTTCACGCTTGTAATCCCAGCACTTTGGGAGGCCAAGGAGGGTGGATTATCTGAGGTCAGGAGTTCAAGACCAGCCTGGCCAACATGGTGAAACCCCGTCTCTACTAAAAATACACAAATTAGCCCGGTGTGGTGGCAGGTACCTGTAACCCCAGCTACTTGGGAGGCTGGGGCAAGAGAATCACGTGAACCCGGGAGGTGGTGGTTGCAGTGAGCCAAGATTATGCCATTGCACTCCAGCCTGGGCAACAAGAGTGAAACTCCATCTCAAAAAATAGCAATAACAACAAAAATAAAATATTAGGCTGGTGCAATACTAATCACTTTTGCACCAACCTAATACCTTGCTGGCTGGTATGGTGCTGCCAGGATGGTGCTAGAGAACTAAACTGGGTATGCCGTGGCTCCTTGTTTTCAGCTGACCCTCCTGTAATCAGCTCCTTTTTCTAGGATTCAATTCCTGTAGTCTCCCTGTGGTTTCCAGCATCCCTGCACAGATCACTCTTCCTCTGTCCCCTTGTCTCCAAGACTCCTGGAAAAGAGAATTTATCTGAGCTTCTTTTCAGTTGTTCCACAGATTTTAAGAAGAATTTTTGAAGTGTATCAACCCTAGAAGGGCCAGACTTGTATCCAAAAAAGGTAGAGTTCAAGTCACCCCATTATCTAATAATTTTGGCCTCTTAGAATCAGAATATGAGAAGACATGAGTAATCTCTGTGGTGAAAAGTCCAGAAAATGTGTCAAGGTTTCCTTGTGGGATAATTCACTGGAAGCTCATCATGACCTTGTACCACCGCAGAATTCCAAAGATCAAAGCTAACACAAAGCAGGTCTCTATGATAGTATTCAAAGGAATGACTTAGTGAAAATCTAAAAGAAAGACTTTAAAAGGTTGTGTTTTTTTTTTTCCTTTCTTGGAAAGATAGACAGCTGGAGTGAATCTCTGTTTCATGTCATACTTAAAGAATAAATATGACTGCAAACTCACTGTGTGACCACTCTGGGTACTCATTTCATTTGACCTTTACAATAACCTCTTGAGTTTAGTATACTTATTCTCATTTATAAATGAGGAACTGAAGCTTAAAGAGTTAAGGAGTGTTCCCAAGGCCACACAGTAAGTGGCAAAACCAGGATTCAGAGTCTATAACTTTAACCTATGTATCACCAATGCCATTAATATTTGAATCTGATTATGTTTTGAGAAGATTCATAGATTGACACCATATTCTTATAACAGTGCCCTCTACTTATCCCTCATTCATAATGAATTAAGATTCCAAAAGCAGGCATTCCAGATGACTAATATGACACCATGTAGATAATGCTTTTCACAATTTAATGTGCATACAAATCACCTGAGAATCTTATTAAATGCAAATTCTGATTCAGTAGCTCAAGAGTGAGTTAGAAGATTCTGCATTGCTAACAAGCTACCGGGTGAGGCTGATGAGACCAATAAGTACCAATGTCCTTATTACATTTTAAATAACAAGGACATAAAGAAAAAGAGAAACCCAGTATGGGAAGAACTGAAGAAAGGAGTTTCAACTAAACGCGATTGAGCTTTAACATTTTCTGTTTCCTAAACTTTTTCATGCTTATCTCATAGGACTGTTTTCTTTTCATGATTAAATTGGATAGTGCTTTGTAAAGCACTCACAAAGAAAACAAAATGGCTTGTGTTGCTATCATTGTTAACATGAAGCTCAAACTTCTTCAGCTCAATGTCTCAAAGCCTACATAGATCTCATAAATATTGTTGCTATAAACGCATTTATCAGACAAATTGTCCTGCTCTGTTCTGTGCACATGTGGTGCTGAGATTGTATTGAATTCAATGTGTTTGCTCAATCAGAGAATAGATAGGATCCATAATTTTCCTTACCCAGGAGGTCATTTTCAAAAGCTTCCTATGAAATTTTAGCTCGAGAACACAATATTGCTTTCTCCAGATATCTTTTCTCAATTTTATATCCTTGGGTGTTTTTTTTTTCTTTTTATGATCTGTGAGTGTTTTAACAACACTGTTTTCTTCAACCAATAAAGTCTGTTGACAGTGCTGGGCTCCTTCCCCACTTTCCCCAACTCTCAGTAACTAGTAGCCTAAGGTGAGAAGGCCACCAAGTATGAGCTGGCTCTGCAAGTTTGAAGGTTCTGCTTTTCTGAACGTGCTTGTCTCCCAGGGACAGAAAGGTTTGCCAGGATCTGGCACTTCAGATTGCTTTAGTGGAAAACTAATTGTTTTGGGAATCTTGAAAAAGTCATGATTTATTTATGAAGAGAAGCCTGCCTCTCTTTCTCCTTTGAAATTCAACCAACAATGATGCATTCATTAAACAGATATGTATTGAACAGTCAATGCTAGGCCTTGTGCGTGATGCTGGGGACACAAAGGTGAATGAAACATAGTTTATGGGGTGGCCTTAGTAATCTACCAGGTTAATGTACACACTCCGTTAGTTTTCAGACTTCTGATCATCCCCGGGTTTCATTTCTTCCTTTATAAGTGATTCTTTTAAAGCTTACATATGACAGCACTTATAATGTACCTTTTTCAATGTTTAGTTATAGCATATTTCTAAAATAGGTGGTCTTGGGTTTCCTAAGGAGCCCTATATTCCATTTCATTGAGATCTGGAAGAGCTGGAGAATCTGATAGATTCAATACAGTAGCACATTCTGAATGACAGACTTAGGCACAGGATTAGCCCCCAGAGTGAGGTCATTTTTAAGATTATTTTATGCCTAACAAGTTCACCCTGTCTCCAATAAAACCCTGAGATCCTTGGGGAAAGTATCAGGGCAGACTTAATAAGTCCTAAGCATCAACAGATATTTGTAGAATGGAATTGAGTGATGCTAGCATTTTCAGGATTAAAAATTTAGTTCCACTGTGTTTAGGATGAAGCCTAGTCAGAGTGAATTACACAGGGATCATGTTCTATTTGAAGAATATGTTCTTGGAGACCTCAAGTAGTTTAAGGTCTTAGTGGATTTTTCCATAAGGCTAATAAGGATGTCCAGAGTTTATCTGCAAGCTTTAAGGGATATTACCTTAGCACAATATCCTAAAGAGCTCACCATTCATTCAGCCAGCCAGCTTTGAAGTTATGAAATTCTTGACAAATGTAACAAAAACTTGTGTATTGCATTATTTTCAAGTTGCAAATAGTGTAAGACTTGATTATTTATAGGGTCCTATTTCAAAATTGCATACAAAATGTGACTTCACTTTGCATAACTCAAAAGAATCCTCTTAGGCAATATTTTGGTCTGGTCAAGATAGTGATAAGAAGATATCAGAAAACATCTATCATCTTGTCATGGCATTATTTTACTTCATCAGGACATAACCCCTCAGCTGCTATGATAAATTTTAACACTAGATTTTCCTGGCTCAGTTTCTAATAAATAAAATGTTGAGCAGCAGGGCCTGTTTTCAAGGACAATATTTCACATTGTGTGCCAGCCTAAATAATTAGTTACTAAAAATCAAATTAGCAGGAAGAGCTACTCATATCCATCTTAGGGACATTGATTTGTTGTCCCTGATTTTTCTGTTATGCTGATAGAGGATTTAGGATTAAAGCATTAGAGATCTTTCTACCCACACTTTTTTAAAAAATACAATTTATTCTGAACCCACATTGATATAATTTGTAGATAACACTGGCACATCAACATGTACAGTTAACAATATCCTAAGTATTGATCATTAAATTTGATAAGCTAGAAATCTGCATTTATGTTATTGTTTAACTGCCAAGAATGTACAAAAATCTTTTTTGCAATAAGTTTGAATCTTTAGCTATATGCTGAGCGGTATAGGAGAAGTTACCTAAAATCTCTGAGGTATTTGGGTCAAGTTTAAAATAGAAACCATAAGCAGCTTGCAAAGTTGTTGTTAAAATGAGTGATAACATATGTAAAATGCCTAGTACCTTGCTTAGCCAATAGCAGGTACAAAATAATTGGTAGTCGCATTGAGAAAGTTTCATAGATAGATAGATGAGATAGAGATAGATAGATACGATATAGATATAGACATAAATATAGATAGATCAGTGAACATTAACCACATCCTTACAGTTTACAGTTATTTATTCAGTTTCTTCAATTGAGACTCTACTATGTCCCAGATACTTAGGTGCTAGATATAAAGCAGTAAAAGCACAAAAACCTCTGCCCTCAAGGAATTTACTATCTGGTGGAGAGAGGCAGGCAATAAACATCTAACTAACTAAAGTGCATTGTGCATTTATAATGATAGGTACTATGGATAAGGCTACCAAATGTCCTGATATACATGGGAAGTTACAGTTTATGCCAAGTGTCTGGATATCATTATTAATAATATCCCCTTCATTCATTGTTAGTGGTGTTCCAGGTTGGACAATAAGTCATGTGGTTAGCTCTGTTAGTTTGCTAGGGCTATGTTGTCTACCCAAGGTTCTCCAAAGAAACAGAACTAATAGACTATGTATACAAAGAGAGAAACAGAAAGAGGTTGATTTATTATGGGAATTGGCTCACATGATTACGAAGACCAAAAAGTCCCATGAGAGGCCACCTGCAAGCTGGAGAACCAGGAAAGTCAGTGGCATAATCAAGTTGGAGTCTGAAAGGGGCACTGATGTAAGTTCTGGAGTCCAAAGGCCTGAGAACCAGGATGCCCAAGGGCAGGAGAAGATGGAAGCCCCAGCTGAGGAAGAGAGGGAACTTACCCTCCTATGCCTTCCTATTCTGCCTTCAAAGGACTAGATGATGTCCACCCACACTGGTGAGGGTGGGTCTTCTTTGCTCAGTCTACTGATTTGAATGCTACTATCTTCTGGAAACACAGACCCACCAAGAAAGAATATTTGACCAGGTATCTGGGTATCCCTTAGCTAAGTCAAGTTGACATACAAAGTTCACCATCATAGGCTGCCGTAAGAAAATGTCAAAGACTGAATGGCTTAAGCAACAGAAATTACTGGCCTCACAGTTCTGGAGGCTGGACATCCAAGATCAGATCTCCTGACAGAACTGCCAGCAGGCGTCTTTCCTTCTGAGGCCTCTCTCCTTGGCTTTCAGATGGCTGTCCTCTCACAGCGTCCTCACCTGGCCTTTCCTCTGGGCTTAGACATCACAGTATATCTTTCTCTTTTAAGGACACCAATCATATTGGATCAGGGCCCCACTCTAATGGCCTCATTTTAACTTAATTACCTCTTTAAAAACATTATCTCCAAATATAATCTGAAGTACTGGGAGTTGGAACTTCACTATGAATGTGGGTGGCGGGGGGAGGGAGGGGCAGGTACAATTTAGGCTATAACATTAGCCAACCTATGGGGTAAAATTGAAAGAGAATAGGAAGTAGTTTCGTGAGGACACAGTTTTAAGTGCCCTGTGAGAGAAGTCCTCACTGAGTTGGTGGCAAGGGAATAAAGACCTGAAGGAGGTAAGGGAGAGATCTTGAAGATTTTTGAGAGGAGACATTTCAGGCACAGTGACCAGCAGTGGCAAGGAAAGAAATTAGAGGAAAATAGAAGAGGAGACAGATGAGATTTAGGGGCGGTGGGTTGGAGGGGGTGGGTTGTCCACAGGTTGCTAATTAGGGAATTTGGCTGTTAGTGATATGGAAAGTCATCAGTTATTCAATAAACATGTGATTAATTAATTAATTGAAACAAAAACTGGACAATATTTACTTTTAGTTTAGTTCTTTGTGAATGCTCAGCCTCAACTGATATTTACCTAATACTAGCAGTACAGAATCTAGAACATGCCAATTTCACACAAGTAGAAATCCACTCCATGGTAGTGTGTGGTGGACTAATTTGCCTGGGATGAGTGAGCTTGGCAGTAATTAAAAAAAAAAAATACCAGTACTAATGAGAAGGCACTACAAGTAGAGCCCCTTGTCTTACATTTTGGCGATTCTGTGTGTGCAGACATTGTTCTATATACAGTAGGGGATGAATATATGGACATGGCTTAATTTTATTTTCTCTGGTGTTTTTGAAAATCTGTTAACTGATGTGTGTATTACTTTTCTAGAGCTGCTGTAACAAATTTCCACAAACTGGATGGCATAAAACAAGATAAATATATTCTCTCACAGTTTAGGAGGCCAGAAGTCTTCATTAAGGTCTCCACAGGGTAGGCTCTTTCTGGAGGCTCTGAAGGAGAACCTATTCTTGTTCCTCTCCTGGCTCCTGGTCATTACGGGAAATCCTTGGCATTTCTTGGCTCTTAGCTGGCTTCCCTTCAATCTTTGCCTCTGTCCTCACATGGCCTGCTTCCCTCTCTGTGTGTCTGTCTTCTCCTTCCAGAAAGATACCAGTTATTGGCTATAGGGCCCACCCTAAACCAATATAACTTTATATTAACTAATTGCATTTGCAAACATTCTATTTTCCAAATAAGGCCACATTCTGAAGTTCTAGATGAACATGAATTTTTGAAAGACACAATTCAAACCAGTTACAATGTCCATGTGTAAACAACCAGAGGAGAGTAAAAAAGTTAAATTCCTACAGGGGCCAGGCAGCTAATGTAAATGAGTTAAGTGAACCAAGATGAATAGCACTTGACTTGTCTCTTAGCGTTGGGTGTGATAGGCAACAGAGGAAACTGGCAAACCGAGCATGCATGTCCTGTGTGAAAGGGGCAGCTCCTCACCAGACCCATCCAATTTCTGCTATACAGAAATGCAGACAAAAGGTTGCCAGACCATCCAGTTCCTCCTCAGAAGCCAGAAATCCAACATTCTAAGTGGAATATGTGTATTTTTAGTTTTTGGCCCAGTTAATTTAAAAAAAAAGTGTTTGAGCTAAAAAGCTCCAACTCTAGCCCACCAGGAATCAGCTTGCAATATCAAAAGTCTACAGTTCTTAAGAAAACCTATCTGGCATCATATTTTCCCAAAGCAGAACAGTGGTTCTCAGGTTTGGCCTCCCATTAGAATTACCTGATGCAGTTGGTCTGGAATGATCAGGCATGGCTAATTTTTTAAAGCCACCTTGGTGATTCTAATGAGCAATCATGGCCAAGTAATGGATATTCACAAGATTGTAAAGACTTTGCTTCATTGACTATTCTATTTGATTTTCTTCCCGGGTGCCTGGCACAGGGTCTACCTTATATCCAATAAATACTTATTGGTTAAATTAATGAATAAAGACTTTTATTGAATATAAATACATTGTTAAAAGATGAAAATTAAATACAGTGACACAAAAGAACTCAGGAAAGGAAAGTACTGTCTCACATCAAAAATTATAATGGATTATATGTTATTTCTTCTGGCATTTGAAGCATTTTGCAGAAACAATTACTTCATTCATCTCCCAACTTCCTTGAGATTAGTGTCATCTATTATTAGCCCCATTTTTCAGATGAAAAAATTGGATCTCCTAGTGCAGCTTTCTCCTAAACCACATTATTATTTTTTAATACCACCAGGAATTTGATGGATGTCCTACTGCAAATAGAATTAGAGGTAGCATTTCTAGCAAAGGAATGAAAGACACCATGCTCTCAGGACTATATTCAAGACAAGATGGGTTAAGAAGCTTAACCAAAGAGGCAGAGAAGGAAATTAAAACCATACCACAAAGAGAAACAAATTTTCTGCAGCTAGAAACTACACAATTAGACACATCCAATAAGTGTTCCATTTTGTGGAGCCATTGTTAGTGCAGTACAGAAGTCAGAATGTCAGACCCAGGAGCTAGACAGATGAACAAGTGTTCACATTCCTGATACTGCCACTTACAAACTGCGTGCATCTTTACCATCAATTTCCTCTGCTATAATTTGGCTTTCATAATGTTATCTTCCACAAGTGGGGCTCTTGTGAAGGTTAAATAATATGATGCTTGTAAGGTACTTAGCACATAGAAGGTTCTCTTTGTTCTTATTGTTGTTAGAGCATTGCATCTTAGGCATTATTTGTCTGCATCTTTTCTTAGAACAAGATCATGTTCAAGATGAAATTTAGAGGACTTTCTTGTTCTATTGTTTAATTCATTTCTTGTTCTATTGTTAATCCTTCCCCATTAGATTATACATTTCACAAGAGCAAGGACTATGTTTTTGCCAGTGCCAAATAGGTGCTTAATTAATGTTGTTGAATAAAACATTATATGATGATATCATTCCTCTGCTAAAAAATCCTCCTCCGTTTTCTCCTTATTTCACTCTGAGTAGAAGCCAAAGCTCTTAGAGTAGACTATGAGATTCTGCAGGATTTTATACTAAGAGAAAATAAAAAGAATGAACAAAAGGAAACAAGTGACTGTTTTTCCTGAAAATCCCTTCAAATATGTTATTAAAAGGCAGTGGTCAGGTGATGGGCCAGTCATAAAATGAACAGAGTAGCCTAGACAATACCTAAGAATATATACTAGTTACTGTGGGTGACATTGGAGGAGAAGATTCATTGTATAATGGACACTCCAACACGAAAATACACCTTGTAATCCCAAATCCTATTAAGAATCAATTTATTTGTGTTCTCTCGCCATCAGAAGAATCAACCTTACTCACCTGTCGCTTGCTTTCCGATATTAAAGGCATGCTTGGCTTATCCCAAAGAAAAGTTTGAAGTTACAATGCTTGATTGTTAAAAATGCTTCAACCCGGTGGCTCACGCCTGTAATCCCAGCACTTTGGGAGGCCGAGGTGTGCGGATCACTTGAGGTCAGGAGTTTAAGACCAGCCTGGCCAACATAGTGAAATCCCATCTCTACCAAAAATACAAAAATTAGTCGGGTGTGGTGGCAGGCACCTGTAATCCCAGCTACTCCGGTGGCTGAGGAAGGTGAATTGCTTGAACCTGGGAGGTGGAGGTTGCAGTGAGCCCAGATCACACCACTGTACTCCAGCATGGAGCTTGATCATGGCTCACTGATCAAAAACTCAATTAAAAAATATAAAAATAAATAAGAGTTATTTGTGTTAGCTTGCGGAAAAGAAATAGTACATTAGGTTTAGGTTATATCCAAAAAGATACTGCTGTCATTTTTGATAAATTCCTTTTTGCTTTGGCTGCTTACCTCATATACAGGTGAGATCAAAGAGGCAAGGTGGCTGGGTGAGGTGGCTCACATATGTAATCCCAGCACTTTGGGAAGCTGAGTGGGGAGGACTGTTTGAGCCCAGGAGTTCAAGACCAACCTGGGCAACATCGCAAGACCCCATTTCTACAAAAAAAAAAAAAAAATACTGGGGCATGGTGGTGTGTGCCCATAGTCCCAGCTACTTGGGAGGCTGAGGCGGGAGGATCACTTGAGCCCAGGAGTTCGAGGCTGCAGTGAGCCATGATCAAGCTGCTGCACTCCAGCCTGGGCGAAAGAGTGAGATTATGTCTCAAAACAAACAAAAAAAAACAGAGGCTCAGTGATGTTGTTACTTTTCCGAAGCCTTACAAACAAAAAGTGGCAGCGCTTAGATTCAAATGAGTTCTCCCTGAACCCTAAAGTTCCAAATCTTTCCATCATAAATGTTAGCTTTAATGTGCTCACAAAAACATTTTTAGTTTCCTATTTCACCTTCTCTATTAATTTAGCTATTCTTAAAACACCATTTTTTAAAATGAAATTGCATTATTTACATTGTTTACAGTGCAATGAAGTATTCACTTAGTCAATGACTGTACCTTAGTCTGTGGAACAGACCATACTGGTTGCTAATATTGCATGAACATATAATTTACCATTTAAACAAGAACATTTTTGAACATGAAAAGGGGGTGCAGACTATGGGGTGTTAGGACAACTCCCATAAACTGGCAGCATCCTGGACAAACGAAGGTCTTGTCACCCTATTTATAAGGAACTCCAGATAATTTCCAAACCCCACACAAAGGATAGCCCTGTAGAAGTAGTTTTGGCAAATTGTTCAGAGGAGCAAGGGAAAATTGAGGTTCAATTGGTCAATCTTAAAAGATCCCAAGGAAAATTGATGCCTTTTCCATGTTGTTTTCTGCTAGTATTCTCTGGCTAGTTCTGCCAGTACAGCAGAGAGGTGATAAAAACAAACACACTTAGAAGCGGCTTTAGAAAGCATTACAGCTTTTGACCATCCAGTTGTTTGCTAATATTTGCCTCAGATAACATGCAATAATTATTCTGCACTCAACTGACCAAAACTCTCTCTAAATGTTTTGTTAAGAACACAGTCAACACCAAGGTAAAGAAGATTAAATAGGACCCTGCCTTGATTGAGAGAGAGACTGAGTCGGGGTAGAGACAGAAACAGAGCAGAAAAAGATAAAGGAGAGACACAAACAGAGATGTAGAACAATGAGACAGAGAGAGACATTGAGCCAGAGAAACTCAGAGACAGAGAAGAAGAGGGAGACAAAGAGACAAAGATAAAAGCAAAGGCACAAAGACTAAGAAAGAGTGAGACAGAGACAGAAAGACAGATAGAGAGATGGAAAGGCTGACAGAGAGTAGCATTAATTTTATGAGAAACAGGTGTATTTAGGTAGCCACTCTAAGTAGAGTCAAATTTACTCCATTTGCATTTGGAATCTGTAGATCGTTTTCAGCAAATTCAAGCACCTTCTAGTTGCCTTCTTTTAAACTGATACACAAACTATTTTATAATCAAGCATAACAAAACAGGTCAATTAGGAAGGTCATTTTCTGCCTCCCAAGTTCAAAAAGTTAAAAAATGAAATGTAGGTATTTTCCTCATATTCAGTCAGCAACACTGTTGCTACTTCTCTTAAAAGTGAATGATTTGGGGCTGACTGCAAGATCCAATAACAACTGCATGGTTGGGCAGCAATTTTCTGCAAGAATTATTACCAGCATATGAACCCCAAGTTATCTGGGGCCTAGTATCTTCAGGAATGAATTTGAAAATACTAAATGAATTCTGAGTGTATGTGTTTGTTTGTGTAGTCATGCTAGTATTTATGAACTGTAAGTCCACTTTAAAAATAGGCATCATAGTATTAGGTTGGGGCAAAAGTAATTGCAGTTTTTGCCATTACTTTCAATGGTAAAAATCACAATTACTTTTGCCCAAACCTAATAAATAAGTTCATATTTGCAACTAGTAAAAAAATGTACTCCCTATTCCCAGCATCCATGACACTACTGATGAATCAGCTTGTCACTGACTCAAAGAACACAGATGGGATCACAGTACCCCTGAAACTCCTGGTGATTTTTATTTTGTTTTGTTTTGTTTTTTGAGACGGAGTCTCACTCTGTCTCCAGGCTAGAGTGCCGTGGCGTGATCTTGGCTCACTGCAACCTCTGCCTCCCGGGTTCAAGTGATTCTCCTGCCTCAGTCTGCTGAGTAGCTGGGACTACAGGCACCTGCCACCACACCTGGCTAATTTTTGTATTTTTAGTAGAGATGGAGTTTCACCATGTTGGCCAGGATGGTCTCGATCTACCAACCTCGTGATCAGCCCGCCTCGGACTCCCAAAGTGCTAGGATTACAGGCATGAGCCACCTTGCTCAGCCCAATTTTTGTCATAGTTATTGATTCATGGGAAGACACCAGATCTGTAGAAACATTATTTGCCATTTTCTTCCACCAGACTTCTACAGGCTTAAAATCTAGGAAGAAAAACATTGTCCGTGTTTCAAAAGTACAAAATAGAAGCTGATCGGGACTGTGAATTAATAGAGTACGAGCCATTATTTCCAAGCTAACCCATGAGAAATAGAAGTTTTTGCTATCTGCTGTACTGCAAAAAGGAGGAAGATAAGAATAGTTCTCATTATGGTGAAATTACCACTTTCATTGCCACTGTCAGTACTTGTTGAATTCATAATTCATGGCCCATCGCTCAGCACTGACACATGACACTGACATGTGATGGCATTTCCTGTGTAACACAAAAAGCAGCCAGTGGAGAATGACCACTTGCATATGCCACCACTGAGGTCTGCATGACCAGAAAAATGGAGCAATCAAGATGATGATAGGCTGACGTGTTTTCAGTAATGTCAGGCATTATAAGATAAAACCTTTCCAATTGGTAAAAATGAATACATTCTCATTTAGTTAGAGCACAGTTAGAATGGCCTATATATTTACACACTTACTTTTTATTATCTTTTTGTATTACTTCATTTTATCGTGTTTGAAGTACTAGTATACTAGTAGTTTGGTTTGACATCTAGATGCAGAGATATGGGAGTAAACTTAATTTTGAATGATCTCATTGAGCTCAGTGGTTTATGTAGCCAACTAATTTATTAATCTGCCCATTGTAGGTAGCAATAAACATTAACTTAATAAATTAATAAGTGATATGAATCACTCAACAAATATATATTAGTACCTAATATATGTAATACACTGTTATTGTTAATAATCGAAACAGGATAAGACACCTTTTCATCTTATGTAGATATTTTTGCCCAAATATATCTCTAATGAAACCTTCCCTGGCCACCATATTTAAAATTATGTCTTTCCCCGTCCTATTTCTTACCCATATCCATATCCACCAACAGAAGTCTCTAGGCCCCATCCCTCCTTCATATCTGATATACTTTATAACTTGCTATTTATTTTTGTTGATTATTTTTTCTTTCCTAAATATCGTGTAAGGTCCACTAAAATAGAAGTTTTTTGGCTGGCTCATTCGGTGCATTATTGCCAGCATCTGAGACAGTTCCTAGCACATAGTTAGCATTCAACAAATGCTTTTAAATGAGTTAATTCATAAACAAACAGAATCCTCCCCTCAGGGAATTCGGGATCTGCAATGTCATAGGTATTATAATAGATGCAGATGGTTAGATTCTAGACAGCAGGGATTTTTTTTCTATGTAGCCACTGTATATTTACAGTTCTACAAAGAACATCATTTATAATGCTTATAATATGTACATTATAAAGAATGCTTTTTGGACAAATATTTATGAGATGAAAAGTAATTTTTCATCTCTTTTTGTATTGCTTTGTTTTATGGTCTTTAAAGTGTTATGTTAGTATACTAGCAGTTTGGTTTGACTTCTAGATGCAGAGGTATGGGAGTTGACTTAATTTTGTTTTTTTTTTTTTTTGAACTTCCAGTTTTTATTTTTTAAACATCATTTAACAAGAAAAACATTCAACCAAATTAAAAAGAATTAGGTTGGATTAATTTACAATAAAATAATCAACTTAAAATATCAGCCCTTCCATTTAGGGCCAAGCAGGCCAATAGTTCCTATTTAAAAAGCAGAATTGCACAATTATTTTTACCTGTATTTGATGGCACAAAAAAATAAAAGTCTTACGACTTCCACTGACACCCTCCCCGCCCTCCAGAGTAGAGTTCATACAGTTGCATCTTAGGTCAGTACTCAGGCTTTTAAAAATCATCTTACATTTTGAAATATAATACAACTACTCTGATAACAAGAATACTTGTGAAACAATTCTTATAGAAAACAAATACCTTAGATAATTATGTGGCACATTAGACTGCTCAAAGAAATAGCAAGGATGAAAAATAATGTACAAGAATTATAGTCCCTTGTTTATAGAAACCATCCAAATAAAATATTTTCCCTGCTTCTTATAATTTACTAGCAGAGATGAATTACAAGAAGCAGAATGCACCATTTTTTGGTTCTTGGTTGTAGCTGCCAGCTTAGGAGTTCATGACTATAAATATGAAGCAAATATGATTATCCTCACAAGTTCTGGAATGGAAAAAAACCCAGATATCTCTAAAATGTTTCTCTATCCTTGCTTTCAAGTCATGACAAAAAAATTCACAGCAATTTAAAGGATGGTGAAAGACTAAACATGGGCCCACTAAAATAGAGATTAATTTTACCTGTTACACTCCTATAGTAAAAATTGTAATAAGTATGATATTGTATTAAGTAACATTCTGTAGTAAGCTGTGGGAGCAAATACAGCATTTAACAGGTTCATTTACAAACCAGGCATGGTAGCCTTTAGACAGAACATCTTATTTTCACTCTCTTGAACATGTAACCTTTAAAAAAACCAAAAGGAATATGTAATTTATGACAGCTGGCCAGGCCCTTAATTTGGAGAAAGACAAGGATTTTGAGGTAAACTAGGATTATTTTGACTTAATTTTGAATGCTCTCATTAGGCTCAGTGGTTTATGTAGCCAATTAATTTAAGATATGAATCTGTCCATTGTAGGTGGCGATACATATTAACTTAATAAATTAATGAAAACAAAGAGTGTTTAGTCTCTGTGAGGGTAAATGTCCTACATACTAAGGCAGTTTGGAGATTCACCATCAACTTTCTTTTAGTGTGATTGGCTGGGGAATTCAGTCCCACCTCCTCATTCTGTCAGTATCATCCTTAAGAGAGTGCCTTCACACACAGCTATCTATTTAGGGATCGCTTCACACACTGTGAGGAAGCATATATGTACATTCTAAATGCATCTGCTAATTACAAGTAGCAAATCTGCACATACTGAGACAATCATAAAAGATATATAGTCTGATTTCATGCTTTCAGTAGATAGTGATTGAACATTTTATATACTAAGCACTGTGCAACATACTGGGAATTCAGTAATGAATAAAAAATACAATTTCTGATTTAATTATATGGTGGGGTATACATTTACTATCTTATGTATTTTCTACTCATCCCTTCTACTTTTTGTCCCTCTATTCCTCTTCCCTGGCTTTCTTTTAAATTAATTAAATATTTTATATATTTCATTTTAATTCCTCTATTGGAGTTTTGACTATACCTTCTTATATTATTTTTTACTGCTTCCCTTGTATCTAGAGATTTCAGTATGTCTCCTTCATTTATTATAGACTATTTTGAGTTCATATGGTACCACTTCATGTAAAATGTAAGCATCATACATTAAAATTCCATTGACCCTCCCCCAACTTTCATGTTATTATTGTCAGAAATTTTACATCTACAAATGTAATAAACTCTACAATACTTTTTTGCTGTTTTAAACAAAGAAAGTAGGAAAGGAAAACAGGATAATATATTTATTCACATATTTTCAATTTCCTGTGCTCTCTATTTCTACCTGTAGAGTCAAGTTTCCGTATTATGCCAATTAACCTCAGCCTGAGGACATTCCTTTAGCATTTCTTGGAATGCAAGGCTTTTAGCTATGAATTATCCCAGGTTTATTTTATCTAAAAGTATCTTTATTTCAACTTCATTCTCAAAAACATAGGTAAAATTCTGGGTTGATAGTCTCTGTATTCCCCTGAGAACTTTAAGGATTCTCTTCCATTGTTTTCTGGTGTTTCTGCTGTTCTTGATGAAAAATTATTCTTACATTATTTGACCCTTGTATGTACGGGTCCTTTTCTTCTCTTTTCATTTTAAAGCCTTTTTTCATTTTTGATTTTCAGCATTTTGCCTACAGCTATGTGTGATTCTTCTTTTATTTATTTATTTATTTATTTATTATACTTTAAGTTTTCTTCTTTTGGTTCAACAGATTTCACTTGTGTTTTAAAACATATGTGGAATATTTTGGTCATTATTGCTTCAAAATTTTATCTCACCTCTCATTATGTTCTTTAATTATACCTATGTTGGACTTTTTGATATGATGCACAGATGAGTAAAGCTCTCTTTATTTTTAAATCTTTTTCTATTATTCAGATTTCTTCCTTTTCATCTCTATTCAAGCTCATAATCCTTTCTTCAGTAGTTCTCAGTCTGCTGTTAAGTCCATCTAATGAAGTTTTCCTTTTAGAATTTTCTTTTTATTTCTAGAATTTTCATTTAGTTCCCTTTTGTAGTTTAATTTCTCTTCTGAACTTTTTTCTTTACTTATTATGACTATCTTTAACGTCATTTCTTACAACTTCCAACATCTGTGCTACCTAATGTCTGTTTTTATTGACTTCTCTTTTTTCTTGATTATGGGTCACATTTGTTCTGCTTTCTCACATGTCTAGTAATTTTTTTATAGTACAAAAGATGTTATTAGGATACATTGTAAGGAGTTTGGGTCATGTTGCCTTCTTTTAAAATATATTGAATATTGTTTCGAAGCATTCTACAGTTCAGCAGCTCTTTTTGGTCTTTCTAGCTTTAGGTCTATTCTTTGTTAGGATCAGTCAACTTTGGCTATTACCTCAGTGATACACTATGGCCCTTACTCTAGGAAATTATCCTTACTCCCAAAGTGGTTTTTCTGAGTTCTCAGGGCAACGCCAGAGGTGCTCAGTGAAGTCTTCTTTGGAAGGCTGGCAGGGCTAGAACTCTAACAACTTGCAGCATTCCAGCTCTATGTGGCTTGTGTTATTTCATTCCATTCTCAGCCCTGCCTGCTAAGCATTGGGAAGCCTTGGATATCGTGCATATCCCAGCCCTTAGTCAATAACCCACATTTAATTTCACACAAATTTCCCACCCACCAGCTACCTGCAGAATACACACGCATACATCAATTCTCTCTTAACCCTGGCCTACAAATTCCAGCCACTTCAGGAGCCTGGAACTCTAATCTCTGCCACTTCAGCTCAGTGACTATGAGCTCTACCTCCCTGAACTATGGAAGGAACATGTCACCAGGCAGGGGCGAGCCAGGGCATTTGTGAAGCACACCTCTGGGATTTTTCTTCTCTCAAGCATCACAGTTCTATGTTGTTTATTGTTCAATTCTTGGAAAGAGTTCCCTCATGTAGCTTGTCCAGTTATATGGTTCCTTACAGTGGTATAGCATATCCAGTAACATTTATTCTGTAAAGGCTAGAAGTAGACATCTTCCATCTTCCATTTCAGTAGGGAAGACGTGTCAAATATGTAATTGTATCATGAATTGTTTTAATTATACTTGCTATGGAGAAACATAGAAAACTATGGGCATCTATAATAACTGTTCATAATCTAGTTGGTTTGCCCTATAAGGTTTTCCTCAAAAAGTTATTGAACTGAAATCTGAAGGATGAACAGGCATTAACCAGATGAAGAGAAAGTAAAGCAGAAGTTTAGATTCAGATAATAGCATGTGAAAAGGCCCTGAGACAGTAGGGAATAGGGTATACTCAAATAAGTGAAACAAAATGATTAATATTTGTTTGGACTGCATTATGTGGCTGTCACTGTGATAAGTGCTTTATATATTATTTCCTCTGATCCTAACTTTTTGAAGCAGATACTGTAACCTGTCCAATGGGTTCATTTTGCCTGCTGCCCAGATAGAGCTGATTTATCAAGACAGAGAGATTGCAATAAAGAGCTTAATTCATACAGAGCTAGCTGAGCAAGAGACCCGGAGTTTTATTATTCCTCAAATAAGACTCCTTGAAAATTCAGAGGCTAGGGTTTTTCAAGGATAGTTGATGGGTAATGGAAAGGGTGCTGCTGATTGGTTGGGGTGCAATCCTAGGGATATGGAAAATGGTCCTCATGCTGAGTTGGCTTCTGGGTAGGGTCACAGGACTGGTTGGCAGGTCTGGGCGAAGCCATTCATTGTCAGAAATGCAAAAACCTGAAAAGACATCTCAAAAAGCCAATCTTAGGTTCTACAGTAGTGATGTTATCTGCAGGAGTAATTGGGGAAGTTATGAATCTCATGACCTCGAGAATAACGGCTGGTAATAGCTTATGGCTACACCTTAGCAGAATTCACGCTCCTCTCATCCTCCTAACCTGGTGATCTTTCATTAGCTTTACAAAGGCAGTTTAGTTTTGGGGAAGGGCCATTATCATTTAAACTATAAGCTAAATTTCTCCCAAAGTTAGCTTGGGAAGCAGGGGAGGGAGGAGGTCTTTCTTCTTTTAGGCAAGTTGGAGACACAAGAGGGAAAGATGGCCAGAGGAAGGTGTGTTTGAACTGAGTTTTAAAAGCCTCATGGGGCTGGGCGCAGTAGCTCACGTCTGTAATCCTGGCACTTTGGCAGGCCAAGGTGGGTGGATCACTTGAGGTCAGGAGTTTGAAACCAGCCTGGCCAAGATGGCAAAGCCCTGTCTCTACTAAAAATACAAAAATTAGCCAGGCATGGTGGCATGCACCTGTAATCCCAGCTACTCATGAGGCTGAGGCAAGAGAATTGCTTGAACCTGGAGGTTGCAGTGAACTGAGATCGCGCCACTGCACTCCAGCCTGGGCAACAGAGTGAGACTCTGTCTTGAAAAAAAAAAAAAAAAAAGGCTGCACTGGGATACAGAAGTTGAGAGTTGGTGAACAGCTGACAAAACTGAGGGAACAGCACATATCCTGGCACGGAGGTTTGAAATGGCATAAAGGGGAGGAGCAGAGTGCCTGTGTAGGGAGCTAAAGTAAGACCCTCATGTCCTGGAGGAGTTTGCAAAGGAGAGGGTAGTTAAATCGTTGCATCCTTCCAGAAATGGAAATCAGAAGCAAAATATAGGGTGTGTTTTATGTAAACCAGATTTATTTTGCAAGTTTAAAAGAAGGGGAACATCACACACGGGGGTCTGTCAGGGGGTGGGGGTCAAGGGGAGGGAAATATTAAGGACATTTATAACATTTTGTCACCCCACTCTACACATACATGCGGAGCTTAAAACCTAGATGATGGGCTGATAGGTGCAGGAAACCACCAGGGCACATGTATACCTATGTAACAAACCTGCACGTTCTTCACATGTATCCCAGAACTTAAAGTAAAATTTTTAAAAAGCTTACTTAGATACTAATCTAGGAAATGAATCAAGTCTTCTTTAGATATCCAAAGTGAATTTATTTACTCATTTGCCAGGCATTTATTGACCTTCTGTTACATGCCAGACCCTCAACCAGCAGTTGAATGAGACATTTCATACCACATAAGTGTCAAGGCCAGAGGACGGCCTGCTTTGTGAGTTCTACCAAAGGCAAAAAGGGTAGTGTGGCCAATAGTGGATGGCCCAGAAAGCAGAGAGAGTGGCTGCAAATGCTGCCAGAGACTCAGACAGGGCCAGATCATACTTGGCGTCCTCGATAGAAAAACAACATGAAGCTTTTAGAGGGCTTTTAATCAGAGGAATGATCTTATTTAATTTGTGTATTTACTACTTCATTTTGTCATCCTACTCTACACACACACATGAGTTTTAGCCAGTGGATACTGTTGGTGGGTGCAACATATGATTTAGGAAACTAAATCAGTAGGCTTGTGGTCAGGAATTTTTTTATAATTCCAAGATAAGAACTAGAAAAGGAACAAGTGATACATTTGCCAGATTCCTGTTATAAAGATGGTAGAACCTCGATTTAAATTGTTTTCTGCGCTGATGCTTTATATTTGACACCTTGCATGCTGATCTCGGGGAGGCTAGTTACCTATTAACATGACATCCAAGTGTCTGAGACCTCAGGGTGGGTAAATTGATGCTGACTTGGATAGTTGGCTCCTGACATCAAAAGTTGTTTCAGCAGTTTGCAAGCTCACCCGTCCAGCCACTTTTGATTTTTCTTGAGTCATCTCCAGGTATCTGCTGTCACACATACTGCTCCGTCTATTCCTGGGTTAATGTTTGACAAGCTTGTCTGGCTTCTTCCAGAATTAGTCTGTTTGAAAAAGTTCCATTCATTAGCGTCCACATGTAAAAAATGGGAAAGATTGTCACATCTCTGGGCATGTCAGTATATGCTAATGAAGCTGCATATTAAGGACATTTATTTTCTCATTTTCAGGAAGGCAAAGGTACTAACAGGTGATTGTGGTGTGAATGATTTATGTGAAGCATCTATCTCTGCTATAATCAAAGATGGGGAGCAATAGCAGAAAATTGTCATGTGGGCCCTTAGCGCTGGTTTGAATATTGAAATTTCAATCCAGTTAACTCTTCTAGTGATACTTGTTTTATCCCTGATCTAAGGGCCAAAAAAAAAAAAAAAAAAACCACCAGATTTTTTTGGTGGCTTTTTTTAATCTTTTGCCGTTCAATAGATATATTTTACGATTCTGCTTTCACTTGTTCGTCATTATCTTCAAAACAACATTTAGAAATAAAAACAAAACTAAATAAGAAGAAAACAAACTTTTTTTTTCCTTTCGGGGGTCCCAACCCACTGCCTGTGATTGCCTGAGTGGATGGCTGCGTCCCTGATCCTTCCTGCCTGGCTTCTCTGATAAACCCTGCAGCACGTCCCTTTTCTCTCTGCAGACAGCATTAACAGAACTGATCCTGTATCTTCTAGGTTTCCTGTACGCTCAGAACAGCACCAAGCGCAGCATTAAAGAGCGGCTCATGAAGCTCTTGCCCTGCTCAGCTGCCAAAACGTCGTCTCCTGCTATTCAAAGCAAGTTTGTTTTTTTGTTTTTTTTTTTCCTCCGAAACTCTTGTTTCGTTTCTTTAGGCCTGCATGCATTGCCGTTCTCTACAAAGAATCAGTATATTCTACAAAAGCAATCTATTGATGTACTCATGTTTACCTAAATACCCAGGAGAACATTTGGGCAATTAGGAGTCATTTTCCATTTTGCAGACTGACAGCACAGTCTTAGTGACAGGAGCCTGTCCTGCAAAACACTGGGACATTTTTGTTTGATGTAAGGGATGGGGACTGGACTCAAGTAACTGTAGGAATTCCTATTGCTTGCCTTGTTAGCAGAGCAGCTGGACACTTTAACATATGACCTTGTACATTGTTTGACTCTCATCCACTGGGTCTATAATCCCAGTGGACACTGCCCAAATTCAGAAATATCACTAGATTAGAAAAAAGATTACAAAGTGTCATTTAAATAAACGTGACTTTTCTTCTTTGTTGATTCTTTCCCTGTATCAGTCAAGATTCTCTAGAAAAACAGAACCAATACATACTCATGTGCATACACATAAGCATATACATATCATATACATACATACACATGCATATACACACATGTACATATGCATATATGTAAAGAGACTTATTTGAAGGAATTGGCTCACACCATTATGGGGACTGGCATGTCTGAAATTCATAGAATATGCTGGCAGCTGGAAGTTCAGGAAGGATTTGATGTCACAGTCTTGAGGCAGGATTTCTTCTTCAGGAAGCCTCAACTGATTAGATGAGGCCCACCCACATTATTCAGGGTAATCTATGCTTAACTTAATGTCAACTGATTATAGATGTTAAGCACATCGACAAAATACCTTCACAGCAACACTTAGATTAGGGTTTGATTAAATCACTGTGTACTATAGCCTGCCGAACTTGACAAGTGAGGTTAACCATCACATTCTCCATCTTCTTTTTCTCTATTTTGTGGCATTCTTAAAGAGTAGAAAATAGAGGAATATCTAAAGGAAATCCTCAGCTTATTTTATAAAGATGCTATATAACTTAGAATATACATTGACAAATATTCTCTGTGTACAAACTTTCTTTTATACACAATTTTTTTCAAGCATCAAACAACTCTTAGAATCAGACAGAGAAGGTGGTGTTATTTGCTAGTGAGAAAATGCAACATTAAAAATCTAGGTGGAATTCCCTGAGTATTGGGGCTATAACCCACAGCTCCACCTACTCGCTTTTTATACTGCTACACCATTTTGTAGGAACTCATGGATTCAATTAGTGATTTAAAAATATGAATGCACTAAAATGTCATGGGTCTCCACAACACAAATGAGAAAATATGGAAAGAACCACAAACAACATAATACATTCAGTGAAAAGTCCCAGAATAGAATAGCAATTTGTTTCAATGGCACTGACCAAAGGTGATATATCATCATAATAAGATTTAATTAATTTGCTTATTCATTCAACAAATATTTATTGTATGTCACTGCCTGCTTCTTGTGCTGGGAGATGGAGCAGTGACTAAAACAGATTAAAAACCAAACCAAAACAAAACAAAACAAAGAAAGCTCTTCTATTAGAGCTTACATTATATTCTGTGGGGAGAGGAGGCAGAACTAAATAACTTTCGTTAGCACTAAGCCAATGCACATACAAAAATTAAAATTATAGTTTAGATACATTGCTGTGATTTTTTTCTTTCATTGCACACACATGCACACCATCTCACAAAACATAACATCATCAGCAACCTGGAAGACCATAATCTAGAAAAATGCCAGAGCCCTAATCCTACATGATATTGAAGCTGCAGGCACTTTTATTGCCACTATTTGTCAAAGATTGTTGGTTATTAGAGTCATTGCTTTTCTCCTTTCAGGTTGGAATCAAAATTGCCAATTTATTAGATATTTGCTGAAAATATAGTCATTTGTACACTGTAGATAGGTAAAATGTAACTTTCAAATGGATCTCTGTATTCACGTAGAGAAGTAGAAAATTGTCATGTCTCGTTAGCACTCTTCTGCACCAGCGTCTGATAAAGCCATGCCCCCAAATAAATGTTCACAGAGGATGCAATGCAATTTTCAACTAACTGTGAGGGAAAAGGATGTTTTGAGAGGAAAAAAAATAGAAAATACTAAAAAAATGATCAGAATCACTTTAAATACTAATGGGATTGTATAGTACTGGCTGATACTGAACCTACGCTAGACTTAGCTCGTGATTTGTGGACCCCATAAGACTCCTGCCTTCTCCTCTTCCTTTTTCGCCTTCTCCTCCAGGGTTGGAAAGGTGAATGGTTTATCATGTTTGCAAAAGTCTCTCATGTTCAGGACAGTCAATTTGGAAAGTGCAAAGAAAGATAAGAGCCCACACACACGTGCACGCCACACACACATAATCTGCTACCATGAAGTAACTACAAATAACTAGTAATATCTTTTTTCCCATCAATGTATATGTACTAATTATGTCATATCAATACCAAATTTTTATTATTTCATTTACATGATATACTTTCATAAATATCAGCCCTGCTATTAAAACTTTTTATAAAATCATTTTTAATGGCAAGCATAATACTACATTGCATAACTCTAGTATATTGTATTTGATCCCATTCTCTGCCTTTGGATATTTAGAGTTTTCCTCTTTTTACCTCCCACTCTCAATATAAATAGCACCATGATAAATGGCTTTGTGTATATATCTATCTATGCTTTTAAAATTACTTTCCCCTAAATTTTGAATTATTGGATAAAAGAACTGATTTATCTGAATGCAAGCTTCCCAATTTATATTAGAAAATTTTTCCACAAATTGGCCTTTCAAATGTTTTTCAGCAAAGCATACATATTTCTTCTTGAGTTCTGTTGTTATTTAGGCATAATATTCTTAATACTTCGAAATTATATACCTTTTATAGTCATTTGTTAAATACAGATTTAAACTATTAGTTCTGGTGTTTGTGCCTCAAACGAAAGCATTAAAAGAAGCAGCATATGACAAAGATTTTCTGCATGAAGAACCATAGACATTCTTAAATGTTTGAAAATTAAATGTATTTCTCATTTTTAAAATGTCAAAGGCAAAACTTCTAAGTCCCAAACTACTGTGTTAAATAAACCACATATCTTGACTTTGATGTTTGAGAAGACTATCAGACAAATATCAAAAAGCGCCATTGTCTTGGAAATGTACCAGGAAGCAACACACATGGCTTCAAGACAGGAGGTGACAGATCTATGCCATAGCCAATGGCCTTCTCCCATCGAGCTACCTGATTGGTAGTTGAGCAAGAGTAATAGATATCATCTAATGAGAATTAATTTAGGCCTTAGAATGTCTTCCACCTGACACTAGTATCGCCTCAACCAGAGTAAGAAATGAGACAGGGATAGAGTCAGCAGTACCTTGGCTGTGAACAAAGAATTGTCTTGTTCACATTTTTGGCCCATCCCACGATCCCCTAGGCAGTCAATTGCCCGCAGCTCTTTGAACCTCCATCCCAGGATGCGGATGAATGCACAGCCAGATGTAGTCTCCTAATCACCATCACTCTGTAGCACTCACTCTGAGCGTCTTATATCATTCATTGGCATCAAGAGCTGTCCAGTTGCTGAAGTCGGAATCTTCTCTCTGCTTAATGATCCCCCACCCACCATCTTAATGGCTACTAAACTCTGGTCAGTGTTCTCTCTGAATATCTTTTAATTTCACTTTTTTTTGTCTCTTTTGCTACAGCTCTGAGCCAGCTCAGACTTTTATGATCTCTTCCAAGAACTATTGAAAGAGGCAAAGAGGGGCATTGTGGGTTTTAGCATCATCCTGGCATGTGTTTGAATTCCTGTTGTGCCTCATACTAAACAAAATGCCTGTTTATTACTGTAAACTTATTTACATAAATTCTCCACCTCTTAATTTCGTTATTTGGTCATTCATTCCACAATATTTTTAGAGACCATATAGGGCAGGCATGATACTAGACACTCACTTTCTAGTGAAGAGTGGAACACAGTTTACTACCTTCCTGGAGCTTATGTAGGAAGAGAGAGAATAAACAAGAAAACAAAGGTAATCTGGGAAGTGATAAGTGTTATAGCAGAAGTAAACCTGTGGTAATATGATGGAAAGGGAATATATGCAGGGGACATATCTTGATTGGCTCAGAGAAAGCCTCATTGACAAGATGTCTTTTAAGTCCTTAAAATAAAAGGAAAGCCAGTAATGTGAAGGTCTGGAGAGAGTGTCCTAGAAGGAGGAAAGGGCCATGGTTTATTGGAGACAAAAAAGATTACGATTATCAGAAAATGGATTGTCATGGGAATAATCCATGCAAAGTATTTAGTATAGGAAATATCATGAGCATGAATCAATGACAAGTATGAACTCAGTTGATGTTCCCAACCACCTTCTGAGGTAGGTACATAGAATGACTAAAAAAACTGAGGCACATAGAAACAAAACAAATGCCCCAGTTGGCAGAGCTAGAATTCTGACTCCATAGCCTGCTGTCTTCATCACTTTAGCAGGCTGAGCTCCACTGATGACCTCTGATATTGATTGAGGGAGCTCTTATAGGTCTAGAGTAGTAGCTGTTTTTCCTAATGTAAATCTTTAAATTGGAAAAAAAAAAAGAGAGAGAGAAAACATTAGCTCTGGCCCTTTGCCTGCAGGAGGATAGGTTTTACCCAATTCACAATTGAGGTAGCTGTGGCCTGAAAAGGTTATAATGATTTGAGCAGAATCCCACAACTGAGAAGTTGAATAAACAAAAACTTATACCCAAAAGAACCTTACTCCAGTGATACAGATACGCTTACTGTCTGACTGCAAGATTTGAGACTGTCATACCCATAGAAGAAAACTTACTGGAAAAATTCAAGGAGAGGAAAAGAAAATTTCATACGGTTGGCACCCAGGAGAGCCAGTTGGACTACATGGTTTTTAAAGAAATAGTCATCACATTTTAAGTGATTTACAGCATATTATAACAATAGTAGTAATAATAATAGCCTACTATAAGGAATATAGGCTATTTTACATATGAGGAAACTGAAGACTAGACAAGGGAGATTATTTGCTCAAAATCACAGAGCTTCTGAAAAAAATCTGAAATCAGAAACTCAACTCCAAATCCAGTACTTTCCAACACTGAAATTCTATGATTCAGTATCAGTCAGGGTCCAGGAAGGAAAAAAAGGCATATTTAAATAGGGCAACAGGGGATAGTTGAATGAAGGGACAATTTGCAAAGGTATGCGCAGGGTTTATTGAGCCAATAAGGCTATGAAACATTCAGTGTTAGCAAGAACGAAAGTTACGATTTCTAGGTTGATGGTTACTAGAAGGTGGAAAAAGCCATAGCTATAGCTGTAACAATAAAAAAGGGCTCTGGTCCTTGGATAAGAAATGCAGCTATTGTCAACTCACCAAAGAGCGAGCCCAGATGATAAGTACCACAACCTCTCCCTTTTCCTCTTCACCCGTGGCCAAACCCAATGGGAAACCAGAAGGGCAAGGAGTCCAGATAATATTGTCCACAAAGGTCAGCCTTCCAGAACCATAGTAGCATTTAGAAAGAAGGAGGCTAAATGATGGAAGATGTTTTCCAGAGTCTGTAGATCTTAGGAGCCAGGTGTTGTGATCTACAGGATCAGCGACAATTCCTAGAGTCAGTCACACTAAGAGTCAGTCAGACTTAGAGTCACACTCCTCTTATAAGATTTCTTCATGGGCCAGGCGCGGTGGCTCACGCCTGTAATCCCAGCACTTTGGGAGGCCGAGGTGGGTGGATCACGAGGTTAAGAGATGGAGACCAGCCTGGCCAACATGGTGAAACCCTGTCTCTACTAAAAATACAAAAAATTAGCTGGGCGTGGTGGCACGTCTGTAGTCCCAGCTACTTGGAAGGCTGAGGCAGGAGAATCACTTGAACTCCACTCCAGGAGGTGGAGGTTGCAGTGAGCTGAGATCGTGCCACTGCACTACAGCCTGGCGACAGAGTGAGACTCCATCTCAGAACAAAAAAAAAAAGATTTCTTCCCAATTCCGTGGCATCTTGGAGGCTGACAGCTGGCTCGTGAATGTACATTGATATTGAGTAGCTATTTACAGGATTAAGGGATTTAGCTACTTTATGGATGACTTAATGTCAAGAAATTCCTAGCTACTATACTTTATGTAAGCACAAACACTTTTTTAAAGAAAGAATAAATGCTGTCAAGTCTCTGGCTATAACTCCTTATTGAATAACTCTGAGTAACTCACTTTATCTCTCTATGCCCCAGTTCTTTTACCAAAGAATAAAGTAGTCATTTTCCTTACTCATTCAATGGACATTATTTGACAAAAAGGCACTTACTAGATAATGGTCAGGAAATAATACAAAAGATAAAACATTCAACACTTGATTATCTGTATATTTGTATGTGTTCACATTTTTATCTAAATTTAACTCATAACAACATCTACCCAGCACTATCTCAGTGCCCTCATTCAATCAAAATAATTGATTCACTAAATTAGAGCTTCATTCCAGGGGTTTTTGTTTTTTATTTGAGCAGAAATGGGAGCATGAATATGACAAGGTTATGGTGAGACTAGACCACTCATCAATAAACCACCATCAGTACATTGCCTTGCATAACTGCAAAACATAATTTCCTAACTGTGTTTCAGGTTTTTGGCATGAAATATACCATAACATTTCAGTGTGTTTTGTTTTTCCCGGTAGCATATTGATCATAGAAATTTTTAGATGCTCTGTTGGCAGAGAAACCATCAGCATTTGGCTGTTGGAGGATTTGTTTGCAAAAAGCAACTTGAATGGCCAACATGTTGCCCATTAAAAATACAACAGTAACCTCCAGGATTTTTTTTTTAATGTTTAACCTCTGACAGTTAATTAATCTCATGCTAACTCCTTGGTGAATTTAGCTAAAGGCTCTGACCTAGGCATGTAGTCAGGAAAATCTGTGGAAGAACAGAGGCATAACCCATGTTAAATGTAAATTTAATATTTACGTATTTCTTAATAGAAAGCAAGATTCATTCAATTTCATTTTAAGCCCTAAAAGTGTCATGTTCAAACCCTCAGATGTTATTTTTATCTATTTAACAAACATTTAGAACTTACTATGTGTCTGGTACAGTTTTAAGTGGCTTGCACAGTATAACTCATTATATCCTAAAAATAACTCTGTAAGGTGGACAGGATTATACCCATTTTACAGAATAGGAAACTGAGGTATGAGGGATTATTTAATTTCTGAATCACATCATCAGCAAGAGGCATGGGAGTAGGGGAAGAGATTGAACACAGCAGTGGAGCTGCAAAGTCTCTGTACTTTACCAATTCTCTAGTTACGTTCAACGTTCTGGTCAGTTTTACAAAAAAATATGACTAGATCTTTTTCCACTTACCTGCTCAACATGGGACCGTCATACACAGCACATATTGTGCAGGAAGATGGTGGTAGCCCCTTGAATGAGTTTTTTTTTTTTCCTTCTCTCTGGGCCTTTCACCATCCACGAATAAGAAGTAGAGACTGTGCCCAAGTCTCTTTCCAGATCTAGCATTGCAGCAGCCATTGAGACGGCATTATTTCTGGCTGTGACAAATGGTGGAGGTTTCAAAGCTAACACAGATTTCCTCCTTTTGTGGTACTTCACTGTCCATGAAAGGCAGAACATGGGAAACATTAGAAACTCCATTTAACCCTGCTGTAATACCAATTGGCCCTATCGTTCAGATATTGGCTATATGTTTTACCTATTAGAATATTTGTTTCTTACACGTGTATGGGCTTTTACAAGTTTTAAAATTCTTTCTTTTGAATATTTCATTTTCATAAAACCCCTTTGATAATGGCAGATCACAAGGGTTATAATCTCTATCTTCCAAACTAAAAAAAAAAAAAAAGAGATGAAGTGGCTTGCCCAAAGTCACATTGATACTTAGTGAAAAAAGGAAAATTGCGGGTTTTTTTTCCTGGTCCATTATATATCTACCAGAAGTTGTCATTAAATCATTCACAGGTTTTAGTATAGGAAAGCTAGAGGTAGGAGTGTCAGGACACCTGTTTTCTGTTGACAAATTTAATGAATTTCACTTCAATATGGCAGACATTTATGGAACACTATTTGAAAAGCAATAGTTCCAGGCACAGGGGAACACTCAGATCACTACATCTGAAGACTAACATTGTACTGAAATAAACAGACACATATGTAGATCTAAGACACAACGAATACAAGTAAAGTGCTGTGAATGCTGTGAGAGGCAAAACTAGAGAGATACTAGAGTTAAAAAGTTGAACGTGATAACTCTGGGATTAGCCTATTTGGTTCAAATCCTCATTCTGTGACTAACTAGTTATAGAAACTTTAGTTAAGCTACTTATCCCTTCTGGGCCTCAATTTCCTCATCCATAAGGTAGAAATGATAGTAAATAATCTGTAAGTTTGCTCAAAGGATTAATGAGCATGTAAAGTGTTTAGAACAGTTACTGGCTAATACATGGTCACTAAATGTTGGCTGTTTTTGCTGTCATTCTCCTGCTACTACGATGATCACAACTACTGTAGTGATACTGGTGAAATTCAATCTCACCTAGGTGCATTTCACAAAGAGTTAATATTTCAGCAGGGCCCTCTGGAGAAGAATCATCATTTCATCAGAGGGGAAAAAAAGGAGGAGCATTCTAGGTACTTCAAAAGATAAAGCTTAGCCAGTCAGGAGGGGCAAGAAGTATGAAAGAGAAGCAGCCAGCAAAGTGATCTGGGGCCAGATTTTGAAAACTTTCCTGGGCACTATGCTGCATTCACTCTGCAGAGAGGCAATGGGGATTTTAAGTTAGGTTTTTAAGTTGAGGAGTGATTTTTCATCTTGTCTGGCACTTGGGGATGGCTGGTCAGCCAAGAGTAGAGGGAGCTAGATATGTGCCAAATTTTAGAAGGGATGATGTGAACTTGAAGTTAGAGAAAAGACTAGCAAAGGATCAAGAACAATATTTGAAGACAAGAGACAGACAGGTGTCAAAACTAATAACCAAACTTAGTGGGATATTGGCTTCTGAATCAATGAACCAACTGAAACTCAGTGGTAAAATAACACCAAAAATAAGTCAGAAGACAAATTGTTGAGAGAGAAAGAGAAAGACGACAAGAAAATTAGTTGGAAACTGCTTGAAAAGTCTGTGCAAGACAGTATCAATAGCTAACACTTGAGCATAATGCTATTTTAAGCCTGAACAATTACTCTTAATATTTACTGCAAGTCTGTGAGGAAGGTACAATTACAACCTCCACTGAAAAGAGAAAACTAAACAAAGAAATTAAATCACTCACCCAGCACCTAACAATTATGACACATCAAAGCAGGGATTTTACCTTCAATGGCATAATACCAAAGCTTAGTGTCTTTACCACTAGACTGCCCTGCCTACAAGAGATGACAAAAGTCAAAACATGGCAATCGTGGTGGAAGGGAGAGGATAAATTTGAAACACATGGTGGAATTGTGCGTAATTGGAAATATTGAAAAACAATTTGTGATATTGAGTGAAAGATAGGAAAGAGATGAAGTGACTCCACCAAAATGATAATGGTGAAATTTATCAAGATAAGGAACATAGAGGGAAGGCCATGAAGGTCAGTTAGGGAGAGATGGTAGTTTTATTTTAGACATCTTGGCTTTAAATACTTGAATAACACAAATTTTTGAAACAAGAATTAAACAAGCTTAGTTTTTGATTAGTGCATCTTTTGTTTTTTTCAGGTTACCTATGTGATTAAGTCTTTTGCTTCCCACTTGATTTTTCCACTTTTGTTACTGTTAATTTGGGCCAGAATGGGTAGAATGATGACTACTTACAAAACACTGTGTAGACTGTTAGATAAATGAGAGCCTTCTTTGTTTTATGTAATATTTTCATAATGGTAACCAAGGTAGCTTCTCGTAGGAGCTATACAACCTATTTTCCATTTTCATTGGCCTAAAAAGTAATATTTGAGCTAAACATGAGTCTGGTCGATGAGTCTGGTTTCTGCTGAAATGGGAACCTAATTCTTCAAAGAGCCTCAATTTTCTACTCCACCAGGTCTATAAAATACAGAGCATTGTTTTTTTATCTGCTTAGATTGCAGGGTTCAAGTTTAGCCTTCTTACATTTCAAATTGCCTTTTGCCAAGGGTTTTGAAGCACCAAGTGTGACAGGCAGCAATTCTTGATGGTAATATTGGTCCATCTTTATTTGTAAGGTTTCATTAAAAAGAGGAAGTAGAAGAACAAAAGATGAGTTCTGGAGATGAACTGACAGTATAAAACCTTATTTATCTTTCAGCAAACCATTCTCCTTTGAGGCTGGGGAGAAAAACAATCCCATAGCATATTACAGTGTTTTCAGACTCTGCTTAGAGGTGGACATATTCTTCATTGAGTGTTCCTGAGGATATTAAAAATCACATTTATTTCAATAGCAGTGTGAAACTAATGCTTTAGGTGAGCAGATGTTAGAAGGATCAGTGTCAAAATCATCATATCATTACAGAAATCCTGTATGTGGATTCATCGCTATGATATACCACACACTATGAAAGATTATACTCTAATGGGAGAAATGGAGCAGAGTCTGGACAGTAAATTTTCATGCTTTGTTTTGCAAAGCATTTTTCCTGAGTTCTCTGAACTCACTTCCAACTCTTTTCACTTAATAATGTTGTGGGAGATTTTATGATTTTTTGCCACATGACTGCCACATCTTGGTGACATCAAGATGAGTTTAGGCATCATTATTTGGATGCCATGTTTACATGCAAGCTGCCCCTGGACTAAGAGGAAAAAAGAACTCAAAGAGAGACACTGTTTATCCCTGGGCAAATGTTTGAAGACATGAAGAATATGTAAAGACCATGTGGAAACTGTGTCTGTGTTGAATGAATGTTAAATACAGCCATGCTGCTCAGTTATTTTCTTGTTGGTGAATACCACCATGAACAGGAAGCTCTGTGACATGCCACCAGGAGAGGAAACCCACAGGAAAAGTAATTCTTAGAAAATGGTCATTTCTAGGCTGATCCTGCTTTGGGCTTTCCTACTCTGGAGTCCCTGCCACTCCCTGGCCCTTTTAATTTTTTTTTTTAAATGTATTCCTTCATTCCATAAAAGAAAGAATTACTGTTATATTTTCTGCCAATGTATACCGCCTTAGTGATCACATTGAGTTTGATGGTCTTAATATTACTTATATAGTGATGACTCTGATATTCACATCTTCAGCCAGACTGTGCTTATCAACTTCAGAACCATGTCTCCATCCAGCCACTTGACATTGCCACTCCGATGTCCAATTGGTGACTCTTCCATTAGAATTTCAGGCCCATGGGAGAGAGAATTTGGTTGTTTTTGTTCATTCTAATGTCCATTGTACCTTGACCAATGCCTGGGTCATAATAGGCACTCAATCAATATTTAATGAATAAATGAATAAATTGTCTCTAATGCCCAGGCCATACTAGGCATTAGTGGTAATAAGATAACCAAGATAGATCTCTTGCCTCTAAATGTTTATATCACAGAGGAAATGACAGATATTCAAAGAGATCATTGATATACAAAGCCATCAGAGGTGACAAGTGCACAGGGTGTGTGAATGTCTCAGGAGGCCTCTCCTCTGTGAAGCCCCTTCCCCACTGAAATGAGCCTTAGAGAATAGAGACAGAGAAGGTTGAGGAGGAAGAACGGCAAGTTCATTTAGTGGGGATAGGATAAGCAAAAACACAGAAGTTGGCAATTCAGACTTCATTCAGGGAATAGCAAACCATTCAGGATATTAAATCATAAGTTGTGTGGGAGGAAATGAGAGACTATAAAGCTCAGTTATTGTCTCAAATTCTATTCCAAAAGATGATTTTTATTCCCCTATCAATTCCAAACAGGAAGAGTATAAAAGGTCCTCAGGGAGCTGTGGTTTCTAGTGGATCCCACAATTAGCAATTCAACAGCAAGAAGTGCCTGCAAAATGAAGCAGCTGGGTACAATTTAGGGGACAAAGATTTTTTCAAATGACAGAATTACTCTCGCCATGTGTATTAGTTTGTTCTCACATTGCTAGAAAGAACTACCTAAGACTGGGTGATTTATGAAGAAAAGAGGTTTGATTAACTCACAGTTGCACAGGCTGTAAAGGAAGCATGGTTGGGGAGGCCTCAGGAAACTTACAATCATGATGGACGGGTGAAGGGGCAGCAAGCAGCTTCTTCACATGGTGGAGTGGGAGAGACAGAGTGAAGGGGGCAGTGCTACACACTTTTAACAACTAGATCTCCTGAGAATTCACTCACTATCACAAGAACAACAAGGAAGAAATCCACCCCCATGATCCAGTCACCTCCCACCAGGTGCCTCCCCCAACACTGGGAATTACAATTCAACATGAGATTTGGGTGGGCACACGCAGCCAAACCTTATCACTCTGTGTCTTTGGACAGTTTATTCAACTTCTCTGTACCTCAATGTACCCATCGAAAATGGGCAAAATCATACTTATCTCAAAGAACATTTTAATAAGTGATATAATAATAAGTATTTTAAACACTATGTGCCAGCCACTATTTTACATGTTTTATACACATTATTTTATTTCAACCTCCTGACAACATTTTATAGTAGGTTCCATTGCTCTTCCCCTTTTATTGATGAAGAAACTGAAGCATAGACTAAGCACTTTGCCCAAGGTCACACAGAGCTAACAAGAGTCAGAAAAATGATTCAAACTCAGAAAGTGCTGTGTTAGACCCCTCACTCCTAAATATTCTAGAATAACACCTCAATTAGTATGTATGCAATAATTATAATAGTCATCATTACTGTAATTTATTATTACTGCCTGCCAGTAATTCAATCTCTTAAAACAACTTTAAGAAATTGATACAAATATTATCCCCAGTTTATAAATTTTAAAATTAAGGCTTGGAAACATTAAACACATTGTCCAGCCAGAGGTGGGAAATAGACCCAAGAAGGAAAGCTCAGAGGAACTGAATAATTTGTCAGAATTAGCACTCCCAGGCACTGTTCTGCTCCTAGTGTTGAAGGTAACACTAGATATTACTGCAAATATTTCTAATACTACTACTCATTATATGAACAACAATATCATTAATTGAATGTTTACTATGTGCCAGACACATATACCATCTCATTTAATGCCCACAGTTACCTTATTCTATAATATTAACTACTTTTTTGTCTATTTCTATGCCATTGAACATGTGGGGGAATTAAGGCCAAGGAGGAAACTAGGTTAAAAGTAGAAGGAACATAACAAAACCCAGATCACTGCTCAGTTTTCCTAATAGCTTTTTTAAACATAGATGGATAAATGTTTTAGTGCAGAATACTTTTGTCATCACTGATATTAGCTGCAAATCATCCCCCTAATATACCAGCAAAAATTTATTATAACTATGCTTATCCAAACTCTGCTTAACTCACTAGGTAATCAATTCCATCTGTGTACTGCCTACTTTCTAAGGCAACACAGTAACATCTTATGAATTAGGCATGATATTTTGCATAAATACATTACCTGTATGTCTATCTCTTTACAGTAATGTTCTTCTTTTTCAAATTCTATGTTAGATACAGTAGGTACATGTTCAGATTTGTTACATGGGAGTATTGCATTATGCTGAGGTTTGGAATTAGGATCCTGTCACCTTGGCAGTGAGCATAGTACCCAATAGGTAGTTTTTCAATGTCCCGCCTTCCCAGTAGTCTGTAGTGTCTACTGTTCCCATATTTATTTCCATGCGTGTTCAATGTTTAACTCTCACAAGTAAGAACATGCAGTATTTGTTTTTCTATTCCTATGTTAATTTGCTTGGGATTATGGCTTCCAGCCCTATTCATGTTGCTGAAAGGACAAGATTTCCTTCTTTTTTAATGGCTGCATAGTATTTCATGGTGTCTGTGTACCTCATTTTCTTAATCCAATCTACCACTGATGGGCACCTGGGTTGATTCCACTTCTTTGCTATTGTGAAGAGCACAGTGATGAACATATGAGTGCATGTGTCTTTTTGGTAGAATTATTTGTTTTCTTTTGGGTGTGTACCCAGTAATGTGATTGCTGGGTCAAATGGTAGCCCTGTTTTAAGTTCTTTGAGAAATCTCCAGACTGCTTTCCACAGTGGCTGGACTAATTTACATTCCCACCATGTGTAAGAATTCCCTTTACTCTGCAGCCTCACCAGCATCTGTTTTTGGACTTTCTAATAATAGCCATTCTGACTGGTATGAGATGGTATCTCATTGTAATTTAGATTTACATTTCTCTGATGATTACTAATACTGAGTGTTTTTTCATGTTTGTTGGCCACCTCTGTGTCTTCTTTTGAGAAATGTTGATTCATGTCCTTTGCCCGTTTTTAAAGGGGGTTATTTGGTTTTAGCTTGTTGATTTAAGTTCCCTACTGTATAGATTCTTGGTATTAGGCCTTTGTTGGATACATCATTTGTGAATATCTTCTCCCATTCTGTAGGTTACCTGTTGGCTTTGTTGATAGCTTCTTTTTTTTATTATTATTATACTTTAAGTTTTAGGGTACATGTGCACAATGTGCAGGTTTGTTACATATGTATACATGTGTCATGTTGGTGTGCTGCACCCATTAACATTAGGTATATCTCCTAATGCTATCCCTCCCCACTCCCTCCACCCCACAACAGGCCCCAGTGTGTGATGTTCTTGTTCCTATGTCCATGTGTTCTCATTGTTCAATTCCCACCTATGAGTGAGAACATGCAGTGTTTGGTTTTTTGTCCTTGCGATAGTTTGCTGAGAATGATGGCCTCCAGCTTCATCCACGAAGATCAAGTGTAGGATAATTTCTTTTACTGTGCAGGAGCTCTTGAGTTTAATTAGGTCCCACTTGTCTATTTTTGTTTTGTTACAATTGTTTTTGGGAACTTAGCCAAAAATTATTTGCCACAGTTGATGTTGAGAAAAGTATACCCTAGGTTGTCTTCCAGGATTTTTATAGTTTGAGATTTACATTGAAATCTTTAATCCATTTCGAGTTAACTTTAGTATATGTTGAAAGGTGGGGGTCCAGCTTCAATCTTCTGTGTATAGTTAGCCAGTTATCCCAGCTCCATTTATTGAATAGGGAGTCCTTTCCTCATTGCTTGTTTTTGTCAGCCTTGTCAAAGATCAGACGGTGGTAGGCGTGTGACTTTATTTCTGGGTTTTCTATTCTGTTTCATTGGTCTAGGTGTCTGTGTGTATAGCAGTACCAAGCTCTTTTAGTTACTGTGGCTTTATAGTAGAGTTTAAAATCAGGTAGTGTGATGTCTTGGGCTTAGTTTCTGTTTTATTTTTTCTTTTGCTTATAGGATTGCTTTGGCTATTCTGGCTCTTATTTGGTTCCATATGAATTTTAGAATACTTTTTTTCTAATTCTGTGAAGAATGTTCTTAGTAGTTTGACTAGAATAGTATTTAATCTATAAATTGCATTGGGCAGTATGGCCATTTTTATAACACTGATTCTTTCAGTCTACAAGAATGAAATGCTTTTCCATTTATTTGTGTCACTTTGATTTCTTTCAACAGTATTTTGTCGTTCTCCTTGTGGAGATCTTTCACCTCCTGGGTGAGCTATATCCCTAAGTATTTTATTTTCTTTGTGAATATTGTAATTGAGACTGTGTTCTCGATTTCACTTTCAGCCTGGACGTTGTTGGTGTGTAGAAATGCTACTGAGTTTTGTGCATTGATTTTGTATCCTGAAACTTTACTAAAGTTGTTTATCAATTCTAGTCACCCTTTGAAAGGATCTTTAGGATTTTCTAGGTATAGAGTCATATCATCAGTGAAGAGAGATAGTTTGACTTCTTCCTTTCCTATTTAAATGCCTTTTATTTCTTTCTCTCACCTGAATGTTCTGGCTAGGACTTCCAATACCATGTTGAATAGGAGTGGTGAGAGTGAGCATCTTTGTCATGTTCCAATTCTCAAGAAGAATGGTTGGAGCTTTTGCCCATTTAGTATGATGTTGGCTGTGGGTTTGTCATAGATGTCTCTTATTATTTTGAGCTATGTTATTTAGATGCCTAGTCTGGTAAGGGTTTTTATCATAAAAGGATATAGGGTGTTACTGAAAGCTTTTTCTGTGTCTATAGAGATGATCATAATGTTCCAGCTTTTGATTCTGTTTACGTAGTGAATCACATTTATTGATTTGCATATGTTGAACCAACCTTTCATCCCAGGAACGAAGCCTACTTAATTGTGGCGTATTAACTTTTTGATGTGCTGCTGGATTCAATATGCTAGTCTTTTCTTGAGGATTTTTTTGTCTGTATTCATGAGGGATATTTGTCTGAAATTTTCATTTTTGGTTGAGTCCTTGCCAGAGTTTGGTATCAGGGTGATGCTGGCTTCATAGAATGAGTTAGGGAGGGGCTCCTCCTCCTTGATATTTTGGAATAGTTTTAGTAGGAATGGTATCAGTTCTTCTTAGTATGTCTGGTAGAATTCAGCTATGAGTCCATCTGGTCCAGAGCTTTTTTTAGTTGGCAGGTTCTTTATTACTGACTCAATTTCAGAAGGTGTATAAACGTTTTAAAATGTTATTTATATGTTTATGGTGTACAACATGACGTTTTGATGTACATATAGATGGTGAAACACTTACTGTAGTCAAGCAAATTAACATGTTCATTATCTCAGATAGTTACCCATTTTTATATGTAGCAAGAGCATCTAAAATCTATTCTTTTAGCAAAGATCACAAATACAATATTAACTATAATTTTCATGTTGTAATTTAGATCTCTAGACTTGTTCATCCTATATGTTACTTTCTATACCTTGACCTACATCTCCCTAGTTCCTCCCCACTTTAACCATTGTTTTATTCTCTATCTCTGTGTATTCAACATTTTTTTAGGTTCTTTATGTAAATGACATCATGCAATATTTTTCTTTCTCTGCGTTTTGCTTATTTCACTTAACATAAGGTCCTCCAGGTTCATTCATGTTGTGACAAATAGTAGGATCTTCTTTTTTAATGTTGAATAGTATTCCATTGTATATATCAGTTTCTTTATCCATTTGTTTATTGATGGACATAAGTTGTTTCCATATTTTGGCTACTATGAATAAGCTGCCAATTTTAATTAATAATATTTAAAAATGTATCACATTTCTGTTACCTTCTAAAATAAAGTAAGCAGAATAAAACATTTTCTTAAAGAATAAGGTTAGAACTTATTCTTAAAGAATAAGTTAGCCACTGACTTTTGTCATTACTCTTTTCTCTAATATGCCTATGATGTTTTTCAACTTTATGTTCCCTCCATTACTCTCAGACAACCTGCAGTCACTTCTAGTCTTCAGAGTCAGTAAGCTTGGGTTTAAGTCCTGACTCCATAACGTCCTATTTCTATGTCCTTCATCAGTTACATCCTTTCTTCCAACCCTGATTTCTTTATCTATAAAAGCAGGGTGACAATATTTATACACAGAATATCACATTGCTCAGATATGATAATGAAGAGCCAGTGGTGAAAATTAGGTATTATAACTGTGGCTCATGGACTCCTTCCAGTGTATGCTCCTTCTCCATTATCAGTATCTGCTTCTGATGTGGAATCGGAAGCTTACTAAAACTGTGGGTACAGTAAGGATGAAGACACTCTTATCCATAAAAGATACTGAGGCAGGCATCTGACAAAGTGCTGCAGTAGGAATGAAAAAGATCAAGATTTAGGCCCAGTTCTGCCACTGATATGCCTAATGGTTTTTGATTTACAACCACTGTAGCTAAGGCTCTGTATGTGACATGAACTTACAAAGTTAAGGGGCTGGACTCAATACCCCTTTCAATTCTCACAGAGTTCCATTTTCTGCTTAGAGCCCTTTTGCTACTAATTTTCTGATTCTTATTTGGGTGCATGAATTCTAGATAAGTGGGGCATCATCCTCTCTCCTGCTCTGGGGGAGGCAGAACAGCTGAATAGTTATTACATGAATCCTGGAACCAGACTTCCCAGACTCCATTCCCTGACTCTGTTATGGTGTGACCATGAGCAAGTTACTTAGTCTCTCTGTGTTGGTATCTTCATCTACAGAACAAGAATATAGCATTTATAGTACGCTGATGGGGATTTTATGAGTGTATGTATATATATGTTATATATATATAACATGTATATATAAAATGTATAACATACATATATACATGTTATACATACATGTTTACATACATATGCATATAAACGTATGTATATATGCATACATATGTGTACATATATGCATACATATGTGTACATACATATGTGTGCATATATACATACATATGTGTACATATATATGCATATATACATGCATGTGTGTACATACATATGTACGCATACATACATGTGTATACATACATGTGTATGCATACATGGATATGTATACATACATGTGTATACATGGATATGTATACATACATACGTATACATGCATATACATACATACATACGTATACATACATGTGTATACATACATGCGTATACATACATATGTATGTATACATACACACATTTACATGTACGTATATCTAGTTATACATATGTATATATGTATATGTATGTGTGTGTGTATATATATACATATACACTCATGAAAGAGAGAGCTTACACAAAACAAATGCTATAAATATTAGTGATTGTTCTTTGCTCTTTTTCTTCCTTCGTTTTAACTTCTAAGTTCAGGGGTGCATGTGCAGGTTTGTTATTAGGTAAACTCGTGTCACAGAGGTTTGTTGTACAGATTATTTTGTCTGGTCGAAAATACCCAGGTATTAATGAAACCTCCTTTGCAAAAGTTTCACTGAGGAAATCATGACAGTGAAAGAGATCTCCATCTTGCTTCTAGCCTTTAAGCTGTCCTTGTTCATTCCTGGGCGTAGGCTGAACTAACCTTGGGAAAGAATTTAGTGTATGGTTTGACTCTGAAACAAATTGATAATAGCCCTTTCTAGAAAAGACTCCCTTCTTGCCTGGGGACCAGTCTGCCTTTACAGGACTAACAAATTAGCCACAAGATTGGAAATTATAGTTTAGGGGTCAGGCAGCCTCTGGCTGCAAGAGTCTGAACTTCCCCAAATTGCTCCTGGGGATCACATCACTATTGTAAACCTAAGATCAGGGCTTGAGATATTTTGCAGACCCTGCACTTGATGAATCAGTTGATACCACCTAGACCGATAATCTGAGTCAACCATTTCTGAGATCCCACTCAGGAACAGAAGACAACAAGAAAACCGCACTATGAGCCCCCTATGGTTCCATCTCCAAACTGACGAATCAGCACTCCCCACCTCCTGAGCCCCTACTCACCAAATTATCCTTAAAAACTCCTACCTCTAAATGCTCAGGGAGACTGATTTGAGTAACAATAAAACTCGGGTCTCCCACAAAGCTGGCTTTGCATGAATTATTTTTTCTCCATTGCAATTCCCCTGTCTTGATAAATTGGCTCTGTCTAGGCAGTGGGTAAGGTGAACCCACTGCACAGTCACATTAAGCCTAGTACTGATTAGTTATTTTTCCTAATCCTCTTCCTCCTCCCACCCTCCACATTCCACTAGGCCCCAGTGTCTGTTGTTCCCTTCTATGTATCCATGTGTTCTTATATTTTAGCTCCCAATTATAAGCAAGAACGTGCGGTATTTGGTTGTCTGTTCCTGGATTAATTTGCCAAGGATAATGGCCTCCAGCTCCATCCATGTTTCTGCAAATGATATAATCTTGTTCTTTTTTATGGCTGCATAGTATTCCGTGGTGTATATGTACCATGTTTTCTTTATCCAGTCTACCACTGATGGGCATTTAGGTTGATTCCATGCCTTTGCTATTGTGAATAGTGTTGTAATGAACATACACATATGTGTGTCTTGTTATTGATTTTTAGGACAACTAAGAGAAAATCTATCAAAGTTTGAGGCACTCCTTTGATAGGGCATTTTTAATTTAGTGAACTAATCTGGGCTTTCTTCATCTCTCTCCACATACCATTGCTTTTTAAAATTTTTCTCTTTGCTCATAATCCCTCTCAGCTTTTGCCTTTCCTGACTAGTATATCAATCTCTTTTGGTCTGTCTTTATGTGTAAGTTCAATTAAATTTCTTGTTTCCTTCCTCTGCCCCCTCAGCATTCCTATTGTAGATTTTCTGTCTGAGCATAATGACTGGCAGTATAATTTTTGTTTTTCTTATTTACCAAAAATCAATTAAGACCCTACCACCTAAAAAATAATAACTCATCCAGGTGCAGTGGCTGATGTCTGTTATCCCAGCACTTTGGGAGGCAGAGGCAGGTGGATCATGAGGTCAGGAGTTTGAGACCAGCCTGGCCAACATAGCGAAACCCCGTCTCTACTAAACATACAAAAATTAGCCAGGTGTGGTGGCACATGCCTGTAGTCCCAGCTACTTGGGAGGCTGAGGCAGAAGAATTGCTTGAACCCAGGAGGTGGAGGTTGCAATGAGCTGAGACCACACTATTGCACTCCAGCCTGGGTGACAGAGTAAGACTCCATCTCAATAATAATAATAATAATAATAATAATAATAATAATAACTCCTACCATAAGGGGCCATTCATGATGCTGTAGTAATAATATGGTTAATGCTGATAATAAGCATTCCAATTAGGTGATTATTTTTTAAAATCTAAGCTTGTTGAAGAGTTATTTATGTTTGTAAATAAGGTAGAGACAATCTATTTCATAAGTGCTGTGGCAAATAGCTTCAGCTGTTCACCACTGGGTTGTTATATTTCATAAGTGATTGAATTCAATTATGAAATTGCAAAGCAATTCTCATTCTCCTAGAATGGAAATTGCAATGTCATTGCCAACAAGTACCTGTAACAGAAGATGTTCAAACTAAATGGCCATTTTCCAAGAACTGTTCATTTTCAATATGATATACAAATATTAAGTAAGATAAAGTACTAATTATAAATGGTTTTGTTCATTTTTTGGTGTTTGTTTTTGTATTTTGGTTCTAACATACATTCAGGGCCAGGGTTGCAGAAATACGTGTCAAACTAACTAAAACATCAGGATTCCAATTGCTCGGGTTGGTCTGGGAAGGCCTAGGACTCCCACAGTGTTTCAAATGGATTGACTGCTCTCTACTTGCAGCCTGTGTGTGATCAGCTTGGAATTAATTGCTTCTATACTCTCCATGTGCACCTGAAAATAACTCTTGGTAGGTGGATGGGTGAATAGTAATAAAGACAGGAAAAGTCAAAGGAGTTCCCAGACCTCTGCATTCTTGCAATAAAGCATTTAAAATTGTCAAAGTTTAAAGAGTTGCTTACAGGGCCTGGCCCCAGTTTAAACTCTCTATCCAGGGAGGTCAAATGATATAACAGGAAGGGGAAAGACAGGTTTGGGGCAGGTCCTGGCTCCCCGTGCCCACACTCATCAGCTGCACAGCTGTGCAGACTTCAGCAAATTCCTCCACCCAAGAAACTATTTCCTCAGCTGATTATCATGCCACCCTCTTTGAGCTTTGTGAGCAGTGGAACCGAGGAATGGAATGGTGAGTATGTTGTCATCCCTCTACAAGTTTTTGCAGTAGAAAAGAAGGGTGGAAATAAATTATATCAGTGCCATGAAAATTCGCTTTGGAAATCTTCCTCCAGGCAGCTTTTTCTTTGTCCTGATGTATCAGACTTGAACATTAAACAAACAATAGCATCACCTCCTTATCCTAGAAGTTCTCAGGAATAGCATCTAATGCTATGGTCAAGAATCTTTCAGCATTGGAAATCTTCCTCCAATATCCACCACTGGACCAAGCTTCTAAATATTTAATAATACATAAGATATCATTAGAAAGTGATCATCCTCATTATGTTATTGCCATATGGATCAACTCACTATTCGGCCAATTTAATAAAATGTAAACATTAGGAGTAATGGCTCAGAGGGTATTTTTATCAATGAGATAAAGCAATATAAGTCAAGCAGGCTGAATTTTTGTCTAGACAAATTAATTTCAGCTCAAATAGAATTTTAAAGTTACAATATTTATAATCTTTTTAGAATGACAAATGGATACATTTATTTTTAAAGAAGAGTCATGTTGTATTTAGAAATGGGACTGGGTGCGGTGACTCACGCTTATAATCCCAGCACTTCGGGAGGCCGAGGTCCATGGATCACCTGAGGTTAAGAGTTTGAGACCAGCCTAATCAACACAGTGAAACCCCCTCTCTACTAAATACAAAAATTAGCCAGGTGTGGTGGGGCGTTCCTGTAATTCCAGCTACTTGGAAGGCTGAGCCAGGAGAATCGCTTTAACCTGGGAGGCGGAGCTTGCAGTGAGTCAAGATTGCACCACTGCACTCCAACCTGGGCAACAAGAGCGAGACTCCATCTCAAAAAAAGAAAAAAAGAGAAGAAAAAAAAAAGAAATGGGACCTGCTGTAGATACACTCACTATTCTTGGAATGCTTCAAGTAGTTATTTATTTCACATTCTCTTATGGAGCACCTTCAGTGTGCCAAATAAGATAATCCTTCCCGTATTTTGGCAGGACCTAAATAAAAGAACAAGGCAACAGCCTCACAGTGTTTCATGCTTTATAGGCAAGGACTCATCTCTGCACACATGGCCTGAGTTCTGAATCAGCTTTCTCAAAAAGTGACATTATTCTTCATAATATTATTTGTTTTCTGCATTAGAAGACTTGTTTCCAAAGCATGTCGTCAAAAGGTAGGACTCACGCTCATATTTGTTCGTAAGGCAAGATGTTCCGTAGTAGTGTTCTGGATGGCATGATTTGCCCTTAGAGTCAAATTTGCATAATTACGAGTTGAGCTGTACCAAGCTTCTACTGTATTTTAAGAGAAGTTGTGAGAAAGAGGAGAACGATGACTATTTTTAAAACGCATTCTGTTGTTCCTAGATGATTTGAATTCCAATTTCTAGCCCAATTGTGTCATGGCCTGAGGGGACTGTTGAGTCAGACTTAGGACAAACTCAGCCCTGAGAGACTGAAATCTAAAGAACAAAGGACAAAAAGACACAGCCAGGAAGCTCAATGGTGTCTGGGTTTGGGAATTTGTTGTCTGATTAAAATTAAATTTGTTAGAAGATACATGAATTAAAATACTATTTGTATTTCGCTTATCTCAGGATGCAAATGCGCATTTGAATTGGCTCTTCTGCAAGATACCTGAGTGATGATATGTCTGCATGGCCTGGAGATAACTCCAGAGGCCAGAGTCCCATCTGGTTCTGGTTTTTGTCTCAAACAAACATTCATCTTTCCCAAATCTAAATTTCTCAGGGGTAAAATGCAGAAAAACAAACAGTTTCCTGTGTTCCTTCCAGCTCTGAGATCCCATCACTTCGTACCTTATTCTACCATGTGTTTCTTATCAGCACAGCTTTGTCTGCTGGTCTGGTGATCTCCTGAAGGTGCCCCGGCATATTTTCCCTGGAAAGAAATTGAGGCATTGGAGGCTCAGCAGCCAGCTAGTTTGTGATTTAAAATCTTTTATCCCCTAGGATTTTGAACAAAGTAATTTAATTGTTGCCATCTCTTAAAGTAGCATATTGACTAAGCTCATGGTCTTTGGTGTTAAAAAGCCAGGGATTAAATCCCAGCCCTGTCACTTGTAAGCTGTATGACCTTGAGTAAGTTATTTAAGAAATGTGAGTCCCAATTTACTCCTTGTAAAATGAGGGCTACATGACTTCTTGTAAAATGTAGCTATCTCACTGAACTTCTGTCTGTATTAAAATGGGATAATATACAACCACGCTTAGAGCAAAAGTTCTCCATAGGGTGATGGTTGCTATTAACATTCCCAGCATAGTGCTCAGTAACCTGGACTTTGGGCTGCTGGAGACACTTGTCTTCATCTTGTTTACTAAGTAGCCATTTGGCCAAGAGTTGCTTGGGTTATGGCCAAGTTACTTAGACTCTCCAAGCCTCAATTTTCTCATTTATAAAATAGGGATGATAATCCTTCTCTTGAAAGATGTTGTGAAGATTAAATGACATAATTGGCTAGCAAACTGCCCAGCACTCATTGTGCAAACTTTGTGGATAACAAGACCTGCTTTTATCAGTGTTGTGTGTCATTTGAATATAGGTAGATATATTAGTTTGCTAGGGCTGCCATAACACAATGCCACAGACTGGGTGGCTTAAGCAACAGGAATTTATTCTCTCACAATTCTAAAGGCTGGAAGTTCAAGGTCAAGGTACCAGCTGTGAGCCATCTTCCCACTCCATCTTCACATGGCCTTTCTTCTGTAAGCCCACATTCCTCGTGTCTTCCTCTTTTTTTTTTTTTTTTTTTTTTTTTTTTTTTGAGATGGAGTTTCACTCTCATTGCCCAAGCTGGAGTGCAGTAGCGAGATCTCGGCTCACTGCAACCTCTGCCTCCTGGGTTCAAGCAATTCTTCTGCCTCAGCCTCCCGAGTAGCTGGGATTACAGGCACCCACCACAACACCCGCCTAATTTTTTGTATTTTTAGTAGAGATGGGGGGTTTTGCCATGTTGGCCAGGCTGGTCTCGAATTCTGACCTCAGGTGATCCACCCACGTCGGCCTCTCAAAGTGCTGGGATTACAGGTGTGAGCCACCACGCCCGGCCTATGCTTAACTATCTTCTTAAAGGCCCTACCTCCAAATACAGGGTTAGACCTTCAACATATGAATTTGAGGAGGGACACAATTCAGTCCACCATAGGACCAGAAGTCAGACTGCAGTAGATTAAGGAGAGAGCAAGAAAATGGATCTAATGAATACAGTTAACTTTTCTGAGGAGTTTGACAAAATAAGAGAGGAGAGGTTATCATTATTTGTATCATTATTTCTGCTGGTATTAAAAGAGACTGTGGCAAAGTGGGAAGTGGGAAGAACATAAGCTGTGGCATCAAAGACCTGGGTGTAAATCTTGTCCCTATGCATATATATGGAAACCCATATATATGCATAGGAGATATATATGTTATGTTTTTATGTATATATAAACACATATTTGACTTCTGGTTGTGAATTTCTTCACATCCATGAGACTCAGTCTCCATGTATGTGAAAAATAAACAATTAAACCTCACTCTGGGGTTATTGTGAGGATTAGGATTATGCCAATCAAGCACCTTGCCCATCTCCTGGCATACAACAAGGGCTCAATAAATGTTAGGCACTGGGTTAAAACCACCCAAAATACAGGCTCTTACAAGGTGGCTGAGTCACAATGAGAATTCGCAGTCCTACGTGGGATCATGCCGTGCTCCCCATAGTTTGCCTCCAAGAATCAGAGTTGATTGGGTTCGGTGGTGTTGCTTTTTTAACTTATCATATGCTGGTGATTGCTGATGATTTCAGTTATGTTTTTAGAGCCTGTCACCCGCCTAGAAATAGAAACAGCCCTTTGGCAGGTAGGAGTCATTAAGAAGTAAGGTACCAGACAGCTGGAAAAGCAAGAGAGCCCACAGGCAGACACTTCAAGGGCGTTTTTTTTTTTTTTTTAATACTGCATGTGATGATCATCCTATCACGCACACTTAATTATACTGATCCTCCAGCCCTGTGTCTTTTGTCTCAGACTTTGCATCTGCAGAGAAAGAAACTCCATTTGTAGCACAGCTCAGATTGCTGCCCGATACAAAGGCCCAGAATTTAATCCGCTGTTTTGGTTCTGTCCCATGTGAGGGTCACTAGGTCTAGACAAGGTTATGTTATGACTGAAAGACTGCTCAGAAAATTTAATTAAAATCCCCTCTACTTTTGCTGTATTTCCCAGTACAATAAATAGAGAACATAGTGATTCTGAAGAAGACATTTGAGGTCCACCAACAGCCCACAAATTTCAGTCTGAAAAATATTTCCCTATAGGGCAGCAAATATTCAAGGGATTGGAGAGGATCAGAAAGTTGAGCAGGAATATCCTTTGTTTACCAGATTATTCTTAAGTGACAAAGGAGTATCAGACTTCCTGTTAGGTTCAGAGGATAAACAAGACATGTAAGATATTGATCTTGTCTGCAAAAAAAACTCACAATGGAGAAAACAAACATGAGCAGATCATGATGTTATGTTTTACATGCTATACAAGAACCAGAGTGTGGGAACGATGACCAGGGGGTCACCAATTTTGCATAGTATGGGAATCCAGAGAGGCTTCAGAAATGAGACACTTATATTTAAATTGGATCATGAAAGATATATACATTTTAACAGGTGGAAAAGGAAAGTGGAACATTTTAGGTTGAAGAACTTGCACTATAAATGATTCAAAAGAAGATTACATCAGACATTGTTCAAGAAAGCACAGGCTTTCTATTCGATATTATCTATTTACATGAGGTCTATTGCATGCTATTTACTCCTGCATTGGCAAATACAATAATACAACATAGTTGAAGTCATTGGATCAACAGCAGTCTAAAAGCAACATTTTCCATCATCTTTTCTATCTCAGGACCCATTGAATAGAATCAACCCATTTGTTCAAATGAATGAAGGAGAAAATTGAAGGATTTTGGCTTTTTTGATTTTCCCCATAAAGCCCAGATCAATTTGTTAATGCCTAGGTGCCTTTTTCCAGCTACTTTGAGCTCTTCCCACATACTTTAGGAGCACAACTACTTACTTTCCCATCAATTTTATCCTTGTCAGCTCAATTTTATCCCATCAATTTTATCCTTGTCAGCCTTCTCATCTTTCCATGTCCTTTTCTATTATTTTTATTCATCCGTCACTATTCTGAAGCTTTTCCATTTCATTCTTTCCAGATAAGTTATTATAATATAAAAAGTACAAAGCAAATGTTTGTTTTCATCTCCTATTACTCATTTTCACAAATATAGCCACTCCAAGTGTTTGTTTCATCACCAATTTTTTTTTTGTAAACTCCTTGAGGGCAATAATTAAGATATGCTAAGATTAGGGTGCCACTCACCTTCTCTTCCTTGCCAAGTGAGAGCTTTGGCCCCTCAATGCTCTCAGTGAGGCAGAGTAGTAAGGAGGAACAGATGTTAGCAAGAGGCAGCAATATTAGTGTCAAAAATGGCTCGACTTTGGCAAAAAGGACTACATTTCCAACTGACCCATGGGACAAGGGATTGGGGTCCTAGTGGCTCTGGGATGAGAGGAGCTGACTGTTATCCTTAGACCCTTCTCTCTGAGTCTCCAATCTGTAGTCAAGAAGAAAGGATAGAAAGGGGAAGCCAAGGCTTCATACTGAGCCTGGATGTTTTTATTCCTGCTAAGTTCCTCATCTGAGGTGTGGATTGGTTTACACAACAGAGAGAATTCCTATAGGCCACTATCTGACCCCACTTCAAAGGAGCTGGACTGAAGGATGATATTTGAGACACAAGCACCTGAACCCTAATATATTTCCAAATCCTCCAGACTTGTGCTTACATGACCCTAGGGCAAATGTGCAGATATTACCAGATGTTACTTGGGCCAGGAAAGGTTCTATGGACAAATACCTTTGGGGTCAGTTGGGTTACGCAAAGTTAAACAAGACTCCTTGTTACAGGTCTTCGCAAACCTATATAATTTAATATTTTGTGACAAAACTACATTAAAGTTCACAGCATTTTCCAAACATCTATGGGCACAAAATTCCTTTTTGCATAAAACATCTTTGAGAAATTATAGCGTAAACATAATTCACAAAGCAAAGTACAATATTTTAAAGCTTCTCTATACCTATTGACTCTATTGACTACAAAATGGACCTAAATAGAATATCCTCTAGGCCCCCAACCATCCAGTATGTACCCATGAAACCAACTGGCTGCTGGTTACTTTACCCTTGTCAGCACCTAATATGAACATTTTATTTTGTAGCCCAAGGCAAAATATCTGATTTCTTTTTTCACTTTACTTGTAAAATGAACAGATGTCCTTCAATTCTTTTTTTCCTCATAAATTATTGGGGTACAGGTGGTATTTGGTTACATGAGTAAGTTCTTCAGTGGTGATTTGTGAGATTTTGATGTACCCATCACCCACGTATACACTGCACAATATTTGTAGTCTTTTATCCCTCTCCTGTCTCCCACTCTTCCCCGCAAGTCCCCAGAGTCCATTGTATCATTCTTATGCCTTTGCGTTCTCATAGCTTAGCTCACACAAATCAGTGAGAACACACGAGGTTTGGTTTTCCATTCTTGAGTTACATCACTTAGAATAATAGTCTCCAATCTCATTCAGGTCACTCCAAATGCCATTAATTCTTTCCTTTTTGTGGCTGAGTAGTATTCCATTATATAAATATATCACAGTCTCTTTATCCACTCATTGATTGATGGGCATTTGGGTTGGTTCCACGATTTTGCAATTGTGAATTGTGCCGCTGTAAACGTGCATGTGCAAGTATCTTTTTTGAATAATGACTTCTTTTCCTTTGGGCGGATGCTCAGTAGCAGGATTGCTAGATCAAATGGTAGTTCTACTTTTAGTTCTTTAAGGAATCTCCACATTGTTTTCCATAATGGCTGTACTAGTTGACATTCCCACAAGGAATGTAGAAGTGTTCCCTGTTCACCGCATCCACACCAACATCTGTTTTTTGATTTTTTGATTATGGCCATTGTTGGAGGAGTAAGGCAGTATTGCATTGTGGTTTTGATTTGCATTTCCCTGATCATTAGTGATGTTGAGCATTTTTTCATGTGTGTTAGCCATTTGTATATCTTCTTTTGAGAATTGTCCATTCATGTCTTTAGCTTACTTTTTGATGGGATTGTTGGTTTTTTTCTTACTCATTTGAGTTCGTTGTACTTTCTGGATATTAATCCTTTGTCAGATGTATAGATTATGAAGATTTTCTCCCACTCTGTGGGTTGTCTGTTTACTCTGCTGACTGTTCCTTTTGCCATGCAAAAGCTCTTTAGTTTAATGAGGTCCCAGCTATTTATCTTTGTTTTTATTGCTTTTGCTTTTGCTTTTGGGTTCTTGGTCATGAGATCCTTGCCTAAGCCAGTGTCTAAAAGGGTTTTTCCAATGTTATCTTCTAGAATTTTTACAGTATCTGGTCTTAGATTTAAGTCCTTAATCCATCTTGAGTTGATTTTTGTATAAGGTGAGAGAAGAGGACCCAGTTTCATTCTCCTACATGAGGCTAGCCAATTATCCCAGCACCATTTGTTGAAAAGGGTGTCCTTTCCCCCACTCTGTGTTTTTGTTTGCTTTGTCAAAGATCAGTTGGCTGTAAGTATTTGGGTTTATTTCCAAATTATCTATTCTGTTCCACTGGTCTATGTGCCAATTTTCATACCAGTACCACGCTGTTTTGGTGACTATGGCTTTATAGTATAATTTGAAATCAGGTAGTATGATGCCTCCAGATTTGTTCTTTTTGCTTAGTCTTGCTTTTTCTATGAGGCCATGCGGGCTCTTTTTTGGTTCCACATGAATTTTAGAATTGTTTTCTCTAATTCTGTGAAGAATAATCATGGTATTCTGTGGGGATTATGTTGAATTTGTAGATTGCTTTTGGCAGTATGGTCATTTTCACAATATTGATTCTACCCATCCATGATTCTACCCAGCATGGGATGTGTTTCCATTTGTTTGTGTCACTTATGGTTTCTTTCAACAGTGTTTTGTAGTTTTCCTTGTAGAGGTCTTTTGACTCCTTTGTTAGGTATATTCCTAAGTATTTTATATTTTTGCAGCTATTGTAAAGGGGTTGAGTTCTTGATTTGATTCTCTGTTTGGTCACTGTTAGTGTATAGAAGAGCTACTGATTTTTGTACATTAATTTTCTGTCCAGAAACTTCACTGAATTCTTTTATCAGTTCTAGGAGCTTTCTGGAGAAGTCCTTAGGGTTTTCAAGGTAAACAATCATGTCATCAACAAACAATGACAGTTTGACTTCCTCTTTACCAATTTGGATGCCCTTGTTTTCTTTCTCTTGTCTGATTGCTCTGGCTAGGATTTCTAATACTATGTTGAAGAGGAGTGGTGAGAGTGGGCATCCTTATCTTGTTTCCATTCTCAGAGGGAATGCTTTCAACTTTTCCCCACTCAATATTATGTTGGCTGTGGGTGTGTCATAGATGGCTTTTATTACATTAAGGTATGTGCCTTGTATGCCAATTTTGCTGAGAGTTTTAATCATAAAGGAATGTTGGATTTTGTTGAATGGTTTTCAGCATCTACTGAGATGATCGTGTGATTTTTGTTTTTAATTCTGTTTATGTGGTATATCACATTTATTGACTTGCGTATGTTAAACCATCCCTGCATTCCTGGTTTGAAACCCACTTGATCATGGTGGATTATCTTTTTGATATGTTGTTGGATTCAGCTAGTGAGTATTTTGTTAAGGATTTTAACATCTATGTTCATCAAGGATATCAGTCTGTAGTGTTCTCTTTTGGTTATGTCATTTGCTGGTTTTGTTATTAGGGTGATGCTTCATAGAATGAATTAGGGAGGTTTCCTTCTTTCTCTATCTCCTTATATCTTTCTTCAGATGTCCTTCCATTCTGAGAGTCTAAGGTTCTATTTTTTTTGTTTGTTTGATTGTTTGTTTGAGACAGGGTCTCATGCTGTCACCCAAACTGGACTGCAGTGGTGCCATCACTGCTCACTGCAGCCTCAGCCTCCTGGGCTCAAGCAGTCCTCCCACCTCCGCCTCCCAAGTAGCTGTGCAAAATATCTGATTTCATTGGAATCCTTAGTGAACATTATCAGAGGCTATCTTGTAGTTGCATTTTACATAGGGCACAAAACTGATTATTATTAAATGACAATTCCATTGTTTATAACTAGTGGTTGTTATATAGAAACAAATTCCAGGTTGGACTATTTGTGATCTTCTATGTTTTTCTAACTATACCTTAAAAATGCTAGAGATGCTGGTGAGGTTGTAGAGAAAAAGGGAAACTTTTACACTGTTGGTGGGAGTGTGAATTAGTTCAACCATTGTGGAAGGTAGTGTGGTGATTCCTCAAAGACCTAGAGGCAGAAATACCATTTGACCCAGCAATCTCATTACCGGGTATATACCCAAAGGAATATAATTCATTCTATTATAAAGATACATGCCTGCATATGTTCATTGCAGCACTATTCACAATAGGAAAGTCACAGAATCAACCTAACCGCCCACCAATGATAGACTGGATAAAGAAAATGTGGTACATATACACCATGGAATACTATGCAGCCATAAAAAGGACAGAGATCATTTTATTTGCAGGCACATAGATGGAGTTGGAAGCCATTCTCTACAGCAAACTAATGCAGGAACAGAAAACCAAACACTGCATGTTCTCACTTGTAAGTGGGAGCTGATTGATGAGAACACATGGACACTGCCAGGGAACAACACATGCTGGGCACCTGTTGGGGGAGGGAGAGGATCAGGAAGAACAGCTAATGGATGCTGGGCTTCATACCTGGGCGATGGGATGATCTGTGCAGCAAACCACCATGGCACATGTTTACCCATGTAACAAACCTGCACATCCTGCACATGTACCTCTGAACTTAAACGTTGGGGAAAAAAGAAATATATGTTACTGTTAGATTTATAGAGTAATATATATTGCTACTTAAACTTTTTGTTTGACGTAATCATATAATCCACTGATTATCTGAAATAAATTCCTGTGCTCTTTTTTGTTGTCTTAAAACAATGCTAGGGTTGTAATATCTACATTAATGACAAGAATATGCAAAAAAATCATATACAAGTGTTTTAGCTTAATACGCTTAAACTGGGAAATGTAAAGGCCTTATAGGCATTGTGAGGGTCCTTCCTCTGTGGACAGTCACAGACATTAGCAGACATGTTCTTCCGTTTTCCTTTGTTGCTCTGTGTAAGCATCGGTGAGCAGTGGCTGGTCCTAAGACTCTTTCTTGTTTTCCTCCACAGACAGCGTGGAAGATGAACTGGAGATGGCCACCGTCAGGCATCGGCCTGAAGCCCTTGAGCTTCTGGAAGCCCAGAGCAAATTTACCAAGAAAGAGCTTCAGATCCTTTACAGAGGATTTAAGAATGTAAGAACTTTCTTTTTGACTTTACCTTCACACAATTCCCAGAGGAGCATTGAGAAATGAGAGGAAAAGGGGGAAAATATCCCATTCTATGAGAGCCCCATCATATGTATATTTCATACTGATCCTTCCCAGATAGGAATATAATCAGTATCTGTGGACTTTGATTCTCTGTGGCACACCCATGCTGGCATACTGTGATTGCCCATTAAACAAAGAGTTTCTGAGAAAGTTTTATTCAATTCAGTTCTTGGTTGAAATATTTTCTCTTCATCAACTATAATGACATAATTTCATTAAACTTCCATTGTTTCCTTAGTTTTTAAATACAGGCTGGTGCTTGACTTGAATCTTGAATGTAGATTGAGGCCTATCAAGGGATTCCATTCCTGGAATTGGAGGATAATTACTGTAACTTTTATAGTTTAAAAAACCATGCTGCCAATGTCTGTAAACCACAGGTGTCTGTAGGTCATCACTGTACCTGGTTCTCTGCAATCCAGGTGTGCAGATGACCCTCCCTCCTGGGTGAACCATCTTCAAAAGGGAATGAGAGCCCAGAAAACCCCAGAGGGTGGGGTGAGAGAAAGTGAGTGGATCCAGGCTGACTATGAGACACAGTCTCTTACCAAATACTTTGTATGTGCTAAGGGTTAAACTAGATGCTGCAGGTTATTCAAAAGCCAGAGAAGATACACTTCTATCCTTAAGGAGCTTATGGTCTGAATAGGGAGAGAAAACTTGCTGTCATGAATCTATCTGAAAACAGTTCATCCTTAAAGGCATCAAATGTTTATGTATCAAATAGCATACACATCCCAACATATAGTTTGTTCTTATACATATGGAAACCAAAGTAGCTACAGGCACCCCTGGAGATCCAAATTAAATTGCTTTGATCCTTTTGAAACCCAGCCCCTAAGAACCCCAGTTCCAGTGCGTGTAGAAGTCTGTGATGTCCAAGGATTTCTTCTAATGCCATCCTCTTCACATCTGACCACCACAACTGCTGCCTTTGTCCAACCTTATGCAGACTAGATATGAATCTCTACCTCTTCTTTGGAATCCACAACAGCAATTTACTCAGAGAATTCATACCGGTAGTTGACACTGCAGAATATTTTTATAGGGTTTCTGCATGCGCATTGCACACAAGTTTCCACCATCTGTCTGAATGAATGGAGTCTGTCTTTCTCCCATTTCTGCTCCTCAGCCCCTTCTCCTTGCCCTGGGCTTTCTAAGTTTTTCTCCCTCTATTATGCAGAGTAAATTTGTTTCTTCTCCAAAATTTGATCATCTGCAAAGACCTAGGACTTCGTGGCAATAGGTGGGGGCAGAGGAGATTATAATGGAGATGAGTGCTCACCACACACACAGACCACTGATTAAAGGAATCTGATAGGTAATATATCAAGACAATACATACAAATAAACATGCATAAAGGGAAAAGGGTTTTGACAACCAGGAAAGAGGATGAGTAGTTATGCCTATTCTGCAGTGGTTCCAGGCTTCAGAGACAGCAGGTATTTGCAATGAAACAGTGGTATTGACCACTGGCAGCAGAAAAACACTGAGCAGCAAGGACAGAAAGGAAAGGAGGTGTAAAAGACCAATCTGGGCCAAAAGTCAGTGCTCAGAGGAGGTGAATCACAGAATAAAACTTCAAATGTGTTCATGTGAACACCTAAACTTCTTTGCTATAATTCAGAGATCTAGTAATAAGCAGACTTTTTTTTTCTTTTTAACATTGGATTGTACATCAGATACAGAATGTTTGTTGAACACAGGAGAACTGAATCCAATCTCTCAGCATCCCTGTATTCCTCGACTGCTGCTATGTTATTATTCCAATGCCATCCCCGTAGGGTTTCTCTGTTTGGGGTCTGGCTGCCTTTCATTGCATTTGCTATAAATTGGAATCATGATTACTGCCATCATTAATCTTTGGAGCCAGCATCTCTGCAGCATGTCTAATACAAGTGGCACTTCACAATAAATTGCTAGGCTCCAAAGTCTGCATTCATTGCTTTATTTTTTTTTATTTTATGTTTTTTTTTGTTGCCCATATGTCCTTCTCTTCTTCCTTTTCTCTCCTTCCCCCATTTTCCCAAACTCTTTTCTTTCCCCTTTTTTAATCCTTCTGACCCCACCTCTTATTTCTTCACTCCTCCTTGCTTTCCTTTTTTTCACCTCTTCTGTCTCTTCCCCTTGTGAATTATTGTCTCCTTTCAGCTCTTCCCCATCCTCCTCTTCCTCTATTTTTTTCTCTTCTCTATCTTTATTGATTTCTCTTTCTCCCATCTCACCCTGCCCCATGAGACAAATTTCCATCAGACCTGAATATGCCAAAGGCCTATTTTATATACTTCTTTAAAAGAAAGGACTTCACAGTTTGCTCAGAAAATATTAATCGACATCTCTCATAAATCAAACACAAGTGGCCTTTTAATTTTTATTTCCCCCTAGTCAAATGTACAATTCTAATAAATGAACCCTAAGCATAGCCGAAATACACTAAGCAGGTCAGCAGCACTTGGGTTTTACAGCATGGTAGTAAGCTGAAGCAGCTTCCATCCAAGAAAGCAAACCAACTGCCTTGGTTCCCTAAACACCAATTACCTCAAAGCCCTTAAGATCACAAACTCATTTCCCTGGAAACAGTTGGGATATTCATTTTTAATGAAACTATTAAAACTCTCCATACTGTGATTCAAAGGATAAACCATTCGTCAACATATTAAAATGGTCACACTTGTGTGAAAGTAGCTCAACATAGCCAGGCACCCCTGCAAGTAAATATGACCAGCATAACTCCACCAATTTTTTCCCATATGGTATCTCTGATACATCCCCTAGCATTTTCAACATAGATTGTTAATATAGATTGGAAATGAGAGGAAGGGAAGATAGTGAGAGAAATATCTCCTCCCTCACACAGGCTTACTCACTGAGGCTCCCACACATTTTTAGGTCTCTTGCCAGATTCTGAGTCTCAAAAGTGAGCAGCTGATAGAGACAGAATACAGTACACTGTCCACCTATAAGGAGCCTCAGAATCACCTGAAGGGCTTGTCAAGACACAGATTCCTGGGCCCCATCTTGAAAGATTATGACTTAGTAGAGGTGGGATTGGGTCATAGAATTTGCATTTTCTTTTTTACAAGTTCCAAGGTGATGCTGATGCTGCTGGTCTGGAGCCCACACTTTGAGAATCACTGGTTTTGTGCAGTTATCATAAGCTTCGGTGTCACTCAGCCTCAGGTCATGTTACTCATTTGGGCAGTTCCCTCTGACTCAGGAGACGATGTGTCTTTGTCTATAAACTGGGATAATGATAACTAGATTGCACTTTTTTAAAGAAATAAATATAATAAACATGAAGTTCAATAAAAAGGAGTTATTATAGTATGGCCCCAAATGGTCAACCTCAGTTGTATGTTCCATCAAAGTGGGACAGTCGTGGTTGGCCTACATACTTCCCAGGCAGTGTTTGGGTTTTGGACTACATAATTATATATTAGGAAGGATGCAGAAAATGCAAACTATTATCTACAGATCAGCAGTCTCAAAATTAAATGCACGTTGCAACCATCTGGGGAGCTTTACAAATTAAAAATAGTGGCTACTATGCTTGGTGATTCTGATGTAATTGCTCTGGGAAAAAGCTTCAGCATTAGGATTTATAAAGCTCTTCAAGTAATTATATTGTGTAGGCAAGATTGAGAACCATTGAACTAGATATATAACATATACAAGGTGCTTCTAGCACAAAAAGAAATGACCTATTAGTGATGAGCTCTATCATGACAAATACCAATGACTAGGCTAGCTACATTGGAATCGCATGAAGTCTTTGGTGTGTGTGTGTTGTGTGTGCGCGTATGTGTGTGTAGGGGTTGGAGAGAGGTAAGAGGTCTTATTTTTGAGGATTTTTATTCAGTTAACTGGGATGATGTTTAGGAATTCTTCTTTTTTTTAATCTGAAGTCCTTAATCTATTAAAAATATTTTACATTATAACAGACAGTGAACAGAAAGCCTCATTTGAGAACCAATGGTCAAAAGGTCACACAAATATCAATATATATGTTTCATAATCTTGCTTTGCTGCACTCTTTCGAAACCAGTTATAGCTTCAGTTCAATTTTAGGTGGTTGTAAATGATATAGTGGGGCACTAAGTTTTAATATAGTGATGCCAATGCTGCTTTGGCTTTTTCTGTCATTAATTAATAATATATAACCTAGTCTTCCCATTTTTAAGGCACAGGATGAGTTGCAAATAGTTAGACCTCTATGCTTCAGACAGCTGGTTCCTTCTTCTATGGAATCTTCCCCTGCTTCCTTTTCTTTCTTTGCTCTGGATTATAATAGGTAAAATTATCCATTAAAATCAAATATATCATTAAGGCATCACTTTAATACCTGCTAATGTCCTTTTGACATTAAATGTTATGTTACTATCTTTTTTTATCTAAAATAGAAAGATGTTTACATTCATTTTCTGTTGCCGTGTAACAATTTGCCAAATACTAAATGGATTTAGAAAACATTCATTCATAATATACTGTCCCAAGGATCAGGAGTTCAGAAATGACATAGCTAAGTGCTCTGGTTGGAGTTTCATGAGGCCACAGTTAGAATCATGATTGGGCTGCATTTCTTTCTGGATCGTGGATCCTTTTCTAAGCTCCTGTGGTTGTTGGCAGAATTCAATTCTTTGTGGTTGCACATATGAAATTCCCCTCTTGCTGGCTGTCAATGTAGGGCCACGCAGCCCCTAGAGGCTACTTGCAGTCCGTTTCCACCTGGTCCTCTTGCAAGCTCCCTTGTAATATGGCAGCTGGATTCTTCAAAGCCAACAACGGAGGGTCTCTCTAGTCCTCTAATGGGTAGTACAGTCATGGGTGTGGCATCTCATCCCATCACCTCTGTGTTATGTGCGCATCTAATTGAAGAGACAACCTGAACAGGCTAAGTGTGAGCAACAAGACTGTCTATTCACCTGGATGTGAGCGGGCTGAGTCCAAAAAGGGAGTCAGCAGAGGGTGGTGGGATTGGAGCTAATTTCATAGATTAGGGTAAGCAGTGGAAAGTTACAGTTAGGGGCCATTTATTGTGGGCAGGGGAAGAAGGTTGCAAGGTGCATTATCACAAGGTGGGAGGGGTCATAGAGCACAGTGTCACTAGGTTGATTGATCAGTTAGGGTAGAGCATGCTAGAATGGTAGAATGTCGCAGGGTTACCTAATCAGCTAAGACAGGTACTAGCCATTTTTCTTCTTTAGTGGTTTTCCTGTTGTCCCAGACTTTCTGGCTCCCAGAATTTGAGACTTCTGGATGTGTACATGTGGGTCACAGGGGTCATGATGGCTTGACCATGGTGCAGCCTGCTCAGGGGACCTTACACTGCACATCTCAGCACTCAAGATGAGGAGATTTAAAAAGGTGTGACTCACTGGGGGTCACATAGGTTGTATCCATCACAGTGGAGCTTGTGAGGAAGCAGCAACACCTGTAGAGCAAAGCAGCTTAATGTGCTCTGCAGTCACATCTCAAATGCAGTTAATCCCCACCCTCCATGTTTGGCTTATTATCCAGACACCCTCCTTGGGCAATTTCATGAAGAACAGAAGCATACTTTTTTTTTGTTTCATTTCTGCAAGAGTTTTGATGTTGTAGCCAAAGGAACCAGCAGGACATCTGAGTTCTTGTATGGGGCTTTTCCACCCCATTCAAAGTGTTTGGGAAATTCTGCAGTAAGATCTTTAAAAACAGATGAAACAGATGGAAGGTAAAATTATAGGGATCTACATTTTTGCAAAGTACATTTACATAAAAAGCACTACGTCCGATTTATGGTGGGAAAGGAAAGAGGAGAAGTTTAGTTCCCTTAAACTTTGCATGGGAAACAGTAAGATGCAGTGATTAGGACAGAGGAATTCACTGCTAATTGCATAAGGCAATTGCTCTTTTGTCACAAGCCCTCAGGGTTATTCTTGAACGCTTTCATAGACTGTGTTACCCTCAGTAAATCACTTCATTCCTGCCGGCTTCTGTCTCTCTGTCAGCAAATTAGGGATTAAAATCTTCTCTTTGAACCATGAAGGAGGGTGGGTAATAATTGGTTTTGTTCAGTGTTTGAAAGACTCAGATAAAAGGCCTTCCTTAAGAGCAAAGTGTTATTCATGTACTTTAGAATTAAGGTAAGAACAGAGTTAAAATGCTATTTCCTTTGCCCTAGCAGAACTGTCTGTCAGATTTCCAACCAGAAGGGCTTTCTGAAGGGAAGATTGCCTATAAGCCTATGCAGTTAACACGACCTCCCTTTTGACTTCCATAGACTGACATAGTGCAAGCGCTGTCCAGGGTTCAAACCTTACCGCTGCCATTTCTGAGCTTGAACAATGGCTTAGATTCTCTGGACATGAAACTATCCTTTAAAAATTTAGGATATTAATATCCATGTAGATAAGAAAATAAATGAGAAATGTTTTACTTAATATCTTTAAGAGTGCTGTCAAAAGATATCAGAGCCCTTCAGTTCTTTCCTTATTCTTCTATGTACAAAAGTAACTAAACTTCATAATGTAATTAAAAATTCATAATGACTCAGTAATGTCATCTTGAAATATGTTAAGCATTAGTTTATGTTATGCATTATGTTGGTGTGAACGAAATTGTGTTTTTATGCCATTACTTTCAATGGCAAAAATCACAATTACTTTTGCATCAATCTAATATATTCTGTGGCATTTAGATGCTTCTTGATTTATTTGTTTCTTTCAATTTTTTGTTTTGTTTTGTTTTGTTTTCTTGAGACGGAGTCTCGCTCTGTCACCCAGGCTGGAATGCAGTGGCGCGATCTCCACTCACTGAAAACTCCACCTCCTGGGTTCAAGGGACTCTTCTGCCTCAGCCTCCTGAGTAGCTGGGATTACAGGCGTGCACTACCACACCCAGCTAATTTTTCTACTTTTGGTAGAGACGGGGTTTCACCATGTTGGCCAGGCTGGTCTAGAAATCCTGACCTCAGGTGATCCGCCTGCCTCCACCTCCCAAAGTGCTGGGATTACAAGCATGAGCCACTATGCCCGGCCTTCTTTCAAATTTTAAACTCATAAAATGTCATGCTAAACATTTGAAATCATACAGAGGTTTAGAAATTGAAATATCGAAGTGTCCTAGGTACAGGAAACTTCTCATCCCACCTTGCTAGAGGTAACTACTGTTAGTTTTCTCCTTTATTCTCATAGGTATATTTTATGTGCATACATCTGTGTGGAGAGATTATTTTGACAAAAATGTTACCTTCATTTATGCAGTCACTTAGAAATCCAGGCTGGGCATGGTGGCTCATTCCTGAAATCCTAGCACTTTGGGAAGCCTAGGCGGCTGGATCACTTTAGGCCTGGAGTTCAAGACCAGCTTGGCCAACATGGCGAAACCCCATATCTACTAAAAATACAAAAATTAGCCAGGCATGGTGGTGTCCACCTGAAATCCCAGCTACTTGGGAGGCTGAGGCACAAGAATCCCTTGAGCCTGGGAGGTGGAGGTTGCAGTGAGCCAAGATTGTGCCTCTGCACTCCAGCCTGGGTGACAGTAAGATCGTGTCTCAAAAAAAAAAAAAAAATGTAAATCCAGTTGTCTTTCTGGGCTCTTCCCTCAGAACCTCTTGTTTCTAATTAATCTCCAAGCTCAGCCAATTCTCCAGTCTTTGTATCTCTCAAATCTGCCTCTGCCTTTCCCTCTCCACTGCCCTGCCTCTCACACGCTGCTGTCACTGTCACCTCTCATCTGCATGTCTGCAATGACCCAGACTCCTTGCCTACAGTCCTGTCTTCCTCTGAACCATTCTCCACTGTGCAGCTGAAAAGGTCTTTCTAAAGAACAAATAGAAACCAGTCAGTTCCTACTTAAAACCAATTGCTGGCTTTTTTTTTTTTTTTTTTTTTTTTTTTTTGCCATTAGAAGAGAGACTCAATTGCCTTACATGCTCATCCAACAAATATTTCTTGAACATCTACTATAAGTCAGATATTGGGTTAGATGCTGTCTATACTGCAGTGACCCAACTAGTTCACGATCAGCCAGGCCTTGACCAACCATCTTCTGCTGACTTTTCGCGTCTCACCCCTCACTCATCCCTATTTACTCTGCTCCAGCCAGAAGGAACTGCCTGCAGCTGAAGTGCACCCCTCTGAAGGGCCTTGACCTGGACTTTTTCTCCTGCGAGAAATGCTGCTTCCCACAATTCCCTTCTTCATCAGGACAACAGCTACACCTTCTCCACATCCATACTTAGACTTCCTTTCAATATATTTTTTCATGGCTTATTCTCTGAGTGCTGAGTTCAGGCTCATCACTGTAAAAGGTATTTAGGATACACTGACAAAAAAAGACAGGTAATTTTTCTTTAGAGTTTGTATTCCATTGGGGGAAGATAGTGAAAAGAGGGGCAAAAAGCAAACACATAGTTAAATAAGAAAATATCTAGTGGCAGTAGAAGGAGGATGACATTTGTTACAAAGAACTAGAGCAGGGAGCTTCTTTCGATGGGGCGGCTAGAGAAAGGGAAGTGGCATTGCATTGTATCTGCAATGTCAAGAAGGGCACGGCCATGGGAAGGTAGAAAAAAGGACTTTCTAGGCATAAAGAACAACCCAAAATCATGAGGCAAGAGTGAGCAAGAGTGGCTGGAACCTGGAACGTCATTTGTATTTTATTCTAAGGATAGTGGGGAACTACCAGTTTTTAAAAGTTCAGATACAAACAAAGCATTGATTTTTTTTTTTTAAGATGGCCCTGGAGGGCTACTCTAAGCAAAATGGAGTGTAAGACATCAGAGTAAAATTGGGGACCCTCTAGAAATCTGGTCCAAGAGATTAAGACGGAAAGGAGATGTGGCATAGACCAGGGTAGTAGCAAGTAGAGAAGGAGAGAAATGATGGGCTTGGATATGTGGTGGAGGTTGAGCTGAGTGGACGTCGTGATGTTTTGGATTAAAAGGGGAGGGAAACTGAGGAGGACTCACAGCTATCTTGAGAGTTTTGGGGTTGAAAGACTTGTCTGTGGAAAAGCTTTCTCTGATATCTCCTAAAGTAGGTTTGGAGACTCTGCTATGTGCTCCCATCATAGTGCTTATTTTGGGTTTCCTCTTTGCTTGTGGACTCCTCCCCTATTCTTTAAGCTTCCTGACAGCAGGTGCTGCACCTTCTTTACTACAAAATTCTCAGCCCTTCAGGCTGTGTCTAGTATATGACAGGTAATCAATAAATATATGTGAACAAATGAATGACCCCAAACAAAAAGATTGGAGGCCAGCCCAATAAAATTTTTATCTTCTCTCACTTTCTTCTTTTTAGTTCTTTCCACATCTACTGAGTAAAATTGAAGTGCTGTTAATTTGCTTTTTTGAAAAATAATCTAATAATAGGGGGAGTGAAAGAGCATGGCTCCTTTAGTAAAAGAACTACACCCAGTAGTTTAACACCTTCTATTTGTTTTATCAAGTACTACTCAAAAATGTTAAGAGCAATCTCAAATGGTAATGAAGAACTTCCTTTGATTCCCTTGCAAGAGTCGCCATCTGGTAGATTATTCGTGTCCTGTGTTTGCCCATCAAATATTATTCTATCAAATGAGTAATGGGATCTCTATGGCTTAAAAATCCCTTTCACTCTTGCAACATATTTCAAAGTTGAGCGGAAGGAGATGGGGGTGTTGGTATCCAGCACGTCACCATATGTATTAGACAGAGAAGGATCAATGCTGTAACACACAGCTCCAGTAACTCAGTGGTTTAAGACAAAAAAATGTTTGTTTCTCTTTCATTTCCTAATCCTATGTGACTCCGTTGGGGACAGGATGGGACTTCTGTTCAACTCATTTATTGAGGACACTCCTTCCATCTCGTGGTTCCACTATTGCCTATGGTGCCAGCTTCCTCCACTGGGTCATCTGCATCTGGTCCTCAGTTGAGAGCAGAAGGATGGTGTGGGGCATTTGATGGGCCTATTTTGGACTAACAGACATTCCACCCATCAGAGCTCAGTCATATGGTCCAACTTGATTTCAAGAGAGGCTGAGAAATACGTCTTCCTATGTACTCAGGTAGAAAATAAAATTTTATTTTCTCCAAATGAGAGAATGACATGGAAGATAGATATGTTAGGGGTTCCCAAGACTGTCTCTAGTTTTGAAGATTTGCTAGGGGATGTACAAGACCCAATATACAATCACACATTTATGATTTATTACAACAAAAGAATGCAAAGCAAAATCTGCAAAGGGAAAAGGCACATGGGGTAATGTTTGGAGGAAACCTGAGGCAAGCTTCCAAGAGTTCTTTCTGAGTGAAGTCTCACAGGAAGTGCTTAATTCTCCCAGCAATGAGTCATTGTGATAGCATTTATAAAATGTTGTCTAGCAAGGAAGCCATTAGACGTTCAGTACTTAGTATGTACCCAAATTCCAGACTCCAAGAAGCAAAGCAGATGTTCAACATAAACCATATTGTTTGCACAGTTTAAGCACAGTGAGCCATTTGCTTCAAAGAATGGTAGACACTTTCCCAACATCCAAGTGGCTAGCCTTGCAAGCAGGCCTTTCTAAGGACAGTGATCTCACACCTGTTATGCTAACTCTTTTCTGTGCAAAAATGGATATATGTTGAGGTAAAATTTATAATGTAATTAGATTCTGGTTCTGGTTACCCTTGGGCAAGATACTCCCTGGGTTTCATATGTCACCTGCAAAATTGAAGAATAACATCTCATAGATGCTTTGCAAAGACAATGAATGTAAAGCAAAAAGCACAGACCCTGTCTCATGACAACACTCAAAATGTAGCTGCTATTATTGTTATTGCTATTATCATTATCACTATTAGCACCATTATTATCATGCCAGTACTCTGAATTGTGTTGTATAATCTAGAAGTTCTTTCTTAAAGTTTCTTTTTCCCCCTCTCAAACTTTGATTCACATTATGTACATATATATATATAAATTTGCTTTTGAAAAATAACCTATCTATATATATATATATAATATAGATATATACATGGTATACAATATAGATATCTACTTGCTTTTTGAAGAATAATCTAAAATAGGGGAATCTAATATATTCTTATATCTATGTGTATAGATATATAGAGATAGATGTCTATAGGTAGATATTTGCTTTTTGAAAACTATGTATATCTATATCTATAGATCTATATCTCTATAGATGTATATATGCTTTATTCAAATTGGAATATAGTTGAATTTGGGTACATGCTAAGCACTGGATGTCTAATGACTTACTTGTTAGACATCACTTTATAAGTTTTATCGCAATGGTAATATTATACATATATTCACACATACAGATTTGAGAGTCACCTCCCTAAAAAAAGTTAGAAAACACAGATTTGTTCTTAGCCCTACAAAGAGTTGTCAGAGGACAAATCTGAAAATAGTGCCTTTATTGTGGTTACTTTTATTCTGTCCCTTGAGTTCCTCCAGAAGCTAACATAATCTTTCTCATAATGATTCCCTCACTGGGATTTTGCAAAAATCAAAAGAGATAGCATAATTTTTGATGTCTTAAAGACATAACATTAAAATGTAGGTAGTTTTTAAAAACAACTTATGTAAAAGTAACCTCTAAATAATATAAAAATTCATTACAAGTCTTTCTAAAGACTTCAAGATTTTCTGTATTGATTCATCTGCAACAATCCTATAAGAAAGCTCCCATTTTCTTTCAAGTCATAGTTGGTTTGGTCCAGGCTGATGTGGCAGCTCTGCTCTAGCAGGATGTCATTCAGCGACCCAGGTTCCTTCCAACACATTGTCCTGCTATCCCTTGCTACCATCTATATCCTATAAACTGGGTCAGTGTCATGTTCAGATCCTGAGGGAAAGTGAGGTAGTCATAGTCCAGGGGCAAGTGAGTCTGGATTTAAAGATAACATGAAGAGTCTCTACATCACTTTTATTCACATTAAGGGCTCAAACTTAGTCACAGGGATCATCTAGCTACAGGGGAAGATGGGAAATGTAGTTTCTGGCTAAATATCAGTATATAAATGCAAAAGGAGAAGTTGGATTTAGGGGAACAAACAGCATTCTGATAAAGTCAACAAAACTTGCTTCTCCTGAATTTTTCTGGTTAATATTCCTAAAAAGTTTCCTTAGATTCAGCTAATCCTTCTAAGACATTTTTTTGTTTTAGTCTGGGAGCAGTGTGAACTGATGTACTTCAAACTCAAATACCACTTGAAGAACCAGCATTTAGAAATAGTACTAAGACTCTGTCTTATGAACCCTTTGAGATTTTCTACTTCCTTTAGCACTGTACATCAGAACTGAATGCATATCAAGTTCAAAAGCAGCTTCATCCAAAGAGGCTTGTTAATAGAACTTGTTGCACATAGAACCTAGTCTTCACAGCACAGAGCCCATGCAAGGGTGGTAATAAGACTGCTATGTGGATCAACTTTAACAGCATTACTCTTCTTTATTTTTTGAAGTAACTAATTGGTTCACAAAAATATATCACTGAGGCCGGGCGTGGTGTCTCATGCCTGTATTACCAGCACTTTGAGAAGCTGAGATGGGTGGATCACCTGAGGTCACATGTTCAAGACCAACCTGGCCACCATGGCAAAACCCCATCTCTACTAAAAATACAAAAAAAAAAAAATTTGCTGGGCATAGTGATGTATGCCTGTAGTCCCAGCTACTCGGGAGGCTGAGGCATGAGAATTGCTTGAACCTGGGAGGCAGAGGTTGCAGTGAGCAAGATTGCACTGCTGTACTCCAGCCTGGGTGACAGAGCGAGACTCCATCTCCAAGGAAAAAAAAATATATATATATATATATATATATAGCACTGACAACTCAATAAATAATTTATATATATATATATCACTGAGAACTCAATAAATAATTTTTCAAGTTCAGTACATATTCGTTAAAGAGGCTGCTGTGCAATTTTGGCTGTTTTGTGGCTAAAACTAAAATTAAATTCTAGGGCACCATTCATCACTGTACATTGCTGGCAGTAAACGTACTCCATAAAATCAGATCATTTTCTGCTTTTCACAATCCCCATTTAAATGTGTTCATTAATAGAAGTGTAACTGGCAATTATTCCAGTGATCCTGCAGGCATTTGAATCTTTATTAAAATAAAATATGTTGCCAAAGCTTTGGAAGTCTTTTCAATGCTATATTTGGGCTGAGTGTGTGAGACTCTAAGTCCTCTTAAATCTGTGTTGACTAATTTAATTTCAGGAAAATACAAGGGAGGAGAATGTGTCAAAAGAAAATGAGAAATAATCAGTTATTTTCTTGTCTATTCACATTTTAGTAAATTATGCTTAACATCTGATATTCTAACTCCCATAAAAATTTTAGAAGATTGGGTCAAAACTTTTCATCTCAAGTTCCCTGTGGTTGTTAATTGTTTTCACAAACACATATTAAGCATCGAGCACCAACTACTTACTGAATGCTTAATATATCCCAAGGACTTTGCTAGTATTGGATATATATTGATGCAAAAAAGAATCGTTCTCACCTGATAGACATTAGAGTGTGGTGGAGGAAGGGGAAATTAATAAGTAAGCAAAGAATTACTTAAGGGTAAATTATGGTACATCCAATGGAAAAAAAAAAAGAGAGAACTCTATGAAAGAGACTCCTGTGGATGCAGGAGACCTAAGGAAAGTATGATGATAAGTTTTATATGTCAACTAAGCTATACTAGGGTGCCCAGTTGTTTGGTCAAATACTAATCTATATTTTACTGTGAAGATATTTTGTAGATGTGATTAACATCTATAATCAGTTGACTTTAAGTAGATCAGATTACCCTTGATAATGTGAGTGGGGCTCACTCAATCAGTTGAAGGCCTTAAGAGCAAAAACTGAGGTTTCCCAGAGAAGCAGAAATTCTGCCTTGACTATAATGTTGAAATCCTGCCTGAGTTTCCAGCCTGCTCACCTGCCCTACAGATTTTGGACTTGCCATTCCCCATAATCACATTAGCCAATTCTTTAAAATAAATCCACAGATGGATAGATGATAGATAGACATAGATCCAATCATCTCTCTTCTCTGGAGAAATCTGAGTGATGTAGCAGGCCTTTCTGAAGTTGAGGGTTTTTTAATGGCAGACCTCAGGAGAAAACCAGTAATGAAAGAAGCAAGGAAAAAGTTATTCCTGGTTGAAGACACAGCAAGCGCAAAAGCCCTAAGGCAGGAAAGGGTTTATTGGATTTAAGAAACTGATGGAGGTTGATGTGACCAAATCACCATGATTGAGGGAGAAGGTGATATAAGATGAGACCAGCCAGGTAGACATACAGCAAGTCAAGCAGAGTCTTGCAGACTGGATTTGACTCATTGCACAGGGCAAAATCATTAAAGGATTAAGTAGGAGAATGACACAAATTTATGTTTGTAAAACAAAACTCTATTTGGCAAATAATGGATTTGGTCATGGAGGAAAAATAAAGAATGGGTAAAGAAGATATTGCAGTAAACTAGCCAAGTTATGATGGTACATTGGATTAGAAATTTTAATTGTTGAGATACAAAGAAGTGAAAGTATTTAATCTATATTTTATAAATAAAAATGACAGAATTTGACAAATAGGTTGAATGTGGCTAGGAGGGAAAGAGCAACAATATAGATGATTCCAAGTTTTCTGACTTAAACAACTAGGCAGGTATTCTTACCATTTACTAAGATGCAGAAAACTGGGGGGAAATTGTTGAGTGAGATTGGGGGGTGTTAAGAATTAGTAATCAAAATTTGAATTTAGTCTTCTAAAGTTTGATAAATTCTAGTGGTTGGATACATAATTTTATAGAGCTAAGAGGGGTGTTTGGGGCTGAAAATACATATTTAAGGGTCACCAGCATATATGTAACATTTAAGGCCATGGGAATTGATGATTACTAACAATTGTAAGAAAAATAACATGCATTGAATGCATATAATGAACCAGCTCTGCCCAAAATACTTTAGGTATGATTAACCCTCTTTATTCTCTTAGCAGCCCTACGAAATAGGTTTTTTTAAAATAATAATAATAATAAAAGAAATGGGCAAGGAATTGTTAAGTGACCTCTCCGAGGTCACAGCTAGGAAGTGGCAAGGCTGGGAATTGAACCAAGGTACCCTAGCACCTAAGTGCATACCTTTTTGACCACTAAGAATGACTTAAAAGAGACAAAAGGATTTAGTCCTGGTCAGGAGGGACTCTAGCATTTAGAGGATCAGTAAAGCTGGAAGAGATAGCAAAGGACACTGAAAAGAAGCAACCAGAGAGATGGAAAGAAAACCAGGAGGATGTGGTATCACATAAACCCAAAGACAATAGTCCTTCAAAAAACAGGCATTGAATGCTAAGCAGACAAGCAAGATAAGGACAGAGAGGTGACTGTATTAGCTTGGGCTCTTTGATGGTAAGCAACAGAATCTTGATCTAACAGGAGAAAAAAAAGAAGTTCCTAAAAGAATCTAGGGAAGCTCAAAGAATTGAATGAAAACATTAGTACCAGGCCTCGTAAGAGAGAAGCACCTGAAAGCCTCCAGGTATTTTCTTGGGAGTAAACTAAGATGAGAACCACAATATTCAGTAAATGACAACTATATATCTGACAAACACTCCTCATTCTCTATGGCGCAACTCTCTTGGGCTTCTTTCAATTTCATGACACAAGTTCTTCCCAGAGAAATAACCAAATTCTGGCACCTGCAGAGAAGCAGAGGAGGTTTGGGAAGCCCACAAGAACCTTGCCTTTGGGTGACCTTCCCTTCTTGCCCTTATGCCATGCTTTTCCAGCATTTCCCAATACCTTTCCATCACGGTGCTAACAACCATCTCCTCCACTGGCTACTCTTTATGTACATTTACTTTAAATCACTCATGGAGAAGAGCTTTTGGCCTCTCCTGGTCTGAGGACCTTTTGGTTCCTTCTCATGCTTCCAATGTCATCTTAAACATCATCTCCCCTAATCACAGCTCCATGTAGGTGAAACCCCTGCTGTGTCCAGTTTGTTCCTTACTTAGCATTTATCATTATCTCTAATAATTAATGAATTTGTTTATTGTTTTCTGAGATGGGAGGTAAATGAGGGCAGAGTTGCTGCTGTCTGGCTTACCCACATATACCCAGTACCCTGTACTTTTCCTGGCACATAGTTGCTTCTCAATAGGCATTATTCGACACCTGAACAAGTAAATGTATTCAAGACACCCCACTGAGCCCTCTCCCTAATTTCACTTAGGCAGGGCCATGGGATCTCTAGGGCTTCTGTGACTACATCTGGGTTTCAGGAAATTTCTGCTAATCCCAACTCTTACCAATAGAAACCACTTACTCTTCTCTGGAATATCTGGTTTGTTTGGTCCTTGTTTTGGTCCTGGTTTCAGTCCTGGTCTCTGTTCCACCTTTTCAGGTGAATTCTATGCAGGCCTAGACTCTAAATTCCCTCTTGAGCTACCTGCTATGTATTCTTGGATCCCGAGATCTGCAGCCCTGGGCTGGGCTCTTCCCCACTTCACCACACTCCCAGTTTAGGGGTGCTTCTGTGGATTTGTTTCTCTGCAAAATACTTTGGAACAAAAATATATAAACATTTTAAAAATGTTTCTGCCTTCAAACACTTTACAAACTATTTATAAAATAAACACTACTAATGAAATTACTGAAGTAAAAATGAGCACGGAGTCTAAAATTCAGTCTGCAGGGCCCTTAGAAACATTTTTGAAGGACATTTATGAGTGTATTAACTGCACTGTGTGTGGGATAACAAACTAGCACCTTCGAGGAAAAAGTTAATATTGAGCCCATCTGACCAAGTCATTAACATATAAATTATTTTGCGTAAAGGACCAATTTGTATGGTATGAAATACCGTGTTAGAAAAGTAGGTGGAAATAGAGTTAAGTTATGAGAACCATCCAGTGAGAAGGCAAAGTTGGTGAACTGGGAGGGGGCACATATGACCCGTAAAGATTTTTTTAAAGTATTATTATTATTATTATTATTGAGATGGGGTCTCACTCTGTTGCCCAGGCTGGAGTGCAGTGGCACAATGTCGGCGCACTGCAATCTCCGCCTCCCGGGTTTAAGTGATTCTCCTGCCTCAGCCTCCTGAGTAGCTGGGACTACAGGCATGTGCCACCACACCCAGCTGATTTTTGTATTTTTAGTAGAGACGGGGTTTCACTAAGTTGATGACAAAGATTTTAATAATTATCATTGAAAAATTATAAAGGAAAAAGAACAATGTCACCAAATGAGGTATATTATTAATATGTTAACAAAGTTTGATGTCTAATGTGCACCGCACGTTATCATAAAATGCCTTCACATGTAATAGGTCATATCACTGCCAAAGCCACATGAAGAGAAATATTATCATTTTGTGGAAGAGGAAACAACAGGCTGCACATTTGTGAGACTGACTCAGCATCACAAGCTATTTGGTGACAGAGCCTGGACCTAGTCATAGTTCTGTCTCTGTGTAGAGTTTTATGTTCCCCTAGCAACCTCTATTCACCATGCAGAAAACTTTAAACAATATAATCTCCAAATAATAAAAGAAAGCATGCCTTTAAAACCACCGAACTCCAAAGGACCAGTTCACTAGAGCAGATAATGTTACTCCAGAAGACTAACTTGTTGTCTTCCTTAAAATCCCTTCTGTCATTCAAAGATCCTTGATTAGCAAAAAGAAATGTTTACAGTGAGATAAAACATCACCTACCAAATCCTTCATGCTGAGGACCTTTTTTTTTTTTTTTAAATAAAAAGCATTCAAATAGGTCAACAAGGAAATAAGCAAAACCACTTTTTTCTAAAGTGATTTTTCAACCATTGTAGGTAGGCCAATATTCAACCTAATTTCTATTTTCATTTTTAATATATTCCCTATTGATCTTCAAGAAGTTCTGAAGGAAACCTGCATGAGACATGCATATAATATGACCAATAAAATATACATTATAGATTCCACAACATTGAGAAAGGATAAAATTAAATTTACCAAAAATTAGGCCAAGGGAATTGCTGTAACTTGGCACCACAGTTTGTCTTTAATTTCTCAGAAGTCAAGTGTTCAGCTTTTCTTTGCATTGGCTTTGCATAAATGGGCCAATGACACTTTCTCCTATTTTTAAATTATTTTTAGTTCCTCCCAGTGAAGTTCCTGAATACACCACTTCAACTCTAGGCAATTATCTAGTTATTTAGTCTTTATACTTTTCGAAATCATACTCTGCTTTGTCCCATAAAGAGACCGTAAAATCTATTTGTTGAACTATCTAGAGAAAGGAAAAAAATAATAATAATCCAAACAGCAATTTAGTGCCTGTAATAAGAAAGTAAATAGCATAATTTCTGCAGCTGAAATCCAAGTTAGATCTTCTCATCACAATTGTGGTCCAATATGGAGCTCTTCATGAAAAAAAAAGTAACAAACTATTTGAAATAAGTAAATTCCAAGAAAGGATATGATTAGTCCTTTTGTGGTTTATTGTTACAGCTTGTGGTCTGTAATTATTTTAGTTGCCTGAGTTCCCGTATGTTGGCCACAGTGGTTGAAAGTGGGATGGGGATAGGCAATCATATTCTTCATGGAACTATTAATAATAGCAGATTAAACCTGTTTTAAGCACCACACACAACAGAGCAATTTACTGCTTGTCAGCAGCAGAATCAAGGCACCATGTAATCTGTGCAATGAAGCAAATGCTAACAATGTTTATTTGGTTTCTTTTGGGACTCCATATAAAACCCCATATTAGTCTCCTCATGGAAGGCAAGCCTATTACTGAATATACTTTGTATTATCATTAATAAATGTTACTGATTTATTGGACAGGTTACATTTATTGAAAACAATGAAGGCATGCAGTTAATCACCAGATTTTTCTAATTAATTAGTTTTGTGTGTGTGTGACTAGAATATATTTTTTGGCTAATCATAGCACTTTCTGTTAGAGTTGGATGAACCTGGTTTTCAAGAAGTGTGGCCATGTCCTTTTCACTGTATGTTTGTACCCATGAGCCCTCTTTATATCCTGAAGAGCCCCTACATTGCCTCCTGATGTGCATCACTAGTGCCAGAGACTTGGGGAGGATGTGTGGTTCAATGCAAAGAGAATTGAAACTGAGAGCCACTTAATCCTGGATTGCAATCCCAGCTCTGACACTGAGTTTTACCTTGAAAAGCCTCCCTGGACCTCAATTTCCTTATGCATAAATGGAGATATTATTATCCACTTCACAGTATTGGTGTGGGGTCTAAAATAAATGAAATGTAAACAGATGATTATATGTGCTAGATCCTGATGCTCAATTGCTGAGCCCTTCCAATGGAATAGATACACACACAAAAATGTTTCATGCTTACACTTTTTAGGTTTTATGGAAAAAGTAAATTATACAGTCACAGCTCCCTTAAGATATCTTTGAGATCAACCAATCCCACTCTCTTTATATTTTACAGAGGCAAATACTAAAAGTCTTGACTATATGATAGATGTTTGTCCTGAAGTCAACTAACTTACACATCTCTGCCTTCTCTGCTATTAGATCCTGTTGTCTGCCTCTCAATTCAGATTTGTTTCTACTATTCCAAACTGCCTCTGGAATTCTAAGGCATCTTGTCCGTACCATATAGCAAATCATGAATCTTCAACCAGCAATTCACACATACCTACTGAGTTTCTGCCGAAGATGTAACTTCAATAAGCACTTGGGAGATGGATAGTAAACAAACTTGTGATTCTTTCCCTCAAGAAGCAAACAGGCCCTGTAATTTGATTTATCTATTTCTCTATACATTTTTTCTGTATTATTGCTATAGACTCTGGGCCATCTAGTGTATGCATGTCATTTTTTGGCAGAGTAATTATAAAATACCAAAAAGTTTAGAAACTTCCCAAGGCCATATAGCTAATTAGTAGCTGAGACAGAATTATAACAGAAACTTCTGAATTCCCATCTCAAAATCACAGCCTAGGATTCCCATAAGAACATGCAGAATCTAGGATTCCCATAAGAACATGCAGAAGGTATAAGAAAGAGAGAGAAAAATGAATCAAAAGATCTTGGCCCTCAACCAAGGGAATTTTCAGCTCTTTTCCCAGACAGCTAGGTAGACCAGAATTCATAGTTCTTTGATGTAGCAAGCTTGCCTTGAGGTTAGCAGTTGGCATTTGTCATTTAGATTCTATATGAAGTTTTTGGATTACCTGTAAAGGGATTTATAAGGTAGAGAAGCAGTCAAACATAGGGGTAAAGAACAAAGACTCTGGAGTTACACTGTCCGAGTAAATATCCTGATGCTGCTACTTACTGACTCATGTAATGAGGATGCCATGATGTCATTTAGCCTATGTATCTCAGTTCCTATTCAGAGATGACTCTGACCTTTTTGACTAAAGCATTCAGAAGAATGGATTGACATTCTGAAATGGGAAAGGAGAACTGAGGGAGGGAGGATGACATTTAGAGAGGAAGATCAGGAGCCTCATCTTGCTTGGAGAGTTAGGATGTCTCTTAGACATCCGAAGAGAGCTATGGAGTAAGTAGTTGCATATATATAAATCTAGAGTTCAGAGGAGAGGTCCAGGCTGGGAAATAAATACTGATGACACCAACATCTATATCATACTTATCTCCGTGAGACTGGATGAGATCACCGAAAGGACAAGCCACAGATATGGTCACATTGATGTTTAAGAAATATCACTCTGACAGAGCAGAGTGAGAGGAATGAGAGTAGAGGCTATTAAATCAGCTTCAAACTTATCGCAGTGGTTCAAGCTAGTGATTATCAAGGATAATAAACAATAGTAGTAACCATGGTAATAACAGAAATGGATTGTACACAGAAATATAATACTAGCTAAACTAAAAGTATATTATAGAAAAAAATCCTACAAGGACCAGGCCCCACCTCTTATTTTTGTGGCCTGAAAGCAAAGAAGGCAGAATCTCTTACAATGTGTGCTTCTGGGCCAGGCGCGGTGGCTCACGCCTGTAATCCCAACACTTTGGGAGGCTGAGGCGGGCAGATCACAAGGTCAGAAGATTGAGACCATCCTGGCTAACATGGTGAAACCCTGTCTCTACTAAAAATACAAAAAATTAGCCAGGCATGGTGGCAGGCGCCTATAGTCCCAGCTACTCAGGAGACTGAGGCAAGAGAATGGCATGAACCCGGGTGGCAGAGATTTCAGTGAGCTGAGATCATACCACTGCACTCCAGCCTGGGCGACAGAGTGAGACTCCGTCTCAAAAAAAAAAATAAAATAAAAAATAAAAGGACTTGTGCTTCTGGCCCCACTGGAGAAGACTGGACCTTCGTCTTAAACTTAGAGAAGACACACTTCACAATGGTTTAAAGATGAACCCCTGCCTGTTCACAATGGTTTAAAGATGGACCTCTGCCGGTTTATAGCGTATCTTCTCTAATTTTATATTAATTTTGCCTTGCCCTGCCTATGCCATCACCAGCAAAACTGACGTCCCCAATTGAAAAGCTAGAGAGAGTAACAAAAGAGGCCTAAAGGGGGGTTTCTGACACTTTCTTTAGGGTATTTTCTCCTTTCCAGCAAGTCTGAACATTGAAAAAATGTGTTTGTCCTATCTCTCAGTACTCTCTTATTCCAAGGGCTTTTGATTCTTTAGTCCTTGCATCCAGCATCCATACATCAAAAATCTTTTATGTGTGTAGGTATGGAGGTAGGGATGTGCATTTCTGTGTGGATATAAAAATTCAACAAACAATGTGCATAAGAAAATACAGAATGAAATGGAAACTGGAACACAGTCTGCTTAGAAAACCAAGAGAATAACAGAGAATGAGTGAGCGACTCAGCTTTGGAGAAGGTGTTGGAGTTCCCATTCCATTGCAGAGGATGGGATGAAATGGACAGCTTCAAATCCACCCTGCAATGTAGATGGTCACTATTGTATCTGAGTATCAGCCTTCTGTACATGACTTAATATTATTCCCTTATCACAATATGGACCTTCTCATAGAATTAAACTGACAACATTTTACTTCCCGTAGCTTTTGTTTGTTTCTTTGTTTTAGACGGAGTCTTGCTCTGTCGCCAGGCTGGAGTGCAGTGGCACGATCTCGGGTCACTGCAACCTCCAACTCCCTGGTTCACGTGATTCTCCTGCCTCAGACTCCTGAGCAGCTGGGATTACAGGCACACACTGCCACACCCAGCTAATCTTTGTATTTTTAGTAGAGACAGGGTTTCACCATGTTGGCCAGGATAGTCTCGATCTCCTGACCTTGGGATCCACCCGCCTCGGCCTCCCAAAGTGCTGGGATTACAGGCTTGAGCCACCGCGCCTGATCCCTGTAGCTTTTTAAAGTTTTAGATTTGTGGACTTTCCAAAGGATGTACAGAATCTATTATGAAGGCATGAGGAAATTGTAGTTTCCAATTCCTTCCACTTCCCAAATTATATAAGGAAAAATGAGAGAAAAATAGATATCCACAGTGGTCTCCCAGCCTATATATTACACATCACAATTGTATCAGAAGCCAGTGATATTAGCAGGTTATTTTATTACCCTAATAGAGAGTAGCACAGTCTCACTAGCTGGGGATTTTTCTTGAGTCATTTTACATATCAGATTTAGTTCCATCAGAAGATGTATATGTGTTATTTTCTTTGTTTTTTTTTTTTTTTGAGGGGGATGGGTAATTTTGTTTTGTGAATTCTAAATAGAAAGGTGTAACTGCAGCATGAAATTGATACAGCTTTGCTCTATGTGCTTAAAGAGACTTATGTGAAGGATGATTATGTGAGAAAATATAAGCTCAGAATACTGACCAATGAATCTCCACATTGCCCATCTGTCCTGTCCCTCTCTCTCATGATCTCTGTACATGGTTAGTGTTGGATGCTGAATTCTGCATCCTCAAAATTCATATGTTGAAGTCCCAACATCCAGTACCTCAGACTGTAACCATGTTTGGAAAAATGGTTTCAAAGAGACATTTAAGTTAAATAAGGCCTTTAGGATGAGATCTAATCTGGTATGACTTGCGTCTTCATAAGAAGAGAAAGAGACACCAGGGATGTGCATTCCCAGAGAGACGTGCATTCCCATGTGAAGAGGCAACAAGAGGCTAGTCATCTGCAAGTCAAGGGGAGAGACCTCAGTGAAAAGCAATCCCGTCCATGCCTTGCTCTTAGAGCTGTGAGAAAATAAATTCCTGGTGTTTCAGCCACCCAGTCCGTGGTATTTTGTCATGGCAGTCCTAGCAAATTAATTCAGCTAGCTTAGCTTTTCTCACAGCCTGGTGATCTCAGAGTAGTTGAATTTCTTATTCATGGTAGCTGGCTTCTAAGAGAGAAGAAGGGGAACTCCACTATGCTTAGAAAGCTAGGCCTGGAACTGGCATAACATTATTTCTGCTGTATTCTGTTGATCAAAGGCAATAACACGTCTTCCCAGCTTCAAGAGAAGGGGAAACAAATCCCACCTCTTGATGTGGGATGTGGCAGTGTGTGCTTCCAGGGGAAGAAGAAGTTGATGGTGGTCCTCTTTGAAGATCATCTATCACAGGCTTTATTCAAGAGGAAGGGGCTTCTCTTTAGCCCCTGTATTAAATAATCTGTCCTTCTCACTTTTAGAAGACCTTGTTTCCTATCTCAGGGGGAATATTGATGCCATCTAATGTTATAAGCCACAAATTTCTGCGTCTCTGCTGAAAGTTCTATCAATGATAGTATCCATTACTTCTTTTGCTCTTTTCTTCCAGGCTCTCATTACAAAAAAATTTCTTCTGGGTCAAAGTTAAGGCACCTGAGTACTAGAATGTTCTTCATTCCCATACATTTTCCTTTAGCCATCACTCTCTCTTTTGTATTTTTGTTTGTTTGTTTGTTTGTTTGTTTGTTTTGAGACAAGGTCTCACTCTGTTGTCCAGGCTGGAGTGCAGTACAGTGGCATGATCATGTCGCACTGCAGACTTGACCTCCTGGACACAAGCATCCTCCCACCTCAACCTCCCGAGTAGCTAGGACTACAGGTGTGTGCCACCATGTCTGGCTAAATTTTGGAAAAAAAAAAAAAATTTTAGAGATGGGGGTCTCACTATGCTGCCCAGGCTAGTCTCAAACTCCTAGGCTCAAGCAATCCTTGCACCTTTGCCTCCCAAAGTGCTGGGACTACAGACGTGAGCCACAATGGCCGGAGTCTCTATGGTATCTTAAACTGCTCACTTTCTATAAGCTCCTTCCTCTCAGCCAATAAATAGGCACATGCCTCTCCTGGTCCCAAAGTATGACCCAGGTGGTCCCAGAGTTTCCCAAAGTATGCTCTACAGTAGTATTGCCATTCTCCTCTTCTCCTCAAAACTTTTTGAAAGTGAGGTCTTGCAATTTCCACATCTTTACCTAGGATTAGTTTCTCAGCTGTCTTCAATATGGCTTCTACCCCTAACATTCCACTGAACCTGTTCTGAATAAGAGGGTTTTCAAAAAAAAAAAAAGTCTGCTATTTTAAAAACGTAATGGAAACTTTTTAGTATTTATCTAATTGGACATTTCACAACATAAAATAGATCCCTTCTACCCCAAAACTATTGTCAACTCCCTTGGTTTCCGTGGTGTTCTTCCTACATGTCTAATCCAGAATTCTTTCATCTTCAAGGGTTTCATTTCTACACAAATTCTTTACGCACTTCTGTTCCTTAGGGTTCTGTTCTTGACCAATTATTCTCTGCAATTTGCATTCTCCTAAGAAGAGCACACCCATGTTCATGACTCATCTCCCACCTCTGGTAATAAATCTCAAATTAGTATCTCCAGCCCACACCTCTCACTGGAGCTGTGTGTCCCATTATCTGCTGGTCATGCCTGCCTAGCTCTGGCATAGACCTTTGAAATTCAGTATGTCCAAAACTAAACGTTCTGTTCTCCATACCCCAAAGCTACATTTTCTTCCACATTCTCTGTCAGTTGGGGCTCATGATCCTCTACCTGGTTACACAGCCTAGAAATGTGGGATCATTCTTGACTCCTTCTTTTCCCTAGTCATTCAAATTCAATCAGCCATCAAGTTCTATGAGATTTTTTTCTACCACTTTCTCAGTTCTTTCTCTTCCTCTTAAGTCCAGTCCTACATGCCATAACTCATGCCTACATCATCTCTCTTATGAAGTAGTTAGGAATGTTCTAATTGTCTCCATACAACTATCTTCTGATCAATCTATTCCTCATCCCAACATCAGATCTTACAAAAAAAAAAAAAAAAAAAAAAAACGTAAAATTGACCAGGTCAATCCTTTATTGAAAATAATTATTTACTCACTCTATTTTCTCTCAGTAAGACCAAATTTCTCAAATCCTTGAGCCAAGGCACCCTGTCTGCTTCTGAAGTTTATCCTGGCAAACCTTTGGGAAATACGATGAGATACTAGTGAGAGTTTGGGTTCAACATGCTGTAAAGAGTAAAATATCCCTCGGTTCACATTCTCTTATATTTTGCTTTAAAACACACTAAAATTTCCAGAGCATATGGGATCCAAAAATCAATAATTTTAAACAGAGAGTCTAACCACATTTAGGGTAAAAGATAATACTTAATTGTGTTTTAGTAGTTCTTCAAAACCAAGTTATCTGGGTTATCTAGGATATGTATTAAGTAGTAATAAAAAGAAAAAAGCAATTATGAGAATCCAGTTACATGGGACAATCCTTTAATGTTACCTATTCTGAAACATTCTATCTCCAAAGTCATTATACCATGCAACTATAGGACTTTAAAAGGACCTCAAAAACATAAATGTCGAAGAATCACATTTTTTTTGAGATGGAGTCTCGCTCTGTTGCTAGTCTGGAGTGCAGAAGTGCAATCTCGGCTCACTGCAACCTCTGCCTCCAGGGTTCAAGCGATTTTCCTGCCTCAGCCTCCTAAATAGCTGAGACTACAGGCACATGCCACCACGCCCGGCTAATTTTTGTATTTTTAGTAGAGATGGGGTTTCACCATGTTGGCCAGGATGGTCTTGATTTCTCGACCTCATAATCTGCCCGCCTCAGCCTCCCAAAGTGCTGGGATTACAGGCATGAGCTACCACGCCTGGCCTAAAGAATCACATTTTTAATTTTTATACATATTTGTCATTCTAAACCAGGCTAATTTTTGTGCCTACTTGTCCTGAATATAATTTTAAGTAAATTAAATTTACTTTAGAATACAATTTTATAACAAAAATAATTTTGCCCATTGTGATGAGCAAAAAGTATATATAGATTGTATACACACATACACACACACAGACACAAATGCCTCTGGCATAATGCTGTCTTTGTGCTAGACACTTAGGCACATCACATAAAGTGCATAACTGTACGGTAATATTCAGCAACATGTTCAAATGTCATGTTAATATACACAACAACACTATGAGGTAGATACCATTATTATGAATTTTATAGATGAGGAAACTCAAACACAGAAGCTAATGGTGTTCCCAAAGAACACATAGCTAGGAGGTAGCAGTGCTGGGGTTCAAGCTTAAGTAGCCAGCCCAGAAGCCATATTCTTAGCCACTATTCTATGCTACCCATACTCTGGAATTTATTATTTGCTTTCCATTCCGACTCCTCCCACTCAATTTTAAGGCTTTGACTATTGCAATATCTCCATTAGCTTCCTTATTTCTAGTCTCACCATTATCAGTCCATTCACTACACTCCATCAAAGTGATATATTTTTGTAAGTTTGGACTGCTATAAAAGAATACTATGGAGTGGGTGGCTTAAACAACAAATTTATTGATCATAGTTCTGGAGGCTGAGAAATCCAAGATCAAGTTTCCAGCAGATCCTATGTCTGGTAAGAACCTGCTTCCTGGTTCAGATTGTTTGCTTCTCCTTGTAGCCTCATGTGGTGAAGAGCAGAGAGAGAAAGCAAGCTTTCTTGTGTCTTTTTATAACTGCACTAATCCCATTCATGAGGGCTACACCCTCATGACCTAATGACCTCCCAAAGGTCCCACTTCATAACCCCAGCACATTGGGGGTTAGAATTTCAACCTATGACTGTTAGGGGACACACACACTCATTCACTCCATAACATGATCATCATAAATAGCAACGCTATTGATACCAACTCTACTTACATTCTTCAATGGCTCCCTATCCTTTTATTTAAATAAAATTTTATTTCATTTGCATTACATACAAGGACCTTCAGGATTTGGCCTTTTCCCATATTCCACTCTGATGCCCTGTCACTCTCTGTTTCACATTCTATGCGCCAGTCATACAGGACATAGTATCCATTTTTCAGTCTGTTCCTGATGCTATAACAAAATACTTTAGACTGGGTAAACCATAATTTATTTCTATTGTTTATAAATTACTCAGTCTAAAGTATTTTGTTATAGCAGCAGGAACAGACTATACAGTTCTAGAGGCTGGGAAGTTGAAGATCAAAGCACTGGCAGATCAAGTGTCTGGTGAACGCTGCTCTCTATCTATTTTTAAGAAGGTACCTTGTTGCTGCATCCTCCGGAGGGGAAAAATTATGTGTCATCCCATGGTAGAAGACATAGAAGGGAAAAAGGGCCTAGGGCACTCCTTTCAACCTCTTTTATGAGAGTAGTAACCCTATTCCTGAGGGTGGACCACTCATGACTTAATCACTTCTCAAAAGGTCCCACCTCTTAATACCAACACACTGGGTATTAGGTTCTGACATATAAATTTTGGAGGAACATATATATTCAAACAATAATATTCCACCCCTGGCCCCGTGAAAATTCATGTTTTTCTCACATGCGAAATGCATTGTTTCTTTGTATCCCAGTAGCCTCAAAGATTGTAACTTGTTCCAGCGACAACTCAAAATTCTAAAGTTCAGAGTCTCTTTTATCACAAAATGACTCCTTTCCTCTGGGTAGATACCCAGTGGTGGGATTGCTGGATTGAATGGTAGTTCTACCTTAAGTTCTCTAAGGAATCTTCGTATTGTTTTCCACAGTGGTTATGCTAGTTTACATTCCCACCAGCTGTGTAAAAGTATTCCCTTTTCACCAATCCTCACCAACCAACATCTATTGTTTTTTGACTTCTTAATTATGGCCATTCTTGCAAGAGTAAGGTGGTATCTCATTGTGGTTTTAGTCTGCATTTCCCTGATAATTAGTGATGTTGAATATGTTTCCATATGTGTGTTGGCCATTTGTTTGTATATTTTCTTTTGAGAATTGTCTATTCATGTCCTTGGCCTGCTTTTTGATGGGATTATTTGTTTTTTTCTTGCTGATTTGTTTGAGTTTCTTGTAGATTCTGGATATTAGTCCTTTATTGGATGTATAGTTTCCAAATATTTTCTCCCACTCTGTGGGTTTTCTGTTTACTTTGCTGATAATTTCTTTTGCTGTGTAGAAGCTTTTTAGTTTAATGAGATCCCATTTATTTATTTTTATTTTTGTTGCATTTGATTTGGGGGTCTTAGTCATGAATTCTCTATGAAAAAGACACATGCACACGCATGTTTATAGCAGCACAATTTGCAGTTGCAAAGATGTGGAACCGTAAGTGCCCATCAAACAAGTGGATAAAGAAAATGTGTGTGTGTGAGAGAGAGAGAGAGATACATAGATACACACACACACACACATACACACACACCATGAAATACTACTCAGCCCTAAAATGGAATGAAAAATGTCTTTTGCAGCAATTTGAATGGAGTTGGAGGCCATTTTTCTAGGTAAAGTAACTCAGAAATGGCAAACCAAATATTGTATGTTCTCACTTATAAATGGGAGCTAAGCTATGAGGAGGCAAAGGCACAAGAGTGATACAATGGACTTTGGGGGCTTGTGGGGAAAGGGTGGGAGGGGGTGAGAGATCAAAGGCTACATATTGAGTACAGTGTACACTGCTCAGGTAACAGGTGCACCAAAATCTCAGAAATCACCACAAAAGAGCTTATCCATGTAACAAAAAACCACCTGTACCTCAAACACTATTTAAGGAAAAAATAAAAATAATGTCCAGAGTCTCCTGTAAATATGATCTAACTCGGATATGGATGAGACTCAAGGTACAATTCATTCTGAAGCAAATTGTTGTCCAGCTGTGAATCTGTGACATCCAGCAAGTTAAATGCTTACAAAATACAAGGGTGGAACAAGCACAGGGCAGGTATTTCCATCACAAAAGGGAGAAATAGGAAAGAAGAAAGGGGTAATAATTCACAAGTAAATTTAAACCCGACAAGGCAAACGACATTCACCTCTGAGGCGTGATAATAATCTTCTTTGACTCCATGTCCTGCCTTCTTGACATACTGAGTGGGGGTTGGGACCCAAAACCCAGGGAAGACCCGTCCATGGCTTAGTTGGGCACAGCCCTCACAGCAGCTCTCATGGGTGGAATACTCCATAGCTCTATCAGGCATTACCCTAGTAGAGGCTCTGTGAGGTGGCCCCACCACTGTGGCAGTTCTCTGCTTGGGCTATGAGGCTCTCCAAGGCATCCTTTGAAACCTAGGTGGAGGTAGCTATGCCTCCACAGCTTGGGCACTCTGTGCACCAGCAGTTAGCACCAGGTGGGTGCTGCCAAGATTTACTGCCTGTGCTTTCTGGAGCAGTGTCCTGCATTAAACCTGTACCTGTTTGAGCCATGCTGGAGCAGCCAAAGAGCACTGCACTGGAATGGGTGGAGCAGAAATTGAGTTGGCCCTGGGTAGTAAGCCTCAAAGTCCCACAGGGACCTTGGCCCCCATCCTTTGAACCCATTCTGCTCTCAAGGCCCTGGCATTCTGGGCCTGTGATGGGAGGAGCACCCTCAAAGCTCTCTGAAATGCCTTCAGGGTCATTCTTCCATTGTCTTGCTGAATTGCATCTGGCTTCCTTCTATCCACACTAATCTTATCAAATATCACTTGATCACACCCTGGTGTTCCCTCCTGAACACACCTTTTTATTCTTTACAATCTGGCCAGGCTGGGAATTTTCCAAATCTTTTGAGTTCTTTTTGCCTTTTGAGTATAAATTCCATCTTTAATTTGTTTCTCTCACACACAGTTTTCTATACGCAGTCAAGAGAAGCTGTTCCATACCCTCAATATTTTGCTTAGCAGTTTCTTCCACCAAATACTCTAGTTCATTGCTCACAGCTTCTGACTAAGCACTAAGACACAGACAATTCAGCCAAGTTATTTGCCACTTTATAAACAGGATGGCTTTTTCTCCAGTTTACAATCCCTCGTTCCTCATTTCCATCTAAGGCCTCATCAGAATTGCCTTTACCATCCATATTTGTATCAGCATTCTGATCACAACCACTTAAGTAGTCTGTAAGATTAAGGCTTCCCCTACAGCTGTTCTCTTTTGAGTTATCACCAGAACTGCCTTAATGCTTTATTCACAGGAATAGAGACTTTTTCTAGCATTCGGTTCCAAAATCTACCAGCCTCTCTGCATTATCTTGTTCCACAATTTTATATATTTGTTAACAGCAACACCCCACTGCTTGGTACCAGCAGTTCCTGGTGCTATAACAAAATGCCTGAGACTAGGTAACTTATCAATAATAGAAATTTATTTATCACAGTTCTGGAGGCTGGCAAGTCCAAGATCAAGGCTCTGACATTCAGTGTCTGGTAAGGGCTTGCTCTCTGCTTCCAAGGCGGCACTTTGGAAGTGCATCCTCCAGAAGGGATGAATGCTGTGTCCTCACATGGTAGAAGGGGTGGAAGAGCTGAAGGTCCTAGAGTGCTTCCTTCAACCTCTCATGTAACAGCACTAATCCCATTAATGAGGCGAAGCACTCATGACATAATCACTTCTCAAAAGGCCACATCTCTTAATATTATCACATTGATTATTCAGGTCCAACATATGAATTTTGGAGGGACCTCATCCATTCAAACTATAACAACCCATCATTCTCTGAGCATATGCTATGTTCTTTTGCCAGTTTTATAATTTGATTCTTCTACCTTAGAAACTCCTTTTATTATTCCAAGTCTCAGATAGCTCCGAAATCCCCCCTGCCCACCCCTAGCCTACCAGACCATTTCTGCCTCTCTCTTATGCCATAGTGCCATAGTTCCATTGAACAATTGGTTTGTTTTATTCATTTCCCTATCATACTGTGGGAGCAGATGTTGTGTCCCTTCATCTTTGGGTCTTCAGTCCTCAATTAATTTGAATGGAAAATGAGTAGATCAGCATAATATAGTTTGTGTGCTAGTTCTGTTAGTTATTAACAGTGTAACTTTGTTATCTCATCCGTAAAACGAGATAATGATAGTGTTTGTGTATATCATAAGTTCTTTGTGAGGATTAAGTGAGATAACATAAGGCCAGGCGCTGTGGCTCACGCCTGTAATCCCAGCACTTTGGGAGGTCGAGAGTTCAAAACCAGCCTGACCAACATGGAGAAACCCTGTCTCTACTAAAAATACAAAATTAGCTGTATGTGGTGGTGCATGCCTGTAACCCCAGCTACTCAGAAGGCTGAGGCAGGAGAATCGCTTGAACTCAGGAGGCAGAGGTTGTGGTGAGTCAACTCCATCTCAAAAAAAAAAAAAAAAAAAAAAGAGATAATATATATAGAATGACTAGCATAGTGCCTGTCACATGTAAATATCCAAAAATGTTAGTTGCATTCTTATGATTATTCTGGAATACTTAATATTATACATAGTGTTTCTGGAGGTACCATGCATAGTCTTCTTTAATTCTGAATCTTATTTTGAATAAGGCCTACAATCTTTTATCTATAGTACATTAGGTTTAATTTCCCAATGGCTGAACTCAAGCATATTAATGTTATAATTTGCAGAAAAGCTAGTGGAGATTTTTCAGGTGTCAGTACCAACCAGTTCTCTCACAACAGCACTACACACATCCTTCTGCCCAGACTCTTGCCCTTAGCACTTGGAGGAATGAGGCTCTCATTAGACAGCGCTTCTGTCGGGAGGTTTGCAGCTTCCAAAAAGTCCCCCAAGGGATGGCACTATTATGAGATCTGAGCCAGTCCACTGACAAGACATACCAAGGGCTAGAGTCGGCTGCTTCTGAAAAGGGCTGCTTTTCTTCTGATAAGTTGGAGTGGGAGTTTCATGATATCTACCAGAATATTCTATGCTAACTTTCCTTCTTAGACTGTCATTTTGGGTTAAAATCATGAGAACTGATACCACCACCACCACCCCAATACTCTGCCCTTCTGGCTATTCTATTGCTACTCATAGGATGTCTTTGGCAGGGGGCTCCCCTTTTAGTTTCAACATTTACTTAGCTATTTGGTATTGGAGACATCATTTTGACACCTCTGAACCTCAAATTTCCTATCTCTAAAACTGAGTGGGTAAGGTATCTCATGAGGTATTGCAATCATTAGAAATCGACTCATCATATATCTTGAACAGTGGAGGCCATATAACTTGCACCCAATTTACAGTGCACAACAGCAGTAGACATTTATTTTCAGTTAACCCTGTGAACATCAACTTGCCATGAATCCAAAAGCATAGCTCTAAAGAATAATTTTTTTACCCACAATTCAGATTATTGGTATCCTGACAATTGTGGGTACCCAACTGCTCCTTCTCCTCATACTCTACGCTCAAGAAGTTAGGCAGTGCTTGCACCACTTGCTCAGAGGAGTTACTGGTTGGAGAAAGAATAACTTTTCAAAGAAAATATCTGATTATACAACAAATGTAATAATTTGATCTTAGATTTTAAAATCCATAGTAATTGCATTATCTAATATATATATTTATTCAGTCACTCAGTAAGTATTGAACACTGACCAGGCAGGAAAGAAAAAAAAAAAAGATCCTCAAAGAGCTTGTAATCAAGGAAAAGAAAAAAAAAAGGTAAAATGAGCCACCATGATAAATGGCAATAAGGTGATAGCAAAGGTAAAACAGAGAAATAAGAATAATTAAGCTTGTTAGGCAGCATAAGAGGAGCGAAAAGGGGGAAGGTGATATTTGATTCAGGAATTTAAAGATCAGAAAGCATTCCCTGGACAGAGAGGGGGCATTGCAGGCATTGGGATGATCATGACCATGCCTAGCAGGATGGGAGCAGCGTGGAGCTGGGTTTTAGTCGAGAACAGGGCTCCTGATGAAGAAGGGCCAACCAGCAACTGAAAAGGACATCGGAGCCAGAGTAGCATGGGCTGTGTGTGCAAACTAAGGGTTTTAGGAAATGTAATTAAACGCAGAATTTGAAATCTGCTTAGAAAGCTGGCTTGAACACTTCCTATGGAGGTAAAATGGGACTAATTCCACAGGTCCAATTCTGCATCAAGAATTACTAAAATTTAAATTCCCACAACACATGTAAACTGTGCAGTCTTTTATGAACCCTCCTTCCTCTCCCAGAGATTGACTGAACCTTTGTGACATTATTTTCTCAGCAGAAAGATTCCTCGACTTAATAATGTTGGTTCATGTTTGGATTGAATAAAATATTGACTGGTTTCCTTCTCCATTAAACTCCCTTGAATGCCTCTAAATTACAACTCTGTAAAACTGACCTGAACATCAAGCATGAATTTTTGTTTCTGTATAAAAGTATTTAGACAATCCACTGCCTGACTCCCCATGGCTAACACAAAATCGGTTTTGAAAAGAAACAGAATAGCTGATTGAGCATGAGAGCAGCCCTTTTGATAAGAAAAGATGAAATCCATTCCAGAGTCCTGATTATTAGGTCTATGACGGAAAAATTCAAATGGTTTATACAACCTCCACGGTTCTTTCAGTGTTGCTTAAAATTGTCAAGGTAGCAAAAACTCTAGTTATTTTCAAAAGGCAAAATCTTTCCTACCTTAAAAAGTCTGAGTTACTAAGTCCTTAAGAAAAGAGAATTGGCAAAGTGTCTTCAACTCTTCCTTTGGTAACTACTCAGTTTCCTTTGGAAACATTTCCCCAGCTCAGTACACTAGAAAATTGTAATGATGCGAGTTGTGCCAGATACCTGCTGGGGATAAGGAAATTGGGTTTAATGTTTCAGGATGGCTGGAGAGGTCTTTTGTCTTGCCCGCAGTCTGCGCCCTACGTAGCTTGCTTTTTTGGAAAGTGTCCCGACTTCCCTTTGCTTTTTTGCCAGCCACATCTCTGAAGAAGAGACAATTTCTCCCTAAAGTGTTCTCCCTACCTCTCAAAAAAGGAACATGTGACATTTTAATGGTGTAGCATGTTGAGAAAGGCTCTGCCTTCTACTTAAAGGTTTTTTTTTTTTTTTTTGAGATGGAGTCTTACTCTGTTGCCCAGGCTGGAGTGCAGGGGTGCAATCTCGGATCACTGGAACCTCTGCCTCCCAAGTTCAAGTGATTCTCCTGCCTCAGCCTCCCCAAGTAGCTGGGACTACAGGTGTGCACCACCATGCCTGACTAATTTTTGTATTTTTTTTTAGTAGAGACGGAGTTTCGCCATGTTGGCCAGGCTGGTCTTGAACTCCTGACCTCAGATGATCCATCCACCTTGGCCTCCAAAAGTGCTGGGATTACAGACATGAGCTACCACTCCCAGCCTACTTAAAGGTTTCTAAGAGTGTTCACTGGACAGAGCTATCCATATGTGTCAGAGAAGTGTAATTTGCAACAGGCAAACTGGGAACCTTGAGAAAGTTATTTGACCTCTTAAAAGTCTCACATGTCTCACTACAAAACCGTAGAAAATGATGACTAGCTGAAAATACTGTTGCGTTTTTCAAAGGGGTGTGATACATGCTACCGTCTAAATGTTAGTTGTGATTTTTATCATTAATATTGATAATATATATCTTCCACTGGACAATGTCTAACATTTCATACATAATTGGTTTTGATGAAAAGAGCTGGAACTTTGCAAGAAGTTAGCATTCCAGTAAGATGTTTTGATTAATGTAACAGGTAGGTTTCCAGATCGCTGCCAGCTGAGATAAGGCTCTGTGGGCTTGGAGGGGAGTATATTATATGAGACCCACAGCAGCAAGTGGAATCAAGGATTCTTAACATCATTTTATAACTTAACAGTTTTGTTTCCTGGGTCACTGAGTTTACCTTCCTGATGTCAGTTAGGTCTCCTGTGATATCTGAGTAATAACATGGGACACGATAGGCTTGAAGGCTGAGACAATTCCTTCCCTCAGTGGTGCAGGGGTTCAGGCCTAAAATGTGCTCTTAAATGACAGCTGCCACTGTGCTCTATAATTATGGTAGACATCATTCTATTTTAAATTAATTATTTGAACATCAATGCAATAGTGAATACATAAACATATATGAAAATAGTATTTCCTTATTTTTCCTAGTGATTCAGATGATTGGTTTTCTTACCATTTTGAGGATCAATTATCAGTGACTATGTTTGAATGAAAAAACAGCTGATATAGGAGGCATTACAATAATAATGATTAAGTTGATCAGCCAGTAGTAGCAATAATAATCATTTTAACTACCATTCATTAAAGCTTATTGCTTTGTCAGGACTGTGTGGATTTAAGGAATTTAATTTAGTGTGGGCGAGAGAGAGAGATAAATTATTAGATGAATAAAGGGATGGAACCCAGAAGCAGAATGCAGACTTCAGTAGACAGCAGGATCCAAAATTAGAAAACTATCAGAAATGAAGACTGATATTTCTACAGCCATATTGTCTTTGTTTTTTTCTGTATCTCTGAGCCCATTGCTGAGAAATAATTTCTCCAGGTCGTCCTATAATTCTTCTTTGCTCAAACACTGAGAAAGGCAACTAGTGGATTCTGATTTCCAAATCCAGATGTCCTAGGAAGCAAAGCTTATTGGCCAATCTTGTATTAGGGATCCTCCTCTAATATCCCCTAGTGTACTCCCTTGGTCCCACCTGTGATGGCCATCAGAAAAGGGTCAACAGTTACGAAAAAGGGCTGCAGAGGCTCTTGCTTGGAGGGAGAGGTGCAATCACAGAGTTGAGTTAATTTGTCCCAGGTCAACTAATATGAGGCAGAGCCTAGAATAAACCCAGGAACGTCTAGCACCTGAGTTCATACAATTTCCTTGAGCTTGTTGCTCTCTGGTTAAAGTGGTCTAAGGCAATGCTCCCTGGTAACTGAAGGCTGGCTTCAGTGGGCACAGCAATGAGAGATTTAGTGAAGATGAGGTCTCACTTAAGAACCCCACATCCAGCATCATGAAGGGATGACAAGGAAATGAGAGGGCCTTTGGGTGAAACAGCGATTCTCTGCCTATCCTGTGAGGTGGCTTCAGATAAGTCCTAAATATCAGTGGTTCTCAAACATTAATGTGCAAACAAATCATCTGGACATCTTATCAAAAGGCAAATTCTGTTTCAGTTCTCCTGGGATGGGACCTGGGAGTCTGCATTTTTAACAAACTCATAGAAGACACTGACGCTGTGGGACCCTTCCCAGCACCATACGATGTGGATGAGGTTCTAGAGAAAAAAAACTAGGAAAATGGAAGCAGCAAGAAGTCTTGAGGTTTTCTGGTTCCTCCCCACAGCTGCACAGATAGTGGGTTACTTGGCAGCTCATACCTCTGCATTTGGCTTTCTACCCAGTCCTGTGACAAGATGAACAACTACAACTGCAGTGACTTGCTGGACCAGCTAAATAAAAAAGCATGTGCTGGCTGAAAAATTGTCGGCAAATAATTAATGGGTACTGCCAGCAGGCAATTTATTTGGAATTTATCTTGGTAAGATACACAGGATGTTCTGTGCCAATTTTTTCCTGTTTCCTAAGTTCAACTTTGAAGAAACTTACTAGTATTAATAGTGAGAATTGTTTATACATCTTGCTGATTTTAAAAATATATATGTCGCACTTATATTTGACATTATTTCTGTTGTGTGAGCTTCTTTAGTGCCCCCCTGCCTGGCTTTGACAGAAGTTCAGGATCTAATTATTACCACATTTGTTGAGTTCTTAAAAATATGTTAGATACCATGTAAAATAAATTATACATTATCCCATTTTACCCTCACAAAAACCTAAGCACTAGCTGTTAATTTTACTTTTTAGCAATGACAAAACTGAGGCAAAAACATATTGTATGAGTTGTCCAAGCACTATCCAATCCTAATCCTGATTTTGCTCCTTCATAAAACATTTAAATCTGCCCTTGCTCCCCTCAATGACACCTTTGTGCCTTTGACTTTGGGTTGATGCTGTGTTCTGGTATCCAATTTTAAACCCTCCTCAACAAGGACTCTATCCTTTTTTGCCCCTTTGTTGAGGTTTGGCAATGTTGCAAAGTCATTCTGTCCACATCCAGTCCTACTTTATTTGAGGTCTGTTTATGCTGCCTTTCTTTGATTTATTTCATTAGCTTCCTGCCATTCTCAGTATCTTCAATGGTAGCTTCAGGTATTTTCCACACATCCCAACCCTAAATCACAGGTGGGCCTCCATCCTTCTGGGCACATGACTACCTCTTTAATAAAAAGATGGAGACCAATTTTTCCAACATCACTTACATATACTTTTAACAGAAATATCACAAAATTAAAATAGTTGTGATTTAAACAAGAAAGAACATACATATATTCTTTATTGTTTGATTACACACACACACACACACACTCACACACAAACAAGAAATTGGAGGTACGCAGTCCCAGAGATACCACACTGTCTCAAGGTTATCATTAGACTCAGATTTCTTCTCCTCCCCTATCCTTAGTATTTAACTTAGGTCCTTAAGTTTGCACCTCATGGTTCCAAGATGGTTCCCTCATCCCAAGCATTATGCCTTTATACTATCAAGTTCAAGGGAGGAAATGTATATATCATGAAGCAAATACTTCCCAGAAGTACCCTCAGAAGAAATCTCCTTAATATTTGGCCTAAAGTTGGTCACTTGCCCATCCCCAAACCGAACTCCAATAGAAGAGAATGGGATAGCTATGCCGTGTTTAGATCAATCACGTGTTCATCCTCCGGGATTCGGAAAGGGGCCAGCTTTCCCTAAGCATATTGCGACATGAAAAATATGTTTAAGCTTGGACTCTTCCCTTGGTGAAATGTGACTAGTGTCTAACTCATATCCCAGTGTCTAACTCATATCTCTCATTGTTCTTTATCTCTTTCTCCTGCTGCTTCCTCCCAGTCTCAAAGGTATCGTGTAGCCATCCATCCTCTTCAGCTTTCTGGTCTCTTCCTTCCCAATACCGAATTCTTCACCTCACCTGCCCTCCTGGTCTCATTCCTGCTCTCTTTCTCTTTGCCCCACCAACATTCACTTCTCTAGGTTTTGGATTTTCTTTCCCTTTTTCCTGGAAATATATTCCAATCTCCCCTATAAAGAACAACAGACTCACAACAAAAGCAAAACAACACAAAAATTGCCTTTCCTTAGCCTTTGATATCTTCAAGCTGCTATTTTAGCTCTGTCTTTCTTTACGCAAACATGTCCCCAAAAGTAATCAATAATCTGTACTTACATTTTCTCACTGCTCATTTATGTAAGTCTGTAGAGTCCAGACACCCCAGTGGGGGAAAAAAGTGGCACCATCAAACTGTCATTTAATTTAGTGGCCTGTCTCTTAGGGTATATTCTTTTCTGGGAATCTGCTCTTCCTTTGCTTCTTAAAGCTCTGCAAAATCTGTCCAGCCCCAACCTGCCCATCCAAGCCACTTCTCTGACTTCTCCATCTCTGCCTCATTCATTGAATCTTTTCCTACAAGATCATAAGCAACTTCATGAAAGGAACCATGTCTTATTTATTACCTGTACAATGTGTGATGAAGAATTTGGCGGAAGTGCTCATCTTTTGAAAAACTTCTTAACTAGTCTTCTTGACTCCTCTCCCCTCCCTCTTCAAACCGTCCTGTCACCAGAGTTATACTTCTCAAAGTACAGATATGATCACGTTTGTTCTTTATTTAAAAACACAAACTCCTTAGCATGCCATTCAACTTCTTTCACAAAGTAACCCAAACCCATTTTTAACTTGAAATCTTTCCCTTATCTCCCCTCTGGCGTGCACGCGTGCGCGCGCGCACACACACACACACACACACACATGCACACACACATCAGAATGCATCTATGTGCATCAGAATCATCTGGGATACTTGTTTACAATGAAATTCCTAGGCCACACTCAAGACCAACTTAAGCAGGTTCATTAGGATTAGCTTAGGCTGTATGTGTATAGTTTCAACATGCATCTAAGGTGATCCTAAATACACACTGAAGTTTGGTGCCATGGCCATATCATACTTAAGCAAAAACTAGTTCAAATAGCATGAATTTCCCTATTTTTCACGTTTTAAGCACTTATTTATCCATTTAATAATTGGATAGGGAGTTTTTTCCCTATGGAAATGAGACAGGGAAGCCTCTAAGATAGGTTTGAGAACTGGACCAAATATCACTAGACCAGTTAGGCTTATAAAAAGTTTCCCTATTAACAAGTTAACTGAAGAACAATTCTGCCTCATTACTTTGACTATGTTGAGTTACCTTGGTGGCATTTTTGGTGACACTGGCCACAAGTGAACACTTGCTATACTTCCCACATATGCTGAGTTCATTTCCTTTGTCCACGTCATATGTATCATCAATGCCTCTGTCCCAGTACGCTAACTTCCCAAATCCCTGAAGGCATCAAATGCAATGGAATTTAGCAAGAAATCAGCTGCATTTAAGGAAAGCAGACCAAAGTTCCAGTTGAAATTTGATTTAAAAGTTTTGTGAAATGTTACAAAAGGTTAAAAAAAAGTATTTATCATTTCAAATACACTTAAAAATTTGCTATTTCTGTGACAAAAGACAATCCATCTTATTCTCATGGCTGGTTTTCTCCCAGTTCTCACCACCCAGATCTAACTCTTTCTGTTCATCTTGGTGACCATGTATATGGAATAAAATGTTATGAGATGATGATATAATATCTACATTCACATGGAAGACTAAAGCTGATTGTTACATTGTAAATGGCATCAGTGTTAGTTGCAAATTCAGAATTCCAGATCCAACTATAGTCATCTTTTCATACAGACATAGCTTTAGTCTCAGTTGGTCTCTCTCTGTCTCTCTCTCTCTCTCCCCCCTTCCTCCCCCCTGCCCTGTACTCTTCCATTTCCCTTCCCTCTCTCTTTTTCTGTTGACTCAGACAAATAAACCCACTAAAACATATTGCCTTTGATATTGTCTCTGACCTGAGGTCATAGAGAAAAGTCTCAAAATGAAAATAGAAATGAAATCAGACCCATAAATGGATGCCAGAGGGGACGATACAATAAAGGACAAAAAGACTGGTCCAAGCCTCTCATTTTCTCCACAAAATGACTTTCAGTGTGAACAATGGCTCGCTTTTGCAGTTTTTGTTCTCCAGTGACAACAGCAATGAGGAAAATTGTTTCAAGTCCTGAACTGTCTCTGCTGAGTGCTACAGGGAAGCACACTGGCCCCAGTTGCCAAGTTGCTGCAGTCGTTCACAGACATCAGAGTGCTCACCTTGGCCTGAGTGAGTCATGCTGAGTTTACACAGGTTTCATGTGCAAAAACGTGCTGCTGAAGAGATCATGTTTCTCTGACTTTGCCTCTGAGTACCTGCCCTAAACAGCATGCTTGTCAGCACTCCAGCAGGCCGGAGCCTTTGGATGTCTCATTTAGGAGTGTGGTCTGAGTTTCAACATGCTGAGGAGTAGAAAGGTAAGAACAAGCAGTTCATATAAGGGCAGACTCCTGAGATGAGCTGCAGCTGCATTCACCTCCATGGGGCAAGCCAAACTTTAAGAGGTTTCGTGCTTTTAGATGTCAGTTAAAATAAAATTTTATATGATATTACAAGAGAGTAAGTTTATTACTCAAATACCCCTATAATAGGAAAACAGGATAATGCACCCTATGACTTCCAGAATGACAGTAATTGACATTCATCCTGATAACGCAGTTGATGGCCAGAAAAGGTGGAAAACATATATTCCAGTCGTTGAGAATTTCTTAACTTATTTCAAGAGTGAAGAGAAAGAGACACACAGAAAGAAATAGCCTATAAGCCAGAATTCCACATCTAGGCAGAGAAACTCCTGAATGCGACATTCTCCATTATTAACCTTGCACTTTATATCGTGTGTTATGACCTCTCGGAGTCTGAAGGGAATGAAGTAGGTCAAACAACAGTAACAAAAAACATTCTCCAAAAGCTCTACATATTCTACCATCCCAACCCTAACAACCTTTTAAGCCCACACACCATTCACAGGCTGAATGGCACAAGGTCACATATGTAATTTCCAGTTCTTGCATTTCTTCTTTAAAAAATTTCCTGGCCTTAATCTGTCAGAGTGGTTTCCAATTCCCAATGATTTGCTAAGAATATAGATTATTACTGACACTGGAGAAATTAGGCAACTAAATAAATGAGCATGAGTTTGTCACCTCTGAAAGTCTCCGATAGCTGTGCCAGAAACACAAGTTGTTTTAGCTTAAGGTGTGCTGAGAATAGAAGGTGTGGAGTAACAGATGTGTCCTCACACCATCACTGGGCTGGGTGCTGGAAATACAAAGAATGATGGTTCCTAATCTTTTTAGCTCATTGATTTTGCTGAGAGTGAGAGAGGACAACTAAGTAAACGGTTATGGTAGATAAGTTACTGAGAGCTGATTTAAATATCTAAGCTGAATAGAGCTTCCATAAAAAAGATTTGCATGATGAGGTGGAGATGGGGGAGAGTGGCTCCAAATGGTGAACCTGTCTTAACTAGTTCATCTTAATTAATTTCATGTGTACCTATTTAATAGAACCCAGAGTATAGTTGACCTTTAATCAATAATGGGAAATTCCTCAATCCATCCAGCGTATGGAACTGCTACTCCTTTAACAAAGGGCAAGGGTGGGTTTCCCAGGACACAAGAGGATATACTTGGGCTCTGGGCATCCCAATTTAAGCAAATTAGCTAAACTAGCATAAAGTGCACCGAGTGAGGCAACTCTTGACATTTACTGATAAAATGTAAAGGGTTGTGTTTATAAATAACTACATGCAAATAATTATGAATAATTATGTTCTTTCAAAGTATAAGGATGGATGAATCTACTTATCAATCCATCAAAAGAGCTACATACAGTTTCCTCTAACTAAAACATGACAGATTACATCTCAGCACCTACTGACATGAATGTCATTGGGTTGTGACAAATTATGTCTGATGTGTCCTCTGTCATTTTTGCATCACATGGACAGAGGACCTGTCTCAAATAGCCTTCATGGCATCCTTAAATGTTGTTATTCATATGTTTGATCTTATCTCCAGAATTTTGCATTGTCACGCTCTTCTGTAATGATAATGTGAAATGGGTATGATGAATTCAGCTGGCAACATAGAAAAGCTGACCTTTAGTTGTGTAGCAGGGTATCTACTCATATATTCAACAGTTTTACCAAAAAAGAGATTTGTCCTAAGGGTTTCCAGTTTCTTCATATGTCCAGAGTCTACAATCTAGCCTTGCATGGAGTCAGATTAATAGAAATGAAAATCTCTGACCCATACTCTCAAGTTCTCTAAAACTGCCTTCACTACATTGTTTTTAGGAATGTTGTCATCAGGCTATATTTTAAATTGTCTTTTAAAAGGGCCCTGTGAAACTTGTTAGATGTACTGTAGGTGCGCCAGTGAAGACATCGTTATCTTCCATAGTGTCTTCTTTATGACAATCCTGGGAGTGATTTCTATTTAATCTTAGTGCCAAGAATTGTTGTGCCTCTCCCACGTAATGGTCTGTTTGTGCTTTTAACTCACAAATATTGGGGATGAGTTACTGAGCACATTTTTCAGTAGGTAGAAATGTGTTTTCTTCCCTGCTTTCTGAAAAAGTATTCCCAAGTATCCTGAAGCTTTCTAAAAGATGCTTTTCATTTTGTGCTTTCATCTCATAATAACCATTTTTAAAAATGACATAAGTATATTCTAGGACAGGGATCAGCAGCCTTTTTCTTTTAAAGGGCCAGATACTAAGTATTTTAGACTTTGAGAAGTACACATGTCTCTGAGGCATATTCTTTTTTTTTAACAATTAAAATTGTAAAAACTATTCTCAACTCATGGGTCTTATGGAAATAGGGGTAAACTGGATGTGGCCTACAAGCTGCAGTTTGCCAACCCCTCTTGTAGAATCACTGGATGACCTCATATTTCTGAAAAGTGCCATGTGATTACAGGGTCTTCACACTTGTCTTTGCACTAATGTTTATGTTGGTGTCAAGTAGTTCCATTTATACTGACATGAGCTAATGAGAAAATAAAGAAGACTAACATTACGTGTAAATGACATATTTGGTCTAAATGACCAAAGTATAAGTGTAAATGACATACTTGGTCTAAATGACTTGGCCAAATGTCATAAATGTCATAAAGGCAACTCTACAAAGGAAGGTTTCACAGTTGTTTAAAAAATGGTGAGAGAATTAACTCAGCACACAGCCCACAGTGATGACAGAACCATATAAACTCACAATGATGTGAGTTTATTCCATATGGAGCAGAATTCTCATCTATATTCACCTTATGAAGGGCAATTTCATTTCAGCAAAACAGCAGAATTTATCAGATTAAATGAATGTTACTAGTTGGATATCAATTGGCTCTGTCATTTTGTTTATGTTTAACTTGCTAGTTTCATTTGGTCTTATACCTGGGTAAACATTGCAGAATCCACATCCATACCCCTTGTTTCAAAACCCAGTTCTGCTGCTTACTAACATAATTGGAAACACTAACTCACCAAACCAGATATCTTTGAAAACTTTTTACAGATATTTAATATCTTTTGAAATTGTTTTCTTATAGTGAGTATTTTCAGGTTTTTCAGATTTTTAGTTCATATTGAGTAATTTTTAGCCCTAAGCATGGTTCTGTTTTACCTCCCAACCCACCCTATATAAACTGCTTACAAATAGCTAGTGGGGAAAATTCATGTCCTTTGATAATAAGCAGTAAAACAAGAAGCAAGGAAGAACAGGATCTATATAATAATATAATGGAAAATAAATTAAAAAAAAATAAGAAGGTCAAATGGCAAAGTATCCTGAAAAGAAAACAAGTTGCAACAAAATAGATGAAAACTATGGTCAAATATTTTGTGATAAATTTTAAAACAAATGAGTAAAATGCATTGAAGTAGTTGCCTCTGTAAAGCAAGAACATAGTACAGAAATAAAAAAGCACACAAGAGAGATGGTGAAACAGCAATATGCATGAAATGGAAACTAGCAGATCTCAGGAAATAAAAGTAAAAGAAATAAAACTCAAAAAAGGTAAAGGCAAAATTAGAAGACATATAAGGAAGGAAAAATACAGCAAGGTGCATAGAGGACTTAAAAGGCAACAAAACAAAGTGACAATAAAGAAACTCATTTTTAAAAAGTTATTAGACGGAAAAAGTAATTAAAATGTAGAACAGGCAAAGAATATATTAAAGAAAGCCCCCCCAAAGGAAACTAGAAATAATGGAACAGAATTATTATTTAAAAACATAATTCAGAAATAGTAGTATTTCAAATTCTTGAAATAGTAGATGATTTGAATCTATATATTGTCAAAGCACAGCATGCCTTAGGAAAAACTGACTCATATGGTCAACATTAAACATACCCTAGTACATTTACATGACTTCAAGAACAAAAATTTCTTTTGAGCAGCCAGCCAACCTCAAAATACCACTATTGAACCAGGTAAGGAGATGAAATTGAAATCCGTTCAGTTTGAAATTTTTCTACTACTCTGAGGAAAGAAAGATTTAAGCAATGAAAAGACTTTAATTGAATGAGAACCATTAAAGACAGATTTATAGGACTTGTCTGTGTATTACAGAGATCAGTTTGTAGTCTAATCAAGAGTTAGCAGAAATGGCATTTATTGGGAAAGAAACTGAAGGAAAAAATTTCTCCAATAAGCCAGATGCTTTATAAACCAACTCTTCTCTATGCTGAATGTAGCAGAAAGTTTCAAGTAATTTCTCATAAATATGGTCAAATATTGCTATATTCAAATATCCAACCCAAACCTCAAATTCTATATAAGAAAAAAAGACAGAAAAATATCTGGTGAAGAGATAACAGATGACAAGTATAATATTCAAAGAAATTTCTCAGAACAGTTACAAAGCTTGGCAAAATTTAGTCAATAGAAGAAGAGTATTAAAGGGAACAGCAACTTTAAGAGGAGAAGGCAGAAAGGTGCAGTGGCTTATTCCTGTAATACTAGCACTTTGGGAATCCCAGGTGGGAAGATCTCTTTACTCCAGGAGTTCAAGAGCAGTCTGAGCAACACAGAAAGACCCTGCCTCTTTAAAAAAAAAAAAAAAAAAAAAAAAAAAAAAGGAAGCATCTATGATATTTTCTGCTTAGTATTTTCCTGATGTCTGAAAACTTCCTTTTGCCTACATTCTCCATCCTCATGCCTTTAGTAGGAGCTAAATGGATTTTACCTGACCTACCACTACCTACTTGTCAGCAAGCATGTGGGATACAGACCCAAATCAGACCAATCAGAACCCTTCTTGGGAAATTTTGGAACCAGAATCACGACTCTGCTCCTGCCATTAGAAGAAACTGTTCATTTATGAGGCTCTAGAATTGTGTCAGTTAGATTTACCACCACACAGAGGAAGCTGGTCTGCAATCAGAGAAAATTAAATCGAGTATCAGAAAAAGGTAGAGATGAGGTTTCCATTCCCTATGACTTTCATATATTTTGATCCAGTTGTTTCCGTTATCCAACTATAGACCTGCTCTTCTTGTTAATTGTTTTATTCCGTAAATAAATACATTTCTACTTTTCCTAAGTTACATTAAGTTTCTGACACTAGCAACCTAGTATGTACTGATTAATACACACCCAATCAAGTAGAAAGAGAGTATAACAAAAGGTGCTTTCTTAAGGGCAAGAAATGTTTAATAAACAATGAAGAAAGAGCTAGTAGAGAAAAAGATTTTGAGAAGGAGGAGAAAAAGAAACAAAGATATTAGGTAAGGATATTCCAAGCTGGTTGTAGATATGTGGTTTTAGAAGAAAAAGAGCTATATAGAATATATATATGAAAGAAAGTAATCTTTCTTTTCTATGAAGGAAATTCAGCCTATGACCTTAAAATGTTCACAATGTCTACTGTATGCTAAAGTACAGCAGTGTGGTAAAACATACACATTAATATTTTTACTTATTTTTACTGAAGGGATAAAAAGAACATTATAAGGAGAAGAGAGTGCTAACAAGAAATTGGGTTCAAATTTATTTACATGACCATGAGCAAATTACTGGATTACTGTGTGCCTTGGTTTTTATCTGCAAAATGGGTAAAATAACAGTACCTATCTGATGCACTTACCATAGGAAATGAGAGATAAAGCATGGAAAATAATTTGTGCAGTCTTGGGAACATCATGTTTGCTCACTAATATTAGTCACCGTTAGTATCACTATCACTATTACACTTGAGTTACTATCCTACCCCATCACTTTTAATATTTTACTGAATTTATATCATTTGATCATCACAACTACTTTGGGAATTAAGTAATCACTATCCTTAGTTTATAGATAAGGCTTAGATATTAAATAACTTGCTTAGAGTCACACAGCTAGAAAATGGCAGACTCAACATCAGAGCCCATTCAGCATGGTCCTAGAATTTCCTCCTTTTTCTCATAAATCAAATGGCCTCCATATTGAATTTGTTGTTTTCAAAAATATATTCTCGATTCTTTCTATGGTTTTTCTGTTCTCTATTTTCCGTCCTTCCTTCCTTCTTTCCTTCCTTCCTTCCTTCCTTCCTTCCTCTCTCTCTCTCTCTCTCTCTCTCTTTCTCTCTCTCTCTCCCTCTCTTTCTCTCTTTCTTTCTCTTTCATTGAGATAGGGTCCCACTCTGTTGCCCAGGCTGGAGTGAAGCAACACAATCTCAGCTTACGGCAGCCTCCACCTCCCAGGCTCAAGTGATCCTCCCAACCTCAATCTCCCAAGTAGCTGGGACTACAGGCACATGACACCACACCCAGCTAATTTTTTTTTTTTTTTTTTTTTTTTTTTTTTTTTTTTTGGTAAAGATGAGGTTTTGCCATGTTCCCCAGGCTGGTCTTGAACTCCTGAGCTCAGGGCATTCCACCCACCTTAGCCTCCCAAAGTACTAGAATTATAGGTATGACCCACTGCAATAATAGGTGTGAGCCACTGCACGTGGCTATTTTATTTATTTCACTTCTGATTTTTATTATTCCTTTCCTTCTGCTAATCGTTGGTGTAGCTTCTTCTTTTTCTAGTTCCTTTAGGTATAATGTTAGACTATCTATTTGAGATCTTTCTTCTTTTTTTAATGTAGGCATTTATTGCAATAAATTTTCCTCTTAGAAATGGTTTGGCTGCATCCCATAGGTTTTGGTATGTTGTAATTTCATTGTCATTTATCTCAAGATTTTTTTTTTTTTTTTTTTTTTTTGAGGCAGAGTCTCACTCTGTAGCCCAGGCTGGAGTGCAGTGGAGCGATCTCTGCTCACTGCATGCTACGCCTCCCAGATTCACGCCATTCTCCTGCCTCAGCCTCCTGAGCAGCTGGGACTACAGGTGCCTGCCACCACGCCCGGCAAATTTTTTGTATTTTTAGTAGAGACGGGGTTTCACTGTGTTAGCCAGGGTGGTCTTGATCCTCCTGACCTCGTGGTCCGCCCGCCTCGGCCTCCCAAACTGCCGGATTACAGGCGTGAGCCACCACGCTCGGCTTCAAGATATTTTTAAAATTTCTCTTTTGATTTATTCTTCAACCCATTTGTTGTTTAAGCATGTTGTTTAATTTCCACAACAACGTTTTTTGTTAATTTTTCAAGATTCCCTTGGTTACTAATTTCTACTGTGGTCTGAAACAATACTAGGTATGATTTCGATATTCTTAAATTTTTAAAACCTTGTTTTGTGGCCTAAAATATGGTCTATCTTGGAGAATGTTCCATGTGTGAAAAAAGTTGTGTATTCTGCAGCTATTAGATGGACAGTTTTGTATATGTCTGTTTGGTCCATTTGGTCAAAAGTGCAATTTGAGTCCATTATATCCTCATTTATTTTCTATCTGGTTGATCTATTCATTACTGAAAAGAGTATTAAAGTTCCCTACTATTATTGTATTTCTATTTTGCTCTTCAGGTTTATAACTATTTACATTGTGTATTCAGGTGTTCCAATGTTGGAGACGTGTGTGTGTGTGCATATATATATATTGCATATATATATTGCATATATATATAGCATATATATAGCATATATGTAGCATATATATAGCATATATGTAGCATATGTATAGCATATATGTAGCATATATATATAGCATATATATAGCATATATATAGCATATATAGCATATATATAGCATATATATAGCATATATAGCATATATATAGCATATATATAGCATATATATATGCAATATGTATATGCAATTTTTAAGTCTTCTTGATTGTCAGACCACTATATCATTAAATAATTACCTTCTTTGTCTCTTCTGATAGTTTTTTTAATTGAAGTCTGATTTATCAAACATAACTGTAGCCACTCTTGCTCTCTTTTAGTTACATGTGTCTTTTATGGGTCTCTTACAAGCGGCATGTAATTGGATTGTATCTTTATCCATTCAGCCACTCCATCTTTTTATTAAAGGATTGAATCTATTTACATTCTAGGTTATCATTTAGAGGTAAGGACTTACTGTCATTTTATTATTTCTTTTCCAGTTGTTTTGTAGCTCTGTCGATCCTTTCTTCCTCTCTTGTTGTCTATCATTGTGGTATAATTTTCTGTAGTATTAAGCTTTTATTCCTTTCTTTTTATTGTTTGTATATCTGCCATGTTTTTTGTTTTGCAGTTACCATGAGGCTTACATAAAACATCTTATAGTTTTAATCAGCTATTTTAAGCTGATAACAGCTTAACTTCTATCACATACAAAAACTCTAGACTTTTACTCTCCACCCCCTATAACTTATGTTTTTGATGTCACACATCTTTTCATATTGTATATTTCTTAACAACTTATTGTAGCTGTAGTGCTGTAGTTATTTTGACCATTTTGACTTTTAATCTTCATACTAAGCAGATGTATAATTTACATACCACCATTATAGTACTGGAGTATTCTGAACTTGACTATGCATTTTCTTCCACTAGTGAGTTTTATAGTTGCATATATACTTATGACAGTAATTATAATGCCTTTTTTCTTTTCTTTTTTTTTTTTTGAAAAACTTCCTTAAGCACTTCTTTTAGGATGGGTCTAGTGGTGATGGATTTAGCTTTTGCTTGTCTGGATAATATTTTATGCCTCTTTTATTTCTGAGGGATAGCTCTGCCGGGTATAACAGCCATAGCTGAAAGGTTTTTCTTTCAGCATGTTGAATATATCATCCAATTGTCTCCTTGTCTGCAAAGTTTCTGTTGAGAAATCTACTGATATATTCTAATGGAGATTCCCTTGTATGTGACTTGATGTTTTCTCTTGCTGCTTTTAAAATTCTTTGTCTTTAAGTTTTGACAGTTTTACTATAATGTGCCTTTGAGAGAACCTCTTTGGGTTATATATGTTTGGGGACCTTGGAGCTAAGTGAATCTGAATGTCCATATCTCTCCCAAAATGGGAAATTGTCAGCCACTATTTTATTAAATAAGCATTTTTGTCCCTTTTTTAATCTCTTGTCCTGAAAATCTCATAATGCAAATATTTATTTGCTTAATGATATCCCATAAGTCCCAAAGAATATCTTCACTCTTTTTCATTCCTTTTTCTTTTGTTTCCTCTAAGTCAGACCAAGTCACAAATGACCTATCTTCAAGTTCACAGAATCTTTCCTTTGTTTGCTCTAGTCTGCTATTGAAGCTTTCTATTGTATTTTTAAACTTTATTTTATTGATTAAATTCACTAGCTATAAGATTTCTGTTCTTTTTTATTATATCTCTCTGTTGAATTTCTCATTCAGATAATGAATTATATTCCTGATTTCATTGAATCGCCTATGTGTATTCTCTTGTGTCTTGTTAATAATAAAGAATATTATTATGAATTCCTCTTCAGGCAATTTGTAAATTTCCATTTCATTGGGGTCAGTTACTGGAGAATTATTGTGCTCCTTTGGTGATGTCATGTTTCCTTGTTTTCTGTGTTTCTTGTGTTCCTGCATTGATGTCTGCACATCTGATTGTGTAGTTACCTCTTCCAAACTTTACAGAGTAGCTTTTGTAGGCTTTCACCGAAGGTGGGCCTGAGGGTACTGGTTGGGCAAAGTGCAGTGGCTGTAGTTCTGTGTGGGCCCAGTGATACAGTCTGTATGCAGCTTCTTCAATTGTGATCAGTGTCAGTGATGACTGACATACCTTGGTACCTTGGTGGTCTAGGCTACAGGAATTTGTGGCAATAATGGTGGCTATGTATGTTATTATGGCAAGAACTTTGGGAATCATTCTGTTCTTATCTTCCCCCACAGTGGGGCGTCCTGTGAAATTACTGTAACACCTGGGACTTGAGACACAGGTTCACATTCCCAGGCACAAGTGGATGCAGTTCTCCCAAAAAGCTGGGATCTATTGCTTTGAGACAAACTCTAGCAGCTTAAACCCAGGAGGCTGTAATATAGCTATGTTCTGACCCTGGGAAACAGGGTACAGCACTGGTGCAGCTCTGGAGAAGAAGGGATTTTCCAGAGACTAAATCCTCACGGAACAGTGCACAGCTACAATTCAGATCCTGGAACCAACAGGACATAGAAGCAGCTCAGGATCTGAGGGATGAGATAGCACATAGTGTGGAGTTTGGACCCTGGGATGGTGGGACATGACAGAAGCCCAGGCTCTGTGAGCCTGGGTACAGTAACAGCAAGTACTCAGGAATGGCAAGGCACCACTGTGGCTTGGGCCTGGGATTGAGGGTGGTGGAGCAGCACAGCAATGACTTCATTCCCTGGAAAGGTGGGACATCTCACCAGCTCAGATGGGTGGAGGTTAGTCCAGTTACAGGTATGCAGGAACTGTGGCTCTTTGTCCTGGAGATGGTAGTGGCACAGCTCCTGTGATTTCCTGGGACTTCAGGTACTATGTCTTCTCAGCTCCAGAAAGCATGGCTATGTGGGTTAGTGGGGCTGCCAGATGCCTGGGGAGCAGGGCACTGTATCAGCTGTGATGCTGGGGCAAACAACTAGTCTGGTATGCCAGAGTTATTAGAGTCTCTAGGTTCAGGAAGCTGCCTCACCTGTGGTGCTAGAAGGTGAGGTGCAGTTGATAGCTCTGGTGTGCAGAATATCTGAAATCCCCTGCTGGCAGACCATCACTGGATGTTGGCCTTAAGTGGAGGTGCCCCAGCAACTAGAATGGGCAGGATGGAGCAGCTATATAGTAGATTGGCCCTAGGGAGTAGGGCACAGTAGCAGCTTGGCTCAGGTATGGCACACTATGGAGTGTGCATGTTGCAATAGCAGCAAACTCTCAGGAATGGAGGGTGGTGCAATGGGTTTCACCCCCAGAGCAGGATGCACTCTAGTAGTGTCTCTGGTTCCAAAATGGTGTAGTGCAGTAGCAGTACAGGCAATAGGATAGGGGACAGGGGGCAGTGGGGAGAAGTGAGGCCAGGGCACAGTGTTGTCACCTTCTCTGAATATAGCTCAGCATGTGACTCTAGGGAGCTCTCTCAGTTGAGTTTAGAGCTTGTGAGGACTGTAGGAGTCTCTGATAACAAAGGCTGCAGGTGTCTGCAGTGGCAATCAGAATTGCTGGGGTCGTCTTTATTTTTCCCTGCAGAAAGGAGTCCTCCCTGGTTCTGAGCTGATTCCAACTGAGGGGATGGAGTGGCGGAGGCGAGGTATCTTTTTCCCTTCCCTATGCAGCCATCCTGGGTTTCTATGCTCTACAGGATTTCTGCTGCTTCTTTGCTATTCTCTAGAGCTCTCCTTTAGTTATTTTGGTCAAAAAGTACTTGATTATTCATAGCTTTTTTGTGTGTCTGTGTGTGTGTGTGTATGTGTGTGTCTGTGTGTGTGTGTGTGGTAGAAAGAAGGATGCTAGGAGCTTCTAGATAGCCATCTTGTTGATGTCACTCCAAGGAAATTTCAATAAGCCTGTGAGACAGCCAAAATAATTACATGGAGTACTGTCATCTACCGCTTTTATCCTTTAGACATGGGCAATGCCTACAGCTTTTCACAAGGCCCATCAAGCTTTCTATATGAGCCACAAAACTGCATACTGAATTATTTAAAGCTTTCACAACTTTCAGAGTATCTGCAGTATGTGTATTTGATAATGTTTAGGAACAGTAAATAATGTTACATTCCAGTATCCTGATAACATAGTCTTTAAGGTGAGGGTCATAAAATTGTCTTGTATGTTAAAAACTCGTCATAACGATTAGAGAAGGGACATGATAGGCACTTAATGAATGTGTTCAGAAATAAATATAGAGATGAACAAATGAATTAATGAAATAATAAAAACTATTTGGGTAGGATCCAAGCCATGTGAATTTGTTTTCTATTGCTGCGTAGCAAATTATCACCAACTTAGAGGCTAAAAACACTGATTTACTAGCTAACAATTGTGTAGGTCAAGTCCAGCACACCATCACTGTGTTATCTTCCAAAGAAACTGCAAAACCAAAATCCAGGTATAGGCAAAGCTGAGTTCTTTTCTGCAGACTTTGGAGGAAAATCCACGTCTAAGATCATTCTTCCTGGCAAATTTCAGTTGACTGTGGCTATATTACTGAGTTTCCTAATTCCCTGCCGACCCACAGCCAGGGACTGCTCTTAGCTCCTGGAGTACTGCACACTTTCCTTGCTCTCTATCCCCTCTACCTTTAAACCAACAAGAGTGATGCAAATTCTTTTCCTGCTTTCCGTTTCTGGTTTCCTCTTCTTCAGTCAGCCAGATAAAATGCTCTACTTTTAAAGGTCTCATGTGATTAAGTCGCACCCACCTGGATAAATTCTCTGTCTTAAGATCAACTGTATAGTGTACATAGCTTTACTTAATCGCAGAGGAAAATCCATTAAATTCACATTCCCAGAGATTATGCAGGGCATACACACCAGGAGGTGTGTATCTTGTAAGTCTTGGGAGCTATCCTAGGATTCTTTTCCTACCATACCATGGAAGACTGTTGCAGTAGACTCAAGGGTGTACTATTATTCTCTCTGAAGTCACAGCTAGATATTCTCAGGCATGCTTGATTATAATGTTGAAAGACCCTAGGGTTCAAAACCAACATATCATTTTGTTTTCTTTTGTGATTTTAAAATATATTTTCTGACCTTATATCTGTGTACTTCTGAAATAGCTTCTATAGCAGATAGAAAAATCCTATTACCTCCCTCCACTAAATGAGTCAAATATAAATGTAGACAAAAACAGAAAATATCCCCTTAGAAAAGTCTGGTGACACTTGAGCCCTTTCTAGCTTGTAGGTCTGAAATTGAATTTTTATATTCATTGTAAAGGTTGGTGAAGGGAAATATTATTACACAACACAGAGTCAGTTAGGGCCGGAGGGCCTGTTTTCATATCTTCTAGATTAGAGCAATAGAGGTAATCTCATAACTTACTCAAGAGAAAATGGAAAGTAACTGTTGTTTATTTTAGAATTTTGATCTGCACTGAGTGCTGTGTTTTTGAACACGGATATTATAACAGCTAATTATTGAAAAAGTTTAGTATTCAAGTAACAAACCTATGATGGAATCTGTTTTTTTCCATCTATTACTATTCATTGTACCTATTTTATGCATTTTTATGCATTTCAAATGATTTTTATTTGGGGTCCTAAACTTTTGGAGGTTTTATTTCTTAGTTATTTCCATCTTTTTTGTTTACTCTGCAAATTAGAGTCTTCAAAACAAAAGTGATTCTTTTAGGCCATGGAAGTGGTAAAAAAAAAAAAAAAAGCAATAAAAATGCTTTGTCTGCTTTTAAAGGCATGTATAGATAAATGAGCTTTCCAGAGTGTTATTATTAAACAAGGTGAAGAGTTAGGCAGAGTCAGACTCCTATATGATCCCTCAGCACCCAGTGTTCTGTCCAATGAGCCAACACATTACACACACTACTTCATTTAATCATCCAGCATTCTTGTGAAGTATTATTACCCAAAACGTGGTTAAAAACCAGTTCTGTGATCACACCAGCGCACTCCAGCCCGGGCAACAGAGTGAGACCCTGTCTCAAAAAACAAACAAGCAAATAAAAAACAAAAAAGCAATTTTAGCTCCTTCCAACTGGGTGGCATTAGACAAGTGATTGGCCACTAAGAGATTCAGAATGTTTGAGAGTCAGAGTAAATATTAACTTAATAGATATATACTAAGTTAGATTTCGACTAAGAAAATATGTACATTTTATCTCTGTCTTTAAGATCAAAGAAGAAAACATCCGACACATTTTCCTAGTCTTTATTTTAAACTTTCTGCATGTATGCACTCATTGAATTTTCAGAACTCAATGATGTAGGTGGTATTATTATATCAATATTGTAGATTTTAATAATGCTTTTGCATGAGGGTATATCAATTATAATTGACGTGTGTGTGTGTATTTACAATGCCATTATTTATGGATAAGATGTTAAAGACTGATACAATTTCTTCTGTAATGTTGAGCCCTGTGTCCATTGTGAACCATCTTATGAAAAATAAAAAGAACTTCAACAGTGGAAATACTAAACTCTGAAAAATTAGTAAGATATATTGGACACTTGCAGTGGATAAGCACTGTGACAATAGATCTGTTATTGCTATGTCATTAACTTTTATAATAATGGCATTGTTTTGATTTCCTTAAAAAAACTAGAGTTATAGAGCAGGCTATTTTAAAGATGGTAGGCAACAATGTACCAATTAGCAGATATTGTGAAATTGGTACACTGGCTTGAGCGCAACCCAAAAGATAGAATCAAGATGAAATCTTGCAGACAATTCAGATTTAAGAAATTAGACATGCTGACTTGAGTCACTGGGTCAAGAATACTAACTATGATTCAGAGAAAGACTGCATTACTGAGAATAATGATAAGAAATCAGCAAACAAATTAGAATGAAAACTATGACAAATTAGAATGAAAACTATGAAAACTGATATTAATAAAAGCAACTTGAGAGTTGCTACATTATTTAGGGCTATAGGCTTCGGATGTATTTTAATACATTTATAGCCACTTGATTTTCACAGCCAAAATATAAGTGGTTGCTGAGGCACCATTTCACAGAAGTATAATAAAGTCATCTGCCCAGGATCACATACCTAAGAAGATCTTGCTTCTATTCTATCTTCCCATAAAGAAGACACCTCTTCTTTATGATTTAATGGCTGATCACCAAAAGAATTCAGAGTCCCACTTTCTCCTCAGCATGTGTACATTATCAGTTATGAAAGAAATTGTTTTTTCTTTTTCATGCTGTTTATCATAACTTGCCACAATCAACTGGTTAAATTAAAGTTCAACCCGGTTAAAATCAAGCTGTAAATTACTGCAAAAGTCCCACAAAGCTCAAATACCAGAAAGGGATTTTCAAGTAGTTACAAACAAGTTTCTGCTTTCCTGAAGATTAACCAAATCCAGTCTTAATCTTTGTGGCAGAATTGTTAACACCTTTTTCTCAAAAATTTTAAAGAACATTTCAAAGAAATGAAACTCAGATGTCCCACTTAGAGAATGTGCAGGTCAGTGTTGTGTTGTTAGATCATGTAAAGACTGCTCTGAATGCCCTAAGCCACACTTATATGCCTATGCAACATGAATACAGGTGCAGCTTAAACAATTTTTTGTTAGGCAAATATCGCATAACCCACACAGAGATCGAGAAATAGAACTTCACTAGAATCCAGATGTTATTCCCAATGATAAATCTTTCCATCCATCTTAGAGTTATTCAGTATCCTAACTTTCAAGGTTATCCCTACTTTGCTTTGATTTACAGTTCAATATCCAAAGTTTGCATCCATAAACAATATAGTTTACTATTGGCTGTATTTACTTTTATATAAGTGGAATTATAGAGTACATAATTTTATTAAGTTTATTGAGGTATAATTAACATACAGTAAGCCAGGGGTCCCCAACTCCTGGGCCACAACTGACTGATACTGGTCTACAGCTTGCTGGGAACCAGGCCACCCAGCAGGAGGTGAGTGGCCAGCAAGCAAGCAAAGCTTCAGCTGTATTTATAGCCACTTCCAATTGCTCACATTACTGCCTGAGCTCCGACTCCTATCAAATCAGCAGCAGCATTAGATTCTCATAGGAGCATGAACCCTACTGTGAACTGCTCATGTGAGGTGTATCAGTCCATCTTCACATTGCTGATAAAGATATACCCGAGACTGGGAAGAAAAAGAGGTTTAATGGGCTCACACTTCCACATGGGTGGGGAGGCCTCACAATCATGGCAGAAGGCAAGGAGGAGCAAGTTACGTCTTACATGGATGACAACAGGCAAAGAGAGAGACTTTGTGCAGGGGAAATCTACTTTTTAAAACCATCAGATCTCATGAGACTTATTCACTATTATGAGAACAACATGAGAAAGATTCACTCCCATGACTCAATTACCTCCCACTGGGTCCCTCCCACAACACATGGGAATTGTGGGAGTTACAGTTCAAGATGAGATTTGGGTGGGGACACAGCCAAACCATATCATGAGGGATCTAGGTTGTGTGCTCCTTATGAGAATCTAGTACCTGATGATCTGTCACTATCTCCCATCACCCTCAGATGGGATCATCTAGTTGCAGGAAAACAAGCTCAGGGCTCCCACTGATTCTACATTATGGTGAGTTGTGTAATTATTTCATTATATATTACAATGTAATAATAAGAGAAATCAAGTACACCATAAATGTAATGTGGTTGAATCATCCCAAAAGCATCCCACCCCATCCGTGGAAAAAGTGTCTTCCACAAAACTGGTCCCTGGTGCCACAAAGGTTGGGGACTGCTGCAGTAAACCACACATCTTTAAAGTATACACCTTGAAAGTTTTTACATATGAATATACCCATTCATGAAATCATCAATACAATCAAAATAATAAAACATCCATCACTGTTAAATATTCCCTTGTGTTTCTAATCTTTCCTTAGTTCCCTTCCTTGCCAATCTCATTCACAGACAGCCATTGATCTACATTGTCTCAGCATGACTAATTTGCAGTTTCTAAAATTTTATAAAATAAGAATATGAATGTTTCACTTAGTCTTAATCCTTTGAGATTCATTCATGTTGTTTTATGTATCACTGTTGTTCATTTCTTTGTGTTGCTGAGTACTATTCCATTATAGGTATATACAACAATTTGTTTATCCATTCACCTGTAAATGGACATTTAGGACGATTCTAGTTTAAAGATGTTACAAATAATGCTGCTGTTAACATTCATGTACAGGTTTTTGTATAAATACTTACTATCTTTTCCCCTGGGTAAATGTGTATATTTTCAATGTCTAAATCACAGGGTTGGTATATTTTTTAACTTTTTAAGATATTGCCAACTATTCTATGAGATACTTCTACTAGTTTTTCTTTTCATTAGATGTACATGAAAGTTTTAGTTTGTTTACATCCTCAACAACATTTGGGTTATTTCATTCAAGTTGGTGGATAGTACTGCTCAAGTGTCCTATAAACCACTGAATTTATTTCTAAAATTCTATCAAACATTGTGATAAGGAAGTTGAAATTTCTGACTCTATTTTGATGCATCTATTTCTCTTTGTAATTTTATCATATTTTGCTTCATATATGTTTAATCTATATTATTAGATCTATAAATATTTAAGATTATTCTGTGCTCTTGAATTTATTAAGAAATATCTTCATTATGGACAATATTTTTGCTTTGAAATCTATTTTGTCTAATGTTTGCCACTTCAACTGTCTTTTGACTAACACAGAGTGGTTTAATGTTTTCAGCCTTTTAACATATTTTTATCTCTATATTTAAAGTAGGTTGGTAGCATATAATTAGCTCTTGCTTTTTATCAGTCTGACAATCATTGCCTTTTATTTGTGGCATTTATCCCATTGGCATATGAGATAATTATTGATATGGTTGGGTTTACATATGTTGCATTGCTATTTGTTTTTGTTGTTGTTGTTTGCTTTGGGTTTTGTTTTGTTTTTGTTTTTTTGAGATGGAGTCTCGTTCTGTTGCCCAGGCTGGAGTGCAATCTCGGTTCACTGCAACCTCTGCCCCCGGGTTCAAGCAATTCTCCTGCCTCAGCCTCCCAAGTAGCTGGGATTACAGGTGCCCTCCACCACACTCAGCTAATTTTTGTATTTTTAGTAGAGACAGAGTTTCACCATGTTGGCCAGGCTGGTCTCAAACTCCTGACTTCAGATGATCCGCCTGCCTCAGCTTCTCAAAGTGCTGGGATTATAGGCGTGAGCCATTGCACCCAGCCTCTATCTTGATTTTTATTAGTAGTATTAGTCAGCCTTCTCCAGAGAAACAATCAATAACGTGTATAGATGTATATATAGAAGTTTATTTTAAGGAACTGATTTACATGTCTGTGAGGTTAGTAGGTCCAATATGGGCAGGGTAGACTGGTGGGGTGGCAATTGTTGTGGTTCACATCCAAAGACAGTTTATGGCAGAATTTCTTCTCTCTCAGGAGAGGTCAATCTGTTTCTTAAGGCTTTCAATTGATTGGATGAACTCTCATATTATGGAAGGCAGTCTACTTTACTCAAAGATTTAGATGTTAATCCCATTCAAGAATACCTTCAGAGAACAGCTAGAATAGAGTATGACCAAATATCTAGATATTATGTCCCAGCCAAGTTAACATATAAACTTAACATATAAACTTAAGCATCACATTAATTATAAAGTTTGATTGTTTTATTTTAGCGTTTGCTTTAGGGTTTATAGCAAACATCTTTAACTTTTCACAGTCTGTCATTAAATGATATTATATTTCTTCATGTGCAAAAAAAATATCTTACAAGAGTGTACTTCCATTTCTTTGTTCCTGGTTTTTGTATGATTGGTTTCATACATTTTATGTTTATATATGATAAAAACTCAAATCATCATTATTTTTGCTTTAAATAATTGGTTATCTCTTAAGGATATTTAAATAATAAAGACAAATATTTTATTTACTCATGTGATTACTACTTTCATTGCTCTTCATTCTTTGTGTAGAACTAGGCTTCTACTGACATCAGTTTTCTGCTGCTTGAATGACTTTTTTCAACATTTCTTGTAGTAAGTTATGTCTTTCAGCTGTTGACATCTAAAAATGTCTATTTTGTCTTTGTTTTTGAAATATATCTTTACTGGATAAGGAATTTTAGTTTGATATTTTTATTCTTTCAGTATTTGGAAAGATTTTGTTCTATTGTCTTCTAACTTGCATTATTTATGATGAAAAAACTACTGTCATCTTTATAGTTTGCCTTGTATATGTAACATGTCTTTTCATCTGGCCCCAGAACATACTTTATTTTAGAATATTTTAGAAACAGAAGATTGGGGATGAGCAATAGATTTATTTTCCAACCTAGCAAGTTCTTGTCCCTCCTTATTCTTTCTGAATTCTACTTGCAAAATAAGCCATCTTTCTTTGGCTAATCTCTCTCTCTCTCTTTTCTTCCTTTATCTTAGGCAACAAAATAATCCAAATGGCACTTGGAAAATTCTGCCTACAAACCAACTTGTCAAGGTCTGTAGGTTCATTTGACATGTTGTCTATTCTCCAACTTACTGCAGGTGACCATTTTTCCCTTTTTCCAGCCAGCTAAATCAGTTTTCTTATGGCTTTGTCAACTTCTTTTGAATAAGTTATTTCCCTAGAAGGTCTTCCAGTGGGACAAGATGTGGAAGTGGAAGACAGTCATAATAGGGATCCTGATTCTGTGTAGGCCTAGGCCAATGAGGGTGTTTATGTTATGGTTTTTAACAAAAAAGTTTAAAAAGTAAAAAAAAAAAATTAAAAATTAAGAAAGCTTATAAAATTGAGGAAAGAAAATATTTTTGTACAACTGTACAATGTGTTTTAAGCTGTGTTATTACAAGAGTTTAAATGCTTTTAAAAATTAAAATGTTTGTAAAGTTTGAAAAGTCACAGTAACCTAAAGTTAAATTTGTTATTGAAGATATATATTTTTTAAATAAATTTAGGGTAGCCTACTTATAAATTCTACAGTAGTGTACAGCAATGTCCTAGGCCTTCACATTCACTCACTATTCATTTGTTGATTCACCCAGAGCAATTCCCATTCATGGTAAGTGCAAGGATACCATTTTTTATTGTTTATATCACATTTTTATTGTACTTTTCCTATGTTTAGATACGTATAAATACACAAATACTTACCATTTTGTGACAACTACCTATAGTGTTCAGTTACAGTTACATGCAGTACAAGTTTGCAGTCTAGAAGCAAAAGTTTATACCATATAGCCTAGATGTGTACTAGGGTGTACCATCTAGGTTTGTGTAAGTATACTTTCTTATATTTGCACAAAATGGAAGTCACCTAATGACCTATTTCTCAGAAAGTATCTCCATCATTAAGTGATACATGACTGTGTTTTAAGTTTAGTTATAATAGCACCCCGTTTCTAGGTACCAATTTCTACAAAGTTAGCTTTTGCTGTATAACAAACCCTTCCCATATATAGGAACTAAATACAACAAACATTGATTCAGCTCATGATTTACAGTTCTGCTTTTGATGGCTCAGCTAATATCTGAGCTACATCAGCTGGAGCCTGGATGATCTAGGATGATGTCTCATAAATATCTAATAGTTGGCAGGTTGGCAGCCAGGAAAACTAACCTGTGCTTTTTCATATGGCAGTGGTAAGATGATGTCCTGAGAGCAGCAAAAGAGGGCAAACCTCAATGACCTAGTGCTTTCGAGGCCTTTGATTGCAGCAATTTGTGATTGGTCAAAGACAGGCACAGGGCCAAGCCCAGCATAGATATGGAAGTGGACTGCCCAAGGGCATAGATTCAGGAAGGAGAGACATTTGTAGCTATTTTTGCAATCTAATACTAATAACTAATGGCTAGTGTTATTTTCAAGTCATAAAGCTGTTTTTCTATATTATTTTTAGAAAGTTGTATTGTTTTGGCTTTACCTGGAGTATCTTTCTTTTTTTGTCTGTGAAGCTGTTCATTGTCTTTATTTTTCTTTTATTTGTTATATGAGACAAATTTTAAATACATGAATTCTGGATCTCTTCGAGATTTCTTAGAGGATAAAAATGGCCCCAAATTTTTAAAATGTTGGTGACATTTACTAAAAATGTGATTCCTAAGCTAGTGTGGTAGGGTTTTAGCAATAGAGTTTTTAACATGTAGAAATAAACCTTATGGGAAGCTCCTTTTCTTTTTCTTTTTTTCCACTCTGGGCAATAGCATTGCAACTGCTATAGACAGACAGGACATGTCCACATAGTCCAGGTAGAAACTATAATAACACATGTGGGAGTTTTTTTGTTTGATTGATTTCTTTACTTGAGAATTTAATGTGGAAATGAATGGATTCTTTGAGAAGGACTGAATGCACACTATGGAAGGAGGCCTCGCACACCTTTTACTCATGAGCTCAAGCCTTGATAGAGGCAAAATATTTTGCCCAATAATCAACTCCTCCTTCCTCCTCACTGTGATACTCTTAATTTAAATCCTTAGAAGTCTTTTCTTTTGTGTGGCTGAGAAGGTGTAATTTTCCATTTTTGTTTGCTCTGAATTCACCAACTACATACTGAATTCTTTGGGGTATGTTTTTCTCCTCTTCTTAACAATTACACTAGGCCATTTCTGTTTTGTTTTGTTTTATTAACCAGAGCCTTATTTTCATTTGCTGAAGATTTATAGGTTTTGTTTATGCACTCAAAGTTCTCTGAGAGCATGGACTATTTATAACCATTTATTATTTTTGATTCTTTGCTTTCAGTAACCTCTATGAGATGCTGAATTCCTACATGTTTACTGTGCTGAGATTGGATTTTCTGTTTTCTCTGAGCTAACTCTGGACCTGAGCCCTGTGTGTTCTCTGCTCTTCTTCTGCCATGAACTGCAAAGACAGGCTGGGCTATAGTCAGCTACTTTTGGTAGAGAGAGTTGTTTGCTGACTGGGATCCAAAATATACCTCATTAAATAGAAAAATAGCAACTGTTATATGTCCTGGATAGTATTTTTAAATATTTATTCTAATGCACTTCAGGGTTTTACTTTTAACATAACCTTTTCATTGTCATGTAGATTATATCTTTATGTATTTATCTGAACATCTGTTCCTTGGTGTCTTGTAGTTTAGAGTTCCTTAATTAATCCATTTAAAATACTTGCTAGACTACTATTTGTTAGGCATATGCTAAATGCAGGAATGATGTAGCGAACATGACATGCAAAAAAATTCCTTTCCCCGCAGAGTTTACCATCTAGTGAGCAATACATACAAGTAAATGAACTATCACAATACCAGGTGAAAGGTGTTCAGGAAAGAAAAAAATAGGGAGGAAGGAAGTGTGTAGTAAAATCCCTATAAATAAGGGAGAAAAAGAACTATTACTTTACACAATAGCCCACTGATTACATAAGATATGATTAGATATTAAAAACCTTCATAAGTAAGAAAATGTAATTGGACACTCAGACAGTTATAAAGAAGACATGGTTGCTTTAAAAAGAAAAATTATCACAAGGAAGAATTTCAATTAAAAATAAATTATGCTGGAAATAAAAGCAAATGATTTTTAATAACCTGAACATTGGAAATTTAAAGGTGAATTATGGCTAACATTGATCTTACTACTAATGACCTAAATGTTCAAAAATCAATAAAATGTATTTAAAATTGTGAACAATGGTTATTGATTGAATAAGAATTAGAATTTGAGGAGCAAATTAATCATTACATAAGTCTTATACTAAAAGTTAATGCACTTAAAAATATTCATATACATAGAGATACAGACTTATTTACATTCATTCCAAAAAGGTTGTTCATTGAGCACTTTTTAATAGCGCCAAAAATAAAATCAATATGAGAAGAGGAGGAGAAAAAACCTCTAAAAACAAAATTAAATTGCAGACAGAAAAGAAAATCTTTAAAGAGCATCAGAAATATAATACAGTATTTAATACTCATATAGCATTCTCAAACAGCAACTCCAAAGTGCTCAAATAAACTATTTTCATCTGAATAAAACCACCTAAAAAATAAATTGCGGTGGTAGCAAATTTGTTGAGAGATGTAGGCGTTTGAAAGGGAATTTATAGATGTAAAAGCCCTTATTACTATGAAACATGAAAACTGCTTTTTGAGATGTAAAAGGTGGGAAAGGACAGATATTACAGTTTGACCATTTCTAGTTATTTGTATCTAAACTGTCTGCCTATGCATCATCTCAGAAGGGCCCCTTTGCCAATTGCACAATAAGTAGGTCCCTAGACCAAGACTGTCCACGTTGAGTTTCTAAGCAGTATTTTATTTATTACTAAGAATAATCGCCTCAAAAACAACTTACATAGATAGAGCACCTTACAGCTTACAAAATATTTATACTTCTTTCCAGTCATCCTGTCTGGCAGATGGGAGATACTTTATCGGGCCCGTCTTACGTTAACAAAACACATGCTATGATGTTAAGGGAGTTGTTCAAGGCTATATCATTGATAAAGATAAAGAACTGTATCCTACCCCAATTTCTAGTCTAATACTGTTTTCTCTTTAACAAATGGTACCTTTTCTCTCAACCCATCCACTATATTCCCAGAGTCTAAAAAAAACACTTGCAAGAAATTGGTAGTGGCCATATGTATTATAAAGCACAGTGTACATTCTAAATGAGCAAGAAATTGTCTTTTTTATTTTTGCAACTTTCGTAAGAGAACAGGACAGAAATTACCCAGGTAAGTTTGTTGATGGTTGTGATGATTTTCTTCTTTTTCTGATAAAGTTTCCATCTATTGCTAACTACAACACTATGCTCATTATAGAAATATGGAAAAATATAGAAGACTATAATAAAGAAAATTTAAAATCACTAAAATAACTTGCCTCTTTGGCTTTTATTTTTATTTTAGATTCAGGGGGTACATGTGCAGGTTTGTTGCAAGGGTATAATTGCGTGTTGCTGAGGTTTAGGCTTCTATTGATCCCAACACCTAGACACTGAGCATAGTACCCAATAGAAAGTCTTTCAGTCCTTGTCCTCTTTTCTCCCTCCTTCTTTTGGAGTTCCTAGTGTCTCTTGTTCTCATCTTTATGTCCATGTGTTCCCAAGCCTTAACTCTCATGTATAAGTGAGTACATGCAGTATTTGGTTTTCTGTTCCTGTGTGAGTTTACGTAGGGTAATGTCCTCCAGCTGCATCCACGTTGCTGCAAAGGATATGATTCCATTCCTTTTTATGGCTGTGAATATTGCATGCTGTATATGTACATTTTCTTTACCCAATTCACCATTGATGGGTACCTAGGTTGATTCCACGTCTTTGCTATTGTGAATAGTGCTGTGATAAACGTATGAGTGCATGTGTCTTTTTAGTAGAACAATTTATTTTCCTCTGGGTATATACCCAGTAATGGTATTCCTGGGTCAAATTGTAATTCTATTTTTAGTCCTTTGAGAAATCTCCATGTTGCTCTCCACAGTGGCTGCACCAAGTTACATTCCCACCAAGAAATGGAGATCCTTCCACCAAGGTCTTAGGAGTTTTATAGATTGGGGACTTACAATGTCAGTCTTTAATACATCTTGAGTTGATTTTTGTATATGGTTAACCAGTTTTAAAAATCATTAATTACTTTCTATCCTTTATTGTGATTTTCTTTATTTAAAAAAGCCAAAGGTGGCATTTTTAATCAAATTTTTCCAAAATTCACATTAAATAAATGTAAAATGTATTATCCCCATTGTGCTCTGAAATAGCATCACTGATCTTAGAACCAGGGTATGTTGAGCAATGTACGTGTTATAAACAAGCTCCAAAGATCTGAGTTCATTGCTAGGTGGATCAGCACACACCATCCCAGGTAATTGATTTTGGACACTGCTCCTCCTCAGTCTGAGAACACGAACACCAGCTTCCTAAGTGGTATCTGCAGAGCTGTTTGAGAAGCAAGTGGGTCATCAATCCATTCCCAAGGTTGGCAGCAGTAGTCAAAGAAGCATGCAGTAGCAAAAAAAAAAAAAAAGAAAAAAAAATCCAAAGAAAAGCAAGTAGGGAAGTGCTAGCAGTCATTGATCTGTAGGGAAAGTGGCATGCATTTAGAAAATTAAGTATTGGTCCTACCTACCAGTCCAGCCTCATAGACTGGTACTTGTCTTTCACATTCTTCCTGCCTGACTTCTACCTCTTCCCCCATCCTAATCTTCTCTTGATGTGGGATGCTTGGCTAGCCCTGCCTCACATTTGAGAAACAGGTGTTGGGAGAGTGGTCCAACAGTGTTTCCTCTCTATTAAACTGTATCTCTTCCCAATGATATATATCCCCAGTTTCTGGGGTGGGGTTAGGGGAGGATCTGCAGAAAATCGTATTTGCCTTTGCAAGTGGTAGTTCTGCATGCTGGAATGGGGGAATGCCCTTCCCTTATTTCAAAATCTCTCCAGCCATTTTCTCCCCTGCAAATCTTTCGCAGTCACCCAGCTCTTAATTCTCCTCTTCCCAGTAAGGGTCCAAAACTCCTTCTGTGATGAACCGTAATGCACACATCACAGTGTTTTGTAATGATTCACTGAATGCATCTTTGCTTTCCACTCGATTGTGAGCCAACTGACAGCAAGAAAGATGCTGTGCCAATTTTATATCCCTTGCATCCAGCATACCCACCCTACACATTCCATAACTTTGTATGGAATAAATGATCATTTGTGTAATGAAATAATACAAGAAAAAAAAGGAGGGAATGTAGGAAAAATGAGGGAGGCAAGGAAAGAAGAAGGAAAGGGAAAGAGGAATCTTTAACAGTTAAAAGTACTTCCAGAATGAAAGTCCCAACCTTTAAGAATAAATAAGTCATCCTAAATTTGGCTACTGTGCTAGTCCAATAACCACAACTTTATTAAAGAATATTATTTCCCAGTTGTCTGAGGGAGAAGGAAAGAGGATTCTAAACCTTGTAATTTTTGTCTTCATAGACTGTTATCTTTCACGGTGTGGTTTAGTCAGATAAACACTAGGCTGAGGGTGAAAAGTGGCCTCTCCTCTTGTTCTGTGAAGAACATTTAACATTCTTTGCCTCAGTTTGCCTTATATTAAAAACGAGGCACTTGAACGTGATGTGCCTTTTCAATTCAAGCAAACTAATGTTCTGGGATTAATTATCAGTTATTTGAACAGCAAGCTAGATAGGAATTAGAAACTCTACTCTCAGGTGGCTAAAACAAAAATAATGAGCTCATTTAGGAGAGACAGACTTATATTGTTTTAGGACACTAGTGTTTGAATGTGAGTTTTATCATTTACTAAATAGTGAACTGGATAAACCCTGTGATGCCTCAGAGAATACCCTGACAGGAACCAAAGGGTAGGGGCAGGAACCAGGCCTGCCATTTTTCCATTGTATTCTCAGAGCCTACCCAGTGCCAGATATATGTAAGGGCTCAAAACAACCAACCAACCAAACAAAAAACAGTGCTGATGAAATGGATCCTTTATGGTTTCCCAATAATATCACTCACTCTTAATTACTAGATAATATAAAAAATTAAGAGGTATCTGAATTCCTATTAAGCAGAATAGTTTTTATATTCCCTGTTTATCCTTATTTGAACTTTGTATTTCTGTGTGCTTACTTAATGGTAGAGCCCTAGTTCAGTGTGTTACCAACTGATATTCTATGGCTCTGTGTCTCCACCCAAATCTCATCTTGAATTGTACTCCGATAATTTCCATGTGTTGTGGGAGCGACCCAGTGGGAGCTAATTTAAATAATGGGTGTGGTTCCCCATATAGTTCTCATGGTAGTGAATAAGTCTCACAAGATCTGACAGTTTTATCAGGGGTTTCTACTTTTGCATCTTCCTCATTTTCTCTTGCTGCTGCCATGTAAGAAGTGACTTTCACCTCCCACCATGATTCTGAGGCCTCCCCAGCCATGTGGAACTGTTAAGTCCAACTAAACCTCTTTTTCTTCCCAGTCTCAGGTATGTCTTTATCAGTAGTGTGAAAACTGACTAATACAGTAAATTGGTACCAGAAGTGGGATGTTGCTGAAAAGATACCTGAAAATGTGGAAGTGACGTAGGAACTGGGTAACAGGCAGAGGTTGGAACAGCTTGGAGGGCTCAGAAGATGACAGGAAAATGTGGAAAAGTTTGGAGATCCCTAGAGACTTGTTGAATGGCTTTGCCCAAAATGCTAATAGTGATATGGACAATAAGGTCCAGTCTGAGGTGTTCTCAGAAGGAGATGAGGAACTTGTTGGGAACTAGAGCAAAGGTGACTCTTGTTATGTTTTAACAAAGAGACTTGTGGCATTTTGCTTCTGCTGCAGAGATTTGTGGAACTTTGAGCTTGAGAGAGATGATTTAGGGTATCTGGCAGAAGAAATTTCTAAGAAGCAATGCATTCAAGAGGTGACTTGGGTGCTGTTAAAAGCATTCCATTTTAAAAGGGAAGCAGAGCATAAAAGTTTGGAAAATTTGCAGCCTGACAATGCTGTAGGAAAGAAAATCCCATTTTCTGAGCAGAAATTCAAGTCAGCTGCATATATTTGCATAAGTAATGAGGAGCTGAATGTTAATTCCCAAGACAATGGGGAAAGTGTCTCCAGGGTGTGTCAGAGACCTTTGCAGCAGCCTCTCCCATCACAGACTCAGAGGTATAGGAGGAAAAAAATGGTTTCGTTGGGAAGAGCCCAGGGTCCCCATGCTGTGTGTAGTCTAGGGACTTGGTGCCCTGCATCCCAGCTGCTCCAGCTGTGGCTGAAAGGGCCAATGTAGAGCTTGGGCCAAGGCTTCAGAGGGTGCAAGCCCTAAGCCCTGGCAGCTTCCATGTGGTGTTGAGCCTGCACAGAAGACAAGAATTTGGGTTTGGGAACCTCTGTCTAGATTTCAGAAGATGTATGGAAATGCCTGGATGTCCAGGCAGAAGTTTGCTGCAGAGGCAGGGCTCTCATGGAGAACATCTACTAGGGCAGTGCAGAAGGGATATGTGGGGTTGGAGCCCCTACACAGAGTCCCTACTGGGACACCACTTAGTGGAGCTGTGAGAAGAGGGCCACCATCCTCCAGACCCCAGCTGTAGGTAGATCCACCTACAGCTGGCACCATGTACCTGGAAAGGCTGCAGACACTCAGTGCCAGCCTGTGAAAGCAGCCTGGAGAGAGGCTGTACCCTGCAAAGCCACAGGGGCAGAGCTTCCCAAGACCATGGAAACCCACCTCTTGCATCAGCATGACCTGGATGTGACACCTGGAATAAAAGGACATCATTTTGGAGCTTTAAAATTTGACTGCCCTGCTGGATTTTGGACTTGCAAGGGCCCTGTGACCCCTTTGTTTTGGCCAATTTCTCCCATTTGGAATGGCTATATTTACCTAATACCTGTACTCCCATTGTATCTAGGAAGTAACTAGCTTGCTTGTGATTTTACAGGCTCATAGGCAGAAGGGACTTGCCTTTCCTCAGATGAGACTTTGGACTGTGGACTTTCGGATTAATTCTGAAATGAATTAAAACTTTGGGGGACTGTTAGGAAGGCATGATTGGTTTTGAAATGTGAGGACATGAGATTTGGAGGGGCCAGGGATTGAATGATATGGTTTGGCTCTGTGTCCCCACCCAAATCTCATCTTGAATTATACTCCCATAATTTGCACATGTTGTAGGAGGGACCCAATGGGAGATAATTTGAATCATGGGGTGGTTTTCCCCATACTGTTCTTGTGGTAGCGAATAAGTCTCATGAGATCTGATGGTTTTATCAGGTTTCATTCTTTCATCTTCCTCATTTTCTCTTGCTGCCACCATGTAAGAAGTGCCTTCTGCCTCCTGCCATGATTCTGAGGCCTCCCCAGCCATGTGGAACTGTACGTCCAATTAAACCTCTTTTTCTTCCCAGTCTTGGGTATGTCTTTATCAGCAGCGGGAAAATGGACTGATATACCAACATTTGCTTCTCAAAGAAATTCATCATATAATTGTTACTTTGCAACTTGAAATCAGTTCAAATTGTTCATCTCATTTATTTGTACCTGGCTTACAGTAGGGATTTAATAGAGATCTAGTGAATAGATTTGCTTCAAATGGGCAAAAATAACAGTGAAATTAAATCTTGAAAATTCTAATGTGTTTGCAGATTAATTTGGTTTTCTTCTTTTTTTATTTTTTGCACCATTTCATCTTCCGACTGGTCTTTAAAATAATGCTCTACAGCTCACATCCTTCTGATTGTGAAGATAAAGTTTGTAAAATAAACCAATATATCCTTTCTTGTAGCTGGGGTTAGATAGTAAAACAATAACAAAGAAAAATAGGAACTCTCTCATTTATGTGGTGGTTATCTCCCAAAGCACTGAAATACCATCCAGAGAAACTACGAGGCTACATTGATTCCTTTGTAGCCACCCTGTAAAGAACAAAGAGCAAGAAAATAATACTATTCTGGTATAAATTAGGATATTTTTGAGTACATGTAACAAAAACCCATTCAAAGTATCTTAAGTTAAAGGTTTATTGACTCACATATCTAAGATAGGAATACTTACAGCATCAGGCATGGCTGGATCAAGGCTCCAACAGTGTATCAGGATGCTGTCTCTTTTACTCACCTTTTCTCCGTGCTAATAACTCCAGCAAGGCAGGAACTAGTTTTAGTCACATGACACTGAACCAATCATTTTGGCCTGGGGGATGGAGAACTGTTCCTGGAAAAGCCTGCATCATTTGACCTAGCCCTGTGGCCCATGGAAATGGGATTAAAAGCCTCACCAGCATCATGTTAAATGGGGTATTGGCAGTTCCTGAAGTAAGAAAATTGTCTAACAGAGCTGAGTCACAGAGAACCAGAATCAGGGCGTCTCATGTTATTACTGGGAGAGTTTCTGTATCATACTCATTCCAGACTTTGATCGCTGACTTTAAAATCTTTGTTCATTGGCTTGACAGTAATATCCATGGAGTTGACCTGCCTACCAGCCACTCACCTGAGCTTCAGTGTTTTTTGACTCTTTAAATGCCATTATTTTCTTTTCCATTCCACTTTTCACTCTGATGGATATCACTTGGACTTTATTATTACCTGAAACTACTTAATTCCTGACATCCTAAATGATGGTCTCACCCTTTTGACCACAACCTTATATCCATTCAACTGTCTTAAGCCCTCAATCTCACTACATTCTGCTCATTGATTCTGCAAGCAAGACCTTTGGGATCACCAGCCCTTCTTAGTCTCACAAGTTCCATACTAATCTGCACTATATGGTTGATTTCCTGAAATACCCTTGAACATCCCTACTTCCTTATCCATGTCCTACAATCATGCATGTATTAGTTTCCTAATGCAGCTGTAGCAACATACTACAAACTGAAAGGCTTAAAACAACAAAAATTTACTCTCTTACTGTCTAGAGGTCGAAAGTCTGAAATTAATATCACTGAGCCAAAATCAAGGTGTTAGCAGGGCCATGCTCCCTTGAGAAATTCTGGGGGAGAATCTTTTCCTTCCTCTTCTGGCAGCTGTCACCATTCCTTGGCTTGTGGCTGCACCACTGTAATTTTCAAGGTCAACATCTTCAAATGTCTCTCTGGTCCATCATCATATCCCTTCCTCCTCTGTATGTATGTCACATCTCTCTGCCTCTCTCCTGTAAGGACAATTGGGATAGCCTAAAAGGCCCACTTGGATAATCCAGGATAATCTCTCCTTATAGAGATCCTTAAACTAATTATACCTGAAATTTTTTTTGTTTTCATTTCTTTTTTGTGTGGGGGGGGGGGGTTGTGGGGCAGGGGGGACTTGTAAGGTAGGTTCCAGAGATTAGGTTATCAATATATTTTGAGAAGCCAGTTTCCAACCTGTCACATACCTATATGGCTCTGGGGTCACCGAACTCTAGGGTCAGAGAATGATTTGTCTTCCACTTCTCTATTACTTGCTGGGGAAAACCAAACAAAAATCCAGATATGAGAGTCACTACTAATTAGCAATTTTTACACTCAGCTTGATAATCTTGTCTCTTTTTCATGATCTAGTGTCTCCTCATCTATTTACAGTAACATGCCTATACATCCTTACAGCTCTTCTGATTCCAGCAGTAAATGTACCTACAGAACTGTCTCATTTTCTCACGGGACAGAGGAATTTGATCTGTATTATTCAATCAAAACCACAGTGCTTAATTAACTCCTAGAAGGAAGTCCAGTGTATAGCTGGCACCTGTTTGGTATTTATTTGCTGACTTATTCTTCCTGTATAAAAGAAAAGAATGTTCCATTTCCCTAGTGTTTTCAATCCCACTTCCTATGATATCTTGATTCCTCTTTATAATTTATCTGCCTCCCTCCCTTCCTCCTCCTCCCTGTCTCTTCCTCTTTTCCTAGCTGCCTCCTTACATATTGTAATGCTAGTCAAGTCTCATTCACCCTTAAAAAATGCATTAGAAGACATACTCATTCCAAATCAGCAATAACAACAACTTTTACATGCACACACAGCTCTCTCTAACTATTGGCAAGTCTCATTCTTATACTCTTACATAAAATTCCTAAAACAGCTGTCTAAGTTCAGTCTATATAACCCCTCATCTGCATTTATTTCTTAACTCTTGGCTTCTGCCTCTACCATGTCATTTAAATTGTTCTTTCATAGGTCAAGACCACCTTTATTTTCCATGGCTACCAATATTTTTAAATTAAACTTGTTATTTTGAGATAACAATAGGTTGCCATGCAATAGTAAGAAATAGTCCAAGGAGGTCACCAGGTACCATTTCCCCCAGTAGTATCATCTTGTAAAGCTGCAGTACAATATTAAATCAGGTTACTCACATTGATGTAATCCACTGATCTTATTCAGATTTCCCCAGTTTTCCTTGTACTGATTTGTGTGTGTGTCAAAACTACATTTCATTTGCAAATCCACTGAATAGTTTCCAATCTTGACATCTATGAATTGCTTGATTTAAATTCAATAAATATATTTAATTCTAACTATGAGTTAAGAATTTAAGGTTCTACAAATATTGGTCAATGTTATGGTTGTATTAACTCTATGGGGTAAGTATACTATTAGTCCCATTTTACAGATAAGGCAAGTGAGGCACAAGTAAATTAATAAACTGGCACAAAGAATTTAAGAAACACAGCTAGTGTGAGTAGTGGAGACTAGATGCAAGCCTACACAGCCTGTTTCAGAGTCTATGCTACTAACACTTTCTCCTGTGACTTCTCTGGACCTAACTGAAGTCTCTGCTGAGTTTGGGAGTGGAGGCCTTGAGTTACTTGAATGCCTCTTCTTCCTTGGTTCCTTTGATATAATCTACGGCTTCTCCTTGTACCTCTCTGTCTACTTTATCCTGGTCTTCATGGACTGCTTATCCCATTCCTGTTTTTTAAATGTAGCTTCCCACCAAGGCTGTGCATTCAGCTCCCTGGTTTTCTTCATTAGGTATTTTCCTTGGGAGATCTCTATACCTATGTGCTAAAGGAGCACAAACTGATAGCTGTAAGCTTTGACCTCTGACCTGAGTTCCAAACTCCTTTCTAATTACTGGTTTCCCAACTTCTCTGGGATATCCCTCAGGAACGTCAAACTTCATGGTTTCATAAACTACACTAATTCATCTCTGCAATCTACAACCTCCACTTTTTCTCTGTAATCTACAACCTCCACTGTCACAAATTACCATAAACTGGGTGGCTTATAGACAACAGAAATTTATTTCTTACATTTCTGGAGGATGGGAAGTCCAGGATCGAGGTGCTGACAGATTTGGTTACTGGTAAAGTCCCTCTTCCTGGTTCATGGAAGACCATATTTCCATTATGTCACTAGGGCTTGGCGGAGGAGGCACAGCAGCTCTTTGGGCCTCTTTTATAAGAACATTAATCCTATTCATTAAAAACTTAAGTCTTATGACCTAATCACCTCCTGATACAGTTAGGCTTTCTGTCCCTTCCCAAATCTCATCTTGAATTGTAGTTCCCATAATCCCCATGTGTTCTGGGAAGGATCCAGTGGGAGGTAATTGAATCATGGGGGCAGTTGCCCCCATGCTATTCTCATGATAGTGAGTGAGTTCTCACAAGAGCTGATGGTTTTATAAGGGGCTTTCCCCCTTCACCTGGCACTTCTCCTTTCTGCTGCCATGTGAAGAAGGACATGTTTTCTTCCCTTTCTGCCCTAAGTTTTCTGAGGCGTCTATAGCCCTGTGGAACTATGAGTCAATTAAACCTCTTTTCTTTATAAATTACCCATTCTTGAACAGTTCTTTATAGCAGCCTGAGAATGAACTAACACACCTCCCAAAGACCCCGCCTCCCAATATGATCATAATGGAGATTAGGTTTCAACATATGAATTTGGAGGCCACACACACTTTCAGTCTATAGCATAAAACATTTCCCCAAAGAAGATCCATTTTTTTTGCCTGTGTTTTGATCTAAAGTAATCATGCCTTCATCTATTCATAATTACCCTATAATGGTCACAAAATGGAGAAATAGTTATACATGTAATAACTGTGCTCCTATGTATTAACATATAATCTACAGTAATATTTGGTTCATTGTTGATTCTGAACTGATGAGCTAGATTTGTTAAGCTGACACAAATATGTCATAAAATGGACAGTGCCTGGCACAGTGGCATAAAATGGAAAAAAATAAAACATAATTATGGTAGAATTAAATAATTTCCTAACGGTAGAATTAGGGAAATCATTCTTAAAGAAGGAGATATTAGTTGTTGGAATTAAAGTCTAACTAGAAACAATTAATAAAATATAGCATTCTAATTCTTTCAGAAAATCATCTATTTTCATATGAGCATTGTAAGTACTGGAGGGATTGCTCCTTATCTTCCTCAGTATGTTGGTCTATAGTACAATTTTGAGAGGTTGTACAGAGAATAAACCACCCCAGACTTCTCATCTCCCAGCAAAGATAACAAGAAACCGAAAGTAGAGCTCCTATTATTTAAATCCAAATATTAATCTCCTTCTGGGATGCATTAAGGTTAACAACTGGTAAACCAGGAAATGAAAATATCTGTGAGATACTAGAAAAAAACAAAAACATGCATTGTTTTTCCTTCCTTACGGGGCAAAAACATAAAACTTTTAGCTTTATGCCTCACTAGAGAGAATAAGAATTGTTACCATAAGCTCATATAAGTTTTGAAGAGAATCCCTTGCTGATTGAAATAATACCTTCATAATATTTGCAAATAAATGTCTAGACTATCCATGAGCTCTAAAAATGAAAAATGTGCAGATGGAAATGAAAAGTGAATGTGGTAGAATTGTTGGGATTTGAAGCTCTTTTATATGCCTGGAATTTCTGGACCTTTATCAGAAGACAACATTTGTATATATTAAATAGATAAATATGCAATATATTAAAACAGGTAAACAGAAAGGAATAAGAGTTAGACTGCCTCAGTTTCAGGGTAAACATAGCCATGTGGGGTTTAGATACACCTAATAGCTGGGAGTCTTTCTGCCCTCCTGAAGGATACTTAGCCCCTAAGATAATATAATGGAGACTTATTAGCACTTTCAGTAGTACAGAGATTTATTCTAACCATCTGTACCATGTGCAAGAATATACTGTAAAAACAATCATCATTATTCTTTTTAATTATTTATTTTGAAGACAGTCTCTCTCTGTTGCCCAGGCTAGAGTGCAGCAGCAATCATAGCTCACTGCAGCCTCAAACTCTTGGGCTCAAGCAATCCTCCCACCTCAGCCTCCTGAGTAGCTAGGACAAAAGGTGTATGCCACCACTCCTGGCTAACTTTTTTTTTTTTTTTTTTTTTTAAGAAACTGAGTCTCACTATATTGCCCAGGATGGCCTTGGACTCCTGGCCTCAAGCAATCCTCCTGCCTTGTTTTTCCAAAGTGCTGGGATTACAGGCATGAACCACTGTGTCTGGCCTGGACTCGTTATTATTAATCATTAGCAAAAGCAAAGAAACATGCAGAAGTAACTCCTACATACAAGTTCATAATCTTGAGTTATTTACATTGCAATCCATGGCAATGTGAGTTTATTCTGTGTGCTTGCTTGCTTGCTTTTATTTACTTTTAATTTTTGGAGATAGGAGCACAAGATTTTAATCGCCATATATGTTGAAACTATTGTTCCCTTGAAATAAATTCATATGCACAAAGAACATAATAGCTCATCAGTGGAGAGATTCTATAAAGGCAAGACCATGTCTGCTTTTCCCCTTTTGTTTGTTCAGTTTATAACAGAGAGCCTGATACACAGTAGACGCTAAATAATTACGTATTGAATAAATAATAAACCAGAGGTAAAAATTCAACTCTGGTAGAGTAAACAGAAAAGAGAGGGATGCTGAGTGTTTAGAATGCGATTGGGATTGTGCTGGGCACTTGATGTAAATCATCTCTTAATTCTCTCCAGAGCTCTGAAAAACAGGTATATGATACCTATCTTGTGAATGGCAAAGACCTTGATTCTTAATGTAACTAGCAGGCCCCAAATTAACCAACCTTGTCTCAGACCACACTCCCCAGGCACATTTGCCATCTCTTTAGTCATTGATCACATCACAGGTTTTTGTACACAGGGTTCCTTTGCCTCTTCCCCAGCAATATCTCCTGCTAGTTTTTACTTATCCTTCAGGTCCCTCTTTAAATGTCACATCCTCAGGGAAGTCTTCCCTATAAATTAGACCTTCCATACTTGGTTTGTAGCACTTATCGCAACTGTAACTGAATGGTTATTTACACAGAACTTTGTTTTATGTGTGACTTCTCTGATAGTCATCAAACTCCAGGAGGGACTTCATCTGTCTTGATTGTTTTAGCTCCATTTCTTCTTACACTCTCTGACATATAATATGCTTTCAAAAACATGTCCTGCATTAATTAATTATGATAAAATCCAGCTTGAAGAAGTTTAGTAACTTATTCAAAGTTCCAGGCTAGTAAGTGATATGAGTGGCTCATAAGGAAGGGGCTGTTAGATTCTAAAAGCTACAAAACTGAGAGTAATAACTAAGGAAGTGGAACACTGGTGTGATATTCTGAAAATCCTCTGAAATTAAATAAGCAGATGGTATTTAACAAGGATAAACATAATATCCCATATTACATGAAAACATGACAAAAGCTAACAGGTTCAGAACGAGCATCATTGTAGAAATAATTTCCTCCATGGGGAATGTGTACTGGGTGTTTATACATCCAGGCACGACGCTAGACATTGTGCATGGGTTATCTTTATTTAAGCCTCATAATAACCTCCAGATAGGGTAGTATCATTATTTTCATCTTAAAGGTTTAAAATGTTCCCCTGTTAAACAGCAAAGCAGGCTCAAGCAGCTTTGACTCCAGAGCCCACATACACTTAACAATTTCAGAAGGTTTTCAGACTCAAGCTTTGGAACTTTAGTGGCGTTGTCTTGCTTATTTGTTTTCTAAGATCTACAAGTTTTTGGTGACTAAATTAAAGGTGGCCCAACTGCCAAAAAAGTGATTGTGAATTCAGACTGACGTACACCAAATGTAATATCCAAAATGGAGATCAGAGTCTCTGGGCCCCATTCCCAGAAATAGTTAATTTTTTAAATTATCTAATGTAGGAATGAGGCTGTCACCGTTCATAAAAAGGAAATAGCCTTCTTGAAAGAAATTTACCCAGACAGGCACCAAGCTTAGGAAAAGAACAATCCCTTAAGAAAAAGAACTGGAAATCGCTTTTCTAGCTATCATGGAGGACACTACTGCCCCCTTGTGCCTCATTATGATGATACAACCCTAAGAATGTTTGGTCCAACTCACGCTGAGCGCCGTCTGAGCTCCAGAGAGCCCTCGGAAGCGTTCTGCCCCAGCTTGCTCAGAGTCAACAGGCCCGGGAGTTTCCTTTTGGGTCATTTTGCCTGGCATGGAGAGGAGACAGAGGCTTTACTGTCCCACCTGAGAGCTCGGAAGCACTGAAGTACTAGACACAGGTTCCTTTTAGGCAGCTACCGTGACCCTTGATAATTGTTCCCTTCATAGCCTCTGAAGAAGCACTAGGAGAAGGCAAAGGAGGGTGGAAACTTCTCAAGTATTTGCAACAATTGCAACAATTTCAAAAATACGTCCTGCATAAATGAGTGATGATAAAATCCAGCTTGAAGAAGTTTAGTAACTTATTCAAAGTTCCAGGCTAGTAAGTGATATGAGTGGCTCATAAGCGAGGGGCTGTTAGATTCCAAAAGCTACAACTGAGAGTAATAACTAAGAAAGTTTTGCAACAAGAACTTAATTAAGCAGACTAAACTTTTTTTTTTTTTCTTTAACTTCAGAGACTCAGGGCTGCTCCTGGAAATGGTAGCTCACTGAGGGAAAAACTTGTGCAAGAGGGACAAACTAGTATTTTCTCAGAATGGCAATAAGAAAGGGAAAGGGGCCGGGTGTGGTGGCTGACGCCTGTAATGCCAGCACTTTGAGAGGCTGAAGTGGACGGATCACCTGAGGTCAGGAGTTCGAGATTAGCATGGTGAAACCTCGTCTCCACTAAAAATACAAAAAATTAGCCGGGCGTCGTGGCGGGCGCCTGTAATCCCAGCTATTCAGGAGGCTGAGGCTGAAGAATCGCTTGAACCTAGGAGATGGAGGTTGCAGTGAGCCGAGATTGTGCCATTGTATTCCAGCCTGGGAGACAAGAGCGAAACTCGGAAGAAAAAAAAAAGAAGAAAGAAAGAGAGAGAGAAAGGGAACAAAATGTATAATAAAATGTATAAAATGTATTTAGAGCTGAATCTGACCTGTCCTGAACCTGCCTCACCAAAGCAGATGACCAGACAACTTGAGGTCCTATCCTCCAACCCCTCACCTGGGACATTTCAATTTATTTGTAAAAAACAATTCAAGTTTTCATGCTGCTTTGCCCTGAGGGTTTCAATATATTTATTGATGTCAGTATTTGAATACTGACTGCTTCCTCCGTAGTAAGCTCCTTTGGATGAGGGCCATGCTTGTTGATTAACCGTTACGCTCCTGTGCGTAGTCAAGTGCTTGGTATATGAATACGTGTTGAACAAATAACGAATACTTTGTGTTTTAGTGATTAATAGGATTGAAAGACATTGGGATAAAAGTTACCCCTTAGTTAACTTTTCCCCCCGCAGGTGCACTCACCTTTCAAGCTTAGGAAGATGTGAAAGATTTGCAGTCAAACTCAAGTTCAAATCCCAGTCCCACTGACCTTGGGAAAGTTCTTTAAACCTCCCTGTGCTCATTTCTTAAACATTGTGTGGTAAAACATCTACCTTTTCTACTTCTCAGGGATTTAATGAGAACATGTATCTCCTACACCACATGGCTCAGTGCCCAGCAGACCACGAATGATCATTAAATTTAGTTTTATTCAGCTGGGCACAGTGGCTCACACCTGTAATCCCAGCACTTTGGGAGGCCAAGCTGGCTGGATCACGAGGTCAGGAGATCGAGACCATCCTGGCTAACACGGTGAAACCCCGTCTCTACTAAAAATACAAAAAAATTAGCTGAGCTTGGTGGCGGGTGCCTGTAGTCCCAGCTACTAGGAAGGCCAAGGCGGGAGAATCACTTGAACCCAGGAGGTGGAGCTTGCAGTGAGCCGAGATCGCAGCACTGCACTCCAGCCTGGGCGGCAGAGCGAGATTCTGTCTCAAAAAAAAAAAAAGTGAGTTTTATTCACCCCCAATTCCTATGCTTTCTCAAAGTGTCTTTGGATAGACTTTAAAAGACGTTCTCCAAAAATCTGGACCTGCATATGCGCACCCACCACCGTAATCTATAGACGACACCTCTTTCTCCAGCAGACATTTCACCAAACTTGTCAGCAACCTGTAAACTCAACTCATTTTTATTTTCTCTTTCTGTAGAAAGGTGTAATACAAGGACAAGAAGGTTGTAGCTTATGTTAGAATGCTTTTGACTATAAGTAACAAAAAAGATCAATAAAAAATGGCTTACACATGAGGAAAATGTGTAATCTCACATAAGGAGTCCAGAAATCATAGTCTAAATGAAGTTATCAAGGGGCCAGAATCTAGCCAATTTAGTAGGTGACAGAAATCAGACTGGGAGAGAATAGATTTTTTTAAATCTTCAGGGAATAAAAAGGCTTTATACAACCATGTATATATATATGAACATATGTGTATACCATCATCTCCATGCAGTCATCTCTCTGTATTCTTGAGGGACTGGGTTCAGAACCCTCCCCCATGGATACCAAAATCTGGGGATACTTAAGTCTCGTTATATGAAATGGTGTAGTATTTACATATAACCTATACATCCTCCCATGTACTTTAAATCATCTCTAGATTACTTATAATAACTAATACATGGAAATGCTGTGTAAATAGTTGTTATATTGTTTTTCATTCATATTGTTTGTTTATTTATTTATTTATTGAGATGGAGTCTCGCTCTGTCTCCCAGGCTGGAGTGCAATGGCATGATCTCGGCTCACTGCAACCTCTGCCTCCCGGGCTCAAGCAATTCTTCTGTCTCAGCCTCCGGAGTAGCCAGGACTACAGGCATGCACCACCATGCAGGGCTAATTTTTTGTATTTTTAGTACAGACGGGGTTTCACCATGTTGGCCAGGATGGTCTCCAACTCCTGACCTCAGGTGATCCGCCCACTTCAGCCTCCCAAAGTTCTGGGATTACAGGCGCGAGCCACTGCACCTGCCTTATTTTTTATTTATTTTTAATTTTTATTTTTTCAAGTATTCTCAAGCCACAGTTAGTTGAATCTGTGCATGCTGCAGCTGCGATATGGAGTACCTGCTGTATTTTATTTTATTCTTTCTGATTGAAACACTGCGTGTTTCTTTTAAGTAGAATTCTTTACTCGGTATTTTTTTTTTTGGTCAATATTATTAGGCTGATATCATGCCAACTTGAAAGTGATCTAATCAATTAGTAAAATCTAAAAAAATTTATTTCTGCTCTGGATATAGGCAGACATACTCTAGACGGGGAACACTCAGCATATGGGATACTATTCTTAGCACTCATAAAAAATATTGAATTTTGGCCTCACAGCTGGTCTTTACACTGCTGATTCTAAAGCCTTGACAGAATATAGTCTTTTCAAATCGCATTAAACTATGGCAGGTGCCAAGAAATATAGTTGCGAGTTGTGGTGGATACACTTGTGAGTATAATTGTAAAAAAAAGACTGTTGTTAAACAAAAACTGCTATGAAAACCAAAATGAACTGATGTTCAGAAGAAGCAGGCTGTGGGAGGTATTAATAGATATCTAAATGCAGCCACTCAAGATCCCTGTCTCTTGGTTATCCAATCAAATACTAAGCAAGGTACTACTGTGATGAGATTTTGCAGATATAATTAAAGTCTCAGGGCAGTTGACCTTAAGATACAGAGATGATCTTTGTGGGCTTGATCTAATCACACGAGTCCTTTACCAAAGGGGAAGTCAGAGAGAATCAGAGTGTGAGAAGGACTCAACAGGCCTTTGCTTTGCTGGTTTGAAGATGGAATGAAGCTGAGAGAGAAGCCCCCAGTAAACAGCCAAAAGGTTACAGGGACCTGGGCCCTACAACCACAGAAGCTGAATTCTACCAACAACCTCAGTGAGCTTGGAAGAGGACTGCAAGGCCCAGATGAGAACCATAGCCAGTTTAAGTGGGAGACTGAGCAGAGCACACAGCTAAGCCATGTCAGACTCTTTTATCCCACAGAAGTGTGAGATGATACATTTGTGTTGTTTAGAGTTACTAAGTTTATGGTCATTTTTTATGCAGCAATAGAAAACTGATACATAGGCTTTGTCCCAGGGCACCATTGTCTTTTTTTTCCACTAAATGGTTTTGGGTGCCTATAGAATTTCACTACATCATAATTTTTAAAAGACCCTGACAAAATGGACACTGTCTTCTGGATAAAGTTGGGAAAATCCTTTTAAAAGTCTCCGTAAATCAAACAATTCTACATGCATTCCACTAAAGATTCAGGAATTGGGCCCAATCCCAGGAAGCCTTTTCCTACAAAATTTGGAAAATCTCTTTTTGCAGAACCAACTTAAGTTACTTGAAGAGATAATAGTAAAAATAAGTACAATTTGTAGAATGTTTAGTATTATGCTAGAATCTTTATATACATAATGCCAATTAGTTCTCATTTCTTTACTATAAGATGCTATTGTTTCCTGCATTTTTAAAGACTAAGACTCAAAGCAGAACTTTTCAATTATTTCTTCATTAGTAGTAGAGCTGAAACTTGAGCCAGTTTTTTTTTTTTTTTTTGGCTGTAAATCTCATGTGATTTCCTTCTTCCATATGGTTAGAGGGCAGAACTGAAGGGGAGAGAACCTTTGCCTAGTACCTTGGATTTCTGCTTCATCCTGGGTGACCCTGAGAACTCGTGGGGCTCAGAATGTGCCCACATCCTTGCAGCTGAATTGAATCTTGGTCACCCAGCTCTCATTCCTTTTCCAAGGATAGTATCTAGGTCAGCCTTTTCCCACCATTGGCTGTTTCTTTTTTTAATCTGCAGTGCCTATTTAACCACTTTGACCCCAGAAGTGTGTTCAGGAAATGGAAGAGGCAGTTAATGCAGATTTTGGAAACAAGAAAATATCCAACATGTTGAGTATATTCAGTTTTTAAAATTGGTTGGGTTTCTTTCATCCATTGTCTATTTTAGTTTGCATTTCTTTTGCTTACCTGTGATGTTAGTATTACTTACCTGTTATATCAGATGAGAACATTTAGACTAAGAAGGAATAAATGAGTTGCTAGGAGTTCAAACACCTGGGCATATTAGAACAGAAATTTATAGCCAGCTCTAGTTCTTAATGATCAGCTTTTCTGCTTTGAAAACTGAAAGGTTAATCCTATAATTTTTAAATGAGCTTTTTAGAATCCAATTTTTGACTATGTTAAGCTTTTTATGTTGAAATAAGAAGTGTTTTTCTTGATCCTAGCCATCTCCCCTTAATTTCTGCGATCATAGTCATTGTGGGCAATCATGGGGATATCGGAACCCCCATGACTATCTTGGTCTTGGTCTTAGGAGTTCTAAAAATGTAGGCCCAAGTTTTGAAGGACATTATCAGAGCAAATTCATTTTCTAATTTATTAAAAGCTAAGAACTGACTGAAGATTTATTCATTCAGCATAAATATTTTTAGTATTCCCTATTCTAAACATCGTAAAGGTTAGTCCCTGCCTTGTATTTACTAACTCTAAAGAGAGCAGAGAAGTCCACAGAATCTGGTGATATCAGCAGCACAGGTTGTAGGATTGTGTCATTTAAATTTTGAAAATTCTCCTGCAATTATAGAATGCCAGAGAATCTCTGAATTGTCATACTACATGCTAAATACTATTTTAACTGATAGACCGAGCAGACTACCTTGTATGTTCTCCTTAGCACCAGAGATGGGTGTGAGAGTTGGTGAAATATACAGATGCCTAAGAGATGTGGCATTACAGGTATCATGAAAGGATCCCCAAATAACTATTTCACAAGCACTTTTAGTTTTTTTTTCCTATGAAATGTCTTACTGTAATTCTTTTTTTTAATCCTGAAGAAGTCTCTAAATGTTTAATAACAATTCTGATCCTGAGGAGAAGACACATATCAGAACAGAATGATTTAGGGGAAGAGAAGATTTCAGCTAATAGAGTGGGCAAAGATTATTGGAGTGGACAATATTATAATTATATGATGTTATTATACCTGTGATTTGCATACCACTGCAGCTATTTCTCATGCATTTCAACAGAGCTCTGAAAACCTTCCAGGAAATGCTGAAAGGTTTCCTTATAAGGTGAAAGTATAAGAACTCTTGAAGCACTCACAAAATATGTTTCTTAGCAATTTCCTATGCATACATGGATCTTTCTCCAAAGCACCCTTCCCAACACTTTCCATGATGATTTCAAACATACCATGTAAGCATCGCTGGGGAAAACTTTAAATTAATAAATAAGAGGCTCCTGGGTTTCTACTGACATTTATTTCCATGATGGTGGCCTTTATTCTCCTCTGCTATCATTTACAATTACAATATTCCTTTCTTTTAGGGTAAATTCTGATGATATTAGATAGAGTGATTCAACTTATAACACTAGAATAGAAAGCGTAATTCATATATACTTCATAAGCTGATTGCATTTCAGACCTGTGTTATTCTAGATTCAACCACGTTGATAAATATGATTTATCCTTGGTCTATCGGCATTGATGTTACAGTGACTCATTGCGTGATGGAGTTCTGCTTACCAAATCCTAAACTATTACCATGGTACTAACAGCTAATATTAAATGACCAAATATGATGTGTAAGGTAGAGGGCTAGGATAATAGCATAATATGTGTATCTTATTCATTCTTATAGCAGCTCTCTGAGGTCAATTCCTGTCCCCGTTTCACAGAGGAGAGCAATGAGACTTAGATTAAACAGTTTGCCTGAAGCTACACAGCTCCCAAGTGGCAGAGTAGGGGTTCAACCCAGGCCTTCTATTTAACTCCAGAGCCCAAGAATATAAGCACTGCACTAGATTCCTCTAAATAGTACCTGACAAAAATTACCAGCTATTGTATGGACACGAAGACATTTGCAGTATCAAAGCTTAGTCCTAGACCTCAGGAAACCTAGACATGAGGTCAGGCTTAGCAGCCCCCTGTGTATCTATGGTCAGTTCCTATAACCTCCTTAATCTCTATCCCCTCACCTTCAAAATGAGGACATTGAATTGAATTGTCTCTAAAGTTGCTTTATGTTTGTTTGTTTGTTTGTTTGTTTGAGATGGAGTTTTGCTCTGTCACCCAGGCTGGAGTATAGTGGCGTGATCTCGGCTCACTGCAACCTCCATCTCCCAGATTCAAGTGAGTCTCCTGCCTCAGCCTGCTGGGTAGTTCAGATTATAGGCATGTGCCACCACGCCTGGCTAATTTTTGTATTTTTAGTACAGACAGGGTTTCACCATGTTGTCCAAGCTGGTCTCGAACTGATTTCAGGTGATCCACCCACCTTGGCCTCCCAAAGTACTGGGATTACAGGCATGACCCACCGTGCCTGGCCTCTAAAGTTGCTTTAAACTCTCAAGTTTCCTGATTCTGTGATCTATAGATTAGATCTGCTATTTTCTAATTTGGGAATGCAGTGGCCCCTCTCTAAGACAGTTCATTCATTTGTAAAATGGAGTTAATACTAACATCTTTCTATTCCCACGAGATAATCCATGTAAAACATTTAATGCAAGGGTTGGAACATAAAAAGTGCTCATGTGTATTAGCTTAATATCATCAGTATCATCATTGTCATCATCACATTAATAATTATAAAATATCAATACCAATAAAGTATTACTTTATGCTGATTATTACAATAGTAATACTGCCTTATTAAAATTGATATTAGTACTAGCATAGTATTCATTGCATATCTACAACTAATCTTGACCCTCACATGTGTCCCCACATGGCCTGAGAGGACTGAAAAGGCTCATCAGGGAACACAGCAGTAAGGCCCCAAAAGGCGACTGTTTCTTCACCAACAGACAAATCTATGGCAGTTATATTGCAAAGAAAACCTCATTCTACTTTTATTGTGTTGTGATCATATCACAGTGAAGGGTTTCACAGGCAATGAAAGAAATGCAATGGTCATCATAGATAAGTATACCAGCCAGCAGAACCAGAGACCTCCAGCTCCTAAATACTGGATGGAGCAGTTCATTTGACTGGTCCTAAAAACCAGAACATTTTCCTCAGCCCATTACTATCTAGCCATTTACAATGACAGTAAAGAGTATGTGGCACACAGGAAGGTGGGGAGGTTCTTGTTACACTAAAACCAAAGATTTCTAAAAAGAAAAAGATTGCTTTCCTCAAATCTCTCAAGCTACAATGCACAATAAATTTTAATCGGTGATCCCAATTTTGATTGAAATGGCTTCCCTTTGCACATGCCTCTCTCCAACGCAGCTGTGATGGGTGCCTCTGGGTACAAATACACCGTGTACATCTTCCCAGAAGAAGGATTTCCACAGATGACTCTCCAGGAGACTATGTTTTCAGTCCTAATAGAAGAAAAAGTAATAATCCAGAAGGCAAGATAGCATTGCAATTCATGGAGTCAGAGTTATGAGTCTGATTCCACTAAATGTTATATTCCACAAGAGCAAAAAAGAAATGGAATTTTAAAAACTCATTCCTGTATCTCCAGTGCCCAGAATAGTAAAAGGCATATGAACTATTTGCTGACACTTAGAAGGCATTAAATAACTACTTATTGAATAAATGAGCAAAAAGATGTCTCTGTCAAAACCTGTGTGACTCAAACAAGTGACTTCATCTCTCCAAGCTCATTGTCCTCATGTCTAAATAATACCCACCTTTCAGGGTTGATGAAAGTGTTAAAAGTAATGGTCTGCATAAGAAGGAATGGAGTTGTTTATTTTATCCTCAATAAACCGCTGTGATTGTGGTGATGTGGTCCGGCTGAGTGCCATCACAGCGACCCTGTCTGTGTGAAAAACAGGCAAATTGCTTTATGCCTCGGAGGGACCTGTCCAAACGCCTCAATGTCCACTGGTAATTTTCAGAATGACGATTGGATTCATGAGGGAAGCAAATTATTGCTGTTTGTTCATGGGGTTGTGTGTGTGTGTGTGTGTGTGTGTGTCCAATTCCCATGTGATTCTAGTCGGTAGCTCCTCTCGGTGTGAGACTTTCTCATAAAGCTGCGGTGGCAGCACGAATGGATGCAGCGTTTCTGGAAAGCACCATGACTGTGCATAGAAAGAGCTTTCAATGGTTTAAACTGGTTGGTCTTACGATTCTCCTTCTGGGATTAGTCATAAAGAAGAAACCACAAGTGCAGTCACAGAAGGATGCATAGAATATTAATTACATCATTATTCCTATGTAGTGCAAAAATGCCAAAATCGCCTCAATATGCAACAGTATGGTAAGTTCAATGGATGCATTATTATGCAGTCACTAAAAATCATGATGTAAAAAATGTTCAGGATATTTCCTAAAGTTAAAGAACATAAAATGCTATAATTTTGTCTTATTAAAACTTTATTTCTACGGTATATATGCTTATATAAATGACCAATATACTCTTACAGTAGTCAGATTATGGGTGATTTTCATTTTCTTTAATTTTTTTCTATAGAGGGCATATTTTCATGGAATAATCATTTGCTAATAATCAGACAAAATTTCATTAGAAAATAGAATACAGAACCATAAGGGTTAGTAGAAGCTTGCAGCAAATTCTCAGAAGATGGATGAGTGAGGCATTTCTTACTATCCCTAAACCCAGGAACCCTACTGCTTCTTGGATCCTTAGAAAAATCTAATGAAAAAATTCATGCTCAAACATTTAAGCTTCATTGTACTTGTTTACTTGAAGCAAGTAAACAGTCTTTAAAAATGACACCTGGGAAATGGAGACAATTTATACTGCTAAATGACTTGATAATCTTCATGTTACAACATCAGTGGGAGGCTGGGCTCACACCTGTAATCCCAGCACTTTGGCAGGCCAAGGCAGGATTGCTTGTGGCAGGGAATTCAAATCCAGCCTGGGCAACATAGTGAGATCCCATCTTTACAAAAATACAAAATAAAAATCAATAAATAAAGCATCAGTGGGAGAACTGTTTCAGAACACAGACACTTGGAGTATCTTTCAAACATGCCACAGGGATAGATATTCCAAACTCTTTACAAATCTGCATTCTTGTCTTCTTTCTGGCCATACCAGACTTCTTATTTTGTTTGGGGTAGACACATTAAGTGATCTCTAACAACAAAAAAAATGAGAATAGAAATGATGTATACCACTTTAAGACCTGGCCCATAAAAAGTTTCCATGTACTCTTTTCAGCGTTCTTTTCCTCCTTCTGGATGACACAGTCACAGAGACTGTTGGCGCCATATGTTAAAGTCACCAAATCTTCATTAGCCTCTGTCCCTAGAAGAACCATCAGCTGATCTGTACACTCACCCAAGATTGTTATGTGAATAAGAAATATACTACGTGGTTTTTAACTGTGTTATACAGGTTGACTATCCCTCATCCAAAAAAGCAAAATACTGTAAAATCCAAAACTTTTTGAGAGACAAAATGGCATTCAAAGTAAATGCTCATTGGAGTATTTCAGATTTTCAGGTTAGGTATGTTCAACTGGTGATGTGGTTATGCTTTGTGCCCTACCCAAATCTCATCTTGAATTGTAATCCCCATAATCCCCAGGTGTCAAGGGAGAGAGCAGGTGGAGTAATTGAATCATGGAGGCAGTTCCCCCATGCTGTTCTCGTGATAAGTGGGTGAGTTCTCATGAGTTATGATGGTTTTATAAGGGGCTCCTGCCTTTCACTCAGCACTTCTCCTTTCTTGCTGCCTTGTGAAGAAGGTGCCTTCCTTCTCCTTTGCCTTCCACCATGATTGTAAGTTTCCTGAGGCCTTCCCAGGGATGCTGACCTGTGAGTCAATTAACCTCTTTCCTTTATAAATTACCCAGACTTGGGCAGTTCTTTATAGCAGTGTGGAAATGAACTAACACAACTGCTGAGTGTAATGTGAATATTCCAAATCCCAAAAAATCTAAAATCCAAGACACTTCTGTTCCCAAGCATTTTGATTAAGGGACATTTGAAGGCCTAATTTTACAGCAGCAAGAGTTAACTAATACAGCACATTGTTTATGTTTTACACTTTGCTGCACATGCAGCCTGGCCAAATTCATTCTTGATAGAGAAGTAGAGAGACCACTTTTATGGAGAGATCACTGCACAGAAGAGGTGAAGAAAAAGTTACAGAATGTATACCATCTTGTAAATCACTAGCATCTTTTTCTCACCTGAAGGTTTAAAAAAATGCACTAGTTTCAATAAAAAATCTCTGGGAATAAATAAAAGATCATCATTCTTGGATTTGATTTTTTAATATTTAGTTATTGGTCTTTGCTATGGTCTGAATGTTTGTGTCCCTTTAGAACTCATATGTTGAAATCCTAACCCCCAATGTGATAGTATTAGGAGGTGGGGCCTTTGGGAGATGATTAGATCAGGTGGACAGAGACTTCATGAATTAGATAAGTGTCCTTTTATAAAAGACCCCACAGAGCTAGCTCGCCCCTTCCACTATGTGGGAACACAGCTAGAAGATGCCATCTATGAACCAGGAATGTGGCCTCATCAAGCACTGAATCTGCTAATCCTATGGTCTTAGACTTCCTAGCCTCCAGTACTATGAGAAATAAATTTCTATTGTTTATAAGCTGCCTAGTCTATGGCATTTTGTTAAAGGAGCCTGAACAAAGACAGTCTTTATTCTTCTAGTTGGATAGAGGTTCCATGATGGGAAGACCTTTGACTGGTTTATTGTAGCAGTCCCAGTTCCTAGAAGACTCCTGGAATAATAGGCATACAGTATGTGTTTGTAGAGATGTAAACTAATGTAATGAATATAAGGTGGATAAAAACAAATTTATCTGGTGAGACTTTCCACCCTGAAACTTGGCCAGTAGTTTTCATTTGGCAGAGAAAAGGTTTCCTCTGACACAGATATGTGATTAAACATAAAACACATGCATATCAGATAGTCAGTTTACAAATTCATTTCACATTATATCTATCAAATATATCTAGAGACTGAAGGCAGCTAACAAATTTGTTGATGCAGAGGTCCCTTTGCTTGAAGTCCTCTTCCTTTATCAGCATCAACTTTTAACTCCCAGGCAACTTTCCAGCTCTAACTTTGCACAAGCTTGCCACCTGATGGCAGAGAGCCAGGTATTTACTCTCTCCTTACTATCCCAAGCAACTGGCTTAGCATTAAATAGCCAATAAATCACAATTTCCATGTGTGAGAGGGTCTAACTGCAAAGTGTTTAGTCTTAAAATGGGTCCATTGGTGTCAGCTAGATAGATAGTCAAAATGTTTGAGAGATTAGCTGTATACATACCACCTTTGGAGTTGTAGCTATTGGTTGTTAATTCATTTATGTATTAGGGTCCTTCAGAGAAATGGAACTAATAGGATGTGTGAGTATAAAGAGACTTATTAAGATATTGGTTCACACTTTGTGGAGCCTTGGCCAGCTTGATATCTAATGAAGGGGTCTGGCAAGCTGGAGCCTCAGAAAACAGTTACAGTTCAAGTCCAAAGGCAGGGTGCTGGTGAACAAGGGAAGCCAATATTACAGATGATGTCTGAAGAACACTCTTTCTCTGGGAAGGTCCGTCTTTGTTCTGTTCAGGCCTTAAACTGATTCAATGAGGCCCCCTCACATTGTGGAGGGCAATCTGCTTTACTTAAAGTCTACCAGCTTAAATGTATTGAAAGTAATAGCAAAAGCCGCAATTTTGCATCAATGTAATAAATCTCAAAAACACCCTTACAGAACTATCCAGAATAATGCTTGACCAAACACTTGGACACTATGGCCCAGAGAAGTTAAACACATAAAATCAACCATCACAGTTCACTTGCTTGCTTGCTTGCTCATTTGTTTTTGGTTGTTTTTTTCTTTACTCCAATTCTCTTAGGTCCTTGAGGTCATCATTATTTCCACAGGGGTCATCTAATACGAAACCTTGTCATGACCTGGAGAGTTCCAAGCCCACATTCCAGCTTCCCCACTGGCTTAGTGTGTAACAAAGTGCTTTGCCACTCAGCACCTCCAGTTCTGCCTCTGTGAATGCAGCTATTTTGCCTACCTAAGCTCATCATTAACAAATGGGATAAAACCATATCGAGAAGCTCTGTAAACACAAATTCACATTGAAACTGTTAACACTGTTTATGTATCAAAGGTCCTACCTTTCAAAACAACAAATGAGAAAATAGAAAATTCTGCAGGTGAAGCACATTACAGTTGAGTAACTGACTCACTGGAATAAAGAAAGTAAGTTTATTAGTGAGGGAACAATGATTTTAAGGGTTAAGTGATGTTTTAAATACTACCATAGGTGATTGATAAAGATGCTGGAAACAGTATCAAATTTAGAGTACACAGAATATTCATGTCTAAAGTCAGGTCTGTTGGGGAGTTAGCACACCATTCATCCTTCCCCAGTGAACTTAGTCCTGGGTGGACGTTAGGTGGCGTGGGAGTGCTGTGACAACTAGAGTCAGGGGAGCTCTGATCACATGGGACTGTTCATGAGAATCTACTAAAAGAGACTAAACAGAACTTACCACTTCTCCACTTACAATGTGCAGTTGACTCTTGAACAACACTAGTTGGAAGTGTGTGGGTCCACTTATATGTGGATTTTTGTCAATAAATATAGTCGCCCCTCTGAATTTGCAGCTTCAGCATCCACTGCCAAATGCAGATCAAAGATACAGGATAGGAAGGACCAACTTCTCTTATCTGCAGGTTCTGCAGTGCCAAGTGTGGGACTTGAATGTGCATGGATTTTGGTATCCGCGGTGGTCCTGGAAGCAATGCCCCAAGGATAACAAGGGATCACCATACAGTTAATATCTCACATGATTCAATTCTGGGCTATCATGTGATTGTCAGTCTCCACCACTCAAGGGGCCTCTACGCCTAAATTCTTAACCACACTGGTTCTTATAACTCCAAAAAATGGAGGAATTTCCAGAGATTGGGGGACAATTTGCTTGCTCAAACCTTATATTCTGCACCAAGGCAGCCCCCTTCTGACACTTTAAAGTTTCTTTTTTTCTTTTTTTTATTAGCAAAAATGCCAAAACCACTCTCAGAGGGCTAACCTTGCCCTGTGGCCCCTCCAGGTCAGTTGTCCAACATGGGTGTAGTTCCCAAGATCAATGTCCATCATTCTTTGACAAGTTGACCCAGGGACAAAGGTGGGGATCTATTAAGCCCAGGCCAGGCCATTTCTTTGCAGACTCTCCTTTCCGGAAGTTCAAAAATATGGGGTTCTATCTCACCCAAGGTCACTTGTTACAAAACCATGTCTTGGGTATGCCTAGACATCCTGTTAACAAGCATTAGTATCTATTACTGGTTGAAGCTTCTTGAGCCACTAGAGATGCCAATAGAGTAATTCTGCCATTGAATCGAAGATTATGTGAGTTCAGAAAACCTTGAAAGGACAAAACCAAGATTCACCAAAGACTATATTATAAACATCTTGCAACATGCTTGCTGTGTGAAAAATAATGCAATTTCCTTTTACTTTATAATAAACATATGTGTTCTTAAAAGCAGCACTGTGTTTCTGAATACATTACACCTACTTTGATACTCAATATGCAAAGATATTTACATCTACGTTTTTTTTTCTTGTGAGAACTGGAACAAACATAAGTTTATAGTGTGCTTTTATTCCCTTTGTAATAATGGATGAATGGTTAATTTTCTTGGTGCAGCTTTGCATGGTAGACAGTTCTGTTTCAAAATGTGCAAAAAAAATTCAGTTTTATGAACACTTTGCTCATATTGCTTCTCTGCCACTTTCCCTAGGAATGCCCCAGTGGTGTTGTTAATGAAGAAACCTTCAAAGAGATTTACTCGCAGTTCTTTCCACAGGGAGGTAAGTACAAATGTGGACTTGTTAACATACTATCAGAGTTACAATTATGCTTGCAGTGTTGAGTTTAATTTTTCATAGCATGATGCTACATTTTTAATCGTTATGTAAAAGAATTAATGCACAGCATGCAAGTGTATATAATTTTTAATGTACCATAAAAGCCAGCGACTTAGAAATTATCAAATATCCAAGAGGCTGCTCTTTAGTTTAATACAACTATTACTGTGTGCCCAGTACTGTGGCTCTCAAATGCACAATGTTTTCTGACTATTATGAGGGTGCTCAAAAATGCCACAAAGCTCATTCACATGCATTGTAGGTCTCACTTGATTCTCCCAACTCTGAAAATTAGGAAAAATGTAATTATCCTCAATTTATAGATATGAAATCTGGGGATTGGAGAAGGTAAATGGTTTGCTCAGGGCCACATATTGACTCAGTGGCAGATCTGGGTTATAACCTAGATTTTCTGCAGCCTCCCCTTGTATATTTTCTGCTGTTCCTCTTTCTTTCAGTAATTCTTTACTGTGCTCCCTCATCTGAGAAAATTAAAACCATCCTAGATATTATTTTAATTGGAAAGAAAACACAAGGATAGCGTAATGATAATACATGCATGTTAGAGATGAGTGAAAAGATATTCTTGCCATTGGACCTTATAGTTTTTCTTTCAATTACCTAACAGATGCCCAACTTATATTTGTCCCACAGCCTATGGTGTGCCTAGCCATGCATGAGGTGCTGATCACGTAGGGGGAATTAAGAGGAATAGGATGTAATCTCTGCCCAAAAGAATGTTATACCTAGTGTAGCAGATGGACAATGTCAAACTCAAGTATAACTGTGATTATGGGAGTTAAAAAATAATATTCTGAGAGCACAGTGCTGGCATGATTAAATTAGCTGCAGGACAGAGAGGACATAAAAAGAGACTCTCCAGATGAGTTGAACCTGAGCTGAAGTTGTTGCCATTCAGAAAGCATCTAATATGTGCCTGTCCCTGGCATGCCTCACCATCCAACAACCCTACCTATAATCCTCATTTTTTTAAAGATACACACGTGGAAACTAAGGTGCAGAGAGTTTGATCCATTTCCAAAGTGTATAGTCTTTCGCTCTCCCATTATACCTCTCAGGAGAAGTTCACTTCTGAGTATGATGTCTTCCCGCTTTAAAAGGCAGTAGGGACATGACATTTTAGGCAAATGGGGTGTAAACAAAGGGTCAGAGCATAGAACTGAAGATGGGCATTTGCAGGAAATTGCCAGGATTTGGGTGTGGCTAGGGTAGAGAGTGTACAATGGAGGGTGAAATGTCCTAGAGAGTCAAGGATGCCATATGAAGAAATGGGACTTTATCCTTGAGGTGATGCAAAGCCACTGATAAGTTTAAGTGGGATCTTTTACAGTCAGATTTGATTTGTGTTTGGGATACATTTCACTGATAGGTCAGTGGAAGATTAACTTGAGGTCAGCAATACTGCAGGCAGGGAGACTAATTAGAAGATTACTGCTGTAGGAGGCAAAACAATAAGGTCTTTAAATAAGTATATGCATAGGAGAAAATGAGAAGTGGGGACAGATTACAGACATATTTAGATGACAAAAATGGAAGAATTTAGTGATGAACTAACTTTTTGTGGCATAAAGAGATGAAGAGAGGAGTTTGTGATACCTTCCAGGATTCCATCATGGACACCAGGTGACTCTTTACAGGAGGAATAGGGCGATAATGATCTCAGTTTTGGACAAATTACATCTGAGGTGCCTGTGGGGATTTAGACTCAACAAGAAGTTGGCACAAATGTGAGGCTCAGAGGACAAGTCAGAGAAAGAGATAGAGATTTGAGAATTATTAATCAAGAAGTAGTGGTTAAATCCATGATGTAGATGAGGTTACTGGGGGAATTATAAAAGGTTGCAAGCTCCATGAGGCCAGCATGAAACTCCAGAACACATGTCAAGAACCATAAGGAAAAGGGATCAACAAAGGAGACAGAGAATGAACAGTTTATGGAAATAAACACAAGAGAGATAGATAGTTCAGAAATGAAATGATGAAGTCCAGTAAGGTAAGGATCAGAAGGTCTCTTTGGGATGTGGCAACATGGGAGTCATTGTTGGGCATGATCAGGACAGCCCAAGTGCCCTGGATGAACTACTAGGGAGTGGAGCGCACAAGCAGAAGCCAAATTGCAGAGGGTGAAAAGGACGATGAGAAGAAAACAGCGACAACCAATAGAGACAGCACTTACAAAAAGCTTTGCTGGAAGAGTGAAGTGATGAGGAAACTGATCATAGTGCTGGGTAGATACCAGTGGAAGACTTTATCTTTTAATGTAGAAAAGACTGGACATTGTTTATACACAGGGAAGACTGGTAAAGAAGGAGATGTTAATAGCTTTAGGATAGAAAAGAAAAGAGATAAATAGGATTCAGAATTGGAGGAAAAAGATAGTGATGCGATGGGATAGTGGAGTCCATGAATCGGGAGTTCAGGAAGAAGGTTTTATCTCAAGACAAGAGGGAACCATCTAGTACTTCCTTTCAACTTTGACATCTACTCAATATAGGGGACAACTGTTTCTCTCTGTTATTATGGCCAGAGTTGACTTTGCCATTGACCTTGCCAACACTTTTTTTTTTTTTACTACTTTCCACTTAAAGGAGCCACCGTTATCTCCTGCCAAAATAAACACAGTAGTCTCCAAACTGACTTCTCTGATTCTGATGACCCCTCCCCTAACCATGGTCTACTCTTAAAATGAGTCAGAGTGATCCCGTTAAAATGCAAGCAAATCATGTTACTGCCTGTTCGAAACCATACCATTCCATAGAACATAAGCCACAACCTACAGAGTGGCCTACAAATGGTGGCTACTGTCTCTTGTCCCTTCTCTGCCTTATCCTCTACCATTCTCCCACCCAACTTACCCCACCCAGCCACAGTGGCCCCCTTGCCATCCCACCAGCACACCAGCCATGATGCTGCTCCTGGGCCTTTGAACCTGCTGTTCCCTCTGCCTGAAATTATCTTCTCCCAAATATCTATCTCAATATCTCATCACCTTTGCATTTACGCCAATGCCACCTTCTCAGTGAGACTTGCCCTGACCACTCTATCTTAAATTGCAACACCTTAAACATTCCCCATCCCCTTCCCCTGCTTTATGTCTCTTTTCGGCACTCGAGACAATCCAATAATATATATTTCACTTGTACCATTGTTGTTTCTTTCTCTCCACTAGAATGTCAGCTCCAGGGGAACAGAGGATTTCTCCACTTTGTTTACTGTTGTATCCACAGGTCATGGGACAGTGGCTGACAAGTAATAGCACTTGATAAATGCTTTTTGCATGAATGAATGAATGACACCCACCTCACATGGTGGCTGGCTATCACTGTACAGTGGAATAATATCTGTAAAAGGCTCTTTGAAAAGTGTACAGCACTTAAGTATTAGTTGTTTCATACAAAAGTCAGATTTCCTTTGGGGTTTTAATCCATTTGGTTTTAGCTAGTTTAGTGGATTTAAAACAATTTTGTGCCTAACATGTCAAAACAAATTTTTGTTTTCGGTGGACTTTTAAAAGAATTAAATTAGAATTCTAAGAAAACACAGGAAGACTGTTATTAAGTGAATTTGGATATACTTTGGATGACAACTCTCCCACCCCATCTCATTACTACAGTGCAGAGGGGAGGGCCCTTCTAACAAACCACAGACAGGTATTGGTAATAGTACCTGATGCCAGGATTATAATGAGTTCACTGTCTGCATTAATGAGAGATTAATTTGGGGAATTAATTAACTACCTCATGTTTTTCTAAATTGTTTAAAACCCATGGATTTTTTAAAGAAAAATTATATTTACTATCTGAGTGCCTACCAACATCTTAATAGGCATTAATATCAAAGCACCAATGCAGATGAAAATCTTTAAGTTATTTTTCAATCATTTCAAATCAAGTTATTACATACTAAAACTTGGATAGAGCTCCACATTAAAATTATATCTTTATTTGAAAAATAACATTTCTGCATTAGAGAACATCTTCTTAAACAGAGCACATCTATTTTGCAAAGGATTCCTATCACAAAATCCAAAGGGATTAGGGATTTGAGAAAAAATTACTGTTACACTCTTAACAATTATTTCATTATTCATGTTAATTGAATGCAGAAATCTGACCACATGAGGCATCGCTGAAGGAAATGAAATATTTTAAAGAATTATGATTTGCTTTGCATTTTTAAAAATTAATATCATACATACAAATTGTTTCTTACATAAGGCCAGAAAAGGAAAAATGTCCTAAGGAAGAATGTGATCTCTGATGGCAGGCGAATTCATGTGATGGCCATCCTTACACTTCCACGGAGTCATCCTTTATTCAGGATGATGGTCTGAATGCAACAGTTTTTCTCATTATGAACAGTAACATTGATGGGTCCATAAATCACAACATCTCACCATTTCCTCCAGGAAAGTGCTTTGTCTTATCTACAGAACTCTCTGCAATTTGTATTGTGTCAGGCTGTTAGCTTTCTCTATTGCTTTGTGAAACAGTTTATCAAACCCAACTTGTTTGGTGAGCTGGATGTCAGAAAAAACTGGATTGAACAAAAGCCTCTTGTTGGCAGGGGATAAAGTATGCCTACTGTAAGGCAAGCAGAGAGGAAACGGTTTGTTGGTGCTATTGCCTATATGGTTACACAAAAACTTCTTAAACTCCACATACAACAGAAGCTTTAGTGTGTAAGCTTTTAGTTCACTAAACATTTTTAAAGCCCATAAAAATCATAGTTTCCTGGGCTATTCCTGCTCATGTTGTAGGAATGCACTTATGTTGTCTACACTAGGCATATAATAAACAGTTGTTGAATGAATGAATGAATGAATGAATGAATGAACAAATGAGCTCAAGTCAGAATAATCTGTCAATAAACATTTTTTAAGCAGCCGCTGTATGCAAGTCACTTGAGTCAGATGAGTTCTGTAGACATAAAGATTAAAATAAAATTTAAAAAAGACTTCACCCACTGAGTATCCTTCTTGTCCTAGGACAGTATTTCTAACAATTTTCAGGGTGATTTACAGAGGGCTTATTGACAGAAGCTACTATTCACACATATGAACTTGTCTTACCATAGTAACGATGTCATGAATTGTATATTCAAATACATGAAGGTGATTCTATTCCTCGTGCTTGAATTCAATGGGAGTAGGGGTGTGGGAAAGGAAAAAGAAATAAACCAGATTGATTTCATTCTACAAACCTGGGGCATGATAATCAAGTGTGTTTGTTCAAATACTATGAAGAACGAACTCTAGGGTTACTTGCTATATTCACTGTGTTCTCGATATAATTGGGTTAAGAACTTTGGACTAAGTTCAGAGTTTGTGGATAGACTGCCACCACCAAGGTATGTAACCTCGAGTAGTTTACTTTTCTTAGCCTCAAGTTGTTCCTCTATAAAATGCAGGAGTCACACCAAAGGAATCCTAGGGGTTTTTTCTACTCTAGTATCCTCGATTTCTAAGAGATGGTATAGGAATATCTTGATTCCATTGCCAACTTTACCATGAACTAACTAGGTGACCTCAGTATGTCACTACAAGTCCCTATTTTTACCTTTGTTCAATGTAAATACAATGCTAAATAGTATCCAAAATGTCTTCCCACCCTAAGAATCTGTAAATTTTGTTGCTCAACTATAAAATCTCAACATTTATTTTTCAGCTTCACAAGTAAAATTATAAGAAACTGAGGCAATCCCAGCTTAACAAACTCAGTAACTATTTTTGTTATGTAAAGGAATGTGATCACGAAGAGGTCATAGACGGAGAAGGGAGATCATTGTTATATCTTTTAAGCCCTGGACTGTACTGAAATCTAGATTCCAAGAAGTCAGTTAATCACTCTTTTAACAAATATTTATTGAGTGCTTAAGAACACAGTTGAGTAAAACCAGAACCATAGATGCTTTTGTAGACAGTTTCTCTTTTCGTCATTTTATCCAGTTTTCTGCCTAGCTGGACATTCCTTTGCCTTTGCTTCTTTCTCTCACCCAGTCAAAGCCAGTGGCTTCACTCCTCTTCTTTAAAACTTTCCACTGTCTTCAAGTGCTTGCCAGAAGAAATCCAAACTCCATCAGAAGGACCATTGATTTTTAGGACATAATTATCTTGTCTTTTATTGAGCAGAAAATTGCATTAAATTAGAACTCGTCACCTAGACACACAACAGAAATCCTACAAAAACAGCAAGTTATTTAAGGTGAAAAGATGTTACGTTTGTAAAAGATTTGATCACATGTGTTTAAGGTAGTTGAAATAAAAGTGGCTTGCCTAGGAAATAATAATAGCTAATATTTACTGAAATTTTAATAAGTATATAGGATTATTTCTAAACACTTTGCAAATAGTGTCTCATTTAAACTTAGTAAGATCTCTATGAAGGCTGGGCATGGTGGCTCACACCTGTAATCCCAGCACTTTGGGAGGCTGAGGCAGGCTGATCACCTGCTGTCAGGAGTTCGAGACCAGTCTGGCCAACGTGATGAAACCCTGTCTCTACTAAACATACAAAAATTCGCCGGGCATGGTGGCAGGTGCCTGTAATCCCAGCTACTCAGGAGGCTGAGGCAGGAGAATCGCTTGAACCCAGGAGGTGGAGGCTGCAGTGACCCGAGATCGTGCCATTGCACTCCAGCCTGGGGGACAAGAGCAGTACTTTGTCTCAAAAAAAAAAAAAAAAAAAACTCTATGAAGTACATACTGATATTGTTATCATTTTGTAGATGAGGAAACTGAGCCACACAAAGGTAAAACAACTTGCTTGAGGTCATGCAGTTAATCTCTGGTGAAGCTGAGATTGAAATTCAGGCAGTCTGACTCCACTATGCTATTATCAAAACCTCTGTGCATAGATTGTCTAGACTGGGAAGCCGCTGTAACTTCTAAAAGAACTGCAGAGGCACATTTAGAAGAACAGGATGTCCTCTGTACCACATTAGTGTAAACCTTGAAAGCATAATTCCCACATATCAAGCTTTAAGCTAGAAAAACTCCATTTGAGAAGAATAGTAATTATCATATACCCATGTTATCTTTTTTCTTTTTGATTAAAAAAATAGCAAACATCGTTGTTTTGAGCCATTATTTATGGTGAGTACTGCTTGCTAAGGTAAAGGCATTTACTCTGATTGTGAAAACAGGGTAACTAGAGACTTGCTTAATGAAGCTCATTATAAAATATGCAAAATCTCTTTTTTTTTTCCTCCTCTGAAAATCAGTTCAACACACCATCGATCAATTCACATCTCCAGAGGGCACTATATAGTTCAAGAAGTACATGAAAAAGTACTGCTGAGAGTAAAACAACTTTGCAAGTTGAAATAGGCTGCCAATTCTTGATAACTCTATAATGGAGCTTCCCAACAACAGAACTAAGTTTATGGTAATTAAACTCCTGGCTCCATATGCAAAAGAATTTCTTCCTGCAATGTATCAATACTGGATGGATATCCACTCTAGATGTCACAGTGTTACATGTTATTTAGACCCAATTTTGGTTCTTGGTTAGTTCACTGAAAACGGTGCTGGTAATTCCTGTGTTCAAAGATAAGTAGTTCTTCATAGCATATTAAAAAGGTGAGAGATGAGCGAAGATGCCACTGTCATTTTGAGAAATTGAGTGTACAGTCTACCTCATGAAATGTATAGCCTTCAGTAGTGTTAATTACTACACTGAAGCATTCGGGAAAAACAACCTGTAAGGAGGCCGTGAGCCCTGAGAGCCAGGAGAGAAATTTAGATGGCCTCCTCAGAGGGCAATTCTGTACTCCTGTTACTATGACTTAGCTTCTTGACAGCCTATAAAAAGCAATTCATAAAGTAAAAATTAAATCAATGATAAGTTAAAACCCAATAAAGGTTAAAAGTTATAAAATAGAAATAGATGAGATTTAAAACAGAAGATAAAAGGCTAGAGCCAATGAGCTAAAAGGTTACCATTTTATTTTGAAAAGACAAAAAAGGTTAAGATAAAAGGCTAAAGCCCATGAGATGCAACACTGAAAATAATAATGTAAATTTTATCAAGGGTCAAGCAAAGAAACCCTAAGGAATGAAAGCTAGGCACTCAGAACAGAAAACAATAAGGAAAAAATACAGACTTTTAAATGAAATGGCAGAAAGCCCAGAGATTAAGGAGACAACGGAGAAACAGGAAAGGAAGGAAGGAAAAATGAGAGGGGAAGAATACCCAATAGAAGCAAACTAAGAACACCTGTTAGACTTCAGAAGACATACCTGTCCATCATTACCCAGATCCTTGAATCCCACCCAGGACCCAGACAGAGTAGGGGCTCCCTACTTCATGCAACTTCATACAACTAGGAACATGTAGGACCACCCAGTCCCCTTCCAACACAGCCACAGAAACTTCCCAAGTCACCAATGACCCCAATCCATCAGCCAACTTTACTGCCTGTGGGCTAGCCTGGTACTGGCTGAGGGCTAGCCTGGTTCTCAGAGTCAGAAAGACCTAAGTTCATGTCCCAGATTTACTCCTTCTTCACTGTGTGACTTTGGGTATGTTTTTCACCTTCTCTAATTCCCAATATCATTTTCTGAGTTGTAACAATGATGAAAGTTCTAATAATGACAGAGACACTAATAATAGCAACTCATCTCTGTCTCATTGGTAGTATTTTTAGTACTTTACTTCTAGAGATGGTCTCTTCCAAACACTAAGCAAATTCCAGACAAGTCTCAATCTTCACATCCACCTATGGGACCATTTCTTGTCCCAGTGTTAATCTCATCACCCAAGACTACAGCATTGCCAGCCAGAAACTCATAGAGAATGTTTGTCACCAATGGCCTCTATGTAGGTTGCTTCTTCCTGTGAATCTCAAACTCTAGTCCTCTACAGAAAGAGGGTAAGCAGTTGTGAAGAAAGCACAAACTAAAGGAGGCAGAGTTAATTCTTCTGGATCAAAGGAAGCTTGGACTGCTATCCAAGTCTTATGTAGGATATGGAAACACTGACTTAATGATACTCCCTTTTTACCATTTCAGACTCTACAACATATGCACATTTTCTGTTCAATGCATTTGATACAGACCACAATGGAGCTGTGAGTTTCGAGGTAAGCTCTGGATTATTTTCATATCATTTGACTATTTAGAGTTTAGTCTTTTTAGGGGGAAAATGTGAGTTTGGTGATGATTATTTTTGCTCAGGGGAAAGAAAGCCCAAGGACACTCCCTTTCTCTCATGTAATTGCCAAAAATTATCTTTCAAAAGATGTACAAATTGCAAGCCACATTCAGTTTATTTTCTAATGCTTTATATCGGCTCATACAAGGAGAGTCCACTTCTTCAATTACATGTGAAAAGTCCTGGAAGGCAAATGAGTTAACTAACAGTTACTGACACCTCCTTATGGGCCAGTTGCTGTGGTAGACCTTGGAAATACAAAGATGATAAAGTCAAAAGTCCTGTTATGGAAGTCTCAGTAAGTGGGGCACACAGGCAAGAAATTAAATGTAGAAAAAGACTACATTCACCAGCCTGACAATTCTACGAGGAAATCTCTTTTTAAATTACAAACTTTAAGTGATCTGTAGAGAACGTATTTTTTTTTTTTTTTTTGAAAGAGTCTCGCTCTGTCATAAAGGCTGGAGTGCAGTGGCACAATCTCAGCTCACTGCAACCTCTGCCTCCCAGGTTCAAGTGATTCTCCTGTCTCAGCCTCCTGAGTAGCTGGGATTACAGGCCCGTGCCACCACGCCCAGCTAGAAAGTATTTAATTTCCTTCATGAACTACTGTGTATAAACACCTAGTAAAATAAAATGTCCTAGATATTTACATAGCTTATATATGTATTTCATATATATATATATATATATATACACACACACACATACACACACACACGTAATTCATATGATTCAAATGGTAAATAGCAGATCATAAATTGTAGTATATTGATTTAAACATTAGGAGAATAAACCCAACATGAACTCTGATCAGCTGTGAAGGCTTTTATTTTTGTTAGGGAAAATATGTGAGAAATGTATACCTCATTTATTTGTTACATTCTGATTGGGTTGTGCTTGGTCTCAGAAGTAGCATTATACATATTTTGCTTTGTGATTCCAGTTTCTCTTTTCCATATATACATTTATATTTACTTATGGAATATATATATATATATATATATATATATATATATATATATATATAAAATTTGGAAGGTGCATTTATTTTTGGAAGTGAGGAAGGATGCATCTTAAATATGAGCAGAAATTTTGATGAGAGCTCTGATAAAGGGAAGCAGATGATGAATGAGGCCAGCAAGGAAATGGTACTGGCACAAAAGGGGCTGTAGCAGGGAAGCCTGCTCAGTGCAACTGATGGACTGTCTAAAGGACAGTCAGGAGCTCCTTAAGAGAACAAAGGCTTGGAATGGGATGGGAAGCAATGGAGAGTGGGGCAGAGGCTGGACAGAGTATATCAGGCCTGGGAACCAAGGGAAACGTGTAAATCATCAAGAAGATAGAATACACAATTGGAGAGCCAAGAGCGAAGGTTGGGGAAGGAGATAGAGGCCAGAAGTTGACATGTCTTAGGCAGGAGATTGGACTATCTTGTAGGAGATGAGGAGCCTTTGTAGAATTTTTGGCAGGGATGTGAATTTATCAGAGCTATATTCCTGGAAACATGGAGTGTAATTAGCAGCTAAGTATTGCAAGAGTGCAGACAGGGTCTGATAAAAGCCTGAACTCCAGTAAAGGTATTGGAGGTGAAGCATGAAACAAATTCAAAAGAAATTAAAACAAAATTGGTAGAATTGTATTCCAACAGAACTGTCATGTTTAAAAGAAAAGTTCATATGGGCGTAGGCAGCTATCTGGGTGAAATGGCTTTGTGGAGTCAAGATGAAAAAAATAGGGTGCAGCTTTCTGCAATGTCATCCAGCCAGTCACCACAGGGGCAGGATGAACAGGGCAGGCAAGAGCCTCCTCACACATACTCCATGCTCATGCAGACTGGGTACCACAACTGCGAAGATTCTGGGCCAGGAATCCCAAAAGGTCATCTCCCATAACTTAAGTGAGAAATAGCACTGAGAAGAGAAAAATAAAAGCTGAGAGTGGAGAAGGAATGAACTAAGGTGAGGGAATGAACTAAGTCAAGATGGGGCAGGCAGGTTTATCCTGGGTGTAGAAGCAGTTAGTGGAGGGAGAGGAGATGGTTGGGGGAAGACTATCCTGGGTACCAGTCTCCACAATGTTTCTTTTGCTAATGGCAGCTTAGGTCACTCCATGATAGTAACTTTGGTCATTTCATGATAATGTTGTGTTTGTGTTTGCTTCACTTTAGAAACAAGTTTAATTCCAGCACAGTCTTAATTTATCTATAATATAGAAGCCAAAGGTTTTACCTAATATAGTTCACCTAATATAAACTTTTATAGCTGGCTTCCAGAGGATGAGTAAGGCAAAAACTATTAGTGACTCCATTACTTGAAATTACTTATGTGTCAGAAATATACCACCAATTTCCTAGGGCACATTATATCCAATTTTATATGTAAATTTAGTATGGTGTTAATGATATGGAACCATGCATAACATTGCTTTTATAATATTTATGTAAAATACCAGTAATTGCAATGAACGTTGATTATAATTTGGGAAATTAGTTGTAATGATTATATATGATATGCATGTTGGTAAAATGCCTTTCCTTTTAAATGAAAACTAATGGCTAAATTAATAAAGTTTGAATGAAAATCAAATTTAAAACTAGGCTGTTGCAGTTACTTTTCTAAATTGATTAGCTACCTGGGAAATCTCTAGAAAATAGAAATGGTTAGGGAATGAACACATTTTGAATAATAGCAATAGCATACTGAGAGGTACAGTAGAGAGACCATCTGATTCTACGATAAAGGGTAATGGGAGTTTTCCACTTAATTTGCTTAAACCTGAAAGGCAGAAGAAATATGATAGGAGGGGCCCTGGATTTGGTATGATGGGATCTAATCTCCATTTTGCCACCCAGCGGCTCTGAGACCCTAGGCTGAGTACTTAACCTTCTTAACCTTAGCATTCATACTGCTAAAACATCAGCAATCAAAGCTACTTAATAAGATAATGTAAAAATGAAAAAGTCATAATGTCAGTAAAGGGCTTGGCTCTGTGTCTGGCACCAAATATGTGCTCAGTAGTTATTAGATGTTAACTATAGCAGTTATCAGTTGGGGGATTTTTTTTTTAATTATACTTTAAGTTCTGGGATACATGTGCAGAGTGTGCATTTTTGTCACATAGGTATACACGTGCCATGGTGGTTTGCTGCACCCATCAACTCATCACCTACATTAGGTATTTCTGCTAATATTATCCCTCCCCTAGCCCCCCACCCTCCGACATGCCCTGGTGTGTGATGTTCCCCTTCCTATGTCCGTGTGTTCTCATTGTTCAATTCCCAGCTATGAGTGAGAACATGCAATGTTTGGTTTACTGTTCTCATGATAGTTTGCTGAGAATGACGGTTTCCAGCTTCATTCCCCACAAAGGACATGAACTCATCCTTTTTTATGGCTGCATAGTATTCCATGGTGTATATGTGCCACGTTTTCTTTATCCAGTGTATTATTGATGGACATTTGGGTTGGTTCCAAGTCTTTGCTATTGTGAATAGTGCTGCAATACATATACATGTGTATGTGTCTTTATAGTAGAATGATTTATAATCCTTTAGGTATATACCCAGTAATGGGATGGCTGTGTCAAATGGTATTTCTAGTTCTAGATCCTTGAGGAATCGCCACAGTCTTCCACAATGGTTGAACTAATTTACACTAGTTGGGGGAATTTTTCTAACAAAGCCAGTTAATAATGACATTGGTCATCTCATTACCCAGTAAGGCAACTACATGCAAATGCATCATTCTAAGCCATAGCAGTCTTTGATTGGCAGGGAGTCAGGGGAGTCAGGAGGATTGTCCCCAGCATAGTGGCCAGCACTGAGGCACTCATTAAAGGTTTGGCAGATGAACAGAATCCACAACTGAACAAGTCTAGGCTATTATAAAGTCAAATCTCTATGTCTTTCTCCTTTTGCCTTGATAATAAGAGAATGGAAACCAGAATTCGGTACAGACCTCTCCACCCCTTTATCATTTTTTGTACTTTAGGGAACAGATATAACCTCCTTTCACATTTACAAGTAAAGTAATTGTGCAAAGTACTCATTGAGAGTTGTTGTTAAGTTTGTCACTTCCTACTTGAGACTTCAATTACAACTCAGAAAAGCACGGAGCAAAAGTCTTATAAGCCACATTAAGTTTCTCATTTTTCTTTTGCACGAAAAGATATCATTCCTGTTTTGAGTAACTCTTTACTGATATCATCCCACAGGATAAAAAGAGAGAGGTGCTCTAAGACCATAGCTATCTTTTAATGTAAATTGTTTCAGGATATACAGTATTCAAGAAGATGTGAATTAGATGTCACCATGTGAATCAGGATACTTTTGTTCACAAATACTAGAAAAGGATACACCAAGTGACAAAAAAAAATGGTAATTTCATTGGTTCACAGCAACAAAAAGGCCAGAGATGGGGCTGGCTACAACCTAAGGGTGGGACCCTGTAGGGCTGCAAGAAGAGGCCAAAGCTCCTTGGCTCCATGATTCATTGCTCCTGTTGAGCAAGGAAAGAAGCACATCTCTGTCCTACCATTCCTAGCAAGAGTCTGAGTCTGGGGAGTCATTCTTAGACCTGGACTAGGTTTAGTCAAATGGCAACCACAAATCCAGTTGTCCGGCCAAAGGGATAAAATGTGCTTCCTGACTTCGCCCAGGTCATGGCTCTATCACTAGACTCAGAGATGAAGTGAACTTCCACAGAACATCATGGAGCACCAAATGGAAATTTGGGACCTACTAGGGCTAGGGAGGCAAACAACACAAGTCCACACTTGACTTAAACGTGCTATCTTTATTTTTATTTTATATTTTTATTATTATTATTCTTTAAGTTCTAGGGTACATGTGCAAAATGTGCAGGTTTGTTACATATGTATACATGTGCCATGTTGGTGTGCTGCACCCATTAACACGTCATTTACATTATTTATTTCTCCTAATGCTATCCCTCCCCCATCCCCCTGACCCCTCATCAGGCCCCCGTGTGTGATGTTCTCCATCCTATGTCCAAGTGTTCTCATTTTTCAATTCCCACCTATGAGTGAGAACATGCGGTGTTTGGTTTTCTGTCCTTGCGATAGTTTGCTGAGAGTGATGGTTTCCAGCTTCATCCATGTCCCTACAAAGGACATGAACTCATCCTTTTTATGGCTGTATAGTGCCATATTTTCTTAATCCAGTATATGTGCCACATTTTCTTAATCCAGTCTATCATTGATGGACATTTGGGTTGGTACCAAGTCTTTGCTACTGTGAATAGTGCCGCAATAAACATACATGTGCATGTGTCTTTAAAGCAGCATGATTTATAATCCTTTGGGTGTATACCCAGTAATGGGATTGCTGGGTCAAATGGTATTTCTAGTTCTAGCTCCTTGAGGAGTCACCAGTCTTCCACAATGGTTGAACTAGTTTACAGTCCCACCAACAGTGCAAAAGTGTTCCTATTTCTCCACATCCTCTCCAGCATCTGTTGTTTCCTGACTTCTTAATGATTGTCATTCTAACTGGTGTGAGATGGTATCTCATTGTGGTTTTGATTTGCATTTCTCTGATGGCCAGTGATGATGAGCATTTTTTCATGTGTCTGGTGGCTGCATAAATGTCTTCTTTTGAGAAGAGTCTGTTCATATCCTTTGCCCACTTTTTGAAGGGTTTTTTTTTTTCTTGTAAATTTAATTTCTTTGTAGATTCTGGATATTAGCCCTTTGTCAGATGAGTAGGTTGCGAAAATTTTCTCCCATTTTGTAGGTTGCCTGTTCACTCTGATGGTAGTTTCTTTTGCTGTGCAGAAGTTCCTTAGTTTAATTAGATCCCATTTGTCAATTTTGGCTTTTGTTGCCATTGCTTTTGGTGTTTTAGACATGAAGTCCTTGCCCATGCCTATGTCCTGAATGGTATTGCCTAGGTTTTCTTCTAGGGTTTTTATGGTTTTAGGTCTAATGTTTAAGTCTTTAATCCATCTTGAATTAATTTTTGTATAAAGTGTAAGGAAGGGATCCAGTTTCAGCTTTCTACATATGGCTAGCCAGTTTTCCCAGCACCATTTATTAAATAGGGAATCCTTTCCCCATTGCTTGTTTCTGTCAGGTTTGTCAAAGATCAGATGGTTGTAGATGTGTGGTATTATTTCCGAGGGCTCTGTTCTGTTCCATTGGTCTATATCTCTGTTTTGGTACCAGTACCATGCTGTTTTGGTTACTGTAGCCTTGTAGTATAGTTTGAAGTCAGGCAGCATGATGTCTCCAGCTTTGTTCTTTTGGCTTAGGATTGACTTGGCAATGTGGGCTCTGTTTTGGTTCCATATGAACTTTAAAGTAGTTTTTTCCAATTTTGTGAAGAAAGTCATTGGTAGCTTGATGGGGATGGCACTGAATCTATAAATTACACCTTGGGCAGTATGGCCATGTTCACGATATGGATTCTTCCTATCCATGAACATGGAATGTTCTTCCATTTGTTTGTGTCCTCTTTTATTTCATTGAGCAGTGGTTCGTAGTTCACATAAGGGTGAACTTATAAGGGTCCTTCACACCCTTATAAGGGTCCTTCACACCCTTATAAGGGTCCTTCACATCCCATATAAGTTGGATTCCTAGGTATTTTATTATCTTTGAAGCAATTGTGAATGGGAGTTCACTCATGATTTGGCTCTGTTTGTCTATTATTGGTGTATAGGAATGCCTGTGATTTTTGCACATTGATTTTTGTACCCTGAGACTTCGCTTAAGTTGCTTATCAGTTTAAGGAGATTTTGGGCTGAGACGACAGGGTTTTCTAAATATACAATCATGTCATCCGCAAACAGGGAAAATTTGACTTCTTCTTTCCCTAATTGAATACCCTTTATTTCCTTCTCCTGCCTGATTGCCCTGGCCAGAACTTCCAACACTATGTTGAATAGGAGTGGTGAGAGAGGGCATCCCTGTCTTGTGCCAGTTTTCAAAGGGAATGAGTCCAGTTTTTGCCCATTCAGTATGATATTGGCTGTGGGTTTGCCATAAATAGCTCTTATTTTGAGATACGTCCCATTAATACCTAGTTTATTGAGAGTTTTTAGCATGAAGGGCTGCTGAATATTGTCAAAGGCCTCTTCTGTGTCTGTTGAGATAATCATGTGGTTTTTGTCTTTGGTTTTGTTTATATGATGGATTACATTTATTGATTTGTGTATGTTGAACCAGCCTTGCATCCCAGGGATGAAGCCAAAATGATAGTGGTGGATAAGCTTTTTGATGTGCTGCTGGATTCGGTTTGCTAATATTTTATTGAGGATTTTTGCATCGATGTTCAGCAGGGATATTGGTCTAAAATTCTTTTTTGTTGTATCTCTGCTAGGCTTTGGTATCAGGATGATGCTGGCCTCATAAAATGAGTTAGGGAGGATTCCCTCTTTTTCTGTTGATTGGAATATTTTCAGAAGAAATGGTACCAGCTCCTCTTTGTACCTCTGGTAGAATTCAGCTGTGAATCCATCTGGTCCTGGACTTTTTTTTGGTTGGCAGGCTATTAATTATTGCCTCAATTTCAGAGCCTGTTATTGGTCTATTCAGGGATTCAACTTCTTCCTGGTTTAGTCTTGGGAGGGTGTATGTGTCCAGGAATTTATCCATTCTTCTAGATTTTCTAGTTTATTCGCATAGAGGTGTTCATCGTATTCTCTGATGGTAGTTTGTATTTCTGTGGGATCAGTGGTGATATCCCCTTTATCATTTTTTATTGCATCTATTTGATTCTTCTCTCTTTTCTTCTTTATTAGCCTTGCTAGCAGTCTATCAATTTTGTTGATCTTTTCAAAACACCAGCTCCTGGATTCATTGATTTTTTGAAGGGTTTTTTGTGTCTCTGTCTCCTTCAGTTCTGCTCTGCTCTTAGTTATTTCTTGCCTTCTGCTAGCTTTTGAATGTGTTTGCTCTTGCTTCTCTACTTCTTTTAATTGTGATGTTAGGGTGTTGATTTTAGATCTTTCCTGCTTTCTCTTGTGGGCTTTGAGTGCTATAAATTTCCCTCTACACACTGCTTTAAATGTGTCCCAGAGATTCTGGTACGTTGTGTCTTTGTTCTCATTGGTTTCAAAGAACATCTTTATTTCTGCCTTCATTTCATTATCTACCCAGTGGTCATTCAGGAGCAGGTTGTTCAGTTTCCAAGTAGTTGTGCAGTTTTGAGTGAGTTTCAATCTTGAGTTTTAATTTGATTGCATTGTAGTCTGAGAGACAGTTTGTTATAATTTCTGTTCTTTTACATTTGCTGAGGAGTGCTTTACTTCCAACTATGTGGTCAATTTTGGAATAAGTGTGACGTAGTGCTGAGAAGAATCTATATTCTGTTGATTTGGGGTGGAGAGTTCTGTAGATGTCTATTAGGTCCGCTTGCTGCAGAGCTGAGTTCAAGTCCTGGATATCCTTGTTAACTTTCTGTCTCATTGATCTGTGTAATGCTGACAGTGGGGTGTTAAAGCCTCCCATTATTATTGTGTGGGAGTCTAAGTCTCTTTGTAGATCTCTAAGGACTTGTTTTATGAATCTGGGTGCTCCTGTATTGGTGCATATATATTTAGGATAGTTAGCTCTTCTTGTTGAATTGATCCCTTTACCATTATGTAATAGCCTTCTTTGTCTGTTTTGATCTTTGTTGGTTTAATGTCTGTTTTATCAGAGACTAGGATTGCAACCCCTGCTTTTTTTTTGTTTTCCATTTGCTTGGTAGATCTTCCTCCATCCCTTTATTTTGAGCCTATGTTTGTCTCTGCAGGCGAGATGGGTCTCCTGAATACAGCACACTGATGGATCTTGACAATCCTATTTGCCAGTTTGTGTCTTTTAATTGGTGCGTTTAGCCCATTTACATTTAAGGTTAATATTGTTATGTGTGAATTTGATCCTGTCATTATGATGTTAGCTGGTTATTTTGCTCATTAGTTGATGCAGTTTCTTCCTAGCCTTGATGGTCTTTACAATTTGGCATGTTTTTGCAGTGGCTGGTATCAGTTGTTCCTTTCTATGTTTAGTGCTTCCTTCAGAAGCTCTTGTAAGGCAGGCCTGGCGGTGACAAAATCTCTCAGCATTTGCTTGTCTGTAAAGGATTTTATTTCTCCTTCACTTATGAAGCTTAGTTTGGCTGGTTATGAAATTCTGGGTTGAAAATTCTGTAAGAGTGTTGAATATTGGCCCCCACTCTCTTCTGGCTTGTAAAGTTTCTGCCGAGAGTTCCGCTGTTAGTCTGATGGGCTTCCCTTTGTGGGTAACCCGACCTCCCTGGCTGCCCTTAACTTTCTTTCCTTCATTTCAACTTTGGTGAATCTGACAATTTATGTGTCTTGGAATTGCTCTTAAGGAGTATCTTGGTGGCATTCTCTGTATTTCCTGAATTTGAATGTTGGCCTGACTTGCTAGGTTGCGCAAGTTCTCCTGGATAATATCCTGAAGGGTGTTTTCCAACTTGGTTCAATTCTCCCCGTCACTTTCAGGTACACCAATCAGACGTAGATTTGGCCTTTTCACATAGTCCCATATTTCCTGGAGGCTTTGTTTAACTCATTTTTCTCTATACTTCTCTTCTCGCTTCATTTCATTCACTTGATCTTCAATCACTGATACCCTTTCTTCCACTTGATCAAAATGGCTACTGAAGCTTGTGAATGCATCAGATAGTTCTTGTGCCATGGTTTTCAGCTCCGTCAGGTCATTTAAGGTCTTCTCTACGCTGTTTATTCTAGTCAGCCATTCGTCTAATCTTTTCTCAAGGTTTTTAGCTTCTTTGTGATGGGTTCGAACATCTTCCTTTAGTTCGGAGAAGTTTGTTATTACTGATCTTTTGAAGCCTACTTCTGTCAGCTCATCAAAGTCATTCTCCATCCAGCTTTGTTCCATTGCTGGCGAGGAGGTGCGTTCCTTTGGAGAAGAGGTTCTCTGATTTTTACACTTTTCAGCTTTTCTGCTCTGGTTTCTCTCCATCTTTCTGGTTTTATCTACCTTTGGTCTTTGATGATGGTGACCTAAAGATGGGGTTTTGGTGTGGATGTCCTTTTTGTTGATGTTGATGCTATTCCCTTCTGTTTGTCAGTTTTCCTTCTAACAGTCAGGACCCTCAGCTGCAGGTCTGTTGGAGTTTGCTGGAGGTCCACTCCAGACCCTGTTTGCCTGGTTATCACCAGCAGAGGCTACAGAACAGCACATGTTGCTGCCTGATCCTTCCTCTGGAAGCTTTGTCTTAGAGGGGCACCTGGCTGTATGAGGTGTCAGTCTGCCCCTACTAGGAGGTGTTTCCCAGTTATGCTACTCGGGGGTCAGGGACCCACTTGAGGAGGCAGTCTGTCTGTTCTCAGATCTCAAACTCCATGCTGGGAGAACTACTCTCTTCAAAGCTGTCAGACAGGGATGTTTAAGTCTGCAGAAGTTTCTGCTGCCTTTTGTTCAGCTATGACCTGCCCCCAGAGGTGGCATCTACAGAGGCAGGCAGGCCTCCTTGAGCTGCAGTGGGCTCCACCTAGTTTGAGCTTCCTGGCTGCTTTACCTAGTCAAGTCTCAGCAATGGTGGACGCCCCTCCCTCAGCCTCACTGTTGCCTTGCAGTTCGATCTCGGACTTCTGTGATAGCAGTGAGCAAGGCTCTGTGGGTGTGGGCCACTCTGAGCCAGGTGCAGTATATAATCTCCTGGTGTGCCGTTTGCTAAGACTGTTGGAAAAGCACAATATTGGCAGGAAGTGTCCTGATTCTCCAGGTACCATCTGTCACAGCTTCCCTTGGCTAGGAAAGGGAATTCCCCAACCCCTTGCGCTTCCTGGGTGAGGCGATGCCCCACCCTGCTTCGGCTCACACTCTGTGGGCTGCATCCACTGTCCAACAAGTCCCAGTTTAGATGAACCTGGTACCTCAGTTGGAAATGCAGAAATCACCCATCTTCTGCGTTGCTCATGCTGGGAGCTGTAGACTGGAGCTGTTCCTATGTAGCCATCTTGGGGGGATTCCCCAAAAGTGCTATCTTTAAATCTTTCATTGTTTCTCTGCTGTTTTGTGTGGTGGTGAGGTCAATGCCAGTGATGAGTGCTGTAGGCCAGTGATTCTCAAAGTGTGATCCCTGGAAGCAGTACAGGCTTCCCCTTGGAATGTGTCAGACATGTAAATTTTGGGGTCCCACTTCAACCTAATGAATCATAATTCTTGGAGTAGGTCCCATAAATCTTTTGGCACACTCCCCAGGTGACTGTGTTGCACATTATATTTTGAGAACCAATACTCTAAGCATGTTTTCAAAGACCCTGTGGCCAGCTCCCCTTACAATTAATGACATATTATTACTACGCTGTGAATTTTTAAAAATATCGTTTACATTGATAACAATCAATCTCATCTAGCCTTTCAAAACTGCTCAGCAATCTTCCTTGAATAAGGCTCTATGTTCTGCAATGTATATTTTATGCCTTCTGAAAAAGCTAAGGATTTTTTTTTTTTTTTTGAGACAGAGTCTTGGTCTGTCATCCAGGCTGAAGCACAGTGGTGCAATCATAGTTCACTGTAGCCTCGACCTTCTGGGCTCAAGTGATTCCCATCTCAGCCTCCCAGGTAGCTGGGACAACAGGTGTGCACCACCATACCCAGTTAATTTGTTTTTCTTGCTGTTAATTTGGATCTGGCTGCGTTGCTCAGGCTGCTTGCAAACTCTTGGACTCAAACAACCTTCCCACCTCCACCACCCAAAGTGCTGGGATTACAGGCATGAGCCATGATCCCCAGCCTGCTGGTTGTGCAAGATGTACACTCATACCTCCAAGGGCTGTCATTACCTTTTAACTAAACTACATTCTATGTCATAAATAATTTTCTAAAATATGGCAGGGAAATAATTTGAGGGAGGTCTCCCTTTCTCTAATTTGCATGTCATCTTACTGCTTAGTATCAGAGCTTCTGCCTCTCTCCTCAAACCTCAGATTCTTACCTCTTCTACCAGGCTCCTCACTCTCAAACAGCTCACACTCACTAAAGCTATCGGACAGAAACACAGTCATCTTCCCACCTGCAAAGCAGCTGCTGGCATCCACACCATGTTCTTCTGTCTCATGTATCAACTCCCTTCTCAGATCGGCCCATCTACCCATGTTCTGGATCCTCCCCACCTTCTCAAGAGCACAGCCCATTTCTGACTCTTACTCTTTTTAGATTCTTCTCTTCAGTATTCAAAGTGCTCCTCATTAAAAATTACTCTTCACTCCTACTCCACTGGACCGTTCCCTATCACTTGCTGGTGACCTCCATGTTGCTGGTCCAGTGAACATTTTTCCAACCTTGGAGCAAAATGAACAATCCTTTCCTAGGGAAATGCTCTGTTCTCCTGACTCACTTCTTTAGCAACTTCTTTTCAAGATGCTTTGCCAGCTTCTCCTCTCTGTACCTGCCAAATATTGGAATTCCTTGTGGCTTTCTCTGGAATCTTGTTTTTCTCTCACTTGACATTCTACCCTTCATGCCAATGGGAAGCAAACTAAGTATGGTGATCCAGTTGCCACAGCACCATATATTGAGATTATTCTTTCCATAGCTATTGAATGGTCTTGGCACCATTATCGAAAATCAATTGGCCACAGACAGCTGGTTTATATCTAGACTCAATTCTATTCTACTGTTCTATATATCTGTCTTTATGCCAGTACCACACTGTTTTGATTAATGTAACTTTGTACTAAGTTTTGATATTGGGCAGTGTGAGTCCTCCAAGTTTGTTTTTCTTTCTTAAAATTGACTGGGCTATTCAGGGTCCCTTGCAATATGAATTTGACAATTATTTCTGTTTTTGTCTTTTTCATTTTTGCTAAAAAAGGTCTGTGGCCATTCTTGATAAATTTGCTTAAGTGGAAGGGTTGTATAATTCTTTACCATGATAAAAGTAAGTATCATGCTTAAAAGCGAATTGAAATATTCTCAAGTTCAAGAAAAAACTAAGAATATCTATTATCATTTTCATTATGTAACACTGTTCTATATATATTAGGCCATATAATTAGAAAAAAGTAAACATATAAAAATTAGAAAAAAAGGTAAAATTAATTCCATTTGCAGCTAATATTGCACACATGAAAACCCAGAAGAAAACCAACGTATGTCAGCAAATTGACAGGGTATAAAATTATCATACAGAAATCAATGGCTTTCATACATACAAACAACTAGTTTAGAATATATGATAGAAAAAAATATCTCATTTACAACAGCAACAGAAATATTAAAATACCTAGAAATAATGATGAGAAAAAATGTAAAAGAACAATTTGGTTAAATAAACTACGATGTATTTACATATACAATGGAAACTCAAATTGTTTCCCTGATTTATGCTTAAGTGGAAAAAAAAGTATAGAAGTCTGTTAGCTAGTAAAACAAATATATCTTATACTTGTGTATGCACAAAAATTCCTTGGAAGTAAATACAAACTATTTATGCCAGTAGTCTATGAGTGAAAGGAACAGGTGGCTGGGTCCAGGAAGGGAAGAAAGATTTTTCACCAGGCAGCTTACACAATTTTTAAATGTTGAACTATATGGATGTTACTTATTTAAAAAAGAAAAAACATTTTGAGAAATTCAGATAGAAATACAGCTATAAAAGGAAGGAATGTGAGAAAGGGAGATATAATGCAAATTCACCCAGAAGACTTTTGGATTTCCCCTCTGCTTTCATTCCTACCTAAAAGTGGATTATAAACTGAATACAGCACATTGTAACGTTAACCCTGCTGTACATAACAACAAGAAATCTGGCCAGGCGTGGTGGCTCACGCCTGTAATCCCAGCACTTTGAGAGGCGGCGGTGGGCAGATCACAAGGTCAGGAGTTCGACACCAACCTGGCCAACATGGTGAAACCCCATCTCTACCAAAAATACAAAAATTAGTCAGGCATGGTGGCGGGTGCCTGTAGTCCCAGCTACTCGGGAGGCTGAGGCAGAAGAATGGCTTGAACCTGGGAGGTGGGAGGTGGAAGTTGCAGTGAGCCAAGATTGTGCCACTGCACTCCAGCCTGGGCAACAGTGCGAGATTCCATCTCAAAAAAAAAAAAAAAAACAAAAAAAAAAACACTAAATGAATTTAATCAAGTTAATCTGGCCAGTCTGCAATGCAATCTAACCAGGATACAAACTGAGGGCTCCATTTACTTAACAAAAACTTACATAGCCAATGTCATTGCCAAGGACTGTTATAAGCAGCCTCTTTTTTAATCCTCATAAAATTGTGAAGAGGTAGATACTATTATTAGCTCCATTTTACAGATACGAAAATTGAGGCAAAGGGATGTTAAGTTGCCTGAAGACACAAAGCCATCCAGTAATATAGCTGGAGGGTGAATCCAGGCAGTCTGTCCTTTCCAGTTCCATGCTCTTACCCACTGTCCACATGTAAATTATAACTGGATTTCTAATTAAAGACCACAATTGGTTTATCTTTTATGGACAGCCACATTTCTTATTAGCAAACGGTTTTTCATTGAAGTGTGTTATGTGTGCACTTGTATTTTTTTGAAAAAACTATTATTAGATTCTTTTAGTAAATCATGTGCACTTGCAGTGGAAAGCCAATACCACTTATACTCAAGCCTCTAGCTGTGTGGGTACGCACTGGTACAATTTCCAGTATGACCATTGATTTAACTCAGTTTCCAATTAGAATATGAAAATGTTAAGACTAAGGAGTGATTTATGCCCACAGAGAAGTCTGAAAACTAGACAACCAATAACACATCAATCATTTTGCTAAATGTTCAAGATCCAGAGGGTTGTAGCCCTTACTTACATCATTTGTTTTTTTTGTTTTTGTTTTTTTAAAAATGTCATATAAAATTGAATTTTTATTTCTTTTCAGGATTTCATCAAAGGTCTTTCCATTTTGCTCCGGGGGACAGTACAAGAAAAACTCAATTGGGCATTTAATCTGTATGACATAAATAAAGATGGCTACATCACTAAAGAGGTAAGGGATGCCTCACCAACATCACAGTAATTTGGACCATTTTCATTTCTTAACTTTAAAATATTAATTGCAATTATTAATTTGAAAAGTTTTTTTGAGGAAATTCCAAAATATTTTATGTAGTGGAAGAAAGATGTACAATTAAAAACTTGGGATAGAAGTAGTTTATGGTGAAGCTCCAAAGTAAATATATAACACATAAAGATTACACCCTTGTTTCCTGCTGGCATCTTAATAAATACTGTGAATGGAATAAAGATCATGGTTGGAATCAGATAGAAAGAAAATGTATCCAACCCATGTTTCAACATTTAGCCTGAAGCCTTTCTTTTCCCCACAGCATGTGATCCATAAGGAAATGAAATTTTACAATCATGGGGATTGTGGAATGACCTGACGCAATGGTGGGGTCTCCAAATGCACGTTGAGGCAGACTATCCAGGAAACAAGGTTCACAGACCAAATTAAGATACTCGTATTACACAGTTTATTAAACCAATTTAAAACACAGCGAGAAGTAAAGAAAGGGATGGAGTAAGTTAACCACGCAGGACAGGCTGCAAATGGGGTTGAAAGACCACTCCCTAAATCCTGGGCATTCTCAGTGTGCCTATGTCCTGTCTCTCTTTGCCTCACGAGACTTCCCCAGAATTGAGTTTTGAGCAAGAGGCCCCACAGACAAAAGGTGCCCAGGGCCAACAGCAAATGACATGAACTTGCGCTACTGGAGAGACACAGGTGCAAGTGTGCCAGGTCACGAGTATAGCCTGATAAGTAGTAATGGGTTTCATTTGTGTTTCTTGCACAGAGGACACCTGGGGCCAGAATAGGTATCACTAGTGGGTGCCAAATTAAGACCTTATGGCTATTGTGTTCATGTATATGGAGCATATCCTAAATAGTGCTTCTTGTATATTTTTATATCATGAATATTTATTACCCAGATACTTAGGATACCTTAAATATCTCTTGTTCTTCAATTCTTACCTCTGTGTTTAACACATCTCAAGAATTCTGCCTGTGTCTAACAAACTACTTGCTACTTATCTATGCTTAAAACATCTTAAAAGGTTTCACCTGTTTACAAATTACTCTATCATTTATAATTGAATACTCTTAAAAGTAAATATATATTCGCTCTGTATTAACCTAATTGAGAGATCTTTCACGTGAAACAAATGTGCAACAATAAATCTAAATGTTTAAGTTATTAGAGATTATTTTTACTCTCATAAGAATGAAAGTGGTAAGGCAAAAATTAGACTGTTTTAGAGAAAAAGTTAATAACAAAATTTAAAGGTGTTTCCCAGGGTCAAAATTTTTTGACTAGTCTTCACATGTGACTTAAGTTAAAGCCACAGTAGGAAAAATACAACAAAAACCCTAATGAACCTTAAGACTTACCAATTAATTTCACTAATTCTAAATGGTGTTTTTTCTCAATATACGATGTGCCGTATATTTGATTCTCAATAGATGGAAACTGATGATCAACACATAAGATATATAATGCAATTAAATAAACATAGTCTACTTAAAGTCTATAGAAATCCAAACATTAAGCCAGCATATTCTTTTCCTGACTATGGTAGATACATGGAAATTTGCTTCCTTTTGAAACCAAGAGATCAGAATTCATTCTTAAATTCTGATTCTTCTGCTCTTAAGGCAGAAAGCTGTTTGTTGCCTTTTCCTTTGGGACAACCAACAGTCGTCTAACAAAGAATCCAACAAACAAAAAGTCAAAAATTTAAAATTGAGTAGGAAAAATCTGTCAGAGCTTCTTAGACTGGTTTCTTCATACATGTGTGCAGCCTCACGTGAGTGCCTTTTATTTTTCAGGAAATGCTTGATATAATGAAAGCAATATACGATATGATGGGTAAATGTACATATCCTGTCCTCAAAGAAGATGCTCCCAGACAACACGTTGAAACATTTTTTCAGGTAGGAATTAAAACAGAAGTCAAGAGGGCATGAAGTTAGGAGAAAATTTCCTGATGTTTGCCATGCACCACGATGATTCAAAAGAGAGCAAAGGAAAATAATTTTTACTGAAACAAAACAGTATTTAGCATCCTATTAATTTAATAGCTTTGGTTTTGAATTTACAATGCTGATAACTGCATTTATTGAACATTCACTAAATCCAAGATACAACACTAAACAGTTCTCATGTTTCACAAGTTTTGTTTTCATTCAGTTTTTACAAGAATCCTATAAATCCTCATTAATCTCATTTTACAGATGAGACAAAAAGCAAGCTCTGAAAGTTTCAGCAAATTGCGCAAGCTCTGTCACATCTAGAAGGTGGGATTTTACCTAGGACAGAGTGACTCTACATCTTCACCACATTATATTGAAAAGGGAAAAGCCAGAAGCATTTGGCCCTATCATTTTTATCTCTAAAAAACTGCTGGTTCCTGCTCTGAAACAGTTCCTCCACGTGAAATAAATAAGCAGCTAGGTTTTCTTTTTATCAGCTTCAGCTCATTTGGTCCAGGTGTGAGGGTATTAAGGGATAAGTCTAAATACAATTTTTGTTTTCTTCCTGAACAGAAAATGGACAAAAATAAAGATGGGGTTGTTACCATAGATGAGTTCATTGAAAGCTGCCAAAAAGTAAGTAATGAAAGTGTAATAACTATCAATTCAGCTATCATAACAGCTAAACTGAGTATTAGCAGCTAGCTACCATGAACTGGGCGAAATATAGAGATCATATGCCTAAGTTTACCACTTCTACAACATGCAGCATAAGCCTACCACTCTGAAAACAAGCACCAATTACATAATCAACATTTAGAGTGCCCACTGAGTCAGGCTATGGAGGAAACCCTGGGGATACAAAAGTTGTACATGTACTGTGTTGATTCCCAAATTCCTTAGAGAGTATTCATGGAGGATAAAACATACATGAGATTTGAATTGCTCTTTGCCAAAACTTAGCATCACTCATATATTATCTATCATATCTCCACAGCATTAGAATTCCTAGATAGCCAAGTATGGCATCACAACAGGCCAAGCTTCTATCTGATTTCTAAGAGAAAAGTCATTGTTTTAGTGTATGTGGACAAGAAATGGCTCTTTGACTGAACTCACTAATGGTCTTCAGTCACAAAAAATAAACAGTGGAAAATTTTCTCTGAAGAGAACTCCAGGTAGTAGCCTGTTATCAAAGAAACCAGTGTTAGCTTACTTAGAATTATTTGACTTGATGTGTGGGCAGAACCACAGTTAAAAATTGTTAAGGCCTGGTACAGTAGCTCACAACTGTAATCCCAGCACTATGGGAGGCTGAGGCGGGAAGATAACTTAAGGCCAGGATTTTGAGTCCAATGTGGGCAACATAGCAAGACCCTATCTATCTCTACAAAAAAAAATTAAGTTAGCTGGGCACGGTGGCACGTGGCTGAAGTCTCAGCTACTTGGGAGGCTGAGGCAGGAAGATCACTTGATCCCTGTTGAGCCATGATTGTGCCACTGCACTCCAGAATGATGGGCAACAGAAATAGACTCTGCCTCAAAACTAAAAAAAGAAAAAAAGAATTTTTCAAATAATCCTGAAAACAAAGAAATCCGTTGTTTCTTTAGTTTTTCTCTTTATTTTTAAATTGTTGTTCTTACTTTTCTGGATGTCTGCTTGTCTCTCAACTTGGATTTCCATGCAGTGGTCTTTGAGAGAATTAATTTGGTGACATTAAGCTGCTTGACGGTGATGTTACTTGGTTTCTAGCAGTGGAAGCCATTATTGGTTCAGCCACCATTTACCACTACCATAAACAGCTCAGTAAGTGCTATTCACATGCAACTGACAAGTGCTCCAATAATGCCCAAAGTCTGTCCCCTAACTCATTTCTAAAGAATATGCTAAACTGAACACAGCCACTGAGCAGTGGTTTCTGCTCCCCAATTCTTTCTCTGTAATTGAGAGACCATTCATTTTTAAAGGCTCCTTCAGGCCATGCAGCTTTAGCCATAACTAGCAGACAGAAAGAGAGATGATTACTGCAAACATGTTACCTCTTAATCCACCACCCTGCCTCCTATGCGCCAGCCTCCAATCTTCATGAACTGCTGGCTCATACACACAAATTTTCCTTGTACCTGTATAAAAGTCTGTGTGATTTGGCCTGTGATCTACATAGAATGCCAAAATTCTCATTTGCTTTGACACACCTCTGCACCTCTGTAGTTTCCATTTTGGCATTATGATTTGAGAAATATCCTCTATTAATACCAAGTAAAGATTTAAATAAAGTGGTTTAATGCCTGGTCAATAGACTCCACAAAATATAAAATGGGTCCTTCATAGTCATCTATGTGGAAAATGGATAGAATAGAATGGCATTTACATTTGCAAACACTTAATATTTGAGCTTTTGGCATAGGTGGTTGAGGTGGTTGATGGGAGGAGGCAATACTCAGGGGCAAAATAGTGTACTTTTCCTTGCAGATATGCTGAATTTAATCGCTCTGTGTTTCTCCCTTACAGGATGAAAACATAATGCGCTCCATGCAGCTCTTTGAAAATGTGATTTAACTTGTCAAATAGATCCTGAATCCAACAGACAAATGTGAACTATTCTACCACCCTTAAAGTTGGAGCTACCACTTTTAGCATAGATTGCTCAGCTTGACACTGAAGCATATTATGCAAACAAGCTTTGTTTTAATATAAAGCAATCCCCAAAAGATTTGAGCTTTCAGTTATAAATTTGCATCCTTTTCATAATGCCACTGAGTTCAGGGGATGGTCTAACTCATTTCATACTCTGTGAATATTCAAAAGTAATAGAATCTGGCATATAGTTTTATTGGTTCCTTAGCCATGGGATTATTGAGGCTTTCACATATCAGTGATTTTAAAATATCAGTGTTTTTTGCTACTCATTTGTATGTATTCAGTCCTAGGATTTTGAATGGTTTTCTAATATAGTGACATCTGCATTTAATTTCCAGAAATTAAATTAATTTTCATGTTTGAATGCTGTAATTCCATTTAAATTCCATTTATATACTTTAAGGAAACAAGATTACAACAATTAAAAAAACACATAGTTCCAGTTTCTATGGCCTTCCCACCTTCTGTTAGAAATTAGTTTTATCTGGCATTTTTAAACATTTAAAAATTATTAAACATTTAAAAATTAGTTTATTATCAGATATCAGCATATGCCTAATAAAACTTATTTTAATAAGCATTTAATTTTCCATAATATGTTACAGCCAAGGCCTATATAATAATTTTGGATTTGTTCAATCTTTCTTACAGGCTGTTTTCTATTGTATCAATCATTAGTATCAATCATTAAGTGGAAGTTGAAGAAGGCATCAAACAAAACAAGGATGTTTACAGACATATGCAAAGGGTCAGGATATCTATCCTCCAGTATATAGTAATGCTTAATAACAAGTAATCCTAACAGCATTAAAGGCCAAATCTGTCCTCTTTCCCCTGACTTCCTTACAGCATGTTTATTTATATTACAAGCCATTCAGGGACAAAGAAAGAAACCTTGACTACCCCACTGTCTACTAAGAACAAACAGCAAGCAAAATTAGCAAGCAAAATTCACTTTGAAAGCACCAGTGGTTCCATTACATTGACAACTACTACCAAGATTTAGTAGAAAATAAGTGCTCAACAACTAATCCAGATTACAGTATGATTTAGCTCATCATAATTCAGATTATTTTTAATCATCTTAGCCAAAACTGTAAAGTTGCCACATTACTAAAGCCACACACATCGTCCCTGTTTTGTAGAAATATCACAAAGACCAAGAGGCTACAGAAGGAGGAAATTTGCAACTGTCTTTGCAACAATAAATCAGGTATCTATTCTGGTGTAGAGATAGGATGTTGAAAGCTGCCCTGCTATCACCAGTGTAGAAATTAAGAGTAGTACAATACATGTACACTGAAATTTGCCATCACGTGTTTGTGTAAACTCAATGTGCACATTTTGTATTTCAAAAAGAAAAAATAAAAGCAAAATAAAATGTTTATAACTCTACTGTCTATGTTACAGGTCTTTTCCAAGAAATTTTGTAATTAATTAAATCTTACAGTACTTTCTAGATGGCAGATAGCTCTGGATGGTGCTCAATGCAATGAAAACAGGTAAAAGCAAGGCCAGCAGGCAGGCAGCTGTTGTAGCCAGAGGGAATTGCTTCTATTACATCAAAATTCTGAACTATGTCTATATTATATTTTAAAAGCTTCTTAAAAATTGCTAAACATAAGCACAACAAAATCAATGAATGCATGTACAAGTTTTAACATTTTAATTGCTGAATATCTTTAAGTGAACATCAGTATTTTCTGGCTATGAAATGCAAAAATAACACATTTACTTAAATACAGTTAACACCTAAAATTTAGGTAGTTGTAATGAGTTGTAATAAACAACATACTTGTAATAGAATTTACAGAATTAGAAAAAATTTTTTAAACTAGAATACTCTGAAAATTTTCCAAGCATTGTACATTATAAAATACATATTTACAAATAATATTAGTAGTGTATTCATGGGGCCAGGCATGGTGGCTCACACCTGTAATCCCAGCACTTTGGAAGTCCACTGTGGGAGGATCACTCACCAGAATTCTGAGACCAGCCTGGACAACAGAGTGAGATCCCATCTCTACAAGCAAATTTCAAAATTAGCTGGGCATGGTGGCACACGCCTATAGTCCCAGCTAATCAGGAGGCTGAGATGAAAAGGATCATCTGAGCACAAAAATTTGAGGCTTGCGGTGAGCTATGATTATGCCACTGCACTCCAGTCTGGGCAACAAAGCAAGACCGCTTTTCTCTTTTAAAACAATTTTTTAAAAGTGTATTCACAAACATTTGTCCACTATTTTAAACTTCTATAGCCTTGTTAAACATTAAACCCAAGAAATGGCAAACTATCTATAAAAATAAGGGCACAGCTACAAACTGATTGCCAAAAAAGTGTTGTTATAAATAAAAAGACACTAGAAAATACAAATACATCTTATCTTGCAAACTCAATAATGGTTCTTCGCACAAATAATAAAAATACAAAAAATAAACCTCAAAATTGTACTCTTATAGAACTTATTTTAATAACTTTCCATTAGTAACTGTTCTTTTTTGTTGATGAATAACTTTGATTCAGTGTCTATTCATCTTAACCTAGTAAATAATGAATGGTGGCTGTGATTTACAAAAGAATAAAATAAATGAGTACCCACAGTTAGTGCTTGACACGTCAACAGGTAGAAAAAACAATTTTTGTTGGCTCCCTTCTTCAACAGCATATGGAGCAGTATGTTGGAATTTTAGATTTGATGATGCTAAGGCTCCCCTGTCAACAGAAAAAAATTGAGCATCATTAGTATCATGCAGAGTTCCCCTAATAGGTATTATATTTGCAGGAATATGCCTAGAAAGTATCTAAAACTCAAACAAAAAGGGGTAAGAACAAAATGATGAAATAAGAAGGACTTTTTGCTGAGTTAAATAAAATATAGGCTGTTTCTTTCTCTTTTTTTGAAGTATCTAACTAGAGAAGTAGTTAGAAGCCAGACTACCAGTATCTGAATTCAGCATCTACTAGTCACTTATTCGTCAAACCTGGACTAATTACTTTTCTGTGCCTAAGTTCCGTGATCTTTAGAGGGAGATAACAACAAAATCTCCCTCTGATGACTAGGAAGAGTAAATGGGTTTCATGTCTAAAAAGTACTCAGCAGAGTACCTGCCATGTAATAAGTTCCCACACAATCAATAAAGATCAGGATTTGCATTGTGCCTTTTCCAAAATAAATGTGCATTTCACTTAGAAAAAAAATCAAATCAGGCTAAGAATGAACTGATTTCAATTTAAGGCAGATCAGTTCTAAGAAAGTAACACTGTGACTATCTGTAACAGATATTTTCCTGTATCCAAAAGTTGAATAGTTCCATCATTGATATACACAAGTCCCAAGAAATGAGAAACCACAACTGAGAACACTCATTTTTAAAGACTTAATTTCTAATATTTTAAGAAAGAAAGAGATATATAAGCTTTTAAGGTCTTAGAAGAGAAAGAAGAACATTCATTAGTTTCATGAAGGATTACGAAGTAACAGAAATTAGCACAATAATAAGCCAAGAGAAAGTCTTTGGTATGTAATTGCAATAGGAAATTTTCTATTCCAATTACATCAATCATTATTAAAATATTATGTAGGATATAAGAAGGAGGAAACAAGAGGAGTCAGAAGAAAATAAATAATAACAGCCCTTGTAGCTACAAAATCTTTTTTAAAATTCTGTATTAGCAACATTCAAAGCTAGTAAGATGGAGTAGTAAAAAAAGAATTTGATATTTCTGGGATCCTGGATTACTCAACTACAGCTCTGTGTTCCCCTTCCAAATCTTAATGTGCCGTTTCTAAACTTTATTTACACATATACTATCTCCTCCTCCACACCCCCTCCACTCCCACCACAAAATCTAACATGCTTGGCCTGTCCCTTTCTACTTGTCCCATTTCCCATACCGGCCCACAGGATATGGAAAATCACCTAGGGAGCGTTTCCCACTGAAAAGCTGTGGCATCATTATTTAGCATTTGTTCACTTCCACTCCACAGAAGAAGAAAGGAGAAATATATTTTGCATTTAAATTCTCAGAAGAGCAAGCAAGAATTTCCTTGCTGCAGAGGAGACATGGGATTAGCTAGAGGAAAGTTCTGCACATCTCCTCAACAAGGTGTCTGAATGTTAATACTCTGCCTAGGACCCAAACACAACAAAGAAATTCATTATCTAGTAGGCTTAGACACTTACTTCCTCTTGTCAACTGTATTCTAGGCATCCATCATGGAAAGAATATAATCAATCAAACAACTCATTGAGATTGGTCAAATGAGGTATTTCGCTAAAGCTTTATGTCTGCCATTTTAAAATTGTATATGATCAGGTAAATTTTCTCATAACTAATTCCTTTAGAAGTACCTACAATGGAACTAAGTTATACAATGTTAAGATGGTCACATGCAATTCTATCATTAAGATCTGATTAAACAAAATTTCCAAAAGCAAGGACTGCTTTTATGGAAATATTTCTAAGACGAGATTATCTGAATGCTTCTTTCAAATGCTAAAAATTCAATTAGTCTAGTAATCTGACACCATACAGTTATGAAATCCTCCATATTTTTGTACCTTGAAAAGTTAGAATAACCAATTAAACTATTCCAGCACTGTGTGTGCATATGTGTCCGTGTGTGTGTGTGTGTGTGTGTGTACACCTATGGGGGTATGCACGCACTTACAGACAGAATAGTGTAATCATCTGGACGTCTGAGTCAGAAAAGGCAGCAAATGAAAGAGAAAAAGGTATTTTTCCTCAAAGAGCTAAGTTAATCGTTCGGTTTTCTGAACTTTTCGATGGTCAAAACTAAACCACTGAAAATACTTTTAAGAAAAAAACTGTACCACTGCGCCACACTGAGTGCCACATTAAGCACTGTGAAAGTGTACACAAGCCCTATATTTATTCAACCTGAGTCTGGTCTGAGTCGCAGGGCTTGAGAACAGTGTGACCTAGAGACAGAAACTCTTGAGTTCTAAAAGGAAAATAACAGCATCAATTTCACATAGTTACCTGTGGCTGAAATGAGATAGTATATGTTAAATATATATATATGTCAATTTAGTAATACACCTAAAAGTTAAAAAAAAAGACTTAAGGAATAATATTCTACTTACACTTCCACCATGTTGCTCTAGCTTTTGTAATGCGCTGGTGATTGGCTCTTTGAATTTCTTGTCCATTAATCTCTTGGAAAGCTTTTAAAGTAAGATTAGGGGGAAACGAAATGACTTTAAACTTAACAATGCTCACCATACGCATAAGTAAATCTTCAGGAGCACCCCTTGTTTTAGATTTCAAGGCTTTTTTTAGGAAGCATCTCATTGAAATTTACATGTATAAGGTACCTCTGTATTTGTTTTAAAAAACAATGAATTTACATTATTTCAGGTAAAACCAATCCTATAAAATCTGCTTCAGTATGCTATCTGAAGTAAGGTTTCTATAAAATAGCATATTTTGTGATTCTGTAATTTGCAAGAGCATTGAGGACCATGATGGAAAGCTGTGCCTCTAAAACACACATTTTCCTGCAATAAAAAGGGAAGAGAAGACAAAGGATGGAGGATTTACATGAGTAATTTATAAGAGTGAATGCCCTGGGGATGGACAGGGTCCCTCTCTAGTCTTCCAGTTGCTTTCTTCAGACTGCATTACCCTACTGAATCTGTATACACTCTGTATAGCACAGAGGTTTACATGCAGATCCATGGGCCATCAGCCTCAGAATCACTTGAGATGCTGTTTAAAAATGCAGATTCTTGGGTCTCACGCCATACTTAACCAGAATCCCAGAGCAGAAGCCCAGAATCTACATTTTTAAGCAAGATTTTCAGGTGATTTATTCCCTCTTTAAAGTCCCATACATTTGCAGCTCAGAAAAGGTATAGCTTATTTTGCATAGAGGAAAAAATGAGTTGTATACAGGGGTTCAGTAACTGGTTTTGAAAAACTTTTTCTAGAAGAATAATACCCTTTCTTCCAATAAACTTCTAATGTAGAAGTCTATAAACCCCATAAAAATGAAGGCTTTGAGGCTGAAATGTATGGAAGATGGGGGTGAGGGACGAAGGGGATCCGATAGCACCTCATTGACATCCTCAGTGGTGTCTGTCTCATAGTTAGTGGTAATAGACCAGGAACTAACCCTCACACAACCTATTTCTAGAACTCTTTATATAACACCAGGATCTGATGGTCAGGGTGGTGTCTAGGTCTTCCCAAAGTGCTGGCAGCCCAGGAAAGCTAGATACCCGTTCAGTCAGTCCTTGTCTAGGAAAAGCAGAGCTCTGAGGAGGAATGCAAGTGACCAAAGATAAACGCCACTGACCCAGAAAGATTAGAAAACAAAACAAATGTATACAACTGTTAATCTGGTCTTTTCTTTCTGCCATCGGAGGTGGGACTTAGAGGCTATTTAGGAAGCCTTGCTTGACTGACTTTGAGGAAGGATCCAGTGTGATTCCTTTTCTCTACATATCACATCCCTTTGACTCCATCCCAATTTTCTCAGCAGATGTCCTTGCTGCTTATTTCTACATCCCCCACCCACCTGCAAAAACAAAAACAAAAAAACAAAAAAAACCCAAAACCAAAACCAATAATCTCCACAAGGACTGAGAGCATGCCTGTTTCTGCTCAGATTATATTCTCACTGCTTGGCATACCTGGCACAAAACAGGAGGGCAGAGTGCAAGAGATTATTATTAAACGACTGAATATTTGAATGAGTCACTTTGTATACTAGTGTGAAATTCCTGTAGTTGGTCAGCCACACCCCCTGACATGAAGCTTACAAATATCTGCCAAGATTCTCTTTCTTCTGTCATAAGACTCCTCATATGTCAAGGCTTGAAAGTCTATTCTCACTATGTCTTCTCCTCACCTGAAACCTCACGGAATTTCATCTACCACCTATGAGCATACCTATCCTGATAGAGTCACCATCGCACCTACTTCTTATACCATTAACCAGGTAGTTCCTAGGGTGTATTGGAACAGGTAGTTCCTAGTTGTGGAATAGGAAGTTAAAAATACAGTTCTAGGATCTCTCATATGGATGTATCCAAGAAAAAACAGTGGAACCATTATCAAAATCATACCTCAGCTGTGAAATACAGAAGAATGCAGACAGGGAGGTCCTATCTAACTCTTTAATTTTTCTATCAGTATGCGGTATAGAACTTCCCTTGCCTAAAGTTTGGCCCTTGCCCCTAGCTCTTGAATGATAACCTCTAAGCTCTTGGAATGTCCTCCTGGATAGGGTATCCTTGTCAACATGGGAGTTTCGGGTGACACCAGGTAGTCTATACAATGTGATTTATGATGGGAACTTTGGTTCACAGGGTATTAGCTCGATTTCTAGAGAGGGTGTAGACTAAAGTCAACCACACAGGCAGGCAGTCTTGCCTGCATGACAGACACCAATAAAAACCCTGGACACTAAGGCTCACATGAGCTTCTCTAGTTGGCAATACTCCATGCACGTTGCCACACATTGTTGCTGGAAGAAGTAAACACTGCATGAAGAAGGGGGCGGTTCCAAGATGGCCGAATAGGAAGAGCTCCAGTCTACAGCTCCCAGCGTGAGTGACGCAAAACACAGGTGATTTCTGCATTTCCAACTGAGGTACCGGGTTCATCTCACTGGGGCTTGTTGGACAGTGGGTGCAGGACAGCGGGTATAGCGCACCAAGTGTGAGCCGAAGCAGGGCGAGGCATCGCCTCACCCGGGAAGCGCAAGGGATCAGGGAATTCCCTTTCCTAGCCAAGCAAAGCTGTGACAGATGGCACCTGGAATATCGAGTCACTCCCAACTTAATACTGCACTTTTCCAATGGTCTTAGCAAACAGCACACCAGGAGATTATATCCTGTGCCTGGCTCAGAGAGTCCCATGCCCATGGAGCCTCGCTCATTGCTAGCACAGCAGTCTGGGATAGAACTGCAAGGCGGCAGCAAGGCTGGGAGAGGGGCGCCCGCCATTGCTGAGGTTTCAGCAGGTAAACAAAGCAGCTGGGAAGCTCAAACTGGGTGGAGCCCACCACAGCTCAAGGAGGCCTGCCTGCCTCTGTAGACTCCACCTCTGGGGGCAGGGCATAGCCAAACAAAAGGCAGCAGAAACCTCTGCAGACTTAAATGTCCCTGTCTGACAGCTTTGAAGAGAGTAGTGGTTCTCCCAGCACGGAGTTTGAGATCTGAGAACGGACAGACTGCCTCCTCAAGTGGGTCCCTGACCCGTGAGTAGCCTAACTGAGAGGCACCCCCCAGTAGGGGCAGACTGACACCTCACACGGCCGAGTACCCCTCTGAGACGAAACTTCCAGAGGAACGATCAGGCAGCAACATTTGCTGTTCAGCAATATTCGCTGTTCTGCAGCCTCCACTGCTGATACCCAGGCAAACAGGGTCTGGAGTGGACCTCCAGCAAACTCCAACAGACCTGCAGCTGAGCGTCCCAACTGTTAGAAGGAAAACTAACAAACAGAAAGGACATCCACACCAAAACCCCACTTGTACGTCACCATCATCAAAGACCAAAGGTACATAAAACCACAAAGATGGGGAAAAAACAGAGCAGAAAACCTGAAAATTCTAAAAATCAAAGCGCCTCTCCCCCTCCAAAGGAACACAACTCCTCACCAGAAACGGAACTAAGCTGGACGGAGAATGACTTTGACGAGGTGACAAAAGAAGGCTTCAGACGATCAAACTTTTGCGAGCAAAAGGAGGAAGTTTGAACCCATTGCAAAGAAGCTAAAAACATTGAAAAAAGATTAGATGAATGGCTAACTAGAATAACCAGTGTAGAGAGGACCTTAAATGACCTGATGGAGCTGAACACCATGGCACGAGAACTACATGACGAATGCACAAGCTTCAGTAGCCGACTCAATCGAGTGGAAGAAAGGGTATCAGTGATTGAAGATCAAATGAATGAAATGAAGCGAGAAGTGAAGTTTAGAGAAAAAAGAGTAAAAAGAAAGGAACAAAGCCTCCAAGAAATATGGAACTATGTGAAAAGACCAAATCTACGTCTGATTGGTGTACCTGAAAGTGACAGGGAGAATGGAACCAAGTTGGAAAACACGCTGCAGGATATTATCCAGGAGAACTTTCCCAACTTAGCAAGGCAGGCCAACATTGAAATTCAGGAAATACAGAGAATGCCACCAAGATACTTCTTGAGAAGAGCAACTCCAAGACACATAATTGTCAGATTCACCAAGGTTGAAATGAAGGAAAAAATATTAAGGGCAGCCAGAAGGAAAGGCTGGGTTACCCACAAAGGGAAGCCCATCAGACTAACAGCAGAACTCGTGGCAGACACTCTACAAGCCAGAAGAGAGTGGGGCCAATATTCAACATCCTTAAAGAAAAGAATTTTCAACCCAAAATTTCATATCCAGCCAAACTAAGCTTCATAAGCGAAGGACAAATAAAATCCTTTACAGACAAGCAAATGCTGATTTTGTTACCACAAGGCCTGCCTTACAAGAGCTCCTGAAGGAAACACTAAACATGGAAAGGAACAACCTGTACCAGCCACTGCAAAAACAAGCCAAATTGTAAAGACCATCGAGGCTAGGAAGAAACTGCATCAACTAATGAGCAAAATAATCAGCTAACATCATAATGACAGGATCAGATTCACACAAAACAATACTAACCTTAAATATAAATGGGCTAAATGCTCCAATTAAAAGACACAGACTGGCAGATTGGATAAAGAGTCGAGACCCATCAGTGTGCTGTATTCAGGAGACCCATCTCATGTGCAGAGACACACATAGGCTCAAAATAAAAGGATGGAGGAAGATCTACCAAGCAAATGGAAAACAAAAAAAAGGCAGAAGTTGCAATCCTAGTCTCTGATAAAAGACTTTAAACCAACAAAGATCAAAAGAGACAAAGAAGGCCATTACATAATGGTAAAGGGATCAATTCAACAAGAAGGGCTAACTATCCTAAATATATATGCACCCAATACAGGAGCACCCAGATTCATAAAGCAAGTCCTGAGTGACCTACAAAGAGATTTCGACTCCCACACAATAATAATGGGAGACTTTAACACCCCACTGTCAACATTAGACAGATCAACGAGACAGAAAGTTAACAAGGATACCCAGGAATTGAACTCACCTCTGCACCAAGCAGACCTAATAGACATCTACAGAACTCTCCACCCCAAATCAACAGAATATACATTCTTCTCAGCACCACATCACACTTATTCCAAAATTGACCACATAGTTGGAAGTAAAGCACTCCTCAGCAAATGTAAAAGAACAGAAATTATAACAAACTGTCTCTCAGACCACAGTGCAATCAAACTAGAACTCAGGATTAAGAAACTCACTCAAAACCGCTCAACTACATGGAAACTGAACAACCTGCTCCGGAATGACTGCTGGATACATAATGAAATGAAGGCAGAAATAAAGATGTTCTTTGAAACCAATGAGAACAAAGACACAATGTACCAGAATCTCTGGGACATATTTAAAGCAGTGTGTAGAGGGAAATTTATAGCACTAAAAGCCCACAAGAGAAAAGCAGGAAAGATCTAAAACTGATACCCTAACATCACAATTAAAAGAACTAGAGAAGCAAGAGCAAACACATTCAAAAGCTAGCAGAAGTCAAGAAATAACTAAGATCAGAGCAGAATTGAAGGAGATAGAGACACAAAACACCCTTCAAAAAATCAATGACTCCAGGAGCTGGTTTTTTTGAAAAGATCAACAAAATTGATAGACTGCTAGCAAGACTAATAAAGTAAAGAGAGAAGAATCAAATAGACGCAATAAAAAATGATACAAGGGATATCACCACCAATCCCACAGAAATACAAACTACCATCAGAGAATACTATAAACACCTCTATGCAAATAAACTAGAAAATCTTGCAGAAATGGATGAATTCCTGGACACATACACCCTCCCAAGACTAAACCAGGAAGAAGGTGAATCTCTGAATAGACCAATAACAGGCTCGGAAATTGAGGCAATAGTTAATAGCTTACCAACCAAAAAAAGTCCAGGACCAGATGGATTCACAGCTGAATTCCACCAGAGGTACAAGGAGGAGCTTGTACCATTCTTCTGAAACTATTCCAATCAATAGAAAAAGAGGGAATCCTCCCTAACTCATTTTATGAGGCCAGCATCATGCTGATACCAAAACCTGGCAGAGACACAACAAAAAAAAGAATTTAAGACCAATATCCCTGATGAACATCAATGCAAAAATCCTCAATAAATTACTGGCAAACCGAATCCAGCAGCACATCAAAAAGCTTATCCACCATGACCAAGTGAATAAGCTTCATCCCTGGGATGCAAGGCTGGTTCAACATATGCAAATTAATAAATGTAATCCAGCATATAAACAGAACCAAAGACAAAAACCACGATTATCTCGATAGATGCAGAAAAGGACTTTGTCAAAATCAGCAACCCTTCATGCTAAAAACTCTCAATAGATTAGGTATTGATGGGACGTATCTCAAAATAATAAGAGCTATTTATGACACACCCACAACCAATATCATACTGAATGGGTAGAAACTGGAAGCATTCCCTTTGAAAACTGGCACAAGACAGGGATGCCCTCTCTCACCACTCCTATTCAACATAGTGTTGGAAGTTCTGGCCAGGGCAATCAGGCAGGAGAAAGAAATAAAGGGTATTCAATTACGAAAAGAGGAAGTCAAATTGTCCCCGTTTGCAGATGACATGATTGTATATCTAGAAAACCCCATCGTCTCAGCCCAAAATCTCCTTAAGCTGATAAGCAACTCAGCAAAGTCTCAGGATACAAAATCAATGTGCAAAAATCACAAGCATTCTTATACACCAATAACAGACAGAGAGCCAAATCATGAGTGAACTCCCATTCACAACTGCCTCAAAGAGAATAAAATACCTAGGAATCCAACTTACAAGGGATGTGAAGGACCTCTTCAAGGAGAACTACAAACCACTGCTCAACAAAATAAAAGAGGACACAAACAAATGGAAGAAGATTCCATACTCATGGATAGGAAGAATCAATATGGTGAAAATGGCCATACTGCCCAAGGTAATTTACAGAATCAATGCCATCCCCATCGAGCTACCAATGACTTTCTTCACAGAATTGGAAAAGAACTACTTTAAAGTTCATATGGAAACAAAAAAGAGCCCACATTGCCAAGACAATCCTAAGCCAAAAGAACAAAGCTGGAGGCATCACACTACCTGACTTCAAACTATACTACAAGGCTACAGTAACCAGAACAGCATGGTACTGGTACCTAAACAGAGATATTGACCAATGGAACAGAACAGAGGCCTCAGAAATAATACCACACATCTACAACCATCTGATCTTTGACAAACCTGACAGAAACAAGCAATGGGGAAAGGATTCCCTATTTAATAAATGGTGCTGGGAAAACTGGCTAGCCATATGGAGAAAGCTGAAACTGGATCCCTTCCTTACACTTTATACAAAAATTAATTCAAGATGGATTAAAGACTTAAATGTTAGACCTAAAACCATAAAAACCCTAAAAGAAAACCTAGGCAATACCATTCAGGACATAGGCATGGGCAAGGACTTCATGTCTAAAACACAAAAAGCAATGGCAACAAAAGCCAAAATTGACAACTGGTGTCTAATTAAACTAAAGAGCTTCTGCACAGCAAAAGAAACTACCATCAGAGTGAACAGGCAACCTACAGAATGGGAAAAAATTTTTGCAATCTACTCATCTGACAAAGGGCTAATATCCAGAATCCACAAAGAACTCAAACAAATTTACAAGAAAAAAACAAACAACCCCATCAAAAAGTGGGTGAAGGATACGAACAGACACTTCTCAAAAGAAGACATTTATGCAGCCAACAGACACATGAAAAAATGCTCATCATCACTGGCCATTAAGAAATGCAAATCAAAACCACAATGAGATACCATCTCACACCAGTTAGAATGGCAATCATTAAAAAGTCAGGAAACAACAGGTGCTGGAGAGGATGTGGAGGAATAGGAACACTTTTACACTGTTGGTGGGACTGTAAACCAGTTCAACCATTGTGTAAGACAGTGTGGCGATTCCTCAAGGATCTAGAACTAGAAATACCATTTGACCCAGCCATCCCATTACTGGGTATATACCCAAAGGATTATAAAACATGTTGCTATAAAGACACATGCACATGTATGTTTATTGCGGCACTATTCACAATAGCAAAGACTTGGAACCAACCCAAATGTCCATCAATGATAGACTGGATTAAGAAAATGTGGCACATATACACCATGGAATACTATGCAGCCATAAAAAAGGATGAGTTCATGTCCTTTGTAGGGACACGGATGAAGCTGGAAACCATTATTCTCAGCAAACTAGCTCAAGGACAGAAAACCAAACACGGCATGTTCTCACTCATAGGTGGGAATTGAACAATGAGAATACTTGGACACAGGAAGGGGAACATCACACACCAGGGCCTGTCGGGGGAGGGATACCATTAGGAGATATACCTAATGTAAATGATGAGTTACTGGGTTCAACACACCAACATGGCACACGTATACATACGTAACAAACCTGCACGTTGTGCACATGTACCCTAGAACTTAAAGTATAATTAAAACAAACAAACAAACAAAAAAAAAACACTGCATGAATAACTTCACTAGGAGAAGAAAACTGAAAACTCCATGACTGGTCTCTCATGGACCCTGCCCTATGTGCCTCTTACCTTTGCTGATTTTAATCTTTATTTTTTGTGTGTTGTAAGAAACCATAACAGCCAGTAACAGCTTTCCTGAGTTCCATGGATCCTTCTGGCAAATCATCAAACCTAAGAGTGGTCTTGGGAACCTCATGAGCTGCACAGGGTCCTAGTAAATATTTATATTAAAGATTAAAGTTATACATATCAGGAAAAGGTCTCTTCCTGAATGCAATTTACAGATTCACTAAAACATCGCAATGAAAAACAAAAATACTTAAACATGTTTGGTAACATATAATTACACAAGACAGTGTATGGGCACTGCTTACATTCATAGTTAATCAACATGAGCATAATACCATCTTACCATTCATTAGCTTTTATCCATTCGACTTTTGGTTTTTTTTTGAAGTGCAGACTCGCTCTGTTACCCAGGCTGGCATGCACTGTCACAATCTTGTCCCACTACAACCTCCACCTCCAAGGTTCAAGCAATTCTCCTGTCTCAGCCTCCTGAAGCTGGGACTACAGGTGTATGCCACCACACTTGGCTAGTATTTTGTATTTTAGTAGAGATGGGGTTTCACCATGTTGCCCAGGCTGGTCTCAAACTCCTGAGCTCAGGCAATCCACCCACCTCAGCCTCCAAAGTGTTAGGATTACAGGTGTGAGCCACTACGCCCGGGTGGTTTACTTTTTATTATAACCCTGAACTCTGCTCATGTAGGTGCTTTCCATTTAAAAAAAATAGTAATACTGTCCATTAGTAAAATGTTTTATGAACGATCTGTATATTTTTTGCTAAGGATGATGAGATTTTTAAGGTTTTTTTTATTTTATTTTATTATTATTATACTTTAAGTTTTAGGGTACATGTGCACAATGTGCAGGTTAGTTACATATGTATACATGTGCCATGCTGGTGTGCTGCACCCATTAACTCGTCATTTAGCATTAGGTATATCTCCTAATGCTATCCCTCCCCACTACTCCCACCCCACAACAGTCCCCAGAGAGTGATGTTACCCTTCCTGTGTCCATGTGTTCTCATTGTTCAATTCCCACCTATGAGTGAGAACATGCGGTGTTTGGTTTTTTGTCCTTGTGACAGTTTACTGAGAATGATGATTTCCAGTTTCATCCATGTCCCTACAAAGGAATGAACTCATCATTTTTTATGGCTACATAGTATTCCATGGTGTGTATGTACCACATTTTCTTAATCCAGTCTACCATTGTTGGACATTTGGGTTGGTTCCAAGTCTTTGCTATTTTGAGTAGTGCCACGATAAACATACGTGTGCATGTGTCTTTATAGCAGCATGATTTATAGTCCTTTGGGTATATACCCAGTAATGGGATGGCTGGGTCAAATGGTATTTCTAGTTCTAGATCCCTGAGGAATCGCCACACTGACTTCCACAATGGTTGAACTACTTTACAGTTCCACCAACAGTGTAAAAGTGTTCCTATTTCTCCACATCCTCTCCAACACCTGTTGTTTCCTGACTTTTTAATGACTGCCATTCTAATTGGTCTGAGATGGTATCTCATTGTGGTTTTGATTTGCATTTCCACCAGGCCTGCCCTAAAAGAGCTCCTGAAGGAAGCACTAAACATGGAAAGGAACAACCTGTACCAGCCACTGCAAAATCATGCCAAATTGTAAAGACCACTGAGGCTAGGAAGAAACTGCATCAACTAACGAGCAAAATAACCAGCTAATATCATAATGACGGGATCAAATTCACACATCATAATATTAACTTTAAATGTAAATGGACTAAAATGCTCCAATTAAAAGACACAGACTGGCATATTGGATAAAGAGTCAAGACCCATCAGTGTGCTGTATTCAGGAAATCCATCTCACATGAAGAGACACACATAGGCTCAAAATAAAAGGATGGAGGAAGATCTACCAAGCAAATGGAAAACAAAAAAAGGCAGGGGTTGCAGTTCTAGTCTTGGATAAAACAGACTTTAAACCAACAAAGATCAAAAGAGACAAAGAAGGCCATTACATAATGGTAGAGGGATCAATTCAACAAGAAGAGCTAACTATCCTAAATATATATGCACCCAATACAGGAGCACCCAGATTCATAAAGCAAGTCCTGAGTGACCTACAAAGAGATTTCGACTCCCACACAATAATAATGGGAGACTTTAACACCCCACTGTCAACATTAGACAGATCAACGAGACAGAAAGTTAACAAGGATACCCAGGAATTGAACTCACCTCTGCACCAAGCAGACCTAATAGACATCTACAGAACTCTCCACCCCAAATCAACAGAATATACATTTTTTTCAGCACCACACCACACCTATCCCAAAATTGACCACATAGTTGGAAGTAAAGCTCTCCTCAGCAAATGTAAAAGAACAGAAATCATAACAAACTTGTCTCTCAGACCACAGTGCAATCAAACTAGAACTCAGGATTAAGAAACTCACTCAAAACCGCTCAGCTACATGGAAACTGAACAACCTGTTCCTGAATGACTACTGGGTACATAATGAAATGAAGGCAGAAATAAAGATGTTCTTTGAAACCAACGAGAACAAAGACACAACATACCAGAATCTCTGGGACACATTCAAAGCAGTGTGTAGAGGGAGATTTTTAAGGTTTTGAGTTGAAGATTTGAAATTGTTAAATCATGAAGAGATATGGATGGTGCATGATACATACAGTCAATCATTATCTAATCTTTGCAGTACTTACGCTTGTAAGCAGATGCTTCAGATGGTCGTTTAGAGAAGGACCAACAACGACACTTAGCTGAACTAGAGCATTCAATCCTCTTTCAAACACTTCATCATCCGAATGGACCTGTAAGGTTGGTTAGTTGGGGGATGTATGGACATCAGGGAAGAGAGGAGAAAAGGAAAGAAAAGATAGGTTAGAAAAAAGGGCAAGCAAGTAGAGAAAAGGATAAGATTAAACATCTACAATCAGAAGATAGTCAACAAAACCTAGAATTTTAAAAATAACCTTCAACACAGGACATCTAGAAGCAAAAAACAAATTTTCCATCTGACTGAAGCATTAACTAAAATATATGTAGCATACAGAAAGGCTGATTTGAGGTTCATTACTTCCTCTAATTACTTAAAATGTCCCTTTTTACCTTTAGTACATCCTCTAAAGATGTCTTCAAGTATGTAGTTATCTGGCCCTGAGTAACAGTTGCCTAATTCTGTAAATGTGTCAGAATCACAGATAAAGGACTACTTTGCATATAATATGGAGGGAAAAAGGCATACAATATTCTAAATATATTACAGCTTTCTTTTCTATCATGTTTTCAAATATAAAGTACAATGAAATAAATGACATACCAGAGCTGCCTTTAGCACAGGAATCAGTCTAGGTAGCAAAGGAATAGCTTTTTCAGGAGCACCTTTGACCAAAAGTAATTCTCTAAAACCCTCCTTTGACACAAAAGTGTATGGATGCTTAGTCTCTCTCAGACCCTGACAAAGACCAAGAGGAAACATGATTTACTACCCATTTCATTATGCTAATAACAGAAAAATTGAGTCTTTACTTGCTTAAACAAAAATCAAAAATTTCATTATTGTTTTCCTAATCATGATTATAATTTCAGTAGTTACAATTTCAATTACATTGAGAAACTGTGGGACAAAGGGTCCCTTGGTATCCCAAGGGAAACTGGTTCCAGGGCCCCCCCTCCAATGGATACCAAAACCCGTGGATACTAAAGTTCTTCATATAAAAGAGCATAGTATGTGCACATACTCCCATATACTTTAAATAATCTCTAGATTACTTATAATGCCTATTACAATGGAAATGCTTCATCAATAATTTTTATATTGTATTATTTGTATTTTTTATTTTTGCATTGTATTTTTTTTTAATAGTTTCGATCTGCAGCTAGTTAAAACCCTAGATGTGGAACCCATGGATGGGAAGGGCCAACTGTACATGAGACAGGAGTAATCTCTACTCACAGAAGGGAAGGAAGGGAGAAGAAAAAAAAAATAAGAAAAAGGAAAAGAAAAGAAATGGAAAACAGGGGAGGCAAGAAAAAATATAAGAAGAAAGAGAAAATAAAATAGGAAGGAAGGAAAAAGCAGGAAATGGAAGGAGGAAAAGGAAAGGTAAATGAAACTATAGACAAAAAGAAGGGAAACTCGCTAGGATAATAAAAAGATTTTGTTATGTACACTCACTTTCTGAAAGCAGAGCAAATTAGTCTATGTTTATAACCACTCCTTTATGAATGCATGGCTATAAGATCCCCTACATTTAGTGATTTTATGACTTAATAAGTTCCTAAAATAAATTTCCTTCATATTTAAGTATTTTATATTAACGTATTTAGAAAGCAAGTATCATACTATATGCATTTTAAAGGCATGTTAAGATTTTAAATGTCATTTGTAATACTGAAATGCAGTATGAAAATATTTTAAAAAACTGTAGATCATATCTCACTATGCCTTTCACCCTAAATGCATTAGAAACAATTAGCTAGTACTCTTTTATGATTTAACCAATCATAGTGAGTCAAAAGGGCCATCTGACTTTTTTCGAAATGATAAAGCAAAACAAAATCAACAGTAAACTCCTTTAGTTTGACTAATTATCTATGAAGAAATATAATCAGCTGCAAAATCATGCTTAGAAAAACCAATTTTCAAATAATTTGTCCTTCAGACCTAAATATCTGCTTCCAAATAGTAATCAAACATTTCCTTTCCTTGAAGCTGTCATGCTTTTGAAAACCATCCTGCCAAGCACATGGGCGTCATTTTGGATCAAATAGCAGTGTCCTGTATCCTGTTCATTTTCAAGATAAAAACTCTCAGATTAAAAGCTGAAGTGGATTTCAGCAGTGGTTCTTCTGTCACTACTTATCTGTTAGTAAATGAGGCCAGGAGAAAGATAAAAATCTACTCAATACAGAAAGAAAAGCATTGACATTTGGACAACAGGTATATAAAAGGCTGACTTTAAGCAGAAGTTAGAGTCCCTTTAAGGATATCCCAAATTAAAGCACTCCCTGTACAATATGATTAGCTTCACTACACTTTCAAAGCTATCACCAGTTTTGACTAGTCTAAAAAAAAAAACATGGTTTGCTACCTGGTTTAAAAGGCTTAAGGTTTAAAAAATAAGGAAACATAACTAATTTTGTGTGTGTGTGTGTTTGAGATAGCATCTCACTCTACTGTGCCTGGCTAATGTGATCTTCTTTTTTTTCTTTTTTGTAGAGACAGGGTCTCCCTATGTAGGTCAGGCTGGTCTCAAACTCCTGGGCTCAAGTGATCCTCCTACCTTGGCCTCCTAAAGTGCTGGGATTACAAGCATGAGCCACAGCACCCAGCCTAACCTTTAATGCCAACCTCAAAACTGAATTTCAAAATAGGCTACCTATAAAAATACACTGCTTGTAATACTCGGCAATAAATTAAGAAAAACAAAAACTTATAGTTTTTGCTAGTAACTGGTTAGTTTACTCTTAAGAGAGTAAACATATTTGGAGAATTAAATGAGGAACCAGAGATTTTGATGTTTCATTTTAATTAAGGAATCTCAATTGGCAAAATTACATTTTTCAGTTCTGCTCCCACTTGGTCCTCCCCACTGGTTTTATAGGAAAAGCAAATGATATTAACCTAAAAAGGCACTGCCATGTTTATAGAGTAAGTTACACAGTAGTAACTAATCTAAATAAAACTATCAGTGAAAGAACTCAGGTGCTTTATTACTAATATCACCCAAACTCTAATCATTTGTTTCTTACTAATGACAACAAAACGATCCTTAACTTTTAAAAAGTAATTAAAAGTTTAAATACAAGACAACTGGTTAATTCATTTCTCTACTTCTAACTCTAAGAATAAAATTCATAGAAGATAGCAATGATTCACTTGAAGCTAAGACTCCACCAACATTTTTCCTGACACAAATGTTAAATTATATAAAGGAAGCTATCAAAAGTTTTTTTTAAAATAGTCTATAAAACCACCTCCATGATATTGTACTGGAAATGTACAAGCAAAGAGCTGGAGTATTCTCCAAAAGAACATTTAGGTAGGTAGTATCAATTCCCTAAGAAACACATCATGTCAACACGATTGGTTGTACATAGAACCACTTACCACTATCTGACAGTTTTCAGTTTAATCCCTGATGTTTTCCTTATTTCACTAGTACCAAAAAATCTCTCCTCATTATGAGTCCACATATTTTTTTTGAAGTAAGTACAAATATTTCATCTAGTTATCTACAAATCCCTATGCAGACTAATTCCATGTTTATAAAGCTCATTAATCAATTTCAAATAACTATATAAGAATCATAATTCATTCCTAAGGGTGTGTGGTGTTTCAATGCCTATTGTGTGCTTCGTTTTTCAAAGGCATAGAATGAAATTTACTGACAAGCTACAAAGTAGCATTTAATGCAATTTTTAATGTTTATTTTCTGATAAATATTCAAGAGATGGCATATTTACCTCAGCTAAAGTAATAAGAAGTGGATCAAATGAAAGACTTTCAGGAGGACATTCCCACTGTAATCTGTGTTTTACTGAACCATGTACCAATCTAAAATATAAAAGTTAGTGAATGCAACAAGAAAAATATAATTCTATATTAAGCAGGGATAATCTAACATACAGTATAACCATATCAGATTTATTTTGTAACATGTAGGAATACCATAACTTTATAAGATAGTACAAGGACATTTTACAAAGTAATGTCAATAATCCTACACATTCCTAGTCTTACAGCAAAAGTGACCCACATGTGTTAAGGTTACAGTTTTGGTGCTTAAGCATGTTGCTGTCTGTGAATCTTAACACAGATATGCCAGGTGATATCTTTCAGTGATATGACACAATAGGTAATCTACAGAAATGAAAAAATGCAAACAAAACATAGTAATTATTAAAAATGTTTCACAAGGAACATTGTTTTTCAGATATAGATCATGTAACCCTAACACTAATAACCTGAAGGCTAAACCAAGTTTCATCTCTGTTAAAGAGAAGAAAACTGAGGCCAGGAAGGTAAAATGGCCCATTTAGGGTTACAAAGTGGTGGCCCCTGAATTAGGATTTCTGCTTCTTTTAACTGCTTTTTTTTGAGACGAAGTTTCACTCTTGTTGCCCAGGCTCAAGTGTAATGGCGCGATCTTGGCTCACCGCAACCTCCGCCTCCCAGGTTCAAGCAATTCTCCTGCCTAAGCCTCCCCAGTAGCTGGGATTACAGGCATGCACCACCACACCCGGCTAATTTTGTATTTTTTTTTTTTTTTTTAAGTAGAGATGGGGTTCCTCCATGTTGGTCAGGCTGGTCTCGAACTCCTGACCTCAGGTGATCCACCCGCCTTGGCCTCCCAAAGTGCTGGGATTACAGCCTTTACTGAGGAATAACTAACACGCAATAAACTGCATGTATTTACAGTATACAATTTGGTATGTTTTTATGTACGAATACACTCAAGGAACTATCATCACAATCATGACAGTGAACTTAATCCATCAACCTAAATGCTTCTTTGAACTCCTTTGTAATGTTCTTGACTTCTTGACTCCTTTGGGCTTATTTTCATAAGAGTAAGACGTCTCTCTAATATTGTTTTTACATTTTTGCAACAATAAGTTTTGGAGGGGTGGGGAGTAGAGAATTAAGAAACTTTAAATAGGGTTTCAATTCAGAATGTAAATATGAAATAACAATAAACTGAAGAGTATTTCTTGAGCTTATTTTTCACTCCAAATCCGAAAATACCATTAAAAACTAGATTTCTTGAATTTTGGAACAAAAATAAATAAATGTTGTGATTATTTCCATAATCAAAATAAAATTTTCTATCATCTACAACAGGCTAAAACTGGATGAACTCTGAAGAAATAAATGCTTTATAGAAATAAATTGTAAAATGATACATTATCTGTAGTATTTTTTTTTTAAAGTTCTGACATCTGTCTAGAAAGGTGGCAAGAATTATATCCAAAATGAAGCAAAAACAGCCATATGTATTTATTATGAAATATAAACAATTTCATTAAATTGACAACTTTCATTTTACCAACAAGATAGGATTTTTTAATTTGCAACTTGCCCAAGCCTGCAAATGCTTAAATTGATTATTTTAGAAAAAGGGTTCAAGTAAAGTTCTTAAACTGATGGTTTATCCATAGATCCCAATAACTGTATTTTGGAACTAGAATGGTTTTCTTCAACAACATCCAGGAATCTATACCAGTCCAAAAGAAAGTGTGAATAAAGTCATCTTTATTTCAACCTCACTAGTAAATAAAACTTACAATACATTTAAACTAAATATTGTATTCATTTTACTCAATGATTTTGAATAATTTGGTCAGTTATAAATCATATTGATTTTACCTGCAAGGAATACCTCCTTTAGAGTAAATAGCTGCAAATGCAGAAGGCACTCGTGACTGTTCACCAAACTAAAATAAAAAATGAAAATATTACTATCACCTATACTTCTGAGGTCAGAAGCACACAGCCATTTTGCTTTTCAAACCGCCAAGCTGGTATCGAAGCGCACCGTTTCTACTCAGCAACACAGTTGAGAAAAACTGTCAATCCTCTCTCTACTAGAATACCACGACCACACTTGGTACATCTCTTTTTCCCCTAACGATTCAGGATGCTTGAACGCGGCTGAAACCACATATGGAATGATAGTTCTTTCTACCTTCTTCCCCACTGTGACCTTTCAAGGTGAGGACTCTATGGAGAAGGGGTGTTAAGTACAGAAAAAGTATATTTGTTTTTTGCCACCTGCACATCTCCTACTTTGTGCTTCAGCCAAATACAGATGGCGTAGGTAGTCACATTTCTCCAAACTGGCTTTAGGCTTCTATAAAAAACAAAGGATTGCGCTGGGCAGGAGGGAGAGAATTGAAGATGGGGAAGATTCTCACAAATATATGCCTGGATGTATTTTCTTAGATATATAACTTCATAACCTTTCAGTTTTGCTATATATGAATAGCTTGATTTTATACCTACTCTTAAAGATGATTTAAGGGATGGTCAATCACAACAGTTAAACAATTACAGCATAAATAATTTCAATATAATTGATAAGAGACTTACAGAGGATTTAGGAACAAAAAGTAAATATTTTATCACATGGTACTTTTAATATATAATCAAATGAAAAATAGTTGTCTAAATTACAAAATATAAATTGACCTGTTTTAAAGATATAACTAGATAATTTTTTTTAAGTCACACACAGTGGTAGTTTTAAAATGTGCTTAAAAAGTTTAGAATCAGCTCTTTTTTCCTCTGGAAAAGCATGAGTTTTGAGTAAAAGCACATAGGAGAAAATTCGTTCAAATTAAATTACAATAAAAGATTCATATCTGGCCAGGCGCAGTGGCTCAAGCCTGTAATCCCAGCACTTTGGGAGGCTGAGGCGGGTGGATCACAAGGTCAGGAGATCGAGACCATCCTGGCTAACACGGTGAAACCCCATCTCTACTAAAAATACAAAAAACTAGCCAGGATGGTGGCGGGTGCCTGTAGTCCCAGCTACTCGGGAGGCTGAGGCAGGAGAATGGCTTGAATGCAGGAGGCGGAGTTTGCAGTGAACCAAGATTGTGCCACTGCACTCCAGCCTGGCGACGGAGCGAGATTCCGTCTCAAAAAAAAAAAAAGATTCATTTCCAAAATTCAATCCATGTTATGTGTAACAATTCACAAGAGGAATGTTTCACTCATCTAGTTATAATTTCTGCTATAAAAGAAACACAAGTTTTAAAAATTATTTTCAAGTAACAAGCATATCCGATAAGAAAGTTGTTTGAAAAAGTGCTACACATATTGGAGAAAAAATTAAGACAAATTAGTACTATACTATCAACATATTTGACTTCTACCATCTACAAGCAAATGATCTTTCTTTTTGGCCCTTACAGGTCATGAAAATAATCCCTAAAATTTCAATATACCCACAAAGACTAAATTTCTGATTGAAATGCTAAACAATTCCTTTCTTTGCCTTTCAATTTTATTCTAGAGATAATCATGGTTTCATCTTCCATGTTCCACAAAATCAGAATTTTTTATGAATAGATTACTTTTATCGATTTTAACCAAATTTTACCAAGTCTAAAGTGAAAAATGTTATCCCATTCAATTTTTAACAATTTCAGACCATATTTCAACTCTGTATTAATGTTATATACTATACTACACTGAATTAGCGTTTCAAAAAATTTTTTAACTCAAATATTTAAAATATTAATGTGCATAAATCACAATAGTGAATTCACAAAAAATGAACACACCTGTTTATCAACAGAGTTGAAAAATCTGAAAGTTTCCAGCACACTAGATGCCTCCACTGCCTCTCCCAAATCCCTGCCCACCTTTCGCCCCAAAGGTGAACATTATTCTGACTTCCAACTCATTTGTTTTATATTGGTAGCTTTTACACATGCTTTTCTCGGGTCAAATTATTTAACTATTTCCCAAAACTTTCCTCGATTTTTACTAAAACTTAGGACTAAGGTCACTAAATATTATTAATTCAAAAAGTACTTCTTTAAAGAGAGGAAGAAAATTGAAGCGTCACCGTAAACTCCCTCAACTAAACATAAGCAAAGGAAGTGAGAGCAACAAGATTATTAGGGCCTTCTTCAGGTATTCAATTTCCTTGACACTGTAGATTACAGAAAAAAGCAAAGGAACATAGCCGCTCAAACTATTTGTCACTTTGCTTTTATCCAGTCGGACACTCCTTCTGTCTTGGAGAGCTCACTATACCTTTGCTTCCTTAAGTAACTGCCATACCCCTACCTACCACCACAGTCAGTCAGGAGCTTCAGCCACCCTCACAATCCCCTTCGAAGGCTGAAATCACTAACATCTCACCCTACCAAAGTTGGGCATGGGGCAAATAACACCTGGTGTTGTTGCACAGGTGTGTTCACTTCTGAATATTTTTACTGCATAAATCCCATGTTTATTAAATCTCATTAAATTGTTAGGAGAGGGCAAAGGAGGTTAGTACTACAACTAGGATTTCTGGTGGAACTAATTTACAGAACACAGGAAAGGTCAGAGACCTTTATGCAACTATAGAAGCACGAAAAGCATTCTGTGGCAACTGAATACAGTTTATTCATTGATATGGGGAAGTAAAACAACACTGCAAATAAAATCTAAAGCTAAAGTGCAATTTTCTATGCACTACAATGCGATATCCCAAACAGGTTAACTTCTATGTCTCCTTACCTCCATACTCACTCCCACATGTGACTGATTATCTCAGTTCTTCATCATAATAACCACATGCCCTTCTCTCATTATTAGCTCAAAACTAGCAAAGGGACAAAACTCAACACAGCATCCAGCATTGTTCAATACTGTGCGAAATGCCTTTAAAAAATCTACTGAGTTAGGAATAGTTTTGGACCTACCGGATTAATTGTTTTAGGGTTCAGTTTATCACTTGGTCTAGGATGAAGTTTTCTTGCAGACTCTGGAGAACTGGTTGACAATGAGGATTTGCTTCCCTGAACTGCATTCCTGTGTTTTAACTGTGTGCTTGATGATGTCCTTTGATCATAGTTACCTGGAAAAAAACAGAACATCAATAGAAACCAGGTACAAGCAATAAAGTTCACCCTGCATCCATCTGTAGCACAGAAAGTGCCATGAACAAACTTGACCTCTTCACTTAAAAACAAAAGCTCTGTACCTGTTGCTCTGTTTTTCAACTGTGTACCTCCAGAGCCCTCTGATTTCTGCATTGCTTCCCTTTCACTCCTGCAGTTTAAAAAAAAAAAAGTTGATTTCAAAATTTGTTTGGAGGGGCATTTGTTATCAATAAAAAGACAAAACCAGAACAGAGTATACAATACAGTAAAAGACACACAAAAAAGTTGATATGGAGCAAAATACTGGAAAAGACTAATGAGAAAACATGAAATTATGTCAACTTCAATAGTATCAATAACAGCAAAATAATCATCTCCAAGAAATGATGTACAAAAGTCAACTTTTTTTCCATTCAAATTGTCAAAATAAACTGTTAGAAACTCACTTCCAATTCTCTGACCACATTAGAAAACACAGACTAGATTTCTGAAAGGAGTGGTTGGTACATTCCCTGTCATCTTCTCCATCTTCTCTGGCCTCTGTATTTCCAAAGCTCCAAATGTTAACATGTGCACATCAAGCTCTACTTTTCCAGTGACATAATGAACTCTCCTACCCAATGTATCACAAGCTCCTTAAACTGAATGTAACTAAAACTGAGGTTGTCACACTGAAGTTATTATGAACCCCTTGTTAACCCAGGGTACCACCAGTTTTCTGGTCCTCAGACTGAAAAACTTAGAATCACCATTGTCTCCTTTTCCTTCATTTCCTACACTCAATGCTACACGTGATGAGAAAGAAAGAGCTTTGGGCTCAAATATGGGTCTGCATCTCAGTTCTACCAATTATGAAATTTATGAATTTAGGCAGATTATTTAACCTCCCTAAACCTCGACTTCCTGACCTGTTTAAAGAGGGAAATAAAAGCCTGTCAAGGTTTTCTGGAGGTGCAAATGAAATTATCTCTCAAGTTACTCACCCAGGGAATACTGGTTCACTTTTCCCTTACACAGTTGCTTTTTTTCTGCTAATGGAGGACTCTAGTTCATACCCCAAGGTTTCCAGCTAATCCAATCAATTTCTACAATTGTATCTCTAGCAAGAAATACACACACACAAACACACACACACACACACACACACACACACACACTCATATACCCAAGTGCCTACTGGTATTTTTAGGCCAAGCTTCATTCCCAACTTCCATGAAGCCTTTCCTCATCTTGGTTTCTCAAATGTGTATTTCTATGGCATTGATTTCTATCCTGTGTCCTTATTTCTACTTGATTACTCTGTTCCCTCACTTCCACGACAATCTAGTTATTCTATTAGCACACGTCTCATTTTAATGCCTTTAATAATGACTGCCTCTCAAGTATAGTGTAAGATCTTCCCTTAGGACAACACAGGTAAAGTCCTCTTCCACCTCCAAATGACACTTTTTCAAATATTTGATGGCATTAACTCTTAACTCCTTCATTTTTTCTTCTTCAGGATAAACACTGATACTTTTTAAAATGATTCCTCACATGAAATGCTTTTAATCCACTTAACAAGTTAGAAATCCTCAAAAGGAGGACAAAGCTCCATGTTATAAAATTTAGCCAGATATCTCAAACATGATGTACCAGCTTAAAGTCTGATACCATGTAAAGATAACCTAAATGTAAGCTTGCTTCTGCACACTGAATAATTTCAATTTCCTTGATTTAGTACATTGATCTCATTTATCTCATCCCACTACCAGCAGATGACTTACTTCCCAGTATCACACTTCACCTCCATTCCCAGGGCCATTTTCTAATACTACGGTAATTAAAATCTCATTAAAGTTGTCAGATAATAGTCTAAAATAAGCTGAGAGAAGCTTTAAATATGTTAACCTACTATTGTACTTCTGTGATCATTCAACAAGTATTTAATATTGTGCCTGACTTCTGTTTTGAGAAGCTCCTGGAGGGGGAACAACACAAGTTTCTATTGAAAAAAAAAATGCATCAGTTTCCTCAACTCTATAATTGGGCATAATTACAGGAACTACTTTAAGTGTTGATGAAGACTAGTAAGAATATATGTAAAACAACATTTCCATAATGGGAGGCATGCAGTAAGGGCCACATGAGTCTTAGCTATTATTATAATTTTCTTTACAATGGTACAAAGTGTTCTTCAGTATTACTATTACTAATAGTGAAACCACATGTTTTGTCATTTTTAAAAAATCTGGCTTAACATCTTGGGCTACATCAATTTGAAGACCAGCTGAGGTCCAATTTCTCTTGATCATCAATTGTTAACAGCTGCAACAGATAAAAGCGATGCACAGCAAAGACGCGTACCCACAAACATAACAAGGGCACAGGCAGCCATATCAAATTATGATGCACATTTTTCAATACTACCTACCAATTCAGTGGAAGTTTTGGATGGAATTTTATGGCTAAATTTCTATCTTCCTTCACGTCAAAAAGTTGTTCCTGTAACAAACTAATGGGGAGGTGTTGCATTATATTTTGAATGAGTTCAAAAAGTCACCAAAACTCATTTGAAAAAGTTTTAAACATGGTAGAAAATCGAGCTTCTACAGTTTATGAGTATACAGGACAACTTTTATGTACAATATATAATTTTCAGCATTAAACATACAGTAATGCAAACACGTCTACATCCCCTTTCAAAATCCTGTATTAGAGAATTTCCTTCCAAAACAATTGCTTTTTCACTTAAAATTTTTATCCTTTACCTTAACGACAAATTACAGTTGGCTCTCCGTATATGCGGGTTCCACATCTATAGATTTGACCCAACCACGGATACGGAGAGCAGACTGGAGGACTTTGGCATGGGTGGATTTGGGTATCTGAAAGAGACTGGGGGGAGGGAGGGAGTCCTGGAGCCAATTCTCCACGGACACCAAGGGACGACGGGAAATGTAGTCAATTTTTTAAAATAATATCCACCTGGAAGCATGCCACTGACAAGCCTGGAGCATGAGTTGTTTGTGAAAGCAAGCTTTAAAAATCTTATCCTTGGTAACCCTTTCAAGTGGTTTTTCATTAAATAACATGTAGAGGATGGTGTAAAGGGGCAGTGATGGGGAGAAGCGAACCTGTAAGAACTATTTTGTGTTACAAATATTATCAAGGTCACCGCTCATTCTTTTACAAAACAAGATAAACATTCTAATTATAGATATTAGAATCCATAAATCCACTTAACTTCGAACACCTAAACTATGTCACAATATCAGAAAGCAAACAAACCACCCTATGAAGCCCACACATTCCCCTTAAAGCTTCCTTGGTTGCTACAGGTCATCTATCTACAAGGGACTGCCGGTATCTGTGTCAATGGTAGGAAAGTGTACTTTCTATCATTGTTTGGGCAGCTGATATAGCCTATTTCTTTCCCTGTATGTACTTTCTCCCGTACTCAGCTTTAAGACCACTGAACTAAAACAATTCTCAGTCAGCAGAGCCCTGCTTTCTAATCCAGGTCTAGAAAGTTCCAAACGTGTAAGTAAGAGCCCCACTAAAGAAACCATGTTCCATTTGTAAAGCTCTGTCAAATTCTAAAAGACCCAGAGCCCAATAGTCACTTATCCCAGTCCCTTTTTTACCAGAAAGTAAATTCAAAGGGCCAGTATTAGGGTCGCACAATCTGCTTAGGGGTCTTAGAATCTATTTTCCACCTTCCCAGCCACCCCTCCTACACTCACTTCTAGATACTTAAAGACCAGTCCAGAGCCAGGATGCTATCAAAGTCAGCAAAAGAGGAAGACACAGAAAAAAAATAAAGAAAAAACAGAGATTTTTTAAAGGGGCCGAGGGAGGAGTTTACCAGTTTCAATTAAGGTTAACGAAGGCTACTCTCGACTGACCCTCTACCCCAGGAAAGGAGGGGTACACTCCAAGCGCTCACGATCTCAAGGGTCCTTAGCAACGGGGTCCAGCGGCCCTAGCAACAGATCAGGAAGCAAGCCGGCTTGGCAGAGAGCGCAGACAGGACACCTGTACCCGCGGTTCACGGCTCCGGGGACCCGTTCCTACCGCGCCTCTCTCCCGCCGCGATCCGCACACCAGCTGCCCCCCACCGGGGGGGGCTTATGACCGGCACTCGGTCGGCCAACAACCGCGGCTACCGCCACCGAGCGCCTGCGTTTGGGGAAATGAGGCTCCGCGCGGCCCGCCCCTGAACCTGGTCGCGCCGCGCAATGACGTCAGACGCACGCTGCGTCGTCTAAACCAATGGTAAGAGGTCGCGGAGGCGCCCCAGAAGAGGGTTGCCCAGGCAACCAGGCGCCAGGAGTTCAGGGGGCAGCTCACGCACTGCAGGCGCTGTCTCTGGCGACAAAGGGGCACGTGGTGGAGGATGTTTTTCGAATAAGAGGTCCGGAGAGCAGAGGGACGATGACGGGTTCCCAGTCGCCTGCGCCCTAGCCTCTCTTCAGTCCATGTGCTTAACTCCTAAACGCTTTTCTCGCACACTTAATACTCATTGTTCCTCAGCTATCTTACCCTCAATACTCGGAGAACTGAAGACTGTGAACTCCTCCCCCCGAGTCTTCAGGGGTGAGAGCCGAAGCCATCTGCATGCCCAGCTGTGGGATTTTCTTGTAGTTTCCTGTTCTATCTGGCTAAATCATAAGCCTAGCTGTGGAAATTCGTTTCCTGTCGTATTTTATGAATCTCATATGCTATTGCATTCTTCACAGTATATCCGCATTTAAATAGTAAAAAGCACGATTTTGTGCTCTACATTATTTTTAATAGTAAAAATATTTAATAGTGAAAAGCACGATTTTATGCTCCACATCATAACAAAACTGATGCTGCAGGAAAATGCATATTCCCTTGTATTGCATTCCACCAGCAACAATTTGGGTTGTCATAGTTAAGTCCAAGCCCTTTGGACCTGTCCACTGCACTCCTCTTTAGCATCCTCTACTGTTGCCAACCCAAAGCCCTAACTTTTTGCTTAGGTAACACTAAATTGGCATTGTCTGAGCACTCGAGGCTGTGTAATCCTTCTGTGCTCCTGTAGCTCCATCCTTGCTACTTGACCAGCACCCCAGAAGCATCTTCATTAGATTGTGAGTTTCCTCAGGATAAGGATTTTAACTTTGCCCTTTTTATTTCTCCAGCTTCAAGCATAATGCAGTGGGTATTCAACTAATGTCTTCTGAATGAATAAAATGAATTAATAAATTCTGTCTATGTCTAATTTCTCTAATGTTCTGTGAACCTTGCATACAAATCTAAGTTTTAAAATTTATTATAATGTATTTACCTATCTTTCTCACTAGACTGAAATTGTCTTTATTGCTTTTCTATCCCCAATGCCTAGCGCAATGCATGCTTAACTAACGTTTTTAAAAGGAAAAAGAAATTTTTAAAAAAAAAAATCTTATATCCTGTATCTTCAGCTACTTTTACTTTATAATCTCTCATCTCCAGCTTCCTCAAGACTTATTATATTTTCCTTACTCCTAGCATCTCCAGTGTCAGACTCAGTAGAGCTCCTAGTTCGTGACCTTTTAACCCCTCCTCCCTGGACTATAAGAATGATTTGTATTCAGTATCGCAGAGGAATGACAAGCATATGTGTTCTGGAGTTAAGCTATCTAAAACTCACCACCCCTTATCAGCTATGAGTCCTTGTGGATGACGACTCCTACAAGCCTCAATTTCCTCTTCATTATTGGGTTATTGCGAGACTTAAATTTAAGAGGACAATTGAATACCTGACACATAGGAAGTACTCAATAAGTATTAGCTAGTGCAATTATTCAGGTGAAAGCAAATTAAGACTAACGTGGAGGACATCGTAAGTGGCAAAAGTCTCATGCTATGTGTTGGTGTATGAACCATGGACGATGACACGGATTTTTCAGATCTTTATAATAACAATTAGTATAAGCTTCTCCTAATCACAGTTAAAACAGCCTCTTCTAAACTTTCTGTCATCATTTTAGAAAATGAACAGAAAACATGCTCCTTGGCATTGCAACTCTATCAGGATATTATGCAATAAGTGGTGGGTGCTTTCTTGAATACACTGGTTTGACAAGCCTGTGAGGCATCCAGGGGGAGCTAACTAGCATGCTGTTGGATCTGCTCATCTAGAGGGCAGGAAAGAGAACTGGGCATAGCTATGGATTTTTGAGCCATCAGCATATGTAGACGCTGAGTTGGGCGATAGGAGTAATACCTTCTAGGAAAGCTCACAATATGTGAGAAACAGAGCACTGATTGTGGACTTTTGTCTTCTATTCAGGTTTTAAGGTTTAATTTTCTATTTAAGAGAGAATGGGATGAGGGAAAAAAGGTGACCTATTTGCCTAGCAATATAGTAAATGATTCTGAAAAGACAGAATATGCCATATATTTTCTGTTTGCTCTCATATAGGTACACTCTTCCCTTTGTCCTGTTATTTGCTCTGGGATGCTGATCAGCATAAACTATATCACCCAGGCTCCAGTGCCCTCTGGTTTCTGATTGGGTTTGGCTACTGAAGAACACTAATAGGAGATTAGAGAATTAGAGGAGAGTGAAGTCAGAGTATTCATTCTCCTGCTCCTATCCTTAGGGGGTTCCCTAAAGCTGGTCATACCCATAAGTGAAGATCACATCTTTCTGCTATAGTCTGATTGTTTCTGTTCCTCCAAAATTCATAGATTGAAATTTTAACTCCCAAGGTGATGGTATTTGGAGGTGGGGCTTTTGGGTGGCGATGAAGTCATAGGGTTGGAACACTCGTGAATGGAATTAGTGCCCTAATAATAGAGGCCTGAGAGAGAACACTCACTCCTTCCACTATGTGAGGACACAGTGAAACAATTTCATCTGTGAACCAGAAAGTAGTCCCTTACCAGACACTGAATCTGTTGATACTTCGATGTGGACTTTCCAGCCTCCAGAACCATGAGAAATCAATTTCTGTTGTTTATAAGCTACTCAATGTACGGTATTTCACTATAGCAGCCCAAATAGACTAAAAAACTTTCTAAATGGCAAACTTCAGTTCTAGGCACAAAATCTCAGAGGCTACTATCTCTAGGTTACTGCACTGTCTGTGTGGTACCCTGTACCTTTATAAATAAAATTTCTTCAAATTGCCCTATTTTTGTTACTCCATATTATATAACCTTATGAGTTAGGTAATAAATCTAACCAAAGTAAACCACTCAGGACGATTTTTTTTCTCATTGTGCTGGTTCTCATTGACTTGTGAAAAAATTATTCATTATTTATTTACTTACATTTAAGTCACCAAGCATTTTTAAGAAAATATTGTCTTAATTCTTGTAAAGAAAATCTCTGCCTTTTTGTACAAATTACAGACAAAGCAATCATTCCCAATGATTATTCCCAAGTCCTATCATTGAGAAATGTGATACAAGAAATTTGTACAATTTGACAAAGCACACTTTGTCAGGAAATGTTAGACATCATCATTATAAAGTCATTGAGTGTCCGCTTGCACATGGAACAAATTAAGCAGTGATAATGGCTCCTCAGGTGAAAGCAAATGAAATCAACATGAGTGAGCATATAAGGTAGCATTGTCCAATAGAAAAGTGATGCAAGTCACATAATACAATTTTAAATTGCCTAGTAGGCATATTTTTTAAAGGTGGAAAGAATCATGTGAAAGTAATTTTAGTGGTATATTTTTATTAACCCAATATGTCCAAAATATTATCACTTCAACTTGGAATAAATATAAACACTATTAATGTGATATTTTACATTCTTGTTATTTGTGCTAAGTCTTCAAAAGTTGGTGTGTATTTTACATGTATAGCACATTTAAATCCATACTAGCCACATTTCAAATATTCAATAACCACAGATGGCTAGTGGCTACTGTATTGGACAGTACAGAAAGCTATGGCCACTGACAGTTGGGCAAACATAGAATGAAGTCAATAAATGTGTCAAATAGCTAGAGAGTACATACTGTTTGTACAACAAACTATTAGATGTTGGAGAATCAATCCAAATGTAAAGGTCATGAATTGGGTATGAACCTCAGACTACAGAGTCAGTGCAATTAACAACTTCCTTTATGGTTCATAGTAGTATTCAATTTCTTTTACAAATGTCTTTACCCTTTCTCTCCTTGGAATTGTGTTGAGAGGATGAGGCTTGGAGGAGTGTGGCATCTGGTCCTCTGTTGTCATCTGCTAGGATATACGTACTTTGGTCTTTCTGGTCCTCAGTCATTTATCCTTCATTCTTGTAGATTGCTCATGTGTTTTTCATTCCAGGTTCTCATTGAGAGCTAATTCCAATCTCCTCTTAACTATCCAGGAGGTAATCTATTCTTCCAATCTGAAGCCTAAGAAATTCAGCTGTTGGTTTCTACCTTGTAGAAACCATGGGAACCTATGAGGTTGCCGTAGAGTCTTTTGTCTAGACACACTACAAGGCCATTTCTTCTCATCCTATACCCTAGGTTCAGGGGTATCTAGGGGCTTATTAGCTCTGGGGTATTGCCCTGGGGGGAGGATGGAGGATGGGAAGGACAGAGCATACTGTCTCTTTGCTCTCAGATCTAGACCTTGACTCTGACTGATGACATATTCTTCTAGCTCTTCCAAATAATGGCTGGTCTTGACCTTAACTTTTGAAAGTCCAAAGTCAAGAATTCAACTTTTAGCATGAGAACTTTTATGATGACAACTCCTCCCTGAGGCAGTAAGCATAAAATAGTTCAGCTACAGTCTGCATGGAAAAAATGTCATGGGGTAGCAGGAAATGTTGTTTTTACGAAATATTTTATGACATTAGTTTATAATCTATTTTAGAATATTTTATAGAATTGATGCCAACTTTATTGAAGTACAATTGATAAATAAAAATTGTAAATATTTAAGGTGTATGGCCAGGTGCGGTGGCTCACGCCTGTAATCTCAGCACTTTGGGAGGCTGAAGTGGGCGGATCACAAGGACAGGAGATCGAGACCATCCTGGCCAACATGGTGAAACCCCGTCTCTACTAAAAATACAAAAATTAGCTGGGTGTGGTGGTGCGTACCTGTAATCCCAGCTACTTGGGAGGCTGAGGCATGAGAATCACTTGAACTCAGGAGGTGGAGGTTGCAGTGAGCTGACATCGCACCGCTGCACTCCAGCCTGGTGACAGAGAGATACTCCATCTCAAAAAAAAAAAAAAAAAAAAAATCAAGGTGTACAACATGAGGTTTTGCTATACATACATTGTAAAGTGATGACTGCAATCAGGTGAATTAATATATCCACATATATATTCACTATATGGATATATTAATGGTAACTATATGAGGTTACCATTTTGTGAATATATATTAATTATATAATATATATTATTATATGTAATATATAATTAATTATTTATATATATCCACAAAATGGTAACCTCACATAGATACCATTTATTGGTAACCTCACATAGTTACCATTTTGTGTGTATAATGAGAACATTTAAGATCTACTCTTTTACCAAATTTCAAGCGTACAATGCAGCATTGTCAACTAGAGTACTATGCTGTACAATATATCTCCAGGACTTATCCCTCCAGCCTAAATGAAACTTTGTAACCTTTAACCCAGATCTCTTTATTTTCCTCATCCCCCAACTGTAGATTTTTTAAAAATTCTGAGGTGTTAAGTCAGAATAAGATACTGTTTAATGAGTATTTTATTCCACTTAGCTCAGTATAACCAATTAAATTGACAGTTAGAGGTAGATAAGAAAGACATGGCATTTCTCCTATGTCCATTAAAAAGCAAAACATCAAACATTGTTCAATCAGTTCCTTAAATGTTAAGTAATTAATTTCTGTTCTGCTGATCTCAGGCTACTGAGTCTTCTATCACTAAGTCATTTGCCAAAGGGCCAAAAAATAAAATAAAATAAAAATGAAAGCCTTGATTTGACAAGTCTCCACGGTAATGTCAAGTTATAGTGAAAAACCTGTTCAAGTTTCCTTCTCTGTAAATTGATAGTTAAGAGTACCTGGTACAGTCCTTTGCTGAGGAAAATGGTTTGGTTGTTCTGAAGATTCTCTTTCTAGAAGGCTTAAATTTCTGAACTGTAGCTTGCAGGGAGACCTCTGCATCATTGCTACTCGCAATTTTCTTCTCGGGTCAGCATTGTGATCACCACCTGGGAGTTTGTAAGAAAGGCAGAATCTCAGGTCTCACCTCAGGTCCACTGAATCCAAATTTGCATTCTACCAAGATTCACCAGAGGAGGAAATGTGCTTTACAGTTTAAGAAGTGCTGATTTAAACGTGTGAGGGAGAATTTGTGATGATAGTGAATGATTACCGTTAAATTATTATAGAAACCATAATATCAGAATGAAGGGGAATGTCATCTATTAAGGCATAACATAATAATTTGAGAGAGATTAAGTCAAAGATTGCACTGAGAGTAAGAACATATTGTGAGCATGAATTCTGTTTATGGATTGAATTGTGCCACCCCCAAGTTGATATGAAGTCCTAACCCCATGTACTTCAGAGTGTATTGTTAAGTTGGAAATAGGGTCATCATTGATGTAATTAGTTAAGCTAAGATGAGGTAATATTGGAGTAGGATGGGATCCCTATTCAATATAACTTGTGTCTTCATAAAAAGGGAAAATGTGGACACATTTAGGCACACAGTGGGGAGGCCGTGTGCAGCTAACACCATGTGAGATCGGTTGATACAGCAGAAGCCAAGGAACACCAAATATTGCCAACAAGCCACCAGACACTAAGAGAGTGACATGGAACAGATTTCTCATCCTCAAAAGGAACCAAGCCTGCCAACTCCTTCATATCAGACTTCTGGTCTCCAGAATTGTAAGACAATACATTTTTATTGTATAAGCCACCCAGTTTGTGGTACTTTATTATAGCAGTCCTAGCAAACTAATACAAGTCTTGAAAAATTTTCAGGGCCTTTTAATCCATTACATAATGTATGTTATGATTGTATTTTCTTGAAAAGTTACATTAAACCTAGAAATAATTTCTTTTGAGTAAAACATCAGTTAGTTGACAAGTATGTCAGACTTTGAACATATGATCTTGGTTTTTTTGTTGCTGTTGTTGTTTGTTTGTTTTTGAGGCAGAGTCTCGCTCTGTCACCCAGGCTGTCATGCAGTGGAACAATCTTGGCTCACTGCAAGCTCCGCCTCCTGGGTTCACGCCATTCTCCTGCTTCTGCCTCCGGAGCAGCTGGGACTACAGGCGCCTGCCACCATGCCTGACTAATTTTTTGTATCTTTAGTAGAGACGGGGTTTCACTGTGTTAGCCAGGATGGTCTCGATCTCCTGACCTCGTGATCCACCGGCCTCGGCCTCCCAAAGTGCTGGGATTACAGGTGTGAGCCTTAAGCAGACTTCCATGCAATCTGAGAGTCATACAATTGCTGAAACATGTTTATATTGAGAACATTCTGAAATTATATGTGTATAATTAATCCCATGGGGTGCTGAGATTCCCTTTTTGTTTCATTAATTCTCATATTATGGGAGTCATAAAAAAAACAACTCTCACTATGGTATTGAGTAGCTGGAAATCTGGAGCCGCTGCTTTTTTTTTTTTTTTCCTAGCATTCTTCCTACTCACATGAGGGAGCAAATCTTTGCCATCACCCAGAAATGTTGAGAAAACACCTCAAATAGTTTATACATAAAAGACACACTAAAAGTTTCATTATTCTAAACCGGGGGTGTGGACTTGTGGACTTGTCAAAGAAAATCTTTAAAATATTGTTAAAAGAGCAAAATTTATAAGAATATGAAATATAACAAAGCATTGCAGGTTTGATTCAGAGTAATATATGTAAAAATCAACATAACAACAAGAATTATTAAAAACTCTAAACTTTGCAAAAGTGAGCCTTTTGTTAAAATAGATTTAAGATAATGAAAAAAATGTTCAAAATATAACAGGCTTTCAAGTGAGAATATAAGAATTTTATTATCCAGGAAAAACACAGAATAATTTTTGCTATTTCTTCTTCAAAGCAGACTGTATATTCAAAGTGCACAGTTAAGTACCCAGTAAATGATTGTTGGATTAGCTAATTAATAGTTTCATTGGGAAAGACAATAAAAGTATTGCTGTCTTAACTATGGGATCATTTCTTGAAGCTAGTTGAGCAGAAGGCAGTTTTGGCCTTTCTGTGGAGAAAATTGAAATAATGTCCTGGGACCATGTTGTGTTCGTTTTCTGTGACTGCTTTAACAAATTATCATACTTAATGGCTTAATACAATGCAGATTTATTATTTTACAGTTCTGGAGGCCCAACTTGGGTCCATAGGGCTAAAACCAAGGTGTTGGTAGCACTGCATTTCTATCTAGGAGCTCAAAGAGGCTCGTTCAAGTTGCTGGCAGAATTCACTTTCACCTGCTTGTGATTCTGCCATTCCCCCTTCTTGTTAGCTGTAAGCTGAAGGCCTTTCTCAAATTCCAGAGGACACCATATTCCTCATTCACTTCTGAAGACTCATGTGATTAGATTAGGCCCATCTGGATAATCCAGGGTAGACTTTCCATTTCAAAGACTTCAGCATTAATTGCATTTGCAAAATCCTTTTTGCCATACAAAGTAACATATAGCTGCGGACTAGGGTGCTAACACCTTTGAGGGACTGTTTTTCTGCCTACCACACATGGACAACACAGACATTGGACTAATGATGGCTTTATCTCTTCCTGTGTTAAGTGAAGAAGTTGAAATAATGATTTCACTAAGGAAAATAGTTTTATGGTTAACATCAGAGCAAATCTTCAGTGGAGTTAGTGCCTAGGAAGGGGCATTAAGGGGCTTCTGAGAATCTGGATGTTGGTTACAAGAATGTGTCTCCATTGTAAAAATACAACAGCTGAACATACATGATTTGGGGACTTTTCTGTAGGTATACATGTTTTGTTAAAGAGTTTATTTTTAGGGGGCCAGATGCAGTGGCTCATGCCTGTGATCCTAGCACTTTGGGAGGCCGAGGCAGGCAGATCACAAGGTCAGGAGACGGAGACCATCCTGGCTAACACGGTGAAACCTTGTCTCTACTAAAAAAAAAAAATACAAAAATAAGCTGGGCATGGGGGCGCGTGCCTGTAATCCCAGCTAATCAGGAGGCTGAGGCAGGAGCATCGCTTGAACCAGGGAGTCGGAGGTTGCAGTGAGCCAAGATCGCACCACTGCACTCCAACCTGGTGACAGAGCAGGACTCAGTCTCAAAAAACAAAAGTTTATTTTTAAAAACCAAAGGAATCACTCAAAATATTATCTTCATTGATATGTGGTTTATGCACAGGGTTGGTGTTATTAAAAAATATAGTATATGGAACTTTAAACAGTTAATTTCAAAAATTTAAAGTAATCAAATTTTTCTAAAATTTAATTCTATTTCAGATTTTGATATTTGAGTAATTAGTGAGTGATCAAATAACATGATAGATAAATTTAAATAGTTTTTTTTAGAATAAGAAATTTATAAAGACAACTTGCGTTTGTTTTTAAAGAATATAATTCTTTCTAGTCAAGAAACCAACATAAACCATCTGGGCATACCAAGGTAAATTAAAGGAGAAACACAAAATCACTTCCGCCTCCCAGACATTCACCAGAGCTAGTCACATGCCCCAATCTAACTGCAAGAGGTGTCAGAAGTGGATATTCGGTGAGCTGATTGGGCCAGAATTGGGCACACAATTCATTCCCAGCAACCCAGTCAGATTTTTACTTGATTAATTTGAACCAAGAGACATAGATTTGTGTCCAGTAAGAACATTAATGAGTGTCAGTTTGTGTGAGCTCCTGTCAATAGGGCTTTGTGCCAAGTGCATGCTGTTAAGGAGGAGAAAGTGATCCTGCAGAATAAGGAAGAGCATGGAGTAGAATAAAAGAGTAGAGGAAAAACAGGAAAAATGGATGATTATGAAGTTTATGTGAGGCTAATTCTATGATAATCATCTGAGTCTTTGAAATAAACATTTTTCATTTCATCAATATGCAAATATAGCCAGTTGCCTACATATGTTCTCCTTTTCTTCCTTATTAACAGAAACCCAATTTGTTCAGGGCAGTGACTTAGCTATGAAACACAATAAAATATATACATACATATTAAAAGTAAAAATAAAAAACATACTTCCCATTGTCGTTAGTGTGACACAGGTCTGGCCACATGATCTATCACAAATGAGTGTATGCTGCAGATTTATGAAAAAGTGCTTTTTTTTTCTTATAATGCAAGTGCTATACTTTCTTGTGGCTTCATTCCTTATCCATTTTAGAATGCGCGAGTAAATGTGGACAAAAAACACAAAAGCCATATGCTAATGACGATGCAAGAGGAACCTGGGGCACTTGGACTTCATGTCGCTGTCAAACCACTTCTAAACTGCACTTCTCTTCCTGACTTCTTGTTATGTGAAAGAAATAAGTTAATTAAATTTCAGTCATTTATTTTCCAGTAACTCAATCCATAGGTTTGAACCTAACTCAATCCATAGGTTCAGTTCTAGAGAAGAGAATCTTCTATAAAGGCAAGCTTGAAATGCATACTTTTTCTTTTTTAAATTATGGTAAGAAAACACAAACACATAACATAAAATTTACCAAATGAGATCCATTTTGAAGTATACAGTCCAGTAGTGTTAAATATTTTCTCATTGTTGTGCAACGAAACTTTTTCATGTGTTGTTATTTGAAGATGGGATCTTAGGAGATAATTGAGATTAGGTTATGAGGGTGAGGCTTCCATGATGGGATTAGTGCTTTTATACAAAAAGATACTAGAGTTTGTGTGTGTGTGCTCTCTCGTTCTCTCTCTCTCTCTCTCTCTCTCTCTCTCTGCTAAGTGAGGACACAATAGGAAGGTAGCCTTCTATAAGCCAGGAAGAGACCCCCTTACCAAGATTTGGTCATGCTAGCCCCCTGATCTTAGACTTCCAGCCTCCAGAACTGTGAGAATGTGAATTTCTGGTGTGTAAGCCACCCAGTCAATGTTATTTTGGTAGGGCTCACTAAGACAGGCAATAAAGGAAATAATTTTCATGTCCATCAGAGGGAGAATAATTGGATAATTATTAAGCATTACACATCTATTAAAAAGAATAAATGAGAGATGAATGTATTGGTTTCATTGATGTCCACGATCTGTTTTAAGAGAGAAAAAAAGGGCCCGTTGCAGTGGCTCACGCCTGTAATCCCAGCACTTTGGGAGGCCGAGGCAGGTGGATTAAGAGGTCAGGAGATCGAGACCATCCTGGCTAACACAGTGAAACCCTGTCTCTACTAAAAATACAAAAAATTAGCTGGGCATGGTGGTGGGCGCCTGTAGTCCCAGCTACTCAGGAGGCTGAGGCAGGAGAATGGCGTGAACCTGGGAGGCAGAGCTTGCAGTGAGCCCAGATTGCGCCACTGCACTCCAGCCTGGGCGACAGAGCAAGACTCTGTCTCAAAAAAATAATAAATAAATAAATAAATAAATAAATAAATAAATAAATAAGAGAGAAAAAAAGGAAGTTGTAGAGTGATGCATATGGATTGGACTTCTATTTGTAAATCAAATTAAAACTAAACTAAAATAGATGTATATTTTTATATATAAACATACAAATATAGACATATCTATTTACCTAAGTATCCATGTGTCTGCCCCTATCCATCCCCACTTGTCTATCTATGAATGCATCTAACCTATCTAGTGCTACCTAGGAGTCTAGAGAAATGTTTAAAACAGCGCTTTCTTCTGAAGAGTGTAATAGACAGCAGGGGAAAGATTAATTTTATTCTTTCTATACTTCTGCATTGTTTTAATTTTTAACACAAACATGAAGTTTTGTATTCAGATAGAAGAATTTTAATTAGTTTTTTATGGTGGGGTTTTAAAGCACTTTACTATGTAGCTTAAGTTTTAAAATACTCAAGAGGTTGATCAGAGATATTTTCCATTTGAGTATTTCTTATCTTATCCTATCCCATATGGTAAAAAGGAATTCTCTTATAACTGAGTATGCCATTGTAAGTCCTAATTACAGAAAGCCTGTAACTATTTGGAAATTTATAAAGTTAATTGTATGGTTTCTCAAAGCCAGTTATTATAAAGGGAAAGATGAAGAAAACATATCATCCAAATAAATTACTTGATATGTTCTAAAACAATGTGTATTAAAAATAATATTTACCTTCCATACTTCATCTCTTAGAGTTGAAAGATATACTCAGGGGCCAAATAGCAGAGATCCCTTATTTCAAAGTTCAGACAAATGAAGCCCAGAAAGTATCCACAATTTGCCCACAATCTACAATGAATTGATAAGAAAAATTAAGACAGCAGTTGAAAAACTAATGATTAGAAAACTAATATGGAAAACTCTAAAGAAAACGTGTTTCATCTACTTGTTACATACAGTAAACCACCCTAGAACTTAGTGGCTTAAAGCAATGGCGATTTATTACTTTTCATGATCCATGGGTCAGGAATTTGGGCTGAGCTTGCTATGTGGTTTCTTTCCACACAGCGTTGGCTAGGGATTTTCACTTGGCTGCATCTAGCTGAAAGCTACTTGTCTTAGTGCCCTTCCATGCTTCACATGATGAGCTTGGGTTTCCTTACAGCATGGTGATCTAAGGGTAGTCCAGCCTCCTTCCAAGAAGGAATGTTCCAAGAGGATGAGCACCAATGTCTTAAAGCCCTTCACAAGCTCTTCTTTTGCCATGTTTGCTAATGCCACACTGGTCAGAGCAAGTCATGGGGCAAGACAGATGACTGTCAAACACAGTTTATAAAAAAGAAGGCATAAATGGGTATAATTTTATGTTAGCCTTTAAGCAACAAGGAATCATAATTTAAAGGAACAAATGTGTCTACCCTGGATTTTTTTTTTTTTTTAGCATAGGAGTTGGCAAACATTGGCACTAGGTCCAGGAGACCAAAATGTCACTGTGGTCTACCAGTTGGTATAGGGGCTTATGAAGGTCAGGTGATCAATGGAGTTTTAGCTCAGATCTATCCCACAGTGGCTCCAGTGAGTCCCTGAACCCATGCTGTGATTATTTCCCCATTTCTGGGATGCATAATTTAAATAGACATTCTCAGAAACTGGCAGAATTTTCACATTCATTCCCTGGCCTGTGAAGTGAGGGCAAAAAAAGTAGTAGAAAAGGCCAAGGGAAAACCACTAGAACAATCTTTACCTAGGAAAATAATAGGTCAAAAGCAGCATCACATGCCTAGAAGGGTATCAGTGATAAATGCCAACAACAAGCACTTAAATTATATGGAAGTGGTAACTGCCATCCCATTTCCACTCAACTCACCTATTTGACCAGTGTAGAAAATTGATAAAACTGGGAGAAGCACAGTGGATTTTCATAAAGCTAAACTAGGTGGTGACTTCAGTCACAGCTACTGTACCAGGTGTGGTTTCATTGCTTGGGAAAATTAACACATTCCCTGGTACCTGGTATGCAACTATTGATCTGGCAAATGCTTTTATGCTCAATACCCATTTGTGAAGACTAGGTGAAGCAGTTTGCTTTCATCTGACAAAGCCAGCAACACACCTTTACTGTCCCACTTCAGGGGTGTATCAGCTCTCCTGCCATACATCATAATTTAATTGATGGAGAGTCAGATAGTCTTTTCCTTCCATAACGAGTTACACTGGTTATTTGCACTGATGATATTATGATGATTGGACCTAATGAGCAAGAAGTAACAACTACTCTATATTTATTGAGAAGACATTTACATGTCAGAATGTGGAAAATAAATCTGACCAGAATTGAAGTACCTCCACCGCAGTCAAATTTCTAGGGATCCAGTGGTGTAGGGCATGTTGAGATAGGTGAAGACACATTGCATCTGTCCTCTCTTACAACCAAAAAAAGAGATACAACACCTAGTAGGCCTCTTTGGATGTTGGAGAAAACATACTTGACACTTGGGTGCGTTATCATAGCCCATTTACCGAGAGACCCTAAAAGCTACTAGTTTTGAGTGGGGCCCAGAGCAAGAGAAGGCTCTACAACAGCTCCAGACTGCTGTCCAAGCTGCTGTACCACTTGGGTCATATGATCAAGTACCTCTGATGGTGTTTGAAGTGTCAGTGGTAAAGAGAGGTGCTGTTTAGAACCTCTGACATAAAGCAATCATTTTATTCAGGTGAATGATAAAGCACATTTTGAAACTTTTCAAAAATTCTCCCAAATCTTTCATTTCACACTTTGTACATTTCACCTGGTGTGATGGTTAATTTTATGTGTCAACTTGGCTGGGCCATGGTGCCTAGATACTTGGTTAATCATTATTCTGGATGTTTTTGTGAGGCTGCTTTGGTGTGGGACTTACATTTACATCAGTAGACTTTGAGTAAAGCAGATTGCCCTCCATAAGGTGGGTAATCTTCACCCAGTCAGTTGAAGGCTGAATAGAACAAACGAATGACCTTCCCTGAAGCAAGAGAGAAATCTGCTGCTGACAGCGTTCAGACTTGAACTGCAGCATTGGCTCTGAGGCTCTGCTCTGCAAATTTTGGACATGGCACCCTCCATAAACACGAGCCAATTTCTTAAATATCTCTCTCATACACACACACACATACACACACACACACCCACACACACACACACAATTGGTTCTGTTTCTCTAGAGAATAGTACACTTGATTTCTCCGTATTTGGGGTAAATTCTAGTTGTCCAGTAGGGCAGCCTTGAATAGCAATATCAAAACTCTGTAAAAAGGTTAATCTGTGTTCCCAAACTCTAACTTTCAATGCTAGAATCTCTAAAATACTTGTTTTCTGCTAAGAGGCATTGGCTGACTTTGGTCTTTGGCCCCCACGTTGGTTTAAAGAAAGAGATTAGTGCTGGGAATAAGATAGCTCCAAACAGCACAATGAAGGTAAATTAACGAGTTGGCTCCTTCAGTGATATCTATAATTTTCTGATTAAGGTCTAAGCTAGGGTAAAACCTTCCTCATTAGCTGTCTTCCCTGGGAAGATAACCCAATACTTGTCAATTCTTGCTTTCATTTTTTGCTCCACATGAACTACCTTACCTGTCTTATTGTTGAGATGTGAGTAATGGAGTTAAAATAAACTTAATTTTAATGTGTTTATTATCTGTTCAGATTCTTATTCAAAAATTTAAAAGAATTAAGACCTTTAAAATGTGCAAATATGCTCCAATATTTATTTTTCCACTATTTTAGAAGAAAAAGATCCAAAAACTTTGGTTGAATTTTAAGTTTTTAGCCACTAGATGGCAGTGGATAACTATCTCTTATTTTGCTTTCCCGCATTCAACTCTCAGCTAATGTTTTCTATTGTCAGCTGGCAAATAGAAAAGAGGAAATATATAAAGGCTATTTACTGGAGATGTTGAACAAGATAGAGATTTTATTAATGGAGTGTTGAACACATTTTGTAATTCAACTGCTAGCAAAATTATTTTCTTTATTGTTATATATTTGTACGATTAAAAGGAGAAAATAGGATCAGCATTGAAACGTACAAAAACATGGTCAGGCTAAATGCAATCAGCATTGACTGGAAATGCTTATCTTGACCAAATGCTAAGCAGAGGAGAATGACTACAGCCTAATACATCTGCTGAGCTGCTTTGAAACGTTTTTGACCACATGTAAGAGACCCTCTGCATTTTCATGACACCCACACCCAGGAGCACTACTAGAAGGGCTTGTGGATGTCAAGAGAGGTTGTTTCTGCTGGAGTCTTTTACCTCAAACTAAAGAAAAAGGAATCCCTCGAAGAAAATGTGCTTGGAGACTCAGGATTTAAACTTTATCACTGGTTGTCTCTTTGTATTATATTTAACATTAGATTTTCCCAACCTATGTAGAACATTCAGTGTGTGGTCTATGATGGTCTTTTGGGGATGGACTGACTGCAAAGTAGAGCTATGGCTAGGAATCATGTCCATGGGTAATATTATGCAGCCATTTAAAAAATATATTTACAGAGGCAAAAGTCTGAGCTTAGAATTCTTAGGATCTTTAATACATGGAGAAAATCTGGGGAATAATAATAACGAAGCAATTCAAAGAACAGTGTAGGCATTTCTCCCTAAAAACCTAGAGAAGGAAGTATGAAAAACCACTAATGTTGACCAAAGTATTCATAGGCCTTAAAAACATTTATTTTAAGCAACAAGGGAAGAAAATATTACTGTTTAATAGAGTGCCACTTCAGAAGGAAAGGGGCAAAATACTTGGTTAACAGCACATGACTTGTACTAGCATCCGTATTCTTGGAGATAGGCTAAGGAAGGCCACCATTAACAGCCAAAGTTAGTGTCATAGCCCTAGTCACAGCAGCCTCCACCCCCTTCACCTTCTGCAGGAGCAGAAGGCAGGAATCCATGCTCGGGCTATCTAAGGAGCCAAACCTTCAAAGTGTGTTGGGAGACTAAAATCCCCCAGCCTATACCCTTATCTTATTCTTATTTATGAACAAGCATCCCTTAGCCTTCTTTATCTTCAGTGTGTTGCACTCATGTTCCCCCATCACATAACAAGGAGGAAAATAAGTGAATACATATTGGATGCTATTTTCCGGATGCCAAGTCTCTCTCCAGGTAGTAATGAGGAAGGAGTTTTATAGAACATTTAGCAATAGCACCCTGGGAGTCTGAAAGAGTTAATTTCTCTCTTTATACAATTTCTACCAAAGGATTCCTTCTGGGAGGAAATCTATTTAATTTTGTTCATAAAAGAGATAAAGCTGGGGACTAAAGTGGGGTAGGAGGAGACGTGCATCGCTAATATCTTTAAAAACAGAGAAGAATAGGATTCAAAAGACCTCAAGAAATTAAAAAAAAAAACCTTTTTAAAATAGTGATATGCACCAGATGGCACACACAGGAATCGATATTCTAAGTCCTTTAGGGACAAGGTTTAATTCTTTTAGGTCTCATGTAGCATCTGATGCAGAGCTCTGCACTTAGTGGGCACCTAGTTAATATTTATTAAAATCAGATTGAATGTCGAACAAGTACACACACACACACATACACACACACACACACATACACACACTAGCAATCAGAATTACCCAAGCTGAAAAAGTCACTAATGCTACAAGCATTATATCAAAGGTATCATTTCACTCATTCACTTAATACACATTTTGTGATAAGATAAATAATATCCCCCACACCATGAAGGAGTTCACGGTGTGGGGAATGATTCTCCTGAAGCACTTTCATGCACAGAGCAAAATGACCCAGACATTCTCCCAATCAGGGTGGGGTAGGCTTGAAGGGCCTCCTATATAAAAGAGTAGCCTCCCAGCACTGGTTATGAAGCTCTGTTTCTCAGTCTCAACCCTCCCTTTCACACTCTACTTTGTAATGCTGGTCCTGGGTCTCTGTAGACAGCATTTCCCCTATGCTGCTGACTCCCTAATAAACTCTGCCAATAGGGTGCTGGAAGCAGACTGGGAGGTAGGTGAGCTTCTGAGAACATTTTCTTCCTTTTTGTTGGCTTGCTGGTCCTGCTGGTGTCAGGCCAGCTCAGCAGGTGGTTACGGTAAACAGATGTGTTCCAAACTTTCTGCAGCAGTCTTAGCGTGTTCCTCAGAGATACCATCCCCAGTTGGTCAGCCACCCAGCTGCTCCAGGACTTTTAACTTCAGTTCCATAGCCGCAAACAATGGCAGGCAGGGCCATCTCCACCTCCTCAGTGGTCTGTATCCCAGTGCCACCAGAATCTTTACTAAGTTTCTAGGCTCTAACAACTTGATCCTGTTGCCTTTGTACCCCCAGCCCTGGGAGGGAGTGGCAGCAACTTTCTGAAGCTACTATCTCTGTATTATCTCTGCATTCTCTTTTCACTTTTGCAGCCTTTGTGTTCCTCCTATACCTTGTTAACCCATTCCCTCTGTAACATTCTACTCCTAAAATTGCTGGGTGTTTTCCTAACCAGACCCTGAGGAATACCCTCCCTCATGAGCCTTTCTCTTTTTCTCGCACTACTTCTCATCTTAGCATCTGCGAACACTAGGTACTTTAGATGCCTTCTTATTCAAGTCCCCCACACTCCATTTGAATATAAGCTCCATGAGAACATAAAATTTGTGTTTTCTTTCTTGTTGAATACCCAGACTTCAGAACAGTTTCTTCTATTAGGTATGCCTTCAATATGTATCTGTCAAAAGAACAAATGAATGAATGAATGGGTGTAGAATGAACAAATGAAATAAATGGTTTTTTTTTTTTTTTTAGATGGAGTCTTGCTGTGTCACCAGGCTGGAGTGCAGTGGCATGATCTCGGCTCACTGCAATCTCCACCTCCCGGGTGGAGCGATTCTCCTACCTCAGCCTCCCGAGTAGCTGGGACTACAGGCGCACACCACCACACTCGGCTAATTTTTGTACTTTTAGTAGAGACAGGGTTTCACCATGTTGGCCAGAATGGTCTTGATCTCTTGACCTCGTGATCCGCCCACCTCAGCCTCCCAAATTGCTGGGATTACAGGTGGGAGCCACCGCGCTCGGCTGGCTCTGGTTATTTCTACGGCTTTATGCTTCCGCTCTCCGCTGTCCTATCCCATGTCCATTCTTGGCACTCTGTTACTCTCTCTAAACTAAATTCAGCTTCTATAGGTACCTTCTAGGCTAGCTGGCACTGGATAAGACTATCGAAATTGGATACTTTAGGTTAGTGGTTCTCAACTGTTATCCCCGGCAATGTCTGGAGACCACTTTCATCGTCACGACTAGGAGGCAAATGTCCCTCTGGCATCTATTTTGCAGGGAGGCTGCAAAATGTCCATCCATGTGCAGAACAGCCCCCCATGACCAGGAATCATCCAGTCCAAAATGTCAACCATGCCGCTGTTGCTATTAAGAAACCCTGATTTCGATGTTAACTGTTTAGAAACAAGAGATTCCTCAGATGATACTTTTAGGCATCTTTTGGTCCTGTTAATTTATTTCTCTGGCTATATAAGGCCAAGTATCCTTGATGAAGAAAGATACAACTGTTTTTGTCATGGCCAAGGACCCAGATGTTTTTCAACAAAATGATATTTGAAATGCTGAGAACAGAATATCCGGAGGACTGGCTAAATATTTGGCTCTTTGGCTGGACTTTTGTAGAGTTATACAGACAGAGTCTGTGATTAAAAGTCAGAGAGCAATATGATAGCCAGAGGGCCAGGGGAGGGGTGAGGGCAGGCAGTGGGTTGTATATGATGTTGCATAAGAAATGTTTAAAAGAACAGAGTGTCTTCTTTCTATTGATCCAAATCCCCTAATAATAATTATAAGAACCAGCTGTTTTTCTCCCAAATAATCCAAAGAATAGCCATTAACTGGAGACACAGAGTTTAAAAATGACATAAATCACTTGGGTATTTACATTTTGAAGGTCATTGTGGATGAGCCAGGTGATCTCCTCCTGGACTTCAATTATCAAAATATATTTTCCTAAAAAATTGACCTGCTTGGGTAATTGCTATTCTGATGAACTCCAACCCTAAGCTTCCTCTTCTACGCCCACATTTCCTTGAACAAGTTCATTCTATCATCTTAGCTACCAAAATATCCACAAGGTATATTTTTCTTCTCAGTGTATGGCAGCAATCCCATCTAATACATCAAGTGGAATACAAAGTACTATACAACTGTTATAAATTTTTCTGGCACAATTCCCAGAGTCACTACTCAGTGTCATCTTCTTTCCAAACTATACTTACTAACTTTTTTAGTAAACACATTTGAGCTTTCACCCATATTCATCATCTTTAAATTATAACTCCTCTAATCAAATAATTAAAGATGGTCATTAAAAGAACATTTAGTTGGTTTCACATACTTGCTGCTAAAATTGCAGTTGTTTAAAGACATTAAAGATAGTGTGTCCCAGAGGATACCTGTGAAGTTTGCCAGATAACACGGAGATGTCCAGCTAAATTTAAATATCAGATAAACCACATGGTTTTAAGCAAAAGTATCTCTCATGCAATATATGGGAAAGCTTTGTACTTGAAAACTTGTGGTTTATCTGAAATTCAAGTTTAACTGAATGTCCTATATTTTTATTTGCTAAATCTGACAACCTAGTGCTCGTCTGTCAAGGTTTACATCTTTGCAAACTCTTTTAATACAGGATTTCTTTTAAATAATATTAGCAAGAATATTTTCTTTGTGATTCATGGACTGTTCTTCTCTAATGAAGAGATACTCACAAAATAATTAGAATCTCTAGGAATATTTACCTCACTGAAAATAAAGCAGTCATGAACTCTGGTTTCAAATTATCAACCCAGAATATCCTGAAAACAAGTTCCATGATCTTGACCATTTGCAAAGTGCATAGTTGCTGTTTCCTTTAGACTCTAATGCAACTAAAACTGAGTTCCCCTCTCTCCACTTAATCACAGGTCCCAGAGGAAAACCCAATGATTCCCCTTTTGGTTGATGATCAGTGGACATGGCATGTGAAGAAATAACTCCTTAGCCATGTCACATATGGTCATCGAACCAGGCTTGGCTCAGCTGATCTGATTACCTGAGTTTTCTCCTGATTAATTCTGAATGACACAGAAAAATCAATCATGAGGACAGCCAAAATAATCATCTAGTCAGATGATTCAGTTATATAAACTTGACCTTAACCTCTGCCTCTCAACCTATGTTCATTTCAAAGAGATTTTAGCAGATATGTGGGTAGGGGGAAGTAATAGTAGTAATGTTTTCCTCAAAATCTACTGTCTAACAAGTCAGTAATTTAAGCGATTCCATTAAATGTAATTAACTAGCTTTAGGAATTCTTTTGTTTTTCCTCTTTTCTTTATACTAAAGAACACACATTATAAAATCTTAATCATATAAAACATCTACTCTGAATTGAATACCAGACACTAAGTAATTCAGCCCCAACCTCACAACTGGAAACACTTAGACACATTTTTTTCCTAACACTATACTGATACCTTTGTTCGTGAAAAATATATACTATTAAAAAATACAGATGTTTTGCCTTCCTATATTTCAGGGCACTATGACAGAAGTCTCTTTTCTCCTATGTGAAAATTATGTATTTTCTCCTTAATGAAGTGCAAGTGCCTTCTTACTTTAAAATTCCAAAGACAAAATTCTTAAATATGACCTATTCACTAACTCATGACACAGTGGATACAAGCCTACTGTAATACACATTGTTTTTAGACATGAGGTTGTAGACACTAAAATGAGGGTAGAAAAGGAGGAAGCACAGTTATACAGACAGTGAGCAATAAGTGTGCCAATAACATAGTAAAGAAGCTTAAAAGTAGAAGATTTGAATAACATTAACAAATCAAAGAATTTTCCTGGGAGTACTACATGGTTTAATTTTTTTTTTTTTTTTTTTTTTTTTCTGAGATGGATTCTCACTCTGTCACCCAGGCTGGAATGCAGTAGCACGATCTCGGCTCACTGCAACCTCCACCTCCCAAGTTCAGGCAATTCTCCAGCCTCAGCCTCCCAAGTAGCTGGGACTACAGGTGCACCCCACTGCATCTGGCTAATTTTTGTATTTTTAGTAGAGACGGGGTTTCACCATGTTGGCCAGGCTGGTCTCAAACTCCTGACTTCAGGTGATCTGCCCACCTTGGCTTCCCAAAGTGCTGGGATTACAGGTGTGAGCCACCACCCTCGGCCGATGGTGTAATTTTTGAAGGACAAATATGAGTTTGTCACCTGAACCAAAAGAACAGGAACATTCCCAGCACACACTTAAAAAAGCAAACAACCTCCCTCCTCCAATCAGCACACATGTTATGACTGTATGAAACAAATGATGTATTTGGAAGCCCCAAGCATTTTTGAGGGTTTGAACACCAAGTATAAAGCAAAGAGTAGGAATGAGGCTAGGGAAGTGGGAAATACCTTACTGCTTCCTTTTGAAGTACTGCAGGATCAACTAAGAAAATCAGAGCAGGGGCTGAGCTGGCAAAGTGAGCAGATTGGCTCAATGGAGCTTAAGAAATATTAGTCGTGAACTGTTGTGCAAGTGAAGGGAGAATGAGAAGTCCCTACAGAGGGGAACTCAGAAGCCAGGGCACTGAAGAGGAATCGGTGACTTTGACAGTGAGAGGGAGTTTGCCTTGGGATATTTGGACACAAATCATTCATTCAGCCAACACACAACATTTCGTTCAGCCAAACTGCAGGCATTGCCAATGTGATAGTACTAAGCAATGGGGACTTTAAGAGGTAATGAGGCCGCTAGGGCTCCTCCCTTGTGAATGGTATTAAGTCCCCTATAGAGGAAGCTTCACACAGTTCACTCACTTGCCCTTCTGCCATGTGAACACACAGCGTTCCTCCCCTCTGGAGGAGCTGCCCTCATGAGACAATTGAACCTGCCAGTGCCTCGATCTTGGACTTCTCAGCCTCCAGAACTGTAAACAATAAATTTGTGTTCTTTATGCATTACCCAGTCATTGGTATTTAGTTATAGCAGCACAAACAAAGATACGCTGGTTGTTCAAAATGAAAGAAAATTAAAATCTTATGCTTCCTTTTCTGCTATGTTTCCTATTTCTGCTTTAACAAATTATCACAAACGTGTGGCTTAAAACAACACACATTCATTATTTTACTGTTCTGGGGGTCAGTAGCGTGAAATGTTTCTCACTGGGCTGCAATCAAGGCGTCGGCAGGGCTGCATTCCTTTCTGGAGGTTCTCAGGAAAAATCCATTTTCCTTCCTTTTGCAGCTACTAGAGGCTGCTCACTTTCCTTGGCTTGTGGCTGTCCTGTCATCATCAAAGGCAGTAATGGTCAGTAGAACCTTTCTCATATCACATCCCTCCAAAGGGAAAGTCCTGCCTCTCTCTTCCACTTTTAAGGATTCCTGTGATTACACTGGGCCCACCTGGATAATCCAGGCTCATCTTTTCACTTCAAGGACAGGTGATTAGCAAACTTAATTCCACCTGAAACCTTAATTCCCTCCTGCCAGGTAGCACATTCCACAGGTTCCAGGGATTAGAGCATAATTGAGAAGGAGGTATTATTTGGCCTACCATACTGGTTTTAGAAATGCATGTTCTAGTACCCAAGACCCTGGTAGAGTGCACCATCCACAGAAGCCACGTGAATCTTACAAGATAGCGTTGAAGAGAGGAAAATCTTTGTTCCATCCACTGGCTTGTGGCACGGGACAGAATGGGAGACTGGAACTATTCAAGTTAAAATGAAGTTAAAGCTGAGCAGTGCTACTTTGCAAATTTACTGGAATAAAGAAGCAGGCTTTTTGCTTGATCTAGCTTATATCCTGTTAGAAACAAAATAGCCAGGCAAAACTACAGGAGAAAATGTATCATTAAATAGAATAAAAGACCAGGAAAGTTTGATCTTTTCCAGGTGGGATAAACAGTTAACTCTCAGTAGACAATGTTTTCCTGTTGCTAGGCTGACTAGCGGTGGTGGCTGAGCTGTTTATCTTTAAGAAAACATACCTACCTATATCTTTTAACTTGACAACTACAATATAATCTGTCTGGGGGTTGTTCATCATTTAAGAAAGGGTGAAAAAAGTCCTCTCCCAGAAAGTGTTCAAATCCGTGAGCTGAAATGATGATAACATCATGAGAGGCATCATAATTTATCTGTAGCATGTAAATCACTGCGGCTCCCCTCTGAGGATGCTCGCTAAAATGATGAATAGCTCTGCGCGCTGTGAGAGCGACCCTGAGGAATTCACCAGCCAGACTTTGACAGGAGAGCTGCCTCCCAGTCTCTTCCGGATGGGAAGAAGCAATGACTTAACAGGTTTGAAAATTCAGTTTTTTAATCACTTGTTAAAATATTTAGTTTGACTTTATCCATAAAGGCACAGTCTGGCAAGAGTTGAACAATGACCCTAAGAAACCAATCAAGATCCAACCTGGTCTGGGTGATGCTGGCCTGCCAGACATTTTTTTTTTTTTTTTTGTTCCCCCACTGGATGTATTCAGCTGTGTCTCAACTTGCTCTTTGCCAGTAAAACTAGTCTTAGAGCCAAACATTTCCTGCATTTTCTAACACAAGAGGTCCCTCAAGTGTCTGCATACCCTTGCAGCCTCCTGCATAAAATAGAAGTGAGAATGTTAGAGAAAAGGAAATGTCATTTTATGGGTTTTATTTTAGAAAATCTAACATTTATCGTAAAAGATCAATAGATAACATTCTGTTGAAGTTTTCACTGTAGTGCCCTGTGGAGGTGTGGATGATCGAATTCTTTTTAGTTTTAGCAATTGTTATGGGCTGAATGTGTCCACCCCCTAAATTCATATGTCGAAGCCCTACCCGCCAATGGGATGGTATTGGGAGGTGGAGACTTTGGGAGGTGATTAGGTTTAGATTAGATCATGAGGGTGTGACTTGCATGATAGGATTTGTGCCCTTATAAGATAACGAAGACAGAGGTATCTCCTTCTTTCTCTCGTCTCCCTCTCTCCTTCTTCTCTCCCTCTTGTCCACTGTCCCTCTCTTCTCTCCCTCTCTCCCTCCTCTTTCTCCTCTCACTCCTCTCTCCCTCTCTCCCTATCTCTCCATATGCCCAAGCATTGAAAAAGCCATGTGAGCTGGAAGTGAGAAGGTGGTTATTTACAAACCAGGAATCTGGCCTCCACCAGGAACCAAATCTGCCAGCATTTTGATCTTGGACTTTGAGCCTCCAAAACTGTGAGCAATAAATATCTGTTGTTAATCTACCTAGTCTGTGGTATTTTTTATAGTAGCCTGAGCTGACTAAGAAAGTAATTTAAGGGTAAGAAATATTTTATTAAATTTTATATTGCCTGTAGCATCCATCATAGTACTTCAAATACAGAGAAAACTCAGTGTGATATTATTAAAAATAATGAGAGTAGAGATTATAAGAAACATGGTTGGAGTGCTTACTCTGTGTCAGGTACAATGTGAAGCACATTGTATATTTTAGTTCATTTAATTCTCACAGAAGCCACATGTGATAGGTATTATCTATCCATATTATAGCTAAGGAAGTTAAAGTGTGGAGAAGTTGACCTGTCCAAAGTCTCCCAGCTAGGAAGTGGCAGAGCTGTGATATAACTCCTGGTGCATCTAATTACAGAGTGAGACTCTTAATCTGCATGATCCTAACTGCATTAGTTTACCAAGGTTTCCATAACAAATTATTAGAAACACGGGACTTAAAACAAGATAAATTCATTTTTCACAGCTTTTGAGGCTAGAATCGAGGTGTCAGCAGGACCATGCTCCATCTGGAGGCTCTAGGGAAGAATCCTTCCTTGAGTCTTCCTAACTCTTGGGGGCTCCCAGCATCTCTTGGCACTCCTGAGCTTTGCTCAAATCTCTTCCTCCATCTTCACATGGCCTTCTGACCTGTGTCTCTTTATGTATCCTCTCTTCTTTTTTTCCCCCCCAATAATATCATTCATTGGATTTAGAGCCCACTATAGTCCATTATGACCTCATCTTAACTACTTAAGTTTGCAAAGCCTTTTTTTTCCAAATAAGGTCACTTTCTGAGATTCACTTGAATGAGTTTGGTGGAGGGCACACTATTCAGCCCACTACATGAACCATTTCACCTCATTTTCTTCCATTTTTACTGTATTTGTGTCTCCCTAAAATTTATATGTTGAAATCTTAACCCCCAGTGTGATGATAATAGGGGGTGGGGCTTTTGGAGGATGATTAGGACATGGAAGTAGAGCCCTCATGAATGAGATTAATGCTCTTATTTAAAAGGACTAGAAAATTCTCACCCCTTTTACCATGCAGATGCAGCAAGAAGGCACCATCTATGAGCCAGAGAGCAGGCCCTCATCAGACATGAAGTCTTCCTTGATCTTGGACTTCCCAGCGTCTAGAACAGTCAGAAATAAATGTCTGTTGTTTACAAGCTACCCAGTTTATGGTGTTATGTTATAGCAGCCCAAACAGACTAAGATAAGCCTCTCATCTGAGCATCCTTCTTTCCTGACAGAATTATTTCTTGCTGGGCTGGACATGGTGGCTCATGCCTGTAATCCCAGCACTTTGGGAGGCTGAGGCAGGTGGATCACTTGAGGTCAGGAGTTTGAGACCAGCTTGGCCAACAGGGAGGAACCCCATCTCCACTAAAAATACAAAAATTAGCCAAGTGTGGTGGCACACACCTGTAGTCCCAGCCAGCAGGAGAATCTCTTGAATCCAGGAGACGGAGGTTACAGTGAGCTGAGATGGCACCACTGCACTCCAGCCTGGGTGACTCCATCTCAAAAGAAAAAAAAAATTATTTCTTGCGGGACTTCCTTTGCCCATTTACTATTACCCCTGTTAAAAATGTTCCTTCTGCTGATCCACACAAACAGCAGCTTTAAACCTGACTCTATCATGAAATGTTTTATTTCTTGTCCATGTCATTTTCTTGGTACAGAATCAAAAGTTGCGTCTAAAGACTTATGTTTGTGATATTTTATGTCTGTGGAACCCTTGCATTACTGTTTAGGATTTGAAGTCTCCACCCCTGGCTTGTTTGCTACTTTGGATCTGGATCTGTTGAGCTTTACTCTTTGGTGTCCATCCTGTTCTTAGCATGGCATCCAACAGAGCCAATGGAGTTCTTGTGCAGTGACTGTTCATGGGATGGCCGCATAGAGAAATGAGTGGAGGGTACTTGTGACCCCTTGTCAATAGTATCCCATCTTCGAGTTGCCTTTATATCAATGAAAAGGAATGTGGCATGGACACTGGATTTAGCACAGCTTGTAAAAGGCACTGCAAAATTCTGCATACCCTTCCTTGGCAGGTTCTAAAACTGTAAAAGAGAAGATACTGTATTAGTCTGGATTCTCTAGAGGGAAAGAACTAATAAAATATATACATACATATATATATGATAGGATATATATATACACTAATATATATACTAATAGGATATATATATATATGTATATATATATATGAGTATATTAAGTATTAACTCACAGGATCACAAGGTCACACCATATGCCGTCTGCAAGCTGAGGAGCAAGGAGAGCCAGTCTGAGTCCCAAAACTGAAGAACTTGGAGTCCAATGTTCAAGGGCAGGAAGCATCCAGCACAGGAGAAAGATGTAGGCTGGAAGGCTAGGCCAGTCTAGTCTTTTCACGTTTTTCTGCCTGCTTTATATTATAGCCATGCTGGCAGCTGATTAGATGGTGCCCACCCAGTTTAAGGGTGGGTCTGCCTTTCCCAGCCCACTGACTCAAATGTTAATCTCCTTTGGCAACATCCTCAGAGACACACCCAGAATCAATACTTTGTACCCTTCAATCCAATCAAGTTCAGTATTAACCATCACAGATACAGACTGTCATAGTGAAATCCACAGTCCAAATGTTCCAGCTTGGGTAACAGAGGAACAAGAGCCAAGTGAGAAGGAAAGGGGTCCTAGAAGCTATGTGGTAACCTTATTCATATATTTACCTGACTAAAATCTAAAAATAGCCCTTCCTTAGCTGACACCCCACCCACAGACAACTGTTGAGAACTTGTAACACTGATCTTTAAGATTCACACAGAAGAACAGGGTCACTTTTATTAAGACAAAACACATAGCTCTCTGTAGTTTTTAGCAAAGCAGGACAAGTTTGGTGTGGCTGTTGAAGAAGCAAGGTGGGCCTTTTGCTTTGGGGATTCATAGCTCTCTTCCCGTACAAGAAGCCTGCTCTTTGTAGAAAATGCCAGACTCTACATCAACACAGCTACAGTCCACAGTTTTATCTGAGCACAAATGAAGAAGGCTGGTGTTTCCAACAGAGTGTTCACTAAATTCTAAGGGATATAAAAAGGCAAAACTGGAGGAAAAAAGAGAGAAAAGGACAAGAGAAAAGAAGAAAAGGGAAAAGTGTGAGGTGTATATAAGTCTCTAAAATTACAGTGCCCTGGAAGATGACAGAGTGGTGGGTGTTAGCATGGGCTTTGGTGTCAGCCTTGCCAGGCTGAGGGACCCACCCTGGTCATCACCTCACCCACATCTTGCCCACTTTGGACTGGGGCCCTTGGCAGCCATGTTGCCTGGCTTCCCTTCTCCCAGCTCCTTTCTGCCTACTTACTGCCTTTTTTTTTTTTCCTGCTTTCTGAGTGTTAAGTACCTAGATTGTCATTTCTTCCAACAAGATAAAAAATCCACATGCTCATTCATTTAGTAACCCGAGCCCTTTCTTTGTGTTCTTAACTCTAGGAATGTCATCTTGAGTTGACTGGCAGGACAGTGGCTCTGACTAGATAATCATGGTAATGTATGTCCTCATTCAGATATGTCTGTCTTTCTACCTTCATTGTTTCATGTAACTCTCCTGAATAAAGCTTGTTACTTGTTCCTGGGAACATAAAGCTGAAAAAGACAAATTCAAGATCTCAAAGTATTTACAGTGTAGGATGCAGAGAGTTAGTAACTATAGAGAGCGGTGCTAAGTGTTAGGGAGGAGAGACACATCAGATATTCAGATAGCAAAAAAAGACTCGTCTAAATTATTCGGGTGCTGTGGGGTTATAGACGGCTTCTAAAAGGATGTAAAATTCTCACTATGTTTCACACATAGAAAAAACAATATTATTTCAGCAGGAAATGTACTCGATTACCACTCCCCCCAAAAAAACCGCACAAACATAATTCTTTGATAACTGCATTGTTTGTGTCTTACACCCAGCAAGTTGGAAATGTAAGGGCATTTCTTAAGCACCTGCCTTCCTGGGTCATTCCTCTGGGAAATTAGACATAGCCTAAGGGTATGCATTAGCTTTTCTCAGGGCTGCCATAACAAAGGACCACAGACTGGGTGGCTTAGCAACAGAAACTTACTTTCTTTTTTTTTTTTCATTTTAAATATAATTTAATTGTAAGATTCCACAACTTAATTTTTAATAACGTCTGTGTTAACAATTGACTATAAAGTTCTGAAAAATTTAACAATTACCTTTCAGAAGTTGATGAGAGTCAGCTCTGACACATTACTACACAAAATCCTAGTATAGTGACTTAAACACAACACATTTCCTTTGTTTTGTGTGACAGGAAGTTCAGGGATGAGCATCTGAGGGCTGGTGGCTCATCAGGAACCAAGACTCTTTTCTTCTGCTCTGATGTCCCAAGCACAATATCACCACCGATCCCACAGAAATACAAACTACCATCAGAGATTACTACACACACCTCTATGCAAATAAACTAGAAAATCTAGAAGAAATGGATAAATTCCTCGACACATACACTCTCCCAAGACTAAACCAGGAAGAAGTTGAATCTCTGAATAGACCAATAACAAGAGCTGAAATTGTGGCAATAATCAATAGCTTACCAACCAAAAAGAGTCCAGGACCAGATGGATTCACAGCCGAATTCTAACAGAGGTACAAGGAGGAACTGGTACCATTCCTTCTGAAACTATTCCAATCAATAGAAAAAGAGGGAATCCTCCCTAACTCATTTTATGAGGCCAGCATCATCCTGATACCAAAGCCGGGCAGAGACACAACCAAAAAAGAGAATTTTAGACCAATATCCTTGATGAACATTGATGCAAAAATCCTCAATAAAATACTGGCAAACCGAATCCAGAAGCACATCAAAAAGCTTATCCACCATGATCAAGTGGGCTTCATCCCTGGGATGCGAGGCTGGTTCAATATACACAAATCAATAAATGTAATCCAGCATATAAACAGAACCAAAGACAAAAACCACATGATTATCTCAATAGATGCAGAAAAGGCCTTTGACAAAATTCAACAATGCTTCATGCTAAAAACTCTCAATAGATTAGGTATTGATGGGACGTATCTCAAAATAATAAGAGCTATCTATGACAAACCCACAGCCAATATCATACTGAATGGGCAAAAACTGGAAGCATTCCCTTTGAAAACTGGCACAAGACAGGGATGCCCTCTCTCACCACTCCTATTCAACATAGTGTTGGAAGTTCTGGCCAGGGCAATTAGGCAGGAGAAGGAAATAAAGGGTATTCAATTAGGAAAAGAGGAAGTCAAATTGTCCCTGTTTGCAGATGACATGATTGTATATCTAGAAAACCCCATTGTCTCAGCCCAAAATCTCCTTAAGCTGATAAGCAACTTCAGCAAAGTCTCAGGATACAAAATCAATGTACAAAAATCACAAGCATTCTTATACACCAATAACAGACAAACAGAGAGCCAAATCATGAGTGAACTCCCATTCACAATTGCTTCAAAGAGAATAAAATACCTAGGAATCCACCATACAAGGGACATGAAGGACCTCAAGGAGAACTACAAACCACTGCTCAATGAAATAAAAGAGGATACAAACAAATGGAAGAACATTCCATGCTCATGGGTAGGAAGAATCAATATCGTGAAAATGGCCATACTGCCCAAGGTAATTTATAGATTCAATGCCATCCCCATCAAGCTACCAATGACTTTCTTCACAGAATTGGAAAAAACTGCTTTCAAGTTCATATGGAACCAAAAAAGAGGCCGCGTCGCCAAGTCAATCCTAAGCCAAAAGAACAAAGCTGGAGGCATCACGCTACCTGACTTACCAAACTATACTATAAGGCTACAGTAACCAAAACAGCATGGTACTGGTACCAAAACAGAGATATAGATCAATGGAACAGAACAGAGCCCTCAGAAATAATGCCACGTATCTACAACTATCTGATCTTTGACAAACCTGAGAAAAACAAGCAATGGGGAAAGGACTCCCTATTTAATAAATGGTGCTGGGAAAACTGGCTAGCCATATGGAGAAAGCTGAAACTGGATCCCTTCCTTACACCTTATACAAAAATCAATTCAAGATGGATTGAAGACTTAAACGTTAGACCTAAAACCATAAAAACCCTAGAAGAAAACCTAGGCATTACCATTCAGGACATAGGCATGGGCAAGGACTTCATGTCTAAAACACCAAAAGCAATGGCAACAAAAGACAAAATTGACAAATGGGATCTAATTAAACTAAAGAGCTTCTGCACAGCAAAAGAAACTACCATCAGAGTGAACAGGCAACCTACAAAATGGGAGAAAATTTTCACAACCTACTCATCTGACAAAGGGCTAATATCCAGAATCTACAATGAACTCAAACAAATTTACAAGAAAAAAACAAACAACCCCATCAAAAAGTGGGGGAAGGACATGAACAGACACCTCTCAAAATAAGACATTTATGCAGCCAAAAGACCCATGAAAAAATGCTCACTATCACTGGCCATCAGAGAAATGCAAATCAAAACCACAATGAGATACCATCTCACACCAGTTAGAATGGCAATCATTAAAAAGTCAGGAAACAACAGGTGCTGGAGAGGATGTGGAGAAATAGGAACACTTTTACACTGTTGGTGGGACTGTAAACTAGTTCAACCATTGTGGAAGTCAGTGTGGTGATTCCTCAGGGATCTAGAACTAGAAATACCATTTGACCCAGCCATCCCATTACTGGGTATATACCCAAAGACTATAAATCATGCTGCTATAAAGACACATGCACACGTATGTTTATTGCGGCACTATTCACAATAGCAACGACTTGGAACCAACCCAAATGTCCAACAATGATAGACTGGATTAAGAAAATGTGACACATATACACCATGGAATACTATGCAGCCATAAAAAATGATGAGTTCATGTCCTTTGTAGGGACATGGATGAAATTGGAAATCATCATTCTCAGTAAACTATCTCAAGAACAAAAAACCAAACACCGCATATTCTCACTCATAGGTGGGAACTGAACAATGAGAACATATGGACACAGGAAGGGGAACATCACATTCTGGGGACTGTTGTGGGGTGGGGGGAGGGGTGAGGGATAGCATTGGGAGATATACCTCATGCTAGATGATGAGGTAGTGGGTGCAGCGCACCAGCATGGCACATGTATACATATGTAACTAACCTGCACATTGTGCACATGTACCCTAAAACTTAAAGTATAATACTAAAAAAAAAAAATAAATAAATTAAAAAAAGACAAAAAAGGTCCACAAGCCAACAAATGAGGGTGGCTTCTAGAGCTGGAAAAGGCAAGGAACCAGATTCTCCCCTAAGGCCTCCAGAGGGAGTCCATTCCTCCTAACAAAGCACTTCCTGTCTCCAGAACAGTAAGATAACAAATGTGCATTGTTTTTAGCCGCTGTTGTTTTGCTTTAAGTTTTGTGAAAATTCAGTACGGCAGCAATAGGAAACGAATACAGTGTCTTTTACCAAATAAACACACTTCACCCTTTTCCTGCTCCCTTGTTGCTCCATGGCATGCAGACATGGAGTGGATGGCAGCCACCTCGCAATCTGGAAGCCATTTGAAGGAGGATGAAACTTACTTTCTCAAAGTTCTGGAGGCTAGAAGTCTAAGATCAAGGTTTCAGCAGGGTCGATATCTTCTGAGGCTTCTCTCCTTGGCTTGTAGATGGTTGTCTCCTCTCTGCCTTCACAGGGTCTTCCTTCTGTACCAGTTTGTGTCCAAATTTTCTCTTCTTCTAAGGATGCCAGTTGTAATGAAGTAGGACCACTCTAGGGACCTCATCCTAACTTAATTACCTCTTTAAAGCCTTCCCTGTAATTGCAGTCACATTCTGAGGAACTTGGGATTGGTGCTTCAACCCATGAATTTTTGGTGGACACAATTAGGCCCATCACAGGATGATGGAGGTGTGTACTTCAGAGCCAGACCAACACGATTTCAAATCCAAGCTCAAGTTGTGATCTGAAGGGATCTTTATGGTCTCTGGCCTCAGTTCTGTCTATTAGGAAGTAAGATTAATGAGAATTTGCGAGGGATGTGCTACACTTAGCACTAGCTAGTGCCTGATAAATTGCAGCAACTTGATAAACGGTAACAGTTATTCCATTGCTAATGCTCAGTGTCACCAATGATAGTTGATGATGCTTCTCTGGGCAGCAGATCCTCTCTTACTATTACTTCTTCCTTCTGTGCTACGTTTTTAATCCCTGGAGCCTTTTGATAGACACGTTTGCCCAGCAGATTCCTCTGGCTCTTATCAGGACAGTTTGGAACAATGAAACATTTTCTAGCCTCCCTTTTGTCTCAGGTCCAGGCACTGATCCTGCACTGTGACAACATTTTCTTGACCCTTACTGGAAATAAGAAAAAAAAAAGATAAAGAGAAAATTGTGGTCTTCGCCTTCCAGTAATGTAATGGAGTCTTTTTCCTTGGGGTTTGGCAGAAAGAGGCACTGGTGGCAGCATGACAGGGTCATGCCCTCCTGCTCATGGTTGCTGTTCCACTTGAGGCCCCCCTAAACATAGATGAGGGCCATGGGGAGCCCACAATACAACCTGTCATCAGGAAGCCCTGGGAAACACAAATTGTGTTTTGGAATAAAACAAACAAACACCAGCATTTGAATACCCTCACGCCCAAGGTCATTTGTGTCACCCACTTGGCCTGCGGGACCCCAGGGAAACATAAAACCAGTGAGCAGCCCTTTGATCTCACACCTTCTTTGGACCATTTTAATCAATTAACCATGAAGTCCCTCCACTTCGCTTATGCAGACCTCTATATAAAATGACTTTGGTCTGGCTGACACGTTACTGCATCCGAGATCAAAGACTGTAGCAAATGCCAAATTCAGCCAGGATAATTCTGAGCCTTTTTTCCCAGCCCACTCCTCTCCCAGCTCTTAGAAGCACTTTTCTTGCAAGGTCAGAAAGGGGAGATTTTGAATGCTGATGGACAAAAAAACGAGCTTCGTGAGGATGTGAGGAGACCATCAGTACAAGAGGCGAGGTGGTGGCTAGCAGAGGAGGCTGGGATGCACTCAGCTAAAACAAAGTACATTTTAAAAGTTAATAATGCCCATAGAAGAAAAAAATGAAAAATGCTTTCTGAAGTAATTTGAAGAGTGGCCTCCTGTTTAGTTATGAGATTTAGATCTCTGGAAGCAGGCACTGAATCCCCTGGACTCAGGATTGCAGCCTAACCTAATCACCCGCTATTAGTGATATATGGCACCGTCATTCTCGGGAATAAAACTCCTTCCCATGTGTGTGTGCATTAGTGAGCAAGTGTGGGGGTGGAACTGTGCTTCCCACCATTTTACCACAAAGGGAAAGTTGAGAATGATCATTTGTGGTGACCCTACTGTGTCTTGGGCTAGTGCTAGGAATTTTATGTATTATCTAAATGTCTGTCATCACAATAACTCTGGGGAAGGCAGAATATATTATCTTCATTTCTCAGATGATGAGCCCAAATCTGAGAGCAGTTCACAGGCTTACTGGTGGTCAGACACTGACCTCCAAACCCCACCTCTTTAATAATACCTACTTGTCATCACACACTTGTGTAATCTTTCACCTGTGGGCTTCATCTTGTGAAATATTTGGTCCACCATACCCCCTGAAATAATTTATTTTCTTGATTTCAAGTACAGACATCTATAACTGTTGATCAGAGCTCTCGGTCAGCATGAGCTAACCAGTGTCAGGATACTCAGCTCATAAATTGCCAGTCAAAAGCAAAGGAAGTGCAGACTCACCACAGGAAAATAAGTTACACCTACCTGAAAGATGGAAAATATTAATAATTATAATTCTTGATTAAGCACCTTTTATGGACCACTCATGGCTGTGGGCACCTTGCTCATATTATCATTAATCTTTCCTATGGTCCTGTGACACAGACATCCCTATCCCCACTTTATATATATGATGGATAAAGAAGAAGGAGAAAGACTTAGTGTTTCTCAGCTAGTAACTGGGATTTGAATTTCTAGTTCCTTTCATACAACTTCTTAATCTTTATTAATTATCTTCTTAGAATCCCAGAGTTTGAGAATACAGACTATGAAGGCTTAAATGTAGGAGGTGCTATTACTACTTTGAAGAAAATGTGATACTCTTAAAAGGCTCTTCCAACATTTGAACATTTCTGCAGGGTAGAGAGATCTCACTGAGCTACTGTGGTGTGGCCCTTGGCTGGATGTGAATGACCAGTGGATTCCCAACCTGAGAAGCTTCGTGAAGCCAGCACCAAAGCAGTTAGTGAACCATTAAGTTGAATTCTTATTTCATATGAAAGTATCTCCTAATGCTGGTTCCAATAGGAAAACAACAACAACAACAAGAATTTAGAAGCTTTAAAAAATAAGTGACTCTATATACTGTCAAACTCAGAAAAATAAAAATTATGAAAGAGCAAAGTAAAATAAACTTTCAATTCAGTTCCAAGAAAAGTCAAGAAGCTGGAAACATATCCAGAGTCCACATGTGCAGAGCTGAGCCACAATCATTATACAAAGCAAAGTGGAAAGTTTGGGGTGAGCTTTGGAAAGGAAGAGAGCCTGGTTCTGTGGCTTGGAGATTGTGGTCCAGAGAGCTGGGTATGGAAAGAGCCCCCTACATCATGTCATTCTTAACAGCACATGTGGTAGGGACCAGGGTTAGAAGCACTGAGTGAACTAGGAAAAGCAGATGTCTGTGTGGTCAGGGGGCAACTTAGTTGGTCAAGAATTCTGAAAAATAAGAAGGTAGTTTTGGCTTATGATCCAGTAGGAAACCAGCGAAGGGAGGTGTTTCCGATATAGGAACCAAACCATGGGATGAGGATGCTCTCACTGCTCTGGTTGGGTTTGGAATCTCTCTTTTGAGGAGACAGCAGCATCTTGAACCAAAAAGAAATTCATCTTCAGCTTAAGTGCTGCACATAGGAAATGGGACAGAACCATCAATAATAGCTAATAGCTATTGAGTGTTTAATAAGTGCTGATTCTAATCACTGGATATAGTTGAAGCCATTATACCCTCATAGTAACCCTGTGACGTGAACACTGTAGATGAGGAAACTGAGACACTAAGACTGGCAAATTGACCTGCCTAAGGTCACATGATAGACATATGCTAGAGTTGAGGTTTGACAGTCAGGCCCTGGACATCAGAGGTAGTTCACTAAGCCACTGTATTTCAGTGACTTCCACTGCATATTAGAGCCCTAATGCAGTCACACAGCTGCTGTTCAATCTACATTCTTTTCAGTAGGTTAGGGAATTTTACTCCAGGGTGAGGAAGACAATTGGGTATTTCCTTATCATTGTGTTTAATTTTTGCTTAATGTGAATATACTTCTCAAAAACATAAAAATTAGGGATTGGAGCACAGTTCTGATATAATGACTATGTGATTGCCTTAAATGAATTATATTAACCAAATTTCGCTGAACTTAGATTTCTCTGGGAAGGAGCTGCCCCACAGATGAATAAACTGGAGACTCAGACACTGAGACAAAGCAGCTGATTCCTTAAGGTTAGCTCTAAAGGTGAGGTGAGTACCTACCTGGGCAGCTACTAGGCATCAAGCACCCAGATTAGGGCATTACCCACATCAATATCAAGGTCACCCACCCCCTGAGGAAAAGAGAACTGGGATGGCATCACCATTCAAACATGGGTCTATTTTATTCTCATATGGGTACCTTTTCCACGTATCATAGTATCACACAAAGGCAAAAGAAAATTTAAAAATGGAAACTTCGTAGGCTCTGGTCAGAGCACATGACCTTAGTATCCTGTTCTTCAATTCTCACTGAAAGTTCAACTGTGACAAAAAAGGAATTCAATATTCATGGATGATAAACTAAAGCAGAGGTCTCTCAAAGTTAAATTTTGTTTATTGTGGTAAAATATACATAATATAAAATTTAACATTTTAACTATTTTAAGTGTGTAATCCAGTGGCATTAAATATATTTAGATTGTTGTACAACCATCACTTCCATCCATCTCCAGAACTTTTTCATCTTCCCCAGTGAGTCTATGTATCCATTACATAACTCCCCATTTCTGCCTTCTACCAGCTCCTGGTAACCACTACTCTATTTTTTGTCTCTATGAATTTGACTCTTCTGGGTACCTCATATAAGTAGAATTATACAATACTTGATCTTTTGGGTCTGAATTATTCATGTAGCATAGTGTCTTCAAAGTTCATCTATGTTAAAGCAGGTATGAGAAATTCTTTCCTTTTTGAGGCTGATAGTATTCCATTGTATGTTGTATATACATCTCGCTTTTCTATTCATCTGTATATGGACTTGGGTTCCTTCCACCTTTTGGCTATTCCTGTTTTCTGATATAAGTTAAATAAATATTGTAGTATATTTTATTTTTATGGATATACTTATTTTTAAATTGATTTTATGTATGTTGACTAGGAAAATACATACATTTGGGAACCAAGTAAAAACACAAAAGTATGAAATAAAAATAAATATTGCTGAAAGTTGTAAATATTGTCTCCCCTTTTTTCCTGGATTATTTTGCACATATCTTGGGGTGTTTGATTCCCTTCTTGGGGGACACAGGCACCAAGGATGTGTTCATTCATTCCTGTGGATCTTTGAATGTTATTCTTTGGTCAAGTTAAATAATCAGAGAGCTGGTTATTTGGCCTTCATTTTGTTGACCCTTATAGAACTGAACTTTTTTCAAATTTTATTTTGGTTGTATGTCGCTGAAGGAAATTACAACAAGAGACAGTTCTAGAAAATTTGTTACTCATTTGAGGTTACTTTGGTTGAGAATGTGACTCACTTCCTAAACCATTGTCTCTTTTATAAAATTTCTCTCAAGTTTCAGTGTCAGGAAATTCTGGGTTTCTCTGGACACCTGATATGTTTTCATTTTCTGTATGTGAGCTATGATCACATTATCCACTTTTGGGGCCATTCCATTGCTCAGAATTTAATGTATCAGCTTCCTTACCATTTTTTCAAGACCTTAAGACAGCTGTGCATTAAATACTCTGATTTTCTCTTGTTGGTCAAACCTCATTTCATTTTACTCTTATTTATCTCATTAGACAAATCACATTAAGAGAGCTACTATTCATTGAGCTTGTACTATGTACCAGGCATATTTTGGGGGACTTTGCATGTATTACTTATTTCTAACAATTACATTCTAAGACACATACTATTTTCTAAATTTTAGTGATGAGGAAAACCAGATATGTTTGACTCCAAAGCTAGTGTTTGCTATCCGCTTATTATCATAGATGTCATTTGGTAACCCACTTCTACCACAGGTGCAGTTTAGAAACCAAGCCTTATAAATCAATGAATCAAGGAGGATAAATCTAACAATTCCCAAATTCTAGACTCTATGTGCATAAACAGTGTCTCATGGACTATAGAAACAAACAAACAAAAAAATCATTTTAAATCCCTCCTCTGACATTCCTAGACCAGCCACCAGGACAATTCCAAACAAGGCAAAGACTAGCTACCTATTTCCAAACTCATTTCCTGTATCTCCCAGGAAACAGCTAAATTTCCTTTCCCAGCTTCCCTTGCTGCAGGTGTGGCCATGTGACTGAGTTCTAGCTAATTAGATGTCCCATAAAGCCCTCCCTGGACATACTCTGTGCTTCCTCTTCTTCCTCCAGGGAGACACACATTGTCACCAAAATCTATAGAGAATGATGGAGCCACAGGGTAGAAGGAGCCCGGGTCTTGGCTTCTCACTGGCTTTGAAATCCATGTGTTACCACAAAGGGGTCCCAATCCAGACCCCAAGAGAAAGTTCTTGGATTTCACACAGGAAAGAATTCAGGGTAAGTTCACTGAGTAAAGTGAAAACAAGTTTAGTTATTGTATATCTAGAAAACCCCATTGTCTCAGCCCAAAATCTCCTTAAGCTGATAAGCAACTTCAGCAAAGTCTCAGGATACAAAATCAATGTACAAAAATCACAAGCATTCTTATACACCAATAACAGACAAACAGAGAGCCAAGTCATGAGGGAACTCCCATTCACAATTGCTTCAAAGAAAATAAAATGCTTAGGAATCCAACTTACAAGGGATGTGAAGGATCTCTTCAAGGAGAACTACAAACCACTGCTCAATGAAATAAAAGATGATACAAACAAATGGAAGAACATTCCATGCTCATGGGTAGGAAGAATCAATATCGTGAAAATGGCCATACTGCCCAAGGTAATTTACAGATTCAATGCCATCCCCATCAAGCTACCAATGACTTTCTTCACAGAATTGGAAAAAACTACTTTAAAGTTCATATGGAACAAAAAAAGAGCCCGCATCGCCAAGTCAATCCTAAGCCAAAAGAACAAAGCTGGAGGCATCACACTACCTGACTTACCAAACTATACTATAAGGCTACAGTAACCAAAACAGCATGGTACTGGTACCAAAACAGAGATATAGATCAATGGAACAGAACAGAGCCCTCAGAAATAACGCCGCATATCTACAACTATCTGATCTTTGACAAACCTGAGAAAAACAAGCAATGGGGAAAGGATTCCCTATTTAATAAATGGTGCTGGGAAAACTGGCTAGCCATATGGAGAAAGCTGAAACTGGATCCCTTCCTTACACCTTATACAAAAATCAATTCAAGATGGATTAAAGACTTAAACGTTAGACCTAAAACCATAAAAACCCTAGAAGAAAACCTAGGCATTACCATTCAGGACATAGGCATGGGCAAGGACTTCATGTCTAAAACACCAAAAGCAATGGCAACAAAAGCCAAAATTGACAAATGGGATCTAATTAAACTAAAGAGCTTCTGCACAGCAAAAGAAACTACCATCAGAGTGAACAGGCAACCTACAAAATGGGAGAAAATTTTCGCAATCTACTCATCTGACAAAGGGCTAATATCCAGAATCTACAATGAACTCAAATTTACAAGAAAAAAAACAAACAACCCCATCAAAAAGTGGGCAAAGGATATGAACAGACAATTCTCAAAAGAAGACATTTATGGAGCCAAAAGACACATGAAAAAATGGTCATCATCACTGGCCATCAGAGAAACGCAAGTCAAAACCACAATGAGATACCATCTCACACCAGTTAGAATGGCAATCATTAAAAAGTCAGGAAACAACAGGTGCTGGAGAGGATGTGGAGAAATAGGAACACTTTTACACTGTTGGTGGGACTGTAAACTAGTTCAACCATTGTGGAAGTCAGTTTGGTGATTCCTCAGGGATCTAGAACTAGAAATACCATTTGACCCAGCCATCCCATTACTGGGTATATACCCAAAGGACTATAAATCATGCTGCTATAAAGACACATGCACACGTATGTTTATCGCGGCAGTATTCACAATAGCAAAGACTTGGAACCAACTCAAATGTCCAACAATGATAGACTGGATTAAGAAAATGTGGCACATATACACCATGGATATACACATATATACATGCATATACACATATATGATATACACATGCATATACACATATATGCAGCCATAAAAAATGATGAGTCCATGTCCTTTGTAGGGACATGGATGAAATTGGAAATCATCATTCTCAGTAAACTATCGCAAGGACAAAAAACCAAACACCACATGTTCTCACTCATAGATGGGAATTGAACAATGAGAACACATGGACACAGGAAAGGGAACATCACACTCTGGGGACTGTTGTGGGGTGGGGGGAGGGGGGAGAGATAGCATTAGGAGATATACCTAATGCTAAATGACGAGTTAATGGGTACAGCACACCAGCATGGCACATGTATACATATGTAACTAACCTGCACATTGTGCGCATGTACCCTAAAACTTAAAGTATAATAATAATTAAAAAAAAAAGAAAAAAGAAGTAATAAAAAAAAAGAGAAGAAACAAAAGAATAGCTACTCCATACAGAGCAACCCTGAGGGCTGCTGGTTGGCTATTTTTATTGTTATTTCCTGATTATATGCTAAACAAGTTTTGGATTATTCATGAGTTTTTTCAGAAAGGGGTGAGGATTCCCCTCTCTTAACTGAGGGTTCCTCCCCTTTTTAGACCATATACTTCTGGGCATTGCCATGGCATTCGTCAACTGTCATGGCTCCTGGTGGGAGTGCCTTTTAGCATGCTAATGCATTATAATTGGCATATAGTTAGCAGTGAGGACAACCACAGGTCACTTTCATTGCCATCTTGGTTTTGGCAGGTTTCAGCTGGCTCCTTCACCGCATCCTGTTTTATCAGTGGGGTCCTTGTGACCTGTATCTTGTCCTGACCTCTGACCTCATCCTGTGCCTAAGAATGCCTAAACCTCCTGAAAATGCAGCCCAGCAGATTTCAGACTCCTTGTACATAGCCCCTGTTCAAGATGAAGTGGCTGACTCTGGTTCTAATGCCTTTGACACACGCTGATGAAGAACACCCTTTTTTGTTGTTGCTGTTTTACCTGAGTAGGAAACTGAGTTCTATTTTGGAAAGCCTCTGAGATGTGGAGTTTTTTTTTTTATTATTATTATGGTGGCTAATTTCCTTTTCTATAAATTAGAGATTCAGTATTTATTCCACAGGGTTATTGTGAAGATTAAGTGAGACAATGTATGTAAATATGGTGTCTGGGATCTAGTAGGTGTTCCATTAGTTATTGTAATTATTGTGATGATTTTTATGTAACTCAAGTATCCTCATGTTGTACAGCTTTCTGAGTAGCCCTCTGTCTTTCAGGAAATCTAGTCTCCTCCCAGGATTCCTGAGTATCTGTAGGGGAATCTGCATTTGAATTTTCTTATAAATTGTCCTTCCCACATTTCTTCCTGATTACCTTGGGTCACATCCTTACTTCACTTCCTAATGCTTTAGCCTTCCTTAGTTTGCCTTATCCTACACTTTATTCAGAAAGGCAGTGCTAACATAAAGCTGATACTGTGTATCACTGAAGACTTTAGAATTGGGTAAGGGAATAGATCACAACTCAGAAAACTTTCAGATGGTTGTTGGACTTCATTTCTCTGAACATTTCTTAGCCAGGTTCCATCTCACAGGTTTTCTTTGGGTCATGTCTGTCTTTAGAACTTGGTCTACAGTATTATTCAAATCAGAGTCCTCTGCCTTACAGTTTCTTCCCAAGGTCAAGGCCCTTAAAACGCTATGCCTGACCTCTGGAGAAAAAAAAAATAGAAGTATCTTAACAATCACAAATCTCTAAGCACAGAAAAATCCACCCTAACCAGAAAAACTACTATCTCTGTCTGCCCTCCCAGCCTTTTCACATGATTAAATATCACATTCTAGTTTGCGGTATTTGAATTAGGGTTTCCTCATCAAAAGGCAAGGCTACCACAAAGTGAGAGAATAGACCCCTGACTTACATGTTCATGACAGGAGGATTTACCAAAGCGATCCCTTCCGGAAAAAGGGGAAGAAAAACTTGGCTTCCAATTTTAGAGTGACAAGCAAATACCCTATAGTTCTAGAATCTTCCTTTTGTCCTTGTGTCTACCTGCCTTCTATTCTTCCAATTCTCCAGTTCTTTTTGCCTTAGAACTTTAACACAAGCTATCAGCCTAAAAAAATCTGTCATTAGGTTGCAAATATGACTCTTTGTCATTCAGTACAAATGCTGCCTTCCTAGAGAAACCATGGCAACACCATTCTTGCTAAGTAAACACAAATCTCCCCAACCTGCCCAGACTTTATGCACCCTGAACATTTTTACCAGCTTGTTTTCTATAGTACCTACCATTATCTAGAGCAGCACTGTCCAGTGGAATTTTCTGTAATTATGGAACTGCTCTTAATCTGCACCAATATGAAAGCTATAAGCCACACATGGCTAGGGAGCACTTGAAATGTGCTGGCTTTTTTATGGGTCCTGTCATTAACCCACATGAATGGAATCTTAAAAATTTTTTTTTGTTTTATTTCAATAGTTTTTGGGAACAGGTGATTTTTGCTTACTTGGATAATTTCTTTAGTGGTGCTTTCTGAGATTTTGGTGTACCCATCAACCAAGCAGTTTACACTGTACCCAGTGTATAGTCTTTCATCCCTCAATCCCTTTCCACTCTTCCCTCTGAGTCCCAAAGTGCATTGTGTCATTCTTATGCCTTTGCATCCTCATAGCTTATCTCCCACTTATACATGAGAACACACGATATTTGGTTTTCCATTCGTGAGTTACTTCACTTCGAATAATGGTCTCCGACTCCATCCAGGTTGTGGCAAATGCTATTATTTTGTTTCTTTTTATGGATGAGTAGTATTCCATGCTGTATATAAACCAAATTTTCTTTATGTGCTCCTTGGTTGATGGGCATTTTGGCTGGTTCCATATTTTTGCTATTGCGAACTGTGCCACTATAAACATATGTGTGCAAGTGTACTTTTATATAATGACTTATTTTTCTTCTGGGTACATACCCAGTAGTGAGATTGCTGGATCAAATGTTAGTTCTACTTTTAGTTCTTTAAGGAATCTCCATGTTTTCCATAGTGGTCATACTAGTTTACATTCCCATCAGCAGTGTAAAACTGTCCCCTTTTTACCATATCCACACCAACATCTATTTTTTTTTATTTTTAAATTACGGCCTTCTTGCAGGAGTAAGGTGGTATCCCATTGTGGTATTAATTTCCATTTCCCTGATAATTAGTGATGTTGAGCATTTTTTCATATGTTTGTTGGTCATTTGTATATCTTCTTTTGAGAATTTTCTATTCATGTCCTTTGCCTACATTTTGATGGGATTATTTTATTTTTCTTGCAGATTTGAATTCCTTGTAGATTCTGGATATTATTCCTTTGTTGAATGCATGGTTTGCAAATATTTTCTCCCATTCTTTGGGTTGTCTGTTTGCTGATTATTTCTGTTGCTGTGAAGAAGCTTTTTAGTTTAATTAGGTCCCATCTACTTATTTTTGTTTTTGTTTCATTTGCTTTTAGGTTCTTGGTTATGAACTCTTTGCCTAAGCCAATGCCTAGAAGAGTTCTTCCATTGGTATCTTCTAGAATTTTTAGGGCTTTAAGTCTTAGCTTTAAGTCTTTTATCCACATTGAGTTGATTTTTATATATGGTGAGAGATGAGGATCCAGTTTCATTCTTCTACATGTGGCTTGTCAATTATCCCAGCACCATTTGATGAATAAGGTGTCCTTTCCCCAATTTATGTTTTTGTTTGCTTTGTCAAAGATCTGTTGGCTGTAAGTATTTGGGTTTATTTCTGCATTCTCTATTCTGTTCGATTAGTATATATGCCTATTTTATACCAGTACCATGCTGTTTTGGTAACTATACCCTTGTAGTACAGTGGGAAGTCAGGTAATGTGATGCCTCCAGATTTGTTCTTTTTGCTTGCCTTGGCTATGTAGGCTCCTTTTTGGTTCCATGTGAATTTTAGGATTGTTTTATCTAGTTCTGTGAGGAATGATGATAGTACTCTGATTTGAATTGCATTGAATCTGTAGATTGCTTTTGGCAGTATGGTCATTTTCACAATATTGATTATACCCATCCATAAACATGAAATATATTTCCATTTGTTTGTGTCATCAATGATTTCTTTCAGCAGTGTTTTGTAGTTTTCCTTGTAGAGATCTTTCACTTCCTTGGTTAGGTATATTCCTAAGATTTTGTTTTGTTTTGTTTTTGTTTGTTTGTTTTGACAGCTATTGTAAAAGAGATTGAGCTCTTGATTTGATTCTCCGTTTGGTCACTGTTGGTGTACAGTAGTGCTACTAATTTTTTTTCCAGTGCTCTACAGGTTCAGAGGAACTTCTCTAGCACACTAATTTTTGTACATTGATTTTTGTATCCTGAAACGTTGCTGAATTCATCTATCAGATCTAGAAGCTTTTGGGGATTCATTTTTAGGGTTTTCTAGGTATACGATCATATAATCAGCAAACAGTGACAGTTTTACTTCCTCTGTACCGATTTGGATGCCCTTTATTTCTTTCACTTCTCCGATTGCTCTGTCTAGGACTTCCAGTACTATGTTGAATAGAAGTGGTGAAAGTGGGCATCCTTGTCTTGTTCCAGTTCTCAGGGAGAATGCCTTCAACTTTTCCCCTGTATTAGTCTATTTTCACACTGCTATAAAGAACTAGCTGAGACTGGGTAATTTATAAAGGAAAGAGGTTTAATTGACTCACAGTTCCTCATGGCTGGGGATGCCTCAGGAAACTTACAATCATGGCAGAAGGTGAAGGAGAAGCAAGGCACATCTTACAGAAGAGCAGGAGAGAGACAGGATGAAGGAAAAAGTGCCACTTTCAAACCATCAGATCTCCTGGGAACTTACTTGTTATCATGAGAACAGCATGGGGGAAATCACCTCCATGATCCACTCACCTCCCACTAGGTCCCTCCCTCAATACATGGGAATTACAATTCAAGATGAGATTTGGGTGGGGACACAGAGCCAAACCATATCATCCCCATTTAGTATAATGTTGGCTGTGGTTTGTCATAGATGGCTTGTATCACCTTGAGGTATGTCCCTTCTATTGCCAATTTTGCTGAGGATTTTATTTACAAAGGGATGCTGGATTTTGTCCAGTGTTTGTTTTTTCTATGTCTATTGAGATGATCATATGATATTTGTTTCTAATTCTGTTTATGTGATGTATCACATGTATTGACTTGTGAATGATAAGTCATTTCTGCATCCCTAGTGTGAAACATACTTCATCATGGTGTATTATCTTTTTAATGTGCTGTTGGATTCAGTTAGTATTTTGTTGAGGATTTTTGTATCTATATTCTTCAGGAATATTGGTCTATAGTTTTCTTTTTTTTGTTATGTCCTTTCCTGGTTTTGGTATTAGGGTGATACTGGTTTTATAGAATTATTTAGAGAAGATTTTCTCTTTTTCTGTTTTTTGGAATACTTTCAGTAGTATTGGTACCAATTCTTCTTTGAACGCCTGATAGAATTCAGCTGCGATTCCATCTGGTCCTGGACTTTTTTTATTGGCATTTTTTTTATTACTGTTTCAATCTTGCTACTTGTTATTGGTCTGTTCAGAGTTTCTATTTCTTCCTGATTTAATCTAAGAGGGTTGTAATTTCCAGGAATTTATCAATCTCCTGTAGATTTTCTAGTTTTTGCACATAAAAGGTGTTCATAATAGCCTTGAATAATCTTTTGTATTTCTGTGGTATCAGTTGTAATATCTCCTATTTTCTTTCTAAGTGAGTTTTTTCGGGTTTTCTCTCTTCTTTTCTTGGTTAATCTCATTAATGGTCTATTAATTTTGTTTATCTTTTCAAAGAATCAGCTTTTTATTTCATTTACCTTTGTATTTCCTTGTTTCAATTTCATTTAATTCTGCTCTAATCTTGAGTATTTCTTGTCTTCTGCTGGATTTGTTCTGTTTCTCTTGTTCCTTGAGGTGTGACCTTAGATTTTCTATTTGTGCCCTTTCAGACTTTTTTATGTCTTTTCTCTTAGCACTGCTTTTGCTGTATTGCAGAGGTTTTGATAAGTTGTGTAACTATTATTGTTCAGTTCAAAGAATTTTTAAATTTCCATCTTGATTTCATTGTTGACTCAAAGATCATTCAAGAGCAGATTATTCAATTTCCATGTATTTATATAGTTTGAAGGTTCCTTTTAGAGTTAATTTTTAGTTTTATTCCACTGTAGTCTGAGAGGATACTTGATATAATTTTGATTTTCTTCACTGTATTGAGACTTGTTTCATAGCCTATCATATGGTGTATCTTGGAGAATTTTTCATGTGCTGATTAAAAGAATGTATATTCTGCAGTTGTTTGATAGAATGTTCTATAAATATGTGCTAAGACTATTTGTTCTATAGTTCAAGTCCATTGTTTCTTTGTTGACTTTCTGTCTTGACAACCTATCTGGTGCTGTCAGTGGAGCACTGAAGTCCCCCTCTATTACTGTGTTGCCGTCTGTCTCATTTCTTAGGTCTAGTAGTGATGGTTTTATAAATTTGGGAGCTCCAGTGTTAGGTGCACATATATTTATGATTGTAATATTTTTCTGTAAGTCTAATCCTTTTATCATTATATAATGTCCCACCTTGTCTCTTTTTAACTGTTTTCACTTTAAAGTCTGTTTTGTCTGATATAAGAATAGCTACACCTGCTTGCTTTTGATTTCCATTTGTATGAAATATATTTTTTTCCACCCCTTTACCTTAAGTTTATGTGAGTCCTCATGTGTTAGGTGAGTCTCTTGAAGACAGCAGTTACTTGGTTGGTGGATTTTTATTCATTTTGCCATTTTGTATCTTTTAAGTGGAGCATTTAGGCCATTTACATTCAATGTTAGTATTGAGATGTGAGGTACTGTTTTATTCATTATGCTAGTTGTTGCCTTAATACCCTGCTTTTCTTATTGTGTTATTGATATGATCTTTCTCTCTGTGTTCCCACATAAATCTCATGCTGAATTCTAATCTCCACATGTTAAGGGAGGGGCCAGGTGGGAGGTGATTGAATCATGAGAGCAGACTTCCACCTTGCTGTCCTTATGATGGTGAGTGAGCTCTCATGAGATCTGGTTGTTTGAAAGTGTGTAGCATTTCCCCCTTTGCTCTCTCTCCCACTCCAGCATGGTAAGATGTGCTTGCTTCCCCTTTACCTTCTGCCATGATTATAAGTTTCCTGAGACCTCCCAGCCACGTTTTCTGTACAGCCTGTGGAACAATGAGTCGATTAAACCTCTTTCCTTTATAAATTACCCAGTCTCAGGCAGTTTTTTATAGCAGCGTGAGAATGAACAAATACAGAAATTGGTACAAGGAGTGGGCATTGCTGTACAGACACCTGAAAATTTGGAAGCAACTCTGAAACTGGGTAATGGGCAGAGGTTGTAACAGTTTTGAGAACTCAGAAGAATATAGGAAGTTGAGGAAAATGTTTTGGAACTTCATAGAGACTTGTTGAATGGTTTTGACCAAAATGCTGAGTGATACGGACAATGAATTCCAGGCTTAAGTGGTCTCAGACAGAGATAAGGAAATTATTGGGAACTGGAGCAAAGGTCACTTTTGCTATGCTTAAGCAAAGAAGACTGGTGACATTCTGCACATGCTCTAGGGATCTGTGGAACTTTGAACTTGAGAGAGATGATTTAGGGTATCTGGTAGAAGAAATTTATAAGAAGTAAAGTGTTCAAGATGTGACCCAGCTGCTTCTAAAAGCCTATGCTAGTTTGCATAAGCAAAGAGAACTTATAAAAGGGAAGCAAAAGTTGGTTGTTTAAAAGTATGTAGCACTTCCCCCTTCACTCCCTCTCCTGCTCTAACATGGTAACATACGCTTGCTTGCAAAGTAAAAGTTTGGAAAATGTACAGCCTGTTCATGTGTTCAAAAACAAAAACCCATGTTCTAAGGAGAAATTCAAGACAGCTGCATAAATTTTCATAAGTAAAGAGGAACCAAATGTTAATAGCAAAGGCAATGGGAAGAATGTCCCCAGGGCATTTCAGAGGCTTTTGTAGCAGCCCCTCCCATCACAGGCCCAGATATCTAGGAGAGAGAAATGGTTTCATGGTTTCTATTTGTTCTAGTCTATTTTTAAAACTTTCCAGTGCATTTTGTAGTTCTCTAAGTGTGTCTTTTATTTCCAGCAGTTGTAATTGTTTTTTCTTTATGATATCTCTCTCCCTGGAGAATTTTTTATTCATACCCTGTATTGTTTTTTAAATTTCTGTAAGTTGGTTTTCACCTTTCTCTAGCATCTCCTTGAGTAGTTCAATAATCCACCTTCTGAATTCTTTACCTGGCAATTAAGAGATTTCCTCATGGTTTGAATTCATTGCTGGGGAACCAGTGTAATCTTTTGGTGGTGTTTTACAACCCTGTTTTGTCGTATTATCGGAATTACTTTTCTGGTTCCTTCTCATTTGGGTAGACTATTTCAGTGGAAAGGTCTGGAACTCAAGGCCTGCTGTTCAGATTCTTTTGTCCCATGGGGTGATCCCTCGATGTGGTGCTCTCCTCCCTTCTCATAGGGATGGGGCTTTTTGAGAGCTGGATTTCAGTGATTGTTATTACTCTTCTGGATCTAGACACCCAATGGGGATACCAGGTTCTGGGCTGGTGCTGTGGAATGTCTACAAAACGTCCTGTGATGTAATTTGTCTTCAGGTCTCCCAGCCACGGATGCCAGCACCTGCTCTGGTGGAGGTGGCAGGGGAGTGAAGTAGACTCAATGAGAGTCCTTGGTTGTAGATATGTTTTCTCAAATGTTGGTTATATGTTGGACACACTCAGAACCTCTGGTTAGCTGGGATGTTGCAGGTAGTAGAATTAGTTGTTGTTTTCTCCTTCCTGGGATCAGGATTGTTCCATCCTGAGTTGCTGTAATGGCCTGAGTTGGTTGGCTGCCAATCAGGAGGTGGCACTTTCAAGAGAGCACCAGTTGCAGTAGTAGTAGGGGGATCTAAGCTTTCTCTAAGTTGCCCAGGGTAAGTATTTTGGTTTCCCAGGTGATGAGCAGGGCCATAAATCTCCCAAGACTTTCTGTCTTTTGTGTTTGGCTACCAGGTTATGTAATGAAATACCATCAGGTTGGGGCAGGGTTAGGCGGGTCTGGGCTCAGACTTACCCTGAGTGGGGCTTGCTGCAGCCGCTGTGGGGGTTTGGGGGTGGTTCTCAGGCCAACAGGGTTATGTTTCAGAGGGAATTATGGCTGTGTCTCTGTTTTATATCGTTCACCAGCAAAGTGTGGGATAGCCAGTAGTGACAGCCCTCACCCAACTCCCATGCAGTTGGTGAGATCAGTTTCACTCCCACAGCACTCCTGCCCCCTACTCAGACCTTGCCCCAGGCTAGGAGCTTCCCCATTGAGAAAGCAAGGAAGGCCTTGGGGCCTCACCCCTTTCCATCAGTCCACACTGTCAGTGGCAGCTCCTGCACTTGAATCTGCAGCAGTTCCTTTTTGATCCCCTGGGTTCTGCTCAAGAAAATTTGTGCCTTGTCAGTTGGAAGCTATAAATGAAATATTTGTTATATGTCTATTTTATACTTGTATGGGAGACTTGCATTTACCTTTCTTCAGAATTATACTGTAGCAGTAATGAGGGGTTTACAATAATGGGTGAATAAATATGTAAAATTTCTGTGAGAGAGACACCAACAGTCTAAGTTGGCACTGAGTTATAGCCTCTGTAGCCACACAGCTGGTGTTTCCATGGTACATGGGAGGGCTACAGGAAATACTGCTTGACTGGATGAACAATGGATGAGTGAGTGAGAGAGTGAGTGAAACAAGGGGATGGTATAGGTAAGACTTGAAGAATTCCACCTGATATGGTTTGGCTGTGTCTTCACCCAAATCTCATCTTGAATTGTAATTCCCATAATCCCCACGTGTCATGGAAGGGACTAGTGGGAGGTTATTGAATCATGGGGGTGGTTACCCTCATGCTGTTCTCATGATAGTGAGTGAGTTCTCACAAGATCTGATGGTTTTATAAGGGGCTTTTCCCCCTTTTGCTTGGACCCTCTTCTTCCTGCTGCCACGTGAAGAAGGACGTGTTTGTTTCCCCTTCCACCATGATTGTAAGTTTCCTGAGGCCTTCCCAGCTCTGCGAAACTGTGAGTCAATTAAACCTTTTTCTTGTGTAAATTCCCCAGCCCCAGACAGTTCTTTATATCAACCTGAGAACAAACTGATATACCTTCCATTTTGGTTTGCTGTCAGAGCCCTTTAAATCATGGAGTAGGCTCACTGGTTAAAACTGCAGCCCTCCCCAGGCACGGCATTTCATCTTCAGCTGCTATGCATTGATAGGAGATGCAAAGATGGAACTACAGTTTTGTGGCACCTTGAAAGGGTGGAAGTGGAGAGGACTATGCTCCTTCCTAGACTGCCAAAAATTGCTGAAGAGGGACACTTGCAGGGATCTCAGTCCTCTAACAGTTGGTGGTGAAGACTCCAAGACACATCATCTGAACTCACCAGGTATGTTTTATATTCCTCCGTGGAAACACATGTTACCCTTAAATCTAGACCTTTACAGCAAATGCTTACAACATACTGAAATCAACACAGTCAACAATAGAGCCTTGAAGTGAATGAATTCTAAGTATCACATTATCTAATTGAGTTAGCAGTTGAATAGGCATGAAGTGGTCATTATTACTCTTGAATTTCTGTGAATAGAAGATTCCTCTACAAGTGACGGCTCTATAAAGGGACATAGAAGAAGAAAATAGTAAGGCTTCTGTATTAATCTGTTCTTGCATTGCTATACAGAAATACCCAAGATGGGGTAATTTATTTAAAAGAGTTTAATTGGCTCACAGTTTCATAGGCTGTACAGAAGCCATAATGCTGGCACCTGCTCAGCTTCTCAGGAGGCCTTAGGAAACTTACAACCATGATGGAAGGCAAAAAGTAAGCCAGCACTTCATGTGGCTGGAATAGGAGCAAGAGAGGGGGATGGAAAGGCATTGCATACTTTTAAACAACCAGATTTCATGTTGACTCACTCACTTTCAAAAGAAGAGCACCAAGAGGATGATGCTAAACCATTCATGAAGGACTACCCCATTATTGAGTACTAATAAGTAAGCAGCAACAAGGAAGGGGTCTCAGGTGGGGGGAACAATTCTTCCAAGAGACAGCTAATCATAGAAAAGCCGCTAGCACAACTGCCTCACTTCACACATAGCCCCAGCAGCACGACCTCATTCTGCATGTAGAATGACCCTGTAAAACTTCTCTCCAGCCCCTGCCTCTTTGTAGACAGCACTTCTCTGCTTTGCTTCCTGTGGCATGCTTGCAATGTATCTTTGTACTTTCCCTCTAATAAATCTGCCTTTCTTTACCTATGACTGTCTTGGTAAATTCTTTCACTACCCCCAATGCCAGCCCCATCTAATCGCACCCATGACATTTTGGTGGCCCATCCGGGGAGTGCCTAGAAGTGCTCAGGGACTGATCAGTGAGTGATTGGGGACTGTCTTCCCTTACTCTCTCCCTTTTCTCCAACTCTAACCCCTCAGTAGACAGCATCCAAGCCCAGAGGCAATTAAAGGTCCCCAGCTGGGGCCACTGCTTGGGGACCAGAAGCTTCTAGAGGAAAGATGTCTGACCACTGTTACCCAATTGGGTGAGAGTTCAGAGTTTGCTTTCCTTTTCAGTCTTCTGTCAGACAAATTTTAGTATCCCTCTGGTAATTTAGCATCACCTGCCAGGGCCACTCCCTGGTGTAGCCTGAAGGTCAGGGAGTGAACAGGTTTGGCTGCCTTGCTGGAAGGGCAGAGGCTGTCTCCTATCCTTTCCGATCAAAAGTCCCCAATCCCTACATGTAGTATGATTGGTAGTGGAAGCTTAACCAGGGTGAACCTACACATGTTTTAGGGAAATCAGACCCCTTCTTTCTCACTCGAAGTTCTCCTGTGATGCCCACTGGACCTCCCAGTCCAGAAATCTTAAGCCAAATGATTTCAAACAGCATAAGGATGGTGAGTCTTTCCTCAACTCTTTCCCCTTGTAGCTGGATTGAGCACCAGCATAACTTGTACCTGGGCTGGCTCCCCAGCATAATTTGCACCTAGACTAACCTGGAGTAGCTCATCCAGGATTCATTCAGCATAAAGCCCTAGTGCCATCTTCCCAATAGGTAAGATGCACCTTTTGAAAGTGCATCTCAGAGTCCCTCTGCAGATGTGAGTTGAACCGTTTCCCCTCAGCAGGACACCCCAAGAGAAATTGCAGTTTGTGTCCCCAGTAGATGTTTTCTTCCTGGTCCCACCATGAGAAAAAGCTCATTCATCCCTCAGACTCACCCCTGGGCTGCATTTTAAAGCATTGGGATATATTTAACCCTCAGACTCTCAAAAAGAAACAGTGAATTTTCTTGTGTAATGCAGCATGGTCCCTGTGCAAAAAATCCCATTAGCCTCCTCAGTCTTTTATAACTGAGAGAAGAGTAAGGAGGACAGGGCTAAGGATAAAGAAAAATGCAGGGACAAGAGGCATGCTCAACTGTTGGCTGCTTTACAAACCCCCATCCCCCTCTAGATTTCTCTAAGAACACTCTTCCAGGTACCTGCCATTTGTGCAGAAGGTTAGGCCACTGGAAGGCAAACTGCCCCAATGGGATAAATGGGAAAAAGCCCTACAAAGCTTGCTCCCTCTGCCAGAAGTTTGGCCACTGAAAATGGAACTGCCCTGAGGACCAGGGCCCCTGGGACAGAGTCCCAACCCCTGATGGCCTTGAGCTGAAGGGGCTCTCTGCTCTGGCTGGCTTGCAAATCAGACATCATCATCAATAAGGCAAAGCAAAGAGCAATTCTGGAGGTGTCAAGTAAAATTATAAATTTCCCTTTTGGGTGCAAGAGCTGCCTGCTCTATACTAATCTCAGAGCAACTGTCCTTCAACTCCTGTGGGGTAATGGGGGTAAATGGCACACCCTAACTCCAAAAGAAAAAATCACACTTGTTTATATTACTTAAGGGACCTATTACCATTCTCCTATCAGCTCTAAGTAATGTCTAATTGGGGTATTTAGACAATATTAGGGACTGGTAGGAGAATGGTAATTGGAGTATATTTTCACCTGTTTGGTGCTAAATGTACTTTCCAAGATGGGTGGCTACTCAATATTTACCCAACCTCTAAATTCATCTTTCCCTCTAATAGCCCTATTTCTCCCAGGAAAGCTACCTAAATCTTTAACCAGTAGCTTTAGCCGAAACAGTCCTACCCCAGGGATTTAAAAATAGCCCACACTTAATCAGACAAGCACAAGAAGCTTGAGTAACTCAATCAACTTCACAGCCTCAGCTACAGCAGGGCTGGGATTTGAACCCTGGCTGTGTGACTTCTAACCTGCTCCACAATACCATTTATCACCAAGAAAATAATCTTCTGATTACACTTTTTCCAAATATTTTGACTCCTACTGTTAAAGAAAGTTTTATTCAATGATTTGCGAAAGCACATTTAAAAAGACTATTCAGGGCTCTTATGATAGGTATAGGGACCACTGCAATGGGGTCTTGCAGTAGGGGAGGGAGATTGTGCTCAACTCCAAATACAGCATGGACATATGGGAACGTATAGCAGGGAGCAGGGTGTAGGCCAGTGGATGGAAAATTACTAAGAAACATCAGGGGTAATTGTGATTCTGACTGAACTGACCTAACACAATTCTTGCTGAAGATAGGCCACAGTCATGGTGATCAGACATCACCTGCAGGATGGTGGAGAATGAGGAACCTAATCAAATATTGAGGATGATCAGATATATATCCAGGGCAGGGGGTTCTTGCTAAACTCACTTAGTGGAGTTCTTTGCTGAAACTGGATTTTACAAGGAAGTATACAAATATGCCTAGCAGAAGGTTCAGGAGCCTGACTAAAGTTTGACCAAGCAAAGGCTACATTTGCCAAAAATTCCAAACTATTGCAATAGGGGACAAGATTTTTGTAATAGAGTAGAGAGGCTGAACTTTACTCTGAATACAACAGGGACTATTGGAGATTTATAGCCAACATACAGCATGATGAAGTGGATGGAATATTACTTATGGGAACTTTGTTGGGTATTAAAGATGAAGGTAAGAGAAACTTGATTAAAAATCAAATGTGAAAAGGGAAGAAGAGCTTGATAGGTTATCAAGGGTGGGGGGATTTTCAATAAACTGGCTTAGAATTTTTTGCTAAAATGCACTCAGCACACCAAGGACCAGACCTAGTCAAGAAGAGTGCACCAAGGAGTCTGACTAAAGTTCAGTCAAGGAAAGAATCCTTGCCATGGCCACTGCCATAAAGTCGGCCATGGTAAGTCCTAAAGTGGCCCTGGACTCACCTTGGTTCTCTGTACCTGAGAGTGAAAGTTTTCTCCTTTTTCACATCCCTTGCTTCTGGAAGCTGAGAAGTCTGGAGTGATCACTTCCTTTGGCAGCTGTTCCATTTGTCCCTGGGCTGGTTCAAGGCCAGGAAGAAGAGGATTAGAGAAAGGGGAGTTGGAGCTGAGGATGGTTAATGGTGTCTGGAGAGAGAGCAGGATTAGCTGGGAATCTACCCACGTGGTGTACATTTTTTTTTTTCTGGAAAAAACATATCCTTAGTTCTGAATATCAGGGAATTCACAAAGTTGAGAACTGGCTTCATGCCCCAGGATATCTCCTTAATAAAAATACAGAGTCTGTGAAGTGATCCTGCAGAAACTTCCTCCAAATAAACTCTGATTTTGTTTGCATGCATATTTATATAAAGTCATCACCCAGGAGAGAAAACTGCTACCGTTGTGTAAGTCTAGAAACGTTGACTGTATGGATAATGGTAAAAATTGGTACCCTGGCCTTGTTTCGGGACCATTACTGTGACTTTAAAAATTCAAGATATATTACTTCCCCCCCAGTAAAGACAGCCTGAGCATAGACAAAAAGTCTCTGGGTGATTAATGATTAGACTCTCTGAAGAGTGGAGGCATAGAGGAGACAGACAAATGGAATTGAAATGTTGCATGTTACTTTACATTCCCTCAGATGACTCAGACACTCCCTGCACCTTTGTCATTTATTCTATCTTTTAAAAAGTCAGTTCCATTTTCAAGTATCCCAGAGTTCAGTGAGAATCTTGATTGAAGGAGGTCTTCTTTTCTTTCTTTTTTCCTAATGATGATTGCCTTGAGATTAATGCTCTAATATTTTCATGAGTCTCTGTTTCAACAGTAAAATATGGATGCTAAGAGTTATCCTGTAAGAATGCTGTAAGAGTGAATAAAATAACGTAGGTGAACTTTCTCATGCGGGGACTAACACAAAGTAGACCCTCAAAACTGTAGGCATTATTGTCATCATTCTGTGGGATGAACATTGACATTTTGGACTATTCAGAATCCAGTTTCTGTAATTCTTATAGCAAAACCTCTAATTTTCTTTGGAGTTCCATTCCTCCCCCACTCTGACTTTAAGTTGTTCAGATACCATTGAGAAGATCAGACCTTAGCAAACAGTAATAATAACAATTAATTATTTAACAGAACTTTACCAGATGCCAGACATTGTTCTAAGCACTTTTCCTGGATTATCTCATTTGTACACTACCTATAAAGAAGTGTACTGGAGAGGGTAGGAAAGGTGCTGTCACAGAGGAACCCCAAATATTATGATGTAGAGGGCACCGAAGCTTATGTCTCTCTCTTATAATGGTTCTGATGCCAGTGGTCCAGGTCAGCTGTGACAGCTGTGCTCTATGTGCTGTTCAGACACCCAGCTCCTTTTGTCTGAGTCTCTCAGCCGCTTCCAGGACATCATCCTCCACATTTGGAGCTTGATAGCTGCCATGGGTGTGTTTTAGTCGTGCAGACAGGGACAGAGGACATGGAGAAGATATGCCCAACATCTTAATTCCCAGACCTGAAAGAGGCCCGCACTCCTCCCATTGCATTCCACTGGCCAGAACTTATTCACACAGACACACCTAACACAAAGGGAGGCTGGAAAAGTGTAGTCTAGCTGAGCACAAGTTTCTTCTATGGGTGAAGTGGAGAACAGATTTCACCAGGCACTGGGAGTTACAAGTATTAGAGGAAATATAGGTAATATAGGTAAGTAATTATTCACTATTTTACAGCATGGGGAAATAGGCTTAGATAGATTAAATCACCATAAGGGAATCTGTCAGTGCCTGATCTACAGGCCTAATCCTACCAGAAAGTTCCTGTATACACCAATTTCTGGGAGTCTCTGCCTAAGAGAGATTTCCAATCATAGGGCAAGATTGGCCAGCTTGTGGGGGCTAATGAGCAAGCCCTAACCAATGAAGGGCATGAGTTAGTGGATAAATTACCAAAGACTTTTTCTCTCTCTGTGGCACAGTTCTAAGATGTGTTCCACAAAGTCACAGGTCCTTCCATGGGAATTACCCCCAAGTGCACCTAGAAATAACTTGCTCATTAATATACCATCTATTATCTTTCTAAGCTCCCTCTCACTTCTCCATTCTCTCATAGGCTTCATGGGATCACCTCCTAAATGAACTGCTTGCATCTAAATCCGTCTTAGGTTCTGTGTTTGGTCACTGAAACTAATTAAGTTACAGTTAGTAAATAGAGGAACCAGAATCTGAACTTGGCTGGCAGCATCCAGACTTGCCTCTTAATCATGGGGCACAATTTCCCTAAGTCCTCAGAGTGAGACGTGTACCTCACTTATTTTATCTGCTGATAGTGGACACAATGCCTGATACACCAAGTCAGGGAAAGGAAGGATGGATGGTTCAGCCTGGAATGTGGGCTTCCTGAGCTACAGGCATGGGGCTAATTATTTCACATGCCTTAATTTATTTAATCCTTCTCCCAACCCACAAGCTGTCAGTTTACGTAATCATATTTGTATCTCCAGAACAAAGCACAGTGCTTGGCACAGAGTACATCCTCAGCAAATGAGTGTTGAATGACTAAATTGAATAAACTAATGATTCATATGAAGCAGAGGTTACTGTTAATTTTTTTCAGATAAAGAAATTTAAGCTCAGAGAAATCAATGCCATTTCAAGAAAAAAGCTAAAAATAAAGCAAGTAGAGCCATGAAATGTGATGTCTACAGAGTGTTGGTTTTAATCTTGACACTATCCTGAGTTGCACATATAATAATACCTTAGTTTTATCATTAAACCATAGTATGAGAGAGACTGCAAGCATCTATTTTTAGAGAAAGGATTGAGGATCAGAAAGTCTAAATATTAACACAGAGAAGATCACTCAACTAATAGGAAACATACTTCAATTTGAAAACAGCTGTTTGTCTCCAACTTTTATGTGCTTTCCACTATAATACACAATCATAACTAATAACAGCAAACATATGAGTACTAATTATTATTATCCCTTGCCTCCTCCCACTCTCCCCCCGATGACCCCAAAGTCCATTGTATCATTCTTATTAAAAGCATCATACTTTTGATCCATTCTGGAAAATTCTTAACCATTATCTCTTTTAATATTTGCTCTAATTCCATCTATCTTTTTTCCTGGAAACTTTAATAGATGTACATTAGACTTTCTCATCCTTTCATCAATTTATTGTCACCTCTTCTTGTAAGAAATATTTCTCTTTGTTTATTTCATTATTATTATTTTTAATTTTTTTTAAAGATACAGGATCTTGCTATAATACCCAGGCTGGCCTCAAATTTCTGGCCTTAAGGTGTCCTCCCACTTTGACCGTCCAAAGCACTGGGATTATAGGCATGAGCCACCATACATGGCCTCTATTGCATTAATAATTTCTTCAAATCTATTTTCTGGTTCCTAAATTTTCTTTTCAGTTGTATCTATATGCTCTTTAACTCATAGATGCTTAAGTCCAACCATTATATTTTTCATATTTCTCTCATTCTTTTTTTAAACCTACTTGGTCTTGTTCCTGGCTCATATTTTAATTTTTTCTTATTTCCTTAAATATTTAAATATACTTTTTGATATTTTATATCTGATAAATTCCTGTTGATCTTACTTACGCTGGCTTATTTCCTTCAGTGTTTTATATTCTATAACTATGGATTTTTAGCCAATATTTCAATTTCTAGTATTCATCCTCCAGAGAGTATTTGCGTTTGCTTCTGCCAGGTCCCCTGAGGGCTATCAACCTTGGATCACTTTGATTTATTGAGAGGTAATGTAAATTTAAATCTCAAACCCACACAAAGGAGAACCTATGGTTACAGATTTTTCCAGCTTCCTCTTTGGTTTTGGTCCGTGGTAATTTCCTCCACTTTCTTACATACTTGACTATGACTTTAAAAGGGGAACTGTCTTATTTTTCTATTATATCCGGGTATTTTTTGACAAAAGGGATTTAAAAGATATATTTTCTAAAGAATCCTAAAACTCATATGGAACCAAAAAAGAGCCCACATAGCCAAAGCAATACTAAGCAAAAAGAACAAATCTGGAGGCATCATATTTCCTGACTTCAAGCTATACTACAATGCTATAGTTACGAAAACAGCATGGTACTGGTATAAAAATAGTCATGTAGACCAACTGAACAGAATAGAGAATCCAGAAATAAATCCAAATATTTACAGCCAACTGATCATTGACAAAACATACAAAAATGTAGATTGGGGAAATGACACCCTATTCAATAAATGGTGCTGGGAAAACTGGCAAGCTACATGTAGAAGAATGAGGGGTCCTCATCTCTCACCTAATACAAAAATCAACTCGAGATGGATCAAAGACTTAAACCTAAGACCTAAAACTATAAAAATTCGGGAAGATAACATTGCAAAAACTCTTCTAGACATTGGCCTAGGCAGAGTTCATGATCAAGAACCCAAAGTAAATGCAACAAAAACAAAAATAAATAGATGGGACCTAATTAAGCTAAAAAGCTTCTACATAGCAACAGAAATAATCAGCAGAGTAAGCAGACAACCCATAGAATGGAGGGAAATATTTGCAAACTATGCATTTGACAAAGGACCAATATCCAGAATCTACAAGGAACTCAAACAACTCAGCAAGAAAAAAATAAATAATCCCATCAAAAAGCAGGGAAAGGACATGAATAAACAATTCTCAAAAGAAGATATACAAACAGCCAACAAGCATGTGAAAAAAATTTCAACATCACTAATTATCAGGGAAATGCAAATTAAAACCACAGTGAGATGCCACCCTATTCCTGCAAGAATAGCAATAATTAAAAAGTCAAAAAATAAAAGATGTTGACATAGATATGGTGAAAAGGGAACACATTTACACTGTTGGTGGGAATGTAAAATAGTACAACAATTATGGAAAACAGTATGGAGATTCCGTGAAGAACTAAAAATAGAACTACCATTTGATCCAGCAATCCCACTATTGGGTATCTACCCAATGGAAAATAAGAGATTATATGAAAAAGACACATGCACATGCACGTTTGTAGCAGTACAAATGCAAACATATGGAACCAACTTAAGTGTCCATCAACTAATGAGTGGATAAAGAAAATGTGGTATATATACACCATGGAATACTACTCATCCATAAAAAGGAATGAAATAATGTCTTTTGCAGCAATTTGGATGGAGCTGGAGCCATTATTCTAAGTGAGGCAACTCAGGAATGGAAAACCAAATGTTATATGTTCTCATTTATAAGTGCGAGTTAAGATATGAGGATGCAAAGGCATAATAATAATAATATAATGGACTTTGGGAACAGGGCAGAGAGGAAGGTTGGGGTGGAGGTGAAGGATTAAACACTGCATATTGGGTACAATGTATACTGCTTGGGTGATGATCCACCAAGATGTCAGAAAGCACCACTAAAGAACTTATCCATGTAACCAAAAACTACCTGTTTCCCCAAAACTATTGAAATAAAAATATTTTTTTTTCTGAAATACTTCTGGAAATGATAGATATGAAGTTCATGTTTGCTGTATTAATTTTCCACTCTTTCATAAAGGCACTGGATGTATTCTGCAACTCCTTCAGACTGAATTTCTAGGCTCCAACTTGGCAGCAGTGGCCAGATGTGTGGGTAAGAACTTGAGGGAGGGTAAGGTCAATAGAAAGCCAACAGCTCTCTTATTTGTCAGTTAATTTTGCTTGGGAAATGTGGCTAACAATTCCCTAGAAGTACCACCTGGGGTGTGCCCACCTGTTTTGTGTTTGGCATCCCCAGGTGAAGAGCTTTTATGTTAGCCTTGAGTGGGTATCTGTCTTCTCCAAGTTGTCATTCCCAACCCCAGCTACCTATGACCTGCTCTTCTTCTCAGTACCACAACAGAATAATGACTTGGATTTTCTTTTTCCCATAATTTCTGCCCGACTAAATGCCACCTTCTCCAGAAATCCTCTTTTAATTCCCTTTGATCCAACTGATTATATCACTCCCTTTTCTCTGCTACTGCTAATTATGTTACTTACACCTATCACACTATGCCATTATTAATTTCCTAAGTACCTGCCTCTCTTCTCAAAGTAGCAATTACTTAATGACTTGTATCCAGTGTATTCATTTATGTTTATTTAATTCCTAGGAAGGGTCCTTGAGATTTTTTTATTAATTAATGAATTCATTAAGCATTAATTTATTCAATTAATGTTTACAGAGCACCAGCCCTTTACAAGATATCATGATATCCCAGAGCTACAGCAGTAAGAAGATGCAGTGGCAGGAAATTTCCATTGAATTGAATTATTTTCCTTCTTCTTTTTTATTTATTTATTTAAATTGTCATTCTAGCATATTTTTCTTCTTTTTTTAAAATTTTTCTAGTCTTCCATAGCTCCCTGTTGCAGTTATGGTACTTACCATTTTATGGGACATTTACTTCATTGAATGCCCAAGTCTCCACCGTGATTGTTTGTTCTTCCAGGACAGAGCACAATAGCTTATTTATTTTGGCTCTCAATTATCTAGCATAGGGGTTGGTAAACTATGGCTTCTGGGCCAAATTTAGCTTGCTGCCTATTTTTATATGGCCTATGAGCTAAGAATGGTTTTCACATCCTTAAATGCTTGAAAGAAATCAAAAGAGTAATAATTTATGATACATGACAATGAAAATTATATATGAAATATAAATTTCATGGGTATCACCAGCGGAGCCTGCAGAACAGCAAAAATTGCTGCCTTTTCCTTCCTCTGGAAGCTTTGTCCCAGGGGGTCACCTGCCAGATGCCAGTGAGAGGTCTCCTGTATGAGGTGTCTGTCGGCCCCTTATGGGAGGTTTCTCCCAGTCAGGAAAAACCGGGGTTGGGGACCCGCTTGAGGAGGCAGCCTGTCCCTTATCAGAGCTTAGGATAGGAGGCAATTAGAGTTAGATTATGTCATGTGGGTGGAGGCTTCCTGATGGGATTATTGGCCTTATAATAAAAGGAACAGATATTTCCCCACCACTCAACTTTCCCCCAATCCAAGTGTAAGTGCCAAGCAAAGACCATGAGTCATAGTCAGTTCAGACTGCTATAACAAAGTGCCATAGACTGGGTGGTTTATGAACAATGGAAATTTATTTCTATAATTTTAGAAGCTAGAAGTCTGAGATCAGGGTACCAGCATAGTATGGTTCTAGTGATGCCTCACAGGTTAAAGACTGCCAGTTTCTTACACCTCACATGGTGGAAAGGAGGCAAGTCTGTAATCCCAGCACTTTGGGAGGCCAAGGCAGGAGGATTGCTTGAGGCCAGGAGTTGCAGACCAGCCTGGGCAACACAGCAAGATTCTGCCTCCATAAAAATTAAAAATAAAATAAATAAAAGGGCACTAATCCCATTCATGAGAACTCTACCCTCATGACCTAATCACCTCCAAAACATCCCACCTTCTATTTTGGGGGTTATAATTCCAACATATAAACTTTGAGGGGGCATAAACATTTACCCCATAACACCATGTGAGGATGTAGTGAGAAGGTACCATCTGCAAGTCAGGAGAGCCCCCATCAGAAACCAAATCAGGTAGCACCTTGACCCAGAACTTTCCAGATTCCATGCCTGTGAGAATAAATTTCTATTGTTTAAGTTACCCGGTCTATTTTTTTTTTTTTAATAGTAGCCCAAAGTAACTAAGACACTGGGTAATTTTTTTCTGGGTCTTTTAAAAATGGAAAGTCCCGAGCCATAGGAGGCCTTTAGGGTATCAATGTTAAGACCTCTTGGGAAAGATGAAGCTCTGTTCTCCAGTACAGGGGTGATAATAATCTCTTTTTATGTTTGAGAGGCTGAGAGCAGAGACTGCAGGATCTTGAAGGAAGAGCACAAAAGGGAAAGAAAGGGGTTCAGGTTCTGTAAGACAGCAGGCTGGGCTCCTGGCTGAGGAATGCATGTAAGGACAGCTGTGAAGGAACTTTCTGGAAGTTTCTAGAACACTAGCCACATGGGGCTCAGGCAGCAATGATGGTCTTGTGAAAGGAAAATAAACTTTGGATCCCCAAAATCACTAAGCTAAAGGAAAAAGTCGAGCTGGGAACTGCTTAGGGCAAACCTGCCTCCCATTCTATTCAAACTCACCCCTCTGTTCACTGAGATGAATGCACATCTGATTGCCTCCCATTTGTCTCCCATCTACCTGTGATGTGGAAACCCCCTCCCGCTTCGAGTTGTCCTACCTTTCTGGACCAAACCAATGTTCATATTACATGTTAATTGATGTCTCATGTTTCCCTAAAATATAAAACCAAGCTGTGCTCTGACCACCTTGGGCACATGTCATCAGGACCTCCTGAGGCTGTGTCACAGGCCCGTATCCTCAGCCGTGGCAAAATAAAATTTCTAAAATAACTGAGACTTGTCTCAGATATTTGGGGTTCACATTTCAGCAACCATGAAGGGATTCTGAGTGCAGGTGCCCCTGACCTTTGACAAATCTATCTGGAGATTTGGTACCAGCATGAGCTAACTTTATGGCTCAAACCAATAGGACAATTTGTTGAGGTCTGGGAGTATCCCCTTCAGAGAATCCCTGATCTCCCCAAATGTAGTTGAGATCTAAAGTTGATTTTGCTGTACAACTTCCTTTTTCTTTAGAGTTTTACTTGCTTCCAACAAGCAAGACAAGATTTCCTGCTTCTATGACGATGGAAGGCAGGTAACTCCTTTCTGGAGTTTGAGCTCGCTCCCAACAGGGGAGATGAGTTTGAGTGTTTTTTCCTGCTTCTAGGATGGCAGAGAACAGTCTTCAGCCTGAGACCCATTTGAAGGTAAGTTAAGAACCAGCTGGTCTTAATTTCTCCTTACCATTAGAGCACTCAATGTAATATTGTTGGAATTTTTTGTTGTTGTTGTTTGTTCTGTTCTTTCTCTCATCTGATTTGACCAACTCGACCTGACTTGGTCAAATCTGAGTGAGAATTCCAAATTATGGGTAACAAAGCATCTCTAATTTGGATAGCTGCAAAAGAGGAAAAAACAAAGAAACAAAAAACATGTGCTTGGTTTCTGTGTTTGCTTCCTGTCTTAAAAAAAACCACAAATGTTCTTTTATTTACTTTTCTTCCACCTCGTACTTTCTTCCCCCTTTGCCATCTGTAGTACCAAAAAATCTAGAGAAAGCTTCAAATGACTTGAACCACCCCCCCTCTTTTTTTTTTTGAGACAGAGTATCACTCTGTCCCCCAGGCTGGAGTGCAGTGGCATGATCTCGGCTCACTGCAAGCTCTGCCTCCCGGGTTCATGCCACTCTCCTACCTCAGCCTCCCGAGTAGCTGGGACTACAGGCACCGGCCACCAAGCCCGGCTACTTTTCTATATTTTTAGTAGAGACGGGGTTTCACTAAAACCAGGATGGTCTCGATCTCCTGACCTCGTGATCTGCCCGTCTTGGCCTCCCAAAGTCCTGGGATTACAGGTGTGAGCCACCGCGCCCAGCTGAACCCCTTTAAAGAGTTCAGAACAAAGGTGTCACTCGCCCCTCTGCGGGTGTTCTATTTTCTTTGTTGAGTTTCAAGAGCCATAGGCAGCTCTGTTTTCCTCTATTGCATGACCTGACCCCTTTGGCTTTGGAGGTACCAGAGATGACCTTGTACTGTGACAGGATTTGACGTTGGTGTGTATAATGGCAGACAAGAGCTACAAAGCTAGGGGTGGCTGAGCACAGTTTACAGAAAGTGGTCTTGGCTGTTGTTTACTTTCTCCTAGGAAGTTGTTTTTTAAGGATCCTAATTCTAGTTCAGAGATGCATTCTAAAGGATCTTCTCTATTGTCTTTTCTCCCAAAATTAATCTTGATTCAGCTTGTCTGTGCGCATTTGCTCGAGGAACTGAACTGTTGTTTTCATAGATAAATGAGAGACTGAGCTTTCTCGGCTCCAAAGAAAAAGGGCATTTTGCTCCTCCCAGACAAAAGGCACCCCTGGGTGACTGAGGACCTGGTGGGAGTGTCTGCGGGTTTGACTCCCAATAATGTGCAGTGGCCCAACAGGAAAATCCCAAAAATTAAAAAAAAATGGCTCATTCAGTGTCAGGCCTCTGAGCCCAAGCTAAGCCATCATATCCCCTGTGACCTGCACGTACACATCCAGATGGCCGGTTCCTGCCTTAACTAATGACATTCCACCACAAAAGAAATGAAAATGGCCTGTTCCTGCCTTAACTGATGACATTATCTTGTGAAATTCCTTCTCCTGGCTCATCCTGGCTCAAAAGCTCCCCTACTGAGCACCTTGTGACCCCCACCCCTGCCTGCCAGAGAACAACCCGGCTTTGACTGTAATTTTCCTTTACCTATCCAAATCTTATAAAACGGCCCCACCCCTATCTCCCTTCGCTGACTCTCTTTTCAGACTCAGCCCGCCTGCACCCAGGTGATTAAAAGCTTTATTGCTCACACAAAGCCTGTTTGATGGTCTCTTCACATGGATGTGTATGAAATTTGGTGCCGTGACTCGGATCGGGGGACCTCCCTTCAGAGATCAATCCCCTTTCCTCCTGCTCTTTGCTCCGTGAAAAAGATCCACCTACGACCTCGGGTCCTCAGACCCACCAGCCCAAGGAACATCTCACCAATTTTAAATTGAGTAAGCGGCCTCTTCTTACTCTCTTCTCCAACCTCTCTCACTATCCCTCAGCCACTTTCTCCTTTCAATCTTGGTGCCACCCTTCAATCTCTCCCTTCTCTTAATTTCAATTCCTTTCATTTTCTGGTAGAGACAAAGGAGACACATTTTATCTGTGGACCCAAAACTCCGGCGCTAGTCACGGACTCGGGAAGGTAGCCTTCCCTTGGTGTTTAATCATTGCAGGGACGCCTCTCTGATTATTCACCCACGTTTCAGAGGTGTCTGACCATGCAGCGACGCCTGCCTTGGTCTTTCACCCTTAGCGGCAAGTCCCGCTTTTCTGGGGGAGGGGCAGGATCCCTGACCCCTTCTCTCCCTGTCTCTACCCCTTTTCTACTTTTCTGGGGGGCAAGAACCCCCTGATCCCTTATTTCCACACCGACCCCTTATCTCTGTGCCCCGATCCCTTATTTCCATGTCCTGACCCCTTATCTCTGCACCCCGATCCCTTATTTCCACATCCACTCCCAGATCCCTTATTTCTGTGCCCCGACCTCTTATCTCTGCACCCCAACCCCTTATTTCTGCATCCTGACCCCTTTCCCGCTTTTCTGGATGGTAAGAACCCCCGAACCCCTTCCCTCCATGTCTCTACTCCCCCTTTTCTTTAGACTTGCCTCCTTCACTATAGGCAACCTTCCACTTTCCATTCCTCCTTCTTCTCCCTTAGCCTGTGTTCTTAAGAACTTAAAACCTCTTCAACTCTCACCTGACCTAAAACCTAAATGCCTTATTTTCTTCTGCAATGCCAGTTGACCCCAATACAAACTCGACAGTGGTTCCAAACAGCCAGAAAATGGCACTTTCATTTTTTCCATCCTACAAGATCTAGATAACTCTTGTTGTAAAATGGGCAAATGGTCTGAGGTGCCTGATGTCCAGGCACTCTTTTACACATCAGTCCCTTCCTAGTCTCTGTTCCCAATGCAACTCATCCCAAATCTTCCTTCTTTCCCTCCCGCCTGTCCCCTCAATCCCAACCCCAAGCGTCGCTGAGTCTTTCTAATCTTCCTTTTCTACAGACCCATCTGACATCTCCCCTCCCAATTCTTCCTCAGCCTCCCCTCCTCCACCCTATAATCCTTTTATCACCTCCCCTCTTCACACCCGGTCTGGCTTACAGTTTCTTTCCTCAACTAGCTCTCCCCCACCTGCCCAGCAATTTCCTCTTAAAAAGGTGGCTGGAGCTAAAGGCATAGTCAAGGTTAATGCTTCTTTTTCTTTATTTGACCTCTCCCAGATCAGTTAGCGTTTAGGCTCTTTTTCATCAAACAGGAAAAACCCAGCCCAGTTCATGGCTCATTTGGCAGCAACCCTGAGACGCTTTACAGCCCTAGACCCTAAAAAGTCAAAAGGCCGTCTTGTTCTCAATATACATTTTATTACCCAATCCACTCCCGACTTTAAATAAAGCTCCAAAAATTAAATTCCGGCCCTCAAACCCCACAACAGGATTTAATTAACCTCGCCTTCAAGGTGTACAATAATAGAAAAAAGTTGCAATTCCTTGCCTCCACTGTGAGACAAACCCCAGCCACATCTCCAGCACACAAGAACTTCCAAACGCCTGAACCGCAGCAGCCAGGTGTTCCTCCAGAACCTCCTCCCACAGGAGCTTGCTACAAGTGCTGGAAATCTGGCTACTGGGCAAAGGAATGCCTGCAGCCCAGGATTCTTCCTAAGCCACATTCCATCTGTGTGGGACCCCCCCTGAAAATCTGACTGTTCAACTTACCTGGCAGCCACTCCAAGAGCTCCTGGGACTCTGGCCCAAGGCTCTCTGACTGACTCCTTCCCAGATCTTCTCAGCTTAACGGCTGAAGACTGACACTGCCTGATCGCCTCGGAAGCCCCCTAAACCATCACGGATGCCGAGTTTCAGGTAACTCTCACAGTGGAAGGTAAGTCCATCCCCTTCTTAATCAATACGAAAGCTATCCACTCCACATTACCTTCTTTTCAAGGGCCTGTTTCCCTTGCCTCCGTAACTGTTGTGGGTATTGATGGCCAGGCTTCTAAACCTCTTAAAACTCCCCAACTCTGGTGCCAACTTAGACAATACTCTTTTAAGCACTCCTTTTTAGTTATCCCCACCTGCCCAGTTCCTTTATTAGGCTGAGACACTTTAACTAAATTATCTGCTTCCCTGATTATTCCTGGGCTACAGCCACACCTCATTGCCGCCTTTTCCCCCATTCAAAGCCTCCTTCATATCCTCCCCTTGTATCTCCCCATCTTAACCCACAAGTATAAGACACCTCTACTCCCTCCTTAGCGACCGATCATGCACCCCTTACCATCCCATTAAAACCTAATTACGCTTACCTTGCTCAATGCCAATATCCCATCCCATAGCACACTTTAAAAGGATTAAAGTCTGTTATCACTCACCTGTTACAGTATGGCCTTTTAAAGCCTATAAACTCTCCTTACAATTCCCCCATTTTACCCGTCCTAAAACCAGACAAGACTTACAGGTTAGTTCAGGATCTGCACCTTATCAACCAAATTGTTTTGCCTATCCACCCCGTGGTGCCAAACCCATATACTCTCCTATCCTCAATACCTCCCTCTACAACCCATTCTTCTGTTCTGGATCTCAAACATTGCTTTCTTTACCATTCCTTTGCACCCTTCATCCCAGCCTCTCTTCGCTTTCACTTGGACTGACCCTGACACCCATTAGGCTCAGCAAATTACCTGGGCTGTACTGCCGCAAGGCTTCACAGACAGCCCCCATTACTTCAGTCAAGCTCAAATTTCATCCTCACCTGTTACCTTTCTCTGCATAATTCTCGTAAAAACACACGTGCTGTCCCTGCCAATTGTGTCCGACTAATCTCCCAAACCTCAATCCCTTACAAAACAACAACTCCTTTCCTTCCTAGGCATGGTTAGCGCGGTCAGAATTCTTACAAAAGAGCCGGGACCGCACCCTGTAGCGTTTCTGTCCAAACAACTTGACCTTACTGTTTCAGCCTAGCCCTCATGTCTGCGTGCAGCAGCTGCCGCTGCTTTAATACTTTTAGAGGCCCTAAAAATCACAAACTATGCTCAACTCACTCTCTACATTTCTCATAACTTCCAAAATCTATTTTCTTCCTCATACCTGACACATATACTTTCTGCTCCCCCGCTCCTTCAGCCATACTCTTTGTTGAGTCTCCCACAATTACCATTGTTCCTGGCATGGACTTCGATCTGGCCTCCCACATTATTCTGGATACCACACCTGACCCTCATGACTGTATCTCTCTGATCCACCTGACATTCACCCCATTTCCCCATATTTCCTTCTTTCCTGTTCCTCACCCTGATCACATTTAGTTTATTCATGGCAGTTCTGCCAGGCCTAATCGCCACTCACCAGCAAAGGCAGGCTATGCTAGAGTATCTTCCACATCTATCACTGAGTCTATCGCTCTGCCCCCCCTCCACTACCTCTCAGCAAGCCAAACTAGTTGCCTTAACTCAAGCCCTCACTCTTGCAAAAGGACTACACATCAATATTTATAGTGACTCTAAATATGCCTTTCATATTCTGCACCACCATGCTGTTATATAGGCTGAAAGAGGTTTCCTAACTATGCAATGGTCCTCCATTATTAATGCCTCTTTAATAAAAACTCTGCTCAAGGCCGCTTTAGTTCCAAAGGAAGCTGGAGTCATTCACTGCAAAGGCCATCAAAAGGCGTCAGATCCCATTGCTCTAGACAACGCTTATGCTGATAAGATGGCTAGACAAGCAGCTAGCTTTCCAACTTCTGTATGTCACGCCAGTTTTTCTCCTTCACATCAGTCACTCCCACCTACTCCCCTGCTGAAACTTCCACCTATCAATCTCTTCCCACACAAGGCAAATGGTTCTTAGACCAAAGAAAATATCTCCTTCCAGCCTCACAGTCCCATTCTATTCTGTCATCATTTCATAACCTCTTCCACATAGGTTACAAGCCACTAGCCCGTCTCTTAGAACCTCTCATTTCCTTTCCATCCTGGAAATCTATCTTGAAGGAGATCACTTCTCAGTGTTCCATTTGCTATTCTACTACCCCTCAGGGATTGTTCAGGCCTCCTCCCTTTCTTACACATCAAGCTCGGGGATTTGCCCCAGCCCAGGACTGGCAAATTGACTTTATTCACATGCCCCGAGTCAGAAAACTAAAATATCTCTTAGTCTGGGTAGGCACTTCCACTGGATGGGTAGAGGCCTCTCCTACAGGGTCTAAGAAGGCCACTGCAGTCATTTCTTCCCTACTGTCAGACATAATTCCTCTGTTTGGCCTTCCCACCTCTATACAGTCCGATAGCAGACCGGCCTTTATTACTCAAATCAGCCAAGCATTTTTTCAGGCTCTTGGTATTCAGTGAAACCTTTATATCCCTTACGGTCCTCAGTCTTCAGGAAAGGTAGAATGGACAAATGGTTTTTTAAAAACACACCTCAACAAGCTCGGCCACCAACTTAAAAAGGACTGGACAATACTTTTAGAACTTTCCCTTCTCAGAATTCAGGCCTGTCCTTGGAATGCTACAGGGTACAGCCCATTTGAGCTCCTGTATGGACGCTCCTTTTTATTAAGCCCCAGTCTCATTCCAGACACCAGACCAACTTGGACTGTGCCCCAAAAATCTTGTCATCCTATCTTCTGTCTAGTCGTACTCCTATTCACCATTCTCAACTACTCATACATGCCCTGCTCTTGTTTACACTGCTGGTTTACACTGTTTCTCCAAGCCATCACAGCTGATATCTCCTGGTGCTATCCTCAAACTGCCACTCTTAACTCTTGAAGTAAATAAATAATCTTTGCTGGCAGGACTATGCTGAATCTCCTTAGGCACTCTCTAATTAGATGTCCTGGGTCCTCCCAATTCTTAGATCTTTAATACCTGTTTTTCTCCTCTCTTATTCCGTTTAGTTTTTCAATTCATACAAAACCGTATCCAGGCCATCACCAATAATTCTAAATGACAAATGTTTCTTCTAACAACCCCACAATATCACCCCTTACCACAAAATCTTCCTTCAGCTTAATCTCTCCCACTCTAAGTTCCCACGCCACCCCTAATCCCACTCGAAGCAGCCCTGAGAAACATCGCCCATTATCTCTCCATATCATCCCCCAAAATTTTCGCTGCCCCAACACTTTACCACTATTTCATTTTATTTTTCTTGTTAATATAAGAAGACAGGAATGTCAGGCCTCTGAGCCCAAGCTAAGCCATCATATCCCCTGTGACCTGCATGTACACATCAAGATGGCCGGTTCCTGCCTTAACTGATGACTTTCCACCACAAAAGAAATGAAAATGGCCTGTTCCTGCCTTAACTGATGACATTGTCTTGTGAAATTCCTTCTCCTGGCTCATTCTGGCTCAAAAGCTCCCCTACTGAGCACCTTGTGACCTCCATCCCTGCCCACCAGAGAACAACCGCCCTTTGACTGTAATTTTCCTTTACTTACTCAAATCTTATAAAACAGCCCCACCCCATCTCCCTTTGCTGACTCTCTTTTCGGACTTAGCCCGCCTATACCCAGGTGATTAAAAGCTTTATTGCTCACACAAAGCCTGTTTGGTGGTCTCTTCACATGGACGTACATGAAATCCAGGAAATGCATATAAGGGCTGATCACTCAGCGTTTTAATCCCTCTCAGAGGTTATAGACCTCTGGAGAGAGAAACTGAAACATGTAAGAGAGTGGAAACAACTCAGTGGTGACATGCTGAGGAGTCCTGCCCAAAAGCAGCACATATCAATCCACCACACTTAAACCCCAGGCCACAGCTCAGTTCCTCCTTTAAAAAAAAAAAAAAAAAGTGGGAAACAACCTAAGAATAAGGAAAAAAAAAAAAAGGAGAATGACCCTCTTTCAATGACTCTGTAAGTTTTATGGCACCTCTACTTGCCAGAGTTTAATGTAAAATAGAAGCAATATGGTCTTTGTGCACATTTACATTAAGGAAAAAGAGCCCTAAGGTCGACCTGCAGACTGTGGAGTTCCTAAGTTCCCTTTTTCTCTAGTTTCTTTTCTGTCTGTTTCAAATCAGCTGTTATTTTTCTACTAAGATAAAAACCACTGTTTGGGTCCAGCAGGGTCTTTTTTTGAAAGCCAGTGAATTTATATTTATCTCATGCCTAAAGTTCTGAAGTAAAAACTATAGGATCTTTCTCTATGTGTGTGTGTGTATGTGTGTGTGTGTGTGTGTGTGTGTGTGTGTGTGTGTGTGTATGTTTAAAAGGCCTTTATAATTTCTATAATTTTATGTTTAATTGGCAATTAAATTCATTTTAATTTCCCTCCAGCACAACAGACTTTTTCTTTCTGTACCTTATGATGTAAATTTTGCTATTTGATTTTCACCTGAGTTGTTTCCTTTAATATGCAAGTTTAGGTTATTTAGCTGACAACTGCCTAGGGTAATGAAGCATGTTATCAAGAATTTGAAAGTCTAAGGAAAAACAAGAAGGTCTTTGTGAATCCATAAGATGTACTTCTATCAACATACCTAATACATCTATGTATTTATGTGTTCTGTACACAATATTTCACTACTGAAAATATATAAAAGAGCTCTAATTCATTGGCTTAAGAAAATAAAAGTGCTTGAATCAAATACCTCATCAGGGAAAAAGAAAAGACTAGTCAAATGCTTTTTCTAGTTTACATAACAAGTAAAATATTGAATAAATAAGCTAGCTTTAAATTATTGGTAAAGTAATATTAGAAATGTCTTAAGAATTGCCAGGATACATTTTTGTTTGCATTTATTGATCAAGAAATTTTATATTTATCACTGCCAAATACTATAAGGTGTTAAAATTTGGCATGTTACAAAACTATAAACCCAGTCCAAAACAGAATGATCCTTGCTTATGTAATTTTAAATAAATAAGACATTAATAATGGTTTAATGAAAATAGCTACATCTTGAATTTAGTAAGATTACCATAATTTCTAATCTTTTGGCTTTAGGCAGTCTAGTCCACAGGGAAATAAGGTTTGTTTTGGGAACGAACTGTTACAATTTTTGTTTCAAATCTAAACTATAAACTAAGTTTCTCTCTACCTGATTTCTCCAAAATTTGGAAACTATTTGTGAGAATTCTTAACTTAGGGCAATACAGTTATTAAGAATAAGAATCTGTTTTCATTTGCAACAGTACACAATCGGACAAGCTGGTTATTTCCAAGGCTTTGACTGGAATGGTGTGCTTTCCTTTAAGGAATGAAACTTGACTTATGGAACCAATAAAGCTCCTTTGGGAAAACTGGCCTCATATCTTGTCTGCACAGTCCCAGTACAGGGTTCCTGACCTGTGATAAGTAAAGAATGTAACTTTCTGACAGGCCCAGGAGCCCCCAAGTTTATCTTGGCACCTCAAGATAAGAGGAATTCACCCAACTCATAGGTATTTGATGGTACAAACCCATGGCTCAGCTCAGCTTTTAAAAAGTCCTGTCTGAGATTCCTTCTATGGAACAAAGTTCCATCAAAGCCAATTTTTAAAAGCCTATATAATAAAAATAATTATTCTTGCTACACTGTAGACAAATAATTAGGCCAAGTATAATAAAGCAAATTAGTCCTACCATGATTTGTCTTGAGTGAAAATGGGAAATTAGAGAGAGAAAAATTATGTTTCAAAAACTATAGTACACCTGTTGTCAGATTCTAGTCTTGCCTAATGTTTTTCAATTTTTATTATTTTATACAGTTGGGACCAAATTCTAATTTTTCTTGACTATAAGTCTTTAAAATCATGTTTTCAATTTTTTCCTTCTTTTTCTCTCTCAATTTTCCTAATTTGGAGTCACTGAAAAGTAACCTGTGCTTTCTTAAAGCTGTGTGAACTGAAGCTGGACAACTTAAACTTCAGAAGAAAATAACAGCAACCTATTTACATACATAATTCCCTTTCATACTTGCCTACTGATGTGTGGATTTCAGTGTAATGCGGCCTATATCAATTTTCCAGGGTGGTTCTTCTGTTTGTTGTTTTTCTCCCTTTCTCCCCATATTTTCTCTTCATAGGACATGAGACAGCCTGCTAAAAATGATCTTTCCTAGTAACTTGGGACCTACTTGTCTAGGAGTACACTATCCTAGCCATGAAAAGTCAGACAAAACCTGAGATCAGAGACTCATCTTCTTCTAAAATGTTTTCTCCAAATATTTTAAAAAAGAAAAAGGGGGGAAATATGAAAGGACAATAAATCTCGGGGCCCCCAAATCACCAAGCTACAGGGAAAAGTCTTGCTGGGAACTGTTTAAGGCAAACCTGCTTCCCATTCTATTCAAAGTCACCCCTCTGTGCATTGAGATAAATACATATCTGATTGCCTCTTTTGCAGAGGCTAATCAGAAACTCAAAAGAATGCAATCATTTGTCTCTTATCTACCTATGACCTGGAAGCCCCCCTTTCCACTTCGAGTTGTCCTGCCTTTCTGGGCTCAACCAATGTTCATATTACATATGTTGATTGATGTCTCATGTCTCCCCAAAATGTATAAAACCCAGCTGTTCTCTGACCTCCCTGGGCACACCTCCTGAGGCTGTGTCACAGGGGTGTGTCCTCAACCTTGGCAAAATAAACTTTCTAAAATAACTGAGCATGTCTCAGATATTCAGGGCTCACAGTCTCATCCAAAGAGGCTGCCACCTGGTCATCACATTTTATTTTAGAAATGTTACCATTAAGTCCCCAAATTCCCTGTGAGGTATAAGTTTGCTGCGTTCTGAATCTCAGAGGGACAGCTAATTTCTTCACTGCAGTCTCCTGCTCTCTATGTAACTCAGAGACAGGTGGATTCCAGGTGTGTTCCCTCGGACACTGATGCTGCGTACATGAGGTTTATGAGGGAGTGCTCTAAAGGTTACCATCTGTGGATGGAAGGAAAAGAAGCAGGCTTGGGCAGAAGGAAAAGTTGTGCTGTGATGCTGTGTTAAAGAAGGTTTCAGCTCATCCCACGAGGACCTGTGAACTGGGATAGCCCTTCATTAATGTCCTGAACTAGGGAGAGGGGTCAGATCTTTATATCCCTGCATCAGACTGCCCTAGGAAAGGTGTATGATATTGGGCAAGACGTTGGGCAAGATTTTACTTCAGCCAGGTAATTCCACAGTTGGCCGAGAGCTGAGGACTGTCCACTGGGAGAGGCCCCAGAAGCTGGCAGGATAAGTCCTTTGGTCCTGATGTTTTCCTGGCAGATATATCACAGTGTCCATAGAAGACTGTCTAGGGCATGCTAGTGTCTCCTGAGAAATGGGGTGGATACACACTTCTATTACATTGTAATGTAAAAGAAGTAAGACCTAACCTGGGGTGAGAAAAGGAACCTGGAAAGGTAACTCCCCCAGTGTTCTTAGGCCAAAGATGTTTTTCCCATTATGGACCCACTGGTCAGGTGCCATACTGAAACTGGTTTTCTGTGTACTGACATTCTGCTTTTAAAAGGAATAGAATTCAAGTGAAGGAGATGAGAGTACTACACAAAGCTGTAACTATTACCCTTTTAGATTTGGAAATCAGTCAATTCTTTGAGTGACTTAATTTTTTTCCTTTATTTCTACATTATTCCACATTCCTATGTGTATGTGTGTGTGTCTCTGCATGTTTGTGTATGTGTATACATCAGGGTCTAGAGGATCAGCCCTAGGTTTGACTCCGCTGCGCTGCCTGGGTCTCGTGCCTCCTGGGTGTGCTCAGTTGGGAAAGAGCAGGATGTGAATTGCTATACTGCACTTCCTCATTCTCAAACTGTCTTTTCTATTGGTACAATTGTGTGTCAATTTTCTAAAATATGGAAGCATTTACAAGAAAAGGGAAAAAAGGAAAACAAGTTTAAATGAGGAAACAGAGATATAATGATTTCTACTTCCTTTACTGAACTGTTAGACCAGCAGGTGCTTTTTTGCCAAATGATAAGTGATTTATTTCCCAATCAAACAGGGTATTGTACGTGTCATTCAGAAATGTGTTCCTGCTCATTCAGAGCTCTGAAAAAGAGTTGACAAACATCAGAGGAGAATTGTGGCTAACGCAGAAATAATAGGAAGAAAAAAATCAATGTAGAGATGTAATTGAAGGTAAGATGTAATTGAAAGTGGTAGAGGTAATTGAATGGTAATATTGTGAGCAGAGAGCAAGCAGGATCAAGCAAGTGCAAGATTAGGCAATTCAAAGATGTTCATCTTTCTCCTTTCTGAGATAACACAGGCCCCTGAGATTATGGTTAAGGGACATTATCAAACATGCTCATTCAAATAGAAATTCCTCTATAGCTTTTTTTTTTTTTATCTTTGTCTCTTTTTTCCTTACAAAGAATATCTGTGAGCTGGATTGAGTCCAAGAATGTGACTTTGCAGCTGATATAACTGGACTACGGCATGTTTGGTCCTGTCCTTGTGACTATCTTAGCAATGGAATTCAATTGCTCCAGGTCAGCCCACTCAATCAAGGCATATCTGACCAGAAAAATGACCAAAAATACTGAAGCAACCATGTACATTCCCATCCCTCCGTTTTCATTTTTTGGAAGCAAATTTCACTAAAAAGCACTATTTATTTTCCTTTACCCAGTGGGAGATATTTAAAAAATGCATTTTTATTGGGAAAGTGAGTGCTATTCATGGGCATTTTTTCAAACCAAAATAACTCCCCTTGAGAAATACTTACTCCTCCAGCATTATCTCACGGGGTTGTTGATAGAGTTTGCCTTTCAATTCCAGTGAAATCAATATTGCATTATGGCTGGAGTCAGGAGACCTGGATTGTGCGACCTTGGGCAAGTCACTTAATCTCTCTGCAACCATCTATGTGAAAAAAACAATGAAAATAATTCTAGCCACTTCAAGAAGGGAGAGTTAGATTAATCATAGCAGATTTTCTAGACAATCGTCTCTGTGGCTGTTTCTTACACTCCCTGTTTTCTTGTGTGTGCTTTTTAATTTTTGATTCTCTTTTGAATCTAAATTCAGCTGGCCACTTATTGACACAATGACAAAGCTAATTCCCAATGCCGATGGTGATGCCTCTGCTCAGCTGAATTTAATATCTCTGGACAAAGCCCTTGAAATGCTGTATCCCCTTTGTGAGGGGAAGAGGAGGAAGGCAATGGAGAACTCCATTTGGTAAAGAATTCTTGCATATACATTGCTCTCTTCACTCTGAGTGATTTTGTGACTTCTTACTCTCAGGCATCCTGTTTCCTCAACCTCACTGTATCTGGCTTCTGCTTTTTACATCCACTGATCAACAAGCTTATGTAAGGGATGACTTAGGTTGGTCTTGCTCTTCCAGCCTGGTTCTCAGGATGGTCCCCAGAGTATACCTCAAGTGCTTGCCCCACTTCTTTACAAGCTGTTACTATAGGTGATAAACCAATACTTATTGATTCATTGAATGACAACCCTGTGACCTCACCAACTTTTCCAGCTGCCATTCCCTCTTCTTCTTTTGTTATCAGACTTATTAAGAGAACAGTCTATTATTCCTTACCCACGACTAGCCAGTGACTACCTCATTGCTTTCTTTCTTTCTTCCCCTTTCTTTCTCTCTATTCTGGGACTGCTTCATTCCAGAAATGGATCATCTAAAGTGGGGTTAGTTTTCTGGTTAAGTTCATTCTGTTGTGTTTCTAATTTAGCTTGCCCGTTTTCTTAGCTTCAACTACCACCTGTATGTGGATGAATCTCATATCCACAAGGTGGCCATTCCAGCCCAGAAATTGCTTTCCAATATCCCTCCCTAGCATTTGTCAATCTAAGAGCACATACTGAAGGCCGATTTGAGACCACTATGTGAGTAATCTGGAATACCAAACTAAAGAGTTTGGATTTTATCTTACAGTGGGAGTTAGAGATATGTTTTCAAATAATCTAGAGGAATACATTGTTTTCACTCAACAGAGCAGAGGGTGGGTTGGAGGTCAGAAGGCTAGGGTTTCCCAGCCCAATGCAGTCACCATGATGTCACTAAAACTCAGATTTTAATTGACACCTAATGAACAGATATTTTCTGCTACGTTTCCAGTTGATTCATTTCCCAAGTCTCTGGTCTTGGTATGAACAGGGCAGGAAAAATGCACATGAGATTCAAAGCATGCATTGGCCAGCGGTTGTTTTTTTTCAATCCAGCTTTATCAGCCCTCAGTTCATGAATATTCACTACTATTCTTAATTTTCAGTGCTACTTCAAGTATTTCTATTTTCCATATCCTCAGAGATATTTCATTTGGAAGTTTAGAGGAGCTACATTAGGCACAGCCAAATAGCTGCTATTTTAAAATGGAAATCCCTTCTTGTTGATGTTTTGAGACCTCACTGCAAACAGATGCTCAGAAGAAAAATATGGACTATATGGTGAATTAAGAAATCCTGAAAATGGTCACTGTTGTGTTACACACAAGAAGCAATTGTATACCTCACAGCAGCCACACTAAGTTCTTTTGTTTCCTTGACCACATGAGTTATTTTCCTCCTCTGGCCTACACACAGGCTGCTCTCTCTGCGTGAACTCCCAACCCCTATCCTTACACAAGCTTCCATCTGCCTCCATCCTAGACTCTATTTGATCCTTCATGACTTGGTTTAAATGTCACTTCCTCAGAGAGGCATTCCCAAACCTCCTTACACTTATTTGATTGGATTCCTCTGCTATTCTTTCTTCTAATATCACATAACTTCCTTCAGGATGCTTATCACAATCTGGAATTATGTATCAGTGTGACCATTTGTATAATATCTATTATCCACTTCAACTTCAACCCCAACTGCATAGAGTGTAAGCTCTAAAATGGCTGAAGTGATGTCTGTTTCATGTGAAACTGTATATCAAAAGTTTAGTGTAGCTTCTTGCACATGATAGGAGATAGGAAATATAGATGTGTTGTTAACTGATTTTTGAATACATAGGAATAAAAATGAAGATAAGTATGTAAAACTTTGTATGAAGCTTCCTATCCTTGTATAGCTTCCTTTCTTGTGAATGTTATTTTTGAAATAATGGTCACTCCATGAGGTAGATGACACCATAAAGCTTGAGGTCTTTAAGGACTGAATCAATTTCAACAGTCTTTTGATCATTTCTCCAGAAAGAATTGCTGCTGACAAAGCAAATCACCCAAAAAAGAAAACTCTCAGAGCAATTTAAAAATAGGGGTTCATCTATATTGCTTAGAAATAATTTCAGAAAATCTGTAGTGAAAACAAATTCCAAAGATGACTGAGATGGTTGTTATTCAATGAACACATTTTAAATCAAACACATGTCAGACCCCTATGGCATTTCCTGATGGTGCCTCATTCATGTGAGAATTTAAATTAAAATACATTAGAGATGTTTAGCCACTTTATCATTTCATATTACAATGCACATTATTCCATGTATAGCTTTGATTCTAAAATGCATGATTTTTTTTTTGTTTTTAATGCATAGAGTTCTGTTGGATATGCTCTGGAATAGTTTCCTATTTAAAGTAATCCTATTGGCAAGACCTTCTAAGTAAGGAACCTTTTATAATATGAATAATTACCCTAAATTTATCTTGTTTGTTAGTAATTACTTGGCTATTGGATTTATTTTTAAAGGGTGCATGCACAGGAGACAGTGACATCTCAAGGCAAACAATCCCCTAAGAAACTTGCTAATTCAGCTCATATCTCAGACAGCCGTCATTTTATTTTGTGTCTTTATAAGCAGGAAGGAGAAAAAACACAGTCTGGAAGCTATGAAGGTTTCACTTTTGTTTTCCTTAAAAAATGAAATAGCAAATGTAAAGTCTCTAGTCTGGATTACTTAAAACTACATAATCAAGAAGGAAAAATTATTGGGCTGTGGAATAAGGCTCCAAGGCTTGAAAGTCCCCAAGTAGAGGTAGTAGTTACTAAGCTGTTGCCCTAATTACAGACAATGTGGTCTGGAACACCTGACTGAGGTGGATCCAGCTCCTCTGTTTATGAGCCCTGTATGCATGTATAAAGCAGAAAGTGCAATAATCTCATGGTTTTATATACATTAATGAGATATTTCATAGAAAACCCTGAGCATAGTACCTGGCATATAAGAAGCACTCAAAAAACAGTGGCTATATGGATAATACATGTCTGTAAACACAAATCTAAATCACGTCATCGTCACAGATGTTTCTTTGTTTAATGAATGATTTAAACCCCTTGGAAAAAAGAAGTAATCAATGGGAATAAATAATTTACAATAGCTATACAATTGTCTCTATAATTACAATTTAGACATTTTAAACAAGAATGAATAAATAGTTGGATGTCTGTGTCTGTGAGAGAGACCGAGTGTGTATGTGTGTGTGTGTGTGCATGGTTTTTTGTTTGTTTGTTTGTTTACAGGGAAACAAAGACAAAATCTTATCATGGTTGATGAGGATTATTCCTCCCAGACAATGTTGTTTCTCTGTCCTGGATAGTACACCTTCATGTTACCAACCCTGGCCTAAGAGTGGCTGTCTTTTATTGTTTTCTACCTGGTTCTATTGGGGAGGGAGAAACAAAGAAGAACAAAAACAAAAACATTTCATCTTAGATAGACTTCATCTTACAATTTTTTTGAAAAAAATAATTGAATATCTTTTTTCAGGCAAATAGTATGTTTTTATATCCATCTCTCTTATGTGGCCATTCCAATATCAGTCCCCAGAAATAACGATGTGTGAATCTCAAACCAATTTTTTGGCAACAAAAAGGTATAGGTTTTCTTCCTTATTCTTTCTGTATCATTTTGATTAAAAAATTCTTAAGGAGTGGCCTATTGTGCAATTTCTAAGAACACCACCAAGCTGTTAATGAAGTAAATATCTGTTTAATTTACAAACATCAGCAGTGTAACCGATATTAATCTGGAGAAAGACAAAGCACACTGAATTATACATGTACATCTAATTTTCTTTGTAAAAAAAGAAGTTTTCAGGAAGAAACATCTGCATCTTTACAGGGCACCCTGGGATTTTAATGAGGGAAGAGCACAGTTCACTATAAACCATTATCAATTCTACATTGTAATTTAGCAGCAAACATGTTAACATGGGAGCATTAAGATAATAAAGGAGTTTTATTGTTTGAGGGAAAGAAAAGTCACAGTTCTTGATATGACAGTCTTTTTATCCCCACCTCACCCCCACAAAAGGGCAAAAAAGGTCAAGGACATATTAATTTGCAAAAGGTCTACTTTCTAGTGTTGATTGCTACACACCATTTCGTTTCTGTGAGGACATGTTGCAGAGGGGCCACTTCTTTCTGTACAATGACCATCTCACATACAGATTTCTGTTTTCCTCTCTCGGACTTTGCATACTCTCTGCAGGTGTCCTGAATGAGGCCAGTAGGTCATTGACATCAGTGATCAGATGTCAAGGTCAACAAACAGACCAATACATATGTATCCCAAGATAAAACCCTATGTTAGTACTATTGCCAAAAAAAAAAAAAAAAAAATCCTGATTTTTAAGTTTGAAAAATGTACAAAAATATCAGGATAATTATAAATTAATATATATTAAAGCATCAAGGAACAGTAAAAGGATGGCCTAAAATGTTAAGTACAATGTACTTTGATACAATAAATATTTCTCATGGAAACTGAATACTGTATAGGGCTGTTTAGAACTCATAGAAACAAAAAATCATATTATTACTAATTTATTTATCAATAATCTATTGGTTCTTTATCATCTCCTTTATCATTTATATTACAAAAAAATTAATACTGGAAAATGGTAAAGACTTTTGTGTGCTGCTTCTGCTGACATGCTGACATTTAAAAGGAAGATAAAATTTATTTTAGCACTTTCATTTCCTCTCGTAAATGGAACCCAGATCCTCAGGACACTTTATATTTTGCATGAAATATTTCTCATCCATTTGTTCTATCTGTGAATTCTGGAGTTCCATTCTCTTGCCTTGCATCCTCATTCACACGCATGTGCTTGGTATGTCCTAGTGAACTTGGTTGATGTGAAGGAGGGTACACAGGTTTTATGCTCTGGGCAATTTCACAGCAGTGCACAGTAGCTCCTCTGTCCCTCGTGCATGTGCTTCTGCTTGTCTTCAGCATGTTACAAAGATGGACCCGAGTTGCAATGGTTCCCATCGCTGTTCTAATGTCTCCAGGTATATCTTTCTTCATACTTCTCCAGCATAGGGGAAGCTTTAGTTCAAGCATTTCTTTTTTTTTTTTTCCAAATGCAGAAAAAAAGTCTTTATTCTCATAATAAAAATAAGTCTGTTCTGTATTTTACAATATATTTCAAATATTTCCACTATGAAGCATTCATTAGTCCCACACGGTCAAGAAGTATACAACCTTTTCCAAAGACAGAGCTGCCGGGAGTGTGTTTAGGACACACACCTCGTACAGCCGCACTTCACCACTTTCTCAACCTCGTCCACAAAGGAGGAGCCGTCAGTGCATTCGAAAGAGTATTTCCGCCGCTTGCTCCTCAGCGGTCCACAGCACTGCCCTCCTGCACACCCACCTCTGCACTCTAATCGGGACACCTTCTTGGTTGTTTGGCAAGCAGCATAGCCCTGCTGCTTTTGGTAATAATCTCTTATCCTTTCCCCTCGACAAGAGATTTCTAGAAAAGAACAAAAAGCACAAGCATTTTAAGAACAGTCACTGTAAGTCATGCAGAGTGACTGTGAATCCACAACTTAATTCAGAAGCCTTTGCTTCCCCTTTGTAACTTGCTTTACATATTATTAGCTGGTGGCACGGCCTCCTATTCTTTGAAAAATACTTCTTTTTAGTCTCTATTTTCAGCAAAGTGAATGCTATTATGTAGAGTATAAATACAATGCTATTGCAGTGACAAGAAAATTGGATTCCTAAATATTTTCTTTCATTGCAAAAAAGGAAAAAAAGTACACATCTTCTGTTTTTACACTACTAACAGCTGGTTTTGTTTACCACAGGGAGCAGTTTCAGAGAGTATGCCATTTTATTTATTAGACCTGGAGTTTAATATTATCCAATCTGTTACTTAATACAAGTAACATTCCATTAACTTCATAAATTACCCCAGTATGAAGTATGTAGTTCAAAAAAGAGACATCTGCTAAAAGCTTCCATGGGCACGTTCCTCTTGTCTCGTCCCTTGGACACACAAAACAAAATCCGTGCCAGCTGGAGGCCAGGCGAGCTCTGATCACGCAGACAAAGGAGAAGGAGGAAGGTGAACTAAGAAGTCAGCCTGTTTCCGTTCCTCTCACCCACATGATTTGCTGTGATAAATCAGTCGATTCTAAGGCCAAAGGTCATTTTGTACTAAAACTAGAGCAGAATTAAGAGGACCATCTTCTCTGTGCCAGAAGATGAATTAATAATATATACGGATGAGAACAGCCGGTAAAGGTAAGACAGGAGTAAAGTAAATGTGCTTCTCCATCAGGTAAAAAGGAGCATTTCTTTTACAACAAATCAACTTGTGAGAAGCATCTGAAGGCTGTATACAATCTTGCGGTGGAGGTTTAAGGTCATTTCACAGCTGGTGCCTTCAAAATACTTGAAAATAAATCAATAGCAGCAACTGCAAGTAGTGAGAAGACCTAGTATTCTCTCCTGTCACTCCCCTCTCTCTGTCTCTGTTGCTCCTGTTTTTTTTTTTTTTTTCACTTTTTCTCCCTCTCTTTTCAAAGACATGGGACCCCTCTTGCTTTGCCAAGAGAATGAGGTGCCCAGTGGGGCTGGCTTACCTCGATCACAGCTGTCCCCCGTGTATCCACTGCTGCATTCACAGTAGGGCTGCCCCAGACCTGAAAGCCTGCACTTCCCATGCTTGCACTTGATCGCCTGGCATGGGTTAAACAGATCCTCCTCTTCATCACAGAGGACACCTCCATGGCCCTCCAAGCACTTACAGCTGTAGGAGAACGCATTGATGGGCAAGCAGGTGCCATGTACGCATCTACAGGGAGGAGGAACACAGGAGTGGGAATGCATTCAGAAGAGGAGGTAAGAATGAACGGAGGTGATATAAGAATGGAGGATGATTGAGAAAATATGAGGGACAGAGTGCTAATGCCTAACGAACCTCCCCTCCCCTCCCCTCCCTTCCCGTCCCCTCCCCTTCTTCTTTCCTTCCTTCCTTTGGTTTGGCTTTGAGGCTTTCAGGTGTGTGCTCAACTCCCAAGCAGCAGGAACTTACTTATTTCCAAGGCAAGGGTCATTGGTCCGTTGGTCACAGAGGGGCCCCATCCATCCTTCCTGGCACTCGCAGGTGAAGCCTGCCTGGCTGCTGGGCTGGCATGTGCCATGGGCACACACCTTCTTGTGGCATGGCTCACAGCCAGGCAAAATGCCTGTTTGCATCGGCACCTTCTGGAAGTCCTGCAGCTCACTGTTGATGTAAAGGTTCCGGATGCAGCCGTGGAAGCTGGTTCCGTTCTGCCCAGGGGCCTGGCGCAGAGATGCCACGTTACTCTTCCCTGGCATGCCTGGGGAGGAACACCAGGTCAGAGGTCAGGCTCTCTGGGGATTTCTGAGCCATTTGCTACTCAGAAATACTGATGCTTGGGACCTCACTGCCAACCTATTATGGCAGGATATTTGGGCAGGGTGGTAGGGAAGTGAAGTGGAGAAGAGATGTAGAGATGTGTGTTTTTGTTTTGTTCTGTATTGGAAGATGCTCCAGGAAATTCTAATCCACAACTAGAATAAAATACCTAGTTGATTGGTGGTTAATCTTTAAAATTTGCTTCAAAGAAAACTTTACATGTACACAAATATATAAAACCTAGAGGCAGAGCTACTGTCCTTAAAGGCAAGACTGGGGGAAGGGAATGTTCCCTCTCTGTTTGTCCTCCACCCTCCACCTCCAGGCACACACTCCTGGAAGTCTGGAGCTCCATAAAGCTCAGTTTATGGTGCTCTAATTCTACCCCTTATCTTAAAGACAAGGGGCTAGGGCTCAGAAAGCCCTGGTGACATGCTCAAGGTGACCCAGTGAGTTCAGGTTAGAGTTAGGCTGATGAGAAGAACTCCTCTATCTCTGGAGTCAGGGTTAGGTCCACCAGGTTTCAGGGGCTGACAGCTGGGGTTCACAGTGACCATTCACCCCAGCCCTCCCACATTCGAAGTTAGCAACTAATTCAGCTCACTCCTGGCAACGTCCCTAAGCTTGGTCAATGATGTCAATGCCTAAAAACTCACTCCTGATTCTTTTCAGGACAGCACCTCATTCACATCATTTTTTCTTTCTTGCTAATTAAGAGTGAAGACTTCATAGTCCAAGAAATCAGAAATAAAAATGAAATCCCTTCAAAAACAGAGTATTTGCAATCTTTGTATATATACATTCCACTAGTGACAGTTATCTGGTAACACTCATTTTGGCAAAACGGAAGAATCTTTCCATGGCCTAAGCCAGACCCTTAGTCCGTGGAAGGCATCCTGCAGAAGGCACCCATCCAGGGAAGGGGGGAGGGTGCTGGAAGCTTTCAGAGTGCTGGCTATACCACCACATCCCCACAACCCCGTAATTATGCTTTAGCTGTGCCTAAACTCTGGACTACTGGCTGGAAGTTCTAGGCTGAGGAAGACCCAGTTTCTCACTCTTCAGGGGGTCTGTTGGTTCTAAAGACCAAGAACTGTAGCACACTCTGGGTCTGAACTTATGCCACCTTCTCCTTTCCCATTCATAGGAAATGACTCATCCATTGGCATTCAAAGCAGGCATCAGTCAGACAGCTAGGTGTACGAAACCACTAGGTTATACGGTAAGGATTTCTGGTTCTGCGTGCACTTGGAGCAGTTATTTCTTCTCTCTGGGGCTTAGTATTGTCATCTATACACCATGAGCATATGGACCAGAGAAGTTGTCCTAAGTTTGTCATACATAAGAACCAACAGCAGTGCATGCTCAAAGGCAGCTTTACAGGCTCCTCTCTCCCCTCCTTCTGAGGTTCTGATCCTGTAGGAACAGGAGAGGTGCAGAAATCTAAATATCTACATGCAGCTCAGGTGATTTGGGTAGTCCATGGTTACACTCTGACAGGTATTGAATGAAGTCTCTTGGCTGTGAAGTTCTGTGAGTACAGGCCTTTAGTCTATGTCCATCTCGCTGTGGGTTGCTTTCTAGAGCAGGGTCAAAAGGATGAAACTTACCATTTCCAGGAAAGGACTGGTGACAGAAAATTCCTTGCCCTGGGGTAAGTTTTTCTAATTTAACCATATCCATCCATCATAAGGACTTTAATGACCACATATTTATGGTCCTTTTTTCAGTGGTTAAAAATGAACTTCTTCCAAAACTATTTTTAATAGCTCATTTTGATATAGGCACAACACACATATGTGCACATGTCAAGAATAAATACAGATTGGCAAAGTTCCACAGCACAGAGAAACAATTAGTAAATCTGTTCCTTTTTGTTCCAAAGCTAACAATTAGAAAAAGCCCAGCTTTGACTAGAGTAATTTGTAAATGAAAATGTTTAGACATCATACGTATATTTGAGTTTCAATAGGCTATCATAAAATCAGGAATTATTCTGAGTCAATCTTTTCACGTGCTAGGTCTTCATTGACAAACAGAAGTAGATACATGAATTTTTTTTTTTTTTTTTTGAGACGGAGTTTCACTCTTGTCGCCCAGGCTGGAGTGCCATGAACGCAGCCTTGGCTCACTGCAACCCCCGCCTCCTGGGTTCAAGCGATTCTCCTGCTTCAGCCTCCCGAGAAGCTGGGATTACAGGCATGCACCACCACGCCTGGCTTATTTTGTAATTTTAGTAGAGACCAGGTTTCTCCATATTGGTCAGGCTGGTCTCCAACTCCCGACCTCAGGTGATCCACCCGCCTCAGCCTCCCAAAGTGCTGGGATTACAGGTATGAGCCACCACGCCTGGCCAGATCCATGATTTTTTTTAAGCCTTTCCTCTATGCTATTGGCCTAGTTGGAAATCATTCAATCAATCAGCCAATCAATCAATCAACCAACAGATAACTTAGCAAACAGCTTTTAGCCTTATTTCTACAGGCCTCAAAATGGCAATAAAGAGACCAAGTATCAAGCCTAGGTCCTCTGTCCCGTGGCAGGACAAGGAGGACATTTGTTGCATATACATGGATTTCCATGCATGGGGCTTATTTTTTGATTTTCTTCCCCATTAGGTAATAAGGGTTCAGTTGGACTACAGACAGAAAAACATGAAAACTAAATTATTTTGTGTCGGCCGAGCGCAGTGGCTCATGCATGTAATCCCAGCACTTTGGGAGGCCGAGGTGGGTGGATCACATGAGGTCAGGAGTTTGAGACCAGCCTGCCAAACATGATGAAACCCCGTCTCTACTAAAAGTATAAAAAATTAGCTGGGCGTGGTAGCAGGCGCCTGTAATCCCAGCTACTTGGGAGGCTGAGGCAGGAGAATCACTTGAACTCGGGAGGTGGAGGTTGCAGTGAGCCAAAATCGTGCCATTGCGCTCCAGCCTGGGCAACAAGAGCGAAACTCCATCTCAGAAAAACAAAAAAAATTGTGTCAAGTAAAGCACATATCATGGGTAGTTGATAACCCAAGGGTAGGTTAAGCTGCCTCTCCATATACTCACCAAGGGGCTGCCTCTCCCCAGATGCTGAGGCAACACCTTCAGGCAGTCCTCCTTGGGCAGCATCCCTGGTTTTTTTTGTTTTTTGTTTTGTTTTTTAACTTTTATCTTAAGTTCAGGGGTATATGAGGGTTACACTCCCCACCAACAGTGTATTATGTGTTACCGTATAACAAACCGGGTAAACTCATGTCACGAGGGGTTTGTTGTACGGACTATTTCAGCACCCAGGAATTAAGCTTAATGTCCATTAGTGATTTTTCCTGGTCCTCTCCCTCCTCCCACCCTCCGCCCTCTGCTAGGCCCCAGTGTGTGTTGTTCCCCTCTCTGTGTCCATGTGTTCTCATCATTTGGCTCCCACTTATAGGTGAGAAACATGCAGTATGTGTTTTTCTGTTCCTGTGTTAGTTTGCTAAGGATAATGGCCTCCAGCTCCATCCATGTTCCTGCCAAGGGCATCAGCTCAATTCTTTTTTTGTGGCTGCATGGTATTTCATGGTTTATATGTACCACATTTTCTTTATCCAGTCTAGAATTGATGGGCATTTAGGTTGATTCCATGTCTTTGCCATTATGAATGGTGCTACAATGAACATATGCATGCCTGTGTCTTTATGATAGAATGATTGAGATTCCTTTGACTATATGCTCAGTCATGGGATTGCTGGGTTGAATGGTAGCTCTATTTTTAGGTCTTTAGGAATCGCCACACTGTTTTCCACAATGGCTGAATTAATTTACATTTCTGCCAACAGTATATAAGTGTTCCTTTTTCTCCACAACCTTGCCAGCAGCTGTTATTTTTTGACTTTTTAATAATAGCCATTCTCACTGGTGTGAGATGGTATCTCACTGTAGACATAATTTTTTTTTTTTTTTTTTGGAGATGGAGTCTCCCATTGTCGCCCAGGCTGGAGTGCAGTGGTGCGATCTCGGCTCACTGCAAGCTCCACCTACTGGGTTCATGCCATTCTCCTGCCTCAGTCTCCCAAGTAGCTGGGACCAAAGGTGCCCGCCACCATGCCCGGCTAATTTTTTGTAGTTTTTAGTAGAGACGGGGTTTCACCGTGTTAACCAGGATGGTCTCAATCTCCTGACCTCGTGATCCACCCGCCTTGGCCTCCCAAAGTGCTGGGATTACGGACGTGAGCCACCGCGCCCAGCTGTAGTCACTATTTTTAAAGAGAACTTAGTTACCTTGCTCTCCTTTTCTCCCTCTGCTTCTCATGCCTTTGCCATACAGCATTCAAGGCTGTGGTCTTACAGGTTCCTTGTGGTTTGAAAATCTGAGTCACCCTTGAGACTGCACTCTAAGCGGGGAGAAAGTGGGCCCATGGTGATCTCTGGCAGTGGGACTGGGATGAAAGTGGTTTCCTTGAGGCCTGGGTGGACAGAGGTGTTGTTTGAATTTTTCCAGGCCCTCTACCTTCAGAAGGATAAATACTTTTCATTTTGAAATTTAAAACTTTTTTTCCTCTTTTTTTTTTTTGGCGGGGGGCGGGGGAATGTTCTGACTTAAACAGTCTCATCCTGTATTCTTTTTTTTTTTTTTTTTCTTGAGATAGTGTCTGGCTCTGTTTCCCAGGCTGTACTGCAATGGTGCAATTATGTTTCACTGCAGCCTCAACCTCCTGGGCTCACATGATCCTCCCTCCTCAGCCTCCCAAAGTGCTGAGATTATGGGTGTGAGCCACCATGCCCAGCCCCCTGTATTTTTAAAATTGGTTTTATACTATATTCTAAAGGGGCTTCGAAAGATTTAATGAAGTGGATTCTAATGAAAACATAATAAAATCAAGTGAACGAAAAGTCCATAAATAAACAACAAAAGGCCACAGCACTTAGATTTGTTCCCTTTCTGCTTTATGTGAAGAAGTGAATGGCAATGCAGGTGGCTTTGGAGTCAGCCAGATCTGGACTTAAATGAGGTGTCTACTACATAATAGCTTTGTGTACTTGGACAAGTTATATAAAATCCTTGAGATTGCTCTTCAGGGACTACAAAACAGAGAAAATCATACCTATTTCCTAAGATCTCTGCACATTAAGGCTATAAAAGGAGCACTGTGTTGGGCACATAGCATGTGCTCAATAAATATAATTTATTTTCTCTCAAATCACAGGTATGCTTGTGACTTGGCTTCACCCATCCAAAAGCAACCCTGTAAACTGGAGTGCTGGCAAGAATGGAAGATTTGGTTTTTAATGAGACTCTCTGCTGTGATTCCCATGAAGCAATCAGATAAGTCAACTTGCTGAGTAGACTCACTATGCAATACTTTATTTATAATGCATTATAGTTACTTGAAGATGCCTCTGCATTCTTGACTTTTTAGGGAGTAGAATGGACATTTCTTCTTCAACTTTATATCCTTTATGTATCCATTTACTTAGTTCCTAGTATGTGGTAAGTACTCAATAAATATTTACAGAATTGAACCAAAGACTTCCAACTGTTTCTAAAACAATCCAACTCTGTCAAAATGTTAAGACTGTCTACTACTGAAATTATTAAAACAGAAATGTCCTAGGCTTAGAGGCACTGAAAAGAAGGCTTTGAGTGGTTGAGATAATGGTGTAGCATAGGTTATTATTTTTCAGAAAATGATGTGAAACTCATGAAAATATCTGTCATGGTGATGAAATTGTACACTAACCTGTTCAAAGCTTTTACTTATTTATCTGTAAAATAAGTTAATCAGTCAATTCAAATAAATTCAATGTAATTTAATCCAATGCTTCTCAATTCAGCATTAACTGCTTTCTGGCTCCTTTACCAGAATTTTGAAACTCTATGCCTCCAGTTTATATTTGTTCCTCCAAATAGAGGCAAGATTGGGACCTCTCTCCTTTGCGGGTCCTCTCCGATGGGCTCCTACAGAACTTTGCTTATATCTCTGTCCCTCATTTATTCACTCATCTGCCTTCTTTTCACTTAAAAATAAAGCCCAGGGTCTTCACTCTATGATTTCAAGTCCTAACCTACCTTTCCAACCCTCTCTCTTGTTCATTCACCTTAAGGTCTTAGTGGAACAGAACTATTTATTGTTATTCTAATACAATTTGTACATTTAATTTGTTCATTCATTCATTCATTCAGTCAGTCATTGGATTACAGTGATACTTATCCTATCATCCAGATGAATTAGCAACTGGTAGTGCAGAAGCTCCAGCATGGTAACATTTGACTGAGCTGATAGGGTTTGCCTCCTTAAGGGAGCTGGGGTGGGGTCATCTACTTTCCAGTTTGCATTAAGCTTGTTTTATCATTTTCTTGATTGTATGATTTAATCTCTAACCAACTTTCCTTTTCCATAGACCAGATCAAATATAAGATTAAATTATATAATGTATAAATCACCTAGCATATGTGATTGACACAAAAGAAATATTAATTAATGTCTTTCTCTACCCAGATGACACATTTGTTAGAAAGAGAGATGGGATAATAAAATGATCCCTTAACACCCACCTAGAGATCTTTCTGTTCTGTCTTTGCCATCCATCTTTCAATGATTGATCACTATTGGTCAATGACAAATCCTGATATATTAGGCATTAACAAACTTCAGAATTCGTCCATAATGAGAATCACAGGGTTTCAGGACCACCTGAATTTGGAAGACAGCTTACCTCCTACATAGAGTGGAGAGTCAAAATTCAGAGTGGACTGCTTTGACAAGTTAGTGATGATTTTGGGGTTCCCACCATCCACGGACAAAGAGAGACTCTGATCCAAGGCAAGTAGTTCCACAATGTGGAAGTTTCCATCATTGATTGTCTCCACACTACAACGGAAAAAAAAATGGCTGATTCTTCCATTTTCTTTTCATTAAAGCAAGGTAGTTAAATTACAAACTTTGATAAGTGCTCCTTGGGAAAAGAGATGGCAATCTAACACTAATGAAGATAAAGACGAGTAGTTGAATTTTTTTTCAAAAATAGGCATTTTCAAGGAGATGTGATTGATTTCAGTTTCTCAGGAACTGAATACAAAATAAGTTTGTTCTTTTATGACAAGAAGTAGAAATAACTACATTTCATCATCATCCAGCCACATTCTCTCAATATGTAACAATTTCAAAGGATAATTTATACATTTGCTTTTAACTTCCATAAAAGGTCCATTTACCAAGATACTATTACTTCAAATTGTACGAAAAGACAAGGAAACTAGGCCTGTGCCAAAAACACCCTAACACATCGACCTTAGGCAACTGCTGGCTTCTGCTCTTAAAAAAAACTGTAGATTAGGACTTACCAGAATCAAACACACACACAAATGCAAGGAGAAACAACTTGGTGGGATCTCAGTACTTTTTGAAATTTGTTAATAATATCCTCTTACTTTCTGTGCATTTTCATCAACTGATATTGCTGTGAAGAAGTTATCTATGCTCAGTGGAGACATGGGAATAACAGATTAAATAAAATGCTTAACATAGTGATATCTAGGAAATATTGCAATGACAGTGGCTGTCTGGATTCTTTTCTATAATTTTCAAGGGCCAGGTCTAACAATTATTACTGTCACCTTCTAAAAACCTTGGAAGGGCTTATAGAAATTGATGAAGTGAATAAAGACAAAAAGATGAAGAAAGGTAAATGGAAAATGAGGATTAAAAAATAAGATGAAGTTGAGTGCAATTAGTAAATATGTTTTACATGGTTTTAAAGTGTAGTTGCATATCTAACTCTGGTGTTACAGCAGGCAAAAAAGCAAACCAGACCAATGAAACAGGACCAAAGAAGAAATAGGACCAATACACGGTGCAGTGTTAAGAACGTACTTACCTTTCCCTATACAGGAAAAACATGGCATAATGGAAGTTGAGATCAAAAAGTTAATGGTGATTATTAAAGATCTAACATGCTGGGATACTGGGAAGACTGAAAAAGGCTCCAACATGGAAACATGGGAGCATGTGATAGATTATTCCTAAATGTGAATACTTAATACTCTGTATACAAGATGACTGCTTAAATTTCTAGGCACTGATATTTAAATTTGTAAAATGGCAAAGTCTAGGGAATGATAGAAAAATGCATTAACATATTTCTGCATGGTTCTCACCACTGGAGTCTAATCATCTTCCGTTGTATGCTGACAGGTAATAAAACGTTTTTTTGATTTGAGAACAAGAGAAATCACTCTGCAGAATTGTGAAAACACTTGACATTCTTTCTGTTTAGGTGGTTAGAAGAGTCCACGTGTACAGGAATCTTTGATAGCCTGTCTCAGGAAACAACTTTATAAAACTAAATGTTAGATATGTCAATCAATATTTTTGCCTTTTACACATTTAATTATCCTAACACTTAACATCAATACAATTGGCAGAGGAAAAAATAGACCAGAAAATTATTTTATAAGTATAGTTGCACACCATTAGTGGTTTTAAATATGACTCTCTTCTAAGAGGGTATGCCAAGTAGTAACATTGGCTAATGGTTAAGCATATAGACTCTGTAGTCAGATAATCCTGGATTCGAATCGTGGTCCTGCATTTATTAAGTGTTTGTTTTAGATAAGTTACTTTATTACTAATATATTTCAGTTTTCTCTTCAGTAAATGCTAATAAATATTTCTGCCTTCCATGGTTAATTTGAGGACTATGTAAAATGACTGAAAGATACCCAGCATAGCAAAAATTAATGTTAGATATTAGTATCACCATCACTATCATATCGGTCCCCCACCCAACCACGATCATCATGATACAAATAATTCAATACCATTTCTGAATCTTTTTTAGTAAAGAATTTAGCTTTATTTTAAATATTGATTGTAAGATAATGTTAAAGGCTGGCAGAAATATAACAACTTCTTTGGGGGCACATCTTGTTCAAGTTACTAAAAGTTTTAAAGTAAAACATTAAAATAAAGACAGACATGGAGAGAGTAGAAGTGAATTCCTTTTTACTTTGAGGTTATACACAGCTTTCCAAGTAGTTTTATATGGATGTCCTATCAACATCAACCTTAATAAATCTTAATAATGAGGCCCCCCATTTCTCTTTAAAATTGCAAAGAAAAGACCCATATATTACCAAGGAATGGATTCTTGGTCACATATTGGTCTTAGTCAATTCAGTCATGTCATCATCAATGATGGTGTTTGATGCAGTACAATTGTGTGGTTTAAGTTAACACACTTTACAGTTTTAAACACCCTAATGCAGTGTGTCAGATGGGAACTTGGAGGTAGGTAGTTTCATCATCAACTCACTTTGCTTATTGCTCCTTTATTCCCTCCTCTGTTCCTTTTTACTCTTTTTTGGAGTACATGTCTTAAACTCTTGCTAATTGTAAGCTAATTTAAAATATCATCCATGTATTATTTATTTCTGAAAATATGTGGTAAGTAAATACAAGAGAGATGTATTAGGAATAACATATATCAATTGTTTTTAGCAATACTCCTAGATGATATCTATAGATAATCATTACACTTCAAGCATGTTTAAGACAAGACCTCTGAAAATTCATTTCATAAAACATAGTTGGAAGTTTCAGTGGCAGTATCGTCAAGGATAATGCTGAGAGATAAATCTTGCTCAGCTTGTCCTAGCTCTCATTAGACATGTCATCTTTGGTTAGTGTGACCTTAGGTGATTTTTCTTCCTTTTAAGAGAAGTGCAAATAGGAAGAGCAAAGGATTATATATCACATACTAAGGGCCAGGTACTAAGAACTTTACAAGTATTACCTCATGTAAGCTTCACAACAAGAGGTGAGCACTGAGGACATCCAAGGTGACACATCTAGTTAGTGGCTAAACAGTTCTGAAGCCAGGTTGTCCAGCTCAAGTGTATGTGCTCTTAATTATTATGCACTACTTTTACAATCAAAAACCTGAGGAATACCTATTCCTAGACAAATGGCGTGTGTTTTCACCACTAACAAGCTTTTAATACATGATTTCTGTCCCAAATAGCCTGGGAATAAAGTTCTATAGTAAATTACCTTGTATGATAGCAAAACTTGATTCATTTACTAAAAAACACTGAATTGTTAATAAAAGTAATGATCTTACAATAAGAGTTTGAAGAATGCATATAAATTATATGGATTTAAAAACTGAGTTTGGATTTTATTTTCCCAATTATGAGTGAGATTATGAGTGAGATAGACTGACTATACTTTTCTCTCCCTAAAAGCTTTAAATGTCTAATCTGATCACACCAGAACTTCCACAAGACTTATCATTGAGATTAATTCCATTTATATCTCCCTGGAATTAAATGAAGCCTCATCTTGACCTCTTAACAGGTAAGTACAGTAAAGTTCATGATTTTAGATTCCTTTTTTTTTTTTGAGACAGAGTCTCGCTCTGTCAGCCAGGCTGGAGTACGGTGACATAATTACGGCTCACTGCAGCCTCAGCCTCCTGGACTCAAGTGATCCTGCTGCCTCAGCTTCCTAAGTAGCTAGGACCACAGCTGCATGCCACCATGCCCAGCTACTTCTTAAATTTTTCTGTAGAGATAGGGTATTGCCATGTTTCCCAGGCTGGTCTCAAGTGATCTTCCTGGCTTGGCCTCCCAAAGTGCTGAGATTACAGATGTAAACCACCATGACTGGCCAATTTGGTTTTTAAGATAGTATTTTACACATGGGACCTAAAGAGAATTTTTCAGAGTTAATAACATTCTAACTTGGTATTTCTTGCTGTCTTTTCTAGCATGAGATAAACTGGAGGATGTCCAGGAATCCTTTGTCTACACATTCGTTTAAAATTAAAGCAGTGGGCCAGGCGTGGTGGCTCACGCCTGTAATCCTAGCACTTTGGGAGGCCAAGATGGGCGGATTGCTTGAGCTCAGGAGTTTGAGACCAGCCTGGGCAATATGGTGAAACCCTGTCTCTACTAAAATACAAACAAAATCATCTGGGCGTGGTGGCGGGTGCCTGTAATCCTAGCTATGTGGGAGGCTGAGGCATGAGGATTGCTTGAACCCGGGAGGCAGAGGTTGCAGTGAGCCGAGACCGTGCCACTGCAGTCCAGCCTGGGCAACAAAGTGAAACTCTGTCTCAAAAAATAAAATAAAATAAAATAAAATAAAATAAAATAAAATAAAATAAAATATAAAATAAAATAAAAGCAGTGATCGACACATCAGTTGCTACATAGTAAGACTGCCTGAGCTAGAAAGCCATAATCCACTTTTCAGTCTATAGCAGCTGTCTCCTACATACCCACATGTAATGCATGGCATCCTTTTGGGTTCTGATAAGTATTGATAAACTCTCTTTCACCACTCCCTAGGGAACAATATATTTTATGATTCACAAAAACTACAAGCGAACCACTTAACTTTGGGCCTTTCCACTGGGAATTTGAATTGCATTTATTACTGTTACTATAAGGTTTAGTTTTACTACGCTCACCTATTTCCTGAGATTTGTTTTCTTGAGTTTATATACTGGAAGTGGATACATGAAAACAAAGCAGTTCCCCAACTGTTTGTGGTCTGCTACAGAAAAATAATTCAGAAACTTGGGGCTTAAAAGAGGGGCTTTAAAATGTCTCTGATTTTCTTTCTCTATTTTGCATACACACAACACACTAACAATGATAAACATAATGTATTTCTGTAGTTTAATAAAAGACTGTTTTTCCTTATGTGAGCTTCAACTTCTTGCCTTAAAATTTTAAAGTATCTGGGCTGGGTGCGGTGGCTCACGCCTGTAATTCCAGCACTTTGGGAGGCCAAGGTGGGTGGATCTCGATGTCAGGAGTTCGAGTCTAGCCTGGCCAAGATGGCGAAACCCCGTCTCTAGTAAAAAAACAAAAATTAGCTGGGCATGGTAGTGCATGCCTGTAATCCCAGCTACTCTGGAGGCTGAGGCAGGAGAATCGCTTGAACCCGGGAGGTGGAGGTTGCAGTGAGGCGAGATTGTGCCACTGCCCTCTAGCCTGGGCGACAGAGCAATACTCCATCTAAAAAAAAAAAAAAAATTAAAGTATCTGGTGACATATTCCACGCTTTGGAATAGGAACTGGAACCCAAACTCAACTGGTCATCTCATTTTGGTGTTTCTGGCCTGATGATACTTCACCTGTGAAGTGGGAGTGATACTAAAAGTATTCTTGCCTATCTCTTTAGTCAAAAGGAATGGGAAGCCAAATGAGATTAAAGATATCTATGTAGGCTGGGCGCAGTGGCTCACGCCTGTAATCCCAGCACTTTGGGAGGCTGAAGTGGACGGATCACAAGGTCAGGAAATGGAGACCATCCTGGCTAACATGGTGAAACCCCATCTCTATTAAAAATACAAAAAAAGCTAGGCGTAGGGGTGAGCGCCTGTAGTCCCAGCTACTCAGGAGGCTGAGGCAGGAGGATGGCATGAACCCGGGTGGCAGAGCTTGCAGTGAGCCGAGATCGCGCCACTGCACTCCAGCCTGGGCGACAGAGCAAGACTCTGTCTCCAAAAAGAAAAGATATCTAAATATACCTGTAAGAATTTTTCAAAAGAAAGCTTTAGAAAATAGTTGTTCAAGTAATATTTTAATCAGTACTTTTAAAACAGATTAACATGAATAAAATTCACTAAACTAGAAAGGCTTCTCTAAACTTGAACATACTGTACAGTGAGATGTCAGGCTATAAAATTCCCACTTGGGTATTTATTCTTCAGTATCCAGATATTTGAGCAGGAAGAGTATCCATGAATCATCAGCATTACTCAATATCGTGAGCCGACTCTGTGCCAAGCACGATGTTAGGTGCTTTACATTCATTCAATTCTCATAACCAAACATGAAAAGCAGAGCTAATTGCATTTACTGAGATAAGGAAAATAAAGCACAAAGAAATGAAGCAATCTGCCCAAGGTTATAAGCTAGTAAACAGGGGGAACTTTCCATATGGCATATCAAGAATGGCTGAATAAACATCTTGAAAACAAGAATACCATATAGATTCTGTCTACTCTCTGTCTCCCCAATGAGACTGAACTTCTCAGATACAAAGATAATCTTTGTTGAGTTTCTTTTGTATTTTTGTTGAAATGTAAGCCTGTAAATTGCACAACCCAGAGTGTATGTAGCCAACCAAATGTAACAGTAGGTGACAGAAAGTCCCCTGAATTTGAGCAGGTTGCCTAAATATGAAAAACTGTACACTAGTAAGGTGGTCCATCTGATTTTCTTATTTTTAAACAGTAGCTAGCTGTGTTTCCAAAGAAACTGCCTGGTTTGGAAAATGACATTAATTTGAATCTAAAAAAAGAAGCATATATTTTTCAATAATAACTTTTGTTAAAAAAAGTTTATGTTTTTCTAGATGAAAAGAAACTCACTTTGAAAGAGCAGATTATTAGCCTACTTGAGAATAAAAATTTAATACTCCAGCCCTGTCTGAGGACCTACTGCTTAAATTTAGGCTGCCATTCATTTTTCCATTCATTCATGGCACTATTACTGATATGGTTTGGCTCATCTTGAATTGTAGTTCCCATAATTCCCCGTGTTATGGGAGGGACCCAGTGGGAGATAATCGAATTATGGGGGCGGTTTTCCCCATACTGTTATCATGGTAGCGAATGAGTCTCACGAGATGTGATGGTTTTACTGGAGTTTTCCCCTTTCGCTTAGTTCTCAATTCTCTCTTGTCTGCCACCATGTAAGACATTCCTTTCGCCTTCTGCTATGATTGTGAGGCCTCCCTAGCCATGTGGAACTGTGAGTCAATTAAACCTCTTTTTCTTTATAAATTACCCAGTCTCAGGTATGCCTTTATCAGCAGTGTGAAAACAGGCTAATACAATTACTAAGTCCCTCTTTATGCTATTCTCTAAGTGCTGTAAATATTAGGCCCGTGCGCCATATTCCAAATCCATTCCCTTATTAGGCAGCTCATTTCATCTATGTTGCTGGTTAGAGTCCTTTAGGCAGTAGGTTGCTGGCAAATGTTTAACAACTGGTACTGTTAAAAAAAAAACAAGAACAAAAACCTGGATTTGTAGGCTTTGCTGATTTTTGTGGTGCGAATATTCCCAATATGGCTGATTTCAATGTGAGCATCAAGCATGATGTTGTAGAACTTGGATATGAGAAGACATGCAGACAATCAGCTCTCAAAGTACATATTCCTTTTACGCAAGGGGTTCTCAAAGTGTAGTCCCTGGAGTACAAGATCTCCTGGAAACTTGTTAAAAATGCAAATTTTCGGGTCTAGCTAAGAGCTTCAGAATCAGAAACTAGGGGTGGTGCCCAACGCCTGTATTTTAACATGTTTTTCAGGTGATTCCAATGCAGACTTTTGGAAACAACCATTCTACACTACTGCCTGTATGCTTGGTGCTGTTAACAGCAGGCATGTCTACAAGAAGCCATGATCTTCTATCCAGATGTAACAGATAAGATGAGAAAATATGCATACTACTTTATTTCTACGCTAAAAGAATAATTACTACATCTTGAGTTTTCTTAAACACACTTCAAGCTATGTTAACTACTGTCTTTTAACTTTTAACATAGTTGGCTGTGTTTTCAAAGAGGCTGTCTGGTTTGGAAAATGACATTAATTTGAATTTAAAGAAAGAAGCACATATTTTTCATTAACTTTTGTAAAAAATGTTTCCCCTTATCTAGATTAAAAGAAAGTCTTTTTGAAGGGCAGCAAATTACCAGTCTAGAGATAATTTCATAAAATAATTGTCTTCATACTGATTTATGTGAAACAATAGTTGACATATAAAATAAATTTTAACCAAAAATACCCTATAGAATTAATAAGTGTATTATTACTTTCCCCTCATTTTATTAGGTTTCATTTTGCTAAAATAAAATCAATTTTCTTCAATGTGGAGAATTAAGCAGGCAATTGAAATGATGCACCTGAGGTATAAAATTATTTCCAAGTGCAAGGCCCAATAATATATTAAATAATGCAAAATTTGGAAAACAATGTTTTACCAAAGTAAATTTTATATAACATAGAATTATGGCAATAAAACTGAACTTAAGTGGAAACAAATCAAAATTTGAAAATGTACTTCACCCAGACAAAATATTTATTAGCAACTAATGGGACAGCTGATTGCAACACTGTTATTGATAGATTTTACTACAGGGATGGAGAAGTACTATCTTTCATCAAAGATTTTACACTGTAGTAAAGGCCTGGCCCAGGACAGAGGTTGCCTTGCTTGGCATTTTCTGGCATTTGAAAAAAGGCCAAAAAATTAGCCGTATCAGAGCTAAGAGTTATGTAAAACTGCAAATTGAAGGTAAAGGAAAGGAGAGGATTAAGAGTAGATCCATTGCACCTGTCATGCCTTTCAATGAAAGAAGGAATGCAATGGGAACACAGGTTTGGGTGAAGCAAATGAAATAAATTCAGTTTTGGACATCCTGAATTTGTGATACCAGTAGCCATCATTGTTTATGGTTTACCTAGCATTGTTGCAAATATTTTACATTTATCATGTCGTACAATTCTTACCGTAATCTCACAAAAAGGACACTATTATTTGTTATCCCCATTTGCCAGATGAGGCCCAGGGAGCTGAAGCAATCTGTCCAAGACACACAGTTAGTTGATAACAGAGCTGGACTTGAATCAAGCCAGACTATCTCTAGAACAGCAGCTTTTTCTATTATTTCAATTTTATTTTTGAGTGGTAATGACATTGAAATGGCTCAAAAATCAAATGGATATAAAATGGTATTCATGCAGAAGTCTTGTTTCTATTTCTTTGTGTCTAGTTTTTCTTTGTGCAAATACATGAAAATGTAAGTGCTTATATTTATCTCCTTTGAACTTGTTCTTCCTTACATTTCCTTCCTGTCTTCCTTCTTTTTTCTTCATTGCTTCCTTTCTTTCTTCCTTTTTTCTTATATTATTTTCTCAATATAAAAATAATATTCTATATTTAATATGTTAATAAAATGTATTATACATATCTACATATCTGAATTCTTGGTAATTGTTGCCTCTTTTATTAAAAAATAAGGTCATAGCTTTTCTGGATTGGAAAATCAAGAAAATTTTTTTGGTCATAAGCCAAAAGGCAATAATTAAATTAAAGCTGTATTTGCTCTAGGCCTCACATTTTGTATCTCTATTAGATGATCCACCACCAGAAACATGGGCTTGCAGCTTCTAATAAAGAATATGAAATGGACGGATCACGAGGTTGGAGATCGAGTCCATCCTGGCTAACACGGTGAAACCACGTCTTTACTAAAAATACAAAAAAGATTAGCCAGGCATAGTGGTGGGTGCCCGTAGTCCCAGCTACTTGGGAGGCCGAGGCAGGAGAATGGCATGAACCCAGGAGGCGGAGCTTGCAGTGAGCCAAGATCGCACCACTGCACTCCAGCCTGGGTGACTGAGTGAGACTCTGTCTCCAAAAAAAAAAAAAAAAAAAAAAAAAATGCAACATAATAGTCCCTTTATAAATGTCACAAGATACACTCCATCCTTTGTTAGGTGAAATGGCAATGAACATAAACTCAAACAAACTCGTTATGGTAGGTCCTTGTTTGGATATAATCACTTGGGTTTCTACAAAGTATTTAGAAATATTTTGCCATATGTGATATGAATGCTAGCTTTAATAAGCCAAACCAAAAACCTTTACTATGGCTTCTGAGAGTTCTGTGCTGCACCATTACATAAAATAAATTAAAAAAAAATTAAAAAAAATGAACCACAAATTTCTGAAATCTTTTTATGGGCTGAAACACATTGAGGCAAGAAAATTTAAGGCCTCGTAATATCTAAAATCTTGGCACTAATTCATCACCATTTGGAGATAAAATAAGTATTGTATTCAACTTGGAAACCAATAATTATGTGTTTGTTTCCATGCTCCAAATATTCACAAGTGGTGGATATCAAATTCCATTCATGGCTACAAGTGGCTTGTACTTTCCCAGAACTATTATGAAGCATCAAATAAGATGTGCAGACTTTTAAAGCACATTGATACATATGAGAATATCAATAACATGCAGGCCAGTGTCTCCACTTTATGTCATAATCAATGCCTATTCTTTTGTTGCCAAGTGTGTCTGACCTACAGATATGTTTTGTTCATTATATATAGTATTAAAAATGCACACTGATATCTAAAGGAGAGAAAATTTATATTAAAAAAACCCCAGATTTCTGCCTTTTTCCTGAAAAGTCAAGAGTTTGGAAAAACCTAAGTCCATATTTTCTCCACGAAGAACTGAGTAGATGAAATCCTGTTTTGACAAATATTTACTATTGGTTCATTCCAGTCACAACCACTTCTTTTATATTGCCAACATCAAGGCTATTTATAATAAAATAATACTTATGTAAAAATTTAGATCTTTTACAGAATAAAAGGGTGAGAGCATATTATTTTCTTGCACTTGACCTCTTTAATCATTTATGTTACTTATCTGGAAAAATTGACTACTTAGGAGTTTGTGATCCCTTCTCTAAAGGGTGAATTTCTACATGTGAAAAAATTAAATAGCTAAATTGTCTGCAGGATGTTAGGGAATTGGTGTTGGGTTCCAACAGAGGGGCTCTGATAGTTAGTCTTATGCAATAAGGACTAAAAATTATACCCCACGAATACCACCCATTTCACGTCTCCAGTATATTATTAATATCATTAATCATTAGAAAACTTCCAAAATGGATGGTCAAGATTCCCTAAGACAACATTGTATGAATCCATTTGCTTATTCTGCGTAAGTTCCAAATGAGCAGGGGCTTTGTTCCTTAAAGCTCAGGACAGGTCTGGCACATAGTAAGTGCTCAATAAACCTCTGAGGTATGAATGGCAACCTGAAGTTACTCACAGTGCTGGATATCTTCATTTGATTCTCTGGAGCTCCCTTCCAACTTTCTTTACCCAGCTCTGAGCCCCAGGAAGCTCATGTGCAAGCTACATTACTAGAGTCTATAGATTCCTTCTTTCCCGGCATGCAGTGTGGCCCGTGGGGAACACAGACAGGAGATTGTTGGGAGGAAAGAGAGTGAGGTTGTGTATTTCAAAAGCTGGTTGTTTCCTTGAGAACTTACTGCAAACGTCTATTAAAGGTCGAGGCTTCTGGCAGGCAAGCCTCTCTACAAAGCCTTTACAGAGCATGAGTTTCCATAACTGCTCCCTCCTCTTGATCCTTCAGGCATATGGGTAGCAACACCTCCCTGCATCCCTTGTTTCCAGCCCCAGGTTACTATACTATCCCAGTCACCTCTTTGTGCATAGCAGTCCCCTTACAAATCCCTCCTCACACTCTCCAGTTTGAGTATGCCCTCTGTTCCTGCCAGGTTTTTCACTAATACCCTCATCCTAAAACCTGCTGGGGCCAACTTAGTCTCTCTCCTCTCCATAATAAAATGATAGAGGAGAAGCAGTTCTTCATTAAGCAATTTTTTTCACCTTTACCCGTAACTGAGAGATCTTCACCTGTAAATGGCAGAAGCTGGATGAGAGCCGGTGTCATAGCTGGCACGAACACGCCCCCGATAGAGTTCTACCGCGATATGGTCTTTGTCACCCTTATACAGGAGGATTCCGCTGTCTTCATCTGTGGCAATCTAGTAGAAAGTAACCCTGGCATTACTAGGATGTGTACGCAACCAAACGTATTTGATCAGAAAGAGACTGCTAAGTGAGGTGAACAGGTTTTACTATGGTTTATGTTTTCCTGATGGCTATGAGAAAACGATGCTGAAATTATTCCTTGAAAGGTGACTTGTTCTTAAATTGCTTTGTTGCAAATAAATCCATGAAGAAACTTAAAAAGAACAATAAGAAATCCTCAAGTAAACATGTTGGATGTGCTTAGAACTTTCTTTGCTGCAGATTTTCGCTAAACTGCTCCTTTTGCTCCCGTTATAAGCTTTATTTATAGCATCTGTGAAAAATGACTACATTGTCAAAGATGGATTTTTATATCTCATATTTAAAAACAACAAATTCTTCACAGTTATGCCATGTGTAGGGGGAAATCTTTGTTTTTATCCTGCTCTTTGGCCCATTTTGGCTTTTAAAGGATTAATTAGCTAAGTTAAGACTTAAGCCCCAACATCACTGTGTGGTTCTCATAACAATTTGGTGGGGCAAACACTGGAAGGTAGAGAATCATGCCTTCCAGGATTCTCTTCTTCCTGACTTCAAAAGGATCCCCTGTCCCTCACTAGAGTATCAGGGTAAACCAAAAAAGGGGTGGTGTCTACATGAAACTGGCTAAAGTCATTTGAATTAAAAATATATTAAATGATTTTGCTTATCAGATAAAACAAATATGTAGACATAATTTGCCCCATGTACACTATATTTATTATCTTTAATCTAGTGCAGCTTCTTCCATAGGGATCTGAATGACTTGCTTAAAGGTATACAGTGAGTTGGTGGAAAGACTTAAAATTTGAGTTTGTTAATTTCATGTCAATTCTTCAAAGTTCTGGGTGAAGAGTTAAAAGGTGCTGGTTGGCTGAGCGCAGTGGCTCACGCCTGTAATCCCAGCACTTTGGGAGGCCGAAGTGGGTAGATCACATGAGGTTAGGAGTTCGAGACCATCCTGGCCAACATGGTGAAACCCTGTCTCTATCAAAAATACAAAAAAATTAGCCAGACATAGTGGCACATGCTTGTCGTCCCAGCTACTCGGGAGGCTGAGGCAGGAGAATCGCTTGAGCCTGGGAGACAGAGGTTGTAGTGAGCTGAGATCACGCCACTGAACTCCAGCCTGGGCGACAGAGCAAGACTCTGTCTCAAAAAAAAAAAAAAACAACAAAACAAAAAAAAAGGTGCTGGTGGTTGAATCCAGGTGTTCTTTCTCGCCTGCACCCTTCCTAGCTGCAGATTTCCTAAGAAAAGCCTCCCCCATGCAGAGGCTGAACTGCAGAGCCATAAAAGCAAATGAATCAAATGTTTTTGTCTGAGCACAAAACAAAGAGACATATTTTTTTTTTTACTGTCTGCTTATCAAGTAATGAATAAAAATATTTGTTTTTCATTTTGTCTTGAAAATACAAATGTTGAAGAGAAAAATTACTAACGCTGTCCACACAAGGAGCATTTTCTGTTTTTAACTGTCTATTTAAGACATACTATCAATCATTCAGAAGCTACCACAAATGTTTATTCTCTGAAGCTGAATTTTAAGATCCGATCATCTCTCCATAGAGAGAGATCTCTTACCTGAAGTGTTATGTTCGTCTGAGGCCGAACCTTGGCTGAAGGAATCTGAAGATAAGACTCTTTGTTTATAAAATTCACACTAACCAATTTTTCACACTTTTCTCCCTGATAGCCAGGCAAACACTGACATATTGGCTCATTTATTCTGACGATACACTGAGCTCCATTCTGACAATCAAAATTATCACAGGGGCTGGTACGAGGGAGGACCATGGGTGGAGAAAACTCACAGAACAAGCCACTGAAGAATAAGGAGAAAAAAAAATTAGTTAATACGATTTTACTTAATTGCCAATCTGAATTGAGAGCTGTATAACATAACTGTATATTATATATGTGCACTTCCTTGTTTTTCCAGTTTTCAAGTATTCTTAACTATTAAACAAAATCATCACTGTGCTGTACAACAGATATTCCAAACTTACTCATCCTGTCTAAATGACATTTTGTACCCTTTGACCAACATCTCCCCAAACACCATCCCTCTGTCCTCCTCTTTGGTAACCCTCATTCTACTCTTTGCTTCTGTAAGTTCTACGTTTTTTGTCTTAAAATTTTTTTATTTTAATTTTTGTGGGTACCTAGTAAGTGTATATATTTATGGGGTAAATGAGGTATTTTGATACAGGCATGTAATGCATAATAATCACATCATGTTAAATGGGGTATCCATCCCCTCAAGTATTTATCCTTGTGTTACAAACAATCCAGTTATACTCTTTTAGTTATTTTAAAATGTACGATTACACTATTACTGACTATAGTCACCCTGTTGTGCTAGGTCTTATTGAACACTAGGTCTTATTCATTTCTGCTTTTACCTGTAACCTTCGGGGCATATGCACGTATAGCCGTTCACTGCATCTGTGCAGTGGGCTCCGTTTTTACACTTGTTGTCTTGGCAGTCGTCAAAATCGATGTCGCAGTGTTCACCTACGTACCCTGGTGTGCAGTCACATCTGTTGGAACAAGCAGGTAATGGTTTCAAACCCAACTGAGCCAAAATAAGTAAACAATGCATTTTATCTAGACACAATGGCACCATCTTTAAAATACTTATTTAGAATAGGCTCATAGAGCCCCCACATTAATGGATACCTAGAAAATCGAACTGTTCTGCAGTATGTTCCATGTTCTATCACTGTGATCTACCAGAGAAATAGTGATTTTATCTCCTTGATAGTGAACATCCACAGCCCAAATAAGAACAGGGTAATTGTAGCAGGGTCACTCCCTCCCACCCACTCTCCTCCCTCTTCCTTCCTTTCTTTTTCCCCATTTTGTTTGCTTACAGTGCCCTATATTTTCAGTTTGGCCTAATCCATTTGATCATTGAGATTATAAAAGTGCTATGTTGTAAAATTTACTGGAAATATTAAACATATTTAAAAAAAGATTAACATTTTTAATTTTACAATAGAGACTAGATACATCAGAACAAGGTATTATTTTAAGAAAAGCAAATATATTAATATTAAATACCCTAATTCACAATGAATCCAGATACTCATTATAGAAGAACGGGACTGACATAATGGGTTAGGATAGAAGAACTGATAGAAAATTCACGGGGCCAATCCCACGGACAGTTTTCAGCCTGTTCACCATGGTGGTAAAGGGTCTTGGCTGCATTGATGGTGAGGAACCAGGAGTAATAATACAGCTGACATTCACTGAGCACTTCCTCTGGCCCTGCTCTAACCATGTGGCTTCTATGGATTCACTGAATCCTCTCCACAGTCCTGTGATATTCGTGGTATTACTTTGCCCACTCTACAGGTGAGGAGACTAAGGAACAAAGAGGTGAAGTACTTTGCCCCCAAACACTCAACTTCTAAGTGCCACAGCCAGGAATCAAACTCAAGCAATCTAACAAGAAAGCTTGTATTTCTAACCACTGCACTATGCTGTTGAATAATTAATTCCACAGGCTCCCTTTAAACCTGTACTTCTCTAGTGCTGACCACTGGGATCTCTAGTTATGATACCAAGGATGCAGGATTTTATAGCTGCATGAAGAAAGGCAGTGTGGCACGTGCAGCAGTTTTCAAACTGCACTGTGGACCTATAGGGGACCATAGAATCCCTACAGGTATGGCCATCTATGAGGAGGGGTCTTCTGGAAGCCTCCCTCTACCCTCCACCTTTTCCTCAACACTCTCCTGTTGTGATTTATTAGGCTTACACATTGGCTTCCAAGAGTGTTTTTGATTTGAGTTTAAGAGAGGGTTCACTGACTTTATATATATATATACACACACATACACATACATATATACATACATATACACATAACTGCAAAGCCTGAATTCTGCAGAGCTAGGTCATAGTTTTCTCATATATACACACACATATATATATATACACACATATACATACACACATACATATGCGTGTATGTATATGTATATGTATATACACATGTACATACATATACATATATACACACATACATACATATGTATATACACACATGTACATACATATATACACACATACATATGTATGTGTGTATATATGTATATATATGCACATGTGTATATATATGTGTATATATGAGAAAAGTATAACTTAGCTCTGCAGAATTCAGGCTTTGCAGAATATGTACATATGTACATATATACACATATATACACACATACATATGTATGTGTGTGTATATGTATGTACATGTGTATATACATATACATACACACATATGTATTGTGTATGTAGCAGTGTATGTATATATGTGTATATATATGTGTGTATATATGAGAAAACTATAACTTAGCTCTGCAGAATTCAGGCTTTGCAGAATTCAGGTTTTACAGAACTGTGTTTGTACCCCGGCTTCATTCTTAATTGTATGTTATCAACTTTATTTTATTCTAGATTTACTGAGGTATAATTGAAAAATAAAATCTTTATATTTTAAAGATGTACATGGTAATGTTTTATACATACATACATTGTGAAATAATTACCACAGTCAAGCTAATTAACATATCCATCACCTCCCATAGTTACCCTTTTCCTTTTGTGGTGAAAATATTTCAGATCTGCTCTCTGAGCAAATTTCAAGTATATAATACAGTATGAACTATAGTGACCATGCTGTGATATTAGATCTCTAGAACTTATTATTCATCTTGTAACTGAAAATTTGTGCCACTGACCAACATCTTCCCATTTTCCCCACCCCAATTCCTGGTAACCACTCTTGTACTCTCTTTTTCTATAAGTTTGACTTTTTAAAATTCCACATATAGGTGAGATCATCCGGTATTTGTCTTACTATGTCTGGCCTATTTCACTTAGCATAAAGTATATATAATACTGACTAAATTACTTAATCTCTGTAAGTGTTATTTTCCTCATCTTTAACACGTATATAATTCCACCTCACAGGTTTATTTAAAGATTAAACGCATCCATCTGTAAATTAATTAGTATAGTTTTTATATATAATGCACGTTCTATAAATGGCTGGTTTTTAAAATAATTCTCTATATAGTCTTTATAATTCTATAAAAGCTTTTATGGTTTAGTCTGTATTAATTATCCACTTTTCTATTTCAAAGCTATTAGGATTTGAAGTAAGGATAATTAAAAACACCCAAGTGAATGTGGCATTACTGAATGCCTAAGGTTTTGTCTGAAAATGCTAAATCAGGATTTGAGAGTTGCTGGAGAGCGGAAGAATTAAAACAAATGGGAGTATATAGCCTCTAAGAGTAGCAAACAGACTTTCAGCTCTGCATGTATGAATTAAGAAATAAAATGAGCTCACTGCATAAGCATGCTTGCTTTGCAGCCAGTTGGTTTTAATGCTAAATCATAGCAAAGCAAAGTAAACAACAAGTCTGAAGTTAAATAGACTCTAAGTGGCCATATACATTCTCAAAGAGATGGACAAGGCCCGAGAAGAGAACTTCCATCAATGTTAATGTGAGCAGAGCTGTTGAAGTGCCAAGCATTAAAAAAAAGAAGAAATGCTTTGAAACACTCTGAATTATTTATCTGAAAAAAGAAATCAAAGTGAAAGATAAGAGAACAACACATCCACCATAGCGGCTGTCTAAGAGCTATTTTATATTCCCTTCTCTCCAAATACTATTTTTCAAGACCATTAGAGCTTGGAGTTACATTATGTCCAACATTTTTGTCTTTCTTTTGCTCCTCAGACTGAGTTTCAAAACAGAAAGAAAAATTTAAATAAGAATTCCTGAGTTTGTATTATCAATAAAACCTATCACATTCCTTCAACTCTATTATCTGACAAGGAGAGAGGAAGAAGCAAAGAATATAAAATACACTGTTTAGAAGCCCAAAGCTGGCTATGTAAGATGCAGGTTTGAAAATACTGCTTATGGCATATCATAGTCTAAAAATATCTCAAAGCAATTTGGGAGATTTATGAGGTATATAATAAAGCAATAAAAGTAAAACCAGCTCTGTTAGCTTAGTAATAAGAAAATGAAGTTGAAGTAGCATAGCATAACTTGTCTAAACAACATTTGTCAGTAGAGATTTTCTTTAGCAGCTTCACAGAATTTGATTTTTACGTCTATTTTCTTTCCACAGCTACCTTTCCCACAATGTCGGGAGTAACAGCACACACACTGACCTAACCGTTTTCTGCTAAACTACCTACATACAGCTATGAAACGAGCTTACAAACTATAATGGAAAACAGTGGGTTTCCAAATGAGTTAGTCCATAATGCAGCAAAATGCACTTTTAAGAGTGTCTAATTTATTTGATGGCGAGAGGAGATATTTAATTAAGGATTAGTCTTTTTGCAGACAAACTCACTTTCTAATAGTTTCAGTTAAGTCTTACTAATACTTTATCTTATACTTACAATACACAAAGTACTGTGACATCTGTTCAGCAGATGAGCAGTTCTGGAAAACTTTCCTTACTAGCTAATTTCTCTAAGAAATGATATTTATTATGTAAGTGATGTGTTTTCAATTTGCCAAATTAAATTGTGAGCGCATCATTGATATGAAGACTAAAAACAACTTACCTACAGTGTTTGGTTGAATAAAATATAATGTAAAGTTTTGTATAAAGTGAAAATGGAATAACACTGGGTTTTTGCCTAGGGTTGTAAACTAAAATATAATGCAAAATAGAATCAAATTTATTCTTTCCTTTTTCAAAAAGACATTGTAGGGAATTAGCAGGTGCTACAACTGTACCTACATATTCTACATTTTTGGATTTTAAACCAAATTAAAGCAAAAGCACATTGTCAAAAGAAAGCTTGAGAATAAATATTTAATTTAGATTGATATTTGAAAAGCAGTGGGGATCTGGCGATTCTGACCCCACTCTCCCACCCGACTTAAAATATCTGATGATCTGTTCGGTAAGTACAAATATCTTAGCAATCCAGCTCAAATTCCATCTTCTCTTATAAAATTCATCCCGACCTGTGTAATTGTTAATTCCCTGAATTCTATGGCAATTGAGCTTGGGTCATTTCTCTAAGAAGATGAATTAAGTGAAGGTGAATAGCTATAAAGGACTACAAAATCATAAGATGGTATTATTACCATGTGCTGTGGCCATGGCAGGCACTCAATAAATATTGCTTGAAGGAACAGATAATGCTATTTGCTAGCTGTCTGATGAAAGCACAGCTCAACCCCTGTACCCGACTGTGTAATTCCTAAGAATCCAGCCTATTTGCTACACAATACCAACTGTAATGTTAATAAACTATAAAATTTCTTATAGGTAACACATAGTAGAAAAATCACCCAACTGGTAAGTATAAATCCTAGCTCTAGCTCTGCCAATAAATAACCTTAAGATCTCTGGACAGTCAACTAACCTCTCCGGGCCATGGTTTCCTCATGTTTAAATGAAGACTAGATGATCTCTAAACTACTGCCAGCTCTAAAAAGAGAAGTTGCTGTTGAAAGACCCTTAAAATATTACAGGATGGTGGCAAAGAAATCACGTAATTTCATAGCAAACATATTTCAGGAATATTGCTGGGGAGGAAAAAGGAAGTGTTTTTTGAAGTTCTGTGTTCACTTAAGGGAGTACACTTAGCGGGATTATAATGCTTTGTCACCCCATGCAAAAAATATTTAAGTTGGAAGAGACACTATCAATAACTACAGTGATCATCACAGGCATAGCCTGGGACTCCCTGGGGCAGCCTGAGATATATGGTCACTCTATCTTTCTCACCTTGGATAGTCCAATCATTGTTTCAGACCGTAACATCTTCAATTACATTAAAGTCAAATTCTCTATTTTACCACAGACTTACCTTCAGACAATGAAGCACATAGAAGACATTACAAATGTCACCGGTTGGGCCTTCAAATAAATTTAAGTAAGCATTTTCAAAGGCTGCTCATTGCCTTAGGTGACTTCACAAAAAAAATCATGGATGAAAAGGAAACACTTTTTCATTTTTCTTTAGTGTACTAAACAAAAAGTCTGGGGCTGGGCGCGGTGGCTCACGCCTGTAATCCCAGCACTTTGGGAGGCCGAGGTGGGCGGATCATGATGTCAGGAGATCGAGACCATCCTGGCTAACACGGTGAAACCCCGTCTCTACTAAAAATACAAAAAATTAGCCAGGCGTGGTGGCGGGCGCCTGTAGTCCCAGCTACTTGGGAGGCTGAGGCAGGAGAATGGCGTGAACCTGGGAGGAGGAGGTTGTAGTGAGCCGAGATCGTGCCACTGCACTCCAGCTGGGCAACAGGGCCAGACTCCATCTCAAAAAAAAAAAAAAAAAAAAAAAAGTCCATATTGTATATCGACATTTAAAAAATGTCACTGATACTAGTGAATAGGTCCCTTTAATCCTGAGCAGAGGTGTGAAGCTAAGGATGAAGGAGGAGAAGGGCTCCTAAAATAATGGGTCCCCTACCCTGACTGTGAGCAAAAAGGTAGCTTTTGACTTACTTGAATCCCTTTGGAGTTAGGATGCACTTTGAATCGTGCTGGCAGGGGTTCAGGTCCTGGGCACAGAAGTCCAGCTTCTCCTCACACAACTCACCTGCAACAGGGCAAACAGTGTTAGCTCATAGAAAAAGGTCAACAGGCTTCCTGCCAGCAGACTGTGTCATTGTCATGGGTCTTAGAGGTTAGGGCAGCTTGTGATTTAAAACAAAACAAAGCAAAAAACCCAAAACAAAAGCCACAAGGCATGGAACCAGGTGGTCCATTATCCAATTCTGAGTCTGCTGCTAAGTAGTGTTGTGATTTTGGACAACAGGACTATTGTGATCTGTGACTAATATGAGCACCCTCAGAATATACTATGGGAATTAGGAAAAGGAAATCTGAATGCTTTTCAATGGCGTTGTTTATTTTGGATTTTTTTTCTTGATATATAGCATAGACCCAAAGGATGAATAAATTGGTAATGATTATTCACAAACTGAACCCACTCAGGTCACCAGCACCCACATCTAGAAACACACCATGTACCAGCACCCCAGAAGCCTTCCCCCCGGTCCCTGCAAAGAGGATCACTATCATGACAAGACCATAGGCTAGCTGTGACTGTTTTTGAGCTTGACATAAATGAAATCATTCCATATGTACCCTTTTATGCCTGGCTTATTCTATAGTTTTATGTTTGAAAAAAATATTCTCAAATCTTCATAGTCTCTGGTCTTAAAAGTCTATAAGAAAAACACTTGGTTTCCTTCTTGTGGATCATTGCCGCAGCTCAACAGAAAACTTCTTAGAGCCACATCCTCTGACATATAAAGAAAAAAGTAAAAGGAGACTCAATACAGAGACAGGGAACATATATTTTTTCCATGAAAGTCAGCTAACTCATGAAATAGAACTTCTATCAACAAATGAGAGCTGAAGGCATAACCACGCAGATTCTAGGTACTCTTTGTTGAATCACATGACTGATAATTTCTTTAGAAAATTTCTTCTGATAAAAATAACATGGTTATTATTTCACATACATTAGACCAAATGTAATTTTCATTTAGAAGACTTTCCCAATTGTGGCATAAAGTATTAAGGTGACTGGAAAGGTATTCATATACATAATATATATTAACTTACATAATACATTTTAAGTTATTTTTACCTTTTCTACTTTACTCCTACTTTTGAATTGTTTTATATGCAATAAATGGACAAATAAAGTGACACATCTATAGGCAGCTGTTCATTTCCAGGAAACTACTAAAACTGTCATTTGTAACAGCATCGGTTAAAATTTCAGGCTTGTGCACCTTGTAACAGCACCCCTTTGTTACAAGATGATCCTTTTAAAATAATACACTGCTAGTTGGTAGAAATCATTGCTTGACAACTAAATGTGGCATATTATTTAGACTTCAAGAGTCTTTTCCCGTGATGCAAATTAATAAATGTATTCATCTAGTTATTACATCAATCTGGTGTATGATATTAGTTTTTATCTGTCTCTTAAAAAGAACTAATTGCACAGTAAGTCTCATATATTGCTTCTATAAGTTTTCTGGGATACAAAAGATTTTTAGCAACATATGCATGATGAACTATTTTTAAACAGGTTTTATTTAAAGGCTTGTGATTTCAAATAGTATTACTCTAAGTTGGATACCTTGATGAAATGCATTCATCATATTTTATCAGCCTACTATGATGAAATCACTTTCAGTTTCTAACCAAATCTATCTGATGGAGATATAGGCTGTTTATAGTAGTATCTATCCAAGACAGTTTGTAAAAACTGATAGTAAAGAAGGACCATTTGAGATACATAATAAATGTCATTTTATGTACTTTTCACTTTATGCCTAAATAAGAAACTGTTTTAAAATTATAATAAAGGGAAATGTTTTATTCTTTATTTACTCTGATACAATCCAACCCAATTCATCCAATCTAAGTCACAGTCCATAAGGATTTACTACGTGATGTTGTGCTAGAGGCTGGAGCTACAAGGATGAATGTAATGGACTCTGCTCCTAATCAGTTCTTAATCTACCAGCAGAGAAAGTCTTGAGCTAGGGAAAGAACAGAGACAGAGAATTTCATCTCTAAAAAAATAAAACTGAGAGTTGACCCTTGTCTAAAAGGAATTACTCCACAGACTTGATAATGTAAAGGAGTGAACAAGGACAAAGTTCCAAGAAACTGTTAGCTAACCAGATTGTTAAATCTCTAATCAACAGCTTTAAGATTAAGCATGCCAACTTGAACATAAAAAACTACATCAATGTCAAGTATTCCTTACCTCTCCAAGAGTAGCAAAATAGCAATAATCATTACTGAGATTGTATATGGTACTTCTTTGTGACCATTACATAGCTATACACCTGACCTTAGTAAGATAGGTTGACAACGTCAAAAATGATTTGATTTTTGGCCAGGCATGGTGGCTCATGCCTGTAATCCCCGAACTTAGGAGGCTGAGGAGGGCGGATTGCCTGAGGTCAGGAGTTCGAGACCAGCTTGGCCAACATGGTGAAACCCTGTCTCTACTAAAAATACAAAAATTAGCTGGGTGTGGTGGCGGGGGCCTGTAATCCCAGCTACTCGGGAGGCTGAGGCAGGAGAATCGCTTGAACCCAGGAGGCGGAGGTTGCCATGAGCCGAGATTGTGCCACTGCACTCCGGTCTGGGTGACAAGAGCAGTCAAAAAAAAAAAAAGATTTGATTTTCTTTATTATCACCGAACATTATAATGCTAACAAATATTACAAAAACATTTTCTGCATCCAATTACTGCCTAACTTGCTTTAAAGACCAATCTTCCACCCGACATTCATATCACCTGGGTCTGTTTACTATTTCCTGAATTTATTTCAACTCCATGCCAGGGCTAATGGTTTCTCCTTTTGCTTTAATAACAACCTTTCACAATTCTGTTGTCACTTTTCTCATCCATTATATGTTCCCTTCTTTATGGAATCATGCCAGATCTTTTCAACTATTTCTTCTCTATCTCTAATTTTATATTGTGTTTGACTATGCCTATCTTATGACATATACATGGTATATATTTGTTTATGTACTTAATGAGCATTTATATCATGCTTACTACTGTATGCTAAACAGTTTTAAACACTGTATAAATATGCAGTCACTTAATATTCATTACAAGCATATAAGGTAAGGTTTTAGGGTTGCACTGTTATGTGTGCATTTTATATTACTGGTGTTTATCTGACTCTCTTTTCTCGACTGTAAAATCACTAAGAGTAGAATTCTTGCCACATTTGCTTTTGTGTTTTTTCCAGAGTGTGGTATGCTGACATACTCAAATAATAGTCATTAAAAGGAGGAATCATGCTTTTTAAGGCAAGAGCTCTATCTTGTTGACCTGTAATCAACTCAGATTTCATTCTAGCCTTTAGAGATTAGTGTAATTTTTTGCTTAATTACTCACTCATGATTAGTAATAACATAGCTTATGCTATTCTCTTTAAACATTACTGTGAATTTTCCCTGACTAAATATTAACATGAATGTTTTCATTGGACTGTTTCTTTAATTTTCCTTAATTATATTGGATTCTGCTATACTTGAGGGAAGGACCGCTTTCAAAAGAGTGCAACAGTGGCGAGATTCAGGAGCTCAATATAAGAAGGGAAACTTAGCAAGCTCCTTAGATGAATACTGGCCTGCATGTCTACTTCTCAACCAGTAAGAGGAAATTAGACAGCTAAAAGCTGCACTGGTTTTCCAGGAAGAATAGAGATAAAATGACTAACATTAGTCAGCTAATGTATTTTTAGTTACCAATATTGAAAAGTTCCCCCAAACCTCATAGTATTGTGAGGACATGATGCCATTTTTACTTGGTTTTTATTTTAAGTGTAGTCAGAGCTAGTACTGAGTTAGTGGAAAAATAATAAAAAATAGGGGAATTGAGTTTGCTTTTGTGATGGCTCAGGTCCTGAGATAATATTATCAATGGCTGCCTCCCTTTCAGAGATGATAAAGTGTGAGGTGACAGAAAGGAAAACTGGAAATATTCTTTATTCGACTATACAGAGTTAGTGTTGTAAATGATTACCCTATAAGCAGGTCTTAATACGTTTAAACTGACATCAAGAAAGATAAGTCAATCCATTGGAGTGGTTTGGGGCAATGTGGTTGAATATAGGTTAAATGTTGGTGTCTATGAGCCTCTCAAGAGATAGGAGCCTAGGCAAGCCTTGACTCCATGATCTGGCTTCAACCCATTCCTCTAAATCCCAGGAAATCCTATTTATTTATTTTCAGCCATGGGCCCTTAAAATTTCCCAATAGTGTGGAACACAGTCATTGCCTGGCATTTGTGATTTCACTTTTGATCAGATGAGCAAATTAATTTTCCTTATGATTCTAGTTTTCATCTCTTGTTGATAAGAGGTTGAAGCATTCTGAGTGTACGTATATATGTTGGTTGTGTATGTTTTGGCGAGAAAACAAAGAGTGGTCCATCAAGGGGTCTATGGTTACCTCTTCAGGATAAGAGAGGTTAGTAAATGATCTACTGTAACTGGTAATAAATATTGCTGGTAACCAATATCTGCGAATGCCAGAACTTTCTTAAGAAAAAGTGCTACATGTTGTAAACAGAGGAATCTTTTTGACATAGAGGTTGTTTTTTTTTGTTGTTTTTTGTTTTTTGTTTTTTTTGAGATAGAGTCTTGCTCTGTCAGTCAGGCTGGAGTGCAGTGTCGTGATCTTGGCTCACTGTAACCTCTGCCTCCCAGGCTCAAGTGATTCTCCTGCCTCAGCCTCCTGAGTAGCTGGGATTACAGGCACATGCCACCATGCCCAGCTAATTTTTGTATTTTAAGTAGAGACGGGGTTTCACCATGTTGGGCATGCTGGTCTCAAACTCCTGACCTCAACTGATCCTCCCACCTTGGCCTCCCAAAGTGCTGGGATTACAGGTATAGAGTTTTATCTGTTTCTTAGATCACCTCTTCCTGATTTTGTCTGTCGGTTATATATGGGACACAACAGGACAAGAAATGACCAAGTTCTACAGTAACACTATTACAACTTGTGAAAGAGCATGCCAAAAGTGATACCCACTCTTCTAAATGGGAATGATTTTTCAGACTCACTCTTGAAGGGGAGATAAAATGCTACTTACTGAATATCTGTGAATGTGTTTCTTCTGAAAAATTTCATGGAGTGGTAATGTGCCCATTCATTCTTGCTTGTACAACCGTCCTGGTTTATACCCGTTGTCCCAACGTAATTGTCAATAGTGTGCCTGGGCACTCACATAACTACCCTGATTTGGATGATAAATGTTATGGGTCACCTTCTAGGTGGAACAGTAAAAAGCTGGATCATCAGAGTTGATAATACTCTGGAGTGAAGAGTGAATCAGCATAAAGAGACCTCAGGAAGTAACTGTTCTTATTGGGGAAAATGACATTTGGTTAGTTGTATTATTGTCTAGGATGGCCTTCTACGGTTGTATGCAATATACGAGAGTTGACTGGTTGCAGAACTATTTTATTGTTCTCAGCCTCAGTTCTTCATCAGTAAACTGAGGCTCTGGAATTAGAGATGTGTAAGGTTAACTGTGGCTCTAAAAAAATCCCTTTTTTTCAATAAAAAGGAAAATGCTTCTGAAGATATGGATCATGCAGACAGCAAGTTACCAGAGGGAGTATCACACTTAGCTGTACAAAATAACATTACTTCATTCAGCGGTAAAAATAAAGTGCCAGCATATGTTCAGAGCCCCCTGTGGTACTGATATTGTGAGTATTATTGCACTGAGGAAGAAACCTCAATGCACTTTGATGGTTTTTATGAGAAATAATACCTGGAGTTTGGCCTTACCTTCTGCTTCATTTTAGATCTATGAACCTAACTTTTTTATTTTTATTTTATTTTTATTATTATTATTATTATTTTTGTGATGGAGTCTCATTCTGTCGCCCAGGCTGGAGTGCAGTGGCATGATCTTGGCTCACTGCAACCTCTGCCTCCTGGGTTCAAACGATTCTCCTGTCTCAGCCTCCCCAGTAGCTGGGACTACAGGTGCGCACCACCATGCCCAGCTAAATTTTGTACTTTTAGTAGAGATGAGGTGTCACCATGTTGGCCAGGATGGTCTCATCTCTTGACCCTGTGATCCACCCACCTCAGCCTCCCAAAGTCTTGGGATTACAGGCGTGAGCCACTGTGCCCGGCCTGAACCTAACTGTTTTTAATGCTCCTTCCTTGTTTAACACAAAGGGGCCCTTCCTATTGCCTTCATTTCTACTTCCTTCCTAGTATCTTGTTATCTTTGTGTTTAAATTTGTTACCATACTTACTGAAATAGTTTTAGAACTATTCTACAAAGCTCTTCCCTGATACTTACAGAATGATCTGCCTATAGCTTTTTCAAATAATTAAAACAGCAAATCAGATTTTTAACATCACCATATATTTTGAGTCCCAACTATGAATGGGGACCTCTACCAATGCTAGAAGTATAATGGTAAACAACAACAACAACAACAACAAACTATTCCTATTTCCACAGAGTTTATGTATGAGAGGAGGAGGAGAAAGATATTAATTCAGTAATTTCCCAAGTAAAGTAGTCCCCCTTTATCGGCAGTTTTGTTTTCTGTGGTTTCAGTTCCCCACTGTTAACAGCGGCCAAAACATATTAAATGGAAAATTCCAGAAATAAACAATTCGTAAGTCTTGAATTGCATGAGTTCTGAGTAGCTTGGTGAAATCTTGTTCCATTCTGCTCCATCACACCCAGCACGTAAATTATCTCTATCCAGGGTATCTGGCTGAAGAAGCCTCCTGCCCATCAGTCACTTATGAGCCATCTCAGTTATCAAATCTGTTGTCGTGGTATCACAGTCATCCTGTTCAAGGAAACCTTATTTTACTTAATAATGGCCCCAAAGTGCAAGAGTAGTGATGTTGGTAATTTGGACAAGCCCAAGAGAAACTGTCAAGTGCTTCCTTTAAGTGAAAAGGTAAAAGTTCTTAACTTAATAAGGAAAGAGAGAAAAATTGTACACTGAGGATGCTAAGATCTACCGCAAAAATGAATCTCCTATCTCTGCAAAGTTGTGAACAAGGGAAAAAGAAATTCATACTAGTTTTGCTGTCATACCTCAAACTGCAAAAGTTACAGCCACCATGCATGCTAAGGGCTTACTTGGGATGAAGAGGGATTCAGTGTGTGGGTTGAAAGACATGAACAGAAACATGTTCTGATTGATAGCAACTGGCTTCAGTACTATTTGTGGTTTCAGGCATCTACTGAGGGTCTTGGAACGTATCACCCGCAGATAACGAGGGGACTACTATATGCATAAAATTGCCTCTGTGCTGAATGCTAAGCAGGAACATTTTATGGGGCCCTAGAAAGGGACTGTTTCCTCTGAAGAAGGACAGGAGAGATTCTTCTGAAGAGGTGAGACTCAGAGGCAAGGGTGAAGTGGAGAATGAAGAGCTCTGACAGAGGCTTCTGCAGGAGGCAGCATGAAGAACAGGAGCCCTAAGAGATGGGGAGTGAGCCCGGGAAAACATGGTGCCAGAGGAGCCCCAGAGGCTGGCTGGGCCACAGGGTCGAAGGTCTTCATTCTATGAATAATAGGCTCCCACTGAAAGGTTTTGAGTCGGGGCATGGCCAGATGACATCTGCACTTTGAAAAGAGCACTCTGGCTGGGCACAGTGGCTCACGCCTGTAATCCCAGCACTTTGGGAGGCCAAGGCGAGCAGATCACCTGAGGTCAGGAGTTTGAGACAAGCCTGGCCAAGATGGTGAAACCCCGTCTCTACTAAAAATACAAAAATTAGCCAGGTGTGGTAGTGGGTGCCTATAATCCCAGCTCTTTGGAAGGCTGAGACAGGAGAATTGCTTGAACCCGGGAGGTGGAGGTTGCAGTGAGCAGAGATTGCACCACTGCACTACTCTAGCCTGGGCAATGAAGAGCGAAATTCTGGAAAGAAAGAAAGAGAGAGAAAGAGAGAACTCTGTCTCCAGTGGAGGATGGCAGATTGCATAAGTGGGGATACAAGTGCACATGAGAGGTGACCACTTGTACAGGGTAGGGGTGGGGTGGAGATATACATGGCCCAAAGCAGTGTTTAGGAAGCAAAACAGATGGGACTTTGTGATGGACTGAATAAGCATGGGGGAAAGAGAGAAAGGGAGTTGTCTAGAATGTCTATGATTTGGGTACCTATATTGGGAATTACCTTTTGGTGACATGGAGAACAGTGGAAGAAGACCAGGTTTTCTGGTGCAAACAGAGTTTAAAATACAGTGATGTGGTGTTGAGGATTCAATTGTGCCCCTCAAAACAAAATATGTGTGAGTCCTCTAGTACCCCAGGTTGTGACCTTATTTTGAGATAGAGTTTTTACTGAGGAAATCAAGTTAAAATAAAGTCATTAGGATAGGCCCTAATCCAATATGGCTTGTGTTATCAAAAAGGGAAACCTGGATACCAAGAAAGACAGGCATAGAGGGAAGATGATATGAAAAACAGGGAGAAGCCAACTAGACAGGCCTGGAAGAGACATTTCCCTCACAATCCTTGGCAGGAATCAACACCTTGATTTCAGACCTCTAGCCTCCAGAACTGTAAGACAATAAAACTCTGTTGTTTAAGCCTCCAGTTTGCAGTAATTTGTTATGGCAGCCCTAGCAAAACAATACAGGTAGTAAATTCCAAATCACTGGAAGTTTACAGCGGGGAATAAAACTTTCAACTTATGCCACTATTTCTTCCTTTTTCTTTTTCTTTTTTTCATTTTTACGTCTCTTTCCTCTCATTTTATTTCATGTAGCTGTCCTCTCCTTTGTCTCAAGTTTTCTTTTAGGACTATAAGCTTCTCCAACAGTCAGTCTGTAATAAGCGGTGCACAAAGGAGAAGGAGTGCTCCATGACAAGGCTCCCCGTGCTTCAAGAGAGTCAAGATGTAAGTGGAGCACAGTAGTGTAGATTAGCTCTACATTTGCTGCTGTGGCCAGATGTCTCTCTGCAAAGCACTGTGAGTTGTGCTTGACTTGGACCAATCATCACTTACTCCTCTGTTGGAGGGGAGCTGGTGTTAGCAGTTAGGGCTTGCAGGACAGGCTATCCACCAAATAATAACAACAATTCTCCTCTTCAAGGTCTTAAAGACAGCAAAGGCAAGAGAATCATAGACTACTGTGTCTTGAAGAAGAGAAAGTGAGTCGAATGCCTGTGCCATCAGCTTTATGGTAAGTTTGCAGATGATCTTGAACTTTAACAGCTGCAATTATTAACTACTTATGTGCATACACACACACACACACACACACACACGTATAATATATATATATACTATCATTAAGTATAAAAATAATCCTGAAAGTGTTTTATTACTTTACATTATATCAACCGGGCACAGTGGCTCATGCCTGTAATCCTAGCACTACAGGAGGCCGAGGTGCGTGGATCACCTGAGGTCAACATGGTGAAACCCTGTCTCTACTGAAAATACAAAAAATAACTGGGTATGGTGGTGCGCATCTGTAATCCCAGCTACTTGGGAGGCTGAGGCAAGAGAATCGCTTGAACCTGAGAGGCGGAGGTTGCAGTGAGCTGAGATCATGCCACTGCACTCCAGCCTAGGCCAGACACGGTCTCAAATATATATATATATATATAATATATACATAATATATAATATATACATAATATATATTATATATAATAATATATTATATATGATATATTACATATTAAATATATATATAATATATATTATTTGGAGAATATTTGAGTTGATTTACATTTCCTGTACATACTGTCAAATTTCTTAAATGTACTTTTTCTTTAAAAAATACTGCTTTAACTCATTAAGCATTGTTGAAATTTCTTAACTATAGTAATTTTTTGACAAATGAATGAATAATGAAGATAGTATATGGTCCATGAGAGTTAACAATAAATGTTTCCCGAAATGAGTAAGAATAGTTTAAAAATAAATTTACTGATTATATAATTAGTTTACATGTACTCTCTCAGAGTGAGGTTTTTTTATTTCGCCAACAAAAGCTGCTTTAGTGTAATTTTCATTACACATCTTGGGAGAAATTTTTTGTGCTAGATCTAGCAAATGATTGAAGGATGAGTATGACAAAGCTTTACCCTGGAGAAGTTCCTATATGGAAAATTTAGAGAAATAAGATCAACATCTAATTTCCTACTGTCCGTTAAGTTTCCTTAATGACTGACATATGTGTAGCATCCCGGCCTAGAAACTGGGCTGAATGAAATTTTTATTTTTAATTATTATTAAAAACTATATTATACAGTTCCGAAATACATTATTACCCCAAAGAGATTTGTTCTCTTTGCTAAATAAGCTGTGTTAATTACAGACAGGAAAGTTTTGAAGAATTGTTGGCTGGGCTATTTTTTTTTTTTTTCCCTAGACGGAGTCTTGTTCTGTCACCCAGGCTAAAGTGCAGTGGTGCAATCTCAGCTCAGTGTAACCTCCGCCTCCTGGGTTTGAGTAATCTCCTGCCTCAGCCTCCTGAGTAGCTGGGATTACAGGCACGCACCACCACGCCCAGCTGATTTTTTTTTTTGTATTTTCAGTAGAGACAAGGTTTCACCATATTGGCAAGGCTGGTCTCAAACTCCTGACCTCGTGATCCACCTGCCTCGGCCTCCCAAAGTGCCAGGATTATAGGCATGAGCTACTGTGCCCACCTTGGCTGGACTATTAATTGCTTTCTATCTACCAAGAAATCTGGGCAATGGGATGTCTCATCTAGGCTTATTTAGTCCTCAAAGCCTGCTTATCAAAAAGGTGGAAGCCTGCTTATCAAAAAAGTGGGTCATTTTGTCCCCAGATTAAGATTTCTGAAATTTTCCAACTCAAATCACTGTTAAAAATATTAATTTGTTTTACACTAAATGGATGTTGAGTATCTCTCTTTAATTTTCCCCAAAGTTAGCTTTTTAAATTCAAATTGGGCATGTCTACAACAAAATAATTTTAGATAGCAGTACATGGTGTTGCTGGCACACGTAACTCTTGCTACTGTTGCTACCTTCTGCTAATGTAACTAGATTAGCTTCTTCTCTCTTTGAAATAGATAAAAATCTGAGTCCATTCTGGATATCATAGATGTACGAAAGAGGTGGCGAGGGTACTGGAGCTGATACTGCAGCCCATTTTTATTCCTACTGTAACTTGTAACAAACTGTTTTTTATAAGAAATAATTATTAATATTGATAATAATGAAGGAGAAATTTAGGATGGCAATCTGAATAACTGGACCAGAATTCTAGTGTTAAATGTAATCAGTCAAACTCAAGAAAGATTTGAATAAATGTACTAATTTTATTCTCTTTGAATTAACTCAGCAAGGGAAGATATCAAAATAAGCAACCTAATAGATAAAAAATATGATTTAGTTTCTTAAAAGTACACTACTTGAGGGCATGGGATACCTTTATATTTATATTTTTGTATTTCTCCATTCCCATTGCATTCGCTAGTAAAGTGGCACAAACTAGTGCTGGATAAAAAAATAGGAAAGATAGCACTTATTTGATTGCTTCTTGCAGGCAAATGCTTTTTAAATGTTAATGGAGACCCAGATCACATAAAGAACAATGTAAGGAAGCAAAGAGAGAATTAAAAAACTGATAGCAGATTTGTGTTCTGAGATGTGAGCCCGAGGTGTGCCCTTGCAGGCTGGATGAGATGGGTAGACTGTTCATTTCCAGATTTCCCTACTGTATTTTTATGCCTAACAATTACCATTCCAATGGAGGATGGAGACTATGAGCTCCATTATCAAGAAATTGCACTTGTCAGCACTTAAGTGGAATGTTTGAGGAAGGTTAAGATGAATGGACCTGAATGTTTATCATTACCAAATTTTATAAATTCGATCCAATTCTGATTTTAAAAAGTATACATTTCCCATTTGTTCTTTATTTATAGAAACAGAAACATTCTCTCTACTCCTACAGACCATGCAGTGTGGCAGAGAGACTGATGATCTATAGCACAGGGTGGATATAGCTGATGAGATTATGGGAGTCATCACAGGGCAGCTTCATTAAGTTGGACCTGAAAGAAAAGTATGTATATTTTCTCCTCTTTTGCTAAACCAGGCAGGCCCTATTTGTTACATACTCAAGGTTATAATCCCAGGCACCACAACACAGTAACACAGGCAGATGCCCAGTAAGATACATTAGCCATTAACAGATGTGATCTTTGTGTGCAATAGGTGCAAAATGGGACACGTACATAATCGGAATGCTGCCATAGAGAAACCCTGTGAGATAAAAGTTTATCATAATTCAAAATAGGAAGGTTCAAGAAAATATGCTATAAATGTAGGTGTTAAGACATTTCAAAGAAGGAAAATCAGTTTTCGGTTCCTATTTTTGTTTTCTAAGTGGTATGAAATGAGTTGCTTGACTCTGTCAGGGAGATTGGTCGGTGTCCATATTCAGAAGGAGTGTTTTTCTTTACTTACAAACTAGTAAAGTAGCTATATTATATTATTAATGTTCTTGGAATGTGAGAAGTGATGGTTATGTACTGAGAAATATTTGAACTGATCTGATCTTGCAGTAAAGAATCAAAGCCAAAGAGTTTTTGCTCAGTAGATCAGGGTAATGTCTTATGGATTTTTGTATCACTTTCAATACTTAGCATGGTGTCCTGCATAATATATTTTCTCAATAAGCATCTGGTATATTTTTAAATGAAAAAAAAAAAACTTACCTCTCCAAATAAACAAACAGAAAATGAAGTGTTTTTCAGCATTTCCTTATTGGAACACTGAGGCTAAATAATATAGCCAATTCCAGCAGCTACTGAAACTTCAGAAAATATTTAACTCAGTTTTCAAAATAAATAAATTCAAATTAGATTGAATAAGACTTGCTTAGGCTAAATTGTTGTTCTGGGCTCAATGGGCACTGCCTATTAACTAAAGAGCAAACAAGATCTTTAAAACTTTTTTTTGAGATTAAAGTGCATTTAAGAAAGTTTTGAAAGGTTGGAGGATGAATACAAACCACATAGTATCATTAGGCTGCCAAAGTATTCTCTCTAGTAAAAACAGATGGCAACTTAACGTTTCCCTTATTTGAGGCTCACAAGTGTGTCCGCAACTATAACGACCTTGATATAAAGACCTTACACATCTCGAAGCAGAATTAAAAACAGAAGTCACTGTTACTAAGAGATCATGAAAATCTAAAAATATACACAAAATCTACAAATCCAACTCAGCCAAATCCAAGAGCTCTTCAGCATTGTGTATTTCTTTATGTTTCAAAGTAGTGTATGGGGGCAAAGAGAACCAAAGACCTATCCCTAAATAAAATCTTTCTATACGAAGTGAGCATACAAAGTACAATTAAAAACAATAATAATAAAGACAGACAATACTGAACAATATGGGGAGAGAAATTTCCATTCTATACATAATTTACCTTAGGTAATTTTCTTTATAAAAAATTGAATAAAGAATTCCCATAAGAATTCTTCTGCCATGAGGAATGGCATCAAATATATCTGAACCATGTCACTGTAGTGATGATGGCTGGAATTAAATGATGCAAAATTTAAACCTGTCTTACAGGGCAGCCTTCGATATTTCCAGAGTATAGACATTTACCAATTCAAAGTGTTTTCCGATACATAGTTACATGTTACTCTCAAATGTCTATGTGAATTATATGACAGATATCATTATTCCTCTTTCACAGAAGAAAAATAAAAGACTGGGAGGTGTCCCAGAGTTTATAAATATTCGTGCCAGGAAGAGAAACCCGAACTTTTCCCCTTACCTACACAAACTAACCACCTGCCTTATGGGATAAAAGGTAGCCTAGTTCTCGGGGGGAATTTATTCATTAATTGTACAGGCATTCATTCGGTGCTTTTTTCCTATCTAGATAAAATAGACGGCTTGGCTGCACTTGAATTTTGTGGGTACAGCTTTCCTTACATAAGGACAATTGTGCACAGCGAGCTGAAGAGACAGCAGGAGAGCAGAAGGAAAGCTTGTTTGGCATAAATCATGAATGAGAAATAAGCTATTGTGAGATAGAAAAGAAGCCGTGCCTGGAAGGAGGCAGCAAGGCAGAAGGGACAGGCTCCAGCAGAGGCCCCCACCTCAAAGTGCATGCTTTGGGGCCAATGAGACATGGGTTTGCATCTGGGCCTCTACTTACAAGGTGCATATCCTTGAATAAGTGGTTTATCGTTGTTTCATAGAAGTTTTTTCCCACCTTTGTGTTGTTCACATAAACTGCAGAGTTCTTTTAAATTAACAATGTATCGACTAATGATATACATTCTTTTTATTTAAGACAATTCCCCCAGGTGCTAGAAAAAAATGGAAATTCTATTTCCAATTAAGTTTTGAATTGAAAATATAGAGAATGATTTGACTGCTTTTAAAAGCAAATTCAGTCAGCAGCAAATTCTTGGAAATAAAAGGGAGCTTTTATAAACATAAGCATGAAATTTAGTCAACACATGAAACCACATGGCGATTTAAAACACTTGTACTGCCAAGATTGTTTCTAAGAGTATACACAACAATTTAAGGACATATTCCTGTGATGGAATAATTGCTATTATGTTTCTGAGATAGACTCAGACCTTAGACATCCCTGACCCAGGCCACCAATTGCTTAGTACTTGTAAAGAGAAAAGAAGCCATTTGACCCAGGAAGGTATTAGATGCATTAATCCACAGAGAATAGCACATGTTATACTGTTACATTCTAAAATATGAAACCATTTGTTTTCAACTTAACTCTGCACACTGTAAGAGTAAGTCAGCAAACACAGTAAATCATCCAAACAATGCAACAGAGGAAATGAAGCCCATAGCAAGAGAAGACAGAGAGACCTGCTATATAATAACCTTTGTTTTTTTTTTTTTTTTTTTTTGAAAGCGAGTCTCACTCTCTTGCCCAGGCTGCAGTGCACTGGCACAATCTCGGCTCACTGCAACCTCTGCCTCCTAGGTTCAAGCGATTCTCCTGCTTCAGCCTCCCAAGTGGCTGGGACTACAAGCTTGTGCCGCAACGCCCTGCTCATTTTTGTATTTTTAGTAGAGACAGGGTTTCACCATGTTGCCCAGGCTGGTCTCAAACTCCTGGGCTCAAAGGATCCACCTGCCTCGGCCTCCCAAAATGCTGGGATTGCAGGCGTAAGCCACTGTGCCCAGTCTATAACTTCCTTATTATCCTCATAATCCAACTGCAAATGCTTCAGATACAACTGGAGCTATCAAGACAAGCACACGTTGTGTTCCTTTTAGGACACTGTGCCAGCATTTGGTACTTGAAGACTTTTGGTAAGCTGAATAATTAAAAATCCAATGTAATTAGTTAAAACTCTGAGTCTTTAAGATAACATTTCATAAATATTCCATGATGATTTCCCAGACATGGCTATCACTCTAATAATTCTATGACTCAGGCCAGGTGTGGTGGCTCACACCTGTAATCCCAGCACTTGGGGAGATTGAGGCGGGTGAATCATGAGGTCAGGAGATCGAGACCATCCTGGCTAACACAGTGAAATCCCGTCTCTACTAAAAATACAAAAAATTAGCCAAGCATGGCGGCGGACACCTGTAGTCCCAGCTACTTGGGAGGCTGAGGCAGGAGAATGGCGTGAACCTGGGAGGTGGAGCTTGCAGTGAGCCGAGATTGCGCCACTGCACTCCAGCCTGGGTGACAGAGTGAGACTCCATCTCAATAAATAAATAAATAAATAAATAAATAAATAAAATAATTCTATGACTCACGTTCTTGGGCCCTGATGTATTTTGGGAGCCTGGTGGCCCATATTGACGCCAATAATTAAATATGGCATTTTTATGCTTAAACATACTACCTAGTAGTCACGGTATCCTATAACACAAATTTATAAGTCAACTTCTTGGGCTTTATAATATTTATTTCATAAAGTGTTTCAATAAATGTATACACCTTCAAATATTTTTCATGTTACATGTTACTAAAGATATTTGCTTAAAGTTATGGGAACAGTCTTACTTAAAAATTTTTCTATCTACAGCCTTATCTACAGTACTAAATAACCTATGTTTTTCATTCCAAAAATAATATGTTTGTGATATATTTAAAAAGTGAAAGAATATAGACAAGTAGAAAATTAAAAAAATTTATATTAGTCCCTTATTCTAGCCACCCCTTCTTCCCACTCAAAAAGTTTCTATTCATTGTCTTCTAACAATAGATAAATTGCATTTCAGAGGCCCATTTTATACTGTTTGTCATAGCGATGCATAGATTAAACATCTGAATGACTGATTTGGCATATTGTTTTCAGATTTTATATTTTGTCAACATTCCTTTTTACTGTGTACCCGCAGTGAAATCTATGTAACTTTACAAGAAAGAGGGAGACTAAAATGAAAATCATAATAGACTTAAAAGGCAACTAACCTTTTTCCACCTCATTCAGATTAGCAGCTGGCAGCGACAAAGACAGAAGAGACAAAAGACTTTTTACATTGCAATACAACAGCAGAGCACAGGAAGCCAATGCGCAGCGTTCACAACAGAGAAGCAGGGGTGGGCGAGCAAGCTGAAGCAAGGCTTGGATTTCTTACCTACAGCCGGGCCACACGCACAAACATGGAGAAAATGAGGCAAAAGGTAAATGCCATCACAGGGAGCTAGAGGTCTGCGTCTAAACCAGGTGATGGAACAACCAGCAGTTTTACTGTTTAAGATGGACACTGAATGGCTTGTGCATGGGCGTCAGAGATTCGGAAAACAAAGAGAAAATGGGTACACAATGGAAAATTTAAAGTGGTCTGAATATTTTCCACAAAATGTGTTCTAAGGCTTTACACACCCAATCTGCATGGAGATGTTCACTTTATGGAATTTAAGTAATCCCATTAAGTGAAAGAAGGGCTTAAAATGTGATCAACTGTGTCATACTTGTATGTGGTCCTGTAAGAATAAAAGTTAATTAAGACACACAGTCTTGATACAGCAGATCCAGGGTTCTGACTGTTGGGAAATATACAAAAGCACATTTTTGAATTAAACACCTAAGTTAACACTACAGCCTAAAAAAAGTGTCCATTTTTTAAAAAAACAGGGGTGCCACATTTATAGTTTTTATTTGCATAGGTGTTAGGTTTATGTTATTTCAGGAATTCCTTGGAAATTTAGCTCCAAGAAATGTCTTGTCTTTAGAAAGAAGATGATCATGATTTTAAAAAAATAACCAAACAAAAAATCAAAATCAACAAAATTCTCTCAAGCTACAATTAAAACCTTAAATTTAATTTTAAAATTATTTGTTTAACAATTCTGAAGTCCTACTTTCTTAATAGTATAGGGATGTTAATTTAGATTCATAGTGAATTCAACTTTTCAAAAGTTAATCTTACCTAAAATATACTAGTAATCGGCAGTCATGCATTACACAACTGGAAGCACAGATGATAACTGGAGTATATGGAGAATGGTTTTGGTGACTAGGGTGGTGAAGTTACAGCAATATTTAAATAACAGAAAAACAGTACTTGTCCTTACAATTCATGCTGTCAATCCCTGGAGCAGGAAAGAGCAGAGAATTTTCTCCTCTAACAAATCAGTAACTACTTACTGTGATATTTTGGTCACATAGGGCTTAAACAATGTTTAATAAATTCCCCATTGGTGGCTCATTTTATTTTAAATATTTCTAGTCACGTTTTGTAGTCTGTTCATCACATCATAACTTCTCTGTCAGATTGCTCTCAGATCTCTGAATTTGTTTCCATTGACATAATGTCCGTTCTGACTCTTGACATAGGTGTCAAATACAAAAACTGTCACCATAATAATTTACAAGCTTTTTTTCTGTAAGTCATTATTTGTTCTTATTAAACAGAGTTCACTTCTCATTGTATGCTTTCGGGATATAGAATAAAAAATTTTCAAAGGAAAAATCAACTTGTTACTAGGATGATTTTTAAACACTGACAACACTATTATATTCCCTGAGCATAGCAGGGCTTCTGCTCCCAGATCTCATGCTCATTAATCAGATTCCAAACTCAAATTTAAAACCATATAATCACATTATAAGAAAATTCCTCCTTAACTGCAGACTTGGATGAAGTAGGATATAAAACTCTAGAGCCTCATTCATACTTCCCCATAATTAAAGGTCACTTATGTGTCAATGATTTCAAAATCCGCAGATGGTTGTTAGAAATTTTGTAAATGAGCTCATTTCATGTGTGCACAAAAATACTACAATTAATAGATGAGTTATACATTTGCCCCATTTAGATACCTTCTCTCATGCCAAATTGTCAAACTCTTCATGGCCCACAAGACCCATTCCAAAGATAAAATGGTCATATCTTCATGTTCTGTACGCCATGCACTTTCTGTTTAGTATTTTTGTTGATTCTTTGCCCAAATTAAGGCAAACTGACATTTGCAATAGTTATAAGTAAAAAGACTAAAACAGTCCCAGTTCTTGTGGAGAGCCAAATGGCTCTTGACAGATACTCATGGCAAGTTCCCAGATGACAGCTTTTATAGATGTCACATTTTGGCTAAAAAATGGTTTGGCTAAGCTTTAGGTATTTATGATATGTTTCAAAGAAAGAGATCTGACATAGTTGGGGAAGTGAGGCTTCATAACACTTCTCCAAGGAAACTGCTCTGAACTGACACTTAGAATAGGAGAAAACATGTGTTCAAGAGGAGCAGGTGTAGGGAGGGAGCTGGGGAAATGAAGGGTGAGCAGGTGAGACAAAGACTCAAAAGAAATGGATAAGAATAAGGAATAGCAAATCTAAAGTCAAAGCAGGAGGACTCCTCCAAACCAACTCAAGAGTCCTCAACCACCTTCTAGAAATTTTATTGTCAAAAAGACACATAAGAACCTGATTGCAGTTGTGCTCCAAAGCCTAGGTTTTCATCAGGAAATATATATATATATATATATATATATATATACATATATATATATATATATTCCTGGTTCTGTGCATTGGTTAGGCAAAGCTTGCTTGAAATGCTTGGGTCCAATTTGTCTGGTGCAGTGACAGTGGCTTGGTTTAAGGAGGCCTCCAAAATTAACTGGGTTCTTAAGCCCTGTCTATAATGATCAGGAAAATGATGGAAAAGAGAATTATTCTATCCTAAGAAGGTACCAGGTAGCAGATTTTAGTGCAAACATCGGGCTTCTTGGAGAAGTCTAAATTAGCCCATCCAATGAAGTTAAATTCTTAGGCAGCTCAAAGGGCTCCAAGTCAAGTTTCTGAGGTGTGATAATATTGGTAATATTAGTGTGAAAATCAAAGCTACATAACATTTACATTCTTTCCAGATACTCTAGAAAGGTGCATGTTGAATATACTTGCTATTCTTTGTTTATGTAAAATATCAAATAATGCTAAAATTCCACCCACTAAGCAGTCGAAGGGCCATAGACAACTACTAGAAGACTTGGTAATACAGCACGTTCAAATTTCTACTGGAAACTTAATATGCTATTACTGCTTTACATGACATTGGGTGCTTTATTGGTGCCAAAAAAATAAAAATTAAAAATAAGACCCTAGAAAAGGCAGCCTTCAGAGTCACTCAAACAGATCTGGGTTGCCAAAACCGAGCCTCATTATTCTACCTAGCATTTTCCCATCAAGAAAGGTACCTAGTAAAGTTCAGTTTGGGTATTCCATAAAAGCTTCCGTTTTAATAATTTTCCAACAAATCCCTGGGAAAATTTAATTATACAGATGTATGTTCATCTTTCATGTTATGAGATGTTAACTCCAGTCACCTGCATTGTAATTTCATCCTTTGATTTTCTCGCTATGTATTAAATTATATGAAAACAGACATAGTAAATGAAATGCACCCAGAAAATGAAAACGGCAACTTTGAGTAGAGTGATCAAAATTACTTCTCCATTTTTTTTCTTACAAATAAAATGTACAACTTTCTTGTTTTTCCTTTGTCAATGTTAAGTAATTTATTAAAGGAAAAAGAGCATATCTATGAAGTTTCTAATTCGGAGCCACAAAAAATAAAAATAAAAAATCAATTCTGACAAAACAGACAAGTCATAAACTTGATGTTGACTTTAGAGCAAATTGGTTTGAATAGGGAGGAAGTTTAGCAATTAATACTCTAATGAGATGTGTCATCCAAAGAAACAAAAGTGTTAGAAAAAAGGTGATAGTCTTATAAGACTATCCAAAGTGCTCAATATCTTCCTGACTTTTATTTTGAGGGACATGGGTTACTAGAGGCAAATACTCACTAGCGAAGACACAAGTATGAAGACAAATGATCTCAAAAGCTTAATTATGTTTTGGCTATTAAATAAATGTCCTCTTTACACACAGGTACTGGGGATTGGTTTGCACAGGGAAAATGGTTTGCACAAAAATGCCATTTAATTGTGGGACTAAAAGCTTTAGCAAAATAGCTTCTTTTATTACTGGATAGCATGGCTTTATAATAGATGCGTATGTTTGAACAGAGATTCCTGGGTCTTTTATTTGGTTAGCTGAAACTATCTTTAAGTCCTTATGTTATTTACATTACATCTGATTTTCAAGACACCTACCATTTATCAAATAAAAAAAGATTTACTAAACATATATAACATAGTTCCAATGATGCTTTCAAACAGATATACTGATGGAAGGCAAAATATTTCCTATTATTTGTACCTGTATACTCAGGTGGGCAAAGGCATGTGTAGTTATTAATGCCATCGACACATGTAGAATTATTTTCACAGTCATTATCTTCACAATCATCAACGTTGACTTCACAATTTTCTCCTTCAAATCCATCAGCACAAATACACCTGAATGCCAGAGGAGAAAAGGCAAAAAACATCTTTTTGTTGCATTTTAAAGTCATGTGGTCTAAATATTGAAAAAAGCATAATTACACTCATCAACCATAGAGCTTTTAACTACCAGAAATTGATTTTTTAAAATGCTTTTAACTGACATGTTGTAAACATCAATTTAAGGTAATATCCACCAAAGCAGAAACCCTTCAAAAAATAAAATTTATGCCGGTTGCAAGAAGGCAAATGGTTCCATGGTCTTAAAAGTCAACAAACCCACTGTATTTGCAGGTCTAAAACACAAGCAGTTTTATTCCACAGCCCTAGATATCTTAATCTTGAGTTGTGCTCTAATAAAATAATTCAGGCTTCTTTGCTCATAAATGAAGAGGAACTGGTTCTGATCTTTAAAATTGCAATATCTACTAACATACTTATAATGTCCTTGATGTTTTGAAAAAAAAAATCCGAAAACAAAATTTTGTCTTCCTTGCAATTACAAAATGTGAATGTTCTCTTTGTCTTAAATACAATCCTTCCTCTGGCATAAAACTATCTTGAGTATGTATCGAATAATTTTTGAGTAAAGTCTAGATGAATAAGAGAGAACTTCATAATAGAATGCAGCAGTGAAGTCTATTTCTTCTAAAAAGTGAAATTCTAACAAGTTTTAGTAGTATATTAGCATTCTTATGTGACATTATTAGTGTCATTTAATAAAGAGCTCCAGTTCATAATTCATGAAGTACATCTGAAGTAATTGTACCATATGATTAAATAACTCCAGATTAAAATCGTTCACAGCAAGTCTGTCTACTTACATTGTGTCTTGGAAATAAATCGTTAATTTTCTGTTTCAGTGGGACCTATATCTTGTCATTACACACTGTCTGTTAAAGCAATAAGCAAAACAACAGATGAATATATGACTAGCAGTAGGGGACTAGTTGGCTATTAATTAGTATAATGGAGCCAATATTAATACTTTGTCTTGCCCTAATCTGACCTGATTAACCATAATGTGCACATGTGTATGTTTGTAAATTAGTTTTGGTTTTGTAGCATCCTGTGCTGAGAATGCTGTAGTGTCTCCATTTATTTTTTATATTGCAATATCTACGAGAGGGACCAATACATATTGCCATTTCTCTCAAATTCTTTGAAAAATACTGTCCTTTGATTTGAAAAGGAAAATGTATGTTGGCTTAGTTATCTTTGCTCCAATACTTCAGACACAGATGGTCATAGACTAATGACCTACCAGAATCCATCTTCTTCTCCTTCCTTTAAGTGGCAAGTTCCTCCATGTTTACATGGGTTACTGATGCAGGCATGAATTGGGACATCACAGTCCTGCCCCTGGAGAAGAAGGGGCAAGTATAGTCGAGTGAAGTAGTTCTTGGCACATACAGAAAGCACAGTAGAATAATAAAGGCACACCAAGAAAAGTTATGCTCTCAAACTGTGACTCTTAAAGTGCTTTTACTTACCTTGAAACCATATGGACAGGTGCATCGGTAAAAGTCAACTGGATCACTATTACATGTGCCATCATTTTTACACGGATTTGATAGGCAGGGGTTACACTTAGCTAGAATATTGACATCCACAGGACCTGAAAATTAATTCAAAAATATAAGCAACTGACGCTCTTCCAGTTTACTTTTAATTACTTGTATGCCTTAATGTAATGGTAAATTTCATATAAAATTATTATTGGTCACATATCTATATGTGTCTCTCATCCATGACAAGCCAGAAATCAGCATCCTCCGATGATGTTCAAGAATGCAACAGGAGGCCTTCTCAATTGGATGTACTGTGAGCCTCTCTGAAGTCAGTGTGGGACTCTGAGTTGGTATCTGATGTTAATGGTGCCAGTGTCACAGAGTCCCCTCATGGGCTGACTAGTTTATGTGGATGTGTTTCTTGGTCATTGTCTGTACTTTAACCTCCTCCTGCTTCATGGACATGCCTATTGTCAGTCCCAGAGAAGACTACGTGTGTGGGTGTGGTGTGGGGTGAGCAAATTTTAGAAATAAGTAGAAATTTAACACTGTAATTAAATACACAATACAATGCACCTGCCCAGGTAACATTGACTCAGTAGTACGACTTTCATATAGGAGATACAAAACAGTGCCACTTTATGCATATAGAAATAAACCAAAAGTGTAACCTTCATTATCATCTCCCTCATTTCCTTTTGATTCGGTTTATTTGTTGGTTCATTTGCACAATATGTGATGGGTGATGTTTCTGTATCTTCCTCTCCAAAAAGAAAACATCTTTGAAACGATCTTTACTTGCAAAATCATGTTTTGGGAGACATCTTTAAAAGACTTCAAGAGCTGTAAGGTCTCGATTAAATGCATATTTAGCCACAGCCATTTTCCTTTGTTCACAAATACTTATTGGACAAATGACTAACAATGTGGAAATTGTACTGTCCTCAATAAAAGTATGTTCCACCTATGATACTTTGTGCATTCTGTGTGAGAGCTCACCACAAGGCCTTTTGGCAAATGTGTCTGAAAAGGACACTGACATCTTTATACATAAAACACATACATTTCTTACTGTCAACATTAATTATATTTCACTCTGTAGTATTTCTCTGTAGTTCTTTATCTTCACTGGAACAAGCAGCAATAATTCTAATTGAACATTTTATCACAAGCAATTTCTAGCAAAGTTATGTGGATAATTACAGAGCAGCTCTGCACCCCCACCGTTACTGCTCTAACCTTCTAAGGTGCCTTCACCAAAAAGCTATATAACTTCTACTCACATAAACTACCTGCATCAAATTATTCTACAGATTACAGCCCACGCTTGCGTTGTTGATCTACTGAAAGAAACTCATGTATGTAAGAGAACATGAATAAATATGGTGGCCACAGAGATTCATTGTATCTCTTCATATCCTTTACCCTGGGAAATACTAGCACATATTCAAGTAACAGTATTGAATTAAAATCCATGAAAATGATAGTGTCCTGTAGTGTTTAGCTTTCCTATCGATTAAAAAACTCTTGAAATGTATCCACATAGAAATTGTTTTTTGTTTGTTTGTTTTTAACCATTAGGAGAAAATTAACTGTTCCTAGGATGACCGTATTAAGGGAAAGAGGTGGTGCTTACTTCTTCTAGTGATGCCTCAGTCACTAGGAGAGACTGTGCCAGTGCTAATGTCCCTTACATTTTGTCTTGGTAACTACAATAACTAAAGGAGTCTCTATATCAAATTACAGCTGGGAAACTGCTGGCATTAATTCTGAAGTAAAGTAAGCTCCATAGAAATTTAATTTCTCTCCGCCCTCCCCAATTTATTTATCAATTAAGGGCAAAAAACTTAGCTGTTCAGCACACTGCAGAAATGAATGGTGACAGTGAAAGCAGTTAGTTAAATTAGCATAATACCTAACAATAAATGGTTTTGAGTTTGCTAAAGTTATATATGAGTCAGCAAGAGGAAAGAAAATAGCTCATTGCTAGCAGATCCCTTAATAGTTTACAGGAAAGAACCTAACTCAGAACAAAGGCGTAGGATGGAACGGTGAAGAACGTATGCCAGCAAAACAGCAAGTCAGCAAATGCAACGACTATAAGCATTTATCTGGCCACATCCCACGGCCTCGAGAAAAAATGTCTTTTGGCCTGTTACTGTGCTTTCAACCTTGTAAGGCTGTGGTTTAAATAAAAGGAGTTTGGGGTTGGCAGTTTGTAAGTTCATCCTGTGGAATGTGACATGTTCCAAAAATTATGTTTGAGTAATTAGATGAGAAATTAAAGAGATTGTCTTAGGGAAGAAAATGGAATACACTTTGAAGAATTTAATCGAGTATACTGGCAGCATCATTGCCTGGCTGAAGTAGTTCATGTTCATTTTACCACGTAGTGGGGATTTATTTAATAAATGTCCACCGGACCATATCTGATTAATAATCACTATCTAATTTCTTTGCATTTTATTCCAGACCAAATTTGGTTTTCCACAGCGATAATTATGCTGAATTATTTTCATATCTGGAATTTGTTATGGGAGATTGTTGCCTCCTCATATATGTTCAGTTTAGCTAAAAAAAAAAAATCAAGATAACAAGCATTCTCATACACTCAGGACTCTTTTAACAATTTCTTAAACCTGCTGAACTGATTGTGGCATAGGGTTTGGGAATATAGCAAAATACTGAGTTCCAACTTCTTCAGGTTGGTAAAGCTCATGACTACCAACTTTACCAAAATGGTAAAGTTAGCTATCATTCTATTTGCTTCTTGTTTTTCATATCTTTTAAAACCCAGTTATTCAACAATCATTTCTTATTTCTAGCACTTGAGTTTGAGTGAAGGGTAATACAAAAGATGTTTGTAAGTCAAACAAATTCCACATAGCAGCCTCCTCTCATATCTCTAAAGGTCTAAATATGATATAATTTCTTTTCCTATTTTATGTAGCTTGTAATTCTCCTTAACCAAAAATCCTTTTCAGAATGTGATTTTTACATCTACCTGGTTTATCTAAATCCACTTGTTTCTATAGTCTAATCTCTTGAAATAATATTCTTTGCATCTGGCTCTCCTCCCATTCATCTCCCTGTCCATATTTTGCCCTTCTAAGTCCATCTTCTGTCTTCTGTTTGCATTCAACTTGTGATTCATTTTCTATCCACTACACTTTCTCAGAGCACCTCTCCTGAAATCTTCTTAATCAAGGAGAATGACAACTTTAATCTGTTTATACAATAAGGAGATAATATCAGAGCTAAAAAGAGATGCCAAATAAAGTCATAAAATGAGGGAAGAAGCACACCTCTCCACGAGCAAGCCAACACTTGGCAGAATTTTCCACACTTGATCAGTCCTAGGTGAAAAGATGTCCATAATATGTAGCAATCTTGGGCATAGGATCTGAAATCCACCAACCCAAGTTAAACCCAGATTTACTACTTAAGTGTGTGGTATTAGGATAATGGCAGCCATTCCAATAGGTTGTTTTAAGATGTCAATGAATGTCAAGGAGGGAACCTAGTGAGATCAAATACAAAATTACGGCAAGTACTGACACTCTTTCTTAGACTTCCAGAGAGTTGGAATAGGTAGGAGGAACAAAAAGTGTTTTATTTAAAAGGAGAAAAGCAGTCATTTTCTTGTTTGTCCAAATTTCAACACAGACAAAGGCAAATTAGATCTTGCTGTTTATCTATTCATCACAGTCTCCCTGAGAGCCTTCTATATATGCTAGGAGCTGCTCAAATTTGGGGAAACTACAGGGACTATTAGGAAACCCATGGGAAATAGAAGTGGGCACCGGGTACAACACTGAGAGTTAATGACTTTAAGCTGTTAGGGAAAGCAACTGTGATTTACAAATTAGGTGTGGACAAGCACCAGAAATAATAGTACACCTTTAAGAAACAGAAGAGGTTCTCTTTGTTCTTTCATTGCTGCTTGGTAAAGAACTGCAATCTTTAAGCTTTTCTCCTTTCTAAAGCTAACTGGTTCCAAGAAATGTTAACATATTATTAACAAATTAGCTTTCATGAGATGTGTGCCACGGAGGGGAAAGGAAACGTAGCTTCAGGGATAAAGATCTTTACTAACATCACTAAAATGAAGGAGAACAGTCGAGGTGAACTGGATTGATTTAAGATTTGGTTTTGATTAAGAGAGCACTATAGCATTAGCTATATGGGTGGAGGTGTGGTTAGCTTAATAATTCAAAGAGAAAATGAGAAGAAAGTTTGGTTAACAATCTGTCTCTGTCAGTTACTTTAATCTTTAATGGAAGAACTGTTGGACCTCGATTCCATTAAAGCCTGTAGGCAGACTAGCTTACTTGACTAAAATCACTAGTTACGCACCTGACACCACTATTGCTACCCAGTGAGTACTGTATCTCATTTTGATTTATTACCAAAAGCTCCAGACAAAAACTTCTAGCTATATTCTAGAATCTGCCTTCATTCTGGCATCCCTTGGAAACATGGGTCAAATAACAAAATCCTCTAGCACTGCCCTTCTATCAAGCCAGAGGTACATCAAAGGCAACTCAGGAAAACATCCTGGGGATATTTGATGTTGGGTATAATTAACTAAAAGAAGGTTTTTATTTAAAACCAATGCTTTTACGCTCCACTTGCAATTACATTATGGCATTTCTCAAGTTTTATTAATAATACCAAATGCATATTTGTTAACAACATTCCATCATTAATTTATCAAATATTTACTGAGCATCTACATTGTGCCAGGGACTAGGCCAGATTTTCAGAGACCAAAGACAAGTGAAATGCCTGAATTTCTGAAAAAACTTACAGTTTAGCAGGAGAGACATACATGTATCAATTAGAGAGTGGATGTGGGGAATGAGAATGCATGTCTTAGAATATGTGTTTCAAGTTTCTGCAAGCCATCAAGGGAGAAGAATCCACTAAGTGAATGGAAATATGAATGTGAAGTTCTTAAGAAAAGCCATGGCTAGAAATTTAAAGGCATGGATTGAAATCTACTGAGAATTTGATAGGGCTAAAGATAGAATGCTACATGTCTACATGAAAAAGTGGGTGAAAAAATAAAAGGAATGAGGAAGCCAAGAGATTGTAGAGGAAGGAGAAGTGGCCACCAATGTCGAAGATGTAAAGACAGCAAATAAAGATAAGTAAAAAGAAGCCACTAAATTGGCAAGATAGAAGATACTGGTGTTCTAGTTTCAGTGGAGGGGTGGAGATGATCTCCAGATGACAGAGGTTAAAATCCTGTAAATTTGCATTGTAAAAATCGTTAGCTAAAAACACAAAGGCTAAATTACTACACCTTTTGGATTACCAGGCTTGGCCATTCGCAACACCTACATGTGACTTTGGGCCACTAAATGAACTTCCTGAGCCAAAATTACATGGAAAGGGCAATAATTATTTTATAAAATCTTTGCATTGGAGAGAATATGGATGTAAAACATATAAGAACAGAGCATTAATTGCTAGTTCTCTTTACCTATTAAAATAAATATCTGTTAAGTTTTTCCCAGTGTTTTAAGTTTTAAAAAGTATAATAAAAGAGCCCCCCCTTTTTTAAATGGTACGTTTAGCATACTACCATATCCAAACCTGAATGTTCTCTTTAGCCAATAAGCAAATCAAAACCTCCAAAATCTAAGGTAATTTCCAAGATACAACTATGTACTAGTAATACTAAATCTGAAAATGTAAAAAAGATTTGACCAAGTTCTAAATAATGCTTCAAAACTGATCTAACTGATCAGTTTTGAATAATTATTATTCTAAATAATGCTTCAAAACTGATCTAAATAATGCTTCAAAACTGAATTTTTCATTGCTTTAGGTTGGGCTCAATTATTTAATCACCTTCATGCTTAATTCAACGACTAACGACAATATCAATAATTTTAAGACACAGAACAAAAGCTCCCACTCAAGCCTATCAAAAACTCGTCCAAAATGGAAAACATCAACTTGCTAAGAAAAACAATAATATTACAATGTTATTGCTGAGAATTGTGAAGTTTTTCACAGGAATTCCAGAATCTAGAGGATTCCTAACATATAAAATTAGAGGAAGAGATCAACCACAGCATGCTAAATGTTGATTATCATGGGTTATGCCAATGTTTCAGGTTTCTTTGATCCTTCAGCTGGCCTTTACAAATGAAGTAATGAGGTACATTCAGCATCGTATCCTGGCCTTTCTTTTGAGCTCATGGCTACCAGACCCCTCCCCTTTTGGGCCTCCTCCCCTCTTTGTGTTATACTCCATTTGATTCAAAAGAAGAATTTCCTGTTGGCCTCTTGGACCTGACAGTATCAGTTACAATTCCATAGTCATCTGGTATAGATATATTATTAGCATCTTACACATATTTCTATCACCAGACTTCCATACCATTTTTTAGAATTATCTATTTAAAAGTATCTATCAGTAGAGTATCAGGTCCATGAGGACAGAGGTTTTACTCTGAATTGTTTATTGTTGTATTCTTATCACCTAGACACAGTGCCTTGAACATTGTACGAACTTGAATAATATTTGTTTAATTAATGAATAAACATATCATTCATCTCCATGAGTCTGTTCACTCTTCAGCACATGTAAGTCATCTCCATTAGATTGTTCACTCATTAGCATATGTAATTATTTAATAAATGTCTTTCAAATAAAAAAATAATTTAGTTGCCTCCATAGCTAAAACTTCCTGAACCAAGAGAAATAAAGGGAATATTAGAAATTAACAATGTTCCACTTTCCACACTGACTTTCTCAATGACTATCTGGAGAGGACAAAAACTGTTTTATTGCAGACTGCTTAATCACTCTAACGTCATCTTATATTTAAAAGATGAGGTCAGGACATTTGGGTTATAAAGACAAGTCATGGCCATCTGCTTCCCACTCAGGGATGCTCTATCTGGGTATTAATTAAATATGATCTGATAATCAATTTCTTCCTGTTCATTTATTTCTGTTATGCATCAAAATGATGAGAGTTTACCATAAAGAAAACACTTTTGTCTTTATTAAAATAGTTAATGACTCAAAATAACAGCATGGCATCCTTTAGCAGAAAAAAACATTTAAATTGTATTTAAATATAGCTATGTAAACATGCATTCAATTAAAAATATTTGTCTTCCTGCTATATTTTGAAATTATACATTGACAAACCTTAATATTGAGAGTTTGTACTTACATAATTTTCATGAATAAAATAAAAATACATTAGACTGGCATAACTAGAGGGAAAGTTAAGTTAAAATATGTAAACCTCAATTATAAAACATTTAAAGAAACATGACTTTGCTGCTTTAAAACTCAAAAAGCATATATGCTTAATAGTATAGTACTCAGTGGATTTCCTTGAATGAATTATTTTAATTAATAGATTAAAATACTTGGCCTTCTACCAATCCATTTTTACAAGTAAATATTTCTAGTAAAGCTTTTGAGGGTAGTTCAGAATTTTCATTTTCTAAGTATGTTTCAATAATAGGGTGGCAATCTTATTTACACTGAAAATTTATTTTGAAAATACTTTTATTAAAAACTTTAAAATAAACTTAAGCAGTAAGCTTTGGAATCAGAGTCAAGGTTCAAATTCTGACTCCAGTCGGCAGCTGAGTGATTTTTAAAAATTGCTTAATAACTCTAAAATACAATATTTTCATATCTCAAATGGGGAAATGATAGTTTTCACTATAAGAATGGCGGAAAGATTAAAAGAGATAAAAATCTATGTAAAGTACTCAGCATTAGGTAAACTATTCAATAGAACTTAGCTATTATTGTTATTATTATTTGTAGTGGTAGTAGTATTGGCAACTATCCAGTCTAAACTGTCATAAACCTTGAACTAGCAGAGTCTTCATTAATAGGACAATGAAACTTCAAAATAGCTTGACAAATGCTGAGACAAATGCTGGCAAAGGGCACTGTAAGTTTCAGTGCCTATCACTCTAAAATTCAGTTACAGAAAAACTGAGTAAACTCTTAAGTCTTCTAAACGCAACTGCAACTATATTGATTGAGTCTTGAATGTCTACTCTGCTTGCCAACTGGCTTACACGCATGCTGTTTGCTATTTAAGGTATACTTTGAAATACGTGCAATCTATTGATCTTATAGTTTAGTGAATATTAAACTGAACTTCCACAGTTGAAATGATAAATTTAGGCTTTACATCATCTGACAATTAACAAGTTTTAGCTCAACTGTTTTTGGTGGCCCTGGAACAGGTCCAGAAGTTTCCTACGTGCAAGCTCTGCTCCCACAGTTATGCCCACCTGTAGCATTATCCTCACACTTGTCTGCTTGTCCACTTATGTCATTACATCTTTCACAGCCCTCCTTCTTTTACACAAATTATCCCTCTGAGTTCTTGTAGCAACTACACTATCCACTATGGTAGCCACTAGACATGCATGTATATTTCAGTTTAAAGGTAAATAAAATAAAATAACAATTATTTTTCTCAATTGCATTAGCCATATTGTAAGTGCTCTATAATCCTATGTAACTAGTGGCTACCACATTGAATAGTGCAGATTTGGAACATTTCTATTACTATAGAAAGTTGTATTGGGCAGTGCTGAAAAGTGCTAATTTTCCCTGAAACATATTTCCATTCATGCTACATTAAGTATATGAGATTCTATAGTCATTAAATGTAAAAAAAGCTCAAGTTAGTCAGATAAATACTGAGTTACACAAAGATGTACGTAGGTATGAATGTATGTACAGGCAGACCTTGGAGATATTGTGGGTTTGGTTCCAGACTACCGCAATAAAGTGAATATTGCAATAAAGACAGTCAAACAAATTTTTTGGTTTGCCAGTGCATATAAAAGTTATTTTTAACTATACTATTATATGTTAAATGTGTCTTAAAATGCAATACCTTAATTATAAAATATTTTATTGCTAAAAAATGTGAATGATCATCTGAGCCTTCAGTTAGTTGTAATCTTTCTGCTAGCCAAGGTTGTCTCCTTGGAGTTAGTGGCTGGTGAGACTGATCAGGGTAATGGTTGCTGAAGGTTGGGGTGGCTGTAGCAATTTCTTAAAATAAGACAACAATGAATTTTGCTGCCTCAATTGACTCTTCCTTTCACCAGATATTTCTCTGTAGTATGTGATGCTGTTTGATAGCCTTTTATCCACAGTAGAACATTTTTTCAAAATTGGAGTCAATCCTCTCAAACTCTGCCATTGTGTTATCAACTAAGTTTATATAATATTCTAAATCCTTTGTGGCTATTTCAACAATGTTCACAGCATCTTCACCAGGAGTGGACTTCATCTCAATAAACCACTTTGTTTGCTCATCCGTAAGAAGCATCTCCTTATTCATTGAAGTTTTATCATGAGACTGCAGCAATTCAGTCACATCTTCAGGCTCCACTTCTAATTCTAATCTCTTGCTATTTCTACCACATGTGTAGTTACCTACTCTATTGAAGTTTTCAACTCTTCAAAGTCATCTATGCAGATTGGAATCAACTTCTTCCAAACTCCTGTTAATATGGATATTTTGCTCTCCTCCCATGAATCACAAATGTTCTTAATGTCATCTAGAATGGTGAATCTTTTCCAGAAGGATTTCAATTTACTATGCCCAAATCCATCAGAAGAACCACTATGTACAGCTGCTGTAGCCTTATAAAATGTATTTCTGAAATAAGACTTGAAAATCAAAATTATTCCTTTATCCATGGGCTGCAGAATGGATATTGCATCAGCAGGCATATAAACATCATTCTCCTTGTGTATTTCCATCAGAGCTCTTGGGTGACTAGGTGCACTGTGAAGAAGCAGTAATATTATGAAACAAATCATTCTGAGCAACAAGTCTCAAGAATGGGCTTAAATTATTCAGGAAACCATGCTGTAAACAGGTGTACTCTCATCTAGGCTCTGTTGTTCCATTTATAGAGCATAAGCAGAGTAGATTTACCGTAATTATCAAGGGCTCTAGGATTTTCGGAATGGTAAATGAGCATTGGCTTCAACTTCTTAGCCCCTAACAAGACAGTCAGCCTGTCCTCTGAAACTTTGAAGCCAGGCACTGACTTCTCTTTAGCTATGAAAATCCTAGATGACATCTGCTTCCAATAAAGTCTGTTTCATCTACATTGAAAATCTGTTGTTTAACAGTGTCACCACCTTCATCAATTATCTTAGATCTTCTGGGTAACTTGCTGTAGCTTCTACATCAGTACTTGGAGCTTCACCTTGCACTTTCATGTGACAGAGAAGGCTTGTTTCCTTAAACCTCAAGAATCAACCTCTGCTAGCTTCCAACTTTTCTTCTACAGCTTCCTCACTTCTCTGAGCCTTCATAAAAATAAAGAGAGTTGGGGCCTTGCTTTAGGTTAGGGTTTTGTTTAAAGGAATTTTGTGGCTGGTTTGGTCTTCCATTTGGATCACTAACACTTTCTCCATATCAGCAATAAGGCTGTTTCATTTTCTTATCATTGGTCTGTTTGCTGGAATAACACTTTTAATTTCCTTCAAGAACTTTTGCTTTGTATTCACAACTTGGCTAACTGTTTGGCACAAGAGGCTTAGCTTTGGGTCTCTCTCGGCTTTCAACGTGGCCTTCCTTGCTACATTTTTGTTGTTGTTGTTGTTGTTAATAATTTCTAGCTTTTGATTTAATGTGAGAGATATGAGACTCTTTCTTTCACTTGAACACTTAGAGACCACTGTAGTGTTATGTCTGGCCTAATTTCAGTATTGTTGGGTCTCAGAGAATTGGGATTCCCAAGGTGAAAGAGAGAGAGAGAGACAGGGGACTTATCTTGGACTTCCAAGAGCATTTCACAAATTAGTGTAAACTGTGATGCTCTAAGAGTGGAGTACAAATATGCAACTTTTTTCAGATTTGTGTTATAATTTTTTTTCAAGAAATACCTGTAGGGAATTATAAACTTTAAGAAATACAGATAAGCATTAGCATTATTGAAAATAAAGTATGAGTATCGCTGGGCACAGAAAGGTGTAACAGAATCAGTTTGCAGTTTGTCAACTTCCCCATGAAATTTGCCTGATAATGTGCTGAGTAGAAGGTTTTATGCCAGTTTCACCTTCCTTTCCTCCCCTTTGACAATCATCTCTCTCTCACTTTACAAAATAATGATATACTTCTCAGCCCACCAGAAACTTATCACAGGACACTGTCCCAATAAAGATCTAGGATCGTAAAGGAAAGATTATTGCAAAAATTCTTGCAATCAATGCACATAATCCCAGAGAGGCACTGCAATAAAATTTCACTTTCAACTTTAAATAAAATAAAATATTGATAAATAATTATGTAGTTTCAATCAGTGATGCACTAATATTAACAGCAATAATTCAATTCAAAGAAGATGTAAAAACTTACAGCCTTTTGGTGGCAGGAAATTTTAAAATTTCAATTGTATACATAGTTTTTGGAGCAAAAAAATGACACAATTTTCTGGGGTATTGAAAATAGGAATTCAAGGAGAAAATACAGTTTAAGAAAAAAACAATGCAATATATTAAGGGGGATCTTGTTTTTTTCCTTTTATAAAATTAGCTCTGATATTTAGATTCCACCAGATACATTTAAAAAAAATCTCAGATGAGTTTTGTTTTAAAATGTCAATATTTACAATGTGGTGCAAATTACCTTTTGCAAACATTTACCACCATGAAATAGATTAGAGGCCAAATTAAAAACGTTGAGGGTATGTATAGGATTTGAAAATTACTTTTTTATTAATAAACCATGAAGTGTCCTACATCACCTTTTTTTGGTGTTTTGAAATGTTATAACAATACAATCAGCAGCTAACATATTGAATGTTTCTGTGTTTGAGGCAGTCTTTTATCTATATTATCTAATCTTAACAAAATCCTTTCAGACTGTAACCATCACCACCTTTGCTTACAATGAGGAAACCGAGGCACAGACTAGTAAAGTAATTAAACTACAGTTAACTCTTACCAAAAAGTGAAGCTGGAATTTGGCTCCAGCCAGGCTGGGCTTCAGAGCTCACACTGCAACCCACCGCACAGCATTACCTACTTAAGTACGTTTTTCCTCCATAAATATTCAAATGTTGAAAGCTTATCTTTTTAGTTAGGTTTTCAAATCATGGAAGGCAAGGCCATACCATGAAGTTCTCTATGCTCCATAACACCTAGGATTGAGTTTTGCACATAAAACATGCTTAATCAATATTTTCTGATTAGACATTTAACATTTTCAAGAATTTCTCTCCTCCATCTAATAATGATGAGTGACCTTCTTAAAATACACACAATCTGGCCAGGCGTGGTGGCTCACACCTGTAATCCCAGCACTTTGGGAGGCCAAGGGGGTGTGGATCATGAGGTCAGGAGTTCAAGACCAGCCTGGCCAACATGGTGAAACCCCGTCTCTACTAAAAATACAAAAATTAGCTGGGTATGTTGGCACATGCCTGTAATCCCAGCTACTCGGGAGGCTGAGGCAGGAGAATTGCTTGAGCCGGGACCCGGGAGGTGGAGGTTGCAGTGAGCTGAGATCGTGCCACTGCACTCCAGCCTGGGCTACAGAGGGAAACTCTGTCTCAAACAAACAAAAAAAAAACAAAACAAAAGCCCCCCCAAAACCCCACAATCTAAGAATAATAGTAAACTTTATCCCACTTTTTATAAGGAACCTAAATCCATATAGTTGACTACCATCAGTGGAAATATTTACACAATAACTTTAGTAGTCGTTATCTCCAGGTATGCTGACTAATGGTTAATTTTATTTCTTCTTGCAGAAAATAAATTGTTTCTTATTATTCATATTTTTCTATTTAGGGGCATGTATTATTCTTGTAATAAAAAGGAAAATAATATTTGTTATTCTGACAATATTTAGATTCACAAATACATCAAACAAAGGGAAAAGAAAGGGATACAAACAAGCAAGAAACAAGAACATCAACACAGGAAGGCTGCAGCACATAAGGCGAGTCAGAAGGTTTGGGCTGAACACTGGGGAGGGCCTGTTTCTCCTTACCTGGTATGAGGAAGCCACAGGGCCCTGGCAGCCCTAGGAGCAGGGCACATGTTCAGACAGGGCAAAAGCAAAACATTTGACTTGTTAGAGGCTATGAAAGGAATTTCCAGAAATTGTGAACTCTACGTTTTTTGATACACTTTCAAGAAAACTTGGTCATTACCAATGGACTATTTCTGAGATTTATTTGAAAAGCCTAATTCTTTACTTGGGCACCTCAGGTAACTGCTCTGTCTTGTCCAAGCATGGGCTGAAAAAATAATCATTTACTGGGCATTTCAACCATACCTTTGGATTGACAATTGGTTGTCTTTTTCTTTTTTACTTAATATAGTAATTCTTAAAAGAAATACAAATGATTAAAAACCATACCTTGACAGGTAAATTTTTTGGAGGGAGTTGTGAGTAAAAGTTTATCTGCCATTTCTCCAGGACCAGCACAACGAGCAATTCCAGGCTCCTTATATTCCGACTTCACCCAGTCGGATAACCACTGCATGTTACAATCACAGTAAAGAGGGTTGGCTCCAATTGCTCTGGAAAAACAACACCACAGAAGCACACACACATACACACACACACATACACACACACACACACACACAAGTATGGAAGTATTGTTATTTCCTAAGGGCAAAAGAATTCAAAGTGATGCTCAGCAGAAAATCCCCATAGATTTATTGAGGATAACAATTTAGCAAAAAAATAGAGACACTGGGGATTCCCCATTTTCCTGAATGATGTGCACTGGGATTTAGTGAGTTGTCACTGGTGTCAACACTCATGTTGCTTTAGAAGGTCTCCTAATATTTTCAGAGACGTGTTTATATTGAGTGTAAACACACCGAGTGCATTACTATTTCATTCACCAATTATTTACTGATGACTTAAGTCACAATGCAAGGTTCTGAGGACCCAAATATAAATAATGCATTATTCTTACCTCCAAAGAACCCCTGCTGCAGAGGAGATTAGCATTAGCATTGGGATATACTCACAGATGCAAAGAAGTTTCATTAGAAGTGATGTAGGAGAAGTATTTACAAGATGATGGTGAACAAACAGATTAACTTTTCTGGGAGGCTGGTGGTTAAGAAAGTCTAAGCTGTGTAGGATAGTTAGAGTTAAGTAGAAAGAAAGGTTGGGAATAATGATACAGATAAAGGACAGGTAAGTACAAAGAAAGAACATAAAATACTGAAGATGTCTAGAGCTAGCTCACCAGAGCTGAGCTGGACCTGCACTGGGTGCTGTCTGTCACTTTTCAAGATCGTTCATTTTACGGTTGTTCATTAGAAGTAGTGACAGGAAAGTAATCAAGGTAATAGCTAACATTTATTGCACTATTACTATATGCAGGAGCTGGGATAAGCCATTTATAAGAATTACTTCATTTTATCCTAAATAGTAACTTTATAAGGTCCATTTAATTAATAATTGACTTTACAGATTAAGAAACTGAGACCTGGACTCATAACCTTATAAAGGTTGGATTGAAGCCGTAGATGCATACAATGGCATTTAAAAACTGCTTACTTCTGATTTACAATTAGCTTCTAACTAGTAATCCTACTAGGTCTACCGTCAGGATAGTTATCTTATTTTTTTTAGGTAGCCCCTGAAATATATGTGTAGAATCATAATACTCGATACTGTGGAAGTTTTAATGCCCCGTTTAAGAATCAGAATGTAGTGAATGTTACCTGCATATGTATGTCAGATTCAAACCCTTCCAAATTAAAAATGAGCAAAATGATGTTTTTTAGTCATTTGATCTCATCTCTATCAACATTTAAGTCCTTGATGTGACAGGGGAGGAAGTGGGAAAAGTGAAAAAGCAGAGCTCTTTATGATCTAGGGGGTAAAAGACAAGGCACAAACAAACCTGCACGTTGTGCACATGTACACTAGAACTTAAAGTATAATAAAATATAAAATATAAAATTTCTTTATATATATAAAGAAAAAAAAAAAAAGAAATGCAAGGCAGAGCAGGGCACAGAACAAGGAAGACTCTACTTGCTCTCACTGTTGCGGGAGGAGGCTGGTAACATGAAGGGAAGTTCCGCTCAGCTCAAGCAGCACCTTTCCTGTGAAGCCTTTTCTGATGCCTGACCATAACACTAGCAGAACGGCTACCTCCTCATTCAGCCTGCATTCTCTGCCTGAGGGCACCACAGCCCTGCATCTCTGAGCTAGTAGCTTCCTTCATATTGCAGCTCATGCACGTGGCAGCCATGGAGTTTGTAAAGGAGTGACTTAGAGGTAGGTTCTTGGCTCAAACACGAAAATGTAAAGGCTCTGCCTTCCTGGACCTAGTAGTTTAGTGGAAGGAATATTAATAGGCACCAGTCTGATAGACTGATGTACAAAACATCAATTGATAACACAGACTCTATAAGGCAAATGCAGACATAATGTGATTGAACATTGGATCTTCAATTCAATTCAAAGAAGATGTAAAAGCGTAGACTTTTGGGTGGCAAATTTTAAAATTCCAATCATATGTATATTTTTGGAGTGAAAAATGATTATTCCTTTCTCAATTTTGTAAAATCGTATCTTCTTGGAGTTTGTGGGTTTTCGAGAGAAGTGCAAAACCAGGAGAGGATATGGCAGGCAATCTCTTCTAGGAAACTGGGGCACAACTGACATTGCTGTTTAGGCATAGTTAAATAGATAGTTGCCACCAAGCACCCAACTCAGCATCAGCCAAGGAGGCTTTGGATCCTAAGGCTGCTGGCTGAACTTCCTTCTAGGTTTGCCATGATCTTAACATTACACCTAGTAATAATAAAATCATGGAATTTGACCCAAATGAGTTTTTTGGACCACACTTATCACATATTTTCAAATGGTTATACTGTACTTCCAAAAACTATGGAGGTACAAACAAGTTGTGATCAGAGAAAACATAAAGGAAAAGCCATTTCACCCAATCTAAGTATTTGGCTGTGTCTTACTTCCAAACTATAGTCTCGAACCATGTTGAATTTATTTTTGTGTGGTGCCACAGTTGATGCTGAATAAGTAAATCCACTTTGAGCAAATCAGGAGAGGCTTCATAGAGAAGGTGATACTTGAGATGTGACTTAGAAAAGCAGGGTTAGGATAGATAATTAAAAGGGAGCTGATGTTCTAGAATCAGATAATAATGAGAGAAAAAGCATAGGCTAGTAAAGTTGGAGAGCCATATTTGTAGAAGAGACATGTTTAGCTAAGCAAAGATAATTCGACTACTGGAAAATAAGAGCCAGAAGGGAAAATTAAAGCCATCTTGCAGAAGGCATCATATCCAGTTTGAAAATCTTCACATTTTCTTTAAAGATGAAACCAATTACATCTTATGATGTTACAGTAAAATAACTGGCAGAGGAATGTTCCAAGTCACTCATTAGGAAGTGTTTGACCCTAAACCTATATTCATAAACTAGGTACTCACAGATGTGATAATGCAGAAAGATCATTGAAAGCACCTTCAGGCACAACAGAAATGTCATTTCCATGTAGAGAACTAAAAGAAAGAAAAAGAAAAATTAAACTTCCTATATTTCTGAACTCATAGACTCCAGAGAAATTCCGAGACTTTAGTTTATAATAAGCATTTTAAATGAGTGCAGAAAAGACGGTCTATAAAATAAACAGTTTTGGTACAACTGGATACCTGAGAAAGCAAATGGCTTCCACCTCACATTATGTGTACAAAATAAATTCCAGAATGAAGAATTAAATGTAAAAATAAAAATGTATTAAAAGAAAATAAAGAAGATCTTCCTTTTATAAATGTGGAGTGAGGAAGGCTTTCACAGGCTCAGTTATAACATCCAGAAACCATCAAGGAAAAGAGGGAGAAATTTTTGACAACATAAAATATATCCAAACAATAAAATATTCCATATAAGAAATAGAATAATATATATTTGCAACTTATATAAGATATAAGGATTAATTCTTTCATTTAAAAAAAACCCCTGCAAGCATAGAGTAAAGTAGTATATGCATAAAGATATCTACATTAATAAGGAAAATATAAAGTACCCAACAGAAAATGGGGAAATGATAGATCAAGCTCATTAGAATAAAAAGCACGAGTGCTTAGTAAACAAATAAAATATATTCAAATGCTCTACTAATTGGAAGTGCAAATTAAGACAGGAACGCAGAATAACTTTGAATCTGTCATATGGACAAAAATAAAAGAATAAATAATATTCAGTGTTTGCAAGAGTGTTTTGAAAAAGGTACTCTTAAATAGTTGGTGGAAAAATTAACTTCTAAATGGACAAAGTCTTGTCTGGGGAATAACAAGACAGTTACTTTTGGAATCCTTCCAATATACTTGACAGTACCTTCCCACACACCCTAAATTCTTGCTGAAATGCCAGCACATTTGCACCAAGAGGAATGTATAGGATGTTCATTAGAGTACTGTATAGTACTCATTAAAATTTGAAATTAAACCAAATCACAGTAAAGATGAAGATGATTGAATCAGTTCTGGTTCCTCCCACCAATACAACAGTCTCTACCAGTTAAACAGTTGAGTTATATATATGTATAAATATATATCTATTCCATTCTTATATATATATTTTTATTCATATATATGATAGACTTGAAATATTCAAAAGCATATGTTAAACAAAAATAGACAATGGCAGAACAAAAACAGATCCTATTAATATCTGTGGCTTTTAAAAGCTATATAGCCATGGGCCTACATCTATTAGAATAGAAAAAAATGCATCTGAAAAAGGACCAGAGAGCACATCAAACTGTAAATTCTGAGGCAGGAGAGTAGGATCAAGGATCATGTTTTATTTCACATATTTTAAAGGACATTTCACAGTAAAAATGTTTTCATATACTATGTAATTTCTAAAGAAATTAATTTTGAAAGTTTCTCAATTTTGAAAGTTTCTTTCAAAGTTAATTGAAACTCTATAAACCATATGTCTTAATGTTACATATAATCAAATAAATGACTATAACAACAATCAGTATTACTAAAAAGGAAGTTATATTGTCCAAAGCAAAGCTGTTGGACAATGATACTGTAAGAAATGATTTTTCTATTTCCTAATTTATAATAAATCCTAATGCATGTATCTTCAAGCACCAAGAATCAACAAAGCAGTTACATCCTTAAAAAGACAACCCCAAACTCAGATCTCTGAGAAAAGAGATATTCTGTTGAACACAAGATGCTTACAGTAATCGAAGAGACTTTAATCCATCAAAGGTGCGAGGAGGAATACATCTCAGACGGTTGTAACTAAGAATTCTGAAAGCATACATATGTCAATTTGTTTTATTCAGAAATCCAAAAATGGCCAAATACTTCCAAAAATAAAGCAGTTAAGGCTTATTAAAGCATCTTATTAACTGATAGTGTTAACACACAATATATTGTTATTTTTTGTGTGTTGTCTCCCTAACACAACATACTTATTTCCTAAATACAACCTAGAATGCTTCCCGCTGCCTACTCCTGCCCAACTTTGGTGCGTCAGCCGTCCCTTCCCTAAGGTGGATTTTCCCTATCTTAGGGATCTCCCCTAAGCCCCCCACAAACACAAATTATTCTTTGTTTTTTTTAATAGAACGCAATACTTTTCCTAATGTCTACATTGTTCACGTATCGTGGTTTTGTCTGTTTCTCCCAATAGAAACATTCCTTGAGGGTAGAGACTGTCTTGTTCAATAGCAATGTCCAGCATCTAGAGACTGCCTTTTGTCCATTGAATTAATGAATACTCAGTACCACACTTTCACACTCACAAGGTGAGGAGCTGGGTCATGTTGCTGAAGCTCTGATTAGAAAGCGTGCTTATTCTGTTGTTACTTAAGTCTCTAAAAGAGAAAAAGAAATGGAGTACACTATTAACCACAGAAATGAAAATATTAGTGATTCTTAGAAGGAGAAGGGTCTTCTTATAGTCATAGCAGTATTGTTAGCATTCAGCTGTTATCTGAAAACAATAAAACAGTGAACGACCCACTGGAGTAGATTGCAATGTTATTCATGATTATTTACACCTCACTGTTTTGAAATTAGGAGTGATTATATATATATGCATTGCTTTAGCCAATGTAGTGTACGTGCAAGGGGTTGGTTCACTTCAAAGCAGCAGCTTCAGAGCAGAGTTTATTTGCCCTTATCCCTCTGCGCCCATCTCCATAAGGCTTTTGATATTTTACAGGGAGCTTCCTTGGAGGTGACTTGCGATAGACAAAATTTTGCCGGTGGGAAATAAACCCTTATCTTCAAAAGTCCTATCAGATACACATACTTTACCCTCATTGATACATATGTTCACTGATACACAGACTCAAATTTGATCACTGAAAGAACCCCTGATTAATTACATTCAAAATGTCATCAATAAAAACGTCTGTGCTCCTGCCCCTGGCTGAGTCATGGTCACACAGTAGGTCCTCAATAAATATTTGTTTAATGAATGTTAAGTAAATGGGAGAGACGTTGAATTTTTACCAATGTTAAATGGCTACTTATATGTATAGTTTGTACTATGGGTCGTAATTTACATTTCATGAACTTGATCTTATTCTCATTATATATATAGTGTATATATACACACACTATATATGTAAAAAATATATTAAAATATATATACAATATGTAATACTAATATATATTCACCATTTATAATAACTAAATATATTCACTAATTTTTTTCTGAAGCAAAATGCAAAATATATGAATAAATGGAAGATTCAGAAAAACCGAGGATAATCTATTCCTTTATTAAAATATCAAAATGTCAGTAAAATGGACCCATGAAATTGTGAAAATGTTAAGAATCTGAGAGGAGCTTTATACTCATATTTTTAACTGCTGAAGAACTATTCCTAAATTTTAAAAATAAAAGTATCTGTATTAGCAGAAGTAACTTGCCTAGAGTTGTATCATGAGTCACTAGTAAAACCATTTTTGGATCCACAAATCCTCATTTGTCATTTCGAGCTGGCTTGAAAGTAATCACATGCTGTCCCACAAATGACCCAATTCTGCTAAAGTGACCCTTTGGAAATTGCAGCAATTTAATGGTTTATTTAACAGAACAAAATGTATGTAATCAGTTCTTGCTGCTATCAAATAAATAACTAGAAGCAGAACAAGACATCTTAGAGGATATCTTTTTCCATTGTTTAATCATTTGTCATTTAAATACTCCTATTTACTTTCTATAAAGTGTTTGATTTACCCATACTTTCAAGGAAAGTGATCAGCAGCAATTTTAACTAGCTTCAATGTACCTAGTTTACATTGGGGCATGTAATATTTTTTGCTACTTAGGTTTGTAGAATTCACTTAGAAATAAACCTTCTAATTCGTTAACCAGTAATCTGCTTCTTACGCTAGTAATATTTACTCTAAAATTAGATAGACTTAAACAAATGATACGGTACTTTCTATTAATATCTACTATCTTTTTCCTGATTTTTTGTGTTCTGAAAAGTTTTCTCAATTACCAATAAGGCTACTTTAAAAGTATAGTATTATATGTAAAAGATTATATCAATTTTTAAACATTGTGCATGTAACTAGATCAAATGTTTGTATATTTAAATATCTTCTTGTATTTACAACTTAAGGGTTGTCAAAGGTTGTTTACATTAATAAAAAAAGAGATGTTATTTTAAGCTAAAAAATCAAAATTTTGAAATTTATACTCAAAATGTTAGTATCTTTGTCAAGTTTACTTAAACACTACATGAATATATATGGATTTTCTAAAATACATTTTAATACTGGAAACCCATAACTTATTTAACAATGCTTTGTATAAGAAACAAACATAATAAACTACATTTACATTTTTGGGAAAGTCATTACCACCTACCATCTTTCGCTTAAAGTCAAGAATAAAGGCATCGTTTTCTATCTTTCCTTCCTTAGTTTGTCATAAAATAACCCATATTCATTATCAATAAAAATCTGCAGGTTTATACATTTTCATAATTCTCTGACTACTCAGACTTCGTTGTATTTGTGCTTTTTTGAATAGAGGAGGACCTCTTGCTAAGACACTCCATCGCCTGATCGATATTCAATGAAGATGTAGCCAGGGGTCCAGAACCGCAATGAGCAAGGAGGGAAGCATCTAACTGTGAATGATTTGTATTATCTGGAAGGTTCACTAAATCTTCTGTCCCTTGCCATCCCCATTTTCTGGAAATAGAGTAAGTCAAAGAAAAGTGCAATATGTTACTCACATAAGTGTTAAATGTTTGTAGTTGGAGAGTTCCTTGGGAACCAGTGTAAATTGGTTTCCATCCAGATACCTAAAAACAATGGAACAATATTATCTTCTTACAAAGTAATGGTGGCCTTGAATAAAATAAGTAAACAGTACTTCACTCTTAACTGAGGCAAGGAACCCCTTGGCAATTTTTGCTTTAAGATGTCGTGTTCCAAGCATGGATTATTATTTAAGAGAAGTAAAGAAAAAAAAAAAGCAGAGTTGTCCACGAGTCCAGTTCTTTGTGGTTTATCTAACAAGGCAAGCCCAGCATTTAGCCATCTGTGTGCAAGCAAGGAGATTCATTCAATTAACCGTACTTTTAGTCAGCCTTCAGTTTGCTTGTGTTTATGTGGACACAATACCATGAAATTCATTAACTAGTAACAAAACCTTGCTGCTGTGGCCAAGACCACTCATTGCTGCCTTAATATGTGTCAATACACTTAGTGAATAACAATGGACACATTAAAGGCATATTTGCGGATTTGAACATATTAGGTTTAAGTTTAAAAATAGTTGTAACCAGCATATATCTTCTTGGTGATGATAACATTAGGAGATTTTATAGAATATAAATTGATGAAGTGTATAAATATATATATATATATATATGTAACAGCAATAATCAAATAACCATATATAAGTAAACTTTCCCTTCTTATTAGAGTCAGAAGAATAATCAGAAAATAGGTTTTGGGCTAACTGGCAGGACAGAGAGATAATCGAATGCCTGAAGTTATATCTATTATGTCACAATAAGGAAAATAAATTTCATCTCCTTCCAAGGCTGTTTTTCCTAGAACGTAGATGGTGAAGGGTGCAAATGTCATTCAGAAACTGGGGCCATCTGGCTATACATGTGCCCACAGACACTTCTGGGACATTAAACATGTGGCCGTTCCTACCCCAATGTTGTGGTCCATTTCAAGATTCCAGGTTGAAGTTGGTATTTTTTCTGGATATAGAAATAGCTGAGAAGTTGTCTAAGATGATAATTTATTCCCAATATTTCAAAATAAAAACAATGATATAAAAGGCACCAGTTATCAGAAAATATAATTAATGTTTGATAAATAATTGGGTCTATGTTATGACTCATCATGTCTACCTAAATTTTCTGACTTGATATTTCTTCTTCGACCCCTCTCCATTTTTTTCTTTCCTCTACCTAAGTTTTTCTTGATACCACTAGAGGGAAGCATCACCCTATATAGTTCAGCACTCTCCCTTTATTCCAGAAAACACAGCAGAAGGTCAAGATTCAGAATGTGCGCTATGAATGTTTATATGTAAAATAATCTAAGGCGGAAGTTATATGGAACTGATTAAAAATAATGGATACCATTTGTTAAAACTAGTCCACCAATAATACTAATTTTTGCCAAAGTCTTTAATTATTTAATGTAATACACATATGAAATTCTTCTAATACATGCATATATGTTACTGCTAAGAAGGATTCTGCTGACTTGGTAAGGTTACAAGAATAAGCTCTCCAGGGGGTAAAACTTGAATTCAAAACAGATAAGCTAATATTTTTCTCATCTCTATGACAAACTTTCTTTGGAAAAAAAGACTACTTTTTAATAATTTGTAGTAAAATAGATTGAAAATTCAACTTTTTGAATAGTTGAAATATGCTGTAGATAGCACAGGGTATGCACCAAGCAGGATGTCCAATGGAGCTTAGTAAGAAATGTTTAAAGTTATTTAATGGGAATAGAGTAAAGTGACCAATACATAGTCCAGTTAAAATTGTAGAAGAAGGGATTTAGCATCAAAGGTGGTCTGAGTGTAAGTTCTTCATTGGTGTACTCCTAAAATTAATGCTTTGGACACAGAATATTCTTTTTTTATTTTTTATTTTAACTATCTCTGCTTTATATTTTATTTTTTTACTATACTTTAAATTCTAGGGTACATGTGCACAACATGCAGGTTTGTTACGTATGTATACATGTGCCATGCTGGTTTGCTGCACCCACTAACTTGCCATTTACATTAGGTATTTCTCCTAATGCTATCCCTCCCCCATCCCCCCACACCAAGACAGGCCCCGGTGTGTGATGTTCCCCATCCTGTGGACACAGAATATTCTATAGGCATCTAGCTTTCCCACAGAGGAGGGTTTCGGAATATCCCTATGTGATCTTCTGAAATAAAAAACATTACTATAAGAATTAAATATTTAATTACACACATATACATATAAAATAGTCCTTCCAGTTGATTAACCAATGTGATTGGTAGTGAGAGAGGACCTAAGCACTTAACAGCAGTTCAAATCTAAGAGCCGTGTTCTAAGCACATGTGCTAAGTTTGTGCCTTTTTCCTCTAAGTGTTCTATTCAGGATCAAACTTAGGGTTTAAAGAATTGCATGTGATTTGAAAATAAGATCCTTAAAAATTGAAATGACATGCCCTTGAACCTCATTACCTATGTTGCACACTGTCAAAAGTTTGTCAAACCTGCTCATTTGGAATATGTGTGTGCATCTGCACAAATAACTGATACACATCTGCATAAATTACATTTGGGTTTAAATCATTATTGATCCATAGTTCCACATAGATAAAAAATAAACAGGCAAAGTGACTCAATTGTATTCAGAACAAGCATATCCAGAATATGACAGTTTAGAGACAAAGGAATGGAATGAATGGGGCATGGAAGCATCATTATTCTGGCAGCATATTCTCTAATGAATTCCATTCTGCAACTGTAGCATGAGGCAGCCAAGGGAGCGTGGGCAGTGCAGAAGAAGGTCGAGATGTGTATATCCTGGCCATATAATTTGTGGTTAAATATCAGTTATGAAAATGTCAAGGATAATTGGTCCCATACCCTTTAGGATCTAAAGGACTTTGATTCAAGCCTCCAAAAGCAGCATCTCTTCTTAAGGGAAGAGATTATGCTAGTTTCTTCCATATACCAGATAGTTATTTATCCCATGTGGTAAAATTTTCTCCTAGGGGTCACAGAGGTAAAAAAAAAAGTTTCCTGTACAGAATATCCTAGACTGTAAGTAAATGAAATATAAAGCATTTCCCAAAGTGCATTCCATGGGCCATTAGTCTTGTAAGATGCTCCATGAGAAAAGGGGTATAGGAACAAATAAATGTGAAAGATACCTTATATTTTACCATTGTTTCTTGAAGAGTCATAGTACACTTTAGCATAGTAAAGGCACTGAGAAATCTTATAGCGCACACACACACACACACACACACACACACACACACACACACACACACACAGCAATTCCCAAGGGCCTCTAAAGTAGCTTTTGCATTACTTATTTACCATTTTACAGGATAATAATTAACTGGCCTTAGAATATGATTTGTAAAGAAGATTGTAAAGATTTTTGTCCATTCCTCTGGGTGTATGAAACATTTATCATCAAGGAAAAAGAAAAGAAAAGAAAGACAAGCTCTACTTACAACTCTGTGACATCTCTTGGAATACCTTTCGGCAAGACCTTCAAACCCTTGTTGCTACATCGGACGACTGTATCCAAGCAAGTACATTCAGTAGGACAGCGAGAAAGTGGGGAGCAACTATTGTCATCATTTCCTAAATCGCAGAGGAAATACAGGAAAACCAAGATTTGTGGTCTTGAAGGTGCTAGAAGGGATTTTATGCCTTTAAATTAACTTAACAAACACAAGAGTCTTAAGCTACATAATCATTTATTTGCGGGACATTCAGTATTTACTAATTGATACCGTAAGTTCTATATAGCACTGTTTTCAGACTGCCTAGGGAAGAATTCTGGAAAATGGCTTGCAATTTGTAAACTGTAATTACAATTACCAATACAATGGAAAATAGTTATTTGTACAAATTATATTTTTAATTACAATATGTAAATGCAAAGTGAATTACAGAGAAACGGCACGGAAACAGATATGAAGAGACATAAGGGAATATATTAACTTAAAAGTTTAGGTTCCTCATTTATAAAGCTCAAATTAGCTCTCTGTTCATTGGCAATAATAATAGAACTTGTTCTATGTACCTGATAGGGCTATATGAGAATCAAATGTGATGATATAGAAAGAGCATTAAAAAGTGACAACTAGTATTTTTGTCAGATTTACTAAAACTTCTGTAAGTTAATTTCTTTTCTCCTTTGAAAATGGTAGGTACTAAAAAACATGCCTAGGGTAATAAAGAAAAGTTAAAATGAAGCTATATAAGTAAGACCAACCACAAGTTGGAAACTAGAAAATCTAAAACATTCAGAAATGCACATCAAGTAGACTCAAATGTGGAAGGCAAGTCTAAGAAAGTAAGTGTCCTGGCACTAAAACAAAACCCAAACGACAAAGCAAAAGATACACGATCATTATTTGCTGAGCTGAACTATGCTGTAGATTTGTGCAAAGCTGCATCAGAACAGGCATGTGAATGCCTGACAATCAAAGAGTTGATAAGTATTTCTTACCGTCATCACAAGTGAAGTCCTGAATGGCCACATCCTGGATGGGTATTTCTTTCAGGAAGTATGGTTTTTGACATCTAGGATTTCCCGTGACAATTCTCTTCTTTCTCAGCCACTCTCCCAACCAAGCCAGGTAGCAGTTACAGTTAAAAGGATTGGCCAAGAGGTTTCTAAGAGCCACAGGCAAACGATGCACAGTTTAGCCTGGGGTTTCATCTTCTTCCTTCTCTAAACCCCAGCTACCCTTCTCCACGCTATTTCCGCTGGAATGATTCCTTCTTCTTTGCATTCCCTGTCCCCATTCTTACTCAGAATCACATGCAGTATATGAGATGCATTTTTTTTTTGATAAAATATTTATGCTTGGAACTTAAGCAGTAACAACACTTTTACATAAGGTAATTCTTCACATGATTTCATGCAAAAAATAAGGTAAGGTAGAATTTGGGGTTTATACAGTGGATCCTGATAGATATTTCATTTAGAAATAATTTAAACTTGTCAGAAATCTGACTTGCTGTCAAACTTCGCACTGATAATGCAGTAATTTAATATAAAGATGAAGGCTGATTACCTTATATTATTGAGTTTAACCTGACAACAGCTAATTCATTAATTTGTCATCTCAAGATTTCCATCTCTTATTTGCTCTAGAGAATAGGTTTCCCATCTAAACTGACAGCTGAGTTGATTAAATGCCAGTTATAAAAATGAATTTACTTCTACAAATTTCAATACTTCTGGCATCTCACCACTTCAGCATAAACCTATTGACAATCTCATTATTTATAAACATGCCATCTTTAATATGTGCAAATTAGCCACTCGATGTAAAATGTCACATTTTATGCAAAAAGAGGATTAAGTACTTTCCTGATGGATGGATGCTTCTCTCAAATTATTTCTTCACTGACTTGAGCTATGAACTTTTTTCTCTATCTTTATTCCCCTCCTTTTAAGTTAGATTAGTAGATTTGCATGCCACCGTTACTGAGAAATCTTATCAGTTAGATAATTAATAATTTCAAATGCTGCTTTTTAGATACTGACATATAAGAGACCTGAAATACATTGTTTGGAGGTGTGTGGCTTTTTTTACTTTTAAATTTTATTTATTTATTTATTTACTTTTCTTGAATTCTGTCTATAGGCCTACAAATACTCTTTATTTTTAAGCTGTCTACAAAAAATATTCTCTTGGATCAGCTCAACCTATTTCTTCAATATTTTGCTAATATCATAGTAGACCCCCTCTAGTAAACAGCTTTTATTTTTGATCTGGTCATCCTAATATATCTACTGTCATTTCAAATGATTCTTTTTTTTTTTTTCCTTGAGATGGAGTCTCGCTCTGTCATACAGGCTGGAGTGCAGTGATGCGATCTTGGATCACTGCCACCTCCGCCTCCCCAGTTCAAGCAATTCTCCTGCCTCACCCTCCCGAGTAGCTGGGACTACAGGCACCTGTCACCATGCCTGGTTAATTTTTTTTTGTATTTTTAGTAAACACAGGGATTCGCCATGTTGGCCAGGCTGGTCTCGAACGCCTGACCTTGATCAAGTAATCCGCCCGCCTCAACCTCCCAAAGTGCTGGAATTACAGACGTGAGCCACTGTGCCCAGCTGATCCTTTTGAGCAAGTTTGTTGGCAATAACTCTATCAATTCTCCTTTTATAATACTTATACTGAAAATACTCCAATGTGAGAACACTGGCAAAAATCTATAACATTTCTTTTATATGCAGCACTATCAAGTTATAATAATTCTAAAATTTGGAATTAAGCTACATTATTGATCATATCACTATGAAAAATAATTCACTGAACAATACTATAATTTTTTGTTAAAATTTAATCTAAGATAGTAGGTAATATTTTTTAAAAAATTTAAATAAATTTGATGTGAACAAGTTTGTCCTTTTTTAAGTCCTAAAACCCTTGATCACATTTTAATGAAATGCTTAATAATATATTAAATACATTAACAAATATAATAAATGGCTCAAGTAATACATAAGGGCTATTTTTCATACTTACAGAGTAGATAAAGAATGGAGAGTATCAAATGCCCCTGGTGCAACTGTAGTAATTTGATTATCATACAAAGAAAGCAAACGCACAGAACTGAGTCCTATGAAACTGTCATTCCCCACACAGGTTATTCGATTGCTTCTCAACATCCTGAGGGGAAAAAAAGGACATTGTTATGGAGACAAAGCATCAGGCAATCAATTTTGCCTATCTGAGGATCGAAATGATCCTTGCAAATATGTAGCATTCATTACTACTTTTTAAAAATGTTCTCTTGCTATTAGATATTGCTATGAATATATACTGGGAATATCTTGCAAGAATAAAATGCTTTGAGTTGCCAATGATTAATCTCAGTTACAAAAGGCACGGTGAGTCTAGGCATGGATTTATAATCCCATGATGAGGGAAGAATGTTTTCCTTTGATGCTACAATTATGTTTGCGTGATTGCATAATGTCCTAATTCACCTACAGCTCTCTGAGTCCTCGGAGCCCTGTGATTTGTGTATTCAGGGTAGTATTACATTTGAGGTTGAACAGAAGGGAGGCAGAAAAGAATCAATAGCCACTGCAGATGAAGAACTGAGGGCATCTCAGGGACTTACACACTGAGTCAATGTCAAACATGGTCCAGGGGCGCCAAAATGGACAGAATATCCACAAAGACTACACGAATAATTTTATTTATGAAAATTAGCTCATTGTTTTAAATTGAGAACTTAAAAAGAGGCAACGGTAACAGATCCCATATCCACAATAAAGTTTTAAAAGGTTTACCATGAAAAAATACCTTTTTTTTTTTTTTTTTAGTCATTGTCATTATAGGATTAACACTATTGTCATTTCCTTGTTACTGCTAAAGTTTTGGCTCAATTATCAATTCTTTGCTAATTATTTATTTGTCTGGCTTAAAAACTGAACAAAAAGCTCAAAGTCCCATGTGAAAATAGTTATGAGTATATGAATAGTTGCCATAAATCGTATTCAGAATTCCTGAAAAATTAAATTATTCCTTAATTTTTCTAAACATAAGTTGGCTACTAAAATATTGAAGAATGTGAAAAAGAGAGGTAAAAATAAAGAAACAAAGTGTCACTTTAAAATTCTAGGTTGCCCTATAATAAATAAGAAATATAAACGTTTGCATTCTGCGAAGTCACAGATAAGATGATGCTCTCCTTATGAAGGGATCGTTTTATGTTAGAAAACAAATGCACTACAGAAAAGCATTCCTATCAGTGCTTTCCTTTGTCATAAATGATGAAGAGCACTGGGTCTTAATCTTGCTGGAGTCACATGCCCCTGGGGGAAGTTGAAGACAAGTTTGAGCGCCAGGTCCAGTGGCTCATGCCTGTAATCCCAGGACTTTGGGAGGCCGAGGCGGGCGGATCACGAGGTCAGGAGATCAAGACCATCCTGGCTAACACAGTGAAACCTGGTCTCTACTAAAAATACAAAAAAATTAGCCTAGCGTGGTGGCGGGCACCTGTAGTCCCAGCTACTCAGGAGGCTGAGGCAGGAGACTGGCGTGAACCCGGGAGGTGGAGCTTGCAGTGAGCTGAGATAGCATCACAGCACTCCAGCCTGGGCGACAGAGCGAGACTCCGTCTCAAATAAATAAATAAATAGATAAAAATTTTAAAAAAGAGAAAAGTTTGATCTCTGTTGCTAGAAAAATCCATAAGCACACATATGCACAAATTTCACCTGCAATGTCAAGGAATTCAATGACTGGCTGAAATATGTATATGAATTAGTAAGTGGCCTATTAGGGTTAAGAAGCCTAGGGGGAATGGAAATGTGCTCTCAAAATCTTCATAGCTCCAAGACAAAAGACACCAAGAATAGGTATGTTCAGATAAAACTATTCTAGGATTAACTACCCTGAGTTTGGTTCTAAAATGCTCTATGACGCTTGTTGAAACCTAACTAGATTAAGGAGGGAGTCCGTGAATATCTGTCTCAGGTGCTAAAATGTAAGCACTTCAAAAACATCCACAGAAATACAATGAAAGGAGAAAGTGGAATTTAGATAACTTTTCACAGGGAGAGTCCTGTGAATGAAAAACAAAACAAGAAGAAATACTTTGATATAAGTTCCTTGAGGTGGTGTTTCGGGTTCAACTGTGTCCCCCTCAAATTCGTATTTTGAAGCCCTAACCCCCAAATGTGACTGTACAGTCATGCACCATAGAACAATATTTTGGTCAAGCAGAGCTATACAAAAGTTGTCCAATAAGATTGCAAGGAAGCTGAAAATTTCCTATTGCCTCGAGATGTCATGGCCATCATAATGCCATAGCCCAACACACTACTCATGTTTGTGGTGATACTGGTGTAAATAAACCTACCGTGCTGCCAGTTGTATAAAAGTATAGCAAACACTTATGTACAGCACATAATACTCCATAATGACAATAAACAACTATATTATTGGTTTATGTATTTACTATACTATTGTTATTTTAGAGTGTACTTCTACTTATTAACAAAAAGTTAACTATAAAACAGCCTCAGGCAGGTCCTTCCGGAGGTATTCCAGAAGAAGGTATTGCTATCCTAGGAGATGATAGCTCCTTGCATGTTATTGCCCCTGAAGACCTTCCACTGGGACAAGGTGTGGAGGGAGATGACAGTAATATTGATATATTGATTATCCTGACACTGGGCAGGCCTAGGCTAATGTATGTGTTTGTTTCTTAGTTTTTAACAAAACAGTTTAAAAATGCAAAAGTAAGTAAATCAAACAATTTAAAAAACAGAAAAGAATAAAGAAAAGAATAATAGAAAATAAAAAATTCTTATATAAATATAAGAGTAAAAAAATTTATACAGCTGAACAATGTGTTTAAGCTAAGTGTTATTACAAAAGAGTAAAAAAAGTTAAAACATTAAAAAGTTCATAAAGTAAAAAAGTCACAGTAAGCTAACCTTAATTTATTACTGAAGAAATACATTTAAAAAATAAATTTAGTGAAGCCTAAGTGTACAGTTGTACAGTGGTTTTTGTTTTTTTTTTTTTTTTTTTTTGCGACAGAGTTTCACTCTTGTCACCCAGGCTGGAGGGCAATGGTGCGATCTCTGCTCACTGCAACCTCCGCCTCCCGGGTTCAAGCAATTCTTCTGTCTCAGCCTCCCAAGTAGCTGGGATTACAAGTGCCTGCCACTATGCCCGGCTAATTTTTGTATTTTTTAGTAGAGATGGGGTTTCACCATATTGGCCAGGCTGGTCCTGGAACTCCTGACCTCAAGTAATCCACCCGCCTTGGCCTCCCAAAGTGCTGGAATTACAGGTGTGAGCCTCCGTGCCAGGCCGTGTACAGTGTTTATAAAGCCTATGTTAGTGTACAGTAATGTCTTATGCCCTCACGTTCACTCACCACTCACTCATTCACTCACCCAGAGAAACTTCCAGTTCTGCAAGCTCCATTCTTGTTAAGTGCCCTACACAGGTGAAGTATTTTAAATATTTTGTACCATCTTTTTTATTGCTCTTTTCTGTTTAGTATGTTTAGATACACAAATACTTTACATTGTGTTAGTAACAATTGCCTACAGTATTCAGTACAGTAACATGCTGCACAGGTTTGTAGCCCAGGAGCAATAGGCTGTGCCATATAGCCTAGGTATGTGGTAGGCCATATCATCTAGGTTTGTGTAAGTCCACTCTAGGATGTTCGCACAATGGCAACGTTGCCTAATGACACATTTATCAGAACATACGTATATTTGGAAAGAGGGACTTTAGGGAGGTGATTGAGGTTGAGTGAGATTGTGTGGATCCCATCCTGACGGACTGCCATCCTTACAAGAAGAAAATGATACCAGGCAGCTCATTCTCTCTCCCTATGAGCAGATAGAAGAAAACTCATTTGAAGAAACAGTGAGAAGGTGACTGTTTACAAGCCCAGAAGCGAGGCCTCATCAGAAACCCACCCTGTCAGCACTTCCATCTTGAACTTCTAGCCTCCAGAATGATGAGAAAATCAGTTTCTGTTGTGTAAGCAATCCAGTCTGTGGAAGCTCATTATGGCCGCCTGAAGACATGCATACAGGTGGAGTTACAGCCTACCGCCTTCCTCCCACTCCAAGGTACTTCCCTGCCAGGAGAAGGTTCCAGTATCAAGAAAGCCTTTTAACTGCTGTTTGAAAAGGGAGCCTTCTGCTTGTTATAATATTTGTATTTTACCTGAGACAACTCTGGAAAAGGTTAGATGCAGCCGCCTGTGGTCTCTTTTCTATCCTCTTCCTACACATTCCTCAGTATCTTTCTTTTCTTTTCTTTTTTATGAGACAGAATCTCACTATGTCACCCAGGCTGGAGTGTAGTGGAGCAATCTCGGCTCACTGCAATCTCCGCCTCCCGGGATCAAGCGATTCTTCTGCCTCAGCCTCCCGAGTAGCTGGGACTACAGGCATGTACCACCATGACTGGCTAATTTTTGTATTTGTAGTAGAGACCGGATGTCATCATATTGGCCAGGCTGGTCTTGAACTCCTGACCTCGTGATCTGCCCACCTTGGCCTCCCAAAGTGCTGGGATTACAGGCATGAGCCACCGCGCCCAGTCCTCAGTATCTCTTTCATCACAAGGCTGAGTGAATGTTTGCCTATCATTTTGAAAGGGCACCAAGTTAGCCCTTGGGATGGGTCAGCAGGTCCCAGACTGGTCCTGCTGGGTGGTCAGGTTTCAGGCTATTCCTGCAAAACTCAAGGAATGCACTTCTGCTCTTAGGTGCAGGGAGGGCTTTGCGGGTGGGGATTTGAATTTGGGATGCTATAAACACATCTTGCTGGCTGTGGGAATGCCCTTCTCCCTCCGTATCTGATAAAGAGCAGACAATGGACTCAGCCTTCAGCCCACTGGTCATACATGGCTCTCACAGGCTGTGCGGGGCAGGATCGTGGGTTTGAGGGAGACAGACTCCCCACTACAATCACCAAGGACTGCTTCTTGGTTACAAATATTTTCCTTTCTGCCTTCTAAAGGCTTCAGAGTTTGGTTTGTCTTTCTTCCAATTTTTAGGCTACCACTTTTGTCAAACATAATTATATACTTTTTAGATACAATGTATATGTGTGTATATGCGTGTTTGTATGCCACATGAAAAATTCAAGTAATACAAAAGTGTTGTAAGTATGTTTGATTGAAATACCTCAATCTAATCCCCATATTTCTTGGACAACAACTCTTTGGAAACATATATAATTTTTTCCCCCAAACACCCTACCCCTGAGCAAGTAGACATAACTCTTAGCATGTTTTCTTTGAAAAAACAGTGGAAGATGTATCACCAGCCTGTCTTTCTTTTACACTGAGACCTTGCAGGGGCAAAAAACAGTAGTCTCCAGATAAGCTGTTAGAATTATTCTACTGCAGAGATTCAAGGGGATTCTAAAGCTTACAGTCATTGGGCCAAGAAGAAGTATAGTATAGAGAGGTGTTTGAAGACAAAGAAATAAAATGACCATTTTGAGGCAGGACAGGGTAGTCAGATCCATATAAGCACTGGAACAAGGATGATCTATTTTGTAGAAGAGACAGAAGCCATGGGGGACGCTCCTGATCATCTGCTATGAACACATCGAAGGCAGGAATATTGGGGTAAAGGACCATTTGCATTCACAATACGTGTGTGTGTGTGTGTGTGTGTAACACACATCGAAGGCAGGAATATTGGGGTAAGGGACCATCTGAATTCACAATACATGTGTGTGTGTGTAGCGGTGTGTATGTGTGTGTAACAGAGAATGTGAAAGAGATAGAGGGAGTGGGGTGGGTAAAAGTAGGTGTTTCTCTCTCCCAGGATTATAATGAACAATGAGCTGCAATCCTTTGGTAGAAGAACTGCAATGCAAGTACAAATACTTACAAAGTTTTGAGGCTTTCCAATCCCTTGAACATCTTATGCTGCACATTTTCCAAACGATTACTCGTAAGAAGTATTTCATTTACACCAGATGCTCCTTCAAATGCTCCCTCCTCAATATCTGTGATCTTATTGTTGCTAAAGTTTCTAAATAAAAATTGTTGGAACAAAGGTTTTAAATAATTTCTAACAAGGTGGGAATTGAAACATAGTTGATAATTTTCTTCTAATGATCCAAGTTTTCCAACTTTTCACTGCCCAGCACTGCCAGGGCTCTGAAAAGATTCCACTTCCTTACACCATCAAGACAAAGGGACAATAATACTAACAGGGAATGTCTGTGGTAAAAAATGCCAGCGTGACTCATGTCATACTCTCCAAGGGTCTCCAGGAGTATAAAATTCTTGAGGTCAGGTATTGGGTTACACAAACCTTTATGCCATCTATAAAACCTAACAAGAAACTTTTCAAAAAAAGTCCCTGATTAAAATTGTCAAATGTTAATGACTAAAAGAAGGCAACTAGGTGGAGATAGATGGGCTAAAATGTGTTAGTGTTTTATATATAGCATCAGGAATGTATTTGAATATGGGTTTATTCCCAGAAGAATGTCTCATGTAATAATGTGTTGAAACAACCAAATTAACTGTCAGTACTACGTATGATACCAACTACTACAATGCTTGCCAGAAGGCAAGAGTATCTAGTTGAGGTCAACTGTTTATAGGCTTTTTCTTTCTCTTTCTCACTGATCACTCCAAGACCAGGAGTGTCTCCCAAACAAGGATCATTTTTATGCATATTTTAATTTCTCTGAGAGAATTGCACACAGTAGCTTCTTAATAAATATTTGTTGCATGGGAAATCATCTTATGGCTAAAAAGAAAGTACATTTCATAACAGTGAAAAAGGAGGGCAATTAAGATATCAGAAACCATTTGGGAGGTAGGCTAATATGGATGCCATCTGTACAAGTAGTCTGTTCGGTAACTTACAGTCTATGTGACTATGGGCCAGTTACATATATGGACACACAGCTAAAGTGAGCTGATGCTGATGTTTCTGCATGTGTGAGGGCGCTCCATTGGTCCCATGCTATTGACCTATGTCCTGTCTCCCCGTCACACCTCCCCAGGGGCATGGAGTAACCCACTGAGTGTTGCTGAAACTGCTGAGCTTATGAACTTATTTTAAAATATGAGTTGTGGACATGTAGTAACACAGATGAGCTATCAAGCCAGTTTACCAATCATTAATTTTGACTATCTTCTAATGAAAGTTTAATGAAGCAAAAAAGTCCAATAGTTGACATGAAAAAAAAAATAACAGCATGGTTTGGGGAATAGTAAAGGAAGTTACAAAACATTACTGAACCCATTTTAATGTGCTTAGATTGCTGGATTCCTGCTGTGGCCACATAACAGACCAGCTGTCTGAGTTAAAGTAAGATGCTTAGGCTCTGCTACAGAAAATGTGATTGACACTGCTGAACACACAGAAAAGTCCCTTGCAGAGATTACCCTAAATTCATGTTACAGGTCATCATCATAGGGAAATTTCCCAGGATTTTTAGTATTTTCTAATTTTCTAAGAAACTTAACTGAAATGAACACCCAAAAAATGCTACAGAAATAAAAAAAATAGCTAACAAGTGACTTACATTTTACGTAATTGAGGAAGTTTCTTAAAGATTCCTGTGGCTTCCAACACGGTAAATTCATTATTATTGAGACGCCTGAAGAAAAAAGAAGGAATAGAGAAGTTTTATTACCAATAGTTAGGAAAGGATTAAATTTGATTTCTCAAAATGAATTCTAACATTATTTAATGATACCAGGAAAATAAAAGGAAATACATAAATCACAGAAGATTTGTGGAACATACTGATATTTTTTCTCATTTTATTCAAATTTTAATCATCAAAATAAAATGTTAGGAAGCACACAGTAAAAAAAAAAAAACACAAAGATCAAAACCAGCTCTCAGTAATCTCTAGAACAAATTTTCTCTAATTTTTTCCACTATCGTCCCCACTAAAAAGGATTTCTAGACTGTTTTTTCCCTAATCGTTTGCTTCACAATTGGAACAAAAATTACAGCTTTATTAGAATGCAAACCACATGCCAGAACATTTACCCTTTAAAAGTCATACAATTCAGTTGTGGAACCATCTTTGCTATCTAATTCCAGAACATTTTCATTACCCCCAAAAGAAACCCCATACTTACTACCAGTCACTCCTGGTGGCTGTTCCCCCACAGTCCTTGGCAACCACTAGGTTACTTTTTGCTTTTACTAATTTTCCTAGTCTGGGCATTTTGCATAAACGGAATCATGTAAGATGTAGCCTTTTCTGTCTGGCTTCTTTTGCTTTGTGTAATGTCTTATTCCTGTTGTAGCATATGGCAGTGCTTCATTATTTTTTAAGACTGAATGATATTTCATTACACAGGCATGACACATTTGTTTATCCATTTATCAGTTAGGAGGCATTTGTGTTGCTTCCATTCTTTGATGGCTATAAATAATGCTGCTATGAACATGGTGTGCACGTTTCTGCCTGGATATATGTTGTCGTTTTTTGGACATATACATAGGAGGGGCATTGCTGGATCACATGGTAAATCGTGATTAACTCTTTGAGAAATAGCAAAAAAGATTTCCATAGAAGCTTTACATTCAGACCAGCAATGTATGAGGGTTTCAATTTCTTCCACTATGTTACTCTCCCTTTTTGTTTTTGTTTTTTTTTTTTAGCCATTCCAGTGGGTCTAAAATGGTATCTCATTGTGGTTTTGATTGGAATGTCCCTAATAACTAATGATATTGAGCAGTTTTTCATGTGTTTATTGGACATTTGTATATGTTCTTTGGAGAAAGGTCAATATGAATAATTTAACCATTCATTAGCTGAGTAAAATACCTTTTAATCTAAATTATAAGAGTTCTGTATATATTCTGAATTATGTGCCTTATTAGATACATGACTTGCAAATATTTTATTCTCAGTACTGATTTTATTATATAATTAAAAAAATTATAAATCTCTTACATTACACACATTTGCTGAAGTCTAAATTGGAGGCTAGTTTCCACTATAATTCCTCCATGACAAACAAACTTATTTAAAGTGCTAGGCCAGGGGCAGTGTCTCATGCCTGTAACCCTGGCACTTTGAGAGGCAGAGGCAGGAGGATTGCTTGAGCTCAGGAGTTCAAGACCAGCCTGGACAACAGGGCAAAATCCCATCTCTACAAAAAGTACAAAATTAGCTGGGTGTGGTGGTGCATGCCTGAGGTCCCAGCTTCTTGGGGAGATGGGGGTGGGGGACTGAGGTGGGAGGATCCCTTGCGCCCAGGAGGCCAAGGCTACAGGGAGCTGTGATTGTGCCACTGCACTCCTGCCTGGGTGAGATAGTGAGACTCTGTCTCAAAAAAAAAAAAAGTACTATTGTGCTGGAAGGTATCACTTGTTTGTAGTATTATAGGTAATAAGCATAAATCCCTATATGTCTATAAAAAATAAAGTTCAGGGCCTTGGTTGCATGGACTCCATGCATTTCTAAAATTCCTGGAGCTGTGAAATAGCTTCATCAACTAATAGGAGTAAAAAAAAAAAAATCACTATAACTACAAGATAGTGGGTTTCTGTCAACTCTTTGAAAGGCATTACTTTATTTTTAGTTATTCAAATTGCTAAAAATTAATTAAGTACAGGCATGAGTATAGGCACAGTGAGAGATAAACAATAACACACAATCCCTGTCATCAAGGAGCTATAATCTAGTTAAAGATGGAAGGATTATATACAAACAAACAGACAACGAACTTTGCAAAGCAGTAAATGACAAATACCAGATGGTGCTATATATAAACATGGCTAAGATGTTTAGAGAATGATGAGGTTTTGCTAGTTTTTTCCCTGAATTGTTAGAACACTAACATTAAAGGTCCTCTTCTTATAAATAAAGTCAGTAAAGGCAAACCATGCATGGGCATAGAATCTGTAAGTGCTCCAACAAACACCTTAGCACTTAGTATGTGCAAGGTCCTATGTTAAGGCTGTTAAGTGTAAATACCATCATATTCTGCCTTTTCAGCTTTTCTTGCATTGTTCAGAAAAAGCTATCCTTTCTACTTTAATACTTGATAACCACTGAATCCTTCTGCCCGTAAGTCAATGAAGTAGTAAATTAGGTAAGACAGACTCCTTGAATCTATTGATAGTTTACAGAGATTGAAAATGGAGGCTCTCAAACTACTTTATTTAGTTGCTATAAGAATTAAATACGTTAAAAACTAAGTACTTAGAAAACAAATTGGGAATAAATAATACCCAATAAATAAGCATCAAATAAATACCATTGTTATTAGTATGAAGTGCTTACTGAATTTTGAGAGATAAATTAGTTTCTGTACTTAATCGTATGGTTGGCTAGAAAGATGAATGAAGGTAGCCTCTAATATATTCTTGTACAAAATAGAGTTATGCCAATGTAATGCATATTAATTAAAATTAATGCAATTATTAATAATAAAAATGGCAAGACAAACATTCTTATGCTTTAATGCTTTCATTCCCTCCATCCCAACCAGAATTTTGTTGGGGGATGAACTTACAACTCTGCAGTGTACTGGGGAATGTGCTCCGGGATTTTGTTGAGCTTTTGATTAGAGCAATCTACTGTGGTTCCTTCACAGCGACACTTTTCAGGGCAAGCCAGATCCGCAAAGCAGTCTCCACTTAATTTTGATCGATAATCTTCTGTACCTATTGAGAATTCAAACCAAAAAAAAGATACTGAGTCTAAAGGTTAGAAAATTTATTAGTTTGTAGGAAGAAAAAAGTAAGATAACTATAGATTATGTAGCAGGGAGACAACTTGGGGTATTTTGGTCAATGGATGTCAGGAGAAAGGTTAAAAGAAAGGCTTGGAATTTTCTGGAAAAAAGAGTGACCAGATTCACATGACAGGAAAACATTAATAAAGTTGAGCTTTTCACAGCTGTACTTTCTGCTGATCCAATTCTGAGTCATTCTAGCCTACTTCACAGCTAGTCACACAATGGATATTAATTATTAAAAAGTTTATTTTTTTTCTCGGAGTCAAGAATTGAAAATATATCCAGTAATAAACATGATCCTATATCTCATTGTAAATTAGGGCTTTCAAGGCAAATAGATATACTCAGGCTTTTAAATTTTCTATGGACTTTTTACTATTCTCTCCCTCTCACATAATCTCGGAGATGCCTAAAAAGCCCTCTTTTTTCATTTTGATTTTGTAGAAAGAGACAGGAAAATCCTGATTTAAGCCTCAGCAGCTTGTCATGCTGTAGAAAGCTGCGTGACGTTCCATGGTGCTTGACGGAACCATGTTTTACTCATACCTCGCAACCACATGGTTAGATCAAGCACAACAGAAAATCTCGCTACATTATCACTACACCAACCACTAGGCCAAAGGTAAGACCAAGAGGAAAATGGAGGGAAGGAGGAGAAAAGCTACAGACGTTCTGGAAACGTAATACTGTTTACATGACATGCATTCTTCCCGCAGAATGTTTATGACCACAGTAAGAGTATTACTACCGATGATTTCCTGGAAACACAAAGAAGGGGCTATATGGAAAAGGTGCCTCCACCATTCCTCAGAACTGCAGAATGGAAACAACAGCTTTCGGGAACAACATCCAGGAAGAAGTTGAAGGTGAGCTACAAGGACAACAGAGAAGCTCAAAAGATCTGTGGTTTCTTCTTGAAAAAAAGGTGCCAAAGACCAAGACTAGAAGAAGGTACATCAGGATTGAAAAGGGAGGGTATTATGTTTCAGATCAGACACTTTTACTTACAGCCAAAATGGTGAATTCCTGCAAAAGTAAAGATCACCAAGAAGGAAAGAAAGAGTAATCCCAATTAAGATTAATATACATATTTATAAAACTAAGCTCTCTTCCTTCTTTCTTTATTATGGGAATTATTGAAAAAATAGCATGATGTGATGGGAATTGTCATGCTTTGTAAAATTTTATAAATAATATTTTGAAGCACGGTGGTCTCACAAGAAAACCAATGTAATAAAAGATGCATAGTGCAAATTAAGTTCTTGATTCCTTTAAAAGATGAACTCTCAAGGCCGGGTGTGGTGGCTCACGCCTGTAATACTAGCACTTCGGGAGGCCAAGGCGGGCGGATCACAAGGTCAGGAAGTCAAGACCATTTCACCTGACGGGTGAAAACCCATCTCCAGTAAAAATACAAAAAATTAGCTGGGCATGGTTGCGGGCGCCTGTAGTCCCAGCTACTCGGTGAGGCTGAGGCAGGAGAATGGCATGAACTCGGGAGGCGGAACTTGCAGTGAGCCGAGATCATGCCACTGCACTCCAGCCTGGGAGACAGCGAGACTCCATCTCCAAAAAAAAAAAGATGAACTCTCTGCAAGACAGATTTTCTTTTATCACTGTAATATGTAGAGTGCCATATAAAATGGTAGTAGCGAGGTACACACGTAAAAGTGAATGAAAAACTAATCATGGAGATCCTCAAGGACAATCATTACAACATTTGGATTAATCCTTATGTTGTGATGTACACTTTTTAATGAACTTTTCAACTTATAAATAATGTGTCTTAGTGGAAATGGAATCAGAATCTCATAAGAAGTTTGCGATGGTAAATATAATCGTTTCATTACATTTGGCAGTTAATGCCATGATATTTACTGAGGATCTGGTGTCTTATGATTTATGCTTCACTCCAAAATGAAATAAGAGTGCACAAAGTCTAAGTGACAGGTACACTGGATATCTTGCAATTCAAATAATCTGCATTCAACGGAACAGTAATAATGCTTATTTTATGGTGGCTTGTTAGGTGGACTCAAATTTTAATTAAAATTTTTGGAAAAAAGGGGAGGAAGCCCAAATGATCCTTTTGAGTCCTGGCTTCTACAATTATCATGTTTAAAGAATGTAAATTAAATTATCATAAATTGAAACTTAAGACATGATATTTGATATAAAAGATAATTTCCAAATCCTATTTTGGCTGCTGTCAGTAACAGGGAAAAACTATATCAGAATATATGAAAACAACCTGACTTTTGTTCTTTATTTAGTGAATTGGAAATATTAAACTTACCAATTATTAATTAAGTATATTTAAATGAAATAGTTTGAATAATTTGATACCAATTACATTACTGCCATAATTTTAGGATTTAAATCATATTAATGTTTTATTCTATAGGTAGTCTGGTGTTTAGAATATGGCTTTTTCTGGTTAAATAATAGCTATCAGATTACTTTCCACTTAATTGGGTAAAGTAATTAATATTAAACATTGTCAATGAAGGCCAATCAACTGTTCTTTTCAACATGTTACTTGTTATGCAGCCAGTATAATAATATACAATGCTATTGATCATTCAAGCTCAAAATAAGTCATATCACCAAATCTACTAAATCCATAAAATTATACAAATTGTAATTCAATAATGGCAAGCTAACAAATATCTCCTTAAAATAGAGACTAAACCCAGAGTTCTTCTTAAGAAAATATGGAAAGTTAGACTAACTCTGTACACTAACGCTGTAGAAATATCTTTTAATCTATAGCTCTTAAAATTTTTTATAGTCTAGAATATACCCAAGAGACGGTGAATGTGGCCAATCGATACTTAACATAATGGTTTAAAACAAACAAGTCAAGAGGCATTTTACACAATTGGCAGGCAAGGAAAAATAAGTAAAGAAACGTATTTTAAAGAGCTAGTTCTAGAATCATCAGTCTTGATAGTGTTACGATTGAAGTGGTAAAACATTGCGATTACTTTTCTTAGAAACATTTTATCCATCTGCCTAAATTATTCAAGGCATTTTGTGCCCATGAACTTCTGATGCTTTCACATCACACATAAATATTCTTTTTTATGGAGTTATATTGTAATTCTGGATATAGAAGAATGTAAAGTCATAAACAAATAAGAAACAACTGCATATAATTCAGCAGGGAGTTGCTGTTTTTCTATAAACAGTGAAGCAAAAGTAAAGCAATAAGTACAGTTTTTAAATATAAGAATCTATAAAAAAGTAATTTTCATGATTGAAAATGAAATTCTGTGTGTAACTGATTTCATGTAGAACTAGCTCTTTGACATCAGAAAGATCTCTGTCTTTAAAACCAGCTCAATTAGCTATATTTTAAAAACAGGTTGGAAGATCAGATATACAATGTAAGGAGAGAAAATGATTTAAGTAGAAAGCCATAGCTTCAAACATTTTAGCTACTGTGAGAAATTTTAGATAATGCGCCAAAGTAAAAGAAAGAGAAGAAAAGGTGGAGTTTAATAATATATGTTTAACATCAGAAGCTGCATGCAAAGGTCAGGATTTCAGGAAACAGCTACAAGTGATATATGCATAAGTCAATCTATCTATAGAGTATCCACTGTACTTTCAGAAGCATGCATATCAGTTTTAGAAGCTATATTTTATAAGGTGAGGAAAGGGTGTCTGTAGTTAGTCCTACTACCGAGCAAAACCTACCTGGAATGAAATACTGTTCTTTAGCTAAATAAAAAAAGAGACAAAAAATAGAAGATGCACCTGAATGTCAGCAAGCAGAGATATGAGTTATATTAGATTAAGAATGGACTAAAGTTACTGCAATTAAGTGAAAAATGTATATTCACAGCTGTGACTGAAGTACAATAATGTACAGTGAGTAGTAAATGCATCTATAATTATGGACAATAACCAGCTTGGTTCTTATATTAGCTTTTTAGTATGAAATTAACTGCCGAATGTGAAATACGCCTGGAATAGTTAGGTAGCATAGTACCAAAAAGACATAAAATATTCTATCATAAAAAAGGAAAATATTAGATCAAAGCAAACAGTAAATTTGAATGATGGCAGCCTTTCATTTAATATCAATACAATGCATTCATATTTAGCTTTTTACAAATAAATGCAATATTCCCACAATATTTTTAAAAATAGCTTTTGGAAAAAACGCATCCTCACGGTTGTATGCAAAATAAGAGAATGCAAACTGAGAAAGTGCATTCAGAGTAAGAAGCAAGGGATCTGGAGTCCCTCCTGGCGCCCCTGTACTTCTGAGCCCAAACAAATCATGTAACCAAGTCTCAATTCACTTTCTGAAGAAATGAAAACACAGTTAATTACTTGAGGCTGGTCAATTCAACAAACATGAGACTTAACATACTTTAAAGGTATTCTGAGTTAGCTATAAGGCTCTGGTTAAGTTTGAATTTTGGAAAGGTACTATGAAGTATCTAGGCATCTTTTTAACTTGGTCAATTGCCTATTTCTTCTGCTGTATATGGTGTTAAAATGTTACATATAGAAGTATTATTTGAATTGGGTCTACAGTCCTCTTTATTTTATTATTCATGGGCAGAAGAAAAAGAAATATGATTCTACAGTGTTCACTAATCAGCCGAAGGCCAGCTGCTTTTGTTAGGTCTCATGTAACCATTGTTGTTGGTCACAGGGGAAATAACACGTGAAGAAATTACCTGAACAACGGAATTTCTTGCTTTTGATCTGTCCAATTCTTTTGTTTGCCAGGCGGCGGGGGCTGGTGCAACGGGCACCACTGGTCTCAATCGGGTTGGTATGGAGATAATCCGCTAGCCACTTGAGATGGCAGTCACAAATAAAGGGGTTCTGGGCCAAATGCCTTTGGAAACACATACAGAACAGTTTTATAGATGACTTGCAATGGACTCAGCTCTTACATTCAGAGAGGAAACAATGTCATCAAAAGTGATCCAAATCACTTATACATACATAGTTTGAATGGCCCGAAGAGGTGAAAAGGTCCCCTTGGCGATGGTCTGAAGCTTGTTGTCATATAGGGAGAGAAGGTTCAAGTTGTGGAGATCCTGAAAAGCATCTACCCGAAGGCAGTTTATCTTGTTGGCATTCAATAATCTGTTTGATTAAATAGTTGTAGAATTAAAGTGTAGCATCTTATTAACTCACCTGCAAGATTTTGTGCTTTTTAAGGAAACCCAGTCAAGAAATATATTTCTTTTCACCTCAACACTAACATTTTAACTTTAATAATTTAGGAATTAGAGGCTAGAGATGTGGGGTTTTACCACATAACAAAAGTCATGTGATCAAATGAACCTAAATCTAGTGGTATTTATACATGTATTCAATACACATTATTAACCATTTCCTCTGGAAGATACAAAGGTGGGATAGTACACAAAGGTGGGTGAGACCCAGCCTCCACTGGCAAGGACACCATAAAAATGCTCTAAGACATCATTAATCCCTCAGGACACTCTGTGCAAAAGTAGTTCAGGCTATTCTCAAAACAGTAGCTAGTGTGATCCTTCTAAACATGGAATAGATCATGTCACCCCTTTCTCAGAACCATGCGACAGCTCCCAATTGGCTCTGAGCAGAAACCTAAGTCGTCACAACAGCCTGACCTGTAGCCCACTCTTCAGAACTCTGCAATCTTCCCAGTTCTCTCCTCCTGGCTGTTTGAGCTCCAATCACTGATCTCCTTGCCTTTCTTAAACACACCAGGCTCTCCTATTCTTTGTCTGAAATGTTCATCTCCCAGATGTCAAGCCTGCTCTAATACTGCCTTCTCAATCCAGCCTCCCGCACCCCTCTCCTTAATACATGCAGGCTGTCTTTGACCCCTTCCCAACCCCTAGCACTCTCAATTCCTTTTACTTTGATCTATTTCTATTTTCTAAAATATATACATTTTTTTTCTGCTACACAACTTACTATGTTACTGCTGACTGTCATCTATATGCCTGCCTCCCTACCCCCACAGTAAATCATCCATATGTCTATTTCATTTCCCTTCCTTTCCCAGACTGCCCAGCACATACTGGGAGCTCAATAAATATCAGTTGTTGAATGAATACTTTACAACCCTCTTGGAGAGTCACATGGTACATTAGTATAGGCTGTAGTCTTATATTATAAATACCTGTTTAACTTTTTAACATAATTCCCCACAAACTCCTTTTTCCCCTATGTATTATATCAATATTCTGTGGAACTGTAGTTTATGGATTATACTTTGGCAAACATCATTCTCGGTGATGTGACTGTGTGTGAGCTTAGGTTTATTCTTCAGCATGTACTCTGCTCTCTACTTTCCTCAACCATCTTCTGAACTCAACTTTCACCCAACAGAGTACTCCTCCCTCTGGGTTCCTCAAAATGTCATTCCATGCTATGCAGTCTTGTCAACTGTTTTATGCAGACCTGCTTATTTGTCCAATGACAGTTTCTCCCTCTTCAGGAAGGACAATTTTTTTAAATAATATTCTTTTTCTCCATCCCTAACAGGCACCACTGGTCTCAATAGGGTTGGTATGGAGATAATCCACTGGCCACTTGAGATGGCAGTCACAAATAAAGGGGTGCTGGGCCTAATGCCTTTGGAAACACATACAGGACAGTTTTATAGATGAGTTGCAATGGACTCAACTCTTACATTCAGAGTGGAAACAATGTCATCAACTGTGATCCAAATCACTTATACATACATAGTTTGAATGGCCCGAAGAGGTGAAAAGGTCCCTTTGGTGATGGTCTGAAGCGTGTTATTATATAAGGAGAGAAAGAATATTTTTCTCCATAGGAATGGAGAAATTTTTTTAAATTCCCGCCTTAAGAGGGAGAAACTGTAGGCAATACTTGGATACAGCATCAAGCTATATCTAGCTATATTTAGTTCAGTGCTTTGATACTTAGAACTTTTAACAAATTTGTAACAGCTCAAAAAATATGTGTAATGTGGTTTGGGTATGCCTCATTATCTAACATACTAAAAAATATTTTCTCCTTTGACAATAAAACAATCTCTATGTTAACATGGGTTATTTCCATTTTACTTGATTTTTTTTTAAAGGTGCTACATCAGCAACATGCAAAGTGATGACTTTCTCACGGTGACTCAATTGGCTGTGCTCTTTGATTCCCCATCAGGAGCTGAAGCTTCATCTTCCCTCCGGTATATGTAATACCTTCTTAAAAGCCTTCAAGAAATGGTGGGTGACAGGGGCTGATTAACCCCACACCTCTCCTCCCTGGGCCACAACTCAAGTAATGCTGACCTGTTCTTTACTTAATAATCTAATTGAGTGAAGCAGTTAGAGAGCAAACAAGGACAATGAAATTGTGTGGAGCCTGAGGAAACTGAAAGATGTTGTTTTGCATCATCTTGCATCTATGCAGTTTGTACTCACTTTAACTCAGTGTGGCCCAAGGAACAGTAAATAAATATTAAACAACAATCTGTTTTGTTTCTTTTATTTCCCTGCCTCTTCTCTCTAATCTCTGACCAACCAAAACTAAGACACTTAATTTTACCAAGTTCTCAGCTAGCTGTAAAGAGATAATCATGCCGTTCTTTCCCTCTGGCAGGCTTAAGAATGAGCCTTAGTGTAGAAATGAAACTTTATAAAGATGGCTTTAGAAGTAAGGTTTATCTATATAGATCTCCATATTTTATTAGCATGTGTGTTACATCAACTACCAATAAGTGTGGATGGAAAGAAAAAGAAGGTGACACTTCACGTATTTGTAGTAGATAGGGCAGTGATAGAGTGATTGTGAATAACTGGCATGGAGAGTAAGTCTAGGGGAATGTGGAAGAATGGCAGAGAGGTGAGTCACAAGTAGGCAATACTTGGTTACAGCATCAAGCTATATCTACAATGGGTACAGACATCTAGGCTGTGAATAGCATAATTTTATCAAATTAGTAGCAATATTTAATAACAGAAATGGAAAGCTTAGAAAAATCTGAAACCCAAATAAAGTCATTAAGTTACAAAATCAGTATTTCTCATGACTCATTGGTCTATTGTAAAATAAATTTACTGGGTTATGTAGCACTGAGAAAATAAAGAGAGAATTGGGGTGGGGATGAACAGAAAAGAGAGCACTACATATAATAAGGTTCATTATTGTTTCATTAACATTTTGTTTCATTTGTTTGGGTGTGTGTGTGCTAAGGTGTAATGTAAAATACATTTCTGCATAATGGTGAAAAAGTTTAAGACATGGATAATAGGATGTACTTAAGAACGTAAGTTTATAAATTCAGGAATATATTTATATATATACATGAAGATTGTGGGATTAGGAATAAATCGTTACCAAATAAATGCCAAGAAATAAATACACTCCAGAGGGAAAATAACATTGTATGCGTAAGGATTTTAAGGGAGATTTACTAAGAAAAAAATTACAACACAATTATCTTTGTATCTAAAGCATATAGGCCAGTGTGTGCCCCAAATGAGGTCCTCTGATGATATGAATAGAATTTGATGATTAACCACCAAGTTTTAATATTTGCATTTTTTTCCAACTTTACTTTTCATATGGGCATGCATTAAAACACATGGTGTTAAATCTCCTTTTTGCAAATATGTATGGTAAATACTTCTTTTGAGACAAATGAGTAGTATCTATTGTCTAATCAGAGTGGTCTTTGATTTACAGGTAATTATCTCTCTAAAGGTTTAGTCTGAGGACTATTGTGTGTTACAGCTCACCGCACACCATCCGTTTGAGGAAATTATTGCAGCACTGTCGCTCCTGCAGATTCTCTGGACAAAAGTTGCTGAGTATATCACCATATCTTTTTTTTTTTTTTTTTTTTTTTTTGAGACGGAGTCTCACTCTGTCGCCCGGGCTGGAGTGCAGTGGCGCGATCTCTGCTCATTGCAAGCTCCACCTCCCTGGTTCACGCCATTCTCCTGCCTCAGCCTCCTGAGTAGCTGGGACTACAGGGGCCCACCACCACCACGCCCGGCTAATTTTTTGTTTGTTAGTAGAGATGGGGTTTCACCGTGTTAGCCAGGATGGTCTGGATCTCCTGACCTCGTGATCCACCTGCCTCGGCCTCCCAAAGTGATCACCATATTTTTCTCGGTTCCAACTACTGGTTACATTAAAACAGAGATGTTTTACAAAGACAGGGATTGTAGAAGCTTTAAATGATAGAGAAGCCAGAATGCATACATTCATGATAGTGTAGATAAAATTGGTTTGGGGACTATTCCAAAAAGTTGTGTCTTCAAGTAAATAATCACGAATACTAGCTTGACTGGACTACTCTTTTCTATTTTGTTAAACTGTATCATTTTGAGTCAAATTTTTCCAAGGCCTCCATAAAAATATGAGACAACAAAATGGCTAATATATATTATTAGGCTCGAGAGATCCAAAACAATCAAATACTTACAGGAGCTGTAAGGAAAACAGTCCTTCAAATAAACTTTTGGGGAGTTCTGTGATTTTATTTCCATAGAGGACACTGAAAAAAATATTTTAAATGAAAAAAATTAGACACCAAACCTGCATAACAAATTCATCTAATACATATTTACTCAGGCATACAGGAAGCTAGTAGGCAATCAATACATCATAAAAGTTATAGCTGAGTAAACAAACTCCATTTGCAAATGTCTTTTGCCTGATTACAGATCAGATATATGCTTACTGTAGAACATTTGGAAAACAGAAAAATAAAGAACATTTTATATATGTATATATCATTTCCACTTGCATTGCCGTTTCATAGAAATGTTTCCTTTTAAGTTGTTTTTCTACTCACACGCATACACAGTTCATATGTAATGAGAGCACACTATATATGACAAAGAAGAATGCTAAGTGTAGAATCAAGTATAGAAGAGTATACAGTGACATAAAAGTCCTCAAGATACAACATTAAGTAAAAAAGAAGCATGTTAAAGTATTATGTTAGTTTTGTTTTAAAAATATATACATGGCCGGGCGCGGTGGCTCACGCCTGTAATCCCAGCACTTTGGGAGGCCGAGGCGGGCGGATCACGAGGTCAGGAGATCGAGACCATCCTGGCTAACACAGTGAAACCCCGTCTCTACTAAAAAACACAAAAAAATTAGCCGGGCGTGGTGGCGGGCGCCTGTAGTCCCAGCTGCGCGGGAGGCTGAGGCAGGAGAATGGCGTGAACCCGGGAGGCGGAGCTTGCAGTGAGCCGAGATCGCGCCACTGCACTCCAGCCTGGGCGACAGAGCGAGACTCCGTCTCAAAAAAAAAAAAAAAAAAAAAAAAAAAAAAAAAAATATATATATATATATATATATATATATATACATATAGGCTGGGCACAGTGGCTCATGCCTGTAATCCCAGCACTTTGGGAGGCCGAGGCCGGCGGATCACGAGGTCAGGAGATCGAGATCATCCTGGCTAACACAGTGAAACCCCATCTCTACTAAAAATACAAAAAATTAGCCAGGCATGGTGGTGGGCACCTGTAGTCCCAGCTACTTGGGAGGCTGAGGCAGGAGAATGGCATGAACCAGGGAGGCGGAGCTTGCAATGAGCCGAGATCGCGCCACTGCACTCCAGCTTGGGCGACAGAGCGAGACTCTGTCTCAAAAAAAAAAAAAAATATATATATATATATACACACACACATATATATGTATATATATATAAATATATGTATATGTATGTATATGTATATATATAAATATATGTATATGTATGTATATGTATATATATAAATATATGTATATGTATATATATGTATATGTATATATATGTGTGTGTATATATATATACACACACATATATGCACAAAATAAAAGGGAAACATATTTAGATGGCAGATGATTTGCCATCCAGAGGTGATTTGAACTTACATCTACATATTTTTGTGTATTTTAATATATCTCTAAAATAAGCATATATCATTTTCAAAGATCAGAGATATATTCTTTTGGGAAATAAACAAATGGCTGCCATAACATATAAAGAAAAAGCTGAAATGTGAATCTAAATAATTGATACGTTTGGCAGCAGTATATAATCTCTTTTTGAAAAGGAAGAAAATAACTATACAAGAGAGATGAATACGTGAGAGAAAAGCTGTTCCTCTTTCAAGATGTCAGAGAGAGGTAAGGTATATTATAAAATGTGAAGAAAATCCTCAAAGGAATAAATAAAGCCGGGTGCTATTATAGTGTAAAGAGATATTCCATTTGTCTCTTTAGATTCCATGATATAACTATAAAATAGAACATGAAATTTTGTTTGTAGAAAACATAGATTTCTTTAGAAAAGTACATCAATTAGAGAAGAAACCATTTTAAAAATCAAAGAACAAAAGAGAGGATTCTATATTGTCCAGAACAAGGTAGAAAGGGAATTAGAAAAGATAAGGCATGAATAAATATATATTTTGAGGTCAAGATTAAGAGAAGAGAGGGCATTAGGAAACACAAATGAGTAGATTAAGATGGCACCAGTCTGGGATATTCAATTCAATATCTTTCAATTCATTCATTCAACAATAGAGATTGTGCACTTACTATGTGCCTGTAACTTTGCCAGATTCTAAGGTTGGTGCTCAATTCAATTGAGTCTGTCATTTTTGAATGCCCATCATCTGCCCATGTCTCAGGCACTGATATGACTGAGATAAAGAAGGTATGGCTTCAAAGGGCAATCCAAAAGAGTAATTTTGAATAGTCAAAGAGTCTGATATTGTGAATCCACTGCAATTTAGAAAGGAACAAAGATGTATATAAATTGTGGAGGACCTGCATGAGTATCAAGGGGTGGACAATTTAGTAGGTTGTTCACTTGAGACTTCTGCTTTGAAGGTTGGCCCAAATAGCATGAAAGGAGAACAAGCTAGGAGATGCATCGTATTTATATTGTGTAATTATTTTTTTCAATAAATCACTGCTTTCTTTAAGACCATGTTAAAAAGTAACAGATGCTATTGTTAATGAGACAAAGTGGGTAAACGGCAAAAAAGGAGGAAATTACACTAGGATACAGGAAATCTATGTGTATAGGAATTATTGCTATATGGAGTATCAACCATAAAAATAATAAAGAAATACTCAATGTAATGGGAATGACATTTCTCCAGAAAGGTTTAGCAGGACTAGGGCTGGGTACAGTATTTTACATAGCAATGAGATCAAAATGACAGCAAGGAAAATTAGTTAAAATATACCAAAATCCAAAGACCAGGATAGAGAAGTTGGATGACAGCCCAGGAAATAGGGCCAAAATCTATAAAAATGAGGGAAAGAAATATCATCACATAAAGATATAAACTAAGAGAAGGCCAGTGAGAATTTGTCCTACACTGTTGGAGGAAAAGAAATTTTTAAAAGAAACTGAAAGAAAAAAGTGGTATCAGCTGAAAAGAAAATCAATACATGAGGGATGTGGATAATATCATCCAAATACCAAGAATGACTAATTGAGTATCTTTTCTACAGTTTCTTATACATGACTTATGTTCAGCATACCACATAGATAGTATATACATACGTACTATTATATGTGTACAATATACATATACTCTGATAGAGATTTTTTTGTTGTTGTTGTTGCTAGTCTTTTTGAACAATAGGGAAATTTTAAGGTAGCTCTTGTACCTGCTGCTATAAGGAAGGCCAAGAACGTTAAACACAATTTAGCCCTTGTGAGTTTCAGCATTAGGACAGTAAGAGGCAGCAATAGCTGGTGACCAGTGTTTGAGCTCTTGTGCTCTTATTGAAAGTTGGCAGAGGCCAGGCGCAGTGGCTCACGCCTGTAGTCCCAGCACTTTGGGAGGCCCAGGCGGCCGGATCACCAGGTCAGGAGTTCAAGACCAGCCTGGCCAACGCAGTGAAACCCTGTCTCTACTAAAAATACAAAAAATTAGCCGAGTGTGGTAGCAGGCGCCTGTAATCCCAGCTACATGAGAGGCTGAGGCAGGAGAATCAGTTGCATCTGGGAGGCGGAGGTTGCAGTGAGCCGAGATTGCGCCATTGTACTCCAGCCTCGGTGACAGTGCGAGACTCCGTCTCAAAAAAGAAAGCTGGCAGAAGACAACTCCTACTGAAGAGAAAAAAAATGTCCAAAACAGCAACCTATAAGATGACTATCATGAAAAAGGTGTTATGGGCAGATACTTTATTATTCAAAAAAATGTCAAGGAAATTATACTTATAAATTTTTTTAAATGTATACATTTGAAAATTATAACTCTTCAGTGATTTTTAGAAGAGTACAGTAAAGATAAAGCAGAGGACAAAACAGAGGTGCTACCTTTTAATTTTCATTGAAAACCTATAGTAAAATGCAAGATACTGGGCAGGAGAGTTAACAGCAGTTTAGGAAAAGGTTGCCAGAAATTTAAGTACAGTGTTAAAGTCTTCCACTGTAGACCCCTGTGGAATTTGGGAGCTAGTTAAGGAAATAAGGAAATTAGAGTAAGTGAATTAAAATAGTTTACAAAGGGCTAATGAAAAGAATGGGAAAAGAGAAAAATCATATATTGAGGACCTTTGGCATAAAGAAAGATTCTCTGGGATAATTGAGATCCAGAAACATACAAATTGCTTTCTATCAAGAGATGAATTTGCCATGGCCATACATATTATTTCTTGATGTTTACTCCGTAACAAAGCCAGCAGGGAAGTAACTTTATCCTCATTTTAGAGATGGAAGAACTAATACCCAGGGAATTTAGTAACTAGCTCAGCCTCTAACTAGTAAGTACTAGAGCCAGGATTTGAACACAGCCACCTAGTGTCCTAAAGGTCATATGCTTAGCAGTATGCTACAATGATACTACACTTAAAACGTTTTGTTACTATAGAAGGAAGTTTCCAAGTAATAAGCAGAAAACAATAAAAACTGTTTACAGACAATGCTAAAAATACTAGTATGCTGAATTCTTAAGAAATTGTTACTAAATATTATAGAAATCTTGTTGATGTCACATTGAAAGAAATTTTAAAATCCCTGAAAACGACATGAATGTTTTTTGTTTTGTTAATATATTGCATATTATACTATGTAACAATATATTAGTATAACATTATAATTTTATATAATACGTAATAAAAATAAATGATAATGTTAATAAAAAAAAGTATAGGATTTCTTAGTAGGAGAGGCCTTAAAAAACATTAGGTAAATCAAGTCCACTTATCTCTAAGAGATGAAATTTGGTGATCTAATAACTTGAAATTTTTATTTATTTATTTTTTTGAGACAGAGACTCACTTGGTTGCCCAGGCTGGAGTGCAGTGGTGCAATCTTGGCTCACTACAACATTCGTCTCCCGGGTTCAAGAGATTCTCGTGCCTCAACTCTCCGAGTAGCTGGGATTACAGGCATGCACCACCATGTCTGACTGACTAATTTTTGTATTTTCAGTAGAGACGGGGTTTCACCATGTTGGCCAGGCCAGTCTTGAACTCCTGACTTCAAGTGATCCGCCTGCCTAGGCCTCCCAAAGTGCTGGAATTACAGGCATGAGCCACCACGCCTGGCTGAAATTTTTATTTTTTAAGTAGAATGCAGTAGAGGTGCTTGGCATCATATCACCTTTAAATAGTTTTATTTATTTAGCAATTGTAGTGATTATATTAATCTGGCTATATTCTTGAGTACAGTTCTAGAAAGACATGGTATTAAAATATCAGGTGTAAGCAAAACTTGTAAGCAAAATTTTTATTTAAATAAAAAGAGGTGTTGCCTTGTACTTGCATGGTTTTTGTAGTAAACTACATACTCCCAAGTACTCTGCTCCCTTCTGGAAGATTTTAACTCCTGGTCACTATCATGATCTCCAGCACAATTCTTCTCTGCAAATCTAGCTTTCACTGGCTTTCCTCTCCCACCCTAATTATAGTGTCTCAGACCTGTAGTTACAATTGCATTCTCTTCATCATTTCAGTTTCAAGCACCCACTACTCTCCAGTAGCAGTGATATTTTTTGCTAATTCTTGAAACATCTAGCATACTCCTGCTAAACGTCCTTAGTACTTAACCGTTCCCTCTGTCTTGAATGCCTTTCCTCTATATATCTGCATTATCTACACAGTTCACTCCCATAGCTCAAATCTTCAGGTCTTTGTTGATCATCTTATTTAAGGTTTTAGCTTCCCCCCGCCAACCACAGCTATCCTTATCCCTTGTTCTGTAATTTTTATTCATAGCATTTTCATCTACAGATAGATGTAATACTATAAATATAGGTAAATTTTATGTATACTATACATTTGCCAGTTTATCACTGGTCTCCTCCATGAGGCAGGGATTTTTGTGTTCTGGTCACTCTGCATCTCTAGACCCTCTACTAGGGCCTAGTACATAATCGGGCCCAATACATTTCTTTTGAACATATTAACTGTGGTTCAATGAAGAAAAGAGCTATTGCAAATGTGTGTAGTTATATATTTTATGGAGGGGAAAATAACTTAATCTTTGGAAAGTGAACTCAAACTGTGAACGTGACCAGGAAAATGATACGTGTTATAACACGTGGGCTTTCTCTAAAATAACTCAGTTATTTGATTCTTTTCCAGTTTATCTGTTTTACAGTATTATGCAGGTATTCCACTTTTGGCAAACAGTTTGTGATCTTCCACACGTTGCTACATTTTGAACTGGAAAAACCCCAGTGACTTAACTCCCTGACTTAACTGCAGTTTACTTTATCTGCAAGTAAAGATAAAGCTTTTCTACGGCCTTCTAAAACAACTGTGTGCGTGAGTGCTCTCATCATGAGGCCTTAGATTTCAATGTAGCAAGCATGTTATTTTACATGTGTTAGCAAATAGCAAAAGGAGTGACAACACACTATTTTATTGTTTATTAGATTACATAATTTATAATCATTAATTACAGGAACCCTGTTTATCAACAAACATAATGTAATTTATTGAAAGAAGTAACAAATTATAATAAACTGTTCTATTTATAATTTACTTGTAAATATCTTTATATATTTTCTTTTAATTCTCACAACCACAGAAGTGTCAATTAACATTATTAAGGGAAGAGCTTAATATCAAACTCTGCAAGCAAGCCGATATAAATAAGAATTTCCCACTGATTTCTCTTCTTCTTGACATTTAATGGTTATCTTTGAGGACCAAAATTGTGGAGAATCAGGAACTGACATGCTGATTTGCCTTTTGTCCTTCTGTATGACAGGGAGTTTGTCAATGTTTACTCTGGATAGTATTACTGTTCAGAATGGTGCTAACAGTACTTTATGGACAATCTGACTGGGTGATCTGAGTTTTACACTGAACCTAGTTACTTTAGAACCTGACAGTACAGCCTGAGAGCAATACATGACTACACGCTATATTTTCTGCCAACAATTGTTCCTTTAATCTCGTGCTTCTTCTAGTCAAAACCCTCCAAGTCAAAAAGAAGCAAAAGTGAACCCAAGCAGATACTGCCATTTAAGTAACAGTTTTCCATTTTCCTTTTTAAAGAAAACTGTAGTGTTTTTTGTTTTTGTTTTTGTTTTTAAACAGACTAACATAGCAACTGGAACACTCATGTGCCCAGATGAGCACTCCGATCTAGTTCTCCCCTTGGAAAGAGTGCCAGCAAGTTGTTCCACAAACTCCAGGGGTTTATCTGGGTCTCGCACATGTGTATCTTGGCATTCTCATTGGCTACCCCTGACCTCTGATATCTGAAATATTTTGGCAGGAATTGACATCAATAAGAACCCTTCTCTGAGTTTCGGCTCTTAAAAAATAAAAATGTGCCGACTTCCACTTTCGAATATTTAAATCTGATCTAAAGGTTACTTGGTGGACTTCTGAAGATTTTTTTACAAGTGTGAAGTAATATTAATAACAGCTGCTATACATTTATTTTTAAACTTCTTTAATTTACATAGCTATCTTTCGAAGGTTCTCTTGACATTAAAAAGCTGTCATATTTTAAAATCTTTGTTCTTTGAGAGATTAAAAGCTTATTCTTTTAGGAAAGTATTAAGGTGATGAAAAAGAGTGGAGGTTTCCTCTCAGTGGTCATCTTCAAGTGTTCTCAGCAAGATTTTGCCTAGCATTTCAAAGGAGACTGATATTGTCTCCAGATACTAGCTACATGCTTTCCAAAATAAATATTTTCTTTTTCTTTTAGAAATAAAAAAATGGGCCGGGCACGGTGGCTCATGCCTGTAATCCCAGCACTTTGGGAGGCCGAGACGGGCGGATCACGAGGTCAGGAGATCCAGACCATCCTGGCTAACATTGTGAAATTCCATCTCTACCAAAAATAAAAAAAAAAAAAAAATTAGCTGGATGTGGTGGCAGGCGCCTGTAGTCCCAGCTACCGGGAGGCTGAGGCAGGAGAATGGCATGAACCCAGGAGGTGAAGCTTGCAGTGAGCCGAGATGGCGCCACTGCACTCCAGTCTGGGCGACAGAGCAAGACTCCGTCTCAAAAAAAAAAAAAAAAAAAGAAATAAAAAAATGGTCAAAAAGGGGATCTAACTCTTGCTCTCCTAACAGCAAAATGATCAAACTATAAAATATACACCCCTAAAAATTGGCTAATTTTAGTGATGGGTAGCAGTCCTCCATAAAAATAATGGGACCCAGAAGTGGTTAATAATAATTAACATTATTAATAATTCATTATTCATAATAAAAACCTGAGAGCATTTTTTAAACCCCAATTTAAAAAAGGTAGCCACTCTTTGTTGTGGCTTCTCTTTTCCTTCAGTGACACAGTGAATACTTACAGTGAATTCAGAGAGCGTAGTCCTTGGAAAGCATCTGGTGCAAGTTCAGAGATCTGATTATTGCTCAGGTCACTAAGATTAGAAATAGGGTTAGGTTACATTCAATCAAATGTCAGTGAGATTTACTGCGGAAAAAGCTATGTATGGCTTTTAAATGTTGGTTTTGTACTTATCAAGACATGTCCAAAACGTGCAACATTGAACATCTGAAGGATCAGAAATTTAAAAAAGAAATCATACTTTTTAAAATAACCATTGTCTACTTTCCCATATAAGATGCTATGTCTTATTTTTGACAATAGAACACCTGAACATATGTTCATATGCAAAATATATTGACCATAAACATTCACATTTGTATGAATCAATATGCTAAATTACAGACCTTTAAAAATTACATAGTTTAGATATTAAGATTAAAATATTATTACAGAGCTAGTAATCAGACAGTCACATCACTTAATATTTAAGCTGTCAAACACTTATATACTCATACTTAAGTTTCTTTGCATGGTCTCATGACCTCTATAATTTTTAAAATTACATATATTGTAGAATATTGTTCACTCACATTCGTCTAAGCTTTTTATATGGTGAGAAAGCTCCAGGAGGGATGACTTTGATTGTGTTCTGTTCCAAACGTCTGCAATGAAAAAAAATTCAACTTTTAAATGGAAATGTGAACCTTCGGACATGTTTAATTCAAGCTCAGGATTCATGTCAAGAAGTAAAGTTGATGTTCTTCATGAGTGATATATTTTTTTCCTGAAAAATAAGTACTAAATTTAATTTTTCTGTCCCTAAATGTGAAGCAAATTGGGATTAAAAACTAAGCAATTATAAACATAATTAAAATATTCAGATTTTTAAGTACTACATATCCATCAATATTTAAGTCTGGACTTTGTACAAAAGAAATAATACCTTTAAGAAACTAACTTAGGAGTACATTTTAATTAACTTAATATAAGTTAGAGAAATAGGTAGAAATACTGAATAGATCTATTACATATTTTAGATACAATCATAACTCTTCCACAAAGAAGATTACTGTTGAATATTAAATTTTATAAGCCTTTTATTTCCTCTATGGAAAGCATATGATCGGTTAAAAAATAATTTTATACTCACAAAATTAATTTTGAAGCTTCTTATGAGGCAAAATGTTAAATTATAAATCCATATATGCTACAGATATTTTCAGTAAGACAGTCTAGACTCTGTGGATTCATTTTGTGAATATTTCACATAAAAACCACTGCAGCAAAGTGCATTTGAGCACAACTGAAGTATTTTTATGGTATACTAAAATCACAGAGTTGAAAATAACTGATATCATCTATTCTATGGTCCTGCTAACAGAGAAAGACAAGATTTTACCCACCTAGTTATGAAACGCACAAATAAGTAGATTGCATGAAGTCTTTTGGTACATATTTTAGTCTATCAAAAAAATGTTGCTTCTCAGCCTCCTTTCACTCCAAACAAACATCGTTATGATCATTTCCCATCCCCTTCTCCTCTGTTCTGCTCTGTCTCCCAAAGAGCTGACTCCAGTGAACCATATATCCCAGGCTCATTTGCCAACAGGCTACTGTGAGATTTGCCAGTGACAGACACTGGGAGGGTGGTGAAAGGTTGGCGGGGAGAAGAAGCCAGGATATTTCTTCCCTTCTCTGTCTCAGGGGATGTCCACAGCAGTGGTCTCATCTCCTTCCTAATTTTACTTTCTGTTGGTGCCACCTCCTAATTTTATAAAATACCAGCTTCTTCTGTCCTTATAGCCCTGGGTTGGTAGCAGTTTTTTCCCTGTTACCTTCCTTCAACTGTTCAGTCTATTCTCTACATTAAATCCCTCTGTTTTTCAACAGAAAAATAGAGTTCACTTTCAATAGGAAAATAAAGCTCAACTGGCATGAGCTCCACTTTCCCGCCCGGATTTGAAAAAATATATGCATATATATTATATATATATGTATGTATACATATGTGTATATATTTAAATATGAATAAATATCATGACAACATACTGACCATATATGTGTCATATACATTAATTCATTTTTATTGAACGTTGGTAATACTTTAACGCATACACACACACACACATGCACACACACACGCGTAACATTTAATGGAAATAAAATCAAAACAAATTATCCCTAGGACATTAAATGAAATTGCCAAAATTTTGGTCTTTTCTGATTTCAAAGCCCTTCTCATGGTGCTACGGTTTTTCTTCAACAGTATCAGGGTTCATTCTCTGACCTCTTTATTTCACCATTCAATGGGTTTCCTCAGTTTTCGTTGCTCTTGAACTCACTGTAACATTTGATATTACTAACAATCTTTTTTCCCTTTGATGAGACACTCTATCTCCTTGGTGCTCACTGTACTTGGAAAAAGTAAAAATATGATTAAAAGAACTAAATCCATAATGCCCTACTCAGATCAGGGAGTTTTACTTTAGTGTTTTTTTGCTTGCATATTTATTTATGCATATTTATTTTATATAATTGAGGTATTACTGCATATAGAATTTTGAGCATATTTTATGTAATTGAGGTATTACTACAAATAGAATTGGGTGTATTGTCTTTACATCCAATAACATATCATACATGTATTGCTATATCATTTAACATTTTGTAAGACATTACTTTTAATGCCTTCATAATATTCCACTGTTGAAAAATACCCTATTTCCTTAATTCTTTCTTATTATTGGACATGTATATATTAGTGATACTTTTATACTAGTATTGATATTAACAATGCTTAGTTATTTTAAGACAGTGAAAGCATGGCCTCCTTTTAAATCCTTTCCTTATTTTCTTAGGTATAATAAGTTGTGCCTTTTCCTACATACCCAAGGACATCCTCTTAACTCCTCTGTTCTTATTCCACTATATTCTATTCGTTTTCACATATCCCTGCTAACTGGGTTTTTGGCTCCTAATAGGTGGATTTACTCCAGAAGACAGTAAATAAACTGTATGATGGAAATATGAATTTGTCTTCTGTATTATTTATCTAGGTCATAAGAAAGGGAGTTTTTTTTCAAAAGCTCTAAATAGAGTGAAGGACATGTAAATCATTTGCCTGTTACTTTATTGATTAGAATGTTTTGATTGACAGTTAAGAGTAATTCTTTTTGGCCTTTACTCATTCTTATAGTAAAATTTTAAGCTTAAAATGTAATCAATAAAAATACAGAGAATACGAGCTATAGATGAAATAATATTGATTCGCTGGAAGATTCTTCATGTCTTGGTCAATTAAGTATTATTTCAATGTATTAAAGATTTGCTCACAATAACGTAGTGCTATGATGAGAAAAAATTAATAGCTCTCAGTGACTAGTAGATTTCTTTTAATAGTAATGCAAAGCTAGTTCATATACTACTTTTCATAGATATTATTTCAGGTTCTTGAAAATAATCTAAAGAAACCAATAATCATTAATTCATTCATTCACCCTATAAATATTTAATGTCTACTCTGTACAAAATATTAAGCTGTATAACTGGAATTCAATGATAATCAAAAAACAGAGATGTTCATACATTTGTGAAAGTTTTATTGATAAATAATCTTATTTTGCAGTTAGATTTCAAAATGAATTTCTCCAATGTAAGTATTTTTAAATGCTATATTCAGCATAGAGACTTCTGAAATGTCAATAACCTTAACTCACAAATGTGACCAAACTAATTCTATAATTTAATATAACTGAAGATTTTCCCTGGAAAATTTAAAATTCATTTATTATTTTAAAGTCTCAAACTAGAATACTCGTAATGATCACTAATTTTTCTAATGACACTCAAATATATGTTATGATAATTTCTGTAATTAATCTACAACTAATTTCAATGATTGTCACCAAAAAAACCCAAATTATACAATAAATAAGGCCTTGTTTTTTGAAAATGCTGCATACTCAGAAAGTTATAAAACAAAGAAGAGTCATGATAAAATGGCATTATATTTTTATATGCAAAAACAATATTTCAGACACACTTGAGTCATGCTGCATGAATCATCTGTTATTGCAATGTACCAAGGACCTGATCTTCACATTGCAAACTATTGCATTTACATGTACCACAGAAAGCTGTACAATGACATGTACCATGGACTTGTTTACTTTTATTCATTTATCTATTTTCAATCTTGTTCCAAAAAAAGTATTTGAAACAGAGTTTATGTTGTTATTCACACTGACTCAGCAGCGAACTGGTTTTTATTGCACTGTCTCAGCAGTTCATTAAGGCAAAACGTAATTGCATCCTTCATTCAGAGGGACAGATTCTCAAGCAGGAAAATATTCTACCATGGACAGATGTCAAACAATAAATTTTAATATATTATAAAATGTCTGTTCTCTCTTATTTAGTGGAGAAACAATAAACTAATGTGTACTTATTGCAAACTTTTGGGTCTTTAGAATAAAGGGGTTTTCCTTTTCATTGTAAGAATTTTAGAATATATTTGATAAACTAAACCCAACACACATCTCAAATGATGTCCTTTGTCCTACAAAAAGAGGAAAACATATTTAAATCAGATTATAAAAAATAAAGAAGTGAAATAATAAAGTTTTCAGGTTGAGGTAAAAAGAAAGGGCAAATAAAATTTACATTTTCTAGCATTGCTGTCCTGTAATCTGTGCTTTAATAGCATAGAAGCTGCTGAATTTTATAGAGTGCAAATTTGAATCCATTGTTCCATAAAGAACCTAATTAAAAACATTCTGGGATTCCAAAAATAGATAGTATAATCGCTAAGATATATTTGCATGCCATGGATAAAATCCACCATAATTAAGAGATTTTCAAATGTCAGTCCTTCGGAGAAAATTCAATATCTTGAGTTTCAAAGTAAAAATAGATTTAGAAAGTGATTAGGGGAAGAAAGTACTGTAAATCACATACTACAAGAAAGACTTTTCCATGTAAAAGGAGCCAACACCTTTTTCTCCACATAACTTATGTAAATGATTGCATAACATTTTATCACTGTATGTGTTTGTGTGTTTACATATACACACACATGAAACCAAAGCAATGGCTGTTACTACTCTTTCAAATGTAGAAGGAAATTTTAGTTACATGCTCAGTATATGAGAAGATGAAGACAGTTTTCTAACTGCACTAATAAAAATAACTCAAAAGTATGTTTATCCAATAAAAAACTTCTTCCCATTCTGTCTCCACTTCTACAATTTTTTTCTCTTGCTCTCTAATTACTGCTACCTCATTATACATGTCTTCACGACTTTAAAGCTCTTAAAGAATGAACTACCAACAATATATAACACGTTCTGGTGTCTATTTCAAAAATTATAGAAAATAAAAAATGGTGAAATATCCCTCTGCTTTAAAACACAAGACCCTTAGAATATGTTAATTATGTGCAGCTATCTTTTAGCTCAATGAAGTCTAATTCTGCCACTTGTGGACTGATGGGCTCTGTAACACATAAAATAAACTAATGGTTTTGGTGAGCAGATCTTACATAAGTAGACTACACAACATGCAGTGTGTATGACTGGGCAATTAAAAAACTAGTTCTAAAGACATTTACAAGATATTAAACAGTATTAGCACTTTAAATGACATTTTCAGCTCTCTAGCGTTCAATTCGTAGACATTATTTTCAATGTTTTAAAATCGTGTTATTTTGACAAACTATATAAAATAACATCCACATGCCAAATCTTCAATAGCCCTCCTCAAGAGATATTTCTACATTTTATAGACATACATAGAATTTTTCAAGGTGTGTCACTTAGCAATTAAAAGTATGAGCTTTGCACTTATATAGACATGGACTAAATTCTGGATCTGCAGCTGATTAGCTCTCTGGACCTTACAAAAGCTATTTTCTTTCGCTGTGTCTCAGTTTCTCTTCCTGAAAAATGGGGAGAATAGAACTTACCATAAATGTTTTCTAAAAATTACATGAGATGTAGAAAAAAATATGGTATTTTATTTCTTATACAAAAATAGTGAAGTAATAAAAATATGTATATGCAATCAAAAATAGAATATATAGCACAATATATTAAATAATAAAAAGTCTACAGCATATATGGTAGACTCCCCTTACCCACAGGGGATGCATTCCAAGACCCCCTGAATGTCTGAAACCACAGATTGTACTGAACCCTATATACACTTTTTTTTCCTATATGCCTGTGATCAAGTTTAAAGAGATTAACAATAATAATAAAATACAACAATTATTACAATATACTATAATAAATGTTATGTGAATGTGGTCTCTCTCAAAATACATTAATATTTTCAGACTGAGGTTGACCATGGGTAACGGAAACCATGTAGAGCAAAACTGTGGAAGAGGGGGGACTATTGCAACGTCACCCACACACCCCCACACATACACTATAAAATTATATGTGTATATATAAATCTCACACATGATTTGATTTCTAGTGTGAAATAAATATATATGGTCCCAAATCATGTTTTTAAACAAATTAGCAGTACAGTTTTGCAGATAACTCCGTAACTGTATAATAAACACATACACACATACATCATTCACATTGAAGCTGAAACAACATAACTGGCTGCAATCTCTGTGATCAACAGGATTAAAATATAGCACTATCTGTAATTTGGGGACTGCCTCAGAAACACAAAAAGTTTTTATAATACCCAGTAAAATATGTCTTTGGATTGATTGTGTCTGTAACATACAGCCCAGATGCTGATTATACATGGCAATAAAACTGACACTTCTTCGCGTTTTCTCCATCTGCTTTTAACGTAAATGGCAAAAGCAGCTGCCACAGAATAGAGCATAGTCTTAATGGGGTAAGGGAAGGGGAGGCAGAATGACTAGCTTCTGAATCTTAAGTTGTCCACTGTAGCCAACACATTCTCCTCATAGGTAAGATTGGCCCATCATTTGAAAAGGAGGAAGACAATATTCCTTTTCTTTGATGTTAAGGATTATCTTGCCTATTACATATAATTGTAAAGTAAGTACTTTCTATTTTTGGAATGCTACTTCCAACTTTAGCAGTAAATCATGTCATTAAAATCTTTCATATATTTCTACATAAAATGATCCAACATATTTTAGCCTACAGCATTATTTGTTTTATAATTGCAGTTTCCAGAACTTTGCAAATTTAATAAATATCTTCAGCAGCTTAATGAATATTAGCCCTAGAGTGATACTTCTGGGCATACAGCTAGAAGTTTTGCCTTAGGATTGTGTCAATACTAATTGATTCTCATCAGTTTCTGTCTTGGGATTTCTTGTTCCTCAAAAGTACTCATTTTTAAATTTTATTTTACATTTTGTGATGTCATTCTAAAATACATTCCCGAGTGTAAATTCAATTGGTGTTTTTATAGGAGAGAAACGCCTCATTTTCCATTTGGTCTTTAAGCATTTAAGGCAAGACAAAAATATCTATGTGTGCACCTTTTGACTAAGTGTTAAAATTTTCATGCATATATTCACAAGGACACATATTCAAATACAAAGATACACTCAATAGATGCAACCAAATGGTGTAGACTCGGGGAAAAAAAATGGGCTTAGGCACATGGCCCACAGATTTCAGGGGGAGAGAATATGTCACTATCATTATGTTTTCATATATATATTTTTAAATCAACCCAAGAAAGAAAAACACTTAGAAGTTTTGTTGTTTTATTTCTCATTAATAACAAAAATTTTAGACACTTACTATGAATTAGACACTGAGCTAACTCTCCAGCTTGCTAATTATTTTAGTTTTAAAAAATTACAAAAATCATCTTTCGTATCACTTGTTTAACAGTATTATTCAATAAGCAGACAGTAGTTCTCATTATTCTCCACCCCTGCACTGAGTTATTCTCCACATTGTATAACATCTTTTTCCTAAAATTTAAATAATGCTGATCACTAGTAAAATATGAACTACATAATTTTTCACCTGTCATTCTAGCTGATTAATCATCAATCTATAACATAATTGCTAAAATGCAAATGACACTTTTACCAATTATGAGAATAAATAACATTGTGACTATGCCCCAGATGTCTTCAGTCTTATGTTAGAGGCTACATGAGTCTTATTTTACATTTGAGGGGGCCTGCATTTTTTTCCCATAGAAGTTTTAGGGGAATGAACTGCATGAGCACTAGAGCCACCTCTTGGAATAACTTCCCATCACTATCTGCTGCTAGGCCTGCCTTCATTATCCCCTATAGAGTCTGCTGCTAGTGCATTCTCAGTGGGCTCCTTTCTTTCAAACCACCCTCCATTCCATGTTAGTGATTTTTCTATCATGGAAATCTAATCATGCTACTACCTTGCTAGAAAATTTCCCTCATATTCTATCGCCATCGGGACAGTCTCTTCTTCAAGATTTGACTTCCACTTTATATTCTAACAACTGCAAATTTTAATTTTTCCAAAAACACACTACTCTATCATTTTCCTGGGACTCTGCACATGCAGCTTCTTATGTCTAAAAAAGCCCTCAAGTTCTCTACCTGCAAAACACATCCTAATTCCTGAAGATTATTTGATTCTCCAAGGCAGATCAAGGTAGCCCTCTCTCTTTGTTTTTTGTGCACACATATTTTACTATTTATCTCATGTTTAAAATTCTGTTTGTGTAAAGCTTCAATTCTCTGCACTGCAAACATTTTGAAGGTTGAGACTGTCCCCTTTCATCCATAATGCCTGATGCAGAGCAAGCACTCAGAAATCTTTGTTGAGTATGTAGAAGTACTTTTTTAAAACGCCACTTTTCTGCATGTGCTTCTTGTGTTGCAATAGTACTCACTAGATTCCTTGGACTTTTGAAGAGAAACCAGTTGGAGTTTCTGTCTGTCCTTACCATTTTAATCTCTGTGCTTATTTTAATATTTCTTTTTCTCCAATTTATTTATAATGTTATTATATTCAGTTTTACTTCTCAACTAATATTACAAAAGTTTGATTCTATCTTCTACATTTTTCTTTTGAGAAAGGCATTATATAGTTTTCTGCTTAAGTTATCACACGATTTAACAAAAACACATGTACAACATTTGTGTGTGTGTGAGTATATGTATGTATAACATGTATGTTACCTAAATAACTTCTTGGGAAATTAGGTACAAGAAAGAAATAAGTTGCAAAAAAAAAATATAAATGAAGAATTTTCTTATCATGAACACAAAGTCTTCATGAAAATGGTTTCTCTGCACATAGTGGATATATGAAGCCTTTTGAAGATAATTTTTCTACTATTCTTTCAATAGTATAATTCTTTCTCTTCAATTATTCTTTCAATGACAATTAAAGGCTGCTCAAGATACGCATATACAATTAGGAATTTTACCAAAATATAGATGAAAACACTCAAATGATTAATAGTGAACTCAATAATGGCCTGCGGAACTACATGCATGGTTTCATCTATAAATGTATTTTACATAATTCTTTTTACACTGTTTTGCTGTGGAGCTATCAAAGTTGCTATAAGGAGTACACTGAGTGTGGCTAATGATAACTAAGAATTAACATGAGAATCTGCCGGGTGTGGTGAGTCACACTTGTAATTCCAGCACTTTGAGAGGCCGAGGCAGGCAGATCACTGGAGCTCAGGAGTTCAAGACCAACCCAGGCAACAAGGTGAAACCCCACTTCTACCCAAAAGACAAAAAAGCCGGGTGTGGTGGCATGCACTTGTAGTCCCAGCTACATGGGAGGCTGAGGTGGGAGGATTGCTTGAGCCCTGGAGGCGGAGGTTGCAGTGAGCCGAGATCACGCCACTGCACTCCAGCCTAGGTGACAGAGTGAGATCTCAACCTCCTCCCCCCAAAAAAAATTAACATGAGAAGCTTCTTCTGTGGAAACACATTGTAGAACACTATTTTGTATGCTGAGTAATGAGGTGCTCTGTGTCTGTAGGAAGCCAAAATATTTTCTTTTTCTGGGATTACCTGATGAAATCATAATATGAAAACTTGGGAAAATATAATCCAAAAACACAAGAAAATAAAAATAATAATGAATGATGTTTACATAAAAAATTCACATACAATGACATTAAGACTACTAAACTCACATAAAAATAATCTAGAGAAGAATCATTGCATTTTGTTTTTCTAACCATATATATATTAGCACAGAATCAGAGATAAAATAATACTGACTTGTTTAATCATAGGATTGTTTATTTAATGACATTTCTAGGCAAGTTGTATTTGATAGAGGAAAAACTAGTACTTTCATAGTACATAGGAGATACATATGTAGTTTCTGCTATTGTGAGGATCTCAGAAGAAAATTTGAGAACGCAATTCTAATTGCCTGCATCGGCATGATAGCTTCTTATCTCAAACCAGGTTTTCACTTTAAAAACTAACAAAACTATTTTCTACACTACAAAAAAATTAAAAGAATTTTCCTAACCTTTAGGAGACGTATAGTTTCCTACATAGTGTTTCCATGGGAATTAAGTGAAATAAATAATTTAACATTTTTGAAAATTTTTTTTATCATAAAGAAGGTTTTTATTATGTATGATACAAGACACTTTTTAAGAGTACTATGTCATCTATATTTCTAACAGGCATAAAATATTGAGGGTGTTTTCATATTAGCTTGCCTGAAAAGCACAAAGTTATAAAAACATAAAATGTGAAGTGAAAGTAATGTTGTAGGCTAGCTAATTTGTGAGTGGATTTGAAGTAGCAATAATATCAGGAATGTGTAAAACTGCAAAATGCTAACAAATGCTCCATGTGTTAAGAAGTGCTCTAATAAAATTATGAACTAAAGTAGAATTGCTCAAATTTTAACTTTTATAACATTTTCTAAATTATGCCGATTTCCATTACATTTTATTATCCTTAAGTTGAATATGTTTATGTTTTAAAATATTTTCACAATGAAACAATAAAGTTCTGTCAAAGTGAAAACAATTGCACTTTGAAATTGCCAACCTACTTGTTATTTAACAAGGCAAACTCAGAATATTGACTATTTCTTTCATACCATGTTACATTTAAAAAATGGTATCATTTGCCTTACTTATTTTATCAATATTGTCTGAATAGTAGTCAAGTTCATCCATATGTGCTGTAAAAAAATTAGTCAAGTTTTGTACTGTATTTTTTAACATTTAGCATATTTAAAATAAACTACTTGCATAGCATGATAGATATTCTGCTGATTGAAATATTACTAAATACATGCTAATCAATCAAAAATTCATACTTTGATGAGTACTTATAATTATTTTAAATCAGCCAGTACATAATAGGCTCAAGGCAAGTTGGTCAAATCTAACTTGCATATCTTTACATATAAAAAGTCAGATGACTCTGGGCATGGCGTGATGTCCCTGTAATCCCAGCACTTTGGGAGGCTGAGGCAGGCAGATCACGAGGTCAGGAGATCCAGACCATCCTGGCTAACACAGTGAAACCCCATCTCTACTAAAAATACAAAGAACTAGCTGGGTATGCTGGGGGGCGCCTGTAGTCCCAGCTACTCAGGAGGCTGAGCAGGAGAATGGCGTGAACCCAGGAGGCGGACCTTGCAGTAAGCCAAGAAGGTGCCACTGCACTCCAGCCTGGATGACAGAGCGAGACTCTGTCTCAAAAACAAACAAACAAACAAAAAACAAAGTCAGATGACTTTGAAATATGTGGATTCAAAATTGAGTATTATTTAATAAATTAAGGATTCAATATTTTGAGTGGGACAAATGCAGAAATAGCAAGCAAAAAGTTTAAGCGTATATGGGAGGTAGTTATCTAAACAGAAATGAACAGAAAAAGACACTTTTAAAATTGTATTTGCAACATATACCTACAACAAAGAACTAATATCCAGAATCTACAAGGAACTCTAACAACTCAACAAGAAAAAATAAACAATCCCATTAAAATGTGTGCAAATGATATGAACAAGTATTTCTCAAAAGAAGACATGTAAGCAGCCAACAAACAAAAAAATGCTCAACATTACTAATCATCAGATAAATAATAGCAATTGTTAATAACAGCCATTCTGACTTGTGTAAGATGATGGTGTGGATGCAGAGAAAAGGGAATGCTTATACACTGTTGGTAGGAATGCAAGTTAGTTCAACATTCAACCTCTATGGAAGACAGTACAGAGATTTCTCAAAGAACAAAAAATAAAACTATTATTTGACCTATCAATCCTACTACTGGGTATCTACCCAAAGGAAAAGAAATCATTATATAAGACACTTTCACTCATATGTTTATCGTAGCAGTATTCACAATAGCAAAGCCATGGAACTAACCTAAGTGTCCATCAATGGTTGACTGAATAAAGAAAATGTGGAACATATGTGACACGGTAGAATATACAGCCATAAAAATGAATGAAATCATGTCCTCTCCAGCAACATGGATGGAGCTGGAGCCCCTGAAAAAGGCAGCAAAGAGTAAAGGCAGGAGGACATAGGAGCAAACACAACAAACCAAATTGTTATAACTTACATTCTTACTAAATATTCTCCATGATTTATGAAATTTCTGTATAATGGTTTGAAAAGGCAATATGCCACAGGAAATCTATAACTAGATTGAAGAGAACTAAATACTAACTTCATAGCAATCTATCACATCACATTCAAAATTGTATACCTCAAAAGGTGATCTAAGTAATTAATTCTTAAGATTTGATAGTCAGAATCAATTTGCTATTAATGATTGTGTTGCCATAGACCAGATCATGTACAGACTCACAGGAGGCATTGCAACTATTGAAGAATAAGGTTTTCAACTAGCATAGTTCAACGCAGCAAAGTGCTGGGATGACCCCAAGGCAGCAAACAGCTTTCCCTTTTACAGCTAGGTTTAGCTTACATTATATGTTCTACTTTTTCCCCTTCTATATTTTCTTCATTAGTCCACACTGCTTTGTCACATTTTATTTTTTATTTTATTTATTTATTTTTGAGACGGAGCCTCGCTCTGTTGCCCAGGCTGGAGTCCAGTGGCGCCATCTCGGCTGACTGCTGCCTCCGCCTCCCAGGTTCAAGCAATTCTCCTGCCTCAGCCTCCCAAGTAGCTGGGACTACAGGCACGCACTGCCACGCCTGGCTAATTTTTTGTATTTTTAGTAGAGACAGGGTTTCACCATTTTGGCCAGGATGGTGTTGATCTCTTGACCTCGTGATCTGCCCGCCTCGGCCTCTAAAAGTGCTGAGATTACAGGCGTGATCCAGCACGCCCGTTTTTTGTTTTGTTTTGTTTTGTTTTAGTATAAAGAATGGAGGCCTGCAAGCTCTCTAGATTGTGTGTCCAAGATCTCCTTCCCCTGCTCCCAACACTGTCTTCCCCACCCATGGTATGCTAAGTATTGGGGCAGAAATGGTGAGGGAAAGTCATGGTCTACCTTTACCCAGTCTGCAGTTTAATAGGAGAGTTTTTCATTTTCAAATAACAAGTTAAACTGTGGTAAGTGCTGTGTGGAGAAGATTCGGGGAAATAAGAGAACATTTAACGGAGAATAGGAAAGATGACATTGTAATAGTTACAGATATAAAGTAATATAAAACAGCTCTTAGTTTTGCAAACAATCCTGTATCTTAATGCCTTGTCTACGTTCTCTTCATAGGTAAGTTTCTTAAAATTTCTCTTGTCCTTTTTGTCGGAGTATTAGTCATTCTCTCTTCATGATTTTGAAAATTTTTCCTTTAATGACATTCCAACAAGACCAAGCTATGCCTACCTCTTTTATAGCTTGATCAAGTTAGGACCATGGGCTTGAGAGTCAAGCAAATGTATGATTGAAGCCATTTTAGCCACTTCACAATTGAAGGTTTTTACAAAATTTCTAAGTTTTTTGAGCCTGTTTTTTTTTTTCCCAAGTTTTTTTTAAACAACAAAGTTCTCAGTCTTTGAAAGATTTGAGTTAAATGTCTACAGGCTTCATTAGAGAGGGAATATGACTGTAGAGAAAGATGTCTAAGACATCTGTAAGATGATTAAATTAATATAGCTCCATAATAGGGTACCTATTAAATGCTGAGTTGGTCAGCCGAGAATAGAAAAAAAAAAAATCTCAGAAATATTTAAAGAGTGGAAATCCAAGTAAGTATGCAGAACAGGGAAATTTAATGAATTTTTAGCATTCTAGACCCATTTTGGCCCATGCTATTAAAAATTCTATGCATTTACTTTTTCTCTTGCTGATTTTATGCTTAAAAATTACCAGTTTGTCTACAGGGAGATAATAGGCTGTTCCTCTGGTTCTATTTATCAAATTTGGTTAATACAGCTTCATCTTTTCAGAGACAAATCTGTTCCAAATGTCTGATTAATTTTTAAATTATTCCATTTACCCAATAAATATTTATCAAGTGCCTACTATGTGCCAAGGTACTAGATTTTTTGCTGGGTCATCAGTAGTGATAAGAACAGAACTGGTTCCTGCCTTCATAGAACGTTTACTTCAGTAGAAGAGATAGATATTTAAAAATAAACACACAATAGTATATAATTACAAAATACGATAATTAGGGACAGTCAAAAGCAGATTCTAACCTGTAAACAAGAGGGGAGCTTCTGCACTGTGGTAACATGATCAGTATAATGAGGCCTGTTGGAGAAAACCACCAGCCTTTATCTGACCTGTGCTTCTGCATTAGTTTTACTATTTTATTTAATTTCATAAATATCCCCATCACCAGGTCAATGAGAAGATCAAATGTGCACAAGCCAACATTGCGATCCAACTGCAATCCAACATTGCAAGTATTTAATAAATGTCAGTCTCTTTCTATTATTCCTTCTCCAAATTATTCTAATTCTGACTTTAAAGGAATATTTTCCTTCTATTGCTTAACAAATAATTGAAGTTACCAAATAGCAGAAGTATGAATTTGTAGTTGGAAACAGAAAGCAGAAAAAATGAGTCATTATTTTCTACTTAGATTTATAGGCAGTTGATCACTCATATATGGCATACATATACTTTCTTTTCATTAGAATTATATCATGAGACAGTTGTAAGAATAAAGACATATCACACAGTGGAGAATCAAGTCAAAATTATTGAATGAAATATCTCATAACTTGCAATAAAGAAACTCAACCAACAATTTATGGTAAAATTCAGATATGAAAATATATTTGAATAAAATGGGGAGAGTTTATAATTTTCAGTTCATCATGGAATAAAAACCTGCCATCTATAAAGATATTTCCACATTTAATAATCTTAGTGATGTTCTTTGTTCTTATAAAAAATAAAAGAGTAATAAAAGAAATAAATTACTAAGCTAGTAAGTTATGCCACTATAATGAATGAAAATGGAATTATCTTGTTGAGTTGAGGATCAATATTATTTATTACCAGATGCTCTACTGATAAAGCTGATAATGTAATAATCAGGGAAGTAAAATTCACAAGCAGTTTCACACGTTTTCATCTCTCCTCATAAATTTAATTTATTGTAGCTTTACCTGATACACCACCTTCTCAATTTAGGCAAAGTCCACGGGACATATTATTTAGTATAACTTTAATGCAACTAAATCCCACCATTATACAAAATCTATAGCACATACAAAGTAGAAGAAAATCACGATCATAAGAAATAAAATAGACTACATAAGAAAATCATTTTAAATGTTTCATATTGCTATATGAATATGTTATGTCTCCATCTTACTCTTCTCCTTTTATCAACCTGTAACAGCTTTTTGTTCCCCTTCCCTATGATCTGGATTTGACCAATTCGCTCCTGTGTCCAGACTGATCTTGCTCCCACATGTATCTTATATAACTCTCACACTCTCGTTTCTCTCTAAACTCATTCTGACTTTCTAATGATGACAGGTTTCTGCATCTTAGAATTAACCCAAATTTGTCCATTACAGAGCAACAATTGTCTTTTTCAAAAAATCCTTTCTCAGCCAAACTATTCAAACTGCGGCTTATCTACTCTCTTGAATATTAATCAATACTTCTTTTCTTTACAGTCTGAAAGGTGGCTCATTGACCTACCACTCTATCAAAATGGAACCTTCTAAGAACAATATGCAGGTCAAATTCCAAGACCTTCTCTCAGACCCCAGCTTGGTTAACTGGCAGCAGTATTTGCCTCCGGAGATCATTTTTCCTAGAAGTCTCTTCCTCCCTTACTTATTAGAGCCCTCTGCTGTTTTTATTTAGGTTCTTGAGCTTCTCCTCTCTTACTCTCCTTTTCATTAGACAGTTGATGGTTTCAAATATTGACTGTTTTCTATTATGTTAATTACTCCAAAATTTTTGCCTCAAGTCCTTGTCTTGCTTGCTCCAAAATTATTATAGTCTGTATTATTTTAGTACTTTTTTTTTTTTTTTGAGACGGAGTCTAGCTCTGTCACCCAGGCTGGAGTGCAGTGGCGCTATCTCGGCTCACTACAAGCATTGTCCCCGGGTTCATGCCATTCTCCTGCCTCAGCCTCCCGAGTAGATGAGACTACAGGCATCCACGACCACGCCCGGCTAATTTTTGTTGTATTTTTTAGTAGAGACAGGGTTTCACTGTGTTAGCCAGGATGGTCTGGATCTCCTGACCTCATGATCTGCCTGCCTCGGCCTCCCAAAGTGCTGGGATTACAGGCGTGAGCCACTGCACCCAGCCCAATTTTTGTACTTATAAATGTGTCACTGGTCCTTTAGTATTTCACAAATTGAGTTCACTGTCATCTTCCTTTCCAGTTTTGGTCCCGCTTCTCACTTTCTTATACACAATGATGTAACCACAACCTCCGCATCACTCATACTTGAAACTCTGGCAGAGTCTGGTTTATTTTTCTCCATTACTCCTTTATCTCATCAAATGCCAAATCCCATGAATTCTGCTACTATGTTTGCTATCATAGCTGTTTCCATATCACCATTCCTACTGTCACTGACTAGCTCCTACTCTTCTGACATCTCCACTGGACCAAAGAAATAGCCTCCGAAGAGGCCTTCTGCCTTGCATTCTCTCCTTTTGTCAAATCACTGGCACACAGCCATCAGACCAATTATTCTAGAAAAGTCAGATTAAAACTCCTATGCTCAAATGCATTCCAAATAAAATCCAAGATCCTTATATCAACATGACCATCCATGAACTGACTCCAATGTATATTTACAACTTGTTTCCTGGTACTATCTCATGTATCAGGCAAGCTGAATTCCTATTTGATTACATCTTGTACTTTCATTCCTACTGCCTAGCTCATGATGTTGCATTAATTCTGAAAGCCTTGTCCTCATCTCTGTAGTTTCATTCACTACCCATCTTTCAAGCTCTAGCTCAGTGTTATTTCTACACAAAGACTTCTATGCTTGAGTTATCATTTCTGGAATGATTACTATATGCAAAGCACACATAGCTCTATGTGTGTTAATTATTTCACATCAAACTGACAACCGCCCTTAGTTTTAGATGGGATACAGGGTCTCAGAGGATAAGTAACTTGTCCATGGTCTCACAAATAGTAAATGATAGGTAAACCTGGGGTTCCAACTAAAACTTTCTGACTCTAGTTAACCATCGTACCTTGCCCTCAACTTCATGCCCTTTGTAAGACCTTGAACTTGATGTGTTCATCTCTTATTATGTTTTTCACTGTGTATCTCATTTAATAGTTTTCAATTTGCATGTCACATTTGCTAACCACTTGATGGATGATCTCAGGAAAATTAATGGTGCCTTTAGGTAGTAAATAGTCACTTAATAAATGTTTGTGCCTGCATAGATGACTATATAGTTCCCTTATGAGAAAATTTAGTATTTCGTTCTACTCTTTACTTTATCACATCTAATATCTTCCCATCAAGTGTCAACATCTTCAGTAATCTGTAGTTTTAAAATCAAATGGAGATGTATTCTTTAGGGCATTATATTTCACGATGCCTCAACATTATCCTGTTATTCTAATTAGGTTCAACTACAATCTCTCAAACAATGCTTACTGCCACCTCTGTTCTTTGCTGCCAATGTTTCTTTTTCAGTAATGTCATCTGTCTCTTCCCAAGTTATAACTTATTCTTCTTTCAAGGTTCAGCCAAAAAATACTAAAAGATGTCTTCTAGAGGTAAAGTAATGTTCTATCAATTAAAATTTTGATGAGAATGATATTATTATGTTTATATGTTATTCAGTGTCAAATCTTCACAGAGTCTAGAATTCCTGCAGAGGTTCATGTCTTATACTGCAAAGCTCTAAGCACATTATTAAGCACATGGTAGATACTTTAAACTAATGGCAGTGAGTCCTGTGAACTAAAATTATTCTCATATAAGGTACATTAGATAAGTTACTTTATTATCATAATTAAATAAATTGGTTAAAAATGAGCGCTTTAAAAACAACTTTTTCGCATACTATGTAGGCCTATTCTAAGAAGTTGTTCCTATTATTTCAACCAAAAATCCAAGATAATTTATTTAGTTACAATTTAGAATTGGCCTATAACATAATAATATAATGGGCTGGGTGGTTAAAAGGGGTTTTGTCAATGAATATTGAGGTAACAATTTTCCCTAGTGCTTACTTTTCAAGATGGTAAAAGCATTCCATTTTACATCTTATGTGACCTTGTTTTATCCACATGACTTATATTTGGTGAGGACATAGAAATGCATTCAGCAGCTGCATACAAAATACGTGTGCAATAGTTTGTCATAAGAATTTAACTTTTAATGGAGGTAGACACTGCTTCAAATAGGCTAAAACATGCACTATATAAAAAATCTTTACATTTGACTTTATGTTATCCTTTCTTCACTTTGCATTGAACTATCAATTCAAACAAAACAGTGAAACTGCCTTTTAAAACATGAGCTCTCGAGGAGGCAGAGCATCACCTAACTGTATTGTTTCTGTGGTTTACTAACCCCAGCTTGGTCCCTTTTTATATTCCTACTGCTCCAAACTGAGAAATGGACAACCACAGATGTACAGGCCCAAAGGGTGGAACCAGGTATAAACAATCCTGTTTGCCTTGTTTTTCCTAAAAAATGTATTCCTTTTAATTCTATCTGTGGAAGAAAAAACATCACAGCCACTTTAACATGGTATGTTTTTAAACAATCAGAGTAAGAATCAATACATTTCTGAAGAGAACATTTGTCTAAGCCAATTGATCAGATGTGCCTTCGATAAACTCAGAATTTCCCAAAGAAAATCAAAGTTTGGTTCACCGGGAAGGTGGGGAGATAAGAAAGAATTTCAGGCACATACATTTCTGTGATGGTCTCTGGAAGATTTGTGGGGATCTCAGTGAGACCTTTCCCACGACAGTCTACGATATTGTTGCTACAGGTACAGGCGGCAGGGCAGTGCAAAACACTACAAGAAGGAGCCATAAATGACTGGTGACCTAAAAAAGAAATAAACAGGAATTATATTTTTCCTCCTGAATATCATAATTGTGAAACAGACAAACTTAGCTCAAGTAACAAAGCATTTCACATAAATAAATCTCTTTAAATACATGATGATAAAATGGTCCTATATTTCTAAAATATATTTTAGGAGGCATGCATTTATATATTCAGGTCAATAAAGCAAATGAGAGGAAGTAAATGAGATTCTAAAAACTGGTCATAAGACTGCTAATTTTTAAAACTTGTGAGAAAAGCTAAATTCAGTTTTAAAATCAGAATTACATTCAAAACTATTCTAATTTCCAAAAGCCCAGCAACTTCAGACTAATTTATCTTCATTCCTAATAAGATTAAATAGAGCTTGGTCTTTATCAAATTCATGCAGCTTTATTTACTTTGTAATTTCTTTTAAAAAAGAAAACAAAACAGTAGTACTTCCATCAGAAGATAATTGTTGCTCAAATTAAATAATCATATGCCAATAAATGTGGGGAAAAATTAGATAAGCCAGAATTTGATGTCTTGATAGGTTCAAAATTATCAATTTATCTGAAATCATAATAATAATTTGTATAAAGTCATCTTATTGTTAATAAAAAATTATTCTTTTGGGGGCTTTGGGTAATTTTAAATTTTGGTATAAGTAGCTCCCTTCCTGTGTGTACTTTTATTACTCAATATTTGGAACAATTTTTAAATGAGACATTAATGGTTGAAAGGTGAGCAACAGAATATCAGCACAGTTGTATTAAATAAGCATCTGGACATGCATGGTTTCTGGAAGACAGTGGGGACTGCCCTTTCCAACCTGCCAGGAAAGGGCCCTAGTGGTGGTGACGTGCCAGGAAGAGGCTGCAAGCCAGCTGCTAATTCTATCCCTCTAAACAAGCTCTTAAACTACAAAAATATCCTCGGTCTAAAAAAGAAATGTGAACTTGCCTTCTTCCTCATCTAGAAAACAGAAAGGAAAAAGTGAAGAGAGAAAAAAGTGGTTAGTAACGAACTGTTAGTCATTTCATTATTTAATTTTTTAAAAAAGCAATCAGACATATTGAGAACATTCCATGATATTATACAAAAATTTTTCTTAGGTTATAAAACATGTGAAAAAACACAAACAAGGGTCTAAAATATAACCATTTAATAGCATCAAGTACTAGTCATGTCTCCCTACCCTGCCTTTAAAAATCTGTGAACTACTTACGATGCATTATACGTTTCTTAAAATTTTGTTTTGTTGTATTTTGAACAGATACTTCTGAAGCTGAAGCAGAACCAACCATACATATATATATATACACACACACCCACACATATATATACACATATACAAATAAGATACTATGTATGGGGGTGTGTGTGTGCATGCACGTGTGTGTGTATATATGTAATCAAACCACTTCTATTGAGATCCCTGGACTCAACTACATAAACTTTGGCAAGGATATTCTTTTTCACAGCATTTGAATCTCCAAATATAGAGATAATATTACATTTCTCATACAGTTGTTATAAGGGAGGTGAAGTGAGGTAAATATATGTGAAATACTTAGGTTGGTGCTTAAGCATATTAAAAAACTCAGTAAACGTTAGCTATTGATTGATATTAGACACAGCCTATGTCTTATTTATTTATTTATTTATTTTATTGATTTATTTATTTTTTGAGACAGAGTCTCACTCTGTTGCCCAGGCTGGAGCGCAATGGCGCGATCTCGGCTCACTGCAAGCTCCACCTCCGGGGTTCACGCCATTCTCCTGCCTCAGCCTCCCGAGTAGCTGGGACTACAGGCGCCCACCACCATGCCTGGCTAATTTTTTGTATTTTTAATAGAGACAGGGTTTCACCATGTTACCCAGGATGGTCTCAATCTCCTGACCTTGTGATCCGCCCGCCTCAGCCTCCCAAAGTGCTGGGATTACAGGCGTGAGCCACCACACCCCGGCCTATTTTTTATTTTTATTTTTTGAAATGGAGTTTCTCTCTTGTCACCCATGCTGGAGTGCACTGGTGTGATCTCAGCTCACTGCAATCTCCGCCTCCCAGATTCAAGTGATTCTCCTGCCTCAGCCTCCCAAGTAGCTAGAATTACAGGCATGCACCACCATGCCCAGCTAGTTTTTGTATTTTTAGAAAGGACGGGGTTTTGCCATGTTGGTCAGGCTGGTCTGGAACTCTTGACCTCTGGAGATCTGCCCACCTCTGCCTCCCAAAATGCTGGGATTACAGGCGTGGGCCACAGTGCCTGACCCTATGTCTTATTTTTGTTTTTAGATGTTTGTTATTAAAGCTGGTCATTTAATATTTGTTTTAAGTAAAACTGAACCATTAGTATACATGTATGCATGAAAAGTATTTTGTTACTTTGCAACTATGGCTGAATTGCTCTTTGAATTTCATAGCAGGGATCCAGGATTAGCTAATCATTTTTTTTCAATTGTTAACATAAAAGTAGCTATAAATTGTTACTTAATGGGAAAATAAAAAATCAAAAGTAGAATCATCATTTAGCGATTTTCCATATTTTCCCCTGGAGTGAAAACTGAAAAGTGTTTTATCATAATTTAGATACAAGTAACCAGTACTTGCCAACCGATATAGTGAGGTCTCAGAACATATTTTCACTGAAAAAGAGGATCTCTGTAGAGTGATTAGTGCACAATTGAACATTAGTGAACAATACTGAAACCTTTGACGCATGCAGCCCTCACATTCTGTTACATAACAGGATACAATAAACACAATAACATCACTCTTCCTTCTCCCTTACCACTGCAGACAAATTCTCGTTTTTGAACCTCGGCTACATTATGGCCTCTCAGGTGGGAGGGGCCCATACACTGAGTGTACAGACCAACCCGAGGCCTTTGGCGAAGCCAGTCGGAGAGCCAGGCCAGGTGGCAGTCACAATACAGGTTGTTTGAATGCAGTCGACTAAATGAGAAAAAAAGAAGTGTAAAGCAAGAAAACAGAAAGTCGTTATTTCATTAATATATACCTGTATTTCTTAACATAGAAGTAGATAAAGCTAAGCAGATTCCAATATAATTATTTTTCCTAAAAATTAAACTGATGTACAATCACAGAATCAAGTCTCTCTTCATTTAGTCTGAACTGAGCAATTTATAGAAGCTTGAATATGTCCATAAAATTATGTTTTAAACGAACATATTTCACTTACGTTCATTTAAAAGAGGAAAGAGAAAAAAATAAGTCCAATGCAAATTGCTCCACAGTTCCAACATCCTGAGAGCCAATGGGGGTGGGGTGGGAGAATGGGGAGACTGGGCGAGGGGCAAGTTAGTAAAAGTTGTGGCTCCCAGTTTGAAATATCAATAATTCCTGCCATTATGAGTCTCTATAGAAACCGCTTATAAAACCTTTGCAGCAGGACACTTGCATTTTTTGCTGAACAAGACAGAATAATAATTCAATATAAAACACTTTTTTCACACCCTTATTCTCATTTCCTTCTTTTGTTGTTTAATCACAGAAAAGGGATTAGCTCCTTTGGCTCCTGGAGACCTAGCCTCAAAGAGCAGGGACTGAAATTAAAAGGCACAAATGTCTGGGAGTGAAGGAATTAAGTGAGTCGCTCTATGTTGGCAGGATCCACACAAGATCATGGATTGCTTCCAAGTGGCAAATAGCACTTCTCCATTAATAAAATATCAGACAAATGTATCCACTAAATTAGGTAAATGACTTCAAACTGGCTTTTATGTTTTCTCAAACTAAAGAAAAGGACATCCAAAGCTATAAATCAAAGCACCATTCCCAGAACCATCTATGACACAGTAATACCATTTTAGTCCTTTTAAGCTGATGTGTTCAATTCTAACCCAATAACAGTAATGGATATTAAAACATGGAACTCAGTCCAGAAAGATAATTAGGCTATAAAAATGGAATTTTTAAGTAGCAATGATACTATAGAATAATGACCCAACCAAAGCAAAGGAATTTCAAGTAAAATGGCTGCTTTGCATTCTCCTTGAGCTTATAGATAAGGAACACAATGTTTTGCTTCACAACTAGAAGGCGTACCACAGAACAAAAAGCTACATTTTGGGAAAGATGGGTGACCTCTTGCTCGGTTTGCTTGGAAGTTGAAGTTCTGGCCTTTGGAAGCCACAGAGGCACATTCCATATCCTTGTACTCTAAATATTTCCGTCTAAACCAAGCACATTATAAAAATTCCAATTAGGAACTTGAAATGAGAAAAGAATGTAAAAATGGAAAAACCTGATTAGTAAGACAAACTCACGAATTTCTACAAGAAAATAAGGGACACTGTCAAAAATTCAGATGAATGTTTTTACAATTTCATTGGCTTTGTTTTTGCAAAGATTGAAAGCTTGAATCAATTTCTTTTTAAAAAAAATACCTGAAGTTACTGGGAAATTATAGTTTTGAGTGAACTAGGCTGTTAATTCTGTCAGATTAGTCTTATTCTGATAGCCCCAAGAATGCAAAATTTAGCTATGTCTGTATACTTGTAGAATTCCTTTATTTTGCTAAATAATATTCCAAGGAAATTATAATGATGTGTTATTATGTACAGAGTTGGATTTCAGTAAGAAAAAAATGACATTAAAATTGGTATTACCTAGTTCATTAAAAAGATGGTAATTCAAAATTTTTATTAAGAAAATAAAATTAATATTTTCCAGTTACAAGCTATCAGAAAATGAGGAGTATTTTGAAAATCTAATCAAAATATATTTACCCAACTTAAAAACACTTTTTTTTCAAGAAGTTTGATGCTTTGGTTTTGCTTCCAATCATGTCCTACACGTTATATGTAATATATTTTTTTAGGTCAAGGTGATTCTGAAATTCAGTTCAAATGAGATTTACCTCTGATATTCTATAACTTAAAGTCCACCCTGGGCTTTAAAGATTTTAAAGGCTACTCTGGGCTTTAAGGATTACTTTTTCTTCAAGAGAAAAGAAACAGCTGTAGTCAATACTTTATTAGACCAAAAATATCTTAATGTCCATCTGTAACCCAGAAAGATATTTTTAAATATAAATGCTGACACAATCTTAATTATAGAAGTACTAGAGGGTGATGCTATAATTTCACGTTATAAGGAATGTTGAAGAACCAGTTTAGCTTTATTAGGTCTGCTTGCAGTACAGTAATAAAATCATAAAGATTTCCCATTTATCATTTCTGACAGCCAATCAAGGAGTCTTCCATTTCTTAATGAAATGTGACCTCCACAATAGCTCAAAGTAAATGTTGTTTTTTTTTAACTCCAAAGTTTCCATAATGCATATCAGTTAAAAGAAATCTTTCCAGTTTCTAGAATAATAGCTCATTCCCACAAATATCATATCTAGTCTTTTCCAAAGTTGGGTTTTCCTTGTCTACCTTGTAAACCAGTGGTCCTGTCCTTTGCTTACTGAACATGCTATTTAAGGGGAAGCTTTAATTGATTAATATGACTTTTACATATATTGTGACTACTTACAAAGTCCTAAGTTTAGGCATATGGTTGAAACTTGCCACAGAAAGTCTAGTAATGTTGTTATTGTTGAGAGTGCTGTAGAATTAAAAAGAAAAGTTAGAATTTTTAGATACAAAATTGATTGATCATTTTATATATTAACATAGAGAAAACGTCTTGTACTATGCTTATGCAGGACAGCTACCTGGTAGAGATGACATAGAGAATGCACTACTCTATAGACAAGTTGATAAATAATTTCATAATTTAACATATTACTGTACATTTTGTTTTATTCAACATTTACTACAAATTTATGGCTTCATTCATAGCATGTTTGACTATTTACATTCTACTTTATGTACCTTGTGCATGCATGTCTATTTAGGATATTGGTTAAGAAATAAACACGGGATAGTTACAGTTGGAAAATATGCCCAATTACATTTCCGTAGAGTGGCATTATGTGTAATTAGTGTCCATGAGTCAATGAACGTATTTGAATTAATATTCTTTTACTGATTTCTCATAGCAACAATACAGAATCATTCGTGTCAGGCTTTGGAACAGAGTCCTGATAACTATTATTTACCGCAGACATCAGCCACTGCTGAAATTTGAGTGGAAACAGCTATATCTACATCTGGTACTTGCACCAGGTGGGGATGAAGTAACTTGCTGTAGCACCGTGTTAAAAGATTAATCCATTCTAATGGTTTTTAGTTGCAGTAGCATATTCACCTTTGTTTACTGCTGTGTGGCAGCAGTCATGCTTTCTTGAGGTAGCAGATCCAGGAATATGTGTGGTGAAGAGTTATTGTGAAAATAAATAACATCCTTACTTTTCCCCCAGTGCAACTTTGTTAGTTTTATTATTATTATTATTGATTATTACTACTTCTATTACTACTCATTCATTCATCAAATATTTCCCAAATGGCTATTATTTTATGGTAACATGGAGTATTATAAAAATAAATCAGGCATATACTCTGTCCTAAGATAGCATACAGTCCAGCTGGGGAGATGATTGGACAAATTACAAAAACTAATAAGGCTAACATATGAGCTTTCATCACCCTTCAGAAAAATCTGGTTGTGATAAGAAAGTGGTAGAAGTTATCCCGGGGGGTATACAAGTAAAGTGTAGACATGGAAAGCAATTCTAAGACTGGGAGAGACTAAAGGTACACATTGAGGTGTTGACTAAAGAAGGCAAGTTCCTCTGAAGGAGGTAGGAGAAAGAGCATCAGTGGTCCTGTTGGATGAAGTTGATACTGGACAAGGATTTGAATTAGGGGTTGCAAGTTCACTGCAGGGCCTGAGCAGAGAACAGAAATGAGCGAAGCAGGCCACGTGCAAAAATATACAATGATGGGCAAGAGAGATGGAAGAAAGCAGACATTTGGGGAATGTGAAGAATATGGTAAGCTAGCAATGATAGTCTCTCTTGTGGCAGATAATCTCCAGCTCCAATGGACTACTGACCTGCTGTAAGGGAGGGCTGTCAAACAATCAGATTTTCCAAGGGAAGCTAGAGATAAAAATTTTTAGATCTTTCTAATGTTTAAATAGTGGCAACTAATTAAAACATTTCAAACAGTCTGTAGACCGCTTATGTTTGAGCTACACAAAATATATTTTTGAGGCCACTCTGGGCCAGTTGGTGGCTGCGGTTATTGATGGTGCGTTCAGAGGTCAAGAGATTGACAAAAACTTTTCAGTAAAACAGGGCATGTCAGCTAGAGACCCAGATCATGCATGGACCCTCTTTACCACCTTGTTTTGCAATGTATTGAATTATATAAGAACTATTCTAAGTCATTTGAATTAAGTCACAAAAAATAAACCACTTTATGGGGGACCTACAGAGCACTGGATTTGTTGGCTCAGTTTACCTAAGAGCTTTTAGCATTTTCCTATGTGCAGGTGAAATGAGATGTCTTTTTCAAATGCCATTAAAATATATCCTGATGTTTGAATGCAAAGGTTAAACTTCTCAATGGGATTTGCTTTCAAATGATCCCTTTTCCCATCCTCAAAATTTATGCTGACTTAATATGGCTAAAATCTTTATAGTATATAGCATTCTGAAATATGACTTTGGGAATAAATTGTTTTAAGTACTACACAGAGAGCAGACATGCATTAATTTTGAACTATAGTTTCTTATATCTCCATGCAAAGGAAAACTTTCATTGAATGCCAAAAACTTCAGTTATCAATTTGAAGTCTTTTCTCAAAATGTTAGTTCACATAATGCAACTAAAGGAATACATTATCTTAGTATTTTATTCTGTACTGATGCTGGAAAGAAGTACTGATACTGATACTCAATGACTGAAAAATATGCAGAACCAACAAAATTATTTTTAAAATTAATAATAAATATAAGTGTTAAGTATGATTACTTGTGTATGTTATGGTTATGGTCAACTTCCATTCTGAAATAATGGAAATTTATATATTGTAATTATTTAGTTGTGAACATTTTCTCCCATGTGTAAGTCTATTTCTGTGCTCAACTTCAAGATTTTCTTTGTAATGAGTATTCTAATACAAAAGACATCTTGATGTATAAATATTAGCCTGTATAATCATGGAGCACCTCTCACACTTGTATGTTGATTTAGTCATCTTATTCCCTTACCACCATGCATATCGTTTGGCAGAGTTTGGTATTTAGTGGATATGAATCACTACAATTAAATTACACTAAATTATGTTCATTCTGTGAAAAAGAAAAATAAACATGTAAAAGCAGCAATTCAAGGGATATATTTCATTTCTGAGGCCAGTGTCCAAAGAAGGGAAAATACTGATCAAGATTTAGTTTCCAATGTTATTTTTGAGATGGTATCTAAATATTAAGAAAATATGCAGTTACTTCTAAGTTCTACAAATCAGAATCTGACAATAAACCAGTTCTCCGTGAACGTGCAAGTGTTAAACTGCTTCCTTGCTTTCATCCACCTTAGATTTTCACTTGACTTCTTGGACTCTGTTCACTCTTTGTACGCTCATATATATCCTAATTTGATACTTTTCATCAATGACCAAGGGCCATTACCTCATTTTCTCCCATCTAGCTTCAGTATAGTCATACATTCACAAATGGCTCAAGGAATTAAAATTTTAAAAAATCTAAAACCCTTGGAATCTGAAATTTAAGGCAATGTGTAAGTTAATGTTCCTTCATTATTTCCACATAAGACAGTACATCCTAAAGAGTCACGAATGGTAAAAATAAGCAAAACAGACAGTCATCTTTCTAGAACCCTTCTTCATGCAACCTCTCTTAAGCTCTTGACCAAACATTTGTAATAGGTAAACTTTTGTTGTATTTCACAAGTGATTTGGGCTTCATAAATTATCGTCTTTTCAGTGCTCCAATTTTGCCTTAAGTTATTTATCAACTGATTTTTCTAGGGGTTGTTTAAAGTATGAGGATTGAAAAAAAAACATTTAAAGTAATGTCTGATCAACTTTATAAAATTTTAATATAAAATATTTCAATCTTTTTAGAAGAAATTTACATTGTCTTCTATCATATGCTAATTTTTATTATTTCTTCAACAAACAAACTCTGACCAATATATACTTCTATAAGATGTATATATTAAGGTCCTCAAAAGAGTTTCCAAGATTTTGGATTTCTATTTTAATTCCATGAACCATAAAATGTCACCCTTTGGTGTGTTGCCTCATTCTTGCTAAAGTCACTTTTTAGATATTTTGATTAATCATGACGATCAAAATGTATGAGATGATTGTGTTTTCATAAACGTACTGCTTCTGAAGACAACGATATTAGTTTATAGAAAATAATCAAATGTAGTTATTGTATTTGTGGGTAAAAGATTTCAGTGCCTAGCATAGTGTTCACTCTACCTTGTAAAATATACACAGTAGGTATTCGATACATTTATGTGTATATATACATATATTGAATAAATACAGTGAAGAACTACATCTGAAAACTTAATAACAAGGTAATTTATGGGATTTAATTCATCCAAGATAGCAAACTTTGCATAAAATGATTGGTATCATTCATATTTCTAGTTAGGAACACTGGTTTAATAATACATTTTTGGCTTGATCAGCTGTTTGATTAAATTTGGTAGTCTCCTCATCTATGAATTTTAGTGACACTGACTATGGTTTTGCCATGAAACCACTACTGTGAAATCATTCTAATTATTCTGACTCTGAGATACCATCAGTGAGTTTCGTATATTAAAAATGGTTCTGGTATACAATTTAAATAGTGGTCTTAAAGCTAAAATGTATATGATAAGCACTTTGAATATTTTTCCGATAGAAACTTAGACCATTATCAATAGAAACAAAGGTGGCCTCTCCTGTTGTTAGAGAGTAGTCTATATTTTTATATTTCACATTTTATCCCAATCAATTCATTCATACAATCTTTTAAAATAATTAATAACAGTACATTACACAGCTGGAAATTCTATTTTCTTGCAATTAAAACCAAAACCATATAAAAATACTGATAAAATAAGCCATTTTAGCTGAAAGATTAATTTTTCAGAATGATATTCCATTCCTGAAACTAGATTTATAAAGTAATGAATTCCTTTTTTGTGGGGAAAAGGAAGGATTTTATGATTTCTCGATAACTTTTAATAAATTGACTAAAAACACCCTAACATTTAATTCAATTATAGATTTCTGACTAAATTTTCTCAAGGATGAAATAAAGCAGAGAAAAATATTTTAATTGGTGGAGGAATTGTAAGTGTATTAAAAAACCTACAAATGTGAATTTTGGCTGAAAAAATTCGAAAAATGTATAGGCGGCATATAATGCTTTAGTAACCACAGTTTTCATTAAAATTTGTAATTTCATTAAAATTACTAAGTCATTGGTCAATAGAGGTTACTTAGTTGCCTCTAACCAATTTTGTCAGTCATGCCTACCCAGGGAGGAAAGGAGGTTGCCAATTATAATTCAAGTCTGCGTGTTGTACATTACAAAGTCAGTGGTGAAGACTTGAAAATGGATCTAATGGGTGGCTTATTAACCTTAGGAAGCAGATTTCAAAGTATTCTTACAAAAATAATGTTAAATCAGCTGGTTAAAAAATTTATTTTTTTAATGAGAAACTGTGTTTCCATTGCCTAACAACGACAAATTATTCCAAGATATCAGCTACTAAGAGGTTTTTTTTTATGTTATTTTTCCTATAAAGTTGATTTTATCTCAATATTTAGCAATGACAAATTCTATGAATCTCATAAAAACATTTATAAGGAGAACATTTGAGTGACCTTACACAATTTTACCTAAATATACAGATATGGTACGCAAGGTTTTGCACACACACATTTAGACTCTTCTCTGTATTCACCATGAGTTATTTAAGGTATCTCTTGAGAGACTATTTTGACAACAAGGTTTTAAGCTAGCAGATAAGCTTCCACATTAGTCCTGTCCAGACACAAAGCCCCCGTTAAAAGAGCAAGAGAAATAGCAGTACTTACAGCACTTCCAGGTCCCGGAGAGCCCTGAATGCCCCATCTTCAATACAGCTGATCTGGTTGTAATCCAGTTGCCTGTTAAAAAGATTAGAAGAATATATGTAGAAGGGATGGACAGTAGCTGGGGTAGGTGATGAGAAGTTTCCTGAAGGGTCTATGATACCCTGGACACACTCACTGAAGTGCCCTCACAAACACACTCATCTGCTTACGAATGTCATAAGCCATTCTCGCCTCTATGCCGCCACTGAAATCTTTTTGTTCTGAACTGTCTGTGCAAATAGCAGCCCTTGGAAAGCTCCAGTAAATAATAACTGCACCTTATATTAAATGCCATAGGAATGCAATTTCATTAGATCAAGAAAAGCTATCCATTAAGAGCTTTCAGCGTCATCTTGCTGAAACAATTTCATTAAGGTAAAGGACTGTAAATCACTTAATGTCACATGCACCCCCTCAGTGACCTAACAGAATCCATTTATCAGAGAAGCCCAGCTGCATGTTAATTTCACTATCCTTGGCATGAGAGAGCAAGACTACTTTTAGGTTTCCTTCTTTTAAAAGCAGTTTTCCTTCAAGGACTCCAAATCGAGAAAGGGAACTGATGTCCCATATAGCTTGCTCTTATTCCCAACCAGAAATACACTTTAGAAAGCTAGTATTTGTTCTATATTAAGTGTCACTATCCTACTAATTCACATTCTTTATCATTATATGCAAATGCTCTGCATTGTAAATACAGCATACTTTTGAGTTAAGGAACTTCCAGAATTATATCGCTCTCCAGAAAATAGGTTTTTAAGTATTAAATAACAATTTTGCTTTTTAAAAAGATGCTAATTTTGGTTAAAGCCACTAAGAAACATATACTACAGGCACATCATAAAAACACTACATGTATCTATGGTAAAAAGCCTAAAAGCTGTATCAGTGAAATTCTAAATAATGCATAATTGAAGTAAATGAATCTTCTCCAATATCTTAAGCACTTATTTGTTAAAATTCATAGTACAAAAAAAGAATGCTCCAAACTTGGTTATGTCTGCTTTTCCTGCTGCTTGTTCTAGAATTAAAATTTTCTTGTTCATATTGAGCCTTCTACTTGGTTGAAATTAACAGTGAAGTACTATATTGTATCTGTACCACACTCTTTTTTTTTTTCTGAACAAGCAGTTGTTTAAATACAGTAGCTTGAATATTAGAGATGCTATTATTTCAGTTAAAAAAGTATTTTGACGTTTCACTTGAGATAGAAACAAAATGTTTCATGGAAGAGGCGAGTTTTCAGCTCTGCACGCACTGGGTGAGAGAATGTGGATGAACAGGAGTAAGATTATGATCGTAATACAAATGCATCCTGTCCTCGTTTCAAGTTCAGCATTCACTGAAAGGGCTAATTCATATTTGAGGTCTGTTCATAAAGAACCGTTTGAACATTTCTATAAAATAGCTGTTTCTCCCACAAGACTACTGAATAAAGGTGCAATGATTTAATCCAGTGACTTTCAGATGGGCCTCTTCAAGTTCCTTACTTTAGAAATTATGTATATAGACAATGTCTCATGAAATACACATCTCATTTATAAGAAGTTCTCTAGGGGACACAATCATACACAAGGCTACCTTGATGTCATGCAAATGGTACAATTTAGGACGTGCACTATTAACAAAGGTGCACCCCAAAGAAGATACAATTTTATTGCCTGTATAAGCCTTAGTTTATAAAACTAAAGTTTTCCCCAAATCATAGCTAACATCCATGCTATTATAATAGCCTAAATAATTTCTACTTATTAAGACATAATGCAGAAGTATTTTATTTTCGAAGAAGACATTTAAAGTCTCATGATGTAATATGGCTGCTGTGGTTCCAAGAAAACACTTACATTCTTGAGCACTTTTGATTTTTACAGATTAAATTCATTTAACAATTAAGTTAATAGCCTTTTTTATTTTAAAGTGCTATATATATATCTACACTACTATTCTCTAACCTCTTGAACAATTTATCAAAGCCATTTAAATTAGTACAATGGCATGAAGTGTTACCCCTGACACACTACAAAAGAGAAATTGTTTCCAGACAAATCGGCAAAATCTTTTAATGCTATCAAATTTGCCTAATGCAGTCTCCAGGTTAATCTGTAAAAGGGTGAGCTGTATGTTTGCCCATATCTTATTATCCTTAGCTGTCAATGTATAAATCAATGCTGACACAGCTTCTTCTAAATCATGCACACAATACACAAAGGGGAACCTCCAGCATGCCAGAAAGCACTCAAGCAAACCTTGTCCTACAAGGAATGGAAGGCCAACTACTTTCCTTACAGGAGCAGAAGTTGAGATGCTGCTGGAAACTTTGGTAATTTCATTGTTCTTTAATATTGCTCATGGTTATACGCTTCTTCATATTCTTAACAGAAATCTAAGCCCTTATTGGTGCTAAAACATTAAGAATGTTTGGTTTCCATAGGACTGAGGTTTTCCTTAAAAGTTCTCTGAATACTGTTATATCTGAGTCCACATATTTCCTGAACATGAAGGTATTTCATGAGGTTACTCATATGAAGGGGCAATCCAAGTTAAACAAGTGAATAATTCTTTCATTAACCTGTCAATTTTTTGATATTCAAAGGAAGGTTTACATAAAGTGTTGTGCTGGTATCACTGCTCATGAGAAAATCTCTCCCAACAGACCTTCATTTGTCTGTATATGGTTCAAGATAAACAGTGTCAAAACTATGCAACAATGTAATTTATTTCAGGGTTTCTGGACTACTTAGCTGCACTCTTTTTGTTTCACCCTGCTCACTCCCTTCTCCACTACCTTTCAAGCCCTGGGTACTTCTGGCTTCTGTAAACAGGAAAGGATCTGTTCTCTGCCATACCTTTAGTGACAGGCTGGCCTTCTTCAGATGTGATTTGCAATTGTGCTACGAAATTATTCTGAATTAAGAAAATAGCCAGAGGAGACTTTTTCACTTCTTCAAAAAAAATATTATGCTCCAACTATTCACTAAGACATAGTGTAAATTTGCAGATCATTAAAGACAGTTGGATGCTAAGGGCAGAAGTATCATAAGTGGTTTATTTCAGACCTTCAGCTGACCTAACTTAGCACATACTTTTGTGTCTTCTCCCTTATTTGCTGACTCCAATCTTCCCTTTGGCTTCTGTTCAAATTCCAAATTACCTCTCTATGTGATCCTTTGCTGTCCAAGTAAATTTGTGTTTTGAAGAACTGCTTTAATCTCACGGAAATGATGGGGTCAAGAATAACATTCATGACCTCGGCTAGGCGTGGTGGCTCATGCCTGTAATCCCAGCACCTTGGGAGGCCGAGGCAGGTGGATGACCCGAGGTCAGGGGTTTGAGACCAGCCTGGCCAACATGGTGAAACCCCATCTCTACTAAAAATACAAAAATTAGCCAGGCGTGGCGGTGGGCACCTGTAATCCCAGCTACATGGGAGGAGGCAGGATAATTGCTTGAACCCAGGAGGTGGAGGTTGCAGCGCGCCAAAATCGCAACTCATGACATTGCACTCCCACCTGGGCAACAAGAGCAAAACTCCATGTCTTAAAAAAAAAAAAAATCATGATCTCTCGGTATTAACATTCTTTTTTTTTTTTTTTATGGTAGGAGGTATATCTTCTGATGCCCTAGAATAACTCTAGATAGTTCATTTTGGTTTTTACCAGCGCTGGTAAATTTAGTCTCACATAATGCAGTGTGTCGATGGGCTCCATATATTAAGAGATACCACTGTATGCCTCACGTGCAAAAAGTTCTGAAGCTCATCTGATTCTCTTTAATACTAAAAATAATTTATCCTAGTTTCAAATTTTGATTTATTCTAGGTATGGGGGACAATATACAATGTTGCTAAATATAAGTTTTAAAAATAGGTATATTAAATGACAAAAAGGTTAAACATTTGCTTACTTGGCATCCTGAAACAGAGATGCTAGTCCATCATTTAGGTTTTCTTAAAGAATTTCCTGCTTTATTCTTTTAAAATATGGATATCACACTGAGTTTGAATTACATATACAACACTTAGGTTAATAACTATATAAAACTGCAGTAATTTCAATTAGTGTGTTCCTACCCATAGCAAATTCATGTTCTACTGCAGCATCCAAGTTATAAGTTCTTATAACTAATAGGTTTTTTTGGTAAGAATTAGAAGACACATAAAATGTGCTTAACAATATAGAACATAACAATCTTTAATAATTTCTAAGTCAATCTGGATCTCTCAATGTCTCAACAAAATTATTATAACTATGCTCCAATTTTGTATTGTTTTGTTTCATTTAAAGTGCTAGAAATAGTTTACTTTATGTTCGTATTATTATTATTGTAAGATAGAAAACTCCAAAAATTTAGTTGACTTAAGACACATCGAAATGGCTAAAATCAATATGAGGGAATAACAATTTTTCACTATTGTAAAGAAACCAAATAAAACATATAAACCACATGGGAGAAAAAGAATAAAAAAGCTGTACATATATGAGCGTGGTCTCTTCTCCTTCTTTCCATATGTGTATAAACTTCAAGTCAATACAAATGTCTATATATCAATATTTATGCCAATCATGCTTTTAAAGAGTAGCCCCAGATATAAATTATGATATAGAGTATAAGAATAAAAATTGATCCATATACATGTACATCCTTGACATAAGTTTCAGCAACTATATCCTTTACCTCTGCATAAAAGCACATCAGTATTAACTTCAAAACTGGTAAAGAAAGCAATTAAGGTATGGACCATTCTGAGGACCCCAAAGTAATTTACATTATGTGAGAATTTAATCCTTTTACAATATTTCAGGCAACAATTTGCTTTTCTCACAGGAATAAAGAATTTCAGTTTTTATAGGAGTAGCCTATGGTATAAAGTTATATGTTTGTCAATTTGGGGGGAAGAAGCAACAGATAGCAGTAGTAGAGATGGGGAGGGAACCTGCTTTAACATCAATTGAGGGAAGGACAACTACATTGACATTAAGTCCTGGGAATTGTAAGTGAACTAATCAAAAGTGGTAGAAACTGAAAATGATAATAATAATTGCTAACGTTTAATAAATTCATAGCATATGGCAGGGTCTGTAGATACGTCATCTTATTATTCCTCATGATAACTTGGGAAGGAGAAATTAGCATCATCCGGATTTTGAGACTATGAGTCTCACAGAAGTTCAATAAGTTATACATGGTATGTAGCAAATAGTCTGTGAAGTTTTCATTGGAATGTAGATGTATGTATTGCCATAACTCCCTCTCAATACATAGTGACTCAGGAAAAAGACTCAGGAACTTTTTGTTCTCCAAATGGAGGTTTCAGCTAAATCAATGATTACTATGGAAGAGACCAGCAGATGAAAAGCACTATAGAATGTCAGAAAAGACAGAGATTACTCTAGGCTGATGTAGTCATGAAAGAAAGGAAAAAAAAAAAAAAACCAAAACCTCAGATCCTCAAAAAATGGATAGAATCTAATTAGACAGAAAATAAAGTGGGTATTTCCTATGGAGGTAATGGGTCTATCAAAGAAGAGTTGTGAGCAGAGGCACTACAATGTTCACAGTGAATATCTGCAACAGAGAGGCCATTCTGGCTTGAGCAAAGAGCTTCTGTACAGATTGAAGGGAAGAAGGAGCTAGGAGCCTGGATCAAAGTCAGAATGCTAGGAGTAGTCAGAATGCCTAAAGAGACTGGATGTTACAGCATTTAATAATCATCTCTGCTCTTTCAGGAAAGAGTCTGTAATTCCTACAGATACTGTAGAACTAGGCAACATTCTGCCTAGTCCTAGAGTTTCTGTATCTAGTATACTATAGACACTATAGAACTGGCAACATTCTGCTCTATTCCCAGGGCTTTGCCATAGTGTCTATAACAAAGGTACTTTAAAACAACTTTTTAAATAAACTGAATACTTTTAAACCCTGTAGTAATAGATAATAAACAATGTTTTATGGGAAAAAATCTGGCAACCTTGTTAAAATTATCTAATGAGAATATAAACTAGAGGTCAAAATTCAATTAGCAGGCTATTTTAAGAGTTCAGAGGTGAGAAAGTGTACTGTTCAGTGTTAAAGATGCAAAAAATCAAAGGTCCATTCTGTATCATAAGAAGACACAGCAGCCATGGCATGATTATGCCAATTCATATTTTGTAAGTATGTGAATTGGATTCCCAATTGCTGAATCAGACTATCTTGTGTTTTGTGTTATTTTGTTTTGTTCTAGAAGGCATTTATGAAGAAATATTGTTAGATTACATCTTTACATGACAAAATGCATTATTGAAGAAAAACTGCTGAAAGCACTCTGAAGACAAAGAAAAATGCAAAGATGGAGAGGTTATTGGTAGCAAACTTTGTCATAGTTGTTGGGGATTATCACAATTCATTGTGCTTTCAGAGGCAGTGCAACCAAGCAAAATACAGAACCATGGACAGTTCCCATAGTACTGATGGGGACATCTGCTGAGCTACTAATTTTTTTATATATATGAATGCCTGAGACAACCCCTTTTTATTTAGTTACATAGGAAATGAAGGTAAGTTTCATTTCAGAAAGGCAATAAAAGACCTTACCTTCATTTACTATCTATCTAAGTAAAAAGCCCTCCCTACAGGTTTGTTCAGAAGGTTCTATACCACACTGAAGACCTCTGGAATTTAAGAGTAAGGATAGCAATCCCTATAAATGAGAAACCAACCTACCATTTGCAGTCTCTTCAGCTTCAGGTTTACTGAAAATACTCTAGGAAAGAGCTAGGGGCACGGACATGTACAGCTGCAATCTGATATCAATGGATTTGAAATAAAATCCAATGAACTAAACAGAAAAACTAACAGATTAAAGAAGACATTTTGCAATTATGACCTAACTTATATGACAAACCTAATGAGGTCTTGCATTTGCCTGGTAAAATTTACATACCCTCTTTTCTCTGTTTGTTACATATTGATTCTATATCAAGTGAGCAACCCTTGCTCTCTTATCATTAGGAATTATGTAGATGACAGTGAAAACTAGAAAACAGATATTTGAAATGAGAAAAAATTAAAAATATGATGAAATATGTAAGCAGCTCTGTGCCTCTGGGATAGAACTGTGAGTTTTCCTTCTATGGGTTCTAATGGAGCCATCGATACAAAACTTGAAAATGACACAGTTCCAGCAGAAAAACAAAATTTCTAACTAATGTAAATAGCTCTGTAACAACACATAGGTGAACTCTCTCTATCCTGTTTGCCAAATCGTTTTATGCTAATAAATAATGTATTCCAAATTGGGTGACTTCCTTCCTAAAATGTCATAGGAATATATATATTTATTTTCCAAATGATATTTTTGCTTACCTAAAGAGAATCATACTGAATCATCTACTGACTTAAAGCCTTGTCTAAAAAGTAATGCATGTACAAAAAAGGATAAATACAAATATTTTCCCCAACATATTTTTTAACCAAGAAGCATTTTGTTCCTGGAAAAGGATTATAAGACTCATGACAGACATAGGGTTAATGGAATTGAGATAATGCAAGCAAACTGGAAAAATATATATTTATTTATGAAGAAAGAATAGTAAAGTTTGATTGGAATAGAGGATGCACTTTGTGGATGTATTGCAAAATTAAAGCAGCAGAAAGCAGGTGTGGTTTACCTCACATAGTACATTTAAAATATGTCCTTTTTGAATTTAATTAATTTAAGTAATCATATTGAACTCACTAAAAAACCAACGGTAAAGTAAATTAGATTTTGTTTTTGTGATGTGACTAAAAACTAGTGATCTAGGTAATTTTAAAGTTTATATATTTGTACCTTTTTTCTTTAATCCTAGGATAACTATAACTAAGAATGTTTTATCATAAAAACAAAAGACTTTTGAAATATTCTGGTACTTACTAAGTACTATTAGTTCTTCAAGAATAAGCTCACAATTCTTGGCAGTAAAGTGAGATTTAATTTTAACATTTTTCTAAATTCTCAATTAATGGAAATGCCTAATAGATACTTGAAAACAAATCAGTGGCACAATGTAACATGACCCTGTTCAATATTTGTTTAGAAGACAGCAAAGGCTTTACTGCATCAGTGTTAAGGCTTTTAAATATATATATCGATATATATAGATATATCGATATATATAGATATATCTATAGATATATATCTATATATAGATATATCTATATATAGATATATATCTATATATAGATATAGATATATCTATATATAGATATATATCTATCTATATATAGATATATATCTATATATAGATATATATCTATATATAGATATAGATATATCTATATAGATATATATCTATAGATATCTATATATATAGATATATAGATATCTATATCTATATATCTACATATATATAGATATAGATATCTATATAGATATCTATATCTATATATAGATCTATATATAGATATATATATCTATATATAGATCTATATATCTATATATCTATATATATAGATATATATCTATATATAGATCTATATATAGATATATAGATCTATATATATATACACACACACACACATTTCTAAAGCAATTTTTCCTAAATATTGGTTACATTTTGGCAAAGCATCAGTTGATAATGATATGCTATCAATACTTAATTCATATTTGTTTTGGGAGTTTAAAAACACAAATGTAAATCCTACAGAAATGTACCACCAGTGACCATTATAAACAGTATAATTTAGTTGATATTTTCATATGACCTTGCTATTCTCACAGCATATCTCATTGTGTAAAATGTCAAGGGAAAAAGTAGTTTAAATTGTGGCTGGAGAAAATAAGGTAGCAAAATAAAATGTAAAAAAATTTAATCGAGTTAAGAAATGAATAGAGAGAAGCAAAAAAGTTATGGGAAGTCCTCCCTGGAGATGTTTAAGAGCAAGATAACTGTCCATCTGTTTAGAATAGTTTTAGTGTGGCTTGCCTGGAGGAAGGGGAATGAGATCTGCTAATCTGCAAAATTTCCACAGCATCAATTTCATATTGTTGGGATACCGCCTTGAGCATATTTAGCCAATCCACAAGATTAAAGCAAATGCTTTTAGTGAAAATCTTGTGAACACTGGAATTTGCTCTAAGGCCTGAATGTGCCAAATCCCATAAACCTGTTACAGTGCATCAGACTGGGCTTTTACATAGTGCTATACAAAATATGGCCTGGGCAGCTTCTTTTTTTTCTCTTTTACTCTCTGAGTAACACTGAACAGTAGCCACAATGGCATCATGCAGGGTTTTTCAACTTGTAAATGGACATACTAGCATGACACATGGGATGAAGTACTGTACCTTCTTCTTACACCAAATACTAATAATATTAATAATGCTAATATTAATGGAAATGTATTGAGCCATGACGATGACTTATGTTCACCAGTTTCACAATAATAGGAATTAAATTTACCCTCAGTTATAATATATTTTACCAGATAGCCTTCGTAAGTTTTCATGATTAAACTTCATACAAACCCCATGAGATTGGAACTTTTCTTGAACAATGTAGTTTGAACTATTTTTTAATCCTAGAAAATGCCTTTTAATGTAAAATTTTTATAATATTGCAGCTGTGATCCTAATTCATAAAATAAACCTATACATTCATTGTGATATTTTAATATTTCCCTCATTGTCTTTCACATTGTTACATGGAAGGCAATGAGAATAGTGGGAATAAATTGTTCTTTTGATCAACATCACTCATCATCCACATAGTTTCTGAAGCCCCTTTTCTTCTGTAGAAACATAAGCTTCCAAAGTTGAAATAATGTAGATGCCACAATACTCAGCTCCCCCCATATTCAGATCCCTATAATTCTTACCACTGCGGCTATTCAAGACACATACTGCTTTGCCTTTAAAAAACAGGGATGGCCAGGTGCATAATCCCAGCACTTTGTGAGGCCAACGCGGGTGGATCATCTGAGGTCAGGAGTTCAACACCAGCCTGGCCAACATGGTGAAACCCCATCTCTACTAAAAATACAAAAATTAGCCAGGTATGGTGGCGGGCACCCATAATCCCAGCTACTCAGGGGGCTGAGGTGGGAGAATTGCTTGAACCTGGGAGGCAGAGGTTGCAGTGAGCTGAGATTGTGCCACTGCACTCCAGCCTGGGTGACAGAGCGAGACTGTGTCTCAAAAAACAAAACAAAACAAAAAAAACAAACTGGGGTTGGGCACATTCCATCCCTTACATTACACACACACACACACACACACACACACACACACACACACACACACACAGACTCCACTGCACTATGGTTTTACTCTTCCAATCTAACCATTCCCTGATAACTTCAAGCGATACTTTTCTGTTTCCTCAGCACCTACAGCCTTTAATGCCTTGTTCACAAATCAAGGTCTTGTGCATATTCATTTAGCACTTTCTATTATATTTTCTTTTTCCATTTTGTAACTTCATGTCAAAATGACCCACAATAGAATAGTCATTTCTAGTCAATATTGCTAATCATTTCATGTTACACTTTCCTGTCTCCCCTTATGATGCATTTTTTAGGGTTAACTTTTAGCATTTGATTAGTCAAATACTTGCAAATGAAATACTGTATTTTCATAGCATTTTACTGTTTCGAAAGGTCTTTCATACATCTTCTTTCCCTAATAACCATACCAAACCCAAATAACTATTGTTTACTTTATAAAAGTAAAAACTGGCCAGGCACAGTGGCTCACACCTGTAATCTCAGCACTTTGGGAGGCTGAGGAGGGTGGATCACCTGAGGTCAGGAGTTCGAGACCAGCCTGACCAACATGATGAAATCCCATCTCTACTAAATACAAAAAATTGGCCAGGCATGGTGGCGAGTGCCTATAATCCCAGGTCCTCAGGAGGCTGAGGCAGAAGAATCGCTTGAACCCGGGGGGTGGAGGTTGCAGTGAGCTGAGATTGTACCACTGCACTCCAGCCTGGGTGAGAGAGCGAGACACCATCTCAAAAAAAAAAAAAAAAAAAAAAGTAAAAACTAAGGCTTAATGAAGCTGACTAATTTGCTCATATCTGCAAGTCCAAAAAATAACAAAACATTCTGAGACTCCAGTCTTAAACTCAACTAACTGCATTAATAATTTTAAAAAAACTCATCTAACTGCATAAATGATAATAAAAAATCTTTAAATTCTGAGAAAAAATTATGCCTGTGGGGGAGAAAAGATTTGAAAACTTTGCTAAATCAACATCCCATTAGATAGAACACTGACTAGCTTCTGTTATCGCTAAACTTTTGAAATCACATGTTTTAAGGATAAATATAAAATATATAAAGAAGAATTCTATCATGACTGACTGGTCCCTATTTCCATGCGTATCCTTAAATGTGGGAGGAGGGCCACTTTTTTACTTGGATTCCCTGAATATCTTAACTAAGAAGATTAAAAGCCACCTGTTTTAAGGAATTAGAGGTAATACTACTGTAAGACTGCAAATAGCATTACTAAGGGATGGTCAACTGCAGCTATTGCCGTATTTTTACAGCTAAGTGAAGGCAACTTAAGTAAATGCTACATAGGAATTCTTGCACACTGTTCTATCCAGGTAGATTTGAACACTGTGTATCATTGAGTCTACCTGAAGACTTCTTGAAGCCCTAACTAGCAAAAGTAAAAAGAAAGCAAATAAAATCATATTAAATTGAGCACCCATAAAAACCTTACAGCCATAGTTTTAATGGCTTTATACATTTATACCTTAGAAGCCTGTAGTTGTCTGTCTTTACCTGTACATTTAGAAAGTGCAAGTTCAAAAAATCATTTACATTAAGGAGAACACATAGAGGCCAAAATCTGTGGCTTTACAAACAGTTGTCTTCTTTGACAAGGGAAAACATCTGTCTTACTTTTGCTACTGAAAAAAAAAAAAAGGCATTGGATCCAACCATGGAGAATTCTGAATATAAGTTAATTCTTGAAAAAGTGCCTGCCCTGTTTATTACTAGCTAAGAAATATTAAATTCCTGACAGTTAATCTCAGCATACAGGGGCTTTTCTCCCCTACATTCCAAACTAATGTAAAAGCTAAGAAAAACATTTATGTCCTAGGATTCATAGTCTATCAAAAACCATCATTTTTAGAAGCTAATATAGTATTTTAAAATTTAGAGAGATATTGATATTATGATTGTCACTGAGATCTTAAATCTGATATGCATCCTTAGAAATAAAGGCACTTAAAAAATGCTTATAATTGAAACACCAGACTAAAGATTTATCAAAGGAAAATACAGAAATGCACTTTCATTTTTTTAAAGGATGCTATAAATACATTCTTTCATGAGGATATGAGGGAAAGTGTAAGAAATACACTCACACAAAGGGAAAGACATAATTTTGTCATTCTCATGCTTTTGGTATTTAATGCAAAGGGTGATCTTAAAACTCTGGAAAAAGCTGTAGCTCTAGGCTACAGGTGTCTCTAAGAAGAAAATATTATCTACTATTTCCAGAAAATAATAGTCCATATTCTCATAGCACTTCTAGTAATCTTGAAAATGGAACATGGCAGAACTGGCCCAACAATAAAACTAACAGTTTTGTTTCTAATAAACACCAACAGCAACTGAATACATAGTTACTGAAGTAAGCTGATAGAAAAAGTGGGGAAAAAACACAAATATCTGCGAATCAAATCACTTCATAGGTTTCAAAAGATTAATCACAAGGATTAAAGAATGAATTTAATGATGGCTTGTTTCCAGACATCTTCTAAATGAGCATCTCGTCAAACAGCTTGTGAAAACAATTGACAACTTACTGTTACAAGGTCTCCTACGCAAGCATAAATATACACAGGGTTTTCACCATTTCTTTCTGACACTTTATTTAATATAAACTTGACTTTGAAAATAGATAATGACTTAAAACACTATAAATTTAAAAATAGATACTTACAAATTTTTTATGTCAACTGCCCCACGGAAAGCTTTCCTTGGGATTGCCTGAATTTGGTTTTCACTGAGATCACTAAAAACAACAACAACAAAAAGGATCACGTTAGAAAATATTATTTAAAGATTATTTTAATCCAAATGTTTGAGAAGTTATAGGACACCAGAAAGAAAAAAGAAAACCCTAAAAGGATCATAATTAAATCCATAGCATTATATGCAGTTTCTAATATAAATATTTTATATTTCTAATATAAATTAAAAAGTTGGAATAATGGCTTCTTGAAGTATGCTTCTAGATCTTTAATTTCATGAGAAACTATAAAATATGGTACTCGTAAATTTAAGAGTCACTGTATCTGTGTAACAAAAACATTTCTTTAAAGAATAGTAAATTGTTCATAATTCAGTTTCAGGGGATTCTGAGGTTTTAGTAGTTTATATTTCTCCAACACCCCTGGCATAACTTATAAAGTATATAGGAAAGCATCCTACTTAATTTCCCAGAGTAGAGTGGGTAAAAACTGATAAAACCTGGACAGTATGATTAAGTTTTCATAGCACTTCTAGTAATCTTGAAAATGGAACATGGCAGAACCGGCCCAACAATAAAACGAACAGTTTATGCATAAAATATTAATAGCAGGTTTACATAAAACCTTCTTTAAATAATTCTATTATAATCATAAAATAGACTGTCTATATTTGCATTTTAATTTAATTGAGAAATACATTTTAATCACTGAACAAAGCACTCTGAGCTGGAAACAGCAGTTTGTAAAAATCGCTCATCTCATGAAATGGATCATTATTTTTCCTTCAGAGAATTCCAATGCCAATTCTATGAGCTCACATAGTATTATTAGCCTTAATGAGAAGAATATAAATATACGTGCAAGAAATATCAATGAAAGCAGAAAATTCTCATCTAGTTTTAAGTAATATTACCACATAGTAGAGTTGAAATAGCAAATAAAATAAATTATTAAAGCAACAATGATGGTATTAAAATTATCTTTAAAATTCTAGGATAACTGATGCTCACAAAGAAATACGAAGCTACTAACCACAGGTGCATATCAGATGAAAACAGAGCCATTTTCCAATATGAGAAGGCATATTGGACAGACTCATCCACATCCTCTCCCCCACTGCTGCTTATGATCTGAGTTTCTTGTTCATACATTTGTGGCCACGCAACAGAGAGAGAGAGAACCGGCAGATACGGAGATTTAGTGTGTGGTCTTGACCTTATTAGCACCAAGTTTTAAGCAACGAAGAATTGCATTTATATCTCAATATCCTCAATGTTTTTTTGCTAAGCAATTCGTAAAAAAAATAAATACTAGTCTATTTAAACAGTAAAGGTCTGTAGCACAACAAATTATTTCAAACAATAAATTTCCAAAATGTGCTTATGTAGGAGTTAAGGCAGCCTTCCACTTCCTTAGTGATGTAGTGTGTTACTGCTTTCAATAGTTTCAGTATATCCCTAAGAGTATTAATCCTTCATTTCCTAAAAAATTGCTTATTTCTCCAGTTTGCCATTGATTTAGACTGACTTCCTTCCTTTGCTTAATTACATCAAGTTAATAATATTTAACAATATATATTTAAAAGCCTCGATGACAGAAACAGTGTTCAGAGAAGGCTACAGAACAAAGAGAAAGCAAAGAGAGATAGAAGACACAAAAATAAGAAAGTAATAAGAAATGAGGAGGAAAACTTTGCATTCAAGAAAATTTGAATCTGTTTACAATGCCTCCTAAAAACCATTTAGTAGTGTTTCTACTATTCTGTCTTCGCCAATTCCATGTTTTCTAATCGCTTATAATTTTCCACTTCAAAGACAAAAAAAAAAAAGCCTCAAAGAGTGTGTAGATGAATAAAAACGGCAGAGGTGTTTGCTCCAGACTTTACCTGCTCCTAGGCTCTGCAGCCTTCCCCTTCCCAACAGCTGGGGCTATGTCATTCCCCACCTATAACCTCAGTTCTGCTCAGTCCCTAGGCACAGTTTTGTCTTAGAGTCATGGAAGTAGAGTGGGCTGGGCGGAAAGTCAGGGAGATGATTTTAGGTGGTTTGTAGAAAAAATTGTGAAATGCACAGTCAGAATGCCGTTCCTTTTAAATTTGATTTTAGTCCTTCAAATTACCTTGACAGAATCCTAGGGCATCAAATAGCTAAATCCTGATAATAGAAATTTTTTGTTTGCAAAAGTGTTAGAGTGTCTTGCTCAGAGCCTCCTTATTCTCTTAAGGCTAATGGTTTATGTGTGGTTGTCCCCTGAGTAGATGGCTCCACAGGCCACACTATGGGGTCTCAGCTCTGATGCCAAGGATTAATTGTGGATCCCAGACTCCTTCAGTTAAGTGGGCCATGTGTACCCACAACAGGAGGAAGAAACTAACAAATTTTTAGTACCTACTAAATGCAATAGTTGCTTTTTAAGCAGAAATTATTCCCTTACTTAAACTCTTATTTCCTTTATTCCTCATAACCACCTTGTAAAATAGATACTGTTTCTTGGTTTTAAAGGAAAGGAAACTGAGTTTCAGAGATGTTTGGTGTTCATGCTAAACAATGAGACAAATTGTTAAAATACATATGTGGAAAACATAGGTAAATATTTAGCCAAGATTTAGGGATTTCTAAAGATGATTCCAGGAGCTACTTAATCTCAGTATGTCCTTCCTATAGTCTGAAATTTAGAAGGCTTTTCCCTAACTCATCCTAGCCTCCGACTTAATTGTTATTTGCAAAATGATGCATTAGACTATGTTTGAACAATGATCTATATTTTCTATATATAGTCAACTGAAGGTTAGCAGTTATTGCAATCCAACATACTGTTATTTAATATCTACTCTATGTTGCAAGGGCTACTGAGTTGGGTAAGGCCAATTTCCTGTCTTTAAGAATTTTCAAATCGAGTAAAGAAGATGAGGCGAATATCAAACAGAAGGATGAATAAAGTGAATTAAAAAAAATACTGACAGTCAAAAAAAGCAAGAAAGCACTTGGAATAAGAAAAAAAAGATTATGTGAATGTGTCAACACATAAAAGCGGATGGGCAGGGGAGGAACGGCAAAAATCAGGGAATGGAGGTGGAAACACACTGCATTTTTTATGCCAGTAGTTTGTGGTCTGGTTTCCTAAGAGGGTACAACGTATGCAGTGGAATAACAGGAGAAGGGGTGGAAAGGACAAATCAATGGTGCGCTGAGTGAGACATTACTGACAGCAGTGTGCTGTTCTGTGAACTGTGTGGAATGAGCAAAATGAGTCAGAACTACTGAGTCAGTGGGATGGAGCTGCCGAGGGAGGAGTCTGTAATTATATCACCAGGTAATAGAGTGTAACAGTGTGTTTCAGAGGAAGAAAATGGCTTGATTGGAGTTGATTTTTTGGAAGATTAATCTGGAAATTGAGTTTCAGATTTTTTCATACCAACTGGGGAATGCATCCTTATTTCAGCAGACAATGATGTGGAGAGGAAGGTGATAGTCGGGAGGAGGACACGGGTTCTTCCTTAGATTAACTAAACTGGCAATGGAATTTAGGACAGATACATGGGGTCAAAGGTTCAAATTTAGTTTATTGAATTTGGAAGACTAGATAAAGACTTATATGACAGCAGGGGAAAAGACAATGAGAACCTAAAGCAACCATCAACCATCAATTCATTGCTTCCTTACTCTGGGACAGTGCATGAGGCATGTCCACACTATAAACAGAAAAAATAGAGAAGACTAACAGTGATATTAGGGATGCATGAAGAACCAAAACTTAGAAACAGACTGCAAGTAAAGATGGATTAGGTAAGGGACAGAGAGGTCACAGGGGTCACTCTGAAGTTAGATGAGAGGACCATTAATGAAGTTGGGAAATCAAAAGAGCAATTTGGAGTGCTAATTATGATTATGGTTTTGAAATTTTTTTTTTTTTTTTTTGAGACAAAGTCTTGCCCTGTCTCCCAGGCTGGAGTGCAGTGACGCCATCTCGGCTCACTGCAAGCTCCACCTCCTGGGTTCACGACATTCTCCTTCCTCAGCCTCCCAAGTAGCTGGGACTACAGGCACCCGCCACCAAGCCCGGCTAATTTTTTTTGTATTTTTAGTACAGATGGGGTTTTGCCTTGTTAGCCAGGATGGTCTCAATCTCCTGACCTTGTGATCCACCCGCCTCGGCCTCCCAAAATACTAGGATTACAGGCGTGAACCACCGTGCCCGGCCTTGAAAATTTTTTAAATCTAGTTGGAGAGATGTGAGATATACATATACACACACACACACACACACACACACACACATATATGGATATACGCACACACACATATATATATATATATATATATATATATATATATATATATATATCACAGTTTGAGGTCAATGAAGATAGTTTATGGTAAGTAAATTATGAGTGGTATCTGAGAAAGATAATCAAGGACACAGATCAAAGAAGGAACAGTCATTGGCGGCTTGGTTGACCCAGGCCACCTTCCAAATCAAATGAGATCTTATGTGAAACTTGTTTAAAACTGATTAAGCTTGGTAATTTTCAGCCTTCAACGCTGGGGAAAGAGGTGGGAGGTGGTGGGTGGCAGGAATTGAAGGAGGGAGGCAGCTTGTCAGAGCAATTGAGAACACTGACTTCAGGGCCAGATTATCTGAAATTAAATTCTAGTTCTACCATTTATTAGTCATGGGACCTTGGGTCACGGTGCTTACCATCATTGTGCTTGAGTTGCTTCATCTATAAAATGAAACAATAATAGTTTATATTTCATAGGATTGTTAGGTGGATTCAATGAGTTCATACTTTTAAAATGTTCAAAAACGACTTGGCACATAGTAGGGACTAGAGAGGTGATGGTTTCATACATGTTATAATTATTCTACTTGGAGACTCTTTTATGTGCTCCTGAGTATACCTGCTAAATTCCCCAAAGATCATTGTAGTCGATGTGAGACATTTCTAGGAGTGTACTGTTCTATGACCTGTGTGGAATGAGCAAAATGAGTCAGAACTACTGTGTCAGTGGGATGGAGGAGTTTGTAATTATATCACTAGGTAATAGAGTGTAAAAATGTGTTTCAGAGGAAGGAAATAGCTTGATTGGGGTTGATTTTTAGGAAGATTAATCTGGAAATTGAGTTTCAGAGCAGACAGGGAAAATGGGCAGACAGCTGTTATCAGTGTGTCAGAGAGTCAGTGGGTCACCAGTGAAGTAGGCAATGTTTTTAGAGAACACTACGTAATAAAGTTAGGAGTTAGCATCTGGTGCAAATGTAAAATCTTCAATGGAATTTAACATGGGGTCATCTCAGGGAGAACTTACAGCCATTCAAGTTTGCTGAATAAGCAAACAACAATGGAAAAACTGTTTGGAAAAGAGGAGCATGCTAACAATGCACAGGATTTTGGAGAGTTAGGATTGAAGACAAGAAAACTAGGTTAGTTTTGTTAAGAGGATACTGCAAATGCTCAGGCATGACACTACGGAATTTTCCAAAGAAATTAAAAATATTGAGCACCTTAAACTTGAAAACCTGGTTTATTCATTTTTTAAGATCATAGAGAAATGAGGGGAGCTGGAAAGGCTTCCCCATTCTGAAGCTCATCCCAAAGAAAAGATATGAAGAACGGTGAATGTAAGCATCTTCAAATAGGAAAGGTGTTAATTTCCAGTATTTGACCGATTGGAAAGATACAGGCCTCCCAGAGCCAAGTCTGAGAAGTGTCTTACTGGCCAGTCAAGAAACCATGTAGATTACCATTTTAGACCCTCCCCCTTCTACTATATCCAATTCATTCCCAAAACCACCCCAGCAGTGTCCCCAGTCAAGTCCCTTTCTCCATTCTCCACTGCCATGGTCACTGGTAGAAACCTCATCAACACTCTTCATGGATGACTGAGACTCCAAACTGATTTCCCTGCTTTGACTTATGATTCCTTCCAAGGCATCTCCCACACTGGTACCAGAATTGTATTTCCAAATTTGAGTTTATATCAAAACACATCTTCCTGAAGCCTTCTCATCTCAGTTAAGGATACACCATCCATACTGACATTCAGACCAAAAACTCTGGAGTTCTCACTGACATATCACAATCTTCTACAATCTGCGTCCAAACCACTAGCAAATCCTCTCAGCTCTGTTTTCAAAATATATCCAGAATCTGACCTACCTGCACGTCTAGTCCCCTGATCGCACCTACCATCTCATCTTGTCTGAGTTACCTAATAGTCTCCCAACCATCTCTCTGCTTCTGCCCTTGCCTTCTTAGAGCCATATCTTGTCACATTTCTCATGAAAACTACAGATATCTTGCCTCATTACAAAGGAAAGCTCAAAGTGTCATAAAGGTTTACAAATTCCCCCCAAAATCTGATCAGCACACCCTTTTTGACCTTATCTATTTTTATCCTTTCTTTCATTCTCTCTATTTCAGCCACATTGGCCTCCTTAGGGTTACCTGCAAACTCTCATTCTCTTACTTCAGGATCTTCCTTGATAACTGCTGTGCCTCTATTTCCACCTCATTCCTTCACTCATGAATTTCATGCTCTTAATTCTCCTTTTATATGATCTTCCATATCGTTCAGCTTTTGCACATTTTCTTTTTGCCTCAAGCACCTACTTCCTATCACCGTGAGATGGAGAGTTAAACATTGTTCAAGACGCAGACCAACTCCTCAGCTGAGCCTAGTGCTAAAATCTCCATAACCTATCAACTATGTGATGCTGTGCAAAGTACTAAGCCTCTCTCTCCATTTGCTTATCTGTAAGATGAACTCATATTAAATATATCTTAGAATTGTTTTACCTAGTTATAAATAAGGTTTGTATTAACAATATAAATTAGTGTTTACATTATTAGATAATAAAATTATTGCAGAATTATTTTCATTATTGGGGAGTCCCTTGTTCCCTCTTTTGAACTCTTAAGGTGACTTGTGCTGTTATTTAGTAAAATTCTGTAATTTAAGTTGACATTTTTAGGTTCCACATACAAGTGAGATCATGTGGAATTTGTCTTTCTGTACCTGGCTTATTTCACTTAACATGATGTCCTCCAGGTTCTAAAAAAGTTGATCTCATAGAAGTAGAGGTTAAAATGGTGCCTACCTGATCTCATAGAAGTAGAGGGTAAAATGGTGCCTACCAGCGGCTGGGGCAGTTAAGGTGAAGCAGGTTGGGGAGACGTTGGTCAAATAATAGCTATTTACAATTACACAGGAGGAATAAGTTCCAGAGATCTATTGTACAGCAGGATGACTATAGTTAATGACAATATATCATATTCCTGACAAACGCTAAGAGAGTGGATTAGGTTCTCAGTACAGAAATGATGACTATGTGAGGAATTGATTTGTTAATCAGCTCACTTAAACATTCCACAATGCATATATACTTCAAAACATCATGTTTGCAATGAATATCTACAAATTTATGTTAATTTTTAAAATAAATAAATTTGAAAAAATAGTTTTAATTGAATTCCTTTCCTAAATAACTTTCTCTCCTGTTAGACAATATGATAAACAAAGGCAGGGATGTTAACTCATCTTATTTCTGCAGAATTACTGGCATGTGGTACACCATCGCCAAATGTTTGCGCAAGGGAGGCAGGGAAAAAAAAAGAAAAAATATTTATGGCCAGGCGCAGTGGCTCATGCCTGTAATCTCAGCCTTTGGGAGGCTGAGGTGGGTGGATCACCTGAGGTCAGGAGTTCGAGACCAGACTGGCCAACATGGTGAAAACTCGTCTCTACTAAAAATACAAAAATTAGCCGGTCATGGTGGCAAGTACTTGCAATCTCAGCTACTTGGGAGGCTGAGGCAGGAGAATCGCTTGAAACTGGGAGGCAGAGGTTGCAGTGAGCCAAAATTGTGCCACTGCACCCCAGCCTGGGTGACAGAGCAAGATTCCCATCTCAAAAAAAAAAAAAAAAATTCCAAACATGGCAATTTGCAAGATGTAAGGCAAGGGACACTCCTGTTAAGTAGAAGTCTGTGGTTTGAGGCCTGATAAGTAACAAAATCTGGCATTATAGACATAACCAGGGAAATTAGAAAAGAAAACTGGACTTCTGAGAGGACTTTTAAACATAATGGTATCAAGGCAACACAGGAGAGGAGAATGGCAATGTTTTATAAAATGTTGGAGATAAGAGACTACAGCTCAATGAACGGATCAGAGACAGAAACACAGATTAAAGTCTTTGTATCATGGTGGGAACTGAACTACACGCTGCATACATAAATCTCCTTTCAGGTGATATACATCAATATATTTCAGATTTGCAGGTTATTATCCCCAAGAAACTTATGCTTAGTTTACTCAAGATTTTAATATTTGCAAGTGAGAAAGTCTGCTGTGGTCTTTTCTCACCCTCACTCCTATTTTCTCATTCATGTATTCAAAAGCATTTACTGATAGCATAATATCTGATGTGATCATTGCTTTATGATAATTCTGTTTCTTTCAGGGTATGTTTTTATCACCACCTTGACTGTTGCTTCTTGATTTATATGCATCTCTTCTATGTATGTCTTTCCTCTTGCAAATCTTAATAAAATTCGATATGGAATAAGTACTTTGGGCTTTCTTTGTTGGATGTATTAATGAGGTTTTTTTTAGGGATTATTGGGACTGTTCCTACACCAAAACTGTTTTTTTTTTTCTCCCACTGGAAACCCTCAGGAACTTCTAGTTCTCAGCAACAGTTTTGTTGAACACAGTAATAATAATCTCTTTCATATAATCTCTAATATGTCTTGATCCTAGCACTTCTTGCTGTTAATAAAAAGTGTCAATAACTTACTGACAATAACTGTAAAATTCCACAGATGGAAGTGTGAAAAAGTATGCAATTTACAACTGATAAAATAAGGTAATACTCAAAGCTAACATTTATTGAGCAACTACTAACTTCCAGGGAACACATTGTATTGTTTCTATAACCAAGTCGGGATGTATTCTCCTATTTTTATTTTGGAGATGAGGAACTGGGGTTTGGAGAGGTTACATTATTTACCTGTGGCCATACAGCTAGTAAGCAGCGGAGCTGGGATTTGAACTTGCTCTGTTGTTTCTCAAACCTCCTATTCTGAAGCACTGCTATCCTGCTTCTTACAGGAGGTAAGAGGTAGCTTCTATAGAGGTCTGGCTCTCTGATATTACAGTTCAATCACCCTGGAGCTGTGGTTTCAAAATGTTATTTGAAGATCACCCATAAAAAATACCTAGGGACATTGTTTTAAAAAACAGACTTCTGAGCGCCACTCCAGAAATATTAGGCAGAATCGCTAGGGAAGAGGTCCAGGAATCTATATTTTTAACAAGTCTGCCTGGTAACTGTTATGCCCATGGTCTTTGAACCCCATGTTGGTAACCCACTGGAACTCCTCTGATAAATGGTACCTTCTAGCTTTTGTTTGGTTTACAAACATGGCATTTGTTTATTTGCATCTAGTTGGAAATTGTAGATGCCAACAGAAAATAAAAACTAGGAAGCCCCATTAAAGGCAAGAAGAGTGTATACACTCTCTGGACAAAGGAGAGAGCTGGATAAGAAAGTCCACTATTTTATAACATGAAATTTACCATTTCACCCACTTTGAAGTGTACAGTTCACTGGTGTTAAGTACGTTCACACTGTTGTGTGACCATCAAAGCCGTACTTTTTGAGAGGTCACTCTAAAACCTCTTTTTTTTTTTTTTTTTTGCATAATGTGTACTGGGACAGGTCTGGAACAGGTAATTTTGAATAGAAATCCTTGGCTCCATTCCACAAAAATTAAAACTGGTGACCAAGTGATCTTAGTCAAGTTACTGAGATTCTTTGACTCATGTTTCATTTTCTCTAACTAGGAAAAAATAATACCAAGCACTGTTGTGTCATGGTTCCCATGAAGATCAAATGCTCCGATCTATTCCTTGTGAAGCTATGAAGTGCTTCATCAGAGCACAAAAAGGCACTGGCCCATCTTACTTTCTGCACTTCCATTCATTCAATTTAGCTCACTTCAAGAATTATTTATGAAGGCAGTATGTGCCGAACACACTTAGAAATGAAAAGTTAAAAATAGCATAGTCTCTGCTCTCAAGAAGTTCAGATCCAGAAAGGAAAAGTAGATAGGTAAAGTGATCATTATGCCACTGCACTGATTAAAATAAAAATCACTAAGAAAATATAGAAAGTTTTGAAATAATAAAGGGGGAAATGTACTCTGTTACTGCTTGAAGTGTTGGGGACAGCAGATGATCATCAAAAAAGACCTTGCAATAGAGTTTAAATTTATATATATAATATCTTTAGTATCTATACATTTTTTCTTGCCAAGGGTTTGCACATGCTTCTCTCTCTGCTTGGAATATTCACATGATGTCTTTTAATTGGTTAATCCTCCTACTCATCCTCTGGGGCGGGGCTTGAACATTCTTTTTTCTAGCAATTTTCTTTGAAATGTGTTAATACTGGAGTAGTCTTCCTTCCTTGCACCCTGGTAGAATATTATACTCAACTGATAGCATACTGGATTGTAATCATTAGCTGCCTTGTTGACATATCCCATAAGAGCTGAAATTTCCCTAGGAACAGTGCAAAATTCATCATTGTATCCTAATGCTATGCCTGGTTGTGGTCAATAAAACATGAAATTAAAATGCCCATCAATGATTAGAAAATTGGTATTATACTTATGGACATTACAATTCTCAAGAAAATTACCTATTTACCAGGTACTTGGTGTCTTTCTTAGGGAATATTATATGAAAATGTCATCTAATACTTTGGCAAATTAAAACAATGATGACTTGCTCTTTGGTTCCCTAAGATAGGGTAGAGATATTTTTTTTCATGATCCAAATATCTTTAATGAAATCAGGTAAGATAAAGGTGATGTCAAAGTTGTGTTAATGTAAGTTAATATAAATACCGTGAATTTTAAGTGGTAAACAGTCTTTGAAAGCCTTTATTCAGCCTAAACTATAGTCTCAGTCTCAGTCTTGGCTGATGGACTTTAAAATCCTTTTATTCTCTCAATACTGTGTCCAGGGATATATGTGAGTTTCATATTTAGTCAACATAGCATGGATACTAACCAGGAAATAATCATTTCCTGAACACCTGACTCCATGACTTTGTGTCAGGAATTGCATTACTCATTTATGAAGACACATAAAAAATGTGATCCTATTTTTCTCATCAAAATGACTGCAATATACTGAGGAAGATCAGCCATGCATATGTGAGTAAAGAGCAGACATCAACCCAGGATGACATGCATGGAATGCATGTGTAAATAAAATAATGGGATTTAACAAGAGTGAGGTGGCATGCAAATCAGGAAGTGCTTTTCAAAGAGGAGGGCATTAAGCTGGCTCTTAGGGACAGTGATGGGGATGGTCTGGTAAGAAGAAATGGACAATTATTTCTAAAAAGGAGACCACAATGGAAAGAAGAGACAAAGGTTATGGGTGACATTGCTGGGGATGAGGGCTAAGAAAATAGTGTTTGCTGCATTTAACAATTAGAAGGAAAAAAAGAGGTTGTGTTGGGATTCTAAAACACTGACTAGAGGACTAAGAAGTTTTCAGTTAATAAGAGCAAAAATTAAGAGGACCCTTCATTCACAAGACCTATTATAACAAAGGATTTAGGAATCTTTGTGCAAGAACAACTAGAGCACAACATCTAACTGTTTGAGAACAGCAAGGCTTGTTGTTTTCTGTCCCCTGAACCCAGGTTTTTCATGTCGATGTATATACTCAATTCTGACTTTGTAAAAGTGGTCTATAAATATAGCCAATCACTATGACTTCCTTCTAGAATTTACAGACTTCAACTAAAATATGATTCTTGATCATGATAAAAAATGTGTTCAACTTCAGTTGAAAAAATGCCTAGAAATAAAGACTTCATAAATAAAACTGTAAAACATCAAATCTTCACAAGAAAATGGCCGAGAGACAGAAAATATTGCAAATGACTTTATCAGCTTTATTGAGATATAATTAACATACCAAAAAGTTTACCTGTGTAAACTGTACAATTCATAGTTTTTTAGATTATTTATGCAGTTGTGCAACCATCACCATAATCTCAGGACATTTTCATTACCCCCCCAAAAAAGCTGTGTACTCATTAGCAGTTCTCCCTTTTCTAACCCCCAGGTTGTAGCATGTATCTGTACTCCATTTATTTTTATCGCTCAATAATATTCCATTGTATAAATATAACACATTTTTGTTTATTTCTTGGCTGATGAATGCAGCAGACTCTGTAAAGCAATTTTAAAATCAATATCTATCTCTGTTGGGGACTAGCATATTTACTATTCTCTTTGGTTCCTTTGCAGCTCTTTTGTATTTGGTCTAATATTTCTTAGTGTAATAAGAGTCCATTTATTAGAGCATGGCTATCAAAGAATGCCTACTACTTTGGATGTCTCAACCCTTTTTAGATACCACACTTCTCTTAGAAGTCTTGTCTGTTCTGGTTCACCTCTAGACATTAGATTATATTGTTCTTCCCTTAATTCTACCTCCATATACCCACAACAGCTCTGCAATGCATGATACATTCTTTTGATCATGCTAGAATTTGAACAGACTATAGGAACACCTTTTAATTTGTTTTGAATTTGAGAAAAAACTGTTTTCAAAATGGGTATTGATGTATTTTCCTGTCATGTCTATCACCACATATGTGTATCCATGCTAATAACAGAGCTGAATGTACATTTTCCATAATATATAATGTATATATCCTAAACATGTATGTGTTTCTATATGTTTGACAAGAAGTGGAGTGGGGAATAGAGAGAAAGACAGAGAAAAAGAGCATTTTTTTTTTAAATTGGCATGTCTTTGCTTCTTATTTGTTCTAAAGATTTTTAAAAGGTAGAATGTAATGGTGTTGAAATATTGCATCAGCTTTTAACAAAAGAGCCAATACTGCAATGCTGCTATTTTATTGCCCACGACGTATGGTTTCCAGTTGAGTATCCCATTAACCTTAGAGTGCAATGATATAATTTTAATTATATAAATTGAAACAGCAATGTATAATACCTATATCATGTAAAAATGGATTCACTTTATGTGAAAGTGTCTAAACTATGTTTCACTGTGAAGCAATAAATTTGCTTTAGATGGCAAACCTGCCTGTAAATTTAATTACTGGTAATTTTATTTTCCTTCATGGTTTAACCTCTCTTAGAGTCTGACTGAGAAATATCATAAATCTGTACTTCCATGGAGTACTTTGGAAACTACTGAGTAATGATAAATGAGTATTTGCCAGATTTTAACTTTAGAAAAGCAAAGAAATGTAAATGTGGACGGTAAATGAGTATGCCAACTTGTAAATGTCATTACAGATTAAATTCCTAATTTGATTAAAAGTATATTTACTTAATGAAACTCTTTTTGTTCCTATATCCAGGTAAATAATATATATCAGGGAAAAGAATTATTTTCATGTATTTGAAGATCCTAATAACAGTATGTGTTAGAAAAAAATGAGTTTCACATAAAAGAGAGATATTTGTATTCATTCAAGAGAAAGACTAGTTATACGTAGTACAGTCTTGCATAGAATAATCAGGTACCACACAGGTTATGCAGCATGAAACTCAGGGAAGACTGGGGAGAGGTTTGAAGCCTTGGGAGAAGTGTTCACCATCAATGCTTTCTATCCTTTAGAATTCCCTACAGGGAAGCTATTTCTAAAAAACTAAAGGGGAAGCACAGTTATGAAGGGTGGAAATTAGTACATTTCAATGTTAATTCAATGTGACTTAAGATCGTATGCCTTCCTGTGAACAAAGAGAGTACAGTGTGGGTTTAAGATCCATGCCACTCAAACCAGAGTGCCTGAATCCACATCTGGCTCTGCCACTTTCTGGCCAAGCCATTCAACCTCTCCGTACCTATACCTCTTCATGTGTAAAACGGGCATAATAAAACTGCCTACCTCATGTTCGACTAGAGCTTGTACAATGCTTGGTGAAGTGCTCAGCATAGAATAAGTGCCTGACAGATGCTAGACTTGCCAAGCCTGTGTGCAATACTGCATATTTCTGTTTGCTCCCTCTACTTTGGGGATAACTTGAGGACTGGGCCTTTGCTTTAATTATATAAGAATTTCATCCCAGTTGTGTCATTTATTAGTGTTATGACCTTGAGCCAGTTTTTCTTTCTCTTTTAAACTTCTCTAAGCTTCAATTTCCTAATCTATAAATTAAGACTAACATTTAGAACACATTTCATAGGGCTGCTGGGAAAATTATATGAGATATTAAGCACAGGGCCTTACACATATTAATAACATTCAATAAATGTTACATATTACCATTTTAATGTGGAAATACATACCAACAAATAACGTTTTGGGAGATGCATTAAAATTTAGGTAAAATTTTACACACCAATTATATCTATCAAAGTACAATTTAAGATAAAATAGAAAACGCTTTTTCACAGTTAAACATAGTATTTGTGAATTATATTGCTGTCATTATCAATAAATACTTTAAACAATCCCAGTAAGCATTAAGCTATTTTAAGATACATCTTAAATTCAGAAAATTTAAATCCATCATATACAGTTTCTGAATTACAAAGAAGGATAATAGGTTCAAAACCCATATCCGGATGTATCATAATGTTCTGAATGCAAAAAGTCATATTATAATTTTTGAAAGGCAATCTTAAGCTAATCTTTCCACAAAATGCACAAACCACCCTTGATTATGCAGCTAGCAGATATTTTGAGGGAACTGAAGTCACATTTTCATGATATCATAATTTCTGAACTGTATGTAAAAGAGAGTTGGGCACAGATATAAAAGCTGAAAGGCAACTTCTGGTTTTAAATTTGGTGGGCTACCCTGGGTGGGCCCTCATGAATAGAGGTCTTGGGGGTGAGCACCTGCAATTCCAGCATCCCTGCCACCTGCTCTGTCAGCAGAAAGGCCTCGGTTCCCACAGCAGCAGAGAGTGCTTCTCAATGCAGGCTGCCTGCTCTCCCAAGCACACCACCTTGATGGGCAGAAGGAAAATGGCTGAAGTGCAGAGAGCATTCAACACAATATGAAAAATCAAAGAAATGGCTGAAAGCTGTGTTGGAGTAAGAAAGAAAGAGAAGGGTTTCTTTCCATACCCAGGCCATATCCTAGGAAACAAAAGACAAAAGAGAAAGAAAGGGTGATGGGGAGAAAGGGGGACTAAGTGAGAGAGGAACGGAATAAGAGGAAAAAAGATAGCAGATGCAGAACATACAACAAAGAACAACTTGTGCAAAAGAAGGAATAAGAGGACGGTTTTTAAAGCAGAGAGTTTTGAAACTGTCCATTTTATTTCTCTGATATAATTAGTAGGAAGGTGCTTCTATTCTCAGACATTTTTAAATGCTTTACACCTATTATTCATTTAATATTCACAACACTAAGAAGAAGTAATCGATTCTCCAACACACAGACGAGGAAATGGAAGCTTAGAAAGATGAACACATTTGCCCCAAGCATTTAACAAGTATAGGGAGATGCCAGTAGACAGAACAAAGTCCCTGCCCTCAGGAAGCTAAACAAAATGACACAGGCTGGATTTGCTCTGGCTTAAAAAGATGCTTGGAGTTTGAATGAGAAGAAAGTACAAATCCATTGAATATGCACATTTAACACACCATCCCTATTTATCCACTTTGCACAAATGCTTCTTTATCTTGTGGAACAAAAAGTTTTGCAATTAAAACATCTCATCAATTCTACCTTGACCATGTCAGATCATATGATTTCAATGAGACAAAATTTACTTTTAACATTTTTAACGTAACGCAAATGCTTTGGTTGTTTTGCCAGCTGTCAATGGGTATTTTAACTCATCATACTTACACTGAATCTCTTTTAATAATGTATGTCATAGCACTTCACAATATAAATTGGTGGAGAACTGCATTCCAGCACCACCAACCCTTCCACTTGCTTGAAACTCGATTTAGATGCCAGAATAAACCTAGACACAGTTTTGCTGTGTAAGTCAATCTCCTAGACACCAAATCAATTCTGCCCAACTACTGTTCCAAAAAGGCACTTAAATCAATTTGTTACAAAGGTACTGCATAAAATGATATATGCAAAAATTCTACTTAGCCATTCTACACTGATAATTAGCCCCAGTAGATTCAAGGCTCATATTTGAACAGAGTTCTCTGTCTCAGTATATCTTTTTGAGAGATATTCACTGATGAAATAACTCCAACATATATGTTATGTGTGCATTAGTAGGAAATTAACCAACAACATATGAATACATTTCATTTTATAAGGGTTGGAAATTTTTTTATATCTTAAAAGAATTCAATATAGCCTTTTCTGACTTATAGCATTCCTTTTAGCTGCATTAGCTGGAACAAAGGAGACATCCTTTAAGGAATTAGTAGGAACTGACTGAAAGTTGAAGGAAAAAGAAGTCAGTCGATTAACTCCAAAGAAGTCATAACATTAACATTGGGGAGGGAAATGTAAAGTTTTTATTTATCCCCCATGGAAAATGTCACATCGGTCACATCACTAAGTGTGACTGAGTGACAGCTACTGACAGTGGAATGAACTTCAGGAAGGTGTAACGGAGATGATGCTCAGAGAGCATCAGAGCTGGAACTGGGACAACAGTGACCTCTGTCCTTGGCTAGGGCTGCTGGGTGACTTATAATATTGAAGAAAAATAAAGTCCTTAGTGGAGGTTTAAAAACAATGTGGCTGTAGACATACCCACAAACCTGCATATTATAAAGTTCTTATCCTTCTGCTTTGACTGAATTTGCATATTGTCATTTGTTGTAAGATAGATCATTCTGAGCCAGATATTAGGGTCTCCTTTTTCTTTTTACTTTGTTACTCAAGTTAACTTTTTCATCCTAAACATGGATACAGATGCTGGGACCGACTAGATCTTAACTGTAAAGTACCACAACACAACTTTCATTGTGTTACATACGAAGGGATATAACTCCAAACCAAGTGTTGGATTTACACTATGGCTTTTCCAAATACACCTAATGAATAAATACCTTATGCAATTCTTCATAGCATTTTGACTCACAGAAAAGCTGTCTAAAATTGGAAGAGGGTGGAAAGATATACTATTTGTATTACCTGCATAGTTAAAAATAGTGTACCCAGTTGGATTGAAGTTTTCCTTCATCAGAAATATTGCTAGGTAAAGTTTTTCAGTAGAGTAGATCTTTAAAAATAGGATATGGTCTTGTCCATCTGGAGTGAGTCATGTGTTCTCTGGCAGAACGTAAGGGTCCCTTCTACTTCAATGGTAATCATGGATTGACTTTTTCTGATATTAAAGTTATATACCATTGGAAATGCATGTGGAATAAAATGGAATGGAACTGCAAATATCTATAATGTGACAAAATACAAAATTCCAATATAAGAAAAACTGTTTTTAATGTCCCAATAAAAAAATGTAGCCCCAAACCATAGGGCATCCACATGGCTAAGGCAGTTGGAATAGGATTTAATACTCATTCTTGTCACAGCTTTAGAGAGGATATGCAACACTGTTCTCATTTTACTATGGAGAGACAGAAATGTGCTTGATTCTCTAATGATTGTCTGAAGATAAAAGAAGCATCATCAAAATACCATGAAGATTCAAAGTTATTCAACTATATTTTGATCAAGTTCATAACATTATCAAAGGTAATCTTCCTTTAACTAGGAAACTAAAGTTAATGACACTGAAAAAAAGAATGCAGGTTCTTAGTTACTAACTATACTCTTGCCAAGTTAGATGTTTTAAATAATGTTTTCAGTAATCTGGGAAAAAAAAAACACTGAGCTGTCAATCTTGAAATCATTGCAGTGGATTACACACTGTATTTTAATTTTCCTTGCAACTGTTATAAATCGAATAGTTTCAACAGTATTACTTTTTAATGTAAGTACTCCAGCTTTCATACCTCTTGAGTTTTCCCCATAAAGTTTCTAATTATCAGTTAGTTTTAATTCCTCAATAGTCTAGTTAATACTTATACTGTTGATGTTCTATTTTTTTAAGCAAATAAAAATAAAAAAAATGTTTTTTTGGCCGGGTGCGGTGGCTCACGCGTGTAATCCCAGCACTTTGAGAGGCCGAGGTGGGTGGATCACGAGGTCAGGAGTTTGAGACCAGCCTGACCAACATGGTGAAACCCTGTCTCTACTAAAAATACAAAAATTAGCTGGGCGTGGTGGTGTGTGCCTGTAATCCCAGCTGCTCAGGAGGCTGAGGCAGGAGAATCACTTGAACCTGGGAGGCGGAGGTTGCAGTGAGCCGAGATTGCACCACTGCACTCCAGTCTATGCGACAGAGTGAGACTCCCTCATAAAAATCAAAACGAAACAAAACAAAAACCCTGTTTTTTCTCTGTCAATTAAACAACAATGGAATAGAACAAAACCAATACATTGTCTCCAGTTTTTAAATAATCTAACTCAATTAAAACATTCAATAATTTCCCATGGGCAAAGTGTCCCCATAAGTAAAAAATGGTAAGCATAAATAGAAAAATGAAACTAAGTTTCCAAATAATCCTACCTGGATTTCTTCCAGTCCCTGAGCATATAACTATTACTCTTTTCATAGTAAAATTAATCACTTTAATTGAAAACAATTGATTTAATTGTTTTTAATTGGTAGTAGTATAATTATTTATTTAATAATATTGAAATAATAGTATAACAAAAAATTAATTTTCAAGAAAAGCAACAAACATTCACAATTCAATAGAGAAAAATGTAAGTCCCTCTAGAAATGATTGGAATATTTTTTCCTGTCACTCTTGAAGTAGAAGTAACTCTTAAAAATAATACTTTGGGGCCAGGCGCTGTGGCCCACGCCTGTAATCCCAGCCCTTTGGGAGTCTGAGGCAGGTGGATCACGAGGTCAAGAGATCGAGACCATCCTGGCTAACATGGTGAAACCCTGTCTCTACTAAAAATACAAAAATTAGCTGGGTGTGGTGGTGTGCGCCTGTAATCCCAGCTACTCGGGAGGCTGAAGCAGGAGAATCACTTGAACTTGGGAGGTGGAGGTTGCAGTGAGCGAAGATCACGCCACTGCACTCCAGCCTGGCAACAGAGCAAGACCCTGTCTCACAAAATAAAATAAATAAATAATAATAATACTTTGGGGCCAGCTGCAGTGGCTCATGCCTGTAATCCCAGCACTCTGGGAGGCTGAGGTGGGTGGATCACCTGAGGTCGGGAATTCAAGACCAACCTCTCCAACATGGCAAAACCCCATCTCTACTAAAAATACAAAAATTGGCTGGGTGTAGTTGCTCATGTTGGTAATCCCAGCCACTTGGGAGGCTGAGGCACAAGAATCACTTGAACCTGGAAGCACAGTTTGCAGTGAGCCAAGATCGCGCTGCTGCCCTCCAGCCTGGTGCACTGCACTCCGGCCTGAGTGACAGAGCGAGGCTCTGTCTCAAAAAAAAATAAACTCATAAATAATAATAATATTACCTTGGGATGCTTTAAATTACCATTGGGTCATATAAAAGTGCAGGCTTTTAAACACACAATCAGTATATTTAGTACCTTTAAACTAGGGCATTATTAGCATATCAGTATGAGTTAATATCTCGAAGGATTAGGAAATAAATATATTCCTTAAGTGTTTCAAAAACACAATGAACGACAGTTAAGTAGTTAGAAATAGACTGACACATGGACTTTTTGAGCTCCAAGTATTACCATGTAGATACAAGCTTGGTAAAATCCTAGCCTATGAAGTATCCATTTCTTTTTAACCAATCTTTTCTCTTTCTTCAGATTCAGTTTCCACATCTTTCTACTGAGGAAAATCTGTGAATACCTCTTAACACTACTTTTCATTTCCTTTTTTCTCCTCAAATATCCAATGAGTAAAGTAGCTGAAAAACTCCAATGATTCTCAATTTATTGCTAACACAAAGCAATTACTTTTGCATTCACTGACTGTTTTCATGTGGGCACTTGCGTGTGTCCGTGTGTTTAGGAGAAACAGAGAGCGGTTCTTTTAGGTTTTACTTTTTTTCTGAAACTTCAACCTAGCCAGGCCTTGACAAACGCAGACAATATGGATGCCGAGCTCTTCCACTCCATCCCCTCTCCTGCAGACAGGCTGCAGGTCTCATGACCTTCTCAAACAGTTTGCAACCGTTTTCCTTACATGAAACACAGGCTACAGCCTGCTCCTGTGATAACTTCTTACTTTTTAACTTCATCTTTTTCTCCTTGTATCAAAAAAAGACGTTAAAATTCAAAGGAGAGCAATGTTAGAATAAGTGTAACCTTGAACAGACTTTCAACAATGGCCTCTTTTGAAATAAAGCTACTCCTGCTATTATAACTCAGGGCGTCCCTCACAACTGATCACTGCAGAGCCCAGTGAGAACCTCTGCCTCCTCTAGGAAGGCAATGCATCTGTGTGATCCTTGTCCCTTGCTCACCAGCCTCAGGAATTCCTCACTGTCTGCCCTGGTCCTCGCAGATCCTGCTTCCTTCCCATCTGACAAAGAAAACTGTTAGGCTTGAAAGTTGTTGCCAAGAGATTTAGGGGTTTTCATTATTAATTGCCTGAGGAAGTCAGAATCTTATGGATAATGTGTGACTAACAAGGAAGAGGGTTGATGTTTTCCATCCAAAGGATGGTCTGCTGAAGAATCGCTCTCCCTTCTGCAAGGTACACCCTCGAGGCAAGCATTGATCAGGGCCACTCTTCTGTGACGTTTCTATCCTGCTCACAATCCACATATAGCACGGATTCCTAGATTGTGCCTTTCACTTTCTCTGCTGCCTTTGTTCAGTGAAAATATTCACAATAAATCAGATCCTAAACAAAAATATAATTTCATTTCATTCATAAACATATAATATCATTTACATTATCTCATTTGCTACAACACAGAGAAGTTGGGGTACATGGGATTTTCTGAACATCTATCTATTTTGATGAAGTTTCCTATTATCCGTCTGTACATAGAGTTAATAGTTAATAATGTGAATAGCTGGTCTTGAACTCAGGATTGCAATATTCTGTACCTAAAACTTAGTTAATTATTTGAACAGAGAGATATGCAGAGGGATGTTCTCTGACATAGCCATTTATTTTTCAGTGATGCATATTTTCTTTTATTTCTCCTTAATTTGCAATTTTGAAATTGCCAAGCCTGTGCTTTTAAACACTGCCTGACTCATTTTGATAGTAAGGGAAGAGACATCTGAAAAGTTAGTCTCAAATACTGATTTTTGGCTTTTCTTGGCTACAGACACTAGAAAATCTGGATACAATTCCAAACACTTTCTCTAAGCTTCCCCTACTATTGCTGCTTCTCTCTTTTTTCTACATCATCTGTCGTTTAAAAAGTGGTGATTTCTCAGACTTACTCCCCATTTTTATGTGGAAGTGGTGTTCAGGCCGGATGGGAACCATATAACATCACATTGAGCTGATCCCTTACCGCAAAGTAGAGATAATATGGGCTCCCATGGAAAAATAGAAGAAATCAAGCTCATGGCTGAGCTCTGTTGTTAACAATTCTCAGCTTCCCTCTTCAACAGCTTGCCTCCAGAGACAAACTGCCTTAAGTGGGCAAACCACTGAGAAAATTCCCATCTGACAACTGTCTTCGAAGAAAGGTCAAAGGAATTAACCCGTAGTTAAGGGGGCAAGGGTGTGCTTAAGTACTTTAAGCACACAGACAGTTGTTGTGCACAGAGATGGGAACAGCTGGTTTCTATCTCTGATGGAGAATGAACAAGAGGAAATGAACAGTGCTTTGGTAGGAATGATGACTTTTAGGCAAGAAGGAAGAAGCCTCAGTAACATGTATTATGCATCCACTGTGGGCCAGGGCTTTGCATACTTTGCCGCTTTTAGCCCACTTGACACGCTCAGGAACTCAAGGAAACCATAATTAAGAGAGTCGCTTCATTTGTCCAAAGTTGCAGAGGTAGTAATTGGTAAAACTTGTATTTGAGCTTAATGTTATAGAATCAAAAAGTCCTTTCCACTACCGCAATGTTTCTTATATTTTAAGAGAAAAAAGAGAGCTTAGAACCCTTGGATACTCTTGAAATCTGTGGACACTTTCTTGGAAAAATATACATGCACATACCCACAAGATTAGATACATGCTTTTATCTGGTTCCTAAAGTAGGGAGCCCTAATAGATCCTCTGTATTAAAGTGTGCTGGGGATCAAGAAATAACAGCAAAAACTGAGTCTGATTACAGCATAAAAACAATACTCTGAAGCAGAAATGACAATGTCTAACAAAGAGGAGACAGGCCTAATTCTCGTTCAGTTTTCTGACCCTCTATATATCCTTTTAAACGTCTTCTTTAATGAGCATCCCTACAGAGTTTGTATTTGTGGAAAATTCATTTGATTTTTAAAGATCACTTAAGATTCTTTTTAAATGGATCCAAATTCATAAAATAATGAATTCTTGAAAATATGATGCTCATGTAAGAAACATCTCCATTTAAGGTAACACATTAATATAAAAACAAGACTGGAAAGAATAGTCTGCAAGCACATTCAATTACTGAAGTAGAAACCAATTTATCATTTTAATAGCAGATAATTTAATAACAGGGTTGGGTGCAGACCTCTCTGAATTAATGGCCAGGAGAGGGGTGAGGGGAATGGCAGAAACTGACATGATTGTTAGCAGGACAGGACTGATCAGTGCAGCTAGGGCTCAGCTGAATCACCCCATTGCGGCTCCATTTGATGCATGAGATATTGAGAAGACACTTATTATGTATACAAATAAAAGGTCTGATATTATTATAAATACAAAGAAAGTATGGGTTAGGGTTTCTAGACAGAATGCAATTAAGTCGCAAAGTATGTAACAGAGAAAAAGGCATTGGGCAGCACATGCAGAGATCTGTAGCCCTGAAGTATTTGAGAAAGCTTCCTGGAATAGGTGGATCTGACAATTAAATGGTGTTGCAATGCAGTGGGAGGTAGAGGTGGAGAATTGTGAAACTGGCAGGCCAAGAAAACTTTAAAGAATTTTTATCTTAAAAATGGAATTTAAAAGCAAGCACTATGTTTTTAAAAGAAAGTTATAAAAATGACAGTGGCAATAGCAAGGATTTATTGCACCGATACTGCACTGGGCTATCCACTGCTGCATTACTACTAATTCTAAAATGAATACTGTGATACGGTCAAAATGTTCTCTGTTTACAGTTGATGAAGCTTCCCAAGTTACTGCTTTTGACAGGATTTTAACATAGGTTTGTGTGACCCCTAAGCCTGGAGACAAGGAATTTCACTTATTAGGAAACCTACCACAACTACAGTAAAACCCACAAGACAGTTACACCTGAATATCAATTAAGTTGAATTTTTTTTTTTTTAAGAAACAACCTTCAACAAAACAGGAGAATACAAATAAAACAAGATGACATTCTTACACATTAGGGTGTTCACTTTCAGCTGGGCCCCAATAATTCTCCTTAAATGAGCCTATTTTTATCCGTTTCCATTTGCCACAATGGCAATTGGTGGCAATGCTTCATTTTATCATTCTTTTCAAGCGTCCCAATCTATGCTTAGCCTCGAGTCTAGGAAAGTTAAGTCTGTCTTCTCAACTCAGAAAATGGAAACCCTCTAGGAAGGAGCCTTTCCTTCTTTCCACCTCTGTATTAGTATCTATAATATCCACAGTAATCTTTGTCCCAGGTACCCTCCTCTCCAAGGATAACATCCTTTGAGTGCATATTAATACATACCCCTTCCAGCATTTGTTTAACTCGTATTTCTTTTCTCCTTTCTAGTCAAATGGTATTGTACCTGCCAAACCAGTAGACTTTTCAATCCAGCATCTGTCATTTTGACTCCTTTCTCCTCCTTGAATCTCTGGCTGTGTCTCCTGGTTCTTACGCCATGCTGAGTGGTCCATTTCAATCTAACATCTTGTTCTTCTTCTCCAGGGAAATTATTACATGATGAGGCTCTTCAGAAGTTATTAAGTTATCTCATTTACTTTCAAGGCTATAGTTAAGCTCAAACATTCCAGGATAATTTCTAAAATAAATATTTCCAGCACCTAAGACCGCTTGGTACTTAGTAAGTGTTCAATCCATACAAGGTAATCATTGTTATAAAGCCATTCCTGGTCTAGTTCCAAATTACTCTTTTTTTTTTTTTTTTTTTTTTTTTTTAGATTTTCTCCTCTGCTAATAGCTGGTGACTTGATACTTCAGCTATGGTTCAATAAACTTGTGATGAATGAATGAATGACTAATAAACCCAAGTGCCCTGAGCTAAAAGTTATCTGCTTGGGCCAAAATGAATTTAAAGTTTATGAGAAAATGTATCATTTCCATGCCTTGTCCCCTAAAGCACCAATCCCTTGAACTTTTAGTCCTCAAGGTTTTGTCCCAGAGAAATATTGTAAGCCTGTGCCTGTTCCAAGAAGTTAGCTATCTCTCATGTGGAAAGAAATTAAATCCAGTCTGCTTGTGTCTGCACACAGTAAAATGTAAGTCAAAATTCCAGTAGCCTTTTTATGAGGCAAAGTAAATCCTTTGTGCCATACCCCACACTTCATCTTTTAATAAAAGACTTTCTAATCACCAAAGCTACACATATGCACACACAAATAATGGCAACAGTATATGCTGAAAATGTCACTGCATTCCCTGATATATTGCCATAAAGAACTTGGAGATTTCCCAGGCATGATATGACCTATGAGAAACAAAATTCTATTCAGTTTTAAGATTTGTATTCATGTGACTTATTCTCGTCACTTTTAAACTACTAGCAAAAGGGGGAAAAAAGCCCTTTTCTATTTCACTATGAAATAGCAAAATTTTCTCTTTCATTTATTTTACTTAGTCATCTTCCTCATCTGAAAAACTCTCAATCTAAAACACATCTAAACACTCCGTAGAAACATATTAAGTAGATGTGAAACTTTAGCCTTCCAACTGAAAGGAAAATTCCATAGAGTTTGCTGGCAATAGAGCAAGGCCTCCCAGTCTTTCGTCTTTACTCTCAAGGTAAATCTCATCACCGAACACGAAAACTCTGCTCCAGTCCACACCCTCTCCAACTCATCCTCCATGTTACTCACTGAGAGTAACATCACGACATTCCTATGCTGCTTTCAAAGTCTACAATTCGCTCCTTTCCGAGTTTCACATCATAGCTTCCTCCTTGTTCCATAACCTTCATAAAATCGGTCCCTCCCCCCCCTTTTTTTTTTTTTTTTTTTTGAGACAGAGTCTCCCTCTGTCGCCCAGGCTGGAGCGCAGTGGCGCGATCTCAGCTCACTGCAAGCTCCGCCTCCTGGGCTCACACCATTCTCCCGCCTCAGCTTCCCAAGTAGCTGGGACTACAGGCGCCCGCCACCACACCTAGCTAATTTTTTTGTGTGTATTTTTAGTAGGGACAGGGTTTCACCATGTTAGCCAGGATGGTCTCGATCTCCTGACCTCATGATCCGCCCGCCTCGGCCTTCCAAAGTGCTGGGATTACAGGCGTGAGCCACCGCGCCCGGCCAACCAGTCCCCCTTTCTAAACGCACTCTGCCTCCCTCACCTGGCAAGGAGCCTTGTACACACTCCCTTGCCTTCCTGCCCACCACCGCAATCTGTTCTCCATTGGTGGAGAAACAGAAACTCACCAAGATCTCATTTGAACCCAGTTTGCCTTTCCCCAACCTTTTTCCTCTCCTACCCCCAACTATAACATTTATATTTTTCTTTCTGTTCTCACACAGCAATCTATTCATACCTTGATTAAATGTTTTTTATTGTAGCTACCATATTCTTGTTTTATTAAAATTACTTTAAAAAAATATGTGTTGGGCTCTCTTATTAGGCTAAATTTTGCATAGGTCATGATAATTACATAGATAATGTTTTTTCCCCAGTAAAAATACTTTATAGACCTCATAGAGTGAGAATAAAATGGTTAAAGTATAAAGTTCTGGGCTGCTGTATAGTAGATGGAATGTTTGATAATCTACAAGGGAATGATCACAGTCTGACTTGTGTGCAGGTAGGACCCATGTTTACAAAGCCTTTCTGGATCTTGGAAGTGACTGTTTCCGAGCAAACCCCAAGGGCCATCACAGCCTTAACTCAGAAAGACAGAAAGGGTGCTGACTATGGGTATGTGTTTGCATACTGTGTGTATGTATGTATTTTTGCAAGTGCGGGTTGGATCTGGGATGGCTGGGTAGAGACAGAGAGAGAGAGAGAGAGAGAGAGAGAGACAGAAGTGGGGGGGGGCGAGAGAGAGAGAGAGAGATTGGATGAGGGAACACGTTCCTCAGCTTAATGCAGTCATTATTTTGCAGCAAATCCACACTGGGGGCAAGCAAGCTTATCCAGACAAACTGTTGGCTATAGTGAAACTGTGTAGTTGAACCAAATTTAAGTAGGAGATTGAAAATTTTTTGCCAGTGCCATAAAGATTTGATGTTAAGAAAACAGTATCCTGTGCCACAAGCACGAAATGTATGAGCTTAAAGAAAGGCATCAGTGAATGATATAAAATCCAGGTTGTAAAAAAAGAGAATGTCAACTAAATCAGGACCCAGCAGTTCCCTTTTGCCACACTGACCACATGTTTTCACGAGTTCCTGGTTGAGGGAGGATTTAAAGTCAGTATTAAAAGCACATTGTGTATTAGTTAAAAGTTTGCTGTTTATGAAGGAATTTTTTTTTTTTTTGGAGGCTTCGGTCATTTTCATTTAATCCCGTTGTGGCTCTGAATAAAAAGTCTTGGTAACAGAAAGATAATTCAGTGAAGTTGGGGTTATAGTTTTAATTGCAGTGAAAAATCTTGTACCCAGAATGTAAATAAAGGCCAAAATGCTTTGTAAAGGCCTGGTCATCAGTGTTTGGGTACGATGACTCCTCAATAGGTGAGTCTCTTAAAAATTATGCCCACCACACTCGCAAATGTTAAAAGAACAATTAAATGCTTTCTAGTTGGATATTTAAGAAATGGAATCTATTGACATCTTACAAATAAATCCAATACATATCAAATAATAAAGGTTACAAAAGAAACTTCTAGAATTTTAAAATTACTACAATTCCACACTGATCTGAGAAAATGGCAACTTCAAATTCAGAGGTAATTTTGTTTAAACAATGTCATTAAACAGATGAGATTATTTCAGCAAATTTGGAGCTGTCCCATTTTTATTCATTGCGTTGTTTTCTATTGCCGTGTATCTCAGTGTTGCTTTTTTTTTAGGGCCGTATATATCAGCTGAAGTTCAGAATATACTGTGCTATTTACAGACCTGCAGCAGTCAACATCTGTAGAAAGGATTCAGAAGTTGATTTAAAGTCTGCAACATAAGCATATCCAATCCTAATGGTACACAAGACCATATATCTTCTTTGAGAGACTGACACATGGTCCCCACTCTGACTGGTGATAATGCATCCCTGCCAAGCCCAGATGTAGTTTCAACTCCAGGGAAATGCAACGTAATGATGAATTGGTATAACCCAATCATGCTAACATTTGTATTTGGAAACCCTACAGTGTAGTACCAACAATTTTTTTTTTATTTCCCCTAACTATGTTTCTTCAAGTATATCAAGATGTTCTGCCAGAATGACAAGCATATGATCAAATTTAATGGTATATAAAGATACGGCAGACTGCTTTCCAAAGCAAAATTTCATAGTTGGAACTTTTAACAATTAATTGCACTTCTGGCAACCCCACTGAAATTTAAATTAAATGGTGTAACTATTTCATTAGAAGGCTTTGGCAAAATAAACCTAATAGATGGAAAACTTTATATAATTAAAAATGGCAAGTGATCTGCTTTCTGTGTGCTTTTAAGTCAATAGGTCTTAACTCTATGATGTCTTTTTCTCCTGCTATGTGGTGAGTTCCTCAAGGGCAGGAGCTGAACTCTATTTATCTATGGTTCTTAACGGAGTTCACAGCACAAAGCAGGCACTTAATACATATTACTAAATCTTTGTACGGGTTCAGATATTAGTAGATTGTGAGTTTTAGAATCCAAGTTTGAATCAAAGGCCTACCATTAATGAAGTCAATGGCTATGATAAATGGAATTGTGCTCCCCTCACACCTCCCAATTCACATCACTTGACTTGCTCTCCCCGTATCTCCTTATTTAAATGGGTCTTTGCAGAAGTAATCAAGTCAAAACAAGGTCATTAGGGTGGGCCTTAATCCGATATTATCGGTGTCCTTATAAAATGGGATAATTCGGACACAGAGCCAGATACCACAGACAGAACATCACATGAAGATGAAGGCAGAAATTGAAATTATTTTTCTATGAGCCAAGGAAGACCACAGATTGCTGGCAAACCACCAGCAGCTAAGAGAGAGGCATAGGACAGAGTCCTCCTCCAAGCCCTCAGAAGGAGACAACCCTGTGGACACCTTGATCTTGGACTTCAGACTCCAGAACTGTGAGACAATAAATTTCTTTTGTTTAAGTTACAAAGCTTATTGTGCTTTGTTATGGAACGTCTAGCAAAGTAATACAATGGCCTAGACCAAGGCATTTCACCTCTATGTGTCTTACATGTAAGATATAATTAATACCTCGGAACTGTGTTTAAAACATAGTAAATGTTCAATTAAAGCTTCCTGAAAATGACAAAGGAAATAATAACTCATCCAAGAAATATTTATTAAGTACATTTCATGTGCAACGCCCTGCTCTATTTTTTGGGGAAATAGCTGTTAAGACTTGCCCTTACAGAGCTAACATTCTAATGAGAGAAGAGAGACAACAGCAGATAAGTAAACAATATAGTATGTCAGACAATAAGAAACTATGGAGAGAAACACAGGGAAGGTGAATATAAAATAAGGGGTTGAAGGAATATAATTTTATATAGACTTGTCAGCAGTGATGACATCTGGAAAATGACACATAAACCGCATTAAGTAGGTAGCACATTGCATAGGGAAGAATATTCTAGACAGAACGAATGGCCAGTGCAAAGGCCCCAGGGTGGAAATATTCCTGACATGTTGTGATAACAGAAAGGGGGCAAGTGTTGTTGAACAGAGAGATCAGAGAGTTAACAGCAGGAAATGAAATCAGAGGGGGAATTCAGGGAGACTGTGGGAGCCAAGATCAAGGTAAGGGCTGGTGTGGGAGCCAGTAGGCTGCTTGAAGGCTGATATGGTTTGGCTCTGTGTCCCCACCCAAATCTCATCTTGTAGCTCCCATAATTCCCATGTGTTATGGGAGGGAACCAGTGGGAGATGATTGAATCATGGGAGTGGGTCTTTCCTGTACTGTTTTCATGATTGTGAATGGGTCTCACGAGATCTGATGGTTTTAAAAATGGGAATTTCGCCACACAAACTCTCTCTTTGCCTGTGGCCATTCACGTAAGATGTGACTTACTCCTCCTTGCCTTCTGCCATGATTGTGAGGCCTCCCCAGCCATGTGGAACTGTAAGTCCAATAAACCTTTCTTGTGTAAATTGCCCAGTGTTGGATATGTCTTTATCAACACCATGAAAATGGACTAATACAGAGGCAACTGCAAAGTTATGAGCAGAGTGGTAACATGGTCTAACTTATGTTTTAAACAGGATCACCCTGGATACTGTTTGGAGAATCATAAGAAGGGAGGTAAATTGGAAGTAGAAAGACCAGAAAAGAGAGTATTCCAGAAACGGGGTGAGTGCTGTAGGTAGCTTGAATCAGGCAATGGAGATGTTGAGAAATGATTCTGGATATATTGTGAATGTAGAGTATTCAGGACTAGCTTCAGAATTGGGCATGGGGTATGAGGTAAAGAGGGGAGTCAAGGATAACTCTTAGTTTTTACTTTTTTTTTTTTTTTTTTTTTTGAGACGGAGTCTCGCTCTGTCACCCAGGCTGGAGTGCAGTGGCGTGATCTCAGCTCACTGCAAGCTCTGCCTCTTGGGTTCACGCCATTCTCCTGCCTCAACCTCCCAAGTAGCTGGGACTACAGGTGCCCGCCACCATGCCCAGCTAATTTTTTTTGTATTTTTCAGTAGAGACAGGGTTTCACCATGTTAGCCAGGATAGTCTCGATCTCCTGACCTCGTGATCCGCCCGCCTCAGCATCCCAAAGTGCTGGGATTACAGGCATGAGCCACCACGCTCGGCCTGTTTTGGGTTTTTATAAGATAAGGTCTCACTCTGTCACCCAGGCTGGGATGCAGTGCTGTGATCATGGCTCACTGCAGCCTCTACCTTCCTGGCTTAGGTGATCCTCCCACCCCAGCTTCTCTGGGTGCTGGGACCCCAGAGGCACACATCGACACACAGATAATTTTTAATTTTTTTGTAGAGACAGGGTCTCCCTATGTTGCCCAGGCTGGTCTCAAACTCCTGGGCTCAAGTGATCCTCAGGCCTTGGCCTCCTAAAGTGTTAAGAATACAGGTGTGAGCCACTGCATCTGACCTGACTCCTAGTTTTTTGCCTTCAACAAGGAGAGGATGACATTCATGAGAAGGAAATTTGCAGGAGAAGCCAGCTTGGGAGATGGCACCAGAAATTCAGTTTTGCACATGTTAAGATGGAGATTCTGCCGAGCAGACATCCAAATGGAGATGCGGGGGAGGCAATGGTATATGAGTCTGGATTTTAGAGAGCAGGTCCTGACTAAAGATAAATTTGGGAGTCATTACAGAATTAAAAATCAAGAAATTATATGAGATCACTAAGTGAATGAGACAAAATGCTTACATTTATTAAGTGCTTACTGCATTCCAAGCAATTTTCTAAATGTTTTACATATGTTATCTCATTAATCCTTGTAACTAACTCTGTGGTGATTGAATAGTTTGCATTTTCCATTCCCTCTAATTTTTGGACTTTGCCTAGTTTTACAAAGGAGGCTGTTACTCATCAATTTAAGTATTATTGATCATGACCAAAAGAGTGCAACAAAATTATCTTGCCCCTAAATCAAAGGTCAGCAAAGTTTTTCTGAAAAGGGCCAGACAGTAAATATGCTAGGCTTTGCAGGCCATATTTTTGTAGCAATTTCTCCGCTTCATGGTTGTACCTTGAAAGCAGTCATCAACTACTCATGAAGAAATTACTGTTGCTGTGTTCCAATTTAACTTTATTTACAAATCCAGGAAAAAGGCTGGATTTCACTTTAGGTTACAGTTTGTAGACCTCAATCTAAATACGTGATTTGAATTAATTTGATGTTTTATGTTGATAAAATCGAAGACAAATACCCTAAAAAGTGCAACATTTTCCAGTAAGCAAGCCACTCTGGGTAATAAGTTTTGATGCTTACAGATTTCATATTACAGTGGTCTTAAAATTTAGAGCATCCTCAAATCTAGGAAATTCCGGAAAACACATGGCCTGGTGGCCCTCACCTGGGATGACTCCAGATTTTCTATACATTAGAGGCCTAGCCATGGAAATACGGTAGAAGGAAGCAGGCTAGGTACATGTACTGAAGCACTGTTTGCCTAACAAGCATATAGTTTTTACTTAGATTGTATGTTTAAAGAGGTAGTGTGACTTTGGGGGAAGTTACTGCAGATTTTGTGCAAGGAGAGTAATCTTATTATTTTGATTCTTAATCCTTTACTCTGGAAAATAATTGTTTCTGATAATCTACTTAACTGAAGTCTTACAACATCTGGACTTTTGTCTTTTGGATGTTTACCAAATTCAAGAAGATTCCAAGGTAACAAAATTGACTAAGTTCAACTGAGTGCATTATACTTTGTAAGAAGCATGGCACATAGCCTGGTACAAGGCAGGCACTCAGTAAACATCAGCTCATTCACTCACTCATTCAAAAACTATCTTGTATTCAACTCTTTAATTCACTCTATAATTCAGACCTTTATAAATCCTCACATGTACTCCTAGTCATCCCACAAATGCAAGTTAAATTTATCTGCACAATATCTACATTGGTCGACTTTTCATGACAGGATAAAGTTAACATTTAGCCTGACCTTCTAGGCATGCCACAATCCATTTTTACCTATTTGCTTACACCTATGACTTCATTTGGAATGCTCTGATCTAGCTAGAGTCAACACCCTGTTATTCTTCAAATAAAAACTTTCTAGGAAAATTTCTTAAGATTTTATTCATGTTCTTTTCATATGAAATTTCCTTCGCCTGCACTAAACGAAATTTCCTGTCCTGTACTAAATGAAGGCATGTCTGTTTTTTCCAGAGCCAATTCAATGTGGCCCTTCTCAACCACTCCAGTCCATGATGTTTAGTCCCTTCTCTAAAATCTTACAGCACTATCCTTTGAACTACACTCATTTAATTACAGTTTTTTTAACACTAATCTCAAAAGCCTTAAGCATGTATTCTCTTAGCCATACTCATTTTATTATTAAATTGTACTGTCTTATTAAACTGCAAACTCCTTGAAGTCCAAGACCATATGTTTTTAATTTTTCTCCCAGTGGAGTTAAGGATAGTGCCTTGAATGCAGGGGATCAATCAATATCTGCTGTGTGCAAGGACCACTGGTTGTCATACCAACTAGAAATTGTAGCCACCTACACTCCAGAGAGCATTTATAATCCTTTCCCTAGCAAAAGGTTGCACATACAGCACTTTCTCACAACTAATGAGTGAAAAAGTGAATGAATGATCTCAGGAATTTAGCCCAAGAAAATAAGGAGCAATGTTGCCAAACATTTTTATGAGCAAAAAAACTTTTTATTTTAATAAATGTATAAAACAAGTTAAATGTCCACTAATAGAAGATAGGATATGTAGATTGTAGTTCAGTACCATCAGTAACTAAATTAATAATTCTATAAATAATGAATAATATGGAAATATTCTCATGGTACAGTGGTAAGCAAATATGTGGAAGATAATTCTATATGCCATATGTTCTCAATTTTTGGAATTTAGATAACTTTGACATGCACCTTGCTTTCATACATTTCTTTGCATTTCAACCATCACTCCTCTTGGTCAGGCCTTATCACATTTCCCCTGGGCTACCATATTAGCTTTCTAAACAGACTTTCTAGTTCCTATTTATTTCTTCAAATCTCTATGGTTCAGCCCCCAATTAAAACATCTACCTACGTTTCCACTTATATCTTGCCAGTTTCCATCTATGATCCATTCCAACCATTTACTGAAAATACTTTCCACTGTCCCCATACCCCTCAACATTTTCTGCTCATCTACCTGTAGTCGTAAGACTCTTTTCTTGTTTTAATGGTGAAGTGCAATTTTCCTGAGACACTATAAAAGCCATCCCTTCCCCATTTTCTTCTTCTTTTTCTTTTTTTGAGACAGAGTTTCGCTCTTGTTGCCCAAGCTGGAGGTGCAGTGGTGCGATCTTGGCTCACCACAACCTCTGCCTCCCGGGTTCAAGTGATTCTCCTGCCTCAGCCTCCTGAGTAGCTGGGATTACAGGCATGCGCCACCACGCCCAGCTAATTTTGTATTTTTAGTAGAGATAGGGTTCTCCATGTTGGTCAGGCTGGTCTCAAACTCCCGACCTCACGTGATCTGCTGGCCTTGGCCTCCCAAAGTGCTGGGATTACAGGTGTGAGCCTCCACGCCCAGCCTCCTTCCCCATTTTCGTATTTCACTTCTTCCCACTCCCTGCATGCATCCCAACCTGTGCTGTGTCATACCCTTTAGGGTCGGTACCTGCCTTCCCCCGATGACGGCCATTCCCTGGAGATCAGAAACACTGTTATTCATATTAGTATTTCTCCAAATGGGACACAAAGCTTTATCCTAAAGGGAGTCTAGAACCTTTTAATTCAATTAAAATTTTAGATAAGCAAATTTTATGTCCTGAGTCTTCACTAAGTGAAGCTTTAAAAAAATCTTTCTAAAACCATCTATTAATAGAAAGATTTGGGGGGGTCAGAATTAGTCTTTTAGGGAACTTGACCCTCTAAACGTATGTATCACTCACAGTAATTAAAGATGAGTACCTATAACTTAAAATCCACCATAGTATATAGAGCATGTGTGAGTTAATTACGAAGAGGCAGATAAATTGCAAAGATGATTCTGCAAACAGAGGGAAAACCAGAGTTAAAAACTCACTGGCTGGTTGGGCACCTTTGTTCAGGGAGTAACTTGCCCACCAACAGAACATGGCCCTGAATTACTATTCCCTTTTTAAGAGGTTAGTTTCAAACTGTTTCCTAAAACTAAACCACAGTCTCAGGATACAATGGCAAAAAATAGCTTCGTATATTTACAGAAGGAAAATAACATGACGTTTTATTGTGACATGAAAAGAATATGCAATGTATCTTGTCCAACACTGTGCAGCCTACCATTCTAAATGGGAGACAGGAATATAAACACACCACACTCCGGGAATCTGAAAACATGTATCTGGGCTTCTTTATTTAAGTTAATCATTATGTCATATGTTAACAATATGTTATTATAGGGTTTAATTGCTTTTGTGTCTAACAAGTTCTCTTGTCAGTTAACCTTTCACCCACAGATAGATAATGAAAGGCCACCTCTGTTGTGTCACTCGGTAGTTCATTAGGCAGAAATGCCGACTGTTTCCTCTACCAGTCTTAAGTCAACACAGTGCCCATACCAAGCCAAAGGCATTCTAACAGCTTCTAGTGGCTTTCATCTGGCTGGTGGTTGCTGTAAGATTCAGAAGCTAACTAAATAAAGTATGTGGTATACACATACACAGAGTTTGAAGGTATTTTTTTTTTCTAGCATTCCTTTGGAAGCATACCTTAACTCACAGATAGCAACAGTACAGTTGACAGCACTAGCTTTTAGGAAGTGGAGGAGGAAGTGTGAGAATGTAATGTGGCTATGAAGGAAAAAAATATCATCTTTGTGAATTTTTAAAATTCAAATGATTCTTCTTAAGCATATTCTACCGCAGTGAAAACTGTGCAAATTAGAGCACAAACACTTAAGTACTTTAATTAAGCAAAGAACACACCCCTCACATTTATGTTTTCAAGATTTATTTTTGCAATTAAAGTAATGAATCTATTCAAGAAAATTTTAGTTTTTAAAGAGTTCTCCTAATTGTATAATTTTTTCCAGCTTGTAAAATGCCCGATAAGAGCTCTTCAGATTTTCCAAAACATTCCCCTTACATCACGTTGTGAGAAATACTTTGAAGGCAGCATTTATGCACTTGGAACAGGATACTCAGGGTCCAGGAACAACACCTATTAACTCTAAAATTAAGTAAGTCACTTTGCTTCACACCTCTGGTGGCCAAGTATTAAAAAAAAAAAAAAAAAGGCAGACAGTCTGCAGCTATGAATGAAGGCTCAGGAGTCCTTTCATAATATTCCAGTTGATCGTGGTCCTTGTTGAGAGGTCTTACCTCATTTCCCACACATTTTCTGACCTATTTTGTCTGCCTTTTCTCAGAAGTATTTTTCTTGCTTCACTGTGGACTAAGCAGTAAACTAATTATCTTGTTCAAATCCCTTCGTAACGCCCCTAATCCTATTAGTCATAAGAATGTCTGAATACTGATTGCAAACCTTATTTTCCTTTCTGTCTTTTTAAAGAGAGAGACAAAAAGAGAGAAAGGTCCAGTGGTTTTGTCCTAGGGGATGGGGAGGGGTTGTAGTGAGCAGCTCTAGCCAGTTCACCGAAGGCAAAAGGCAGTTTTGGCCAGCCAAAATCGCAGCCACCTAACATACAGAAAAATTTCTCTCCTGTATTCCTTCCTTCCTTCCTTCCTTCATTCATTCACATTTTGTGTGTCTGTCTGTCTCTCTCTCTCTCACACACACAAGCACACACACACACAGAGAGTGAGAGATTTACACACACACACACAAACACACACAGAGAAAGAGAAAGAGAGAGAGAGAGATTTAGTTATCATTTGTATCAGTTGGAATGTCTTACAATAATCAAGTTCCAAACACTCCTACTCACAGTAGAACATGCTGAACCCTGGCCCCGGCCAGGAGCTCAACTTCACTTTCCTCCTTTTATCAGGGACATTTTAACGAAGAGGGTGACGCTATTCCAAGAAGTCAAATAAGCTATATGAAGTAGAGGAAATGAACAAATGTTACAGCGGACCTCGACCAGCCCTTCCAGTCTTAACTTCTTTTCTTCAAAGAACTCTCGCAAGTCTTGTTAAAGCACTCTCTCTCTGTCTCTGTAGAAGATGCCAAGACCACTGCCTCCTGCTGTCTATTACTGAGGGAACTTTAATCACTTTTCCTTTTTTGTTCCCACTGGGGAAGGAGCCAGACTGCAGCGAAAGGCCTGCAGTCAGAGTCGATGTTAAAGAGCATGAAATTTATCTGACTTCCATAAAAGATGCGTTCAGCCCTTCCATTCCTGCTTTTGCCAGGCAGGCTGCTCTGGGGATAGCTGCTCTGTCTTTAAAAAAAATAAAAATAAAAATAAAAATAAAACACAAATATTTACTTTAAATATAGAGGCACACTGTTACCTCCTAGCATCTAATTTTCCTAGTCTACCTTGCCTTCCTACTCCATCCCCTTCCAAAAAAGTCTATGTTCTTGACATGTAAAGTCAACTTTTTTCCATTAGTAAAAGTGTCTCCTTATTGCATTATTTGTTTCTGATAGTAAAAGAAAGTATTGTTTTAGAAACGACCTTGAAGAAGATACGATATGAGTTAGAGGAAAACCCATTCATTAACATTATTTCTGGGGCCTGAGAAAAATATTACAAACATGAGGAAAGTGTAGATTCCTTAGATCGGATCTCAGGCTGCCAACGTAACACGGTTCAAATACTAAGTGCTTCTATTTTGATCTGTCGCCATCTTTAGCAACCAAACAGTCTGTTAAGACACAGAAAGTTGGGTTTCTTCTGGACAGTTACTTGGCATACAGGAAAGAGTTAGTGAGTGTCAAGCGTGTGTGTCGATGGTATACATGTAGATATGGATCTCAATGTAGAGCCTGTGGTAAAAAGGAAGTGTGTATCACTCCTGGGATACACATGGCCTGCTGCTTTAAGGAAGGCAAAGGCCTATAGAAAGTGTGATGTCATTGTTAGCAGTAAACTGTAATGAGAATACGAGGCCCCATGGGCGGGAGGATGAGCAAGTTGTATGGTATTTATACAATGTGTTATTGGATGCAGAAATGATTCTAGGTAGTTTAAGGAAATGTGTTTTATACAACAGGATACATAAATAAATAGGTAAGTAACTTGTGGTGAAGGTTAAGGGTTATTCATTCACAGTAAGCCTTGTCCCAAGTAAGAGGTGAACTATAAATTTAGTTGTGTTCTTGGCAAAGAGAAAACATGTTCTGTCTTTGATATTAAAACATACCAGCTATCCAGGAAAAACACATTTTTTTCCCTGACGCTGCAGTAGAGAGTGCATCTGCCTGAGAGGCCACATGAGAAAACAGTGCATAATGTCTTCAAAAACATTTCTACATAAATACAAGAGTAAATGTCCCAGCAGCATCTTAGAATATCCCTCAAGAAAGTCAAGGGCATAATAGCAAGTAATTATGTTAGGACCAAATTCACATAGCTAAGCATGAGCCTGCAACTCCAATGGTCTAGCTTGTAAGATATACCCTAAATCTGAAAATTATTACTGTAATATATGACAACACGGAACATGTGAAAAGCAATAAGAAAAAAAGAATTTTTAAAACATGTATACTAATCTAAAAATAGTAATTCTTACAATGTACTTCCTGGACTGCTTAGTCTGTGTTTTTTTCAGTATGATACAGCCAACATCTTATGTTCTATACAATTGTAAAAAAACTCATATAAACTTTTCCTGGTTAGCTTAATTTTAGTTTTTATTAAAAAGCACTAAATGAAAATATAATTTGTTATCCTTATTTATTTAGAACATCATAGATTGATTTTAATACTCTCCACTGATGTCCTCTGCCAGCAGATGAAATCCAAGCATGGCCTAAAGAGATCGAGTAGACCTGGTTCCTCTTCACCCTCCAGCTTCATTTCTTGCTACCCTCTTCTTCACTCACTGCTATTTCTGTTACTCAGATACAACAATATAAATTTATGGCACAGGGATTTTCCATTTCCTGATTTCTCTCTCTCAAATGCAGTTGATTCTTTGTTCCTTCTCTGCATTTGGGACTCAGCTGAAATACTCAATTCTCAAAGAGGCTGTCTCTGATCCTCCCATCTGAAATAGCTCTCCCCTTTTCCCACTCCATCCCATGACCCTCTTTTATTTACTTCCTGTTACTTCCTGTTATCTGAAATGATCTCATTTGCCTCTTAAAAATTTATTTGTGTACGTAATCATTACTTCCAGGTTCTCCATCATCAAATGTTAAGAGCCAAGAAGACAGAAAACTTGTTGCTTCATTTATGTCAATAACTGTGAAATAGAATAGGGTCTTCCATAAATATTTGCTGGAAATGTGAATGAACTAAATTTACCGTTAGAAAAGACAGTGTCTTTCCAAATATAGAATAAGGACTTAAATTATAATCCACATTTTAACATTTACAAAAATTGGGATTGCATAGGAAACTTCATTGAAACATATGAAAAAAATAATTTCTGCCTTGATTATGAATCAAGCAGAGGAACCGATAAACTCGCACCGAGAACAAGTCTTTTAATGATATTAAATTACTTTCCGTCTATTTTGAAAAGCACCTCTGTGTGCCCAGGATATGTCCACAAACTTCATGTGTTTAAGAGGCAGCCTGATCCCCATGAAGCAGCTTCAAAAGAAAGTCAAAGTCGAAACGTCCATCTGTGCCATAGAGGACGTGACAGCTCATAACAAAACCACAGCAAATGGACTTACTTCCTAAGACACAAAGCTCTGTGAGTATGGAGGAAAAGTGATGTCATTTGCTGGCCAGCAGCTCTCAGGCCACAGGCCCTCCTAATCCCCAATTGATACTGACAACTGCAGTGACCAGGGCTAAAGCGGAGTTCAAGTGGGGAGCAGGACAGATGCCACTTTAACGTGTCAGCAATTTCCCATTTAAAATTAATACTGTACAAATGCCCTTCCATTAGCAGAGTCAAATTATAGTCCTGGAAGCCCTTGTTTAATGGAAAAAACGATGCAGAATACTACAGAAGTCAGGCCAGGAACCCAGTGGAAAGTCTAGCTGTTAGATGGAAGGAGAGATCATCCAAGAGTTGTAAAATACTGTATTTTCTATTATGGCCACTTAGGGGCACTCAAAGGCCTAGAAATGGTCTTTTGAGTCCAAATTATAGAACCCAACCTTTTTAGTGTGAGAACAGCAAACAATATATAATAAGTATATCTCGGCATATCTTCCTATTGAGTATCAATTCCCCTCACACAAATACAACTACGTTTTCTTAGTTCACAATAACAAAAAACCTCAAAACACATTTTGAGGAAAAGAAAAGCAAGTAAGTGACTACCATGAGTCAAGATAGTATTTTCCCCTAGGTAGACAAGAGCGGGTATGACAGAAAAGGCACCAGGGGACTCATGTGGCATGATGGCAGGGCTCCATCTCGCCCTGAGTGGCAGGCATGCGGGCATTTCTTTTACTCTGTATATTTATGTTTGATATTCTGTGTACATGTGTGTGTGCTCTGCAAAATAGTAATTACTTCTGATCATGGTTACATTTACAATATGGACTTTAAAAACACATACTAAAATTTGAATCCAAGAGCTGTAAGTACGGAGATCAAACACATGACATTAAGAGTCAAACATGGGTTTAAATCTACTTCTTTTACTCCCTGTGAGACTTAGTCCTCAGTTTTCTCTTTGCTGTGAACAATTATGAACGTGCTGACTTTGCATTGTGGTAGTGTGGATGAGATGAGTGAGAAGTAATTAGCACAGTATGGATCACAGGGTAGGAACTCAAAATGGGTTTTCTTCTCTTCTCAGTCCTTCAGGTTTGTAATTTAGGTCAGAAGACTTAGAAATGAAGAGAGGCATGGTAAAAAGCATAGAGAACAACTGATTAAGACACATGAATTTCAATAACATTCTATATGTAGTTGGGGGAAAAAGACCTGAAGAGAAAAAGCAATAATCTATTCATAGTATCTAATCATTACTGGGAAGTTTTTAGAAGACTATTGACAGTAGTGATTATCAGCCATTGTTAGAAAGGTTTCAAAAAAAAAAAAAAAAAGAATGCAAATTCATAGCTTTCCCTGGATGGCTTCACTTCACTTGTTCAAAGACACCAGCAATGTTGGAAAAAATGAGAGCTCCTACAAGAACACTGGCCTGCAGCCGTTATTAATTAACTTTGGACACAAAATACCATACTCATAAGCACATCATATAGATAGGTTTTTAAAATGCAGCCATATGCTTTCAACTTTTAGAATCCATAATGACAAACTTTTGACCAAATATCTTTGATTCTGTGGATGTACAGACTTATTGTGTAAGAATATAATTTTTCCTATGACCTTTGAAAATGAAAAAAATGGGTTCTAACAGGCTACAGGACATGTATATGTACATTAACAGAAACACATACTCTTAATGTTTTATATAAAAATACCAACATTGATATCCTTTTCCTGAAGGAGCACCATCTAAGGAAGTAGCATGGTTTCACAGAACCTGTGATGTTATTAAAACTAAAAGCTATTGGTTCAGGCCGGATCACAACCATTTACAGGCTGTGGATTCTCAGGGAAAATCTCTGTTTTCTTTAAGCCTGTCTTTGCCTTTCAATTGAGGATTGAAGTCTGCTTATCTTGCAGATTTTCTAAGGATCAAATGAGATAAACATACTTCTTAAGCTCAGGACAGCTATACCATAAATGTTACATAGTGTTTGGTTAAAGCTTAGACTATAGAGGGCAGGTAAGATTCAGATCCTGGAGTGCCTCTACCTGGACTCTACTCCTAACTCTTAAATTTACCAGTTCTGAGACCCTGGGCAATTTACCTGCCTCTCTGTAACTGTTATTTCTCTGGGAAAAACAATGAAATCTTCCCCAGACAGTTGTTTTGGGGTTTAAATGAAAGAATATAAGCCCAGCCCATATGCACTACTTATCATTGTATTTTTTTATCATCATTATCAAATAACAGGTAATCTTTTTATTATGCATCTGTAGCTTTTCAGCCAAGTATCATTTCCTGCTCTGTAGATCCCAGCTCTCATTTCTTAAGTTACGGTTTAAGGTTCTCCTTCTTTTTCTGTCCCTCTTCAATCAATTTCCAAAACCTAAAGCTACTCTAAATATGTGTTCCTTACAATTTTAGTTATCATCAGCATGCAAATGGCCGTACCTGTCAACCTCTAGATCCTTTCTCATTAATAGCATCTTACACAGTGCATCTTTTCAGGTCATCTGTGATTGGATAACACACTGCTAAATCTAGTGAAATATGACTATTTTGCAAAACTGTTTTTCCCCTACCACCTTTTCTTATACAAAACTCCCTATTTTCTAAAGAATCTGATTCCCCAGCCTCTCCACTCATTCTTTTACTAGCTTTGAATTTGTTTTTGTATACATCATTTATAAATCTTCCCCTTCTATGCTGCCTCCTACACAGTGAAAGTTGTACTCAACTCTGTGCTCATCTGCCAGCAGTCCTGGTGATATCCTTTCCTTCCCTACTGCCTCCGCATTCCAGGTTTGGAGCTGCTTCATTCAAGCATGTGTTGGTTAAGCCAAAGTCAGCTGCCATGTGTTAGGTACCACACTACACACTGAGGATGCAATGGTGAAGAAGGAGCAACCCTGTTCTCAAGAAGCTCACAGTCTATAAGGGAGCACTGAGCAAAACACTCATTCACACATTAGTCTAATAGGAAAAAAATCACAGGTTTACAGAGAAGCTCCTAAGGTGACAGCAAATCCCAAACTGAATTGTCAGGGATAGCACAGAAGAGTCTTGAAAAACTCATGGTCATACAAAGGATTGGCATAGGAGGGAGAGGCAGGCAGAGAAAGGGACATATGAAAAAGCATGGAATCTGCAGCAGCTGGAAATAATGCTACACTTGAGTTTTCTCCATTTACTACTTTAAGTTTTCAGCAAAAGTACCACTTTCTCATGTAAAGTGTTCATATAAAATCTGTTAACTTTTTGGATATTTGAAAGACTAAAGCATTTCCTAGGGGCTTAAAGTTGAACTCACTAAAAGGAATTTCTATGTATTAAGAGTGGCTTTTCCCTTTACAAACGGATTTATGGACAGGAAGATTTGGAAAATAATATTTTTAGAAAGTAATTTCCAGCAAGTTAAAATTGTATCTAATCAATATGACATTTCTTTAAACGGGATCCTTGTTCTCTACAGTAGATATACACCACACACGTGTATAAACTTATTTTTTCTGAGACTATTTCATTCATATAAATAATAGCCATTAGAAACTTGGAAGGTATTTATAGAAAAAAAGACTTGGTGAAAGCTCAGGAGAAATGGACAATGGTTTTATTTGTTTATTTATTTATTTTTTTGATAGTGTCTCGCTCTATCTCCCAGGCTGGAATGTGGACAATGAGTTTTTTAAAAATGACATTTAAAAAACCTTAAACAAAACAGTAACAATAACTCTGCAAAAATACAACAAAATAGGACAAAGCATAAAACTTTGTGAAAAAATTAAAACTTATTGTTTAAATACAAAGTCATTAATTAAAAAAATAAGGTTTGCCTGTATCCACAAAGTCTGAAGGTCAAAAACAATCCAGAAATTGCTACAGCTAAACTAAAACTTCATGAGCACTCATAATAAACTTCAAACACTGTTTAAAACATACCAAAAGTTCAGGGAAAATAAGCAAACACCATCCTTTGGGAAAAAGACAAGGGTTTTCATGAGACAAATTATGCCTTATCAATCAACTGAAATATTTAGAAAGAATAAATATGTAAACCAAAAATATATAGACACACTTTATTTGGACTTGCAAATCTGATATTAGTAAAGTCTCATTCATTGTTACTTTAAAATTTGAGTTACCACGGTACTGAGGTGGATTGATAAATACAGAAATATCCACTAAGGGATATATAGAGATGAAAACAAAAGGTAATGAACACCTGGTAAATCTCTGAAAGCAGGGGGGCCTCTCACAGAATGTTAACAAATGCTTCTGTGACTGTTTATAAAAATATACAAATGCCCAAAAGCAGATGTGCACATTGACTTTGTTTCTTAGTGACACACTTGGCATTAAAACAATTTCAACTAGAAAATAGATTTCTATGGAATCATGCTAGATTTCTGTATTTTGATTGTCAAATCTAAGCATTTTAAAAAAATTAGACGACAAATAGAAAATGACATGTATGTTCTGTGAATAAATGGTTACTACAGTATTTGAGAAAAACCCATACATGTGAAATTTTATTGTATGAGATGTTATAACATGCCTGGTATTTTTGAAGTTTATGGAAAAACTCATGGGCTTTTTGAATCATTTGAACTTCTTGATGTATTTTCTCAAATTACTTTAAACATTTTTTCTACACTAGAATTTTATTCTGGAATTCCATAGGTATTATGATGGGTAAGTAATCTAATTCAGAAAGAAGACCTGTCAGAGAACAATAAAACTTTGTCATTTTCATGAAGTTAAGGTGCTTTGAAATTGATAAGCAGATAAAAGTGTTTTATGGTTAGTTTGTACTAACTTGATCAATTTAACATTCCTGGAAGGTGGCAGTAGTTGATGGAAAAGTGTGCCAATAAAAACATTAGTTCCACGTATGTTCTATGCCAACTCTGAGTAACATGACAATGAACAAATGGTTTCATTTACACATTTAATTTACTAATTTTATGAAGCAATCTAAAATATTCCCTTTTCTAGAAGAATCAATCTTTAAAAGTAAACCAATGAAGAGAGAGATTGCCAATAGATTCTTTAACCATATGAAATTCGTATATCAAGTTGATCACATGAGCCAAAATTACATTCCTTTAAGGAAACACATGTAATGCAAAGTGACACTTAAAACTCAAACATTTAAATGAACTCATAATCATCCATTCTTAGTGGTGTAAATACAGAGTAAGCTTAGAATTTTCCTTACTCATAAAGATAATTTTAACATATAACATTTATATTTGCATTATGTTTATGAGTTCTACCTTCAATATTTGATTCCGTCATTCGGTATACAAATGTTTACTGTCTGACCCTTAAATGCCAATCATAGTACTGAAGGTTTAAGAGAAAGGTCCCATGTGAAATTGTGAGAATCAAAGGCAGACCTCTTGTGGTCAGTGAGAATTCTACCACTTCTCCATTTGTAATCAGGAGCACTCTCTTCTTCCACCTTGAAATATAATTTAAATCCTAAACGACAAATTTGTGTAAACATGTTAAACTTTGTATTTCTCAAATTCTAATTTAGTCACACTAAAATTATAAATTATAATTTATAATTTCCTGAAATTATAAATTATAGTATACTTTTTAATAAGTTCTTTACTTTGGTAAATATTCGGGGATGTTGCAGAAAATGTAAATAATGAGTATTTCAATTATGTTCACTAAGGGTATCTATTTAAATCTTTCCATTGTCCTAAGTCTCCTTTTCTGGTTTTTAAATATGCCTCCTTTATCTCAATTAACTTGGTTTTCTAGAAATTAAACAAAATAAGATCATCCCCAATCTCAGTGTTTCCCCTATGTCTGTACGTGGATTTACTTTGGCTGTAGTCTAAAAATTTGGGTCTAGTATATGCAAACTGTGAGTCACTCCTCTGGGAGAAGGCATGAAAGAAACATGGGGGTAAACCAGAAGACACAAGCATAGTAGAGATTGGGATAGCGATGTCATAGAAAGCATTAAAAAACTTAAGGAACAAGAAATAAAGGCAAGTGAATAGGTTAAACATACATTTTCTAACCACCTCCTCCCACCCCCCACCACAATAAGCAATTTTAAATAGAGTGGCTAAAGTTAATAGTGCCACATGGGGAAAAAAATCAGAATGATATTGAGTATTCTGCACATCCACTTCACTCCGACCTCTATTTCCATTCTCATTTTCCACCCTTCTTTCCTTCATTGATGCTGGCCTCCTTTCTGCTGCTCAAAAATCCTGCCTCGTTGCTGCCTCAGATCTCCCAGATGTAAAGTCACCTTTATGGCAGTCTGGCTCCATCTCATTCAGGCCACTGTGCAAATGTCTTCTCAGAGAGACTTGCCCTGATCAGACCATCTGAAAGAGCCTCTCATGCCCCCTTCTGCCCACTGCCTCTCATTACACTAAAGCCATCTTAATTATTTCGTTATTTACCTGTTAACATTAGGATGTAAGCTTCCTGGAAGCAGTGATGGTGACCTGTATTGCATCATTTGAAATTGCCAGCTTTTTTTGGTCAATCAAAATGATCAAATAGTGGCAATTTCCTATGGCCAAAATGAATATTCTTGTGTATGAAACTGAGTAAAAATGTATGACTAATTAAAAGTTCCTCCACTAATTTTCACTTTAACATGTATTTCTTTTCCCCCAAATAGCCAAAGACAGATGAGGGACTATGCCCATGTTAACTATTCCAGCTATGTTAATTCAAGCCTGGATTAATTATGATCTCATCTTGACTTCTCTACTAAAAGTCAGACAGATTAGAAAATATTTTTGTTTTCATAGCATACTATCTATAATTCACATTGACAATGCACGCAATTTGCAATTTTTTTGTGATACAGATATATCAATATATAAATTTGAGTCATCTCATTGAGATGACAATTAAAACGTATTATGAAGTGTGAACTTGGATCGAGGAAGAACAAAAAGGAGCCAAGAAATGAACTCTGAAATCTTGGTAGTGACAGAGCACCAGGCCAACAGCAACATGTTGTGGAGGTGTTCCGTCCATGCATCCATTAGAACCATGTGGAAACAATTCCTGTAGATCCCTAATAAGCATAGGCTGACTTTTCTGACAAAAATGAACAAAAAACCAAAGCATAGATCTGAAAAGCAATCTTGCATGCACATGCACAGGTGCTGTCAAATGGAGAAAGGGAAGGAGGGAGGCAAAGAAAACATTCCGTTAAGAATTGCAAAATGCTTAGAGCCTCTTGACATCAGAGCTGGATTTCATGGGCTATGTTAGTGAATTGCAAGACTTATCAGCTTGCTCACAGGATCCCTCTCATCTCATTACATTGTAAAAATAAATCTATTTATATTTTTCTTAATCTTTTGGGGGCTGGGGAGAAGGGAATATCGATACTTCCAAAACAAGTCTCTACAAAATATGAAAGAAATGATTTACAATGCATTTTAAATGGCTTTGTAAGAAAATCTGATCCATGCTTTCAAAAAAGTTTATCGTTAAATTTAAAGCTTTCCTTCTAACTCCTTCATATGTTGCTCCTTTTAATGTCAACAGGAAATCAACAATGAAGAAGAGACATATGGTGAAGGGAGGGACAGAGGAACTCATCGTGAATCAGCTCTCTCCACTGCAGGCAAGAAATGAAAAGTTTATATTTTTAAATGTTACTACAAAATGTTCCACTGGCAAGCCTGGGAATTCTAAGTGGCATGAAAAGATCAGACTAAAGTCACTTTCAAACATACCTGGGATCTGAAAGCTGTGACTGACTTCTTGGAAAAGGCGAAAGTCTGATACATATTTTTCAATAATGACATCCCTCATCCTTCACCAAATCCTTCATCAAATTTAGGAAACTGAAGGTCATCCCCATTTTAATATCTGGGCTAAAATGCTGACACTACTAATTACCTTTTCTTTTAATTCCCTCCATTCTACCTCCAGGTACCAGTTTCAGAAAATCAAAAAATGGTGTTTTAACTTGCTAGGGATGCCATCAGAAAATACCACAGACTAGGTGGCTTTAAGAACAGAAATTTATTCTCTCATAGTTCTGGAGGCTAAGAAGTCCAAGATTAGGGTGCCAGCATGATCTGTTTCTGGCAAGGGCTTTCTTCCTGGCTTTCTTCTTGCTGTATCCTCACACAGCAGACAGAAAGAACAAGCTCTCTGGTGTCTCCTCTTATAAAGACATCGATCCCATCATGAGAGCCCCTGGCCCATTACCTCATCTAAATCAAATTGCCTCCCAAGTACCCCCCTCTAAATACCACTGCATTGGAGGTTAGGGTGTCAACATTTGAATCTCTTCCTCCCTTTCTTCCTCCCTTTTTTCTTTCTCTCCCTCCCTTTCTCTCTCCTTTTCCTTCCCTCCTTCCTTCACTTCTTTTTCTGTAAATGTCTTATTCTCTGTGTCTTAGTTTCCACATCTTTAATCTATGGCCTCTAGTTCCTAGGGTTCTACAAGGATAAAATTAGGCAATGTTTGTAAAACACTTGATACCTAATATTGGTTAAATAAATAAAATATATTATTTTCAGGTAAAGTTGAAGGACCATGAGGGCACAACTTAGTGTCTGCATAGTAACTGGCATACAAAGTGTTGCATCAATATTTGTTGAATGAATTAATAGTGAAAGACTAATCACTTGGAAAAGGAAGCATAGTGAGTGCTTCTGTAAGTACAACATGATTCTCAAAGGCTTCTTGGAACTAAACATCTGCCTGAATCCAAAAGCACCAAGTTAAAAGTGTGGGTCAGTCATGTACTCACAGTTGTAGTATGTGGACAGAGAAGACCCTAACCAAAACCTATTGCTAAAAATGTACGCATTAGAAGTGAGAAAAGTGGAGTTGTGTTCGGGTAGTTATTTAAGAAGACAGTGCAATGAACTATGAGCCTAAAGAAGGATGAGTAGGGAATGATTTGGATATTAGAGACAGTGGTTATCATTTATTGTTCAAATCTACCATTTGAAGTGCCTGGTTTGGCCCTATTTTATTTCAAGAACCCATAGAGACAGCTGCACAGAACCTGCATGAGCCATGTTAATGTTCCACATTGACTTACTTTAAATCTGTGACCTTTTCTAGGACCAAAAGAAAGGGTAGACATAGGCGCAAGGAAATCTCTGAAAGCTAGGACTCATCCTATGATATAGAAAACCGTGTGAAGGTTACAAAACACACCATCATCGATCTCTCCTGTTCTTAATATTCAACTTTAATGCAAGCTGTAATCGGAATGCAGCCACCATTTTTGAACTTCTACTCTATAACAGTCACTGTATTTATTTTTGCAACACACACACACACACACACACACACACACACACACACACACAGCTTAAAACTTACCCTTAACAGCAACACAGCCAGGTATATGCCATCTTCCCCATTTTAAAGGTGGGAAAATTGAATATCAGAGAGGTTATGTCAATTGCTTTAGGTAATACAGGCAGCAAAGAGAAAATCTGAGGTTGGAGTCCAGTGTATTCCAGATCTGAAATCACTGTTCTAGTCTCCTTTTTCCCAAGAACAACTGGAGAAGCCCATGGGAATTTTCAGTTTCTCTGAGTGGCTTGTCACATTAATCCAGGTAGAAAGAAATAGTAAGAGTAGTAAGTAAATCATTAAATAATTATACAGTTTTAGACATTTATAAGCATACATACACATATGTGTGTACATGTATGTAAGCACATTTTTATTAAAATAATTTAAATGTATAAAAATTATAAGATATGAAATCACACATATACAAAGGAATTACGGGGGTTCTTGTGACATTTATTGGCTTTCAACAGTTGACATGTCTTCTAGATACTGTAGAAGTATTTGTGTTCTAAGACACCACCGCAAGTGTTACTATACTGCACTATTTACAAATGTTTTGAAATTGAAAGTGTGTATAATACTTCCTTACAAGGTGGAGCAACATTGTGAGTCACAATGGTGCCATCTACTGGGAAACTGGTAAACTATGAAAATAGAGAAAATGGTATGCATTTAAGGGAAACAGAAAGTATCGTACTCTGATATCCTTCCTGTTCACTAAAAAATTCCAATAATTAGTTTTTTTCTGTGGGGCGGGAGATGAGAGTTCATGGGTACAGTTAATATGCTGGAAAGCAAACAGTTCACACCATAATCCTTTCACATTTGTTTTCTCTCTTTTAATTTGATATCATTTGTGTATGTGTATGTGTGTGTTATTTTTCCTACTATTTACCCGAGCCAGAAATAAGAGAAAATGACTTTTCAGTAATTAAAAACAAATTTCAATATGTGACAACTTAGAGTTGTTCTCAATCCTAATATGCAGTTACTTCTCCCAAGAAATTCCCAGGTATTAATTTAAAAAGTCTTTGATGTCTTAGTTTGCACAACATATGCTATCGGGTTTGAGTTAATAAAATCATCCTCAAGTTTTCACTGTGGGTTGTCAAAGGCTCTTATGACACCTTTTCATCAAAGTAAATTAAATATTCATTGTATCCCATAGTAGATCTATTGGCCGCCCTCAGTATAACTAGGCTTTTGGAGTGAGAATAATACAAAAACGTTTCATTACTGGTGTTTCTTTCAGCTATGTATAATGGAGAAAACTAGGACCTTACATAGATACCTTCATAAAATGACAGAAAGCAAGTCTTAATTAACCACGTGTTTTTTTCTACACATAAATTTGCTATAATACATTTTGAATCCTTGTCTCTAGTCCCATCACCACCCAGGACTTTCATAGACCATTTTATCTAACCATGTATAACTTCAGAGAATTAAAACTAACAACAGCCGAAGTGAAAAAAGCGTGATCCTGTCAGATAAGCGGTTTTAAAATTTTTATTTGTTTGGCCTCCTATGTACAGAGTCATCCATTCCCATGCCAATTCAACTGATATTGATGGTCAGACCCCACTACATACCAACATTAAGACAGAAAATGTCTCTGCCTCTTCCAGTGGTACACTCTACTATAGGAGAGACAGGACAACCCCTTAAGATCATTTCATACAGTGGAAAGTGCTGAAAATTTAACAAGGTGAAAGATAGTTATGGGCTACAGTGGAGCATAGTAGGAACACATATGCCATTTAGGATGTGAGTGATTATAAGGGCCACAAGAAGAAGTGATTTTTGTACACATCAAAGGGATAAGAAGGAGTTGGCTATGTGAAGATGAGACAAGACTGGTTAAGATTGTGGGAAGCAGGCTGTAATCCCAGCACTTTGGGAGGCTGAGGCGGGCGGATCACAAGCTCAAGAGATCGAGACCATCCTGGCCAACATAGTGAAAGCTCTTCTCTACTAAAAGTAAAAAAATTAGCTGGGCGTGGTGGTGCGCCTATAGTCCCAGCTACTCGGGAGGCTGAAGCAGGGGAATAGCTTGAACTTAGGAGGCAGAGGCTACAGTGAGCTGAGATCGCACCACTGCACTCCAGCCTGGTGACAGAGCAAGACTCTATATATATACATATATATATATACACACACACATATCTATATATGTATATGTATATATACGTATATGTACACACACATATATATACGTATATATATATATATATATATACACACACACATATATATATGATTGCGGGAAGCAGGCATATAAAGTCCTGAAGTAGAAGCTAGCTGGGCATGTCAGAAGAAGATAGTTCTCCAGTCACTGACAGAGGAAGAGAGGGGTAGGAAATACATTAGCAGAGAAAGCTGGAGCCCTATCTCCAAATCATGAGACTATGGACAAAAATAAATCAACAAACAAAGAAACACTAAGAAAGGAATAAGGGGATTAGGATGAGTCAGACAATAAATGCAATAGGCCCTGACATATAATTTTATTTAATTTCCATGATCACCATACATGCTGATCTCCTAATTCTAGAGACAAGGTAATGAAGGATGAGGTCAAGTAACTTTCTCAATACCTTACTGACTAGTAAAGAGGAAAGCTCACATTTCAAGTCAAGGCTTCAATCTCTTTCCATTTGTTCCTGTGGTCACATTTAAATGTGTCGCACTTGAGTGAAAAAAAAAAAAAAAAGATTTGATAGCAGTTTTAAAAAATTGGCATGGAGGAATTTCCTGTGGCTGGAAGAACATAGAAGGCAAGTCAGATACACTTAAGATCAGGCTTAACTTGTTTAACTGAACAGGGACATTTTTCCAATTGAGGCTAATGTGAATTGAATGAAGAACTGAATGAAAGACTTGTTCAGCAGGAATTGTAGTTTTCCTCTTTTTGTGAGAACAATTTAGCTCATTCTTAAATTTCTTAATTGTTTTCAAGCTTCTGTTCGACTTTATTAATGGGATTTATAGTCTTTTAAAAAGCACACCAGAGTAAGCACTTTTAAAACAAATAATCATCTAACATGAATTTTAACTTTGAAAGTTAAAGGGCAGGAGTTGATACGATTTTTTTTTTCATTTAAAAATACCTGAAATGGAGCATTTTTCTCAGTATCTCAGAATCATTACACAAAAGAGGGTTTTATGGATTAAATTGTGTCTCCCCAAAATTCATATGTTGAAGTTCTCACCTCCAGCGTAAATGTATTTGGTGATAGGACCTTTAAGGAGGTAACTACATTAAATGAGATAATAAGTAATGAGATAATAAGTATGTGGCCCTAATCCAATAGGAATGGTATAGAGTGCTTGCACAGAGAAAAGGCCATGTGAGGACACAGCAAGAAGACAGCCATCTGCAAGCCAAAGTCAGGAACCCGATGTCAAACCAAATCTGCTGGTGCCTTGAACTTGGATTTCCAGCCTCCAGAACTATGAGAAAATAAATGCTGTTCTTGAAGCTTCCCAGTCTGTGGTATTTTGCTATGGTAGCCCTAGTGGACGAATCCAGAAAGAATGACAATAATACATTCAAGAGTGACATTTTCAATATACAAATATCATGTTGATACATTTTCCAAAGATTTATACACATAAAATCTATAGAGTACAGGAAATAAATGCCTCAACAATGGCCAGGATATATTGTAAAATTGGTTGATTCTAATACTGTGTCATCACTAACTGAGTATCTATTATGTTCTTGGAACTGAGGATAAGAATTTAATAAATCAAAGACCCCGCTCACAAACTATTTATAATCTACCAGTCTGGAACATAATTTTATGTATCTTTGATAATATAACAAAAATTATGTTAAAAATGTTAAATCTCTTTGAGCTTCAGTTTCCTCATCTATAAAATGGGAATACAGAATCACTCTACATATGAACTACTAAGGTTCAAGCTTTCATGCTCTCTGGAAAGAGTGCACTGACCCTGCTCTCAGCCAAAACATATTGATAGCTATAATAAAGCTGTAGTAAAGCAACCTGGAACTTTGAGACAAATAGGTTTATTTACAAATTGCCTTATGGATCTTAACCCATTAATAAAGCTTCTGTAATTATTCCTATGTAAAGAATTAAATTTGGTAATATTGAAAAAATTAGTTAAGTGATCAAAATTATATCTGCTATAATTATAATAACGACACATTTTAACATTAAATATTCACTTCTCCAAGCTGTACCTCCCAGCATTCTAAATATTTATAAAGCCTTTTTTTTTTTTTTTTTTTTTTTGAGACGGAGTCTCCCTCTGTCACCCAGGCTGGAGCGCAGTGGTGCGATCTGGGCTTACTGCAAGCTCCGCCTCCTGGCTTCACACAATTCTCCTGCCTCAGCCTCCTGAGTAGCTGGGACTACAGGCGCCCGCCACCACGCCCAGCTAATTTTTTGTATTTTTAGTAGAGACGGGGTTTCACCGTGTTAGCCAGGATGGTCTCTGTCTCCTGACCTCGTGATCCGCCCGCCTCGGCCTCCCAAAGTGCTGGGATTACAGGCGCGGGCCACCGCGCACAGCCAGTATAAAGACTTTTTATTATCTGAAACAAAATATTTCCTTCTTCCACTGCACACTTATATAAATATTCAGTCAAAATTCATTAATCTTTGAGATCTGCTGAACACCATTACTGAGCAAAAATATGCATAAAGGGAATTCAGTAAGTAGAGGAGAGGAAAAAATAGAATAAAAATATTTAAATAAATACTGGCTGAAAACTTCCAAAATTTGATGAAAAATATAAATCTATACATCCAAGAAGCTCAACAAACTCCAAGTAAGATGAAATCAATGAAGTCCACACACAGACCCATCATAGACAATCTGCTGAAAGACAAAGGCAAGGAGAGGCTCTTGAAAGCAGTAAGAAAAAAGCGGACCATCATTCACAAGGGATCTTCAAGAATATTAATAGTTTACTTCTCATCCGAAACCATGGAGGTCAAAAGGCAATGAAATAACATATTTGAAATTCTTCAAGGGTGGGAGGGAAGATGTCATGCAAGGATTCTACATTCAGAAAAATACTATCCTCCAAAACATTGAGGGAGAAGCTTGGATATTTCCATATTTAACAAAACAAAAAAATTTTTAAAAAAGGTGTTGCTAGTAGATGTGCTGTAAGAGAAATACTATAAGGAGTCATTCAGGCTGAAATAAAAGGACACTAGAGGGTAATTCAAATCACATGAAAAAATAGAGAGGTAACTGTATAGGTAAATATAAAAGATAGTATAAATATATTTTCACAACTTTTTTTCATCTAATTTAAAAAACAACTGCATAAAGCAACAGTTACAAGTTGCCTTGTTAGACCTAGGATGGGTAAGGATGTAATCTGTATAACAATGACAGCATAAAGTAGCTAGGGGGACACAAGCTGTATTGGAACAGGTTTTGTATACAAATGAAATCAAGTTGGTATTTAATTAATTTAACAAACCCAATTATTATAAATGAAGAGGTTAATTGTAATCTGCAGAGCAGAAGCTAGAAAATCAAACAAAGCAAAATAAACAAATATAAAAACAAATTTCATAACAAGGGAATTAAAATTGCACCTTAGAAAATACATATTTTACATTAGAAAAGACTATGGAAGCAATAAGAGAGAAAAACACATAAAACATATGGAAAACAAATTCAAATAGCAAAACATGACAAATTCATTACAAAATGACTGACATAAATCCTAATTTGTCAGTAATTAAATGGACCAAATATTACTTTACTAAGTAAAGTACATGAATTAAATAATGAAATCAAAAGGCAGAGCTTCACAGAATGGAAAAACAAAACAAAAACATGATATACCTAGATGCCATATAAAGATACTAACTTCAAATTCAAAAACACAAATAGATTGAAAATAAAAGGATGGAAAAATACCTATTGTGTAAAGAGTACCCATAGGAAAGCTGGAGTAATAGGAAAAAATCTGTTAATAGAAAAAGAAGTATATTTCATAATTAGAAAATGATCAATATATTAGGCAGACATGAAAATCATTAACATGACACGTAAAAACAGAGCTCCAAAATAAAAAGCAAGAGTGGCCACACTTGAAATGAGAGATAAACAATTTATAAATTATAGTTGGAGACTTCAAAGCCAACTTTCAACTATGAATGGAACACCTGGACAGAAAATCAGTAACAAAATAGAAACTCAAACAACACTATAAATCAACTAAACCTAACAGACATCTATAGAATACTTTACGCAACAGCAATAAAAATACACATTAATTCCATATGCACCTGGAACATCTCCGGAACAAGTCTCAATTTAAAAGAATTGAAATAATATTGAAATATGTTATTTTAACACAATGAAATAAAATTAGAAATAAATAACAAAGGAAAATTTGGGAAATTCACAAATATGTGAAATTCAACAACATACTTAAATAAGCAGTGATTTAAGGGAAGAGAACAAAAGAAAATTATGTAATACTTTAAGGTGAATGAAAACAAAATCATAGCAGAGAAAGCAAAACACTGGATGCAGCACTTAGAAAAAAAGTAAATAAATGGAAAACATTCATTTTCATGAATCAGGATATTTACCATTATTACAATACCAATACTACTCAAACTGATTTACAGTTTCAATATAATCACTATTAAAATGTAAACTGATGCTTTTGCAGAAATTGACAATCTTAATCCTAAAGTTCACATGTAAATTCAAAAGATCCAGAATTGACAAAACAAACTTGAAAAAGAAGAAGAAAGTGATAGTACAGAAATAAGCCCTTACATTCATGATTGATTTTCCTAAAGGTCCCAAGACAATTCCATAGAAAAATAATTGTCTTTTAATAATGATTGCTAATGGGCTGAAGATTTCTTTTTGGGGTTATGGAAAATAGTCTTAAAATTAGATAGTGGTGATGATTACATAACTCTATGAAAATATAAAATCGCTAAATTGTATAAGTTAAAAGCATGATTTTTATGTTATATGAATTCCATATCAATAAAGTTTTTATTTAAAAATTTTATTTAAAAATTATGAGTAATAAGGTAACTTATCAGGCCTCAGATATCTGAAATAAAATGATGCTTGCATGACAAAATAGTATTTGCCTATCTACTCTGTTAGTTTACAGTATAAATATGAAAGATTTTATCATAGCATACAAAACAATTAATTTGGATTTTCTTTTATATTAAATCAGCAGTTCTGATATAGGTTGAGGATAAAAATAAAATATGCAGTAAATTGTTGTTGGAAAAACAATTTCTCTTATAAGATGATTAATTTACACTAAACTACACTTAATGAGTTAAGAGAATAAATCAATCATATAGCAAATATTGCATTTTATTCAGCTATACATCAAACCTACTGTATAGTAGAGGTGAGAATCAAGAGTCAGCAAATTTGTTCTTGATAAAAACATTGAAAAATCAAGAACGTGAGCATTCTTTTTTTTTTTAATTAACCAAGCTGAAAATGACCATCTTTTTGACCATCTTTCAAGAGTTAAATATAAATGCAGACATGTAAGTGTGTGTGCATCCCTGCATTTGGCCATGGCACAAACTGGGTCTGAGTCATAATAACCCTGAAAATATTGTCTTCCAAAGCCCATATCCAAAATAGTATAAAACGAAAGAATATTAATGATGGTTTCTCACAACTCTCAGTTGTATGAAAGAACATTAATGATGGTTCCTCACAACTCTCCATTTGCAGTAGGGTAGCTTCTTGCCTTCCCACACTCTCCTCTTATGCGGCTGTCCTCTCTTCCTCACTTTCCTGCGCTGGCAAGGGAGTGCACACCGAAGAGTTTTCAAACTCCTTGTGTCAAAATGACACACTAAAACCAAACATCTTAAAACATATTGGCTCAATCCACCCTGCATTTGCCTTTTTCCAGCTTTGCCTTTTCAGAGATGAGCACCTACTATGTGCCAGATGCTTTGAATTCTAATGTAGTGTAAAGATCATGGATTTTGTAGTAAGATTCACCTGGGTTATCTTGAAGCTCTATCACAGACTAATATGTAAGTGACCTAAAACAAGTCACTGGACCTTGCTGAGTTCAAGTTTCTTTGACTATAAAATGAATATAATCATACTTATTTCCTAGTAAGACACAAAGCCTGAAATGCAGCAAGATTCTAGAGTGTCAGTTTAGAGGTTTGGATGAGAGCAAGGACCCAGAAGCCAGACCCCCTGGCTTTGAAGTCCAGCTCCAATCCTTAAAAGCTGTGGGTGTTTGCCAAGTTATTAATCTCTCTAGTGCAATGTCCTCATCTATATACTGGGAAGATAAGTGGACCTCTCTTATGATAAGTTGGTTACCATTGTTAAATGAAACAATATGCTAGATGCATAGTAAGTGTTATCTACTAATATTGCTAGTTAATTAAAGGTACATAGAAGCTGAATGTGGTGCCTCGACAAGCTGTGTCTGGGCACACAAAAAATGAGGAAGCCAGTGCTTCAAAACATCAGGCTTTTTCACAAAAAGAATAAAATACCTAGGACTACAGTTAACAAGGGAAGTGAAGGACTTCTTCAAAGAGAACTACAAACCACTGCTCAAAGAAATCAGAGATGAAACAAACAAACAAATAAACATTCCATGCTCATGGATAGGAAGAATCAATATCATGAAAATGGCCATACTGCCAAAAGCAATTTATAAATTTAATGCTATTCCTATTAAACTACCATTGACATTCTTTACAGAATTAGAAAAAAATACTTTAAAATTCATATGGAACCAAAAAAAGAGCCCTATAGTCACAACAATCCTAAGCAAAATGAATAAAGCTGGAGGCATCACACTACCCAGCTTCAAATTATACAAGGCTATAGTAACCAAAACAGCATGATACTGGTATAAGAACAGACTCCAAGACCAAGGGAACAGAATACAGAACCCAGAAATAAGACTGCACACCTACAACCATCTGATCTTTAACAAACCTGAGAAAAACAAGCAGTGGGGAAAGAATTCCCTATTTAATAAATGGTACTGGGAGAGCAGGCTAGCCACATGTAGAAAATTGAAACTGGACCCCTTCCTTACACCACATACAAAAATAAACTCAAGATGGATTAAAGACTTAAATGTGAGCCAGGTGCAGTGGCTCACACCTGTAATCCCAGCACTTTGAGAGGCCGAGGTGGGCGGATCACCTAGTCAGGAGTTCGAGACCAGCCTGGCCAACATGGTGAAACCCCATCTCTACTAACAATACAAAAAAAAAAAATTAGCTGGGCATGGTGGCAGGCACCTGTAATCCCAGCTACTTGGGAGGCTGAGGCAGTAGAATCGCTTGAACCTGGGAGGCGGAGGTTGCAGTGAACCAAGATTGCGCCACTGCACTCCAGCCTGGGTGACAGAGCAAGACTCTGTCTCAAAAAAAAAAAAAAAAAAAAAAAGAAAAGAAAGAAAAGAAAAAAAACCAAGACTTAAATGTGAAACGCAAAACTATAAAAACCCTAATAGAAAATCTAGGCAATACCATTTGGGACATAGGCACAGGCAAAGATTTCATGACGAAGATGCCAAAAGCAATTGCAACAAAAGCAAAACTTGACAAATGGGATCTAATTCAACTAAAGAGCTTCTGCACAGCAAAATAAACTATCAACAGAGTGAACAGACAACCTACTCAATGGGAGAAATCTTTTGCAATCCATTTATCTGACAAAGGTCTAATACCCAGCATCTACAAATAACTTAAAAAAACTTACAAGAGTAAAACAACCCCATTAAAAAGTGGTCAAAGGACATGAATAGACACTTCTCAAAAGAAGACATACATGCGGCCAGCAAACATATGAAAAAAAATCCAACGTCACTGATCATTAGAGAAATGCAAATTAGAACCACAATGAGATATCATCTCACACCAGTAAGAATAGCTATTATTAAAAAGTTAAAAAACACAGGTGCTGGCGAGGTTGTGGAGAAAAAGGAATGGTTTTACATTGTTGATGGGAATGTAAATTAGTTCAACCATTGTGGAACACAGTGTGGTAATTCCTCAAAAACCTAGAGGCAGAAATACCATTTGACCCAGAAATCCCATGACTGGGTATATAGTCAAAGGAATATAAATCATTCTATTATAAAGATACATGCACATGTATATTCACTGAAGCCCTATTCACACTAACAAAGACATGGAATCGACCTAAATGCCCATCAATGATAAACTGGATAAAGAAAATGTGGTACATATACACCATGGAATACTATGCAGTCATAAAAGGGAATGAGATCATGTCCTTTTAGGGACATGGATGGAGCCAGAAGCCATTATCCTCAGCAAACTAACACAGGAACAGAAAACTAAATAGTGCATGTTCTCATTTATAAGTGGGAGCTGAATGAGGAGAACACATGGACACATGGTGGGGAACAACACACACAGGGGCCTGTTGTAGGGCGAGAAGTGAGAGGAAGGAGAGCATCAGGAAGACTAGCTAATGGATACTGGGCTTAATATCTAGATGATGGGATGATCTCTGCAGCAAACCACCATGGCATTTATGTAACCAACCTGCACATCCTGCACATGGTACCCCAAACTTAAAACAAAAGTTGGAAATTAAAAGGAAAAACATGGCAGCTTTCGTGAGCTGCAGTCTCTGATGGGCTTTAGCAGATCTGTGGTACTACAGAAATTACATGCAAATGCATATGAGCACAAGTGCATATGGGAGGTGGGGGTGGGAGAAGCAGCCCCAGGAGCTGTTAATTTAGAAGTAGATGGTATTCTTTCTTTCCATTTACATATTGTCTAGGACAAAGTGTCTGTATAAGAAAACTGTCACTTAAGTAATTATAGAGCAACACCATGAGCCACAGCGATGCAAACTCTGTTCTGTTCCAAGCTTTTCTTGGTTCCTCCAAGCAGCTGAGTCATTCTGTCCCCTAGGCTTCTCAGACTGCAGCTCACTCATCATTTACTCAAGGACTATTAGAGCGATAGAAGCTGGGTTTCCACAATGAGTGAGATAGAAATGGCCTTGATCCCAAAGTAACTTATAATCCAGTAGCGCTAGAAGGAGGTAAAAAAATAAACTAAAAATAAGCACATAATCACAAAAAACGAAGGTTCTTTGAGCACAGCAGAGTCAGCAAACTGAAATTTCGTCCTGCAGGGGAAAGGGGATCAGGGATGGCTTTGGGCTGAGATCTGGGCATAGTAGAGGCAAGGAACTCTCAAGCTTTCACCTAGAACAAAAAATCAAAATGTGCAAAATCCTAGGGTTCAAACAGACAAATTAATGGAAGGTCAAGGTCTGAGAAGGGGTTTGGCAAGGGCTTAGGGGCTGTGGTTTACATTCTTCTGGTGGAATAACTACATTTTTATATAAATGTTTTTATCGCAGTATTATAATCTCAGCTTCTTTCTCCTATCATCTGGTTATGAGTCCTTGGAGCTAGATGTCTGATGGTCTGGATATTACAAGCCCAGCTAATCGCTGAGATGAAAAAACTGTTTAATAAGCCTCTGTTAAACAAATGAGTAAAACCCGTTAATATTAAGCATACAACTCACTGTATTTTGTATGGAACTTTATAATTTACTTACATTTATCACTATTTTGATGCAGGTGGAGATAACAATAGTTGCTGATCACCACGGTTCTCGCATTTTTTCTCTGCTTTTCTATATGGGTTCCCCTATCACAGCATCTGCTTGAAAAGACTTGGTTATCTTGAGCACTGCCAATCAAAGTGTTTTGTTTTATTTTTGCTTTTGATCACAGAATAGGCCTTTCACAGTGCAGTAGATATTATCTTTGGTCCTTGGCTTTCCTCCACTATGCAAATTTTTCATTGGAAACTTAGGGGCTTGAACTTTCCAAAAAAATTTTTAGTTTTCCCTAGCTACTTCCACATCCAGAATTCAATCAAAAGCCTGAGACATCTCATATTTTGCTGAAATCACTTCCATTTAGCTTAACTCAAACAAAAAAGGTAGGCAAACAGAGATTTCACATTATATCCCTTGGCCTTCTGAAGATACTTTTATGTTCCTGCCAATTGAGTTTGCTGATGTTGTGCTGGCTTGTTTGGGACTAAGCTACTGAGACTCCAAAGTCAAGTTCCTCACAAATGCCTGCCAAGTAGCAACGCTGAAGGAGGGTAGTCGAAGAGATGGCAGGGCCAGGGAGGGGGAAGATATCATTTGGTAAGTCAAGGATAAATAACAAAAGGCAGGCGTTTCTAGAACATTTGTTAGTCTAGTTTTGTTCTTCATGAACTGAAAAATAATTATTTTTCCCAGATTATATTGACCGGTGTTTCTGTTTCTAGTATAGTTACTAAAAGAGCTGTTTTAAATAAGTTGCTTAGAGACTGTGTTGAATTTTAGAACAGTGTAATAAACAAACCTAAAAGTGCACAAATCATACATATACAGCTCAATGAAGCTTAACAAAATGGACTCATCTGTGTTTTTGCAGCAAGAAAACAAAACATTACTAGCAACTCCCTCCCCTATAACTCTTTTCAGTCATTTATCTCCCTAAAGGAAAAAGCAACTTTGATGTTATTACAGATTAGTTCTGCCATTTTTGAACTTTGAAGAAATAAAATTTATATAAAGGAAGCCATTTTGTGCCTGGATATTTTTTTGTTCAACATTATGCTGGAAGACTTTGTGTTGCTGTATGTAGCAATATTTGTTTATTGTTATATGATAATCCATTGTTCGAATATTCTCGTTTATTTTTTTGTATTTCATTGTTGATAGGACAGTTACATTGTTTCCATCTGGGCTTTAAACAATACCACCGTAATGAACATCCAGTACATTGTTTGATATACAAATATTGATGCTTTTGTTCACTGTATACCTAGAAGTGGCATTGCTAGACCATAGGGAATGAATAAGTTTAATTTTAGTATATACTACAAAACAGTTTTCCATACTAATTGTACTGATTTATGCCCCCAGTGGCAATGTTTGAGAGTCCTTGTAGTTGTATTGTCTTTTCTAACACTGGTGCTGTCAGTTTATTTTTTAAGAAAGTTTTAATAGTCATAGTAATAGATAAGTGATGGTATGTCACTATGGTTTTAATTATTTTCCTGATGGATAATAATGTTGAGCACTTTTTAATGTATTTATGAGCCATTTGTATATTCTCATTTTGAGTGCCTATTCAATAATTTGGTTCCTCTCTTTCGTTTTTATTGGGTTATTTGCTTTTATCTTATTGATTTGTAAGAGGTTTTAAAGATAGAGAATCTGTATGTAAATCCTTCAGTGGTTACATATATTACAAATCCCTTCTCCCACTCCTATTCAGGAAATAGTATCGTTGATAAGTTTTTAAACTTTAATAAAGTTGAGTTTCTCAATCTTTTCATTTATAATTGATGTTTCACATGTCTTATATAAAAAACAATAATGCCTAACCAAGGATTTGGAAACTATTCTATGATATCTGCAAGAAATATTATTGTTTGGTCTTTCATCTTTCAACATTCAATCTACATGTAATTAATTTTTTTGTAGGTCTGAGATAAAGAGGAAGATTCAGTTGTTTACCTGTGTAAATCTATTGACCTGGGACCATTATTGAGAAGATAATAATTTCCTTAAGGCAGGGAAAGAGACTGTAGTATCATACAAGGGCTGAATTAGCTCAAAAGTGACACACATCATATACTATTGTCCAGATCCAGTCACAGTGCCCAACTTCTTACTAATTGTAAGAAGACCAAGAACAGCCAAGGTAATGTTTGTGAATATTATTGTTGCTGTCATATTTTAAAAAGATAAAAATTACTCTTCTATCATATGAATATATGTATTCGAGTCATCTTATGTCCTAATATTGAGAAAAATTTTTAAATTAAATTAATTTAAAAATACCACATTCCTCTAAAAGAAAGAACCCAAATGGAGATTTTTTTTTGAAGAATTAGCCAAAAACAGAAATAACTGGTTGGTTTCCAAATAACATCTCTTATGGAAGCTTCATTATGGCCACCATGGACCACTGAGTCTACTAATACCACCTTCCATTTGGGTTAAATTTGATTACAATAGCCTCCATGTTTTCCTGTTGATAATCATGGATTTATAAAGGAGTGAAGAACGGCAAGCACAAAGATTATTATGTGCCAGACACTATGCTTTACACTCTCACACATCTTATTACTTAAATAACAATCATGAAAAGAAAAAAATGTTTCTGTCCTCCTATTTCTTAGTATAATATAAAACAACTCCCATAATACAAATTCTGTGTTTTCACCTTTTTTCCTAGATTTCAAAACTTTCTGAGAATTCTAAGAAATCCAATTAGACAATTATCTTACTTCAACAGTTTCACATAAATACAATCCAAAGGGAAGCAGGACATACTCAGTGGTTGAAGAAAATTTCTTTATTTTCTTAAATTCCTAATGTATGGATTTAGAGTATGTGATACATTATTTAATGCTATATATATATATAATAGGCAGTGTAGTGTATATGTTAAATCCTAATTATTATGCATCACAACTGCCAACCCAAGTAGATAGATTATAAACTTTTTGGACAAAGAAATCATGTGTTATATGTATTTTTTAAATTCAGAATATCTGGCATAGAACATGTACAAACTTAGCACAAGAAGAGTCTTTCTCCCTCACTTCAAAAATCAGAGAATTATATACAAATAAAATCTTTTACAGAGGTTCATAAAAATGTTATAAATCATACTCCAGAAAAAAATACCAGTATTTCACAATATTGTATTAATGGTAGACCCTTTAAATGCTATTTCTAGTCATCTGGACTCATACGATCTTGTGAGTAAACTCTCAATTCTTTACAAGATACTGTAATGATTTTGTGGATATTAAGTTTCTCCTATATAAATACAGATTCCAAGCTATTTAGAGCCTTTTCTACATTTGGGTATAATTTTATAACTATACAGAAATGTGCTGTTTTGTTTAAATATGTAGGACAGACAAGGATTTCTAATAATTCTAGGTTTTCTGGGCAAGATTTCCCCTTGTTCATTCATTCATGCATTCATTCGTTGGTGAACTTTTTCGAGCACACACCTTGCACCAGGTTTTGCACTGGATTATTAGGAAATACATGTAATAACTGCTAACACCCACTGAGCAGTTCCTATGTGCTAGGCACTTTTCCAAGAGCTTCCCTTATAGGAACACTCATTATCCAAAACTTAACCTTATGAAACTCGGAGAATTAAGCTGCTTGTCCAGGGTCACAAAGCAAGTGAGGGATAGAGCAGAGATGTGAATCAGGGATATCTTATTTCAGAGCAAGAGTTTATAATGACTATGCTACTCTTCCCCTACTCTCAGGCTAAGCAACAAATTGAACAGTGTTCTAGAAAATATGTGAGATTGTAATATAGGGGACGTTTAAATCATAGCCTAGAACATCTGCTTAATACACTTAAGAATTTGCTAAGACACAATAGAAACTAGTAATAGCTTCTTAAAAAATGTAAAATGTATCATCAGACTTCATTCTTCATTACATTCAGATAGTATGTTCTCTGTTGTTGACTAAGAATGCACACACTAATGAAACAATGATGCAACTGAAAAATTGTAAAGGCTTCAAAATTTAATGACAAACTGTTCAAGTCCACATTTGGACACTGCTGTAGATAAATAATTCATCTTTATTGAGGCAAAGTTGACATTTCATGTTTGTATGCGGCCCAATGAATCTATCTTCCAAACTTCCAACTTATGGGTGTTTGCTTTTGTTTTTGTTTTTTTTTTAAGTCCAGTTAACAGCCATTAACTTGTCTTCAATGTCTTCATTGAATGAATAACAATTATAAAACAGAAAACTGCTCTACCATAGCAAATTAAAATTTTATGTAAGATCTGCACCTGCAAGGGGCCCTGACTATGACAAGTCTCTGTGAATCAAATGTTTTGCTAACGGAGCTTATTCATTTGTATCAAAAACACAGTCGACTCTTGCCTAATAGAGTCATTCCTTCTTTGCTAATTAAGACAGTACCAAATAAATAAATACATAAATACATAAATAAAGTTACTTATTCAGTCATGAGCACTGAACGCTCCCAGTAGGTAGTCTTTTCTCAATTCAATTTCCCCAATGGGACTAGAAGAGGAAATGAAACAACAAATTGTACTCCTGATGAACTAAGCAGAAGCTGTTATTCTACAGGGAGCCCTGCTAGGTCAATTAGTTCATCATGCTAACAGAATAACAATCCAGCAACCAATGCCCCAGCAACGGAGGTTCAAAAAAGTGAAATTCAATGGCCTCTTGTAACACTGTCTCCAGTGAAAACTGCTGGGAATTGGTGTATGGTTTGCCAATAGTATGTTTCAATATATGATAACTGAGCAATGATTCATTGTAAGGCAAAATAAAAGCAGCATTGCCTTATTATATATCTAGATTAATATAGTTACAATCTAGATGTATTTTTCATTTGATGGCACTTGGATTTTCTGAATCAACTTAAAAAAATGTATGACATAGCAATATTTTAAATTAATATGATTTCTTTCCATTTTCAAGTTGCATCTGGATCCCAAAAGATTAAATAGAGCCAAACTTCATTTTCACAAGCTCAACTATTTTAAACATGTATTTGTTTAACCAACAAGCTTTGGATATAAATGTAATTTGATATGATTATTAAATGCACTATTATAATGAAAATAATTTAGATATATCTCGAGAAATTTGAGAATTTTATATAAATAGTATTACTTATTTTTTTAATAGCAGTATCATCTTACAGCTATACACTATTTAAAGCTTATAAAGTACTTCAACTTATATTACCTTCTTAGGTATCTCAATATTTTGTTGTTTAATACTAAAAAAGTAAAATTCTTTATTAAAAAATTCAAAATCCTTTACCACGCTTTAATTGAAAAAATATGTTACCTTATTACCCCGTTATTTTTCCACATTTAAATACTCGAGGCAAATTGTGTAGGGTAGGAAGTATGGAAAAATGTGATAAAGGAAACAAAAGCTATATTAGTTGGGTAATGCACATGTTAAAATTAACATCCCATGTTATTCCTTGTACCTAGATAAATAAATTTTCTCCCTTATCACAATAATACTATATTCCTTTTATTTCTTTAGGCTGAATAGGTAATATACTCAGTTAAATAACTGAATATAGACAACTTACAAAGTACTACAACAATAAATATAACAAACATGAAATTTTCAAGAGCTGGTTTTTTAAATAAGCGATGAATTCATCTGTTTCCATAGCTTTGTTTTTACTCCAACAAAAAAATTAAGCTAGTTGATGTAATTCAAGTTTCATGCAGATAAATCAACTTTGTTTTTTATTCTGGCTTAATAAATGACTGCCACTTAATTTTCTTAGGTGCACTGAAAACAACTGAAAAATAGTGTTGGGGGAAGAGTAAGACTTAGGAGCCTTTTGAGTCTTTGGTTCAAATTTGGGTTCCATGTCTTCCCAGCTATATGACTCTAGCATGGTACGTATTCATGCTGCCCATACTTCCAGGACCAACTTCCTGTCTTTTCCTTTTATCTGCTCAGTTACCTTTAGGATACCTGTTCTTCCACTGCTCTTAGAGGTTCAGAGTGTCCACACTTCCCACTATCCCTCTTTCCCCTAGAGCAAAGGAGGAATACGTATTCAAGGATCGCCAATCAAATGAGAAAGAATAAAACAAAATACTTTAAATAAAAATTTTAAAAAATTAAAAATAAATCTAAGGACTCTCTAAACTGCCATAAAACGCTCTCTGATAAAACAATAATTTTTATAAACTAAGATTTATTAAGTGTGATGCTGTAGGCACTGCGTAAATGCTTTCCCTGTATTAACTTGTTCAATGTTCACTACCAACCTGTGACAGTGTTATTCATTTCCCATTTTTAGATGAAGAATCGTGAGGTTAGGTAACTTAGTCAAGGTCTCACTATTTGGGATCATACACAGGCAGGAACACCATTCATAATCTCTTCATTATGTCAAGTTGTAGAATGTAGTTTAGACTTGAGGTTGAAAGGGATCTTCCCACTCTGAATCTAGGTCTTGGAACTGCTCACAGAGGTAAGTGAACCTACCCACCCAGCTGCGTGGCTAAGCATGCAGATTTGCTGGATGAAGGGGTCAGAATCAGCATGTTTTGTGTCTGAAGAGCCCTCTTCACAAGCTTTGTCTCTCACAGAGAGACATGATGCAAAATATCATTCACCAAAGGCAGAGGAGAAGCAAATGAAGCACAAAGCAGGAAGCCAGATAGTTAAAAAGGAAGAAGCCAAACTGGCTCTTGCTTTGGAGGTACAATATTTTAGCTTGCTAGCAAAACTTGTTTCAACAAATGTCCAGCTCTGATCAACATGATTAATTATAGTTCTTCCCAAGAACTGAATGGAGAGACAACGTTCTTTCAAGACAGTGTCCTTGTGGTGATTGAGACATGATGAGATGGGAAAATCATTCACCTTTTACCAACAACTTAGACTTTATTCATTTCTATCAGGCTTTCTGACTTCAATTCTATCCTTAGTCAGAAGATGATGGATGAGAATAATGATGAAAGACCAATCAACTTAGATTCAGTGGTTCATCAAAGCAGCTGTATCTCTACCATTAACCTAAACTTGTTTATATTTTCAAGCTTTTGTTACATGTGCCCTAAGTAGCTCCAACCCTAAACAGATACAAATCATCTTAGCTTCTAAGTACTATGGAAAAATCTCAGAGTTCAGTTATATCTGTATAAAATTTATGGATACCACCCTTGAGCAGGATATACTAACACATGGCAATCCACATGTTTATCTGAAATTCTCAATTCTTCTCAAACTTCTGATCTCTTTCTTAGACATCTAAGTCACCACATTCCCATGGATTCCTCTTTAGCTTCCTTTATTAGTTCCTCCTTCTTTAACTGATCATTAAATGCCCGCATTCCTTAGGGCAGTAGGTGCTCTTAAGCGCTTTTCTTTGTTATTCCATATTCTTTCCTTCTCCATAACTCAATCCAGTTCTATGTTTTCAATTTCCATCTCTATTTTATGACTCCTAGATTTATGTAGACAGTCCATAGTTTGCTCTAAGTTCTAGAGTAATCAAGAACTAATTTGAAAAAAAAAAGTCTCATGCTCAACTTATGAACTCCCCTATAGCTAAGGCTATATCTCATCCTATATTTCCTATCTCATTTGTGTAAACCAGAAACCTTGAAAACATAGTATACTCATCTCTTTTTCTACCTACCTATCACCACATTTTACCAATTACATCTTCTAGGGATTCTAAAATCTATCTTCTTTTCTTCATTTCTATGGCCATCCTTCTATGCCAGGATGCTAAAAATCCCTCTTCTATATTACTAAATTGCCTCCTCATTTCTCCACACCCACTTTTACCATTCAATTAATCTTCCCCATATCATACTCTGACCATATCAGTCAGAATAACCATCATAATAAGACTTATAGGATTTATACATATGCTCATTAAGCCAAATTCACACAATAAAGTAGAAAGTCCCCCTCCATTAAAAGATACAAATCTAATAATGTCACCTTTATGATAGTAGGAGAACAATAACAAAACCAAAATGATTTAGGGTACATAAGTTACTATCCTTAACAGGAACTCTGGGTTCTATGAGATCATTCTCTTTTCCATCTCCTGCCTCACATCACACCTGTATTTCTCTTCAGTCAGTGCATTTATCTTTAACAACATTATCCTCATCCATCATCTTCTGATGCATCTTCTGAATGCTCAGACACTCTACTGTCTACCTGGGACATTCCCTGGAACTTATCCCTCTCAGGTGGCTAAAACCTTCATACTTTGGTCTCAGTTTACTATAGCTCTTCAGTAAGGGTGGTTTTTGTGTGATAAAGTTCTAGGAGAGACACCCTCTTACATAGTGTAATATCACTGTAACTTTTTCCTTGTAGCAATTAATTGTTTGATATAACTCTTACCTACCAGACTGTGAGCTTTCTCAAGGGTACACCTGCAACCATTTTAAGTATTAAGACCATATTATAATGATTGATATGCATTAGGTACTCAAGGAACACTTGTAGACTGAGTCAATAAACAAAAATAGGGGAGAGATTAGATTCAAGTAATGCATATTCAATTATTATTCCGATCACTTTACATATATTAACGTAATTAAAATTCACAAATACCTATGAAGTAGTTACCATTATTAGCCCTATTATATAAATGCAGAAACTGAGGATCAGAGAGTTTATGGTTCGCCCAGGGACACACAGCTCCTAAATGACAAAGCCTGGATTGAAACCCTGACTGGTTCTAGACTTAAGACTGTGGTATAGGCACTTTTATTGTAATATTATCTCAATTAAAATTCTTCTGTAACTTGAACAAAATATTTTTCTTATATAAATTATAATTGTGAAAAATTATATTATGCTACTATTATTTTATAATCCAGCCATAGCATAAAAGAATAAAGTTTTACTTACCCCATTAGTGCAACATTTGATATAAATAATTTTTTAAATAATTTTTTTACCATATTTAATATTTTTTATTTTAGTAGGCTCATTTAAGCTGCTTGGCATGTTTTACAAGATTGCTTGAATACCACAAAGTACGCTTGTATCATCGTACACTTGTAGCATCCTAAAACTAACGCTTTATTGAATGTTCTGTATTTTGAATTCAATGACTGTCTTATATATAGGTTTTTCATGGGTTAAATGTCCAATTAATTTGAAGTATAACTGCATGAATTTATAATATCATTAGAATTTTGTATTGTCGAAAGGATAGACATTATTGACGGAGCTAAATACAGAGTTAAAATATATCACAAATGTTAACAAAATATAATTAAATATTCCAGAATTAATGGAAATTATAATTGATAAATGACACTATAATCCACACATAAGCAAATGAAATATACATTCAAACAGAAAAATTAAAACCTAGAATCAATATAAACATGGATGGGATGTTTATTTCTACTAGTATTGGGGAGACAAAAACAATACATGACTGAGTAAAAATCAGAGCATGTTGTCTGGCAGCTAGCGAGGAAAGTGCCAAGAAGAAACCTGCGATGATAAAAGAGAGTCCAGCTGAAAGTAGATAAAACATCCTCCAAAATTCTGGCCATAAAGTTAACTTCTAACTTCCTGATTTTCAGTGCTATTTGCAAACACGGATAACTCTGTTCTCTTTTTCAAATTCCAAATTCTGAACTCACTTGTAGCAACTGTCTCTATTTCTTGATGTCTCAGGACTCTCGAACCAGCTTCAGTCTGTGATGTTAATGCTCTGCTAAGACCACTGAAGCCAGTAAGGCCAAATCAAATGCAAAGACCCTTTTCCTCATTTTGCCTCTGCAGAGAACCAAACCAAACAAATACAACTCTGATTTTTCTTGAAACATCTCCATCTTCTGTTGTTCCTTCAGTTTTTTCTATGCCCTCTCTTGGGTCCTCTTTGTTCTCTTGCTCAACCCCACTTTTCAGGGATCTCAGCTGTCTTTGCACTAATAACTCCACCATCACTTCATCTGTTAAGAGCTTTCTTTCCTGAGAGCCACAATCTCACACTAGGTACCTCATGTACCTGACTTCATGGGTATCTCACAGATGCCTCAAACATAATATATAAAAACTGAAATCATTCTCTACTCACTCGTCTGTACTTTTTCCTGGAGACTGAAATGAGTAAATGACTGACATCCCAATGGCACTGCACACCATGGGTATCATCTTTGACTTCTCCCTCTACTTAGCATCACAGAAAGTTAGTTCTAGATCACATCTGGGATAATGTGTACAATTCCGACAACCACATGTGATTAAAAAACAAACTTGAAGCCGTGTGTGGGAGGACAGTGGGTATATGGGAGCTCTCTGCACTTACTGTTCTATTTTTCTGTAAATGTAAACTGCTCTAAAAATAGTCTCAATTTAAAAAATTAAAACAGGAATAATCAGAGGATATTATTGGCAACTGCAAGATATTTAAAACTATATTATGTATAAAACAGGTATATACACCTGAAATGCTCATCTTGACAGAGAAGATTATGACAATTTATAACTGCCTTGCAAAATTGTAGAAGAAAAGGAAGATGTGTGTGGTTTACCCCATGAAAACAACGCAGCATTCCCTGGAAGAAACTCCAGGGAAGCAGCCTTCAGTTTCTTATGCAGAACAAACTAGTAGATAATCAGCTTTGAGAAGCAGTGAACTACTAAATCATTTATACAACACAGCACTTTCAGGCTTAGGAAGTGCTTTGTAGTATCTGTTATCCTATTTAATTAGCATTAGAACTCTGTTCCTAGGTAGTAGGACAAATACTGTTATCCTCACTTTATCAAAGGGAAACAAAGACAATGAACTTTAGATTATTTGAATGATTTTGTGAAAGTTAGTTAGGTAGGTCCCTGCACAAGAGCACTTGAATAATTCTTAATACACAGGGTGTCTTACCCACTAAACTTGTGATACTCTGGGGGCTCCCACTAGCATGAAACAAGTCTTCAGAAAATATGAGTTTAACTAATAAATGAATTAATTAATCACTTCATGCATACATCAAGCCAGGATTTAATTCCAGGCCTTTTAAGTTTTAACAAAGAGTAATATATAATTAGATGACTAATATTATGGAAATATATGCGTAAATTAATCATTTAATATTCCATATTTTGATTGAATGATAATCATATATTTACCATGAGTAAAATTTATATAAATTTACAAATATAAATATAATTTATGTATTTATATATTAGGTGTGTATATTTAATATGTATATCTTTAGATGTATATATTTAAATATTTAAATATATATGAAATATGTTCTCATATATATGAGAACAAAAAAAACCACATATGCATACACAAAGGGGTAAAAAAAAAGAGATAAATAGGGGTGGTTTTGTCAGTCATACAATATACAAAATCCAGAAAAGAGAAAAAAGCACAGTTAATTCTATGAGTATCGCAATGAAGAGAACACTCAGAGGACCCTGAATTGCTCTTTCTCTAGCCCTGCCTCTCCCTGGGGTATAAGAAAAAAGATTAGGTTTTTAAAAGAACTCTTTTCACTTATCTGTACTTATTTTGCAAATTATCAACCTTTCTGGTAATAACAACACCCAGAAACAGAATTATATGACAAGTATATGAAAACAACCAAGCATAAAGCATTTCATCCAGTTTTGTAACTAGATGAGGGGTCTGTAGACAGCATGGCAATTCAGACAACAAAGTGATCAGTCTTGTGGTAGTGGAGAAAAATATCTGAACATTAATGAGCTATATGATTACCATATCTTCTTTATTTTCATTTGTGCCTTCATTTATTCTTTTAAATATATGAGAATAACTGAAAAAAAGTGCTGATGACAGTATCTTGCACATAATAAGGCCTACATGGTGTTTGTTAAATACATACACACATACATTTATATGCAGACACATAGCATTTATTAAATTCTGCTGTGTTAAAAAATCAGAGATATAAAGGTAGAACAATGCCATTATCCAATTTTGTTTTTGTTATTATATACTCTGTGCCAAAACATTTCCAAGGTATGTACCTGGATGACAGAATATAGTAATGAAATGTAGTTTGGGGGGGTACTTTTAAATATTTACTACTAATAGTATATTCTTGTGATCTACCTTTTAAAAATACTATTTTACTTATATTAATTTTACTTTGTAATGTTTAACATTAGTAAATAAAAATCATTGTCTAAGGTCTCTCAAAAATGTCAGCATCACATAATAAATTGCTTGAAAAAATGTGTGTCTTTGTTACTGTTAGTTTTCTTTTAAAATTTTCAATACTTGTGTTTTAATAAAGGTATAAGTTAGGGGTTAGCTTGTAACATTCATATTTTTAACAGCTAAAGATTGGTCTATATGAGATCAGTTGAGTGGTTTAAATTTTAAAAAATAATGATCTGTGTTAAGAGCTAGCATGTAGCTATTTATAAAGGTAATGTATTTTATTTGCATTTTGCCCAATGCTTTTTTGGTATACTATTTATTTGCACTTCAGCCAATGATGCTATGATTATTTAAACTGACCAGGAAAGATAATTAAATAATAGCTCTCCTCCATACTGTTGCTGGAACACTCTTCAAAATAGGTAAATTATATCACATCATATACCTCCTGAAGAAAATACCTCAATGGTCCCTAATCCTATTGAATAAAATCCATATCCTTTGTTCCATGCCCTCAATCAGGTTCCTGCCTATGCATTTGAACCTTCAGCAACTCTGCCCCCTGCAGGTACCTGACAAAACAGCCATCTGAAGAAGTTAAATTTCCCTAACCACATTCCTTTCCATACTCCAAATCTCTGTGTGTATTCCTCCTTATGCTGGGAGAGGGCAACAAAGCTCTGCTCGTCCTTCACATCTCGGCCCAGGATTTACCTTCTAATTCTGTCATATAGCAAAACACCCACTCACAAATGCTTAACGTTTAGAAGATATAGATAAATCATAATTATGTAATTAAAATGGCAATATGTGGATGGTCATCTATTTAAGGTAAATCTATTTCCATCTTGTTTATCTTAGAGTAAAAGAGGTTTGGGACAGGTGTATGCAAAAAATAAAAAGCAATTATTTCTACCAGAGACTCTGAGTCATCACGGCTTACTGTCCAAAAAAGGCAGCCACCACCACCAACAACAAAGCCTTGTGATTATTTTTTCATAACCAGCTGTGCACTATCGAGATAAATAAAGAAAAAGAAATTACTCTGTTCAAGATTACTGCCATCAGCTACTATAGTATTAGACCTCAGTGTTTTATTTACAGAACTCCCTATGGATAAATGATAGAATGGCATAATGAGTATACAAATGTCTTTTCAAGAATAGATTTTGAAAGCTGTTTTTATAAAAATGCCTTCTGGCAGAATTATCTAAATGCACAGTGCAGCGTGCTGACAGTCAGGAGGCACAGTAACACAGAATGGCTTTGTTGGCTTCCAATTGATTCAATCCTGAGTAGCATGAAAAAGGTAGAAGGTAAAGTACTTCAGAAAGGTTTGGATCTCTCGCTCCATGAGGTCCTGCAGTTGGAAGAATAGCAGGATACAGTGCAGAGTTGTCTCCTATTTAGAAAAAAAAAATCCCATTTGAATAGACAAGATTAGTAGGTGGCTTGGAGAGGTGTAATGCTTTGGATCACATGCATGGGGGTAAAATCTTATTATTCTGAAATGGTAGCCTAACAAAGACTCTAAACAAGGATTTTACATAAGTTCACATTTAAGGGAAACTTTTAAATAAAGTTCCATACATATTTCTAAGTAAAGACTGAGAGACACATTTTTTTAAACGACAAAATGATACCACGTAAGCTTATGCGATACCAATTTTCAAGGCTTTATTTTCCTTTCCTTAGTAGTTATATATTTTCAAACTCCTTTTTCATGTTTTTTTTTCATTGAAAACCCTTTTACCTGCCTGATTTTAATTCAAGGATCATGAATACACCATCTGAAGTAGTCAAATGATGGAGGTTCTCACACTTCCTAGTTCAGCCACCAAATATTCTTTTACTGTGTGATTGAGGCTGATGCTAATGCAACTAAGTCATCATAATTATAATAAAATACCACCATGGCCAGCTTTTATTAAGTCATGCTGTGCAAAGACAATCTGCATACAGATCCAACCACAACAGGACGTGATTGATTCAGCACTGCTGGCTATCCCAATAAAGATGCTGCCCTCAGTCTCTGTGATCACCAATACAGCCAGTGTTAATGCACGTGGCTCACAAGGCAAAACAACCCACGCAGTTCAGCTTGACAAGCCATGAATTTTCAGTGATGAGCATAAGCTTTCAAAGTCTATAAAATGACAATGGCTTCATCCTCTTATGTAGGAAGCTCTTGCAGAAAGAAAAGAATGAAAGAAGGGACAAAATGAAAGCATGCCAGCCTGAATTATAGTGTCTGGAAAGCTCATAACTTACAGGGCTTAGTCATGTATTTTCCATTCCAAGGTACACATGCACGTAATACATGCAGTGGAGTCGGGTGAACCTCAGAACAAGCCTGGTGTTTTTTCTAAATCAACCAAGAGGGTGAACATATGATAAAAATCAATTAGTCAAGGTTTTAAAGATATTAAAGATTTCTAAGATTCAAGAGCAAAAATTATTTATTAAAAAATGCTCACTAGCAACAAGTGATAATGCCAGCACTCGTCAGAAGATAACCACATTATCATATTCGGAGAATGCTTCCCACTGGCTCCAGATCCCATTCCCAAGGGTCAGGATTCTGGGGGGAATGGGAGGAGAACAGAAATGTAATTAGGCTTCTATTTGCTGCTTCATAGGCTCTCAAAATGGAAGAGATCAGAAGAAATCCAAACGGTATCAGCAAGAAAGTTCTCATATGTATCTTTAATTATCATACAGTTATGAGCCATATAAAGACGTCTCAGTCAATAATGGATCGCATATACAATGATGGTCCTATAAGATTATAATGGACCTGAAAAATTCCCGTCACCCCGTGATGTGGTAGTCATTGTGACGTCTTAGTGTAATGCGTTACTTAAGTGTCTGTGGTGATGCTGGTGTAAACAAACCTACTGTGCCACCAGTGATATAAAAATCTAGCACCTAATATTATGTACTTACAGTACGGTGTATGTATTTACTATACTATACTATTTATCATTATTTTAGCATGTACTCCTACTAATAAAAAAAGTTAACTGTAACATGGCCTCAAGCAGGTTCTTCAGGAGGTACTCTAGAAGAAGGCATTGTTATCCTAGATGACAGCTCTTTGTGTGTTATCGCTTCTGAAGACATTCCAGCTGGACAAGATATGGAGGGAGAAGACAGTGATATTGATGATCCTGTGTAGGGCTAGGCTAATATATGTGTTTGTGTTCTAGTTTTTAACAAAATTTTAAAAAGTAAGAAAAAACATTAAAAATAGAAAAGCACTTATAAAGATATAAAGAAAGAAAAACATTTTATACAGCTGTACAATGTACTTGTGTTTTAAGCTGTGTTATCTTGAGTCAAAAATTATAAATGATTAAAAAGTTTGTAAAGTAAAAGTTACAGTATGCTAGAGTTAATTTATTATTGCAGAAAAATAACTGTAAATAAATTCAGTGTAGCCTAAGTATATAATATTTATGAAGTCTACAGCAGTGTACAGTAATGTCCTAGGCCTTCACATTCACTCATCACTCACTCATTCAATGAACGATGCAATTTCCAGTCCTCCAAGCCTCATTCATGGTAAGCACCCTATACAGGTGTACCTTTTTAAAAAAATCTTTTACACCATATTTTCACTGTACCTTTTCTATATTTCGGTATGTTCAGATACATAAATACTTACCATTGTGTTAAAATTGCCTACAGTATTCCATATAGTGCCATGCTGTATGGGTTTGAAGCCTAGGAGCAATAGGCTATTCCATATAGCCTAGGTGTAGAGTGGGCTATTCCATCTAGGTTTGTGTAAGTACCCTCTATGATGTCACACAATGACAAAATCGCCTAGTGATGCATTTCTCAGAATGTATCTCCATCGTTAAGTGTCATATTACCGTATATAAAATTCTCTCATGCTAACAACTGGCATACTATCAATTTCTCCTGAAGAGCATAGGTATAGTACTCTGCACTGAACTGATGAGTGATCTCTGGTATCGTTGAGAATCCCACATTCTCCTCTTACCTAGTACTTGGTTTCTTCCTCTAGAAGATGGCACACTAGTACTATCAATGATATCCATTTTGAGGACTTTTTTTCAAAAGAAGACTACGTTGTCTTCAAAACAAAGAAAAGAACCATATAGATATCAAGCCATCTTTACTAACTCTATCTTTTTAAATAATCTCATTCAGAAACTTCTTCTGACAACATAAGTCAAGTCAGGAACCATCAGAACCTACAACTCAGAAAGATAACCAGGTCGCCAATCATTTACTCAACTATTCCACCATCCAGTATTGTATGGTTGAATCAGAAATCGTGCTAAAACATGTTTTTAACCTGGCACTTCAAAGTATTCACATTTTCAACAATATGCTTTCAGCAAATGAATTGTGTCATGAAAATTCCAGCTTAAGTCTAAATGGATCAGCCATAAAGGCAAATTATCTGTTGAACAATATAGTCAGCTTCTGTAAAGAATGTACTTTCTATGCCAAATATGATCTTTCCACAGTTGAATAAACACTTGGTGCAATGAAATTGCTGGCAGTCCTCTTGGTGGTTTCTGTTCGTGTGTATTTCCCTGACTGTTGTATCTCCATCTCATACACTTTGCCAGTCATTCAAAACAGTTATTTCATGCATCAGGAATATCAAGATGCTTTTGAGATGGGTTATGTGCATTGTGGCTGATGCACTTTTAAAAACTATCAGGTTATCACCCACCAGAGAAGCCTGGAGAAACATATACATTATTCTGCAACAAGTTCTGTAATTTACATAGGTAAAAGGATTTACCCCGACAATTCTAACCGTTTTTACAAAAAGGCTCTTTGGCCTTTAGAGTCAAATAGATATTTATGATAAAAGCAACTTGTATGCATACTTCCCTGAAGCACAGTATGTTTTCCATCTTTAAGTGGATTATTTATGGGCACCGTAAAATTAAAATTCTGGAAAAAATTATGTAAGATTATGCATTCAGATACTTTGTGTATTTTTTCCAATGAACTTGAAATTTAACTTGAAAGTAATCATGAACTTTCAAAGAATTTCATAGCATACAATTAAGTAATGAATTTCAGTAATTTACAATGAAGTAAAAAACCAAAGGTCTGTTTTATGGTATTTGGGGAAGTCTAATTGTCTTAGTATATATATATTTTTTTTTAAAAAAAAAAAATAAGATCTTTTTCTAAAATGTTGAAAATAATGACTTTGAAAAATAATGTGTTGATATTTTCTTTTACATTTAATCATACTCCTTTTAATAAATTTTAATCCTAAAATGCCAATTAAAGCAGCACTACTTCTAAATGAAGAATACAACAAAAAAGGAAACTAGTCATTCTTCAATGCAGCAGGCCGACAGTGCCATAGGAACTTTGTGATGTCTTTTTCAAATGACGTTTCAACTCAAACTACTAGTGGTTTTAGGAACTCACTCCATGCCCCAGAACCCCTCTGTCAGAAAATATCAAAGCCTATACAGCTTGCATCCTAATGTTATCTCTGTATTATTTTTCCTATCATCCACTGCAAAGCATCAGTCTTGAAAATTCTGTGATAGTACTTGCCTCACGCATGTTTGTAATTTATATTTTAAGATGCTTATTGGTGAAGCAAAATCAATAGTGTCAATTATTCAATGCACGGCAATTTTTTTTGTATATTACTTATATACAATATTTTACATTTCCATCAGACAGCTGACTTTGCATTTAATTAGAATAGTGAGGTTACATTTTAGAATAAGGTATTCTGATGCAGCAAGACTTGTCTGACCTATAAAAGTGATCCAAGTCTCTAGCAGAGAAATATATTGGAGTTACATGTACACATTCTTTCTTGATACGGACTATGATCAAAGAAGTCTGGAGACCCCTGGAGAGTTCTGAATTTTAACTTCTTATAGAGCAAAACCTCATTTATCGGACTGCACAAAGCTAGCTGAGATTCTTAGATGCAAAGAATAGAAAGCTGGATAATGTAAGCAAGGAGAGTATTTATCGGATGATTGGAAAACCAAGGTCACAAGCAGATAAGAACTAAGAGAAGATACTTGTTTTGTCAAATATCAGACATTAATACATGTCTGGCAATAGAGCCTCCATTGCTAATGATAACTGACTTTGCTGCCACTGGTACCTGGGTGTTTCTACAGCTACCACAACTACTAGAATAAACTCTCATCTGTACCTCCTCTTCACATCTGCTCCTCATTCAAAGTACCAGATAGGAGTATGTAATTGGCTGCAGATAAGTCTTATGCTCACCTCTGGTTGCTAAAGCTTCAAAAAAGTGAGTGTCTGGCCCTTTGCATTTTTGTTTTGGAAACTATAAAAGGAAAAACTAGATTATTCTGTAGCCACAAAACACTCTCAAAATCTCGGTGGTTAAAAAAAAAAACACATAACAACTTAATTTCTCACTCTCTTTAAATGTCCCATTATACATTAGCTGGGAACTCTGCCACACGTTGTGTTCACTCCAGAAGAGATAGCCACTCTATCTAGTTATCATGTCAGAAAGAACAACTCCTGGCGTAGCAGTCCTCAAAGTGGAGTCTGGGAATTCCTGGATATCTGCAAGTTCAAAACTATTTTCATAATAATATTTAGATGTTATTTGCCTGTTTCTGTTGCATTTTTATAATGATATGCTAGTTCTTCAATAATAATAATTACAATAATATATTGATGATAATAATACCCTATAATAATTACAATAACATATTAGTGATGATAATATCTCTAATGGCAATTTACAGTTATAAACTGAAAGAAATGATCTCATTTGATTATCATACGCTTGAAAAATAAATAGTAATGTCTACCCACCACAAATACCCATTAACTTTATGGATAACAAGACTAAGAACAGATATTTTAAGCATAAACTATGGTGAACTAACTATATATTTTTAAACTTTGACTTTGTTCATATCTCCTATATACATATATATATTTTGACATATATTTTTTGACATATATACATGTATGTGTGTATATATTATATATTATATATATTATATGTATATATTATATATATTATGTTTTATATATATTATATATTATATTTTATATATAATACATATTTTATATATATTATATATTATATATATTTTACATATGTTATATATATATATATTTTTTTTTTTTTTTCCCCTGAGACGGAGTCTCGCTCTGTCACCCAGGCTGGAGTGCAGGAGCATGATCTCCACTCAGTGCAACCTCTGCCTCCTGGGTTCAAACGATTCTCCTCCTTCAGCCTCCCAAGTAGTTGGGACTACAGGCACACGCCACCACGCCTGGTTAATTTTTGTATTTGTAGTAGAGATGGGGTTTTGCCATGTTGGCCAGGCTGGCCTCAAGCTCCTGACCTCAGGTGATCCACATGCCTCGGCCTCCCAAAGTGCTGGGATTACAGGCATGAGCCACCATGCCTGGCCGTATCTCCGTAATATTTTTAATGCTGCTCCTCTTCCTTATAATTCACTTCTCCCTTTAAGCTTGGTTTTTCAGTCCATAACCTAACCCTATTTTAAAATTTAGCTCAAGTCATTGAGTTTCCTTGGCTTATTTGCTCTTATTTGTGAGTTTTGCAGATTCTTTATATATTCTGGATACAAGTCTTTTATCAAATATAAGATATGCAAATATTTTATTGTAGTCTGTGGCTTAAATTTTAACAGTGTCATTCAAAGACTAGAAGATTTAAATTTTAATGAAGCCCAAGGTTTCAGTTTAGTTTTTTAGAACTGTGCTTTTGATACCATATTTAAGAAAACTTTGCATTTTTTACCAGCAAATATGATGTTCTATGTCGGGTTTTCATAGATGTCATATTATCAGTTTTTGGAAATTCCCTTCACTTCCTAGTTTCATGAAGATTTTTATGAAGGAAGGATTTGGTGTTTTGTCAAATGCTTTTTCTACATGTATAGAGATGAAACGTGTTTTTTTGTTTTTTAGTTTATTAATATGATAAATTATTATACATTGCTTGCTTTGGGGTAGAAGTGGCTTAAAACAACACCTCTTTCTTACCTTACAACCCTGTAGATCCAGGGTTGAAATCAGGGTGTCAGTAAAGCTGCATACCCTACTGGAGGCATAGGGGAGAACCCACTTCCAGGCCCATCCAGGTTGTTGGCAGAATTCAGTTATACGTGGTTCTAGGATGGAGGTCTTCATTGTCTTGCTGCTGTCGGCTGGTGGCCACCCTCTGCTCTCAGAGGCCTCTCTTTTTGTTGCCCGTGGGCCTCCATCTGGGAACCGGCACTGGCTGGCCAAGTTCCTCTCGTTTTACCACAGCTCTTTGGCCTCTTTTGCTGCTGTACCTAGTATTTTCCCATGGCACTTTCTCCATTAGCTTTCTAATTAACACACAGTGGAGTTTTCCAGAGGCTTCATGACACTGAGATATTTCAAGATTGAATGCAGAAGCTGATACGAAAATCTAGCTGTCTTCTTTTGAGTTAAAAATTAAGATTTCCAAAAATGGTAAACAATACTATTCTTTTCACTGTTTTTTTTTGAGAACATAATTATTTTTATATGAATATGTTACTGACATTGATGTGGAATGGGTTTATTTTACTCTTCTAAATAATTTAATAAATATTTTTATAATTTCAGTTTTAAGTTCCAATACAATAAATATCAATAGATATAACTAACGTAAACTACATCCTTTTAGAATCCTCAAAAATGTTTAACAGTGTAAAGGAGCCCTGAGAACAACAATAAAGGTTAAGTACTGCTCTAGTGGGTCTCACACCAGCACTCGGATAATCCAGCTGGAAAAAACCCATCACTGCTGTTCACATCTCACTGACCCACAGCAGTCACAGGCTCACCCTACCAGAAGGCGGTCAGGTAATTCCGTCCTGTAAGACAGAAAGCTGGAAATACTAAGAGAACAGCACTGATAACCACTGCTGAAGCCACACCCCGTCTCTACCACAAATCATACTGAGAGGAATCCCCCAAAGGAAATGTGCATAAGAGGCTGAGAAGTTAAAACTATAATAAAAGCCCACCACATACCCCGTGGTTCATGGGAGCATGTTTCATTATTTAGAAAATGCTACAATTCCGTTCTTCCAGTTAGAACAAAAACCATCTGCATACAAGAGAGGTCATCATGCATCACATAGCTATTTGTTCCTTGTAGGTTATAAATTACAGATTATTCTATTAAACATTTATATTTTCCCATTTCTAGAGTATGCCTTGGAATCAGTCTGTCCCAATATCTGTGCTAAGGAGAGACTGGACTGTATGACACATATAAATAGCTCTCAATAAATCAGTGGTTGAGGACTGAATAATAGAATTTCAGTATGTTCTGAAAAATCAAAAAGTGAGGCTTGCACATTGGTATTATTGCAGAATCATCATTATCCATATTTCAACAAGTCTAATTCAATTTGCAGGGCTTCATAAATGCTGCTCAACAAAGGAATATTTTCTGAGTTATTTATGTTTAAGATAGTTTAAGAAGATACAATGTGTCACTTGTGTGACACACTTGTGTCACACAAACACAACCCGTTATTAAAGAAGCATTTTTAGCATAATTAATATTTTACATCTTAGATGAAGCCATAAACATTGTATTGTAAAGTTACTGAAGAGTAATACCTGTGGGAAATTATTGTTAATTCTCACTGCTGTCAATTCTCTTGCTTCCTTTTAATTGGCTAGTTTTAATCTGCTCTTTGTGGGAAAATCAGATCATTCAGCTTAATACAATTACATGCAAAAAGAGTCAACAAGCTCTAAGTAAAGCCCAAATTATTCTCTTATGAGTCAAATGCATGAGCTTTTATACACTTATACATATATCATACACATTATGGCATTTTTGGTGGGGGGAGGTGAAAGTGTATTTTGCTTATTTTCTTCACATCCTGGACTTTGGCCGTTATAACTAGTTGAAATTAAATGTATGTAGTTTCTAGATAAGTTATATTTTACTAAATTTGGGAAGATACATCATTCAGTTATCAAAGAAGAGAATTACATAAGCAACCACAAGTAGAAAAACAGTAATAAGCAAAATTTGCAGAAGAAACATGAAATAAAGAAACTGTATGGTTTTATTTCTCCCAAGATGAAAATTGTGTTCATTTTCTTCTTTTGATATACTAAATGAACACTCATATTTCAGAAGCACAGTGTAATGACAAGAATCACAGGAATTATAATCAGAGATCCTGAATTTTAATTAAGAAGTTCCTAAGTGCTGGTATGTGCTCTTGGGTTTGCAAACAGCAACCCTTTATCACCTAAAACTTCTTAAAATCCTGAAGAGAAATGCAACTGACTTTATTTCACCGATGAAATAAACAGAGGCTCAGCAAGTGAAGGTGCAGATATGACTGCAAAACCTGTATAATTAGTTGCTTACTGTCCTCCACTGCCTTTCCTTTAACATGTGCCAAGCTCTCTGAACTTGGCCAAGCTATACAACTTTTGAGGACATCACTGATATATTCACATCTCCCTCAATCCATTCATTAATCTCCTAATGAATTCATTTAACAAATATTTACTGAGCATCTACCAAGACTAGCTCACTGTGCAAAGAGCTGAAAATACACAACTGTTAAAGAAAAGTTTATAATATCTGTTAGAGGAATTAGATGAAATAATTTACAAATAGTTTGTAGATTATAAAATGCTAGTATATTTCCTTGTTTGTTCATTCGCCATTTGATTTTCATTACAACAGTGTAGACCAGAGAGGACTGTTGGCCCCAAACAACCCCTAACCCTGGCAAAGGTGATCTAATCCAAGAACTCTTCCCAATGAGGTCCTCTATATCACAGTGACTTACTTAGTCCAGCAAATCTAGTCTCAGTGAGTTAAGACTGTAAGATACCCAAGAAGAGATCGTCAGAAAGTAGGAGCAGGAAAAGCAGACAGACCAGCAGAATGACTGTAAAGATTTTGGAAGTTCTTTTGCATTCTGAACGGCATTCCAATTTTTGATGCCATCTATCTTGCACCCATGAAAATGTTTTGTTTACTTGCTCCTATGGCCAGAATGTGTCTCAGGCCCTTGAGTCTTTCAGCTTACATATTTTAACTTACTTTCAAAACCATAAAGCATATACATATGAATTGTCACCACCGGTATAATTACTGACAAGTGCTGCTGCTTGGCCTGATTTCATTAAATAGCAAAAGATTTAAATTTTTGGCGAGTATGTGCTAATCTCCTTATGTGGCTATATTCCAGGATTATCTTTCAACGGTTCCTTTCTAAAATAATATTAAGCTCTTTTCTTGGTTTGCTTTAATCCATTTAGCAGCCCACAACTCTGAACCAATTAGTGAGAAATATTCTTAGTGACACAACTGTCAGTATAATTGTTAGGATTTGTCTGAAGATAGATTCTTATATCTTATTTTTAGTCGGTTTTCCTGCGGTATAATTTATGAGCAGTAAAATTAATGAATGTTAAGTTTACAAGTCATGTAACCACTAAAACTGTCATGATGCAGAATTCTTCTGTCACCCCAAAAAGTTCCATTGCATCTGTTTGCTCTTAATCTCTCTCCAACCCTTGACAACCAGGGATTTGTTTTTTATCAGAATAATTTTGATTTTCCTGGAATATTATATACATGAAAATGCAACCTGGGATCTTTTGCAGCTAGCTGCTTTCACATAACATAATGCTTTTGAGAGTTATCTGTATTGATAGTTGTTTTTTATTAATTGCTGAGCAGTATTCCATTGTACATACATATCACATTTGCTTACCACAGCAAAAAGCTAATGAACAATTGAGTTCTTTTCTGGTTTTTGACTATTATTTTTTGTTAAAAAAAAAAAAAGCTGCTCTGAATATTTGCATATAAGCCTTGGTGTGAATAAAAATTTCTTTTCTGTTGGAAAAACACTTAAGAATAGGAACACTGGCTGGGTGTGATGGATCATGCCAGTAATCCCAGCACTTTGGGAGGCCTAGGTGAGTGGATCACTTGAGGTCAGGAGTTTGAGACCAGCCTGGCCAACATGGTGAAACCCCATCTCTATCAAAAATACTAAAAAAATTAGCCAGGCATGGTGGCCAGCGCCTGTAATCCCAGCTACACTGGAGGCTGAGGCAGGAGAATCACTTGAATCCGGGAGATGGAGATTGCAGTGAGCCGAGATTGTGCCACTGTACTCCAGCCTGGGCAACACAGAGTGAGGCTCCAGCTTAAAAAAAAAGAATAGTAACACTGGTCATATAGGAAGTATATGTTTCATTTTATAAGACACTGCTGAAATGTCTTCCAATATAAATGAACCATTTTTGCACTCCCCTTAGTGATATGTGAGAGTTCCAGTTGTTTCACATGGTTGCTAACCCTGGGGACTGGAAGTCTTTTTAAGCTTAGCCATTCAAGTGTGTGCTTAGTGGTATATCATTGCATTTGTAACTTTCATTTTCCTAGTGAGTAATATGTTAAGCATATTTTCAGGTGTTTGTTTGTATCCCCTTTGGTGAAATACCTGTTCAAATATTTTGCCCACTGGTTTATTGAGTCATTTATCTTTTTATCATTGAGTTGAAAGAGTTCTTTACATATTCTGAACACAAATCCTTTATCAGATATGTATTTTTAAAATACTTCCTCCTAGTCTGTGGCTTTTATTTTGTTTAACCTGTGTCTTTTGGAGAGGACGAATGTTTAATGTTTCTGCTTTCTGTGTTCTATTTAAGAAATCTTTGCTATAACCAAAGTTAAGATTTTCTTCCATTATTTCTACTAGAAGTTGCAAGGTTTTAGCTACCCATATTTGCATATGGTGTGACATTAGAATCAAGGTTTATTTTCCAGATGTGGATGGCAATTATTCAACATCATTTCAAATGGTTATTATTTCCTTACTTAATTACTTTGGTAATTTCTTGAAAATTGACTAACCATGTATGTGGTTATATATGAGCTATTTCTTGACTCTCTTTTCTATTCCACTAATCTATGTCTACCTTATGCCAGAGCCACACTGTGTAGAGTACTGCAGCTTTACATTAAGTCTTAAAATCAGTTTTGTACATCCTCCAATTTTATTTTATTTTTTTCAAATTACTTTGGCTATTCAAACTTTGTATTTCATCTCCATATCAATTTTATACTTAGTTTGTCAATTTCCACAGAAAAACTTGTGGATATTTTGAGTGGAAGTGCATTGAATCAATAGATCACTTGGTACAGAACTGATACAGTATTGAGTCTTCCAACTCATAGTATGCTATATTTTTCTATTTATTTGAAACTTTTCTAACCTTTCGCAGCAATGCTGTTTTCAGTGTTCAGACTGAATATATATTCTATTACATTTATGTGTATATATTTCGTATTCTCTGATCCTATTGTCAATGGTGATTTTTAAATTTTTAATTACATTGCTAGCACACAAAAATATATTTTTTATACATTAATCTTGCATACTGCTAACTTGGTAAACCGATTTGTAGGTCTGAGTAGATTTTGGGTAATTCCTCAAGATTTTCTACAAAAACGATCATGTTAGAAGGCTCTACTGCTTCTTTTTCAAGCTGTATTAGTTATTTAAAAACTTACTAGGCAGGCTAGGACATCTGGAAAAATGCTAGATAGGAGTGCACATCCTTGTCTTGTTCCTGAACTTGGAGGAAAAGCATTTCACCATATTGGAGGATGTTAACTACATGTTTTTCAATAATGCCCTTTGTCAGTTTGCAGAAGTTCCCTTCTATTTCTAGTTTGCTCAGAACTTTGATCATGGATGGGTCCTAAATTTAGTCAAATCCTTTTTCCTTTTGAAAAAAATCTGTTAATATATTGAATTTCAATGCTTGATTTCTCAAATCTTAAAGCCAACCTTGCATTTTTGGGATAAATCCTATTTGGTCATGATGTATCACATTTTTTATTTATTGATATACTGATTTATTAAATTTTTAAAAAGGAGTTTTGTATTTATGTATAAATAAATACAGTTTTGTATTTATGCATAAATACATATGTATTTATACAAATACATATGTATTATGTATTTATGAAGGATATTGGTCTGGAGTTTTATGTTTTTGTTATGAATTTTTCTGATTTTTGTATCATAAAATACATTGAGAAGTATTCTCTCCTTTTCTATTTTCTAAAAAAATCTGTGTAGACTTGACATTATACTTTCTTTAAATGTTAGCAGAATTCACCAATGAAGACATACAGCCTTGAAGTTTGTTTGCTCATCATTTGTTAGTTTTGTTAGTTTGTTTGGTAGAAAGATTTTAAACTATGAAATTTATTTAATCAATACAGGTTATACTACATGCTATCTATTTTTGGAAAATTGAGATTTCTAACAAGAGAAAGGTATCAGGAAAAGTAAGTAACATATTTCTAAATTATCCATGGAACAGAGAAGACATGAAAAAAGGGAAATCAGAAGTTGTTCAAACTGAACATGAAAACGAAAATACATTACAGTTTGTAAAATACAGCTAAAACTGTGTTGACCAAGAAATTTACTTAATAGTCACTCCATTGTCTTATGGCTTGTGTAGTTTCTGACAAGAAATCTGCTATTCTTATATTTATTATTCTGTATGATTTGTGCATTGATTTCTCTGCCTGCTTTTAAAATATTCTCTTCATCACTGGTTTTCAGCAATTTTATTTGTTTTTTTTTATTTTTTGAGATGGAGTTTCACCTGTCACCCAAGCTGGAGCCCAGTTGCGCAACCTCAGCTCACTGCAACCTCCGAATCCCGGGTTCAAGTGATTCTCTTGCATCAGCCTCTCGAGTAGCTACGATTACAGGCGTTACCACCACTCTCAGCTAATTTTTGTATTTTTAGTAGAGACGGGGTTTCGCCATGTTGGCCAGGCTGGTCTTGAACTCCTGACTTCAGGTGATCCACCCGCCTAGGCCTCCCAAAGTGCTGGGATTACAGGAGTGGGCCATCACACCCAGCCAGCAATTTTATTTTGATGTGCTTTGGTTATGGTTTTCTTCATGTTTCTTCTGTTTCTTGTTCATTGAGTTTATTAGTTTGGGGGTTTGTAATTGTCAATACATTTGGAAAAAATTTTTACACGTATTTTATTATTTTTCTGCTTGTCCCCCTTATTTCCTGGAACCTCAACTGCATGTATGATATGCCACCATAACATCTTCCCACAGAAGATACTTTGTTCATTTTCTTTTCAGTACTTTTTTCTGCTTCATTTTTTTATTTTCTAGTGTAATGTCTTCAAGTCACTAACTTTTTCTTCTTAAGTGTTTATCTATTACTGCTCACATACAGTGTATTTTTAATTTTTATATATTTTTCATCTGTTGAGACTGACTTGCATCTTTTCTTATCTTTCATTTTTCTCCTCATCAAGCTCATGTTTTCCTCCATGTCCTACATGTGGAGTATAATTACAATACCTAATTATCATCTTTGTCTCTTATTCTTCTATTCAGTGCTATCTGAAACTTTTTCTATTGATTTTTACTTCCTCTGTTTATGGGTCTTATTTCCTGCTTCCTTGCATGTTTAGTAATTTTTTATTGCATGTAAGATACTGCAATTTGTACAATGTTGGTTTGGGGACTTTTGGTTTATCCTTTTAAATATTATAGGACTATATTCTGGGATATAGCTAAGCAATTTGGATTTGTTTATTCATTTTGAGAAATGCTTATAAGATTTGTTAAGGGAAGTCCAGAAGAGCATTTGATCTGGGACTAATTTGACCATACTACTGAGGTAATACTTTTCTGAGGACTCTACCTGCTGTCTTGCATAAAAGGGTTTTGTCCTATTGCTGGTAAGAACAAAGTCATTCTCTTCCTGCATGAACTCTTGAAGTTGCTCTACATACTCCTTTACATTGATCAATTCCCTCGTCTTACCTAGTTTCATCACAGTCAAGCATAGATCAGTAATCTACCAAACACTTGACTGAACCCCTCTGCAGTGTTCCAGAGCTGTCTCTAGGTAGTTTCTTCCTCTATGCTATTTTACCCCTCAAATTCCAGCTGCCTCGTCCTCCCTGAACTTCGAAGTCTTTCTCTTCTATTTAAAAATACTACACCTCTGTTTGGGCTCCCCTTCCCCGCACTGTTTTGAAATTCCTTCCCGATAGTAAGCTTGGGGAGTCGCGGAGCTCACCTTGTTTCCCATCTCTCATAAATTTCTCTCCTGTCCTGCTTATTATTGTTCAATCTCTGAAACTATTGTTCCATATATTTTCATTAATTTTCTAGTTAAAGCAGGAGAGTAAATCCCATTCCTGTCATTCTAATGCAGCTGGAAGTCTTTAAAATGCCAACCACTCAAAATAGTCAAAGGCAGGTCTGTGTCAGTAAAGAACACACATTCACAGTGGCTAGTTTCTATTGCTTATGGAAATTATAACTGGAGGATTAGATATTTAAATTGCTACCAAAGAAATTGAAATCAGTATCAATATTTATGTGTTGTATTAAGATGATCCATCAAGCACTCACACTTACTATCATTAATAGTTGGATAAGGCGACATATATCCTCTAATGTAACATAAAATAAAGTACATAATATCATCTGTAAAGTATTCTTCTCAAAAATGTTATAATAAATGTCGTTATTTTTAATAATCTTTATTAATTTTAGAGCAGTTTATGTTCATTACAGAGTTCTCATATACCTCCTGCCCCCACATGTGCAGAGCTTCTTATGCCATCAATATCCCCATGCAGAGTAGTATCTTTATTACAACTGATGAGTCTTATGTTGACACATATCACTATCACCCAAAGCCCACAGTTTACATTAGGAATCACTTTTAGTGTTGTGCATTCTATGTATTTAGATAAATTTACAGTAACATGCATCTACCATTATTTAGTATCATACAGAATAGTTTCACTGGCCTAAAACCCCTCTGTACTCTGTCAGAGAGTTGGAATCACACTGTATGTAGCCTTTTCAGATTAATTTCTTTCACTTACTAATATGCATTTAAGGTCCCTCCATGTCTTTCCATGGTTTCACAGTTCATTTCTCTTTAGCACTGAATAATACTCCATTGCTTAGATGTACCTCAGTTTATTTATTCATTTACATACTGAAGGGTAAATTAGTTGCTTCCAAGATTTGGCAATTATGCATAAAGCTCCTTAAATATATGTATGCAGGTGATCATGTAGTATGAGTTTTCAACTTGTTTGAGTAAATACCAATGCCCAGAGATGTTTAGCTTAGTAAGAAACTGGCTAACTGTTTTCCAAAGTGGTCGTTATCACATATTTAGATTAACCTTCCAGTTACTGAAAATACAGGTGATCAAATGGTTCATGAAATAAATGTATGGATGAATCAAATGGGGCACAATACTAGCAACTACTGAGTTTATGTGATAACTATATAGATGATACATTCTTCCAATATTTCTGTATGTCTGATCATTTTCCTAATTAAAAAAAGCTCAAAATCTTCTGAAACTCCATGAGTAATCCTTATGGCATCTACATATAAAATAAGCCCTTGTTTGTGTATCAAAAGGATAAATAGTCATTTACTAGTAAAGCACCACTATCCGAAGAAATATGTAAACTGTAATCACATTGTTAAGTTAGCAACAAGGAATGTCATATCCTGTTTACATGCAGATAGATTTCTTCACTCCTCAAATAAAGAATACATTATTTTTTTCTATTATGTGAAACTTGCAAATGTATGTTACTAAACAGTGTCACCTTTTGTAAAACTGATTTTTATAAGTCACTTTTATCATTTAGGAGATTCTGGGAAAATTGTACAGTCACTGGGACACAGCTTCCAAAATATTCTGCCTTTTTCAATCATAATTAATTTATTTGTAAATTATAAATGAATCTCTGCATCTCAGTATAATAATACATATCATAATGACATTATATCCACACACGCTGGGTGTAGGGACTTATCAAAATCTCTTCACCACATTATTAGGTCACAAGAACAACTTTCTAAAACCACCATTATGGTGATTATTGATTTCAATATAGTTTTTCCTTATTCTTCATTTTTAAAATAATGGTACAAACTATGCATATAAATTCTAGGCACAACTTTTGCTACTCGTTGTATGAATTTTTAGCATTACAGATACCACACCTATTAGATATGGGCAGGACTAAGGGGAGCAGTCTGAGAAACCAACTACCTCCTTCAAATGAAATAAACTGAGAGTTGGGGAACTGTCCTACCTACTTGGACTTGAACCCCTTCTGTAGTGAGAAATTCACTCCCTCAATGTAAGTAAACAGCTGTTACATTTTAGGTTTCCATTGTTACAAAGTTTCTCTGTGGGAGGATATAGAAGCCCAGAGGGGCTGAGTAAGTTTATGATGGGACTGCCATATGCAATCAACACCAGAATCCAGGCGGTCCAATTCGAAATGGAGTATGAGCAGCTCTTTATTTGTCTTCTATGGATCCCTACTTATAACTCTGCATGACAGGGGAGGGTAGGGCTTATGATTACTAGTTTATAATACTGATAATACCTCCCATTTTATATACTTAGAAGCATTTCCATCATTTCAAGCAAGTCCATATACTTCTACATTGTTAGAGTTTTTGTTCATTTAATTTTAATCTTAATAGATGTATTCACTTTCAGTAAGTTTCTTTCAATTGTACCTGAGAGAATATAATACATTCATATACAAACTGTAAAATTAAATTTTGATAACATTTTTCTATTTGAGAATGATTTAGACATTTATTACCAATTTTCTCAAGAATTAGCATTTTATTCAAATTTGTTAATATTGTTAATATGTTCCATTTGCTTCTTCCTATCTTTTCTATTTTATTCAGTCATTTAACACATATTTCTTGAGAAATTAGATAGGATACAGTATTGAATACTTTCTCTCTCTCTTTTTATTTTTTTTACTTTTTTTAAATTATACTTTAAGTTCTAGGGTACATGTGCACAACGTGCAGGTCTGTTACATAGGTATATATGTGCCATGTTGGTTTGCTGCACCCATTAACGAGTCGTTTACATTAGGTATTTCTCCTAAAGCTCTCCCTCTCCCAACCCCCGCTCCACGACAGGCCCTGGTGTGTGATGTTCCCCGCCCTGTGTCCAACTGTTCTCATTGTTCAATTCCCACCTATGAGTGAGAACATGCAGTGTTTGGTTTTCTGTCCTTGTGACAGTTTGCTGAGAATGATGGTTTCCAGCTTCATCCATGTCCCTGCAAAGGACACGAACTCATCCTTTTTTATGGCTGCCCAGGAATACTCCCTCTTCTTACAGAGTTTATAGTCGAGTAAAGAAGATGCATATGTAAAGATAAGGTCTCTTGCAGGGGCTAAAAGGGAAGAAAATCATTTCACCCATATTTTTAACCATCATGCAAATAGGCAGTAGAAAAATAAACTGATGCACGGACAGGGGGATTTCGGCATCATTGCACCATTAAAAGTCAAGTTGAATTTTTGGGTAACTGAAAGATACATCAAAACTTCGAATTTTGAAGTATGCTTTCTACAATGGAATTATCTCATATTAAAAAATATAGAATGGTAGTTCTCAAAGTGATTTCCAGGGTCATCTATGGGTCACTGAGACACTTTTCAACGGGTCCCTATAGGTTAGAACTATTTTTGTAACAATACTGAAATGTCATTTGCCTTTTTCATTCTCAATCTCTCATGACTGTACAGTGGAGTTCCCAGAGGTCCATGTTGTGTGATATTACAACAGTATGAATACAGTAAAAGCAGAGAGAAGAATCCAGGTGTCTTGTAAGAAGCCAGACACTAAAGAGATTTGTAAAAAAAAAAAAAAAAAAAAAAAAAAGTTAAACAATGATATTCTTCTCATTGTTTTTTGTTTTGAAAAATTTTTTATTTCTTTTATAGATATGTTATTTATGTTAACATATAATGGGTCTATTGTTTTTGAATAAATTCCTAAATCTCTAAATGTACTGCTTAAATTTATAAAATGCTAAATTTGGTATCTATAATGCACATAATGACAAGCTCGTGGTGGTTCTGTACAAGTTCTAAGAATATAAAGGGATCCTGATGCTTCAATATTTGAAGAACAGTGATATAAAATATTTTTAAAATGAAAGCACATAGTGCATTTTTATGTATGACACTGTCCCTTTTTTTTTCCTTCAGACATCTACAAAGTATAAAATTAAACTCTAAAATTAGATCCTTTGATGGGTTCATACGCAGATGTTATTGTAATGACCAGGTTGTTAAAAATATTAAAATATCAACTGATGAAATTTAAAGGGCCCTAAAGGAACACAGAAGTTAACACTTTCAACTTATGATGAGAAAATGAAGGTCAAGACTGATTAAATGGTTTGCCATAAATCAAACTGTTAGTTAATGCAAAACTAAATCCAGAGCCTAGTTCTACTAACCCTTGCTCTTCAAGTGATACGACTTAGATAAAATACTCTTTATTCATAATCAACAAAATTATCATATTAGGATATTTTTAAGTATAAACTATTTTCAGGCCTCTATTTATAAACCAGAAAAAAGAAAATAATAGATTTTAAGTGACAGGTGTACATATTCCTTGCTATAGGAAATCTCCATGTTTTACCGATTCATCAGCCATCCATTGTACCATTTCTACAATTATTTACAGTGAGATGGCAGAACTGGACGAACAAAACTCCTCAAAAAGACTGATGATACCATTCTTCCTTCAACAATTATTCAGTGGATGAATGTGCACTCTACTATTAATCCACTTACAATCTGAACATTAAAAACATAATAACCAAGATGATAATGGTCTAGATCACTAAGCTAAAATTTTTAAAAACCATACTAATTGTGACTAATTATTTAAAATCCACTTATACACATACACACGTCATGTAAAATTAATTAATGTTTCTTCATAGTTCACTGCTCCATTCTTTCCAACTAGAATTTCAATGAGCTATAAGGAAGAAAAAAAAAGCAATAATAAAAAAGGCTAAACAACAAATCTAACAACTGTAGTGATGTTGACAGGTTTCAACTCTGTGACTTATTGACATTTGTGGTTTTTAGAGTTATCAGAAAAATGATCAATGTATCGAGTGAACGTAAGCCTTTAATAAGTTTATATTGTCACAGCGAAGAAACCATGCATTAATTTCTTCAGAGTATTATTATAACAACATGTAGCAGCAAACTGAAGCTGCATTTCCTGTTTACTGCTGCAGAAGAAACAGGAAAATAAGTGACAAAGCAGTAAATAGGGACAAAGGGAAGGGAAAGGAAGGAAAGAAGGAGAAAGGGAAGAGAAGGAGAGAAGAGGAAAAAGAATACAGATTGGAAAAATTGGGAGAAGGGATAAGAAGAAAGTTGAAGGAGTAGGCTATGAGATCACAATTAGCAAAAGACTCAACTTATCAGATAGATGGTCAGCAGGAAACTATTGAGTCTCAGACAACAAAGAAAGGTCTGGACTGCTTAAAGCAGGCCATTTAAATGCCAAAGAACAGAAATGACAATCTAGATAAAAAGTCCAAACACAAAAAGCAGTAAGGGTAAAACTGAAAGCAAAAGATTAAAGAACAATTTTGCTTCATGTATTCATTAAGAAGTCCTTCTCTTCACACAAATAATAAGCAGGCTAGGAAAAAGTAACTCAATAAATTTCTATTATTAAGCCATGCACTTCATAGTACTTTGATATAGCAATCCTAGCAAACACATACAAGGACTCTCTTCATATCTGGTGTTCATTCCTCCAGACACCCTGCATGTATCATCGCATATAATTTTCCCTGTACCTTCATCAAGTAGGCATTATTCTAAAACCCACTTTCACACAAATGGGGAAAATGAGGCACAGGGAAGTGATGCTAATGACTCACAATCCAAAAGTGGCTGAGCCAAGATTCACACTTAGGCAGTTTAAATTGTATTGGTTTAGCCACTACACACACTGTCTCTCACAGATGACAGCAATTTCTAAGAGACAAAATATCACCAGGTTCTGCTACTACATCTTTCTTCTATAAGCTGCTCATTGTTCCTCTCACTGAAAATCTTCTTTCCCCCTGTGATTCCAAGCTAACTCCTGCTTCTTGTTTAGCCTTCCCTGGGATGGACTGTGCCTCTTCCATGTGCTACACCAGAGAAACACCACAGAGTATTATCATTGCTCTTGAATTGTATGTTTCTACCAGTAGATTCTAAGCTCCTGCAGGATATGCAATTGGGTTTCACTTAGTCATTTATATATTTGTGGTCCCTAGAAGTGAGTTTGGCACCTCAAAAGGACTCAATACATATTTATCAAGTGAGTAAATTAATGCTAAGGGTAGCTCTAAGAAATTTTGTAGAAACCAACTTTATTAAACACCAACACATATACATGTGCATATTAATAACACACACATACTGTGTGTAATTTATATATATTTAATATTACAGGATAGATAAAATTTTAGTAGGATTTACACCAAGAATATAATATTGGTCACCATTAAACTTATGAGTTAAACTTGTGTGTGAAAGTGGAAGCACTTTTATCTCTTTAAAATTTCCTTCAAAGCAAATAGGAGAAATTATTTTATAAATGATTTCATACATTATTGAGTTAGGTATTTCAAAAATTGAGATTCATGTTACATATAATTGTAAATTGAAATGCGGAGAAATTGATCTACTATAAGTCAAAAATACAGTTTAAACAAAGTGAAAAAGCAGTTTTCTTGAGTATGATAATAGCGGCAGAATAAGGTGATGTTTTTCTTCCAATAAGTTCTAAGCTGCCAAACTAATTTTGATTATAAATTCTGTAACAACTCTGAAATGCCATGGGAAGTGAGAGGTCAAAGTCAGATGTGTAAGTTGAAAGAAGTGACTGGAGATTAGAAATGCTGCTTCACATATAAATATAATGACATTTAGCATCTAACTCCTATGATTTCTAAATAACTGAGTAGGTAATGAGAAAATAATATGTTCGTAAATGTAAACATGCTCACAACATGATGCTCATATCTGTTGGTTTCTTTAAAGGCAACTTCTCTCCATTAGGTTTATTAAATATGACATTTATTCATTTGTAAACATACTTACAACAAAAAATGGTGTGTAAAAAGAGAGAAATTAAAGGTCTTTTCAAGCCCTAGAGACAAATATAATACCACCCAAATCAATACACTTGCTTTCAATTTTGTTATCATGATGCTTGAAGCTGTGAGTGGGCTTAAAAGTCTCCTAGTCTATGCTTTGCTTTCTCTTATCTGGTTATTTCTAGAATTCATATGCAAAATTGTAAGAACAGAGCAAAGAAACCAACAAAGATCATAAAAATGGAAAATAGGGTCCTTCCCAGCATGAAAGTCAGAATTTAGCAGGATCCATGCTATAGAACACAGTTAAAGATATAAATTATAAAGACAATTTACAAACAGGACAAAGTTAATTTTGGAAATTAGAAAATTAACAATAGATAATATAAAATCATTTCTTTTTAATAAAAAGTCAGAAAACAGGTTTTATTCAACAGTATTTTACCTTTTCTCTTTGGGTTTCTTTTCCTCACTTTAGTTTTTTGTAAAATTTAAGGAGGTAAAAAAAAAAAGTCCAATAATCACGCCTCTAGAGATCACAGGCTCACAAAGCAGACAAAACTAGTTTTGAAGCCATGTTCTGCCCTTTCTGCACCACTTAATGTCAGGTAAATTCCTCTCAAAATAATTGCTTCCTCACCTGTGAAATGGAAATAGAATCAACCCACCTCTAAGACTGGTCTGAAGAATTAAATGAAATCAAGGCTTCAAAAACAACTGGCATAATGTGTCGTACCTATAAAGAGTACTCAGTAAATGTAAGATGTTAAACTCTAAAAGTGGGTGAAGAATAAGAAAGACAAGAGAACCCTCTCATCCACTTGAAGCAACAGAATGATGAAAATAGTGCTGGATAAATGGAATCTCTCTTTTTGTTAAAAACATATTGCACAGAATAGTCCTAAAAAGCAGTTAGGCACTTTCCATCAAGTTCTTCCTAAAACATTCCTATTTCTTTGGAGCTCTTCCTTGTAATTAAAATAGGTAAATGGATAATCACCAAATTAAAAAAAAAAGTACAAGAGTACAGTATTTTTGGCTGAATCTCTCTATATTTCCATACATATGGAAAACAGGCCACTAGCATTAATTATTCATGCAGTAGGCAAAATAACTTCTTACATTCTTACACATCTCCTTTTGACCAGGTATAATGGTGGTTATCAGTGATGATCACAGTGCATTTTTCCCTCTCGGGTGGCATAACCATGCACTGTGTGAGAGGGCCAAAATGCAGTCTGCATGAGCTGCAATGGGAACTTAGGCACAGGAAGCCTGAAAAAGTGGGGGCTTCAGATAGAATCATCCTAGCAACTGTTGAAGAAAAGATGGGAGTGGAGAGCAGAGCGGCCCCAGGACACCTCCATGTGCTTTAAAGATTTAAAGAAAGATAGTCCTTCTTCAATATGGTTACAGGAACATGTTTTAATATACTGCTTCTATTGGAGAAACATGATTTACTGTTTTGTTGTAATAATACACAACACTCAAAAGTGTGTGTGAATGTGAGTGGGTGTGTGTGTGGTGGAGTGGTATCTGAGTCTCTATGAGGATGTGCATTTGTGTTAAGTCTGTGTGAGCATCAAGGCCAGTGTGTGTTAGTGTATGAGTGACTGTGTGAGAACATGTGCATGTGTGACTGTGAGAATGTGTGTTGGTGCATTAGTGTAAGTGTGCAGAGGGACCTTTATAAGGTCTGGGTAACATCTGAATGGTGCCCCTTAGATGTGGTGTTCTTGTGCACTCCCAAACCCACAAAACCATAAGTGGCTCTCCCAAGAAGTGACCCAACTAGAGATAGGAAGAAATAAGAAACTATGCCATCCCCTAATGAAGATGACCTTTATTAACAGTGGCAATCTGTTGAAAGGAAGGGGATACGATGATCAATTCAAGACATTTCTAAAAGAGAATGCACAACGATGCCTAGTGATTTGGTCACTAAGTGGAGTTGAGAATGGGCAAGCATAGGATAATAAATATCATATATCCGGCATACATTTTCTCCAAAGCTTAAAAACTACCCATGGGATTTGGGACTTCCTCTGTTTTACAGGAAAATGTATAGCTAGAAACGTTGGCTGTTGCAGATCACAAAGTTAATGGATGCTGAAATTGGTGTTTGAATCCAGATCAGTCCACTTCCAAATCAGTACTTTATAGTCACTTCCTCATAGCCATTTACCAAGGTCAAGAATTTGGGAAATGGAGAATGATTTGAGGAGAAAGATAAGGAATCAGTAAATTTCCTTTCACACCTGCCAAGTTTGAAATGTCCATGGAGATCTAAAGGGAATCCAGTATTGGAGTCTCTGTCTCACAGGCTAAGGCTTAAATTTCTGACTCAGCAAATAGTGTTGCTGGTTTCAGGCATGTACTGTGCTATTTAGATAAATGTGTGCATCATGAGTGCATAGAAGAGCATTTATTCAAAAGCACCAGATGTTTCTCCTTAAGAGCACTTCCTATACACTCTCTGTTTAACCAGAGGCATTGGCCGCCTCAGGGAGGAGTTGAATTAGTAGACCAGAAAGACAAGGAAAAAGATAATCGATTGAAATATTCAATTTTCAAAACAGAATTTTTGAGTCTACTCCAGCCAATCTTTGTGGAAAGGGAAAGGAGTTTTCTATATTTTGAAAGCTCCCTTTCACACATCAAGCAGGAAACCTGGCTACTCAGATCATCTGGTTTTAGTGGCAGATATGATGTAAGGTAGGGGGTTCTCAAACTTTATCAGATCACAAATCACCTGAAGAGCTTGCTAAAATGCAGCTTGCTGGGCCTCTCCCTCTGACAATCTTATTCAGTTGGTCTGGGGTAGAGACCAAATATTTTCACTTTTAACAAATTCTCATATGATGCAGAATTGCTGGTACAGAAAACACTTCAAGAATCATTCACGTAAGGAAAGTTCTTTCCAGATACTAAGTCTTTCGAGGAAAGAAGAAAGGGGATTTGCAAGGGAGAAAGGTAGCTTGAAAATGATACATGAGTCTCTAAGAAGATATCAAAGACCTTCAGGCAAGAGGGTGGAAACCTAAAACACAGAAACTTCAAATACCTCCAGATATGGTGAGCAATAGACAGGCTGAGATAGGGCTGGTCCCCTGCTACCTTTTTATATACAGCATGATGCCAAAGCAGTGACATAGGAGAGGGATGGGGAGGTCCCTAGACAGTGACTCTGTCTGCCCTGAGTTTCTGTGCAGGAGACCCAGTGGTTCCTGTGTGCTCTGGAAAAGATGAAACATGCCAAGAGGAAGGACAAACAAAGAGTGGACAATCCAAGGACTCAGAGAGATCAGGGGCTGGCAAACGTTTTCCGTAAGGGGCCTGAGAGTAAATATTTTAGACTTTGCAGGACATACAGTCTTTGTTGCAAGTACTCACAACTGCTGTTGTAGAACGAAAACTGACAGCCTTAGCCAACAAGCTAAATGGCTGGATTTAGCCCACAGCAGCTGGGTTTTCCTTGTATGCTGTAGTTTACCGACCCCTGCTATGGAAATCTCAAAAACCAGAGGAAAAGGAACCTCTGCCTCAACAGCATGTATGAGCATTACAACCCTGTAATGGCCAGACCTCGGTGGGCAAGAACACAAGATACCAGGCAACTATATCCCAGAGGACATCAATGAGGACAGAGACAGCACACAAACCAGAAGGAACTTCCTCTCTCATCATGAGAACATGGGAATTCAGCCCTGTTCCCTGGACCATCTTGGGAAAGAAAGAGAAAGGAATGTGGACTCACTTAGAGAAAAACATTCCTCACATGAAATATGAACTTTAAATTGACTGAGGATTTAGTCAACTGCAATTGAATTCCTCTGAAATAAAGCAATAAAAACCAGAAGTAGTGGCTGAAATAGCTTAACTTAGCAAAGTTGTTTTCTGTCTCCATCATTGAGGACAGGGTCTTGTTATTGATAAATAAAGCAGAATAGTATTTTTTGTATGTCTGAGTGTGATATGTAAATATCAACCCCAGGGTTTCAGGAGAGAAGAAATATCATTTCTGTCATCCTGTAAGTGCACAGGGTCCTGAAAAAATTAAAGTCAGGATATACAATACTTCCTCAGAGCAAACGATGTCAAAAGTAGAGGTTGCCTTAATTCCTCATATTTACTGCTTTCAGAGCACCTGTCAAACTTTATCATGAGCATTCTTTACTTTTTCAAATTCTCACCACTAGACTGAGAGTCCAAATTATAAGAATTACTTAGAATGAAATTTTTTCAGATTCCTGCACAGGTGTTCAAATTTTATGTTGAGTTTATGTAATTTTTACATGACTACAATTAAATTTGTTGCTGGGAAACCTCCTCATTAACCTCTTCACCTACTTTAGGTGTTAACAATATAGAAAGATCGTTGTGGTTTACCAAACACACATATAATTATTTTCAATTATCTTTAACAAAAAAAAGTTGTGCTTAGAAATTTCTCTTTCCAGAGGGCTACTGAGAACTTTCTCTTTTTTTTGTTTTGTTTTGTTTTCTGTTAATCTTTTTTTTTAAATTTTATTATTATTATACTTTCTTGTTACATCTGAGTCAGTCTGTTAGATGACTGTGTTAGAAATTCTCTACTTCCCATTCTTTCTCTTTTTTCTTTCTTTTTTTTCTTTTTTTTTTTTTTTGCTATTTTGTGACACTATTTCAAAAACCAGGAAAACTAATACAGAGTTGGATTATGTAAGTAATTTCAGCTTAGCTAAAGGGTTCCATTAAAAGTTTCTCAGCTTCAAGAATCATGTTTACAGAACATAAAGCATAGGCACAATTTGTCTAGCAAGACTTCTTATTGTACACAACTATTGAGTTTTCAAGAACAGAAAAAAGAGAGAAAGTGAGAATGAGAGTGGTGTTATCTGTCTTTCTTTGGAAACTAATCAATCTTCAAAAGGAAAGGAAAGGGACCTCTCTCTTCCAACGAAGGCTGACTGAAATGAGCCCCAAGCCCTATTACCCCTGTAAGAATGGACTGAATGGATCCCACCTCAGGGAGCTTTGCCGGCCAGAATCAACCTGCTTCCTGGAGAGATAATGAGGAGGTGCAGCAGTGAAAAAGAGGCAACCATCCTCAAAGCCCATTCTCTCCTCACCCCAAACACTGATGGCAAAGATAGGGGCCAAGGTCAGGGACCTGTCAGAAGCCTTCAGTGAACTGAGTTATTCCTGGCAGATGGAAGAAAGCCAGGAGAAATAAATGCTAAAATCTTTCACTTCAGAACTTTTCTGAATCAGTCAAGATGACAGCAGAGAACTAGTATGTCCAAATATAAACATTGTATTTGAAGTTATTTGCTTATGCTTAGGATATTTTCTGGGAGACTTAAAAATATATCAAATGTCTCCATAAATGGTTTAAAATAAATGAGGCTAAATATATGAATTCATTTTCTTAAGCTTCTTACATCCATACACTGAAGTTGAAAACACACTATTAGTTTTATATGCTTTAAAAAGACAAAAGGTTTCCCAAATATACTTTACTTACAAACTATGTATCCCATTTGTTAGTTTTTCTATCAGCTTAAGATGTTCTCTAAGAACAGAGAGAAGCATCTCAATTATTGTCACTAAAAAAATGAAGCACCATGTAATTAATGCCTTATCACAGAGTAAGCAAGCAATAACTATTTTCTGAAGGAGCAATGGCAGATGCATTTTTTGAATATGATTTTGTACCACATTTCCTTATTTTTGTAATTTGAATGATGCAGCCACTGTGGATTTATATAAATTTAAAACATAAAACATCTGGGTACAGTGGTTCATGCCTGTAATCTCAACCCTTTGGGAAGCTGAAGAAGGAGGATCACTTAAACCCAGGAGTTAGAGAGCAGCCTGGACAACAGAGGAAGACACTGTCTCTGTAAAAATATCAGAAAATTAGCCAGGGGTGGTGATGGTTGCCTGTAGTCCCAGCTATTTGGGAGGCTGAGGTTGGAGGATCACTTGAGCCCAGGAGGTTGAGGCTGCAGTGAGCTGCGATCATAGCACTGCACTGAAGCCTGGGTGATAGAGTGAGACCCTGTTTCAAAAATTAAAAAAAATAAACTAAACTAAAAAAACCCTAAAATATTATTGCATGATCTAAATACAGCTCATAAAACACTAAAACTGCCGTTTTCTTCTTTTGCTTATAGGTCAACTCAGTTCTTCCCCTCTCCCATTTATCCATTCACTTCCTCATCTCCCTACTGAGCTCCTATTACTTAGATAGAGATAGGCACATGCAATGAATGATGACAGGTAAAAGGAGATCTGGGATAAGTACTTATTATTTTGCATTCCCAGAATTTTCTCCCAACAACACATATGGTTTGGGTGAGATTATCAAATACACTGCCTCATCTACTTCTGGGCAACTAGAATGGACCTATTCATAGCCAATCTTACTATTCTATTCTCCTCCATGGTAGGATTGGTCAAAAAACAGAAATGTGGCCAACCAAGGCTAATCATATTCCTTCCAGAAACATTTGATATATGCATTTTGTAGAAAGGAATTCCTTGACTCTGGCATAATGAGAAGTCAGGTAAGCTAAGAGCTGTGAATGCCTATCATTTATACATTGTACGAAGTGTTGAGAACCAGTTTCAGAATGAGCAAAATAGAGGGATATAGAATAAAGAGTAGGAGAAAGAGAGGAAGAAAAAGAAGGACAAAGAGGAGTAGAGAGGAGCAATAAGAGAGGGAGGGAGGATGGATGAGATTAAGAATGACAAGAGGCACAGGAGTTAACACTGAGCATATCATTTCAGCTTCTGCTTCCAGACATGCCTGAAGCCAGCGATTCCCTGGACTTCCATGTTAAGTGAACCAACAAATTATGGGATAAACTAATTAACATAATTTTTTGACGCTTGTCACTGAAAGATTCCTAATTCATATAGCACAATTTCTGACCTCAGTGTTAAGACACAGCTACATAAAGCTAATGACAGTCATTTTGCCTTTTATTATGAAGGTTAAAAATGATATCCCATAGGAAAATAAAAACAGCAGCTCATAGGAGCTCACACAGAACTGGAGAAAGTGGACAGCCTCCACACAAGATGTAGATGAACACACATAAAGGATAAGAGAAAAGGCATTTCAAGTGGAGGGATGCGTGCGAGTGAAAAGCAGTGTGGCAGGCACAGTTCTTTCACTGGCCCAGTCCCCACTCGCATTCCTTTCTCCCTTAGCCATCTTCCAGGTAGGGGCAGCCATGACTGGGTGTTGCCCAATGAGATGTGAAACAAAGACTACTGTTGTCAGCCTCTGAGAAAGCTTGTAATTTCCTGAAAAAAAGAAAGAAGTGACGGGAGGGTGGGGGGAAGGACAGAACAATCGGGTACAGCCCGTTACTCACGCCCCATTCCACATCTCTTTTTTGCTTGCCTGGAACATGGCAGAGAGTTGAAGGTGCGGCAGCCTTCAACTGAGGCTTCAACCATCATGAGGACAAACGTTCACATAGTAAAGATGATACGGCTGAGAGGCAGAAAGATCTTGGGTCCTTAACAGCATCCCTGAGGAGTTACACTACCTCTGAACTGGCCGCCTCCCTGTGGACTTTTTCTTATATCAACACCAACAGCAGGGTTGTATGTTCTGTTATATGAACCATTCTTAACTGATACGGGAATGTTAGGAATAACAGCATGTGTGATGAAAAACTGGAACTGTCCAGCAGTTAAACACTTTTATGTTCAAATGTCTGCCCTGAATAGCTGGGACCTGCACTGAAACTTTGAAATACTTGCAGAACGAGCACACTCAAAATAACATAGAGTTTAGGCAACTGGGGGAATGAAGCAGTGAGTCGAAGCTGGAAAGAGATTGAGACTAGACTGTGGATAATCTGAAAAATCATGCTAAGGAGTATGATTTTATTTGGTACGGTGCATCTGAAATGTTTCATCTGTGAAAATAAGACATGCTACAGTCATGAGTCCATTGAGTCAATTGATAAGAGTAAAAAGAGCCTTCAAAAATCTTCTATACATTAGTATGTAAACCAAGAGGAACTTCACAGTATATTACAATTAATACTGGTTTTGTGACCTTCTAGTGCCTTTAATTTATCTCCAAAGTTTTATTTTAAAAGTTAAGAATTGGGTTTAAAATTCAAAGCCTGTAATTATAGTAATTAGATCACTGAAAACACCTGGCTTTTCACAGAAACTATCTGTTTGCAAATATATGTGAATGAGAGAAAAGATGGATCAAGTTTTTCTAAAAATAACCTTCAGAGCAGGAAAATGACTTACATGAAAAAAAATTAAGTATAATTACACCAAATGGCAGTTAAGGTATTAAGCATAAAAATTTTGGAGTTAATGAAAAGTAGGAACTAGAAAACAAACTATTAGAGTATGGTTACTGACTGACTTTTAAGTTTTACATTTTATTTGATATCTTTAGATTTTGTCATTCTTAATTATCTGTTAAAATGTTAAAATGGGCAGGTCAGCTTTCTTTTTCTCTTTGCAGTAGAGAGCTAATGGGTGAACTGTCCAGCTATCCTGAAATGCAGGCCCTTTTTCAATTACTTGAACCATTATTGAAATTAATGCTTACCCTTTCATATGTGCAGGCAGAAAGGATGCAGAAAGCTGTCTTTGTGGATGCATTATTCCATTTCCAAACACTCCACAGGGCACAAATGCTCCATCCCAGTATTTCTCTAAGTGTAAAGTCTGCTTTTCAGAATAAATCATTTGCACACAAGCTGGCAGGCATAATACTCTGATGGACAAGAGCAAAGACGAACTTTCCCTTCCTCGTTCCTTTCAAGTAGAAAAATCAATTGTAGATGGCCTTTCTGATTTGATATTTTTTGACATATATACAAGAAAATAACTTTTCCTATTGCTGACTTAAAATAGAAACTTAGAAACATTGCTTAAAAACACGTTTGCAATTTTTTAAGCAGGAGCAGTTTTTCTACACATCCCACAATTTACAGCAATCCTTTCGAAGACAGAAATACTTCCACTTATTACAAATTTTATTCTACAATGCCCCGTTCTCTTATAAATAGTTGCAGGAAAATACATGCTGCCTAGATTTTATAGATCAAATTTTACATTTAAATATTTCCCTTCTGGATCCTTATGGAAGTGAAATGATTTTTTTTATTCATAACCTTGATTCCCAAAGCTTTTAAATCTGCATAGGAAGTGTGTTTCTTCCTAGATTTCTCTTTTGGTGGGGAGGAAGGGTGTCTTCCTGGAATTAATTTTATTCACTGCAGTTTTTAAAAATATTATTGTTATAATTAACTTCCCTCAGATTTCCAGAAAATTCTGATTAGAAATACATTGCTGTGTTGTAAGAATTTACCCAAACTGAATGCCCAATGGAAAACAGGTGGTCCTACTTTTACATTACCATGGGAGAGAAGTGAAACCTAAAGACAGAAACAATATTAAGCAAACATAGATGTAAATTCTCTTCTGCTTATTCTCCTGCTCTGCAGAAATAATTATGGTAATGCAGAAACACTACTATAGTTTATATCTGTGGATTAATGGAACATATCTTTTTTGTATTTTGTTTTCAAAATGGCATTCTGGCTTAATCTTATTTTTATCTTTTGCTGTACATGTTATGTATCACACACGTGTTTCAAATTAAGAAAAGGACATAAATCACAAATATTTGTATTCTCTAATTTTAATGTCAGATTGTTTAGTCTATATTACTTGTTCATGAGATTCACTATAAATTCCCCATTTAAAACAATATATATTTTTAATTAGGTATAAGAAGCAGAATCCAGTTCTAGTATTTACTGTTATTCGGTTGCTTTGATTATCATGGTTCAATAAGCCACGAGTGCTCTTATTGTTTCAGTCTCAGAAGGTGTACTGAACCTACAGACCCAGTCCCAAAGCAGTTTTTAAACATTAAAATCCCTTTTTTAAAAAAAAAAATTTCATTCCTCTTGGAAAATAAATTTTAAAGGAAACATTTTAATATTAAGAAAAATAATACAGCCAATATTTAAGTTCTAGAACAGAAGTATTAGGCTAAAATATATTCATTTATAAAAAGTAAACAACAAAGCAAAGTCTTTGAGATTAAGATGAAGCAAAACCTTCCAGAATAACCTTCAAGAAAAATCCATGTTTGTGCGTTTGTTTTAATATAGTTTTAAATATAAAAACCTTACTTTTTAAGTGAATAAACATATTTATGCAAGCTAAAAAGAAGATACACGTTATTTTAAAAAATACAAAAAAGTAAAACAGCACAGAATATAAAAATTTATATAATTAAACACAAATATTTAATTACATAAATAATATAAAATTAATGTTTATATTAATACAAACATCCATTTAACTGAATGTATGTAACCCAGATCAAAATTGTAACAATTCATAAAGCTGCTTGGAAAATCAATCCATGAAAAACAAGCTGTCCCTTTGCTTTCCCCCACAGTCCATAGAACCAATGAAAAGTTGACGCACTGAGAGCCTGCCTCTTCCGAGGTATCCTTGTCAGGTTCCCTTGAGACCTTGCTGCTCTGCGTTCCTGTTATGGAGCTCTCTCCTCTGCCTTCACCCACCCTGTGCTCCACAACTGACTCCAAGCCCCAACCAAAAGTTACAAATTAGGCAGACAGAACCATCCTTGATAACATGGTTTAAATTTCCCAGAGAAATCAGTGTGTCCTTTGTCCTGGGCACTCTCACCTACCTCAGGAAAAAGGCCATCCAGCGCAGGAAAGGAGGACAAGATGGAGCTGGAGGGAAAGCATGGGCTAATTAGGCTGTCCCTTGGAAAGTACTTTTCACCAAGAGAACGCAGCCATATTTTGAAAATTCTTTCTTAATACAGTGTAGCAAAATGAGCAGGAAACATCCTGAATGGTGTATTTTGAATTAAGGTCGAAAATAATTTTAAACTTTTTTGAATTTAAACTTTCTGAATATGATTGTTAAAAAAAATTTAGGACATATTTACAGAAACTCATTGGGCTGTACACCCAAAAAATGTGAATGCTTTTTGTGTAAATTATACATCAATAAACCTGAGTTTTTTCTTTGGAAGAGAAAAAAGAAATAAAAAATTAAAAATAAAATATACTTAGAGATACCTAACATTTCTTATGCAAAATTGTTTTTATGTTGTAGAATCTTTAAAGGTATTAGCTACTTTAAAAATTCAATATGCCATTTTAATGTTATACATTATAACAATATGTATAAAGTAGCTAATATACATTCAATCAGGAAAGGCCAACATATTAGGTTTGTACAAAAGTAATTGTGGTTTTGCCATTACTTTTAATTGAAAGTAATGCACCTGCCTATATTTAATGCACTGCTACTTCATCACTAACATTTTATAAGTTTGGATTTAATGCTACTGCTAACATTCATGAAGTGATGTGTACAATCTAAAGAGAGATCCTGAAATCTAATATTTTAATATGTTGTCCTCCAGTTTTAGCTTTATTTTTTATTAGTAGTACATGATTTAGTTATTTAAAGCTAAAAAAATTAAGTTCATTGATGGATGGGTAGATGGGTGGACGGGTGGATGGATGGATGCGAGGCAGAGCAAGAGAAGGAGGGAAAAGCTCTAATAAAACCTAATATATGAAATGACTATACCTCAAGTGAATCTGGTTGAAGAAGATATGAGATTCTCTAAGAAATTTCTGGAGACCTTTAGGATATCGTTTGAAAACCACTCACCTAAGGAGCCTTAATAATAGTTAAAAAAGAAAAATTCTACTAAGGTTTTTAAAAAATTCTGTAAAACAAAGGATGTCCTGCAAGGTAAATGAAATATCAAATATTGAACATGCTGATTATAATTTGTTAATCAGCTCTGATTAGCGTTTGTTGAGAGATATGGCTGATATAAAATAAGAATATGGATTCATTTCTCCCCCTCAATTTGTTTGTTTGCAAAACAAGGGTGATGGCTCACATAGTGAGCTCACAGGGTAAGTCACAGGTTGACTTTAAAAATTAAATGAATTCATACATGTAATGTGGATACAGCACTGGCTGACACCTAGTAAGCTCTCAATAAATGGTATCTATTTTTTAAAAAATAATCTCTTACAACTGTTATTGCTTCTGAAAGAATAGTATGTACCATGCACAGTTTTTCATAAATTTTATTAAGAAATCTAATTCAGCCACCCCACAAATCCTGGTTTTAATTTAATCACATATATTTTTTATGTAATTTACACAATTTTCACAATTTTAACGTATACCATTTTATTTAATTTACATAATTTTTAAAAATGTTATTGTATTTTTCTACTATTGAGTCATTCTATGCTTCCTGTAAAGTATAAAATGAAATCAAAGTTATTGTTCTTAATGAATCACAGTACAAAGAAAACTAATTTACTAAGTAACCTGTTAAAAGAGAGGCTTATATCTACAAGTTGGATTCCTGAGGCTCTTCTCATATTAAAGCCCTCTTGCATTTGTCTAGGATGAAATGAGGTCATGAAACCATTTAGAAGTTCCTAGGGGAAGATCTAGCCAAAATGACAAACGACTTACCTCTCACTTTCAGAGACTTCTAAAACTCCCACTAACGTATAAGCATTCCTCTATTCAGCTTTTTACAGGGCAGAAAGAAAATTAAAAAGGGACAGATAATAGGTATTCAGTTGATATTTATTGAACTTTTTGGTTAATGGAATGACTTAATACAGAGGAAAAGAGAGAATGTTAGGAAATTTTCCTATCCCTATGTATCTTTCAGTGAAGATTAAAGTGTAGAGAGGGAGTGAGCAGAGTCCTGTCACATGACCTGATCTGGAAGAGAAAATGAGGAATCCTTCATTTTCATTTTCCTACCTAGGTACCATACCATTTCTCCACTGTGCTGCTCACTGAATACTCTTTCTTCTCAACAACCGCATCATCTTCACATCTTCTCTAAAATGCATTGTCACTCTTGGGAAGAGCCATTTCATTTCACTTCCTCATTCTATCAAGCCATCTCCCTCCCACCATGATAAATCTACTTCCTGCTTCAAGACTTTGTAGGTCTGCTAAACATGAGGGTAGCTAACTTCCAGCAAACCTCAGAGCTGCCTTTTTCCTTACTTCCCCCACATTTGTACTCATTCATTAAGCAAAAACAAAAAAGCTTAATGTCTTGTGTGGCAGCCACTGGCCTTGTAACAATTTTTAAAGTATAACAAAATGTACTGATTCAACATTTCTGAGCACCTCTTCTCTAGTCTTTATCTGCTTGGTTCAAGACCTAAGCTTTGCTTACCTTGAGTCTAAGATCCCTAGACAAAGGTAATGGCATCCTAAGTGACACTGCTAACTCTAATCTAGCTCCCTTTGCTATGTCCTCTCCATTGGCACAAATGCAATCTTTTCAACATATGAATCTGAATATTATTTGTCTCTAATTTTTAAGTGCTTAGTAGATCTCTGTATTGAACAAAGTGGCATCCGAATACCTTCTCATGCCATGCAAAGCCCTTTGTAATACTGGCTCATGGACCTAACCAGAAATCCCTCCCTACACACCAAAACACACCATTCTTTGGCCATGTGGAGTTGTTCACACATCCATCTGTGTTTTTTCACCAACTTAAGTTCCTTTCCTCCTTTCACTCCTTGGTGAACACATCCCTCCAGACCCCATTCAAAAGTCGCCTCTTTAGTATAGCTTTTCAGGCTCCCATATTATACTCTGCCTTCATAATTGCCATAGTGGACTATAAAGACGTTTTATAATTGGGATATGTGTTGGGTACCAGTTTCATGGTGGCAGAGAACCTATTTTAACTTATATTTAGAACTCTTACTGTGGGCTTGGCAAGAAACGATTCTCGAAGTTGGGATATTTTCCTGGTTTCTACTGAAATACCATTATATATATCAATCTTGTCTATTTATGTTAAGAACCCAAAATGATTGTCCGAATTTTACAGAAACTTTGTATCTAGTTGATGTTGTTGTTGTTTCACACAGTGAATATATTATTCTTCAGGACACTATTGACTTGAACAATCCAAATCCCTGGCATCTCATGTTTATCTGCCCCTAAAGTGACTGCTGTATATGCTATCAGAAATACTGTCTTTTTTTCACATTAATTAGAAAGTTAAATGTCCAATGGGAAAGTATATTCACTGAAATTAGAAATGATTAAGACAACCCTGAGTTTAATTAACTTCAAGGTGCATGAGTTTGTCAAACTTCAAAATAGGAACAATGCTACCTAAATCATAGGGTGGTTCCTCGGATTAAGTGAGATAAAATATGTAAAGCACCTTAGAGACAGATTGTCTCACAGAGTAGACACCCAAATTTTTCCTTAATATTTTTCTTGAAAATTTCTTCAAAATAACCATTTTAAGCTTATCGTGATACTCTACCTACCTCGTCAATTTAAATTTACAAAAAAGTAAGACTGCGTGCCTGATGTGAGTAAGAACAACAGACTTCTATTCATTACTGTAACTTTTGGCCCACAATTAATTAGTTTGCGTTAAAAATACAGTGGATACATGCATCGACATGCAGAAATATGTATCTGCTTTATTCTTTTGCTTTGCTCCCAATATGCTATGTAATAAAACCAGTCCGATCACTCTATGATGTCTAACATATAACTTACCTTAACTGAAAAAGGTCTATCAGCAATCGAGAAGCAGATCCAGTAATCTATCCTAAGGGACACGTAGGCTTATGAAGTACAGAAGGAAAGAGAACATGAAGGGATAGGTCTGATTTTCTGGACCAATTATGTAAGTTCTTAATGTTAAAAACAACATTAATACATACCGTCATCCAACCACAGGTCTTATAGGCCTTTAAATTAAAGTGAATGTTATAAATAACCATAAAATGCATTTATGTAACAATTAAAATCCACATATCACCTGAAGTAATTCCTTAAATAAATAAGGAAAAAGTATTAAAATAAACTTGAATGGATATGATGTTATTAATAAACTTTAAAATCTAATAACCAATGTAGTCTATGTAATCTACCAATAAAGGGCTAGCAAAGTTTGTGTCTGTAGCAATATTAATATTGTACAATTAAGATTTCTGAAAATCGGAATTTGAAAGTATATTGGGGGGAATAAAAGCTGTTAGGAGACCAAAGTCTAATAACTAATTTTAAGTAAGCCATATCTGATAATAGTATGTCTTTCAAACATCACGGATTTTGTCTTTCTTTTCACATCCTATATCACAAACCAGTAATTTCAAAGCACTTGTAACAAAAGAAAAAGACTACCTACTACCTACTACCACTTTTTACATAATCTTTCTTTTAAAACTAGTAATGATATATAGGTATTATGTAGGGGCATCTATTTAACTCATGCACAGTGATATCCCCATCTTATACTCCAGAATTAGAAACTTGAACTAACTGTGGAAAAATAGCATATCTCTAATTTGTTGTTGTTATTAAGTTATAATATGAAAAGAGAAAATAGCAGAGACAAGTAAAATCAACTGTATTGATACTATCAAACATCACATTCATTTTATATTCCTAAAGCCTCTTAGGACTAACAAACAAATTTAACCAAGGAAAAAAGTGAGTAATAATAATATTCTGTTACCTAATAGTGGTACTTGCTTTAAAATTTGTTAAAAGCATTGAAATTCCAAATCAAGGTGTCTGACTTTGAAACTTCCCCCAATTAAAGGAGTAATGGAAACATGATGTAACCTTGATGGGAATAGCACACAATTTCCAGGCTGAAAGACAGTGGTAGATGTTAACTTAAAATATTTGCCAAAAATATTACACATTACAAAATGCTGGTTTAACAAAATTTTAAATCAAATTCAATAGAGAAGAAAAATTGTATTTGTTTTAACTTGTAACAAATACATATTTTTTTCAAAGTTTTTGTTTTGTTTTGTTTTAAACTTGCACGCCCTACAGACTGAGAAGTAATTTTTCTGTTTTCTACATTTACAAGATCATTAGTTTACTAAGGAGATTTCAAAAAGAAACACCAGTGGCTGGAGTCCCTGAATCTTTAAGCCCTGGGCTGGGAGGTATGGAAAGTGGCCGGAGAGCTTTGCACTGAAGAAGGAGCGTTTCCAGGCAACCTTGCACAGTTGAGCAGCCACAGGCAACTGAAACAATGGCTAACACTGGCAGAGATCCATTAAAGGGGAGTCTGCAGAAATACACTGTGTGTGTTTATCCTTTTTCTAAGATTAACAAAAAGTCTAAATATGAGCTAGAGTAATACAGGGAGAAATACTGGAGAAATAAGCTAAGAAAAATAATGTATTCTCTATGTTCTTTTAAATGGCTTTAAATGCATTGGACACTATTTCAGGAATATTAACCTATTTGTGTGAATAAAGCATTCACTTTTTTCTTAGTTGTCAATCCACATTATGAATAGAGTGTGTTAGGCTACATTTTACTATGCATCAATATCTAACTAGGTGATCTGATCTTGTACCGCTGGTAACCTCAACTTTGCACCTGTCTTAGTTTGAAAATGGAAACACACTAAAATTAAAAGTTGATGATACTTAAATAATACCATATTCTGGGATATTTGACCTGGGTGGAGAGGAAGGAATAGAGTAGAAGGTGGTTACATACAGCCTTTCATAGAATCACCTAGCCTCAAAATTCTAGTGACCAGACTCCAAATTCTAAATACATCAAATTTAAATAAATCTTCTTATGCTGGCTTTTGTTCTAATATTGATTATGCTTCATTTAATAACTTCAAGTTACTGAATGGCATCCCAAAATAAAATGTCCACTAAAAACAAACACTGAATGATTAAAAGATCTATACATCTTCATAATCATTTATCTTGTTCCCTATTTAACAATATTATATATGGCTCTATTTGATCTATGTATTTAAATTATATTTTTTATAATGCTAGGTCCTTAAAAGTCTGTATCCTATCAGTCAAATGTATGCATCAGATTTATAAATTGAATTACATTAGATGACCTAATAATAATAGTAGTAGTAGTAAACTGCTATCTCTTTCCATAGCTATTTAAGGAAAATTTTGAGCTTGATAACAATCAGAGACATATAAACATAATCTGATAATCAGATAATCACGTCACTTTCTTGCGTACTTCTACATAGATATCAGTCTGAAAAGACCACCTGGAATATTAGAAACAAAGTAAAGTTTTGGTTTACTTAAAATTATGGATCATACAGTTTTCTTAGAGTTGACAGTAGGCTATAGTTTGGTATTAAATCAAAGGTTTCATTTCATATGTGCTTCATACAATGACCACCTGCATTTGCTAGGAAAAGTAGCATTTAAAATGTAAGCTTTCCTTAAGAAAATGTCTTTTTTAAAAAAATCTCATCTGTCCTGAATACACACCTTGAAATGGAAAACAATAAGGAGAATATTCTCTTGGAAAGAATTCTACTAATGGAAATGTGAGTAATAATTAAACATGTTTTTTTTCTCATTACATGAAATAAAACTGGACTTTCTGTCATGCTCTAGCAAAGTCAGAAAACCCTCAAAGGCACAAATTACCCCATTCAATGGCTCTGCAGTAATAGAAATCTACAGAAGCAAGATCAATTTGCAAGCCATGGCCAAAGCCTTATCTGTTTACTAGTAGAGGAGGTGTTAAGCAGTATGATTTAATATTCATTCAGCCAGAAGAAATGCATTACACATTGAAGCTATGTGCAATGTTGATAATTACACACCTGTTGCCATGGTGATTTTAGAAGCTGCAGTGGATATAATTAAAATTCCAAACCCATAAAATCACCTTACCAAAACTTGATAACTTTAATCAACACGAAAATTAGGAAAACATATTTCAAATCATTTTAAGCAATAACTTAAAAATGAGGAAAGGTAAAAAAGAAACAGAAAAAGAAAGAACAGCTAAGATGGCATTTTTTTCTTGCCCTTGCTTCTCTCTCTCTCTCTCTCTCTCTCTCTCTCTCTCTCTCTCACACACACACACACACACACGCAGACTTGCCACACGTGTCCATTTTTTTCAAAAGTTTTTTCTTCAAAATTCTCAAAGTAATTGTATTAATTCTGTTATCATATTGCAGCAGATGGTGACAATATATAATTAGATTTGGTAGGCTTTGCTCACTGAGATCAATTTCTATAGTTTCCTCTACCATTTAACCATTTAGATTGTTTGCAAACCCTACTTAATAAAGAGTAAAGACATTTATAGCATGCTGTGCTCATTCATGCAAAAATATAGTCAGTTTTTAAAAGCCATGCAAGGTACCTCCAAGACCTTTTCCAAAAACATGCCATGAAGAAAAGGTTTATATATTTTTGTTTAAAACAGTCACCAAAACTTTGGAACATTTTTAGTGCCCTTAACAATGTGCCTGGTGATTGCACAGTTGGATGAGAATTTTGTGCCCTTGGTCATCCAATCAGTTGAGGACCCAGATTAGGACTGTCAAATTGTGTCAGGACTTTGCAGTGAGTGCTCACTAGAGTGTCTTTAATCCTCCAAGGTTTTCTCAAATGTCACTGCCATCTGGAGGAGAAGGAGCTTCCCTGCTGGGCTCCACTGACCACAAATTACCTTCTAAAGAGAAAGACAACAATAGAGAGCAGTTAATAAATGTTTGATTTTTTTTTGCAGAAAGGAAAAGTTAAAAAAAAAAAGAAAAAAAACCTACCTTTCCGTCTTAATTTAGCATTAAATGCTTTAATGCAATATACAAAAATGACAAATTGATGCCTGCCTGGTAGTTAATTTGAGGGAAATTGCAAAAATTTCTTAAAAATTTTTAGCAAACTGTGAAAGGATACTTAAGTCACTGCTAACACAGCACTCTTTTTTTGCAGTTTCCTCTGGTTTTGGAATAACGGATGATTTTATCCTACGCAATGAACATGATTACTTTTAAGTTATGGGAAGTATACTTTATTATGCAGATCCCATCTCTTTCCAATGTTAAATGAGCAGTGTTACCAAAAACTTAGTAAACTGAGATTAGAATAACCTAAAGTTTATTGCAACATTTCTTCTAATCCCCACTGCAAGTTCTAAAAAGAAATCTGGTTCTAGTTTCCTCATTTAAGGATATGACTATTATAATCCTCTTTTCTAAAGAAAGTCACTTCCTTGTCTGGCACAAAAAAGAGTGGGAAATAGGAAACCAGCTGCATTTCTTCTTTTAAGGGACACTATCTGCAGCTGCATTCAGGATCTATAAGCCTCTAATGTATTTACCTGTATTCTCCAAGTGCAAGTAAAATTCCTCATAACAGAGTTGTACAATATTTTGAATACGGTGTAATAAATAATGTATGCAGCCTGTTCTACATAAAATAACCGCTTTTTGTTTTTTTTAAATAAATATTCTTCATTATTTGTACTAGCTCCTGCCTTTCTGTTTATGTAATTCATAAAGAATATTTGTGTAACATGTCTGGATACAGCAAAAAGCTTTATTATATCACAATTAAGTTTCATACTATGGTCATTATACTTGCTTTTTTAGGGATGTCTTCTGAAAGTTTCTTCTTAAAGTTCAGAACAAAATAACTGAGTTATGCATAAATTCTATAATTTTCATCATGCTTTAAAGTAAAGCTCCTTTTTTTCCTGTGAAGTTAAAACTTTAACTTTCATGATGTTCTAATGTTTTACCCTTTGCTAAGTGATAATTATCTGGCAGAAATATGTCATTCCACATCTGCTATGAATGCACACACAATCTGAATCAATACAAACCTGTTTTTCCTACTACAGCACCTCTAGCTAAAAACCAGGCTCTAATCTAGAACAAAGGCAAGATTGATATACTCTGAGAATTCATCTGATGCTTCTCCGTTATACTGCTGCATTCAAATTGCATCTCTAGATGATTATACAACAGATTTTATAAAGGTGTGTAATCTATATTATTTTTTCTGTTTTACTGCAAATTTGTTCACTAAGTCAAATTATTATTATCATTATTTTTAGATGGAGTCTCACTCAGTTTTCAGGCTGGATTGCAGTGACGCACTCTCGGCTCATGGCAACCTCTGCCTCCCAGGTTCAAGCGATTCTCCCACCTCAGCCTCCCGAGTAGCTGGGACTATAGGTGCATGCCACCATGCCCAGCTAATTTTTGTATTTTCAGTAGAGATGGGATTTCACCATGTTGAGCCAGGGTGATCTCAATCTCCTGACCTCGTGATCTGCCTGCCTCGGCCTCCCAAAGTGCTGGGATTACAGGCGTGAGCCACTACATCCGGCCTCAAATATTTCTTAAAAGATAAAACATCCAAAGTCTGCTATAAAGTTTAATATGCCTTGAGCCCTAATAAATTTGAAGGTACAAGTTAATATTTTTCCAACAGCCAAAATTTTAAGTAGCGTTTATCTAATTTGACATATTTATATGTAATAAATCTAGCCTTAGTGATTAGTAGTTGTTACGTATTAACAAACTCCTCTACTCTCTAACCTGTATTAATCTGGGTTGGAAAAAAAGTTAACTCTTGATAAACATCAGAGAACTGATGACAAAATATCAGTTAAAACATGAAGAAAAAATGCACAAACTATATCTGTTATAATAAAAAAAAAGGTGAGAAGAGGCTTTTATTCTGCACAATCAGCAGGAGTGACAGGTTCAATGGATGATGAATAGCGTTATGCATTGAGTTACAGTGATGATTTTAAGTTCAGTAAGTGACACATTAAGTACTGCTATAACACAAGAGTTCAATCAATCTTTAGAATGCTAAGAGAAAAATGACTGTACAAAAGAAAAATTGCATACATAGAGACATACAGCACTGACACTTTGCCAGCATAAACTGAGAATCTATTTAACAAGCAGCAGATATAATGTCATTCTCGCTCTGTAAGAGAAATTCAAGCATGTGCATGATTTAAAAACACCAACAGAACCCAAGAATATGACTGTCATATGCCAATCAAGAATAAATGCTGAGACAAGAACTAAGAAAAGCTATCAACACCCCCATCAGAGAGACAATCATCAAAACACAAACTGCATTGTCATTTATAGACCTCTGCTGACATTCATAATCATAAACAAACTGAGTTGCTTAAGCAGGAGACTTTTTCAGCACCCCATTAACACACTATTGTTTATGTGACACAATAGGTACTCATAGGGACAAAGCCCAGGGCCTTCCTTTCATACTGTCCCACTTCAGAGCTGCCCAGGACTGCCCATCCACTCTTCCCACCTCCATGTGACCCTGCTTCCCCACTCACTGATCTTGTGCCCGGGATGGTCAGTGTCCTCATCTTTGTAAGTGGAGGTTGTCACCTGGCAGTAATGATAATTGAGTAACCTGGGGAGCTGTCTGTGGTAGAGAGGAATCAGGGTGGGAATTCTCATATAAGTGTTGGGTTCTTCTTGCCCACTGCCCAGAAAGGCCAATTTATGAAGACAGGGAAATTGCAATAGAAAAAGAGTTACTTTCTATGTCCTAATATATTATAATGTCATATCTACACATCCATAGCCAAGCAATGTTTCTGCCATTTGTGAAACAGACTATAGGCCGGGTGTGGTGGCTCATGCCTGTAATCCCAGCACTTTGGCAGGCCGAGGCGGGTGGATCACCTGAGGTCAGGAGTTTGAGACCAGCCTGGCCAACATGGCAAAACTCCGTTTCTACTAAAAATACAAAAATTAGACAGTCGTGTTGGTGGGAGCCTGAAATCCAAGCTACTCAGGAGGCTGAAGCAGGAGAATTGCTTGAACCCAGGAGGCGGAGGTTGCAGTAAGCCGAGATTGCAGCATTGCACTTCAGCCTGGGCAACAAGGGCAAAACTCAGTCTCAAAAAAAAAAAAAGAAAAAAAGAAACAGACTATATCAAACCTCAAAAACATGTATAATGAAGTTGTGTGTTCCAGATCTACTGTGAACAATGGCCAATGCTGCACTAATACTTTTCAAATATTTTGTTTGCAGTATTAAAAGTTATTAAAAAGATAATTTAATAGAAAGAATACGCATTTTAATATTATATTACTTTTATAAGTAAAAGTTGAAATTATTTAACTCTTTATTTTTTTTGTAGAGATGGGGTCTTACTTCTTGCCCAAGCTGGTCTCAAACTCGTGGCCTCAAGTGATCCTCCTGTTTTGGCCTTCCAAAGCACTAGGATTACAGGCATGAGCTACCAAACCCAGCAATTTGAATATTTAAACAGAAAAATCTAACTAGTGTTTCCCTAGTAACTGAACAATTGTTACTAGCTTCCATATTTTTATTTCAAAAATTAAATATTTACATAATAATGATGTACTTAATATTTTCAATCCATTTGTTTTCTGGATTTTAGGAAGAGACTTACATATTATTCTGCAAAATAAGCAGTAATGATAGGGCCATCAGATGATGCGGGATCTTATGAGATGAGCCATAGTGATATAATGATAATATGACAATGATTCACTATATCTCACACATGGACTTGAGAGATTGAAACATTATTGACTCCAGTAAAATAGAATTTGCTCATGCTTTGGGAAATCTACTGGTTCCAGACTACATATAAGTTATTTTTAAAATTGGGTTGGAGGATATTTGTACTCAGCATTAAAAAAAAAAAGCAAGGAGAAAAGCGTAATCACTGAGAAAATACTATATCGACTTATTTAATAAAAAAAATCACTTCAGAATCAAAAGTATGCTCTGCTCAGTGCTTATTAATTGAGCTATCCCACAGATGGTTACGTTTTAAGGAACAAGATTTAAACTTCAGAGGGTTTGCAATCTGAACAAGAAGTACATGATGCCTACCTCTTAGTAATTTATGCCAATATATGAACTATCCAGAGCTTAGGATAAAAATCACTCTTATTGCAGTCTACTGTAAATGTGAATGCACATGTAGAATGCAAATACTAGGATGAGTTACTCCAAGTAGAATATTACTTATACAGATTCAGATCAAAAAATAAAACAGTGCATTGTAAAGTTGTGTGGTAGTGGAGCAGACATATGTTATTCTTCTCTTGAAGAGACAGAAAGATGTGTAGTGCATGCCTAGAGCACTATAGGCCATGATACCAAAGGAATCCAACCTTTGTGCTGAGATGCCTCACCAGCCCAGATCTCTTATCAGAACTGAACCCATAGGGTCAACATTTTATTCTACATCTCTACAAAGATGTCTAATAAGAAATTCAAATATAAAAGTCCTAAGATTATGGTTCTCAATCTGTGCACAAAAGCAATTTGGGGAATTCATGGGGCTTTCGTGATACTTTAACATTTTCAGGGAAACACAATGATACTGAACATTTATTGAAGTTCACATCAAAAACTAGCTTCAAGTACTTTGCAGTTTCAGGAAACGTGGAGCTCACAGTACATTTCTTTCAATAGCATCATATCTTTATAAATCTGGGCTTTAGTGGTTACCATTAGAATAAAAAAGGGAACTACTGCATGAAAATCCATGCAGAACAGGAAGTGAGGGTGACAGTATCCAATCTCAATCTAAGGGCAAGACGTTCTGTACAGCCCAATAGCTGTGCACATCCTTGTTAGGAAGTGATTGTGTTTATATAAGATGGAAACAAAAATATTAATTTTCTTCAAGTCCTTATGTATTATTTTATCAAACAGCTACTTAATAGTAAGGACGTAAATCTTACATCATTTGGAACTAACTGCCGAATAAATCAACTCTCAGGCATTTCTTTTGGACTTGAGGGTATCATGAACATTTCCTAAGAAACCAAGAAAGTATGGAAACCTCTTGTCCACACCGAATTCCTATATGTAATAGATATCCAATCACCTTTGTAGTTCAACATCTTCACTTTCTCTTTGGGAATGGCACAATTTCCATATTACCAGTCCAAGCACCTCAGATGGAGTTGACTCTACTACTGATTCTAGGAAAAGGCAAAGTGGAGTCAGGCTAATTAGAACATCATAGTCTTCTCACCACAGTGATTTGTTTAGATTCAGAAGCAGCCATATGACTTAACTGGAACAAATGCAATGAGGCTTCTCACTGGGATTTCTGTGAAAGTGCCAAGTAATTTCTTTCTGTAAAACTTGAATCTGGGAGGATGAACTCCCAGAGCTGCAGAAGGCCACTGTGTGAAATCAGAATGAAACCAACACAGGATATTTAAGACTCAAGACGTTGACAAACGAACTCTTAATGACAGAGCACTTATATTCCAGTCACCTGGGATTACAGTTGCAATACTACATGCCACTACCTTATTCTCCCCTTGTCTAGCACAGTGGCTGTCATTAGAACTTGGCAGCTCATAGCCTTGCCCAACTAGAGGCATTGGCATCATCTGGAAGCTTGCTAAAAATGTGAGTCAGGCCGGGTGCAGTGGCTCACGTCTGTAATCCCAGCGCTTTGGGAGGCCAAGGCAGGCGGATTGCCTGAGGTCAGGAGTTCCAGACCAGCCCTGGCTAGCCTGGTGAAACCCCATCTCTACTAAAAATATATTAAAAAAAAAAAATAGCCAGGCATGGTGGTGCATGCCTGTAGTCCCGGCTACTTGGGAGGCTGAGGCAGAAGAATTGCTTCAACCTGGGAAGTGGAGGTTGCAATGAGCCAAGATCATGCCACTGCACTCCAGCCTGGGCAACAGAGTGGGACTCCATCTCAAAACAAAACAAACAAACAAAAAACATGAGTCTTGGGCCTCATCTAAACCCAATGTATCAGACTCAGCATTTTAACAGGTGATTTGGTTGCTCACTAAACTCTGAAAACTTATGAATTAAAATTAAAAACTTTAGTCAAATACAAAAATAAATAAATACGTAAATACATAAATGGTCACCACTGGTACGGTGTTGGTACACACCCTTTTTAAAATTAGATTATACCAACAGCATCCAGACTTTTATTCAATGTTTAAATTGTAACAGTACTAGTGTTTTGTTTTGTTTTCCTAAAACAAAGATTTGTTCATGAAACAATGATATTGCTTAAAATCCTTCCATGGCTTTCTAGTGTGTTAGAGAATAAAGTCAAAGCTCATTATACACAGCATAAAAAGATGCTAGAGCCAAGTCCCTGGGTATCTATGAGCTTTACTTCTCTTCATTTCACCCTTTGCTTCTGTTGCATCTGCCGTATTACACAATGTGTAGTTTTGAAAGGGTATCATATCTGCTTCATCACTGCTCTCTCGCCTTCTCAGTTGCCTAACTTGGCTTAAAAGAATGAGAGTTTAGCAAAATAGTAAATAGCATGGGCTTTTAGCTAAGCCTGATGGATGTTTCCATGCATATAATTTATAAAAGGCAAAACTCTTAAGGATTCCTGACATATTTGCCACTCATATCAGAATGAACTGATGGTGTTTTATATTCTGACTTATCTTTGGTGAAATACACTGATGCCTGTCACCCAGTGCCTACTAAAAAATGCCACAGGAATAAGTAAGGTAAATAATGTAGTCTTCTCCCTCACCACCATGCAATAGACTCATGAAATCAAACTGCACTGTACCCCTAAATTTATACAAATAAAAAAAAGAATTCAGTCTTCTTAATTATGTACTTAAATATTTGGCAAAGTGAGTTACATAGCTGGAACAGTATATGGTATCATGAAAAGTCCTGGGATTCTAAGGTTGAATAGATGTGGGCTTGAGCCCTGCCTCCTTTACCTAACAGAGAAGCATCCATGGCAAACAATCCCTCAGTGCTCTATAAAATGGCAATAACATCTTGCTGACACATAAGTGCCAATCCGCTTCCTTTTCTTTACCATCTTCCATCTGGCTACTAATCTGACTCATTTTCTGATATTTTCCAAAGGATAATTGGTATCATCTGTGATGGTTAATACGGAGTGTCAACTTCATCATAATGAAGGATGCAAAGTATTGTTACTGGGTGTGTCTGTGAGGGTGTTGCCAAAGGAGATTAACATTTGAGTCAGTGGACTGGGAGAGACAGACCCATCCTCAATCCGGGTGGGTACCATCTAATCAGGGGCCAGCTTGGCTAGGATAAAAGCAGCAGAAGAACGTGGAAGGACCAGACTTGCTGATCCTTCCGGTCTTCATCTTTCTCCCGTTCTGGATGCTTCCTGCCCTCGAATATCAGACTCCAAGTTCTTCAGCTTTAAGACTCTTGTACCTACACCAGTGGATAGTCAGGGGCTCTCAGGCCTTTGGCCACAGACTGAAGGCTGCATTGTCAGCTTCCTGACTTTTGAGGTTTTGGGACTTGGACTGATCCACCACTGGCTTCCTTGCTTCTCGACTTGCAGACAGCCTATCATGGGACTTTACCTTGTGACTGTGTGAGTCACTTCTCCTTAATAAACTCCCTTTCATATATCCATATATGCTATTAGTACTGCCCCTCTAGAGAACCCTAATACATCATCCAACACTATATCTGTTACAGCGTAATTTATTAACAGTCTTTCATACCTCAATAACTTCAGATTTTAACAGTGGTTCATAACCAGGTGTTATTTTGCCCCTCAGAGGATATTTGGCAATTTCTGGAGACATTTTTTATTGTTACAATTGAGGGATGCTACTGGTATCTATACAGGACAGCTTCTCATATACAAGAATTATTTGGTCCAAAATATCAAGAGTGGCCCGGAGTGATGGCTCATGCCTGTAATCTCAACACTTTGGGAGCACGAGGCAGGCGGATAGCTTGAGCCCAGGAATTGGAGACCAGCCTGGACAAGAGAGGGAGGCTCCCATCTCTACAAAAATATTTTAAAATTTAGCAGGGCATAGTGGTGCGTGCTTGTCGTTCCAGCTACTTGGGAGGCCGAGATGGGAGAATTGCTTGAATCAGCAAGTTCGAGGCTGCAGTAGCCATGGTCATACCGCTGCACTCTAGCCTGGGTGGCAGAGAAAGACTCTGTCTCCAAAACAACAACAACAACAAAAATAAATAGTGCCTAGGTTGAGAAACTTTGGATTACAAGGGCAAATGCAGAATTAGTCTACAGATATCTTGCTTCAAGGTACTTCTTTTCAGGAAACTGGCTCCATGAAGATAGGAGAAAGGGGATCAAGAAGAGTCACATAGAAATAAGTATTTCAGGCCAGACGTGGGTGCTCACGCCTGTAATCCCAGCACTTTGGGAGGCCGAGGTGGGTGGATCATGAGGTCAGGAGATCGAGACCATTCTGGCCAACATGGTGAATCCCCATCTCTACTAAAAATACAAAAATTAGCCGGGCATGGTGGTGTGTGCCTGTAGTCCCAGCTACTCAGGAAGCTGAGGCAGGAGAATTGCTTGATCCCGGGAGGTGGAGGTTGCCGTGAGCCAAGATCACGCCACTGCACTCCAGCCTGGGTGACAAAGTGAGACTCTATCTCAAAAAAAAAGAAAAAAGAAAAAAGGAAAAAAGAAAAAGAAAAAGAAAAAAGGAAAAAAAAAAGAAATAAGTATTCCAGACCAGGAAAGAGCCAGATTTTTAAAGTACCATTAGTGAATAGCAGGGTTTCTGCAGGGAAAAGTGTGCAATAGGATGCTGGACCTGGACATTCAAGCTCCCAACCTTGGCAAAAGTTCCTGTGCTCTAATTGAGGCACAAAGCCAAAGAGCTACAGGTTTTCAAGGAGATGTGGATAAAAATATATCAGCACAGACCAAGACAGACTAAAGAGAGAAGACCTGCCATTATTTTCTGAGTACTACCCAATATCCTCTATTCTCACAGGATTTTATTTTTGGGGAGGTGTGCCATAATGATTGAGATTTAATTTCTTACCTGCCTCATAGGATGCAAACTTAAAATCAAATTTAATTTGATTTAAAACATAGATATTTGTATTATTTCACAAAAATATTAGTTTAATTCTATCCACATAACTTATGTATTTTACTATCAATAATTAATGGTGGGTATGACCAATATAATCACTCCCAAAATTAATCTCAGTATCTTTATAGAGCTTCTATTACATACATACACGTGGCAAGGTAAGCACTACAGAATTTAAAATTAAGCATGTTCTCTTCCAAAAATGCATTAGAGGAGAAAAATATCTTTCATATTTAAACAAAAGAAAAGTGCAGAAAAAATAACAGAAAGAAACTCTCATGAGAAAATGATTTTCAGAAGCTAGGGTTATCAGTAGTATCTCTTAACCCACAGAGGTTAAAGGGGATTAGTATGATTAGAAGTTCTTATATTTGACTAAGTCAAGTTCAACAGTGACCATTCACAAAGCAGTTCACTAGAATGGACAGAGCAAAAGATTCCAGGATATCAATGAGGGAGACAGAAAAAGGATACAAATCATGTGTGAAGACTTTGGAAGTAAAAGGAAAGGAAAGAGAAAATATTGACTACATATCCACTCTCCCTGCCTCAGTCAGTCACAACAGATGGCTATTCCTTTCATTTAAAGCCTTATATGCCCTGGCAACATCAAAATTTTTGCTAGCAGTGTTTCAATGCAGGCAGAAAGACAGAGAGAATGAAAGAGAGAGACCGAGAGAAATATCAAAATCTTGGAGAAGACCATGAAATCGTGTATAATACCTAAAAAAATTTCTCCAAGAATTCTTCCCAAATTGCTCTAATCAAAATGAATTCTCACTTCCCCAATCCCAGAGAAACTCATTTTCTCTTTATAGCACTTACATCATTGTCAACTTTATCAGAGGGGTATCTGTCTCATCAGGTGTCTGTCTACTCTCCTGGATTGTAAGCCACGGTAGCAAAAACACCACATTTCCCTTTGTGGTTTCAACTATATTTAAAAGGATACTTTGTGGCCGGGCGCGGTGGCTCACGCCTGTAATCCCACACTTTGGGAGTCCGAGGTGAGTGGATCACAAGGTCAGGAGATCGAGACCATCCTGGCCAACATGGTGAAACCTCATCTCTACCAAAATACAAAACATTAGCCGGGTGTGGTGGTGCACATCTGTAGTCCCAGTTACTGGAGCGGCTGAGGCAGGAGAATTGCTTGAACCCAGGAGGCGGAGGTTACAGTGAGGTGAGATCATGACACTGCACTCCAGCCTGACAACAGAGCGAGACTCCATCTCAAAAAAATAATACTAATAATAATAATAGATTACTGAATGAATGTCAATTTTTTTTTTTTTTTTTTTTAGTTTTAAGGACTCATGCCTATAATCCCAACACTTTGGGAGGCTGGAGAGGGAGGGTAGCTTGAGCCTAGGAGTTTCAGACCAGCCTGAGCAACATAGTGAGATCTTGTCTCTACAAAAAAATAAATATAAAAATTAGCTTAGCACAGTGGCACATGCCTGTAGCCCTAGCTACTCAGGAGGCTGAAATGGAAAGACTGCTTAAGCCCAGGAGGTTGAGGGTGCTGTGAGCCGTGATGCTGTCGGTGCCCTCCAGCCTGGGTGACAGAGTGAGACTTAATCTCAAGAAAAAAAAAAGTTTTATGAAGATCTAAGTGATTATCAGCAATACAGGGTTATGAAAGGATAAATTGCGTATACATACACAATGGAATACTATTTGGCCATAAAAAATGAAATCATGTCATTTGCAGCAACATGGATAAAATAAAATAAAAATGGAGATCATTACGTCAAGTGAAATAAGCCAGGGATAAAGAAAATACTACATGTTCTCATTTATATGTGGGAGCTAAAAATGTTGACCCCACGAAGTAATGGAGAGTGGAATGATAGATATCAGAGACTGGGAAGGGTGTATGAGTGGATTGGGGGATGAAGAGAGAGGCTGGTTAATGGGTACAAACATACAATTAGATAGATGGAATAAATCCTAACCTTTGATAGAAGAGTATAAGTGTTAGTAGCTAACAACAGTGTACTGTACTTTTAAAATAGCTAGAAGAGAGGAACACCCTCTCTTCAGGGTGATGGATACCCTAAACACCCTGAATTGATTATTGTACATTCTATGCATGTAACAAAATTTCAGATGTATCTCAAAATATGTACAAGTATAATGCATCAAAAATAATGGAAAAAAGAAAGAATGAAAGAAAAAAAGAAAGAAAAGAAAGAAAATGAAGGAAGAAAAGGCAGGCAAGGCAGGCAGGATTTATTAGTTTCCTGACTTACACATTTAGGCTTCTAATCATGTACCACTATCCACAGCTAGTCAACCCTGCTGTTGCTTATGCCTGTATCTCCAGCACATGGACCGACATTAGAACGTGTATTTGTGCAAAAAAAAAAAAAAAAAAAAAAAAAGTGCGATAGTCGATGAATGGCAGAATCAAATCAAATAACTATAAGATATCTATTTTAAGAGGTTAAAAAAGGAATAAATAAATCAATATTTTTATTTTAAAGTAGCATATTCAAATCTAGATTCTAAATCATAGATTAATTAGATTTATGCTAAAAGTTCTATCCTAGGTAATACTTTATTATGATATAAAAGTCAGATTTAGAAATAGCGTGAGTCAAATTCCACCTCTTCTCAAATGTAAAGCTATGTGAGATTCTGTATGGGAAAAATGATGTGGTAAAACCCTGTTAGCATATATGATGGGTTTTGATTATCCCAGATATCAACACTCAAATAAACAACACTATAATTCATTTTTCCATTTTAGTATTTATCAATATATTGTCTGGAATTATTAGAAAATTTACTTTTATTTTTATTATTTTAATGTGTCTATTAGTAAAATCATCCATGAAATCTGCATCATCAACCATACTTGGCATACAATGCTAAACAGATGTTAATTTTATTTTATCCCACAGTGGAATATAAACTTAAAGGAAATCACTAATTTCCTAGAAATGTGATTAATTAACTAGTAATAATAAATGGTACACTTTCTAAAAATTATGTCCTAATCTGCCCAGTTATACAAAGAAATCTAGCAACTGAATTCAACTCACTGAACTGAACACAAAATATGTTCAATGACTTTTTTACCCTAATATCATTATTAATAAATTCATCATAGATTTTGACTACCAGAAAAGAACAAACTCTAGGAAGTTAACCATGTAGACAAAAATGCAATTTCATGCGAAAATTATAACATCCTATTTGACAAACATTAACTGAAACAGAATCTAAATTCAGCAAATTCATGAATGATTAGAGAATTAGAAGTAAAGACACAAATCTACTTCATACCTAAAGAAGCTATAATTATTTCTAGTATTAAGTGTGAGTATGTAATACAGTTAGTTAATAGTGATTAATTCTCTAAAACTTGTATCTGTCAATAATGCGTTAAATGGCTGTTTTGTTGATCTTTTTCAACCTCACAGTTTTAGGAGGGCAGGATGTTTACCACAAAGCAGAGACCTGAATACTTCCCCTAGATACAATTACTTCTGTCAAATGATCAGACTCAGTGGTGTTCCACTAGATTAACTCGCAGATGGATTTCTCCACTCACTCCTGCTGCTCCTGGTTCGTGTGGAAATAAGGAATGACAAATGTCTTGCGGAAATTTTCTTTCACTCTATTTGAAAACAAGTCTATTTAAAATGCCCTTGAAGATGTGTTTGGTGAACACTAAAAGTTACAGTAAACAAAACAGTAAGTGGGGCTGCCTAAGCACCCTTAGTGGTTGCTTTACTGTCTGTCTAAGGAAAAATAAGGTGTTATGGTACAAACATTGACTCAGTATAATATCTCATCCAATTCTTTCTTACACAACAGAGGACACATTCTCCATGGGTACTGAAGGGGAACACAATTCCTTCAGCTCTCCTTTGCTAAAGTCTATGCGTCTGAGCAGAAGGCCAGTGACCCCTTGCTCTTTATTTCAATATACTTTCAAATACTCCTACAAAGTGCAAGGTCCTCAGCATTTGGGGTACTAGTGGCAACTTGTTTTGAAGGCCCTACACTGGCTGTCTTTTTAGTCCATCCCCAGGCATCTGTATCTCTCTGTATTTGTTCATCTTACCTTCTTAGTAAGGCTTATCTAGCTATCTATTTGAAATTGAAACCAACCATCCCTACCCTCCTCATTCCGTCTTTCTTTTTTCTTCCCATAGAACTTAACGTGTTCTAATATATTACAAAATTTATTGGCCGGGCACGGTGGCTCACGCCTGTAATCCCAGCACTCTGGGAGGCCGAGGCAGGCCGATCACGAGGTCAGGAGATCAAGACCATCCTGGCTAATAGAATGAAACCCCATCTCTACCAAAAAATACAAAAAATTAGCCGGGTCTAGTGGCGGGCACCTGTAGTCCCAGCTACTCAGGAGGCTGAGGCAGGAGAATGGCATGAACCTGGAAGGCGGAGCTCGCAGTGGACTGAGATCTCGCCGCTGCACTCCAGCCCGGGGGACAGAGCGAGACTCCATCTCAAAAAATATATATTTATTATAAAAAATATTTATTATGTTACTGTTTTTGTCTATCTCTTCTGGCCATAAATTAAACTCTATGAGGGCAGGTATCATGGATCATTTTGTTTATTAATATGTCCTAAACATCCAGAAGAGAAGTAGCACTACAAGGTTTTTAATAAATATTTAATGAATGAACAAGATACAGATACTCCCTTGGTTTAAAAGGATTATAATACATAAATGAAGAATGGTCACACATAAATTAATATGTCCAGGGATTTTTGATTTTGTTTTTGTGGTTATTATTTCTCCTTCTCTTCCCAAGGGTTAGAAGAATATTAAATAAAGAAGGTAGTACAGAAGGGAAACACTTAGATTAAGAGAAAGAAAGGGTAGTAACTCAAAGAATGAATCCTTGAGGGGATGGATACCCCATTCTCCAACATGTCCTTATTTCACATTTCATGCCTGTATCAAAACATCTCATGTTCCCCATAAAAATATACACCTACTACGTTCCCACATAAATTTAAAACAGAAAGCAAATTTAAAAATTTTAAAAAGAGAAAGAGAATAAAGGAGAAAAGAAAGTTTTGGAGAAGGCAAGATTGATGGGAAAGGTATTCAGATTATAGATGGAGGGGATTAGTAATGAACTATGAACAAATTACTATACTTAAAGGCAATTAGAATGATCCTTAGATTAATTTGACAATGTGTCAGGTACCATACTACAAAGACATACGATGATATACAATGTGGTAAAAACCAGAATGGTGTTTCTGAAACTCAATTAGATTTTTTTCTTTTTTTTTTAAATCACACTGCTTTCCCTTTCTTTCAATGACTTGGGGTCTTCAGGATAGAAATCCAAGACCATAGGAGAGTCTACAGGCCATTTCATGATCACAACATGGCCTGTCTTTAGATTAGAAACTTAGATCTTGTTAATGTCTTCAAAACAATCTATGCTTCAGCCACATCTAATCCCTTGTGCTACCTAGAAAGAGTAATGCCATTTCATACACTTCAAACTTGTGCTTGTTGCCATCCCTTCTGGGAATGTCCTTTGCCCTAGAGTCCACATGAAAATCACATAGAAATTCATTTGCTAAGAGTCTCTTTAACCATTTCCTCTGAAGATTCCTCCAAACAGCCCAAGCGTTATTAGTACCATACCCTTTTGCTCCTGAAATTCTTGTTGCTGTGCCTTTCTTGAAATTAAATTCTGAGTATCTGGAAAGCAGGGAGTGTGTTCAATTACTGTGTACACCCCGGCACTAAGATTGTTTCAGTCATACAATGGCTTTTAACAAATATATGTGACCAAGTAGACCACTGAGAAATTGTAATCCTCCACTCCCTTATCCAAAGAAAAAAACAAATTAAATCAGGTTCAGTTATATTATCATGTTAAAGAGTTGGTTATTACCTTTTCAATACTAGAAATAATTGTAATCCATACAGAATGTACAGTGTATGTGATTTTTTTCTAAATATTTAATCATTACAATGTCTTTCTTTTTTTTTTTTTTTTTTTTTTGAGAGTGTCTCACTTTATCATGCAGGCTGGAATACAGCAGTGAGATCATACCTCACCATAAGCTCAAATTCCTTGGCTCAAGCAATCCTCCTGCCTCAGCTTTCCAAGCAGCTAGGACTACAGGCACACGCCACCATGCCTACCTAATTTTTATTTATTTTTGTTGAGATGGGATCTCTCTCTGTTTCCCAGGCTGATCTCAAACTCCTCCTGGACTCAAGCGATCCTCCTGCCTGGGCCTCCCAAAGTGGTGGGATTCCTGGCATGAACCACTCTGCCCAGCCCACAGTAATGATTTATTAATTAAGGGAACAATAATAGATTGTTGGTATTTGTTCTCATAAGAAGAGATTGTGTATATAATAAAAGAACCCCTCCCTGCTGTCTCCCAGCAGTACATTCATTTTTCTCTTTTCTGAAAAATGTTCTGACAGTAGACTCATGAGCCCAATTTTCCTGAACATATGCAGTCATTATTCCCAAAATAAGCTTCACTGTTTGTGTCAAGAAACAAAGGTGAATTTGCCTTGCTGCATAGCTCCTTGCTTATTTCTGTTATTTACCTTTAGACTCCACCAGAGTAGGATATGTAAATCATGTTAACATATACCTTCCATATTTCTGACTAAATGTGATGCTGGGAATACCCTGCTTCAAAGCTAACATCAAAGCGTCATTTTCTGAATCTTTTAGGGACAGATTGTCTCACCAGCTTAATTCAATCTAATATTATGAAAATAATTGTGCCATCAAAAAAGAAGTCATTCTGACCACTAACGTACCTATGGAATAAAACTGACAATTGTAGGCTGCCTAGCACATGTCCCTGTTCAGCAACAGAGATTTTAAAATACTTTCATCCTCTGTAATTCTAACACAAGGGAAGAGAAATCCTTATAAGAAACCCTGTCAGGATGTGACAACTTGAATGAGAACAATTTAAAAATGTATGAGAGACTGAAAATGAATCATTTAAATATACCAAAAAAATCTTTACTTGTGAGTGATATCCTTGAAAAATTACCTAATAATTTATCAAAAATGAACATCCCTTTTCAAATGAGTGACATTTTTCAGGTTTCCTTCCTTTTCCTTGGATTTACAACTAATTTTTAAAGCAGCTTTCAAGCAATTGCTGTGAACTTAGGGTTTTTTCCACTGAAAAATCTGGCGTATTTAGTGGCATCATTTTTTTTTTCTTTTAAAACACAAATTGACTGGGACCTCTAAAGTGTTTTGGTTCTTCTTAACACACAAGGAGCAAAAGAAAAATCTCAAAGTTTTATCCCTTAAGAATATAGAAGCCATCTGCTACATGTTGAGATCAACCTCTGTGCTTCTTACTCAGTATGTATATGTGAGCCTGAAACTATTTAGTGGCCCAATTTTGGCTTAGTTTATGTGGAGTGTCAGTATTGCCTTTTAGTACTAAGCTAGTCTAGAGAGACAATTGAATTAAATGTCAAGTTATCTAAGTTTCAGTCCTGACTCTATAATTATCTACCTAGTTCATCCAGTGTCAATTACTTAAGCTCTTTGCTATTTGATATGGTTTGGCTGTGTCCCCATCAAATCTCATCTTAAATTCCCACATGTTGTGGGAGGTAATTGAATCATGGGGGCAGGTCTTTATGTGGTAAGGACTGACTGTGCTGGGTATCCCACTGGGAGGCACCCAGTGGGAGGTAATTGAATCACGGGGGCAGGTCCTTCCTGTGCTGTTCTTGTGATAGTGAATACATCTCATGACATCTGATGGCTTCATAAGGTGGAGTTTCCCCACACAAGCTTTCTCTTTGCCTGCTGCCATCCATGTAAGATGTCACTTGCTCCTCCTTGCCTTCCGCCATGATTGTGAGGCCTTCCCAGCCACGGGGAACTGTAAGTCCATTAAACCCTTTTTCCTGTATAAATTACCTAGTCTCGGGTATGTCTTTATCAGCAGAGTGAAAACAGACTAATACACTACTTAACCTAGCCTTTGCTAAAAAGTGATAAAAATATGTAACTACTTCCTATTGCAGTAGTTTACTAAAAGAATTCTAATAAAATACTCTGAAAACTCTTATAAGAGGAATAGGAAGCAATTGGACCCCTGAAGAAAAGTATAAAATTCTTAGCTGTATTCTCAGGAGCCAAATCCAAACAAAAATTTTATCAGGCACTAAAAATGTTTAGAAAATCATGTGGAATTCCCACATGGTGTCAACATTTTTAAAATTAAAATGTTGCAAATGCGGTTCAAATGACCATGGTAATGACTGGGGAGGAAAGTAAGTGACTGAAAAGTTCATGGGCTGCAGGCAGCCCCTCACACTTGGAACATGTGCAAACTGGTGCTCAGTTGTGTCTATGCCTTCACTGTATACTCTGTGTCTTCATATTTCAGTTTTTTTTCTTTTTTTTCTTTATTATACTTTAAGTTCTAGGGTAGATGTGCACAACGTGCAGGTTTGTTACATATGTATACATGTGCCATGTTGGTGTGCTGCACCCATTAACTCATCATCTACATTAGGTATTTCTATTAATGCTATCCCTCTCCCCTCCCCCAACTCCATGAGAGGCCCCAGTGTGTGATGTTTCCCATCCTGTGTCCAAGTGTTCTCATTGTTCAATTCCCACCTATGAGTAAGAACAAGCAGTGTTAGGTTTTCTGTTCTTGCGATAGTTTGCTCACAATGATGGTTTCCAGCTTCATCCATGTCCCTACAAAGGACATGAACTCATCCTTTTTTATGGCTACAAAGTATTCCATGGTGTATATGTGCCACATTTTCTTAATCCAGTCTATCACTGATGGACATTTGGGTTGGTTGCAAGTCTTTGTTATTGTGTGTCTTCACATATTAAAGGAAAAACTAATTTCAGCTCATTAAAATGGAAATTTGGGGAGGCTTCTCCTGGGAGAAGAGGTGGCTAGAAACGCAACACAAAGACTGTGTTACTTTGATGAAGGTGCTTGGGCTATGTGCCCACTTTGATATCCTAGAATGTCATCATGGAATGGAAAGTTACACTGTATCACCCTACACACCTGGAATATAACTTGGTAGGTTTTTGTCATGAAAATCCCTATCCTAGATACAACAAGAATAACATGTTGGTCGGCTAAACTCAGTTTTCTACCTCTCTACATCTATCAGTTGTCATTGGCAGCACATTGTTATAAAATTACCTAAAGGTATACCATCATGTTGGGCATGTATGTAGTCCCCCATAAATGGTAGTTATTATTATTAATTGTATATTATTATTAATGGTATTACCATGACTATGGCCTATGAGTCCTTAGACAGTAATATTTCTCTGATTTTTCCATCTGATGGTTATAGCCCCATTTAAATACTCAAATCTACTTTGCTTTGAGACTAGGAGTACTTGAGCAGTTTTATCACCCCTCTCCAGTACACTCAGCCACAAACAACAAATATTATTCCAACCTGAGATCTGATGACCCAGTGCTGGTTCCTTGACTCCTGAATTGTGTTTTAAGGAGAAATATTTCCATCTTGTGCTCCAACTTCAAAACAATTTTTTGGAAGGGTACACAGCTCCAATATTTCAACTCATATTTTTTAACCCGCCCTGTTACATAATATAAGCTCAATAACAACTATGGTCCTCTTTTACACATATTATCAAAAAGGTAATCATTTATATGGCATTGTAACATTTCAAACATTCATTGAATAATAAGCCATGCCATTTCATTTCTACTTTATATTGATTTAACTTCTGTGGTTAAAACTAGAGAGTACTGACACTGACTATGCACACCGGTGATTCTGTTTGGCTTCACCCTGCAGCTCCAGTCTCCATTCTGTGCCCTGATTTGTGCACCATAATCCTGACTCTGCAGATGAATCACTCAAGCTCCCTGATATGGTTTGGCTGTGTCCCCATTCAAATCTCATCTTGAATTGTAGCTCCCAAATTCCCAGGTGACTTGGGAGGGACCCCCATTCCTCAACATCAACTCTCACTGGGCTTTGGTAACACTGTGCTCTCTCTCCAGCCCTTTGGGACTACACAGAAAGAACACCATTGCATATATCTAAGATGAAAGTTCTAGTATTTAATTTATTTAACTGGTGATGACACTGCATGAGAGGATTCTGAGTTTATTTATTCGATCCCTGAAACATATTTATTAATTACTATACATATGAAAAGCCTTACTTCAGTGTGCTGGATTCTATGTCAAGACTTCACATGCATTACCTTTCTATTCTATGAGGTTTTATCATCCTAATTTTACACATGAGGAAACTGAGGCTTCTAGAATTTTAATTGATTTGCCATATTAGTAGTAATAAGTGTAACAAGGATTCAAACCCAGACAGTCTAATTCCTGGACTCCATACTATGAAAAACTGAGGTACAAAGAGTATGAAGAAGAATGCATGGACATATAAAGATAAATTCAACATGGACTTTTTTACCTCAGGGAGTTACAATGAATTCAAGGAAGGTGATATTTTGCAGACAAAACAGAAATGATTTACCTCTGAGTGTAGGATTATGTAATTTGTCTTAACTGAGTTCATACCAATTAGAAAAGGAACCACCCAGTTAAGGGCAGATATCTCTCCTAAACAATTTTAAAAATTAGTTTTATATTATACTTTATTGGCAACCTTTTAAAGTAGGTTTTGAGATACTAGGGTAAGAAGGATTTCAGTTCCAGTTAACTGTTTCCTTTGCTGTGTCATCTTCTTAGTTTGATGCAATCCCATTTGTCTAGTTTGAAATCATGAACTTTTAAAACATAGTTTTAAAAGAGACAATACAAGGCATGCATACTCAACAGGGACAATGTCATCCCGAATGAAGCAAACAGTTCTTGGGGGTGCAAAAGTCTTACATATTACCACGATTGTGGCCTCCAAAGTTCAACCCAGTGCAACATAATCTTTTCCCTCAGTATTTAATTTCTCTAGCGAGGGATAACCATATTTTCTCTCTAGAGATGGGATGATGATTTTAAAAATGATCTAAAGTAGAGACATAGGGAAAATACAATACACAAATTACTGAATTCTCTCATTCACTAATCAAGGAGAACACAGTGAGCTTAGAAAACATTGCTGAACAATTACTTCAAAGCTATAACTAATTGCATCAATTGGCACCAATCTTTGCAGTAGGTACCTATTTCTTGTTATCTATTAGGCAACAATCCAAAGCAAATGCAATTGACAAACATTTCTAACTAGTCCCTAATAAAGTTTCTTCTGAAACCATTTTTCATAATGTTTTCTCCTAAATAATTGCAACCTTTACACATGAAATAAAAGCAATACAACATCGTATCCTTGACCTGTGTTATTTTTCAAAACAAATTAATAAAGGAACTGTCTATGGCTCAAAGCTTGAACCAAATAGTGAAAAATCAGTTTCTTGGCATATTGAACTGGCTAAAGCATCTTTCTCTTTGTTCTGTGTGACAACAGGGGCCTATAGAGAAACATCTGTCAGTTAACAGATTTTAAAAACAAGCTAAATTCCTGGTTCAGAGTTATTCAGAACAAAGTAAGCAAGGATGATTTTCAGCTGCTAGAATGTGACTGGCAAAGCAAATTGCAGAGTACTACAAAGTCAATCTGTTTTCAGTGGAGGGAGAGGGAGAAACAAGGAGGTGAAACATATGCATAATCATACAATGATTTAAAAAAAGAGTGCTTAAAGAATGATTCAAGGGCATATTCTGGATTAGCAGTAAGAAATTGAATTCTATCTTGAGATTTATTTCACCCAAAGAAACTGATTGTTTAAAAATACAGTGTGTTGATGACGAGAAAGTTAGCACAGATCCAAGTTCTCAGCTCACATAATAAAACATAAAAGGTGTCTCAGTCAATTATTAGTCCATTGAATTTTTTTCCCCCAGAAGAATCTAAAAGCACGCTATAAAGCTTAACGGCTTTCATTTCAATATGTATAAGGGTATTCTCCTCCAAATATGCTACTTTTTCTTGCAAATAAAAGGACAATTTCTAAAGCACAAAAAAACTTACATCATGTGGTAACTCCAAACTGATAGTCTTAAATATACTAAAATTTTCAAGAAAATTAGGAGATAATATATGTTAAGAAATATTTCTGCAGAAAATATTATGTCCTTTCTTTTAAAAATAGAAAATAATACTTACATAAGACCTCTCTTTACACTAAGTTTTCCCTTTTCTGCCCCTAAAATATGTCTCATAAAAACTTATGCCACGTCCAGAATGGTAAGGTAAGAACCATTTTGAAGTCCTTTACTCAAGAAAAGCAATGACAAATATTATCAAAATCAACTTTTTCAGATCTCTGAAAATCACAGTCATGCAACAATCTGAGGATAATTTATTCAAATAAAATAGCTAAATATCAATAAAAACAGCAAGTTTGTTTTTGTTTTTGTTTTTTTTTGAGAAGGAGTCTCACTTTGTTGCCCAGGCTGGAATGCAGTGGCGCAACATTGGCTCACTGCAACTCAGGTTTCAAGCAATTCTCCCGCCTCAGTCTCCCAAATAGGTGGAATTATAGGTGCCTGCCATAACACCCAGCTAATTTTTCTGTATTTAGTATAGATGGGGTTTCACCACATTAGCCAGGCTGGTCTCGAACTCCTGACCTCAAGTGCTAGGATTACAGGCGTGAGCCACCGCACCTGGCCCTTTATTTCGTTTTAACTTGTCTATTACTACTCCCCTCTTTCCAGCTCCAGGGCAGGTTTGGAAATCAACTGGCTCATGATCCTGGTGTCTATGAAAAATAGTCCTCCCCAAAGAACAGGAATAAAACACGGGTATCTGCTCTCTCCACTTCACTTGCACATTTTACTAAAAGTTCTGTTCTTGCCAGGGCAATTAGGCAAAAGTGTGGGTGTGTGTGTGTATGTGTGTGTACAAACACACATATATATGACATCCAGATTGGAAAGGAAATAAGTAACACTTCCAGGTATATACACAAGAGAATTGGAAACAATTGCTTCTACACAAAAGTTCAACATGACTGCTCATAGCAGCATAATTCACGACAGCTAAAAAGAGGAAACAACCCAAATGATCATTAACTGGTGAATGGATAAACAAAGTAAGGCATATCCATGCAATGAAATATTATTCTGCAGTAAAAAGGAATAACTTACCAATATATGCTAAACCATGAAAGAACATTGAAAATATTTGCTAAGTGAAAGAAGCCATTCACAAAAGGCCACATATTGTGCAATTTCAATGACATAAAGTATCCAGAATTGGCAAATACATGGAGACAGAAAATGGTTGCCAGGAGGAGTCAGAAGAGTAAAAAGTGACTGGCAATGGGTACTGGGATTCTTTTGTTAGATAATGCAAATATTCAAAAGTGAGATGGGGTGATGGTTACACAACTCTATGAATATAATAAAACCACCGAGTTACATACTCTAAAAGGCTGAATTTTATGGCATTTGAATTATACTTCAAGAAAGCTCTTATTTAAAAAATCTAGTGGCAAAGATTGATGTAAGAAAATATTAGTGAGCAAACTCATGAAAATCCCTTAGTACAGTGACTGACATCACAGTATTAAAGAAATGTTAGCTATAATTATCTGTAATTACTATTTGAAAACAAATGTATTTAGCAAAATAGATTTTGAAAATTATAGTAACAATATGGACACAAAATTTCCTTTTCTCAGGGAGAATGCAACATTCTTATAGACTGTTGCACTAGTTTACTCCTGAAGATCAATCAATAACACTTCTTTTGTAAACGAATATCACTTCATAGCAATAATTGGAAAATGTATTGGAAATGTGTTTTTCTGATGTAAATTTCTTTTACCTCCAGATAGCATCAATATTTTCCTATGCCATCATAATTTATTTCTCTGTTTTTTCCTATGTGAATTCATAGAAATCTTTATGAAATTTACTGAAAATTCAAAAAGGCATGTCTAGTATCATAAAAGAGACTGCATAACAACAGGACATTTCCTCTAATGCTTTTGGCAAATTTGCAGAATCACTTTACAACACAGTCATGTGTCCTTCCTCAATAAAAAGCTGAGTTTTGTTAGATACGGAAATTTAGTTGTCTACGGAATATTTGTCTGTTGGTTTATTTTCTGACTTTCTTACAGGCTTACTTTGAAGAGAACTGCAATTAAAGACCCAATTTTAACATAAGCATGGGAACCAGTTTTGGCTAAGCCACTTAATGAATTTATCTATATATTAGGATGTCTCTTTCCTTAACAAGTAATGAAGTATATGATCTGCAAGATTTTTCTAACTCTGTAAGACCATGACTTGACACTTAAATTCTAAATGATTTACTTGTGGTATGAATTAATACTATCCATGTTCCCCCCATGTTGTCAATTTTCTGGAAATAGGAAAAAAAATACCATTCCCAAATCAAAGAATCCACAAAACCAACTGTGAGAAATTAGAATTGGTGTGTATATGCTAACAAACATAAATATCTATCTTCTGAGAGTATGTAATTATTATGTATTTGACACTTCATGCTTTCCAAATGCTTTAAAACTATTAATTCATTTTTCCTTGCAAACATGCTATGAATCATAAGTTATAACTCTCTAAACTTCTAAGATACCACTCAAATGAAAAATAACTAATTTTTCAAAATCCAAAACTGATGTTGTGTTATAGTGAGGAGTAATTCACAATAGTGCTAGTCTAACACCGACCACATCATTATCACCTAATACACTACTTTTATTTCATACTTTGCACAGTTACATTTAAGATTTCAGTGGTGTTTGGAGATCTTAAACCAACAATAAGTTATATGCAGGAAAGGAGTTTGGTGGGACCTTCTAATTTGAGCCATGTTGCCTCCTGGAATATTGATTTATTCTAAACTAGTTGAAAAGAAAAATCTACATACCAGTTGATAAAGAAAAAAAACCACAGAATAAATTGATCATTCAGCTAGATTTGCACAATCAACACTGCCAAATTTGTGGTAAGGGAAGTGTAAAATGAGAAAGTATGTAATACAGTGCTATGGTGTAAGGTTTACATGGGAAAACAATAAGAAAATGGAATGAAAACCTAAAGAAAAAGGAAATAAAAGAGGCAAAGAAGAAAATAAAAAATGATAAAATTAGGATAGCCAAAGAATTTGGAAAAGCCATGAAAAGAGCACGCAGGTCAAGAAAACCCTCATGAGAGCAGAAAAAGGCCTCAGAAAACTAGCCCATGGTACTTCTCAGGATGGTTGAGATACAATGAAAAACTATCATCAACTGGTGAGGCTGGTTATGATGCTAGCATATTATTCCTCAGCAAATTATTAGAACCTGTCTGATTATTTTCAGTGCCATGAAAACATCAAACATCATGGACATGTATGATCAAATCAGCTTAGACTGTTACCCAGAGGGGCATTTGCTATCAAGGATTCAAAGCCTAACTTTGAGAGATGTGAGCAAAATCCACTTTCCAATCCAAATATATGCTTAACTGGTATATTTAAATAGACTCTAGTCCTATGATTTTACTAGTATGCTAGCAGTGACTTCCAACATCATCTGTCAATCCTTACACAAATGCTACCTTCTTTGTGAAGACTTCTAGATAGTATACATACATTGATCTTCTCTTATGGAATAAACACTCTCAACAAACACCTGTGGTAAAACAATTCTCCTTATTTAATAAGAATGAGGTATTTAGAATTATAAAAATTAAAGTTATTCTAACATGATTATAAATCATATATTTTAATTATACATCTTATTTCATCTAATTATTCTAATATAATCATCTTATTATAATAATTAAGTTATAATGTTTATTTATATTTGTCTCCTTGATGGACTGTAAATTTCCTGGAGAAATAGTCCATGTCATTTCATCTACGTATTTCCTTCCCTAATATTGTTCCTATTACAATGCCTGAGGCACAGTTAATACCCTATAATATATAGTGAATGAATGAATAAACAGGTAACTATCCCCAGCCTTAACTACTTGCCTGAATGCTAAGCTATCTTCTATCTAGTGGACATTCGTTAGCTGAAGATATCTGTGACACAAATGTCCCCATATTCTGTCCTATTCTCCAGCTTCCATAACTTGATTAACATCACCATGAATTAATATCTCTGTCTCTCTGTCATTCTTCTGCCTTTCTCTTCTCTCCCCACTTTCCACGCTCCCACATGCAGACACACAGACATGTGCACATGTGTGCACACATGTACATACACACATTTATTTTGGAACATTCTCATTTTCAGTTCAAGGCCCAGCTCAAAGTCACTTATCCATTACAATAGCATCACCATCATACCACAGTTTATATTTAGATTGTCACTTCTGTTGAATTCTGAATTCTTTAATTGTGGAGTCCTTATTTGACTCCATTTTTAAATCCACAATATACAGTGGAGTGCTTAGGACATAAGTAAAATCTAATAACGTTTTAAAAATATTTTTCTTGAAGTCCCACATACCCAAACTCAATTTTCAAATATAATTTTTTTTTTCAAATTGTAAACCTCTTATTCTATTGTTTTTATTGCAGCAAAACTGGCAATTAGAGCTAGATAAAGACTACAAATTAGAAAATCTACAAACACAATATGGAGTACATTAACTAACATTTTTGAACCTTATAGCAAATTTTAGGAGTTTGGTACTTTTCCACCTTTTAAATTCAAAAACTAATTATTTGTTTAACATTAAAATATCAAAATAGATTCCACATCTTTATGGAGCGAATTTTATTCAACTTGCAATGAAAGATAAATCCTCTAAGAATTTATAGTACTGGTTCAAATTCAAGCCTTAGCAAAATATTCCTATGTGTCATTCATCAAATTACTTGTTTGAATAATTTCTTATCTACGAAAGAAGCTTTTGAACTCAGTGGTATTCAAAATTTACTTACAATTTGAATCTGCATTTTGTTTAAAAACATTCAAAGAACTGAAATGGACATTCTAACTTGACCAATAACCTTCTTCTTCTCCCAGAAACCTTGTAGGGTAGTTCTAAGAAACTCTTACGTTCCCTAAAACACACTTTGATGGCCACTGCATTCTCAGGAGTCCTGTTGACTCTCCCATTGCGTAACTTATTGATGTAGAATATGCTCTAAAAGCCAAAGGCATCATGTTCCATATAGTCATTGGCATTGTTCATAAAATTAGTATGCAGCCATTAGAGCAAAATTCAAAAGTCCAAATTTGCAAACAACATTTAGATTTCCAACATGTATGAAATAGGCAACACAGGTTCTGCTTTGACAGAAATCAGAGTCCCATAATTCAAAGGAGATGGATGATGATAATTAATGGAATGGGCAGTGGTGGCAAGTGCACATGGCTTCAAGTTTTCATACATCGTAAGTATAAAATATATCTATAATATTTATTACTTAATTTGGTTATAAAAGTTTAAAACATTTTATCACTTCACATAAGAAATAATTCTATTTTCCAGTGAAATGAAATAAAATTATGATTTTAAAGCTCTTTAGCAAGTCTTTGCCTATAAGCAATTTACCCACTAATTACAAATAATGCTTGCCAATTATTAAAAGAAGGAAGAAAAACAATTACTCTATGTCATTTCCAGTCTTGCAGGTAGTAAATAAAAGCAACAAAGCTGCATTTATTAATTTTTCTAAAATAACTTTTTTGGAATTTTTGTTTATTTATTTTTAGGATTTTCCCCATCCTAGCAATTGATATTATGTGAACAAACTCATTTACACTGTATTATGAGGTTTGATTTTATAACTGAACTAAATTAGCTTCGTGGAAAGTAAATAAGCAGTTGGAAGGGGAAAGGTATCATTCTCAATTAGCCAGACCTCTGCTGGCCCATGTTTAATGTCATAATACAACAAAATATTCTGGCAAATGTTGCTGTTAGGAACTGGCTTCATTAGAAAAGTCAGGAAAAAAGCTGTAGCTCTGCATATCCTCAGCATATACTTGATAATTAAAGCCATATGCCTCAATCTGGAAAGAATATGAATAATAGGAGGGAAAACAAAGAAACTGGCTTAGAAACCTACTGTTTGGGATGCTTTAATGTATAACTACAACAAAAATGAGTTTCACCGTTTTAAGATGAAATTTAAATTTTACAAAAATAATTATCTTGTTATTTCCTAATAAAATGTTTGCTATGACAAACATAATCAATATTCTATGCTTTCTAAGAATTAGGGAGCCAATATTATTTAATGAGCACATTAAACTCTGTGGTTTGGGGAAAATAAAAAAAGGAAAAGAAGACACATTCTAAGAAACAATTATCAAATTTTCTAACTGGAGCCAGAACTCATTCATGTACTTAAAAAAAAAAAAAAAAAAAAAAAGGTTTCAGAATGCTTTCAACATGTCAAACAAATAAGGGCAAATTAATAGAACAAAAACTGAGTAGATAATTCCAAGAAGACTCAGAATAAGAGTCACTTAGAGTTCATTAAGTAAGTCTTACTAAAAGAGGTTAGTCTTAAGCCAGGCTTTGAAAGACAAGGCAGAAGTGGAGTAGTTGAAAACCCAAGGAAAAAATGCAAGCACATGCAACAAGAACCAGAAAAAATAAAAGCACAAAGTTGGAAATGAGCAAGACGGGTAGCCATACTTTCTGGGGTATAGAAATCCATATGGGATTTGGTACAATTAAGAAAATTTAGGGCCTATGGAAGGGTTCAGAAGAATCAAATGCCCTTTGAAACATCAGTTTAATAATAAACTAAGTCAGACTGAGTCATTACACATTCTTGTGTAAAAGAGACATGGTTTTATGGGAAGAAAAACAACAACAACAATAAACAAGACACAGTAGATAGAGTCTGAGAAAAGGTATATGACAATCAAAATTTGTCTAAAACATATAGTATATAGATAGCTAATAACTTTACTTGCAGACAGAATCATCCTTAAAATAGAATTATCCTTAGAACTGTAAATGTCAGAATATGCAGTTCACTTTCTATGCTATTTATACTCCAGCATCTTCCAAAACAGATTTTTTAAGGGCACAGACAGAGTAAAATCATAAAAGAGCATTAAAATAGTAAATCGGGGTGAACAAGAATATACTAGAAACACTTAACTAAGAAAAGCCACTGCCATTTAACACAAAACCAAGCACTAAATTTTTGGCTGCCAGAGAAAGGGCTAAATAAAGTATATTTCTTTCATCACTGTATTCCACCACAAAGCAAATATTTATTGGTCACATTGCATGTATAAAATTATGGTCAACTATAAAAAAAGAAACAATAGCTCATCAAGAGTTTTTCTTTCCTAGCTTTGAACTCAGAGAGGTATTTATTGTTTTGAGATTTATATGAAAGATACCAAACAGTATGATGAAGGAATGGTGTCCTTTCTAGCAAAAACAAAATTCAAATGTTCTAGATAGGGCTGTTTCTGAAAACAAACTTTGATGAAGTTAGGGCAAAATATTTTATCATACTTATATAAAAGCAGTGCTTTAAAATAAGTACATGCGTTAGGTATGCTCTCTTTTGGTAATCTGATGTAAAAATTTGTAAGAATATAAGAATGAATGGTGTAGGTATTTTCTAAGGCACTTGTTAATGTTGCAGGTATTTTCCAGGGCATTTATTAAGCCTAGGCTTTTTCTACTTTCTATTCTTTTTTTTTTTTTTTAAGATTATTCCCACCCCCCACCCCCACCCTACCCCTGACCTTCTACAACATGTTGTGGTGAGTTTGCATTTACTACTAATCTTGCCATTGGCCACAGGTGAGTGGCTCAGAGTTGGTCACCAAACTAAAGCTGTCCCAGAGATATTTTTCTCCAAGAACATTTTTCTGAGTATTCTTACTGGGTTTAGGCTGTTCCCTTGAGCAGAAGTAAGATCAACTTGAGAGCAGTTTGAAAGCCATCTTCCACCATTGCTTGATTTTGTATATGGCGAAAGATAAGATGAGGGTAGAAAAAAGCAGAGGAAGGACAGGGTTAGAGGGGTGAGAAAGTAGGAGGGAAAAAGAGCTTAGGAGGGAGAGGAAGAAAAGAGAAAGCAAAAAGGAAAGGGAGAGAAGGAGGAAGAGGAGCTGAGGGTGAGAAAAAGCCTGCCTGACTTCCTATGGCTTTTCTTTTCCAGCTTTATTAAGATATAGTTGAAAACTAGACCAAAAAGCAAAATATAATTAACGTATTAGGTGATGCAAAAATAATTGCAGTTTTTGCCATTAAAAGTGGCACTTTTGCACCAATCTGATGCACATTTGGGGAATTTGGACATATGCATACATCTGTGTTTACCATCACCACAATCAAAGTAGTGAACATATTCACCAGCTTCAACAGTTCCTTTGTGTCCTTTGTATAAGACTGCATATGTTTATCATTTACAACATGATGTTTTGAAGTATATATATTATGGAATGGTTAAATTTAGCTAGTTAACAAAAGCACGAACTACATCACATAGTTATTCTGTGATGAGAATGCAATATCCACCGTCTTTGCATTTTTCAAGAAAATTATTTATTGTCATCAACTATAGTCATCACGCTGTACAACAGATCTCTTTCCCATGTCTTTTCAATTCCTGATTCCATTTTCAGGAATGATTTGGGACTTGCAGGTTTCTGCCCTTTGGTTACATCATTCCGTTACTTTAAGGAAGAATTTTAAAAGGATATCTCTATAATCACTTCCTCTGCTTTAACACCAATGGCAAAGAGAGCAGGGAAATGGCCTGGTCGGGGTGAGCAGCACCTCACCAATACAACATCAGCACCTCACCAATACAACATCAGCACCTCACCAATACAACATCAGCACCTCACCAATACAACATCAGCACCTCACCAATACATTGTCTCAATGCACTGGGGTTGTCAACATAGCAAGCTGGTTGTGTCATGCCCAGGCTCCAAAGACTCTATCGCAAGGATCTCAAGTGTCACATGATTCAGTCCTCAGTCTGGTTTGCTCGTGCTGTGATGACTGGCTAGCCTTACCCTTCAGCAAGCTCTGTTTCGCCACCCCTATGCTCTTGACTTGCTTTTTGATTTTACCCCGCAAGTGTTCACAATCTTATTGTTTCTTCCCCGCTTTTAAGTGTTTAGTGGTCTGCCTTGAAAAGTTTTAGTTGTCATTAATCAAAAATTGTCCAAAGTGCCTTCAGGATCATGTTATGAACTTCCAAATTTAAAATATTGTTTTAGGTATACATCAAATAATTTTGTAAGTACAAACTGAACACATTCTATATGCAATATACTGTGCAAGGCACATGGGGATAATTAAAGAGGAAAAATCAGAAACAAACTATTTTATGGTAGTTCGAGTGACATAACTTGATTTAGCTTATACAAGTTTCTGTTTTTTCCTATGCCAGCCAATCTTAGACTCTGCCCAATCTGATATGTTTTCTATCTCTAACTACAGGCTACAGATAACTGAACTGGAACATAATATATATTTATTTTCCTTAGACGGTTAAGGGAAGTAGCACTGTGGCTGGAGGCCGGTATTGTATATGTTATATTCTACTGTTTTCTTCCTCCACTTCCCTTGTGGAAAATCTCAGGGGAAAAAAAAAAGATCAGATTTAGACTGATATCCATGTGTATTTGCCTTAATGATAAAATTTCTTATAAAGTATTTTGAATATGATTCATTCAATAAATTGATTTCAATTCAATTTAAAGCTCTGCCATTAATTGTAAGTATACATGTGTGCACATATAAACATTTATTCTGATCATTGTTTCCAATCCTTTAAATGTTAATATCCTCATCCAAAGACAGAATCCACTCTTTTCTCTTCAACTACAGTTAACTGAAAAGGTTGGTTTTACTTTTGCCTGGAAAGCAAGATATCAGAGTCTTGATACGAATAAATACCCTGCATATCCAAGGTTACAATACATTTTTTAGCTGAAATTATTTACAAAAGGAACTGAAATTTTTACTATCTTTGCCTAGATAGGAGATTCCTGCTCTAACCTCCATAGTCTTTCCACTCTCACACAGACAGCAGTACTTTTAAACATGACCGGTTTTAGTTCCTTTGTCTGCAAAATGGAGATAATAAAAACACTTTTATGACAGGGTTGTGATGAGGATCTAATGACATATTTCTATGAAAGTACTTTGCAAACTCTGAAGCATTTTTAAAATGGTACTCAACTAATCCACTGATGTAGAAGACTCCTTTTACAAACAGTGTCCCTAAGAGCTGGTGGTTAGAAGGTGAAGTTGTATTGACATGGAGTAATAAAGAGCCCAGAGTGTTCAATACCATTAGTCTCTGTAGTCCTGAAATTCATCACCGAAACCTATAAAGAAGTCCTGTGCTAGACACTGCGGGGAATTAAAATGGGGCAGAGACACTGACTTTCTTTCCCTAGAGCTTATTTTGGGGCATAAGACATAAAGTATAATGATCAAAGGGAATAATGCATGACCACTCTTAAATAGTATTGCTATTGTATAAATACTATAGGATTTCACTTCAGAAGAGATTCATGGAAGTGAGGCATAAACACAGACTTGAAAAAATGGCTGGACTAAAGAAGCAAAAGAAAAAAACTCAAAATTATGAAAAACCTGATAAGCACAGAGGAGCCTGCATTCACAAAGGGCTAAATTATGAGTGAAAGGAAAATAAATTTGGGGGCCTCAAGACAACCATTTGTCTCTTATCTACCTATGACCTTGATGACCCCTCCCCACTTCGAGTTGTCCCTCTTCTACTTCAAGTTGTCCTGCGTTTCTGGACCGAATCAATGTTCATCTTACATGTGTTGACTGATGTCTCATGTCTCCCTAAAATGTCTAAAGCCAAGCTGTGCTCCAACCACCTTGGGCACATGTCATCAGAATCTCCTGAAGTTGTGTCATGGGTGCATGTAGTTAACTTTGGCAAAATACACTTCTTAAATTGACTGAAACCTGTCTGAGATTTGGAGGTTCACATATGAAATGGAGGTTCTGGTGATAGAGGAAAGCAGGAAATACAAGTCTGGAATCTGGCTGGCCTGTACTGAGTAGGATGCTGAAAGCCCAGCTATGTTTATAACTATCTTAGCTAAAGCACTGGCTTTCAACGAGTTGTTAGTGCCTCAGAATTAACTGGAGGACCCCACCCCTCCAGATTCTTATTTAGCAGATCTGGTCTGGGCCAGAGAGTCTGCATTTCTAACAATTCCCAGATGATGTTCACACTACCGGTCCCAAAGCCACACTTGAGAACCACTGTCCCTTCAGATGGATCAAGCCACTGATAAAGTTTAAACATGAGTTTAGGAATCAGATTTGAATAAAAATGATTCTGGCAGATAATTTGTAGGGAGAGAGAATGCAAAATGAAAGTGACTAATAGAAAAAATCTGGGCATGAGGCGGTAAGGTCTAACGTAAAGTGGCACTAACTAGGAACACAAAGAGGCATTTGCTCCCACGCATTTCATGCTTTATGAATTTTCCCGCATGGTTCCAATGCAGTGAACCAGTATTACACAGTACTTCTCCTGGATTCTCTCAGAAAGGCATCTCATTTCTGCAGCCTCATTGAGCTCTAGAGTCAGGAAGTGACCTTTATGTGTTTAGGTCTCTTGGCCACTGGGTCAGAAGCTAGTCACTGGGGTCCTACACACCAGCTTGAATTTTATGGCTCCTTCTTTACTCATATACTCCTATTTTTACTTAAGACTTAGAAATGGTGTAGCCCCTGAAGATTTTCCTGCTAGCAGGGGAGCCAAGCGTTAGTGAGGGCCAGCCACAGAGGAAACAAGAGAAGTGGCAAATACGAAAGATAGTGTGGTGGGAAAATCTGCAGAATTTTGGCAATTGACTATCCAATGACTGAGTGATGTGTAGCCTGGGCTTCTTTGGAGAAATTTGGGATCATTAACAGAAACAGCAAAAGCAAGAGAAGACATTGGTTTGGAGGAGAGCTGGTAAATTTAGCTTTAGTTTTTTTTGTTTTGTTTTGTTTTGTTTTTTGAGACAGAGTCTTGCTCTGTCGCCCAGGCTACAGTGCAGTGGCGCAATCTAGTCTCACTACAACCTCCGCCTCCCTTTCAAGTAGCTGGATTACAGGTGCACACCACCACATCTGGCTAATTTTTAGCAGAGACAGGATTTCACCACGTTGGCCAGGCTGGTCTTGAATTCCTGGCCTCAAGTGATCTGCTTGCCTCAACCTCCCAAAGTGCTGGGATTACAGGCATGGGCCACTGCACCTGGCCTAAATTTAGCTTTTATGTGTTTGATGGAGTTGTCTCAAAAACAGAAGGATGAACCTTTCTAGCACAGAGTTGGAGATGAAAGGCGTAAAGCTTGAGATAGAAGTTGGAGTGGGCTATGCAGATCTGTACATCCTGTACAAAAATGTAATAGTTAACACTTAACCCCTTTGTGATATTAGTGAAGGAGGAGGGGAGAGTGAAAGGAGCTTAAAACTGTCCAGGAAAATCCTTCCATTAAGTGACAAAACAGGGATGAGTAAAGGGAGTAGTGGGGATAAGGAAAGGGAAGTGGCTGAAGAGACTATCAGATTCAGTGACGAGAACATGACAAATGCATTTCTGGAACACAATCTTAGACAAGAGGCAGGGAGAACAGTGAGTATGTGATAAGCAAACAGAAGACAAGTTCAGTACAATTGTTTCCTGCATTTTACATCTAAGGAGGCTGGGGCTCAGAATAAGTTGAATAACTTAGATAACACAGTGTAAATGGGAGTCCAGAGAGTCAAACTGAAAGCTGAGTGATTCCACCATGACACCAAGGATCCTTGTTTCTGTCTGCTAAATGAATAGCTATAGTCATGCAACTGGGAACTGACGTGCGCTGTTAAGACCAAGAAGAAACTGAATGAGAATGTTGGGGCTGGGAATATAGCAGTTGGTATAAAATAGTCACAATATCCAGGACACATACATAAATATACCAACTTATAGATTCTTCTTCATGTTTATCTGTAGATTTTCCCCTAATATCAGCCTGACTTATAATAGAGATGGTAAGAATTGTGTGTGACTACACACCAGACCAGTAAACTGACTACACTGTACAGTGACTACATCCCTGGAAACCAGGAATCCAGTGTGAAAAGATCCTTTGATCACTGATGAGGATCAGGACAGCTCTAAGGACTCTCACGGGCGTCGGAGATCTGCTGGGTAGTCATGCTTTTTCTTGCTGAGAGACAAGAAACATCTTTATTAGAAAGAATGCATTCCAAACCAGGGCTATTCAAAGATACTCCCAGGAAGGTGTTTTGGTTTGGGGATGTTATGGTTTTTGTTTTTTTTTTGTTTTGTTTTTTAGTGCTGGCCCAAAGCCAGTCCAGCACTGCCTCCTCTGACTCTAAAATCAGAAGAGTCCTGAGAAAACGATAACTAAGATGGAAATATATTTGCAAACTCATTTCATTCATTCCTTTAACAGTTTTTACTGAATGCCTATTAGGTGCAATGTACTCTTCTAGAAAATGTGATCTTGACCCTTGTGGAATTCCATACTGGAATTACTTAAAAGCCACACAAATAAATATAATTCCAAACCTAGTTAAGCAAGAAACAAGTGCTATTATTGTTACACTGCCATTTTTTTCAAAGTAAAAATCAATATGATGCATCCATCATTTTCTAAATTTAATATTTTTCCTGCTTTTCATTTCAAATTTAGTTTTATAATAATTGTTAAAGGAAGAGACCTGAAAAACATGGGCGATTTTATAGTCTAATAATCACATCTTATTTCACCACCTGTCTTTAAAAGTCTTTATACTTTTAAATAACATTTGCAAGTACAATAATACTTTTGTACACTCATACAATGCACTGGGTAACAAATTTGAAAACACAGGAACTACTTAAGAGAAATATTTAGATTGTGTCTAATTTAAATAGATAGTCCACTGGGCAAGGACTGTATCTAATTCTATGTTAGGTACAGCACATTGCAAAATGTTGGCACTCAATAAATGTAAAATAATAACAACAGTCTTTTCCCCTTTAAAGTATATAATTACATCTACCCCCTACTGTGAACCAAGCTTGGTGACAGATCTTTTGTTTATTAAATCCACAGCCCTGAAGGCATACAGTACTGCAGCTTCAATAGGAGTTGCAGTAAAGTCCTCTCTACTTTAGGTAAAGCTTTAAATGTCTATAAGTCTCTAAGGAACATCTTAACTTAGTCGTCCACCATATATATTACTTAACCATACGTAAGAAGCCTTAGTTCTAAGTCCCCAGAGTGGAATCCAAACACTAAGTGGAAATGTGTTCTCAAAGTTAGTTCGGAAATAAGTCATGGAATAAAATCACTCTTAGCTAATTTACCATTTCTCTCTCCTAAAGAAACATGTCAAGTTACTGAGCAAAGCTCTGTAGGCTTTATGCAGGAAACATTCAATAGGTTCCCATGCTTGTGTTCAAAGTGAGCTATTATCCAAGTAGCCTGAACTGAGAAGGAAAAAAAAATGACTCATGTACAGCTTTATTTGAGACATTTGCACTACAATGAACTAGGCAAAGCAACAGGTCAAGTTAAAAAATATTGCAAAAAGCAACAGCAGCCGAAGCCCCTTCAAGGGGAATTTTGGACTGGAAAGCACTTTTAATTCGTTTCATCATTATTTTCTTCTAGTTTCCCGTGTTTGTGTTTGAATGCTTGCACTTGAACATTAGTTTCACAATCACCTATTCTACTTTTGGTATTGATGAAGTTCAACATATGCTCAGCAATTCACTGCTGCTAAAATAAGAAATGCAAATTCAGCTAAGTGCGCTCCAAGTCTAATGTTAAGCTAGGCCCGAGCTTCTTTGTAGTTTTTGTAGAGTATTATCATTAGCAGAGAAGGGTTAATGGCAGAGGCCGATGATTGTTTAAAAATTCACATTACCAAAGTGGATTACATTGCATCTACTGAGGGGATCAACAATGTAAGCCTACACTAAGCCATTATTGCAGAAACAAAGCTTTCATTTTAAGCCTTTGGAAACAAGCATAAAATGGACAAAAGAAAAAATTCTTCTGATGTAAGAACAAGGCAAGCACTACATGCTTTTCATCCAAACTCAGTTTTAGAATCATGATGAATGTACAAAAAATGGACCCCAAATAGCACATCATTAAATTAAAACATATCAGCATTTTGGAAAATGTTTCTTCTATAAGGCTAGAAATCCAACAGAAATCCTTTATTTAAAATTCCTTTTCCTTTGCTTGAGAATCAGTCACAACAAGAAGACGTAGATTCTTTAGGATTCTCTCAGTATTTGTTCTTTTATCCTCTAATGAGAATTTTTTTTAATGATTTTGAAAAATGCATTCTTACAGCCAGGGTCAAGCTTTGGCCTTTGTAGTAGTAACTCATTACACACAATTTTGGCATATGATAACTAAGCACGAAACCACCAGTTACTGACAGGAACAAGCCCTAGGCCTAGGCTAGAGGTACTTGACAAGGATCATTTATTCCTCATAACAAACTTAGAAGTACAGTACTTAAATCCCATTTTACAGACATAGAATCTGAGGTTCAGCCTTAGATAACTCATTTTAGAGAACCTAATAAAAGAGCAATGATTCAAACTCAGGTCTGACTGAAACTGCAGCTAATGCACCTCTGATTCTCACAGTGCCTTCTAAGGACTACAGAAGTTTCAGATAATTGAATGTATTTCAATAAACTGCCTGTGGAATTTGCTATGCTGTAGGGTCTTACTGTAATTCTTATTACTTAAAGATTGAATGCTTTGGTACCTTAAAATACATGAAATTGAAGTCTCAGTTTTGTTTTTTTTTCTTTCCTTTCATTTTAACAAATATGAGTTCAACAATGAAGCATTTTTGTCTATATAAATTAAATGTAAATATACCATGTCATCATTAATACTGCGTAACAAACAGGTATGTGGGGAAAAAGTCTCATGAATTGTAGCATGTTAATAAACTCAAGGAGATATTACTCTCCTATGTATGTCATGCATCCAGAAGCAAACCATCTGACAACTTTAACTCTTCAAAACGTGGCTGTGAACTAGTAAGTAAACCAAACGATACTTTTTTTTTTTTAATCTTTCAAACAGTCAAAATATTTCACACATTTTTTTCCCACTAATCCCATGTGTTTTACACATAGAATACTGCAGGTCCTCCTTCTGGGTTTATTCATACTTATTTTAAACATAATTCAGCCAGCTTGATTATTTGCTTTCCTTGTTCACAATAAACCAAGAACAACGAACTGAATTAGAAAATAGGAAGAATCCCTGGAGATTAAAAAAAAAAAAAAAGCTCAAGCCCTGCCAGGAATATAATAATGCTACCCAAATATACTCACAAATTAAAAATGCATAATATACCAACAACTAATGTATAGGTAAAATAATTCATAGTAGCTTTTCTGGTATCATATTTCTCACATATGAGTATATAGATACACTACAAATATATAAAACATATTTATATATAAATATAATAAAAGGCAATACTTTCACAGAGATTTCTGTGAATCAATCAGAATGCTTTCTTTTTCTACTTAGAATTCTGGACTTAAAGAATGGAAGTGTTTTTAGTAGATGACTTTATGTGAGACCTGTTAAACTAAAATAAAGACCAAATATACTGGGATCCAACAAGCAAAATACCCATGGTAGCCATTTTTATAGTGTAGCATATCTAAATTGTCTCCTATGTCTTGGCTATAATTTTTGTAAATATCTTCTGTGAAATAATTTCTGGTCTTGTCTCCTTTACTGAGGACGTATTTAAAAGTTAAGAATGGAGGGGTTTTGATTTTTGTGTAGTAGTTGATAAGTATGTAAAAAAACCTTAATCTAGGCTGAAGAATAAAAATTAAGTGCCAAAGAATTGTTGACATGTTTATAACCTGCAGAAGTGTAAACTCCTTGTAGGTAAAAGACCTTTGAATAAATCTCTTAGAATAAATATTTTTTCCTCCCACAAGACTTAGCAAGCAATAAACCTTAGAATAACGCAGTGAATGAATGCATAAAGTTCTTTATGTTTTGCCTAGCTCACATTTTTGGAATCTGGGAGGAGGCCAGAGGGAGGTGACTTTATTGTGGAGTATTACTATCCCTGCCTGGCTCACTATCACTACCAAGAAAATAAAACTGCAAAGTAAGTAGGAAAATCATGTATAGATAAAGGTACCGTGGATGTAATGGCCCTCAAAATATCATAAATATGAATTAATATGTAATAAGTACATAGAATACACAATAAATGTATCATAGATTATGTGTGTGTATGTATTAAAAGCCCATGGCTATAGAATTCTCAATATATTTCAATTAATGAGTGACTGAAATATTTACTAAACATCTACTACCTAATGTAAAGAGTTCCAGCAGAACTCTGTACTGTCTTTAGTGTAAGACATATGCCAATGCTACCCTAAATAGAACATTTTTAACAGCTTGAAATTTTAACTTTCTTATGTTTTTTCCTTTCTGATAATTTTATCAATGAGAAAATAAATAAATCAGACAGAAGAAAGTCAAGTGTTCCTTCCCTTCTCCCTTCAACAACCTCCACATTGAAGTGATAAATATTTACAATTTGATACACATTCTTCCCCTTCTTTCTCTATGTTCATAAAGTATCTTCAAATTTAAAACCAAATGGATTATAACAAGCACATCACAAGCCTACTTGCTTTTCTCACTTAAGATATCACAGATATCTATCATCTACGTCAATGGTAACAACTCTAGTTTATCTTTGAAATATCTACCTAATGCTGTGTACTTTGAGTTCATCACAATTTGTTGAACTACTCTGTTGTGGTTGAATATTCATGACGTTTTGCAGTCCTTGTTCTCACAAGCATGGATGAAAACATTATGCCTTCTGGGCAAAACTTCATATATTGGTACTTTTGTCTTGAAATGTCTCTTTATTGAGAAACTCTAAGGTTTTATTCCTAGCTTTTTGTCATTTCAAATAATAATATACACAGTATTGAAGACACACTTTTATATATTGGTACTTTGATCTCTCTAAGATAGATGACTAAAAATGCAGAACCTTGGGTATGATCACATGTTTATAATTTTTAATTATAATAATTAATTATTTTATTACAGGTAATACAGATTGCTTTCCAAAAAAGTTACAATTCATATCCCTGTGTAGAAATGTGCTTATATTCCCCACACCTTTAACAACACTAGGCATTATTAACATTTTTCCCTTCTGCTAATTTTATGCAGGAAAAAAGAGTATCCATGGTTTTATTTGCTTTTATTATTTCCCTAATTACTAGTAAGTTTGGGCAGCTTTCCATGAATTTATTGACCATCTGCAGTTCTTTGTGAATTACCTGTTAACATCATTTTTTCAATTTCCCTTATATTGTTTGTCTTTTTAAATAAAGTCATAAGACCTCTTTTCATATGAAAAACAACTAACTTTTATCCTGTCCTATTTTTTTCTTCTTCCCATTAGTTCATGGGAATATGAATATATTGTGAGCCAAGAATATAGACAGCCAATACTGCTAGAATGCTTTAAAATAAATATTAATGACATGAAAGGAAAACCCACAATATTCACTTTCTAAAATACTAAGCTCGACAAGGACAGAGGTTTTGTTTTATTAAGTCATGTATCTCAGAAACCTAGAACAGAGCCTGGCAATCAGGAACTCAGTAAATAGCTACAGATACATTTACTCAATATATCAAACCGTTGAGTAAGTGTGTGTATGTGTATATATACATAAACCTCTAAAACTGTGAAATACCTGTTTCCCAAGCGGGAAAGAAGGTTGTTCATACTTTGCTATCATTTGGTGTTTCTAATCCTTATCAGATCTTAACATTATCTCGTTTCATTAATTGTTTATATTTCACAGATAAGAAAATTAAAACTCAGAAAGTTGCCCAAGATAACACAGGCAAAAAATAGAGAGCTGGAATATGTCAGTTGTTTCTGACACCAGAAACAGGTACTTTACTCTGTGTCATCCTGTTTTATTACCATGTATTCTTAATATGGGGTTGGCAGAAAAATGCTTATTACCTAATGTACAAATTTAATTGCTCCTGGATTGAGAAACAATCTAACTATGATATACAATTTGCAGTCATAAGAGATGAAAAATATTTATCTTTGTAACCTTAAAAATAGCTATAAGAACATGACTTTAACACAGGGGTCCCCAACCCCTGGGCCTGGACCAGTGCTGATCCATGGCCTGTGAGGAGCGGGTTGCCCAGGAGGAGGTGAGCAGCAGGCAAGTGAGCATTGCCGCCTGAGCGCCACCTCGTGTTCAGATCAGCAGCCGCGTAAGATCGTCATAGGAGGACAAACCCTTTTGCCAACTGTGCTTGCGAGGGATCTAGGTTGCACACTCCTTATGAGAATCTAGCGCAGAACAGTTTCATCCCAAAACAATCCCCCACCCATTCCATAGAAAAACTGTCTTCCAAAAACCAGTCCCTGGTGCCAAAAAGGTTGGGGACCACCGCTTTAACACATACAAACAGTAAAGTGGATATACTAAAAAAGAAAAAAAGAAGGCAGAAAGTAATCAGAAAGCCACTCATGTGGTCTGGATGTTGGCTGCCTCCAAATCTCACATTGAAATGTGACCTCCAGTGTGGGAGGTGGGACCTAGTGGGAGCTGACTTGATGACAGGGGTGGGTCCCTCATGAATGGCTTGGCACCATCCCCTTGGTGATGAGTGGATTCTGGCTCTGACTTCTCATGAGAGCTGGCTGTTTAAAAACATACGGCATCTGCCTCCCTCTCTCTTCCTCCTGCTCTTACCACGTGATGTGCCTGCTCCAGCTTTGCCTTCTGTTATGACTGTAAGCTTCCTGAGGCCTCACCAAAAGCCATCAGATGTTAGTGCCATACTTCTGTTACAGCTTGCAGAACTCTGAGCCAATTAAACCTCTTTTCTTTTATAAATTACCAAGTCTCAGGTATTTCTTTATAGCAATGCAGAAACAGACTAATACAGCCACTTTTTACAGAAAGTCAACAAATGTGACAAGACTACAGTAGAATGCGATCTACCAAATTAATACGGTTTACAAGCAAAATTCTCCCTCAAGCCTAGAAACAGTTAACCCAATCATAGAACTGAAAAATATCTTTATTGTGTCAAATTCTGACATAATTATACAGCATAAAATTTATTTCAATTTCTTATAGACAAAATTCCATGAAAATCACTTTAGGATAAAATAATAAGAGCAAGAAAATCTATTTTATATTTGCCATTTAAAGAAGGACTAAAATATCAATTAAAAGCCCTACTCTAAAATATGTTTTCTTTTCTTTCTTTTTTTTTTTTTTTTTTTTTTGAGACAAAGTCTCACTCTATCGCCAGGCTGAAATGCAATGGCACAATCTCAGCTCACTGCAACCTCCATCTCCCAGGTTCAAGCCATTTCCCTGCCTCAGCCTCCCAAGTAGCTGGGACTACAGATGCGCGCCAACAAACCCGCTAATTTTTTTGTATTTTTAGTAGATATGGGGTTTCACCATGTTGGCCAGGATGGTCTCGATCTTCTGACCTCACGATCTGCCTGCCTCAGCCTCCCAAAGTGCTGGGATTACAGGCATGAGCCACTGCACCCAGCCATATGTTTTCTTTAATATATATTTTAATTTTACTTATAACTACAAAATATATAACACTTTATCAATATGAATTATTCATTAAAATGTTTTGTGAACATAAATTAAAAATGATAATCTAAAATAATCTGTTCTCAGTATTTCACTAAAGAATAAATTTACAATCACATCATGTATTTATGGTAGTTTTTGATTATAATTATCTCACACTCCTCTCCTCTTGGTTCACAATAAAATGCCTAAGTTAGTTGAGTTGGTTGAGTAACTCAAATTTTCCATACTGTAACTTAAAGCGAAATATTTAACACAGTTAGTGGAAACCTGATATCTGATCTTATAAGAAAAAGTTTCATTTTCTTTAAAATAAAACTCTTGAGAAACTGTTCTGAAAATAAAAACTTCTCAGGTTGCAGACATAAACTATCATGGTCATAAAAAACAAGACTAAATTCTTTAGCTAATCTTACTCATGAAATATTTCAAGTGCTTTTAGAAAATACCACATTGTGGCTAAACACCATTATTCCATTATGTCTGAAAATAACCAGTGGCTTACAGCAGTAAACAATTCAAATTGCATTTCTTGTATTAGAAAGCTAAAATGCTCACGGAAATAGAACTGATATTGAAAGCCCTGAGAAATTCAATATATTTTCATCTGAATACTAATTCAGATAGCTTATTGGATACACATTTATAGTGGCTTAATAGAGTATATTTCAAACAAAATTAAATTAATTTTACAAACAATAAAGGCTCAATATTCTGTATAATTTACCAAATCTTCCATAAAGAATGATCCATTCTCAATTAGAATAGTTACACACAGCTATTATCATTGACTGGACTATTTTCTATAACTCTAAAATGTTCTTATTCTTAAGAACAAACTTTTAAACCAAAGTAGTACTATTCACTTCCAGTAAGGTCACATATGTAAACATTTTTGTAGCAAAATTTTATAAAGATTTCCATAACAATCTATATTAAATAAAAATCAGAATTACCATCTACTGTGTAGCAAATCCTATAATAACTTGTTACATCGATTATGTGATTTTTCATTTATAACACTGACTTTCGAACACAAAAATGTAAAGAAATTCAACATTATTTCATCACATTTTTCAAAAGTTATTGCTAAAATATTTACCTGTGAACACAAATATTTGAGGGATAATCTTATTTTAAGAGCATGGTTTTAAAATTAGATACAAAGTTTAAAACTGTTTTCTAATTGCTCCCAACTTTTCCCACACATACGTTTTTTAAATCAAAATTATTTTGGTATAAAATATTGAGTTCAGGCCTGGCACCATGGCCCACGCCTAAAATTCCAGTGCTTTGGGAGGCCAAGGTGGGAGAATTGCATAAGGGCAAGAGTTTGAGACCAGCTTGGGCAAAATAGTAAGACATCCATTTCAACAAAAAATTAAAAAAATAATTTGCTGAGTGTGGTGACATGAACTTGTAATCCAGCTACTAGGAAGGCTGAGGCAGGAGGATCACTTGAGCCCAAGAGTTTACAGCTATAATGAGCTATGATTGCACCACTACACTCCAGCCTGGGCAAGAGAATAAGAGCCTGTCTCTGAAAATAAATTAATTAACTAATTTAAAAAATTGAGTTCAGTTCATCCATAAGGATTTATGGATTACCTATACTGTGATAAACTCTCTCAGAACACAGATAATAATAGCCACATTCCCTTCATTTAAAGATTTATGAGTGGAAACTTACTTGAAATTCAGTTACAGAATGAGACCAAATAATATGAAAGAGCTTCCAGAATAAAGACCTGCAGGGGCGTGGGTTTAGGATAGAGCACTCTGCAGCAATTGGGGCAAAGTCACTGAAAGGAAGCATACATACCTCTAGCCAGCAAGTCCATTTAGTACCAATGTAATAATCTAGAGAAGGCAAATCTGGGACGATGCTGAACAGGACAGGAGAAGAAGAGATACTTAAGAGGGAAAGTTGTCAGGGATGAAGGCTTACTGAATGTGGGGATAAGAGAAAAGTCTCAGTGTGATATCCAGGTTGGTGCCCTAGGAAACTCGGGTTATGATGGTGCTATGAACTGCAAAGAAATACAGAAGGAACGAAGTCTTGGCAGGATGAAAGAGAAGATTGCATAGAGAAAGATAATTGTTTTTTTGCTGACTAAATTTGAGTTGCTAATGTTTCATCCAGGTTTGTACAGATAGTAAAAAGAGACAGAGATATAAACTCTAGTGTTGGCAGCTCGTGGTGGAAGTTAAAAACCTGAAAATTAGCAAGAATGTCCAGAAAGCATGTGTACAATGAGAAACATTAAAAAAGAGTAAGAAAGAAATTTGAGGAAATAGTGATGTATGAGAAGGAGATGGTGGTAAATTTTGTGCAAAGTAGCTGATGAAGATAGAACCACCAGATCTGATAAGAGACTAGAGGGGCCGGACGCGGTGGCTCACGCCTGTAATCCCAGCACTTGGGGAGGCCGAGGCGGGCAGATCACGAGGTCAGGAGATCCAGATCATCCTGGCTAACATGGTGAAGCCCCGTCTCTACTAAAAAAATACAAAAAATTAGCCAGGCGTGGTGGTGGGCGCCTGTAGTCCCAGCTACTCGGGAGGCTGAGGCAGGAGAATGGCATGAACCCGGGAGGCGGAGCTTGCAGTGAGCCGAGATAACGCCACTGCACTCCAGCCTGGGTGAAAGAGCAAGACTCCATCTCAAAAAAAAAAAAAAAAAAAGAAAGAAAGACTAGAAGGTCACCAAAGATTGTTAGTAGAAGGAGCTTTAGTAGTACAGTAAAGGACACTGAGGTTATCACAGTAGATTTTTAATCAATTAATTTAAAGATCAGGTATTAGATATAGCAAATTAAGTATATCAAGATGTCTAGCTAGAGAGAGGAGAGAAATAGGATCTTACACAAGTAAAGAGGATTTTATTTGTTGCTTCTTTTTTATTTTTATTTTTTGAGGACAGAAGAATTTTAAGCATATTTGAAGACAGAGGAAAAGCTCTAATAAAAAGTTGTAAGTTAAAAAAATAAGAGAAATGAAAATAATTGGTGAAAAGGGATGCTATAAAAGAAGAAAAGAGAGTGGATAAAGAAAAAAAAAGATCTGTTAAAAGCAGAAAGAGGTTTCACTGCTTTATTCTAAAACTAAAAGTAAAAATCTGAGCCTCTAGAGGATTTTAGTGCAAAGAATGCTATAATTGGTGTTCTTATTTAAAAACTTTCAATATTCAATAAAGTTGTTTGTGAAATACATAAAAATAACTTTATTGCAATAAGAATATTACTCTTTTAATTTAAGAATATCTAGAATATAACTTTTGGCAAACGTTATTTCAACAACAGGAACAGTATCATTGTTAAATTGACCATATCTAAAACCCAAGGAAACTGGTTTACAAACAAGGAGAATCATATCATTTATAATTTTGAATTAATTATGATAATAATGATGAATCTGATGACAGAATCCTAAAATACCTTAGGAATGGCATAAAATTAAACTTATTCTCGAAACCTCCAAAATAAGACTCAATGAAGAATGACATAGTCTTTTTCATACAAGTAAGTATAAGAAAATGAAAAGCATGTGAACTTTCCATGTCCTTTTAGCATCAGAATGTCACTAAATTAGAATAAAGGTAAATATATGTTTGTTTGTATGTACATATGTACAACTAGAAACTTGACATTACTTCATATATTGATATATTTAAAATAGGATCTTTGAAACAGCATTGCTTTACCAACATTTTTATAAGTATACCCATATGTACAAAAATTAAGGGTATATATAAGCCTCTGTTTACTAAATACCTACCTTCTATTAAGTATTCCATTCCTTCTCTAATCCCACCAAGAGTCTTTGAAGTAGCTAATATCCCCATTTTACAGAGGCAGTGACTGATACTCAAAGCAACTGGATTACTTTTCAAGGTCATGTAGCTGAAAAGTGTCAAGAGCTGAGATTCAAAGCTTCATGTATTTGACTTCAAAGCTCATGCTTTCTATACCACGTTGTTTCCCCTCCTATATTTTCTGTCTGACCTTACCACTGCAGTATAAATCACTTCTCTGATATCTAATCTATATACTATAAACCTCTGTTGTCATGTGATTTAATACATCAGGTTACCTATTGGCACTTTGGAGCACTCCAGAGATTCCATAATGAGGTGATGGCATTTTCCACTCGTTTTACCATGTACACAAATTCCCAGCCAATGAGCTGATCAAGTGAGCTATGACATCCCGTTTCTGAATGGTAGACTCCTTCCTTGGCCTTTCTAGCATCTCTACCTGGTGAACTGCTAATCCCTCAAGGCCCCATCACTTCCCAAGTCCAAGCTACACCTCTCCATGAAGCGTGTCTCTTGCCAGGCACAGGTAATGGTCCCTGGCCTGGTAGCCATAGGACATTTTTAAAGCACTTATCACTAAAAATCATAATAATTAATCTCCTCCTTGCTGGCATGTGAGTCTTTCAAAGACAGTAGAGTATTTTATTCAATGTAGAATCAGCAGTTCCTAAAGCAATGTGTAGCACCAAATAGATAATAGCTGCTGTGTTGTGAAAACGACATGGGCTTTGGAGGTGGTCAGGGGACAGGCAGTGGGTCTCAAATCCCAGTTCTGCCTCACACTATCCATGTGAGCTTGGGCAAGTTACTGCCTGTGAGATTCATGTCCTTAAATGCATGGACATAATATTACCTATTTTAAACAGTTGCTAATAGGATTTTAAAAGAACAGATGCAAAGAATTAGAGTCCCTGGTATACACTTAAGCACTTACTAAATACTAGTTTCCTGTCCTTTCACCCCATTGTCTTGAATGTCTTAATGCAGCATAGGTAAGATTCAAAAAGAGTAACTGCATATATAGATTGAACAAGTATTAATCAAATGTCTAACAAGAATAAGAAACTGGCTGAACCCAGTGGCTCATGCCTATAATCCCAATACTTTAGCAGGCCAAGGAGGGACTTGAAGTCAGGAGTTTGAGACAAGCCTGGACTGCAAAGTGAGATCCTGCCTCTATGAAAAAAAATTAAGAATTTATCCGAGTGTGGTGGTGTGCTCCTGCAGTGTCAGCCACGTGGGAGGCTGAGGCAGGAGGATGGCTTGAGTCCAGGAATTCAAGGCAGCAGTGAGCTATGATGGCGCCACTGCACTCCTGCCTGGGTGACAAGGAGACCCTTAGTTTAAGGAAGGAAGGAAGGAAGGAAGGAAGGAAGGAAGGAAGGAAGGAAGGAAAAGAAATAGAGGGGGTGGAGAGAGGGAGTCAGGGAAAGAAGGAAGGAAGGAAGGAAGGAAGGAAGGAAGGAGGGAGGGAGGGAGGGAGGGAGGGAGGAAGGGAGGGAAGGGAAGGGAGGGAGGGAGGGAAAGAAATAGAGCGGGTGGAGGGATGGAGGCATGGAATGAAGGAAGGAAGGAAGGAAGGTAGGTAAAAAGGAAGGGAATGGAGGAAAGAAACTGTAGTAGATGCTGTGTATATCAGAGAAATGAATTTCTGCACTCAAGAAGTTGACAATCCTATAAGAAAAATACAAATTTTATTTATATATATTTTTTTAAGATAGAAAATTAAGTACTATAATTAAGTGCATGGATACTGCTATGGAGAATGCAAGCAAGGATTCAGCTTTCTTTGGTTGGGGAAATACCAGAAGTGGTCACCAATAATCTGGAATCTGAAATAAGTTTTGAAGAACTGATTATAACTTGGAGTCATGGATATACAAGAAAGGAAATCCTAAGTAAAAGTACAGTCCAGGCAAAGGCACAGAGGCAAGATTTCTCCATGAATAAAAACTGGTTTGTTTTGACTTGATAAAACAAAACAAAACAAAAAAAGCACACGAAAATGCAGTGGGATAAGGATCTCAAATCGCGGGAAATAAATCTATTGAAAAATTAATACTCAATGGATTACCTGGCTTGTAATTCTCAAGCTTCCTAATTTGAGTCCCTCTACCCTACATTTTAGGATTTTCAAGCCAAATTATACAAAAGAAGAAAAGAGAATTAAAATATAAATTGCTATATATTATGCATAGGGGCACATTCTACATACTGATGTTGGGAAAGGAGCATAAGCTACTTTTCTAAATGGACAGGTTTCATTTGATATTAATATTGACCACAGGTGACTATCCCTAGCTTGCAGGATCATGAAAACAGGAAACGTAATGATCAAAAGATAGTCTTGTGTATTTAAAAATAAAACTAAAACATTTCTTCAGAGATGCCAGCATCCTTCTCCACTGACCAGTCCCCTTTCTCCCCGTGTTCCATACTCAAAATGTTCTACTGCCCCCTGCTGCTTTCAGTTTCAGAATTTTTCTTAAAGGCTTTCATTATCTTTCACTAACCAATTTTACCACTTTACCTGTTTTCTCCCTTTTCTTCCAGAAGGATCAAGATTCTAGGGTTTCTTTCTTGACCAAATTGGAAGCAATGAAGATGTAAGAATTATGCATAACTTCATAGGAGTAACTTACAGCTTTGAAAATCTAACATACACTTAACGCTAACCTATGTGGGCACCATAACTTCTTTAGGATTATTATTATTATTATTATTATTATTATTATTATTATTATTATTATTATTTTGAGACAGTCTCACTCTGTCACCCAGGCCAGAGTGCAGTGGCATTATCTCGGCTCACTGCAACCTCTGCCTCCCAGGTTCAAGCAATTCTCCTGCCTCGGCCTCCCAAGTAGCTGGGATTACAGTTGAGCGCCACCATGCCCGGCTAATTTTTGTATTTTTAGTGGAGATGGGGTTTCACCATGTTGGTCAGGCTGGTCTCGAACTCCTGATCTCAAGTGATCTGCCCACCTCGGCCTCCCAAAATGCTGGGATTATAGGCATGAGCCACCATGCCCGGTCAGGATTGCTTAATTACACATTTTTACAAGGAAGTAATAACTAATCTCCAAATACATCATTTGCCTTTCATTCTAATGGTAACCCACATTTTCTTACCCAAGTATACAAGCTGTGTGTTTGAATAGGGGGTTCCCATACATGGTGTTTTATATAAATTAGCTTAAATTTAATAGAAAGAATGTCTGACTTATGTTACAGAAATTTGTTCATTAATTTCAGTTTTTTCACAGGTGACATAGACCTTAATTTTTCCCACGTGTTGTGATCTAGCCGTCTCCATTTCATCAAACATTTATTTTCTGTTCTTTTTTTGGTGTATATATGTCTGTGTGGGGTGTGTGTGTATTTACACCTCCTGTTACCATTCTGTATGTTGGGTCACAGGGGTACATGATAACCAAAAGCAAAAATAAAAAGCAGAGCCACATGGAGAGTTACCAGTTTAGCAGCAGCTAAATGGCATAGCATCATGAGCATGGCTTGCTTTCAATATTACATTCAGCAAACATTTTCGAATACCTATTTGCCAAAATGCAGTAAAAATATAGATTCATTCTTCGAAGAATTCACAGTCTAGTGTACTAGCAACAAAACTACTTATCTTGTACTTTGAGCTAAGATAAATGAAGGTATCACAATCCACCAAGTAATTAACCTGCATATATTAAAACCATTCTCCATTCATTTTGAAGTTATACTTTGCTATGTTAACAGACTACCCTAAAGTGTAGCAACTTAAAACAACAACCACCAATCACGCTCTCTTAAAATTCTGTGGTGTGAGTGGGCAGTTTTTGCGTTTTGTATGGTATGGTGGGGGTGAGGGGATGGTTGGAAGTTACAAAATGGCCTGAGCGCTGGGACTGGCTGGGAGCACAGATGGGAATGTAAGCTCTGCATCTCCATTTTCCTTCATGTGCATCTCTTTGTATCACTTCTCGGGCTTCCTAACAGCAAGGCAGCTGTTCCAAGATGGTGCACTCTAACCACAAGTATTCCAAGCAAGAAGACCATCTCTAACATGTAAGCATTTGTCAAGCCTCTGCTTGCATCTCACTTGCTAATGTCTCATTGGCCAACGCTTGTCACATGGCCAAGCTCAGATTCAAGGAAAGGCACTACACAAGGGCATGAAAATTGAGAGGTGTGTTTCACTGGAGTCAAAGTAATAGTCTATTACAACTCCTCTCCTTCCTTCACAACCATGTATCTTTGAGTTCTGCAAATACACTCTGTATTACCTATTTCCACTGCCTTATAGTCCAATTTTTAGTTCTCTCTTACCTTATTTTTTCCTTCCTTTCTTTCGTTTTCTTTTCTTTTAAAAAAGTTATCTAGTTGAGCTTTTAATTAAGAGTAGGGGGATAAGTAGCATCATTCATCCAATGAACAAATGTGTATTGAGTAGTTTACAATAATATACACTGGTAGGAACTTTTTGTGACACAAGAGATACTGCAGAAAACACCTCCTCTGCTATCATAGCTAAAACTCTGCAGGAGAAAATCACATAAGCCTCTAGGCCCTCAAACCCACCCTCAAAATGGTAATTATGTTTCTATTTTACAGATTTCAACATGTCTCAACATTGCTTAAATATTTTCCATGCTGTTCCCAGCCTAGCAGGTGTGATTCAAACTCAGTTATCACCTCATGTAGTGTGGCATAGACCAGCCTTCCAAGGTTCATCTCCTATCATTTCCCTTGAACTTACCACCTACTCACCTTTGTAGTTCTATGTCTTTATTTTTGCCATTCCATCTAGCTGGAATATTCTTCCTCAGTCCTAAGCTCCCAGTGCATATAATTTTATTTAAGAACCACATTCACGTACACTCTGCTATGAGGCACCCACATAGACAGAAAGAAGAAACCACATACATATGTCTACACAGACGGTGATCCTACCTCTGACTTAAGCCTGATGCTGTGTCACTGTTGTTTGTTTATCCATTCAGTGGAGCGTGGGCTCCTCAAGACCACCATGCTCATGGCCACACCACAAGGCATTTTCTATTAACACAGAGGTTGGTACAAAGGAGGAAAAGAAAGAAAGAGAGGAAGAGGCATCTGTCTTTCATTTCTATGAAATGTACTGTCTTTCATATATGATCTTCAAAATAAAAAAAAAAAGTAACTGTAATTCCATATTAGCTTTAAGACCTCAGAGCTTCTCTAAAATGAAATGTGTTCTAATGATAAATGGAAGCTAATAAATAAATTCCTCCTCAATGAAAACAATAAAACAAGTAAAATATAAATATAAAGAGCCACTGCACTTTGTTTCAGTCTTTGTTTCAAAGCCTTGTATCTGCAAAGTGCCTGGCTTGTAAGGGTACTGAGAGTGGCTCTCTAAATCCAGCCAGCCACAGGAAATCTTGAATTAAATTCTACTCTTTTACAAACAGAATCCAAAGAGTGAACCTGTATTAAAGTAAGTCTTGCACAGTATAAAACTAACATTTTCCATGTAACACTACTTGAACTTTGAGGTCATCACAGATATAGATAATAAAGGTTTCAAAAGTATATTATTTGAATTAATAATAAAATATGTCTTAAACTTTAAGTGTAATGTAGACAATGGGATAAGATTTAATGTAGATAATGGGATAAGATTTAATGTAGATAATGGGATAAGATTTCATCAGTGAATGGATTTTAACGAAGTCATAAAAGTGAAGACAGAAGGTAAATTTATATCATGAAAGTTCCACGTCATATACAATCAGATACAAACAACTGTGTAATTCACTAAACCACTGAGTTCAAGGTAATAGATTTGATTGGATGATAAACGTTTGCTTTAGAATTGCACCAAGGCCTTCTAGAATCAAGCCCCATTTAACATTCCAATGCATCCTCCAATCGATTACTCTCCTCTCTTGGTCACTGGATTGCACAGTCATTTCCTCTGGTGGATGTTACACCCTCTCCTTAACCTCCCTCCTTAAATATATCCCCCTTTTTCATGACACACCTCAAGTGCCATCTCCTCCCACAGTCCTCATGAACGCTTTATCTCAAAGTGAATGCTCTAGCCTCTGACATCATGCAGCCATTTCAATTTCAATACTCTGAAGGCTGGTCACTGCTTTCTAGATGTGTCCTTCCATCCCCCCCATAGACATTATGATTTATTTAACTTGTCCCTCCCCCATTGCCTGGCATGTAGCAGACACTGGATAACTGATGGAATAAATGATGACACAAGATGAAGTTTCCATCACATCTTTTAATTTGAATAGCCATTTGTTTAAATGGCTTTATTTTCATGAACACTAGAGAAAGACTGAAATCTATATCAGATATCTTAAGTTTAAGCCAATTCTTCACTTATAATAGGCAAAGAAAATAAAATATTTTAAATTGAAAGAAATACAAATTCCATGATATAAAAGAATAGATTCGAACATGAGTGAAAGCACAACTCTGAAATGTGTCATGTGTTTCTGCCCCTTTGGCAAAATGATGAAAAGCAAAAAAATTAATCTTCGTTTCTCTAGTTCTATTTTTGTCACTTATTAGATACATACTCTTTCTGTAAAATTAGGTCAATAAGATCTCTTTTTCTTAATTTCACAGATTACTATTAAGAAATGCATAGGAAAACCCAGTCCTTATAAACTACAAGGCAAGGCTTGATTATTACTGAGCCAAAAAATCGACAGTATATTTTTGCACCAAAAAATGATTGAGCCTGATGAACATTTAGCCCGATCACTGTCTAGCATAGTTAGGGAGAATTTTCCTTCGAGAAATAAAATATTCATCATTTCTAATTATAAATGGTACTGTTGTCAAGACAACTTTTCTCAGGAGAGAGAGGATTATTCTAAAATGGTTCTCTTTAACATTTTTTAATCTCAATTTTATTTACAAATGAAAATACATCCTCCTCTACTAATATCTCATTAGTCTAAAGACTTGTCAATTTAAAAGAAATGTTACTTGGGAAAGCTTTCAATAGCATTTTCTTCCTTAGCTCTTCTAGTGAATTGGAATTCATGACATGATAATTTAACTACATAGCTCTTCAATTAAAAGTAGGGAGTCTGAAACTAATACTGCATAAGTGGCAGGTACAATAGAGTTAGTATGCCCCGTTAATGCCTGGCCATTGGTGCAAAATGACATTCAGAATGGCATGAAGAACAAAAGGGTAATTGGGTATAACAAGAATCTAACGTTAGCAAACATAGGTCTATTTGGCCATTCTTACAAGCATGATTCACTGCAGCATTGCAAAAAAGAGACATTCTCATACAGAAAGTTTCAAATAGCCAGTAACATGCTTATCTCTTTAAGATAAAAATAAAGATGTATCCCAAATAGCCAGCATTTTGAATTATAAAAATGTAGTGTTATCATTGTTCATAAATTTAAAATTTAAAATTTTCTAATTTTTAAAGCTCTTCAATATCTTATTTGATTTCCCTATCAACCATATGAACAAAGCAAATAATTAGCATCTCATTGAATATATGAGAAAACAGGTAGATACACTGTTCAAGAGAGCATAGCCTTTAAAGAGTTGCTCATTCATTCATTCATTTATCCAACTTGCATGAAGTCTTTAGCATAAGGCAAAATCTGTACTATATGTTAAGGTAACACAAAGGCTAATGAGATTACTTTTTAAAATTAGAAAACGATGTATACCATATCCATTTTTTTTTCAAAATCAAACCAAAAATTCATTAAATGCTATTGCATTTTAGGCTCCTGATAGCATAATCATACTCAAACGAAGCTCTAGCAGAAACAAAGTTAAGTTTTTTAAAAAATAGGAAGAGTTCCATAAAAGCCTAGTGCTTGATTTTAGCAACAGAGATTTATTGCTCTTGAAATTTAAAATAGGTAATCTATGGTAGTTATTTAACACACAATATAATTTATCACATAATATATGTCCATTATCATGTTAGTGAATATACAGGAAATAAAAACAAAGAGGATGTCTATATTTGTGTGTGTGTGTGTGTGCATGTCTGCACGTGTCTACATGTGCGAGACAACTAAAATGCACTCATCATATATTATATCTTAGGATATATAGATACGTAGCTAACTAGGGAATTAAGGCTTACAAAGTGATAAATGCACAGAAATTATAAAATTTTATATATTCTAAACTATGAAAACAAATGAATGTTCTTGCACATATAATTCCATGTTCCTTGTCAAGATAAATGTATCACATTGAATGTTTTTGTAATCTTAGAATGTCTTTTGATAAGATATACCCTATATAATTCAAATAAATAAAACCATTCCACTTTCTTTACTGAGAACAAAACACAGAACCAAACAATTATGGGAATTCAATACCATCCTAAATGATTCATTGTGGTAGACCTTGAACTTAGTTTAGGATCTTTACTTTTTTTAAAGTAAGGTATGTGGTTTTAAAAAAGTCATATAATAGAGTCATGTGATTTTAATTATTTTATAAATTTGATTTGCTTAAAAATCTGAGAAGAGATGGTCCCATGTTTATTAATCTAACCATAAAATATTATACTAAAGAATTTTTATGAGCATTAAAATGTTCCATATATTCTACATTGATCTTTATTGTGAAAAGGTTATATTTATAAGATTAACTTTACCTTGAATGATGATATCATACATTTTAAAATAATGACCCTATTTCAGTTTCCTAGGCATTATCTCAATAGATTAATAATTTCAATATTAATGACTGAAAGGTAATTAATATAAAATACTGTATTATTTTTAGCAAAGAGTATCTGTTACGGAGCCCTATGGACAGCCAAGGCTAAAGAAAGTATTTTGGCCGTGACAAATGGACAACTGCAATAATGCCAGGAAATCTCAATAGAATATGGAATTGGCTCCCCCTGTCGGGCCTTAAAAAGTCCACATTTTTGACCATCACATCACCTCACATCACAAAACTAAAAAAAAAAAACAAAAAAAGGCAAAATGAACAATGCCAACAAAATTAAAGACCTGTAACACTGCCAATGCTGCATTTAAAAATCTGCTCAGCTATATTTTTCTCTATAGAAAAAGAAATCATGAAAATCAGCATATGGAAAAGAAAGTAGGAACTCATTTTCAATTTATTGAAATAGATAAAATATTCAAATGAGGTATATAATATCACAAATAGCATTGATTTCTTTCCTCGTTGACAAAACACATGTCCTCCTTTGAACGAACTGTACAAGAAAGTATAATAGCTATTTCTTCACTAAAAACATGGTTTGTGATAAAGTTCCAGTAACAAAATTTGTTTTGATCCTTGTTGATATATAAATATATTAGAAATAATGTTTTTTAAAAGTCTGTATATTCTTACTGATAAAGCAATACAGTGCTTTATATCTCTTTAAAAAATAGCTATGTTATAAATCACCCACTGGGTGGATTGTCTTTGGCTTGAATACAACTGGTGTGGCAAGAGCAAAGAAAATCATACAGGCCCTGCTTGCTTATATATATAAAATATTGGGGAAAACATATTGTAAAAAGTCATACAGTCTGAGATAAATGTCAAATTACATTGTCAAATTGCATTTTTGCAATATACAAAAACATATTGCAAAAATTAATGACAGATAAATGTCAAATTACAACTATGAATAATGGTAATTTTTCATTTATTAAAAATAATGCAATAAATTACAATCCCCAATTTCCAAACAAAGAGCTTACTATCAACCTCTCTGATATTGCCTCAGCTCAGCAAAGGCTCTGCCACCATCACTATGAGAGCTACTGTGAAAAACTATAAAGTTTTTATTGAAATAAGACATTGTGAAGGGGAAAACAAAGAAATAAATTAAAAGTCACAACTAAGCAACAAGACTTTCTTAAACCTCCAGCAACATATCAAGATGTTTCTGTCATATCCTCATTGTGTTTCTTGGGCTTAGTAAATCATTTTAACTGTACCATTTAGAACACTGAGGTTAATAAGCTTTATCAACAAGTCCAGAGCAATAAAGGGGCCAAAATGCCCCAACCTACAGGAATCCCTTGAAGGAGATTGTTTTTCCTTTAAAGAGCAGGTTATATAGTAAACTCTGGGTCCTGCTGTTCCCACAGGTCCACAAGAGAACTCTGGTGACTTTTGAATAAGAGGCACAAAAGAAAAGGACAAATATCAAAATTAGTGCCTTCTGGAAATTCCTATAAGACCATTTCCTTTCCATAAAATTAACAGAAAATAGGGCCGGGTGCAGTGGCTCACGTCTGTAATCCCAGCATTTTGGGAGGCCAAGGCAGGCAGATCACCTGAGGTCGGGAGTTCAAGACCAGCCTGACCAACAAGGAGAAACCCCGTCTCTACTAAAAATACAAAAATTAGCCGGGCATGGTGGCACATGCCTGTAATCCCAGCTACTCAGGAGGCTGAGGCAGGAGAATGGCTTGAATCCGGGAGGTGGAGGTTGCAGTGAGCCGAGATTACGCCATTGCACTCCAGCCCGGGCAGCAAGAGGGAAATTCTGTCTCAAAAAGGAAAAAAAAAAAAAAAACTAACAGAAGATACCGATTACTATGCTCTTTTCTGCACATATGCCTTTAGGATCCAGTACTCAAGCAAACATTGGTACTGTCTCTTAGATACATATGGATTAAATAGGCTGTGTGCACTGGCCTGGGAACTGAACCAATATTTACAACATTGTTTCTATGGGAAAACATGTTCCAAGTACTAAATAACTTGCAAACCTTTGAAATACACTGGTATTAAAACTTTTATGAGATACATTATGAAGACAGGGTATCCGTTACAGATAACTCAGAGTTAATTCATGTGTTGATCTCCTCTTTTTACCTCCTATTTGTTTTTCCTCATGGTCTAGAAAAGGAAGGAAAATGCCATGATTTACACAAATATATCATTTTTGCTCACAAAAACCCATGAGATTTTTTTTAAAATTAGCAATAAGAATACATATTGCATCTCTTAACAACTTAAATTTCACCACAGTCACCCTACCCTATTTCAGTTAGCCTATTTATTAGATTGACATTTTTGCCTGGGGAATCAAAAAATTACGATTTTCCAGATTTTGCTGGTTAGAAAACACAGATTTTACTGTACTTGGTTTCTCATTTATCTGGAATGACTTTTCATCTGCTGGCGAATAGCTCATTCAAAACATCCAAGTTCTTAGCATTCAAGTGGAAGGGGGGAAAACCCTCAGAATATTTTTCCTCTAGACTCTGAGGCAATCATTAGAACATCTTAAAAATATGAAATGGTTACAAAAAGAAGACTTGCTTCCACATTTTAAAATTCAGGAAAACAAAGTTTCACATCAGGCAAATCCATTAATTTTGAATTTATTAGTAAACATACGAACTATTTCTTAAAGAATCACAGTTGATGACAGCATTCATCCAATTTTATTAACTATTTTAAAATATTTTATTAAAGCAGGCTATTATAAAGATTTTTCAAAAAAGAAATGAGTACCAAGAAGTACAGTAAGAAATGCATACGAATTAAGGAAACTATTTGTAAGGAAGCAAGGAAAAGAAAGTCTGGGTTCAAAACGGGAAAAAATGGCACTTTGAAAATCAAGATATATTAACTGTAAAGCATGTTCAAGGACAAGCTCAAGAGCTTCCGATTGCGCATAACATAATGTGTGTGTGCATGCTGACCTGTCAGCCTTTGCATTAGCAGAGAAGAAAGGGCAATTTCACACTGGCACTAGTAAGTCATAAACAGAACATTTGAAGTTAGAAATGCTATCCTCTTTCATTCACTTTTAGATGGTTTCAATTTATTTGATGAAATCTGCACTTGCTTTTCTTTTCGGGGGATACATTCAGTTAAACGCATTAAAGAAAAGTTCCCATTTGTTCTTTTCACAGATATTCCATCACACTGAGTCAGGGTGGTGCGGCAGTGTAAAAGAAAGTGCCACATTTAGTCAACTAAGGCACAATACTGTTTACATCCATGACGCCAAGCATTTAATAAAAATTGGAAGGTGGTTACTTCCTGAGGCTTATGTAGTATCTATAGTCCAACATCACAGAATGGAATATAAGGCCACAGTGGGGTTGTTTACCTGTCAATCACTTGTCAGTCCTACAGGTTCTCTACAAATACCCCTTGTACTTGGAAACTTCTTTACCAATTGCTGTAATTAGAATTTTTAAATACAGCAATAGACACATTTTCTAAAACTACTAAATTAAATCACCAACAGACACAAAAGGAAAGGTAATGCCATGGTAACTTTTGTGTAACTGAAAAATTACATTTTTAAAACTTTTTTTTCTAGTTCAGATCATTGCTTTATTTTTTATTTCATTCTCTTTGCTTAATGCCATATTCTGCTCTCCTCATTTTTCAACATTTGAAATTACTGTAAGTATGTGGGAAAATAAAATAAGCAGTAAGTTAACTAATATGTCTCTGTTTACACAGATAGAATAGGAACTGTTTAATCAGTTTATTCTCATAAGCATAACAAAAGGAGAAATTAATTTGTCTAGCTTGTTAGTCTTTCTAGAATATCTACAGTATGTAAAAGGCTGGTAGACAACACATGATAGAAAACTTGTCTGAACATACTTCTGACTCCCAGACATTTTCTTGGATTGAATATACTTCATATATGGCACTGGCCATCATACAGATAAAGTGCAAATATCTCCTTTAGAGCACTGTGGCAAAGAACATGTTAATTTGAGCATGTGATGCTAGTAACACTTTATTTAATAATATCTGTCCTTCCATTTTTCCTTTCTTATTTTTTTTTCCTAGTACTCAAGAGAAATGAAGGCTGCAATTATAGATTCCCTTACAATTATGCCTTTTCGGCAGAGCATCAATTTTAAATTTTTTAAATAAATAAATCATTGTGCACAGCAAAAATCTTTCAATATATTTCCTTGAAATCCTGAAAATACTATGAGTTTGCTTTGTTTTATTTCACTTTATCAGGATGAATAACTTCTCAGGAAGCCCAAGTACCTTTCCAGGGGCATGACGCAGGGACTGGATTAATTGGCAATGAAGGAGTTGGTTTGGATTGACTTACTACTAAGAGAGCTGACGGTCATCTGCCCTTCACTTGAGCAGCTATCTTAGCAGTAACTTCACTGCCCAAACCTGAGTGAAGATTTCCCCCAAAAGTCATGACCAAATTAGGAGTTGTTAGCATAAGTCGACTTTGTTCAAATTAAAGTTAAATTAGCATCTTTCCACAGGAATGGAATTTGGAAATCATTTTTACCAACAAAGGTTTTCAAATTAAAATCATTGTACTCACAGTGTATCAGAAAGGGGCCCCGGAAAACTTTCAAGAGTAGGGGCCTCTTTATCATCCTTGCTTTAAGCAAAGAAATTCCAGTTAATCTATTTTATAAGTAATTATTTTGTATCAGATTCACTATTAAAATGAATTCAGTGGCAGAAAGGTTAAAATTATAAATGTTTAAGGCAAGGTTCTTTTGCAATCTTCCCAACAGTGAAGTCCTGCCAAATACCTGGCCCCAAACCCTTGACATGAGCCTTGGAAAGGAAAGTCACTTCCAATATCAAATTACTTTCATCTTTTTGAGCTAACTAGTCTTTGATACTTCTTTGAAAGGATAACACCTCAGCTGTTTAAAAATTTTTGATTAAGTAGCACCTTTGTTTTATCTCTTTCTTCTAAATAGTGCAAGTCTCTTCAACTGATTTTCGTGTGATATACCATTCAGACCTTTTAATACCCTCCTTGTTTTTCTTTGACTGCCTTTCAGGTTGCCCATGTTGCTATTATGATGTCACTTCTCAATTTAAAAGATGGCCTGTTTTATGAACCTCAGAAGACATGAATTCCAACCATGGCTATCTACCTTTCATTAACAAGGCTAGTCAATCTTCAGCTTTTTCATCCATAAATTACATCATAGCTGCTTTTACAAATTAATTTTACATGTGTAAATTAAAAGGCCATATATAACTTCTCGTAAAAGTGTCAGACAAACAAAATGTGAATTTCCTTTCCTTCCTCTTAGAGCCAAAACTAAACACAAAACACAACTAAACAAAAAACTTTCTAAGTGTAACCGGAGAATTTATGGGGGAGAAACTGATACTCTGATACTTCAACATTTACTCCAGTGATTTCAGGATATAATCTTCCGTGTATGAAACATGATACACAGTGGAGGCTGAGACCTTTGTATATTTACCTGGCTTTATATAGTGCCCAGCACAACATTTTTATTATGTGGGTGCTTTCTTTTTTTTTTTTTTGAGACAGAGTCTCACTCTGTCATCCAGGATGGAGTGCAGTGGTGTGATCTTGGCTCAGTGCAACCTCTGTCTCTTGGGTTCAAGCAATTCTTGTGCGTCAGACTCATGATGTAGCTGGGATTACAGGCACATGCCACCATGCCCAGCTAATTTTTGCAATTTTAGTAGAGACAGGGTTTCGTCATGTTGGCCAGGCTAGTCTCAAACTCCTAGCCTCAAGTGATCCACCTGCCTCAGCCTCCCAAACTGCTGGGATTACAGGCATGAGCCACCACACCCAGACAATATGTGGGTACTTTCTAAAGACAAAAAACAAACAAACAAAAATGAGAAGCATCATATACAGTTCTGTGAATTTCAGGTAGGTGTCTTTAAATATTGACAAATGCAAACACCATGAAATGGTAGAAAAAAAAAAAAGTAAAAAAGGATTGGTGTCCGTGGACCAGGTAAAGACCAGGCAGCACAGAGTCTTGGGAGGACCTTCACACAGGAAGCCCACATCCCTGAGCCACAGTGAAGGCTCTCTCTCCACGGGCCAGGCAATCTTGGGCAAGTCACATAATATATCTGACACCTGTCTCTTCACCTAAGTTTCTAAGGTAGTTTCCAGCATGGGAGGTGTATTATCCTTCTTATTCTCACAAGAAAAATAAAGGCCACATTAATACATCTATGCCTCTAGTTCTTCAAATAGTAGAAGATGGGAAATGGTTTCAGGAAGAAAGCTAAGAATTGATGCTAAACCCTGAAAAAATAGTAATGCTCTTCCTTTCTTAAGTTCACATTACTACGCGTTAAGAACTTCACTTGATAATCACTAGTACCTCAAACAAAACGCTGAGGGAACCAGCTCTCATTGCTGTTTATTTAGGCTTTGTTAAAAATTTTAGTCTAGTTTCACCCAAACCCACCATACAATATACAACAGCTATTCATTGCAAATATCTTTTTAAATGTCCTTCCTCTTTTCCTAACAGTTTCATCCTGAATTATGACTTTGGACTATGGTATTATTTTTGTAACTGATCTCTAGGCTTCCAGTCTGTTTCTTTCAATTCATAGTCATAATCTTCCCAGGGCATGATCTTAATCACATCACCCCTGCCTATCAAATAAAGTCTGAATGAAGTTCTTAGTCTGGCATCTCAGAGTCTTTAAAACAGCTTGAATGGACTTTCCTTCCTTAACCTAATACTGCAAACTTATGAACTTTTTCCCAGTCAATGAGCACACCTTTTAACCATGTCAACTAAGTCATCCTTTCCATACAGACTTTTTCCCCCCTCTTTCTATACAGACTTTTTTTTCTCCCTCTCATCCCTTTGGAAACTACAGAAATCCACTTAAAGTGAAGTCTCTATTGCCTTCGCAGATACCCCATTCAGAAAGGATTTTTGCTCTACGGTCCTGTGGGACCCACATGTTGCAAAATTACTCAGACCATGGGATGGAGTCATTATCATTGTATCAATACTCAGTCATATAATACATTATCACTGTATCATTACTCAATCATATAATAAATACGGCAGCTTCAAGTAGACCAAAAAATAAAGAAAAAAGAAAAAGCTAGGAAGCTGTCACTCTTCAAAAAACAGACAAATACATTAGCTAATCCCTAACCAAATAATCTTATTTTAACGAGTTTGATATAGAGAAATAATACATGTGTTTTAAAGTAACCATCACATCAGACAGCACATAAACAGCTGTGATTTTATCATTGCTAATAAAAAAGACTTCTAAAGCTCAAAACTAAAAAATTTCCATAAACACTGTCTACCTAGTACTATGTCAGAGTGTTTCTCCTTCTTCTCCTTCTCCGTCTCAGTGCTCCTTCTCCTTCTTCTTCTTTTGAGACAGGTCTCACTATATCACCCAGAAAGCTACTCTCAAACTCCTGTCCTCAAGCGATCCTCTCACCTCAGCCTCCCAAGTAGCTGTAACAAATCTATGAATTAATTAATATTACTTTCATTTTACAAAAGAAAATACTGAAGCTCAGAATGATTATTTTTCCTAAATAGTCACACGTTGAGTAAATGGCTGCAACGATTCTAATCAAGATGTTCAGACACAAAACGTGTCTCTTTTATTAGAAACCTACAATTCATTATTTCTATCCCAGAGGCAGAGCAGACATGAAGAGGTTGTTTTAGATCTACAATTTAGAGAAAGCCAATGAATGGGGAAAAGAGAATTCATCATAAACTACTCATCTGAAAGGAGAATTGGCTAACAAATCTTGAAATTAGTGTATCTGCTTTCCCTAAAATGGACTGCATTGGGATGGATTTGCACCAAACCTGAAGACAAATCTCAGCCATAGTCCAGCCATAGTCTATCCATTCTCCTCTTCAGCACATACGCAGGAACACCTGATACACACAGGATGCACACACATGCACACACACACACACACACACACACACACACACACAGAGGTGTGCAGGAGCTCTAGGATGTTTCTACCCTAAGATCATTTAGTCCCTTCTTCAGCCATCTCAAAATGAGATCAAAAGAAAGCTGCAAATTATTTTTGGAAACTACCATGGCACTCGGCTTAGAGATTAAATCAAAGTTCTCTATAATTGTTTTGATTACATATTACTGCATCAGCAAAATTTTTTGAACATACGCCTTCACCATTTATAAATTACTTCTATTTGTATAGATTAGTATTATTGTACCAATATACGATACATTTTTTAAAATAGAGACATTTCAAAGTTGAGAGAAAATGTGAATAGAACTTAAACAGAAAATTTTTAACATTTTTGTTCCTACATTTAGGACCATGCAATTACACATAGCATTGCTGTAAAAAAAAAAAAAAAAAAAAAAAAAAAAAAATATATATATATATATATATATATATATATATATATATATATATATGAGGTTTCTTAGGAGCAGACATACCATAATGGTCAGAGTGCATGCTGGATTTCAGGCCCCATTCTCCTCCTCCTCAGCCAAATACTCGTATGTAGTGTGCAATCTGCAATCCAGTGATAAGATCACTAAAAAGTAGATTAACTTGGACAATCCTTGAAGAATGTGCATACCACACTGAACGCACTGAATTACAACTATTTACTGAATGCTTTTCCAGGAACGACTTAGATATCTGAGGAACATCACACAAGTGCAAGACATGCATTTATTAATTCATTCATTTGGAAAAGTATCTCTGGTGTCTAATATGCCAGGCATTGTGCTGGGCAATGGGCAAACATATCGAACTAAATTCAGTCTCTACTTTTAAGTTCAGTGGAGAGCCAGATGAAAAAAAAATAGTTGGGTGCTGACCACATTAACAGGATGCTGGGCCACCCCTGGATTGGGAGGGACACCCAATCCAGCCTTGACTGAGTAAAGGCCAGTGAAGATAAATTTTAAGCTTAGCCCTAAAAGAAGGAAATGGGCATAATAATTTAAGCTAGGGACACAGAAGCTGTCCCTGCAGACTTTATGATTTTCTGATATATAGGTTATTACGAAAAATGATACAGAAAAAAATAAGATATTAATACAAATGCTAACCTTTCTTCTGTAAATCATGAGTGTAATCAGAAAAAAAAAAAAAACCATGAAAACAGGCTGACAAAACAGTATTTTTTAGCATTTATTCAACGCATATTTACCAAGCAACCACCATATGCCAGACACTGGCAAAACAATGATGAGTGAAAACCCACCCCTGTTTTCAAGCTCTAGTGAAGAAAGGGTATTCATAAGTAATCACACAAATACACACATATAGTCGTCCCTTGGTATCCATGGGACACTGGTTCCAGGACCCCGTGCTCTAGGCTAATAGGGATTCCAAACTCTAAGAATGCAAAAGTCCCTTACATGGCCTAGTATTTGAATAGAACCTAACACATCCTCTCATAGACTTTAAATTATCTCTAAACTACTTACAGTAACTAATGTAATGTAAATGCTATGCAAATTGTTGTTATACTGTATAGTTTTTGGTTTGTATTTTTTAATGGTTATTTTTCATTTCTTTTTCATTTTTTCAAATATTTTTGATCTGCTGTTGGTTGAATCCACAGATGGGGAACCCACAGACACGAAGGGCTGACTGTATTTAAAAACAGTTGAGGAAAGAATCCTGATGCTGTGGGGATTTATAAAGGGAACATGGTTTAACCTGGGGGATTAGGTAAGGCTTCCCAGAAAACTGTGTTCAAGCTGGAATATGAAGGTTCTCAACAGAGTAAAGCAGGGATATGGGAGAATGGCCAGGTGTAGGGAGGCAACTGGGAGATGAGCAGGTAGAGCAAGCAGTTCCACAGGCTAAAGAATCTGCATGTGCAAAGACCCTGTGGCGGTGTAGAGGGAGGCATATCGTAGGAACTGCATATGCCTGTGCAGCTGGAGCACAGACAGAGACAGCAGAGTGAAGAAAGCAAGATGAAGCTGTAGAGAGGCAGGGTATACAGGCCTCAGAGGCCCACTACGAATGAGGGTTTATATCTTAACTAGAATGTCACAAACTGGGAAAGCCCTCCAACCTCTGTAGGTCACAAAGGGCTCCTCCCTCCTCCCCTCTCTCCCTTTCTTCAGAAAACACTGATTGAGCATCTGCCAGTCTACCTTGTGTGATATACTATTTTGAATACTAAGGATACAACAGTGAACAAAACAAAGTCTCTGTCCTCATGAAGCTCATAGTTTAAAGGAGGCAGATAAAGAGATCTCTAAAATTGCACAAATAGCATCTGCACCATAGGGTTTCTGTGAGAACTCTATGAGATTGTATGAGCATATAATTTATAAAATGTTAAAAAGAAAACACACCTTCATGGGTTTTTTTCTTGGATGAGGTGATAAGGCACCCATGTGGATTCATAATGTAAAAATTTGGAAATAGAAAACTGGAGTCTAGATGAGACAAAATAAAATAAAGACATCCTGACCAAGAAAATAGCAATGGCAACAACAATAGTAACTACTCAAAAAGCAAGCTGGGCTTGCTGGCACTGGGTCATACACAGATTTTTTTTAATAGTCATCTCAAAACTGGAAATGTGAGTTTTATTATCCCTCTATGAGGAAATGAGTCACAAAGAAACCAAATTCTAAGAGGTTCCATTTTATTCACAAAAATTAAAAATGCTGTAACAGAAAACTGATTCAAATTCCTGTGGCAAAAATCAGATGAAATATTAAAATTTAAGTTCTTAATTGGAGAGTACGGACATTGTTGGTTACTTCCCCACATGCATCAGCACCCCCTGCCCCACCTTTCTCTGTCCTATTAGAGTCCTGACCTGATTCACTTACACAACCATGCAAAAGTCTAGAGACGTATCTCAACTAGTTTAAATCAATCAACACATGCCCTTTCTTTGGCAACTTCACCTAAGTTGGTTCAATTCAATTGAAAACAGAGACTTGAAGTCCATCTTGAGGGGAGATATCTCCTATGCTCTCTTTTGCCCTCCCTTCTTCCCTTCTCTCTCTCACTGACTATGAACCAGGAAGCACAAGGCACACTGATGGCTGTTTTGACACCAGGAGCAAAGCCTTTGGACACTGACAGTGAGGCTGGAGAAATGAAGAGGGAGAAAGTAACTAAAAGCTATGGCTTGACCTACCTCTGAACTTCTTGTTTTTGTAAAGTGATGAATTCCCTTATTATTGAAGCCAGATTTGGACAGGTGTCATTTATTTGCAGGTAATCCATTAACCATAGCCGTTCATTTTGTATACTTCAATGTTTTATGTCTTATTGTTAAATTAAAGGGAATACCTTAAAAGTGAAGGGCTTTATCCATAGGCATCCCCAATAAGCTGATTTACTAGAAAAATTATCCTGGGTATAGATCATCACCCAGCACTTCAGGAATTAAAGGGAAATTTCCTCATTGTCATGCACACGTGCAGAGCACATGCACTCAGTAATGTGTCAGTGTTTCTAATAAAAAACATCACAGTGAATATTTATTGAGAATTTACTAAGTGTAAGTGCTTCACTGACCTCACAGACTCATTCGATCTTCACAACAAGCCAATGAGGTAAGGAGCGTCCATCCACAGGTGAGGAACCCAGGCCTACACACCACACTGCTGAAGCCAAGATCGGAATCCCACCCTGTTTGCCCACAAAAACTTGGCTCTGTACCACAGCGTGCTGACTCACACACTGTTTTTTTAAATTCCCAGATAAATTACAATAATATGTTTCCATAATAAACGTGATGGCATACAATAACAGCCATGATTGTTTACCTGGAAATTCTATCGACTTACTAATTTGCACACATAAACACACTCTGTTATGTGCAACTATATAGGCTGTTTAAAAATCAGATACCATGTTACTGAAATTTTGTTTCATTTCAAAAGCAAGTTTTCTGTTTCAATAAAAGAAATTTGACTTGGAGGAAAAGAATGAGAAGTCTTTATAAAACTTAAACATCAATACATAGCTTTTTTTTTAAAGAAAATTGTTTTTAAGAAAAGACCTTATTGAATTTATTTAGCAAGTATTTATCCAGCCTCTCCTATGTGCTTATTAGCCCTATATTAAGTGCTGTGGGAAGCATAAAGATGAAAAATACTTAGAATTTGCCACCAGTAGCTTGAATTCTAGAAGGAGAGAGATAGGGATATACTCACTATATGATCATTTTTACATAAAACTATGGAGACAATGGAGAGATGCTTCTAGGCACAACTGAAGAGTGAATAGGCTCAGATTAAACCCTCCAAACAAGCCTCACAGGAGAAAAACACATTTGAGTTTATCAGGTACAGTCTTTCCATCAACAAAAAAGTTCCAACTAAGGACCAAGACCTAAGGTGATAATGAGATAAATAAATATGAACCCTGTTAGAACATTCCTTTGAGATGTATAAGACATCCTGTTAACAAAAAAGGGGATGGGAGGTGTTGTCAGGCAGTGAAGGAGCAGGAAGAAACACTCCAGGGAAGAGAGATATTCTCTGCTAGACTCTCCACTGTGAGAGGCTTCCTAATGGGGCGCATTGCTTGCCTGTGGCATTGATTTCATAAATGGGGTCACAGCTTCTTGGGTTCAATCAGGTAGGTCAGTAGAGCAGAGAAAGCGGGATCTAGTTCTTGGGCAGTGAATACACGTTTACTGGTGAAGAAGGCAGAAGAAATATCAGAGGCATGTCCATAGGCTCAAGAGTAGCTAGCTTCCTTGAGTCACTCCTGAAGTCCATGGTACAGTGAGAAAACACCAGGAAATAAGAACAATAGCTTGAGACCACTTAGACAACTTGAAGGCCAGTGTAGGAGTTTAGACAACAGCAGCTGGGTAAGTTTACAGGAAAATAATGGTTTTATTATTTACTAGCCCTAGAAAGGTGGGCTAGTAAGTGGGATAACCACTTTAGGCTTCAGTTATTTCATCTATAAAACTGAGATGGTGATACATATTTATCAGAGTACCTTTGAGTGTAATGCGTGGAAAAATGTTTTATTAAATCTAAACTGCTGTGCCTGTATACAAAATGATCTTTGGGCAAGGGACGTGATCTTAGCTATATTTATTTACTTAGAGATGAAGTCTTGCTCTGTTGCCCATGCTGGAGTGCAATGGCACGATCTCAGCTCACTGCAACCTTTGCCTCCCAGGTTCAAGCGATTCTCCCACCTCAGCCTCCCGAGTAGCTGGGACTGCAGGCACACGCTACCACGCCCATCTAATTTTTTGTATTTTTAGTAGAGACAGAGTTTCACCATGTTGGTCAGGCTGGTCTCGAACTCCTGACTTCAGGTGTTCATCCACCTCGGCCTCCCAAAGTGCTGGGATTACGGGCATGAGTCACTGCACCTGGCCTCCTAGCTGTACTTTAGGAGGATACTTCTGGCCATTAGGCAGAGGACTGTATAGATAAAGAAATACAGGAGCAGGAAGTACAGTTAGGAAGCAAATTACTGAGAGGGAAAGGAGAAGACGGATGAACCAACTGTGGAGGTAGAACTGACAGAAGTTGAAAGTGGAGCTAAGGAAGGGAAAAGGAGCCAAGAGTGACATTAAACTTCAAGTTTGGAAAATGATGGGATGAGGGTGGGGGAGAGAGGATAACAAGCTCCCTGTAAGCACCTATGCACAATTAACGATGCATAAAGTGAGGTGAGGATTTAAAAGAGATTACCATGAGGATTACACATTGTATAGTGTTTTTATTTAATTAAAAGACCCTCTTATCCCCAGAACAGTTAATATACATGGTAAAGAACACTGCACTGTATTCAAATGCTAGCCTGCCATGTGGGCATTACATCATCTCTTTGGGTGTCAGTTTTCTCATCCGTAATTTGGTCCTCCTCCATATTATTGAAAAACGAATGAAGCACTATTAATATAAATAAGGCACTTGGAAGAGCCTCTGGATCATGTTCTCATTTTATGAGAGCTACACAACTGACTCCATCCTCAGCATCACCACTTCCTCCAGTCAGAAAATAGTTCTCTTTGTAGAATGAAGACTGTATTAGGAGTAACGCAGGTTGGGCATGGTGGCTCATGCTTGTAATCCCAGCACTTTGGGAGGTTGAAGCAGGTAGATTGCTTGAGCCCAGGAGTTTGAGACCTGCCTGGGCAATATGGTGAAACACCATCTTTACAAGAAATACAAAAATTAGCTGGGCGTGGTGATGTGTGCCTGTAGTTCCAATTACTTGGGAGGTTTAGGAGGGAGGATCACTTGAATCAGGAGGCATAGGTTGCAGTGAGCTGAGATCACACCACTGCACTCCCTGCATAACAGAGCAAGACATCGTCTCAGAAAAAATAAAAATAAAAGAGTAAAGTGCAAAAGTTTCTATGTATTTGCCCTACAGCCTGCCTGCTGCAATACATATGAAGTATCAGTGTCAGTGTGCTTATCTCAGTTTTCTGATAAAGGAGGTGTTCTGATTTGGGGCAAGAAAAATAACAATGAGATCACCTGAGTAGTCTTTACAAGCTACAGGTAAATCAAGATCATAGGCAGAGCACACTTCCTGGATGCAAGCTTTGGTCTTTCCACTAAATGGCCTATCAGGTCAGGCTCAGCAAAGGGTTGTTAATCTTTGTTGCAGATGATGAACTCACCACCTTCCAATGTCATAGGCCTCATCATTGTCTCACTCCCATGATCTCGCCCTCTTATGATACAGTTCTGCATTTCCCAGCTGAGCTGTCATGATTCACAGAGGAGTGTATGGCTGGAGTTGCTAAGATAAGATAATGGCCTTTTATGTGCAGACACTGAATTCTTCTCCACCCCTTGTACAGGGAAGACAATTTAAGTGGAAAGGAATAAATTGCTGGATGTAATACAGTGACCAAACACAAAAGCCTAATAAAAATGTCAGAAGTACATGCCCTAGAATGGCAAAGAATGGTGGAAGCACACTAAATGATGTAAGCTATCCCTTAGAAACCTATGTAAAGACACAAAATGATGAGACTAAACCATCTGCCTCATTTGTTTCCTACTACATTAGCAATTTCAACTTTGTAGTAATTTTGTAGTAATATTGTTTTATTTGCAAATTAAGCAAAACAAAATCTCTCACACACATAAATGGGTAAAAACATTGGGAGAGAACTGACAAATAATATAAAAAGTGTTGTAGGACAGCCCTTTCTTCAGGATTTTGTAAACAGAATTAATATATTACAGTCAAAGCATTGGTACAAAAAGTCACCTATGCATAAGTGCTTAGATATATTGACTGAACAAGTGTACTGATGGCTATTCTTTTTAAACTCAAACACTATCAAGAAAGAACATACGCAAAGATATTAAAAAGATGATGCTTCACATGCTGTCTTTCGCTTATTTACCATGAAGGATGATTCCATGGTTCCTTTGTTCTCCCTACCCTTTTCCTTCAACCTATGAATATTTGAGCACTCAGTGCATGTGAATACTGCTCTGTGGTGAAGGGAGAGGCATATGTATGTCCAAACCCTCACAGAATGTATAACCTATGGAAGGGATTTGGTTAGTAAGCTAATAATGACAATATAAGAATTAGCAGTTTCTATAATACACTAGAGTTAACTAAAGCAGCACATTTTTAAGTCCCCAGGCTAGAGGTTTGTGGATTCATTATGTTAAAAAGTAAGTGAAAACATCTGCATATGGGAAGGTGTCCATCATTTGGTACTGCACAGCAACACAAGGAAAGGGGCCCCATTCTCCAGGCAGGGTGGTGGCATTCTCTGAATGGCAGCAAGTTGCCCACCTAGTAAACACTGGAGCTAGGATTCCAATTCTGGCAGGTTGTTGGAAGGCCCTCATTCACTCACTCAACCTGTATTTCTTGTACATCTACTGTTACTGTCTATGTTCACAACGCTTCCACATTAATTGGAATTGAAAGACAACATAAGCAAAATACACACTGCGATATATACATGGTATGGAAACCAAAGGAGAAGAATAGATCAGGGAAGGGGAATGGGAGGGTTTGGGTATTCTGCTTCTTTAAGAAGAGGGAGCCAAAACTGATTAAGAATAGATCTTTAGGCACAGTAAAAGCTGAAGATTAAATGTGTGTGCAAATATTGGGTATAATTTGAAGTAAATTATTTATATTGTTTATTTAATATCAAGCTTTGAAATAGTTTTGACTGAGTCATACTCTAATTTTATGATTCTGTTTTCATTTGTGTCTTTTCTCTCAATATTAACAATAAATAAAAATTGGTGACCCCAAAGCAACTTACTGGGGGAACTAAGAGATGAGATGGTAATTTTCAGTAATGATTAATATTAAGTGTCCTGGTGAGAAGCATCATTCAGGTGTATTTTTAAAAGTTGCCTTTGGAGATTTATAATCATTTCTTCCATTTGTTTTTTTTCCTGTGTCTAAACCCTCATATCTAAGTTATTTTGTCTTCTAATACTGGAAAGATTGGTCTTGGCAAAAATACTGAACAAATTAGTTTTGCAATGACTTCAAAGTCCACCAATCATCTCCAAATTGTACATAAAATAAAAGCTTTTGGCTCCAACACCCTCTCTATAGAGTGAGAAAGACTCCTGCAAGTTCACACCAGCTTAGATGATGCACCCCTCATTGTGTTGCTAAAGAATGCTGTGCACAGCAGGTGTTCCACAAAGGACTTCTGGTGCTTCAATTGGCTGAGGCAGGGAAGAGAGAGACAGTTAAGCTATAAAATGTTAAAGTCCTTAAAATAGTAGTTGAATGACTTTGTGTGTGTGTGTGTGTGTGTGTGCGCGCGCGCACACAGGCACACAGGCAACACACACATATAAACAAATACCTAAAGCAAATAGTGGTGCTAAGTTAATGAAATTGTTAGAAAATATTCTAAGTTCTTCTATTTCTCAAGGCTACAACAGAATGCCGAGTTCACCTTCAAAGATGGATTGAAAAGAACAGATTTATAAGCCAATGCACTATTAAAAGTCTTACACGTGACAACGCTGGCACAAAAAAAATAATATATGTCAACCCTATATGTCCTAAATGGTCTTTAATAAAATCTCAATCAGAAGTAATAAAAAGTAACTATTCATTGGAAAAGCTAAAAACTGGTTTTGCTCTCTGGATTAACAAGAACAAACAGGAATAGTTAAGAAAGAAGAGAGGCCTCTATAGTTAAATAACTTTGAAAAACAAATTTTAAAAGGTTAAACAGATTTATTTATTGTAGTATGCCTTTAAGATTAACACACAAGTGTACACTGTAGCCACCACAGGTGATATGACTTTCATTATTTCCCAACACATTTGACCACAGAACACTTTTCTCTTGAACCACTGGAGTGCACACTGGAGGTATCACTTCTTTGAAATATAATATAAAATTAGTATAGTAATAAATAAAAGGTATTACATATTCTTGAGAATTGAAGATAAGAACTATACTTTTAAAAACCTAAAACTGAATCATATTATTTTTAAAAAACAACCCAAATGAGTATCTGGTAATAGATATCACACTTATGATTGGGGGTATAATAGTTATTTGGAAATAACAAAACTTTTTATCAAAACATGTTTACCCACACTTGAATAGTGTTCTTCAACCCAGGTGGCTTAATTTAGAAGACAGAGAAATATCTGGACTGTAATGTTGTTGTTTTAAACCACTTTTCTCTTTTTAAATTAGAGACCACTTTTCTCTTTTTAAATTAGAGTATGGCTTCTAAATGGGAAAGGATTAAAGAATAACATTTGTCCATCTGAATAAAAATCAATTATATTTATAGTTCATTATTACCCCTCTGTCACATTTACTTGAAGTTCTTCATCTGATTTTGATGAAGTTTCCCATTTTACGGCAACAGAAAGGTTCTGATGAATCAGAAAAGCACAAAATATAATGTTGGTAACAACAGTTATTCCTGCATGCCATGCTTCCCTGGGAGATTGACAAGAACTAAGGAAAAATTCTTTTCCAACCTCGTTAGACGAAAACTCTTGCTCTGAAATATGATGATGGATATACCTTGTGAATTTTTAACATAATTATTGTAGCTACAAGCGTTATTCTCATTCATACAACTTTGCTTTTTCAAACACATTATTTGCTGCAGTAATTTCCCACATCAACTAAATTCCAAGGGATGGTGTGGTGGGAGGGGAGAGGAGAAAGAGTATTTCCTTTTATCAAATGTAACTATGCTGCTTTCTCATTCCCTCACGTTCCTGTGTAATAAAAGAAGAATCCAGGGTGGTCACTTGGAGTACCTGATTAACAACTTTCCTTGAAACTATTCATTAGGTGTGGAATTCATTCCCCTTCAACAGAGGGAAAGAAAACCCACACCAAGTCAGAGAGAAGCTCTCCTCTTAGAAACAGACTCCAGATTCCTTTGCCTTCAGGGTATTCAGGTTCCACACATTCTGTTCTCCTCAAAAAGTCAGGAAAATGAATTGTCCCGGGTGCACAATGCATTTCCTAGGGAGAATTACAGAAAATGATGGTCCCTGCTTCCAACCTATTACAAAAAAAATTATAACGCAAATATGAACATATAAACCTTTATTAACCAAATCCATTATATTATCTTGATTTGCCCTGTTTAATTTTTAACTTATTTCTTCATGCTACCACTAGCGATGTTTGAGAGACAGGTGATTATTAAAACTACCTCAGTTGTACACCACTTACCTCATATTGAGAGATTATCAAGTATCAAGATCACCACTTAATAAGGCATAAGCATCAAATCTCCTTTAATCATTTTTTTAACCAGCTGGGTGCAGTGGCTCACGCCTGTAATCCCAGCACTTTGGGAGGCCGAGGCGGGCGGATCACCTGAGGTGTGAAGTTTGACGCCAGCCTGACCAACATGGAGAAACCCCATCTCTACTAAAAACACAAAAATCAGCCGGGCGTGGTGGCGCATGCCTGTAATCCCAACTACTCAGGAAGTTTAGGTAGGAGAATCGCTTGAACCCAGGAGGCGGAGGTTGCAGTGAGCTGAGATCACGCCATTGCACTCCAACCTGGGCAACAAGAGAAAAACTCCGTCTCAAAAAAAAAAAAAAAACATTTTTTTAATATAAGCCTTCAAACAATTCACATTTAATAGCAAAGCCATTCAAAATGTAAGCTAATAATAGAGAGAATAATCTCAAATCACTTATCCACAACCTAATTATCTAATTCCTGATTTATTACCATGAATAACTCCACCACTGTAATTATTCCAGGGCCTGTGTAGAGTTCCCTGTAAATTTTTGAAAAACAGAGAGAACACATCTTAGATGTATTTTGATCTCCTTCCTTTCCCTCAATTATCTTCACACATTCCCTAGAGGCTTGGAGGCCTTCTGCTAAATTCTGGTAATAGGATGGTGAACACATTGGGCAAGGTCCCTCTCTTATCTGACTTACTACATACTCATATATAAACACAGAAACTGATCCTCAAAAAAAAGCCAGTATCTTTGCTCAGCAACTGCAGCTAGTGATCAGCAGAGCTAGGAATGTAACTAGTGAAAGCTTTTTGGTTTTTTTTTGTTGTTGTTCTTTTTTTTTTTTTTTTTTTGAGACAGAGTCTCGCTCTGTCACCCAGGCTGGAGTGCAGTGATGCGGTCTCGGCTCACTGCAACCTCCGCCTCCCAGGTTCACGCCATTCTCCTGCCTCAGCCTCCCAAGTAGCTGGGACTACAGGCGCCCGCCACCACGCCCAGCTAATTTTTTGTATTTTTAGTAGAGACAGGGTTTCACTGTGTTAGCCAGGATGGTCTGGATCTCCTGACCTCGTGATCCGCCCACCTCCGCCTCCCAAAGTGCTGGGATTACAGGCATGAGCCACCATGCCCAGCTGTAAAAGCCTTTTGGCTTCTGATCCAGTGCTTTTTTCACACCTCAACATATATCATCCCAAATTCAATCTATTGGTAGTGTCTTTCTCAGGCTTAATTTCCAACTATTTCATCAAAAAGATATTTATTAGCCGACCTGTACTAGGCTGGATGCTACATATGAAACAAGGACAAATATAAGACAGGAATCTTGGCAAAGTTAATACACAGGTTACGATTAAAGAATTATATGTGACAACCCATTATATGGGACAGGAAACAGTGATACAGTTTTAATGATAAAAGGAAGCAAAAAAAGTAAGTACATGCCACTTATTATATGCCAAGTACCATAGTAAGCTCAGTTCATTTAGGAAATAATTTACTCCACACATCACTTCCATAAGAAACATACTCCTAGTATCCTCATTTTACACAAGGAAAAACTGAGGCGCTTGGCAGGTAATTGAGTGATATTCCCAAGATGACACATTCAGTGACTCAAACCCAGGTGGTCTGAATCAACCATCTGTACCACATTATAATGTACCATAGAATCAATAGTCTGTACCATATTATAATGAATGATCATGTGGAGGTAACTAAAACCATTGAGAAAGCTTTAGTAGAGGAGCTGAGGCCCATATGAGGAGGAAGGAGGAAAGAAAGAAGTCCAGAAATAATGCTGGGAATTTCCAGGCAGCAATGGGAAAATCTGCTTGCTTGAGATACGGTAGATCTGCTATGATAGCATGATAACGTTGAAGAGGTAATGCAGAACTACATTATGGTGGGTCATCAAAGCCAAGTGAAAGAGTGTGATATAAATGGGAGGTTAATTTTAACTAATCACTGCCAAGTACAATACAGAGTATTTCTCGATATTTTATTTCCCAACCTCAATACATGAAATGACTTAGAGTAACTGTCAAATATATTTGTTAGCACAGATTGTATTTAGAAGTTATTCCTATTTTTTTTAAGAGGCAAGCCTGGAGAGTTTATCTAAAATAAATACTGAAATATTTCTTTTTAGTTTCTGAGCAGAGATTTCAAAAAAGGAATGTATGAAATTTTAACACTGACTTTCTCCGTATAAAAGCACAGCATTGACTTCCTTAGTATAAAAGAAATACATGTATCTATGTTAAATGGAATTTCCTATAATTTCCCTAAATACTTATTCTTCTTCTGTACGTTTCTTAAGCACTCAGTATGCCCACCTCTCGCTTCCCCCTCCACACGCCCTCCCCCCACCGCCCCCCACCACTGGCATCACCCAATTGGCTTGGAATATCAGTTGGTATGACAAACTATACCATTTAGAATACCCTGGCTATTATATTAAATAACCAGGTTTTGTTACTCCTCTCTTTCTCTTGTCTTTCACTCTTTTATACTTCTGGACAATGTTTTGTGTTTTTTTTGTTTTTGTTTTTGTTTGTTTTGTCTTGCAACTAACTCAACCAGAAGGTTGGTCCTTACGTAAAGAAGATAAAATGTTTAAAGCGATATTCCTATTTCTGGGTTTTTGTGACAAGAGGCTGGGTAGAAAAGTCGCTTTGGGAAGAAAAAGATCAAAGTGTGTTAAAAAAAATGAGGAAAGTTTGCAGAAAGGTTGAAACTTGATAGAAGTAAGTAGAGCATATAACATCATAAAAAGTGCCTACATAATTGCTCAGTAGTGTTTTGTAAGTGAGGGTATAATCCTTAGTTAAAAGCAGGGCTTTTTATTGAGAGATTTTAACAACATTCCATTTTCCATGCACTTCTTTATCATGAATAAGACAGAGAGTGGGTTTTATCCTGAGGCATTTGAATTTAAACAACAACAACAAAAAAAAAAACAGATAAGCATTTCTGTTTCAGTGTGAACATAAACAGTGTATTTAGAAAAAGACTACATCATAATGACATGTTCATTTCTGGAAAAATTAAGAAAGATTTTACTTTAACAGCATGTAAACTGGTAAATTTTTTTTAAGTTTCATATATTTGAACATAAAGCTTCATATTCAGATAAAATGGGAATAAAAAAGATGTAAACTTTAAAGATAGTTTTAGAGAGGTACCCTTAAAGTGTTACTAACTATGCAGCTACTCTTGACAGTACACATTACATCTTCCAAATGTTATCACTCTGCCTCAAGACCATTCCTTTTTGGTTAACTGTCTCATAAAAGAGCAAGAGTAAATAAAAGCATTTTATGACGTCTAATCTTTTAGTTATTTCTAATTAAGTGAATCTGAGTTTTCATATTAATGGCATTATTCTTCCCTATTGTGTTTGTGTGTGTATATATATATATATTAATTTGGATATAGCTACATCATGATGAAAATCTTTCATCATGATGTAGCTATATCCAAATTAATGATTAAAAATAATAGAATAATGACATAACTTACCAATAGAATATGCTTGCATATGAATACCTACATTGAGGCAGATTCTAAACAATGTAACTACAGTGGTAGTTTAACAGATGCAAAATGTTTAAGTCAGTGTTCTAAACATTTTAAACTTCTTAAGATAAACTAATCAGTAATTTCAAATGTTTTACCCTAGAAAATGTATAATGTAAATTCAATCATATTTATATACTGTTTACACAAAAGTAGTGTCCAATCAAAATGTATTTTAATATATTAGTCTAGAAACTTATGAGAAGAACACCAGATTTAAAATTTAATTTAAATTAATATTTTTTTAAAGGGTCAAGGTTAAACTGTTTGTCTTCCTTAAAAAGTTTATAATGTCTTTTGTGTCTTTACTTACAAAAAAATTCTCAATGAAACTTGGATATTAAAACCTCCCAGGAAACCAACAATAAAAGCTGCTAAGAATTTCACAAGTTTTTTTTCCCCTTAGGTGTTAATTAAATGATCATTTAACACTGAAATGTAAACACAACATTTTCATCTCCTGACAGCACAGCCTATTATAAATCCGGGGTAATAAAAGTCTTGGTGTTAATGCTCTGAACCAAGTTCCCACAACACTCTAAGATGCCTTGTCGTGTCTAAGGTTAAGCATCTAGACACAAAACAAAGCTTGCGCCTACTCGACTTCCAGTCCAATTTTCCCATCGCCCAGTGACCTAGGTAACACTTTGAGCAATAAAGAATAAATTTAATTTCTCCAGCATTTTGTGAGGATTAGGAACAATTGTTGGCTTGCAATGACTTTTTATCCTTGGATTCTTTTTCCTCCAGAGCATTCCTCAGGTCCCAAAAGAGAATTCTGATGGTTTAAGACATAGAACAAACAGAACTTTAAATTAGGCTTTTTTCAATCAATTGGAACTGTCGGAGGGGAAGCAATCAACCTTTCTCTGTGCTGTTCTCAGCTATTCACATACTTCGAGCTTTAATCTTTCACTAGCAGAAGAAACCTATCATGATGGGGCAAAGCTATTTTTTCCAATTCTGTTTCCAGATTTACTTATTTCTCTTTTAAGTTTTTGTTTGTTTGTTTGTTTTGTTTTTAACACTTAAATCAAGTTGCCATACTTTGCTATAAACTTTCATTTGGGGGATGTTTCAAGAGACACAGATGTTCTCTTAATAACATTTCACACCTCTATGCTGTACCCTAGGCCATAGGTGTTGTCAAGGACTGGTCTTTTTACTCTTCACTGCTTCCTTCTCTAAGATTTAGTTTCTTTTAAAACTTCCATCCAAAGGTTTCTTATATCAAAATTTATAAAATATTTTAAGGTTAACCCTCCAGAAAAAATTCAGTGATTATAATCAACTCAGTTATAGGTAACATGTAATGAGTGGATATACACCATATAGATCTATGCTACTTTGAGAAGTACTGGAATTGTGGAAAAAAGAACAAAACAAAACGACTTCTGGTTCAAACTTGTCTCATAATGTAACATTATTTAGATTTAAAGTGCTAAAAGATTTGCAATTTTTACTGGATTTTGACATAATTAGTAGTCTAAAAATACACTTAAAATCACCTATGCAATTTATATAAAGATGACAATGTTCCATAGATCAAATCATATGTACATATTACAAAGCTAACAGAGTAATCTTATATTATTTTAAAAAATAAAATTTTTATTAGTAGTGAAAGTGTTCCTTAGCAACATATGTAAATCTTCTGAACAACTTTCAGAATACTTTACCTATAGTTTAAGGAGTTTACTCAGCATTTTCTAACATTTGTATTTTTCCTTCATTTGTCATTCAGAAAAACACATCATTAAAACAGCAATCTAAATATATGCACTAACAAATAGTTCCTGAGTCACAGTCTTTTTGTTTCTATCTGTAATTTATTTTATAGATGAATTTTAAAACTATATGAATCATCAACTGGGAGAGCATGAAGAGATCTCATTAAGAATATCCTGGCCCTAATGTACCTTCTGCAGCCAAGTAAAGAGAAATAACATGGTACAAATGCACATTTTATGTCAATTTGCTGTGGTAAGATAATTAATGTGACTACACATATTTACGTGTTACTACAGTAAGGATAAATGCAAGAGGGCTGTGCAATAGTATCAGGAACTTTGCTGACTGAGGGCAAGTTGCAAGGACATCTGAGTGACTATCATTTCCATCTTGCTTGCAATGAAAGGATGACAATAATATAATTATAGTTTCTATCATACTTGAAAATTTACAATGTTCCTTTGAATATGGAATCTAAATTTTACTGTGCTATCCCCAGAAAGTAAATTGTATGATCCTTCCCATTTTACAGATAAGAAACCTCAACAATACGGTTGTCTACTGACTTCCAAAGTTAACAGAACTGCAAGTATCTGAGTAGGCATTTAAACACTATCATTTTACACAACCTCCCTTAAGATAGAAAGTAAATTGATTTCAGTGTCTTAAAACATAAAGCAAATACATTAAAATTACCTAAATATAACTAAAACCCTACCAACCCTTATTCCTAGAAATAATGTTTATGTAAATTTCAGTCCCCAAAATTGTAACCTTGAGATTGTAGTGGCAATTTCATTATTTAAAAACTTTAAAATATTACCTGATTATGTGTATACGATATATTTTTTACATGAATATGATAGACTGAAATTCACATATTTGATCACTCTCAATGAACTCTCTAGGCATTAATTCACGCAGTATAGGTCAGACGTTAGCAACAGCTGAGGCCCACAAATACCACATATTATATAGAGCCACATATTTTGTTAGTTTCCCTTCTGAGCATTGATCATAGTATTCTACAAATTCAAGTTGGCAGTCCATAAGTACTTGTTGGTGGAGTTAGAAACATTTGCACTTGTGAAAGCAGTCGTTTAAATAAGTACAGCTGAGTGAAAAAAAAAAAAACACAGAAACTTTCTTGCATTCTTGCATTTGATTTTCTTATGCTATGAGCTATGCTGTGGATTTCACACTCAGAAGGTCCACTCTGTGTGTTGGTAACAGCAGAAACCGGACAACTGTTAGCTTTCTTTAGCAACAAGTCTATTAGTAATTCCTTTGAAGTAAAAACCATCAACACTAGATCTGGCAAAATCTCAAATATGATCTTAATCTTCATTGGATTTAGGACGTTTAAATCACAGGATTACACGTTGATTTAAAAAATAAAAGTAGAAGTAGGTCCTGCTCAGGGCTTTGCACTTTTCTTTCTTTCATGACAAGTGGTAATGGCTATTTTGAGTTGTGTTCAGATGTCCATATATCAAGTCTGTTGCCTATCTATTTGAAAATAAAGTTTTGGTTAAATAGTGGTAATTTTTTTAAATGCAATACTCCTTGTATGCCTCTATTTTTTAAGTGGCAAAAACATAGTCCCTTGGGCCCAATAAGTAATTAAAAAGTTACCTTAGTAATGAAGGACTTGGTGTTTTAATCACTGAAAGTGAACACTTTTCTAAGTTTTCTCTCTCGATACAGAGTCAATCTGTTCCCCTTAGCAAAGTATCAGTATATAATTCAGATAGTGTTTCCTTACACCAAATTAGAACACAGACGCCACCTTCGACGGAACTTTCACCCTTAGCACATGAAGCTCTTTGGCAGTCTCAGCAACAGAAATCAGCGGTAGCTATCATGGCAGCGCGCTAGATGAGTAATGATGTCGGTCTGGCTGAACAACAGTAACCGTAGCAACTGTAACCTGCAATTCCTGCACAATCACAGTCGGATTTATTGTGGCAGGGGCCAAACAGGCCAAGAGTAAAATGAAGCAGGAAACGATGGCACCTGACATCTCTAGTAGTCCACACTTTAATCAGAGCTGGCAGAAATTAATTCAAGAGAAATTTGTACATGGGCTCCTCTGTTGTATCCTGCTTTCATGGTTGACTCCAAGAAACCTATGAGACTAAACTGACATCCAAGAACTAGGGAGTTCGTTTTATAAAACATTTTATTAAATTAAGGTATATTTTGCTTAGGTGAAAAATGGATCATTTTGATTGTGTTATGTCTACTGAAACACTTCAATGTTTGAGAAACCTAGGGGAATCAAACATTTAATTGACCAAGTTATCCTTTAAATTTAATTTGGTTCTCCATTATTTATAATGCCGTCCCAGAGTTACTATTTGCTCATTCAAGTTACAAACCCTGAACCCAACAGAGATTTAATTCAATACATCAAACACTTGATGAGAGCTTCTAAAGGTCAAGCCTTATACTAGACCCTGGGGACATTAAAAAAAAGTTTTCATAATACACGTCTAAGTAGCACTTATATGTATAATCATAAAAATAATTCTAAGATAATAATTGATAAGTATAATAATGGCTATATCTGCGTAGTGAGATAATAGATAATTTTTACTTCCTATTTTCTATTTTTTTCTGAATTTCCTAGATCTTTTTTACAATGAGCATGTGTTACTCTTATAACTATTAAAAAAAAATAAGTCTCCTTCTATGGCAGTGATGGAAAGGAAAATAAAGACAGCTTAATTATATATATTTGTTATGCTGAACAAATTAATTGATTACCTTAATAAAAAAAATTAAGTTTTCCTCTTAAGAAAGTCCCAATTATTATAGTTATCAAAAGCAATTTTGAGAATCTGAAATCCTATCTGAGAGATAATGAATTATGACCTGGCCAATGAAATTAAGCAGTCAAAACCTATTTGTCTCAGGTAAGTATTCACTAGGCCATAAAGAGAGTCTTTGGCCTTAAAAATACCATTCCTAATGTTAGATAATTTAGTCGCTCCAAAACTCACTGGGGAATCATGAATGGCACTTGAGAACCAGAAGTAAAAAGTTTTCATTCAAAGAAGTAGAGAAAATGAGTCCCTGGGACAGATGCAGTTCTTTTTGTTTGTTTGTTTAGTTTTGGTTTGGTTTGGCAGATAAAAGTGAAAAATGAGTTTCTAAAAAGTGCTTTGGATACTTAAGCTTACGTTAGAAGTCTCAGTAAATATAATATACTCAAAGAAATAAACCGAAAACCACAAAACAAATATTTATAACCAAATGCCTAACCGCAGTACTACCAATGAAATTCCTCTTTAATGAGTCCAGATTAGTAGTCGCAAACTCATCAAAAAGTGTGAATCACTTACTCTTAAGCCTCTTTTAAGGTTACACTTATCAGGAAGATTTGTATTAGTACTCATAAATTTCAATCAATCATAATCAACTGTTTCAAAATTCCCTGCAATCTCTTCTTCAGTTAACCAGCTCCAGATTTCTTTAAAAATAATTTCCTCTACTCTTAGGTTCATAATAAAAATGCAACCTTGATTTTGGAGGAGGAGCAAAGGGGAAGATAGAGTCTATAAGTTAAGAAAACTTCATGCTGGCTTATTTTTTTTTTTTTTAACCTCCAACCTATCGTCCCTTATTTTAGTTTCCCTGGACTTGCACTTTCCATCTGTCAACAAGTGCTTGTAATTTTATTACACTGTCCTGTAGTTTATGCAGAGTTGGTATTATTTTACAGAGTTCTGTTAATGGACTGGATAAATGGTAATGCTATTTAAACTAGTCTCCTACTCCAACAAACACAGCTGCAACTGTACTACTATTTCTGAGCAAACATCTTGACCTGAACATGTAGTGCTCTCTCAACCCGTCCAAAGAGAAATTGGAGCAGACAGCAAAGGAAAAGCATATTTGGCCGCTAGCAGCAACCAAGTGTGTCGAATCATAATTCATATACAGTATACCCTCCTTTTCTTTTATATTGCATTTAGAGTCCATGAAAAGCATGTGTGCTTCTTCCCCTGGCATCTTATTTTCAACCACTAGTCAAAGGGCGATTATTTATTCCAAAGCTCAAAGAAAAGCAACACAATGTCCAGTATATCCAACTAGCTTTAATCTAAGCAAACAATGCGAAAAATCAAACTTCAGTGTATAAACTATGTATTAAACCAGTAAACTTTTTTATTAGTGATATACCTGGGAAAACATAGTGTTAAGTATGAATAAAGTATACAATAACTAAGAAAAGAAATTGAAACATTAATTCGTATCTCGGAACAACCTATACAGAGGAAGTAAATCCTAAATTTGTTTTTTTATGAGTTCTGCATATAGTATGCCTCTACTGCATTAGACAGTAGGGGCAACTATGGCTTGCTATATATATATATATAATATATAAATATAAATTATATATAAATATTATATATAAATTAATTATATATTATATTACATATAAATATATACTATGTATAATAATTATATATTATATAAATGTCAAAACATATATTCTATAAATATATATTTATAGAATACTTATATATTGTTTTACACATATTTATAAAACGATCATATATATATCAACTATCAAATACTTTCCTTGTCCTATCATTTTTCCCCATTATTTGTCAAAAATTCCATATCCTTTGTTCTGTCACTTGTTCTTCTTGTGAAAAAAATATGTTTTTAAATGAGCATTATAAAGGATGTTGTGCATATAGGTTTGTGCACATTTTCCCATCTGCTAGAATATTTGTTTCAGGTGAGCTACTTGGCATCTGTATCATGTGAGAAAATGTGAACTTGTACCCTTGCTTTTCATAATTACACTAGCCAGTAGTGAGCTTCACAAGCACGTGTTCCTTTGTTTATTAAAGACTTCCAATGGCAGTTGTTTAATTTAATTAATTATCACCATCATAAACAAGTGGTCACATGCAGCTTATAACTTATTCTCTCGAGAGAAAAAGCACTCAACAATTCACCTAAGTCTAATTCAGATGAAGCAACAGTTCCTTAACTCAAATTAAGATTCCTGACGTGAGGATGCAAATAAAAATTCCACCTCTAGTTTTCTATGTACATCCAGTGCCTAAATCTGATGTCAAATCTCATGTAAAGGGATACACTTTGTCAATATTGAGTGCTAGGCCATCAAGTTATATAACTCCTGAAACATAAAAATATTCACATCCCTCTTGTAACTAGCTCCACCTAACAAACACTGCTTTAGCTGTTATTACTCCCCAGGACAAATCCTTTGAGCCAGAAAGACACATAAAAAAATCTGAACACATTTTCTAGCTGCCTGTTTCCCCATTTTCCAACACGCATTTAATTAATTAGGAAATGCTGTCATAGGTTTTATGGATTCTGTTTCTTTAATTCACTTAAAGATTTCAAGTCTTTTTTCATACAGCAGCTGCATACAGTTATAAAATCATAACAAAACATAAAAGAAAATCTCTTGGTCTGCTATGAGATATTGTCAAAGATGGCAAAATGTCAAGGAGAATATAATTTGCTGATGAGGGATTCTGCAATGGATTATACCACCTTAAACTGGGGGAAATTAATCCAAGTCGATTCCTTAAAAATCTCCTCAGTCACCAATAACTAAAGGTGAAAGTGAAATACTATCAAAACCAATTCTATGGCCCTTTTTAGAAACTAAGCACAAATATTTAGATATAATTATCTACTGATATGCATACCTATAATCTTTATAGCAAACCTACACCCTATTTCCTAAGTAAAAATAGTTATTAGATAATTTTTGTTAAAAATGCAATTCCAAGGTTTCTTCATTTTATTTTTAAAATTTACTTAAATTGGTCCAATTGAGCAGCAGGGAACACAAAAAAGAAGAGAAAAATGTCAGGTGATTTTAGCTATCCTTAGAGGAACAAAGTCAGGAAAGACTCTGGAGAGATCTGGTATGTCAGCTGGGGAATATCTCCCTATAGTAAGTTAAGGTTGTTAAGGTTTCAGGAGGATGTAACAAAGATCCTGGCTATTCTTGGGGGTGAAGGGTGTGAGAGGACAGTCCTCCTACTTCTGGAATTGATAACCACATTGAACTAGTAGGCTACAAAGACAAGTTCAGAAAAAGGAACTATGCTCACTTTCTCTACAAACAGTACCATATGGGACACCCACCATCCAGGTGGGGGCTAATGGAGCAATTTACTCTATACATTCCAGCAGTTTTTTTCACAACATGCATATACCTCAATAATCATTGCTATTTATTTTTCCAAAACTTTGTAGCTTATCTCCCATCTGCACAAAGTCATTTCATATGGCTGAAAATCTCATTTTAAATGCTTTCAAAATGTGTTTTCACTATTACACATTAGGTCAGTGCAAAAGCATTCCAGGGAGGAAAAAGTGATTCCCCCTAATACTCACATTATGCTCCTTTAAGGAATTACTTCCTTTAATAGTCTATGACGTATTTGATATGAAAACCTTGCCATACAGTCATTCATATTGCAGAGGCTGAAATTGTGGCTTTAAAGGAAACATTTAAGAGGAAATTTACAGCCCTCTTTAAATACCTTATAATAATATTTCGGACTAATAAACACGACTACTTGAGCCCAGAAACAATACCAAAAAAGCTGACATTAAAAATCTCAACTTTATAAGAACACACTGCCAACTTCCTCTTAAGAGGAAACAGTAGCAATTTTCTCCCTTCAGAACTTAATCAAACATTTCCATTAAAAGGTAGGTAAATCTCGCCATCATCACGTTACCAAAAAAATAATAATAATCCAATTTCCATAACACATACATAAACCGCTAAATCCTAACCAAATAAAACAACTGGAACCACTAGAAAACAAATCATAAATTTCCTAAAGAAAAAACACAAACTTTTAATCCATTAATCTATTGATGAACAGATTCCAGGAAAGCACACACAAACAGATCCAAAATACATTTAATAAAACACAAGGTACTACCCAAAGCAACAATAACTATTTGTGTCTACTTACAGCCTGTATAGCTTCGCAGTCCCAAGAAACAGCAACTCAGGAAACAGCTGAAGGTGATTTCTGTTTAAACGCCTTTTGAGAAAACAAAAACAAAGCTTATGTTACATAGAAAATACCCAACAATGAGACTGTGATTTGGTAGTGTCATGCCTCATCCTGTATTTCAGAAAAGAATGAAATGACATTCAGGAGAATTCAAGCATTGCAAATCAAAAGTTGGTTACACCTTTTGTTACATGACTCTTTACAGCAGTTTTCCATTGTGCTTACTAAGATGATGATTACTGGGGTCTAAACTTTAAACTGAAATCCTGTGCAACATCAGTCAACCAGAATACACACAATGATAAAGGATTTTTGTGATTCAGTCTTAGGCGCCTAAGGTAGGTGACTTCAATATCCAGCAGAAATACCACAGTGAATGGTGTCTAAAATAATCCATACACAGTCCCAATTGGCCTAAAAGTTCAGCCAAGGAATTGTGGGGAGATGGAAATTTCAACTTTCTTAGCTTTTCATTTAGTTGGGAGGAAAAAAAAAAAAGGTGTGAGAAATTGTCAGCATGATTTGTCCCATAGGCAAAATCAGGAGAATACCAACCCAGAGTTCAAACCTCAACCCACAGCTTCCAACCCTTAACTGAATTTAAGGCTCAGCATTATAACTAACAGTTGTGTCAAATCAGTTTCAGTAATGTTTTAAAATGTCTAAGTAAATTGGAATGTTTTAAATGTTTTAGAAAAGAGTGTGATTGCAACTGTAACTCAATTTAAGCCCTGATGCTTGGTATGCACACCTATTAAAGAAAGAGTGGGTAAATACTATCTGTGATGTAGTCATATCCCAATCCCATCTGTTTTCAGTGTACAATTTAACATTTAATTTAAAATAACTGTCTATTTCTCTGCTTTTCCCAAATCTAAATAAAACGATAAAGAGCTGATGTAACATTTTGCACTCAAATGACTTACAAGCTGCCTAGCTCGAGAGGAGTAGAGGCATATTATATAGTATAGTTTCTGGATATAGTTCCAGAAGGTAATGTCACACTGAGGAAACCAGAGGTATTTCTTAAGTTTTAAAGATAAATAGTAAAAGGGACAGGAAAAGAGGGCATATCAATCTTGACATATTGCAAGGGTCATCGGGTAGATGCAGAATTATACTTATTTAGTCTCCAGAGGGCAGAAATGGGCCCCTTGATTGTAACTCCTAAGAAATTTGATTATACAGAAGACCTTTCTAAGAATTAGCTATTAAGAAATGGAAACTCTCAACTGCTTATCTCAAAATGTATTCAAGCAGAGGCTATGAATTTTTTTTGGAAAATGATATAATTTTTTAAAATCCTGTAAGTGAGAAGCGAGACCAGGTAAACTTCAGAACTTCTTTCCATTCTAAAAAATGCCATGAAGCAATGATGGCACCATAACTTTATGTGAACTCAGAAAGAAGTTGATCATCTACAGAAACATTCTCAGGCCTTAATAAAATGCATACTAATAAAAAAAAGTATGCCAAGACAAGTAGAGGCAAATAGTAAAATTAGTGGTAAAGGAGTGAATTTACTTCCCACTTACACGCTAATTTTTTAAATGAAGCACATAACAAGGTAAAATTTAAAGTCAAATCAAAAGCTTTCATTTATTTGTTCTCTGTTAGGTATGATTCTGAAGACAGTGTACTTCCAGAGTCTAGCATTATACAATTTCAATGAAATGCAGATTGTTACTTTGTTGTATTTCCCTCTAAAAATATATTACACATATTTGCAACAGTGGTAATGAGATTTTTTTCTAGGAATGCAACCACTCTTGGAAGGACCTCCATTGTCCAAAGAGCCAATTCCAATTTCTAAAACATCAGAAATGAGCTCTCATGATGTAATCCAAACCACGAGATTTACCAGCCTCATTTGTTATTCTCTAGCCAGAGCAAGCATTCTCGGCAAGCCCCTGGGCCCTGCAGAGGCAGTTCTCTTTATGAAGTGCTTCTCCTTTTCTCCAAATGGTGCTTTCTTACATCCTCTGTGAACCTTCCCCTGATTCTCCTACAAAAAGTTAGTGCTTCTCTTGGCTGTGTCCCCACAGCATTTGATAAGCAAGAGTCCCTTACACTGTGTAATATTTATTCATGTACTGGTCTCTTTCCCACTAGACTGTGAGCTCTTCAAGCATAAAGACTAAATCTTTGTATTCCCTCCCTTCTTCCCTGGCACTTAGTAAGTTCTGAACCATATGAAAAGCCAAAGAGAGCAGCCTGCTCTCAGTCAACATTCCCTAATCTCTGGCCCTTAGTAGGTTCTTAGGAAATGCTGAATGAGAACAGATTGTTCTCTTAGTATTTTGATATATTTCAGCAAGGCCCTAGCATTTACATTTTATATTAAGCCAACATTCCTCTGGCATCCTCCCTGAGGCACCTGCCTTGGGTTTGATGCCATTCTCTGGCTGTCAAACCTGCTTTCACATGCCCCAGACAATAGTTTCCTCCTTTCCATTCCATCAACATCCTTGATGATGTGATTCTCGGCATCACCTAGAAGCTGGAAAGAATTCAATGTGTTTAAACAAATTCAGAGATATAAGTGAGTAACAGCTGCTACCAGCTTTCTTGTTAACGAGTCTACATCAGTATAGTTTCATATATTGTGAGAAAGCAGATTTTTCAGACTGGATACAAGAAGTGGTTTTTTTTTTTCTTAATTATTATCCCTTTCTTATTCCCAGTGGTTCCTAATTCACTGTGTAACTAATAGCTAACATGTGTTCTAATTCACTGTGTAAGTAATAAGCTTACTAGGTGATGGTCACTATTGAGAGGTTTATACAAGTTATCTCATTCACTCCTCACCACATCCCCATGAGTAAGTACAATTCTCACTGCTGTTCTGGAGAGAAGTGCAGAGTTCAAAGACATAAAGCTAGGGCCTGAATAAAGGTGGTATGACACTAAAACATACCCTCTGAATCACTCCTCTGGAAAAAATATAGTCTAAACATTCCTAAACAATAATTCAGAATAATATAATGCGGAAGCTTTCCTTTTCACCTGTATTCCCTGAGGCAAAACATAGATTTATTTGATCCATTTCTTAAATATCTATGAACTAAGCAATTGTAAATACAACAAAGTTTTATTTTTTAAAAAAGCTAGCTCTACGTTCAGCTCATGGTTTTAAACACCTGTTGAAAACTAGGTATTTTAAATTTCAGAAAAAAAAAACTGAAAATATATACGAAGAATTCTTCTCTGAATTGCAGTACTTTATAATTATTTCATGAAAGTTATTATGAGTGATCTTTATATGTCTAAACCCACCAGATACGTTTCTGTTTTTAGGATAAGACAAGGTGGTATTGCACAAAAAGGACAGATAACGTAAGTAATGTGGTAATATGGATACAACAAAACAGTATACGTTTCCCTTTTATTGTCTTTAAAGCAGTATCAATACACATTTGGCTCCACTTTTTCTATTCTCTCTTCCATCCATACTAAGGTTAAATGGTTATACAAACATTAACAGAAAAAGCAAAACTTTCAAAATATTAAAGAAAAATTTTAAAGGATAGCCGCCTGTGCAATCACCAGAAATTAAATCCTTAAAATAAAGAGCATTTATTTAAAATTTAAACTTATTTTAAAGACTATTAAGGTATATAACAATTACTAAACAGAGCTAGAGAAAAAGTAGCCTAGCTTCTAATTGTGACAGAAATTTGCTTAACAGCTTGAAGATGATCGTGTCAGAATAAGATCTCTAACGTAAATGAGTTGAAGTTAAATCTGATGGTTCCAGAACAGGAAACAGCATGTAGTGAATTAAAGATATCACAGAGGATTATTTATGGGAGCCAACATAAATTAGCTTTGTTAAACAGACCAGGTGAGTCAATTATCATTGTTGAGAGCACAGACACTCAATGGTATCAAAGGAATGACAGAGATATAGTGATATATAAGTCATGTGTCATCACCCCTCAATGGAATCTGCCCACAACATCCCAGAAATGCTTGATAATTCTCTAGATGGCAATTCACAGTTTCAGAAAGGTGTGTAATGTATGTCTCTGAGATACTTTCTCCCAGGGCAAAGATGAGAAAGGATTCCAGTAACTGTTTGCTCTGTGCTACCAGCTATTTTTGAGTTTGACTTTCAGAAGAGAGAATGATCTTTCTGCATTGCACAAAACACCACTGGCCTCTGAAACACTGATTCTTAACAACCTCAATTTGAAGGGCAGCCTGAACGTATTGACAAACATTGTTTTGAATTATTATCTGCCAGCTGTGTCTATGACTCTTGTCCTTTAGCAGAGGTCATAGTCTCTTACTTTTTGCGACTTTCACCTCAATTCAATTAATGTTCACAACCTTCCATCTAATTCAAAACGTAATATGAAAACAGTTTTACCAAAGCCAGTAAAATTTTGTGCTCCATATTTACATGTCATATTTACATGTAAATATAAGGTGTTTTTAGCAGCGTGCTAGGTCTGTAATAAATGTTTGATAAATGCTGCCTCAAAGCCTACCATTTCTAACCTCCTATTTCTCCTACATGAATGATCAAGCATAAAACTATTTAGCCTCCTCTTTTGCCACCTTCTCAGGTAAATTTTGACTTCTCTTATAAAAATGTTTTTATTTTAACACTTTTAAAGCACAGATTTTAAAATTTATTTTGTATTATGTAAATAAAATAAAGTTTACATCTTCAGCAGTGATATCAATGATAACTTAATCCCTTGTATTCCTTGCTAGGGATGTCAATACTTATTAGCAAAATATTGCTCCCTCTTTTATCCCCTTACTTCCCGGTATTTCTCTATAGACTCAGAGAGACTATGAGAAACACTCTGAAATAACCATTGAAGGGTTGTTAAGCTTTTCTTCACATCTCTTCAGTTGACCATATACTACGTTAGGAAGAACATTTTTTAAAAATGTAAATATGGTCGTAAAAAGTCAAATGGATCATATATACACTTTAGCAGCTAAGATAAAATAATTCCTAAACTCAGCTATTGAGAAATATGAGAGGTATGTTGAAATGCAGAATAATAGTTATTTAAGTGCTGTGTGCCCAGCATTTTGTGAAGCTATGCACATTATCTTACTTATTGCCACTATGAGATATAATGATTATCCCTGTTTTAAAGATGAGGAAATTGAAGTTTTGAAAGATGAAGCAAGGTGATCAAGATCCCTCAGTGGAATTAAAACCAAAGATTTTCTGATATCACTCTTTTCTAGCGTTTCTGATTTTAAAAGGAGAAAGGGGAGCTTGTATCTGGTTAGAAACCACAATCAACAGTACAATTGATGTGTATTTGCCTGGTATTCCATGAGACACCAAGCATCAGTAGATAAAATAAGATGTCGAAGAACAGGGATTTCTAGATAATCCACACTCTGTGCTTTTACTCTAGAACCTCAAACTGCAGCAAAGAGCCAATGCTCCAGAACTGTCCATCTGTATTCAGAGTGTATGGACATTGCAGAGAGGACACACAAATAATTTTCTGTAAATATTATCGTAAAGCAATATTGATGAGATCAAATCACAGCCCTATTATCAAGCTTTCGTTCTGAAAGCATTTTCATCAATATGCTTTCCAGTCCAGCAGATAACACTTGGTTTGAAAAAACATAATGGCAATATATATGAAGTCCATGCAGAAATGTCTCTCTTTCCATGTCAAGTTGTGAAATTCAGTCTAGAAGACACAATTCAAGCAGAAAGGTATCCAAAAGAAATGAGAGAGGGAATTAAATGTAAAATATTTGACACTGGCTGCTTCCACAAATACATTGTAACAGTGCAAACTAAACTACTCATTTCAGGGGAGGTATAAAGGACACGGCATCCAGCAAACACTGTCACAAAAGAGGACCCAAAACAGATGTGGGAAAAATAAACACCCTCACTGCTTCAGAATTTATAAAATGGTCGACAAAGAGCAAACGGGCCTTCTCACCACCATTAAACTTCAAGGCCCATAAAAACTGTTGCATGAGAAATTCTCTCAGATGGATTCAATGTTCTGCTAAACTTGTAACAGCGCACAGGGATTAAAGCTTTCTATGACCAGCGTCAGTAAACCTAATTTAAAATTGACCACATTGCTTACGAATAGGTGAACATCATTGGCATATAATGGCTATTATATCTTTTGGAACACTTATATTTTATGCTATGTGCATACTCAGCCTCTGTTAGAGTTTGATGTGTCCTTTAAAGAGACTTTCCAAGAAAATGACTGCCATGATTTTAAACTTGTGTGGAAAGATACCAGAAAACAATTCTTTTGAGATGGGCTTGAATTCTTTTCCAAGAAGATTAGCACCGTTAGACTGTCATTCTGTTAAGAAAAGGTATGTGTTATGTGTTGCCTATAAACTTGTCGGATTAGTCAGAAGAGACTAATCCTTGATAAACAGAGAATATATCCAGATCCTTGATGAACACAGGATAAATGATGCTTTCTTTCAGACCTGTTCCACAACATATTCTCTACTTGAACTCATGTGTAAAGACCTACAACAAAAACCCTACCAACATCATACTTCCTCAGCCTCACTCACACTGTCTGTCCCATGCTTAGGAGTGATATGTGTATGCAGGGAGAACTAATTCAGCATCACCTTAAAAAAAATAAATTTGTCTTTTACATACCATCTCATTAGAATGTAGTGTTTAGTCAAATGTAGGCTCCACTGTAAAGGGACTTAGACTTTTCTAATTTAAAAAGAATATGTTCTTTATATCAACTTGCTGGAAACTTTAAATGTCTAAGTTAACAGCTTGACTGTTCAAGATTCCTTACATGGCTTTATCATAATAATATTTTCAGAGCTCATTTTCAAGCATAAATGAGTATCAAATGACAAAGCTAGTGGGAAAAATGTCATTTCAAACCCAATTATACTAACACTAGGAGAAGTTAAAGCAATATTTGTCTTAAAAGCACACATTTACCAAGTATTGGTGGGAAAAGATGAACACTCCACATGCCTGCCTTTGTTATTTCCACAATTTTCTTATTTTAAGGTTACAAGATGGTTGCGGTGTTCACACAAAGCCTAATATCCAAGACTTTTCACAGTATGCTACTGATTCTTACCAACATAACCTAGGCATATATGCATTTCACTTTTCAGTCTTGGAGTAAATAATAAAACATCCTATAACAACCCTAAAAAATTTCAAAAACTTTCTCATACTTTTGCATTTGTATTATCAAGGAAATTTCAAAAGAAGATTGTTTTCACTAGTGGAACCCTGACATGATCTGGGTCCCCCTAAAAGACCATAAAATAGAAGTGAATGACTGTAGTATCTAATCCCATAAACAGTGTGTGAACAAGAGAATTTTACACAAGCCCACAGCATTGCTGGGTCCCAGTGTTATTTTTTTAACCCTCTAGGACATTATGCAGCATCCAAAAAAAACTCAAATTAATAATTTTGCATGGAGAATTTATTGCAGATATACACAGGTATCTTCCTTGAGGTATATAAAAGAAATATACTTCCTAAGTGTCCTGATTCTTACTGCAGCTTATTTGTGACTTTTTTATCCGAATTTCCATTGAATTAACTGGTCATCTAGGTAGAGTACATTTCATTTGAAAATTTTTTTGATTAAACAACAGGAGACCTGCTAATACAGTCTATATAAGGCACATACTGAAGGCTTCATTTTCATCCCAGATAAACAGGTACCACTAGCAATACAGAGCATCCTAGGAAATGTGACTCTGCACATGTTAGGTCTGAGAGTGCAGAAACAAACTGTCAAAACAGAAAATAATGTGTGCTCGTGGTATGCAGACGTGATTACAACTTCCTCCTTTTACAGTGATGCACAACCACATTCTGACAATGATGTGTTATCTCATGTTGTAAGAGAATGGAGGAGAGGGGAGGGAAGGAGCTAGTTAGAGAGGTAAGGAAGAAAGAAAAGAAAATGGAAGAAAAAAAGAAGGAGGTGAGGGAGAGGAGGAGGAAAGAAAGGAGGAGGTATTTTACTATTAACTCCTTGACAGTTTATCTGAAAATGTTGTATTTCATCCACTCTTTGAAAGGGAAAACTATCTTTTATAGCTATAATGTTTTGATTTGCAAATAATGACTTTGCCATTCCATGCTACAATTAAATTCAAATCAACAACATGACTGTTTCTTGCAGATTAAAAAGCTGAATTTTTAAAAGGTACAGATCTTTATCTTCTGTTTTCAGATTTTTCTATAGATCAAGTTAAAAGTCCATCAACATAAAATAAAAGAAAAAGAAAAATGTATAACTATGAAATATTCACAAAATGTAATTTAGAATTATTTTATCATTTTAAAATGAAAATAACTTAAAACCATAAATTACACAAGAATAAAATTAATGTTTTTATTTTATTTTGTTCTTCATACAAGGAATAAAAATTAAATCACTATTCAGTATATAAATGGGATTTACAACATAAACCTAATTTTATACTTTTTTCATAATTGAGTTCCAATTTTAAATTTCACAACTAAATTCTTAAAAACCATATAAATTTACACAATACATAATAAAAAGCTAATTTATTGATTTCTTCTTGTCTCTCACATTGTCTCTTGCAGCTTTTGAAAAAGCAAGCAATTTTTTGGTGTTAATGACACTGACTAAAATAAAGATATATACCACAGGCCATAGCAGTTTGATTATGGAACTCTCTGGGTAGTTTTGGGGTTTTTGTAGTTTTTATTTTTTAAATCAATACAATGAACAAAATTTAAAATAGTTTGTTTCACAATAACTTGAATGCATTCCTTAGCAAACCTGCCTTGCCATTTAATGTATTTTTAAAAAATAAATATTTGAAAAGTGTATCCACAATGTTCCTAAGAAATGGTTTTGAATTCCAGAGTCCAAGGAAATGAATTGGCTGTCAGATAACAATGTGCTTCCATCAGATGGATTTGGCAGTTGTAAACAAAAGGAATTTTCTCAGCTTTTCCTCACAAATATGAAATATTTGCTCTTGGCCAACAGCTGGGGTGATTTAAAGAAGTCCTGCATATATATTAGTTTTCATTCAGAATTACAAATCCTCCTCCCACTCTGAAACATCTGACTTAGTCTTAGTAGAATAGAAAATTGTTCTGAGATGAAGTGACATTCCCAGAGGAAGTAAAAGTCAAAAAATAGTACCTACTTACAACTCTAATCAAATTTCAGAGCATATAGCATCTGGTTAATAAGTTTTAGGAAAAGTTAATTTATTCAAGATGAAAGTTCAGACAACACTCTGAAGTGACTTGAAAAAGAATGAGAAAGTTTGTTTAGTTCTAGTGTCCCTGAAAATATTTAAAACAACAATATAACCAAAATAGAGACTGCATAAAAAGCCATCAAAACTCCTTCAATGGTTTGGAAGTTAACAACTAAACTCAAGATACTTTCCTGTGGTGACTAAAAGTTATTCTTGAAAACATAAAGTTTAAATGATAATTTAAATTATCTATTCATTTTACCAAACATTTGAATTATATTGATGCTTTCTTAAAGATTAAAATATCTTTGCAAGTTACTTACTAGGAATTAGCTAATCACATAGTCTATCAAGGAGATCAAAGAATAAATACTTTCAGAGTATTTTTTATATATTTAGAGATAGGCTATGAACTTATAAGCTTTGTTATGAATGCAACCAAATGTTTACCAATTTTAATTTCCCTCTAAAATTAGTTGAAAGTAGTGATTTTAAATTTATTTTGAATTCCACAATTATAGTCCTTGTATTGTAATATTTAACATAGAGAAAGACCAATAGTAAAATAAAGTAGACATTTCTGTGTTTTACTTGAGGTGATAAAAATATAGTCTATATATTTATAAATATCTTGGAAGGGGACAAACCATTTTTCTACTTATGGACAATTACAGGGAATTAACTTCTGCCCTTTTGCCCAGTGAACCTGAATATGTGTTAAGCTTAAAATGAACATTAGATTTTATTATTTTTTGAAAAAAATTATTTTTACTTAAAGTGACTATTAAGGCAGGCATGAAAACTTATTAAAATAATTGTTGTTTCTTTTACTAGAGCTTTTCTTTGCCTTCAAAATGCAAACATATCAAACCTGAATAATCAAGGCATGTAAGACATACAATTCGTACTTCAATTACAAGGTCTGTAATTTATCTTAATTATTTCAGACAGAGGTTTTGTCTTTTGCAGATATATACTGTAAACATTTTTAAAGTCCTCAAGTAATATGTAAAAAACGTATCTTAAAATCTGAAGTCTACATTTAATCTTCTTGGGAAGAAAACCAACTTTGAATGACCACAATTTGATAACACAGTTCTTACTTTCATAATGTTTAGATTATTTTTCCAGAATAAATATTTTTAAAGCTAGGGCCAAATAAAATAAAACTGAAAAGTAATTATTAACAATAACAATGTTCACCACGCTAAATATAAAAAAGTAAATCTTTATTAGTAAAATATAAAATATTTCATCAAATGTCACTGATAACACACAAAGCACCACCATGAAAATGAAAATAACAATTAGCAAAACTTCTCTCTTCCCTAATGCACCATTAACGCAAATAAAAGTACCACCTTTCTTCCTACATGAGCAAATAAAACAAATCAAATGAAGAATAAGAAATGCTTGTACATCTTTAAGTACCAAAGCAATGATTATCAAGGAAATACATGTCTCAGGAAAGTAACTGTATTTTTGAGCTTAATTACAAGTTAGAACTTTTTATTCAGGAACTCTATTTGTCATAAATTAACCTGAAAACCACTCATTCATCCTCCTTTTTCTGCAAAATTTCAAACCCTAAGACATGAAATTGAAGACATGATGCTTGAAATTTAAGTATTTTTAAAAAACACAGTTATGTTGTCATAACTTTGGAATTGAAAATACTTACAGTCTCTCTAGTTCTTTAAGATCCTGGAATGCTCCTCTTTCAATGGTGCTAATCTTATTCTCCATAAGCTGACTGAAATGCAAAATATAACATGCTTCTTAATGTTACCACTCACCATCTGAATAAATTTCAATTCAGCAACTGAAAACTTGTAAACTCTTTCCCTTTATAAAGTTAAATTGTGCTCTGATTTGAGATCCAATATCAAATTTAATAATAATATATCTGAGTGAACTCATGGAAGGGAAATAGCAGTGTCTGCATCACAAAACTTAATACAAATGCAGTTTCTCATGAGATTTACTGGTCAAAACTCTGACCCTTAAACTAATAGTATATCTGAAGAGTAATCCTTGACACTGAAGCTTTGATAGCTTTCTTTGATACACTGGTTTTCAACTTAACCAAAGAATCAAAATACAGTAATTCATCATATACATACTTCAATTCTGACATGGATACACATCAGCAACTGGAATAATTTGTAATGACCAAAATGTGTCTCTTAAAACTTAGAACACTGAATGCACAATGGTCAAAACTGTATGGCTACTGGGATGTCAATATTTACAATCCTGTGGGTGAGAACAATTTAACATTACATTGACTCGCAAGTGGTGGTTTACTCACAGCTAATTTAACCCACTAATTAAAGAAGTAATCATATTGCAACAATTTTATAGAAGCTACAAAGACACAAAATATAAAAACTCAAAATATGACTAATGTATCATTATAAACTCTGCTGAAAATTTGAATGGTTGATTTTAATGCTTGATATTAGATTTTCGCAAAAAAATAAGAATCCTTTTGTTATCAATAATAAAATACAGATCCACTTAAATATTTTAGTTAATTTCAAATCCTAAAAGTATCAAATGTTTCTTATTACTTATTCATTTTGTGAAAACAATTATTCAACATTTTTATATGCATAAAGCGCTTAGGGTATGGTATAACAAAGATCTGAGGTCATTTCTGGATTATTGGTTCTATGGCATGCTTCCAACCTTAAAATAAAAGCCCCAATTTTTATTAAATGTTGTAGTACAATGATAAACACAGAAAAAAGGAAAGCATGACCTTTTAAATGTTTTATGTTACTGTCATCAGAATAGTCATAAAAACTGAGGCCAGTAATGATTCAAAATATGCAACCTTAAAAAATTATTTAAAAATACAGAGGATGCACTTACAGAACTCTTAGATGTCTAAGACCAGCAAAATCTGTCTTCGTAATTCTTGTGATGTTATTTCCATTTAAATCCCTAAGAGAAAAACCAGAAAGTGAAAGTTCCATTTTATTTCTATGTTTACCTGCTTCAAGTAAAGTTTAGAGTAAATCAGAACTAAAAGTTAATTCAATTACTAAAGTAGTATACAAAGTATGTAGGAAGGAGAAGAGGATAACCTTTAAAAGGATATTTTTAACATGACTCAACACATTTACAAGGTTCATTCTTGCTGGCATATGACAAGAAAATGAAGTGGTTACATTATCACAAAAAAGTTTTCGTTTGTTTTGTGTATGGGAGAGTCCTTTCCATTTTTGTTTCTGTAAGGATTGTATATTAATTTCACAGGTATTCTGCTATTTTACTATAATTGTTAGGCACCCCCCCCAAAAAAAAAGTTCCCTTCAGGAGGTTAAATGCCCAATTTTCTCATGCTATTCAGGAAGAAATTTTATAAAAATTCAGAACACTGTCCTTAGGTAGCATGGTGGCGAAACTTCCTAAGGCACAGAAAAAAATTAGTGCCATCAAAACAACTGCACTTCAAAGACTTGCATTCATAGGCATTTACCTTCCAACAATTCTGTTTGTATTAAAACTTAATTCTTCATTTGCAGCTCAGGGAACCCCGCTGTGATTGTAAAGTGAAAACTACTAACAGGGGCAAGAATGGAAATAGTATTCAGGCCCTGACATTTTTGTTCAGATTTCTGCAGCACTTTTCCTTCAGGAGTCACGATCTCCTTTTCTGGCATTTCAGGTCAAGATCTAAACTTGCCCTGGTTCCAATCACTTCAAGTAAAACCAGGCTTTGCTGCGGTTTGAATGCTCTTCATAGAAGTAAGCTCTATATCACCTTTGACTCTACAACATCATGTTTGAAATCTGTATTCAAACTGTTTCAATGATAGAATTTTACAAGTCAGCACCCAGTAAACTATTTTCTGGAAACTTTTTGTTCATCCCTCATAAGGATGTATATTTTTTCAAGGACCTGAAATTCAATTGCTACGCTCCCCCCTCACCCCCACCCACCCAAGTGCATTCCCTTTTTGTTGAGTAAGACATGTTCGTGCTTAAACTTTAAACTGTTCTGAATAGCATGAAATGACAAGTGCTAAAACAGAATTCTGCGTGGCTTCTCTTCCTTTCTACTCAACCCACTTCTCCATGCTAAGCAGAGTACCATTCAGTTGTTCCTAAAATTGTTGGGCTATTCGATATAACACGAATCTCCACCCACCACCCTACACAAATGTGGATCGAATCCTGACAAGGCACCCCTAGTAGAGCCCCGATTTGGCCAGCTCGGAGAGGTGAGAAAGGAGTAAGGGTAACCTAGTGAGGCTGGGGGTAGAAGAGCCATTTGCAAAGCAAAAGGTGGCTCAACTTGGGCCTTAAAACTAAGGGCGAGAGAAATGGGTTGGATAAGAAGGGCGACTTGAAGTGCAATGGGCTGCGCGGGTGGAGACGTGCGGGTCAGAGCGCCTCCTCTCCACGGCCCGAAACCCTTACACCCCGGGGGCAAAGAGGCCGCGGGACGAATCCAGACGCGCTGGCCCCTGCCGGCCTAGCCCCGCGCCCTTCGCTTACTCCCGGCCCACACGCAACCGCGAGAGCGGAACGTGCCTAGGGCGGCCGGACTGGCGCGGGGCGGCGGCCTCGGCGTTCACAAAGAGAACGGCCTCCATGCTCCACTTCGCTGAACTCTGGAAGCGCCTCATCAGGAGCGCGTGGGCCGTCAACACCGGGTCTGCATTTACTTCTTCATTAGAGACTCGCAAAGACAGGGAGGCGGGGACGTCTGCGAGCAACGGAGCGCGAAGAGGGGAAGGCAGGGGAACTGCTGCCACGTGAAGGGGCGCAGAAACTGCCAGAAAGGTGGATGGGGACGCAGGGGTTCAGCAGGAAGGGCCGGAGGGGGCAGCCGGGCACCGCCGGGTCGCCGCAGTGGTAAGACCTGGTTGGGCTGGTTTGCGCTGGAGAACCAGTGCTAACTTCGCTTAACGGATGGGACACGGTCCTCCCTCGCAGTCGCCCGCTGAGACAAGTCCCTAGGGGCCTGACGCCGTCTTCCCCTCCCCGGAGAAGTGGGGGGCGGGGGGCTGCGCGAGGCTACTATGCGAGGTGTCGCCGTCCTGGGGCACCCTTCTCCCCGCGACCTGTGAGAAGCACCCCCAGGCACTCCATGACCCCTTCTTCCTAACCTTCGCCCCCAGGAGGGTGACAAAAAATCGGGGAAGGCAAGTTTCTCTCTTTTGAGTCTCCCTGCTATCCCCTCCGCGCCAGCCTGCGACAAGAGCGAGGACTGGGCTCTGAAACCGACCTGGATGCTGGCAATCGCAAGGTGACTCCGTTTATGGACTCTGGAGAACAAAGTGGCGTCTCACTTGCCCCGGGCATCCTCCAGTACTTGTCCCCTATCTACCCGCTCCCCAGCCCCAGAGAACTAGCCAGCAAGGAGCTGCGAGTGGCGGGACGAGAGCAGGGGAGGGAGAACTAGCGCAGCTGCCAGCGGACCCGCCCCTCCTTGGACAGAGGCCCTTCCCTGGCCAGTGCCCTCCCGGAGAGCTCAACCCCAGGATGTGCATGGGGGAGAGCTAGCGAGGGCTGCCCCAGGCACAGGACCCTGAGCTGACAGGTTCCTCCAGTGGAGGCAGGGGTGCGCGGCCCGGATGGGGAGAGGGGAAGACGAAGAGCGCATACTCACAGTCTCTCGGTGTTGCGGGGGATATTCCTGGGCACGCTGCGCAGCGCCAGCCCGTGACAGTCCACTGTGCTGCCCGAGCAAGAGCACTGCGCCGGGCACGCCTGCGGTGCCACCTTGTTCAGGATCGCCAGCACTAACCCCAGCGACAGGGACAGCATCTGCCAGCCAACGCCGCGCATCTTTCCCCGCCGCCTCCTTCCTCGCCGGCACTGGGGGCTTTCTTTAGCTTGCTGCTCCGAGGGAACCGCGCAGTGTCTGAGGCCCAGTGCCCGGCGGGGCTAGCAACCCAGAGTGCCAGGGAAAATGTGCACCAAATAATATGGAACAAGGCAGTAGAGCCCACTCAGGCACACGCCTCCCACCGCCCTCTCCACCCTCCTCTGGCAGAGCAGGAGCTCCTTGGGCAACTTTAGGTCCTGAGGATGAATCCGCCTGGCCAGGGCTGCAAGGAGACCCCAAGAGCAGCGGAGAGGAGATCACGCGTCTTCTGTCTCCCAAGGATGAACTTGGCGGTAAAAGAGCTGGGGCTTCCAACGGCTGCTAAGATGCAGGGGCCGGTTGTTGTGGGGAGGGCGGTCCTCTGATCCCACGCACGCTTCTGCAAATCCGATGCCAGTGGCGAAGGTACAAGACAGAAGAGGGGATCTCAATAGGTATTATGGCCCCGATCAAAGTGGGCTCCGGAAGCTAGAAGGCGCGGAAGCCCAGCGGGCCCGTAGCAGAGCGCGCGGGGCAACTGGGCATGGCGCGCGGGGGTGCACGGGGCGGACGCGCAGTTCTGGGGGCGCACGGCTCTGGACTCTGCTCACTCACGCGGCCTCTCCCTCGCCCTCGACTCCGCCGCAGCCTGGACCGGTCCTCGCGGTCTCCCGACAGCCAACGATGGTTTACAAACACACATGCACTTCGCTGAAGGATGTCTGGGCAATCCCGCCTCCCGCTCGGCGTCCTTGGCGACGCTCTGCACCAGGACCTGCCCCGAGGTCACGCAGAAAAGACAAAAGGGCAGTCGGGCCGCCGCAGCCGGGCAGAAATATCCACTAGTCAGCACTCCGGCGAGGAACTCCAAGAGGCCAAGTGGAGGATGAGAGCTGCTGCGAAGACTGAGTGGGGACTGACTGGGGGCGGACTTAAAAACCAGGCAGACCGGAAGGAGTGGAAAGGCAAAGGCCAAGGTTGGAGGTGTCAGCGTCCTGCTGGGGCGTACTGGAGAATGGCTCGGTGGCAGGTGGGCGGGTGGGATCCACTACTCCAGGCAGAGCCAGGCGGCAGCTGAATGGCAGTAGTGTGTGCGCGCGTGTCAACCCCGCTCGTCTCCCAGATAAGCCGCAGCTCCGCGGCAGACACCTGATGGCAAAGGTAGAAGAAACAAGAGCCGGGTTCCGGAGGGCGCAGAGCCACGGCCGGCCCCCGGCGGTCTCCCACTAGTGGTTCGTCCTTCTCAAAGTGCAGCAACTTTTCCCAGGCTTTGAATTCCGTCCCCCAAGGCCACAGTGGCGGTACCCCTGCCGGCGTGGCGACGCCGCCCGGCTCCTGGCGCTGCACCTGACGCGGCGGCCGCAGTCCCGGGTAGTCCTTCTCCTTCTAGCCCCTTCCCCTCTCCCGCTGCTTTCCTGGCCTCCCGCTCCAGGGAGCGAGGTCGGGGAGAGGGAGGGCGACGACTCAGAGCGGGGACTCGGTGGCTCTGCCGACTCCGGAGCCCCTGGCAAGTGTCTAAACAATAGGACGGACGCAGCAGCCCAAGTCTCGCTTGTCTGGAAGGAAGGTGGGTTGTTGTCGTAACTGGAGTTGTTCGCTGGGGCTGACTGGCGCTCAGCGTAGCCAAACAAAAACCCGGCCCGCGCCTCCGGAGCCGGCTGCGGGCCCCCGGCGCTCCCCTTTCTGCTCAGCACTCCCGCCGTGCCCAGAAAGCGCGGCAGCTTCGGCCTGCGCCTGGGCGCTTCGGCGCTCCCATGCCTCGCAGCTGCCTCCGCCTCCGCCGCCGCCGCCGCCGCCGCCTTCTTTTTTTTAACCACAGTCTGCGGCAGCCACCACCACCGCCGCCGCCAAGCTCCGCCGTCCGGGCGCTTCCCAAATAAATAACACCAAGTCCGAAGTTGAGCCGGCGCGGGCCTTATATAGCCGCCCGAGCCTCCGCCCCCTGACCCCGCCCCTCGAGGCCCAGGCCCGCCCCCTGGCTCCGCTCTGGGAGCCCGCACCTCGCTGGGGAGAGGGGAGAGGTGAGGCCGGGGCTGCCAGCGCTGGGCGGAGGCGGCGGCTGGCGGCGCGCGTTCCCGTGCGCCCTGGCTCGCCCCCTCGCTCCCACGCGCGGGCAAACTTGGCCCGAAGAAGGAGCCACCCGAGCCCCAGCCCCCAACTCCTTGGCCCCAGAGGTGACCTGGGCTCGGAGATAGTCGTTTGCAGTGGGAGAATGGGAAGAGGTCGGCTTTGAACGCGGCTCATAAATAAACAGCCCTGCCAGTGCCTCTCCTGCAGCTTTTGCCACGCGATCCTTAAGGGGGCTGCTCACTCTTTGCAGCGCAGCAAGAGACAGAGAGACAGAAACAGAGAAATTATGATTTAAATTTAAGAAAAATCCTACCGAAATAGATCTGCCTGCGCTTACAGACACACACGTGTATTTTGGGGAGCTGAAAAGTTCAGTTTTTGCAAGTTGGAAAACAGCATTTTCCAACCTTCTTGCTTGCCTTTCTATCTCCAAGCCACCCCCTTCCGTTTAACCCTTCCTTTGTAGACACACACTGAACCACACCGTGGTCAGTTGATGTCTTGGATATTCAATAGGCTCACAAAACTCTTAAGGGCTTGAACGTATCTGTGTGATTTTTTACTCTCTTATGAGAGAAAGGAGGGGAAAAAATAAATCCCTAGCAACGCACATTATACCAGAAGGTTTTCTTTATTTCAGGGCAGTTCTGGATATTTTTTTCCCCGCTATGTTTTGAAAGAGAATTTCCTTGTTTCATCTTGTCTCTTTAGTGTGACGTATGTCTGGCAACGGCTGCCTCTCTCGCCCCCCTTTCCCCCCCAGCAAGAGCCAATGTCACTGTAAGTTTGAAATGACATCTAAATGACTCTGCTCCTTCTCTTGGATTTAATATGCATCATATTGTTGTTCTTCCTCCCATTTCCACGTTAAGAAGCTTTCCCTGGAATTTGTGCAAGCCCCCGCCTAATACCAGCCTCATATTGTAGTAGTTATTTGTATAATTATTAGAAGCTTCCTTGAAAGCAAGACCTGTCCAACTCTTTGTATTTCCAGCATCTATGCCTGCCACATAATAGGTTTCCTCATAAGTAACCGATTTCTTTAACTCAAGAGTATGCTCAACCTAAAATCTCTGCAATATCCTCATTAACGTTTTTCCTGGTTAACATTTTCTAAGATGTCCTTTCATAATGGCTACCCCTACTTACCTCATTTTGCCTGCCTTGGAAAACGTAAGCCTTTTCGAGGACACGCCCAAAGGCAGGGTACCATCTGATAACTGAATTGGAACTCTTAGGATTACTCATTTTAATGCCACAGATTTATATTGCTCTATTCTTTTAAAACCTTCAAAAACATTTGACATTTATTAACTCATTTGTCCTTCTAGATTTTAGCTTAAAGGTCTGTTATGTAACTTCCTTGAGGAGGAGAAAAAAGAAGCCCTTGTCACATTTTCTTGTAAGGAAAATGAGATAAAGAACAAGTACCTGTCATTGAGGAAGGAGCTCCCCCAACCCTCAGTGAATTTTCCTTAGTGTGTACCAGTAAATTATGTGGTTAAATATGGTTGCTGATACATTAATTTATTTAATTTCACAACTTTAATATCTTGTCAGCAACAAGAGGTGTTTGTGTTCAACTTTGTGCACCACATAGAATTGTTGTTCCATATTTTAATTCCAAGAACATATCCTGCATTCCAAATATTTATAAATAATATTATTGATATTGTTGCATAAGTGAAATTCACAGACATAAGTTCAAGTTTCATTCTATCTCTGATCACTTTCTGTTTTGTGTAAAACCAAGGAGAAACTAACATACATAGCAACATGCCTACAGAAACATCTTTTTAAAATTTGAAGCCAATTTAAATAAGAAGCTATGTTCAGTGGATTTCATTCAGAAAAAAGAAAGACTGTAATTAATTCTTGAGAGGCATATCTTACTATTTTTTGCGTTATTAACTTTTTAGTTGATAAGGGGAATTTTATACATACATAAACAACCAGGTCTCCTGTCCTTTAACATATTACTGTATTATTCCATTAGTATTACTGCAGGATGTTTGTTGAAGGCCTTGCAGGCTTCAGAAACATTAACTTCTAGGTCTTAATTCTTTATGGATTATTTTGCTCCCATATGAATTTCTGAGTTTCTCTTTCACTGTTAAACCCAGCCTGAAGAAAGCCTTCTGTGGTGCCTCTTGTCACCACATGAGGTCTCCATAAATCCTGACCTGGATTAAGCAGAAGTGGAATCCACTATAGCCAATATCCGAGTCTCCTATTATCTTGCAAAAAAAAAAAAAAAATCCAGTTCGTACAATAATTTGGAAACAATGTAGACAATCACCTATGCAGCAAAGAAATAAAAAGCATCAGAATAATGTGTAGGTTATTAAATGTCTAATAAACTTTGCATTTTTTTGAAATAAAAAGGTTGTGAAGTTGGGTTATATGGGAAAAGGGAGGAAGAAAAGAGAATTTACGAAAAAGAGATAAAGAAGAGTAAAAATTATTGTTCTCTGTCTTTTTAAACAGAGGTAGGTAACAGTAATTGCATTGATCAAATTCATGAAACTTAATTCCTTGAATTTAACTGCCTTCATGTTACTATTTTCCATTGTTGCAATGTGTTCATTTTAATTATTTGATATTTCTTTCATTTAAATTATCTGATATTTCTCACAATATCTTTGTATTGGAAACGTAGACATGGAACCCTAATATAATGGAAATTAAGATTTAACCAAAATTTGTTTCAAGCCTACTAAATTCCAAGCTATTTGACAGAGTTACATCCACAGTGATGGTTGCTATTTCACTCCTTACAGTAGAGGATGTTGGTCTTCATGCAAGTCGCAGCTTATTAAATGGCAGAGCTAGAACCAGAACCTAAGTTCTCTGACCTCAATTCTCAATTGATTCTTCTTCACCCAACTGTTTATCTGTAGATCCACTGGAACTCGTGGGGATCAAGGAATCTATAGATCCTCAGGAATGATCACCCTCATACAGGAGATGGTCATGTCTCTGCACACACTCCTTAAGGGCATCTACAGGGAGCAGTAAAGAGCTAGAGTCCTCAGCACCAGCACTTCAAGGATACTGAAACCTGACCTGCTTCTGGACATAGCTTTGACTTTGAGATGATTCTCTAGGTGAGTGGTTCTCAGCATGTGGTCCCTGGACCAACAGCATCGTAATCGCCAGGACTGTAGTTGGAGATACAACTTCTCAGGCCCTAACTCAAACCCACAAAATCAGAAAATCTGGGAACAGAAGCCAGAAGGCTGTGTTCTCACAAGCCCTCCAAGAGATTTTGATGTTCACTAAAATTTGAGATCCATTACTCAAGAGCTGCTCTGTGTTTGTATCTGTGACACATTGGTACGGAGAATGAAGCAGCAAAGAATAATAGATAACAGCTGCTGAATTGTCTTCAGCTTCTCATTCCTGGGGGTTGACAATTGCACATTACTGATTACCTCTAGGGGGCACCAAAATATTTTGATGTACAGCTCCGCAGAGGCAATAAGACTTTAGTTTTATTTTCCAAGGAAATGGCCTTCAGAAGTGGAAAGGGCTTCCTAGTTATTACATCAGCAACCTGCCCGAATATGCCTCAACCCTTTAAAAAAATCTGTTATATTTATAGGGATTTTTTCCAGTTTAATACCACTTTTGTATGGATGCATTGATTCCTATTTCTCATGATTATTGTGAAAATTAAGATATTATTTTTCAATCTAACAGCACAGGGCCTGGCATAGAGCTAGGTGCTTATTAAATAAAGGGTATTTCATTATTACTTTTAATATCTGAAATTTTCTAAAATATTATATTTGTATTATGAGAATAGATAACATATTCCTTTAGTTATTACTATGATCCAATAACTTCTTGTATTGAGTCCTGGGAAGGGCTGGGCTGAGGGTGATACTTTACAAGAAGAACAAATCAACTTACAATAATCAAGCCCTGCTCAGACCTACAGTATCCCATGAACAAAAGAGTGGCGATAGATATAATTAGTTTTGTGCTATGTGTGTCACATAATATAAACTAATCTTTGAAGAGGTAAAGTTGGTTTCCCGCTGCCAGAATAACTGCTTGTTGATTATGCAGTGAAATTAAAGGGAGAAGTTCTAAACCTTGATCTGCTGATAAGTGGGAGTGCTTGGGTAGCTTTGGATATGCGGCTTAGCTCTCGCCTTAGTTTCCTCCTTTATACATTGTTGGGATTAGACCAGTTGAACCATAAATCCATCCTTCTGTTATTAGTAATAATATATTTATTAAGCAGTGTCTGTGTTCCAAACACTGGGCTGGTCACCTTATATATCTTAGCTTCTTTAATTTTCACAGCAATCCTCTGACTTGGATACTATTTTTATCCTTGATTTATAGTGAAGAAAATTGAGGTTTACAGGAATTCATTCAGTTCATGCAGCTAGCAAGCAGCAAAGTAGGCACTAGAATTCCAATTCAATCCCAAACTCTGTTTCACAAACATTGTAATACCCTACCTTTCAAATTCTATGATTTGAGTACACCAAGCAAAGACTTGTTCTATATAAAATGAAGACAAAGATGTATTGGGGGAGGAAAGAGTGCAGTGGTTTAAAGTGACATTTGAATATTAAATGTGTGAGATACTCCAGCAAGAACAAAAGAGAATATGCTGATAATAGAAAAATGATAGTGGGAAAAGTAAAGCAAAAGATAGTTAATACTCGATGCAGGTTAAAAATACATTAATATCAAAACACACAAACAAAAATACACGGTAAAAATTTTAATAGTTTTATGAGTTTCAAATTTTTAAATTGTCGATTTCCTTTAACCATTGAGGAGAAGGAAATACAGTTGTAAATGATTTTGAATGTCCTAATCTTTTGACTCTACGAAGTCTAATAATGTGCATCCTGGATTTTCACAGAAGAAAAGAAAAATCTTTCTGGGTTACTTGGAAGGAAAGGAAAGGAACCTCTCACACCTCCTGCAGGCTTCTTCTGCTAGATTGCAAAAGGTTGACCTTCGTCCTATAAGGTCATAGTATCAAGCTAAAATTACACAGAAAGGTACTCTAGTCTAATAGAAACTCAAAATAAATATTTTCAAATCCCAAAGCTAAATATTATATATTGTAGATAAAAATCAACTCTGATTAACAGAGGCAGTTCATAACCACTATTGGAAAAATATAGTTCAAAGTAAATGCCTCCCTGATGGCCAAAAAGCCATTTTCTCATACAAAGAGTCTCATTAGTATCTTAGTACAAGAAGTGGAAAACTTCTTCTGTCAAGAACCAGCTAGTAAGTAAGCACTTTAGGCTTCATAGGCCAATAGTCAAAAAAATCAAGACCATTATGTACATGCATAATCTATTAAAGAGAGAAAACACATTTCCACAAGTGTCTTACTGAAGTAATTAAAAACATAACAATTGTTTATAATTTTGGGGTCAGACATGTCTACTAATGAGAACTATGGAATTTGGAGGAGAAGGATAACATTTTATTTAATTAGGTTTCAAAGTAAGTGTTTCAAATGGATTGCAAAGTTTCGTATTTTATAAGCCATTTTTAGCTTTCTAACTATTCAAAAACATGCAATGGGTCCAATTTGGCCTGCTGCCTGTATTTTGTAGATCTCTGCCTTTGTCCAAAGATGTGATTATCAATGTACGAGGTCATAGTTTGCTAAGGGGTTATGTTAGTATTCAAAGGGATGCTGTAAAGATAAGAGTTCTGAGCTCCAAAGTGGCTGCTCTGTGACAAGCAGTAAAGGTCTTCCTCAGTATTATCTATCAGCTCTCCCTATTTCTTCAGCTCTGACGTGTAATTCTGCAAAAGCATTTAAAGAAAATTTAAATCCATTTCATTTTAATACAAAATAAATTAGTACAAGATATGCTGCATATCCATTTCTTGCATGTGAGCTATGCTTATCGGTTGAACCAGATGGTCCTCATGTATAAAATGGAGATAACAATAAGTAACATTTATTAAGTATTTATTGTGTGCAGGCATTATCCTGAGTGTTTTCCTTTATTTTCTCATTTAATTTTCCTTGAAAACTGTACTACTTTTGAGATGAGAAAGTTGAGGGACAGAAGGGTTGAAGTTAAGTAACCTGCTAAAGGCATCCAGCTAGGATAGGGTAGAGCTAGAATCTAAACCCAGGAAACCATGGACCAGAGCACTGGAATGCTCAGTAGTTCGTGAATCAAAGGAAATGTTTGGTAATGAAATGAAAACAGTGTATGCGAATGAATTAAACAAACTGTAAAATAAAGTATCAACATTTCTATTTGCATTATGATTATTATTTTAAATTGAAGATAGTGCATGCGAAAAATGTATACATTTAGTCAAGAATCACTGCAGTGAATATAATCTGACTTCAGCCAACTCTTTTTATCCCTTTCTTTCCATGTTAATAGGATTATTTCATTTCTCTTTCAAGATTTGATATACGCTCTCCTTAGTTACATAAAACCAAAGGAATATTTCCCACCAAAACATGGAAATTCTAAAATGTCTGAGAATTTAAGAAAAACCATTATATGAAGAAGAATCTCCAAATATACACAAAGAATTTTAACTTTTTAGTAAATACAATTACTTTGCGTCTTGTTAACAAGGGATATCTTGTTTTGTAAGAAGAATCAATTCATAAAGCTGTGTTTTCTTTATTGTAATTATAAAATAACACAACTGAAAAATGTTGCTAAGTAGATTCCCCAGCAATGCCGTGAAAAATGATGAAAAATGAAATGTGATTTATAATGACATTTGAAAAAAGTGTATAAATTACAGTAACTTTTAAAAGCTTTTTCATTCATTCCAAATTGCTTTATTTTGTGATTAAAGTAGATAATATAGCTGTAAGTCTGTTCAGGATCACAGTCATAACTATCTTTTTTTTTTTGCCTATATATAGGCACGCATTTGTACAGCTCTGTATGTGATTCACTTATATATATTGCCTTCCTTGGTGACATTGCAAGGATCTTATTAATTTTAATTTTTCTTTCCTAAACTGTCATATGTGGAAAATAAAAGATTGTGTATTATCTACCTCAAAGTAATTGCCAAGATTAAAATACGTAAATTAGTAAATGCACTTGGAAAGCTCAGTTCTGGAAGAAGATGCCATAGCTCATGTTTCCGTGCTCCATCCTTCTATGACTGAATGCCCTGGAAGTAATTCAGAACACAATGATAATAGGACTCAAATAGCTGAGAAGAAGAAATACTGAGTAGGGAGCTTATGAGTATAAAATGAGTTCCCTGAGTTTTCTTTCTATCTCACATAGTGCTAGGAGTGGGCAAACCCAGGAGAGACCTGGTGAGGAGCCCAACACCGTCTCCATATGTAAGAGACCAGCTGTTTGAGATCTATCATAAATAGCCGCTTCAGAGTTCCCATAGTCCCAGCCCAGTGTCTCCCTGCCTTCCATTCAGTGTCATAAAGAGACCTAGGCCCAGCTCTTATAGCTCTCCACTGCCCCTCCCTTACCCTCTGGCAGAAGATAACCCAGGATATTTCTTCTGACCCCGCAGGCAGCACCAATAGAAATCAAGCAGGGGCCCCAGCAGAACTGGGATAGCAATTCGAAACTAGACTGCCATTGGTCACTTAATTCCAAAACTAAACTGTCATTGGAATTAAAGCCCACAGAAGTAGGCCACAGCCTACATGCTAAACCTAAAAATGGTGAGTACAATCAAAAATAGAAGGTTTAAATAGGAGCAGAAGTCTCCTAACATAGTAACCAAAATGTCCAAGATATAATAGAAAAATCACTCGTTGTACCAAGAACCTAGAAAATTCACAACCTGAATGAGAAAAAACAATCAGGTGATGTTTAACTGATGCCAATTGGATGTTGGAAGAGGATATCAAGTCATTGTCTGATTTAAAAAAAAAAAATCTAAGATAATTTGTCTTACCAGAACTATCCTAAGAAAATGGCTAAAGGAAGTTCTCTAAGACAAAAGGAAATGATAAAATAAGGAATCTTGGAACATCAGGAGGGAAAAGAATAGATAGCGTAAATATGTGAGTAAATACAATATATTTTCCTTCTCTTGTGCTTTCTAAATTATGTTTGATGGTTGAAGCAAAAATAATAACAGCATCTTTGTGGTTCTTAATGTATGTAGAAGAGATATTGAAGACAATTTTAAACAGATGAGAGTCAAGGGGTGGAAAGGGAAGTCAAGTGTCCACATTTCACTCAGTCTGGCAGAATATCAACATTATTAGACTGTGATAAGTTACAGATATACGATGTATGCTTAGAACAACAACTAAAAGAACTTTTACAAAGAGATGCACTGAAAGACACTAGAGATAAATCAAAATGGAATTCTAAAAGATGTTCAAATAACTCTCACACGGCCAGATAAATTTAAACAGAGAATGGAAACCACAGAGAAAAGTAGAAAACAAATAATTAAATGGCAAACTTAAGCCTTAACATACACATTTTTACATTAAACGTAAGTGATCTAAGCGCAACAATTAAAAAAATAGATTGGCAGAGATTAACAGCCATGACCCAACTCTATACTGGCTATAAGAAGCTCACTGAAAATACAATATAGGTAAGTAGAAAGTAAAAGGATGAAGAATATAAACCATAAAAACATTAATTAAAAGAAGGCAGGTTGGAGGCCAAGGTGGGTGGATCACTTGAGGTCAGGAGTTCGAGACCAGCCTAGTCAACATGGTGAAACCCCATCTCTACTAAAATAAAAAGAATACAAAAGCTAGCCAGATGTGGTGGCACAGGCCTATAGTGCTAGCTACTTGAGAGGCTGAGGTAGGAGAATCGCTTGAACTCAGGAGGTGAGCTGAGATTGCACCACTGCACTCCAACCTGGGTGACAGAGTGAGATTCTGTCTCAAAAGAAAAAAAAAGAAAAAAGAAGGAAGGTAGCTACAGAAAGGAATATTACATAATGATAAAAAAAGGTCCATCCATGAAGAAAACTTGACACTTTAAAATGCATATGCAATATTATAGAGGCAGAAATAGATTAGTGTTTGAAAAAGGCTAGGGACATGCATTGAGGAGAGTAGGTGTGACTGAAAGTGGGTATCATGAGGGAGCCTTGTGGGATGATACAGATAAATGATTGTGGTGGTGGTTACATGAAACTACACATGTGATGAAATTGCACAGAGCTACACACACACGCACACACACACACACACACACCATGCAAATGAATTCATGTAACCTAGTAATATTTGAATTAACTCTGTGGATTGTACCAGTATCAGTATTCTGGTTTGGATATTGTATGCTTGTTGTGCAGGATGTTAACATCAGAGAAAGCTAAGTGATGAGTTCATGGGACCTCCCTGTACATTTCTTTGTGACTTCTTGTGAATTTAAAATTATTTTAAAATTATAAAGATAAACAACCAAGCACCTAAATTTGTACACTTTAAGGGTAAAACATAATTGAAATCACAACAAGACAAACTAAAAGGCGTTATTCCTAAACCCTGTGGAGGGCTAAAAATTGCTACACAGATACTGAGGGATGGGGAAGGAAAAGTCCTTAAGGATTAATAAGTATGGGTTTTGGGTTATGAGCTGTGAGGGAGGAGTAAGGAAGATCCAGAGAGGGGAGCTATGTATAGAGAAGAGGGAAGATTGAGATATGAAGGTGGCAGTAATTGGAGGAAGGGGATAAGACTGATGGGGAAGAATGTGAGGAGTGTATGAGGGTGTATATATGAGAGAAGAACTCTTCACAGGGCACAGGAAGGATTTCCAGAAGGGAAAAAGGATATTGGCCATTATGAGTGAGAGTATGGGAACCAGAAGCATGCTGTGAGCCCTCAAGGAGACATATGCACAAAGAAATAAACAAGAAAGCAAGCTGTGGTTCAGTCATGTGGGGGAGGAGGAATTCTATAGATGGACCAACAGCTTTCAGTGGGAATGTATCTTTACCTAGGACTCCTCACAACTGGAGGTTATTCCTATAAACATTCTCAATTAGCTGGGGGGCTTGGGCAGGTCATTTACACTAGCTGAATGTTTGGCTCTTGATCTATGAAATAATGAGGATGCTCTATATAATTGCTAATGTCGTTCAAGCTATGAGAGTCTATGATTTTATTGCCACTATATGGAACAAAGAAGCAAAATATTTTAGATGCTTTCTTTATTCGAATGTTGATAATAACAAAGAGTAAAATGCCTTTAATGATTTGGGAGTTCTCACTTCAGGCAAAGCAAAACATACGCAAATGCTTAGTTGAGGAAAGACAGTGGGAACTACTAAAAAGAAAAAGAAGAGGGAAAATCCCTAAATTCCTAGATCTTTAAAAATAAATCCTGGGCAACATGGTGAGATCCCATCTCTACCAAAAAACAAACAAACAAACAAACAAACAAAAAATTTGTTGAGCATGGTGGTGCATACCTCTAGTTCCAACTCCTCTGGAGGCTGAATTAGGAGGATTGCTTGAGCCCGGGAGGTCAAGGCTGCAATGAGCACTGACTGTACCACTGTACTCCAGACTGGGTCACACAGCAAAACTCTGTCTCAAAAAAAAAAAAATTATCTGAATCAAAACATTGGTTTCATGTTGCAAAAGAGCAATGTTTAATGATACTTTCATATATATTTTATAATTTCATCTTCATTGGAATAAGGATATAAGGCAGTAATTATTATTCCTACATTTCAGTAGAGAAAGCTGAGATTCATACAAGTTAAGGACCTACATTAAGTAACAGAAGTAGTTATAGGCAACATCAAAAAGGCTATTCAAGTCTCCTAATTTCTATAATAGTTTGAACAATTTCCAAACAGGCTTGAATACACAAAAGCAATTCCAGTCCATTACAAGATATTACTACACACCTAGTAGAACATCTAAAATTAAAAAATAGTGGCAATAAAAAGTTTGGCAAGGGTGTGTAAAAACTGGATGTATACATTGCTCATGGAAATTTAAAGTGGTATAGCCAGTACGAAAAAATAGTTTGGCATGTTCATTAAATAATAACACTAAATATACACTGACTATACATTCCAGTAATCTCATTCTTGTATATTTGTCCCAAAAAATGAGAATTTATGTCAATGCAAAAGTCTGCACACACATTTTTACAGCAGCTTTATTTGTAATAGCTCAAACTGCAAGCAGATAAAATGGCTTACAACAGGTGAAAAGTTAAACAAGTTGTGGTACATCTACACCATGGCATACTACTCAGCAATAAAAAGGAACAACATATTGATAAACACAGCAACATGGATGAATCTAAAAACACACTATGCTGAGCAAAAAAGCTGGTCTCATAAAGCTACATATTCTATGGTTCCATTTAAATAACTGTCTCAAAATGACAAAACTGCAGAGGTGGAAAACAAACTGATGCTTATCAAGTGTTGGGACGGGTAGGGGAAAAAGTGCAGATTTGACTATGTAGGGAGAGCACAAGGCAGATCTTTGTGGTAATGGAATAGTTCCATGTTTTGTTTGGCATAAAACTATAGACGCACATAGTACTAAATGTGTTGGTATCTTTTGATATTATACCATATGGGTTTTGATACTGTATTATAATTAAGTAACCATTGGGGAAAACTGGGTGAAGCACACCCAGGATCTCTTTGTACTACCTTTGAACATTTCTGTGGGTCAATAATGATTTCAAAATAAAAAAGGTAAAACCAAATAATATTAATGTCTAGAATAGGCTATAGTATAGTAGTTAAAGGCACTGACTTTGCAGTTGATTTGCCTAAGTCTGAATCCAAGTTATTGAGGCAGTGACTTAAATCGGCCTCAATTTTCGTATCTCTAATAATGGGACCATAACAGTACCTATTTTATGGGATTGTTGTGATGTTTAAATGAGTTAATATAAGTAAGTTGCTTAGAGTGGTACACGGCACCTAAAAAGCTCTCACTAAATGTTATCTATAGGTAAATTTTATATTATGGCTCTGTTGAATCTTATAAATGCTATTGTTTCTCTATTTTCTTTTAGTGCTAGGAATCACAAAGCTAAATTTTGGACATATTATTAGGTATTGTGTAAAAATTCACATTTCTGCATGCTAACCATATGACAGTCTTAACTTTATTTTTCTAATAAAGTTTCCTAATAAATTTTTGCTATTTCTTAACTCATTTTTTCTATCCGATTTCACTTTATAAATTTTCACACACATTTCTGAATTATTTGTGGAAATAAGACAGGATCTAAATAATCAAAAATAAAACATTAAGGGAGTTTAAGAGAAGAAAACTAGTAATTCAGTAAAAGTTAAACACCCCTCTTCCCTCCTGGTACAATGGAGGTGGCTTAGAAACCGGGAATTTTCAGTAGATGGTAGTGTCAAAGTCCTATTACTTCCCACCAAAATTCTTTTCTGCCTCTTGTTGGGTGAACAGATAGACTACATAGCACAGACTCCCTCAGTTAGGTGCAGCCACTCAGTTCCTGACAGTGGCTATGCCATTTACGGGCTATGCCTTAGGGTGATGGCCATGCCTGCTTCTTGCTCTTTTCCCCTTCCTACCAGGTGGAACCCATGCAGCTTTGTTCAGGCAGATAATGAAAATGCTCTAATGGATAATGAAATAATGTAAGAGAAGAACCATGGATCCTAGAAGGTCTGGGTGCAGCAAAACCATCTACATGAGCTGGAATGCCCACCTGGAACTTTATATGAGAGAAAGAAGATAATGTGTTATACTCAAGCTGCTGTGTGTTGATGTGTCTTTGTTATAGAAACTTAGCCTTTTGTGCTAACTAATGGAAGCATCCTGTAGACAGTTTGACTGCTTGGACAATCCCTCTTTGCACTATAGAAAAAGTTATTTCATATGCAATTTAAAATTAGTCACCAAAATCAAGCCTTTTGTTTCCCCCAAATTTATGTTAGAGTCTAAAATGTCTATATAGCTATGAGCAGTGACAGTATGGAGAAATGTAAGGAACCAGGCCATAAAAGTAGATGAGAACTATATTTACCACAATCCTTGTCAAAGCCTTTGAAAGGATAACAACACTTACTCATGGGTAACTGAAACTCATAAACTGCAGGATTAAATAAGTAGAGAAATAAGTGTTTGCCTATGGTGGAACAGGGAAGAAAACACACATACACACACACACACACACACACAATCTCACACACACATACAATTTGGGGCAGCAATTGTAAATTTCCCTAAATGTACTAGCATAGCATCTCAACCTTTGTTGCACACTGAAATGGTGTGAAAGTTCAAAAAGTAGTGATGTCGATATTCCATCCTGTATCAGGGTCCTCTAGAGCAAGAGAACCAATGGAAAAATATATGTAATATATAACATTTTATTAATATTACATCAATAATTATCATTAAATTATTATTGTACAGATTATAATATATATTTATATCATATCACAATTATACCATTATAAAATATAATTAATATTTATACCCTAAGATTATAATTAATATTTACTATATATAGTATCTGTATACTATATATATGTGCAGAGAAAGATTTTATGAGGGCTGACAAGTACCAAGATCTGCAGTCAGCAATCTAGAGACTCTGGAGAACTGATGGGGTGTAGTTTCAGTCCAGAAGCTAGCAGGCTACAGATCCAGGAAGAGGCGATGTTTCGGTGTGAGCCTGAAGGCAGGAGGAAACATGTTCCAGCCTAAAGTGAGGCAGAAGGAATTTCCACTTATTCAGGGAAGTCAGCCTTTTTTTTTTCTATTCAAAAATAGAATTTCAGCTGATTGGGTGAGGCCTACCCACTCAGGGATAACAATCTATTTTACTTAGTCTGTCAACTGAAATTTTAAGTTAATCTAAAAACACCTTCACAGACACACCCAGAATAATGTTTGACCAAATGTCTAGGCACCTCATGGCCCAGTCAAGTTGACACATAAAATTAACAATCATAAACTGAAGGTATATTGATCCAGGGTGTGTTCTGGGCATCAATATTGTTAAAGCTCCCTATATAATCTAATGCGAAGCCAAGTTTGAGGACCTCTATCCAAGAGAGTGTGTTCCTTGTAGAAGACTGAGGGGCTGTGGGGACTGACACTAAGTAACCATTGGGGAAAACTGGATGAAGCACACTCAGGATATCTTTGTACTACCTTTGAAAATTCCTGTGGATCAATAATGATTTCAAAATAAAAAAGGGAAAAACAAACAATGTTAACGTCTAGAAGGGGCTATAATGTGGTAGTTAAGGGCACTGAATTTCCAGTTGGTTTAAGTAGGGTTCTTTAAGTAAACAGGGTATTTCCCAGCCCTGAAATTCCTGAGCACCTTAGTATCAGCATCAGTAAATTTTGGTAATCAATATATAGAGACAAATATCTAATTTCCTCTTTCATTTTTGGAGTCCACGGAGCAAGACAGAAATAAGTCATGGGAGAAAATATACGAACCAATATGCCATTCATAACAAAAGAGTTCAATAAAACTCTATTCAAAACTTATTTTCTTTTAATATAATACATGATTTAACTTTAGAAGTACGGCAGGAACAAAACAAAAACCTTTTACCCCAGGACTAGTTAAGTTTTTTTTTTAGTATAATACATTATTTAACTGTGGAATACAGCAGGAACCAGATACGAACCCTTTACTCCAGAACCAGTTAAGTGAATAAATACTGCTTGCTTTTCCCTCTTATGGGAAAATAGAGACTGTGAAATAATTTGATTAACTAAGACCAGCAATCAATCAAATCTAAATATAAGTCAAGAGTCTGTTGTAAAAATAATCCTTAAAACATTATTTTGTGCTCAGGAATGTATACCATTGCTTTTATTTAAGAAAATGTCAATTTGAGGATTTTATGTATATGCTCATATCTGATAAGTACATCTGGTGTGTGTGGATATATACACACACATATATGTATATTTATCTATATATGTGTCATATATATTTCTGATATGTGAAAGATAGTTGATATTTTGATATTTATGCTTTTTGCCTAGTCAATATGTTTAATTTATAGTGATGTATTTTTCATGTAATTATCTGCTTTATAATTCTATGAACTTAACAGAATTATCTATAAATGATAGTTCTATAAACTTAATCTAATATTATTTAGATTTGCAAAGATATGACAGTATAGATATTTACCTTTCTTCAGTGGTTATATATAGATATTCATTATTGTTTACAGCTATAGATTAAAACCTATTAACCTTCACAACTTAGGTAAGGAATGTGAAGAAGTAATCCTGATAGTGTTTAAAAACCTTCTTTTTAAACTCTAATATAATCACATAAAAGATAGATTCATAAATTGAAACCTCCATAATTGGCAATTAAAAGCTGCAGGACAATGTTGTCTCTCTGTATTGTTAGAATTAAGTTCCAGCTGTTTTGAGAAAGCAACCAAAAGATTGAGAAAAACTGCCAAGTATCCTGGGAAGAAATTAGCTACATTAGCTTTCATTATTCCAAAATCATTGTGCCACCTGCAGTAACTGTAAATACTACAGATGGGGTAAAATATCTCAAATTTAAGAGTTCATCTGCTTTTCACAGGGCAAGGTATCACATGGTTCTGAATCTCAATCTCATCATAGGGCCAACAAATTAAGTTCAAAAATAATTTGACCTAATAGTCACAATTCAAAATGTTTCTTGTCCAGGTTAACAATTAAGTAAATGTCTCTAATATTCATTTCATTTGGAGAAACGTTTCATTTTTATTAACGAAGCTGATGTTTGGTGTCATTATAGCAATCAGAAGAGTCTACATTATAATGTAGTAATAAATAACTTTCATCTCTTTATGGCTTATAGCAACAACAGTTATTTGCCTCATCTATCTGTCCGTTGGTGGTTGGCTGAAGCTCTAACTCAAGGTTCTCTCGACCTAAGGTTGATGAAGCAGCCACTACCTTAAACATTGTTTGTTATCATGGAGTCTCACACAGCAATGAAAAACTCCATCCTGGAAGTGGCATTCCTTTCATCATAACCCACTGGCCAAATCTGATCACATGGGCCACTCCACTTCAGATGGGACAAGAGGGCTAGTTCTACCATGTGCCCAGGAGGATGAAAGCTGGAAATAGTTGGTGGACAGCATTTGGGACTATCACTTTCTACCACCCTTCAGATAATCAAATATTCAACTCCCCATATCTCCCATAGGCAAAATATACTCAGCCTCTCCCCAAAGAAGTCAGTCCAAAAGTTCTGTTTTGCTATGGCATTAAGCTCAAAGCCCAGGCTTTCCAGCTGTGATAATGGAGTACACTCCACATAAAATCTGATTATGATTTGTTTTGCTCTAGTCAAGCATGAGCTTAAAAGATTAGTTTTTCATGCTCCCCAAATATACAGCAGTAGAACAGGATCAGAATGACTGCATTCATTAAACACTTCCATATGAAGAGAATCATAGAATAGACATGGCAGACACCAATGTGATTCACAACAGTTCTGAAATCTCACCAGGTAAAGGTGGTGAGGACCCTCTACCCTGGGAGATGAGAATGGGATAGGAACGTTCCTTGAATAGGCCCTGATCTTGCTCTGTAGCAGAGGCACCTCAAATCCATTGTTTTTTTCCCATGGTCTTTGGCTCTCCCCTGTTTGTGAAGTCTGCAGTGGGCATTAAATAAAAGTGCATCATCATTACAGGCTGTGTAGCTTTTTGTGCCCCATGCTTATAAACAGAAGAGAAGGAAGGACCATTTTAAGTCTCTCAAAGTCTCAGACATTTATAATTTCTGGCTTATATTTTCTCTAGATGTAAAGTAATATTCTAGGACTTTTAATCTATTTGATTCAGTGGGAAACATATAGTGATAAATTCCTGCACTTCTTTTCTAGATATACTTTTATATTAGCTGTATCATTTTATCTCCTCACATCCTTGTCTCTTCTTCTCAACATAGTTATGGGTATTTGGAGCCTTCCAGGATTAGAAGAGACTCATATTTATCATTCTTTCACTAATTCATGTTGTGTAATCATAACAAATACACCATCATAAGGCATTCACAAATTTTTAACAATAGGCACGACCAGGCCTGCCTAGGACAAGAGAACAAATAAACATTTTTAAATTATACAGTTAACAAACTATTGAATAACTTAATATATATAAATAAGTAAACTATTAAAATTAAATTATCAAGTAAACAAACTATTAAATATGCTATATTCTTATACCTTGACTTTGACATTAATACAACAAAATTGATAAATATGTATAAAAGACTTTTCATTTGATTGAAAGTTGGAAAAATATCAAAAATAACTGCAGTAGTTACTATGGCTTATAGTTGAGTGTTTTTTTATGGGCTAGAAGTGTTTAGATTAGTTATAAAAATATATAATTCATATTTAGCCAGAAAATAAATTTTACCTTAAGTAATCATGTTGATATTACAGTCAAGATTTTTCACACAGTTAGTGTTCTAATGAGAGTAATGCCAAATTCAGTTAGCTTATAATGTCCAGATTGGTGTTTTTGTATACATTTTAACTTGAAAAAATGTTGCTCTGCAGAGGCAGTAGTAACCGGAATAGTGAACAAATTCTGTAGTTCAATGCTTAAGTTCAAAAATGAGCTGTGGATTTTTATATATCATGTTCAAATATGATCAAATCATCCCACTGATAAATTACAAGATCATAAAAATATTCAAAATGTTTTAATTTTATGTATGAATTGCTGTCATTTCTATTGTAATTTTACCATCTTTTAAAAGTGACATATAAATGTAACTCTTACTCATGCTGTTCTTTCAAATTTTAAAATGTTGTATATTTAAAAAAACAAAGAGAGAGCAGTATTTGTTCAATTTTATCAAATTTTGATTCCATCAAGATTATATTTTGATCTTAAAATGGCAAGAAATACAAGTCAATAAAAAGCCAGGCCAGGTATGGTGGTTCACACCTGTAATCTCAGCACTTTCAGAAGCCAAGGCAAGAGGATCGTTTGAGACCAGGAGTTGGAGAGGAGCCTGGACAACATAGTGAGACCCATCTTTACCAAAACAAACAAAAAAATTAATTAGCCGGGCATGGTGGTGGAGTGCACCCATAGTTCTAGCTACACTGGAGGCTGAGTGGGGACGTTCACTTGAGCCCAGGAGTTTGAGGTTACGTTGAGCTCTAATCCACTGTATTCCAGCCTTAGTGACAAAGTGAGACCCTATTCCCCAAAATTAATTCAAGGGGAGGATAGGATTTGAATAGACATTTTTCCAGAGAAGATACACTAATGGCTAGTAAGTACATGAAAAGATGCTCAACATCATTAGTTATTAGTAAAATGCAAATAGAAACTACAATAACATACCACTTCATGCACAGTAAGATGACTATAATCAAAAAGGCAGACAGTAACAAGTGTTAGGAAAGACACGCAAAAATTGGAATCCTCATATATTGCTTCTGAAAATGTAAAATGATGCCATTGCTTTGGAAAATTATTTGGCAGTTCCCCTAAATGCTAAAAGTAGAATTACAATATGACCTATTGATTCCACCCCAGGTACATATGCAAGAGAACTGAAAATATACGTTGATAATAGCATTGTTAATAATAGCCAAAAAACAGAAAATACCCAAATGTCCAGCAGCTATTGAACAGATAATAAATGTAGTGTATCCATACATTAAAATATTACTAGTCACAAATAAAATGAAGTTCTGATATATGCTAAACGTAGATGTAACTGGAAAACATTGTGTTTAGTGAAAGAAGGCAGACCTAAAAGACCACATTTCCATTTAAATGTCCAGAATAGGTAAATCCACAGAGACAGAATGTAGATTAGTGATTTTCTAGGAGTTGGGTTGAGGATGGGGGATTGATGGGCAGGGGAGAAGGGAGGAATGAGGGGTGGCTGCTAATTGGGAAGGAATTTTTTTTTTTTTTGGAGTGAAGAATTATTCTGGAATTAGGTAGTGGACATAGTTGCACAACTCTGAGTATACTAAAAATTACTGAATTGTACACTTTAAAAGATGAATTTTATGGTATATGAATTATATCTCAATGAATCTGTTACTAAAATGTATGAGAGGCCGGGTGCAGTGGCTCACGCCTGTAATCCCAGCAATTTGGGAGGCCGAGGCAGGCAGATCACCTGAGGTCAAGAGTTTGAGACCAGCCTGACCAGTATGGAGAAACCCCGTCTCTACTAAAAATACAAAAAATTAGCCGGGTGTGGTGGCGCATGCCTGTAATCCCATCTACTCGGGAGGCTAAGGCAGGAAAATCGCTTGAACCCGGGGGGATGGAGGTTGTGGTAAGACAAGATTGTACGGTTGCACTCCAGCCTGGGCAACAAGAGTGAAACTCCATCTCAAAAAAAAAAAAAAAAAAAAAAAAAAAGTATGAGAAAAATAGATTATGCAATGGTTGCACAAGTCTGTGAATATACTAAAAACCATTAAACTGATTAAACTGATCATTTTAAATGGATGAATTTTATGGTATGTAAAATTATCTCAATAAGACTATGAAAAAATGGCCAGAAGACAGTCTGTGTAGAAATCGCTATCTGTAGTCTTTTTCTCCTCTGTTGTCCTAAAAAACATATTTATTTCCTTGTTCCAATGTCACTATATTTTGTTGCAATACCGTTCCTGCTATGTGTTTCACCTGTAAGTTTCTACAAAGTTAATATTTTCAATTTGCTTTTTCAAATTGTTTGTTCCATCTTTGGGCAGATCCCAGAAAAACAAAGCAAAAACAAAAAACCCACACAAAATTGTGTGCAATCTCTAATTTTTTCTAAAGAATGTCATTGTTATTGGTAAACTTTTCCATGCCTTCTAGTGACAATCTCTATTTGCTATCAGTATACCAAGCTTTTTGGCACAGTTCTTAACTTATATACATTTTTTTTTTGAGGCGGAGTTTTGCTTTTGTTGCCCAGGCTGGAGTGCAGTAGTGCGATCTCGGCTCACCGCAACCTCCGCCTTCTGGGTTCAAGCAATTCTCCTGCCTCAGCCTCCCGAGTAGCTGGGATTACAGGCATGCATCACTACGCCCGGTTAATTTTTGTATTTTTAGTAGAGATGGGGTTTCTCCCAGTTGGTCAGGCTGGTCTTGAACTCCCGACCTCAGGTGATCCGCCCACCTCGGCCTCCCAAAGTGCTGGGATTACAGGCATGAGCCACCGCGCCCGGCCCCTTATATACATTTTTAATTATCAAACATGTTAACATTATTATCATGGCCATAAAATACCTGAAATCAATGCTGAAAATTGAAAATTGTTTTTTAGTTCTTAAGCCAGAACGTGTACTTTTCACAACAGGTATAAAACTAATAAAATATACTTTATTATTTTCTTCGGGGAGTTGAACAATACTTATAATGAATATAAGAAATATTTAGTTGTTCAATATAGCTTTTGTACTTGTTACAAACAAGTTGAAATAAATAATATTTACTTTATACTTATGCATAATTGTAAAACTATATTACTCTTTAAACTAGTAATCTTTTTATTTGTCCATGCCAGATAGTAATCATTTAAATAGCTATTTTTTCATCCATTTTACATGGTCGGTTATGCTGGCAGCAAATTTTGAAATAATCTCATTCTTTTCTGTAAATACTATTCTCTCAGTGTCATAAAAAGCATTGTTATGGTCAGTTAATGTTAACATTTAATATTATTTTCCAGATTGGCATTAATATATTGGCATTTATTTATCTTAATTGAACGTTATTTTTATTTTTTTTTTATTTTATTTTTTTGAGATGAAGTCTCGCTCTGTCACCCAGGCTGGAGTGCAGTGGTGCGATCTCAGCTCACTGCAACCTTCGCTTCCCAGGTTCAAGTGATCCTACTACCTCAGCCTCCCAAATAGCTGGGACCACAGGTGCCCGCCACCATGCCCAGCTAATTTTTTTGTATTTGTAGTAGAGATAAGGTTTCACTGTGTTAGCCAGGATGGTCTCGATCTCCTGACCTCGTGATCCTCCCGCCTTGGCCTCCCAAAGTGCTGGGATTACAGGCATGAGCCACCATGCCTGGCCCAATGTTATTTATTGAATGATATTTATTCAATCTTTTTGAGTATTAACAATTATTTGTGAATTATTTTTATATTTTATTGGAAATAATTTGTGAATTATATTTATTTTCCTTCAAAAGGGATATTTTTTGCATCTTTAACCAAAAACTTAAGTGTTTCAAGTCATGTATACATTCATTAACCAAGATTGAACTTAAAGATTAGTTGAGAAACATATATGTATTATATGTTTTATGAGAAACATAAATGTAGTAATAACACTTTTTGCTGTTGACTTAAAACCAAAATGACAATTTCTACTTTTCTCCATTTAAATACTTTCAATTTAAAATTAAATACAAAATATTCTACCATATATATTCAATGAAAAATCATAGTCAGATTGTGTTTTGCTAAAAGTACTCTTGTGGCCGGGTGCGGTGGCTCATGCCTGTAATCCCAGCACTTTCGGAGGCTGAGGCGAGTGTATCACCTGAGGTTGGGAGTTCAAGACCGGCCTGACCAACATGGAGAAACCCCGTCTCTACTAAAAATACAAAATTAGCCAGGTGTACTGTCAGAAGGATGTTAGAGCCTTTTTCTGGGATCATAATTCAAAAAATGTAGTAAGGTACATGAAGTTGCTGAGATTAATCTGACATATTTAATAGTTGCTTTGATGGAAAAAATCTTTCTTGTTCATTTGTGTTGTTTTGATTAGTAAATAGTAAATTTCCATTAAGTAAAGGATACGTACTATGTCGTTTGCATATTTTACATGGATCATGTCCAAGGGCAGTCTTCTCACTTCCACTATTTCTACTTCTATAAAATTTTAATCAGGCTGTTCCTTTGAAGATTTTCTGTTTCCTTTTTCTTCTTCTCTTATTTGCACTTTTGTGTCATCTGTTTCTATCACTATTTCAACTCTTACATGCTAAAGGACTAATAATAAAATGTAACTTATTCTTTAAAATGCATGAAATGTTCAATTACCATCCAAAAGCATACAGAAAAAAAGTAAAATGTTGAAAATCATTATTATTTTCATGTTTTCAAAAAGTTTTTTTTTCTAAAATATTCAAAATGATATATTTAACACACAGGAAGATACATTATTTTGCTATACTTATTTTATTACGTATTTTAAAATCAAAAGTTTCCGACCATATCATGTAAAGCAAAAGTGAAAGGAATTCTAGTATTCAGTGCCCATCAGTGATAATGAATTAGTATTATACTTAGCATTCAGTGATAATGGATTAGTATCATACTTGACATGTTATGTATGTATATTTGTATATCTACATATTTTTAAGTGATATGAATTTTTAAATATTGCAAAGTGTTTCTCAGCTATGAGAAACTCAGCCATGTGAATCTCTGCATGGCTTACTAAATGCTATCATCTATGTTCCTCTACCAATATCTGTAATTATATATGCATATACTTTTGTAGTATTTTTATAGTACATTATTTTCAAAGATCTTTGAATGACAGTGAAGATTGCAGCAAATTCCAAAGTTATGGTACTATTTTCTATATATAGTTGACATTAGTTTATTGTCGACTTGCATTTTTTCTCTCTCCCTTCCATCCTAAAGATAGTCAGATATTCATTTGGGTATTTCCCTGCCCAATGCAGTGTATAGGATTAGAAAAAATGACCATCATTTGCTCTAGGAACACTTTTCACCCACATAAATAATTATTTTTCAATTTCATGGCCTCACAACGATTCAGAATTAATTTCAAACACCTGCCTATAATTGTATGACAGTTTTTCTCTTTTCCACTGGAATATAAACATCTGAGATCTACTTACATGTGTAACTCCTAACAAAGCTGGCAGTCAGTCTTAGAACCTTCAGGGGCACCCTCCTTAAAATGAAGCTGACTCTTCATTTTGAATGACAAATAGGAAAGACAAAATGAAAATGAGTTGGTATTTATATTATGAAGCCCTGATTAGCCAACTCAACGAGTAGGCACATGACCCAACCTAAGCCAAACAGATGTTCTCTTCTTGGAATTTCAAATTAGATTGGAGTGATGCAAAGACAAAAAACGATTGGTGCTCATTCAGTGGGGACAGTACCTACAGAGTCAGCCTGTAATTCATAGACCCCTGGATCCACTCTGTTTCTTTTATAAGCCAGTTTCTTTAGCTCTCCCTTAGATCTTCTGAGAATGGCACAGGTGGGTGTGAGATGCACAGGTCCATTTATATGCCAATGTTTAAAAAACCAAATATGGAGGGAAAATACAGTATTCTCAAGCTGTAAAACCTTCATATAGAGAGGGCATCTTTTCTTATACTCAGGTTGTGTGGGGCTACTGTGAGACTTGAGCATATGTGGATTTTGGTAGATGCAGAGGTCCTGTAAACAATCCCCAGATTATACTGTGGGATGGCTGTATATATATGGCTTTTGTTAGAGTCTTTACAGTAATGGTTTAAATTATTGTTTAGTCGATATGTCTCATCCACCTTTTCCTCCCACCATGGGCACAGTCATTCCATTGATACTTCATTGATTTTGGGGTTGGATGTATGGCTTGCTTTAGCCATGGAATGTCAGCAATGTTATACAATATAATACAAGCAAAAGCTTGAAATGTGCTGTATGATGGGGCTTGCCCTCCTGTGCTTCTGCAATTTCCATGAAAATAACATACCGTGGCCATGCTTCTAGTCCACAGAGGTTGAAAGACACATGAAGCAGATCTGGACCCAACTTTTAGCTTTGAACCAAGCCAAGCCCAGCATAGATCAGCCAATTCTCAGCTGACTTGCAGATGTGTGAGCAAGGATCAACGATTACTGTTTTAAGCCACTAGTTTTGGGATGATTTAATGACGTTTATTATTATGGTAATATATGACTGTTATAGCTTTTGTTACTTGTGCATAACTTGGATAGCCATTTATTTCTTTTGCAGAAACAATACTCCAGTGGGATAAATGAAAGATTAAAGCTAAAAGTCTGACTGGTAGATGCAGCTCCAGGTCTTGTTTATGAGACAGGCTTATGTTCAAATCATACTTGCTGTGTGACCAAGACAGTAGCCCAGATCTGGTAAGTCAGTTATCTAGAACTATTTTATTGAGCAATAATTTCATAGAATACATCTCTCAAGAAGTCTTGTTACTGTGCTGTGAAAAAGTAATCTGGGAATAAGAGTAATGCTACTTTTAGAGCATTTTGCACTAAAAGTCCATTTAGATCCATCTTCTTAAGTAAAACATGTTATTCTAGTGTGCCTTTAAAATATTCAGCTTGGGAAAAGCAGCTAGAAGAGACTTTAAAAATATCTTTTAAAATGTGGTTGTCGAAGCATTTGGAGCAGGTAATTGAGTGCTATTTCCATTACTACATGATTAGTGGCCTGATAGTTCAGCTGTTTGCAATGTTTAGAAATTTCTCAACCTCTAAAGTATTAAAATTTCAAACCAAAGGAGTATTCTGCTCCTTACTAAAGGAATGAAGGTTAAGGATTTATCAAAGATATCTATAGGTTCGCATAGATTAAAACACTGCCAGAGAATGTAGAACTGTCCCAGAAATAATTCATACCTACATCTGATGATATTTACTCCACCAAGGTCCTCTTATCATAGGATCACCCCTTAGCACTTTTGGCAGAGAGTAGCATTTTATTGCTGTCTTCCAGAATAAGCTACTTAACAGTATTCTACTTCCATTTTCTGTTTACAAACTATAAAGGAAATGTCATGAATTTGTGTTATCCTCTTTTAGAAGGAACTAAAAAGCATGAATAAGGAAATTCAATTAATAATTATTTGTCTTTGGCTTTACAGTTTAGGCAATCAGAAAAATATATTCAGGAACAGATATGAACATGAGCTCTCAGTACCGCTGTTTTCAGTTCAGGTGTATTAAGGGCAGCAGTAGGCATACTAAGATGGTTACGAGTAGCCAGGCATAATTCAGTGTGAGCTAATAAATTATTAACTCACAATTTCTTATTTCTCTACTTACGTGTTTACTCTATTTGAAGTATAAAAGAATAAAATTATATCTGATATTCTCTCCCACAGGTTCCCAGACAAAACACATCATTGCTTAGCCTTGGAGACAGTTTCATCATGATCTTCAAACGGTTTTGTTTCCATAGTAGAATCCAAAGAGATGCTACTTTCAAATAACGCTGTCATGATTGTTCTCTAAATCAGTAGCTTCAATTTTTAAAAATGATTCTACTATTCTAAAATAGAATTTTATTCATTTCCTGTATTGCTGTAATATATTATCACAAACTTGGTGACTTAAAACAACACAATTTATCATCCTTCAGTTGTGGAGGTCAGAAACCCTGAAACCAAGTGGTTGATAGGACCTCATTCTCTCTGCAGTCTGTAGGAGAATGCATTTCCTTGACGTTTCCAGCTTCTAGAGGTCATCTGCATTTATTGCCTTGTGGTTCCATCCTCCATCTTCAAAGCCAGTAGGGTAGTATCTTCAGATGTCTCTTTCTCTGACTTTTCTTCTTCTTGGACTCCGTAACTATCCTGCTTCCTCCCTCCTTCTTTCCCTTATAAAGGTCTTTGTGGTTACACTGAACATACATGGTAGTCCAGGATAACATACTCATATCAAGATTCTTAACTATCACATTTGCAATGTCCATTTTGATACGTCAGGTAACACATTCACAGATTTTGACTATTTGGATTTAGACATCATTGGGAGGCTATTCTGTCTACTGTAAGGACCAAGACCATAGAGATCCAAAAATCTCCACTGTTTTCCAACTTTCACCAAAATAAAGATCTGAAAAGGAATTATTTTTGCAGAAAACTTGTTGCTAGCAATGCACATAAATAGCTTATTATTTGCTTGATAAGAAAATAGTTCAAGTTGTTTATATAATTTCTGTATTTTAAAAATACCCTACAAATTTCAAAATTACCAGTTTTAAACTTACAAATTGTTTTGATAATAAGTTGTAATTTTTTTGAGTAGTTTTCGTTGAGAGGTCGCATATCCCCAAGAAAAAGCTAATTACAGGGAATTTCTGGGAAGTGAAGTGTGCATCTACTTTAGTGATAAAAATGAGTGATTTATATATAAATTTCAAAGCATGCAATTCTTAATCCTTACTTACTGGAAAAGTATAATTCCAAAATATATAAATATGTATTAATTGCTGTAAAATAGGTTAAGCAATTTGCCACGAAACTGATACTCATAAAGCCAAACCAAAATAAATTTTTTCAGGAATTTTTGCAGAAGGAAACCACAAATCAGGTCACTTTATGATGCACTGATAACAATGTGCTTTTTCTGAATTTGTTAGAAATATTCCACCGTGTGTAGTTGCAGTAGATGCTCAATAACTTTGTTAAGAATTTCCTGGCAGCCAGATTTTTTTAGTATCACACCATATTATAGTCTTCCAAGAACTCTTTGAAATAATAAGCTAATTCTAATATAAGACTATAAAATACACTGACCTTGAATAACTTACTCATAGATTACTAGTAAAGAGCCTTTAGGCATATGTAAATCAAGACATTTCTGAAATGTGTGCCATTCATGCGTAACAATCTCAGAAATTATTTGTCTTTTGGAGAACAGAATCAGCTCAGTTCACCAAGAAGATACTTGTGAATTCTTGTTTTTTAAACATTTTTATTTATTTAATTGTGTATTTATTTTTTTTGAGATAGGGCCTTACTCTGTTGCCCAAGCTGGAGTGCAGTGGCACCATTAAAGCTCATTGTACGCTCGACCTCCCGGGTTCAAGTGATTTTCCCACCTCAGCCTGCCAAGTAGCTGGAACCATAGGCGTGTGCCACTACACTCAGAAAATTTTTGTAATTTTTGTAGAGACAAGGTTTTGCCATGTTGTCCAGGCTGGTCAGGAACTCCTGGGCTCAAGTGATCTGTCCTGCTCGGCCCTACAAAGTGTTGGAATTACAGGTGTGGGCCATTGCTTCTGGCCCTTCTGTTGTTTTTAAGAATTATTAGTTAATATACTACCCATTTCTCTTCCTGGAATTTACTTCCTGTCTCCATCATTTGGTTTATTTAGCCCCCATTTTGGCTAATTCCTTCTCATTCATAAGAAATCAGTTCAGATGTTGTTAGATGTCTGCTTCAATGTGATCCCAGATCACCCTGTGCAGTTAACTTTCTTAGTATTGACCACATTTTGAGTTTCTTTGGAAGCAAGGAACCTGTGCTATTCAACTTTGTAACCCTGCACTTCAGAACTTGATAGAAGTTTAGTAAATGTGTAAAGAAGGAAAAGCATCACAGAAGGATTATAATGACAATAATAGTTAACATTCATAGAATATTTGCTAGGTGCTATGTGCTCTTTAAAATATATCCCATATGTCAAGTAACTTACATTCACATCAATATAGTAAGATGGGTTCTGTTTTAAAGATGAGGAAACTGAAGTACTCCAGAGAGATTAAGTGACTTGTTCAAAGGCATATAGGAAAATATATGGAATGGGAAATATAGACAGAAGGCAAAAACAAAAATAAGTAAAGATGTTGGGGCATCCGGAAAACCTTCTCAAGAAGGATAGGAACAATCCAGCCTAGACAGTAAGATTAGAATAAATACCTAACTCTTCAATGCCCAGACATTGATGAACATCCATAAACAACAAGACCATCCAGGAAAATATGACCTTACCAAACAAACTAAATAAGGCACCAGTGGCCATTCTCAGAGTGACAGAGACATATGACCTTTTGGACAGAAAATTTTAAATAGCTGTTTTGAGGAAACTCAGTGTAATTAAAGATAACACAGAGAAGAAATTCGGAATCCTATCAGATACCTTTAACAAAGACACTAAAATATTTTGTAAATAATCATGCATAATTTCTGGAACTGAAAAATTCAACGACAAGCTGATGAATGCATCAGAGTCTCTCAACAGCAGAACTGATCAAGCAGAAGAAAGAATTAGTGAAATTGAAGACAGGCTATTTGAAAATACACAGTCAGAAGAGATAATACAAAAAAGGAATTAAAAAGTATGCAGCACACTTACAAGATTTATAAAATAGCCTCTAAAGGGCAAATGTAAGAGTTATTGGCATTAAAGAGGAGGTTGAGAGAGAAATTGGGGTAGAAAGTTTTTTTCAAAGTGATATTAACATGATTTTCCAAACCTTGAGAAATAAATCAATATTTAAGCACAAGAAAGTTATAGAACACTAGGCAGATTTAACCCAAATAAGACTACCTCAAGACATATAATAATCAGTCTCCCAAAGGTCAAAGATAAACAAAAGATCCTAAAAGCATCAAGAGAAAAGAAACAAATAACATGAAAGAGGTCCAATATGTCTGGCAGCAGACTTCTCAGTGGAAACCTTATAGGCTAGGAGGGAGTGGCATAATATATTTAAAGGGCTGAAGGAAAAATTCTTCTATCCTAGAATATTATATCCAATGAAAATATCTTTCAAACATGAAGGAAAAATAAAAGCTTTCCCGGACAAGCAAATCTGAGGGATTTTATCAATACCAGACCTGTGCTCAAAAAATGTTTAAGGGAGTCTCCAACTTGAAAGGATGGAACGTTGAGCAATAAGAAATCATCTGAAGGTACAAAACTTACTGGTAATAGTAAGTACGCATACTAATACAGAATATTATCACACTGTAATTGCAGGGGGTAAATTACTTATATCTTGAGTAGGAAGACTAAAAAATGAATGTCTCAAAAATAATAACTACAACAGCTTTTTAAGGCCTAGAGAGTATAAGACATAAATACAATAAGCTAAGAGGTAAAAAGCAGGGAGGATGAAGTTGAAGTTTAGGGTTTTCATTAGTTTTTCTCCTTACTGATTTGTTAGCTAGTTTGTTTTGCAATTAGAGTTAAGTTGTCATCAGTTTAAAATAATGGGTTATAAAATGTTATTTGCAAGCCTTACAGTAACCTCAAATTCAAAAATCTACCACAGATATGAAAAACATAAAGGGCAAGAAATTAATACATACCATCAGAGATAATCACTTTCTCAAAAAGGAAGACAGGAAGGAAGGAAGAAAGGAAAGAACATAAGACCTGAAAACACATAACAGAATGACAAGATTAAGTCCTTACTTATCAATAATAACATTGGTTATAAATGAATTAAATGCTGAAATCAAAAAACATAGAGTAACTGAATGGATTGAAAAACAAGAATCAATTATCTGCTGCCTACAAGAAACACACTTCAACTATAAAGACACATAGACTGACAATAAAGGTATGGAAAAAGATATTTCATGTAAATGGAGACCAAAAAGAGCAGGAATAGCTAGACTGATATCAGATAAAATAGAATTTAAGACAAAACTATAAAAAGAGACAAAAAGTTCATTATATAATGATAAAAGAGTCAATTCAACAGGAGCATATAGCAATTATAAATATATATGCACCCATCACTGAAGAACTCAGACACATAAAGCAAATATTATTAGATCCAAGGAGAGAGACCCCAATACAATAATAGCTGGAGATTTCAGCACCCTACATTCACTGTTGGCCAGATCAGCCATTCAGAATATCAACAAAGAAACATCAGACTTTATCTACACTATAGACCAAACGGACCTAATAGATATTTACAGAACATTTCATCCAGTGGCTACAGATTACACATTTTTCTCCTCAGCACATGGATCATTATTAAGGTTAGACCATATGTTAGGCCGTAAAACAAGTCTAAGCATTCAAAAGAGTAGAAATCATATTAAATATCTTCTCTGACCACAATGGAAAAAAAGTAGGAATCAATAACAAGAGGAACTTTGGAAACTATACAAACACATGGAAATTAAACAATCTGCTCCTGAATGACCAGTGGGTCAATGACAAAATTAAGAAGGAAATTAAAAATTCCTTGAATAAACGAAAATGGAAACACAACTTACAAAATCCTATGAGATGAAGCAAAAAGCAGTAATTTAAAAAATGTTTATAGAAATAAGCATCTAAATCAAAGTGTAGTAAAATTTTAAGTAAATAGCCTAATGATGCATCTTAAAGAACTAGAAAAGTAAGAACAAACTGAATCCAAAATTAGCAGAAGAAAAGAAATAATAAGGATCAGAGCAGAAATAAGTGAAACTGCAATATTAAAAAACAGTACAAAAGATCAACAAAAGGAATACTTTATTTTCTGGAAAGATATAATTGGCAAACCCTTAACCAGACTAACTGAAAAAAGGAGAGAAGACCCAAATAAATAAAATCAGTGATGAGAAAGGAGACATTCCAACGGAATGTCATTGATACCACAGAAATTCAAAAGATATTAAAGACTACTATAAGCAACTAAATGCCAATAAATTGGAAATCCTAGAAGAGACATACAAACTACCAAGACTGAACCAAGAAGGAATACCTGAATAAACCAATAAGCAACAACCTTAAATTTGTAATAAAAAGTCTCCCAGCAAGGAAACACCTGGGACCTGGTGGCCTCACAGCTAAATTTTACCAATCATTTAAGTAAAAAATACTAATCCTACTCAAACTATTCCAAAAATATAGAGGAGAAAGTAACACTTCCAAACTCATTCTATGAGGCCACTATTACCCTAATAGCAAAACCAAAGACACATCAGAAAAAGAAAACTACAAGCCTACATCTCCAGTGAACATGGTTGCAAAAATCCTCAACAAAATACTAGCTCACCAAATTCAACAACACATTAAAAAGATAGTTCATTATTATTAAATGGGATTTATCACAGGGATTCAAGGGTGGCTCAACATATGCAAATCAATCAATGTGATACATCATATCAACAGAATGAAGGATAGAACAATATGATCATTTCAATTGGTGCTGAAAAAATGTTTGATAAAATTCAACATCCCTTCATGAAAAAAGCCTCAAAAACCGGGTTTAGAAGGAACATACCTCAAGACAATAAAAGTAATATATGACAGACCCACAGCTGGTGTCATACTGAATGGGGAAAAACTGAAAGCCTTTCCTGTGAGATCTGGAACAAGGTGAGGATGCCCACTTTTGCCACTGCTGTTCAACATAGTACTGGAAGTCCTAGCTAGGCTAATAAGACAAGAGAAAGAGATAAAGGGCATCAAGTTGGAAAGAAGTCAGATCATCCTTCTTTGCAGATTATCTCATTTTTATATTTGAAAAAACCTAAGACTCCACCAAAAAAACTACTAGAACTGATAAATAAATTCAGTAAAGTTGCAAGATACAATAATAGCATACAAAAATCAGTAGCATTTCTGTATGTTAACAGTGAGCAATCTGAAAAAGAAATCAAGAAAGTATTTTCATTTACAATAGCTACAAATACAATAAAATACCTGGGAATAAATTTAACTAAAGAAGTAAAATGTTTCTACAATAAAAAAAATAAAACATTGCTGCAAGAAATTGAAGAGGACAGACATACATGCAAAGGAAAATATCCTATGTTCATGGATTGGAAGAATCAATATTTTTGAAATGTTCATACTCCCTGTGAGTATTAATACTGAGTATCAACTTGATTGGATTGAAGGATGCAATATTGATCCTGGGTGTGTCTGTGAGGGTGCTGCCAAAGGAGATTAACATTTGAGTCAGTGGGCTAGGAGAGGCAGATCCACCCTTAATCTGGGTGGGCACCATCTAATCAGCCACCAGTGATATAAAGCAGTCAGAAAAACGTGAAGAGGCAAGACTGTCCTAGCCTCCCAGCCTACATCTTTCTCCCATGCTTCCTGCCCCTAAACACAGACTCCAAGTTCTTCAGTTTTGGGACTTAGACTGGCTCTCCTTGCCCCTCTGCTTGCAGACAGCCTATTGTGGGACCTTGTGATCATGTAAGTTAATACTTAATAAACTCATATATATATATATATATATATGTATATATATATATAAAATAAACTCCATATATATAGAGAGAGAGTTTAGTTAGTTCTGTCCCAGTTAATTCTGTCCCTCTAAGAGAACTCTGACTAATACACTCCCTAGAGCAATCTACAGATTCAATGCAATTCCTGTCAAATACCAATGTCATTCTTCATAGAATGAAAAAAAAAAATCCAAAAATTTATATGGAACTACAAAAGACCCAGAATAGCCAAAGTTATCCCTAGCCAAAAGAACAAAACTGAAGAAATCAAATTATCTGACCTCAAGTTATACTCCAGAGCTATGGTAACCCAAATGTTATGGCACTGGCATGAAAACAGACATATATGCCAATGGAACAGAGTGGAGAACCCATAAATAAATCCATATGTCTACAGTGAATTCATTTTCAACAAAGGAGCCTAGAACATACACTGGGGAAAGGATAGTCTCTTCAATAAATTGTGCAGGAAAACTGTATATCCATATGCAGTAGAATAAAACTAGATCCCCAACTCTTGCTATGAACAAAAATCAAATCAAAGTGGATTAAAGACTTAAATCTAAGACAAAAAACTTATTAACTACTAAAATAAAACATTGGGAAATCTCTCCTGAACATTGATCTGGGCAAATATTTCTCAAGTAATACCCACCCCCACCAAAAGCATAGACAACAAATGCCAAAATGGACAAATGGGATCACATGAAGTGTAAAAGCTTCGCACAGCAAAGGGAACAACAAAGTGAAGAGACAACCCACAGAATAAGAGAAAATATTTGCAAACTATGCATCTAACAAAGGATTAATAGGCAGAATATATAAGAAGCTCAAACCACCCAACAGGAAAAATTCTACTAATCCCATTAAAAAATGGGCAAAATATCTGAACAGACATTTCTCAAAAGAAGACATACAAATGCCAGACAGGCATATGAAAAGGGGCTCAACATGACTAATCATCGGAGAAATGCAAATCAAGGCTATAGTGAGATATCATCTCATCTCAGTTAAAATGACTTATCCAAAAGACAGGCAATAATAAATGCTGGTGAGGATGTGGAGAAAAGGAGACCCTCTTAGACTGTTGGTGGAAATGTAAATTAGTGCAACCACTATGGAGAACAGTATGGAGGTTCTTCAAAAAAGTAAAAATATAACTGTCATGAGATCTAGCAACCCCACTACTGGGTATATACCCAAATGAAAATAAATCAGTATTTCAAAGAGATATCTGGACTCCCATGTTTGTTGCTGCACTATTTGTAATAAGCCAAGATTTGGAATTAACCTAAGTATACAGTAACATATGAATGAATAAGGAAAATGTGGCACATATACACAATGGTATAATATTCGGTCATTAAAAAAGAATAGAATCCTGTAATTTGCAACAATATGGATGGAACTGGAGGGCATTATGGTAAGTGAAATAAGCCAGGCACAGATAAACAAACTTCACATGTTCTCACATGCTTTTGGGAGCTAAAAATTAAAACAATTGAACTCATGAAGATAGAGAATAGAATGATGTTTGCTAGGGGTGGGAATGGGTAGTGGTGGGGAGAGAAAGTCAGGATGGTTAATGCATACAAAAATATAGTTAGAATAAATAAGATTTAGTATTTGATAGCACAACATGGTGACTATGGTCAACAGTAATTTACTGTACATTTCAAAATAACTGAAATAATCTAAATGGAATGTTAACACAAAGAAATGATAAATGCTTGAGGCAATGAATACCCTATTTACCCTGATATGATTGTTACACATTGCATGCCTGTGTCAAAATATTTCATGTACCCGAGTAGGTATATATAATACCTACTATGTACCCATAAATAGTAAAAATTTAAAAAATAAGAAAAGATGAGGGGAGTCAGAAAAAAAAGGAAAAATAATGGGAGAGTTCAGCAATAGGTTGATCCTACTGGGTTCAGGAATATCATTTTAATCACTCACTCATTTTAATAAATCAACCTCTCAATCACTCACTCAGCAAGTAGAACTTTTTCATTGCACTCTACTTGCTCAGCAAAGTCTAACCTTGATGAAATCCAGTTTTTTTTTTTTTTTTTTTTTTTTTTTGCCTACTCCACATCTGTATTTGTGGCTAGAGAAAAAATACTGTGCATGACTGACCATGGCCAGAGGGAGAAACAAGCATGTTTACTGGTGATTCATTTTAAATAATTCCTGATCACTAACCTTGAGTGACCCTACCATACACCCTTACTCTAGGTCTGTTACTCTTTTTGACGAGTAGTATTTCACACCTTCTTCTCTGGTCACACTCCCAAAATTTCTCCCCATTCCTCACTCTTACCTGGGATGACCTTTTTCAATTACACTGAAAAATAGAAAAACAATCAGTGAGAACTGCAGCACAACCCTTGACCACATCAACCTAACATCCAGCTCTAGGCATATCATATGACTTTCTTGTTTTTAATATGGTAGAACTGCTTTATTTTACATTTTTATTTTCATTGCTATATATGGGCTCCTTGAGGAACCTAATTTACATAGGTGGGAATAGTACAGGTTTCCTCATAAAAATATCACTTGGTCTTTTGATTACCTTTCAAACTCTATGCCCCTAAGTTAAATGATCCATCGTCATAAATTACTTTTAATAATATCAGAGCTCCCCATCACAATTTTGTGGCAATCCAAGAATTGGAAACCACTTGATATGCCAGAATTTTTTCTCAGTCATTAGAGTCCAATTAGACAACAATACTTTAAAATTTCCCATTGTTTGGCATCCCAAGGCAATAACACCTGAGGCAGTGCAGCCTAGAAAGCTTCATAATGTGTGAAAAATGTATCATTTGTCTGTAAATTGCATAAAGGTAGAGTGTTTTGCAAATAAAAGTGGGAAATAAGAATGCTTGAGATGCTCAGCTGAAGGGTCTCAGGTATCAGGCAGATCAATTTTAGTCATTATTACTTATATCAATGCTGAGGATATGGAAGTTGATTTTCCCTAATCCATTCAGGCCTGCATACTCTTTGGAAAGTCTTATTTATACTCCCAGGATACACAAAGTTCAGTTTGAATTCCCCAGTTTACACATTACAGTTTCTGGAGTTTCACTGTTGGACCATTTCTCTTTCCTATTATATTCACTTATCTGATCTCATGGCGTGGCTTTAAAATACACACACACACACACACACACACACAGGGACAATGTTGAAACACCAAGGTCTCTCAAATATGAACATTCAGCCCAGAGGGCTCTCTTAACTACAGATAGATGTAAGCAACTTGAAATTTCTTGTCTCCATTTGGATATCTAATAGATATCTCAAAATGAATACATATAAACCTGAAACTATGATGTTCATACCTATTCTAACTTCTACTCTCCTTTAGTCTTCTCTCTCTCGGTAGGCAGAAAGTCCATCATTTGAGTTACTCATGCTAAATATTTTTTGCTGCTTCTTGAACATACTAGGCATACTCTGAGTTTTTGCACTTGCTCCCTGAGTACAGAACCTTTTTCCCACAGAGAGCAGCATGCCCTGTTCCTTCACTTCTTTCCTTTGTTTGCTCAAACATCACCCTATTTCTTATGCTTTCTCTAACCACCTTATCTAACGTTGCATAACTCATCTCTCCTTCCCTTGCAAACTCTTCTCGCTGGCTTTATTTTTCTCTCTAGCATTTATTATTTGACATACTAAATATTTTACTTATTTGCTTATTGTATGTATCTTCCTACTATAAAAAAAAGCTGGACTTCTGGTATGTTCTGTTCATTCTATATCCCAGCACCTGAATAAATTAATCATGAAGTTGAAATCAACAAAATAACTCAAGCTCTTTGCAACAAGCTTAAAGGATGACTTGGAGGTCAAGCTGAGCATGATGGGGCTACAAAGGACAGAATGAGTAGAGAAACAGAAAGATAATTCACATTATAAGAACTACCTATCAAAAAGAAAGACTGATATATAGCAGCATAGAAAGAAATGAACATCAACATCTACCTGAGTTGCTACTAACAGAAAATGAAGATACTCATGAAATAGTGGCAGCAAGATTTGTACGACTACTTTTAAAGAAGCAACAGTGAGTCTGCAATACTGAAGGTGTAAATTCTTACACAATGACTTTAAGAATTCTCATCATTGTAAAAATAATATCTTATAGTTGATGTATCAAAGCAGAAATACTAACTGGTAGCAATGTTGACAAGTAAATGTCTCCATATTTTTCTGAAATTTCATTATCAATTCTTGTTTACTGAATATTATTCTGTAATATTCAGTATCAGCAATGATACAAAATATTGCAGAAAGTAACAGAGTACTAAAGATAGAGTATGTATTCTTCTATTCCAGAAAGGACCAGCATCAAAAGTTTATGCTGAATGTGGAAATTAGACTCTCTGATCTTCTAAGTAAGAGCTTTTGCAGATTAAGTACCTAATTGTGTTATTAACTTTCACTTTGTTCTTCATGTCAACTAAATTGGCATTTGAATATTTGGTCAGCAAGAGAACTTCGGATACTTTAGAATCAAATGTTTCCTTCGATTTGTTTAGCTTCTTGGTGCAGAGTCTGAAACACTGAACTTTTTCTTTGTGTATGTTTGGATCATTGTGACAACATTCTTTTATCTGGTTTCAGTGGTGTGTTCCTGGGCTTTAACTTAATAAAGGCTGAACTCTCCTTCTATCAGATGCAGCCATAGAATCAATGAGTGTATAAACAGCAACTCACTGCCATAAGCAGGGCAGGACTTTATAATTTTACAGAGATTTTGTGCAAAATCAGTCATGCTTTACTGTATATACAATCAATTTATACGAAACTCGTATAGAACATTCCCTACCCATTTCTGGCCCGGCTGCCTGTTATTATATATCTGAATTTGTTGTATATTGGAAGGAGCAGTGCCTCATGCTCCTTAACATGCAGGTAATTTGTAGCATATTGATCATGCTAATGCCTGTGTAAAAGGTCAACAAGTAGATTCACCTCCTAAAAACTGGTTATCACAGTGCTTTGCATGCAGGTAGCCCTCAAAACACGTTGGCTCACTTCCTGCAAATATGAGAGCTAACAATTTGTTATACTTTTATAGAAAATAAAATTTCCAATTTCTTTGGTTAAGGTCAAATTTCAGACCCTGTACAGACAGGTGCGGTTGATAACTTTAGTGTCCATTATTCATCTATGGACTAAGCCACTCCTATGTAGTAAGAGGAAGAGTGACTTCTTTTGCAGCCTGAAAAAAAAAAAAAACATTGAAGGGATTGTATAACCTCTCTCAGTGTTTCCTGCTGAACATCTACTTTTGCAAAATATGTTCTCATCTCTATTTAAAGTTAGGTATTCTGAGAATCTAACTTAGAAAAGTCTACAATTTTCTCCTTTACATGAAAATCCTTTTTGGAAAATAGCATGATAAATAAAGTTAGATATAAATAATACTTGCTTAAAATTGTGTTTACTAAGCCAAAATGGCTTTGGCAAATTATGTTTAATTTTAGTTTAGGAAAAGCTTACATAACATCTATGAAATAGGATTGACTGTTCAGTTAAGAAGTGTTTATCTTGATTATAAAAATGTTGAACAAATAGCTATCCCACCTATCATTAAACAAGTAAATCACTGTTACTATTGCCCATTCAAACAGGAAAACTAGCCATTTGCTAATTGCCTTTTGTAATTGGTGGTTCTTGTTACTTTCTGTAGGTTCCCTGGAAATCATTGTTTTCCCTTTCAAATGGTAATACTTCTAATCATTAAAATCTAAAGAAAATACATCTAGCCTTTTTGTTTGTGTATGTGTAGTAACAATATAAAACAGAAAAGACAATAACTTTTCATATGTATAGACATCCATCTTTACATTAAAATATTTTCTTTGATTAACAGTTTAGTTGGGAATCTAATAACATACCGATATATTCATTGAATTTAATTATCCTAGGATTTAAATTACTTTTTGAGATTAAGTGTCAAACTCTCATCCTGACAAGATAATAGATGAAATATTCTAAAATCTCCTCCAATTACAACATACATAACAGTACTGGAATTTAAAAGGAAGCATTTAAAGATGCATAGGTGATCTGTCAGAAGGTAAGAAAAACTTTTGGGAAGGATAAGAGGTAACAAGGAACCAAAAACAAACCTAAAATCTGTGCATTAATCCAGAGCGGTGAATGTTGAAATATTAAAGATACCTGCAGGCACACACACTAACCTGGAGCTTTAATAAAAATGACCACTGAAGAGATGGGAGATAAAGCCTGGAGCCCTTACAAGACAGGGAATCACATCCTAGAGGAGAGTAGAAAGCTAAGAGTCTAAGAGTTCTAAAACCTCAGCAACAGAGGTATTTGGGGGCAACATTTAGAGAGTGGGTGGCAGACATACTCTGCAAGGATGAAGAAACTTGTCTAACTTGACTTTGGGTAAGGAGGTGGTAGGAGTCTTTTTTGAGACTCTCCTACAAGACTCTCAACAACTTAGGGGGGGTAAATTTATTGAATTTAAAGTGCTGTTGCTTTCCTTGATGAAATAATTCACTTTCCAACTTGTACACAAAAAACTATTACATATAAAGTTTCAGCATACAACACAAAACACATGAGGAAACAAGGCACCCTGAATGAGGGTCAGCAGAAACAATAAAATGCACAATCGGATTCATGAGAACCCAAGATGACAGAATTATTTTATACATGAGAAAGCAAACTAAATATGACCGAGAAGGACTCCATACTTCTATGTTTGAGTCCTTGTGGATGAACTGCAACCTAACTTAATAGACAAGTTCGAACACCTAACTTAGGAGTATGCGCCTGTAACAATCGCTGATTCTTGGCCAATCTCAGCGAGTACTTCAACCATTCATACACTGCTGATGTTCAAACTGTGTCCAAGTAAGACAAACGCTGAGCTGAGCTGTAACCAATCCAGCTATTTCTGTGCCTTACTGCTGATTTCTATCGTCACTTTACTTTTTTTTTTTTTTTTTGTCTGTAACTTTGTTCTGACCAGAAGGCATCTGTGGAGTCTCTGAATGTGCTGTGATTCTGATTCACGAATGGTTTGTAGCTCAATTAAACTCCTTTAAATTTAATTCGTCTGAAGTTTTTCTTTTACCATAGAGAATCCAGTGAATTTGTTAAAAAGTCTTTTGATAGAGCAGAAGTAAAGACAAACATGAAAAAATTTATCAAGGAAGAACAAGGAGGCAAAGAGAATGACTACATGAAAAAGAGCATAAAGAGATTTCAAAACAAGAAGACTGATCAGATTTTCAGAAGGTGAAAATAAGCAGAATACTAAGAAAACTGTAGTTATTAATTTTACCATAAATCAAATGTTATACATACATTTACTATGGCCCAGGTAGGGTTACTATTAGGTGAGTATTATTATTATTATTATTATTATTATTATTGTTATATTGTTTGATAGATAGGGAAACTGAAGAATCAACTAAATAACTTTCCTAGAATCCTACAGTTGGTAAGTTGCTGAATCAAGATTAAAAGCTAGGGAGTCTAGCAGTGAAGTGTGTACTTTTATGTATTTATTCTATCTTTCAAAAAAATTTTAAAATATTTAATTGATTTTTAATTTTAAAATGTTTGGTTGACAAATAACAGTCAGTACTTTCTTAGACGGATAAACAAAAGGAAATCTATAACCCAATTTATCACGGCGAAACTATTAAACACCAAAGACAGATATAGAATTCTGACAGAAGAGCGGGAAGAACTAATATTGTTAAAATGTTGAGGAAAAGCAACTACTTACCAAAAGCTATATAGCCAAAAAAAAAATTTAAGAAAAATGACAGAAGAACAGAGATTTCAGACAAAACTGAATTTCAAAAGAAATGGATGCATTTTAGATAGAAGGAGAATGATTCTAAAAGGAAGGCATGATTTTTAAAAAGTTGGTAAACAAAGGAAATGGTAAACATGTTACAATGATATCTATGGTGAAGGCATTAGAACAACACAAGATGGGAAATTTTTGACTGTGCATGTGCACATTTGCGCGTGTGTGTGTGTGTGTGAGAGAGAGAGAGAGAGAGAGAGAGAGATTGGAGTTTAGATGTCCTCTAATTTCCCCAAGTTGTTTAGAAGGTGGGTATATACATTGATTTACTTTAGTCTTAAGTGAAGCATGCAATTAAAAAATGAGTAACCACTTAAAGAACAGAATGCAGTATATAATTCCAAACTACAAAAGGAGAAAAAATGGGGGGAAAAATAAAAAAATGTAAAAGAAGACAAGAGAGGAGCAAAAGGAGCACAGCAAACCTGGGACAAAGCAGAAAATAAGATGGTAAAAATACATTCATATATATCAGTGATCAGAAAAAGAAAGAAAAAAGATTACTCTTGCCAAAGGTGGAATAATTTTATTAAACTTTATTAAACTGTCAACAGAATGATTAGCTTTATTGATCTTCTTTGATATATCTTATACAATCTGCTGTTTACCGCATATACATCTTTAACCATACGAGTAAGAATAGCCATAAGAGAAATGATACAAACTAATATATTAGACTTATGTTAAATTAGATAAAACTGGTGTGCCTTAGCTAATGATAAAGGATCAAGGGCCATAAACATACAATAATTCTAAACATACATAGATTGAGTATCATAGCTTAAAAATTTACTGCAGCAAGATTTCTACATCTACAAGAAGAAACAGATAATATATCGACGTATTTGGATATTTGAGCATACTGCTTTTAGCATGGGATAGATCAAGTAAATAATCTCAAAAAAAAGTGATAGATAGGCTTGATCTAAAGCACATATATAGGATAAAATAGAGAACTTTGACTCAACACACTTATTCTTTCCCAACTCACATGAACATTTATAAATCTGACCCATGTCATAAAGCGTAGGCCATAGAGCAAGTCTTAAACATTTTCAGATAACTGGTATCATTTGGACCACATTCTCTGTCCATAATGTAATTGATTTAGGAATCACAAATATTAAACGCCTACATATTTTGAAATAAAAAACTCACTCCTAAGACAAAGGCATAAATAGGCATTTTACAGAAAGTAGGAATCATCAATAAACATATGAAAGATTCTTGACATCATTAGATGTATGAAAAGTAAATGAAGTTCTCAATGATACTTTTTAGTTCTAACAGATGGGCCTATTTTAAAAAGTCTGAAAATACCAGACTTTACTTTAGAGGGAAGTAAATGTGTTCATAGTCCCAGCAGGTGGGAGTGTACATTAGTACAAACACTTTAGAAAACAATTAGCATGATATAGTAAGGTTGAGGATATTCAAACCTTTCAAATCTGCAGTTGCATTCCTGGGTATACATCCTTCAGAATTTCTTACATCTGTCACTGGGAGACTTGAACAAGAAATTTTCCAACCACATCATTTGTAATATGAGAAAAGCTGGAAATTATCTATCTGTCCATCTAGATATACTTATTATGTATTGTAAAATACATAGTCATTTTTTATTCTATTGGGGTGGTTGACTTTTTATTGATTTGAAAGTTTTTTCTATAAATAATGTATTGAAGGTGGCCCTTGCCCAGTTTGTTCATCATTTCTTTCTTTGTTTATGTCTTTCATATAGAGGTTTTAAATATTTTATACATTGACATTTTATATTACAACATTTATCTAAACGTTTAAAGTGACTTTTGTCATTTGTACTATGTTCAGATCTTTCTCAGTCTCCAGGACTTTATTACTATTGATCTATATTTTCTTCCTATGTTTTTGCCCTGCCTCCCTCCCTGCCTGCCTGTCTCCCTCTCCCCTTTTCTTGTTTCCTTTTTTCTTTTCTTTTTTTTTAAACAAAGCTTTCTATAGAATGCATTTTGCATAAAGGGTAAAACAGATTCTATTCTCTTCTTTCTTTTTTCTAGAAAACAATACATTCCATTCTAATGTATGTTTTTCCCCTGGCACCAAACTATTTACAGCAGTTCTAAACATTTTTGATATTTAGCTATATAAGGTGTTTCGAATAACTGGAAGGAAAAGGTCCCTTAAATAATCCAGTTTTTGTCAAAATTTTTCTTCTTATTTTCATGTTATCTTTACAAATGACTTCTTGAAATGGTTTTGCAAATTAAAGATATATTCTTGAAACTTTTATTTGGGATGACTATTTGAATAGGGGAGCTATTGATATTTGTATTATATTGATCTTTGCTAGGAAATAATACACTATTCTTTTTTATTTATTTAAACTGTTTTTCATATGTTTTCAGTGAGATTTGTAGACATTTTTTCCAATGATATCTCATATTCTCATTAGATTTATCTACACTTTTTAAAATTTTGTCTGCTATTATAAATAGATAATTTTTCACCATATTTTCTAATATTAGTCTTTAAGAAATCTGTTTTTCTTATTTTTGAACTCCCAATTTATCATCACTTTGAACATTCTTACTATTTCTAATATGTTTGCTGTTGGTTTTCTAATAATTATATCATCAGCAAATTATTGAATTTATGTCCTATCTATTCTAATACTTAACTTAAAAAAAAGGCTAACAAAGTAGTGATTGAACCAGCTACTTCTTTGGTAGAAATGTTACGTTGGGGAGAAAAGGCATCCTGATATTTTTTCTTCCCACTCATGGTAACAATTACAATATTTCATCAAGTGTGTTATTGCCTCTAGGTTTAAGCTAGCCTATTATGTTTAAGAATTATTTTTCCCCTACTAGGAAATCATATTAGTTTGTTTGGGCTGCTATAGCAAAATACCTTAGACTAGGGAGTTTATAAACAATTGAAATTTATTGCTCACAATTCTGGAGATTGGGAAGTCCAAGATAAATGTGCAGGCAAAGTAGGTATATGGTGGGGGCCATCTCTGCTTTATAGACAGAGTCTCTTGTTGCATGCTCCCATGGTGAAAAGGAAAGATTGAACCCTTCAACATTTTTATAAGGGCCGTAATCTCATTCATGAAGGTGGAACTCTCATGGCTTAATACTTTTGAAAAAACTCTGTCTGTTCATACTGTCACACTGGGTATTAGGTCCCAACTAATGAATTTTAGGGGAGGGATACCAAAATTCAGACCATAGAAGAAATGATATTGAATGCTATCATCTATTAAAATGACCAAATCTTTTCTCCTTTGACTTGTTAATATGGTGATGTCTCTGTCTCTCTCTCTCTCTCTATCAATTAATCATCTATCATGCATCTATCTATTCATCCATCCATTTTCTGATATTAATCATCATTGTAATCCTGGCATAAAGCATGTTATTCATGGCATAGTATTCTTTTATATATTATTTTATATGCAATTTGCTAGGTTTTTGTTTAGAGATTTTTCATCTATCTTACCAAATAAACTTTTAAAATCATTTTCTTTTTTGTTCTACAGTTTTTCAGATTAGGTTTCATTGCTTCAATAGCTTTGTAAAAAGAATTGGTAAACTTCCTTTCCTTATTTGGGTTCTGAAACTGTTTACATATTAAACAAATAGAAATTTTAAGTTGTGAAGAAACTAGCTGTCCCAGGATATACAGTTAAAATATTTGTTTTATTTGTTTACAACTTGCTTAATTTTCTTGATGGTATAATAGATCTTTTGGTAGCCAACCAGTATCTTTTCCTTCCCTTATAGCCATCCCTTCACTACGTAGAGAATTCTGAGTTGATTATGATGTCCTCAGAGTTAAAACAATGTCCTCAGAGTTAAAAAAAAAAAAAAATTGCACTTCCCTTTTAGCCAGGGTAGCCATGTAAAATAGCTTTGATTGGTGATATGGAAGTGGATGGGTGGAGCTTCGTAGAAAACTATTATTTCCTTAATAAAAAATTAAACTCATTTGGCAGTTATTTGTAGTCCTGGGCCCTCTGCCTTTTCTGCCTAGTATATAGGCAGGGTACTCATGTTGCAGCAGCTCTACTATGAGCATGTGGATAAAAGCCATCTCCCTAAAGAGGAAAGAAACACATACCTGAGTTTCATTGCCCATCTCACGACTCCTTACAGTGTGAGAAATATAAACCCCTATTAGGTTAAGTCATGGCAGTCAGGTTTCTGATACATGCAACTGAATATAATTTCTAATCATAAGTAATTAATTTATGCAGGTTTTCTACCCTTTCTTGAGTCAATTTTAGTAGCATTTTCCAAGATGTCGTACATTTCAGATATATGAGAATATTTCAAATATAGATTTAGCTTAAATGTTTTATTATTTTATTTTACTAAAAATCTGTAGTTAACCTTGTGTTTTCATTCTCAAGTTTTTATTTTTGTGCTCTTATTTTTCTTTTTATGCTTCTCTCTTGCTGTGAACTCTTATTTTCAACGAAGGAGATTTTGAATTTATGTTATTAATTTTTTCATGCTGTTTTCTTTTCCCAGTCACTTTTTTCCCCCAATTTTCAGTTGAATACTTAGTTAACTGAATTTAATTTTTAGGAATAGAGTGTAAGAATTTAGCTTAATGTATTTTCCTGAGTTTGTGTTCACTGTCAATCCTTTCCCATTTTGTACCATTAACTTTATTTTCTAAAGATTTTAGTAAATGTAATTTTGATTACTTCTTTTATTATGTTTTGTTTTACAGTTTTCAACATTGTTGTGTTGTCTACAATTTTGTGATTCTTATATTGCCTCAAGGTAAGACAGTGTAAATAATTCAATTCCTAATTTGAAGCATGAATGTAACTTTTTTGTGGCTTATATGTTTTCTTTATCTTATGGATACTTAAAAAATCTTCTCTTTATTGAAGGTTGTTTATTTTAAGTTCTATATTTTGAATTAATCTTATTAATTATATTATTTAAATACTTTTTATCCCCTTCTTACCACTTGCCTATCAAATTAAATCTCTTAGTACTATTATTATTAATTACTCTTCAACTTTCTGATAATTTTGCTTAATATACATAAGTATTAAGTAAATCCTAGTATTCCAGAAACTGAATTTTCTGTTTTTCTGCAAGTCAATTGAATGTATAATTCTGTCATCTTGGTAGGAACTAAATTTTATCCAATTTGGAGGGTTTGTCTCCTCTTTCTACCCTGTTGCCACTAGACTCAGGATGAGATGGGGGTGGGGAATCTTAAATACATTGCATGATAAAATCATGCCCCATCCCAACCTTTTGCTGGAGGGAGAAAGGGAGGGCTTCCTAGCATCTCTTACCTGTCCATGCAGGCCTCTATTGTAATGTGACTTGGCTGTTGGCCCATGAGAGCTGTGTTAAGGTTCTCCAGAGAAACAAACAATATATGCGTGTATATATATGTAAGATTACAGATAGTGCTACACAATGATGTTTCTATCAATGTCAGTCTGCATCTGTAGAAGTGGTTCTGCAAGATTATAGTGGAACTAAAAAATTCCTATCACCTAGTGACATTGTAGATATTGTAATATTGTAGGGTAATGCATTTACTCACATGTTTGTAGTGATGCTTATATAAACTAACCTACTGTGCGGCCAGTTGTACACTACTATGGGGTGTTCAATTACATATGGGACAGAATACTTGATAATGGTAATAAATAACTGTTACTGGCTTATGTATTTACTATAAACACTTTTTATTGTTATTTTAGAATCTACTCCCTCTACTTACAAAAAGAAAAGCTAACGGGAAGAAAGCCTCAAGCAGGTCCTTTGAGAAGTATTACAGAAAAAAAAAAAAAAGCATCGTTATCACAGGAGATGGCCCCTCCATGTGTGTTACTGCCCTGGAAAACCTTACAGTGGGTCAAGACATGGAGATGGAAGGCAGTGATACTGGTGATCCTGACCCTCTGTAGGCCCAGGCTAATGTGTGTGCATAAAAGACAGTGATGCTGGTGATCCTGACCCTGTATAGGCCCCACCTTGGCCTCCCAAAGTGCTGGGATTACAGGTGTGAGCCACTGCTCCCAGGGGAGATGAAAAGTCTCCTTTCTTCTGAGTTTGAAACCCTCCATCAATTTCTTCTATGACTGCAGGGTGGGAGACTCATCCCCTCCTGACCCCTGGCCCACAATCTCCCAGTGGCCATATTCTCACTTCTCCTGTGTACCTTATAGTATCTCTACGTCGGGCAAAGGGAATTTTCCTCGTTTAAGGAGAGATAAACCTGTCTTCAAAATCTCAATATTTTACTGATGTAGGAGTCTTCTCTGGTGTCCTAGAGACATCAACTTCTGGACAACAAGCAAAGAAGAAGCCCTCTTTTCTCTGTTTTAACTGTTACATCCCTTTGTTTTGTTTACACAGGTATTGTTAGATCTTCTAAAAACAGAAACTGGAGGCCAGGGGTTTAGTTTCAGAGGGGAAATTTGCCTCTGTGTGTGTTTGTATGTATGTGAAAAAAAAAAAAGCTAAGCTGACTGAACAGACCCCCTCGTGGCTGAGGGGACCTCAGAGAAGCCTTAGAAGCTGAATTCCTGGCCATGATGGGTTGGGAGGTGGGACATGCCTCCTTATACTCCCTTGCTAACCACTATTAGGCTTTCTTTCCTAAGGGTTAAACAGAAACCAGCACTTTGGAGAGACTTGCTCCACCCTAGGTATCAACCAGTTGCCTGACACTGCCCCCTCTTTTTTGCAGATTTGACAAAACAACCAACCAAATTTCCTTCCTGATAGGAGACCACAGACCATGGGGTTGTCCTTAACTGTCTATGGAGGATGTATAGTGAGGATTTTCATGTCCTCTGCTTCACCTTTTGCTATCGGGGGCCAAAAAGTTCACCCTGGGATCATGTTGACGCTGCCATTTGTTTGTACATGTGACTCAGATGGGGCATGAAGCTTAACTGAACATACACAATTTTCTCCTTTCGTAAATAAGTATGGCTCCTCCTATAGCGTATTAAATATGTGTATTTGGTCCCCTGCTCAGCATAAATTCCCATTCCCTTTGCCCTTGCCTTGAAGTATCTGTTTCCGGCTTCTGACAGAAGGCTATGCTAGCCAGCTGTCAGAAGGACCACACTGCAGTCTGCAACCCTTTAGGAGAAATAAAGTCCTCCTTTCCAAATTTGTGAACTTCATCATTCTTAAGTTGACAGGCATGTGGGTGCATGCGCACATGCACGTGTGTGTGTTTTCTTCCTAAAAAGTTGTTGACATTTTGACACTGTGACCTAATTTTAGGCATCAGATTTTCAGTTTTACATGTCTCTATTACAGGTAAGCATGAAATTGGGCCTGTACTCCCTTCTGGAACTTTTGCTTCTTGGTTTGAGTAAGACTTTTTGAGGGAGTCTACAATTTAATTAAAAGACTATCTTGTGTTGGACATGAAACCTCAGGCTAGGAAAAAGTCCCTCTTGCTTGTCTATCCCTTTGACATGACCATGAGTATCTCCCTTCGACTCTTGGTCTGTAGTGGCTGAAGTGATTTCAAGCACTTTCCACTGTGGATGCTGAAGTCCAGATTCCTCTTAGGACCAAGGCACTTATTTCCAGCTGGCAGGTGCATTGTTGTTGCAAACTCACAATTGAGGCACACCCTTGTAATTGCCCTAGTTTAAGGGTACTCTGTCCCCCAAGTTAGTCCCCTCCCAAGGACTGTCCCTACCCAAAACTGGTCCATGATTTCTGAAGGATCATCCAAGCTTTAAAACTTCGCATGGCATAGGTTAATATTTTTGTTGCGGCTGCATTGAATTTCAACTCCTTCTTCCATCCAGTCCTACTGACCTCACTTCCCCACAGGGTACTCCCTAGTGCAGGCTAATTGCCATATCAGAATCTTCTTCCTGTAGCAGCAGACCTAAGGTACCATCTCTCTAATGCAGCACTATGCTTTCAGAATTCACATCAAGATTTTTAATTACAAATATAGTGATTTTCAAGACCTAGTGAGCCATTCCTATGGGTTTGAGTTTGCTTAACATTTTCTATTTTATCGTCACTACTCCTTGAGGTCACCGCTATTATTATTCACATTTTACAGATGAACAATTTGAGACAGAGAGGATAAATAGGTTGTCCATAGTCACATACTACATTCAGGCTAGCCTTTTGTTAGAGATGAGTCAAGAGACAAGAAGTGCAGCCTTCAGGCATTCTTCCCTCAAATTTCTCAAGAAGGCCAGAAGGCCACAGATGCTGCATCTGATTATGTTTAATCCACTGCAAAAAATAGGACCCCAAGTAGAGGGCCTCATTACTCATGCAGAAAACTCTTGATTGTAAATCTTGCTTCTCTGAAATATGGGTGGCTATGATGTGATGCCAGAATTTTTTTTTAATACTTCCTGCCTTGCTGCATCATTTTCTTGGATAGAGTAGTGTAAGTCTGTCTTTCATTCTGTCTCTATCTGAATATACTAGTCAGAATTCCTTGACATTTGTATCTGATGCTGTTTTTCTCATTTTGCTGATGATTAAAATGTCCTGCACCCTTTCTGCCTTTGGTCCTTTTGCTTGGTTTCTTGGCAAAGCAACATAGGTTTTGAAGTTGGCATTTAAAGTGTCCTATTTAAAAAATAGTGTGGCTTTGTGTATGTAACATTATTTTGTGAGCATCTTCTCACATTGCTATTTTCTGAACATGAAATTTCTATTCTAATTAATTAATATCACCCTATTGATGGACACAGGGTTGTGCCTGCTTCTTTTTTTCTATTTAATAATGATATGGTACATTTAATTTATATCTTCTAAAATTTTACTTAGGTTAGGTCCCTATACATTGGATTACTGTGTCAAAAATTATCAATCCTTTGAAACTTTTGATACATAATGCTAAATTTGTTTTCAGAGAAGCTTTTCTTTTGCCAATTTAATTTCTACCACCAATAAACAAAAATGCCTCTGCTTAAAAAAAGTGACACTTTGATCTATTACATTGTTGTATAATTAAATTTCCATTTGCTATTTGATTTTTCTTATTGGCCTTTTAGAATCACTTTAAAAATACTTACCTTTTTTTTGTCACTTTTGCATTCAATGTGTTTCCTGCTTTGCTGTTTGCCTTGGTGTGGACTTTGATTAGAATCTCTATTTCTGTTCTGTTTTATTGATGCAGTTTTACTTCTTGTGAAGAAAGATATGTTTTGGATTATTGTAACTTTAGAGGGTATTTTATATCTGGGAGATAAACTTCCCCTTCTTTCTTTCTTTTTTTTTTTTTTTTGACAGAGTTTTTCTCTTGTCATCCAGGCTGGAGTGCAATGGTGCTATCTTGGCTCACTGCAACCACTGCCTCCCAAATTCCAGTGATTCTCCTGCCTCAGCCTCCCAAGTAGCTGGGATTACAGGCACCTGCCACCATGCCCAGCTAATTTTTGTATTTTTAGTAGAGACAGGGTTTCACCATGTTGGCCAGGCTGGTCTCGAACTCCTGACCTCAGGTGATCCACCTGCCTCAGCCTCCCAAATTTACCGTTATTTCAATCAAATTATTCTCCACAGTTCTCTAGAGTTTAAACTTCCAGATAAGCTTCAAAATCATTTTGGCAAATTATAAAATAACCAAATTTGGATTTAAGTATAATCCATCATTGAGTATGTATACTGTATCATTATTAAAATAGTAAAAACGAAACAGGCATAATCCTTGTGTACATCAGTATGGGTATATTAATTAATTAATACATGAAAGAATGTTTAAAAAGAGGTACACTGAAAGTAGCATATTTCTAGGTATAGTGTAGTAGAATATATTTATACGTCAGTAAGGAGACAACCTTATTAGTGCTGGTGGCTTACATTTGTAGATGGTAGGGGATTAGATGGGAAGCATGACTACTGATTATGGATTTCTTTGAAAGACAAAAAGGAAGGTTTGGTTTGCTTTGAAGATTACAGGAAGCTGTGAGAGACTTTGAACAAGTGATTGATAATGATGAAATTAATATTTAGTAATTACAAGAACTAACATTGATTATGTTTTTGCTACATGTCAGGAACTCTTCTAAGTACTTTACAATGCATCAAACTTGTGCAAGGACTCCAGGTGGTTGTTATTACTCTTACCCTATTCTACCTAGTGAAAAAGAGACACAAAGATCAAGTAACTTTTCAAAGTTACGTAGCTTAAAAAGGCAATATGGCTGTAGAGTTTACACCCTTCACTGCTAATTTATACCTGCAATAGTGCAAAGTCTTTCTTTCCATTACTACCTAGCAAATGACAACATGACAACACAAAACAAACACATCTGTTACAAGTAGATATTTCTCAAGACCAGTTTTTTCCTCTCAAAAATTTCTGTGAAATAGAATAGGGACAACCCAGGTGATAATGCTTTCAAAGTTCGTTTGAGAAAGCATCCAAGTCATAGAAGTTTGTATTGTCATATCTGTGTTAAGAAAAAGTGAAACAACCCCATTCTGTTTCATTCTGCATGATACAGGGGAATGGCTTTCCGACACTGTACCCACTGCTCATGTTAAAGCATTTCAGGCATGTCGCTATGTATGTGCTTTTGTAGTTGGGTTGCCCTTGTTTCTTAGAAAGCAAATGTGTATTTATAAATAAAACTTTAAGAATAGGCTTTATAGAATCTTGTAAGTGGTACTTCTGAACAGTTTCACTTTGCCATGGCTGTTTCTAGAGAAACATGGCTCTATTTTTTAATATTCTGTATAATTTGTATTATTATTTTGCCATGGCTGTTTCTAGAGAAACATGGCTCTATTTTTAAATATTCTGTATAATTTGTATTATTATTATAATTAAACATACTGGCTGTTTGTCTTAGTGAAATCTCTAAAAAGGCAAATAATGTTTTGAAAATGTGTTGACTAAATAAACTTCCAGAGAAAAAATATATAGCTATGTCAAAAACATTGTAAAATTGTTAATAATTTAGCAGGGGTGGGGGACTTTCACCTTACAGCAATTGGCTTCTAAATCCATATCCCTCATAAGTGGTAGTCCTGATTTTTATTTTGAGGAGAAGTCAGAAATAAAATGTAATTGTTGAAATATTAATGATCGATAAATAATAGCTAAATTGTCATAAAATAACACAAATGAATTCTATTCAAGAGAGCCAACTATACTGTGTACTAGCCCAAAAATAAGATATAAAAATGGTATGTTCCAGAGGGATTTAAAACTTACAATAGGTGTGTCTAGTTGTGGAAGGGGATATGGGAAAGTTCTGTGAAACTCATTTAGAGAACATAATGGACCAAACCTTTGAAATTGAGGGGCCCCACAGCATTTATAAAAGGCTCTCAGCACGACTTTTCCAAGTTCCATTGGTCATGCTCTTAGAATTGCTGTCAACTTCTCTTTCAGGTCTGAGTTTTGTTTCTTCACTGCCTTGAAGATGTGCTTTTTCAGCCAGGTGTAGTAGTTCAAGCCTGTTATCCCAGCACTTTGAGAGGCCAAGACAAGAGGAACACTTGAGTCCAGGAGTTCAAGGGCACTGTTGGCAATATAGCAAGACCTCATTCCCTACATAAAATTTTAAAAATTAGTCAAGCGTTTTGGTACCCACTTGTAATCCTAGCTGCTCCAGAGGCTGGGGTGGGAGGATACTTTGAGCCCAGGAGGCTTCAGTGAGCCATGATTGCACTACTGTAGTCCAGCTCAAACAAACAAAAAAAGATACGCTTTTTCAATCTTTTCCATTATCAATCTCAACAACTTTCAAAACACCTGATTGCTACTGCAGTCATAGATATCTTTTCTCCCTCCATCATCTTTCCAAATAATAACTATTTCCAGAAAAGAACTGCTGCTGACATTTGCTCATTTGACTATTCTGCTGTCTGTCACTCATCCATTTGACAAATGCGCAGAGGCAGCTGTAGCATCAAGAAAACATGCTCAGAAGTCAGACTAGTTCTGTATTCTGGTTTTATCACTTATTTGCCATAAGAGCTTGAACAATTTATTTAACCTCTTTATTCTTCTATAGAATGGAAAAATAATTAGACCATCTTCATAGAGTTGTTTTGGAAATTAAAGGGGATAATACAATAAAAGGTGGAGAATAGTACTTGGCATAAAGTAAGACTCAAAAGATATATTAGTTATCATCCACCTATTCACATTATAATTGAGTGCCTAATATGCACCAGGCACTGTTAGTGGCACTTGGAATATAAAGGTGAGGGAAAAAAAGCCATTCTCAGACTTCACAGAATTGCATCCTAGTGATGGTGATAGACCTTAATCAAATAATCACAAAAATAAATGTAAAATAGCAGTAGTGTTAAGAGCTTCAAGAGAGAGGTAAATGGTACTATAAGAACTTAACATTCATATTTGACCTAGTCAAGTAAGTCAGAGGAGGATGCGATGGGATGTGCTGGTTAAGAATTAGTTTACATTAACAGGATCAAAAAGGAAAGAGCACTAAAAATTAGAGGCCACGTGTTGAGAAGAATCAGCAAGAGCACAGGTAAAGATGGAATGTCATTATGTCTGGTGCAAAGAGAGCAAAGTAAGGCTGGAGAGATAGATGGGAACCTCTGATGAAGGGCTTTACAGGACAATGTATGGAAGTTTTTAGCAGCATGGCCACATTATCATATTGAATGCAATGAGATATTGGATTGCAGAGTGGCATGGTTGGCTAAGAGGAGACACATTAGGCTATTTAAATAACTTAATTCAGGAGAAAGAAAATGGGAGCTGTTACGTGCGTCCAAGTAAAGAGACCACCAAGCAGGCTTTGTGTGAGCAACAGTGGCTGTGTATTACACGTCGGTGTGGATGGGCTGAGTCCAACAAAAAGAGTCAGCAAAGGGTGGTGGGATTATCATTACTTCTTATGGATTTGGGATAGGTGGTGGAGTTAGGAGCAATTTTGGGGGGCAGGGGGTGGATGTTAAAAAGTACATTCTCAAGGGCAGGGAGGATGTTACAAAGTACATTCACAAGGGTGGGGAGGATGTATCCTACAAAGTACATTCACAAGGGTGGGGAGGGTGCATCCTACAAAGTACATTCACAAGGATGGGGAGGGTGTATTGTCACAAGGGCGAGGAGGAATTTACAAAGTACATTCACAAGGATGGGGGAGTATCACAAAGAACATTATCACAACGACCGGGACCAGGGGGATTGTGGGGGGTTGTCACTATGGCTTGACCATGGTGCGGCCAGCTCAGAGGACCTTACGTTCCTGTCTTTTTATGTTAATAATGAAGAAATAAAATGAGAAAGAGTAGTGAAACCTTGGGGTGAAAATTTTGGGGGCGGTATGGAGGGGTGATGGGCTACGTTTCTCAGGGCTGCTTTGAGTGGGATTAGGGGCAGCACGGGAACCTAAAGTGGGAGAAATTAAACTGAAGTAAGATTTTGGGGTAAGGGGTGATATTGTGGGGTTGTTAAACGCAGCATTTGTCGTATAGGGTGATTAGTGATAGCTTGGATGTGGTTTCATAGGAATTGAGAGATTAATTGGAAGACACAAGGCCCAAATAAGAGAAGGAGGAAGATAGGTATTAGAGGACTAACCATTGGAAGAAGCCAGAATACCCAGTAAGAGAGTGGCCAGGTGGGTCCCGTGTAATTAGGTAATTAGTTGCCTGATTAGCAAGTTTTTGAGCTCTGTCTTTGAGTTTTTTGATGTTATCATATACCAGGCCAGATTGATTTAAGTAAAAACAGCACTCTTCATTAAGAAATATGCAGAGTCCTCCTTTTTCAGCAGTGAGTAAATCAAGGCCTCATCAGTTTTGGAGGACAACTGCAGCTAAAGAGTCAGTCTGGGCTTGGAGGACAGATAAAGTTTGTGATATGTCTGTAATGCTAGCAGAGAAGTCATTAGAGAGGCTGCAGAATGTTGTGACAGAGGTTGAGATGCCTGATATTCCAGTTCCAAGTGCAATAGTGGAGGCAGAAAGTACTAGACCCAGAAGTAAAAGGATTAGTGGGATGACCCTTTTTTTGTCATGTTGGTGTCATGAGGGGGACAGGCAGTTGTTCATTCCCATCGGCAAACTGGATTTTGGGGATGAGGAAGACTCGAGTACATGTGTCTGTCCAGTTGGCAGGTAGGCACATGTAGGTGGAAGAGCCACATGAAAAGAAGAGAACTTGTGTCAGGCAGAACTGGAAATGGAAAGTGAAAAGGTGAAAGGGTGTATGGAAAGAGGAGTCCTGCACCCAAAATCCTAGAGATCCAGCAAGGGCAGCAGCTGTTAGAGGTTGTAATGGGGATTGATGGTGCAAATATGTAGAGGGAGAGGTTTGGTTCTCATGGTGTATGAGAAAGTGCAAAGTGTCTGTGAGTAATCTTTCACCGCTATTCATGGGGCTGGGTATAAAGCAAGCAAGAGGAGGTGCTAGAAGGAGAGTCAGACAGGCGGGGGTGGGAATGGGTTGCCAAGGAAGGAGTGAGATGCAGAGTAGGTGTCTTCCTAAACAATAGTGACTGCCAATGTGTTTTAGTTTGTCAGTAATGATAGAGGGCTTATCAGTAATGTGAAGTTGGAATGCTCCCATCTGTTTGGTAATGTATGTGGCTGGGTTCTAGAGATACAGAGTAAAGGAACATTTGGATGGTGGAAGGTTACCTAAAGGGATCCCCGTAGACTGTTTTTGGGAGATACATAAAGGACCGGCAACAGGGATAGTTGTTTGTGTGGTTAGGGGTCCAAATATGGCAGGGGGTGGGGGTGGAATTGACATAAGGAGAAAGATGCCGTAAGTAGATGCAGAGAAGTGTGGTACCTTGCTCCTGTGAAATGTCTAGGGAGTTCTCACCAAATCAGTCTAGAAAATAAAGAAGTTCCTCAGGTGGGTAAAGATGAGGGCTATTAAAGGAGGTTTGGAGGTGCAGGTAGAAAGGAGAGGTAGCCCAGTTGGCCTGTAGAGTGGGGGCAGCTGTGTAAGAGCAGGAAGAAAGGGAAACACATAGCCAACAGTTCTTTGCTAGAGAAGGACTGAAGGCAGTGAGGAGAGAGTGGGTGAGATTGATAGTATGCTGGAGGTAACTAGGGAGAGGTAAAGAGAGACTGGAGAATGGGGGCAAGGATAAGAATGAGTAGAAAAGTAAAAAAAGGACTTCATCAGGATAGAAGAATTGGAGTGTACCTTGCCACTGAAGATCTTCTATCCACTCCAAGAGAGAGTTAAGGGTGACGGTTTGAGGTAAAACCAGGAGATATCAGTTATGATGGTTTGAAGGAAAAGTGTAAACCAGAAGTATAAACAAGGGCAGGGCATTTACGAGTAGTTGAGAATAGTGAATAGGAGTATGACTAGGCAGAAGATAGTAGGGATGACAAGTTTTTGGGGCAGAGTCCAAGTAGTGGGGGTGACTGCATAAAGCCCTGTTGCAAAAAGTAGAGTAAGAACGAATAGACCTAACAGAAGGAAGGGATGTATTAGGCTCATAAGGTTTATTACTGTTCTTCAGAAATGCAAGTGGGTTCAAGGGAAGTAGGGGAGGGTACTTGCGACTTCCAGGAGAAAGAGTAGATCAGGCTGGCCCTGCGATGGACACAGCTTTATTCTGGAACAGTGAACCCAATGGGGAGGGTCCTGCAGGCGGATGGCAGTTGGGGTACTATAGATGACTAAGTAGGGTGTGGTCCATTGAGGTTGTAGAGTTTGAGGGGTCAGATTCTTAGCAAGAACTGATCGTCCAGCTAGGGTGTCTTCATATGGCTGGGAATCTGGAATAGGCAAGAGAAGATTAGCAGCCTGGCGAATTTCCTGTCTAGCCTGCTGGAGGACTGGAAGATAGTTGCCTAGAAGGCTGGTGTCTGGCATGAGGTTGGGGCCCAACAGGAAGGTACGTCCATATAAAAGTTCAAATGGACTATACCCTGTAACTTCTCAAGGACAGGCTCTAATTCTAAGGAGGGAAAACAGTAAAAGTACTGTCCAGTCTTTTTTAAGTTGGAGGTTGAGCTTGGTGAGGTGTGTTTTTAAAATACCATTAGTTCTTTCTACCTTTCCCAAAGATTGAGGTTGGTAGGGAACATGAAGTTTCCACTGGTTGCCGAGGACCTGAGAGACTGCTTGAGTGACCTGACTAATGAAGGCTGGACTGTTATCTGATGGTGTAGAGGTGGGAAGGCCAAACCAAGGAATTATGTCTGACAGAAGGGAAGAAATGATCCTGGTGGCCTTCTCAGACCCTGTGGGAAAGACCTCTAACCATCCAGTGAATGCATCTACCCAGACCAAAAGATATCTTAGTTTTTTGACTCAGGGCATATGGTTAAAGTCAATCTGCCAGTCTTGTATTAGAATTGTGGTTAAAGCAATGGAGAGGACTGGATGCACTTAACAGATATCTAGAAAGTAAAATTGCCAGAATTTGGTATAAATTTTATTGGGGGAGGTAGGGTGAGCAAGAGGGAGCAGTTACAGATGACTCAGTCTCCTGGTATGTGGAACTAAGATAGAACTGATAGAAAAATGGAAGGTCATGTGCCTGATTTGAGACTTTTTGCATTGGAGGTACTCTAAAGGACACAATCTTTAAAAGTCTTATCATTAATTGATCATCTTTGTAGCTTTCATGATCAAATTAAACTTTTAAATCCAGAATTTAATTTTTTTTTTACCAATTCCAAATGTTTCTGCTCCTTTCCACTCTATAATTTTTCCCAGTTCTATTTTCCTTCACTCAAGTCAAGCTAAGCTCATCACTCCTTGAATTCCAGCTTGTCCTGTCATCTTTTCCCCACTTATTTCTTTTCTTTTTGAAATTTGGTTAAAGTTATTCTCTTTTAAGTAATCTTTCATGAGTAGTACATCTGATTACAATTAAAGTCTATTCCCATCTTCATCCCTATGACCTGGTCCAGCATTTTCATGCTTATTTACATGCTTAATTGCTCTTACTAATATATGGCTTTATAAAATCATTATTTCCTTTGTTTACATGCATATTTTCCTTCTATCTATATTGCATATTCACTCAGATCAGGGGTCATATCTTATATTTATTTTTTATTTGTTCTTTGGTTCTTTAAACAATTTGCAGAATTACTGGAATAAAAAATACTTTATTGTCTTACCAAATTTTCCAAGCTGGGTGGGAGGCAGGAAAATGGCTGACTAAAGCATGATTGGTTTATTGTCTCAAAGCCACAGAAATATTTAATCACTCTCCTATTTCTACTTTTTCCTCCTCATATCCTTTTCAATGAATGGAATTCATTCAGAAATGCCAAAGTATGGAGTCAATGTGGAATAGTAGCATCAGCATGAGTCTTGGATCCTGAAAGAAGCAGGTTTTATTTATCCTTGTGTAATCTTGGACATGCCTCTTAACCTCTCTTAATCTGAATCTTTTCATTTTAAAAGTGAACATATTGATATCTACACACTCATTCAGGCTTATTTGTTTGTTCAGCTCCCAGCTTCGTATTTCTGTATATATGCTAGTAACCCCCATAAATCCATTCACAATCCAAATATGTATCTCCAACTTAGCTTGATGTTGTTTTCTTCCTTATATCAGTATTTACAGAAAGCAAAATTCTAAACAAAGACTAGCTCACAGATTTGGAGGAATAGTGCTCAAACATGATAGCTATTTCAAAACCTTCTATAAAGGCCAAATGGACTTTCAATGTCAAAATATTCTAGAACTGGAAAGTGACAAATATATTAGAACACACACAGAGAAACCTGTTTTCACTTTGGAGTAAATATTTTTTTCTCAAGAAAATATTGCTGCACTGAATGTTAGAAAACTGCCAAAATTTAGAGGAAGTTAAGCAATATCAGTGTACAATTAAAAATGAATGAGTCATAGCTGCAGTGAAGGGGATTTCCATAATGCATTTGAGAAATTCAGAAAAACTAACATTAAATTGCCATTAAAAAGCAAAAAATACTTGTACCACTTAAAATAAGAGCTTAAAAATTCAAAGTGGTGTTGTTCACTTTTAAAAATAAGTTTTTCAACAGCAAATAAACCAATATATAAATCAGGATATTCTGTACAAAGTTTACAGAATCATCAATGTTGGAAAGTTTAGAATATTTTAAAGTAAATATATCACCGAGTTTTTAAAGTTTTACTGACAAGGCAATAAAATGATCCAAACAAGAGCTCTGTAACCCTACAAGTAGCAATTTCCTCCATATTAATGTTGTTTTCCAAATGTACTTTATAGCCTCAAGGAAAAATTTAAAGGGTGAGAATTGGATTTTAACTTGGAAAAACAGCTGAAACTTATCACTTGGGCGAAGTTTGTTGAAATCCAAGAGGTTTTAAGAGTTTGTCTTGTAGACTTTTCTCTAATATCCAGTGAAGAAGTTTTGTACTTTTGTCTGGATAGGGAAGCTGATGGAAAGTTAGTAGGTATCCCAATTCCATAGTTATCAGGAATCCTCAGCTGCCAGACTGCTCCTAAGCCACATCACTTCTGGGTATGTTCTGGGAAGGTAAATCATTGCCCTTCTAGTGTTGCCCCAGCCCCTGAAGACAAGGCCTATTGCCTTTGACTGCCAGATTCTACTCATCCTCTCTTCGTCTTTCCCTGAATCTTCCTGCTGCATTATTGCCTGAACTCCTTTCACCCTTTGGAAACTCCACCCTGGCTGCTGCTTGACACACTGTGGAGTGACTGTCAGGAAAACAGTGTTGAAGTTAGATTGTCTCAGTTTGAATCCTGATGTATTAGTCAGAGTTCTCCAGAGAAAGCAGGTGGTATAGTGTTAAGGTCTGAGAGCCGGAGAGCCAATGGTGTAGATTCCAGTAAGTCTGAAGGTCTGAGAATGAGGAGCACGAGCACCCAGGACAGAAGATTGATATCCCAGTTCATGCTGTCAGGCAGAGAGCAAATCCACCTTTCTTACATCTTTTTGCTCTCTTCAGGCTCTCAATGGATTGCAAGATGCCCAACTACATTGGGGAGGACCATCTGCTTTACTCAGTCCACCTATTCAAAGGCTAAACTCTTCTGGAAACACTCTCACAGACACACCCAGAGATAATGTTTAACCAGTTTGCTGGACATCCTGTGGCCCAGTCAAGTTGACACATAAAATTAACGATCCCACCTGGCTCCACTGCCTTCTGACGTTGGAAACTTGGGAAAGTTACTCAATCAGATTGAACCTTAATTTACTCATCTGTTAAAAATGCAGGTAATAATAAGAGGACCTAAATTACAAGGCTGTTGAGGAGTAAAAAGATATGTGATGTCCATGTTGTGAGCTCAGTCCACATTATAGGACTGATATCTCCTTAGGTGGATTATTTGAGCAGTCTTTGTTCTGTTGACCTTGCTACTTACCTCCTCACCAGAATGACTCCATATTGGATATCATTTTATCTGGGTCCCTCAACCTAATAAAATAATCGGATCTAGGATATGAATGTCATATTTTCTTTAGCATTTTCACTTTAAAACCTTTTTCGGTTTGTTTTTAACCCACATATAACTTCTCTAAGGAGCCTCCATGAGTCAAATTTAGGAGCATTTCTGCCCTGATCTGGTTATCCTTTCATAAACTATTCCTTATACTGTGTGTTTCTCACTAAATGATAACAAATACTTGTCTTTCTCCCACATAAATAGTACAGTGGCCCCTCCTTATCCATGGTTTCACTTTCCATGGTTTTGGTTACTCATGGTCAACTATGGCCTGAAAATATTAAATAAAAAATTCCGGAAACAAACAATTTATAAGTTTTAAATGCTACATCACAATGCCCGTGTCATTCATCCCGCTTCATCTCAGGACATGGGCATTTTACTATCTCACATCATCACAAGAAGAAGGGTAATACAGTACAATAAGATATTTTGAGAAAGAGAGAGACCGCATTTATATAACTATTATTACAGTATATTGTTATCATTGTTCTATTTTATTATTAGTTATTGTTGGTAATCTTTTACTGTGGCAAATTTATAGATTAAACTTTATCATTGGTATGTATGTATGGGAAAATTATACAATATGCAGGGTTTGGTACTATCTGTGGTTTCAGGTATCCACTAAGGGTCTTTAAATGTATTCCCCAAGGATAAGGGGGCACTACTGTAATTCAAAGGCATGGAGCTCATCCAGCTCTATCCTTAAAACAATCAATAATATGTGTTAACTAAGGAAATGAATATGATAATAGATGAATAGCTAAAAACATTGGCACATGTATTAGTCTGTTCTCACACTGCTAATAAATACATACCCAAGACTACATAATTTATAAAGGAAAGGTTTAACAAACTCATACTTCAGCATGACTGGAGAGCCTCACGATCATAGCGAAAGATGAAGGAAGAACAAAGTCAAGTCTTACATGGCAGTGGGCAAGAGAGAACTTGTGCAGGGAAACTCCTATTTATAAAACCACCAGATCTCATGAGACTTATTTACTACCACGAGAACAGTATGGGAGAAACTGCCCCCATAATTTAATTATCTCCACCTGGTCCTGTCCTTGACATGTGAAGATTATTATAATTCAAGGTGAGATTTGGGTGGGAACACAGCCAAACCATTTTATTCCACCCCTGCTCCCTCCCAAATCTCATGTCCTCACATTTCAAAACCAATCATGTCTTTCCAACAGTTCCCCAAAATTTTAACTCATTTCAGCGTTAACTCAAAAGTCCACAGTCCAAATCTCATCTGAGACAAGGCAAGTCCCTTCCACCTTTGGGCCTGAAAAATCAAAAGCAAGTTAGTTACTTCCTAGATACAATGGGGGTACAGGCATTGGGTAAATATACTCATTCCAAATCGGAGAAATTGGCCAAAACAAAGAGGCTTCAGGCCCTCTGCAAATCTGAAATGCAGCAGGGCAGTCAAATCTTAAAGCTCCAAAATGATATCCTTTGACTCCGTGTCTCACCTCCAGGTCATGCTGATGCAAGAGGTGGGCTCCTAAAGCCTTGGGCAGCTCTGCCTCTGTGGCTTTGCAAGGTACAGCCCTTTTCCCCATTGCTTTCATTAGCTGGTGTTAAGTGTCTTCAGCTTTTCCAGGTACATTTTACAAGCTCTCAGTGGATCTACCATTTTAGGGTTTGGAGGACGGTGGGCCTCTTTTCACAGCTCCACTAGACAGTGTGTGCCAGTGGGGACTCTGTGTGGGGGCTAAACCCACATTTCTCTTCTGCACTGCCCTAGCAGATGTTCTCTATGAGGGCCTTGCCCCTGCAGCAAAATTCTGCCTGGATATCCAGGCATTTCCATACATCCTCTGAAATCTAGGTTTCCAAACCTCAGTTCTTGACTTCTGTGTACCCACAGGCCCAACAGCATGTGTAAGCTGCCAAGGCTTGGGGCTTGCATCCTCTGAAGCCATGGCCTGAGCTTTATCTTGGCCCCTTTTAGCCATGGCTGGAGCAGCTGGGATGCAAGGCACCCAGTCTCTAGGCTGCACAGAGCAGGGGACCCCTCGGCCTGGCCCATGAAACCATTTTTTTCCTCCTAGGCCTCCAGGCCTGTGGTGGGAAGGGCTTCTGTGAGGGTCTTTGACATGCATGCCCTTTAGACATTTTCCCCATTGCCTTGGCAATTAACATTTGGCTCCTCATTACTTATGCAGATTTCTGCAGCATGCTTGAATTTCTATTCAGAAAATGGGATTTTCTTTTCTCTCTCATCATCAGGCTGCAAATTTTCTAAACTTTTATGCTCTGTCACCTCTTGAATGCTTTGCTGCTTAGAAATTTTTTCTGCCAAATACCCTAAATAATTTCTCTGAAGTTCAAAATTCCACAGATCTCTAAGGCAGGTGCAAAATGACACCAGTATCTTTGCATAGCGAGAGTGACATTTACTCCAGTGCCCAAGAAGTTTCTCATCTCCATTTGAGACCACTACAACGTGGATTTTATTGTCCATATCACTATCAGCATTTTGGTCAAAGCCATTCAACAAGTCTCTAGGAAGTTCCAAACTTTCCCACGTCTTCCTGTCTTCTGAACCCTCCAAGTCTTTAGGGAGTTGCATACTTTCCCACATTTTCCTGTCTTCTTCTGAGCCCTCCAAACTGTTCCAACCTCTGCTTATTATCCAGTTCCAAAGTAGCTTCCCCATTTTCAGGTGTCTTTATAGTAGTGACCCACTTCTGGTACCAATTTACTGTATTAGTCTGTTCTCACACTGCTAATAAAGACATACCCAAGACTAGGTAATTTGTAAAGGAAAGATGTTTAATGGACTCAGAGTTCAGCATGGCTAGGGAAGCCTCACCATCATGGTGGAAGGTGGAGGAAGAGCAAAGGTATGTCTTACATGGCAGTAGGCAAGAGAGAGCTTGTGCAGGGGAACTCCCGTTTATAAAACCATCAGACCTCAAGAGACTTATTCACTACCGTGAGAACAGTATGAGGAAAACTGCCCCCATTCCTCAATGATCTCCACCTGGCCTTGCACTCGACATGTGGGGATTATTATAATTTAAGGTGAGATTTGCATGGGGACACAGCCAAACCACATCAACATGATTTTACATTTTAGTGAAATCATATCAAAGTGTTAAACATATTAGAATTATTATGTTTATTTCTGGATCAGTTGGAGTAATATTTTTGGTCAGGGACACGGTTCTAAGAACCCAGTAAATTACAGAAAAATGTTTCTGTTTGTAGAGGAATCCATGGCTAAAAATCTTTCATAAGGTGTGGTGGTTGTTGGTAGGTTTTGTGCATTAGCGATTCTATGAAAGAACCAAAGTTAGCACATCTCTCTTACCTTCAAGAAATGGGAGAAAAGAGCCAGGCAGCTGTAGCCTATAGTATTTATTACAGAAAAATCTGATTTTAGAGACTGTGTTTAGTATCTGTGGGCTAGTGGACTTCCTAATAATGAATTCCAGAAGTGAACAGACGATACACCTTGCTGCAGATGTCATTTTATATTTTAAGACTATAAGGTTGTCTTCATTACTTGCTATCTTAATTACCATGTATCTGAAAACTAAGTAGTGTCTCACAAATGTAAATGTTTAATGACTGGATCAAGGATGAATTAATTTAGTTATTATCCCAGCTATAGAGAGATTATGTCACAGTTATGAGGAGTATACTATTTGAAGGAGAGAAGACAGAAGAAAGAGCAGCAGACGGCTGCAGAAATAATTCATACAGAGATAACCCCTCCTCTTCCTCTTCCATCCTTAATGGGAAACACTAAAGTGTTTTTTGTATATGCTTATAGATAATCAAGTAGAGAGGGAGAAGTTAAACATACAAGAATTAGAGGGATAACTGATATGGTTTGGATCTGTGCCCCACCAAAATCTCATGTTGAATTGCAATCCCCAATGTTGGGTTTGGGGCCTGGTGGGAGGTGATTTGATCATGGGGGTGGTTTTCTCACAAATGGTTTAGTGCCATCCTCTTGGTACTGTTCTTGTAAGGAGTGAGTTCTTATGGCTGTAACCACAGCCTATCCAAGTTAACACAAAATTAACCCTCATGTCCATGCAATCATCTACCCTTGATGCCCTTTCTCTTCCTTGTCTCTTGGCTACATTGTCATTTCTGATCATCTCTTGATCATCTCTCCTCAAAACTAGGTCAGATGCCCTTTCTATGTGTTCCTAGGGGACACTATATTTCCTTAACTCAGTCATGATTTAATTCATAATCATATACTTGATTTATGTTTAACTCCGTCTTCTCGTGGAGATAGGGGTCATGTTTGATTATTCATCACTGTCCTTACTGACCCAATAACAAATGAGATACTTGTTCAGAACCAATGAATTAGTAAGCACTCTTTATGAATACAAGAAACCTCCATATGTCAGCTGAACAGTATTTATAATGTATTTATAACCATCACTCTCCTATTTCAAATATTTCACCAATAAGAACACTAAATAATAGATCAGTAACATTTGTTTTGTGCTTTCAATATGACAGGCATGCTTCTAGGCACTCAATATTACCTTATTGTGTCAAAACCTCTTTTTACACCATTTCAGATTTTGCATTATTTTACACTGCTTTAGATTTTCTCAGCCTCCTTGTATCTGAGACTGCTCTGGGCCACACCTTTCACCTTAATTCTGATCCCCACCAAACCAAATTTGCTGGAGTACAACTGAATTGTACCTTGCCTCTTGCCTTGGTGTTATATCTCTCCCCCTCCAGCACCATGTTTTATTTTCTTACTGTGGCTGAAGAGACCTATATAATCATTTCAGGAACCATGAGGCTCCCCTAGTTGCTTAACCTGGAAGTGTGGGGGAGATATAATGCTGAGAAGCAAAGATCCTCAGTGGAAGAAGATAGTAGACAAAGTCTTTTCACCCCCACTGCCCCCACCACTATCCACAGATTGCCCTGAGACATAGTACTGCACAGGGCCCCTTAGGAGATTGTTCCATGAAATTGAGCAGTCAATCACCATAATACCTAGGAGTGGCAAGTTGGCAGGAGCACATCTCCTCCCATTTCCTCTCCCTCCTTCCCTGTTTTGCTTTCCTTTTCCATCACTTCTTCTTTCTTGGCATTTAACTCTTCAATACAGTCTTAGCACATAAGCTTTGGTCAAAGTCTGTTTTCTAGAGCATCTGGGCTTATACATTCATTTAATCTCACAAGAGGATAAGATCCAGTTTGTTTCTAAAATGCTCATCTTGGCTGCAGCACGCTAACAGCTAAAAGCAGGAGAAGTGGGTTACCTACTGTATTAGTCAGGGTTCTCTAGGGGGACAGAACTAATGGGATGTATATAAAGAGGAGTTTATTAAGTAGTATTAATTCACACCATCACAAAGTCCCACAATAGGCCATCTGCAAACTGAGGAGCAGGGAAGCCAGTCAGAGTCCCAGAGCTGAAGAACTTGGAGTCTGATGTTTGAGGGCAGGAAGCATCCAGCACAAGAGAAAGATGAAAGCTGGGAGGCTAACTCAGTCTAGCCTTTTCACGTTTTTCTGCCTGCTTTATATTCTAGCTGTACTGCCAGCTGACTACATGGTGCCTACCCAGATTAAGGGTGGGTTTGCCTTTCCTAGTCCACTGACTCAAATATTAACTTCTTTTGACAACACCCTCACGACACACCCAGGATCAATACTTTGCACCTACTTAGGAATTAATGCGATGGTCCCCATGAAAGATGAAGGTGGATTGGACAATAATGCCAGCTGTAGATGTGGAAATAAGTGAACAAGTTTGAGATCTGGCTTTCTCTTCCCTCCTAGTCCTTTTCATGTGCATTGCCATTGTTTACACACTTGCCCATTCAACTATGAATGCTCTGTCTATAGGAGTTGCTAGCATGCTGCAGAAAAATAGTATATTTTCTGTTGCATAAATGAGGCAGAATAATCATTCAAGACATTTAGAAAACCATACCAATAGGTTGCTCATAACATTTCATGGTCTAACACTAGGAAGGGATGTACATGTTTATGAGTATATTTTGAAAGTAAAAGGGGGTGCTATTCATTGATATGCCAGGACAACAACAGAAATAAGTCAGGACAGTCCCAGGAAAACCTGGATATATGTTGACACTGAGTATACAGCCACTGCATATGACTTACTAGCAACTTAAAAAGTACAGCTGTCCAATAAGTCTTCCCACTTACCAGGGATACCTCTATCAGAATCTTTACTTGGCAAGAGTTTATTAGTGTATTAGTTGGGGTTCTCAGGAGAAATGGAACCAATAGCAGGTACATATGAAGAGATTTATTATGAGAAATTTTCTCAATTATGGAGGATGAGAAGTCCCACAATTTGCCATTTGTCAACTGCAAACCCGGGATAGCTGGTGGTAAAATTCCCATTCATGTCCCAAAGTCTGTGAACCAGGAGAACCAATGGTGTCGATCCTATTCCAAGGGCAGGAAAAGACATATGTCCAGCTCAAGTAGACAGGCAGAAAGCAAAAAAAGTGAATTTCTTTTTCCTCTGCCTTTTGTTTTATTCAGGCTCCCACGGGATTAAATGATGGCCACCTGCATTGAGTAGGGCAATCTACAGAGTCCACTGATTCAAATGGTAATCTCATAACCAACCACCCTCACAGACACATTAAAAAATGATAATCTGAGCCTCCTTGCCTCAGTAAAACTAACACATATAATTAATCATCACATTAGCTATTTATTTTTATCACTGAATACAAAATAATATGAGATTTCTATTAAAATATTTATTATTCATTGGAAGAAAAATATGGACATAATTAGAAGAGAAACGTTTTGTTAAGCCTTCCTTGATAGACTCTGGAACTAGGGGCAAGCTTTTAAGAACTCTGGAGTTAGGCAGAGCCTGACTTTTAAATCTCTTTCTACACTTACTCTTTGCTTAACCATGTAAGCCTCCAAATTCTGTGTCATGAAAACTGCATGATACTACTCTAATACAGGTTGCGTATATCTTATCTGAAATGCTTGGAACCAGAAGTGTTCTGGATTTTTTTCAGATTAGTGAATATTTGCATATATAATGAGAGATCTTAGAGATGGAGCCCAAGTCTAAACATAAAATGCATTTATGTTTCATATACACCTTATACACATAGCCTGAAGGTGATTTTATACAACATTTTAAATAACTTTGTGCCTAAAACAAAGTTTTTATTTCATGACCCTCTGTTGGCCTGCTTGGGTTGGGGAACCTGGCCTTGTACAGAAAAGATATTATCACAGCTGAAGGAGTGTGGGAAGGACTTTTTCCCCTGTGGAAGCTGAATGAATTGTGTTATGCGTCTGCATTTTGACTATGATCCATCACATGAGGTCAAGTGTGGAATTTCCCAATTGTGGAATCGTGTCAATGCTTCAAAAGTTTGTTTATTCTGCCAATTATTTCTTTTGCTGTGCACAGCCTCTCAGTTTAATTAAGTCCCATCTATTTATCCTTGTTTATGCTGCATTTGCTTTTGGGTTCTTGGTCATCAACTCTTTGCCTAAGCCACTGTTTAGAAGAGTTTTTCCAAAGTTATCTTTTAAAATGTTTATCGCTTCTGGTCTTAAATGTAAATCTTTACTACATATTGAGTTGATTTTTGTATAAGGTGAGAAATGAGGATCCAGCTTCATTCTTCTGCATGTGGCTTGCCAATGATCCCAGCACCATTTGTTGAATTCAGTGTCTTTTACCCACTTTATTATTTATTTATTTGCTTTGCTAAAGATCTCTTGGCTGTTTTTGGCTTTATTTCTGGGTTCTCTGTTCTCTTCCATTGGTCTATGTTTTTATAGCAGTACCATGCTGTTTTGGTAACTATAGCCTTGTAGCATAGTTTGAAGTCAGGTCATGTGATGTCTCCCTATTTGTTCTTTGTGCTTAGTCTTGCATTGGCTATGCAGGCTCTTTTTTGGATTTATATGAATTTTAGGTTTGCTTGTTCCTAGTTCCGTGAAGAATTCTGATGGTATATTGATGGGAATTGCATTGAATTTACAGATTGTTTTTGGCATTATGGTCATTTTTACAATATTGATTCTACCCATCCACAATCATGGGTTGTATTTCCATTTGTTTGTATTATCTGTGATTTCTTTCAGCAAGTTTTTGTAGTTTTTTTTTTGTAGAGACCTTTTACCTCCTTGGTTAGGTATATTCCTAAGTATTTGATTTTATTTTTGCAGCTGTTATAAATGTGGTTAAGTTCTTGATTTTGATTCTCAGCTTGGTCACGTTCGTGTATAGCAGTGCTACTGATTTTTGTACACTGATTTTGTATCCTGAAACTTTATGGAATTCATTTATCAGATCTAAGAGCTTGTTGGGTGAGTCTTTAGGGTTTTCTAGGTATAAACATCATATCATTGGCAAACAATGACAGTGTGACTTCCCCTTTATAGATTTGGATGCCCTTTATTTCTTTCTCTTATCTGATTGCTCTGACTAGGACTTTCAGTACTATGTTGAATAGATGTGGTGAAAGTAGGCATCCTTGTCTCGTTCCAATTCTCAGAGGGAATACTTTCATCTTTTCCCTGTTCAGTTGGCTGTAGGTTTGTCATAGATGGCCTTTTTTAACCTTAAGGTATGTCTCTTCTATGCTGATTTTGCTGAGGGTTTTAATCATAAATGGATAAAGGATTTTGTCAAATGCTTTTTCTATGTCTATTGAAGATGATCACACCACCTTACTCGTGCAATAATGGCTATAATTAAAAGATAAAAAAATAGATGTTGTCATGTATGTGGTGAAAAGGGAACACTTCTACACTGCTGATGGGAATGTAAACTAGTGCAGCCACTATGGAAAACAGTATGGAGATTCCTTAAGGAACTAAAAGTAGAACTAGCATTTGATCTGGTAATACTAGTACTGGGTATCTACCCAGAGGAAAAGAAGTCATTATATGAAAAAGACACTTGAATACACATGTTTATAGCGGCAACAATTCAAAATTGCAAAAATATAGAACCAGCCTAAGTGCCCATCAACCAACAAGTAGATAAGGAAAATGTAGTATGCATGCATGTGTGTGTGTGTATGTGCATGTGTGTGTATATATATATATTTTATATATATATATTTATGTACATATGTATATACATACCATGGAATACTACTCAGCCATAAAAAGGAATGAAATAATGGTATTGGCAGCAACCCGGATTTGGAGACCATTATTCCAAGTGAAGTGACTCAGGAATGGAAAACCAAACATCATATGTTCTCACTTAAAAGTGGGAGTTAAGCCATGAGAACGCAAAGCCGTAAGAATGTTATAAAGGACTCTGGGGATTTGTGCAGAAGGGTGGGAGGAGGGTGAGGAATAAAAAATTACACCTTGGGTACAGTGTACACTGCTTGGGTGACGGGTGCACAAAAATCACAGAAATCACCACGAAAGAACTTATCCATGTAACCAAACACCACCTGTTCCCCAAAATCTACTGAAATCAATCAATCAATCATTCAATCAATCAAGTGTTGGATTTCTGAGTATGTTGGATTGCAGATTTTTGGATTAGGGATGCTCAACCTGTAGTTAAAACTTTTATTTGTGACAGAAAATTTATTCCTGAATTAGGAAAAAGAAACACTGAAAAGGGAGTTATTGACTTACTTATTCCTTCATTCAACAAATAATTTTTGGGTGCCTACTCTGTGATAGGCATGGTTCTGGATGCTGCAGAGCAGTATGAAAATGCATTCGAACCTTATGCCCATTAGAAGCTCAGAGCCTTGTGGAAGAGGCAGAGAAGTTACAAATAAAAATCAGCTACATGATTTAATGACAGATATTGTTGAATTCAGTGGGGAGGCTTCAGCAATTAAGGGTGTAGAGAATGACCAGAAGCACTTTTTTAGAAGAGTGTCAGGCAGGGCTTCTCTAAGTAGTTGATATTTGAGCAAAGACCTGGAGAAAATGAAGGAGGGAGTTACATGGATAGCTGAGGAAGGGACATTCCAGGCAGAGGCAATAGCAAATGCAGCGACCTGAGTGAGAATTAATTTGTCCTTTTCAAAGCAAATCAGGAGCTGCAAAGGAGTGAGAAAAGGGATGATTAGGAGAATGTACTGAGCAGTCCCGAAGTAGGAATGGCTTCAAGAAAAACTTGGCTCAGGGTGTAAATGATGTTGCTCAAACTTAATTTCTCTCCATTTCCACGTCCCACTTGCCCCACCCAGGCAGGAGCTTAACATTTTTTTTTTCTGAAAAGTAGAAAAAACATACTGTGATATGGTTAATCAACATTAACCAGATAATAATAGCTTCTAATCTCTCAAGTAGATATTACCAACTCTAATTAAAAATAAAAACTTTTCCCACAGGCCTTAAGGTCAGAAATACCATTGACATTTTTAACATGCAGTTTATTTAAGATATACTATGGGAAAAATGTCAACCACAAAATTCTATTAGGCAAAGCCTGAAATATTGAAGTATTGTTTATCAATTTAGCTCCCACCCCCGACATTCCCCAAATTGTATTAAGCCTGGTTTTTAGATAAAGTAGCATATTTTCAGTCTTATAATATTCATGTACGTGTAAGGCTTATCAACATTAAAAAAGGTTTATTTCTTACCACAAATAAGCACATATTGTAGGCAGTTGAAACGTTTTAAACCATATTTGTAATTTGAAAAGTTGGCTTTTACACAATGATTTGGCTCAAAAATTACATTTTCTTCTCTGAGTCTTAAAACAGTTGTGTGCATGCATTTACTTATTGGTCACTCCCCAAATATTGAAATTATCCAAGGGGCCTAAAATTGAGAATATATTCATCATGGCACTAAAACACAAGATTTTCAACAATTATTGAGAATCTCTGATAAATTCTTGGAAAATATGAAGCAGACAAAGGCAAAGGAGAGGTTGGTCTATTTGGAAAGTGGGTAGTTTTTCTCACCAGAGGATTGGAAAAATGAAAACTCAAGCTTGGAATCGTAAGAATTCGAGGTGATAGTTAGCTAGTTAGACAGTCTGGAAGTAAGTAGTGTATGTCAAAGTTCTTGGTACTCAAGTGACTAGCCACAGAAATTTTCCTCAAACTCCTCTTGGTATTCAACAAATATGAATGAACAACAATCATTTGCAATAGTAAGGGACTTTCCTAAAGGCTCAGCTTTATAGTCACTTTTACCTTTCTGTTTGAAAATGCATCTTAAAACTAATTCTTGGCCACTTTAAAGGCGAAGGTGGGTCAGAAATCAGCCTCCTACTTTAGTGGCTGGAAGGACCTGTTAGTGAAAGTAAAGCATCTCTTTCTATGCCTGTGGTCATCTGGATCCTCAGTCTAGCACCTTCAAAGTACAGAAATTATAAACTTTTTCTTTTTTTTGGCAGAGGATGAAAACTTAAACACAATCTCTGAAAAATAAACTACAAGTCATATTACCACACAAACATAGAACTCCCTTTTAAAGAATAGGAAGATAGAGGAAAATCACCACATATGTAACAAGACTCAGTAGTTCAAAAGAAAATATGCTGAAAAATCAGTAAAATGAATTTCTGTGAAATGGACTTACTTATTGAAACAGAAAAGCAAAACAAAAAGTCATTCTATCTTTTATTCTCAAGAAAATTTGAAAAACATTGTGTGTACCAATATAGAACAATCTGAGATTAAGAACTTTTGTTCCGGAGGAAAATCATCATTACAAAATCTTGGAAAAGAAATCTCATATAAATGAGGAAATTCATTGCAAGTGTCAATGTGAATTAATGAGGTAGGAAACAAGCTAAATAGTTTCTCCAGAAGGAAAATTAAACAAAGAGAAGAAAAATAAGTTACTGGGGGTGAAGTCCTAAAGAAGCCAGTATATTCATAATAGAAATTCTAGGGAGTAAAAGCAGAGTAAATGGAAGAAAAACAATAATCAAAGATATAATAGAAGAAAACCTTCCTGAGGAGAAAAAAAGGCTATCCAGATGGTCCTCAACTTAGGAAGTTTCAACTTACAAATTTTTGACATTGTGATGTGTTTACCCTTCATCTCTTCTATCCTCTCTATGGAGTTTAGAATATTTCCTAATAAAATGTAGAGTCTGGATTGGGTAAAAAAAAAAACAGCATTAAACAATTTGCTATATATAAAACAAAAGTACTAAATTAACAAAGCGCAACATTTAAATAAAAGAGTGGACAAGAATATATTGGATAAATTCAAATAAAAAGAAAGAAGTGGTAATGCTATTACCACTTCTATTTTATTTATTATGTTAAAGGAAAGAGTGTTTAAGGTTAAAATAATTTTGTAAGACAGAAATGATTTCTATCAAATAAATGTAAAGTCTACAATGACTATGTACTGGCTATAAATGTTTATGTGCCAAATAACCCAGCGTGTAATTATAAATTAAGTTATTAGAATTAAGATAATTTGACAAACTTCAACTTTAGTAGAAAACTTTAAAATTTCTCTCTTGGTCTTTGACAAATAAAGACAGACAAAATATAAATGGAAAGCATTTTTCTTTTGCATAATTCATATACTGGATTTAACATACTGCAGATATCACAGAACTTACAAACTATTTTAAAGTATATTGAACATTTGCAAAGAGAGACTACATTTTAGGTCCAGAATATCTTTACAATAAACCCACCAAATTAAAAATTGCATACCTGAAGTTCTTTTGCCCTAAAATGCAATAAAATTGGAGGCTAATATAAAAGCATAAACAAACAGTCTTACAAATCAAACCTTATGAAAACAAAGTAAGGTATTCTTAAATAGAATTTTTTAATCAAAGAGAATATATATATATAAATTATATATATACAATTTTTGCTTTTTTGAGATGGAGTCTCGCTCTGTTGCCCAGGCTGGAGTGCTGTGGCGTGATTTTGGCTCACTGCAACCTCTGTCTCCTGGGTTCAAGTGATTCTCCTGCCTCAGCTTTCCAAATAGCTGGGATTATAGGCATCCACCACCACACCTGGCCAATTTTTGCATTTTTTTAGTAGAGACATGTTGGCCAGGCTGGCCTCAAACTCCTTGAGGGGTGACAGCGTGCTGGCAGCCCTCGCAGCCCTCACTCACTCTCAGCACCTCCTCGGCCTCGGCGCCCTCTCTGGCCGCACTTGAGGAGCCCTTCAGCCTGCCGCTGAACCGTGCCCTTCTCTGGGCTGGCCGAGGCTGGAGCCAGCTCCATTGGCTTGAGGGGAGGTGTGGAGGGAGAGGCTCGGGCAGGAACCGGGGCTGCATGCCTGGTGCTTGCAGGCCAGTGCGAGTTCCAGGTGGGCGTGGACTCAGCAGGCCCTGCACTTGGAGCAGCCAGTGGGCCCTGGGCAGTGAGGGGCTTAGCACCCGGGCCAGCAGCTGCGGAGGGTGTGCCAGGTCCCCTAGCAGTGCTGGCTCTCGGGTGCTGCGCTGGATTTCTCACCAGGCCTTAGCTGCCTCCCCATGGGGAAGGGCTCAGGACCTTCAGCCCGCCATGCCTGAGCCTGCCTCCCTCCCCACCCCTGCCCAGCCACCCCACCATGGGCTCCTGCACGACCTGAGCCTCCCTGAAAAGCGCCGCCCCCTGCTCCATGGTGCCAGGTCCCATCGACCACCCAAGGGCTGAGAAGTGAGGGCACATGATGCGGGACTGGCAGGCAGCTCCACCTGCAGCCCTAGTACGGGATCCACTGGGTGAAGCCAGCTGGGCTCCTGAGTCTAGTGGGGACTTGGAGAACCTTTATGTCTAGCTAAGGGATTGTAAATACACCAATCAGCACTCTGTATCTAGCTCAAGGTTTGTAAATGCACCAATCAGCACCCTGTGTCTAGCTCAAGGTTTGTAAATGCACCAATCAGTGCTCTGTGGCTAGCTGATCTGGTGGGGACTTGGAGAACTTTTTATGTCTAGCTAAGGGATTGTGAATACACCAATCGGCACTCTGTATCTAGCTCAGGGTTTGTAAATACACCAATCACCACTCTCTATCTAGCTAATCTAGTGGGGATGTGGAGAACTTTTGTGTCTAGCTCAGGGATTGTAAACGCACCAATCAGCACCCTGTCAAAATGGACCAATCAGCTCTCTGTAAAACAGAACAATCAGCTCTCTGTAAAATGCACCAATCAGCAGGATGTGGGTGGGGCCAGATAAGGGAATAAAAGCAGGCTGCCCTGGCCAGCAGTGGCAATCTACTCAGGTCCCCTTCAACATTGTGGAAGCTTTGTTCTTTCACTCTTTGCAGTAAATTTTGCTATTGCTCACTTTTTGGGTCCACATTGTCTTTATGAGCTGTAACACTCATTGCAAAGGTCTGCAGCTTCACTCCTGAAGCCAGCAAGACCACAAGACCACAAACCCACTGGGAGGAACGAACAATTCCAGACGTGCCGCCTCAAGAGCTGTAACACTCACTGGGAAGGTCTGCAGCTTCACTCCTAAGCCAGCGAGACCACGAACCCACCAGAAGGAAGAAACTCCGAACACATGTGAACATCAGAAGGAACAGATTCCAGACACGCTGCCTTTAAGAACTGTAACACTCACCGCGAGGGTCCGCGGCTTCATTCTTGAAGTTAGTGAGAGCAAGAGCCCACCAATTCCGGATGCATCCTGACATCAGGTGATCTGCCCGCCCTGGCCTCCTGAAGTGTTGGGATTACAGGCATAAGCCACTACACACAGCTACAAATTTAAAAAAAAAAATGTATATATATATACACACACACACATATATATATGATTAAGTTATTTCAAAATGATAAAGATACATTACATATCTAAACTTAAGAAATGTGGTCAAAGCTGTAGTCAGAAAAAAGTAAATGGTTTTAAGTGCTTTTTATAATAAACAACAAAGAAAAATATAAGTATATGACTTAATAGCCTAGAGAAAACAATAAAAGAAAGGGATTGATAAAGTTAGAAAAAGAGATAATATTGAAAAACAATAACAAAACTTCATTTTGGGAAACAATAATAAAATACACAAATTTAAATGTAAAAAAAAGAAGTGCAATGAGAAGTGGAATATAACCACAGATCAAGAGGGCACACAGTATGTATGAGAATAAGCAGCAGAAATAGCAATGTTTGACAATTTGATTTGTAAAAACCTGCAATCCACTAAAAGAGACTTTTTAAAAATCTGTAATAAATTAGATTAGATAGGAAAGATTAGAAAAGTTTTCTAAAAGCCTACGTACTAACAAAGCCCTGTCCTCAATAATTTCATGGGTGAATTTTTTCAAGATTTCAAAGAACGAATATTTGCTATACTTTTAATGGTGTTCCAAAACAAAAAGGGGATATTTTTGATTCATTATAGAAAATCCAAACAATAATAAAACTATTATTTAACTAAGATGTTGAAAGAAACCTCTTACCATCTGCCTTATACATACAGATTTAAAAATCCAAGATAAAATAATCCATGATTTAATACAGTACTTTCCCATTATCTATGGTTTCACTTTCTGTGGTTTTAGTTACACACGGTCAGCCATGGTCAGAAAATATGATATCACTACTGCTGCACCTGGGGTTACTTGAACAAAAGCACTACAAGACCATAACAGTCAGTCTGAGAACCAAGATGACTACCATGACTAACGGCAATCCACTTGGGATGAAGTGGGAAGGTACAAGATTTTACCACACTACTCAGAAGTTTGCAATTTAAAACTTATACATGTTTATTTCTGAAATTTTATATTTATATCACAATGCCTTTGTCATTAACCTCACATCTCATCATGTAGGCATTTTATCATCTCACATCATCACAAGAAGGGCGAGTACAGTATAATAAGTTATTTCAGAGAGACAGAGACAGAGGGAAAGAGACCTCATTCACAAAATATTTGTTATTGTATATTGTTATACTTGTTCTATTTTATTAATGGTTGTTAGTATTTTACTGTGCCTAATTTATAAATTCAACTTTATCATGGATATGTATGTATGAAGTGTATGTAGAGTTTGGTACTATCTGTGGTTTTAGGCATCCATTTGGAGTCTTGGAATGTATCCCCGGTGGATAAGGAGGAGCCACTATATTACAACAATAATAGACTTTGATGAAAAGTGATGATTAATTTTATGTGTCAACTTGACTGGGCTACATGGTGCCCAGATATGTGGTTAAACATTATTTTTGTGTCTATGAAGTTGTTTCTGGATGAGATTAACATATGACTCCATAGGCTGAATAAAATAGATTGACCTTCCCAGTGTGATTAAATTCACCAATGGCCTGAAGAGAACCAAAGGATGAATAAGAAAGAATTCCTTCTGTCTGCCTTACTGTCTTTGAGATGAGACACCACTGTTTTTCTGGTTTTGGACTCAGGGTTGGACCAGAACTAACAACATTGGCTCTCTAGGGTCTGGAATTTTTAGCCTCTATAACTGCAGGAGCTCAAGGCAAAGATGTTGGAGCTGTTGTTAGATTATTTCTGGATTCCTTCATTCTGACACATAGGATTACCCTTCTCTGTTCCTTTGAAACCTAGGCATGGACAAATGACCCAAATAAATGTGAGTGGAAGTGACATGTGTTACTTAGGGGCAGAAAGTTTAAAACCAGTCTGATTTTCCCTTCCTGGTGATTGTGGCAGCTGTTAAGACAAAGTGGCTGTCAACCTGGTTTCCTGAGTGATTGCCTGAAGAGAACCCCCTTGGCATCCCAAACCAAGCCTTTCACATGAGCAAGGAAAGATTTTACTATGTTAAGTTATAGGATTTGTGGTTGTTTACTTGCCCAACATATAGGTACTAGACTATACTGGCAGGAATATTAATAATAATTCAGCATTTTGTCTGAACAGATAAAAATCAGATGAAGATTTTGTAAATACTAAAAAGGGCATTAGAATATTCAACCCTAATACCTAATAAGAACTTTTAATAAAATATACATAGAAAGATAGCTATAAAAACTAAATTTTAGATAATTTTTATGTGATTTTTTAATCTTAAATATCTGGTGCATGGATATAGTTTGAGTTTATTATCTGTTTATATATTCTTATATTTATTTCTTTTTTAGATATCAAAAATATATGGAAGTAATTATATATTTTGCTTTTCAAAAATTATTTATTTTATATCTAAGCTATTTAAATTTGCTCACTATAAAAATGGAAGTATTACATGTGTCTATAACAATACATATATCTTTCAGATTTTACATAATGACTGAAAGCTTTGTCCCACAGAGTCAAGTTCTTACACTTCTAATTAAACAAATCTTTTTAGACAATAACTTATTCATCTTTTAAAATCCCCATACTCATTAATACACTCTGACTTTTCACAAATGGACCCAGTTGCCTACATTGCCTCTAGGTGTGTTCTGTCATTCTGCAATGGTGTCATTGCAGTGTCACCTTGTCCACAATGCCTTTTCAGATTGGCCCATCTAGGAACATTCACGGATTTTATCCTTATCTGCATCATGTCATCCACTACCCTTCACCTGGTAATAAGATTATATATGTAAATATCATCTACTGTTTTAGATTGTAAACTTCTTGAGGGTAGAATTGAAGTCTTATTTAAAATTTTATCTGTCAAATCTCCTAGTGAAGTGGTTTATTTTGTCAGAGTGCAGAGCGGGGAGAAGAGTGCTGAAGTCATCAGCCCAATTTCCACATCCTGGCTCGGTCTTTGCAGAGCTGTGGCCTTTGGGAAGAATCTGTCATCCACAAAGTGGTGTTGCCATCAGGATTAAATGATTAAGTGAATGATTAAGTTAAAAAAAAAAAGAAAGATTAATTGACAAATATCTAAAGAGATTTAGATTTACGAAGGGACCAAGCACAGCTACTGCTTGGACAATGCATGGCCAAAGAATAAATTAATACATTTAGGTTTGCTTATTTAGGAGATACAGAAAGGAAAAACCCATAGCACAAAGATGAGCAGACTTCTAATTATCGTTCAAATACAAATATAAAGACCATTCCCTGACCTCACCTGATTTATTTTCTCTACTTATATAATTTATAGAAATCAGCTGTGTACTCAGTTGTCTTACTAAAATCTAACTCTCACCTGTACTTTAATTTTCTATTATTTTCTTATACCAAATTGGCTATTGTAAATTCTGAAAGTAGTCCATTTCTAATCCCTAAGATTATATGAAAAAAACTCATATAACTGAAACCATTACTTTATGTTCATTGCCACCATATGCTCTTTAATATATTTTTAAACAAACACATTTTATATAACAAATTATCAGTAATTGTTCAAACCCAAAAGCACTTGCTCTAGGACATTTCAAAAATATCAAGTTTACAATGCCTTGGAATTGCTTTAGTGCTCATGGACATATAACATATGTTTTGTAAGGAGACACCCATATGGTTCTGTGTTGTTCATCCTTGTTATGTATTGTTTGTCTGCTACCACATAATCCAAACTACAGACATTGACTTGCATGTATGGTTTACAGCACTCTTGATGTCATGACCCACAGGGGATTAAAACTGACAGCACCATAGGATTACTCTTTTCCAGTGCACTTATGATGCCAGGTAGGCCTTGGAATTGACAAATGAATATTTCAAGGAGAAACTATAAATTAAACTAAAAACGTAATAAAATAAAAAATAGACTCAATTTTCTCCTCCTTCTTTCTTTTCTAGTAGTCCTTCTCCTCCTCTTTTCCTTCCTCTTCTTTGTCTTTTAAAATGAGCTTGGGAAACTTCTCAAAATTTGGCTTCTGTTAGACTTTGCTTTCTTATGAAAGATCACATGGTAAAAATTATAGACTTTTGGTGGGAGGGGGATTTCTGAGATCTAAGCTTACTATTTTAATAGCCAGCAGAGGAGGATGACAAAGAACAATGAGTTACTATTTATAGACATAAGAACAATTTAAGATCATTCTTTAAGACTACTCTTTCGAATGAATGAAAAGCATTTTTAGTTAAAGGCAAATTATTTTACAAGGTGGAAACTATTGAATGGGAACTAACAGGTACCCAAATAATGATTTGTAATCTATCTTCTCATTAAGGAATTCAATGACTGAATTAAGAATAAGAATTATAATACTTGTTGGAACCTTACTTTGGCAAAATATTCAGTTAATTTTACATTGTCTTCATAAATCGCCTAAATGAAATATGGCTCAGTTGCCAGGTGTTCTACACAAGGATTTTAATGATGTTGCCGCCAAGCTCTCCAAACTCATCATTCTGCCACCTTAACTTCACTCTCAAGCACCACACAAGAGTTTGAAATTCTGAAGAAATGTGACCCTATTTCATGCCTCTGTGTTTTTACTAAAGGCAACACAATAGTAAAGTGATCAGGGGCTCTCTTAAGAACTTTGTTATTTTCACAGGAACTTAGGACATTATCCTGAAGATCCTGAGAAGCAACTGAGAAGTGAAGCACCATTATTGAAATGCAATTTTAGACTTATCTTTTCATCTACGAGATTTGTAGATTGGAAAGCAATATGGTCACCAGAGAAAGCAGTTAGGACACAGTTGTCCTAATTCAGGTAAGAAATAACGGAAGCCAAACTGTGGGATTTCATAAAGATTTAGGAAAACAATATAAATTAAAAATGCATTCGGGATGAATCACAGGAATTAATGTTAAATTTTGTTTGGGGCTAGGAAGGCGGAATTGTCACAGCAGTACCTAGATTTCAGGCTTTAACCATCAGAGTGGAGACTTCCTTTCTATACTAATGAATATGAAAACAGGAAAATGTTGGATGGTTCACAATTGCACCAGATTTTTTGGTAAGTATTTGTAGTCTCCAATAAATACAGGTAGGCAAGGGCTATTGGTGTCCTCCACTCAATCTTGCTCCTAGGTTATAAGAAAGCATTCTCAGACAAATGCTGTCATACACATAGGTACTCATTCACAATCAGGCTCAAAAAATCATACACACAACCTGTTTTGTAAGTGCAAGCAGTTCCACATCTCTGTTCTTTTAGGGACTCCTATAGTAACTTTTATAAAAGTTTCACTTGAGGCAAATGTACTGATATTCTAATGGCAGGATTTAGCTAACCATCTATCTAGTGGGAGGGATGTGTCCAAGAATCTTCTGATGAGCTTTTGGATTTAAGCCAAGAACACTCTTCCTAAAGGCACATACTACTGGCATCTTTTGCTTTCTAAAATTTGTTCTAGCCCATTTACATATTTTGCATATCACTAACTTCACCAAAGACTCTACCTTCTAATGTCCATTGTGCCAATTAACAAAACCTGTAGTCTTATTTGGAAAGAAACATACATAGTTGGAACACTTGAAGCAACCACTTCTGGAATGTGGCCTTTTAATTAAATGCCAGCAACTCATCCTTGGAGTCTTTTCCAGATCAGGACAGCTGACTGCCTCTAGGGTGTGGATGAAAACTAACACACGCATATGTATCACACTGACAAGGCTGAAGTGATTGAAGCAGATTGCAAACAGTATAACAGGGTAAAAATGATGTGCTCACTTTGGGACATGTTTAATTGAAGGTGGCAAGAAGGGCTAGCTCAGTTAACATTCAATTAAACAGTCTGACCTCTGGGACAAAGACATGGCTGCACATTCAATTTGAAAATCACTGGTGTGTGGTGTGTTTTACTATTTTTTGTTTTATAAAAGGGTGGAATATAGTGATATCATTTATTCATTTGCTTATTCTTTTACTCAACTTTGTTTATTATGTGTGTTTTGCCTAGGAAAAAGAGTCAAAGTCATAGACCCTTCTTTTCAGAAACTAACATTCTAGGGTGAGAGAAAAGTGTGTAAGTATGATATAAATAATACAGTTTAGGAAGGTTAATATACGGAAGCTCCTCCCCACCTCGGCAAAAAATCGCAATTGGGAATGAACTCATTTCTTAGAATTTAACCCTTGAAAAATGGTGAATAATACTGGTAAGGTTGAAAAGACAATTACACAAGCTGTATTTAAAGTATGTCTTAGGGCCCGATGTAGGGAAGCTGCATCAAGAATTAGTTAGAGCTATGCCTTGAAAGGAGGAATTTGAAGAGCCTTAGACACAACCTATGCCATAGGCCATGGAGCATATGCAGGAGCTTCACCACACAGAGAATATGTATGACACAAGGCCTTCGCTTCTTAAGAAAATGAACATTTGCAGATGAGCCACCAGATGCTATAATATAACAATAGTTGGGTGAGTGATCAAGATTTTCTCCATTTAAAAAATTCTGCCAAAAAAGTAATTGATCTATGGCTTAAGGTAATGGAATTACGTAGCATATGTTGAGTTCTCACCAGAGGGGAAAAATCGAGATGCAAGTTTTCCAGCTGAAATTGTGAAATTATAAAACCAAATGATTATATATACATATATATAAAGATTAAAATTTAAAAAAGATCACCTATACGTGAGACAGCATTTGTCTGTGTCTGTACATATATATATGTGTATATATATATGTACAGACACATATATATGGACACAGACAAATGTTATATATATATGTATAGACACACAGACAAATGTATATACGTGTGTGTATATATATACACAGACATACAAATGTTTGTATATGTGTGTGTATATGTATGCACACACATACACATACACATTTTCACTCTACATTTGTGTGTATTTATTATGTTTTTAAAAATTGTGAATGGAGGAAACCAGCCTGTTTTCAGTTCTTAAAAGCATCTTGAATGCCTTTACAAATGTTACAAAATTTCCAAAACTGTCTTGCCAATCACTGTTTTTTAAATTTTACAATTTAAATGGACCTCAAGGGAAATTTATTCCTTATGTTTCTGATTCTTTTATATTTGACCCATCCAAGTGTTTTATAAGTACCATTTGATGTCTAAAGGGCCTTAGAGGCTTCTTGTTTCAAGTATTTTTAAGACTATTTATTCAGAGTCTAGCAGCACTTTATCAGGCTCAATGCAAATGAAACTCAAAAACCTCAAATTATTTTCAAGGCTGGTAATTTAAAGACTGAGAAGCATCATAAATAGCTATTTAGCACTTTAAGGTATATTATGGCCAAAATGTAAATAAATAAAAGGCATAGTAGGTTACTGTATTTATATATTTTTAAATTTGTATTTTTTCCTTTATGAGAAAGCAACAGACAGTATAAATGATTTGTTCAACCATTTGAACAAAGACTACATTGGATCTTATGCGGTATGAGCTAAATGGTCCTGATAATTATCTAAATATTATGAGTGCAGACATTTATCCTGGTATCCAAAATTCATTGATTTTTTTTTTTTACTAGTAGTAACTCCTCCTTAAGAGGTCCATAAAGAAGACATATGTAGGAGAACCACAGCTAGCAAATGACCTATTTATGTGCTAAATTTTAGTCCCCATATCCAATGTAAGACTCTATGACCTATGCTGAATCCTGTGAATAATGCACTTTGTCTAAAGGGGTAGCTTTGCATTGCATGGGCTCTGGGTCATACTTGTTAGGTTTAAGTTTTGTCTCCACCATTGATTAATATGTGCTTTTAAGTGAGTTATGTAATTTCTGAGAGTCCTTGGATCCTTTACTTGTAAGTATGATCACAGTTCCTATTTGTTATGATGTCTATAATTCCTCTGAAAGTATTTTAGTATAATTAATACTATCTTCAGAAATAATGCACACCAGAAAGCCATATTGGAAAGTGGCTATTGGAATTGTTTCTGTTGTTGATGGCTTTATCAAAATAATATACTTTCTTCATTAGCATGACGAATGTCAGAAATGAGTTAATATTTGTGAAATTATGGCTTGATGGTTAGTGAGATAAGTGTTAGAAATGTGCTTTAAGTAGTAAACTTGATGTTTTTCAAAATATTTGGATTTACTTAAATGTTTGAAAATCTCCACCAGTGATCTCTGTCTTTGCATGAACAAGATAGAGGAATCTAGTGAGGTGTCTTTATCCTTGAAGTTAGTGTCCATATGGTTTCTACTTGGTTTGGGGAATTTTTTAAATTGATGCTGACTCTAATGTTGGTGGATCTTTGTCTTTAGAATATTGTCATCATCTGTGCTAGATAGCCCATTCCCTATTTTGGAGGTAAGAGCAGCTAGAAGGACAGACACCTGAGCTTCATAAAATGTATAGAATAGATTGTATAAGCTGTTATGTGCCTGGTAAAATAAGTTTCTTTAGCTAATGACTTTAATACATGGCAGAATTTGATCTGATATTGGCTTCCATTTAAGGTAACTAACCCATCCAAACTTTTACTGTGTATATGGCCCACCAAAAAGAACCACAGAGTTTTGAATTATCAAATTGGGTTACTCAATTCATAACACAAATTTGTGGAGTTGACATAATAAATAAGGCAGTGATCCATGTGAGCCCTCTAGACAATTACCTGCAAGGAGTCAGAGCATAGGGAATGCTTGCCATTACTAGGCTAAAATGGCCTGCAACCAAAGCAAGCCAAATGCCATCTACCTCCACAAATACATACCTGAGTTTTGGATTTTACCACCAACTGCAGAGAAAGCCCTACATTTTTCAGAAAAATAGAACCCAAGGGTGTGCCAATGCACTGGCAAAGTTGGTCCAAGCCACAAATCTCAGGCCTTTCAAGGTCAGTCACAAGTGCAGCCCATGGGCTTGCCTTCCTTTGCAATACATTTGGAAGGTAGAGCTTTCTCAAAATAGAAAAGGAGTCAGGGAGAGGTGTTAGTTCTCTAGCTCTGAGAAACTAGGAAGTTCTACAGGTCCTCACAACAAAAGCAGTGAATTTCTGAGCCTCTGGAACTTAGGCTCCATAAAGCATCTCAGAGTTTTACTAATCTACTTTTTGAATATCTTTTCAAATGAGAAGCAAAATGTAGGGGGTAAGGAAGAGGGAGAGGGGATGTCTTCCTTTTCCAAAACCAAAAAGACACTGAAAATCCTTGCATGCTGTATACTCCAAAAATTGGCTTGTCTAATTTGACACAGTAAACACACACACACACACCACACAGACACACACATACACACAAATACACATATATATTATATGAAATACATGGAAGGATAATGAGGCATAATTATTCAGTTTTGATGTTTTAATTATTTTATTTCTTTGTGTAAATATTTGTATTTTCTGAAGGGCATGTATAATTTAAAATAATGTCAATAAGACCACAAATAAAATTGGTTTTATTGCATTGTGTTCCCTTTCTTGCTTTTAAAAAATACACATTCTCCTGAGAAGACTAAATTAAGGCCAGGCCAAGGTTTTGTGCATGTTTGCCAAAATAACATTTTTTTTTTTTTTTTCTTGAGACGGAGTCTCACTCTGTCTCCCAGGCGGGAGTGCAGTGTCGCGATCTGGGCTCACTACATGCTCCACCTCCCGGGTTCACGCCATTCTCCTGCCTCAGCCTCCTCAGTAGCTGGGACTACAGACACCCACCACCACGCCCGGCCAATTTTTTTTTTTTTTTTTTGTATTTTTAGTAGAGACGGGGTTTCACCGTGTTAGCCAGGATGGTCTCGATCTCCTGACCTCCTGATCCACCTGCCTCAGCCTCCCAAAGTGCTGGGATTACAGGCGGAAGCCACCGCGCCCACCCCATTTTTTTAAAAAAAAAAATCATTAGTAGTATTGAATATGATCTGTGGTTGACTAAGAATTGGGACTTGGGATGTGGGATGAGAATACTTCAAGAAATTGAGGCATACTCTGTCGAATAAAGACACCTTCCCTGTGCTCAAAATCTGGCCTAGTACAGGAGCTGTCTAGGTCAACCGGGAGAAGTTTGACAGGGTCAGTTTCCATTCATTGTTAAAGTTTAACCCTGAGCCATTTTACTTAAATCAAGAAGCTATTTTTAGGGTCAGATCGTATATACTTTTCATAAGCAGAAGAGGTATTGCATATCGGTTCCAAGTCAAATTTTGGAAGCAGTTATTCTTCTTGAAAGTTGTTTTCTTTTCCTGTAGCATTTCATGGAAGACACTTGCTGCAGCCAACACGATGAGGCTATAATTTCATAGACTGAAAAGTTTCTTATTATGAGTAAGCTAATTGAAGTCAGGGGAATAGTAGGATTTAAGAATTTGGGGTTTATAATACAATCATGAAGTTGAAAGGAATCTTGAGAGGTCATCTACTGCTACTCTTCTATTTAGGCTAAAGGATCCCCCTGCAACCTTTCAGCAAATGGGTATGTGTCCTATTTAAAAGACATAAGCCATTTTGTTATTGTTATTATTGTGGTATCATCTGTGATCTGATTTTGGGGGTCTCCATCCATCTTCTGTCTTTTATTTTCAACAGTTCTAATTCCAGTCCTGCATAAGGTAGAAGTTTGTTATGGTTGTGTTGTTGAGTTCAAATAATAAAGATGCATCTGGGCTAGTACCACAGTGTGATGACTTTGTAATGTATCCATAGGGCTATGCTGAATTACTGTTCCCTGAATGATCTCTTTTGGTAGGTTTCATTTGGATGGGCTACAATGATGATTCTCTCCACAGCGCAGAAGGAGAACAATGCTATTTTGTAGGATACATAAATTTTTGCTGATCTGTTGACTCACTTCCTTGGTGTGAAACAGCAGCTGGGCCTGGATTTGCTTCCCCTTCCCCTTGGATCTTTCTTCAATTTCTATTATTTCAGGTATGGATGTGTATGCGTGCTCATCATTTTGAGCAAGAGCCCTGGCTTCTTCTACAAGATACCCTTTCTCAGGTCAGGAGGAACAAGAATGGGCATAAGCTGTAGTCTGATTTTGTGGAGTTCCAGCTTGTACTCATGGGGTTCCAGTCCACTGGTGATTTCTTCTTCCAGACTGCCTGTGCTGGGTTCTAGCACTGGATGTGGAAACAGTCATGTGAAGACTTCATAGCCAGCCCTTATAATTGGGTTAGTAAATTCCCTACGATAAGTCTCTTGACATGTATCTATATATCACATTAGTTCTGCTTCCCTGGTTAAGCCGTGATGGCTACATGCAAAAAACAGAAGCAGTGACTAAGAATCAGGATCATTAGAATTCAAGCTGTCCCTCATTTCTGCTTGGTCTCAAGCTAGCTTCAAGCTTTTCTTTTGCTTTAGACAGTATTTTTATGCATCTCCAGAATACGTGTTGGAAAATATGAACCTGATATTTCTGGATTCACTTAAATGTTCAACCACCTGAAGACATGAATTCTTTTACTTGGTATATGTATTTCTCTGGTGACAAACTACATTTTTAGGAAACAGACACTGTTGGACTCATTTGGATAGTATATCAGTGTTTAGGGAGGCAGGCTCTAAGGAAGGATTGGGCTATGTCTGGTCCCCACCACTAGCCCAAAGAACGATGTCAAATGCAGCAGGGCTAGGCTGGACAAAATGACTTTTGGGAATCCAATGACATTTTCATGTGGATAAAAGCTGGCCACTCTTTGCCAGTGCTGACAGTTATCAGAACACACTGATATGATTATGATAGTTGTTTCCGACTGGTGCCTGTTCTGATTAGCTGCTGGTCCCTTTGCCATATAAGTTGTTAAACATTTTCAATATCACCACTACCCACAGATTCTACTCAAAATGCTCATTTATTCATAAAATCACATCCATGGAGTTTGTCATAGGTTGCAAACACAACGATATCAGGAAAAATTAAGATGAGTAGAAAGGCAAGGTTGTAGTCTCAGGGTGCATAATTTACCAGGAGAGAAAGAAATTGCCAACTTCAATTGACGGAAGTACTAAACCCAGAGTAAGATGTGTTTGATTTATTTTTCACTTTATCATTTATTATCTTTTTGACCATGTAATTTCACGGAGCAGTAAGTCTGTGAGAAAACAGACTGCCTACACTTTAACTTCATCAATTAAAAAGTGTATGACCTTGGCCAGTTAATTTAGTATGCTAGGGTAAGTTTTCATCTTTATAAAATATAGATAGGACTGTTATGAGAATAAAACAAGATAGTATATGAAAGTACTTAGTGCAAAAGGGAAAAATGCCTTTTATTTTTAATTTCACTGGATTTTTTAAATCAAATTTAAAAAAAAATTCAAGAATGCTGAATTTTTCAAGTTTCTTTTCAGCATAATAATTTTTTAATTTGACTATTAACACGATCAATTATAAAAATAATTAATCTATTTTTAATCATTTTTGTATTTGTGTAATTAGCTCTGCTTTATTTTTAATTTTTCTCCTGGAACTAATTTACAGAAATGAATTTAACTTAAAAAAATCTATATGTAGTGAGCATGAATCTTGATGCATATACTCAATTGTGAAAGAAATATCACAGTTTTTATTATCTTTAAATTAATTTAATTCTAGCTTCAAGAACATGTGATCCAGGTTAACAGGAAATGTAAAGCATTGATCTTGACTCTCTTTCCTGTTACTAAGGTAGAATAAAGTTTCTAGGGTCTTACACAATATTAAAACACTGGCCGAAACTCCTTGTCATCAGTCATCTCTACTCCCCAGTTGCTCCAAAGCCATCTATGGTTTAGTCCTAGATCCCAAAGATGCCATTTTCCTCATAGGATTTGCAACTCTTAGACCATGCCAGAGCACACAGTGCACATCCCTGATGTTTTAGGGAATTATAAATCTCTCCTTTGTCGCTAGTTTGAGTGAATTTCTTCCTTTTTTTAAATCTAAATGAAAGTTGATCTCCATGACACAAACAATTTAGTTCCTTCAATGGAGTTTTTGCAAAAGAGGACAGAGAATCAGTTCAAAAATATTTGCAGCAATGAATTATAAATCCTAACAGCTTGGGGATGAATGAGGGGAGAGGATATACAGAATGGCAACATAATTTGATAATATAAATTATGACACTTTCCATTTCTTCTTTGATTTGTAAGAGTTTAAACAGCACAAAAATATCAGTTTTTTCTCAGAGTTTGCCAGAATTTTTTGCTAAAACCATCTGAGCACCATGTCTTTTCAGAGAACAGCTCTTTTGTGAGTATTTCCCTTCCTTACAGGGTTATTAGTAAATACAGATTTTCTACTTTTTTTAGGTCGACTTCGGGAGTTTCATGTTTTTTTTTATTCCTAGAAAAATTATTCATTTCATTGGGATTATCATGTGTAACAGAGAATTATACATATTGTACAATAATTTTTAAAATTCTTATCTGTTTGAGAGGTTGTATATTTTTCTTAATTCTAAATTTTAACTGTTTCCGTTTTAATTTGATTGGATTACTTAGAAGCTTATATATTTTGCTGTTATTTCCCAGAAGTTCAGAACATGGGTTTATTTATTAATTCTACTTAAAGTTTTCTAGTTTCAAATTTATTAATTTTTGCCTGTTTCCTCATCTTCTTTCTCTTGGTTATTTTTTTGTAGCTTGTTGAGGTAAATGTTTCATTAATTTATTTCCATTCATTCTTGCTTCATATTAAATGCACTTGTTGTGCTTACGACTCTGATTCTGGTACTGTCCACACCTTAGATTTCATGTGACTTGCTATCATCATAACTTTTTTTTTCTTTGGCCCTGACGTGGCCCTCAGGAGATCCTGAAAACATGTGCCTCATTGTAACTATTTTGTAATTATACAATAGTTTTGTTTTTATTGACCAAAAGCTTCTCTAGCTTTATTGAGTTGTGTTCTGCAAATAAATCCTCTGAAATTCCACTTTTGAAGCGTTCATATTAGTAATTTTATAATTTTAATATTGATGGCATATTCTAATGTCTAATCCCTAGCATTTACCTTATTTTAAGTAGGACAGATTCAGGGGCTGAAGCCCTGAGAATTAGAAGTGTCAGAGACAGGAAAAGATCCCTGTCTTATCTCAAGCAATCAGGCAGGATTAAGTCAATTTTCTTCACTTTTTTTTTTCTATTCAGGCCCTCAAAAGATTGAATGATGCCCACCAACATTTGGGAGTCCATCTGCGTTACTCAGTCCACTAATTTAAGTGTTAGTCTCCTTCAGAAGCATCCCCAGAGATACAACCAGAAATAATGTCTAATTAGGTACCTGGACATCCTATGACCCAGTCAAGTTGACATAGAGAATTAACCATCACAAGTCCACCCCTTGTTAACTTGGCATTCATACACATCTTCTTAAACCATATTTATTCTCCAAATAAGAACAATAACAAGTTTATATTTCTGCCTAACATAATACAGCTATCATTTGTACAATCAAAAACATATTAACCCCTTCTCCAGAAGAGGAGGTAAAGTTCTTAATTGATGTTTACTCTTTTTCTTAATATCCTGTAACTTAAATACTATGATGTAAAATTAACAATCCTTAAATACCATGACATAAAGTCAACACATCTTATGTCACATCGTAAAGAAATGAGAGATAAAATAGAATATATATACGTATCTATATATGCATTGATATATATATATCTGCGTGTGTGTGTGTGTGTGTATTTATAACAAAATAAGGAAGAAATACTCAAGATAATTACAGTTCTTATTTCTGTACCTAGTCACGGGGTTGTTGCTGTTATTTTTCGCTAACTCTCACTCCCAGTCTATATTCCCTTTACTGTCAACAAGTACCTCAGGTGGTCATGGTTCTTTACCTGCTGGAGTCAGTTAAATTTTCTTTTCTGAAGGGGACTGTGTTATTAGTACTCTTCCCTATATTTGGTTGTTATAGTTTTTCATTAACATTAATCACAGGGCATGCTAATATTAGGAGACATCCTGGTAGATTTTCCTTATTCCAGATCTACTCTTCCTTACCGCCCTAGTGGAGTAGAATTCTAATTTTCACTTGGTAGTCAGGATCAATCAACCCACCCAGCATGGTAGCTCTCTTCTTTGCCTAATGATTTAGAGACATGAGGAGCCTAAAGTAGCTAGGTGAAAGTCTTAGCTTCTAGTTTAATGTAATCAAAGTTCTATCTCTTGGTGGAAGAAGTTCTCCTTATGGAACTAAAACCTCAAAGTGAATAGCACATAGAGTTGCATGAACAGAAAACAAAATTTTGCTAGTGAGTCACTGGAAGTAATTGTGAGTGGCACTACTCTCATTCCCCCCCCCACCCCTTTATTCCTGGTTCTATGAATCCTATCCATGGTAAAAATAGGACCATATATTGGATATTGATTCAGAGCATATTCTCTGGAAAGTCTTGCCCCCGTCTTGCAAGGTATTGCTACCTAGCTGACTCTGTAACTGAGTCTTCTAAGGCCATTTCACCATTTTATCCAGCTACCTGTTTCAGGATGGTGGATATCATGGGAAGGCCAGTGAATTTCATAATCTTGGGCCCATTCTCTCACTTCTTTTGCAGTGAAGTGGGTTCTTTGATAAAAAGCAATGCTCTGTGGTATACCATGATGGTGAATAAGACATTTTATAAATCCACGAATGGGAGTTTTGGCAGAAGTACTCCATGCAAGAAAGACAAACCTGTATCCAGAGTGTCTATTCCAGTAAGTTCAGAACACTTTACCATCCTTGATGGAAGCAGTGCATTGATGGCTGTAGCCAGGTCAACCTTGATAAGTGGAAGTCTATGTTGCTGAGCCAATTCATAACCAGCATCACTGCAACCACTATGGCCACTATGTTAATTAATCCATTGATGACAGGGTTGCCTGGAAAACAAAGACAACTGGTATCCAAAGAACAGGTCATTTTATCCTGGTGATTTTTAAAGTCTTCCCCTGCTAAGATCACACTATGGTGAGCATTTACATGGGACACAAATATCTTCTGTTTTTTGTCCATTCAGAGAGGTCTATCCACATACTTCTTTCCCAAATGTATTTGTCATCAATTTTCCAATAATGTTACTTCCAGGTCTCTAGCCATCCAACCAAACCATTGGCTACAGCCCATGAATTCATATATAGTCAAACATCTGACCTTCTCTCCTTCCAACGAAACCGCAAAACCACGTGCCCAGCCTAAAGTTCTGCCCAGTAGGAGGTTTGTCTTCACCACTGTTCTTTAGAGATATCCCAGAGAGGAGCTGTATTACTGCAGCTGTCCACTTTTAGGTGGTGCTTGCACAATGTGCAGAAAAGTCTGTAAACCAGGCCTGACTCTTCTCTAACTCTGTCCACTGATCATAGAAAACTCTCTATGAGGCCATAGAAGCAGGCTGTGAGAGAAAAGATAGTGTAGAATGAGTGGGAAATTTGGACGACTTCTTCATTTAACTTGTATCTTCAGGACCTGCTTGGATCTTATCATATATATATACCACTTCTATTTAATGATGGAGTGTTGCTATGCATGTGCAGCTCTATGACTTGCTGGACCAGGTAAAAACAAATTAATGATGGACAGCTTAGGTTTTATTGTAACTTGGTGACACATGGTCCATGGTCAAGTGTTCAGTCTCTACTAAGGCCCAGTAACCAGGCCAAAAGCTGTCTCTCTAAAGGAGAGTGGTTATCTACAGAAGATGGCAAAGTCCTGCTCCAAAATCCCAAAGGTCTGTGCTGTCATTCATCCCTATGGACCTGCCAAAGGCTCCCAAGAGCATCCCTGTCTGATACTGATACTTCAAGCACTGTTGGATCTACTGGATCATATGACCCAAGTGGCAGAACAGCTTGTAGGGCAGAAGGGACCTGTTGCAGAGCCTTCTCTTATTTTATGTCCCACTCAAAACTAGTAGCTTTTTGGTTCACTCAATAAATATGCTGGAGTAATACACCCAAATGAGGAATACGTTGCCTCTGAAATACAAAGAGACCCACTAGTGTTGTGCCTTTTTCTTGCTTGTAGGAAGAACCAGGGACCAGATGCAACAATTTATCCTTCACCATAGAACATGCCCCATGTTCTTTTGTTGACTTTACCTAGAACTTTTCTGCTTGTACAGATCAAGTAAGAATTTAGTAAGCTTCCTATTCATTTCCCTTTTAGAAACACCATGATCAATTAGCCAATGTCGTAGGTCTGTTCAAGTCAGACTATTTTGCTTTCTTACTTTGACTCTGCTGTCCATTATGGTAACCACATCCACCTTGCCTTTGTTGGTTGAGTGCTGCCCTTGTCACACTGGAATCCAATTACTCCCATTGCATTTAGGTTTTCTAATTTAGTGATTGTAGATCCCATTGGGAGTTCTGTTCTATAGAGAAAGGTGATTACAGAGCTCTTCAAGGGTGCTGAGGTTCTCCTCACAGATATATTTCTCACAGTATTGGTGAAAGGTATGTCTTCTGGATCTTCCCAGTGTGGGTGAGCAGGCCTTAAATGACAAATTCACTCTTAACATTTCAGTCTCCTTGCATTTGCAAGTCTTTGAATCTATTTCTCTACATTAAACCAACACATGTCTAGCATTTACAAGTTGCTTATAGCAGGCCACTTTTCAGTCCATGTTTCAGTCAACCAGCCTAACTGTTAGAGTCCTTTCTATCTCCCACTGATGTTGGGACCAACCAGTCAGCAACATTATATTCATTAGTTTCCCAAAGTTATTTAAAAGCATCATATACAGTCATCCCACTTCTTATAAGTGGCTGATTAGGATTATGTAATGCACATATTTTTATAGGTATATTGCCAGATCACACCATGGATTACAGTGCTAGCTCTAGTAATTAAATTAAGTCATTAGCATCTTAAGTCTAATCAAATTAAAGAGCCAATTCCAGAAACCCTAAAACTAATTTAAAAACCTCATGCTTAACATTCTGTTCATCTGGACTCTTTTGGTACCAAAATATGATTTAGTTAGGATTCTCCAGAGAAACAGAACCAGAACCAGTAGGGTATTTACCATAAAGTATTGGTTTGCATGAATATGGAAGCTGAGCAGTCCTGTAGTCTGCCATCTGCAAGCTAGAAACTCAGTAAAGCTCCTGGAGTAGTTTTAAAGCCTGAGATCTAGAGAGCTGATGCTATAGACTGCAGTCTGTGTCTGAAAGCCTGAGAACCAGGTGCACCATCAGCAAGAGAAGATTGATGGGCCAGCTCAACAGTCTGGCAAAGGTAATTCACCCTTCTTCTGCCTTTTTTTTCTACTCAGATCCTCAGTGGATTGGATAATACCCGGCCACAATGGGAACAGCCATCTGCTTTATTCTGTCTGTCAATTCAAGGGCTAATCTCTTCCAGAAACACACTCTCACTCTCTCATACACACACACATACACACACACTTAGCCACCGCACCTGGCCTTATATGGAATTTTATATAATTTTTGCATAAAAGTTATCTTGTATTCCTTTATTATAAGTCATGTTGTGTAAATCAAGAAACTTTTCATGTGATTGAAGTATTCAAGAATATTTTAACTCCATTGAGAAATCACTTTTTTATTATTAGCTCATATTTGATGTACTGATTTCAAGTAAACAACATGTTCTGGTGATTGTGTTCAGTAGACTGATGATAGAAGAAGAAAGTTGGACCAAATGTACAGATAAAATATGAAAGAGTGGATAGCACAGAAAAGAAAATTAGCCGGGCGTGGTGGCGGGCTCATGTACTCCCAGCTACTCTGGGAGGCTGAGGCAGGAGAATGGCATGAACCCGGGAGGCGGAGCTTGCAGTGAGCCGAGATTGCGCCACTGCACTCCAGCCTGGGGGACAGAGCGAGACTCCGTCTCAAAAAAAAAAAAAAAAAAATTCCACATAAAATGATGGTCTTAAATTCTTTTAGGTGTATTATTAGTTATTCCTCATATTGTATCTGTGTGGGTTTCTTATTAGGTAAATATATTAGTCCATTCTTGCACTGCTATAAAGAACTACCTGAGATGGGATAATTTATGAAAAAAGAGGTTTAGACTCAACAATTCTGCTGGATGTATAGAAGGCATGGCTGAGAGGCCTCAGGAAACTTACAATCATGGAGGAAGGCGAAAGGGAAGTAAACATGTCTTCACACACCAGAGCAGGAGAAAGAGAGAGAGAGAGAGAGACACAGAGAGAGAGGTGGGAGGTGCTACACACTTTCAAACAAGAAGATCTCATGAGAACTCACTACCATGAGAACAGCAAGGGAGAAATCTGCCCCCATGATCCAATCACCTCCCACTAGGCCCCTCCTCCAACACTGAAGATCATAATTCAACATGAGATTTGGATGGGGACCCAGAGCTAAACAATATCTATGAATTTCTCTTTTCTCTAAGTTTCTGTCGGTTAAACCTTAATATTATTATCATCATTAAACCTAATTTATCCATTTATGGAGAATTCTGAATTTGTTTGAAAATATGCTCTGGATCTTAGATAAGAGAGATAAATCCAACCAAGCATTCAACATCAGCTTTTGAAAAATGCTGGTATTTATCTTTTCCATCTCCAAGTCAATGCTGAAAAAAATTTGTGACTATTATTCACCAGCCAGTTATGCATCACCCTAATAGGTATATGATATCCAAACCAGATTTTCCTCATCAATTATATGAATAATATGACATATAACCTTGTATGACAAAATAAAATATCTTACTCAAATGAAGATAATTTAAATATTATTTCTTTTCCTCAATCTTCGAAGCCAATCCACTTTCAACATAATTAAATTAGATTAGACTGACAGGAGTGTTCTTTAGTAAAGTACTATGGGATGGACCTAGAGTCTTGTTTTCTTTTGATATTGTCAAATTTTATTTAAAAAGCATTATAATCTGAATGTTTTTGGACTCCATATCCTCTTTTCAAGTTAACATAAGCAAAATATACATTTTTAACTATGTAAGTAGAAGATATTAAGTGTGTTGATGTGGTTAACTGATGAGTTACTTAAATAACCAATATGAATTATTCTTAAAATAAATCAATTCAAACTCCCAGTTTCTCTTCTTTCTCTTTATTTCCCCCTTTCTGGCCAAAAAAATTCACAGTCACATTCAATATTTGACAACTTGGAAAAAGCTGAATTAAAAAACATAATTCAGCTGAGTCTGGTGAAAACTTTGATGACAGTTTATTACAATAAACATATGACCACTGTAATAGTGGAATTTGATAAAATGACATAACCTCTATATTAACATTGCACATCTGCTTACTAAAAGCATCTTTTTATTATCTGCTCTTTTACGTGTTCACCAAATGACCAACTTTGTGTTTGGCATTTCAATCTTAAATTAGGTTGAGACATCTTAATTGAAAACTTGCCAGTCCCCTTGCCTTTACTTTGGAAATCTTTTTAAAAGTTCTTATTTATATTACATAGCTGTGAATCAGGTACAATGATAGCTGCAGCCAGTCTTGGTTTATAATGGTCTAGAAATAAAAATGATCTTTGAGCAAATATTTCAATGACAGAACTTTAAGATTATTCAAATGACCTATTTTTGTTTATGTTTTGTTGTATTATTTACTTCCTATAGACAGGTGCTGGCTGAGGCTGGGGGAAGGTGCCTATTCCTCCAATACTGATGACCAAGTGTGCAGATTCTGTAAGTGATGTCCTGAAAGAGTATAAGATCAAGAACCAAGAAAGTATTCAATCAAAGGGCTAGAACATTTTTTTCCAGTTTTTATTTCTGTTACTATGTACTTAAGGAGTGATATGGTTTGGCTGTGACCCCATCCAAATCCCATCTTGAATTGTAGCTCCCATAATTTCCACGTGTCATGGTAGGGGCTGGGTGGGAGGTAATGGAATCATGGGGATGAGTCTTTCCCATGTGGTTCCCAAGATAGTGAGTAAGTCTCAGGAGATATGATGGTTTTATAAATGGAAGTTTCCCTACACAAGTTCTCTCTTGACATCTGCTGTGATTGTGAGGCCTCCTCAGTCATGTGGAACTGTGAATCTATTAAACCTCTTTTTCTTTATAAATTACTCAGTCTTGGTATGTCTTTATCAGCAGCATGAAAACAGACTAATGCAAGATGACACTTATTATCTTCAGGGCAAGTGTCTCGCTAAGAAAATAATCCCTTGTAAATAGATGGGATGTGTATTAGTCCATTCTCACACTCTCATAAAGAAACACCTGAGACTGGGTAATTTATTTAAAAAAAGAAAAGAGGTTTAATCAGCACATGGTACTGCAGGCTATACAGGAAGCATAGCAGCTTCTGGGGAGGACACCTGAGGAAACTTTTAATCATGGTGGAAGGCGAAGGGGAAACAGGTATGTCTTAAATGGCTGGAGCAGGAGGAAGAGAGAGTGGGGTGGTATCACATACTTCTAAATAATCAGATCTCATGAGAACTCTATAAGGAGAAGAGCACCTAAGTGGGAAATCCACCTCCATGATCCATTCACCTCCCACCAGGCCCTACCTCCCACATTAGGGATTAGAATTTGACATGAGATTTAGGTGGGGACACAGATCCAAACCATATCAAGATATAAGAGAAAGAACAGTGAACCCAATTTCTTGGAGTGTTGATTAAAAAAAACCCTCCAGCTGAATCTAATATGATCCCCTATACTTGTGTTATCCCCTATATGCACTCCTCATGCCAACTCTTAATAGATGAACCATGATGCAAAGCAAAACTAAGAAAACCACAGGAAAGAATGCTTGAGGAGTATCTGAGATCAAAGTGTAGGGAGGGAAGCTTGGAAAATCCTAGTGCTTGGGCATTGGGGGAGCCTCCTGCTAAATTGGGGTTCCAATAACAATGTGCCTAGCAACCCTCCCCAGTGGGAACCCGAAGGGGAGCTGGATATGGGTGTTAACAGTATACCTTTCACAGGATGCTTCTCTTACCTGGAGGACAGCCTCATGCTTAACTGTTGGACCCATGACCAGGGGTTCGCTCATGTGGGAAACATGTTTATACTGGCAGATGCCCTTGCAGCTCTTGCCTGACCCATGTGCAGTTCATCTCAGCCTCACTATGCTCTGGGGCTGGGAACCTGATCTTGCAGCTCTCCACTAGCCCTCCACTCATGCCCCAGGATCCCGGGGAAACTTAGCCTGGAGTAGCCCCTGGTTCTTCAGATGTTTCAAATTCAATACTTCCCAATAGAAAACAAGTTCAATGATTTTTCCTTAAACATCCTGAGCAGGAACCTCACAATGAGACAGCTGAGCAGTCCTCTGTGCCCAGGTCACGTGAGGCAGGAATGAAAAGTAAGGCAGCGAGAGAGAGAGAGAGAGAAAAGTTGGGAACTATACATATATATATGAATAGGGTTTGAGGCTTGAGCCACTTTAAGTTCATAGGCAAGGGAGCCCAGGCTGTTAGGTAGAGAGATGCCTCTGAGTTCTTATTTCTGGCCAATGGCTTGAGCCATTTGGGTGTGGTATAGAACTGAAAACTGTATCAAGGGTGACTGAGCCCTGCTTCTCATATGTGAAAGTTAAACTTGTGTTTGAAATGGATACGAAAGCAACATAAACTTAAAAGAATTCACTGCATTGGGGTAACTATGAATTTCTCATAAAAAGAGCTGAAAGTGAATAGGTGGTGTTTCAATTAATTAGTCCTGTGTAGCATATTACCCCAAATCTTGGAGGCTTAAAATAAGTATTTATAAATTCTGGAAACTTGAGGGGTTAACTGCTAGATTCCTTTGCTTTGTGGGGTGTTGGCACAGGTCTGAGAACTCAGCTGGGGCCCTCAGCTGTCTACCATATGTGTTGTCCTATGTTGTAGGATATCTTCTTATGGCCTCTCTGTTACAGAATAGCTTCAATTCCTTTAAGCATAGTGGCTGGTTTCTAAGAGTTCCAAGCAGAAAAGTGCTAAGTGCAAGTGTGTATCAAGGCTCTGCTTGTATCACTTGTGCTAATGCTTCCTTGGCTTGGATTCAATGTAGGAGGGAACTGACAACACAAGAGGGTTAATACTGAGGGGTGCAGCCATTTCATGCACCAGTGGGACAGTCTACCACATGCATTGAGGCCTAAATGTTCTACTGAGTGCTACGATGCTAATATCCAGAAATTCCCATGCTGTTCTTTACTTAGGAAATGTGACTTTATTTCTTTACTTAGGAAATGTTACCCTCATCTTTTGTGGAGTGTAATTCATTTTTATTTTCTCCATTCACCTCTTGTGCCCACTCTCTGAGTACAAGAGATGACAAGAAAGTATGGGGGAAACTCTGCATATCACATCTGATTATTTTGCAGGTCTATGGTTTCTTGGTCTACAGGAGGTTTACTTAAAGTAGGACAAATAAGTGTTCTGCAGTTCTGCACAAAATAGCAAAATTTGTGCCTCAACATAAACCACATTGGGGCACATAGTTCATTGTCTTAAAAAATTCTATTGTAAAACTGACCTAGTTGGTTTTTGCAACAGGTAGCATTAGAAGGTGTTTTCTTTTTTTCTTATAAATTTCTTACCAAGGAAGAAAAATGTCCAATTGCTCTGATCCTGCATTCCAGTGCATGATTTATTTTGCTTTCTTTTTTTTTTTTGCAGCAGATCCTTTAATATCATAAAGATTCCATCTTGTAATTAAATATGTATCTAGCACTTAATATGTTCAATATACCTGGCAGACATTGCTAATCATTCCTTTGAACAAGACTGTAAAGTAAGCTACTATGGAGTTGAGAATATCATTTCTTTAGATGAAGGAGATGAGGCTTGGAGATTGCCCAAGGTCATGTAATATATTAATGATAGAGATGGAATTAAAATTCTGTTTTCGGTGTCTCCGTTGTTATTAAATCAGAGACTGAGCTGAATGTTGCTTTAAATGGAGAAGGGAACTACAAGGAAGGAGCATGTGGCTTTAACCTGAGGAAGGGCAATTTAGTAATTTAGTGGACATGATTTTTAGAATGTAAAATCTTCTTTTAAATGTCTTATGTTCAGACATTGCTATTCCTCAAAATTTCTTTTCTGATGATGTTACCAAGAGAAGATCTGATGTTAGATATAAGAAATGTAAATAGACTTATACAGTAACAAGGCTGTCTCTTGCAAGTAAGGGATGAATGATAAGAAGATGCATTTGAAATGATGGGGTGTTGAATACAAATTCACTTCACTCCAGTTTTTATTACAAATTCACCTCACTCCAGTTTTTATTAGTGACAAATACCTGTTCTCCAAACAAATTGTATAGCTCTACATCTACAGTATTATACTGAGTGTATATCAAATCATTTTTACTAATATTTATTTGACTGTATATAAACCCATTAAAATAATATCAATTTACTTCATTAATTTCTACTTGTTTGGGGCCAATGTATAAAGCACAGTAACAAAGAAAATAGAATATTACTAGCATCTGTACTGCTATTTTTGCTCCGTATTTGGTTTATTTTCATTGCTTCATTTTCGTAATATGCTCTAAATTAATTAGCTGCAAGAGAAACTTTGAATAATTCAAAGAGGCACTTTAGGAAAGTTGCATTTTTTTCCAATTGGCTACATCATAAGTTTGTTATAAAGAAAAATGGTGAGGCAGATGTTTGGTTGATTTGTTGTTCTTACATGAAAGTTTTATATGATAATTTTTAGCAGAAATGGGCTATTTTTAGTAGTTAACTTTTTCAAAGATGTCACAACAGAGATGCAAAGTAATCTGTAATAGTATTCATCATTCTGTACCTTAAAAGATAGCATGTACTACACGATCAAGAGGAAGCAAGAGTCAATGCTATACTATTCAATACAGCTTCTTGGAACTATTGTAAGTATATTGAATCCAAGAACATTTAAAAACTATCCTTGCTTTTACAATTTTTTTGGCTCAAAACATTATTTTAAAAATGCAAGTTTTCTCAATGCACTTCCATTCAGTCTTTTGTTTTTGATTTTGCTCATTAACCTATCAATTGAAAAAAAATTTCTTGTTATACCAATTTTTATCTGTTTGCTCTCATTCTCATGCCAACCCTGTCCCCATCCTCACCACACACTTATCAGAGCTGTATTCTCTGATGGTCTCTGCAATGCTCTCTGGCCTGGAATTCTGGTATTACTTGGTTCCTTAGCTCTTTGGCTTCTAGTTTCATCTGGCCAATGGAAGGCCCAGCAAGAAATGAAAAGGGGAGACAGACAGAGGATCAGATATTCAGTTTCTGTTCTCCCCATGCCCCATCTGCCTCTGTGCCCTGCTTCCACCACAGCTCCTAGTGGCTTTCCCTCTTCCATGGAATCGGCTCTCACAGACTCAGTGCTGACTGTATAATGTCCTCTCCTTCAGCCCTAGGGCTACTAAGGGGCTTCTCACTGTTGCCCATATTTGGATGCTTCCTTATCCTTTACTGGTTTTCTTATTTCTTGTCACATCTCTGTAAATAGTTAAACCCTTTTGAGTGGGCCATCTGATTTTCCTTAGGATCCTGAATAATATAATTGGTTTATATAAAAAGGAATGTCTCTCATATAAAGAGGAAAAAAGAAAGTACCCTTTCATTATATGTCTGCTTCTGAAAGCTTTTCATATTTTGTGTTATTTATTTTATTCAATTCTAATGTCCACCGTGGCCTGACAGAGAGGGAACTGAAGGAATAAATGTCCTAATGATACCCTACTTCTGTTCTCTCGTCTTTAGGTGGCACCTGCCATTGACTGTATCCCAGCAGCTGGAGCCTAAGGGAGTTAATTGGTACTGTCTAGGATTTAGACTAGGGAGGAGAAGTGTAGATCTCAGATCTGAAGGAACAGAGGAAGCATATTCAGCACAGTTCACCTGTTTATCCCTTGAAAATCCACTTGTGGTCTTTGTCCAGATTTTTTTAAATGCATGCCTCCTACATAAGGGGCACAGAAAATCATCAGCAACTTTATCACCATTAGCTCATCATAATTCAGCTATGTCCCTGGCCAAAATCTAAGCTGTTGGCCAGAAATACTCTTCATATAAGAGTATTTCTTATATGAAGGGGGAAGGAGATTATGGATAAAAAAAAAATAAGGTAAAACATAGGTAATTCAGTAGCAGGTTCTGAGGCCTAAGCAGCATTAAGAGTATATAGTGCTGAGGACAGAGACTCAGCTTCCAATACAAATAAACTATAAGTTTTCTTGATGGAGCTATTTTTTACTTGAGTACTATGCCCACAAATACACGAAGCCCCAGGATTCTAGGATGGAAAGCAAACATTCCTTAAGTAAGTTACTTAGGAAAATATATCCTTAGGGTCCTGGACCATGAATTCTGGCCTCTGTTCTTTAGCTAGTCTTATGACTAAGCCTTATGTAGCTCTTCTAAGCCAGCTGCTTTGGGAAGATTGGTGACTTGCTAAGACCAGAGAATTCTATCAGAATGAGTCCAATGTCTCTGATCTTCTGCTGCTAAATATCTTCCCTGGTTGGGATTTTTTGTGTATAATGCTTGACAATGGCTACAGCATTACTTAAGTCCACGGGAGTGGCACTGGCAGAAGTACTATGGGGATGGATGGATAAACACATACCAGAGTCAATTTATATGTGGAAAATCCCTGTCTTTTCTACATGATGGCTATCTGGCCTTCCCAGAGCATGGCACCATATTAGAATTCAGAATGGGATTCAGCCTTAGGCAGCCTGGGCAAGTGGAACCTATACATACCTTCTAATACTGTTGTCATTGCCATATTGCACTTTGCCATTTGAACAGTACTGACATTGCTGGAAAGGGAGTCACAATGATATATACAAGATAAGACATCTTATCTACCTGATTATTGAGCTCACAGTGGATGCCTGCTAATAAACCAGTATCTGGCACATGAGTATTTTTATCTCACGTGCTTTTTCACTAATCTCCCTTTTTATGATTAGCCACTATTGGTGATCCGCAGTGAATCTATAAATTTCCTTTATTAATAACTTTCAAGACTTCTCCTGAGTTTCTCTATTATGTAGCAACAATTTACTCCCAGCTGGTATGGTTTGTTTTACCAATCTACCAATAAAGATAACTACATTTTTCTTCCTCTGTGTCTTAACTGGTCGTGGGTAATTTCCCATGAGCCTACTGGTAGCGGTTGTGAGAAATGCACAGAAGGACTAGGAGAAGATTCCAGAGGTATCTGAGCCACCTAATTTTTCCTTTAATTTGTTTGTGTTTTGGACCTGCTGAAGGCAGAAGACATGTGACAATTATTGTTTTCCAGTTTCCTTGCATTAATTGTAAATGCTTAAAACAGCTTTATTGAGGTATAGTCACATAAAATACATGATATGGTTTGTCTGTGTCCCCACCCAAATCTCATCTTGGACTGTAGTTCCCATAATCCCCACATGTCATGGGAGGGATCTGGTAGGAGGTAATTTAATCATAGGGGCAGTTACCCTCATGCTGCTGTTCTCCTGATAGTGAGTTCTCTCTAGATCTGATGGTTTTATTTACTTGTTGATTGACATTTGCGGAGTTCCCAGTTTAGGGACATTACAATTAAAGATGTTATTAATAATCAAGTACAAGATTTGGGTGGTGTGGTAGACAGGATATCTCCCCAAAGATATCCACATTCTAATCTCTGGGACTTATGAATATATTACCTTACAACATAGCAAAAACGACCTTGCAGATGTGATTAGGAATCTTGAGATGGAAAGATTGTAATGTATTGTTCAGTTGGACCTAATATAATTCAGAAGAGTGTTACACAAGGAAAACCTGATGGTAAGAGTGAGAGAAGGAAATGTGACTGTGGAAGCAGAGGTCAGAGAGAGAGAGAAGAGAGATTTGAAAATGTTATGCAGCTATGCTACTAGCTCTGAGAATACTGAGTGGGGACACAAAAGGAGGAAGGCAGGTGGCCCCTAAAACGTGAAAAAGGCACAGTTTCTGCCCTAGAGCCTCTAGAAAGAATGCACCTCTGCTGAACAACCTGGTTTTTGCCCCAGAAGATCATTAAGGACTTCTGACCTCCAAAACTGTAAGATAATAAAACTATGTTCCTTTAAGCCACTAAATTGTGGTAATTTGTTACAACAGCAATAAACAACTCAGGCAGGTGGATAAATGCTTTCATATCCCTTGGATCAGTATCTAGTAGAATGGCAGGGTCATATGGTAGGCATATGTATATATTTTTAAAAAATGTTCAAATTATTTTCCAAATTGATTGTATCACTCTACATACTATCCAGCAGTGAATGAGACTTCCAGTTGTTCCATATCCTTGCCAAACCTGATGTGGTCAGTCTTTTACAAATACCATCTTTTTAAAATAGGCACAGAGTAGTAGCTCATTGAGGTTTTAATTTGCACTTTACTAATGACTATTGATGTTGAGCATGATTCAAGTGCTTATTTGCTATTTGTATATCTTCCTTGGTGATGTTTATATTCAAGTATTTTGCCAGTTTTTAAAAGTTGTGTCATCTTATTCTTTTTGTTGACAATAAATATTCTGATATAAATCATTTATCAGATACATAATTTGTAGGTATTTTTACCCAGAGTGTGGCCTGCCTTTTACTTCTTTTAACAGTTGCTTTTGAAGTTTAGAAGTTTTAAATTTTAATGAAGCCAATTTATTAATTTATTTTTATTTTTTAAATTTATTTAATTAATTAATTTTTTATTTTTATTATTATACTTTAAGTTTTAGGGTACATGTGCACAACGTGCAGGTTTGTTACGTATGTATACATGTGCCATGTTGGTGTGCTGCACCCATTAACTCGTCATTTAGCATTAGGTATATCTCCTAATGCTATCCCTTCCCCCTCCCCCCACCCCACAACAGTCCCAGGTGTGTGATGTTCCCCTTCCTATGTCCATGCATTCTCATTGTTCAATTCCCACCTATGAGTGAGAACATACGGTGTTTGTTTTTTTGTCCTTGCGATAGTTTGCTGAGAATGATGGTTTCCAGCTTCATCCATGTCCCTACAAAGGATATGAACTCATCATTTTTTATGGCCGCATAGTATTCCATGGTGTATATGTGCCACATTTTCTTAATCCAGTCTATCATTGTTGGACATTTGGGTTGGTTCCAAAGTCTTTGCTATTGTGAATAGTGCCGCAATAAACATACATGTGCATGTGTCTTTATAGCAGCATGATTTATAATCCTTTGGGTATATACCCAGTAATGGGATGGCTGGGTCAAATGGTATTCTTTTATGTATTGTGCTTTGGCTATTTTATCTAAGAAACCTATGACTCACCCACAGTCATGAAAAGATTCTATCATTTCTTCTAATATAATTTTAAATTTTGCATTTAGGTCTATGCTACATGTTAGGTTAAATTTTGTGTATGATGTGAGGTATGAGTCAAAATTAGTTGTTCGTGGGTTTTTCTTTCCTGTAGCTATCAAAGTGGTCAAATAGCATTTATTGAAAAGACTGTGCTTTCTGTATAGTTTTGGTTTTGCATCTTTGTCAAAAATTAAATGGCCAACTGTACACAGTTCTATTTCTGTACCATTCTGTTCTACTGATTTATCAACAGCATACTGTCTTTCATTATTAAGTACATAAACTCTAAGTTTTTGATAGAAGCCTTTAATCAGCTGGAGAAAATCTTTTATATTCCTAGTTTTCTTGTACTTTTTACCAGGAGTAAATGTTGCAGTTTGCCAGCTTTTTCTTTTTTATATTGAGTTGATCATGTTATTTCTTTTTCAGTCCATTAATATGGTTAACTGTATTGATTGATTTTAGAATGTTAAGACAACATTACTTTTCTGGAATAAATTTAATTGGTTATTATATATTATCCTCTTTATATATACTTGAATTCAATTTTCCAAAATGTTTAAAGAAATTTTTGCATCTTTATTCACAAAATATATTAATCTATAATTCGCTTTTCTTGTAATGCTCTCTTTTGGGTTTAGTGCCAGAGTAATACTAATCTTATAGAATGAGATGAAATATGTTCCCTCTTCTTCAATTGTACTGAAGAGTTTGTATAGACTTGATATGCTCTTCCTTAAATACGTGTTGGAATTAACCAATAAAGCCATCTGGGCTTGGAGGTTTTTTTTATTTTTGTGGGGCAGCAGAGTGCACAGGGAAGAGGAGTTTTAAACTACAAATTCAATATCATTAAAAAAGCCATTCAGGTTATGTATTTCTAATTGTCCAATTGTTTTCATAGTTTATACCTTTCAGGGAATTTGTCCATTTTATCTTATTGGCAAAAAGTTGTTTACTCTTGTTCCCTTATTATCTATAGTTGCTCTCTTGCTGTTCTTTTATTTTCTGTAGAAACTTTACTGATGTCACTTGTTTCATTATCGATATGGTCTTTCTTTTTCTTTGGCTACAGGTTTGTCAATTTTAATAAATTTTTTAAAGATCCAGTTTTTGGCTTTATAGATTTTTTCTGTATAATTTTCTATTTTTTTCATTGATTTTCACTATAATCTTTATTTTTTTCTTTTTAATTACTTACCTTGGGTTTAATTTATTTTTCTATTATTTTATTAAAGTAAAAGATGGAATCATTAATTCAAGACCTTTTTGCTCTTCTAACAGAGTCATTTAGTGTTATAAATTTCTTTTTAAGTACTACATTGGCCATTTTCCACAAATTTTGTTATATTGAACTTTTATTTTCATTTCTTTCAACCATTTTCTATTGATTTATTCTTTAATACATGGGTTACTTACAAGTATAGTATTTGATGTCAAAATTTAGTTTCAATTTAGTTTCCAGATGTCTTTGTATTATTGATTACAAAATTAGTTCCATTAGAATCAGAAAACATAATTTGTTTTATTTGAATACTTTTAATTTTATTAAGAATTGTTTATTGTCTGGAAAACGGATTATCTAGGCAAACTTCTTTTGTGTGCACTTTAAACCAAATGTATTCTGTTATTGTTAGGTTGAGGGAGCTATAAACGTGATTTAAAATTTGGTTGGTAATGTTTTCAGTCTTCTATATTTTCACTGGTTTTCTATTTATTCTATATGTTACTAGAGAAAGATGCTAAAATTTGTCTATTTCTCCTGAAAGTTTCACCAGTTTTTGATTCATGTAATTCAAAAAATGTTATTATTCAATGTATAAATAGGAATACAATAGGCATATAGTTAGGAATATATACTTTCTTGACAATTGACCTCTTTATTATTTAAAATGACCTTCTTTATTCACGGCTATATTCTTTGTTCTGAAATCTACTTTGTTTACTATTAATACAGCCAAACTATCTTTTAAAAAATTGTTAACATAGTATATATTTTCTCATAGCTTACTTTTAATTTCACTTTTTCCTTTATAAAGTGTGTTTATTATAGGAAACATACAGTTCAGTATTGTTTTAAAAAATTGTTAACATAGTATATATTTTCTCATATCTTACTTTTAATTTCATTTTTTCCTTTATGAAGTGTTTCTTTGTTTTAAAAAAATTATACTTTAAGTTCTGGAATACATATACAGAATGTACAGGTTTTGTTACATAATTATACATATGGCATGGTGGTTTGCTGAACCCATCAACCCGTCATCTACATTAGGTATATTTCCTAATGCTATGTTTTCCCTTGACCTCCATCCCCTGACAAGCCCAAGTGTTATGTTTACCTCCCTGTGTCCATGTGTTCTTATTATTCAACTCCCACTTACAAGTGAGAACATGCGGTGTTGGGTTGTCTGTTCCTGTGTTAGTTTGCTGAGAATGATGGTTTCCAGCTTCATCTATGTCCTTGCAAAGGACATGAACCCATTCTTTTTTATGGCTGCATAGTATTCCATGGTGTATATGTGCCACATTTTCTTTAACCGGTCTATCATTGATGGACATTTGGGTTGGTTCCAAGTCTTCACTATTGTAAATAGTGCTGCAATAAACATACGTGTGCATGTGTCTTTATAGCAGAAAGATTTATAATCCTTTGAGTATATAACCACTAATGGGATTGCTGGGTCAAATGGTATTTCTTGTTCTAGATCCTTGAGGAATCACCACACTGTCTTCCAAAATGGTTGAACTAATTTACACTCCCACTAGCAGTGTAAAAGCTTTCCTATTTCTCCACATCCTCTCCAGCATCTGTTGTTTCCTGACTTTTTAATGGTCACCATTCTAACTGTCATGAGATGGTATCTCATTGTGGTGTTGATTTGCATTTCTCTAATGATGAGTGATGATGAGTCTTTTTTCATATGTTTGTTGGCTGCATAAATGTCTTATTTTGAGAAATGTCTGTTCATATCTTTTGCCCACTTTTTGATGGGGTTGTTTTTTACTTGTAAGTTTGTTTAAGTTCTTGTAGATTCTGGATATTAGCCCCTTGTCAGATGGATAGATTGCAAAATTTTCTCCCATTCTGTAGGTTACCTGTTCGCTCTGATGATAGTTCCTTTTGCTGTGCAAAACTCTTTAGTTTAATTAGATCCCATTTGTCCATTTTGGCTTTTGTTGCCATTGCTTTTGGTGTTTTAGTCATGAAGTTTTTGCCCATGCCTATGTCTTAAATGGTATTGCCTAGGTTTTCATCTAGGATTTTTATGGTTTTAGGGCTTACATTTAAGTCTTTAGAACATCTTGAGTTACTTTTTGTATAAGGTGAAAGGAAGGGGTCCAGTTTCAGTTTTCTCCATATGGCTAGCCAGTTTTCCCAACACCGTTTATTAAATAGGGAATCCTTTCCCCATTGCTTGTTTTTGTCAGGTTTGTCAAAGATCAGATGGTTATAGATGTGTGGTGGTGTTTCTGAAGCCTCTGTTCTGTTCCGTTGGTCTATATATCTGTTCTGGTATCAGTACCATGCTGTTTTGGTTACTGTAGCCTTGTAGTATAGTTTGAAGTCAGGTAGTGTGATGCCTCCAGCTTTGTTCTTTTTGCTTAGGATTGTCTTGGTTATATGGGCTCTTTTTTGGTTTCACATGAAATTTAATGTCGTTTTTTCTAATTTTGTGAAGAAAGGCAATGGTAGCTTGATGGGGATGGCATTGAATCTACAAATTACTTTGGGCAGTATGGCCATTTTCATGATATTGATTCCTCCTATCCATGAACATGGAAGGTTTTTCCATTTGTTTGTGTCTTCTCTTATTGCTTTGAACAGTGTTTTGTAGTTCTTCTTGAAGAGGTCCTTCACATCCCTTGTAAGTTGTATTCCTAGGTATTTTATTCTGTTTATAGCCATTGTGAATGGGAGTTCATTCATGATTTGGCTCTATGTTTGTCTATTATTAGTGTATAGGATTGCCTGTGATTTTTGTACCTTGATTTTATATCCTGAGACTTGGCTGAATTTGCTTATCAGCTTATGGAGCTTTGGGGCTGAGACAATGGGGTTTTCTAAATATACAATTATTTCATCTGCAAACAGAGACCATTTGACCTCTTTTCTTCCTGTTTGAATACCCTTAATTTCTTTCTCTTGCCTGATTGCCCTGGCCAGAACTTCCAATACTATGTTGAATAGGAGTGGTGACAGAGAGCATCCTTCTCTTGTGCTGGTTTTCAAAGGGAATGCTTCCAGCTTTTGCCCATTCTGTATGATATTTCCTGTAGGTTTGTCATGAATAGGTCTTATTATTTTGAGATATGTTCCATCAATACCTAGTTTATTGAGTGTTTTTAGCATGAAGCAGTGTTGAATTTTTTCAAAGGCCTTTTCTGCGTCTATTGTGATAATTATGTGGTTTTTATCATTGGTTCTGTTTATGTGATGGGTTATGTTAATTGATTTGTGTATGTTGAACCAGCCTTGCATACCAGGGATGAAGCTGACTTGATCATGGTGGATAGGTTTTTGATGTGCTGCTGGATTTGGTGGTTTGCCAGTATTTGATTGAGAATTTTCAGATTGATGTTTATCAGGGATATTGGCCTGCAAATTTTTTTTGTTGTGTCTCTGCCACGTTTTGGTATCAGGATGATGCTGGCCTCATAATGTGAGTTAGGGAGGAGTCCTTCTTTTTCTATTGTTTGCAATAGTTTCGGAAGCAATGGTACCAGCTCCTCTTTGTACCTCTGAATCCATCTGGTCCTGGGCTTTTTTTGGTTGGCAGGCTATTAATTACTGCCTCAATTTCAGAACTTGTTATTGGTCTATTCAGGGATTCAACTTCTTCCTGGTTTAGTTTTGGGATGGTGTATGTGTCCAGGAATTTATCCATTTCTTCTAGATTTTCTAGTTTATTTGCATAGAGGTGTTTATAGTATTCTCTGATGGTAATTTGCATTTCTGTGGGATCATTGGTGATATCCCCTTTATGATTTTTTATTGTGTCTATTTGATTCTTCTCTCTTTTCTTCTTTATTAGTATTGGTAGTGGTCTATTTTGTTAATCTTTTAAAAAAAGCAACTCCTGGATTCATTTATTTTTAGAAGAGTTTTTCATGTCTCTGTCTCCTTCTGTTCTGCTTTGAAATTATTTATTTATTGTTCTCTGCTAGCTTTTGAATTTGTTTGCTCTTGCTTCTTTATTTCTTTTAATTGGGATATTAGCCTGTCAATTTTAGATCTTTGCAGCTTTCTCATGTGGGCATTTAGTGCTATAAAATTTTCTCTAAACATTGCTTTAGCTGTGTCCCAGAGATTCTGGTATGCTGCGTCTTTGTTCTCATTGGTTTCAAAGAACTTATTCATTTCTGCCTTAATTTCATTATTTACCCAGTAGTCATTCAGGAGCAGGTTATTCAGTTTCCATGTAGTTGTGCCGTCTTTGAGTGAGTTTCTTAATCCTGAATTCTAATTTGATTGCACTGTTCTCTGAGAGACTGTTTGTCATGATTTTCGTGCTTTTACATTTGCTGAGGAGTGTTTTACTTCCAATTATGTGGTCAATTTTAGAATAAGAGCTAAGTGGCCCTGAGAAGAATGTATATTCTGTTGATTTGGGGTAGAGAGTTCTGTAGATGTTTATTAGGTCCGCTTGGTCTAGAGCTGAGTTCAATTCCTGAATATCCTTGTTAATTTGTTAATTTTCTGTCTCATTTATCTGTCTAATTTTGGCAGTGGGGTGTTAAAGTCTCCCACTGTTATTTTGTGGGAAACTAAGTCTAAGTCTAAGTCTCTTTGTAAGTCTTTAAGAACTCGCTTTATGAATCTGGGTGCTCCTGTATTGGGTGCATATATATTTAGGATAGTTAGCTCTTCTTGTTGCATTGATCCCTTTACCATTATGTAATGCCCTTCTTTTTCTTTTTTCATCTTTGTTGGTTTAAAGTCTGTTTTATCAGAGATTAAGATTGCAACGCCTGCTTTTTTTTTTTTTTTTTTTTTTTTGCTTTCCATTTGCTTGGTAAATATTCCTCCATCCCTTTGTTTTGAGCCTAAGTGTGTTTCTTATAGGAAACATGTAATTCAGTATTGCTTTTTTATGGAATCTGACAATCTCTATTTTTTTAAAATTGGGATGTTTAGACCATTTACATTTAATGTAATGGCCTGTATGGTTTGATTTAAATTTATCATCTTTCCATTTCTATTTGTACCATTTATCCTTTTTGTCTGCCTTCCTTTGAATTAGTTGAGTACATTTTATGATTTCATTCTATTTTCTTTGTTGGCTCTTTAGCCAAAATTCTTTGTTATATTATTTTAGTCTATGCTATATGTTTTATTTATTTATTTTTATTTATTTTTTTTTTTTGAGATGGAGCCTTGCTCTGTCACCCAGCCTGGAGTGCAGTGGCACAATCTCGGCTCACTGCAACTTCCACCTCCCAGATCCAAGCAATTTTCCTGCCTCAGCCTCCCAAGTAGTTGAGACTACAGATGCGCGCTACGACGCCTGTCTAATTTTTGTATTTTTAGTAGAGATGGGGTTTTGCCATGATGGCCAGGCTGGTCTCAAACTCCTGACCTCATTTGATCCACCTGCCTCGGCCTCCCAAAATGCTGGGATTACAGGCATGAGCCACTGTGCCTGGCCTATGATATATATTTTAATCTCTCATTTTCAACTTCCAAGAAATATTGTTCTTCTTCATGAATAATATAGAATCATATAATTGTATTTTTCCATTTATCCCCTCCTGGCCTTTCTTCTATTGTCAATACATGTCATTGTATTGTTCTATACATTTTAGTTTTAATTATTTTATAAATCCCCAAACATATAATATCTTACTTTTTTATTTTGCACTCATCTTTTAAATTATTTAAATTATTAGAATAAAATTCGTATATACTTATATAGTTACAATGTCTAGTGTCCTTCCTTCCTTTATGTTGATTTATATTTTCACTGGGTATTTTTTTTTTATCGTTTATGCTTGCAGTGCAGGTTGTTGCTATAAATTCTCCCACCTTTTTTTTTTTGTTTGTTTACTGTCTGAAAACATCTTTATTTCCTCTTTATTTTTGAAAGATATTTTCATTGGGTATAGAATTCTAGGTTGGTAATTTATTTTATTTCAGTACTGTAGCCTATTTTTCTACCATCTTCAAGCATGAATTTCTGATTTCAGATGAGTCATTCACTTTATCTGTAATCCTGTGTACATAATGTATATTACTCTACCGGATGCTTTAACATTTTTCCCTTTTTATTGACTTATTCATATTGGTTATTATATTCCATGAGTTACCTTTTTCATATTTCTTGTTTTCAAGGCTTATTTAAATTCTTATATTGTAGGTTCATAGATTTTTTCAAATTTAAAACATTTTAACCAATATTTTTGCAAATTTTTTGTCCTTCTTTCCTCTTCTTCAGAGAGCCCAGTTAATCGTATATTGCTCTATTGAACTTGTACCACAGGGAAAGGATGTTATGTTCATTTTTTAAGTCTTTTTTCCTCTCTTTTTCATTATGGATAGTCTTCATTACTACTCTTATAATTCATCAATCTTTTTTTCTGCAATTTGTAATCTGCTGTTGACTTCATCTAATTATTCTCATCTCAGATACTGTAACTTTCACCTGTAGAACATAAATATCATCCCTTTTTATACGGTCCATGTCTCTACTTAAACTCCTGACTAATTTCTTTAGCTTCTTGAATATATGGAATATAGTGGAATAATAGTTTTAAAGTAACTGCTATTTCTACAGTCTGTATCATTTTCTCAGTGGTTTTAACTGAGTATGCTTACCCTCATTATAGGCCATATTTTCCTGCTTCTTTAAATGTCTAGTAATTTTTTATCTGATGGCAGACATTTTGAATTTTATATTGTTGAGTGAGATTTTTTTATTGTTCCATAAGTTTTACTTCTGTAACAATTAAGCTTGTTGTGGTATTCAGTAAGGTTATTTATAACAGTATGACTCCGTTTGATTTTGTTTTTAAGCTACTAGAGCAGCATTTAGTCTAGCACAAGTGTTGGCCAATTACCAAGATTTAACCATTTTGGGGATTCTACCAGACGCACCTTGAATCATGAGGTCTTCTACTCCAGCTAGTGTCAACAGGAAATATTCCAAACCCTGATGATTATTCTATGTAATTCTTTCAAGTGATTCCTTCTTGAGCTTTATATATCTACCAGTCAGTACTCAGCTGAAGTCTCCAGGGGACCCTCTGTAGATCTTTAGATCCTCTTTTACATCTCGCCTTTCTGGTACTCTGCCTTGTAAGCTCCAGATACTTTTATTTCTCAAAACACCTAACACTGTCTTTTCAACTCAGAGAGCAATAAGCTCTGTATTGCTTTCCTTTTCCTTAGCCACAGCCTCAAAACTCCTTCCCACCAGTAAGCTGGAACAATCACTGGACTTGCTTTGTTTGCATCTCTTCTTTCAGGGATGACTACCTTTCATTCTGATATTTTGAAAACTGTTGTTTCATATGTTTTCTCCAGTATCTTAGATGTTTCAGATGTGAGAATGAATCTAGTCCTTGTTAATCTCTAACATTTAATTTTAATTGAATAATAAAATGATCAGTTCATGATGAGTTCATTTCTCACAGACCTGTTTCCAGATACTCAATATTAAAACGGCTTAATTGCAAGTGTGAAGCTGATTTTCAAATAAAGAGACATTGTTGGTAGAAAAGTACAAACTGGTCTTACATGAAAACTATAAAATTCTGCACAGTTATGCTTCTTTTTGGAAATTTTCAGAAGCTCCATATGTCTTCTTTGTCTTCTCAAACAACTTCTTCTGATGGGTCATAAGACCCAAGTGGTAGCACATTTTTCACTGCAGTATAGACCTACTGCAGAGCCTGTTTTAATTCAGGCCAAATCTAAACTGGATGCCATGAATTAATCAGTTAATGAGTTATATCATCATGTCTAAATGTAGAATATTTTGCTTCCATAATTTAAAAAGGCCCAACAAGTTTTTTGCCTCTTGAAATTAGGAGTGCAAGTTTCAGTCATTTATCTCTCCCTTTAGATAAAATATTCTGTCCTATTCCAGACCACTAACACTTCATAAACCTATCAGTCTGGCAGGCTCAGGATCTTGAACTTTCAAAGGATTTATCTCTCAACCCTTGACACTGTTATGTCTTAATAAGGCATCTAGTGCTTGCTACCTCCTACTTATAGACTCAATTAATGTAAGGTCATCAATGTCAAGATCAATGTGATGTTTTATGGGACACAAAGATGATTAAGTTCTTTACAGTTTATATTATAAAAGAGAGCATACGAGTTGACTAGACAGTGCAGATGAGCTTCTACCCTCGCCTTGCCAGTGTTTTTCCTGATTTGAAGTAGGAAAATAAAGCATTACCTAAGTGTTTCTTTAATAGAGAAGTGCAAACTATTCACGTTGAGGGCTTGTTAAAATACAATTTCTGGGCGCCACCTCTGAAGTTTCTGATTTTTGTCTATTTGGAGTAGGACCCAAGAATTTGCATTTCTAGTGAATTTTGGAGTGATGCTGATGCTGCTGGTCCTTTGAGAATGCAGTCAAGTGGCAGAGGTAGCACTGATTTTCTCCAGTAAAGATACTGCATCTGAAAATGTAGATGATCTAGGCAATTTTGCTTGCAATAATCTACAGCCATTGTTCAAGATTCACTTGGCTTTCCATCAGGCAGAAATGTGAGTTCATTGAGCATGTGTTAAAAATGCCACGTAACTCTCACCACACATCTTTCTGGTGTTTGATGGTGCTACCGTTCTGCCTTTCCCCCAGGGATAGAAGATTGCGTTTGGCTTAATATCTTGGCGGTGGGAGTAGTTTTAGAAGCATCCACTTATTTCATCATACCATAAGCATATATAGCCCATACAATAAGTCAATGGCCCCATTATACACACCCGGAGGTGAATTCAAGTGAGGATTTCATCTATCATGTGATCTCCATAAATGTCCATTACTAGTGGGCCAGGCTGGCATTTAGCATCTCTAGTGATTAGCAGCAGTTCAGATTCTGTAACTAATAAACCCTCAGAAGTTCTGGGTTATTTCTCTTTCACCAGTACACAGCCTTCCTGGTAATTGGCTGTAGGTCACATACAGAAGGTTTGGGGAACACACATAGTACTTATTAATGGCTACATTGTAGATCCTTTCTCAAAAGGAACCAGCCTCCCCTTCAAAGGAGGGACTCCAGGCTGGTGTATTGGCTTAGGTCTTGCAACTGGATAAGAGGCTATGGATTCCCATTATGATGACCTGAATTATATTTTTAGCACTAGACCTAGACATTTTTGCTTGTATATATTAAGTCACACCTCAGTAGGCTGCTCATCTATTTCATTCTGAGGACCTAGGGATCAGTAAGCTACTGACATGGTTAATGCAGGTCAGAGCACTGACTACCAATTCAACACTTGCCTTATTAATGTGATTTTAAGCTCCTCACTTCTGATGGTTAAGCCCTTTGACCTGGCTTCTACTACACTGGCATGTCATTATTCCCATTGAAATATGGAGTGGATTTCTAGTGCAGCATCTCCCACCATTAGTTATCTATGGCTTATAGAAAATGTTTACCATGAAGACTTTCAGTGATGCCTTGGTAAGGGGGTGTCCTCTAGGTCCTCTCAGAGTGACTGGTAGCAGGTAGCTGAGCAGGTTGCACAGTGTATGTGAGTGAGAACTAGACATACATGCATTTTAAAGCCTCCTTGGTGATTCCAATGTACAATTAAGATTCAGAGCCACTGCACTATGTCACATTAATTATAGCCATTGTTTAGTCCAGACTTTAATTAAACAGCCTTTTGGATGTGAACACCACTCCACAGGTACTTAAGTTCATTTACTACATTTCAAACCTGAGTTGAGTATACCTAAAATTTGGAGATTTAAAATTCTTATCCTTTCTTCCATATGCTCAAACATTTTAGGGCCCTATTCTTTTCCCGTGAGTGCCTTTACCTTACTTAGTATGAGATACCTGGCTGGGTTTTTTATTTAGTTGGCCTTAACAGCTGTGCCATCACATTTAGTCCTTGGACTTGACTTTTCTCATTCATATCTGCCCTGTGGCTACTGGAGATAAGGGACTCCTTTAAAGATTTCATAGAAGCTTTCTGATTTTTTCATTCATGCTCTGACTTTCAATTTTTCTCTTCTCTCTTGCTACAGTCTTTGTAAAACCACTGTTGCCATAGTAACTAAGTGCCACAACCACTTGGTCTCCCAAGGCCTTCATTGCATCTGCACTTCATCTTATGCCACCGCCAGTGATTATTTGACTAATCATGATGTCACAGCATGCCAGAGATTATCAGTATCCCTTTCTTAAAGTAAAAAAGCTATCCGTGAGCACCTCAAATATGGTAGCTACCCAACCCCAGACACCTATTTTAAGGGCATTTCCTGGGACCACTTATTTGGTCTCAGTCAATTACTGAGTCACTTAAGATCCTGACAGGAAACAGATGGTACACTCCAATGGACCAATTAGGGAGAATTTAATAAAGGACTATTTATAGAGGTGTGAGTAGGGATAAGAGAAACCTAAAAGAGATGCTAAAGCACTATGCAGCTAGTAAAGGCTGGAAGCTTTTATCAGTCCTAAGTATGAACTCTACTTTCCTTCTACCTCTCATCTTCTGGTACCTCCCACAGGACAAACTCAGCCAGGACAACCCCACCCAGAGGTCAAGAGGTACAGTGTAGGGATCCCATAAAGAGCAGCATTCTTCGGACATGTAGAGGGTGGGAGGAGGATACAGAGTTGTCAAAAAGTTCAAACCATATGTCTCCGCAAGTTTCAACATGTACATTACGTCTTATTTGACATCGTCGATTGGAGGTCTTTAAGACATCTCAGATTCAATGTATTAAAAAGTATATCCAATGTCACAAACCTAAATCCAGTCTACTTGCTGTTAAAAAACAAAGTGGGCCTGAAAGCAAGAAAGCTAAAAGTAACCTTTAATACCACTCAGACTTGGGTCTCCCAATTTACTGCCTATTTTTGTTTCCTTAATTTTTTATTTCTCCCTGTCATTATTATAACACTTCCAAACAATAGTTATTTATTTTTGTCATGGATAAAAACACACTTATTGTTACTTTTAAAAATTATACATGTTATTTTGAAGTGTAACATAGATACAGAAAAGTACATAAATCATAAATATACAGCTCAGTAAACCATAACAAAGTGAACAATCATGTAAGACCAATTGGTAAAAAAATAAAACATTGTGGATATACTAACAGCCTCCCTTGGACTCCTTTTGACCATTCCCCTTTTCTTTCTCCCCTAAAGGAGACCTCCTGACCACTAACACTAAACAATAGTTTAAGTTTGTCAGGAAAACTTCTTTTATAACACCTTTATTGAGATATAATTCATTTACTTTAGAATATTTTCATTAACCTCAAAAGAAACTCTGTATCCATTTGTAGTCACTTCCTATTTTTTCCCAGACCCCACCTTTAAGCCATAGGCAACCAACAATCTACTTTCACTGTACATTTGTTCATTCTGGGCACCTCATAAAAAAAAATCACATAGAATGTGTTTTTGTGATTGGCTTGTTTCACTTAGCATGATCTTTCAAAGGTTTATTCAAGTTTTTCCAGTACTTCACTACTTCCTATTGCTTAATGATATGACATTGTATAGACATACCCCATTTTATTTATTCATTTAACTGTTGATGGATATCTACGTAATTTCCACTTTGATTTTGTTGTGAATAATGCTGCCATCAACATTTGTGTACAGGTTTTTGTGTGTGTGTGTGTGTGTGTAGCACAATTATTATTTAAATTGCATTATATCAAAAGAATAATTCAACAGACAATCATTCCAATCATTTAACATGCAATCATTTTGTGGAGAAAATGCTGGTCCTACAAAAATGCCCTTAACATATAACCTTAACATTAACCTTAACATATAAGGTTAATATGTTACCTTACATGGCAAAAGGGACTTTGCAAATGTGACTAAAGCTATGGACTTTGAAGTGGGAAGATTATCCTGGATTATCAGAATGGGACTAATGTAACCTAATTTAATTTCTCAATTTTCTTAATTTGTTTCTCTAGCCCTACCCTGTATTGACTTCTTATACTCTATGTTCAAAGGTGACAACTCTTCATGAGATGCATCAACTGTGTTCCTCGAACTCAGGCAGGTTGTTGAAGATCACAAGGTACTAGTGGTATAAGAGGATGGGAGGAGAGTAAAGTTAAATCATTTATTCCTCTGGCTCCTTTCCTTTCTGGCTATGGGTTTGCAGTGGTTTTGTTTTTCTCTGGCCTTCTCCTGAACCATTTGTTGAAAAGACTGCTCTTTCCCCCATTGAATTATTGTATTCAAAATATTTGAATAAAACTTTAACTCTGTAGAAAATCAACTGTCCATAAATAGAAGAATTTATTTCTGGGCTTTCAATTCATTTCCATGTATTCATATATCTATCCAGCACTACACTTTCTTGATTGCCAGAGCCTTGACATCAAGAAGTATGTGTCCTTCAAGAAGTACGCATCCTTCAAGTTTTTCTTTTTCAAGATTATGTTGGCTACTCTGAATCCCTTGCATTTCCATATGAATTTTACAATCTGTTTGCATTTTCTGCAAGGACATCAGAAGGAATTTTTATAAGGATTGCACTGAATCTTTGGATCAATTTTGGGAATATTGTCATTTTAAGAATAGTCTTCTGGGACTGTCTTTTCATTTATTTGGGCCTTCTTTAATTTCTAACACTAATGTTTTCTAGTACTCAAGGTACAAGTCTTGAACTTATTTTGCTAAATGTATTCCTAAGTATTTTATTATGATTGGCATGATTGCAAATAGAACTTTTTTAAAAATTTTATTGTTCATTACTAAGGTATAAAAACACAATTGAGTTATGTGTAGTAATCTTGTATTCTGCAAACTGGATGTGCTGATTTTTTTTTTAATTCTAGTGACATCTTTGTGGATTCCGTAGGATTTTCTCTATAAAAGTAATTGTCGTCTACAAGGAGAGATATACTTCTTCCTTTCTTTCTAATATTGATGCTTTTCTTTTCCTCCTCCTCCTTCTCCTCCTCCTCCTCCTCTTTCTTCTTCTTCTCCTTCTTCTTCCTTCTTCTTCTCCTCCTTCTCCTTCATCTTCTCCTCCTCCTTCTTCTTCTTCCTCTCCTCCTCCTTCTCCTTCTTCTTCCTTTCCTCCTCCTTCTTCTTCCTCCTTCTTCTCCTTCTTCTTCTCCTCCTCCTTCTCCTTCTTCTTCCTCTCCGCCTCCTCCTTCTTCTTCCTCCTTCTTCTCCTTCTTCTTCTTTCTTCTTCTTCTCCTTTCTTTCTTCTTCTTCCTCCTCTCTTTTTATTTCTCTCCCTTTTCCTTCTCCCCTCCAGCTCTGCCTTTCCTCTTATTTGTCCTGGATAGAATCATCAGTATAACGTTAAATAGAAGTGCTGAGAGTGGTGGACATATCTTTCTCATTCCTGATGTTAAGGTGAAAATTTTAAGTTCTTTCTGATTAATTATGTTGTTAGCTCCGGAGTTTTTGTACACCAACTTTTTAGTAAGTGTGGGAGTACCTTCTATTAATGGTTTGTTGAGTATTTTTATCATAAAAGACAAATATTATCAACGTTTTTCTGTGTTTATTGAGATGATTATATAATTTTTATTCTTTATTCTATGAATGAGGTATATTATACAAATTATTTGATGCAACCTTGCATTCCAGGGATAAATCCCACCTGGTCATGGCACGTAATATTTTTTAATATGTTGCCAGACTTGATTTGCTAGTATTTAGTTTTTCTATGTGTATATTCATAAATAATATTGGTTTGTATTTTTTTGTGATATCATTGGATGGTCATGGTGCCAGGGTAATACTGGCCTCATATAATACATTGAAAAATTATTCCTCCTATTTTTTGGAAAGAGTTTGTGATGAATTGATGTTAATTCTTCTTTAAATATTGGGTAGAATTCCCCAGTATAACCATCTGAGTCTAGGTTTTTTTCTTTGTTGAAGGTTTAAAAATTATAATTCAAAGTATTTGCTTGCTGTAAGTCTATACAAATTATTTATTTCTTCCTTAGTCAATTTTGTTAGTTTGTGTCTTTCTAGGAATTTTCCATTTTGTCTATCTAATTTGTAGACATCCTTTACTGTTTACCTATTTGTATCTTTATATTTAAAATGGGATTCTTGGGGATAAATATATACTATATAAAAATAAAAAAATACACAATTGAGTGTTGCTTTTATATTTAACCTGAAATACTCTGCCTTTTAAATGGGGTGTTCAGTCCCTTATATTTAATGTGATGATTAAATTTGATTGTAAACTTATTCCTCATTTTCCATACGTTTTCTTTTGTTATGCATGTTATGCTTCTTTTCTTATTTTATATAGTTTATTTTGTATGATTCAATTTTATTTGTGCTTTATTAGCTTTAAATATTCATTGATTTATTTTAGTATTTGTTCTAGGGTTTATAGCTTACACCTTTAGCTTACAGTTTATAAACCGTGAACTATATTTTGGAGTTTTCATTCAAGTGATACTATACCACTTCACATACAGTATAAGAATCTTACAATAGTGTTCTTCCATTTATTTTCTCCTGGTCTTCACACTACTCTTGCCACACATTTTATATCGTCATATGATATAAACCTCACAATGCATTGATATTCACTTTACATTAAAAAGCCATGTAACTTTAAAACATCTTTAAGTGTTTAAAATAAATCTCATTTAAATATAACCACATAATCACTATATCTGGGTCTCTCTGGTCCTTTGTAAAAATCTATATTTCCATCTGATCAAAACTGTGTCAGCCTGAAGGAAGTCCTTTCACATTTTACATAGTTAGATACTACTAGTTATAACTAAGTTGTAGCTGCTAGTTATATATAAATCATCAGCTTTTGTAGGTGATTAAAAAATTTTGGAATAGCAATTTTGTTTTTATGACATTGTAAACAGTATTTTATATTTTATTTTTTATTTCTTTGTTGATGTGTAAAAACAATTAAATTTTATATCATCCTTGTATACTGCAAACATTATGAATTCTTATATATGTCCTAATACATTTTTAAAAATCCATTACATTTTCTATATACATGTTTATATCATATGTGAACTAAAACAGTCTTTCTTCTTACCTTCCATTTTTTTGTTGTTTAATTTCTTTATTTCATCAGGCATGGACTCCAGTACTGTGCAAACTACATGGGATGAATATGTATATTTTGCCTATTCCTGATCTTTAAAATGAAATAGTATTTTTCCATTCACTACAACAATTGCTATAGGCATTTCATAGATGCTCTTTATGAGATTAAGTAAATTCCCTTCTAGTCTTATTTGAGAGAGATTAAATCTGTAATGATGTTAAGTTCTGTCAAATCATTTTTCTACTCATCATCATATGGTTTTCAAAACTAATAAGATTTGCTTTATGAAAGTAGCATTTAATTAATCTAATGAATGTTCCATGCGCACTTGTGAAGAATGTGTCACCCAAATTTGGGTACAGTGTTTTTTAAACATAATTTATATCAAATTAAAATCTTCTGAATTGTAACTGATTTTCTTTTGTCTAATTATATCCTCAGTTACTGAGAAATGACTGTCAAGATAGTCCATAAATGATTATAATCACTTATAATCCACAAGTAGTTGTGGATTTGTCTATTTCTCTGTTTAGTTATGGTCAATTTTTGTATCAAGTACTCTGAAGCTCTGTAATTAGGTGGATATTCACTAAAAATGTTACATTGTTTTGATGATTAATAGTTTTATTATTGTGAAATATACTTCTTTATCTTTGGTAATATTACTTGTATTTAATATACTTTGTCTAAGATTAATATAACCATATATACTATCTTATTGATATGGACGTGAGAGGGAAATATTGAGTATAAGAGGGCAGTTCCCCAGCAAAGACTCCACCCTCAAGCCTGAAGACCTGCGGCCTTAAATGAGGACAGGCATTTCTGTTTTTGCTACCAAAAAGTTGCCTTTTGGCCTGCGTGCCCCCTATGCTGCCCTAATGTAAACTGCAAACTCCAAGTTCCAGATGAGACCCACAAGTGAGGAGAGGAAGAGGCAAGCAGACCAGCAGACCGGTGGACCAGCAGACCAGCTACAGGGGAATGATGCAGCTCTACTCCAGGGGAAGACCACCTTCCCACTCCATCCTCACTTCCCGCTCCCCATCCATCTCACTGAGAGCCACCTCCGCCACTCAGTAAAACCTTGCACTCATCCTTCAAGCCCTGATTCTTTCAGGACACTAGCAAGAGCTCGGGATACAGAGGACTGTCACACTGGACCCCTTCCCTTGCAATAAGGCAGAAGGTACATTGAGCTGATTAACACACAAGCCATCTGCAGACAGCAAAGCTAAAGGAGCACACTGTAACACACACCCACTTGGGCTTTGGGAGTCGCAGACACCCACCTCTATACACTGCCGTGGGGCTGGAGCCCAAAAGCACTTACCCTGGTCCCTGCACATGCCTGTCTGTGTGCTCCCCTTCCTGTAGAGGTTTAAGCTGTGGGGGCAAACACAGGTGAGCCACACTCCTGTCGCATGTTCTGAGAGGGGAAGCAGGGAACTCTCCCATTTCATTATGATGAGGATGTGCATGATATATCTGTTTCTATCCTTTTACTTTTAGACTGTTTAAGTCTTCATATGTAAAGTGCATCTTTTTAGACATTATGCAATTGCTTGTTTTTATTCTTTTTAATAGTAACTTATAAGATTGTTATCTCTGCCTTTTAATGAATGTATTTTATCCATTTACCATAGAGATAAATTTTGGCACAGTTAGGTTTAATTTTATCATCTTGCTATTTATATCCTAGAGGGTGATAACTTTATCAACTAGAATATGATGCTTATGTATGGGTTATAAAAATTGTTATTATGCAGATTGCATTCATTTCTAAAGTTACTTAGGTCAGCACCTGAGTAACAATGTATGATCGTTTCATACATTTGTAATATAGTTTGGTTTTTTTTGTTATTACATTCTATAGTCTTCCAGGGACTGTCTAGCTTCTTCAATGATACTTTTCTAAATTTGCATATACTCTTTGTACTACAAAGTTTTATGTGTTTGACAAATGCATTGTGTCACTATTACAACCTTGTCTGAATTATTTTTCGTTTTCAGTTTATTCTGGCTTTTAACTTTTTAGTTATGATATTTGTATATATTCATATATATATATTTTATTTATATAAAATTTATGTATTTAGCTATTTTACTTTTATTAGTTCTAGCAATCATAATGTGCATTATTAACTTATCACTATTTATTGTCAGTTAACATAATGGCAATTCACAAATAAAGTGAGAACTTGTGACAGGATAATTCTATTTATTTCTCCATTCTTCGTCTTGTTACTTTCATGTATCTTACTTCTCTGTGTTATAAACTACACAATATATTTTTTAACTTTAAAAGCCAACAGTCTATCTAAAATCTTATTTTAAAAAGTATTTATATTTTCCCACATATTAACCACTATTGTTTTTCCTTATTCTAGACATTAGTTTTCATTTGCAATTTACTTCAGCCTAAAAGCCTTCCTTTAGCATTTGTTGCAGTGTTGGTTTACTGGAAGTGAATCATATCTACTTATTTTTATCTGAATATTTCTTTCTTCCATCCTCATTTTGAAGTATATTTTCACTAGGTATGGAATTCTAAGTTGATCTTTCAACACTTTAAAAGATGTTGTTCCCTTGCCGTCTGGTTCCCCCCGCTCTGTATGCACTGTGTCTTATTTATCTGGTAGCTGCTTTTAGACTTTTTATATTTGTTTTCCAAAGTTTGACTATGATGTACCTAGGTATGAACTTCTTTGTTCTGATTTTCCTTTGTGTTTCCTTAGGCTTTGGGTCTGTAAGTTAAGGTTTTGGGTCAAATTTTGCAAGTTTTTCGTCATTATTTCTTCAAATAGTTTTCTTGCTCATTCTTTATGTTCTCACTTTCTAGAACTCAAATTACATACATGTATGTTTGCTAATGTAATATTTTTTAAAAAATAAATCTTATCCTTTGTTCATTTTCCCCCAATCTTATATTCTTCATGTACTTTTATTTGGATAATTACTATTAATCTCTTTTTATGTTTACCAATTATTCCTTCTGCCTTGTTCATTTGTTTCTAAAACAAACTAATTCATTTTTGTTTCCTATGTTGTTCTTTTCAGTTAGAAATATCAATTTGATTTTCTATTATCTATTTGATATCTCTTCTAAATATTTCATATCCGCAGCCATTCTTTCCATCTTACAGTAAACATTTAACATTTCTATAATAGTTTTCTTAAAATCTTTGATGACTAATTACATGATCTGAAGTATCTGCGATTTTGCTTCTATTGATTAATTTTGCCGTTAGTTATAGGCCATATTTTCCTACTTCTTCATAATCCCTTCACATGACCACATGGCATACAGTATATCTAAAGGAAAAATGGATATTAAATTTTTATCTCTCCATCTCTATCTCCTACAGTTTGAAAGCCCTTTCTTTCATCAGGTACCTAAGGTGAAGAGTTGCCCTATTAGATTTTACCAAGAACTAGCTTGAAGTTTTAATTATATTGTGTTCACCATTGATTTCCAATGGGATTGTGGAGATTGCACTTTACCCTTTAGCCCTACCCTCAGCTTTCAGAGCAGTAGCCACAGAGGGTCTAATCCCTCGATCTTTTCAGGATTTGAGCTAGGAGTGGTTTGGGTTCTAGATTTAGTTGTTTTTGGCTCACTTGTATATTCTCCTTCAGCAGAGCCCTTGAATCTGAACAAACTGAGTGAGACTATGCAAACACTGTTTTCCAGCCCATATCCATTGCTAATACTGCTGCTTTCTCTGGTATTCTTCATCAAAATTTCTAGCTGAAGGAATTGCCAAGATGAAATATTTACTTTTGTATTTGGGTCTCTCACATATTTTTAATCTATCTTTCTAGCCATACTGACATGAAAAGCTCATTTGTTTTTTCTTTGTCATTGTAAAGTCTCCCTGTCTAAGGTGGGCCTCTCATGGGCACAGCCACACTCACAAGAGACACTTGTCCCTAGTTCTTGAAGATCTGCACTTCTTTGTCCACCTATAGAGAATTTTTTAATGGAGTCTTGCCCTGTTGCCCATCACAGCTCACTGCAACCTCAGCCTCCTGGGTTCAAGTGATTATCCTGCCTTGGCCTCCTGAGTAGCTGGGATTACAGGTGCCCACCATTACATCCAGCAGATTTTTTGTATTTTTATTAGAGATGGGGTTTCACCATGTTGGCCAGGCTGGTCTCGAACTCCTGACCTCAAGTGATCTGCCTGCCCCAGCTTCCCAAAGTGCTGGGATTATAGACGTGAGCCACCATGCCTAGCCTCTTTGTCTGCCTATAGATGTTTCATCTCTTTTTGGCCTTAACTTATTACAGATTCTTTGAATCAACTGCTCTACAATAGATTTACAGGAAAGTATGCTATTTTGTTAGTTTTTTTCCTTGTTGTTAACACAGGTCCTATGGTCTTCCACGTTCTACTACATCTTAATCAGAAGTGAAACTTTCCACCATTGCTTATTGCCTGTGTTTCCCCAATAATCTAATTTGTCTTATTTTTTTCTTCCCTTCCTTCCACAAAGCAATCCATTTACAAAAGAACAATCAAAGTCATCTTCAAAAGTAGCATAAAACAGTTTTTTTCCCTTGTGAATAAAATGCATTATTTTCATATGTGAATCATAAGGCAATCTTTCTCTGGAATTCTTCAACCAAATGCCTCTTTGTAATGACATTTTCTTTAGTCATTAGTTTATCTCCCAAAGTAGCTCAGATCTGTAGGCAGCAGATTTAAATCTAGCTAGTGGACTTTATGCTTCAATTGTTTGAAAGTTGATGTATTAGAAAACTTTGGGCTGCTATAATACAATTTCATGGATTACGTGGCTTAAACACAGTTCTAGAAGCTAGAAGTCCACCATCAAGGTGCCAACAAATTTGATTTCTGGTAAAGACTCACTTTCTGGCTTGTGAATTTTCACTTTATTACTTTGTCCTCACATGGCATTTCCTTTGTACTCATGCAGCGAGAGCTCTGGTGGCCCTGGCCTTTCTTCTTCTTATAAGGGCACTAATCCTATTGAATTAGGGTCCCATTGTATGACTTCATTTAACCTTAATAACTTCTATAAAGGCCCTATCTCCAAATACAGTCACATTGGAGGTTGGCACTTTTACATATAAATTTTGAGGGGATACAATTCTGTCCATAACAGTTGGCACTTATATTATGTTCAAAATGTAAATGTATATTTTATTTTTATCTGTGTATTTTAAAGGACTTTTGCATGACTTGTGCCTGCCTGGTCAACCAAGTACCTAAAGGCTTGGCCATGCTCCACTCCCTAAATTAGTCAGTTCTGTATCATCCCACAAAGAAAAAGTCTGAATGCTTTTTCTGCAAACAATCTGAAGCAACAGGATGAGCACTCAAGGTATCTCATTACACTCACATGTAATTCACATGGAATTAAGTGAGGCAAGGCAGATCTTGTGATCTCTAGATGGTAGGGATGAATCAACGCATCCCTTTCTGCTATTGGTGTATGTGAAAGTTGCCTGGGATGATGAGAAACTCCAACCCTTAATACATCCCTTTACTGAGTCCCTCCACTTGCTTTCCACTGTGTCTCTGTGGATGGAAGGTGGTCTTCAGCCTTACTTGTACTCTGCTTACAGGTAGCGGTCATTGTGACAGACTCCCAGCATCTATTCTACCCTTTGATTAGTCTCAGCCAGTTAACGATAATTTCACTTCTTTTCGATTGGGTGAGGAATGTTCATGTGACTGAACTGTGGCTTTCTGTAGATAAGGAGAAGTCTGCTAAGAAGCTTCTGAGAATTATGTAATCATTCCCAAGAGAAGGCTAGAAGAACAAGTGTATGGGGTCTTGACTGAATGCGAGGCCAGCGGCCATCTTTTTGCCAGCTTCATGATTAAGCTAACACTGAGGGTAGCAGAGCAGAATGATAAAGTGAGGGGTTTTTCCTAATAAAATTTTGAATCACTCAGTTAATTCATCTTTCAGCCCACTCCACCTCTGAATTTCCTATTATGTATGACAGAATTTCAGGATTTCTGTTACTTGCATGCAAGTGTATCTGAAGCAATGCAACATTTGTAGTGAATTGGTCATGTATACATAGAAGTTCATTAGAAGGATTAAAAAATCTGCCTCTAGCTTCACCTCTAGAACTGGAACATTATTCCTTTATCAGACTACAGTGGCCCTCCCTTAGCCACAAAGGATACAAGACCCCCAGCAGATGCTAGAAATCAGAGATGGTACTAAACCTCGAATATACTATGATTTTTCCTATACATACATAACTATGGTGAAGTTTAATCTATAAATTAGGCAAGTGTGAGTTTAACAACAACTAGTAAATAAATAGAACAATTATAATAATATACTATAATAAAAGTTATGCAAATGTAGTCTCTCTCTTAATATCTTACTGTATTGTACTCACTTGTTTTCAGATGTGTTTGACTGCAGGTAACTGAAACTGTGGAAAGTGAAATCACAGATAAAAGGGCCTACCATATATCCTTCAAAGTCTTCCTGCTGCTCTTAAGATGTTCTTTTTTTGTTTGTTTGTTAGTTTGTTTAGAGATGGAGTTTTGCTCTGTTGTTCAGGCTGGAGTGCAGTGGCGTGGTGTCAGCTCACTGCAACCTCTGCCTCCCAGGTTTAAGCAATTCTCCTGCCTCAGCCTCCTGAGTAGCTGGGATTACAGGCTCCTGCCACCATGCCTGGCTAATTTTTTTGTATTTTTAGTAGAGATGGGGTTTCAACATGCTGGTCAGGCTGGTCTCGAACTCCTGACCTCGCGATCCACCCGCCTCAGCCTCCCAAAGCCATGGGGTTACAGGCAAGAGCCACTGCGCCTGGCCAAGATGTTCTTAATATGGCTTACAAAGCCTGGAATTACTTTGAAACTGTAATCCGATTTTTCATATGTGCTCAAGAGACACATCCTTCCTCCAGTGAGTCTGTCTACATTTGCATAATTTGTTCGTTTCCCTTTCTTTACTCCACCACCTAATTCATCTAGTTAGCTCTTAGTCATCTCTCTTTAATTCTCAGTTACAATACCACTTTCTCAGTGAAAATTTTTTGGATTCCACAGACTAGGTCAGGTTCCCCTACTATGTGTCTTCAAAGACTCTTGGATTTTTTCCTGCTTAGCCTTTTCTTAATTTGTAATGATATATCTGCATAGTTATTTGTATATGTTTTGATAGCTTCGAAAGGTGAAGTTCCTGCTACTTTTGCTTAATAATACATCCTCAGTACCTAATATGCTTCTCCACAGTAAGAACTAATTAAATAATTATTTATTGAATGAATTAATACGTGGATGAGCTGTTTCTTATATAACATAATTTAAAGCACACTAGTATGCTGATAGCTCAACTTTGAATTCAGCCTGGTATGTGCTCATCCCTCTTTGAGTGGTAGAGAAGAGACAAGTACTTTACTCTGAGCTTTTACTATGAGTGAAATAGGAGACAGAGGAATGTTTTGGGACAAGGGATGGCATGTTTTGACTTATCTTTTAAAATAATTATTGTTGCAATTGTGCAAATCATTGAGTGTAGACGGATAAGGGAATAGATGGATCAATTTAGAGACTACTCACATAATCCAGGCAAGAGATCATTTTGACAAATAACACCTTTGCCTGGAGTGTTATTGGTAGAGGTGTGGAAAAGTAATGTGATACGGGATATATTTTGAAAGCAGAGCTCACAGGACTTGCTGACAGATACAAGACGTGTGTGTCAAAAGAAGGGTAAAGGATGATTCCAAGGTTTTTTTCCATAACCAACTTGAAAAAATAGGTTTGCTATTTACTGAGATGGAGAATATTGTAGAAAAGGCAGGCTTTGGAGAGAAGAGCTGGATCCTAATTTTAAACATGATACTTCTGAAATGGTATTAACAATTCAAGTGGAGAGGTCAAGTGAGATTGTTGAATATATTAGTCTGGACTACATGGCAGAGGACTTGGTGGAGTTAAGCACTTGTGAGTTGCTGGCAGATATGTGCTAATTAAGCCAGGAGACAGGATAAGATCCTGTAGACAGTGGATATAGTTAGAAAAGGGGGAGAATGAGAACTGAGGCCTAGAAATCCTAACAGTGAGAAATTGGGTTCATGAGAAGGAACAGACAAAGCAGATTGTGAAGTGGCTTGTGATGTGGAAGGAGAAACAAGAAAGCATGATGTCTCAGATTCTAAATGAAGAAGGTGATTCAGAAAGTGGGAATAACCACCTCAGCTGAATACTTCTGATAGGTTCAGTAAGATTGACCATTGGATTTAGCAAAGTGTAGGTCATTGGTAATGATGAATAAGCAATTATAGTAGAAATGTGGGAGTAAAATTGCATTTGCAGGGATTTCAAGGAGCAATGGGAGAGAGGAATTCTAATCATGCACATAAACCACAGTTTTAAGAAGATTTTCATAAAGAGGAGCAGGAAATTGTCAAAGAGAAAAGGGGTATCATGAGAAGGTTTTTTAAATAAGATGGCCAAAATGATAAGTCTTCTGCTTATAAAAATCCAATAGAGAGAAAATTTGATGATTCTGCAGAGAGGGGAATAATTAACAGGCAATGAGATACCACCAAGGAGTTGGTCTTGGTTAATATGCAAGAAGGACAAAGAAGAATATATAGGCTCAGGCTTAGATAAATAGGTGCATGTGTGGTTGGGAGCCTGGTGGTTTTTTGTGGTGTCTCTTCTGACATTGTCATAGGAAACAGTCATTAAGCGATAATGAGGAAGGGGCAATATAAACTGGTGAGTTGTAGGAGAGAGAAAACAGTATGAAATTGTTAATGAGAAAGTGGGAGAATGAATGATTTCAGCAAATAGATCAGTATTGTTGGGAATCCATTAAAAGCCCTCTTGGGTTCACAATCAGAAATACATGAAAGAGCACTGTTGGTTGTTTCCTTTCAGGCACTTTCAGCCAGGAGAATGCAGGTGTACAGCGGGTAAAATGTTAGATTTATCCAACAGCAAGTTTTCCTAGGTATGAAGACTTGAGAGTTTAGTGGTGGCAGGTAGGTGCATGCAAATGAATAGTTATAATAGTGGCCAATGGAATACAAACTGAGTAGAGAGAAATGTGAAGATCTGCTGTCGCTGGAAGAAAGAGACATGTATTTTGGGAAGTGCAGCACTTGATCTCCACTGCAAAATTGACTGTTGCTAACTTTGCATCCAATGTTATAATAGGATAGTAAAGTTTGGCAGGGGACTGACTATATATATATATATATATATATATATATATATATATATATATGGCTATATATATATGGCTATATATATATATATATATATATATATAGTAGATCTAATCCAAATATATCCAAGTTATATAAAAAACCTAGTTCTATAATGCCTGACAACAATTGGGAAGAAAGTCTAAACATTTCCCTTATTTATTCAAAATTATAGCAGTATAAATATCAAGATCATTAAACTTGCCTTTCGGAGAAGCTGATTCTTGGGAACAGCCATCTTCTTTTGCAAAGGACTACACTAAATTTGAGAATTCACAATCAATTCTGACTGAAAGGAATTTATGGATTTTTTTTCTGCAATAGTAGGGAAGATAATTGATATCTGGAGTACATGGTAGAAAGTGATACATGCTGATAGGGAGGTCCAGATTAAGTGATTGATAACTCAGAGGAATGAGAAATTACTTCAATAGGAAAAAATGGCATCAGTCAGCAAAAACAGAAAATAATACGTGGTATGAAATGTAACATTTTTAGGAACAATCTTACCTCAATCTAATTAAATTTGTATTCAACTAAATAACCTGGATATTGTAGCAGGTATAATAATTTGCTCCATTCATTACTGTTCTCAACTTCCTTTCTAGTGTAGTTTCTTGGGCTGAAGAGACTAGAAAGCTAAATTTTCCTCAGACTAATTTTCACCAAGTTTTTGAATATCATTAAATTTCCACTAATCCAGAACACTCATCATATTTGAAAATGTAACTGTGTCAACACAGAGAGGGTGGGAAGCGGATCATGAAGTATCTATCTTGCTTACATGGCTTGCGGACATGGATAGTTATAATTGGCTCGGGAGCTGGAAGCTGTCATGTTAGTGCTCTGACAGAGCAGCTTCCATCTCACACCCCTAATGTTGGGAGGGGCAGAAACTCCCATGCTGTTCTAGATTTATACTGTTACCTTCAGGGTTGTTTCTAGATGCTCAACCTCTTTTCTGTCTCATGCTCCTTCTCAGTAATTTTGAAAGTTATTCAATATCAAGTAATAAGTCTTTTTTTTTCTGTTCAAACTAGTTAGAATGGAATCTGTTCTCTGCAACAGAACATCTGATAAAAAGAGAGAAATAACCTTATAAAATTAGAAATTTTATCTAACAGATTATGAATATCTTATTTCATGCTAATTAAATTTGGATTTGACGGAAGAACCTGGGCATGAAGCAGTTATAGTAATTTGCCCTACTCGTTATTGTTCTCAATTTCCTTCTATGTTAGAAATATACATTCCTGGGATATAGTCTCTGACTGATGCAATAGGGACCAAAGAGTCTATTTGTAGCAAGTGCTCCTATATGATTCTGATATAGCCGACACCTAGAGCGGAGCCACTTGGTAACCCTTGATACAGAGAAATTACTCAAAGGTCCTAATGAAATTTGGTATTAAAAATGTGTCTGCATTATCCTATCATGTGGTTTAAGTGAATTTGTGAGCAAGAAAAAAATATGTTGCCAATTTACGACTCTTTAGCAATATAAGTGTAGTCAATTCTCAACTCATTGATAGCATAAGTGCCTATGCATGAACATATTCACATACATACCCTAGATAGCATTTAATATAACTTTTTGAGACAAAGTTAGTTTTCTGAATTCAAAAGTCATGATGTAGGATAATCGGTACATATATTTCACTTTCATTTTGAAGGTAGAATTGAATGTATGGTACCTACCGCTATGTGCTGAGCATACAGTTAACAAAAAAGAATTTTTTTTTTCAGTTTTGTTTTCTCTTTTCACTTTGGAAATTTCATCCTTTTACTAAAAATAATATCTGAAAAATAGTCCAATGGTTTTCAATTTTTCTTTTTTGAATAGTCACAATCCTTTTCCCCAAGTATTTTCTTTTAAGAGTAATGGTTAGGAATAGAAGTTTTTGAATTAAAAAATATTAATACATATAATTAGAGTTGTCATTGAAATCCAAGGGAAAAACAAATATTCACCATAATTACCAAACGAATCAGACTTTTGTTTTTGCCTACTTGCTCATATGTATTTCTGTAATACCTTTGATCACAATATTGATCACATTTTCTATTCTTTACTTAACTCTATATAATTAAAAATCCCACAATACCTAGCATGTACTGAGCATTTATGTTCTAAATAGTGATCTAAATACCTTAAATATGTTAAATAATTTTTATTTGCATCAGTCCCATGAAAGTATTTCTATTACTGTCTTCATCTTACAAACGGGGAAACTGCATTTCAGAAATTCAATAAGAAACTTTTCTAAGAAAGGATACAGATAGATACAAGAGACCCTAATAGCATGTCTCATCCTTGTTGCTGTATTTTTAGAATTTTCTCTTTAATATAAGGCTTACATCAGGAAAATTGTTAAGTATGTATTACATAATGAGATTTTACCATCTTTATACTGAAGATGACTTATCTTATCACCTTTGTCTTCCTAGATGTATTCTGCTACAGAGAATGTTTCTGTAAATTTAAGTTTCTTAATATTTTAACTATTTTATTAAAATAAAAACTATAGATGTGGAGTAATAGATCAAAAGCTATGAACACTTTAGAAATCTTACTCAGTCTTTCCAAAACCCATTATATATGCACAACCAGATTATAAGTATATGATTTTAACCATTTCTCTAATTTTTGAGAAGACTAGTAGTTAAACTTACAAAAGTTCAGATTTATATATAATGAAATTGGTACTTCATTGTAATTTTAATTTATGTTGTAATTAGTGGTGCAGTTAATCTTTTTCTCCTTTCAAGAATCAATAAATGTTTTATGTTTGTCTACCAGCAGCATTTTGCCATACAGGGAAGTAGCATTATATATATAGTAGAAGAGTGTCTTTAAGCTGATACGGCTTACTACAGTTCCCTGGTCTTAGTCCTATTACTTAATTTCATTAAACACATTTTTTTCCTCAACTGTAACTAGGGAAAAATTATAATTTTGTAGAGTTACTTTCAAGATTCAAGAGAATGCCTATAAATCCCCTAAGTATTGCTACATAGAGAATATTTTAAAACAGTAGTTGTGATTATTGCTTTTTGAATTATTATTAAATATTTGTTCACAATCTCCATTCACTAGAATTTTGCAATTTGTATAGTTTTGCAAGTAAAGGTATTGAGTCTTTGTCATACTAGGTGAAAGAAAAGAGAAGCTCTGTTTTGAATTTGTTTTGAACTAACAATGGAAAAGGTAGTATTAATCAGAATTTATTCAGGTTGCTTGCAACCAGAGAGTTAGTTGCATATAAACAAAACACCATTTCCTTACAAGTGTATGGTAATTAAAAATTATATCAGGTTAGAGCTTTTATAATAAAAATAAGAAAATATTTTTCTGATTTTATGTTTAAAAATGTAAAGTTGATTAAAAATAAGAACATTTATACATAGTAAAACAAGAAAACTACGCCAGATAAGTTTTTGAAGTTTTTGAAAATTAAGAAACAAAAATTCGTCTTCTGCGTAAATTTCTGAATAAAATTAAGCTGATGGTTGAGATTTCAAGAAACTAAAATAATAAATTAGTAACTTTATAGGGAACTTTATAGAGTGAAATGGAGTATATAAAAGCACTCATATGTGGTGATCCGGTCATCTCTTATAACAGTTTTGTCTATCACAGGAGAACAAAACCCCAACAACTTCAAAATTATAATTATTTTCATTATCATAACAGAATTTCAATGAACAGATTTTCTCTCTTTTTATCCACCCAAATGTACGAAAACTGTATGCATATAAACATGCTGATTCTATCCTTAGCAAACTTACAATATTCATGAGTCTAAAATCACTCCTCTTCATGTTTAGTCCAATAATGCCTCTTGTTCTCTCAAAGAAAGCGTCATATCCCCCAGATGTAAACATTGCTTTAAGAGCCAATGCCATATGCTGACAGATGGCATCCCATCTGTGGTTCAGTTATTAAAAATAAATTTCTTGGCCATGTTCAATAAATGATATTCCTATCTATTTTTTTTGAGAAATGTTTAGTTTTCAACTATGGGTTTAGCAAACCAAACCATAAAGCTCAATTCTATATAATAACTTGGGTAGCAAAATAAGCTTTATGTCAGGCTAAAACAATATATTTAGGATAAGATGTTCAGAAGAGAAAAAATAGAAAAAGAAAAATGTAAATTTACTTCTCTAAGTAATATACTGTTGATTTGGCTCAGCTATAACTATTAGTTAGGAAATGACAAAAAAAAATTGGACTCAGTGCTAGGAGTTAAGCACTGGTGGATGGGAACATAGAATCCAAAACACTTAAAATATTGTACTCATTGCTCAAACTCCAAAATTCTTGTCAGTAGTTCTTTTTCTGCTACATCGTCAAACCTTCAAATCACGATTTTGTTCATATATTCAGTGTCAAACAAGACTTTGAAGAGAACATGAGAAATATCAGTAATAACTCTCTACTCAGCATAAAAAAGTGACATAGATTTGTTGAAAGGATGGAAGAAAATAATCAGTGCATGTCACTGACAGCATTTAATGAGGTAGGTTCCACATGCAGAACCTTGGCAACTGGTGATTTCAGAAGAAGGAGGTCTCCCGGCCACGTAACTGAGAAAAAAAAAGAGAATAATGTATGAAGCCTTTTTAAAAAATTCAAGAGATGTGTGTGAAAGTGATATAGCTGCCCAAATCTCATGTCGAGTTATATTCCTCAATGTTGGGAGTGGAGTCTGGGAGGTGACTGGATCAAGAGGTGTTTCTTGTGAATGATTTAGTGCCATCCCTTTGGTGTTCTTCTCCTGAGAGTGAGTGAGTTCTGCCAAGATCTGGTTGTTCAAATGTATGTAGCACCTTCCCCTGCTCACTCTCTCTCTTGTTCCTACTCCAGCCACGTGAAGTGTATGCTCCCCCTTTGCCTTCTGCCCTGATTGTAAGTTTCCTAAGGCCTCACAGAAGCCAAGCAGATGCCAGTATCATGCTTCCTGTACAGCCTGTAGAACTGTGAGCCCATTAAACCTCTTTTCTTTATAAATTACTCAGGCTCAGGTATTTCTTAACAGCAATATAATAATGGACTAATAAAAAAAGCTTTCGATAACCATATCCATGGTTTTCCTTTTACCTAGCATCTTGGTCCATGTAACTGAAAGTATAAATGCTTGCATCCTTCCCTTTCCTCATTTTTCTTTTCATCTATTTTACTTCTTTACTGTCTTCCTTCCCTTCTGAAAATAGTTACAGATGGTCAGTCATGAGGCTAGGTCATGAGTGATCAAGAAAGGCTTAGCCCTTACTCATGGATTTTATAGTCTACTGGTGAACACAGGCAAGTTCACCAGCATCAAAGTACCAAAGTTGCAGAGGTATCTTGGGGCGATGGGCAGGGAAAGCAGAGAAGAGTTTCTGGAGAGCGATATCAAAATTGTGAGTGATTCTCTACCTACCCCTTCGCTTCTGAAACTCTCTTCTTATGTAAGTGATAACTATGAGCTTTTCAGTTAGTATGTTGTCGTTGTTGTTGTTGCTGTTGTTAAGCTTTGCAGGGACTTTCTTCCTTTCCTTCCTACAATCTAGTTTTTGCCTTACAACATGACTAGAAACTGAATGGAAGTGAGAAACTCCTTCTGTCTTGGTCTCTGTATCATATAGGGATACAGTGGTTTACATGGATAAGCATTATTGTGGAAGAAAAGGAAGTACGTAAATGAGCACATTTGAATAATTGACACCTACCTTCTTAAATACTGTCTAACCAGTAGGCATATAAAAACAATCACTACCTCTCCAACTTTGATGTGTATATCTTGTCCTAACTTTGTAAAATTCCTTTTATATTCATAAACCTAACCTCATCTGTCTCATTAGGAAAGGAAAACTGTGCTACAGGCTGGACTCTAACAGCCCTCTTACTCCTGTAAAAGCTTGAGAATTTTTGTATATGTATTTATTCGTATTCTAACAGGAAACACAAGAACTCTGAATCAAAGAACAGGGCAACTGTTACTCAGAATATCTCTGCATCTGGTTCCCAGGCCTCATTCCCCACAAGGTAAAAGTCAGATGTTCACCTGCATATGTAGTGGGGGATGCACTACATGAGAGGAACCTTAATATTATGAGATCAGAGCTTATATGAGAAGGCTGGCACTTTGGCAAATCCTCTCCCTACAGAGGTGTTAGCTGGAACTGAAGCAAATCCTCTTTGGGGAAAGGGAGGAAAAAGTCTCTGCCTTGGAATGTTAAGTAAATGGCTCTAGGCACGATAAAGTCTCTGAATCTCTCTGGATCCTGCACTACCTTTAACCTCCAAGGCGTGCTTGTCATTCATTGTTTAACAAACATTGGAAGTCTTTTTTGCCTTAGAAAGCTTGTAGCATGCAGAAACCTGAAAATATTCATTGAAAATTGCCTCCCAACAGGAATTAGAAAGAGATTTAATTAACGACAATATAATGGTGGGCAATGGTAAATTTAAAACTAAAACCTACTCTCCCAACTACTTACTCCATGATCTCTATGCTACATTACACATGTATACTGTTTCCTTAGAGGAGACAGTGTATACTGTTTCCTTAGGGAGAGTCAGTGACTGATGAAGCTGAGAGTTTGGAATAGTATTTCTATCATTCCTACCAATTTAGATCTGATATTCAGAAAGCTAGAAGATCAATGTAGGGAAGAAAGGAAAGTGATTGATTGCAGCTGGAGCAGTACTTTAAAAATGTTGAACAGAGATGCTTATATTTAAGTATATGTCTAGAGAATAAAGCAAGAGGTAATACTCCCCAACACAGTAATGACTAGGTTTAAGTTTATATTCCAAACACATAAGGTGAATATACAATGGAAAATGATATACCAATCTCGCTTATGAATCCAGTAAAAATATTCCTAAACTTAGGCAAGTGCGATAGACAGAATTTTAAGCTGGCCCCCAAGATTCTCACCTTATTTTATTTCCTCCCCTTGAATCTGAGTTCATCCTGTGAGTATGATGGGGTATCTTTCGTATGCTTATGTAACACTATATGGCCATGAGGCAGTATTTTGCAGATGTAACTAATGCACCTGATCAGTTGACTAAGTTAATGGAAAGTCACACCATCCTGTGAACTTAATCTTATCAGATTGGGTCTTAAAGGAGTGTCCTGCTGGCCTGGAGTAACTAAACCTCTGGAGGTGAAAGTGGTCCCAAGGCTACAACTAGGAAGACAATGGGATATCAGTCTTCTAACCACACATAAATGAATCTCACTAACAACCACTGAGCTGGGCAGAGGCAGCAGGCCTCAGTTGAGATCACGGCCCTCACCAATACCTTGATTTCAGCCTGGTCAGACCCTGAGCAAGTACCCAGCTAACCTGTACCTGGACTGCTGATTTATGAAAACTGTGAGATAATAAGCTTCTGTTCTCTCAAACCACTCTGCTTGCAGTAATTTGTTATAATAAAGTAATTTTGCAGATTTGGTGGAGACAAGAACAATATATAAAGATCTCTTGCAATTCTATGAACAAGCAATAAACAACTACCCCACACCATTTATAATAGCATCCAAACTATAATAAAAAGACAAAAGACCTAAATAAATGAAGAGTTAGGTCATTTTCTTAGAAGGAAGATCTCAATATTATAAACATGGCAATTATCCACTAATTAATCTATGCATGCATTTCAGTTTCAATCAAAATCTCAAAAATGTGTCTCATGAAACCTGAGAAGCTGATTATAAAATTCAAATACGAAAGTAAGAGACTAAAAATAGATGAACCCTTAAGGAGGAGAAAGAGGAAAGAGGCTATGGCTCACCAGGTTTCAACTTGTTAAAACTAAATAAAGCAAGCTGTTATTTGCACAAGTATAGAAAAGTAGAGCAAATAAGCAAACTGGAGTTTTGAAAACTTCAATATGTTTGAGAACTTGCTATGTTAATTACTAATAACATTCAAAGTCATGTCAGAGGGGATGGGGATTCATAAATAGTGCATAAATGACGGACTATTTAAATAGAAAGTTAGACAAAATTCTCATGTCACTCCAGACATACAAACATATTTCATCTGTATTAAAGAGAATGTGAAAAGCAAAATTGTAAAACTCTTGAAAGATGATACAGAGGCTTTGTTTATTGCTATATCAGGATAAGAACTTATTTTTAAAGAAAAAAATTATAATTTATACAGTAATAGATTAATATTTTGATTACCTGAAACCATAAATAGTCATAAACTGCTAGGCAGCTAACATATCATGAAACTTAAAAGCCACAGACTGGAAAAGAGGCTTGTTATATGCATAGACAAGTTTAGTAATCACAATATATAAATAATTTTGCAAATCAATAAGAAAGAAAAACTCCCTCCCAAAAAAGCGCAACAAGTAATATATAAAGAAAGAAACAGAAATAGGCAATAAACAACTTTTGAACAAAGATGTATGCTCAATCTCACTTATAACAAGAAAAATCACAAATTAAATTAAAAATTAAAAATTGTACCCAAATGATGTTTAAATTAATGTCTGATAATTTCAAATGTATTCAGGGTGTAGGCACATGCAGAAGCTTTCGATATTTTGTGATACAAATGTAAGCTGATACAATCACTTTTTTAAACCTAGTAATGCTGAAACTGTCCATCCCTTAGTAAAGCGGACCAATTTCACTTCCAGCATTTAATATAGAGAAAATCTTAAGGCACATGTACCCAAGAGACTATTCAATGTAATACTGCTTTTGAAAACAAGGGCACAATTACTCAGGGTGTGAAAGGATACATCTCAAATCCATAGGTGTGAAAGTCACTGAAGATACCTATTTACAAAACAATGCATAATTGAATTATGGAAGAATAAATATGTGACAAGGTAATATGGAAAAATTGCATAATTATCTATGGGGGTATGGCACACCAATTTTAAAATAATGTTCACGTCTCTGGAGAAATGGGGTCTCAGGATGAGTGGAGTCTCAGCTTTATCTGTGACACTTTGTTTCTTGAGAGATGTGTGGAAGAGAGGAGGGAAGTGATGAGAGGGAGTGAAGAGGAAGAGAAAGGAAAACAGAGAAGAAAGGAAGGGGTGAAGAGGAAGAGAGAGGAGAACAGAGAAGAAAAGAGCTTCTGCACAGCAAAAGAAACTACCATCAGAGTGAACAGGCAACCTACACAATGGGAGAAAATTTTCGCAACCTACTCATCTGACAAAGGGCTAATATCCAGAATCTACAACGAACTCAAACAAATTTACAAGAAAAAAAGAAACAACTCCATCAAAAAGTGGACGAAGGACATGAACAGACACTTGTCAAAAGAAGACATTTATGCAGCCAAAAAACACATGAAAAAAATGCTCACCATCACTGGCCATCAGAGAAACGCAAATCAAAACCACAATGAGATACCATCTCACACCAGTTAGAATGGCAATCATTAAAAAGTCAGGAAACAACAGGTGCTGGAGAGGATGTGGATAAATAGGAACACTTTTACACTGTTGGTGGGACTGTAAACTAGTTCAACCATTGTGGAATACAGTGTGGCGATTCCTCAGGGATCTAGAACTAGAAATACCATTTGACCCATCCATCCCATTACTGGGTATATACCCAAAGGACTATAAATCATGCTGCTATAAAGACACATGCACACGTATGTTTATTGCGGCATTATTCACAATAGCAAAGATTTGGAACCAACCCAAATGTCCAACAATGATAGACTGGATTAAGAAAATGTGGCACATATACACCATGGAATACTATGCAGCCATAAAAAACGATGAGTTCATGTCCTTTGTAGGGATATGGATGAAGCTGGAAACCATCATTCTCAGCAAACTATCGCAAGGACAAAAAAACAAACACCGCATGTTCTCACTCATAGGTGGGAATTGAACAATGAGAACACATGGACACAGGAAGGGGAACATCACACTCTGGGGACTGTTGTGGGGTGGGGGGAGTGGGGAGGGATAGCATTAGGAGATATACCTAATGCTAAATGACGAGTTAATGGGTGGAGCACACCAGCATGGCACATGTATACATATGTAACTAACCTGCACATTGTGCACATGTACCCTAAAACTTAAAGTATAATAATAATTAAAAAAATAAAAATGCTTTATTTTACCATATCTAATTATACATTATTTTAACAAAAAGCGGGAACTCAAGATTCACATAGTATTAATTGATATATTTATCAACTCCACAGATTGTTGCAATCAAATATCTTATTAGAACTGAATTCTGTCATTTTTCCTTTATAGATTTCGAGAATATTAAGTTGGTAAATATCAATATATTTTTTTTTTGAGACAGAGTTTCACTGTGTCACCCAGGCTGGAGTGCAGTGGTGCAATCTTGGCTCACTGCAACCTCTGCCTCCTGGGTTCAAGCGATTCTTCTGTCTCAGCCTCCCAAGTAGCTAGGACTACAGGTGCCCCCCACCATGCCTGGGTAATTTTTGTATTTATAGTTGAGACAGTGTTTTCACCATTTTGGCCAGGTTGGTCTCCAACTCCTGACTTCAGGTGATCCACCCACCTTGGCCTCCCAAAGGACTTGGATTAGAGGTGTGAGCCACTGTTTTTGTTTTGTTTTGTTTTCTTTTGTTGTTGTTGTTGTTGTTTTTGAAACAGAGTCTCACTCCATCACGCAGGCTAGAGTGCAGTGCAACCTCCACCTCCTGGGTTCAAGCAATTCTCACACCTCAGCCTCCTGAGTAGCTGGGAACTACAGCCATGTGCCACCATGACTAGCCTATTTTTTTATTTTTTTGTAGAGACCGAGTTTCACCATGTTGGCCAAGCTGGTCTCGAACTCTTGACCCCAAGTGATCCACCCGCCTTGGCCTCCCAAAGTGCTGGGATTACAGGTGTAAGCCACCATGCCTGGCCAATATCAGTAATTTTAATATTTTCCTTGTGATGATACGTTTTATCCTGATTCAGAGACTCTCTGTATCCACAGTAACGTGCTTTGACCATTTTTTCTATGAACTACCTATAGGTATCTTAGCTGTCTTTCGGTTAGCATTTGCTTGATATATTTTTTCCAGTCTTTGACTCTTCTATGTGCTTTTCCAGGCCCTTGTGTTTTAAGCTTTTGACTTGTAAATAACAACAAATTTCAAAATCCAATTCAACAGCCTCTGCCACTATTAAAAGGAGTCTATTAACTTTTATTCCAATTACTGATTTCTATAATTATAATTACGCTTTCTAATTACTTTTACAATTTAATGCTTTTCCATATTCATTTTTTACTTCTATGACTGCTTGAAGTTTGATCTTTTAAAATTCAGTGTTTTTTCTCCAACAATTTGGACCTTTTAACCATTTTTATAATTACCCTAATTATAATATATTCACATAATAAAATCTTAGGTTAATTAATATCTCTAGCCTCTCCTGAAAAACATAAAAAACATAAAATTCACTAATTATGATAATCTTATTCTTAATGTTCTCAATGTTTAGTTCCATTTAAAACATTTTCTTCTAAAGCATTTATATTTTATTACAATCTCAAGTGGCGAATATACATTTAGATCTACTCACGTGTATAGACATTTAGTTTTACACATTTTTTTCCTACAAGTTGCTTTTTCTTTTTGTTTTTTGGGTTTCTTTTCTCTTATTTTGAAGTACAGTCTTGTCAGAGCATTATTCAAAAATGAAAAAAAAATCCTGGAAAATAGTGCGTGACAAAGTTTTATTTAGCAGCAAAATAACATGACTGGTTCAAAAGACAATTTCAGAAAATGGGATATAAAGTCAGTGAGGACAAAGGAATGCTAAATTAAAAATGCTGTAAGAGTGAGGGAGGGGGTAAAAAAATAAAAAAAAAAACCCAGAATGCTGTTAGTTACAAAGCCATTTAATATTCTACAGGATAATAAAACCATAACTTTCATGATATCTTCCTGCTGAGCAAAACCAAAAAATCATCACACCTTCAGTTTCACTGCAAAATGTCTAAACCCTAATCAATTTTGCAGATGGTCTTACATTCTCCTAGAGAATCAGCTGACCCCCAGGTAAACTTGTTGGAAAACTGCCTTGCTTCTCTGACATTTATCTTTGCTTTATTTGCAAGTTTTGTATAATTTGTATTAACATTCAAAGTCTTTTATCTGAAGTTGTGATGGTTAATTCTCTAGGTATTTTTGTGTGTGTGAGTGTGAAGAGGCTTCTGAATATATCTCTCTTTACCTTATTTCTGAACAGCTTAACAAGACATGCCATTCTAGATTAACAGTTCTGTTCCCTCAGCCTTTGGAACACATTCTGCTGCTCTTAATGATCCACTGCTTCTCTGCTTGTTATTGCTTTGTAGTAATTTGTTGTCTGTTATTCTGGCTGCTTTTAAGATCTCATTGTCTTTGGTGTTCAGCAGTTTCAATATAGTGTTTCTAGGTATTAATTTCAGTTTGTCTCACTTGGAATTTGTTTGGCTTTCTGCACTTGATCATTCGAGTTTTTTTAGAAAAAGATACTGTAAAAGTTATAAACCTATTTTTTTCCCATATAGCACTCCCTCCTAATTCCATCCTTTCTTTCATCTTCTGAACTTCTGAATAGATATATTTTAATCAATCTTTTCCTACTGGGACTTAGCCTTTCTCTTATTTTTTTTTTAATTTGCCTGTCTATGATGCATTAAAGGTATTTAATTAAATCTGTCTCCTAGCTTAACAATCCCTCTCCAGCCATGTGCAATCTGCTGCTTCGTCTATTCAATTAAAAAAAAATTTCAATGTTATTGCTTTTCATGTCTCCAAGTCCTCTTAGCTCTTTTTAAACATGTATTGGGGTTTTAAAATTTTCCTTTATTATATTTTTATTTCATTTAACAGTTTAAGGAAAACCATTTTACATATTTTTGGGATAACTCTCATCGCTGGAATTCTTAGAATTCTAATTAAGCCAATTTTTCAGGGGACTCTTCATGGTGGTTTATTTCTTCATGAACTCTGTTCATCTTGTCTTGGTGCAATTAACCTGGGATCACTTTAAATTACTTACTTATTTAGAGATTTAAAAAATATCCTAATAATACATAGTAACAATTTAGCATCTTGTGCTTTGGAATTCCTAAAGAAGATGTTTTTCCTAACCCAATCCAGTGCCCAGGCTGAGACAAATGTATATCCTTACCATCCTGTCTTGAGGTGATTTTATTTTTTCTAGACAACCATTTCTCGGTCGGTAGAGACCTATTCCTTGCATGATGTAGAGGGATTTCAAGTTCAACTCTTCACCTTGCTTAATTCTAAAACCTTCTATGTCTCTAAACCTAAGAACAACATTCATAACATTCATAAATGTCTACAGAAAACTCTTAGCCATGAAGCCTGTGCACCACTTTTTAGCAGCTCTCTCTCTTTGCACTAAGAGCTCACTGCTTGTTAGAAGCTCTCTCTGTTTGAGCTAAGAGTTTTCTTTGCTTTATAGTAAACTTAGCTTGAGATTTAAAATGAAATTTGTTTTATACAGGTCTGATGCTTCTAGATTTTTTGTTTAGGTAGAGGACTTTTAGAATATATTTCCAACACTACGAGTCGTAGGCACTCATTCTCAGGATTATTTTTTTTTCTTTTGGAACATATAATACGTGCAAATGAGGAACTAAGCCAAGAGGAAGTCATGAGATTCTTAAAACAAACAAACAAAAAAACCAATGGGGAACAGAGACAAGAGGAAACTCCTGGATGACAAGAATACAGCAGTTGTAGGGCAATCAGACTGAACTGGAGCAGCAGAATGGGGGCTCTGGGAGGTGTGATATACAAAATTAAATAAAGAAACAAACAAACACACAAATAATGAGAATAACAGGCTACCTGATGTGGTCAGTCATGTGAAAAAATAGCTTTCAGAGGAATTTTAGTTGTGTTTTAAGTAATTTTACTTGTTGAATTAAAAAATATAAATATATTACATAAAAAAGCAATTATCTCTGTATCAGGGGTCTCCAGAGAGATAGAACTAATGGAATATATATATATATATTATATATATATATATAATAGTATATATTACATAATGTGTGTGTATATCTCTATATATATAGATATGAGTTTATTAAGTATTAACTCACATGATCACAAGGTCCCACAATAGGCCATCTGCAGGCTGAGGAGCAAGAAGAGCCAGTCCTAGTTCCAAAACCGAAGAACTTGCAATCCGATGATCAAGGGCAGGAAGCATCCAGCAGAGGAGAAAGATGTAGGCTGGGAGGCTAGGCCATTCTTTTTTTCACATTTTTCTGCCTGCTTTATATTCTAGCAGTGCTGGCAGCTGATTACATTGTGCCTACCCAGATTAAGGGTGGGTCTGCCTTTCCCGTCCACTGACTCAAATGTTAATCTCCTTTGGCAACACCCTCACACACACACCCAGGATCAATACTTTGTATCCTTCAAGCCAATCAAGTTGACATTCAGTATTAACCATCACAATCTCCAACAAAATCATAACATGAACATAAAAGGAAAGATGATCACAGTATATTACTAGGATCAGGTATAATTGATACTGATCTAGTCAACAATGTGGATACTAATATTGATTTGACCAGAAGTTATGATACATTTATATAATATATTTACATTAGAGGGATAAAGAAGATGGGTGTGGGGTGTTAGTGTGGAGGGAAGGAAAAGCAATGATAGGTAAATGCTAAAACTATAATTTCCTCAATAAGAATTGAGAAGGAATTTTCTAAAATGAATCAATTATAAAATAGCCTGATATACATATCATTTAGAAAACATAGAGTTGATTGGGATGCAGGATGTGTAAGTGGAGAAGAATGTCTAAGATAACTTAGATGGAAAAGTTACTAAATGAATGATACTTTATTGTTTCTTAGAAATCATAAAAAATCCATAATCTCTACTAAAGATAATTTTGATAATGGTTACAACCAAAAATTAATAATATATTAATTTGCAGAGTAAGTAAGCATTCTGAAGAGGAGAGGATAAAGAAGAACACAAGAGACGGAAGTTGCATTTAGTGGTCTACAAATTAGCAGGGACTGCTATGACCTTGTGGGGTTACTGCTGTGGGGATGCACTCACAAGTATGCCTTACTCTGGAGGTGAAGCAGAAGGGAACATCCTGATCAACCAAATGTGCGCTGACATGGAGATACGGGAGGCCAGCCTGGCAGCCCCAGTTCTGATGCTTAGTGTGTTGAGAGCATACACAAATGACAAGCATTTCTAAGCCTCGTTTGTCTCATCTGGAGAAGGAACCAGCATGAATAAATAACAAATGAGGATGAATGACATTATGAAAATGATATAAAATTTGTGTGTGAAAAATGACTTATAATTGCTGGAGATCACTGCAAAATGCTAGCTTTTCCAGGCTATTACACAACGACTAAGTGCGATTTTAACATTTTACCATTTTACTCTGAAATGAGATTCCAACATGCTAAACCCTAATTTTGTAATTGTATTAATCCATTTTCACACTGCTATAAAGAAATACCCGAGACTGGGTAATTTACAAAGGAAAAGGGTTTAATTGACTCACCGTTTCACATGGCTGGGGAGGCCTCGGGAAGCTTACAATCATGGTGGAAGGGGAAGCAAATATATACATCTTCACAAGGCGGCAGGAGAGAGATGAGTGGTAAAGGAAGAACTTGCCAAACACTTATAAAACCATAAGATCTCATGATAACTTACTCACTATCACAATAAAAGCATGGGGGAAACTGACCTCATGATCTAATTGCCTCCCACCAGGTTCCTCCCTCAATACATGGGGATTACAATTCCAGATGAGATTTGGGTGGGGACACAAAGCCTAACCACACCAGCAATAGAGGAAGACAGTCGGAAGATTTCAATAAGAAATTATGTCATTAGGGGAAAAAATACTTGAGGGACAAAAGTTTAAATATTGCCAGAGTTGTGTTGTTTTTTTCTTAATTTTAGAAAATGTCATTATATATTTCCTACTCTAGTAGGAAAGAAATGGTGGTGGAAAATTAGATTTGTGTTGGTTGTTGAAGAGTAGTTTTGAATCCTAGGAACTATGGCAGTTAGTCTGTTTGATATGCTTGCATTAAAATGAAATAGAGTACTGGCTGACCTTTGCGGTCTGGAAGTATTTAAGTATTTGGTAACCAATTTGTTAATTCTTCTCACATCTGCTCCCAATGTGATTATGTGTAGATTATTTTTATGGCTTCGCTGAAAAGACATTAGGTGCTTGCTTTCTTCCCTGCAGCAGAAATTAAAGTTGGGTTTCTATTTCTTACTCTCAAGGATGCTTTAGTCTTAAGAACTCATGGTTTGATTATTTTCACAAAGTTCTATTATCCAGGTAGATATTCCATACTCTGTGCAGGCATTCCCTGTGGAACCTATAGTTCCACTCCAGGTAGAGAGATTTTGCTCTGGAAGAACAGAGACATAGTTAGAACCTGGAGGCTTAAAGTTTCCTTTTGTTTTTTTACTTAATAAATATCTTGTCACTAATTACGTCTGAGATGGTGTGAACTCACTGAAGTCAGCCTTTCAATTTAAGTTAGTGCTAGTTTTGAGTCTGGAAATAGAAGAGTGGTTTGGGAAGTTTTTCCTTTTACCTCCTCAGTGTCTACTTACATTTTTTAATCAAGAACTTTCTCTTAAGATTAAAAAATCTAGAAGAGGTCCTTCATATCCCTTGTAAGTTGGATTTCTAGGTATTTTATTCTCTTTGAAGCAATTGTGAATGGGAGTTCACTCATTATTTGGCTTCTGTTTGTCTGTTATTGGTGTATAAGAATGCATGGATTTTCGTACATTGATTTTGTATCCTGAGACTTTGCTGAAGTTGCTTATCAGCTTGAGGAGATTCTGGGCTGAGACGATGGGGTTTTCTAGACATACAATCATGTCATCTGCAAACAGGGACAATTTGACTTCCTCTTTTCCTAATTGAATAACCTTTATTTCCTTCTCCTGCCTGATTGCCCTGGCCAGAACTTCCAATACCATGTTGAATAGGCATGGTGAGAGAGGGCATCCCTGTCTTGTGCCAGTTTTCAAAGGGAATGCTTCCAGTTTTTGCCCATTCAGTATGATATTGGCTATGGGTTTGTCATAGATAGCTCTTATTATTTTGAGATATATCCCATCAATACCTAATTTATTGAGAGTTTTTAGCATGAAGGGTTGTTGAATTTTGTCAAAGGCCTTTTCTGCATCAAACCACTGCTCAATGAAATAAAAGAGGATACAAACAAATGGAAGAACATTCCATGCTCATGGGTAGGAAGAATCAATATTGAGAAAATGGCCATACTGCCCAAGGTAATTTATAGATTCAATGCCATCCCCATCAAGCTACCAATGACTTTCTTCACAGAATTGGAAAAAACTACTTTAAAGTTCATATGGAACCAAAAGAGAGCCCGCATCACCTAGTTAATCCTAAGCCAAAATAACAAAGCTGGAGGCATCACACTACCTGACTTCAAACTATACTACAAGGCTACAGTAACCAAAACAGCATGGTACTGTTCCAAAACAGAGATATAGACCAATGGAACAGAACAGAGCCCTCAGAAATAATGCCGCATATCTACAACTATCTGATCTTTGACAAACCTGAGAAAAACAAGCAATGGGGAAAGGATTCCCTATTTAATAAATGGTGCTGGGAAAACTGGCTAGCCATATGGAGAAAGCTGAAACTGGATCCCTTCCTTACACCTTATACAAAAATTAATTCAAGATGGATTAAAGACTTAAACGTTAGACCTAAAATTATAAAAACCCTAGAAGAAAACCTAGGCATTACCATTCAGGACATAGGCATGGGCAAGGACTTCATGTCTAGAACACCAAAAGCAATGGCAACAAAAGCCAAAATTGACAAATGGGATCTAATTAAACTAAAGAGCTTCTGCACAGCAAAAGAAACTACCATCAGAGTGAACAGGCAACCTACACAATGGGAGAAAATTTTCGCAACCTACTCATCTGACAAAGGGCTAATATCCAGAATCTACAATGAACTCAAACAAGTTTACAAGAAAAAAACAACTCCATCAAAAAGTGGGTGAAGGATATGAACAGACACTTCTCAAAAGAAGACATTTATGCAGCCAAAAAACACATGAAAAAATGCTCATCATCACTGGCCATCAGAGAAAAGCAAATCAAAAACACAATGAGATACCATCTTACACCAGTTAGAATGGCAATCATTAAAAAGTCAGGAAACAACAGGTGCTGGAGAGGATGTGGAGAAATAGGAACACTTTTACACTGTTGGTGGGACTGTAAACTAGTTCAACCATTGTGGAAGTCGGTGTGGCGATTCCTCAGGGATCTAGAATTAGAAATACCATTTGACCCAGCCATCCCATTACTGGGTATATCTCCAAAGGATTATAAATCATGCTGCTATAAAGACACATGCACACATATGTTTATTGTGGCACTATTCACAATAGCAAAGACTTGCAACCAACCTAAATGTCCAACAATGATAGACTGGATTAAGAAAATGTGGCACATATACACCATGGAATACTATGCAGCCATAAAAAATGATGAGTTCATGTCCTTTGTAGGGACATGGATGAAGCTGGAAACCATCATTCTCAGCAAAGTATCGCAAGAACAAAAAACCAAACACCGCATGTTCTCACTCATAGGTGGGAATTGAACAATGAGAACACATGGACACAGGAAGGGGAACATCACACACTGGGGACAGTTGTGGGGTGGGGGGATGGGGGAGGGATCGCATTAGGAGATACACCTAATGCTAAATGATGAGTTAATGGGTGCAGCACACCAACATGGCACATGTATACATATGTAACAAACCTGCACGTTGTGCACATGTACCCTAAAACTTAAAGTATAATAATAATAAAATAAAATAAAAAAAGAAGTGGAAAAAAAGATTAAAAAATCTAAACACTTAAAGGAAATTCTCATAGGCTTAGGAGACAATGAAAATATAGTAATATCAGATAACTGCTCCCACTGAGAACAGCCACGTGGCTGACTTCTCACATTTGCCTAAACCCATTTGTTGGTGTTTTCAGGTCCTCACTGATGCAATGCCTTTTTAAAAATAAATAAATAAATAAATTTTCTTTTAAAAGTTACTGAGAATAAAAATTACAGAACATGGTTATAGGCACTTATATTGCTATCAAATGCAGGAATTCACTTCAATAAGAAGTGCTTTCTTTGTAAGCATGGTTCATGGCATTGGAAGCTCCAACTTTGGAGATGATACTGTCCATGACAAAAATAACAACCATAAAAAAGTGACGGTAGAAAGAAAATAGTCCAAATTTACAGATGCTTTAAACTTCTTTTGTCCTTTGTGTCAACTTTTATGTTGAAAAATAAATAAAATATAAAATGGAACATATTCTCATGTAACTCCTGGGCAATTTGCCCACTGTGTCACCCATCTTGGGATTCCAGCCCAGGTGGTAGTTCTAATTATCCCTATTTTTCATTTCCTGGTAAGGAAAAAATTTTCTAATTATTTAATAATTCTGATTCAATCTGAAATAAATTTCAGCATGTTAAATTTTGCCATCAGTGAAAGCCATGTTTTAATTTCATTTTCGTTGTCACTATTCAGGAGGCTGTTGAAACCAGTGAATATCATTGTGCATGGAAACTTAGGGAATATGGTCGGAATGAAAGGATTATATTGGCTTCTGATTTTCATTACATCCTTATTTAAAAATGTATTATACACTCTATGTGTGTGAAGGTAGATAACACAAGGGTCCTTTTGTTACTGCACCTTCCCTGCTTAACAATTTGTCTGGTACATAGTACCTGCTCATTAAATAATTTAATATACGGTAATTCATTTGTTACTTAATGAATCAGTGAATATATCTGAATCTGCATTTGTCTAAATACATAAAACATCACAGCAGACAGGTTTCTTTTGCTTCATGATGGTGGCAAAAATGCTTTAGTCTGTACCAGATTAAAATAACATTAAAAAAGAACAAGCTCTTACCTGACCTTATCGATCCCGAGCATCATGTTGGTGAAGCTGACGATTTAAGATGTGAAGTGTGATACAGCAAGGAAAATTGTGGGCTAACCAGGCTCTTCTGAACTGATATTTCCCACAGTATGTAGGTGGTTAATGTAATCTGGTAGAGGAAAAGCTTTTTTTTTTTCTTTAAAGCATGGCCTGACAACACAGATTTCCAGAGCAATTATTTGAAGAAGTTTCAGTTTGAAAAATTCACTCTGTAACCAGTTATGAGCTCTGGCAGAGCACATTTCTTATAGAGGTATTTATATAAACCTGTTTCCACAGCATTTAGGCTCTCTGAAGCCTTGCCTTAGCAGAAGACAAGTGAAATAGGCAAGAATAGGCAGGTGATTTCCATCAGTATGCATTCACTGAACACACCTGGCTAGCATTGTGGTGTACTTGGGAATACAGAAAGATAAAGACTCAGAGGAGGATAAAGTTCCCCCATAAAAGAACCCTCAGGGTGATTGGAGGTGGAAAAGAGATTTCTAAAATAATAATTACAATATGGTGCTAGAACTGAGGTTTAGATTCATCCACTGTCCCAGCCACAGAGCTGTCAGCTAGGAAAGAGGGGTTAAACAAAACGTACCTACCAAGTGATTTGGAATTTCAATGCAGGGGACAGATCCACTTTCTGGGTGAATGAGTGAGGGCTTCGGGGATGAGTGTGCATGGAGATAAGTAATTTTCCGGGCAGAGAATGATAGACAGAGCTCTTAAAGGCACAGGGGAACAGTAAATATAAATGCACAGAAATGGTAAAGAATTTGGAATGTTTAGAATAAATAATTAATAGACTTATTCCTGTTTTTTGTTTGTTTGTTTTAAATAAAAATAGCTTAGGCCAGGTGTGGTGGCTCACACCTGTAATCCCAGCAATTTGGGAGGCCAAGGTGGGTGGATCATGAGGTCAGGAGTTTGAGAACAGCCTGACCAACGTGGTGAAACCCTGTCTCTACAAAAATTAGCGGGGCATGGTGGTGCACACCTGTTATCCCAGCTACTCAGGAGGCTGAGTAAGGAGAATCACTTGAACCCAGGAGGTGGAGTTTGCAGTGAGACGAGATCGTGCCATTGCACTCGCACCTGGATGACAGAGTGAGACTCCGTTTCAAAATAAAATAAAATAAAATAAAATAAAATAAAAAATAAATAGATAAATAAAAATAGCTTAAATATAACTTAAACCTTCAGGTGTTGTTATAACTGACTGTGGCCATCATATTCCTACATTCAAATAGTTCAAATACTACATCCATCCTGTAAGGCAATTGTTTTAAGAGGGTATCCAACTTGTCTTGTAGAGTCTAAGCTCCAAGAACAATTATGCAGACTACAGAGAAGGATGATCCAGCTCATTCAGAGAAGGATGATCCAGCTCATTTTTTTTTTTTTGGACAATGAAAAGATATTAACTTTCTGCTCATATGTTTATGTTCCACTTAATACAAGTAGTTGACTTTGCTTAGCATACCATTTTCTAGTTGATTTCAAACACCCTTCCAATCTCACCTAATACTATTTACTACATTTCCAATAATATAACCGACTTTGCTGCTTCCCAGGACTCCTTGCCATATCTAAATATCTTATTTTCTTTATCTTTTCTGTGTATTAGTGGCTACCATTATGTTATCTGTGTCTCCTGCTTTTCATTGGCTTCCAAAGTCTCTCTAGGGTAGCATTTCTGCAGGCAGAAATGCCAGGAAGAAGCCATTCATATTAGTCAAAATATCAGAGGATGAAAGGTTTAAGTTATTTTTATAAGCCATTTATATAAAAGGGCTGTCTATTCATTATCTTGTTTATTCTAAACATTTGAAACTCTTTACCATTTCTCTGTTCTTATATTTACTGTTCCTCTGTACCTTTAAGAGCTCTGTCTACATTATCTGCCCTGAAAATTTCTCATCTCCATTCACACTCATCCCCAAAATTTTCACTCAATAATAAGCAGGATGGTGACACGTGAGAGCAGAGGAAGGAACAGCCATTTACTGTTTTGTTGACTCCACTTAATTTTAAATGCTAGATGAGATACTTTCTCGACTTTACTGATAAAACATTTATGTCACTGAGAGACCATATTCCTTACCTAAACATCTTAGCTGGACATGGTGAAATGAGGAGTTCACTAAAACTTTCTATCATCCAAAGCTTTTTCTGCTATCTATTACTTTACCTCACAGAGCTATGGGTGTATTCATGTTTGTATGTTCTTTGAAGTATCATCTGCCATATGTGACTTATGTCTCTGTATATCACAGTCTATATGACACCTTTGCTCAATATACATCACTGCATCTTTGATTACTATACAGCAACTTGGCTCACAGCCATATTCCTCAGCATTTTACAACTATGCCACATTGCCTTATTTCGAGTTTCAAAAATCCAGGGAGATGCTCCTACCATAGTATTTATTTGAGCTTGATATTTTAACTTTACAATAGTATCTGCAGAGTTCCCAAACCACTGGGTAAAGCTTTGGTAACCTTTATGTTTTTCACTGAAGTTTCTCAAAAATCTTTACCTAGTTTCTCTCTAATCTCTACAAATTACAAACTGATGAATCCTTGGTGGAACCCTCTACAAATGTCTTGATCCATCTTCTGTTGCTATAACTGAATACCTGAGAGTAGGTAATTTATGAAAAGAAGAAATGTATTTCTTACAGTTCTGCAGCCTGGGAAGTTCAAGGTGTAGGGGACACATTTGACCAGGACCAGCTTCCTTGTGGAGACTCTGCAAAGTCCTAAAGTGGTGCAGGACATCGCATGGTGAGGGAGCTCATGATAGGTGGCCAAACTGGCTTTTGTAACAGACCCACTCTTGTGATAACTAACTCACTTCCTGGATCAACCACTGATCCATTGATTCCCTAATCTATGGAATGAATTAATCCATTCAGGAAGGCATTGCCTTCATGATTCAATCACTTCCCAAGGGCTCTACTTTTCACCACTGCTGCATTGAGGACCGAGTTTCTAACACATGAACTTATGGGGAACTCATTGAAACCATAGCGGTTGGTATTGAAGGATTCCTGAGATCTGACCACAAACTGACCTTTACACCTATTTTTTTTCTTTTTTACTATTATATCTCAATGTGAATCTTCTTTTTTTTTTTATGTTTTAAGATAGAGTCTCGCTGTGTCACCCAGGATGGAGTGCAGTGGTACGATCTTGGCTCACTGCAATCTCCGCCTCCTGGGTTCAAGCGATTCCCTTAACTCAGCCTCCTGAGTAGCTGCGATTAAAGGCATGCACCGCCACGCCCAGCTAATTTTGTATTTTTAGTAGAGACAGGGTTTCGCCATGTTGGCCAGGCTGGTCTTGAACTCCTGACCTCAGGTGATCTGCCTGTCTTGGCCTCCCAAAGGGCTAGGAAACAGGCATGAGTCACCACGCCTGGCTCAGTATGAATCTTGATGCCATTCAGATATTCAGATAACTCAGCTCCTGGCCATTTTATACAATTGCCATGGGCTTTCTTACCTCAATACTTTTTTTTTTTAAATGCACACAGACTCCTCATCACTTCAACCCCAATCTATTCCTCCCTCTGTTTGTGGTAACTTCAGCCTATCCCTCCAGTTTCTCAGGCCAAACACCCTGGAATTATCCTAGAATTTCTCTCTCCATACCCCATATCAAATCCATCAGAACCTCTTCTTGGTTTTACTCTTCAAAATATTTCTAGAAACCAATATTTTTTCACTGCTTCTACTGCTATTATTGTGTTCTGTTGTACTGTCATCTCCTACCTCCCACCTACATTTCAAAAGTCAGCCAAAGAACGGGTCCTCTCACCTCAGACTTCCCTTCCTTACAGATCTTGCCCTGCTTTATTCTACCACAATGAGAGAAGCCAAACAATCACATGTGAAGGCATATGGCATATCCCAGCAGTTCTCCACTCTCTGAATGTAGAATAAAGATTTAAGACACCCCACAAGGCTCTTGAATATTTGGTTCTCATATCTGTCAAATTTCATCTTTCAAATCATTTCTTCTCAATCAACATGCTTTAGACATATTTTTAGCCCGTTCCTCTCAGGTATCCTCCCAGCTCAGGCCCTTTGGACATGTTGTTCTTTCTGCCTGAAAAGCTTATCCCCCTGATGCCTACATTGTTTACTCTCTGCCTCTATGTCTTTTCAGTATGGTTTTCCATGACCACTCTTCTTTGCTTTGCTTTTATTTTTTTATGAGTCTTGCTGTGTTGCTCAGGCTGTAGTGTAGTGGCACAGTCTCTGCTCACTGCATCCTCTGCCTCCTGGGTTCAAGCGGTTCTTATGCCTCAAGTAGCTAGGATTACAGATGTACACCATCACTCCTGCCTAATTTTTGTAATTTTAGTAGAGATGGGGTTTTGGTACGTTTGCCAGGCTGGTCTCGAACTCCTGGCCTCAAGGGATCTGCCAGCCTCGGCCTCCCAAATTGTTGGGATTACAGGCATGAGCCACACTGTGCCAAGCCTGATCACTCTATTTTAAATGTGTCTCTAGAGAGTACTTCCTACCTTCCTTCCCAGCTTTGGTTTTGTACATGTTACTTACCACAATCTAAGTTTTAAAAAATACGTATTGTACATATATTTTTCAAAAATGTTTGGCCCCTTCATGTTAAATGTGAGCTGCCTAAAAGCAATACTTTTTGTCTATTTTTTTTTCATTGCTCTTTCCCAGTCCACTCAAGTCCATATCACATATTAGAAATTAAATAAATGCATGAATGGAATTTATTCCTTCAGCCAAAATGGAATGATAGGGATTGAATTTACCTTCCGAGCTGATACAAAAATCAGCCTAATGAAAATGAAACAGCAGTTTTCAAGACAGTAGACACAAGGTGACAAAGAATAGTGATCCCTTTGAGACAGTAAACAACAAGGCAAACATAACAATTTTCCAAATGAACTACTTTTGGAGACCCTTCATGCATGATGCAGGGAAGAAAAATATAGATAAAGCTAGGGGACTCTTTGAGATTCAGACATGAAGCAGAGCATTCAGGGATAACAAGGGGACTAGAATTTTTAAGCCAGCATACTTGAGAGAGCGAGCTGCACCAAGAGAACCCCAGAGATTTGAAAAGGGTTCCACCAAGGATTCATCTGAGTGTTGACCAACACATACACATGGAGAAAATATCTGAGGCCAAGGGAATAATTCCCCAAAATGATTATAGGTAAAAGTGTCCAGTTCTCATGCAGTTCTGGAAATATGATCTGCACTCATGTTCTGGAAAACCTCATTGGATAAAATCAGCCCTATACTGAGCATTTCCTCAGTCCATCTAACATCTTCAAAGCAACACTTGAGAGAACCAAAGTGTTTCCAAGTAACTAAAATGAATCTCAGACAAAAAAGCTCAAGAATATTTTTAAGAATAAAAAAAATATACAGGACCCAGAAAATTAACATTCACAATTTCTGGGACATATCAAATATTACCAGACAGGAAAAGAGGCAAGAAAATGCCACCTGTAAAGAGGAGAAAAATCAATCAATTGAAGTTGACATGGAACTGACATAGATGTAATATGTAGTGGACAAAGATGTTACAGTGGCTATTACAACTGTATGTGTAATTTTAAAAGGAAACTTTGGATAGTGATAACTATATTTATTATTTAGATTGTGGTGATGCCTTCATAGGTGTGTACCTAATGTCAAAATGTATCAATTTGTACACATTAGGCATGTGTATTTTATTGTACATTGATATACTTCAATTAAAAATGAATGAAGAAATGAAGGAAAGATCCTCTCCCATTGCAGCTCTCATCCTCTAGTGCTTTTATTGCTCCATTATGGTAAATTATCTTGTAAAGTATAGATATCACTATACATAAGAGCAGAAATCATGACATATTTACATAGATTTGTATCACCTATGGTGTAACAATATATACAAACTTTACTTACAATTCAGATTTGACAGATAAATAAATTAACAAAATAACATGCAAGCATCAGAATACAGTATAATTGTTAAATGTTCTAAGCTTTTCTTTTCTTCTTCTTTATTTAACTTCTTCATAGAGTTACATAAGCAGGATCATTTTGAAATATGATTGTGAAATTTGGGAGCTTTGGTTGTCTTTTTCCTCTTCTTGGATTAGTTTTGTTTCCTCACCCTTTGCTTAGTAAATTTTTATCTTTTAGTTCTTAATTCTGAAACAACTCGAAAGAGTTAACTCCTCCGGCCTTCAAGACCATCATTGTTTTGTGTCCTCACCCTTTGCTTAGTAAATTTTTATCTTTTAGTTCTTAATTCTAAAACAACTCGAAAGAGTTAACTCCTCTGGCCTTCAAGATCATCATTGTTTTGGGTCCTCACCCTTTGCTTAGTAAATGTTTATCTTTTAGTTTTTAATTCTAAAACTACCAGAAAGAGTTAACTCCTCTGGCCTTTAAGATCATCATTGTTTTGGGTCCTCCACTGACAGGCTCTTGGGTGCCTGGACTTCTCTGTAGTACTAACCCACAACTGAAATTAAATAATGTAAGTATTAGGTACCTAGTTAGCATTTGGATCTCCCACAAAGTGTACACTGCATTGACGAAAGGGCTGTGGCACTCAGTACGTACCCAAGAAGTATTTTGTTAGCTGTGACAATACCTTAGGCTCCAGTCAACAATAGATACGAGATTTGGAAGATACTTGCCACACGAAGGTGCAACATTTTAAAGGAAATGTTAAGAAATTCCTCATCAATAGATGAGGAATGGAAAATGAAAGAATGGAGGTTGTGAGGGAATATGAGGAGAATCACTTTGGAAATTCTGTACTATAGTAAACACTTAAAGAATTTTGAGCAGGGAATTAGCACAGTTTTATTTACATATGAGTAATGTCATTTTGGCATTTGGATTGGGCTAGAATGCTGTGATTAAGACAGGAAATATAAAGACTTTTACTAAAGTTCAGTTAAGATTTTGACATTATCATTTGCCAGGACCATTGTAATCACCTCCTCATTTATCTTCTGGCTTCTTCCTTTGCTACCCAGAGACATCCACTTAAAACATACCTTAAAGGACAGGTCAGATCATTTCTCCGTTCAAATAGCTTCCATGTATTTATTCTCATCTCATTCAAATTAAAATTCACAGCCTTTCCCATGGACAACAAGGCTTTGTATGAACTGATGCTGGCTACTGACTTGCTACTCACTTGACCTAATTTCTACACCTCTCCCTTGGCTCACACTGCTCTGGCCTGATTCGTCGTTTGGTTCTATGAAAATGCTAAACATATTCCTTACTCAAAGCCTTTGTATGTTCTTTCCACACATTGCTATATGGTCTCTCAAATCTTTCTGGTCCTGCTAAATAAAATATCATTTGAGAATATTTTCATGACTGCCCTATTTTAAAAAGAATCCCTCTTAATGCTTGATCTTTCTATATCCATTACTCTGTCTTATTTCTATGCATAGTATTAACATGTAACCTGATACAAGTATTTGCGTGTTTGTTTCCAATTGTCAAACTCTCTCCCCTCCCCTCCCCACCCCTGGAATATAATCTACATGGGAATAGGGATTTATTCTGTTTTCATTCACTCAGCCTATAATTATTGAGCACCTTCTATGAGGCAGGCACTGTTATGGGAATTGTCTATATAACAGTGAAAAGAGACAAACAGAAACCAAGGTTTTAGCCTTCAGAAATTTACGTTCAAATTGTGTTCTAGTTTTGTTTTTTGGTTTTTTTTTCTATTTTATTCTTAACACCTGGCAGAGTGTCAGGAACATAGTAGGGGCTCAATAAGTATGCATTGAATAAATGTACAATTCAGAGTTGACAGCTTGGAAGAGGTCACAAGTAGAAGCTCCACAAAGGAGGCGATAGGAAAGAAATTTGCAGATACAGAGTCACTAGGATATTTGTTAGAGGTGAGGAAAAGGAAGTAATTTAGTGTGGCTGCTAGATTTCTAGTTCATAATGTTATTTGTTCAGTCGTGGAATGTATGAAATTGTGTTACCATCTCATAATTATTTCTTAAAGTAATTTTCTTGGACTGCCAGGGCTTCACTTCAATATCTAAATTTGATAGTTAATTCCTGTCATCATGATGGGCATGGGGTAGAGAATAGAGTATTAAATCCATATATCATACTTAGAGTTGAGAAACCAGCCAAATGGCAATGGACAATTCAAAAATGTTTTCAATCTAGTGATTTTGTGCATAAACATTATTTAAAAGAACATTATCTTCAACTTGATATTTGCTCTCTGGTTGTATTTAGATTTAAATTTCATGTTTCAACAAGGCCCAGAAATTTCATTGCAAATCTACAAAGGTTCTGCTCATTAAGAAAGAAGCAGGGACCCCCATATCTTTGATGACCTTCTCCAACCCATGCCTATCACCATCACCCTTCTCACTTTAGCTAACAAAGGATTGTAAGAAACTACCCAGGGTCTTCCTTATGGATGAAAGGAGATCTTTCCAGCTCACTAAGAACCTATGATTTTAAACATGACATGTAATTGAATTTAGCCTGCATTTTATTAACGATACAAGAGTCACTACTGTTACCGGTGGAGGGTGTCCAGGTTCTTGGCATCTTGAACAAAGAATTGGACAAAATGCACAAACAAAGCAAGGAAAGAACGAAACAACAAAAGCAGAGATTTATTGAAAATGAAAGTATGCCCCACAGGGTGGGAGCCACCTGAGCACAGCGGTTCAAGAGCCTCCGTTACAAAATTTTCTGGGGTTTAAATACCCTCTAGAGGTTTCTATTGGTTACTTGGTGTATGCTCTATGTAAATGAAGAGGGTGAAGTAAAGTTACAAAGTCATTTACGCGGTATACGCCCCATGTAAATAGAGAGGATATTTCCTGTCATAGCTGAAGTGTTTCCATTTGATTTAGTTGTAGAAAGTCAGCTTGCATTGGCCTTACGTTCCCTGCCTCCAGACCCTATTCTTCTGCCTCACTACTACTACCTACTTTATAACGTAGTCATAATAATGAAAGAGAAAATATGTGTAAAGTGTTTTGCATAGTTCCCAACACATAGTAAATACTCAGTTTTTACTGTTTCTGGAAAGCCTTCCCTGGCCAGTCCAACATACCATGTGTATTCTTCCTCTGTACGTTCATAAAACTTTTGCTGTGTCATTTAGAATAATTTGCCTTGCTTTGCTTTTGTCTGAATTTCCATTGGTGAAGAAAGGGCCAAATTATGGAATGACCTGGGAATGATTTCCAATACAAGTTAGCTCTGAGGCAGTCTTGCCAGCGGGAAAGGAAATGGTGAAGTGATGCTGAAAGCAAACATTAACTAATTGATAACTTTGCTGGAGACTAATCTCGAACTCCATTGGTTATGGGCATTGACATACCCAGTGAGATCTCAATGTGCTTTTCATCCCTCTTAGCATACTGCACTTTGGACCAACTGAAGGTAAATGAAAGGCCCAATTTCGGATGTGCACTTTCTTATTTATTACATAATAATCTCCTGGTAATAATATATTCCAGAAGTGATCTGACACCCAGACTTTCTGAGTCTTGGCTTGAGAAAATTGTTAACTAACTGGCTGGGTGCCGTGGCTAACGCCTGCAATCCCAGCACTTTGGGAGGCTGAGGCGGGTGGATCATGAGGTCAGGAGATCGAGACCATCCTGGCTAACACAGTGAAACCCCGTCTCTACTAAAAATACAAAAAAAAAAAAATTAGCTGGGCGTGGTGGCGGGCACCTGTAGTTTCAGCTACTTGGGAGGCTGAGGCAGGAGAATGGCATGAACCCAGGGGGTGGAGCTTGCAGTTAGCCGAGATCACACCACTGCACTCCAGCCCAGGCAACAGAGAGAGATAGAGACTCTGTCTCAAAAAAAAAAGGTAACTAACTAATCATTCTTTTATAGGAAGCCCAGAGAAACAGCGTAAGTCTTAGTTACCTTTAGTACCAGAATAGCAATCCAATGGCACTTTTACACTGATAAACAGTGATTAAATTTTGAATTATTTACACCTTTCCATGCTTCCTTTGTGTTGCTATCACATCAAAACTTCAAGTCTTTGAATGGAATAGTTTTTGACTCACTTTGCCTTAGTCCATTAAGGCTGCCATAACAGAATACCGTAGACTGGAGGGCTGATAAACAACATAAATTTTCTTCTCAGAGTTTTGGAGGTTAGGAAGCCCAAGATCAAGGTTCCAGGAGATCTGGTGTCTAGTGAGGGATCACTTCCTGGTTCTTAGACGACTGTCTTCTTGTGTCCCTTACATGCCAGAGGGGACAAGAAAGCTCTCTGGGGTCCCTTTTATAAGGCCACTAATTTCATTCGTGAGGGATCCAGCCTCATGACCCAAATACCTCCCAAAGGCCTCACCTCCAAATACCATCACAAAGGGAATTAGGTTTCAACATGCAACTTTTGGGGGACATAAACTTTCAGTCTATAGTGCACTCTATTCTGGGTTCTGAAGTGGAGGATAATGGCTAGTATTAATTAACCCCAAAGTAAATATAACAAAAATTTATTTTATTTGCATAATAAATCTAGTTCACTGAAGTTTCCCTCAAAATAAATGCACTAAAACTAACTAAACCAATATAATACACACACACAAACACACATATACACCTGCAGACACACACATACATTTAAAGTCCAAGATATCAGAGAAGTTAATGGACAGTTAGTCTAGATAAATTTTTCATTGTCTTCATGGCTAGATTAATCTAATGAACATGGCCAAAGGAACTGAAACGGACACATTAGCGCTGTCTAGCTATCTTAACAGATGGGAATACAATTAGTTAGCATTAAAAAAGATCCAAACAAAATGAAAAAGAACTGGAATTTCAACTAAGTTGGCAGCAGTAATAGGATTTTGTAAAAATCAATTTAGCACTAATTAAGGAGGGTGAATCCCTTGGCTTTAAATAGATCACTCACTGTTTATTCTTAAATTCCCTCCTATTCAATTCCCAACCCTCAGCCTGCACATAAATGAAACCAACTCTGAAGGATCTGGAAAAAATAGTGTTTTAATAAAGATACTTTAAATGATAAAAGGAGGTAAGTATATCCTGAAAGTGAAAACCAAAGTGCAGAGGGGGAAATCTGATTTTACAGAACTGCATTGTAATATAAAACCAGATTTGTATACTTATAAATATAAGTTGTGTGCATTATTCCTCTGCCAGGAAACTACATTACACACATCTGTATAAAATATATTTCCAATTTAACCAGTCTGGAATGACCACATTCATTTTCTAGTTCACTGCAAGGGTAAGTAACATAATAAGCACAATGTATTCTCCAAATTTAATAATTCAACATGCTTGCTTAGTTAACTTATTATTACCAATGTAACATCTTGAGCTTTGTTTCCTTCTATGTAAGACACCAGGCACGTTGAAGATACTTGCAAATTTAGAGTTATAAGTTTATCTTCTTCAAACTGAGTTTGTGAAAACAGGATTCTTTCTCTCTTTCCCTTTCTGTTTCTTTCTCTTCTTTCTTTCTTTCTTTCTCTTTCTTTCTTTCCCTTCCTCCCTCCCTTCCTTCCTCCCTTCCTTCCTTCTTTCTTTTCTCCCCTTAAAATAGTTTTTATTTTAAATACAGTCCCATGTTTAATAGTTAATTATAAGCATACAAATTTCTCCAAAATATCAAAATACTCTTCTTCTAAATGGAATAAAGTCAAGCTAAGCAAAGATCTAAAAATAAGTCTGTTAAGATGTTTAAATATAGAGAAAATCAACTTTAAAATGAGCATACATGTATTGCAATTAGAAAATAGGCTATGGTTGATGGAACACAGACACTATGGAGTCACTTTTTTATTGTGTATTTTTTAAATGCAGGAAATATATTCTGCAGAGATGTACTATGTCATTTCCAGAGGGGATCTTTTGGGTTACAGCTGAAAAACCAATATTCAAATACATGAAATATGCAACACAACATGAAAAACCAAATTAGTTGAAAACAGGTGTAATTTTCCCTCCAAATTCTCAGTCTCAATTTTGATTATTATATCAGAACTCAATACAAAGGGGTGAAACCCACACATAGTGGAACTAAAGTCTGAGGACAAAAATGTGTATTATACAATGTTTTTTCTAAATTTAGTTACACTTCTTAGATTCCCAGATTTGTTCTCCCTGATAGAAAAGGCACATCCTCATGACTTCAGTCTTCATTACAGCCAGGTCTTTGCACAAATGTCACTTTGTCCCTGAGATTTTCCTCTATGTATTCAAAACTGCACTCACTGGACACCAGGTATCACTTTTTTTTTCCTTACTTTGCTCCATTGTATATGCTATTTATTTTACTAATTTGCTTGTTAATTGACTTTTAGTTATAATTGGTATTATAATTTATTTGTTCAAAAATTCAAGGTGCATTAGGAATTTGCATCCATTAAGTTTCTTATGATTTAAGTCAGATAAACCTTGAAAATTTCTTTAATGTCCTAGAAATCTAAAAACTTCTTTATTCCCCATATTTGTCTTCCTATTAGTCATAGTCTTTCTCTGTCTCTCCTTTTGCTATCCCCTTTCTCTAAATTTTCCAGAGCCAAACCTGGAAAGTGGTTCTATCTTTACATGCAACCCAAAGGAACTAGTATGTGTTACTGGACATAGATCATGACTTCCTAAAACGTAAAATTATTTGTATATGCTCAGTAGAGCAACGGGATTATAGTCTGTTTTTTGTAGTATTCTTTGAGGAACTTGCATGTGTCTCTAAGCTGTGATGGCCACATTCTTAAGAAAGATGATTTTAGATTACAGTATTATTTAGAACTTGCATCCCACCTCTTCTTAATTTAAAAGTAAATCACTGTGTAGTAATTAATCTAATTTTAATTCCAAAAAATATAGAGATGGTGATGAAAGTATCTTGAATCGGAGATATGGGAAAGTGATTATTAATTTTGAAAACTTTACAGTGTTTGTTTACAGTTTGTTAAACTAAGAAGGCTAGGTATTTTTTATTTGAGTGAAAGAGTTCTGGAAGCTAGAGAAAGGTGTTGGAAGATTGCTATGTAGTTCAGGTACATTTGTATAGACCATTTATGACATGTAGATATAGTTAGTACATTTGTCATATCTAAGTTGTGTGAATGTGTTGCAATGTAAGTGTTGAAATACAACTGATATAATGGTCTATAGTCCTTCATGGATTATCTGTAGCAGTAGCTCCTGAACTATTTGACTATGAGAATCCTTTACAATGGCCATGAGGGTAGTTCTTTCAGTGTTTAGAAAATAACGAGAATTGTGATTAACAGAGAAATAGTTTCAAATGAATTTGAAGTTTACTAGTCATAATGTTCACTCATATTTGAAAAACAGTGGCACTTTTCTGTAAGGAATGCTACTTGTTTTGACTCCTATTTGCATTTTGTATGTGCTGAATTTGGGGTTCCTTGCAGCCATAACCTTTCCCCTCAGTGATCACTGCTCAGAGGTTGAGGACAACTTGTACTCTGGTCTGAAACCCCAAGGATATTCAACTGCTGCACCGGTTGTTCAGCAAGTGAAAGATTTCTGAGAATCATTTTGAACTAAGTCATGGCCATAGGGTTTACTCTGGGTGAAAAGGGAGCAGCATCTAATTTTTCACTATCTTTGAACCCCTGGCTAGAGGGTAGCATATATGTGTTGAGCAGAATGCTTAATAGTACCAATCTCATAGCTCATAGTACCAATCTCACATGTTGTAAAGATGAACTGAGTTCCAAATTTCAAAGCTCTTAAAATTGCGCCTGGAAAATAGAAACTGCTTATTAAGTGTCAGCTATTATTGGTGTTATTAATATTAGTCACTTGTTTCAAAGATTCATGGGACAATAGAAACTTTCATCCTGTATGTCGGATGAGGATTGATAAAGCTGTCTATGTCATGGGAATCTAAAAGTGCCCACCTGCTTTTACGTAATAGGTGCTGAGGATACAGGAGTGAATAAAACAGACAGTCTGTGCTCTCAGAAGTGTCTCTGTTTTTGTCAGAGATAGGTGCTTAACAACTAAATACACATCTAATTGTGTAATGAAATAATAGGTGCTCTGAAGGAGACATTTAGGGAATCACTAAGTTGAATTACAGGAGACCTGGTGAAAATTGGAGGATTAACAAAGAGTTCTTGGATGAAGTTACATTTGAGATCTAAAGCATGAGTGGGGATTTACCAGTTATAGATGGAAGGGGAAGGGGTGAACCATTCTCAGCAGAGGAAATGCCTCCACGTGAAGGCTCCCGACCTGCAGGGAAAACTGGAAGAGTCATGTGGCAAGACCGTAATCATTGCAGGAGGCTGCGGCTGCGCAGGCCAGGTCAAGTTGTGGATTTTGGATTTTGTCTTACAGATGATAAGAAGGAATTGAGGAATTTTTGCAAGAATTATTAAGTACTGGCTTAATCAGAGCACTTTGTCATCTATACTGTCAACTAAGAGGAATTGAAAGTAGGGCCACTAACACTGATGCTGAGGGAAGAACTCATATTTAAACATGTTGAGGACCGTAAGTTAGATCATCCATGAGACACTGAACAGCACAACACAGGTTTTATTTGAAGGCACTAATTTACAAAGCGTTAACTCAGTTTAGATCGGGCAAATTTAATAAAGCTATTTACGTGTCATTTTCTAGTTAGACATATGTGAATGTTTAAACCAAGACTGCTGGGTTACAAATCCCCTTTCTGCCATGTATTCACTGGGTGAACTCGGGTGAGGTATTTTCTGCATATCAGTGTTCTCATCTGTAAAATCAGGGTGAAAATATTGTTCTAATGATTAAATAAGTTAATATATGCAAAGTAACTTGAAGAACTCTTGGCACATTGTAAACTCTTAAAACATTGAGAGGCACAATCATAGTTTATGGAGTACCTGGTACTCAGCACTCCATTAGATTCTGTCAGGGCATAAATAAGAGCAAGTAGTTTCTAATTCATAGTAGTTTTGTGAGACTAAAAAGCGATGATATATATAAAGTTTCTGGCATGGGCAATAGCAAATAATAAACACTCAATAAATGTAAGAGCTTCAGGAAATTAAACAAGAGCCTATCTAAAGATGAGTCCAGGTTCTCCAGAGGGTCAAGCAATGAAGGTAAAGTTCAGAGTCTACCTGAATCATTCTAGAGCTTTATGTCTTTGAATGTTTTCTTCTTGTAGTTATTTGAAGACTGTTAATAAATAGAGTTCTGAATTATGCAATAGACAGAACACATGATAAGGATATCAGGAAAGCAGAGACATCTAAAAGTGAAAGGGGAGGATATTTTTCTGAGAGGAATTAGATATGAAAATAAATTTTTGGCAGGGCGCAGTGGCTCATGCTTGTAATCCCAGCACTTTGGGAGGCCAAGGTGGGAGGATCACCTGAGGTCGGGAGTTTGGGACTAGCTTGACCAACATGGAGAAGCCGGGAGTGTTGGTGCCTGCCTGTAATACCAGCTACTCGGGAAGCTGAGGCAGGAGAATTGCTTGAACCTGGCAGGCGGAGGTCACAGCGGGCTGAGATTGCGTCATTGCACTCCAGCTTGGGCAGCAAAGAACAAAACTCCATCTCAAAAAAGAAAAAAAAAAGACAAAAAGAAAATAAATTGTGTTAAAAAAGATTAAAGTTATCGGCATGAGAAAATAGCTTTGCTAGTCTTACACTTATTTTATACATGTGTATGACCATGCCTCTATCTCTCTATATAGATATTTTATTTTGAATTACCCATTCAAGACACTTTAATCTTCTCAACGACTAAGGTCCTCTAAAGATCAGAATCCGCCCCTGGAGGTAGAGTACTAGCAGATGGAGCATACAGCATTTGACCAAGGCATTCAAGTGCCTCCAAGGAAAAATCTGCCATGGTTGTGTGTGTGTAAGGATGATTCATTGTCACAAGAAATTCATAAGTAGGATCTCTAGGGCACATCTTAAAAAGTAGATGTCTGCTGGCCACATTCATTTATTCATCAATGTGTTAAATATTTATTAAATACCTACTGTATCAGTAGAGGCCTGGTAAGGAAAACAGAAATCACACTAGTTAAGAGAGCATTTTGTAACAGGATTGATGAAACAGGTATTAAAGGACTGAAACTGTAAAAAGGGAACAATGATGTAACATGTAGCAACAAGGTAAAGACAGCAACCGCCTGAAGCAGATACTGCCCTGGGGCTGGGAGATCAGAGGGAAGAGGCTTGGGTTGTTAGAAACTAGAAGCCTGCGAATGTGGAAGGAAAGCAAGACTTCTGAGGAGGGCTATAGCGGGGTGGAGATGAAAGCGTCCTATGGGGAAGGGCTCACAGAGGTGGAATTCAGAACTTGATTGAGGGGCTGCTGTCTGACAGTTGTTAGTGTCTCAGATGGGGTTCTGTGAAGCTGGTTGTGGGGATGTGGGAAAAAGCTGGAAACTGGAATCAACCGCTGCTGCGAGAACAGCAGGAAAATAGGAAGAAGCAAGTCTGTTCTCCATCTTCCTGCCTCCTAATATCTTTCAGTGCTCTTGCCTGGCAAAAGCTAACAAGAATCTAGCTGGCAAGGGAGGAGGGTGGTTTGCCAAGTTCTAGCCTCATGTAGTAGAATTTAGAAGGGTGGATTTGGAGCTGAGAGTAAAAGCTTAATATCCAGCAGAACTGCTATGTACCACATATTATGCCAAACACAGCTATGAGCAAAACAAAATCTTTGCTTTCATAGACCTTAAATTCTAGAATCGATGACAAAATAAAAGGATAAATAAATTCTATTATTTCAGATACATTGTGAAGAAAAAATAAACAAAACAAAAAGGAGAGAAAAAGCTTGGGCTAGGAAAGAAGTGGGTGTGAGGGAGGCTGTATTAGAAACGTGATCCAAGGAAAGAAAAACTGAACGGAGTTCACGGAGATGAGAAGAAGCTTTGTGAAGATCTGATGTAATCACATTCTGGGCAGACAGAACAACAAATATTAAAAAAGCATCCTGGCATGAGGAAAGCAGTTTGGAAATGCAGGCATGAGACAGATCATATGAGACAGGAAATTATGTTTTATTTTATTCCAGGTGAAATGGGGAGATCCTAGAGAATGTTCAGCAATCTGATTTGTGTATTAAAAATATGATTCTGTCTGTTGTGTTCAGAATGGACCTAGATGGATAAGAGGGACCATAAATGATCACAGATGTGTTTCATTTGGCTTTCACTTAGTTAAAAAATGAAGCAACACTTAAATGTTGTTAAATTTCTAAGACAAATTAAACCTCTGACTTCCCTTGAAATATCGGAAGATCTGACATTACTGGGCTCACAACATGGCAACCACCTGTTGGTACTAAATGGGCTCTTGGCTTTCTAGAAGGAGAAGTAAGTTTCAATTTACCCCTACACACTCAGGTCTCACTTACTCTGACATGTCTATTGCCTTCATTAATATAAATGGCCTAGACTCTACATGCATTTGAGTCTGTGACCCCTGGACTTTTCTTCTGGCCCTCAAGCAAATGCTTTTCATCATCCCTCCACTTATAATGATTTATTTTCTTTCAGCCCTCAGGTGTCCAGAATGGAATCAAATATAACTCTTGAGTCCTGACACCCTTCCATCCCTGGTTCAGATATGGGCCACACTTTTCTAGACAATGGAGGGGAGAAACATGGCAGAATTCCAAGTTCTTCTCTATTTCATCCTTTCACAGCCAGCCTTGAAGCCTCTTGCCCCAGATCAAAGAGTAGACTTTCTCCCAATAACAATTCCCAACAGCTACTAAGAGCTCAGGGTGTCCTCTCAGTGTCTCGTTTTTCGACACATTTCTTCTCTCATTCCTCTGCATGAGTCGTAGGAGAAAGAGTATTCATGCTAGGTTGGAAACTGGAGACAGAATCTTATGATAGGACATGTTTTCCAAGCATGACAGTCAGTCTCCTACAGAGCTGCTTTAAAACATGAGCAAAGGGAAGATATTAGTTGAGGTTCTCCAGAGAATACATAACCAATTATATATATATATATAAATATATATTTATATATATAAAAATATATATATAAATATATATTTATATATATTAGATATTACATATGTATTATATATAACATATGTATTATATATAATATATATTAGATATTACATATGTATTATATATAATATATATTAGATATTAGATATTACATATGTATTATATATAATATATATTAGATATTACATATGTATTATATATAATATATATTAGATATTACATATGTATTATATATAATATATATTAGATATTAGATATTACATATGTATTATATATAATATATATTAGATATTACATATTACATATGTATTACATATATATTAGATATTACATATTACATATGTATTACATATATTATATATTATATATATATTAATTATAACTAACAACTGTCAGGCAGCAGCCCCTCAATCAAGTTCCAAGTTCTACCTCTGTGAGCCCTGCCCCACAGGAGCTTTTAGGTCTACCCAGCTACACCCCCTCCTCAGAAGTCTTGGTTTCCTTCCACATTCACAGGCTTCTAGTTTCTAAAAACCCAAGGGCAGTATCTGCTTCAGGCAGTTGCTGTCTTTATGTTGTTGTTGCAAGTTACATGTCATAATTATAGATATAATATATAATTATATATAATATATAATATATATTATATATAATAATTATATATAATATATTATAGAATTAATAATTATATATTCTATATATTACATAAACATATAATATATAATTATTAATTTATATATATATTTATATATAATATATAATTATTAATTTATATATATATATTTATATATAATATATAATTATTAATTTATATATATATATTTATATATAATATATAATTTATATAATGATATATAACATATAATTATATATTATATATAATTCATAATTATTAATTATATATTATATATAATTATATGTTATATAGAATTTATATAATTATATATAATATATGATTATATATTATATATAATTTATAATTATTAATTATATATTTATATATATAATTAAATATATATTTATTTAATATTTATTTAATAAATATAATATATATTTATTTATATATTATATATAATTTATATAATTATATATATTTATATATATAATTATATATTATAATATCTATAATTATCTCACATTGAAATCATGGACAACATAATTCAATAAAAACAATTCATGACAATGTAATTATCCAAATTGTATTTTAAACACAACTCTATCCTAACCTGACTGTTATACATGCCAAGGTGTCTGTGGGATTTGTCGTGATGATTCATATACTTTATATATAGCATAAAATGATTGTGTATGTGAAAAGAAGAATGCAGCAAGCAAATAAGACACATTGCAATTGTATCCTCCAAAATTTTAGTAAAACTTTCCCTTTATTTTCAGGCCAGGTGTGATGGCTGTGGCTCACGTCTGTAATATCAGCAATTTGGGAGGCCCAGGCGGGCAGATCACTTGAGGTCAGGAGTTCAAGACCAGCCTGGCCAACAAGGTGAAACCTCATCTCTATTAAAAATACAAAAAATATTAGTTGGGCATGGTGGTGCACGCCTGTAATCCCATATACTTGGGAGGCTAAGGGAGGAGAATCACTTGAATCTGGGAGGCAGAGGTTGCAGTGAGCTGAGATCCTGCCACTGCACTCCAGCCTGAGTGACAAACAGAGATTCCCTCTCAAAAATAAAACAAAACACCAACAACAAAACCTCTTTTTCTTATTTTCAGTGTGTCTGAGAAAATGATACACTTCTCTTTCCCAAAACACCTTCTCCAAATAGAATATTAAGAGGAAATAAAACGTATTTTTAAGCATTTAACATAGACTTAGTATTTGATTCATTATTCAGTCCCATTCAATTATTAAGTAGTTAGAGTTCCAAAACGAAAAAAGTAAGATGTGAGGAGTTTTTTTATGAGTAGTTTTATTATCATCTGGCTGTTTATTTAAAAACGAAGAGCTAAAATATGGAAAGTCAGAATCAAAGCTGTACTGTACCAAAAACAAAAATCTAAAACTATGGAGAACACTAAATTTATGTAATGTAGCATTTTCCTAAGTCTTCTGCAGTTTGAAACGGAAAATTAGAAAGATGTAAACTTCTTCAGAACAGGGATTACTTCTTATTCAGATGTATCTCTACTGCCTAGTAAAAGGCCTTACATATTCATGGGCAGATATTTAAGAAATCTTAATTAGATGACTACTAAATAAGAGAATATACATCTGAATGTTTTTATTATATTATGGTTATTATAAAATGGATTACTTTGGGCAGTATGGCCATTTTCATGATATTGATTCTTCCTATCCATGAGCATGGAATGTTTTGCCATTTGTTTGTGTCCTCTTTTATTTCCTTGAGCAGTGGATTGTAGTTCTCTTTGAAGAGGTCCTTCACATCCCTTGTAAGCTGGATTCCTAGGTATTTTATTCTTTTTGTAGCAATGGTGAATGGGAGTTCACTCATGATTTGGCTCTGTTTGTCTGTTATTGGTGTATAGGAATGCTTGTGATTTTTACTCAGTGATTTTGTATCCTGAGACTTGGCTGAAGTTGCTTATCAGCTTAAGGAGATTTTGGACTGAGACGATGGGGTTTTCTAAATATACAATCATGTCATCTGCAAACAGAGACAATTTGACTTCCTCTCTTCCTATTTGAATACCTTTATTTCTTTCTCTTGCCTGATTGCCCGGGCCAGAACTTCCAATACTATGTTGAATAGGTGTGGTGAGAGAGGGCGTCCTTGTCTTGTGCCGATTTCGAAGGGAATGCTTCCAGCTTTTGCCTATTTAGTATGATATTGCCTGCGGGTTTGTCATAAATAGCTCTTATTATTTTGAGATATGTTCCATCAATACCTAGTTTATTGAAAGTTTTTAGCATGAAGCGTGTTGAATTTTATCGAAGGCCTTGTCTGCATCCATTGAGATAATCCTGTGGTTTTTGTTATTAGTTCTGTTTATGTGATGGATTACGTTTATTGATTTGCATATGTTGAACCAGGCTTGCATCCCAGGGATGAAGCCAACTTGATTGTCACGGATAAGCTTTTGAAGTGCTGCTGAATTCGGTTTGCCAGTATTTAATTGAGGATTTTTGCATCGATGTTCATCAGGAATACTGGCCTGAAATTTTCTTTTTTGTTGTGTCTCTACAGGGTTTTGGTATGAGGATGATTCTGGCCTCATAAAATGAGTTAGGGAGGAGTCCCTCTTTTTCTATTGTTTGCAATAGTTTCAGAAGCAATGGTACTAACTCCTCTTTGTACTTCTGGTAGAATTTAGCCGTGAATCCGTCTGGTCTTGTGTTTTTTTTTGTTTTGTTTTGTTTTTATTGGTAGGCGATTAATTACTGCCTCAACTTGCGAACTTGTTGTTGGTCTATTCAGGGATTTGACTTCTTCCTGGTTTAGTCTTTGGAGGGTGTATGTGTCCAGGATTTATCCATTTCTTCTAGATTTTCTAGTTTCTTTGCGTAGAGGTGTTTATAGTATTCTCTGATGGTAGTTTGTATTTCTGTGGGGTCAGTGGTGATATCCCCTTTATGAATTTTTATTGTGTCTATTTTATTCTTCTCTCTTTTCTTCTTTATTAATCTGGATAGTGGTCTATCTATTTTGTTAATCTTTCAAAAAACCAGCTCCTGGAATTAGAAAAAGCTAATTTAAATTTCATATCAAACCAAAAAAGAGCCCATATGCTAAGACAATCCTAAGCAAAATGAACAAAGCTGGAGGCATCACGCTACCTGACTTCAAACTATACTACAAGTCTACAGTAACCAAAACAGCATGGTACTGATACCAAAGCAGATATATAGACCGATGAAACAGAACGGAGGCCTCAGAAGTAATACCACACAAATACAATCATCTGATCTTTGACAAACCTGACAAAAACAAGCAATGGGAAAAGGATTTCCTATTTAATAAATGGTACTGGGAAAACTGGCTAGCCATATGCAGAAAACTGAAACTGGACCCCTTCCTTACACTTTACACAAAAATTAACTCAAGATGGATTAAAGACTTGAACATAAGACCTAAAACCATAAAAACCCTAGAAGAAAACCTAGGCAATACTATTCAGGACATAGGCATGGTCAAAGACTTCATGACTAAAACACCAAAAGCAATGGCAACAAAAGCCAAAATTGACAAATGGGATCTAACTAAACTAAAGAACTTCTGCACAGCAAAAGAAACTATTATCAGAGTGAAAGGCAACCTACAGAATGGGAGAAAATTTTTGAAATCTATTCACCTAACAAAGGGCTAACATCCAGAATCTACAAGGATATAAACAAATTTACAGGAAATAAAAAAACAACAACCTCATCAAAAAGTGGGTGAAGGATATGAACAGACACTTCTTGAAAGAAGACATTTATGTGGCCAACAAACATATGAAAAAAAGCTCATCATCACTGGTCGTTAGAGAAATGCAAATCAAAACCACAATGAGATACCATCTCACACTAGTTAGAATGGCAATCATTAAAAAGTCAGTAAACAACAGATGCTGGAGAGATTGTGGAGAAATGGGTAAATTGGTTCAACCATTGTGGAAGACAGTGTGGTGATTCCTCAAGGACCTGGAACCAGAAATAACATTTGACCCAGCAATCCCATTACTGGGTATATACCCAATGGATTATAAATCATTCTGCTATAAAGACACATGCACATATATGTTTATTGCAGCACTGTTTACAATAGCAAAGACTTGGAACCAACCCAAATGCCCATCAATGATAGACTGGGTAAAGAAAATGTAGCACATATACACCATGGAATGCCATGCAGCCATAAAAAAGAATCAGTTCATGTCCTTTGCAGGGACATGGATGAAGTTGGAAAACATCATTCTCAGCAAACTAACACAGGAACAGAAAACCAAACACCATATATTTTCACTCATAAGTGGGAGCTGAACAATGAGGACACATTGACACAGGGAGGGGAACATCACACACTGAGGCCTGTCAGAGGGTGAGGGACTAGGGGAGGGATGGCATTAGAAGAAATACCTAATGTAGATGACAGGTTGATGGGTGCCGCAAACCACCAAGGCATGTGTATACCTATGTAACAATACTGCACATTCTGCACATGTATCCCAGAACTTAAAGTATAATAATAATTCAAAAAATGGAAATCGGTGGATGCTAAAACCTCACAGGTAAGTTCAATGTTGGCTTCAACAAAACTTGGGAATGGTTCATTGATTTGCTTTTATATATATATACATATATATATATACTTATATATATACATATATATACATATATATACATATATATACATATATATACATATATATACATATATATATACATATATATACATATATATATATTCTCAAAGTGATTTATGTTTAGATTAATAGGAGTTCATATTTAACACACACACACACACAGAGAGAGAGAGAAATATTGAACTGCTTCTGCTTTGTATATTGAAGAAGACGTTTTTTGACCTTAGTAATACGATGTGCTTAGTGTCAATAGGTCCCTTCTAAAATTCAATTATCTGTATCTATCAGCCTGAAGCAAGGAAATAAAGGATACTAACATTTATCTTTGGAAGCTGTTTAATCCAATGCAGTCCCTTTTTACTTTACTAATTGATATGGTTTATATTTGTGTCCTTACCCAAATCTCATGTCTAATTGTAGTCATCAATGTTGGAGGAAGGGCTTGTTGGGAGGTGATTGGATCATGGGATGGACTTCCTACTTGGTGCTCTTGTGATAGTGAGTGAGTTCCCACAAGATCTGGTTGTTTAAAAGTGTGTATCACTTCCCCCTTCTCTCTCTCTCCCTCCTGCTCTGGCCATGTAGGACATGGCTTGCTTCCCCTTTGCCTTTTGCCATGATTGTAAGTTTCCTGAGGCCTCCCCATTGATGCTTTCTGTACAGCCTGTGGAAGTATGAGCCAATGAAACCTCTTTTCTTTATAAATTATGCAGTTTCAGATAGTTCTTTATAGCAATGCAAGAACTGACTAACACACTAATATTCTACCTTGCTCAATTTTGCCTTCCTTCCTACCACTTCCCCCGCCACCATGTTTCTTACTGGGTCAGTCCTCCCAAGTCATCTCCTGCCACTGACAGCCACTTCCAGGTTGGTATCATTTAACAGAGATTCATCAACAAGGAAAGGCTTAATGAACCAAAAATTCCTCCACTTTACTGGAAACATCTGAAGTAAATGATCAAGTATGTGCTAGAAGATTTTAGGGAGCAATCATTACTAGACTGCTCTTCAACCAACCAGCCCTCAGGGGTCCCCAAACCCCAGGCTACAGAGCAGTACACGTCCCAGGTCCCCGGTCTGTTAGGAACTGGGCCGCACAGCAGGAGGTGAGCAAGCATTACCACCTGAGCTCTGCCTTCGGTCAGATCGGTGCTGGCATTTGATTCTTTTAGGAGCAAGAACCCTAGTGTGAACTGTGCATGCAAGGGATCTAGCTTACATACTCCTTATGACAGTCTATTGCCTGATGATCTGAGGTGGAACAGTTTTATCCCAAAACCTTCCCCCACCCAGCTCCCTTCACCCCCAGTCTGTGGAAAACTTGTCTTCCACAAATCTAATCCCTGGTGCCAAAAAGGCTGGGGACTGCTGTTCCATCTAGTTCACTATATTGTAAGAAAAAATACATTAAATTTTCTTAGAAGTTACTAGAAATTAAGTAAAAAGTAACCAGATGCTTTATTCACTCCCTGCCCTGTGGTGTGAATACAAAGAGACTTTTCTGTGATCTGATTCTGTTTGGACAGGTAGGGTGAGAGAGACGCCACAATAAAATAAGCAGTTTGGTGACTCAGCAACATTACTTAATTTGTTTTCATGATCCAAACATAGCAGTCAATTTAAAATTGATGGAAAACTTCTAAAAAAGTAGCACTCTTTGCAGAATGAGACCCTGACGGTGGTCTATGTCAGAAAAACAAACATGAACTATAACCAGACTACTTTTTTTTTGTCCATTCCCAACTCTGGCACAAGAGTTCAGAAGTATTTATTTATTAAAAAAAATTTTAAAAATCATTTTATTAAGGTATAATTGATGCATAAAAAGTTGTACATATTGAATATAACAACTTGATGAGTTTGGGGATAAGTATACACCAGAGAAATTATCCCCATCAAGGCCATAGGTTATGTTTGTCAAGGACATACCTATCATCTTCAGTCTCCATTCTTATTATTATTGTAACACTTAATATGAATCCTACCCTCTCTGCAAATTTTAAGTACACAATGCAATATTGATATTTGTAGGCACTATACTGTATATAGAGCTCCAGAACTTATTTATCTTGCACAACTGAAAGTTTGTACCCTTTGGCCATCACCTCCCTTGGAGTCCAGAATTTTTTTTTTTTAATGTTTAACTAGGCTTTGACTGAAACATATGTGCACAGCCCCACCCCTACACACATACACACATATAATTTTGCACTCCTCTCTTTCTAAGTAATAGGACTCTTATTTTCTCTTATTTCACCCATTGGTTGTCCTGTACACTGGCATTTATGAATTGACTCTATGGAATGAGTTATCAGGTTTAACTTAGTCTTTGTAATATTGTGTCTGCTCTTATCCTGCTCTGTTCTGGATGCTCAGTTCAATCTTTTGGGAGCACTTTGGAACTAAGGTGATATTTTATGGGAGAAAATGTATAAAAGGCCGGAGAGGTGGCTGTAGAGATGTTAGGCTACAGAAGAACTGTATCTCAAGAACGTTGTGACTACAAGGCTCAGGAGACCACTGGTGCAATAGGGTACTTTTATTTTCCAATCCTAAAACCTGCAAAGGGCATGGAGTAAAAGCAGAAACTTTTTTCTGAATCCACATTTCAGAAGCTTTTTTTGGCCACACACTATTCGCCTTGGATAAGTTGTTTAACCTTTCTGAGACTCAGTTTTCATTTCCAATATTAGCCTATCATCTGTATTTAGGATCATAAAGAAATCACAGCAGTTTAATTATACTAGGAAAAGTAAGGTATAATAATTTTAATATTTATACTTTTTTGAGGTATAACACTGTATTAAAACATTACATTTCTTGGGCAAACGATATAAAATGGTTATGATTCACAGCTAATAAGTAAAAATCAAGAAAAAAAGTAGTCTTTAGAAAAACATCTTAAGGTATACAATTCAAAGAAATAAAGCTGGTATTCTAGATCTCCTCAATGTGAAAGTATGATAATCAGTAAGAAATAATTGTATAATTTGATTTTTCCCAAGAATGCAGTGCAAACTGCTGGTGATGAATTTCTTGCCTATTTAATAACATAGAACAATCCTTCAAGATTTCTTTCGGCAGTCAGATTAAATTATATGTCCCTTCCCACACCTACCTTATCACTTGAGTTCATACAAAACCGATTTTTAAAAATAAACTTGTTGATAGGTGCACATTCACACACATACACATATGGGTTGGAAAACAAAGACTAGATATGGTGCTATCTAATTTTGGTTTAAAACTAAATAGCAAATAGCAAATGATTTTGCCACTATGAAAATATAGGTGTTCCATATAACATAAATTTAAACTCTTTAAGATTGAGCGAAAAATAATATTCAAAAATTTTCCTGATTTTTATCCCAATTGTATTTTAAATTCCAATTGATAGAACTTTCAGAATAGCATATAAGTTACTTAGATCATTTCTCTGGTATTTTTATTTTGCTTTTATCCAAAGATAAATGCTTTAGAAAAAGACTCAGCACACATAAACAAGTTTTTATAAGCATTTAAACAACTGGGAGGGGGATGAGAAACCTTTAGAGACTGCCTCTGCAGCACTTTCTGGGCAAAACTTTGAATACCATAAACATGTATTGCTATTTCCCACATAACCCAAAGACCCAAAGGCTAGTATTTACCATCAGTCAATAAGAAAAGACCCCAAACCACATATTAGGTTGTGTAACTTTTCAATGTTCCCTATAAATGAGAAGCAGGGTCCTATTTCATGCAAGATTGGTGTGTGCCCAAGCTCAACCCTTGCCAGAATTTGCCGGCTAGATTGGCTGGTGAATAAATTTGCCTTCTGCTTTCTTTTCTGTTAACTGAAAAATTAAATGAACAGGTGCAATTGTAAATGCTGTCAACAGTATTTGCATTGTATTTTTAGAATGCAGTAGCATTGTAGTTTGAATGATTTATCTTCTAATTATCTGTCAAACTGATGTTATTAAATATCATGCTCCACCATGGGTTTCATGTAAATAGCCTAATTAGCCCCCATTCTAGCTCCAAAGGGCACCTCCACAGCATATCTGGAATTTGAAAAGAGAGAACCTTTTCCCTTTTGCCTCTTAACAAAAATGCTACTTCTTCTTCTTTTTTCTTTCTGTGCTGCAAGAGATTTATGGGCTTTAACTTCCAGCCCACAGGGTAGAAGATCAGGCTCCAAGCCTTCATTTACTCTTGAAAGTTATTGCACATTCTCTGCTCTAACTGCCTTGCCCTTCAGGATGCCATAGGTGGAGTCATAACTCTATATTAACATTTGGAAATGGCTTTTATCTTTTGGGTCATTTTATGGTGTCATTTCAGTGAGTTACTCATTTGGAATACTACTTAGTTGTATGGCTAAAATATTCTCCCTGTACTGTTATAAAATAATTAAATTGCTTTTGATATAATGAATGAGTTTAAGTTTGCATAAAGTTTCCACTCCAGTGTAGTGATGATAGGAGAGAACTGACTTGATGAAGATCCAGGAAAAAGACCAATATACATAAACATTGCAATGAACTATCTTGAGAGCCTCAGTGTAGACTTGTAGAATTGAGCAAGAGAGTGTCTTGAAGTCAGATTAATTTTTTTAAGGCTGTCACATATATATATGGCATATATATAATGCCATATATGTTATGCCATATATATATGTATTAGCTTGTGAACTCACTTAAAATTAGTTTTTTTCCAAAACATATTCTTATCACATAGAGAGATTATTATGATGTCTCTCTAATCCTCCACACACTTAAACAAATTAAAAGGAACAAAATTTAGCAAGCCATAAGGGTGATATAGACATAAGCCCTCCCTTGTAGTTGTTGTTTTTGTACTCTCATTTGTGTCTTTGAATTTAAAACAGTCAGAGTCTTGTGAGATATAGCCTAACTTTTATTTTAGGGGAGCCAAGTCTCTCAGGCATGCTTAAGGTTGCAGACTGAAAAAATAGAGCTAAGTTTCCTATTTGTTTGAATAATTTAGGTACTTTTATTCTGATTTTGTTTTAATCTAAATTGCCTCTAGCTAAAATGGGACTTATCTCTTTCCACAATGACAAATTATCACAGCTCAAATCCTTAGAATCTTTTAAGCTCTTTTTTTTTTTTTTTTTTGCATAGTCAACCAGAGTAGGGACACTCCAGCCAAAAACTACTTTAGCAATGCAAACTTCAAGTTTCTCTGAAACGGAAGAGACAGAGTGTGCAAAACAATGTAAAGGAAAACAAACCAGTGAAATCTCTGGATTTCATAAACCTTCTTTGGAGACTTCGAAAGGCAGCATGACTGATTCTGGTTCAGCAAGAATTTGTTTATTCTGCTTATCTCTGGTCAGACCTAACAGCCTTAATGGTTTTGAAGAGCTCTAGCTGGTTCTGGGTTGATGTAGCCATTTGGAGGTTAATGTACCTATTTACAACTGATCATAGTTCCACATATTATTTGTAACACGTACACTATAGGTTGTTATGAGATTTGCGGTCCAATGAAATAAATACCATCCACTTTTAATTCCTCAAAGCATACCATCGAAGTATCAAGCAGACACAGGTGAATACCTTTCCAAGTTTGGATGCACACTGAAAGATAGCTATGGGTCCACTGACCATGACAGACAAAAACCAAACACAAGTAAAAAATAATTGTAATTCCAGATTTTGATGGCATTCTTTTTAATTCAAAATTTCACAAAGTTAAAAAAAATGAATATAAAGAAATTGACATCACCGTGGAGTTTAGTAGTGAAGAAACAGACTGGGTGGACTGGAACATTTTGTGTTCATATAATTAAACACACATAAGGGCTGACTTGAAGTAAATGACCCAAGAATTACATAGTCCTTGCGTCTTACTTCTCTGAAACAGGTAACAATTCTACCCTTCTATAAAGAGATTCAACAAGCAATATTGTAGACAAGTGGTTCAAAGTCTTGATTGTTTATTTTATTCAACTGGGGAGCTCTTAAAATGTTACTAGTGCCCGAGTCTAAATAGATACTAACGAAGTTGAATATATGAACCCCCGAATTTGTTTTTCAAAGGTGCTCAGGTGATTCTAATGTTCAACCAGAGTTGGGAACCAACAGTTGGAGATCAGTGGACCAGTGGTTTTCAAAGTTTAGCTTATCTCAGGTCACCAGGAGAGCTTGTTAAGACACGGGCCTCAACCCCAGAGTTTTTGATTCAATAGGTCTTTGATGGGGGTAGATAATTTAATTCCTAATAGTGTTCTAGGTGATCCTAGGTGCTACTGATGCTGCTACTCCAGGGACCACACTTTGAGAACCATGTTTGCGGATAATGCTGCACATGTGAGAAAATACACAGTACCCAGTTACAGTAATCATGTTTATTTTGGCTGACTGAGAAAAATCAATTTTTAAAAAAGTGTAACAGGATGTTAAAAAGAAAGTTTCTGCTGAAGCCTCAAAAATAACACTTGTCAGAGAGAAATGTGAAACTGACAATCTATTTAAACTTGAAAAAGAAGGCAATGATGAAACAATTGTACAACTCTTAAATTCTTTTCTCATATTGAGGTTAAAAAGGCTGAAAGAAGATTTTTAAAGATTTTTTTCAGAGAGAGCTATGCTATAAAACCTACCTACCTCCAAAGGGAATGTTAGTGTTACCGTCTCTCTTGGTTTGCCCAATAAAGGGGTTCCCCAGGACAGGGAACTTTTCATGCTAAAGCTGGCATAGTCCTGGCAAACCAGGACAGTGGGTTATCCTTAGGTGGTGCCTCATCATGAGCCTAGTAAAAGCACTTGGAGAGCAGGAGACAAAATTCTTGGATGCTCAAGTCTCTTATATAAATGGTATAGTATTTGCACATACCCTACACACATCCTCTGTAAAATGTAAATCATCTCTAAATTATGTATAATACCTATTACAATGCAAATGCTATTAACCAGACAATCAATTCCACCATTAATCCTCAGGGTTCTCTGATTGGTCTAACTTGCTTATTTCTGAATAGAGTAGAATAGAGTGAATAGTTGTTATACTCTGTTTTCATTCATGTTTGTTTAATTGTCATATTGTTATTTTGTATTTTTGTGTCCCCCAAATCTTTTTGGTCACTTTTTGGTTGAATCCAGGAATGGAGAATCCTTGGATACAAAGTACTGACTATATAGACACCACAGTCCATACTGTGAAAGTACTTAGCAATTACTCAATAAAAGTTGGATGAGTGAGTCATTTGTAAGTATCTTTTCTTTCCTTATTTGCAGTGAATTGCTTCTAGGTCTCTTTTAAAATAGTCTTGTGGTAAGGCTTATAAGGTTAAACCTGAGGCTGGTAATTTCTTACATCATAAAACATTTTTAAAATTAAAATGTAACATTAAGCCATAAAGGTTTCCCAAGGGTGCCTTATGAATCTACCAAAATTTTTAATTTCTTTAATCTCTCCAGCACACTTTCACTTGCATTCTTTTCCAAGAAATATAACATTAAAATTTCAGTTAAGGACAGAATTTTACAGACCTAGTGAAATGGGAAGGATGCCAGCAGGTGACTCCATAGAGTACTGTCTTTTTTTATGTGTAAAAATGTGACATCACTGAACCTCTATTAATAATGCAAATTGCTGTTAAGAAGAAACTCGAATGGGTATTGCTATAGTTTGGATGTTTGGCCCATTCAAATCTCATGTTGAAATTTGATACCAATGTTCGAGTTGGGGCCAAATGGGAGGTATCTGGGTCATGGGGGTGGATCTCTTATGAATAGATTAATACCTTCTCTTGGAGGTGGGTGAGTTCTCACTCTTATTAATGAGAACTGGTTTTTAAATAAAAGGCTGGCACTTCCCCCCATTGCTTCCTCTCTGTCCATGTAATCTCTGCATATACCAGTTCCCCTTCTCCTTCCACCATGAGTGGAAGCAGACTGAGACCCTCACCCAATGCAGATGCTGGCACCAGGCTTCTTGTACAGACTGCAGAACCATGGCCCCAATAAACCTCTTTTTATTTATAAGTTACCCAGCCTCAGGTTTTGCTTTATAGCAACACAAATTGACTAAGACAGGTGTGAACAAGAAAGAGTTGGGGCCATTTGGAATTCTTTGAAAACACATTGATGATTTTTTCTCAGTAGGTAACAAAATCTCCTTTATGAACTATTCAGTTATTCTCTAATGGATAGATCAGAGCTTAGGTACAATTTTATACTACTGGTATAGAATCATGGACCTTGTTTTTCAACAGCCTCTCCTAAAATTAGATTAATGATATAACTAAAAACTGACTAAAGCTTGAGCTCACCTCCTGTGACATCCGCATAAGAATGATCCTTAACAGTATGTCAATGGAGGGAGTAAACATATATTTTGCTAGTAGGACTGCATGTATGTGTGTGTTTTTCACTGCATATTTGGAGTCGGCTTGGATCACTTGAAATGTCTGAGGAACAAAATGAGATTAAAAAAAGTAGGGCTGATATTGAGAACAGCTGCTTCACCTTTGATTGTACCTTCAGTATTAGTTTGCTAGGGCTGCCATAAAAAATGCCATAGGTTGGATGGCTTAAACAATATAAATTTATTTTCTCATGGTTCTGGATTATATATAAATGTCCAAGATCGAGGTATTGGCAAGTTTGATTTTTTTTCCCAGTCCTCTCTCCTTGGCTTGCATGCATCCATCTTTTTACTGTGTTTTTACATCATATTCTCTCTGTGTTCATCTGTGTCTTAATCTCCTGTCTTATAAGAACATCAGTTGTACTGAATGCAGGTCCACACATATGACCTCATTTTATCTTTTATATATATATATATATATATTTTATTATACTTTAAGTTCTAGGGTACATGCGCACAACGTGCAGGTTTGTTACATATGTATACATGTGCCATGTTGGTGTGCTGCACCCATTAACTCATCATTTACATTAGCTATATCTCCTAATGCTATCCCGCACCCCTCCCCCGACCCCACAACAGGCCCTGGTGTGTGATGTTCCCCTTCCTGTGTCCCAGTGTTCTCATTGTTCAATTCCCAAAATGTGGCACATATACACCATGGAATACTATGCAGCCATAAAAAATGATGAGTTCATGTCCTTTGTAGGGACATGGATGAAGCTGGAAACCATCATTCTCAGCAAACTATCACAAGGACAGAAAACCAAACACCGCATGACCTCATTTTATCTTAACTGCCTCTTTAAGGACCCTATCTCCATACAGTTATCTCTGAGCCTCTTGGGGTTAGAATTTCAATATATTAATTTTGAGGAAACATGGTTCAACCCACGACACTTTCTAATTTACAATGAATATAGTTCTGATGGGTTATAGAAAAAACAACTTGTTATTTCTTCAGAAATACTATTCAGTAAATGAATATTCTCTTCTTATTAATAGGGAGAGTCAGACTTTAGAGATTAAAAGCTTTGTCCAAAGTCTCTGGTTGAACTTATATTGGACTGCAGGGTTTTCTTTAACATTTCTTTTACTCCATCACCATACCAATTTTTCACTCATTTCAGTTGGAAGAATGACAACAATACAACATGGAAGTGAAAAATAAGAAAAAACTAAGAGTTGGGTAAGACAAGGTAGATGGTAGCACATGGAAGGCCACTTTGGGTAGGAGCATTGGAGTATTTCTGTGGGCATGGGCACAGAACACTGGGCACTGATAATGGGTCATGCTGCTTTTTCACATGACTGAGTGCATTGAGGTTATTTGATCAAGTCAACAGTTGACTTTATCCATTTTATAAGACTTTAAGAAATATTCAATAGTTTCAATTTGGCTAATCTATTCCAACTCCTCAGGAAAAAAAAAAGTCCAACTCAAAAGCTTAGTAATAGCTAGAACTGTTAAATTAACCCACATTTAGTTGTATCTTTATGATTAGTACCATCTTTTTGGTCTAGTACATTTAACAATAACAACAACAAAAATAAGTATGAAGAGACGTCCCTGTGTGCATTCAATTCACATATGTGCTGCTATGTTATTCATAACACATTCTAGAGCCTGGCTTATTTTAATATGTTATCTACATACACTTGCTAAATAAAAAGTGATATCTTGAGAAAAAAGAAGTTTAGGTTTACTAAATAGTGTATCAGTCAGAAAGCAGAAACCATTTTAGGTTGTGGCTACTATGAGGAATTTTCTCCTTATTTGTTGTATTAAAATTGCTAAAACTTGGTAAACTTTCACTAAACAAACACAAAAGAAGATGAATCAGGTGAGGTCAGACTAATTTTCAGCCAATTCTTTTTTGTTGTTGCTCCATGAGGAAATAAACTAAACAGAGAAATGGAAGGAATTCTTAGTATTTTCTCTTAAACTCATACGTAGATTTCAGAAATATAACACATTGGTAAGGCTGGATGATTTCTGGCTTTTAATGAAATAAAGAACAGTAACATATAGCAAGAAGATCATGAGAAATTAAAATATAAATTCTGAAACAGGTCAAGGGATAGATAACAGAGTCCAAGGTTAGACATTAAATCTTAGAGCTGGCCATTGGAAAGGATGTAGCAGCTGGTAAGGAAGCAGCCCAAAAGGAATGATATTATTTTCTGCAATCAAAGAAAGGGAGTCTAGTAATTATGTGCATATGTTTGTGCTTTACAGCATTCTGATACTAATCAGTGTGTATTTCTATACATGTAAATACCAGATCAATGAAAAACCTTCCATGTGTGTGTATTCAGCTTCACGCACCTCCCTAGTTAGATACATGGATAAATATATGCAGAGAAGCTAATTGAATATGAACGAGCATCTAGGTTAAAGTAACGTGGATCAAAACGTGGTTGCCACAGGTTAGGAATTCAAGCACTCATGCCTACAAGTTGTAGCATTTTTCTCACTATATTATTGAAACTGGGAGTTTGTCCAAAGCATAAACAGTAAAGGACTGAATTACAGCAACATGATCTACTTGGAGACACTCAGAAGGCCACCCAGGAACTTGTAAGGAAACAGCAACCTTAGGAGCCCAGACCTGAATGGGTCATATGGGCAGGGTGACCTGTCCTGGATACCTTCCCCTTTCTCAGGACAATTGAAGAATTGGAATCTAGCATCAATGTACTCTTCTTAGGTTAATAAGCTGAGATACAGCTATGGGTGTCTGAAACAACATTTGTCTTTCGAGAAAGGAGTAAATGAATTCATATGTATTATCTTCCCAAATCCTTGTATTATCCTCCTTCCTTGAGAAAACAGTTTGGTGATCTGATGCCTAATTTTCTTTCTTTCACACATGACATTCTCTTTTTTTCTCTCCCTCTCTCATACACATTTTTGCAATGATTAAATTCACAAATGAGAACATAAGACAGAACACCCTCAGACAGAAATATTTCTCACCCACCATTCCTACATTAGAACCACATGAAATAAAATTAGTGCACAGATGATGAAGAACAGTTAGTAGGATGTGCAGGACTTTGGATGGCTGAGCTTATTTACTCACTGGTTCAGATGATCTAGTGTACCGCATATACAGCTTCTTTTTACTTATTTCATGTGGCTGAGCTCATTAGTTTTGTCAGTTACTCTGGAAATGTGTGAGCAAAACCTGTTTCATATTGTGGATAAGGCAGGCCTCAGGAAATAGCGTCCCCCATGACACTTATTTGAACATGATTTTGAAAATTTAGCAGAAAATGCTTGCCATATTTATTTCACATAATCCTGATTGGTCTGAAAATGCATGTGGGTTTTTATAAGTGCATCCTTTCCTATAGATTAATCTTACTGTCATAGCAAAAATGGTTTCTTTTTCCCTTTCTCTAATCTCTGCCCCCCCCCGCCCCAATCCCGAAAGGTCATCAGGCATTTTATTCAATGATTTGGAGGAAATGTAAACTTGTTTGTTTACAAAGTAGGTTTTCATTTTAGAATAAAGCGAAATAACAAACAGAAAAAAAACTATTAAAGTTTCTTTTTTCATAATCAGCAATATGATATTTTACTAATTTAAAAATTCACTTGGAAGACAAACTCTTCAAAATAGACAAATCCATAAAAATTCCATGGTGACATAGCTCTTACTGAATATTACTTAGCTGATAGCACAGCTTCACTTTTAAGAATTTCACTCCCTCCCAACTTGAGCTCTTGTGATAAAAGAAGCAGCAGGATAATGTGGAGACAACCAGGGCTTTGGAATTCCATGGAATAGCAGTCCCTCAGAAGTTATTAAGCTTCCTTAGCTGTAGTTTCCCAACTGGAAAAATGGAGAAACCTTGAATTGTTTTAAAAGGTTAGAAAGAACATATGTAAAATGTCTAGCGTAGTGCCTGCATTGGAGTGTTTGAACCTGTAGGGTCTCAGCAAATGGTAGTATTTTTTTAATTATTGTTTTCTGCTAGGTTTTCTACATACCTTCTAGATAGATGCTTACAAAAGATTTGTGCGTACACCTTCGCATGGGAATATTTACCAAATGTGCTCATTGCTATTCATTTTTGGTGGCCATTTGCCATCTCCACTCTGATTGAAGAGCAGAGAAGCCATTAGCTTATAAAGCTGGGAGCAGCAGAATCCATTTGTAGAATGGGTGATTATCTCCTTTCCACAGGGATGCCAGCCCCATCCTGGGAACAGCAAAGGGACATTAAAGTAAAGGCCATTGGAAGACAGAGGCAACCATTATGTAGGGAGAAGCTTTAACTTTCCAATGTGATTTATTTTTCCCATCTAAAGTCACTTCCAAAAGAAAAACTTAGGAAAACAAAAAAGATTACAAACAATGTCAGAAATAATATTTGAACATTGTTAAGTTTGATTATTATTGTTTTATTTTCACATGGCACATTTTGTGAACACATCTAATGAGCACACATTGACTCCCATTCTCCATTCATTACCAGGATTTATTGACCCTAGAAATTAATACTTACTGGGGCAAAACAGCCACTGACTTTTCTTGCAGGTCAATAAATCTGGTGATGGAGAAACACCAAACCAGGAATCAGTACATTTTTTTTTCTTAGTAGTTGTTTCTTTTTCCTTCACCCTAGGAAGAAAGTCAGTGCAGCTGCCTGCTTCCAGAGGGCCTATCATGTTATTTAAAAATTTAGTAGCTGGCCATTTAGAGTCTGTTTCCAATTTACATTGTGCACTAATAGGGCCTGAATATAAAGTTTCCTTCAGATGCATTAATGTGTATAGGTATAATGAAGCCAAAGCATATTTATCACTGTTGAATTTCACAAATAATGCCAGAAGAAGGAAAAAGAAAAAATGTAAAGTTTAATACACGTGACAATAACCAAGAAATTGTACACAATTTAATTATGCACTTTAAAAGATGGAACTGAGACCTAGTAAAGTCACTCTATCTTTCTGGATTTCAGGTTTTCCATCTGTAAAATATAATGTTTCCATTTTGTTGAGGTCTCTGTCAGCTCTAAGATTCAAGCAACTCTGAATGCCTTTTAAAAGACAAATTTGTAGATACGAATTGTTCCCTCAAACTGAACCCCTTTGAGAAACTATTCAAGATTCAGGAAGAAGAAGCAACAAAAAAGTAGGACACATTTTTATGTTCCTACCCCAAAACCATTTGCTTTGTATACCAATAAATGTTGAGTAGCTGCTTGATTTAATGAAAGAATTGCATTGTGGTAAAAGTGTAGGTTTTAAGTTTAAAGATTTGTGTTTGAAGCCCAGATTTGCCCTGAGTATGGGCCTACAGAAAGAGAGAGAGAGAGAGAGAGAAAGATTAAATCAGCACCCTCTGTGTATGGATCATTTCTCAAGTACTCAGTCATCACAATAACCTTGCACAGTTGTCTGTTTTTCATTGAGAGAGCTGACATTCAGAGAAATTGAGTTTCCTGCCCAAAGTGAATAGCCAGCTGCCATTTGAATCCACATCAGTCTGACTTCAAAGATGATGCTCTGGATGGTCACTCAGCTTCTCTAAACTTCTGCTTTTTAGTCGCAAAATGAGCTGCACCCCCCTCTCAGTGAGAGAAGGCACTGGGCAGACTGCATGTCTTGCAGAATCCTACATAAATGTTGATTGTTACTGGTGACAATAATGACGATCATCATATCTTAGAGACCATTACTTGGAAAACATTTCCCAATAAAATAACATCTTGTGTAACCCAGAACTTAATATTGTGTATGGATATAAAACCGAAGTAAGTCTTTGAAAATGGTTAGGGAATCCCTCTGGCAAAAGTGTTAACTACCTGGGGTGCTTAGAGAAACATGGGTCCTTTGCCTTTTCCTCCATTTAGTGGTGCTCCATCTTCTGCCCCTCACCTGGGTGCTCAGGCCTTTTCCACCTCCCAGATCACTGTTTGCAACTGCTCTGAAATCCAGCCAGGTGTACATTTATAACAGCAGGGGCCCAGCAAACTCTAGGAGGTCAGCTTGTGGGTTTTGCATTCAGAAGGACCTGAGTTTGAACCCATACTTTGCCACTTAGCCAACAAATTTTAATAAGTAATGTTCATAAGGCAGCAGTCCCCTTCCCAGTGAAATGAGCATGATACTAGGACTGACCACATAGGATTGCTGAGAGGATAAAATAAGCAGCAGTATATGAAGTGCGGTGAGCAGGTCCCAGCTCACCTGTGTTTCCAAGAAATGCTGGTTACTATTAGTAAGAGATCAAAGGAGCCTCCCAATCATTTTAAGAGGGATCAGTAGCCTCAACAGTGGTTCAATTCAATGGTAAAGGCAGAGGAGAGTTAGGGTACATTGGGAACAGAGAGGTCTCCCCTTCCCAGTAATTATTTCTCATAGACATCTACTACTCTGCCGAGAGGCAATTCTTACTTTTGTACTCACACCAATAAAATGTGCTAGTATAAAAAAGAATTGAGCCTTCTACCTGGTCATGTCATTTTTGCAAAATTGCTTATCTTGAGATTTTTGTCTTATTAGAATGCTCTCTGAGGTCCCTGGTAATGCCAAGAGTTTGGGAATTCTTGTTTATAACAGTCAGACTATTTATTGAGGCACTGGGGGCAAGAAGCCACTGAAACATAGGGAATGAAGAGTAGTCTAGGAAGTCTGCTATAGGTTCTAGCTCTATAAGTAAACTTCTGAGACTATGGGAAGGAATTTAACTAGCAAAAGCCTCACATTCCCCATCTACGAATTGGATATTGATTATTATTTCACAGGGGCATTTGAGAATAAAATGATATGCTCTGGACAGAAGGCTTTGCTCTTGGTATATTTGAGTGTTTCTGCTGGAAACCTGGACCCGGTTCTTGTGCACAGGGGAACGCTGGCCTTAAGGGCATGCTTCTCATAGTAGAAATTCTGCAATTACAGACAGGCCGTAACAAAGGTCCAGTTCACTTACATACAAAAGCTATAAAATAAAAAACCAGATTAAAAAAAAAGATGCTTGCAGTAATTACATGCAGAAGGTTTGCCTTCTTTTGTCCTTTCCTCTGTATCCCTTCATCCCTTTCTCTTTTCCATCCTCCCTTTATTCAATCCTCTGCAAGCCCCTAGTGATCCCTAGGCTATCAACTTCTCCTATTGTAACATCTTGAAAGACTCTGTACTTTCTATAATGGGGTACTTATCATAGGGTTATGTAATTATTTGTTTAGTTCCCTGCTGCCTCCTAAGCAGTGCAAGTTCCACTAAGGCAAGGTTTCTATCTCAGTGGCTGAATTGTGCATCACCCTCACCCTGCCTAGTGCCTGACCCATAGTAGATACGCAGTTGTTATTTGTTCTGGGATCGGCACTGGGGACAAATAGTGAACAAGAGCCAGTAACCAGCCTCCAGGAGCTCACATTTACTGCCTACAGATGGCATCAAGTGCTGCAATAAACATACATGTGCATGTGTCTCTATAGTAGAATGATTTATAATACTTTGGGTGTATACCCAGTAATGGGATTGCTAGGTCAAATGGTATTTCTGGTTCTAGATCCTTGAGGAATCTCCACATTGAACTAATTTACACTCCCACCAATAGTGTAAAAGCTTTCCTGTTTCTCCACATCCTCTCTAGCATCTGTTGTTTCCTGACGTTTTAATGATTGTCATTCTAACTGGCGTGAGGTGGTATCATGTCTCAGTAGGTCAGAAGACCCCTGTCTGGCTTCTGAGCTTCTGGCTTCTGAGGTAGTTAATCATTCATTTATTCTTCAATCATTTAATGAGCATGTGCTTTGTACCAGGTGCACCAGGTGTGAAACAATACAGACATTATCTTTGCTTTCAGGGACTTATATTCTAGTGAGTGGAGGTTGGCTCTGAACACACAAATAAATAAACAAAGAATGATTGGCTCTGAACAAAGAAACCCCAGAAGGTTGATCTAAAGATGATGTAACCACAGTATTGGGTTAGGTGTAAGTGGTGTGAAGGGGTTACTTTAGATTGTGTGTGTAGAGATGGTTTCTCTGAGGAGGTGATATTCTCATGAAAACTGATGGCAAGGTGGAGCAGCATAGAAATCTATATGGGAAATGTATTCCTGGCAGAGGGAATCACACATACAAAAATCTGAAGTTTGAAGAAAGTTTGAATTGTATGAGGAAAATAAATAATTAAATCTGTGTGTCTGTGGTGTTATACTTAGGGATAATTGATGGGGGTGATGTCAAACTGGTAGGCAAAGACCACGCAATTTAGAGCCCCTGAAGGCATCTCTTTGTCTGGTCTTTGTTGGGCTGTCTATGCTCAATTAAACCACTGAGAATGGGTTCTGCAAGCAGCCATTTCAAAAATTTAATCTCGAAGTGACAAGAAAAACACGCAAGAGACCTCTGAGAAAACAAAACAAAACAAACACAGATAGTTCAAAAACCAGCAAATAAAAGTACAACATAAAGATATAGAAAAAATGGTGCACATATACACCATGGAATACTATGCAGCCGTAAAAAAGGATGAGTTCATGTCCTTTGCAGAGACATGGATGAAGCTGGAAAACATCATTCTCAGCAAACTAACACAGGAACAGAAAACCAAACACCGCATGTTCTCACTTATAAATGGGAGTTGAACAATCAGAACACATGGACACAGGGAGGGAAACATCACACACTGGGGCCTGTCAGGCGGTGGGGGGAAAGGGGAGGGAGAGCATCAGGAGGCTTAAACCTAGATGATGGGTTGATAGGTGCAGCAAACCCCCATGGCATGTGTATACCTAGGTAACAAACCTGCACGTTCTGCACATGTATCCCAGGACTTAAAGTAAAAATAATAATAATAATAATAATAATAATAATAATAATAATAAATAAAATAAACACTTGCAAAGGTCTGTTTTCCACATTCAGTTGGATATCTTTTGTGTGAAATAAAGGCTGCCTGTGAAAAAGAAAAAATCAGCCCTTGGCTTACCCCCAGAAATGTCCTCTTATGCTATCCACTCCTGGAAAATGGACAGGCTGACATAGATAAGAAGAGCCTGAGGTTCCACATTCCATAATTTTACAAGAAGAATATTTCTTGTAGGAAGATTTTCTTAGTCAATGAATCTAGAGGGTGAAGGCAACACATTTTGGCTTGCTGTTTTGTTTATAAACATATCTCTCCTTTGTAATATATCCATTCGTGGTCTTTTCTCTAGAAGGAAGAGATGCGCGTGCTGATGCCTTGCTTCTCCGTTCTTTCCCAGCAACATGCCACATGTTTTACTGATGCTGTCATTAGAAAACGCCAGGAAAAAAGTTTAGTGCTTTCTGTGAAAATTGTTTCACTAAGGGGAAGCAAGACAGCTAAGTGATAAGATAATGTAAACGGCAGTAGGAAAGACACTTGAAGTGGCTGAGGGTATAAATGACAGAAAGAACAGTAATAAGACATTTTGAAGACATGTGATGGGCGTCTGCTCAGGAGACCATGGGAAAGGGCATCTGGGACATTGTAGTGTTTGAGATTTTTCTCTCTATCAGAACAGGAACTTCTCACTGTTGGAAATAGTGAAGATGGCGATTGAAAATTAATCTTTCAAATGAAAGAGAATGTAAAATGACTTCTTACAGGAAAAGCAAAACGACAGAGCATTTACAGTTCCCTATTCTGGGCCTGAAACTATGCAGACTGCTCTGCAGGTATTTTTTTATTTACTCCTCATTCAACTACCAAGGCAGGAATCATTATTCCATGTTAATAAAAGAAGAAACTGAAGTTCAAAAAAAACAGGTAAATCATTCAAACATCATCTCACTGGTATGTATCAGAGGTTTGAATGAGCCACGTTTCTCTGATGCCAATGTTTAGGCCATTACTTGTGCCATTGCAATTCTTCCTTAAATGCAGTTATTTTGGAAGCCCACACTAGCAAGCTGTAATAATAAAAAAGGTGATAGTTACCTATTTTAGAAAAGAAACTAAGGGAACATCATGAACTGCGTAGCCGGCGAGCACAGTATATTTAATTTACTGGTGCGTTTCCCCTTAGCTTGTTCATCCTCAGATCCATATTTGGTTTTTCATTTGCTCTTGGCTCAATCAAAGGGCGAGTCCTGCTCTGATACCTGAGGCTGGATGTATAAGACTCTTATCTCATCAGGCTTCTGGTTTTGACCAACACGTGGCCCTGGCAGCAGACTGGCGAGAGAAGAATGGGAGAAGTCTGAGCATTTCTCTTTCCCTCCCTCTCTATTGCCCAAAGTATCCTCTCAGGCCCCAGCTGCATTTCCTCTGCAGCTCAGGTGCTGTCCGGCAGGCCCACCTGGTTTTAATTTCCTCCAGGTGACCCTTGTGCCTGGATCCTGGAACTACTGCCACCTCTCTCTGTCCTTTGGCTCAGGAGAGTAAGGGTTTCCTACTGCTATTGCTAATGTGTCAGTAGCTACATAGACCCCTGTCCGGCTTCTGAGGTCTTCCATTGCTGTGTCACAATTCCCTCCCCCTTTCCTATGCTGCTGTGCTTTCTGTGTCCCGATCAGGCTCTGGCTACTACAACTGGCAACAGAGGGACGCTTTGAGAAAGGATGAGAAGATTGATATGTGTTGCTTAGTCCTGTTCAATGCCCACTTCCCCCTCTGCTGACCCTCTTTCCAATGCCCAGTGGTTTCATGGACCCTTCCTCCTCTGTCTTATCTAAACTTTCTTCCCAGAAAAGACCTCAAACTTAGCCAAAGAGAGGTTTACATAAATGTCTAAAACTTGGCTTTAGAATATTGACTCTAAAGTGAATCAGCTTTTAATGGAGATTAGCACCTTAAGTTTAAACAATAGAGCACAAAGGAAAAAAGTTTTTTTGGCATCAGTCATGGTAAATGCTGTTAAAATGAAATTGTATTTTATCTGGACTCTAAGAATGGCATTGATTAGGAAGCAACTTACTTAAGTGTAATCCTATACTTGACCCTAACTCTAAGCTAATTAGGTAAATGATGAATAATAAAAATGAAGGTAATGCGGAGTAGAAATACAAATGATATAACTAGGAACATGGGTGGAAGCATGTGTTTCGTATGAGACACTGTGCTAATTGAGTTACAGGCGTTATTTCACTTAATGGCTACAGTAATCTAGTGAGGCAGGCATGATTCTGAACTTGAGATGAGAAAGCTGAGGTTCAGAGGTTAGTAAACCTGAGCCAGAATTTAAGCCTGAGTCTTTTTTTTCTGCCCATATTATTTCAGTTTTGCAAAGTGCAGAATGGCCTGCGGAGGCTAAAAGCCATTGGTCTGGGAACTGGATTTAGCCTAAAGGGGAGGTGTTTCACCTGGTCCCAGAATTATTTTGAGCCAATATTTGAAAACTGGTAAAATTCACTTAAAATTAGAAACTCTGACATCTCTTTAAAAAGTGACAAGTATAGTAAAAGTGGACCTGCATCCTGCCAGGTGTATTGGCCACTGGCTTCCCAAGAGGTACTGGCCTCCAGTTTCCAAGAGTCCTCACATTTCATTCTGTCTTTCTAACATTTTTATTCACACATCTGGTTCATTAGTTGATGTCATATGCTTGGTCTTGTGATATAGTTTGACTGTGTCCCCACTCAAATCTTATCTTTCACTGTAGCTCCCATAATTCCCATTGTGTGGGAGGGACCTGGTGGGAGATATTTGAATCATGGGGATGGGTTACCCCATACTGTTCTCTTGATAGTAAATACATCTCACGAGATCTGATGGGTTCATAAGGGCAAACCCCTTTCACTTGGTCCTCATTCTCTCTTGCCTGCCACCATGTAAGACATGCCTTTCACCTTCCACCATGATTGTGAGGCCTCCCCAGCCATGTGAAACTGTGAGTCCATTTAACCTCTTTTGCTTTATAAATTACCCAGTCTCTGGTATGTCTTTATCAGCAGTGTGAAAATGGACTAATAACACCCTTGCTGATATGGGAAAGCCTGGCATTAGTTCTTACAAGATTGGGGTGCCAGCTCCATTTCTGTGAACAGAGAAAAATAAGTAGCAACAAGTTTCCTGGAGATGACGTATCATTTTTCAAATAACAGCTGTGTGAAATTCTTATTGTGTGACCTTGGGCAAGTGCTTTAACCTTTCTATGTCTGCTTCCCCATTCATTAAAATGAGTATATCACTACTATTTTCCTCAAAACTTTGTTATAAAGTCAGAGAAGTTATTATAAAGAGCAAATAACAGTGTCTGCCCCCAAATACATATACATCAAATACATGTAGACACATACATTATTTCATAATACAATTATCTGTGAGTCAGTATGTGTTAATGAAAAATCATTAATGGAAAACAATTCAAGAAGAAATCAGATAAGCTGGGAAAACTTTTTTTGTTTGTTTTGTTTTTTACCTTTTGAGGTCTTTGTGACATTACTGACATCAGCAGTATTTTTAGGGGGAAAAATGTGATAATATGAAGAAAACTCTTTGACTGTGAGGTGAGTATATAAATACACAATGGTATGGTAAGTAAAACTAGAATAATATAGGTAATTGAAGCTGTTGGTTGATTTTAATTTTAGTTCTCCAACCATATATGTGCTGGGTGGTACAATGAAGATGAAACGTAAGTCATGTTCCTTACTGCATAACAGTTTTCAATTCATCAAACTTGTAATAATTCTACATAATTCTAGTATATACCATTGCTTTCTACACTGATGTAAAAATACCTTGATAAACACAAGTCAAATCACATCATATTTGTTTTTTTAGAAAGAAATTTACCTTTATCCTTCAGCTATCTTATTTTATTTAGAATAGCATTCCACAGTTTGCTTTTCACTTTGGAAACAAAATTTTTTTTGAAAAAGAGGTATGTTTAATGCTGTTTTATACTTAAATATGTTCAGCAAAAAATGAAATGTAAACATTGCCATTTCGAAAAAATCTATATTTTAAAATTTCTGTATTGTTAATAAAAATTCTAGCACCTTAGGATCCAGCCTCTCTATAGATTTAAATTCAAACAATCCCAATCTAACACTTATTTAGCAATTAAGGAATTCTAGTCTTTATTTTAATATCTCAAAAGAGGCAAAAGTACAATTTGTAGCCTGCAGCATTGTTATCAAAAGCCTCGTCCTCTACTCTGCTTCTCGTTTTTAAACCCTAAATTACTCCAAAGCTTTCATCAGAAGGAATCACTAAGCATCTCCCTAGTCACAGTTTGTGATTTTTTTTTTTTTTTTTTTTTTTTTTTTGAGACAGAGTCTCGCTCTGTCACCCAGGCTGGAGTGCAGTGGTATCATCTCGGCTCACTGCAACTTCTATCTCCATGGTTCAAGCAATCCCCCTGCCTCAGCCTCCTGAGTCACTGGGATTACAGGTGCGTGCCACCACGCTTGGCTAATTTTTTTTGTATTTTTAGTAGAGATGGGGTTTCACCATCTTGGCCAGACTGGTCTCAAACCTCTGACCTCAGGCAATCAGCCCGCCTTGACCTCCCAAAGTGCTGGGATTACAGGCGTGAGCCACTGCGTCTGGCCTGTGAGGCTTTTGTTAGCCATTCAGTCTTTTACCCAAACATCACATTCTTTCTTATTAGATCAAGTTAATTTCCCTGGCTCTATCCAGTCCTCTTTCCTCTGACTTCTCAGTCTTTTCTTCATCTACCAGTTTTCGGATTCTACCATAATAAGATCAATGGTCTTAGCTGAGAGCTAGCAAAGACTGCATGAATTTAGTGTTTCTATCCCAGACAGTGGGGAAGATAGAATACAATCTAGGTTACTGCTGCTTTATTTTCACAACCAGAAGTGATCAAAAAGCAAATTCTTAAGTGCATGTTGTTAACAAAGGCATTAAGGTCATCATCATAGTTATCACCACTACAAACGTCAACATCCTCATTTTTATCATCGACATCACATAATTATTCACTATTTTTTATGATTTACTATGTGCCAGCTGGTCTTTTACAAGCATACCTATGCCCATGGGATGATGAGCCCACAACAATCCAGACAGCAAATCCTTTTACTTCATATGGCTTCTACTTCATGGCCCAAGATGATCACACCGGCTTTAATAGTATGTCCACATTCTATGCAACAGAAAGGAGAGGTAGAAAAAATAGAGGGCACACCCCCTTTTTAATCTCATAAGCTGGAAACCATACATTTCTTTTTCTCATATCTAAATAGATAAACTTCAAGGGTTTTACTATAAAAGAAGGAGAGAACGGATATGGCAGGACACCTAGAAATCACTACAAAAAGGATCATGTCTTATGGCTTGTAACTCTCTCTGCATGAGACACAGGGCTTGATATATAGTTTCCGCTCGAAAGGGCTCGCCAATGGAAATAATTAACCCTGAGAGTAAAAAAGTCATAAGGAACCATCGACTTCATAAAAGTTCTATGAAGATGCAATTTTTTTTTTTTTTTTTTTGGCTGGGCTCTGAAGACTGTGATTTAGATGGAGAAGAAGCAAAATAGGCAGTCCACGCAGGAGTTTCCTATTAGAGAAGACAGGGCTATGTGTGTATTATATGTGAGGATCTATGAAGAGAAGAACGCAGATTAATTCTGCCAAGTGCACACAATTCTTAGGTACTGACAAGACACCATCCTTGACGTTAACTGTAGTCAGGCTCCTCGGAAGCCTTTTCTTGACTTGACCATGTGCCTCTTAGCCTGAACAGTGATAGAGTTTGGAGGTTAGTCCTCTCCAAATCTCATGTTGAAATGTGATCCCTAATGTTGGAGGCGGCGTCTAGTGGGAGGTATTTGGATCGTGGGGGTGGATTCCTCATGAAAGGCTTGGTGCCCTCCTTTCAGTAATAAGTTTACATGAGATCTGGTTGTTGAAGGGTCTGGGACGCACCCCACCATTCCCCTACCTCTCTTGCTCTCTCTCTTGCCTTGCGACACATGTTCTCCCCTTGCCTTCCACAATGAGTCTAAGCTTCCTGAGGCCTCACTGGAAGCAGATGCTGGTGCCATGCTTCTTGTGCAGCCTGCAGATCCATGAGCCACATAAACCTCTTTTCTTTATAAATGACCCAGCCTCCAGTATTCCTTTATAGCCATGCAAAACAGGCTAATAGCTACTGTTTCAGCAAGAATCCTGCTAGATCAGTTTAGAGAGAATCCTTAGACCCTTCATATCTGATCAAATTCCTCATCCCCCACCTTCCTGGGTGACACCTGATCACCATGGCAAGAGTCCTGTTAGGTTTGCTTAATCAGAAAATCAGAATTTTTACAACCTCCTCCCATGTTTTTTCCTCTTAGTAATTTTCTATCCTGCACCCCTTTCCAAATCTGTGCGTCAGTTATAAATCACTTATACTTATTGTATTTGGAATTGAGCCTAATTCCATACTGAAGTTTCTTTTACTCTATTGTATTAGTGCATTCTTGCACTACTATAAAAACTACCTGAAACAGAAATTTATGAAGAAAAGAGGTTTCAATGGCTCATGGTTCTGCAGTCTGTATACGTAGAACAGCTGGGAGGCCTCAAGAAACTTTCAATCGTGGCAGAAGGCAAAGGGGAAGCAGGCACTTCTAACACGGTGGGGGCTAGGGAAAGAGAGGGAAGGGAGAAGTGCTATACACTTTTAAACAACCAGAATTTGTGAGAACTCACTCACTATTATGAGAACAGCAAGGGGGAAATCGGCCACCATGATCCAGTCATCTCCCACCAGGCCCCTCCACCAACACTGGGAATTATAATTTAACATGAGATTTGGGGAGGGAGACACAAAGCCAAACCATATCATCACCTATTGTAATAGTCCCTCAGTAAAATCTGTTTTTGCTGCTTTAACTACTGTCCAATTCTAGATTTCTTTGAGAATGCCTGAGCACTGCCAAGACTGGGAAGATCTTTAAACCTAGATAGTAGAACTTTGATTTAACTTGCTAGATAAAATAGTGAACTGATACAGGTTTTGATTGAAGGGATGAAATAACTCAAATCTTCTCCTAAACTGAGTCTGGCAGCAGTGTCTAAAATGAATTGGATTAGAGAAAGACTGAATTTAGCTAGAAGAGAGGAGAGACTTTTTCTTGGTTTTCAACTAAAAGCAGATGAAAACTTGAATGAAGTGGGGACAGAGAGATTAGCAAGGCATTTTAAGAGGAAAAAAAAATGAGTTTTTTTTTTCTTTTTTTTTTTTGGAGACAGAGTTTCATTCTTGTTGCCCAGGCTAGAGTGCAATGGCGCGATCTCGGTTCACTGCAACATCCGCCTCCTGGATTCAAGTGATTCTTCTGCCTCAGCCTCCTGAGTAGCTGGGATTACAGGCATGCGACACCATGCCCAGCTAATTTTCTATTTTTAATAGAGATGGGGTTTCTCCATATTGGTCAGGCTGGTTTCGAACTCCCCACCTCAGGTGATCCGCCCGCCTCAGCCTCCTAAAGTGCTGGGATTACAGGCATGAGCCACCACACCCAGCCAAAAATGAATTTTTTTTTTTGCATTCAATATTAAATCTGAAGAAAGTTTGACAGTTGAAGACTATATCAAACTGTCTAGTCTTGGATAATGACAATGGTGATTCTAGAAAAGGGGAAATTGGAACAAATACAGATGCCTTTGGGAAAAGATGAAGAACTTATGGAAACAAGGATAAAAATTGAACATCTACTTTGAGGTGTCTGAAATGAAAGTGTGAATGTGAAGAAGGAGGCACAGGACTGAGGTCTTAAATTTGACCTGTAGATACAGGTACTGAGCTCTGCAAAGGGGTGGTGAGAGCAGTTATTACATCAAGTGGCACAGTTTTTACATCTTTGTACAAGACATGAGTTCATTGTAGAGTTAGAAATCTCCTAGTCATGAAGCCAGGACCTCGACTTACTGCCCTCTGACCTCAAGCTGAAGTTGATAGAGGTGCAGTTCTATGTGAGGCTCTCCTAATGCAATGACAAATCATTTCAGTTGCTGAGGTAACAGAATTTACTCTTCTCCTCAGTTTCTAAACTAGTTTCAGAACCCCCGACAAAACAAGTGATTATTCATAGGTTCTATGTGAGTTTTAAATTTTTTTAAAAAAATTTATGCCCAGGCTGGTCTTAAATTTTTGGGCTCAAGTGATTCCCCTACCTCCCAGGTAGCTGGGATTACAGGTTTGTGCCACTGGCCTGGGTTTACATGAGTTTGTGCAGTGAATCTAATGGGATTTCTATGTCAGCTACCCTCAGCTTAGCTGTTTGTTTTAAAAATAAGATGCTGATCAGGAATCCATGATTTGCTGCAGTGAGCCTGCCTGTCTGCATCTTGTAGGACTTATATTTTCTTTTCTTTTCTTTCTTTCTTTCTTTTTTTTTTTTTTTTTGAGACAGAGTCTGGATCTGTCACCCAGGCTGAGGTGCAGTGGTCTGATCTTGGCTCACGGCAGCCTCCGCCTCCCGGGTTTAAGCAATTCTCCTGCCTCAGCCTCCGCAGTAGCCTGAATTACAGGCATATGCCACCACACCTGGCTAATTTTTGGATTTTTTTAGTAGAGACGGGGTTTCACCATTTTGGCCAGGCTAGTCTCGAACTCCTGGCTTCAAGTGATCCGCCCATCTCAGCCTCCTAAGGTGCTAGGATTACAGGTGTGAGCCACTGCGCCCAGCCTGGACGTATATTTTCTAATCTTTTTAGGTCCAAACTTGTAATGCTGGACTCATTGCTTAAGAGGCAGGTGGCCGGGCATGGTGGCTCATGCCTGTAATCCCTGCAGTTGGAGGCCGAGGCAGGTGGATCACCTGAGGTCAGGAGTTCATGACCATCCTGGCCAACACGATGAAACCCCATCTCTGCTAAAAATACAAAAAAAATAGCCAGGCGTGGTGGCGGGCACCTGTAATTGCAGCTACTCAGGAGGCTGAGGCAGGAGAATCACTTGAACCCGGAACGTGGAGGTTGCAGTGAGCCCAGATTGCACCACTGCATTCCAGCCTGGGGAACAAGAGCAAAACTCTGTGGGAAAAAAAAAAAAAAAAAAGAGGCAGCCAGAGTTATCCTTTTAAGAATCTAAATTCAATTCCTCTGCTAACATACACACAGGTTTAATTTACATTTTTGTCCTGATAAAACAAGTTCTAACTGAGTACAAGACCCTGAGTTACCTGGTCCTAGGACCTTCTCTGACCTCACCTTCTACCTCAAGTCCTCATATTAGCCATTGCCTTCATGTGAAATGTTCTTCCCCTAGCTACACCAGTGGCTCCCATTCTCCAGCAAGCTGTCAAGTCTCAATGAGGTCTTCACTGATAACTATATACAACATGGCAGCCCTGTACCCCATCACTCTTTGTTCCCTAAACTTGTTGCATTTATCTTTATGGGACTTATTCTAAACTGACACATTGTGTGTTTATTTGTACATTGTCTCACTCCCTTCTCTCAAAAGAAGTAAGCAATACAAGGGTACAGATTTTGACTGTTAATACAAACTTGATTCCAGTAAAAAAAAAAGTATGTGGCACATAGTCAATATCAATATATGTTTTATAAATGAATAAATATGAAGGAACTAGTTAGTGTGAAATCTAATTCCTTGCCCAGATGGTAGTCTACTTCTCTTGTTACACAAATCACTGCTTCAAGCTTGAGATCACAAATGAGCACCATTCTTAAACCTTCTGTGACATCCCAGCCAGAAGTGGCAGCTTTCTCTTCTGATCCACTATATCTAATTCTAACATGTTTTTCTAAATATGATTTATAGCTGAATGGATGTAGGTTTGTAACTTACTATGGGTCTGAGTCTCATCATCTGAAAAGTGATAATACCACCTCTCTCATGGTGTGTGATAAATGAAGATAAATGAGATAACTCAGGCGTGGTGCTTGCCATGTGCTCTGGGTAGTTCTTCAATAAATGTTGCCTATTAGTTTCAACTAAATGGCAGGCTCTTGGGGAGCAGGCATCATGAGTGTGGACATGGGGAAAGGGCAGACAATCTCCTCCCTACAGTGATAACACAGCTGAGGTTGACTTATGGGATGAATTTATAACTGTACACATGGAAATGGATCTTGAGAAATTTCATAGTGCTGATGATTGCATAGTCTCTAGTAACTTCAGCAGTGTGGGAATATCTCACATACAAGAACCAGAGATTATATTTCAATCTTGAAAACATTCTGAGCCTAGGCAGTAGTTATTAACTATCTGGTTCTCTCAGCTGAGAGAAGGAAGATATGTTACTTTTTAGGCTTAAAAAGATATTTTAATGTAACTCTATCCAATTCTCAATTTTAGGCCTGCCAGAATTGAAACTCAAGCTTAACTATAATCATCACCAAGCATTACTTTTGAAGCCCTCCCGTAAATATGAGGCTGTTAAGGATGCAATACTATACCGCGTGTCTCTTAGGTTAGTTGGAAAAATGAGTTAGAAAATGAGGGTGGTCCCTGACTCAGAGGACAGAGGTATAAAACGAGAGCAGGCAATAGAGGAACTTTTGGGGAAGACTGAAGACACGCTACACAAAATTCAGAAGAGGTTTCTGCTTCCCACTTGTTAAATAACACTCAGGTCTCGGCATCGTAGTCTTGTAAGATTTTATTGGTTGAAGCCTCTGCGGCCTTGTCTTCACAAGGTATTTCAATGTTACATAATACTTATGCTAGGCACTGAGTATAGAGGAAGGCCCAACTAATTCCTCAATGAGAGCAACTGAATCCAATCATCCCAAACTCAAAGTGTTTGACATAAATCAGTTAATGCCCAGGTTCTTTCTTATAGTAAAAAAGGTAAGTACTAGCAAAGTACTAGTACTAACTCACCACTATTGGTCCAAAATTGCCACATTTTCAGAATCCAGGTGTATGGATCAGGTGACTGGACTTCTTCCTATTCTTGATATAGCTGATGGGAGTGAGCCCACCTAAATTACTGAATAGGGGAGAACTGATAGGTTCACTGGTTCTCAATGCCATACCTCCCAAAATTGAATACAGTTGATCCTTGAAAAATACAGGGGTTATAAGAAATGACCCCAGTCAAGAATATGTGTGTAAGTTTTGGCCTCCCCCAAACCCATAACTACCAATAGCATACTGTTGACTGGAAGCTTACTGGTAACATAAACAGTCAACTAACACATATTTCATGTTACATGTATTATACACTGCATTCTTAGGAAAAAGTAAGCTAAAGAAAAGAAAATGTTATTAATCAAATCATAAGGAAGGCCAAATGCCATGGGTCATGCCTGTAATTCCAGCACTTTTGGAGGCCCAGGCAGGAGGATCACATGAGGCCATGAGTCAAAACCAGTCTGGGTAACATAGAGCGACTCTGTCTCCACAAAGAAGTTAAAAAATTGGCCAGGTATGGTGTAGCACACCTGTGGTCCCAGGTACTCAAGAGGCTGAGATGGGAGGATCACTTGAGCCCAGGAGTTTGAGGTTACAGTGAACTATGATCACAGCATTATATTTCAGCCTGGGTGACAGAGAGCATGTATTAGTCCGTTTTCACGACGCTGATAAAGACATACCCAGACTGGGCAATTTATTAAAGCAAGCGGTTTAACGGACTTACAGTTCCACATGGCTGGGGAGGCCTCACAATCATGGTGGAAAGTGAAAGGCATGTCTTACGTGGCAGCAGACAAGAGGAGAGCACTTGTGCAGGGAGAGTCCCCTTTATAAAACCATCAGATCTTGTGAGAATTTTCACTACCACAAGAACAGTAGGGGGAAAACCACCTCCATGATTCAATTATCTCCCACTGGGTCCCTTAAAAAACATGAGGGAATTATGGGAGCTACCATTCAAGATGAGATTTGGGTGGGGACACAGTCAAACCATATCAGAGACCCTGTCTCCACAAAAAAAAAAAAAAAAAAGAAAGTAAAAGAAAATCATAAGGAAGACAAAATGTATTTACTATTAATTAAGTGGAAATAGATTGTATTAGTTTGTTTTCATACTGCTACAAAGAATTGCCCCAAACTGGATAATTTATAAGGACAGAGGTTTAATTGACTCACAGCTCTGCATGGCTGGGGAGGCCTCAGGAAATTTACAATCATAGTGGAAGGTGAGGAGAAAGCAAGGCACCTTCTTCACAAGGGAACAGGAAGGAGCAGTGCCGAGTGAAGGGGAAGAGACCCTTATAAAACCATCAGATCTCAGAGAACTCACTCACTATCATGAGAGCAGCATGGGGAAAACCACCCCCATAATTCTACTACCTCCACCTGGTCTATCCCTTAACACGTGGGATTATGGGGATTACAATTCAAGATGAGATTTGGGTGGGGAGGCAAAGCCTAATCATAGCATAGATCATCATAAAGGTCTTGAGTCTTGAGTAGCCTGAGGAAAAATAGGAAGAGGAGGGGTTAGTCTTGCTGTTTCAGGAGTAGCAGAGGCAGAAGAGGTGGAGAAAGTGGAAGGGAGGCAGGAGAAGAAGGCACACTTTTTTTGTTTTGAAAAACAGATGTCGAAGAGGGCCTGTGCAGTTCAAACCCATGTTGCTCAGGGATCAGCTGTGTATTCTCTATCACTGACAGGGTGTGGTCTTCTCACAGTGCAGCTATCCCCTCCCCTTTCAGAATCAGGAACCTTCTGTCCCATATTTGCTACAGCAAAAGAGGTAAATACTTCAATCTTTTTGGTACACTGGAATGTGTTACTAACACCTAGCGCTTATTTCTGTAGGTAAGTACGAGGTTAACTTTATACTTTCTAAATGTAAACACTCTCATTTCATCATTTCTCAAGGTTAGACAATAAGCAGAAAAGAAAAACTTCTAAAGAATTGTCTGGTGCAAGATTTAAGATAATGAAATAAACATGCCTCCTAGTGTCTTGAAAGTTGAATCTAAATAGACAATATTGATATAGAAAAGCCTATTAGAGACCTAATGCTTTCTCTTCATTAATTTTAGCAAGACATTACTGAGTATTTAATTTGAGGGCCTTTGCAGATGCCTGCAAGAAACTGACTGCTTGGAAAAACAGATGTGCTCACAGAGAAACACAGAACAAAACAGAAGGTAACAAGGTCCACATTGGGATAATCAGCAATGCAAAAAGGGACAGTGGAGAAAAGAAAAATATCTTCATGGCTTCCATCCCCTATTCTTTGTTCCATTCATCATGCTGGTAATTACTTATGCAATGCCTTCCTCTCCTTTAAAATATGAATTCCAGGAGGGCAGGGGTGTGTGCACTTTTTCATTGTCACATGGCCAGCATCTAGTTTTAGGGACCAATTTTACAAAGGTTTACAAGTCTGGGCCTTTCAGAGAAGTACAGACCTCAGACCTTGTCCCCCAAATTCCTTTTGTAGCTTTCTGCAGTAAGCATTCAGGGAGTTGCTGGGCTGTAGACAGGTACTTTCACCTGGTGGTCAGATAGGCACATAAACAGAGGGTCTACAGAGCCGTTGGGAAAGGCCAAGAGGGGGTGAAAAAATTCCTTGGGAATGCAGTGGAGCCCCTCAAAGCACTTAGTAGAATTCTCACCCTATTTAGGCAGTGGAGATGGAAGTGAGGCACCTTTCTTGGAAATGGAGGCTAGAACTGTTTGCCCTTCCTACAAAGCTGATCCCACTCAACCTCCTGGTTTGTACAGCTGTGTTCTTAAGTGTCAAGTTTATGAATCCCTTACTTACAATAAAGGAAAGTGCTTTTTTCCCTTTGCTTATTAATATTTTCTCTCAGGGTCAGTCATCACTTACTAACACCAACTGAGACACTTAATTAAGGGTTCAATAAGTACTTTTTGGATGAGTGGATATTAGATGGATAACCTTGCTAACTATGGAAGTATTTTGTGGACATATTAAAAACCTAAAAAATTAAAAAATACAGTGAAGACCATTACAATCTACCCAACCCCTACATGAAAATCAAACTAAGACAGCATTGAATTGATGTCATCCTAAGTATTTTTCTGTGTATACATATGAATGTGTATAAAATCAAAGAAACAATATCTTAGGGCATATAAAATATGTCCCCTCTTTTCAAAATATTCTAATATGATATTTGAAAAAGAAAGTTGGCGCTTGGCATGATGAAATAGTTCACCTTATAATCACTAAAATGTCTCTGATATTTATTCTTGACCATTTGATTTGAGGGAGGTGTATTAAAGTATCTTGCAATGATAGTGACTCCCAGTTTTTCCAATTAGTTTTAACAACTTTGTGATGTCTAGAATAAAAAAGTTGATGGTTGTTCACCTTTAATTTTGCTTGCGCCTTCTAACAAAATTATATGACGCTCCTTGTACACAGTGCTTGGAGCTGTTGGAAAACAGTATAGCAACCCCTACTATATACTTCTATTTGACGTTGGTGAATATTTGTTTTTTTTATTTTTAATATTCCTGTGAAGTTTAGATGTATTCCAGACTACTCTTTTCTTTACATCTTAGTTTCCTCATTTGTAAGATGAGGATAAAAGTAGTACTGCCTGAGAGGTTTCTGCAAAGACTAAATGAATCAGTAACTGTAAAAGTATTTGCAGCAGGTGTGGCAGTGAGTAAATGCTACCCATACTACCTTGGATGTGACATTTGTTTGTTTATTATATTTTACCTTAATCTTAGAATCTTTGTCTTTTAATAGATAATTTCCTTCTTTATTAAGTTGATTTGGTGTGTTTCATGTATTAAATTTTGTTTTAAAATAAATATAAAAACATACACTTTATTTTCTTTCTTCAACTCCATGGACCATGTTAATTTGCATTTATTTTACTTTATTTTCATTTCTACTTTTTATTTATTTATTTATTTTGAGACAGAGTCTTCGTCTGTCACACAGGCTGGAGTGCAATGGCACAATCTTCGCTCATTGCAACCTCTGCCTCCCGAGCTCAAAGGATTCTTGTGCCTCAGCCTCCCAAGTAGTTTGGATTACAGGCATGCACCACCATACCTGACTAATATTTGTGTTTTTAGTAGAGATGAAGTTTCACCATGTTGGCCAAACTGGTCTTGAACTCCTGACCTCAGGTGATCTGCCCACCTTGGCTTCCAAAGGGCTGTGATTACAGGTGTAAGCCACTGTGCCTGGCCTGTTTCGTACATTCTGTTTTACACTTTTGGTGATTCTTAAAGTAAATAGCTAAATAAATAAATAAATAAATAAATAAATAAATAAATAAAATGAAGGTTTTGCTTCTCTGTCCTCTGTATTAAACATGATGTAGCAAACTTTGCCCAGTTTTCTGCCTTGTATTATTCACTTATGTTAACACATGAATTTCAATATGAATTATTGCTGTCGATAATAACTTTTATGTTGTCTGCTTCCAATAATGATTTTTGATATTTGCTTTTATTTAGTTACACTACTTACAATTATAGAGATACAGTCTCCTACAAAACTCTGTCATCTGTTTTATAAAGTATTCTTTCCTGTTTTTGAGCCCTTGATTTGGATTCATCTCAATGTTAGCTAGAGAATGTCTTCAGCTATTTTTCCTTTGCCTGGCCACGTGGGTGGTATCTTTGTGTAAGACTTCACATTATTTTAAGAATTCCTTTCTTTTGGCTTTATACAGCAATGAAAACTTGCAGGGTCTAAAAATTTATGAATCACAAACTTTTCTTTGATCAGTTTTCTGAATGTTTCTCTGGTATCTTCTGATATTTAACATGGGAAAGTCTGAAGACAGACCAATTTTGTCCCCTTTTACATACTTTTCTGGTTCTCTTTTTTGCATTTTTGAATGAAGAATCTTTTAATTTTTTATCATAATTAAAATTTCTCCACAAGAAATGTCTGGATGTCTTATTCTTTTTATGTTTTGCGTCAAATGCTCTGATGTTATTTCATCTACTATTTTAGGACATATTTTATTTGTTAAAATTTTCTCTTCAAATATGTAATTGCTTTTTCCTGTGTTCAGTTGTCCTGGTTCCCTTTAGGGGACTGTATCTCAGTCTTGGGTGGTTTCTTTTTTTTTTTTCCCTCAACATCTGTCAACATCTCTTCCATGATTTCATTCTCACAATCCTACTTGCCCTGCTCCCCACCACACTGACATACAAACCATCCTCACTGATCCAATATTCTAGTGTCCATTTTCTCCATTAAACTTTATATGGAGATTTTTTTTCCTTTAACATTTTAAACTTTACCCTTCTCACTTTACACCTTGATTATGTCAGCTTGTTGTCTTTGGGTATCGCCCCATGATTTTATGCTATCATCTTCCCTTTTATGTCATCCTGTTATCTCTTAGCCCTATGATTTATGCTATTTTCACGGATTCCTGCTTCTCGCTGGTGATGTCGTAATAGGTTTTTATCACCTGGCCTGCACATGATCTTCTCTCTTGTTTAGGGAAATGGTGACAGAGCCATTCTCTGTGGGAACCAGTTCCTCACATCCCACCTCTGTCTCTCCCTCACTGTGGTCCAAGTAGAAGCCATCACATTCAAGTTTGCACTTCCTTTCTCTCAGGTTCAGCCATCTCTCTGGCTCCATCCCTTTTGCTTCACTGATTTCCAAAATTCCATGCTCCTGAATAAATGATCATCCTGCCTATGCTCCTATAAAGGAAAAAAAAGTCATTCTGGCCTGCATTTTATGCTTTTCTTTAGGAGCTGAACCACTGAACCAGCCTGCCTTCTGTCTTCATCCAGAATTCTGCTGATTAACTCTGTTTTATTATACTATAGACCATGGCTTCATGAATAAGTGAGCAAAACGCCATTGAATGAATGGAGTTCATTTTTCTTTCTTCCAGGTGAACAGAATAACTCTGGCTTATAAAGACTTATCATAAGCCATTCGGTGGTAGATTTTTTCTTTTAACCTGGGCCCATGGGTCTTAACATTTTATCAAAATACTACTCAGATTCTGAAGGTAAGTTGTTGGTCAAAATCACATTTGGGTATTTTTTAAGTGTTTTTGTTTCTGTGCATTCAAATGTTCAGGTTATCTGTGAGCTTTTCAGTAGAAAGTTGGAAAGACTGCAATGGGGACTTCCAGCCAAAACCTATTTTGGAAGGAAAATCAGTCCTATTGGGAATGGTGGTAGGAGCAGTAATCAGAGAGTGGGACAGTTTCATGAACATGGTAGTATTTTAATAAGGACTTGAATGATGTATAATATTGAGAGCCCAAGCAGCAGGAAAGGCATTTCAGACCATATGTGATTATCTGAGTCCTGATTAAGTACACACACACACACACACCCAAAAAAAATCAGGGAAGAAGAAAAATCCCAAGTGATAACTGGAGATATTTGAGGTTTTATAAATCTATGTAATCATAATCATATTGTAAGCTAGAATTTGCTAAAATAGGAATGGGTCTAAAATGTTTAAATATGCAACCATTTTCTATTTTGATGTGTGTGTATGAAGACTAAATAAAGCAGTTTCAAGCTTATCTGTATTCGGAGCATACTACAGAGCAATTTGTGGTTTGAATACCCTCTTCAGTAAGGACAAATGCTTCTTTGTTTATGTGATATGGTCTATGCAATCTTTGTAATTAGATGTATAAGCTATGCCCTATCAGCAATTTGAAGAAGATCTGATTATTTTATTTGCGAATTTTACTTTTAAAAACGTAGCCACATTCTTTCAATTCTTCATATTCTCCATTTCTGTTGCAATTTTCCATTGATTATCACTTGCTTCATATTGCTTGTAAATGATTATTTAAAATGGAATCTAATACATTTTGGTAGTACCAACATGTTTACTCATTAAACTGGACACATTAAGTCACATTGCTTTCATTGCAATGGTTCCTAAGAAAATCATCAGCTTAAGCAATACCAACCGTATTTCAGTAGACAAATTAATCTTTTGTTGAAAGTCTCATCTAATCTCCCTTGTTCAACAGGAAGTTTTCTGCCCTGTAGGCATTTGTGATCTTTTGGCAGTAAAGAAGAAATATGATCTTTATAAGGATAACTTTAAATGATTTTTTAAAGTAAGAATGCATAAATGTTCTAAAAATAAGATTGACTGTACTTGAATGCAAGTTTCAAAGGGAATGGATTTATAAAGTATTTATTTCTGCTAGAAATGCGGTTTGGCAGAGAAAACACTTTCTTATAGCAGGCAGAGAATAGGATTGAGGCAATCATGGCAAAAACTTAATTTATGAGAAATACAGTGTGTATTTTTTTAGACTTCTGACCTTGAACAAAACCCTAGTTATCCAGATTTTCCTATCTATAAAATGTGTTCATTTTTTCTATCTTATTTGGAAGGTCATTATGAAGATTAATGATGGCTTTTCAGGGATAAGTTCTGTGTAACTTCTTTTAACAGGAGTATATTAATATTTTACTCTTTAATGATATTAGTGCAAACTCAAGCAGCCCAGCCAGTTACACTGCCAGCTGTTGCCTCTCAATAGACAGGGATGTTCAGAGGAAAAAAACAAATTGGGGGATGTGCCTTCCCAGTTTGCAACAATTTCCTGAGGATGTAGAGCAAGTCACTCTGTTCCTAATTACTCTAGGCAGTGTTGTCTGTCTGCTCATCTTGTTTCCCAGGAATCCACAGCCAAAAAAACGTATTTGAAGTTATGCCTCAGTGTGCATGGGACCTTTCCAGATATACCACACAAAATTAACTGGCAGATGCTTGGATATCTGCAGCAAACTCATCCCAACTCACAATTTCCAAAAAGCCAGCATCAATACTATCCCACCAGACCAGATGTACTTTCCATGTATTTATGTTCAATGTTGACATTTCATGTGAAGTAAAGCTTGAGGGAGCCAGTCACCATGAACTATAATAAAATGAGATGTCTCATAGTCACATTAAAAGATGGAAAACATTTCTCTGGAAATCTGAAGTTTGGACTAGTGTGTAGGCATTGAAATGCAGAAGTGCACAGGGAATGTGTGATTCTTGTACATGTGTACCTTCTATTTAAATAAGAAGGCAGCTAATTGTAAGAAAAGTTTTAAGTGAGGTTGGATCTAGTTTTGTAGGCAAGCGCCAAGATGTGTACAATTTAACCCGCTTTAAAAGGAATCAAGTATGAACATGAATACTTATTTTGAAAGAGAAAACATACAACAAATTTGAACTTTATAAAAACAAACACCACAAATATAACAAAATCTTGAAAAATATAATCCTTTTAAAAGTAACTAACTCCCCAACAGATTGCCACCAACTACCCTTTTTTCTCTTCATTTCTTTGCCATATACTCTCTTGTTCCTTATATTTATGGTAATATTTTTGGGAAATTATCATAAGGAAAATTGACAGATAATTCAGGTTCCCTGTAGGGTGGTTATCAAATCAATGTTTTGTTTGTTTGTTTTATTTAGAGTGTCGTGATGCATAAAGTATGCAAATTATTACTCATAGCATCAAAGCATGTGACTGTTACAGGTTTGTGCTCTGCAATCAGAGTTTCTGATAAATTGTGTTTTGCAGGATTTTTATCACTTGAAATCCACCTCTACTAATGAGGGTTACCAATCAATAAACCCAGAGTTGATGGACACTATACACTATATATCAAAAGGAGATTTTCTCTTTGTTTGAGTGTGAAGAAGGTCTAACTCTGATTCTGAGAATTTGAAAGAGGAAGAAAGAAAACTCAAGAGGAATTCCAATAACAACAGAATGTGCATGAGAAAGGAAATGAAGAAGGAGGCACCATGCGGAAGGAAAGTGAGTCAGGTTTTTAGGCTGTGCTAAGCACATTACGGACACATCTCTTAAAATTATAAGGCCTTGAGACGAATTTTATTTTCTTGATTTTACAGATTAGGAAAATTTGGCTCAAAAATGTTCAGTCTTACACAGTCAGTCAAGTTGAAGCGAAAATTCAAGTCTATGCTTGCCTGATTCTGATTATTTGTTCAATAAACATTCAGCACAACCATGTTGTATGTGCTATCCTCTTAAGGACTGGGAGTGTAAGAATAAGTAAAATACATTTGTGCTTTCAACTTACTTATTGTTTCCCAGATGTCAGTACTTACAGAATGAATAGATTTTTACTGAGTGAAGAAAGGAGAAAAGCAGTATTAAGCAATGAGGTAGCACATAGCAAAGACAAAACAATTTCTGATAGGGAGAAGTATCAGTGATTTCCTTAAACATGGTGGGTGGTGTTGGGGTTGGTATTAATACTCCAGCCTGCCCACTATCAAGTGAGCAATGGAGTGCAAATTTGTCAAGCCATGACTCTTAGCTCTCTGATCTTTATTTTTGCTGTTTGTATCTTGGGGTGTTACCCTTTTATAAGTAAGGAAACATAAATACACATCAAAACTCTATTCCAGTGCCTAAGAATTTCCATAAGCATATTTGTCAAATCATATTAGATGGCTGTTGATGGAGGGAGTTGTTAACTCAGATTAATTGCTGTTACTTCTCTGGTGTTGGAGACAGTGGTATAGTTTCCTAAAAGGCAGGAAGCACTTAGTGGAATGTCATGCTCCCCGCTCATGCTTTCAACTAATTTAATGATGGTGATGAAGATGAAAGTGAATGCTGCAATAATGCACATTTAACAATATTTGTTCCATTATTGTAGGCCTTGATTATCTGAAATGTGAGCACAGTAATAGATGTCATTTTGATTTGCACTCTAGGAGAAGTAAAATAGTTGCATGTCAACCAAGATGAGATATATAGAATGTGTTAAACCAATCTTGTCATTTAATATCTGATGAACTACAAGTGTTCACCCTTACTGAAATATGCCAGGTTCTTTTGGTAGCACACTGGGTATTGTAGTTATAGCCGGTGCAAATTGCTGTCTAAATGTATGCTCAATTTAACAACTGTCTGTTAAAGTTATCAACACATTCCAACATCCATTATACAAAAGAACCCCTTCATGCATTGAGGCAGAAGTGATTATCAAAATGATGCAGTGAAGGGAAATACCCTTCGGTGCACCTTATAATACCAGCACATGAAATAGATTGGAAAGCAGGCATTTTTATAGTATGGGAATATGTAGTATAAATTTGATGTAGCAGTAAATTTTTTTAAAAAGGGAGAGAGAGAATAAAGAAATAAAAAATTTTCCGTATAGCACACATGCTAATTCCTCCTCCCCAAACTCATAAAAAGCATAAAACACCCAGAAGGTGTTTTAAAACTTAAATTAATCACCAAACACATTATCATTAATTTCAGAAATGCTGAAAAGGAAAAATAAAAGGTATGTGTTAGTGCAATGGTACACGGAATATCTGAAACAAATACAAAACATAAATAGGTTCAATTGGATGTATATTTTTCACAAAATGGCAATTACTAGCATATTAAGTGACTTCGATATTGGACTATTAGGTCATAGTCTATTTAAGAAGGTTAGAGGGAGTATGGATTGGAAGCAATTAAAAAGGGAAGCCAACTACATCAAGGATTCCAGAGAAAAAATAAAGTAGCACATTAGAATGAGAATATAAATAGTCTATATGCTAAGCTTTATGGATATTCTATAGGCATAAGATAAGTAAAAAGGAAAGTATAATATAACTTTCAATTTATTCATATCTTTTAATTAAGACTATGATTAGTTTTTTTAGGAAATTGACAATTATTTCCAATAATCATAGTCTTAATTTACATTTCCGGATGACCACTGATGTGGAACATCTTTTCATATGCTTATTTACCATCCATAGATACTCTTTGGTGATGTGTTCCCTCAAGACTTTCATTCATTCTCTAATCGGATTTTTGTTTTTTAACCTTTGAGTTTTGAGAATTCTTCGTATATTGTAGCTATAAGTCCTTTGTCAGATGTGCAGTTTGAAAATGTTTTCTCTCAGTTTGTTGCTTTTCTTTTCACACCTTTAATGGGGTCTTTTGCACAAAAAATTTTAAAAGTTTTGATCAAGTTAATTTATCTATATTTTTCTCTTAAAAAGGGTGCTTTTAGTGTCATGTTTAGGAACATTCTTACACGCCCTAGGTCCTGAAAATATTTCCTTCTATGTTGTTTTCTAAAAGTTTCATAGTTGTATATTAAAATCTATAATAACTTTTTAGGTAAATTTTATACAGTGTCTATGATTTGGCTCACAGTTATCCTTTTTTTTTTTTGCATGTGGATATCCAATTCCTCCAAATACATTTTTTGAAAATAATTAATTTTATAGCTATGTTAAAAATCAGTTGGCCATATGAGTGTGGGGCTGTTTCTGAATTTTCTATTTGATTCCATTGATCTATGTACCTATTACTCTTACAAATCAAAAAGTCTTGATTACTGTCTAGTAAGTCTTGAAATTTGGTAGGGTTATTTCTCCCACTTTATGTTTCATTTTCTAAATTGTTTTTAACTGTTTTAGTTCCTTTGCCTTTCCATATAAAGTTTAGAATAATCTTGTCTACAACTACATAAAATATCTTGCTCAAAATTTGATAGAAATTGTGTTAATGCTATATAACAATTTGGCAAAAAGTGACATCTTTAATATGTTGATTCTGTCAGTCCGTGAACACATCACATCTTTTCATTTATACAGATATTTAAAATTTCTTTCATCAATATTTTGTAGTTTTTAGCATATATGATCTGAAAATACTTTTGATTTGCACTTCAGTATTTCATTTTCTGAGTTACTGTATATTGTATTTTATTGTATTTGTGTGTGCATATGAATTGGCTTTACATGTTGGGTGTTATAATGAAACCCAAGGTCACATAGATTTCCTTCTATGTTTTCTTCTAGAATTTTTATAGTTTTACATTTAAAATTTATGTCTATGGACTACTTTTATGATTTTTTTGTTTTTTTGGATATGTTTTAAAATTGATGTATCATAGTTGTATATATTTTGGGGGTACCTGTGCTAATTTGATACATGTGTACATTATTTAATGATTAAATAAGGGTACCTGGGCTATCCATCACTGCAAGCATTTATCTTTTCTTTGCGTTGGTATCATTAACATTTTTCTCTTCTAGTTTTTTTAAATATACAGTAAATGATTGTTAACTTATTCACATGGAACCACAAAAGACCCTAAATAGCTAAAGCAGTCCTGACCAAAACAAACAACAACAACCACAAAGAAGAAAGATGGAGACATAATACTACCTGATTTTAAATTGTATTACAATGCTATTTTAACCAAAACAACATGGTACTGGCATAAATGCAGACACATAAACCAAATAATAATAATAATAAAGTAAAAAAAACCTAGAAATGAATCCATGCACTTACAACCAACTCATTTTCATCAAAGGCACCAAGAACATATTTTGGGTTAAGGACAGTCTCTTTAATAAATTGTGCTGAAAAAACTGGATATCCATATACAGAAGAATAAAACTAGATTTCTATCTTTCTCTATTTACAAAATTCTAAATTGATTAAAGGCTTAAATATAAGATCTGAAAAGATAAAATTCCTAAAAGAAAACATCAGGAAACATTATAATACATTGGTCTGAGCAAATATTTTTTGAGGTAAGACCTCAAAAGCATAGGCAACAAAAACAAAAATAGACAAATGGGATTACATCAAAATAAAAAGCTTCAGCACAGCAAAGGAAGCAATTAATAAAGTAAAGAGACATACACATAACAAAAGACAATATTTGCAAACTAAGCATCTAAAAATGGATTAATAACCAAAATATATAGAAACTCAAACAACTCACTTAAAAAAATCTGATTGAAATGGGTTAAAAATCTGAATATACATTTCTCAATAGAATTCATACAAATGTCCAAAAGGTGTATGAGAATATGCTTACTATCACTAGTCTTAGGGAAATACAAACCAAAACCACAATAAATATCATCTCAGTCCAGTTAATATGGCTATTACCAAAAGACAAAATATAACAAATGATGGCGAGGGTGTGAAGAAAGGCTAATGTTAGTACACTCTTGATGGTCATGTAAAGTAGTACAGCCTTTATGGAAAATAATATGGAGATTCCTCAAATAACTGAAAATAGAACTACCATATGATCCAGCAAAATCACTGCTGGGTATATACCCAAAAGAAAGGAACGTCAGTGTAGTGAAGAGACATCTGCATTCCCATGTTTATTGCAGTGCTATTCACAATAGCCAAGGTAGAGAATAAACCGAAATGTCCATCAAAAATGAATGTATAAAGAAACTTTGGTATATATATATACACACATATATATATATACACATATATATATATACACATATATATATATACACATATATATATACACACATATATATACACATATATATATACACACATATATATACACATATATATACACACATATATATACACACATATATATACACACATATATATACACACATATATATACACACATATACACATATATATATACACATATATATATACACACAATAGAATGTTACTCAGCCATAAAATGAAACCAAATTCTGTCATTTGCAGTAATATGGATGGAACTGGAGGTCATAATGCTAATAACTGAACTATACCAGGCAGAGAAAGACGAATATTTCGTGTTCTCACTCATATGTGGGAGCTAAAAATGTAGATCTCATGGAGGTAGAGGGTGCAATGATGGCATTGTTCTCACATGCTGGGAGGGTGAGGGGCACATGGCTACTTCTTTGTACAGATTGCACCCATTTACCCATCTGCCTCTCCCTGAAGTTCAGCTCAGCTGAACGGGTAGTGAAAGACGTAAACTAAGAAGAATTATCTGCAGAAAACAGAGAAACTGAAACTGAGAAGAGTCCAGCCTCTGATGAAGCTGGAGAGATAGAAGCCAAGTCAGACTAATATCATATACTATGTCTTATCTGTCGTCCCTGTCTCCCTTGGGTAATAAGAGGAATATTTTTATCAATTATTTTGTAAATGCAAGTTTTTTAATAGCTTTGGAAACATTTTTAAGAATGAGGGAATCCCACCTCATCCCATTTTTTAAGTGGGAATGCTTTTTAAAAATAAAAATAAAAAAGAGGTGAAATCATTCACTGGTTATTAATTTTTTCATAGAACCAGAAACTAATGAGGGATATTGAACTATGGGAAGATTTGACTGTCTTGGATGTCAGCTTATTATTCCATAGGTGGGGGGTTTGTTTTTATATCCTATAATACAAAGCATACTAAATGGCGATGTGGAGTCACAGTCCTGCATTTAATGTCTTGAACATTTTAAATTAACTCTATTTCCATGTTGTTTTTTAGTAGAATTGTTTCCTACAGAAAACCACTCCTTGACTATGGCTTTCGCTGCCAGAATTGTGTGCACTTTGTAACAACTTGGGTCATTGTAGTCCTGTTTTCTTAATTTTGTTAATGTATGGTGAAAGGTTGAAAATTTGAGTATATAGTACATATGTTATTAAATTATAAGTTGGTGGGATGTATGGAACAGCTTATCAACTGGTGAAAATATGAAAATACTAGTCATTGATAGCCACTCAAGGAAAATTTGCCTCAAAATTTTAAGTTGGAAAGTCACTGGAATAACTTTAAAAAAGAATTACTGTACATGGCTTTTTTAGATTTTCATCATATGTGCCAAGAATTATGTACAAATTGAAATGTTTGTGTACCGAGCCTCAACACAACCAATAAAATCTCAGTTATGAAAAAAGGAACAGAGAGTGCAGTGGTGCTTACTAGAGCCTGGGACTGGAAAGGAGAGGGAGAATTTCGAGAAATTGGTTAACGGATACAAAAATACAGTTAGAGTAAATTCTAGTATTTTATTGTACTGTAGTATATTTTTAATTTGTTTCCATATGTTTATTGCTAGTTTATTATCTTCATCTTATATCTGTGCTCTTGATGAACTCACTTTTATAATTCAAAGAGTTACTCTGAAGATTCTCTGGAAGAGAATCTTCTGTTTCCATGCAGACAACTATGTCATCTGCAAATAGGGACAAATTTATCCTCTCCCCCATCTATATGTAATTTATTTCCTTTTTTGCCTTCTTTTGCTGGCTACAACTTTCAGTACTATATTGAATAGCTATTGTGACAGCAGACATTCTAACCTTACATTCAATGTTAGAAGTAAAGCACTCAGACTATTACCATCAACTGTGTTATTAGCTGTAGGGTTGGTTTTTGTTTTGTTTTGTGTTTCAGTGTTTTTATCAGGTTTAAAAAGTCCCTCTCTAATCCTAGTTTTCTGATAGTTTTATTTTGAATGATCATTGAGTTTTGTCTGACACATTTTCAAGTGGCAACAGATATGATCATGTGTATTTTTTTCCTGTCTAGTCTATTAAGATGTTGGAAACTACTAATTTTAAAACACGAATTTAGCCTTGAATCCTTGGAATGAGCTCCAGTTGATTATGGTGTATAATTAAGCATACTGTTGTATTCTATTTGCTAATATTCTGTTGAAGTTTTTTGTGTCTATATTTATAAAGTGTATTGGCTTTTAATTTTTTTTGTTCTATCTTTGGTTTTGATATCAGAGTAATTAATATTAACTATATGAAATTGAAAACAATTATTCCACCTCTATTTTTTTGGAAGAGATTGGATGGAATTGATGTTCATTTTTCTTTAAATCTTTACTGGAATTCTCTAATAAAACTATGGAGATGTTTTTGTTGGGAGAGTTTTAAATAATGCATTCAGCTTCCTTAATAGTTACAAGGCTATTCAAATTTCGATTTCATATTGAGTAAGTTACCTTGGTTGATATATTTCATTGAATTGGTACCTTTCATTTTTGTTGTCAAAGTTGTATATGTAGAGTTTGTAGTATTTCCTTATTATTGTTTTCATACCTGCAGAATCTGTAGTGATTTTGTCTGTTTCATTTCTGATATTAGTAATTCTTGTTTACCTTATTATCAGTCTTGATAGAGATGTATACATTTTATTAATCTTTCAAAGAACCAGTTTTAAAAATATTTATCTATTATTTTTCTATTTTCAATTTCTTTTTTTTTCTTTTTTTGAGACAGAATCTCGCTCTGTCACCTAGGCTGGAGTACAGTGGTATGATCACGGCTCAGTGCAGCCTCAACCACCCAGGCTCAGGCCATCCTCCTTCATTAGCTTCCCAAGTAGCTGGGACTAGAGGCATAAGCCACCATGCACAGTCTCAACTTCGTTTTATATTATACTTGATGGTGATGGTGTGAGTGCTTTATCCCTAACATTAGGAAGAAATACTTTTATCTTCTGCTTGCGGGGTATATTTTGTCTTTCTTTTTTTTAAGTGCTTGATGTAGAACCTCAAAGTATTACTTTGAAACTTTTCCTCTTTTGCATTATAACATTTATTTAGTTCTCTAAATTTCCCTCTCAGCACTGTTTTAGCTGCATTACACATATTTTGATATATTTTTATTTCCTTTCATTACAATATATTATCTTACTTTTCCTCAGACTTCCTCTTTGATCATCAGTTGTTTTAAAGGTTCTGTCTAGTTTGTATTTGTTGAAATGTTTTTCTGTTATCTTTCTGTCATTGGTTTCCAGTTTGATTCATTGTGGTCAGAGAACACACTCAATATGATTTCAATTACTTTAAATTTGTTAATATTTGCTTTATGGCCTAGGATGTAGTCTATCTTGGTATTTATTCAATAAGCTATTGAGAAGAGTGTATATTTTGCTTTTGTTGAATGGAGTGTTCTATAAATGTTGAGAAGATACTGTTGATTGATGGTGTTTTTGAGGTCGTACATATTTATGCTGAATTGCTGTCTAGTTCTTTCATTAATTGTTAAAAAATAGTCTTGGAGATCATCTGTATTTCTGCATTTTTTATTTATCATTTTACATTTCTATTAACTTTTGTTTCATATATTTTGTAGCACTTTTGTTTAGTCTATCTATATTTGGAATTACTATCTCTTTCTGGTGAATTTACCTTTTATCATTACATAAAACCTTTTATTTTCTGGAAATGTTATTTGTTCTAAAGTATACATTATTTGGTATGAATATAGTCATTTTTTCTTTTTTCATTTATGTTTATATAGTATAACTTTTTGCATTCATGTGCTGTCAACCTACTAATGTTATATTTGAAGTCAATATTTTATAAGCTATGTTTAGATGGCTCATGATTTTATAGGCAATTTTTTCAATCTCTCTCTTTTAGTTTTTCTACGTAGGCATGATCTACTCTAAACATTAAATGTATCGATTTATGGCTTAATTATTTATTTAAATAGCTTAAGTCTACAATTTTAATTTTTTTGTTTTTGTTTTATCCTCTCTGAGTTTTATTTCAATATTTTCTTTCTCCTAGCTTCATATGGGTTTCTCAAACATTTCTATACTTCTACTTTGATTTATCTATGTTGTTTTTGAATGTATCTTTTTGTATACATTTTTTTACCATTTGCCTATTTACGTTCAGTATTTTATAAATAAGATATATAACTTATATCAGTTCCCATGAAGTATGGGAAAAATTATCTCCCTTTCCATTTTGTTATCTTCCCACATCTATAAAAATTGTCTTAAATATTTCATCTCTATACATTGAAAATCACATGAATGTTATAATTCATGCTTTGGCCTTTGAACTACTTTTACAAGACTTATCAGGAGAAGAAACATCTGTTTCATTTACCTGTATGTTTACTCTTTCAATTGTTTTTTTTTAATATTTCAAGACTTCTTTTATTATTTCCTTTCTGCTTTGAAAATTTCCTTTAGCTATTCTTTTAAGTTAGGCCTGATGGTGACAAATTCTCTTAACTTTCCTTCATCTAAGAGTATCTTGATTTCCATTTTGTTCCTGAAAGATATTTTTGCTGGACATAGAATTCTGTATTGACAGTTTTCTTAATATTTAAAAAATGTGATGTTATTTCCTTTTGACCTCCATGGTTTCTGAGTAAAAAAAAACTCTGTCATTAAAATAGTTTTACTCTATAAAGTGTTTTTTTTTTCTCTCTTGCCTCTTTTGGAATACATATATACTTTTGTCTTTAGAAGTTTGACTACAAGATGCCCTTGCATATTTTTTTTCTGTATTTAAACGTTTTTGTGTTTACTCAGCTTTGTAAATCTGTAGGTTTTTTGTTTTAATAAATTTGGAAATTTTTCAGACATTATTTCTTCCAATATTTTTCAGCCTTACCTTTTATTCTCTCCTCATGGGACTCTTATGACATGAATGTTAGATCTTTTGTCATTGTTCCACAGTCTTTGTTTCCAGTATATTTTATCTCTCATATTCAAATTACTTAATATCTAGTGTCCTATATTTATGTTCACCAATATTTTTCTCTGATTTCTCCATTTTGCTCTTAAGCATAAGAAATTCATTTTTATTATTGTATTTTTCAGTCTAAATTTTCCATTTTATTCTTCTTTCTTCGCTGAAATTTTTCATTTTATATTAGTTTCAAGAGTGTTCGTAATTGCTCTTTGAAGCATTTTCACTGGCTGGTTTAAATCCTTGTCAGAAAATTCTAACATCTTTGTTATTTTGCTTTTGGTGTGATAATTATCTTCTCTTGTTCAGTTTGAGATTTCTCTGTCTTTGGTATGATGGGTGATTTTCAGTTGAAATGTGGGCATTTTGGATGTAATGTTATGAGACACTGGATATTATTTAAATCTTGTTGTTTAGCAGATCTCCTCCAATACAACTGCCCTGGGGGAAGAAAGGTGTTGCCAAATTACTGCCAGGTGAGTATGATAGTTAAATTCCTTACTTGGCCTCTGTTAACATCAGAGGTTTGGAGGCTCTTCAATAGTGCTAGACCTAGGTGGGAGTGTAGGATCCCCAGGAGGCTCCTGCTTATACCAGCTTATATGGGAGGAACAGTAGCATTTTGTTCCTAATCTTGATATGGCCTATATTGTTGCTGTTAGGGATGACATCTGTATTAGTCTGTTCCCATGCTGCTAATAAAGACATACCTGAGATTGAATAATGTGTAAAGGAGAGAGGTTTAATTGACTCAGTTCCACATGGCTGGTGAGGCCTCATAATCATGGCAGAAGACGAATGAAGAGCAAAGTCACATCTTACTGGCAGTAGGCAAGAGTTTGTGTAGGGGAACCCCTTTATAAAACCAACAAATCTCATGAGACTCATTCACTACCAGGAGAACAGTATAGGGGAAACCGCCCCCCATGATTCAATTATCTCCACCTGGCCCTGCCCTTGACACATGGAGGTTATTACAATTCAAGGTGAGGTTTAGGTGGGCACAAAGCCAAAGGATATCAACATCTTTAACATCGGGCAATGAAAAAAGTGCTGTCTCTACACTAGGCCTCATCTGACTCCCAGCAGAGAGTGGGTGAGGTGTCTTGTTATTACCACATGTGTGTAGAAGTCTATTCTCTTCATGTAGCCTCTACTAACATAAAAGGAGAAGAGGGCTCACAGGTGCCTGGTGGAGACGAAAGTCATGGCTATCTCTTCAACCTTCTTTGGCACCACATGGAGGGTTTGCAGTACTTTGTTACAACCTGGTGTGGGTGCAGTGAAAGTTCCCCACTTGACCTATGCTAGCAGAGTTGGAGTTGAAGCTGTAGTTTTATTCTGTGGCATTTAGCTAGAATACAGCAGTTATTTAAAAATACTTCTATCTTGCTAGGCTTTTCCTTTCTTGGTTCTATGGATAAAGAGAGCATATTTATACTGAGGCATTTTTGTTCACACTCCTTGACAGTTCCAGGTGTCTGGCTTCTTCAGCACCTTCTCTGACATAATGAAGACAAAAACTAAAAATAAATTAAAAATTAAAATGAAAACCACAAACCCATGGTACTCATTCCTATGTTGTTTCTTGGGTCCCAAGGTCCTTAACTTTTCTGTTTTCTTCTCTTCATCCTTTAGCGTCTCCATAGATTTCTTTTATATATAATTTTCAGGATTTTAGCACACTTGGCAAGAGGAGAAAAGTGCAACTATTCCATTTTTTCTGGAGGCACAATTCTCTTACATAAATTTTAACCAGCAGTGTGTACCACTAGTCTTGATAACTTTAGCTGGACCTTGATACAAACTTTATCTGTGTTCATTAATAATTGGGTGACCTTTGAACGGACATTTATTCATTGTGATATTTACTTTTCTCAATGGAAAAAAAAATCTGGGAATCATATCTGCCAAAAATGAAACTCAAATTAGGGATATGGAATGGTAAGATTCTCTATAAGCAAATTACTTAGGTTGTTGGCTGTCAAAACAACCAAAACAACAGAAAAACAATGATCAAGCAAATATTTATTAGATGTCCTTCTGTAAGGGAGAGCATCACATGGTCATGAAGAGTCCTTAGTAAAAAGCTCCAGGGCTTCAGAGTAGTTGACTTTCTGAGTCAAGGGTCTTGAACCACGGTAGCAAAGGTGTCTCAACTGAATTTTGGTCAGCACTCTAAAATTGTCAGCAGTTGACTCCGTTCGAAGACCACCAGAATAAACTGTTGGTTAAGCAAAGCTCAATATATTAACATAGTCTAAGAGGAAAAATCATGAACTTAATAGAATCTTAGTTATGTCACAAAATAAGGAGTTCAAAGAAGGATATTTATAGGGGTTGGGATCTGGAATCAAGTAGTTTAAAGTGGATTTTTCAAGGTAGGGACTGATTGTATTTGAGAAAATTTCATAAGATAATTTATAAGATTGTTGAAAAAAATTAGGTGAGTTTCTTTTGTTTCATAAGCAAGAACTTTGCCCAAGTGAATGAGTATTCTATATTGAATACAACTAATAGCCAACATGAGGGAACTCTTTGTCCAGATGATTCATTTAAAAGAATTTCCTGAAACAAATGGTGAAGCTATTAATTGGTTTATAGCTTTATCTTCTTGAGGAATAATTTCATGAAAGAAATAATTATCACATTGATAAAGATAGTCTCAGTTCTCTGTACTGTTAGTTTAGCTATGTGGATACAAATGAACCCAATTTCAAGTCGGTTGAAAACATAAAGCTATAGTAGAGAAAGAAAATAAAAATCATAAGAAATCCATCCCCTTAGTGAATTATCACATTCTTTTCCTTTGCATACCCAAAAGTCTTACACAAATGTTTCTCCTCAAAATTATCTTCACAGATTCCTTAAGTTGAAATAGAGCTTTCCATTCCTCATGGTCACAATAGTTTTTATGTTTCCATTATAATAGACATATATTTTAACAGAAGATTTTAAATAACTAATACTTTTTAAAACAAGCCAATATATTTAAACTTCTGTCATCATCAATATTAAAATCACTCTTTCCCCAATAAAATCCCAGTTTTACACCAGGTTATTTTTAAAGAACATTGTCAAGGTAAAGCACAAATACACCTATTTTCATTTTTTATAGGTTACTCATTTACTTTTATAATACTATTGTGATAACTTTATTCCTAGAACCTAGAACAGAGTCTAGCAATAAAAAAGTAGATGTTAAGTTCATGTTTTCTTTGCTTTAATGGAGTTCTCAGTAACATTTGGTATATTGATGTCATAATTTGCATTGAAATGATTATGTAGATTTCTTCCCTTGCATATGAGTTTCCAAAGGTAAATCTATCTTTCTATCCAGCTGCTCCTCCATTCCCATAAACTACCACACCTCCTCTTTCATCTCATGCCTAAATATGGAAAATACAAAAAGCTTTGAGGAAATAGAACAAAGCAGCAATTGTGATATTTATTAAGATCTTCTATTTGGCTGTTATATTCTGATTTACTAACAGCTTATAAAAAAAGAGGCATTCTATAGGGCTTGTTTCACTGAATTGTTGTTCTAAAACTTATAACCTATAATGAAATAAGTCGAGTATTTTTAGTTTGCTTCAAGGTGATTTTATTTTAGATATTTGTTATTGAAATATGGTTTCTATAGAAACTGTACAAAGTATACTGACCCTGAACAATGGACTTGAAAGCATTTATTGGCTCACAAAGATTTTCACTATCCTTTCTCACTATGTCATGCAGTAAATTTCAGTATTCTAAATTAAATCTAATATAATACTAACACTGGGAGATAGATTTTAGGGACAAAAATTCTCATTCACCCAATAAATAACTGTCATTTATTATGTTAGAGGTAAGATCTGTAAGGATATCTGGATTAGTTTGCAATTGTATATAATATCCTTATTTTAGACCCCACAATATGAGGTTAGTATTAATGCTCAATTTATAATTCTGGGCTTCATCATCTTATTCTGAGACTATTTAGAGACTACAGTAAATAAGATTTTGAATATTATTTCTTCTTTTATGAGTCTCATGTCTACTAAATATTTTACATAGTCCACATTTATTTTTTTCTTTATTAGTCTGAATTTAATGCCAGATGCTAATTAACAGCAAGTTTCTTTGGGGAAAAGTCAATTTACAAAGAATCAAGAGCTTATCTCACAAAAAGAGTTCTCATTTTTTTAATTACTTTTGGTAAATAAAAATGAATATTGCCTATTGAATGTTTAAACCTTAATTTTGTGGTAGTGTTAAAAGAAAAAGCCATCATAACATGTAACTTCTTCCATTAAGAGATGGAAACCACTTTTCCACCCTTTGAAAATGGATTTGACCACGTGACTTGCTTTAACAAGGGCAGCATTAGCAAATATGGTTAGAGCTTTGTGAATTCATAGGAAACATATAGAATTTTGAAGGAAGTAGTAAAAATCAAAGCACTACCACTTTTACTAAAAGTGAGTTCGTTCAAATTGGAAAATGTTTTTGTGCCTTTAACTTTCTAGAAGTAGAAATCAGGTGGAGCATTTTCTTAGGTACTTTTTTTCTAAAAGGAAGAATGACTCAGAGGGCGGAACCAAGTACCATGAAGAAAAATAGACTCAGGAATTACTCACAAGAAGCAGAATTCATCTTTCATCAAGAAAAACTTTGTGTTTGCAGAGTAATGTGACCTTCTACTCCTTCTCTTTTGGAATGGGAGTATCCATGTTCAGGTCAGGTAACTTATCCTTTTAGTTTACGAGTCACTAAATCGATAGGAGATGAATCATAAGAGATACATCTATCTTAGACCAGATACTGATCATTGAGCCTGATATTGAAATTTGATGAGATTTCTTGAGAAGTCTTTGGGGAGGATGAATTATTTTGCAACTAAGAGGAATGTAAATAAATTGGACTATTGTAAATTTAAACATGAAAAAAGCCATACAATTTGTAAGCTTCCTTATGAAAAGGTAGAATCTATTTCTCCATTTCTGGTGATTTACCACAGCCAAAGGTGTATCAGCAAACATTATCCAAACAGAGGCCTAAAAGTGTTTGTACACTGAGTCTTTCCTTGTCTTCAAGTTTTGTGAATACAGTTATTGTAAAAGAAAGCCTGTGATCAGTTTGTAGGCAGACGACAGATATATAGTCCGGCCATCTCTATTTCTCCAGACAACCTCCAAGCATCTGAGCGTGGTGTTCTGGGACAAGTCAGAAACATTTTATAACTGCCGAAAACTTGCCAGTTGAAAAGTGACTCCAAATGCATGAGTGAGTCCAACTGACAATAGCGAAGAGATATACCATCTGAGACCTGACCAAATTGCTGACCCACACAATTATGAACAAATAAATATCTATTGTTTTTAAGCAATAATGTTTTTAATTCTTTTTAAAATATGGCAATAGATAATGAATAAATGTTGCCAATGGAAACACATTAACTAACTCAACAAATATTTATTTTGCACCCATTATGCACTATTTTCTACATTTGACATAGCAAAGTTTTTATCAAATAAGATTATTAAGTTTGATGCTAAAATATAAAACATTAGCATGTAAATATATAAGATATAACTTTAATTAAATGGTTTACATATTTTTAGTGTACTGGCCATCTAGCTGGAGACTGACCTACAAATATTTACCTGCTTAATATCAATACCTTCTTATTCTAGTAAGAACAAACTAATTCTCATGGGAAAATAACTTAATTGCCCAGTGTCATTACATGTGTTGTGTTACAGCTGATTTTACCTTCCTCTTCAAAGTGGAAATATGACCTATTCAGAGTATTGAATGCCTTCTCAAAAATGTGATTCAGGGATGAGTACATGATCTTATTTAAATCATTTCCAGTGAGGCTTAAGAATTGTTATCGGACTTTTATTGAAAAAGAAGTTTGTCCCTTCTTGGGTAGCTCAGATAATGAAATTGACTTTGTATTGACTGAAAATAAAATAAAATGAAAACGAAAATAATGAAACAGTCCTGTTGACAATATTTGGAAATCCTGGACCCACATTTGCTTGAAGCGTAATCAACCCCTGGGATTTTTAGGTTTGCGAACCAACTTACTCTTTGAAGTTAGTTTAAGGTGAATATACAAAATTTGCAACTGAAATAGTTCTGGCTAATAAAATAGACTAGAAAGAGAATATGTGTCACATTCTGTTTGACAGAAATCCCTTTCCAAAATAATCTCTCCTTATTTTTACTTCTATGATTTGGTTTAATATATGTATAGGTCGTTGAAATATCTTTCCAGATATACAGGAGCCTGTACAATATTCTTATGGGCAGCTTCCACCTAGTCTCCTAAACTTGTTCTCACTCCCAAACTTGTTGGCATAGGTTCTCTATTAAGAACCACTATCTTCCTAATGCCTGAGATTTGAGAACTATTAATATAACAGAAAAATCAGTATATTTTTATAATTAGAATGCTCATTTTTTACAATGCAAAGTAATAAAAATGTATGTATCTCTGAACTATTATATAAAGGATAAATATACTTTTATTTAGCTAACTAAATTTTAAGCTCTTACAGAACCTTAGCATTTACCATAACTAACCCTGATTTTAAAAATCTAACAAATAATTAAATATAACACATTATTCTACCAGTGAAATTTAATGTGGGAAACAGAAACCTCTCTGGGTATTTCAATCCAAAGGTAATTAGGTACTTAGAAAATTGCTGAAAGGACAAAGGAATAAATGTCAGAGAGCTGCACTGGATTTCTGGTTTCAGGGTCATAGCACTATAGCTGTGATACAAAGAACAGGAAAATATTTGTGGCTGCTGCTAGAAGTATGTTGCGATTACAACTGCTTCAGTTACTAGACAAAGGAATGTAGAATTTAGTAATGGAAGAAATCCTATGTCTGTTGGCACTTCATTGAAGAAAGATTTTTCCTCGCTTGTATCTTCCAAAAATCTTGCAACTGCAACTCATTAGTGGAATCTGAATTGCATCTAAGACCTTAGCTATAATCATTCTGAAAAATGTAGTTTTTAACTTCCAAACTTTATGACAGATGTGGACAATAGAACAAAAGGTTGAAATTAGTGACTTTCATTTAAGTAATTGCTCTCTGTATTAGGTTCTCCAGAAAACCAGAAACAATTGGATATAAATCAATATATCTATATGTGTATCTATATGTATATCTAAATCTTTATATGTAAATCGACTCACATGATAATGGAGACTGGCAAGTCCAAAATCTGCTGTGTTGGCCAACAGGCTGGAGACCCAGGAGGGCTCATGGTTGTGTTCTAGTTCAAATGACAACAGCCTGAAGACCTGGGAGAAACAAACATGTAGATTAAGTCTGAAGGCAGTCTGCTGATATATTACCCTTTGCTCAAGGAGGCTGGTCTATTGGTTCTAATCAGGCCTTCATCTAATTGGATGATGCTCACACACATTATGGAGGGCAATGTGCTTACTGGAAGTTCACCAATTTAAATCTTAATCTCTTTCAAAAACACCCTTCAAGTTGACATATACATTTAACCATCACACTTTCTAACTTAGGCATCAGGAAGGTGGTGGTCCTTCTTGTTGTTGAAAGTACCAGTTTATAATATGGAGCTATATTATTAAAGTAGGTAGGTTTATACTGTCTAACACAGTAGCCACTAGACACATGCAGTTATGGCTAATTGAAATGTGGCCAGTCTGTGTTGAGATGTGAATTTTAGTATTTGCACAAAAATATAAAATACCTTATTAATAATTTTTATTGATGATATTTAAAGGCATTACACTCTAGTCTACTCTTTGTCCTGGGAGTATTTAATCAGATGAAAGTTTTACTGGACATTTTTGACTTAATAACCTTTACTCCTACTGTTCGGAGTTGATAAACAGGTACTTTCTCCAACCAGGCAAGTTACAGAATTAATGAACTTTATCTTTTTCCTTCAATTATGTTTGAAAGTTGGCCAATTCTTTGCTGAATTTATTTTTCTTATAATAAATTGTAAATAGCATTCAATGACATTCAATCAACAGGTGTCTAATTTCTAATCCTTCACGTAGGTCCGCAGATCCATAGGTAATAGTGCTATGATATCAATGTGTTCCACCAAATTCACATGCTGAAACGTAATCATCAGTGCGATAATATTAAGAAGTGAGGCCTTAGGAGGTGATTAAAGTCATGTGGAACTGTCATGGATGGATTAGGGCCCTTATAAAAGGGCTTGACGGAGTGGGTTTGCTGTCTTCTGTTTTTCTGCCATGTGAGGAAACAGTGTTAAAGGCACCATCTTGGAAGCAGAGACCATGGACCTTGGCAGACACAAAACCTGCTGGCTTCTTGATCTTGGACTTCTCAGTCTCCAGAATAAATTTCTGCTCTTTATAAATTACCAAGTCACAAGTATTTTATCATAGAAGTGGGCATGGACTAATCCCAGCACTTTGGGTGGCTGAGGCAGGGAAATCATGAGGTGGGCAAATCACGAGGTCAGGAGTTCGAGACCAGCCTGACCAACATGGTGAAACCCCATCTCTGGGGTCTCTGGGGATTGGTGAAATCCTAGCTACTCAGGAGGCTGAGGCAGGAGAATCACTTGAACCCGGGAGGCAGAGGTGACAGTGAGCCAAGATCACGCCACTGCACTCCAGCCTGGGTGACAGAGCGAGACTCCATCTCAAAAAAACCAAAACAAACAAAACAAAACAAAACAAAAAAACAAAAAAAAAGACCCAATCACCCATAGGACTTCAGCATTTGCTGCCTTGTAGCACCTCACATCTCTGCTCCTTACACCAGAGTGCAATGCTCCTTGACCATCCAGCTGTGGCTCATGGGCCCAGGTGTGGCTCAGCTGCCCCTCTGAAAGGTACAGGCCATAAATCATGGTGGTATCCATGTGCTACTAACTCTGCAGCCATGAAGACATCAAGAACTATGGAAGCATTGGTACCTCTACCTAGATTTCTAAGGATGCCTCTGAGAACCTTGTCAGTGTCATACCCAAGACCTCATAATTGTCGAACCACCAGTGTGCAACACCAGCCTGAGAGAGGTGCAGGAACCCAATTTCAACTTGTGTGAGTTACTGTGTGGGCTGTGTTCAGAAAAGCTGTGGGTGTGGGGACCCCAAGGGCTTTAGGGTCCCGAGCCCTGCCTCAGTGTGTCTAAAAGGCAGGATATGGAGTCGAAAGTTTATTCTGAAGCCTCAAGATTTAATATTGTTTGCTTTGTTGGGTTTTGGACTTGAGATCTGTTATTCCCTTCTTCTTTCCTATTGCTCCTTTTTGGCATAGGAATGTCTATTCAATGCCTGTCCTACCATTGTGTTTTGGAAGTATATAACTTGTTTGATCTCACAGGTTCACATCTTAACCGAATCTCATCCATATTTGATTTGAATGAGACTCTGAACTTCAGACTTTTGAGTTATGCTAGAATTAGTTGAGACTTTGAGGCTACTGGAATAAAATAAATGTATGTTGCAGGTGTGAAGAACATTCTGTGGGCCAGGGGTGGAAAGCAATGGTCTGAAACCATCCCTCAAAATTTATAAGTTGAAATTTAATCACCAATGTAATAGTATTAAAAAGTGGGGCCTTAGGACATAATTAAGTGTCATGAGGGTGGAGACCTCATGGATGGGATTATGGCCTTTATGAAAAGTTTTGAGGGAGTAGGTTTGCTGCATTCTATACTTCTGCCATGTGAGGACACCCAAACTTTTTATAAGGGTCCTAATCCCATCAAAGAGGTCTCTATCCTATGACACTTAAGGCCCCACTTTTTAATACTATTACATTGCTGATTAAGTTTCAACTTATAAATTTTGGGAGACAGTTTCAGACCATAGCTTTCCTTCATAATAACCTGCCTCATCCTGGGGGCAGAGACCATGGCCCTCACCAAACACCAAACCTGCTGGTGCCTTGATTTTGGACTTCTCAGCCTCGAGAACTGTGAGGAAATAAATTTATATTATTTATAAATTACCTAGCTACAGTTGTTATATTAACAGCAAGAATAGACTAAGACACTATTTTGTCAATTACTTTGGCAGTGCTATAAAATGAATCCGTATCCTGCCAAACTCTGATTTCAGTTTCCTCAACTCCTCACATCCAACTGCTAAGTCAGTATAGGAATTCCCCCTTATATTAGCTTGTTTTTGTGCTGCTGATAAAGACATACCTGAGACTGGGCAATTTACAAAAGAAAGAGGTTTAATGATTTACAGTTCCACATGTCTAGGGAGGCCTCACAATTATGGTGGAAGGCAAGTTGGAGGAAGTCACATCTTACGTGGATGGCGGCAGGCAAAGAGAGAGAGCTTGTGCAGGGAAACTCTTCTTTATAAAGCCATCAGATCTCATGAGACTTATTCACTATCACAAGAACAGCAAGGGAAAGAGCTGCCGCCATGATTCAATTACCTCACACTGGGTCCCTCCCACAACACATGGGAATTCAAAATGAGATTTGTGTGGGGACACAGCCAAACCATATCACCCCTTATCCATGGGATATATGTTCCAAGACCCCACTGGATGCCTGAAAATGTAGATAGTACAAAACCCTGTATATACTATGTTTTTTCCTATACATACATACTTATGATAAAGTTTAATTTATCACTTAGGTGTAGTAAGAGATTAACAACAATAACTAATAATAAAATAGAGCAATTATAACAATGTACCGCAATAAATGTTATGTGTATGTGGTATCTTTCTCTCTCAATATCTTATTGTACTGTACTTAACCTATTTTCACACCCCAGTTGACCATAGGTAACTAAAACCTCTGAAAGTGAAACCATGGGTGGATAAAGGCAAGCCATTGTACCACAGAAGCATCCTATTTGTGCCATAACAAAGAGACCTCAAGTCTCACTACTTAACACCAAAACTGTTTGCTTCTTGATCATGTAGGGTAGCTTTATATTCACATAACTCTCTGGTACGTTGTCCTTCATGTAGCAACTTAGTGATATAAACTGCTTCTTTTTGGTGCCTCCATTTTTCAATACAAGACCCTCATGAATGGACAGAGAAAACATCCAAACTTTTTTCTCTGGAAATTAAATGCTCATCCTGGAAGTGACACAACGTACTTAGGTCTACACCCCACTGGCCAGTGCCCATTGGCCAGAAATAGGCCCCAACCAGCAGTAAGGAAGCTACATGTAGGGAACTCCATGAAATATTTGGAAGACATATGTCACACCAGTATACTCCTTCACCCAGTGATTTCAATTCTGAGACTGGATCCCAAGGAAATAAGAGAGTTTTAATCAAAGATATATAAATAAGGATACATTACATGGTTACTTATAATAATCATCTAAAAAAATTAAAACTCACAAACTACAAACAATGTAACTATTAAACAACCACAAATAAAAAATAAACTATATTATGAGAAACTCTTCACAGAGCACTGTGTATCCAATAAAATTGCATTTATAAAAACAACTGAAAAGTGTTTGCTACATGTATGTTATATAACACTGTTGGTGATTAGGAACATTAATAAATAAGGCAAAGCAATCAATGAGTGCACACTGTGTTCCAGGCAGTGTTCTAAGAACTTTACACTATTGGCTCATTTAAGCATTTAAAAACAAAAATCTTATTTTATACAAGAGGGAACTGAGGAAGGGAAAGCCCACAAAGCGAAAAACTGCTAAGAATAGAAATGAATAAAGATAGATTGCAAAAATGTTCTCCCATTCTGTAGGTTGCCTGTTCACTCTGATGGTAGTTTCTTTTGCTGTGCAAAAGCTCTTTTGTTTAATTAGATCCGATTTGTCAATTTTGGCTTTTGTTGCCATTGCTTTTGGTGTTTTGGACATGAAGTCCTTGCCCATTCCTATGTCCTGAATGGTATCGCCTAGGTTTTCTTCTAGGGTTTTTATATGCAGCCATAAAAAATGATGAGTTCATGTCCTTTGTAGGGACATGGATGAAGCTGGAAACCATCATTCTTAGCAAACTATTGCAAGGACAAAAAACCAAACACTGTGTGTTCTCACTCATAGGTGGGAATTGAACAATGAGAACACTTGGACACAGGAAGGGGAACATCGCACACCGGGGCCTGTCGTGGGGTGGGGGGAGAGGGGAGGGATAGCATTAGGAGATATACGTAATGTAAATGACGAGTTAATGAGTGCAGCACACCAACATGGCACATGTATACATATGTAACAAACCTGCACGTTGTGCACATGTACCCTAGAACTTAAAGTATAATTAAAAAAAAAAGAAAAAAAAGATATAAATAAGGTGAGGAGGAAAAGAACAGCCAACTATATGCACGTAGGGGACTAGGATATACAGTCACTAAAATTGAAGGGAAATATCAGTTACAGAGATTCTGGAGTTATGTAAATGAATTTCATAGTTAATTTCATTTACCTATAATTGCCTTCAGGTTTTTCTTTTCTCTCTCATATTTTTTCTCTTCATAAAAACCAGAAAAGTTATTTTATGTCAAATTAATGGATTAATTCTTTGAAAATAAAAACTATTGATATTTGTGTTATGTTATTAGGCATAAACAAATGTCTGAAACAAAGAAGAATTTAAAAATTCACATTTTGTTAAACATATTTGTGCATTATTAACCAAACACAACTGCAGTGTCTGTCATTACTAGCAAAATACAGTACATTCTCTGTGGGCAAAAATAATAGGGGTATTCAAAAATATTTTTATTGAGGAATATGCAGGTCTAATCATGGTTATTAGCATTACTCTTATTCAACATGGAGTGAGACTCTTCAAAGGGATGTGTGTGTGTGTGTGTGTGTCTGTGTGTGTCTGTGTGTGTGTTTTGAGATAGGACCTTGCTGTTTCTCCCAAACTGGAGTGCAGTGGCTCAATCCCAGCTCACTGCAGCTTCAACCACCCCATCTCAAGAGGATCCTCCCACCTAAGCCCTTCAAGTAGCTGGGACTATAGACATGCGCCACCACACCTGGCAAATTTTTGTATTTTTATAGAGCAGAGTTTCATCATGTTGCCCGGGATGGTATCAAACTCCTTAGTTTAAGTGATCTGCCTGCCTCAGCCTCCCAAAGAGCTGGGATTACAAGTGTGATTCACCGTGTCCAGCCCAAATATGTTTTTAACATAAATTTATCTGACAAAAGATCTGATTTTTATAGACACATTATATATTCATGCACTGCATCATGATGCATTAGTCAATGATGAGCTGCCTATATGACAGTGCTCCCATAAGATTATAAAAAAGTTGAAAAATTCGTATCACCTAGTGACATCACAGTCATTGTAACTGCCTAGGGCAACACATTGCTGATGTGTTTGTGGTAATGCTGGTGTAAACAAACCTGCTGCTCTGCCAGTCATTTAAAAAGCCAAAAAAAAATTTAAAACCATAGGAAAAGCTTATAAAAGAGGAATTAAACAAAATATTTTTGGACAGCTGTACAATGTGTGTTTTAAGCTAAATGTTATTACAAAATAGTCAAAAAGTTAAAAAATTAAAAGCATATAAAGAAAACTATTCCAGTATGCTAAAGTTTATTTATTATTACAGAAATAATATTAATTTTATAAATTTAGTGTAGCCTAAGTTTAAGCGTTTATAAAATCTGAAGTAGTGTACAGTAATATCATAGGCCTTCACACTCACTCACCATTCACTCGCTGACTCACCCAGAACAACCGTAGTCCTGCAAGGTCCATTCATGGTAAGTGCCATAAAAGGTGTGCAAGTTTAGACAATCTTTTATACCTTATTTTTACTGTACATGTTCTATGTTTAGATCTGTTTAGATACAGAAATATATAACATTGTTTTACAACTGCCTATAGTATTCAGTATAGTAACAAGCTGTACAGATTTGTAGCCTAGAAGCAATAGACTATAACATATAACTTAAGTGTGTAGCAGACTATACCATCTAGGTTTGTGTAATAAGTGTACTCTATGATGTTTGCACAAATAGGAAATCTTTCTAACAACACTTTTCTCACAAGATATCCACATCATTAAACAATACATGACTGCATTATGAATCACCTGGGTACTGGGCATATGTGGATGTTTTAGAAAGTTAGAGACTATTATTCTCTATTTTTTTTATTATACTTTAAGTTCTGGGATACCTGTGCAGAACTTGCAGGTTTGTTACATAGCTATACACGTGCCATGGTGGTTTGCTGCACCCATCAACCCATCATCTACATTAGGTATTTCTCCTAATGCTGTCCCTCCCCTAGCTCCCCACCCCTCCAACAGGCCCCGGTGTATGATGTTCACCTCCCTGTGTCCATGTGTTCTCGCTGTTCTACTCCCACTTATGAGTGAGAACATGGGGTGTTAGGTTTTCTGTTGCTGTGTTAATTTGCTGAGAATGATGTTTTCCAGCTTCATTCATGTCCCTGCAAAGGACATGAACTCATCCTTTTTATGGCCGCATAGTATTCCATGGTGTATATGTGCCAGATTTTCTTCAGTCTATCATTGATAGGCATTTGGGCTGGTTTCAAGTCTTTGCTATTGTGAATAGCGTTGCAATAAATATAAAGACACATGCACACATATGTTTATTGGAGACTATTATTCTTAGAGGGTGTAATAGTGAAGGAATATTTTGGTTGCAAATTTTAAAACTCTTGAAATTGTTAAAAAAAAAAAAAAAAGGAGATTTACAGGTCTCATTTAATTGGAAGGAAATGCAGAGCAAACATGGACTCCAGGGCAGGTTTGTTTCAGTTGCATGATGAAGTCAGCAAGGACCAATTCCCTCACATCATTTTCAGCTTTCAGAGGCCAAAGTATTTGTAAAGCTGGCACCCCCTTGTGAACCCTGGTAGAAGTGTCATGTCCTTATCCTACTTCCTTCCTCATCTTCCCTGGATAAGAGAAAAAGGGTCATTTCTTAATGACCCTTAAATATTCTTAAAATATTTTTCATAAAATGGAAGAAATTTATTCTCCAAAGGACCTAAGGAAATGTTTTCTCCCATCTGTTGCCATCACTTCCATGCTCCTGAATAAATCTCTATGCTGATTGGCCCATCCCTAAGACATTCACGACGGTATGAGAGTCAGGATGACTGTGATTGGCTTAGATTCTGCAGCTCCTGCCTCTGGAACTGAGGTTAATTCTCCAAGATGCCTGAATGCAGCACGAGGTGAACAAAGTGGAGCCCATGTGGCAGCGTCAGTCACAAGGTCAGCTAGAAACGGGCTCTAGTCAAAGTCCTAAGCCCAAACGTTTATCTATAATTGACCATTCTTTAATACCTGAAATCCATTTATAATTGATAACCTGTTAAAATGCAATGCTTTGTTTGCTTTCAGGCAGCTATATGAACTTAAGGAACTTGCTTAACATCTCAAAAGCCTACCCTAGACTTTCCCTGGAAATCCATTTCAGAGATAGGGATTCCATAGCACTCTGGCAGTAGCTCAAAATGATGTCCTTATATAACAATAAGAGCCAGAGGACAGCATTTCCACAGCAGGAGACATTTAAAGAAGTGTAGGCGAGAAACACAATCCCCGATCTAATAGTTTTGGTGCCCCAAGAAAAATAATAAACCCAGAGCAAAAACTGAAGGGGTAGAGAAAAAAAAAAAGACAGATGGAAGATGCCAAATACATCATTTGCCAACTTTTTATTTTCCCCCTAAAGTTGGCTCAGGTCCATGTTTACAGAAAACGAACAGTAATTGATGGTAACCATGGTTCCTTCATGTGACATGGTCGCTGGGTAGGATTATATCTTTTGAGTATTTAATCAAATAATGGCCACAATCATATTCATAACACTCCTTCAAGATAAATTTATTTCCCCTGTAGCCTCCAAATGATGAGACAGAGAAAGGCAGGAGGTGGGGGAAAGGCAGAAATGATTCCTAAAGTACTCTTCTGCAAAGGAAATGAGTAAATAAATCCATATGCCTCCAGATTGGTGTGGATTTTTTAAGTCAAATTGCATAAAAGTCCAAAAATTGGGTGGGATTACCTCTAAATTCTGTTTCTCTCTCCTCTCAGGAGTGGGTGCTTGGATCATGAATATACCCTGGAATACTTCTAGCTGTTCTGTCTTTTGAAGCACCTTGCTTTGAGGAAATGGGACAGGGAAAGCTTTCCTAGTGGATGCTAACCCTCTAAAAAACAGGCACTGAGACAGTTAAAAGCCAGTTACAGAAACCTCAAAGAATTTTTCAGCTATGATAAATGCAAGGGAGTTGGATTTATATGTGCAGAAATGAACATTTTGGCAGCATCACAGAAATTCCTATCACTCTACACAAATATTGCTCTGTGCATCTGTGTGTCTAGTGAGTATTCAGAATCATCAAAATGATTGCAAGAGGACTGTAAGCAATGTGCTGAATGCTTTGTTCAGGAGGCAGTCCACTCATTACTTTTGAAATTCTTACTCAAAAACTGGTTTTAATCCTGTAAAAATAAAAAAAATGACAATAATTGCGTAAATGACTCAAACACAGTCAAAAATTGGAAAATAAAAAATACCTTAGATTAGGTGTATAAGTCAGGATAGGTTAAGTTGTTCTGCAATATAAAAAATGAAAAACAAATCAAAACCAAAAAAGCACCTAATCTCAATGCCTTAAAACGACCTAAGTTTATTTCATATTTATTCTCTCTGACCATTGCAGGCCAGCTGGGTAGTTGCAGTTTAGATCACCTTCACTCAGGACCTCGGCATGCAGGAGTCTTCACCTTTATGCTGCACAGTCACCAAAGCAGACCAAAGTAAATGTGGCAAACTACAGACTGACTCTTGAAACATTAGCTTAGAAATGACAAACATCAGGCCGGGCACGGTGCCTCACGCCTGTAATCCCAGCACTTTGGGAGGCTGAGGCGGGCAGATCACGAGGTCAGGAGATCGAGACCATCCTGGCGAACACGGTGAAACCCCATCTCTACTAAAAATACAAAAAATTAGCTGGGCGTGGTGGCGGGCGCCTGTAGTCCCAGCTACTTGGGAGGCTGAGGCAGGAGAATGGCATGAACCCGGGAGGTGGAGCTTGCAGTGAGCCAAGATAGCACCACCACTGCACTCTGGCCTGGGCAAAAGAGCAAGACTCCGTCTCAAAAAAAAAAAAAAAAGAAAAGAAATGACAAACATCACTTCCGCTGACATCCTATTGCCAATATGAGACACATGGCTGCCTCTGACTTCAAGTAAGGCAGGAAAATACATCCATCTCAGATTTCCATAAGGAGAACTGGACCTTTTTACGGCAGAGCACTAACAACCACTCTTTTAAGCAAAACAGATCTTGCTTACTGAAAATATAAAAACATTCTGGTTTCTGGAAAAGAGTCTTTTAGGATGCTACTGGAAACCTTTACTTTTTACACCATGGTATCCAATTTAGTTACAGTCATGCATTGTTGCTTAAGCACAGAGCTAAGTTCTGAGAAACGTGCAGTTAGGTGATTTCATCGTTGTGCAAACACCATAGTGTTTACTTACATAAACCTAGACGATATAGCCTACTACATACCTAGGCTATACAGTATGGCCTATTGCTCCTAGGCCAAAAACCTAAACAGTATGTGATTGTACTGAATATTGTAGGCATGAGTAACATAGTGGGATGTATTATATATCTAAACAGATCTAAATATAGAACAGGAACAGTAAAAATATGATATAAAAGATTTTTTAAAACATCTTTTGTTCAGGGACATATGCCAAAGAACCCTTGGAAACTTCTACCCTAGCAACGAGATTCTGGGCTCTAGGCAATGTAACAAATATTTCTTCAATTGTGGGAAAAAGAAAGATGAGTGGGCTAACATGGCCTATTTCTAGGAGGTAATTAAAATAACTAGTAGCAAAGGGACAAAATACAGGCCAGAAAAAAAATCCACCTCTCCGCATACATCCATGTGCTTTCCTAGTATTTTCCAGTCGATTTGCTATTAAAGAGACTTGTTCTCACCAATTATCTGAGTGAACAAGAAAGGTATCTAGGAAAAATGTTCTAGGCAGGGGAAACAGCAGTGGCCTTAAAAAGAGAGTGAGCCTGGTACGTTCAAGGAGCAGAGTGTGCAAAGGAGATAAAGTAGGAGTTGACAGAGAGTAACCAAGGATACACCGTGGAGGGGCACATAAGGCTTCTGCAATAATTTTGTCTTTTGTTCTGAACTGGAGAAGTACTCCAGAGAAATGTTAAAGGGATGACTTTGGCAGCTGTGTTGAGAATAACCTGTAGGAAGGCAGACGAGGAAGCTTTTGCATGGCTCAAATGTGCAATGCAGTGGCTTGGCCTCGGGTAGTGGAGAGGTGGTCAGATTCTGGATGTATTTGGAAGGTAAACCCAGCACAGCTTTCTTCCAAACTAGGCGTGGGGCATGAGGAAAAGGAAAGAAAAAAGTAAGGTTCCAAGTGTTCACCCTAAATGCTGGTAAGAATGGACTTGTCACAAATTGAGATGAAGAAGTTTGCAGAAGGAGCAGATTTGGGCAGAGAGAGTTGTCTTCTCTCTTCAGATTTCATTTGTTTATTTATTCATAAATAAACAGGATCTGGCCAAGAGGAGGGTGAGGACTGAAAAACTACTTATCAGATACTGAGCTTATTACCTGGGTAAATAATCTGTATGTCAAATTCCTGCAAGACACAATTTATCTATACAACAAACCTGCACATGTACCCCTGAACCTAAAATAAAAGCTTAAAAAAATCAATAAATAGAAATAAAATACTTGTGTTTGCTACTTCGTGAAACTTGGAAATTGAAAATGCCTGCCTCTGTCAAGCATAGCATTTCCAAATTTCTGATAGATATTAATCTTTGAATTTGGAAACAACAAATAAGAATTGGCCAGGTTCGGTGGCTCATGCCTGTAATCGCAGCACTTTTGGGCACTGAGTTCAGTGGATCTCTTGAGGCCAGGAGTTTGAGATCAGCCGGGCCAACATGGTGAAACCCGGTCTCTCCTAAAAATAATAATAATAATAGTAATAATAATAGCCAGGAGTGGTGGCACACACCTGTAGTCCCAGCTACTCGGGAGGCTGAGGCAAAATAATTGCTTAAAGCCAGGAGGGGGAGGTTGCAGTGAGCGGAGATGGTACCACTGCACTCCAGCCTGTTCCGTTATTAGTCTGTTTTCGCACCACTGTAAAGAAATACCTGAGACTGAGTAATTTATAAAGGAATTTGGTTTAATTGACTCAAAGTTCTGCATGGCTGGGGAGGCTTCAGGAAGCTTACAATGATGGCAGAAGGGAAAGGAGGCACCTTCGTCACAAGTTGTTGGGAAAGAGAAGAGTGTAGGAGGAACTGCCAAACACTTATAAAACCATCCGATCTCGTGAGAACTCACTGACTGTCATGAAAACAGCATGGGAGAAACTGCCCCCGTAAGCCAATCACCTCCCTCCCTCACATGTGGGAATTACAATTCAGGATGAGATTTGGGTGGAGAAAAAGAGACAAACCATATCAGAGACTCTGTCTCAAAAATAAAACAACAACAACAACAAAAAAGAAATTAGAATTCCTGGGAATTTGTAGAAATTCTCAAAATCAGGTTCTTTTACATTTTTTTCAAAGCACTTTATGCATTTTCAGTAATAATAAGTGACTATAAAAATAAACAGTGAATCTTTTTTCAGCAGTAGATTTACATTATTTCATAAATTTTTTTTTGCAAAATAAAATGGATGTAATAATAAGTGTATGGTTTATTATTACCAGTATTAATATATTGTGACAACATTTATATTTCAATAATATGTACAAATGTTCTCAGCTTGATATATATATTTCATAATAGGAAAACTAAAGGAAGGAGAATGAACACAAAAGTAAGTATCAAATAAAATAATTTAAAGCTAAAGGACAACATAAATTACTTAATATTAATAAATTATCATTCTAAAATGAAATTTTACAACACTCAAGACATTAAATACCCTATTCAATATAAATACTCTTTTTTGTGACAAATATCTCAGATGTAGAAAAATTTATTTCCTTCTGAATTGAAATTGGTCATATTTTAGAAAGCTTATTCCTGAGTTTCTCCAGGTTAGCTGTAAGGATGTATAGTGCTTTAGAACACATTTAATTCCTTATTAATAAAAACGTTTTGTCCACTTGCCCCAATTTTCATTTGCTGTTGAAATTATTATTGCTTTGCAATATTAAAACAGATTCTAAATCAGTTTCTGATTTCATGTCAGAGTCTTCTACAACAACATTCAGGTTTTCTTTCCTTGCGTTAATTCTGATAAAGTGTTTACCAGGAACTGTAACCTAGGTAATATTCAAACACTGAAAAAATGCCACTGAACATTAATAAGCACTATGTAAATAACGTTAAGATTCCAATTTCCTATCAATGTTAAGAAAATCATGCTTTGAAATTGGCAATTAAAAATGTATTTTGCTTTCTAAACTTGTTATTTCTTAGAACAACACTCATAGGGTGGGTATAAAGTATACAGTACATATAAGCTTATTTCTGTTTGTTGGAATGGCTCACCATTAGCAATGGACAGGGCCATGTACACAAACTGATAACATGGGAGCAGCGAAACGTCATACTGATCAATTTATCATGACACCTTCTCTTCTAAATGTTCTGTCCTGCTTCTCAGAAATGTTGACCTCAATCTTTGACTCTGTGTGTTGGTGTTCCCTGCCCTGGCTTTCAAGTCAGTGTTTTCTGTAAGATTAGTCACATTTCAATGGTGCGTGTTATGCTTCAATTCTCACAGGGGATTTATAACACTTTTCTCAGATTTGTTGAAAGATTTTTCATGAGATTCAGGATTTAGAAAATCATAAATTTCCCAGTAAATATGAAGAAGGAAATCCTCCATGGAAACACTATCCAAATGAGATAAGAGAAGTTGTAACTGGATTTCCAACTGTCGATTTTATCATGTATAAAAGAACGTAGTTACCTAAATCAGTGAGAGAAATAGTAAGGATGGATACATGAAATATGACATTAGATCTATGTTTTTCAAAGTAGGGTTCCATATCAGCAACTTCAGCATCACCTTGGAACTTAGTAAAAATGCACATTTCTGGGCATCTACCCAGACCTATGGAAGCAGAAAACTCTGAGTATGGAGCCTCGTAATCTGTGTTTCAACAAGTCCCACAGGCGATTTTGATGCACATTGAAGTTTGAAGGTACCTTTATTAGATTTTCTTTCTTGTGAGTGCCACTCCACAGAGGAGTTGTCTTGTCTCTTCAAATTTCATTCGTTTATTTATTCATTATTCTTAAAGTAATTTAAGGAAACACTCCCTCCCCTAGAGCAGAGGCTTGAGAAACCAGAGTGGGTAATATCTGATAATTGCTACATGTGATTTTCTGAGATAAACTAAAATATTTTAGGCTGTTTTCACTACTTAGTAGTCTCAATCTTTCACTAGATGCATGACAATAGCAAAAATAAATACAATTATTTTTGGAGCATTTATCTGTAATATTTGGTGAATAATTTCTCTAAAACAAGACCCATATACCATAATTGTTTCTAAAATATCCCTTTACCAATCATTGTGTTTTTAGTAATACTATTAAGTTTTTTAGTAGTTGAGTTGAAATGCAACAAATACTTACTGCATGCTTAAGCATTGCATAAAGTGTTGTAGTGTCTCCAGATATGAGCAAGCCATAATTGCTTCCCTCAAACACATTGTGGGATGGTATAGTAACGGAGAAACACCAATTACCAACTAAAATACAAAAGAGAAGGAGATGAAATTGATGATAGGAGAATACATGGCATACAAGAAATATGTATACACACATATATATGCTTATGCATATATATGTATGTACATCTATAACTATACATACACACATGTGTGTATGTATCTGTTTATCATCTATCTACACTTAAAGATGCACATTTTTAGTTGTTTGGAAAGTTTCACTAATCAGCATGAGTCGTTCCCTGATCTGTTACAGTACATTTCATTTCCTGGGGTAACAGTGTAAGGGTACTATTTAGTGAAGAGGTCAGATGAATAACTCTTAGACTGGATGCTTACAAGGAAATGGTTAGAGTACAGGGTAGCTTAACCCTCAATTTTATCCATTTCAGTGGTTTCCACAGATGCACACAAGAGACACTGATGCTTCTCTTGAGAACAACTGACAACTGTATAGCTCAGTTGGTATTAATCACTGTGAATAGTTGTGGCCAAAGTTGAGGATTAAAGTTACACGGCAAATATAGTTCTGATATTGGGTTGTCTATATCAGTACATGTTACAGAAACCACTGCTCTGAGGATGGCAGCAACTTGATAGGGAAGATAAAACTCAAGGAAATAAAGGGGAAAAAAACCCGTTTTCCCCAAACTGAATGCATTTTATTTCCTTAAGTTCACTTCATCACAATGTATGCAGCTTATTCTTTAAAAATTACAAAGAGCTTCTTTGGGTACATTTGGAAAGAACAGCTCAAGGAATTTTGTCCTTCACATAAATCCATCCCAATATTTGCTGATTTCAACTCCCTCAAATCAATTTGTTCGTAAATAAGCTTGCTGCATTTATGATTGTTTTTGCTGTCATTCCTCCAGCACAGAAAAACTACTTGTCTCAAGACTATGCATGGTGGCTCATTCCTGTAATTCCAGCACTTCGGGAGGCCAAGGTGGGCAGATCACGAAATCAAGAGATCGAGACCATCCTGGCCAACATGGTGAAACTCCATTTCTACTAAAAATACAAAATTTAACTGGGCATGGTGGTGCGCACCTATAGTCCTAGCTACTTGGGAAACTGAGGCAGGATGATGGCTTGAACCTGGGAGGCAGAGGTTGCAGTGAGCCAAGATCGTTCCACTGCACTCAAGCCTGGCAACAGAGCGAGACTCTCCGCAAAAAACAAAACAAAACAAAAAAAAAACACCAAAAAACGTATCGTTATATATGCAAACCCTGGATTCAAGACAGAACTAGTACCAACAACAACCAACCAATCAAAAATGTGGAGAAAGGTGGTTGAAAGAAGGCTTTCTAATCTATCTAATTTTGGGATGTTGCTTCTTTGAAAGAAATAAAAATATATACACATACATATATACATTTGTATCAATATCAAATGATATATAATTGATAGTTTGGTGTATAAAATATGTGCCTCTCTACCACCCCTGACATGGACTCCCTGGTGGACTTCTGGTCATCTACTGGGATAATTTAGTCCCTTCTCAGTGCAGCCTTCTCTGTAAACCAAATCCCTTGGTGCTACCTTTACATATCTTTTTGAAAGGATTTACCAAGTAAAGAAACATTTGTTATTGTAGATCAGGAGTGTTTTGAAGCAGAGACTCATCTTGTTTATCATTTGACCCCCTAGATTAGGAATTGGAATACCATGGTCTGCTGTCATTTTGTCTACCCTATGAGCCAAAAATTGTTTTGAAAGTTTGAAATGGTTGAAAAACAATAAAACAAAAGAAGAATAACTTATGACACAGGAAAATTGTATAAAGTTCACTATTTGGTCTTCATTAATAATCTTTTATTGGTACACATCCATGCTCTTTTGTTTACATATCATCTATGGACACTTTTATAGTTGCAACCGAGATTGTATGACCTGTATATTACAAAGCAATAGCTCTCAACCACGGCTAAATTTGCTTCTAGGTCTTAAGGAACGTTTGACAAAATCTGGAGAGATTTCTGGTTGTTGAAACTATAAGAGGTGAATACTACTGTACTCTTATGGGAAGAGACTTGGATACTGCTAAGATTCATAGAGTGATCAATACAGCTCTCCCCAGTAAATAATTATCTCATACAAAATGTCAGTAGCGCTGAGGTTGATAACTCTGGGCCTTCAATGCTTACTATATGAACCTTTACAGAAAATGTTGGCTACAGCTTGCCCTAGATCTTAACAAAAACTAAGGGGATCGAAAGTTTTTTCTGGTAATTATAAGATATGCATGCTCAGCTTTAGATACACACATTAAAAAATATAAGTAATTAAAAACTCAGACAATTGTCCTGAACTTATTTATAGGTTAAATGTGTGTAAATATTTACCAGTTTAGGGGACTCACCTGATCTAAGTCAAACATTCCAATCTGTACTCAATAACTTAAAAACAAACACATAAAAAACCAAAAAACAAAAAAAGAAACCTCAAAAAGCGATGTACTTAAAATTGTGAAAACAGAAACACAAACACGTAAACATAAAATCAATTGTTTATTTTATGACATATGTGCCAAAGAAATGGGCAATTCTATTTTTTTAGTTTCAACTTGGTGGCTGTGATTTAACAAGGAGGATAAATGAGGCACCTCCAGTATCCAGGGAATCCTGTGTCTCATACTTCAACAGTTATTTTAGAGTGCACCAGCCTATTTCTTAGTCTTTAAGCCAGACACTAACATTATATAAAAATAACACAAAAGAGACTTTCAATAGAAACTAGTCTTCAATGGTTAAAAGACAGAGTAATAGGAACCATGATTGGGGATTTCCTTTCTGATTTATAAGAATCTCATATCAAGTCACCTGTTAAAAATATATACCTATAATGTATGGTTAAACTTATTGTCAACTGCATTCTGTTTTTACTTGACCTTTTAACCCTGCTTTTTGATTTTAAGCAAAAGCACAGGAAGTATTTCCTTCCATGTTAGAAGATAGGAATGAGAGAAGGTGTTCTTTCCCCTTGTCCATTAGATCATGCTAATCTCATATTTTTCCTATTTAGAAACCTGACTTCGAGTTAATATATACCATTCTAACGTGTCAAAGATGTTAATTTTTAATTTAAAACACTTGTCTTAATAAGAATGGTTGAGATCATGTTAGCTTTATTGTGATAGCTGAACAGTCCCTTACCAAGTGCCTAATGAAAAGAAACAGTGATTTTGCAGCTTTGTCTCATTTGAAGAAACAATAATAAGAAGTGGCCCTGGAAAAATTGATAGCAGATTCTACATTTTATGTAGTGTTCTGGTTTCAACATAGTGCAGAGTCAGAGAGAATAAAGGAGACTATAGTGCATGCAACTGTTTCTAAGTCATTGAGAATTAAGATTAAGTTGCTGGTTCTGGAATCAGAAAAACCTTGGTTTGAATATCATCTTTGACCCTTTTAAGCTGTGTGATCTTATGAAGTTATTCAACTGCTCTGTTTTCTTATTAGTAAAATGAAGATAATAATAGTATACACTTTATGGTTTTGGAGATGGCTAAATGGCATATGTACTTAGAATGTTCAATGTATGGTAACTAATTATAATAACACAGATGTCATATGGGGTACCCCTGCCCTCCAGAGAGCTCATTAAACTTGTCTGAAACTCCAATCCATGACTTGTGATGTTCCAAAATCTTTCCCATGATTTCAGCCAAGTCTGTGGATCTTGTTTCAAGCTTCCCTGTACCCTCAAGCTCTTGCATTCCAGTGGGACATATCAGTTTTCCTTGGCAATACTGTACCTTGATGTTAAACTCTTGTGTGTTCACATCCAAGACTTTGCTCGTATGATGTACTTAGTTTAAAAAATTATTTTGTAAACTTTGGGGTTAATATAGGAGCATTTACATATTAAAACCTTCTGCCACTGGGAATCATTTTCTCTTCTCTGTCCACTTGCTTTTTTTTTTCTTCTTTATTCCTTTCCTTCCTATTTTGTTCAAGTTCTTCCCCCTTTTTCCTGTCCTTTACTTTCTTGCCTCCTCCTCCTTTTCCTCTTCCTCCTTCTCCTTTTCTTCTTGCCTCTGTCCCCTTCTCATTCCTCCTTTCCCTGATTTTTCTGCACTTCACATCCATACCCAAACCCCATTTCAAATTCCTCTGCCTTCATAATGAGAGTAGTTTCCCCTTTCTTTAAGACTTTTCACACTAGCCCTTGAGGGGAGGGAAGCATTATTTGCTCAGTTTGTAACATATGCATTTTTTTCCTACTAATCTAGCTTTCTCCCCAATAGAAATCCAGATTTGGCTTTTTAGAAAAAAAATTGCCATCTTATTACATAATTTCTTCATTCTCTGTGCTTCTCCATCTGATGACCTCTACTCTCTTCACTGTGAATGCTGAGGGAGCATTCATCTCCAAAGGCTCCATTTAGCAGATCTTCTCTTCTATCTTTGAAGGCCCTTAATGCTCTGCCTGCACTTTTCTTATGAATTTTAGTTCCTCCTGCCTTGTGTTGTGGCGATCTGTGACTATTACATTTTCTATCCCTCTTTTAAGGGCTGGAAGTAGGCCTGGAACCACCCCTTAAACATAAAGATAGCCAAAAACCATAATCCATAGAAAAGAAGAGCATGGACTTTAGCTGTGACTGTCCTAGGGTCTGCTTCATGGTCTTGGTTGTGTGTATCAGTCAGAGTTGAGACAAGCGAGTAAAGCCACAGTGAGTACTTGGGAGTGAGGAATTATTATAGGAATTGGACCTCGAGCCAATGTGGGAAACATTAGGGAAGTAAAAGTCTAGAAGAGGAGTTCAAAAAGTCAGAGAAAGTAACACTCACCACTCTTCCTGAAGCAGTGGTATAGTTCAGCAAGCCAGCGTTTTCAGGGAATTATAAAAAGCCAAGCAATTCAAGATACCTATTGGGGACCAAAGAAAAGGGATTTGTGGAGAGGTCTATGGAGAGCTGTTGTATTTGTGTAGTTTCTCCCTCTGCTGTGTGAAGCCAGCTCTCTGGTGGTGGGCCTGGGTCGTTATTGATCAGCAGGTCAGCCTTCTGGAAGATGAGATATACCTAGAGCACAGGAGAGCAAAAGCAATCTTCTCCTGTTTATCATGGTATCTAATTGCAACCACCTTCTAGGGGAAACGAACGACTGTTGTTTTGCTTCCACCTTCTATATCTCGTGCAAGTACCATTTTGACCAATGTTAACCTGGAGCCATACAAGAAAAGAAATTATGGGGAGCACAATTTTCGGCTTTATCCATGCTGATACAGCACAAAACCAACATGGTTATGTTTCTTAACCTCTCTGAGCTTCAGTTTCCTCATCAGAGGGCTGGAAACCCTAATTTGCCAAATTGTTATAAGAAATGCTTATACACAGTCTAATATGTAGTAAGTCCTCGGATAATGGCATGAAAGATTCCATATTTTAAATTAGATGCAGCTCTGAGGGCTGCTCCTAGAGGACCACTCCCAGCTTTGTTCTGAGAAATAAAGATGTGGAGGAGAGACAATTAAATAGGAGAAGAAAAATGCAAGGTCAAAAATGACTTTTTAAGAGCCACAAGGGTTACTTGCAGATTATAGTGCTGGCACCTAAATTAAGGGCTATTAGAAAGAGATTATCTCCATATATTTCACTTAGAACTTAACACATCATAATTGCTTCAATTATATACTCCATTATATACACTCCCATTTTCTTGAGAACAAAAGAGGAATGCACTGTAGGATTTAAAACTGTTATTGTGTCACTCCAGAGTTCTGAACATGTCTTTAGTCAAGATGTGTTTTTCATGTTTACAAAGCTCAATGACTTTCAAGCCATTTGTGAAAGCAATTTTTGACTCAGTCTGGTGTCTTTTTGTACATTTTATCAAGTTGACAAGAAGTTATCATTGCAGATAAATTTAAAGCCTAAGTTAAGTGGGCACACATCATAAGTGAGAAGGATGGATGAGATTAGGGTGAGCTTTTGACAATTTGATTTGTAGACCAAAGTGAATTGAACTCTTAGTTCACATGGCCACCAAACATTCATTCTTTGTCACAGTGTTTTTCAGAAGGGGACTCAGCCAAAAATAAATCATCCACTTTTATTCATGTCTAGGAAGAAGTATTCAAGACTAGAAGTTTCTTTGACTTTCTTCTTTTACTGAAAAGATCTTTTCTCTTTCTGCTTCATTTCATATTATGATTATCCCATCCAACTCCCTTACAGGATCTCCAGGACTATTGGTGGGCTTCTAAAATAAGACTCTCCCTAAGACCAGTTGGTTGATTAGATGTATAAAGAGTGGATATCTCCTATATTCTTCAATGTAAGTGAAGAAACTTGTTTACACATGATTGTGATTCCAGGGGCTTCTGTGTAGTGTGTGTCTGAATTCATTGGGCCCCTTCAGAAAAATGTCCACCTTCTGCTTGCATTCTTCCGATCTGTGTCACTCCTATTCCACGCTCACATTCTTGGCCTTTGTTAGTACACCAGGGCTTTGCAAATGTATTCTGTAACCAGCCAGATAGTACATATTATATGCTTTGCAGACAAAGAGGCAAAAACATGGATGTTATATAGATACCTAGATAACTATTAAAAATGGAACAATTTAAAATTTGTAAAAAACATATTTAGATTAGATAGCAGTCTGGATTTTACCTACGGGCCACAGTTGACTATAGCCCATAGTTGGTTTAGAGTGTTGCCTACAGTTTGACCAGTGTTTTCAAGTCCTAACTTGCTTTTCCATTTGGAATCTCTCCAAACTTTGCTCCTATTGTGTCCGGAATTGGTGGGTTCTTGGTCTCACTGACCTCAAGAATGAAGCCGCGGACCCTCGTGGTGAATGTTACAGCTCTTAAGGTGGCGCGTCTGGAGTTTATTCCTTCTGATGTTCGGATGTGTTCGGAGTTTCTTCCTTCTGGTGGGTTCGTGGTCTCGCTGGCTCAGGAGTGAAGCTGCAGACCTTCGCAGTGAGTGTTACAGCTCTTAAGGTGGCGCGTCAGGAGTTGTTCGTTGCTCCCGGTGGGCTCGTGGTCTCGCTGGCTTCAGGGGTGAAGCTGCAGACCTTCGCGGTGAGCGTTACAGCTCATAAAAGCAGTGTGGTCCCAAAGAGTGAGCAATAGCAAGATTTATTGCAAATAGTGAAAGAACAAACCTCCCACAATGTGGAAGGTGACCGGAGCGGGTTGCCACTGTTGGCTGGGGCAGCCTCCTTTTATTCTCTTATCTGGCCCCACCCACATCCTACTGATTGGTAGAGCCGAGTGGTCTGTTTTGACAGGGCGCTGATTGGTGCGTTTACAATCCCTGAGCCAGACACAAAGGTTCTCCACGTCCCCACCAGACTCAGGAGCCCAGCTGGCTTCACCCAGTGGATCCCGCACCGGGGCTGCAGGTGGAGCTGCCTGCCAGTCCCGGGCCGTGCGCCCGCACTCCTCAGCCCTTGGGTGGTCGATGGGACTGGGCGCCCTGGAGCAGGAGGCGGCGCTTGTCGGGGAGGCTCAGGCTGCACAGGAGCCCACGGAGGCGGAGTAGGGAGGCTCAGGCATGGCGGGCTGCAGGTCCCGAGCCCTGCCCCGCGGGAAGGCAGCTAAGGCCCGGCGAGAAATCGAGCGCAGCGCCGGTGGGATGGCACTGCTGGGGGACCCAGTACACCCTCCGCAGCCGCTGGCCCGGGTGCTAAGCCCCTCATTGCCCGGGGCCGGCAGGGCCGGCCGGCTGCTCCGAGTGCGGGGCCCGCCAAGCCCACGCCCACCTGGAACTCCAGCTGGCCCGCAAGCGCCGCGCGCAGCCCCGGTTCCCGCTCGCGCCCCTCTCCACACCTCCCTGCAAGCTGAGGGAGCCGGCTCCCGCCTTGGCCAGCCCAGAAAGGGGCTCTCACAGTGCAGCCGTGGGCTGAAGGCCTCCTCAAGTGCCACCAAAGTGGGAGCCCAGGCAGAGGAGGCGCCAAGAGCGAGTGAGGGGTGTGAGGAGTGCCAGCACGCTGTCACCTCTCACTATAATTTGTTTTCACCCCATGCCGACCAACCTAAGCCCTCACTTTATCTTTTTGGGTGCCCTCAGAAAACTTCCCAATTGTCTTTCCAAATGGATAAATCCTGAGGTAAATAATTCCTTTTTAAGTTTGTGATTTCAAAGATAGTGTTTTTAGTAAATTAAAACCAAAGGATAGATTCCTAATGATACATTAAATTTTGAAATAAATTGCCAAGGTTATTTTACAGGATATAAGTAATAGAAACCATAAAAGTTTTCCTTTATCCAGAATATCTTCATAATTAATAAAAATTTATTTTATGAAGTTGGATATCACTGATGACTTACTTTTGGTGTCCTGGACCTTTGAGAGTTTCCCCTCTGGCATTCATCCATTGATTGCATATTTATTTCCATTTACAGTGTGCCAGCGATTCTCCTGGGCACTATCAAGTCAGAAATAACAGACACCGTCTCTGTTTTCAAGGTGCAAGAATTTTAAGAAAGGAGAAAGACAACCAGAGAGTTGACAAACATAATACAGGTTGGTAAGTGCCATGAGAGGAGTACCGCTAATGTGGGCAAAGTGAAGTCAGAGAGGACCTCCCATAGAATTGAATTTCCTATCCAAGTCCTAACCCATAAGAATTTAGCAAGATGTAGAGGCAAAAGGGAGTGTTCTTCGCAGGGAAACAACAATGTGAAAATGCACAGAAGGCTTAGAGATCTCAATATTTTTAATGGATGTACATGATTTAATAAAGCTAAAATGTGGAGAATGAAATGTGCAGGGCTTGGAATTGTGCCTGGCACAAAATTGATTCTTGGTCAAGAATTGTTGACAGATTGAGTGCCAGGAGATGAGTCTGGAGAGGTAGGCAGGACAGGGATCATCTGTGGCAAGCTAAGAAAGTTGAATTTTATCCAAAGGCATGGCAAAACTTTATAAATGATCTAACTTCATATTTGGGTCTCAGAAAATTTGCTCTCGCAGCACTGTGGGAATGGACCAGAATGAAGCAAACCTTGAGCGAGGAGCCAGAGAGTAATGGAGAAGCTGTTGCATTCCCCTAGAAAGGAAATGTTGAGTAGCTAAGCCATGGAGGTTACAGTGGGGATGGACAGGAGAGAGACAATTTGAGAATCTTCCAGATTATCAATATATCTCTTCATTGTTATTCTGTTGAGCACACATAGAAACAATAAAACCCCATTGTATTTATGTAGCCATGAACAGTTTGTAAAATATTTTCACAGAAGGATTTCATCAATCAGTTTATACAACAGTCTTTGAGGATGGGATCAAATAATTATAATGAAAGCAAAAATAATGAATAATACAACTCCCCTCCTCCAAACAGTAACACACATAATCTAAGCCCAGATTTTGTTCCTGATAACTCTAATTCAGATTGATCACCTAATTAATCCCAGAGAGATCTAAGGCTTGAAAATGCAAATATTACACTTTTTATTGCAGGGTTAATTTGTATTTACCGTCCACAGTTTGGCAAATGATTTTCTGTTTTCACCATGAATATGTATGGCTTGCTTTCAGCAACCAGAAACACTTGTTTTTTTTATATTCTACTTCATGTTCTGCCTGCAGCAGGGTTGACTTGGGGAGCAGCCTGCTAATTAAGACTGAGTAAATTATAAATAGCAAATTTAGAGGCAATTGGCTGACTGAGAAAATATATACTGTATTCAACGTGGGTCCCATAAGACATTTCCCATCATCTATTTTACTTTTAATACATAAAAGCCATGGGACTTTTTAGTCTACCCCACCCTAGTTACAGGGCTGTCTCATTTGAAATTAGAGTTATAATTTAATGGGTACTTAAGAGCCAGAGGGCATTGGATTAGACATTCAGTCTCTGACATAGCAGAATAAGATAGTCCTCCTGTATTAGTCTGTTTTCACATCGCTGATAAAGACATATCCAAGATTGGGTAATTTATAAAAGAAAGAGGTTTATTGGACTCACAGTTCCATGTGGTTGGGGAGGCCTTGCACTAATGGCGAAAGGTGAAAAGCACATCTCACATGGCGGCAGACAAGAGAAGAGAGTTTGCACAGGGAAACTCCCATTTTTAAAACCATCAGATCTTGTGAGATTTATTCACTATCATGAGAACAGCAAGGGAAAGACCCACCCCTATGATTCAGGTATCCCCCACTGGATATCTCCCACAATGAGGGAATTATGGGAGCTACAAGCTGAGATCTGGGTGGGGACACAGAACCAAATCATATCACCTCCTTTGTTGTTTTCTTTTGTTAAAAGGCTCCTATAAAATCTCATTGAGATAAATATATTGGACAGTAGCTGCAGATGTCTGATAGTTATTCCACATAATGCCTTAATTTTATAAGTAGAAAGATTAGGCTATGAGAGTTTGTGTGATTTGTCAAAGAACCCTCAGCAATTTAGTAAGAAGTGAACTTGAAGACTTGTACCTTCAAGTCCAGAGTTTTACTCCTGCGTTCCTTGTATTAGTAGCATTATTACCTCTTGCTAAATCTTGAAACACCACTGCTCTAAATGGATTTATTTGGTTTGAATTTTGGTGCACTTTCAAAATTCAAATGTTCCTGGAGACAGGTAGCTAAATCTTGGAGGATTATCAGTTACTATGCCTTTTAGTGTAAATCAACCTATCCCATACTTATTCTTGAGAGTGAGTTTCTGTAAGAGGGTGATTAGAAAAGCATAGTCGGTAGGGAAGGTATCAAAGTGTGCCAACGAAAGAGACAGGCCTAGGAAATCACAACAAAGCTTGCTTTAATGTATTGAATTGGAGTGTCCTTAGTTAGGAATCTATATTAAAATATATTTGTTAAATGGACTTTTTAGTTGCAAACACTTTGATAATTGATGCCTAATTGTATCAGTAAATATACAGTTTTTCCCAAATATTTATGCATACCCCCATTTTGCCTGGAAAGTGTCTCCCTAGATGTTAACAAGGTTTCTTTCCTCATCTCCTTCAGATCTCTATTTAAATGGCCCCTTCCCCTTGATGCTTTCCCAGATGGAGCCATTTGACATTGCACTCACCACCCCCACCACCATCCCCTTTACTGCTATCTTTTCTCCATACCACTTGTCAGTGACTTACACACTTTTCATATTTGAATTGCTCACTAGAGAGTAAGCCACATGAAGGCAGGAGTTTGTCTGTTTTGTTTATCGTTCTTATCTCCAGTGGCTGGAGTGATGCCCAGCACATTTAAGGTGCTTAATCAACTTTCATTAAATGAATGAAAGTGTTGATTGATATCACATTGTGTACTACTAAGTGAATGGAGAGACATATTAGCTTATTTTATGATGGGAGACTTATAAGAACTAATACTATATAGAGCAGCATAGTCTAGTTCCTGTGGTGTGAACTCAGCAGAATTTCATTTTTTAGTTAATGGTCTTGGAAATTAATTTTCTGTGCTGTGATTTTCTTTCTTTAGAGAAAAATTATGTAGTCTTCTACCACCTGTGAAGAAAAAGATAAAGGATTTTCTGGTTTTGAAGGCATGAATTTTCAGCAGTGTATGGAGAAATCTATGACAAAAAAATGCACAGTAAACAAAAATAGCAAATTCTGGCCTCCTTACTGAGTGCTCTAGATAATCACTCATTCGTGTACTTGATTTGTTTTAGGCCTTGTTTAAGTGTGATAATTTGTTGTTGGAATAATATTTGTGGCAATAACAAAGATCTATTAATATCTTAATATATATGTTAGCGTAGTTTAGTTTAGAGACAAGTCCACAGAAAGGTTGACAGGAAAATCACATTACATTTTAGAAAATTGCAAGGGAGATAATGTCATCTGTGTGGTTTACTCCACCTAATCTCTCCAACAATCATCACAAAAACTGAATACAAGTAAAAACAGATGACCCATGTTTGCCTGGAGAGCCTGGGAAATAAGCAGAGTGGCCTGTCTTCCAGTGAAGGAAGAATGCATTTCAAGCTCTCTCTGTCTTTGTCTCTCTGTCTCTGTCTCTCTCTCTCCATAAACACACATACACGCACACACGGGGTTTACATATATATGTGCATATGTATATATGAATATCTATTACATATGTATATTTATGTATGTACATTACATATGTATATATGAATGTCTATTACATATGTATATTTATGTAAATATATTACATATGTATATATGCATGTCTATTACATATGTATATGTATATATGCATGTCTATTACATATATAAAAACACATTTATTTTTGAAAATTATTTTCTTTTCCACTCTCTTTTTTTTTCCTCTCTCTAAAGGATTAATGATGCGGAAGAAAGCCAGCTGACACTTTGAGGACCTGGAACTAAATCAGACAAATACCAAAAAAGATCAAGGATTGCTCTGTTTGTTTTGTTTTGTACCCAAAGTAAAATATAAAATTTATAAGAATAGTTATGCAGTTCAGTTGTGCCATTGACTGCATATAAATCAGTACCACTTCATTCCACTTTCATACATTGTAATTTTTGTTGTAGTAAAATGTTACTGGGAAAAAGAGTAGAGATACATTTTTGGACAAAAATATATACAAGAGTTTTTAAGACCTATTAGATCCTTGTAGTTTTTATCATTTAAATTTTAAGAAGATAGTCTAATAACTAGAAACCTGTTTTATTTTTTTAAAGATGTTATTGGAATGAAGGTCATTGAGACCAGATGACCAAAAGGGGCATTCCTTATTGACAGATACCACAATTTATATTAGATACTTAATAGCTGTAAACTTTAGATAATGAACATTTGCACAGTATTTACAAAGAGAGATTAAAAAGAATTAACCATAGCATGAAGCATCATCACTAGCTTATGATTAATAAAAATTCAAGTATTTTAGTTAAATAAACTTGAAATAATAGATATGTATGAATTGGGTACTCTACAAGAAAAACCTGCATGTTTTCTTAAGTGATATCAGATTTTATAAACAATAATAAATTTGGCCAAAGTTGCCAAAGCTGAAAATTCACAGTCCACATTTTTGATGACATAGTAAAACTGGAAATCACATATAAAAATTTAGGGAATAACAATACTTTGCAGTTGAACCATCAATTTCACATCGTAAACAACTATTTGCTTAAAGAGGAAATACAAATATATTTAGATATTTTAAAGATTTGATATTTGAAAATTTTATATTTTCTATTTAAGCCAGAAAAATGAGACATGCTACCTTACTCATTCATACATAATCTAAACAAACTTTTAACCCAGTTCTCACTATGAGCCATGTACTATTTTAGCACTAGGGGTAAAGTGAACAAATAGACAAAGCCTTTGCCCTCAGAGAACTTCTATATTCCCAGGGTGAAATAGACAAAAAAGCAAAACAAACAAAAAAAAAACAGGTGAATAATAGGTTGAAGTATATGATATTGCCATTTTGTGGATCAAAGTGATAGAACATGAAGAATTTCGTAGATCGTTAAACCAAATTTACAGACTATCAGATAGATAGATGAGTAAACATAAATTCAATCTAAGTTTATAGGTGTTGAAAACTGAAGTCTTATTAAGGTATGACAAGAACGTGAGAATTTCTGTTGCTTATCATTAAGATTTTGCTAAGTAACACGTACAGAAAAAACATTTGTGTCCCACGGCTGCTAATAGTACTGAAATCAACAATTTGCAACATATTAATCTGTTTTTCTACATATTCACATAACGACATATAAATACATGTTTGTGGAGGAACTTTGTTCTTTCTCTCCTACCTTTTTCTTTTTCTAACAAAGTGAATACACTAAAGACATTGTGCTTAGTATTACTTTTTCAATTAAAATCTGTAAAGGGTTATTTCTTGCTTTGATGCATATAGATTTAATAAATTCTTTAAATAGATGCTTAATATTCCATAATATAGATGCAATATACTTATTAATAAGTCTTTTCTATTATCATTTATATTTGTGAAAACAATTCCTCAAAATGGGATTGTTGGATGAAGAAGTAATTTTATTAGACAGCGCAAGGTTTATTTTCCATAACCATTTCCAGCAATTCACCCTTCATTAGCAACACATGTAAGAGCCTATTTATCCACATAATAATGAGCACTGGATAGTAATCTCTTTAATTTTCACGAATTTGATGGATTCAAAGTTATACCATTTCAATTTCAATTAAAAACCTCGAATTTTTTTCAATATGTTACTTTATATTTTGACTTTCTTCTATGAATACCTTGTTATTCTTTGTTTATTTTTTGTTTTACATATGTTAAATTTTAATCTAATTATAACTTGCACATAATTTAGACACCCAAATGGTATGTTGTAAAAAATAGTAGTTGCCTATCTGCCCTTCTCTTTTATTTTCTACTTCCAAGGACAAATTACTTGTAACTCTTTTTGTTGATTTTTTTGATATCCACCTCTATCTCTATGAATAAAATTCTTATATTGTCAATTTTGGTTGTCTAAATTTAGGTACTCAATTTTTTCATGCCGTCATGGAATATGAGTGACTCTGTGTCATAATCTGCAGCCCTCATTACACACATGAACACTTCCTGTGTCTTATCCTACCAAATTAGGATATAATTCTTCATATCCTAACTTTGCTTAGGTCAGTAATCATTGTTTTTATCATGTCTGTGTAAATAATATTCACAGCTGAGCCATGTAATACTATGTTGATATTTCCTTCACTACATAATATTTTATTTTATCTTTAAATTTGTCTTGTTTCTTAATTGCTTGTTTTTTTTTCTATGTGCTTATTACTAATTCAACTGAAAATTCTTCCAAAGTAGTATAAATATTCTCTCAATCTATTCTATTTCATCTGTTAGTTTCATCACTTGGAAAAGATTTTTTGGATCCTCTGATCTGCTCCAATTTAGGCAATTTGTTTATAAGACTGCTCCAGAGATCTTGGCTTGAGCTCTCATTTATCCATCCTTTTTAGAAGAATTGTCCAATGGATATACAATGTGAGCCACATATATTACTCATACTTTTTCTAATAGATACAGCAAACAAAGATACATATATAATTAATTTCCATAATACATTTATTTCAACATATCAAAACTATCAACATTTTAACATATAATAAGTGTAAAAATTATTAATGAAGTATTTTGCACTCTTTTCTGTAACAGGTGTTTGACATCTAGTGTATATTTTTTACTGATATTACATCTCAATTCACACTAGCCACATTTCAAATGCCAATAGCTCTATGTAGATAGTGGAGGAAACTGCAGATCCAGAGATTCTCTTTTTTCATGGCTTCCTAGAAAGAAAATTTTAAATGGAAACAATTTTCCCTTAGAATTTTGAAGGCATTCTTCCTTTGTCACTGTAGAAAATCTAACGCCAATATGATTTTTGATACACCACATAAACTTATTTTCTCTCAACTTTTGTAGAATTTTCTTTGTTCTCAGTGCTCTAAATTTTCACGATGATGTGCTTTGGTGAGTCTATTTTCTTGATTTTTGTAGTCTCTTTGGAGAAAATTTTAATATGGAAACTCAGGGCCTTCAGATTAGGAAAGTTTTCTTGAATTACTTTCTTGGCCACTCCTTTCTTTCCTCTATACACTCTGTCTCTGAAACTCCCATTATTCAAATTTTGGACTTCCTGGAATGGATCTCTAATTTTTAAATGTGTATTATATTCAAATATTTTAAATAATATTTTAAGTGCAAGAACTCTTAGTTGGTCTCTGTATTTTCTTTTTGCAGTTTATTACACTTACCTCATGAATATTTTATTTTATTCTTCTGAAGATATTTTTGTCAAGTTTCTCCTCCGGAAATATTTTATTTTTCCTATAATTTAATTTTTTAACCTGATTCCTTGGTCTCTTTCTATTTGACAATATCCTTAAATTTATCATGGGATGCTTAGCTTTGAGGAGAGGTAAGAAAAATCTGATTAGAATCATTGTATGTATGAGCGGTGTAATTTGTTGAAGTTCATTTTTGTACGGTGCTCTGACTGGTGTTTTCTTGATGATTCCCCAATTGAGGTACCTTATTTATTTCCACTCTCTATAAAAAAGAAATCAAATTTCCTAGAAAAGTGGAGGAAAGGGTCTAGGAATCTCTACATTCAGTAACTATGCTCATAATTAATTGCCTTCTTTTCCTTTCATACACTTGCTCTCAATTCTGTTTGGGATCTTATTCCAGAGTCTCTTTTTTTTTCCACCTTTCCAGGAAATAAACCCTAATTTTTGGCCAAAATATGGTAAGGTCATCTTCTGACTGCTGAAAGTGAAGAATAAGCTCTGAAACAGGGGATGTATTGCAGATTATGAAATGGAATTTCTCAGGACTCCAGGTTTTAGCCACAATTTTATCCTCAGAACAGAGATACTTGCTGATGAAATTTGAGTCTTCTGTGTATGTTTCAATAAGGCAGGTTGCTTATTGGCTTTTTCAAGTGCTGACTTAGAGGTCAGCTTTCTTGATCGGCTAAGGCACATACTTTGCAGCTTAGAAAAATTGGATAGTGTTGTCTCCTCCATTCTCTTTGAATTTATAGATACCTTTCAAAAAATCACTTTGTTTTTGTGGGGGTTTTTTGTTTGGTTGTTTTTTTTTTTTTCGAGACGGAGTCTCGCTCTGTCGCCCAGGCTGCAACCTCCACCTCTGGGGTTCAAGCAATTCTCCCTGCTTCAGCCTCCTGAGTAGCTGGGATTACAGGCACATGCCACTACACCCAGCTAATTTTTGTATTTTTTAGTAGAAATGGGGTCTTGCCATGTTGGCCAGGCTGGTCTTGAACTCCTGACCTCAGGTGATCCTCCCGTCTCGGCCTCCCAAAGTGCTGGGATTGCAGGCATGAGCCTCTGTGCCCGGCCTGTTTTTGTTTTAATGGGGCCTGGTGGAGAAGAGCAAAGGTAAATGAGAACACTATAATCTGTCATCTTGACTGGAAATCTCGAAATTCATTCTATTGTCATAATTGGGTGTTCTTCAACTTAGATGGAACATATACATTGAGCACCTTAATAGAGGTCATGATGTCACTGGAGTGCGAAGGCCATCTATGCCCTTTTGAAAGTCTTCCTTTGTTTTCCTCAGCCAAGGAAGTCAACACAAGGATTTTAAAATTATACAACATGAAGGGGGGCTTAAAAGACTTGTCAGTGGAATATTCTCACCTTAGATATGAAGATAGAAAAGCATAGAGTGTAAATGTCTTCCCAGGTTTATCAGAAGCAAGTGTTTAATATTGTCCAGGTTTTCATATACTTTTTTCCTCTATACTTATAGTACAACCTAGATTTTTTAGTTTCCCGGATTTTCTCCCATAGTGGACTGAGAACCTGAATATAATTTATTTATTTGTATGCTTGTTTATTACCTGTGTGATCTCCACCCCACCCCCAACCAAAAAAAAAAAAAAAAGTTGTATGAGGCCAGGGACTACCTCTTTGCAATGACTTTTTAATTCATTGCAGCACCAAATAGGGTGGCATATAGTGGACTCAATAAATATTTTAAATAAAGTATTGAGTACAATGGCATAGCCACTTTTTAGTTTGGAGTGGCCACATATTATTGTATTGATTCCCCACCAAGCATGGAGTTATTCCTATATTTGATGATCCATCTAATTCTCCCATTCCTAGCTTTTCTGCCTTTAAAATCTAACACAACATCGATCCAATATTAGGTCTATTGCAGATGCTATTGATGAATAACATTCATTCCTCATTTGATAATTAAAAATATTTAACTATTCCAATGATAATCATTAAAAAGTATGCTTTTGTAAAACAGAATACTTAACATAATTTTCCTGGGAATCCGATATTACCATCATAAACGTATAAATGATACCATGCTATGATTTCCCACACCTTTTCCCCACAACATAAAAAGAGAAGTAAATGTAGATTCTACTTTACATTTTAAAGTGAGAAAAAGCCTCTTAATTCAGATATTTATTGTTATATGGTTATATGAAATGTCGTTGTATTTTGTGTCAACTGGAAATAATATTTTAATCAGTCACCAGACTGCATGTTTTAATAAAGGGAATGTGTAGAGAAAAACAAAGAATGCCCATACCATATTTATTAAGATTAAAATGAATTTTAATTTATGTGTCAAGGACTTCCATTTACCATTCTGGAGAGCAGATGAAAGAACATACATAGAAACTTAAAGATTTACTAAGGAGAAAAATAAAACCACTTCACTTCTGCCTGACTTTTGTTTCTTGAAAATTTTAAACATTTTTAGCTAAGTGGTCCCTTCACACTTGAGGGTGGAGAACATGAGAAACAAACATCATAACGCGATTTTGCCAAGTTTTCACAGATCAGATTTAGCATTTATGAGATCACTGAAGGCTGACAATTTCTTACATCAGATTCATGGGGCACAAACTACTAAAATATTTAGTTAGTACCAAAAAAAAGATAAATGAGCAGTCAGAGCTGTTATAGGGCTTGAAAGAAAAGGAAATGCTGCAATGAGGTGACTGTTGCAAAGCTGTGGGAGGGAGAGGGATGTGAGAGAAAGAAGGAAATGAGAAACACACTTTATTAAAATGTGGTTTGTTAAAATACAAAAGATCACTAGAAACTCTTCTCTTTCTCTGGCCTTATGAGAAAACTGAGTCTGTATGGTATTTTTATTAACTTTTAGGAGATTCTTATTTCAAAATATTACTTCTTGCTCCTGAGGACCTTCTGTACTTTTCCTACTACATCAACTGTCAATAATTTATTATGTCCTGGAGGGGGTTCTAATTCTTCATACGCACTGAATTATACATTTAGAGGTCTAGAACAGAGTGTTAAACATGGGCTCCAGAATCGAACTCTAAGATCTATCAAATTAGTGTGACCTTGGAAAAGTTGCTGAACCTTTCTCAGCCTAGTAGAGAGAAGAATATGAAAACATCTACTTCAAAGGGTTATGGTGCAGGTGAAACAAGGGACTATGGGTAAAGCACTTAGGAGAGTGCCTGCGTGTGTAGAAGGCACTGTATACCCTTAGGCTACCATTATTTCTTAGTGTGTCTAATATCCAGACTATCTCTTCATGCTAATCTTCATTAATCTCCTTCTTAAACTGTTTTCCAGTAAATTAATGGTTTTGAAATTTCTTGAGAAATCAAGGTCCTTTTGGTTTCTGATTCTCTGCTCATGCAATTTTCTCCAGCTGAATTAACTTCCCTTTCAGTTTCTACCTTCCTAAATTGGCCCTAGTATAAATGTCATTTCCTTAAATAAGACTGTCCTTTTTCACAAATCGAATGTTTCTCTTTCAATTCAATCTAGTGTAATATTGCCATATGCTATTTATCATACTTTACCATGCAAACTCCTTGTACTATAAGGAATATTTCTTAAACTGTGCTTTGTGGATCATGTGAGTTTGCAGACATGGTCTCAATTTCTATAAGAATTAATGAATTTTTGTATTTTTCTCTTGATGACAATCTTAAAAAATATATGCATATTCTGGGTCACCTGTATAATAATCTCATAATTGAGTATTGAGATGCATTTTATTTCCCATATATGAATTTTCCTTTACAATCTCCTTCACAAGAGGTGAAGGACAGAAGAATTCACTTGGTAAGACACAAGTTTTATAATATTTCAAGTAGGGAAGAGTCATAGGTAAAAGCAAGTTTTCTGTATATTATAAAATTTGGGCTCACTGAACAATTCATGCTCTATCTGCCATATTCACATGGTGAATTGATGTTTGCAGGACATTTTCCATCTTTTATATTCCAATTATCCATGCTTCATTGACAATGAATGTGGTAGTAAGTATGCAAATAATGAAAATGTTTTCTCTTTTTATATTGTAGCTTCAGGGGCACTATTCTACTAATTGGCCCAACAAAGTAAAGAACAATTTCATTGTTAATAAGAAAATTAAGAGAAGTGATAATGATGGCTTAGCATTGTCAAATTCAAGGGAATTAATCTGAAAACAAGTAAAAATCAAAAACATGCAAATATGTTTCTGTTATGGGATGCAATATGAGCAAAATTTGTTTCAAAAAATTTACATTATATATCATAAAACTAATCTATTGCATTCAACTAATATTTTCAGATTTAATTGTATTAATTGTATAGTTATTTTATTAATTTTAAATTATTTTCTCATTGAATAATTATTTAAGCTTTTCTATGTACAAATCAGTCATCTAGGTACTAGAAATAGGATAATTAATAGATAAACATATTTGCCCTCATGCATCTTTTTATTATAATAAAAGAGGCAGATACCAATATAAATAAGTAGACTATATAGCATGTCAGATACTGATTAATGATTAGGAAGAAAAATGAAATAGTAAAGGAGACTAAGGAGGATGAGGAGGGTTGCAATTTTTAGTACGCTTTAGTATTATGGTTAAGAAAGGCCTCACTGAGTAGGTGGAATTACACTGAAGATCTTCAAGAAGATGCAACTTTCCATATAGATAACCAGGGAAACAGCATTTCCAGCAGAGGGAATAGCAGGTGCAAATGCCCTAAGGCAAGAGCATGTCTGTGTAGTTGACAAGAGTGATCAGGTCTATGTTGCTGGAGAGATATAAATAAGGCAGAGAATAAAATGAGAATGTTATGGAAGTAAAAACATGCACCCGACTATGTAGGGCCTGGTAAATCAGTGGAAGGGTTTTAGCTTTTCTTCTGAGTCCAATGTGAGCCATTGGGCAGATTGTAGCACAGAAACATTGTGCTCTGATTTATGTTTAACCAGGATTTTTCCGACTGCTGTGTTTAGAATGAACTTAACGATGTCAAGAACCGAAGCAAGGAAATAAGTTGAAAGGCTGCTCTATAAGGGAAGTGACGATGACCTGAACCAGGATGGGAGTAGCGGGAGTTGTGAGAGGAGCTTGCATTCTGGATCTATGGTGAAAATAAAGAATATATAATTTCCTGATGGGCTAGATGTGGGGAGTGAGAGAAAGAGGGAAATTAAAGGATAACATTATTATTTTGGACTTGCAACATTGGAAGAATGCAGTTGACATTAACTGAAATAGATACAACTGCAGAAGGAGCAAGTGTGGAAATAGAAGGGAATATCAAAAGATCAGTTTTGCAAATAATAAGTTTAAGAAGTCTCTTCAATACCCAGAGATGTATTTAGTGTTGGAGTTGCACAAAAGTTACATGTATAAAACTTATACTTTTGTATTCAATAAGTACCACGATGAAGATCATAATTTAAACCATGAATCAGTGCCCACCATAATTTTCCTCATTTAAACAGATCAATTCATCATTTGATTATAAGAAACACTGTTATAGAGAATAAGAGCTCAAAACACTTTGAGGTCAAACAATCTAAGATTTGAGTCCTAATCCAATCATTCTCCAGCTGTATGACTTTATATGAGTTACTTAGTTTATTTGTGATTCTATTAAGCATTTTGAAAAGTGAATATAATAATACCTAGGTTGTGGAAATTCAATGAGATAATGCCTATGAAATACACAATTCAATGTTTTTTTTTCCGGCACTTAATGAATACCCAAGAAAAATGTTACTTCTCTTTCCTAAAATTATCTTAATTAACTGTGAACAAATGGCAGGATTTGATGTGGAGATACAACAGGGCTGGTTCAGTCAAGAATGCGAGCAGTAAGAGCAGAGGTAAGGACCAGACATTCTGAAAAAGAAATCTAAAATACATATTTGGAGTGGAGATTCAGGAATATCATACCCTAAGGAGCATGAATCAAAACCACATATTTGAGTGTAGTGTGGTAGCCAAGGGAGAGACTTACCAGGTAGGTAAAAGCTGATTGTGCACAAAAGACAGCTCAGATTTAGTAAAAATAAAAGAGTTCAAAGAAATGATGGATATCAGAAAGAAAAATGTTAGATTTACACATTTAGTGAATGCTTCTTTAAGAAGAAGAGCAATTGGCACTGTCCTATAAAATCTTTAGAAGACAATATGTCAGTTGCTCACATGTTATGAAAGCTATACAAACTCAGGTCTTCTAAATTTAGCAATCTTTTCCATAACTACATGGGATTGATCTGTCCCTAGGGAGTTTAAACAAACTATAAATACAAAATTTAAACAAACATACACAAATATTTATATTTATGTAATTTTCATTACACAAATATAAATACTTCATATCTACATATACATATAGTGATCAGTGTTATTTTTAAAGTATTTAAAGCTCAAGATGGGCTTTAGAGAGAGTACAAAGACAGAGTTGATATGTTTGGTAGAAGATCTGAAGGTAGGTTTTCAGCATCTTTTCAGGATAAACTAAAAACTACTTCAAGATCAGTCAAAGAAAATTCTTGCCTGTTTTTGGATGCTTCGCTTTGCGGGAGGGGTCAGGGCCTCTGCTGCTGACTTGAAGCAGAGAAGGGCTAGGCAGTACTGTGGTGACAGCAAAGAACAAGTCACCTGAATTTACTATTCCTTTCAGAAGCTAGCTTACAGAGTGAGTATTGAAAAGTCATATGGATTTCAATCAGGGTCCCACTCCCCATAGTCACCTAATTAGTTCTACACATCAATGCAATCCTAAATTCACTTTTGATGGGTTGGTCTATATCCTGCTGTGGTTTCTCAGCAGTCCATCAAATTAAAAATGTCAGCATGTTCTTTGGAGGATAGTAGACAATGAAGTCAGCCAAATCTGAAGACAAATAAAGTAGCTGAACATTCCATAATGAAATAGTGCTATGACACTGAAGAGATTTTTAGGCACTCTAATACCCTAAGAATCACTGTACTGGAGTATAACTAAAATTCCCTTAACCTGGAATTCTATCTTGTTTGTGGAAGTAAGAGAGAATCTGTGTGTGAAAGAGAGTAGAGTTATCATTCATCATAATAAGCCTCAAATGCATAGAAACGGTGTTGGGAGCAGTTTCTCATGCCTGTAATCCCAGCATTTTGGGAGGCCAAGGTGGGAGGATCTCTTGAATTCAGGAGTTTGAGACCAGCCTGGGCAACAAAAGTGAGACTGCCTCTCTGAAAAAAGTTAGCTGGGCATGGTGGTGTGTGCCTGTGGTGCCAGCTACTTAGGGGGCTGGGGTAGGAGGACTGCTTGAGCCCAGGAGTTTCAGGCTTCAGTGACTGTGTTTGCACCACTGTATCCAGCATGGGAGCCTGGGTGACAGAGCAAGAGACTGTCAAAAACAAAACAAAACAAAAACAAAAATGCAGAGGAATGTACCGCTCAGAAATATCCTCAGCTTCCAAATTTTTTAACATTATTTACAACTAACACATGTATAAGGCATTGTATGAAATATTGGATAAAACTAAGTTAGGTCCCCTATATTTACTAATATGCTACTCTGTGTGGTACAATTTACTTCAGTTTTAATTGACTAATTTTTTAATTTTTTAATATTCATCTTCATCACAAGACTTTAATAACCTTGAGGGTAGAAACCGTATCTATCTTAGTCATTTTGTGTCACTGGAAATTGGTAGATAATAAATACTTGAGTAAATGAAAGAAAGAAAATCATCATTTATAGAGGACTTCCACTTCCAAAAAGGTAGAATAGACATTCTTTGCTCCATTCTTCTTTTTAAATACAGATAAAAGCCCTTCCCAAAAAAATTCATAAATAGTACAGATGAAAATTCTGTAAAAAATAAAACTCGGAAAGGTGGAAAGGAGAAGAGAGACCATATGTAAAACAAATGAAAGAAAGTATCAACAAAGAAAGAGAAGATAGAAGGGAGAATCAAATAAAATTTTAGAACTTGAAAATAGCCAAAATGAAAACAAAATCAGTGGGTGGGCTAGACAGCAAAATGGAGACAAGAGAAGAATAAATCAGTGACTTTGAAGATGGAGTAGTGGAAATTCCCCTTTCTGAACAACAGAGAGTAGACTTCTGAAAACAAAACAAAAAACCCAAATGAACAGAGCCTGAGACACATGTGGAATTATATGAAAATATTTAACATCTGAGTCATCTGAATCCTAGGAGAGGAGAAAGAAGGTGGAGTGAAAGGATATTTAAAAAAATAGTGTCTAAGTAGTTCCAAAATTTGGAAAAAATACAATTTACAGATTTGTAAAACTAAAATTCAATGACAAAATAGAACAGGACACTCCCTAAGTACTACACACTAAACAGCACATTTCTAAATATTCCATGGATCAACAAAGATGTTTAAAGGGAATACAAACATATATTGAACTGAATGAAAAAGAAAAAAACATACAGGCAGACTCTGTGGGTCATGCCTGTAATTCCAGCACTTTGGCAGGCTGAGGTGGGAGGATCACTTGCATCCAGGAATTTGAGACCAGCCTGAGCAATCTAGTGAGACCCTCATCTCTACAAAAAGCATAATCTAGCCAGGTGTGGTGGTGCATGGCTGCAGTCCCAGGTACTTGGAAGGCTGAGGTGGGAGGATTGCTTGAGCTGAGGAGGTCAAGGCTGCAGTGAGTGTGATCGCATCACTGCACTCAGCCTGGGCAACAGAGTTAGACCCTGTCTCAGAAAAAAAAAAACAAAACAGCAACTATACACACACACACACACACACACACACACACACACACACACACATAATCCATAGACCCACACACATATATGTGTATATATATGTGTGTGTGTGTGTGTGTGTATATATATATATATTTAGAGCAATAAAGGCATACGTTAATGGAAAAAGTTTAAATCAATAATCTAGGATCCACCTCAAAAACTGAGAGAAAAGAGCAAAATAAACCCAAAGAATTGAGAAAAAAAATACTAAAAAAAAGCATAGATTAATAAAATTAAGATCAGAAAAAAAATAGAGACAAGAAAACAAAAACTTTGTTCTGTGGAAATATTAATAAAACCAACTAACTTCTAGCAAGAAAAAGATAAAAGCAGACACAAATTAACACTATCAAAAATAAAGCAGGGGATATAACTATAACCTTGCAGACATCAAAAAGTTAATAAGGAAATATTTTGAACAAATATGTGAAAAATTGACAATTACTTGAAAAATATAAACTCGCAACTCATCAAATATACAATAGTAGCCTTTAACTATTAAAGTAATCGAATCTGTAGCTGAAAGAAAACTGTTAAAAATCTAGTAAGCCCAGATAACTTCAGTCTTGAATTCTAGCAAATGTTTAAAGAACAATGACAGCAATTATACACAATCTTCTCCAGAAAATAGATGAGAGAGCACTTCATTTTATGAAGCTAATAACACTCTGTGCTATGCATGATCAACCAGGAAAAATAATAAAAAACAAAACTGCTGACAAATATAAATACGAGTATACCTGGATGTATTCATGAATGCATAAATAAACTCCCTAAGAAAATTTTAGTCAACAGAATTCATTAATATGTACATTAATATGTAAAAAATATACACCATAATCAAGTGGATTTATTCCAGAGATTTATGGCTGGTTCAACATTTTAAAAAGCAATGTAACCTATCATATTAACAGTTTAAAGAATAAAAATCGCATGTTCATATGAATTTATGCTGAAAAAATATTTGACAAGCTTTAACACACATAAGGAAAAACTCTTAGGGAAAAGGGAATTGTATTAGTCCGTTTTCACCCGGCTGATAAAGACATACCCAGGACTGGGCAATTTACAAAAGAAAGAGGTGTAACTGGGCTTACAGTTCCACGTGGCTGGGGAGGCCTCACAATCATGGTGGAAAGCAAGGAGGAGCAAGTCACCTCTTACGTGGATGGCAGCAGGCAAAGAGAGCTCCTGTATGGAGTCTCCCTTTTTAAAAACCATCAGATCATGTGAGACCCATTTATTGTCACGAGAACAGCATGGGAAAGATCCTCCCCCATGATTCAATCATCTCCCACTGTGTCCCTCCCACAATGCGTGGGAATTATGGGAGCTACAAGATGAGATTTGGGTGGGGACACAGAGCTAAACCTTATCAGGAATAGAGAGGAACTTCCTCAACTTGATTAAAAAAAAATTCTTACAGCTAATGTGATTCTTAACGGTGAAAGACTAAATGTTTTCCCTGTAGAATCAGAGTGAAGGCAAGGACATCCACTCTCAACCCTCTTATTTCACATAGTACTGGAAACTCTAGTAGACACAATAAGGTGAGGAAAAGAAATAAAAGGAATGCAGATCAGAATGAAAGATATAAATTTACCTTTATTTGCAGATAACATGATCATCTTACATGAAAAAATTCTACAAAATCTATCAAAAAAGCCTCCTAGAACATATAAATAAGGTTAGCAAGTTGATAGAACAAAATAAACACAAAAATCAATTGTGTATATATACGCACACACACACACTATATATAAAAAATTAGCACATAGAAACAAAAATGTAAAATGAAATACCATTTGCAAACATTTTTAAAATTAAATACTTAGCTTTAAATATAGCCAAACATTTGCAGGTCTTGTATGCTTCAAACTATAAAACACTGATTTAAAAAATCAAAGATCTGTGAAAAATGAAGAGACATGAACTTTACGTATGGATTGTGAGACTCACATAGCAAAGATGCCAAGTCTACCCAAAGGGATATACATGTCTAGTGCAATTCTTATCAAAATCATGGCATTTTTTTGTGGATATAGACAGGGTTATCTTACAACTTACACTGAAAGGCTAAGGAAGTGGAATAGCTAAACAAGTTTGAAAAAGATGAAGAAAGTGGGAAAAATTGCTTTACCCACTTTCAAGACCTATTTTATATAGATACCATAACCAGGTCTGTATGGTATTGGCAGAGAATTAGGCTCATAGGTCAATGGAATACAATAGAGAACCCCAGAAATAGGTCCAAACATATATACCCAATTGACTTGTGCCAAAGGAACGAGATCAGTTTAACAGAGGAAAAATCGCCTTTTCAAAAACCGATGCTAGAACAGGTGAACTTCCATAGGCAAAACAAAAACAAAAACAAAACAAAACAGAGAAATAAAAAAAAAACCTGATCGATGTCTTATACTGTATTAAAAAATTAAGTCAAAATGAAATAGAGATGTAAGTATAAAATGTAAAATTATAAAACTCTTAGGAAAAAATACGGGGAAATCTTTTTGGATCTAGGGCTAGGCAAAATCTTAATACCAAAAACATCTATAAAAGGGAAAAAGGATAAATTGTACTTCATCAGAATTGAAAACGTTTGCACTGCAAAAGAGTTGTTAAGTGAATGAAAAAATATACTACACAGTTGGAGAAAGTATTTGCAAACCATACATCCAACGTAGGGCTAGTATCTAGAATACATAAGAACTCTCAAAACCCTCAGTAAGGAAAAAAAAATCAATCTAATTAGCATATACGCAAAAGTCATTAAGGGACATGACACTGAAGAGGATATATAGGTGGTAAATAAGCACATGAAAATATATTTTTCATTATGAGCCCTTAAGAAATGCAAAATAAAACTCCAATGAGGTAACACTGCATTCATATCAGAATGGGTAAAATCAAAAAAACAAAATAGTGACAATACCAAATGCTGGACAGTATGTGGATAAAACTGAATCATTCATACCCTGGGGTGAGAAGGTAAATTGGTGCAGCCACATTGAAAACAAATTGATACTTTCTTAAAAATCTAAATCTGCAATTATTATACTACTCCACAATTGTACTCCTAGGTATTTATCCCAGAAAAAGGAAAACTTACGTTTATGCAAAAAATCCATACATGAACGTTTATAGCTCCTTTAATTGTAATAGCTATAAACTGAAAACAACCAAATATTCTTCAACAGGGGAAAGGTTAAACAAACTGGGGCACATCTATGCCATGGACTTGGTACTCACTAATACAAGGAAATGAGCAATTGATACCCGATATAACTTACGTGAGTCTCCAGAGAATTAAGCTCAGTAAGAAAAGTCAGTCCCTGAAAGGTTACATAGTGTACAATTCTATTTGTGTAACATTCATTAAATGAAAGAACAGATTAGTGGATGTCACGTGTTAAGAAGGGGGTGGACATACAAAAGTATAGCCTTTTATCATGGCTATAAGAGACAATAGGACGGATGCATGTGGTCATGGGAATTTTCTATCTCTTGACTGTGTTGATGTCAATATCTGGTTGTGATATTACACTATAGGCTTGAAAGATACTACCACTGAGAAAAATTGGATAAAATATACCTATTGTCTCTCTATAATTTCATAATATCATGTGATACATTTTCTAAAATTTTCTCAGAATAAGAATTATAATTAAAACACCACATAGTATGTACTTAGCCCATAGTAGGTCCTCAAAACACACTGAGTTGTTAAAGGTTGTACCTTATTGAAGATTATTCCTGTGCTTCTGCTCAGGATGTAACAGAAGGAATATGATATTTCTGTTCATCTCATGCAGTTTTCTAAGCCTTTTCCAATTCTTTTTTCCCAATCACTTGGCATTTCTTTGCCATATATTAGCACATGTAAATGTTTTTCTGTACATTCCAGTATTTGTCATCTATGAGAACACTTGTTAAATGGAAATATTGAAAAATCACCCATGGTTACGTCTTCAGGCCTAACATGTGGACATAAAACAACTTTCTGAAAGGGCTTAGAACTGAAAAGGAAATGCCACGTCAGTGTGTACTTAGGATTTACCACAGTGTTCTGCATATTTTAAAGATTAGATACATATTATTGGAATGAATTTACTAAAGACTAGCATATTGTACATTTTCCATAAATGGTAAGTAGTGGTGGTAGTAGGAGAAATGTCAGTAGTAATAGTAATGTGTTAAGGGAGAGCACGGTCATTGCTAGAATAAAAACAATATCTCAGATGTCAAAAACATACTACATTATCATTATCCAAGCTGGTTAACACACCTATATTTTTCTCATCATCTTCTGTCGATGGACTTTAAACTACCAGCATTAGCATTTTACCTTTCTCTACTCTGCTCAGCAGTTAAGAATTAATATTCACCTATTTATGTACAAACTACTCATGATACCAAGGTTCTAGGAAAATGAAAAGTAACATTTCATTACAAAAATATGCAAGGTCTCTGTTCGAAAGATCTCTTAAAGTGATAAATCTCTACATTCTTCCTGATAAAGATGTTAACCAATCCGTATCAACAATGATTCTCTGAGTCACAGATGAGTGCTTTGACCCTAAGTGTTGCCAGGAATAAACAGGGTTTTTGAAATCACATTTCCAAGTGCTTCATGGAGTGTGTTAAATTATTATGTAGGCCTCACTAAATAGAAGCTTCAAACTTCTGAGCAATTGAATCGTTCCCATTTATCACCATAGTTCCACATAAGGCACTTACCCCTGCATCCGCTGGTAAACCTGTAGGGATTGCTCACACTTTTTTTCCTAGTTCACAGGTTACAGGGCCTGGACTGTACAATCCAACAGGAGTCTCTGTTTGAATGAAGTATTATCTTTTCGCCTCTGTGAACTATTGAGGAGGAACACAACATCTAATGGAAAATTGCTATAATATCCTTAAGGGAAAGATGTACCAACTTTCTAGAGGGGTATTTAATTAGGTTTAGCCAGATGGCAAATAATTCCTTTGTTTTTTCATAGCTTTCTTTTATAGATTTTGAGGAATTGTGGGAAACATTTAATAATACAACCAGCTCAATGCTTGCAAATATGCATGCTTCCATGATTTGAATTTTTGCTTTATGGTGTGGAATAGTACAGTCCCAAGTCACCAAAATATTTTTATCTTGTGATTTAATATTCCCATCTGATGAATGCTCATATTTAAGTTAACCTAGTGAGAACCAAACTGTTTTTTTCAGAAGAAAGAACATCTGTAACCAAAGATTAATGCAAAAATTGTCTAGATTTGGGTGGACATCATCAACTTAACACTCTAATTTTGCAAAGAACCAAACACTTTCCCTCCAGTAAAGTGGCTCCTCTCAAATTAAACCTCAAATTATTATGACCCAAGTCCTCTTGGTCTGAGCACCAAAGCCCAATCCAGATTTTGTTCTACTTCAATGCTATATATCCTTCCTCCTAAGAATGCTTCTTTGGATTCTACTATTTGTCCATTAGCTATTTCAACCTTATCTTTTCTGGTTTTCCTATTTCATTTGCTTTCTCATAGCCCACTGAATAAAAAGCTTCCCAAATTCTCCTTCTTTATTTACTGGAATAGATTACCTATTTTCTTCAAATTTGTGTCTTTCTTATACATTTCAAAACTTGAATCTTGATTCTAAACTTTATCAGCATTTGTTAATTTATTAATTAAACTGACATTTATAACATATCTGTGTTTCTAGTGCTATGGGTTATAGCAACTATATAAGATACATTTTTTTCTGCCTTTAGAAAGGCTTAAGAAACATAGTACATATAGTAAAGGGATTCAAAACAGCCATTCAAAACAATGCTTTAAAACAATGATTGGCAAACTGGCCCACTTGTCAAATCTGGCCCCCCACTTGATTTTGTAAATAAAGTTTTAACAGAACATGGTTTTGTCCATTTGGTTATATATAACCTAAGGCTACTTTTATGTTACAATAGAAGAGTTGAGTGGTTGCAGCAGATACCATATGGCCTCCAAACCTAAAATATTTATTATCTGACCTTTTATATTTAAAAGTTTGCTGATTCCTGTTAAGAAGAATATTTAGTGCCATTGTTTCATGCATATTTCATACATATAAGATGTATAATAGAAAAATGTTCATAAAATAATGTTAGGATAAAATGTATATTAAAAAATGATCCTTTTTTGGTAATTTATGTGTAGAAAATATATGTAATGTCATACACATTAAAACATTAACAGTTTGGATATTTAGTGGAAGTACAGACAATATGTTCTTTCATTTTCCTAATACGATATGTCTGGGAATTTTCGTTTTGTTTTTCTTATATGTTAAAATTTTTTCAAGAAAGTTTTGGCTTCAAGTAACAAAAACTCTGATGAACAGTATTTTAAAACATGAGAACACATTGTTTATTTAACTAGAAGTTTGGAGCTCAGGGTTCACTCATAATTTTAAAATGTCATCAGGGGCTGAAATGGACTCCATATTTTCATTATAATCTGATTTTAGGGCAGGACACCTATTTGTTAAAATGAGAAAAAAGCCACAACAACGACAAACAAACCTTAGAACATTTTTGAAGAAAATTTACATGCAGGGTTCCAAAATAACTACAATTGAGTTCATAATATGGGTTCTAGAGTCAGAACAACTCATCAGATTCATTTTCCTTCTCTTATGTTTGCTCTGTGCTGTTGAGGAATTCACCTGTCTGTTTCCTTGTGTCTCAGTTAACACATCTATAAAAATATTAATAAAAAACACCACATAGAATTGCTTGGAGTCTTGAACATGTTGATGACAGTAAAGTACTTACAGTAGTGCTTAAAATAAATAACTACTCAATAAATGTTAGGTATTTTAAGTATTAACATTAATGATATGAAAAAAATAAATGACCCAGCTAACTTGAAAGTCTGGCCTTGAAGATATGTATAATGGGAAACTATGAATGAAAATCCCATCCATATAGAAGCCTCACTCTTTGGTCTTGCTGATGGCTTAGGCAGATGAATCAAATACTACCTGGAGGGAACAGAGCTTTTCAGGTCTCTGGCTTCATGGTATACATTACTTCCTTTGCCTGTGTTTCTCTTTCCTTTAATCATGTTCCACCTAATTCCTACCAACCCTTTACCCTTCCTACAAATCCTCTACTCAATAGAGAGGGCTCAATCTATTCTGCCACCTCCCACTTCACCCATATTAGCTTTCTAGAGCTGCCATAACAAAGTATAATACCAGAGACTGTTGGGCTTATAAAAACAAAAATAATTGTCTCACAGTTCTGAAGGCTAGAAATCCCAGATCAAGGTGTCAGTAGGGTTGGTTTCTTCTGAGGCCTCTTTCTTTGGCTTATAAATGGCCACCTCCATGTCCTCACATAGTGTGTTAGTTTTTGTATTACTAGAAAGCAGTAACATAGGCTAAGTAATTTATAAAGAGGTTTAATTGGCATACAGTTCTATGTGCTGTACAGAAAGCATGATGCCAGCATTGGCTCAGCTTCTGGTGAAACCTCAGGAATCTTAGAATTATGGCAGAAGGCAGAGGGGGAGCAGGTGTATCACATAGAAAAAGCAGGAGCAAGAGAGAGATGGGGGAGATTTCATACTCTTAAACAACTAGATCTTGTATGAAGTACCAGAGTGAGAACTCATTCATCACCAAGGGAATGTAACTAAGCCATTCATAAGGGATCTGCCCCCATGATCCAATCGCCTCCCACCATGCCCCACCTCCAACAGTGGGAATTACATTTTAACATTAGATTTGGAGGGAACAAACATCGAAACCATATCATTCCATGCCTGGCCCTCCACATCTCGTGCCTTTCTCACATTTCAAAATAAAATTATGCCTTTGCAATTGATCCGCAAAGTCTTAATTTGTTTCAGCATTAACTCAACAGTCCCAAGTCAAAAGTCTCATCTGGAGGCAAATTCCTTCCATCTACGAGGTTGTGCAATCAAAAATAAGCTGTTTACTCCAAAAATACAATGGTGGTATAGGAACTGGGTATACATTTCCATTCCAAAAGCAAAACATTGACCAAAAGAAGGCAGTAATAGGTCTCATACAATTTTGAAACCCTGTAGGGCAGACATCAAATCTTAAAGCTCCAACATAAGCTTTCACACCATGTTCTGCATCCTGGTGTGTGGAGTGAGCTCCAAAGACCTTCAGCATCTCTGCTCCTGTGGCCTCTCAGGGTACAGGTCACGTGGTTTCTCTCATAGGTTGGAGTTGAGTGTTTGGAGTTTTTCCAAGAAGAGGGTCTAAGCTGCTAGTGAATCTATCATTCTGGGGTCTGGAGAGTGGTGGGCTCCTTGTCACAGCTCCAATAAGCAGTGTCCTGGTGGGGACTCTGTGTGGGTGCTCCAACTCCACATTTCTCCTCCTAGTACAGTTTTTCTGTTGGGGCTCTGCCCCTGTGGGAGGCTTCTGCTTAGGTACCCAGGCTTTTCTATACATCCTCTGAAATCTAAGTAGAAGCCCCCAAGCCTCCTTCAAGCATGCATTCAAACAATCTGCAGACTTATCACCACGTGGAAACCACCAAGGCTTATGGCTTGCACCCTCTGGGGTGGTGGCCCAAGATCTACCTTGTCTCCCTTGAGTTAACAGCAGAGCCAGAGTCGCCAGGATATGGGGAGCAGTGTCCTAAGCTATTCAGAGCAGTTGTACCCTGGGCCAGGCCCCCAAAACTATTCTTTCTTCCTAGGTCTCTGGGCCTATGATGAGAGAGGCTATCTCAAAGACTTCTGAAATACTTTCAAGGCCTTTTCCCTATTGTTTTGGATACTAGCACTTGGCTCCCTTTTAGTCATGCTAATCTTTCTACCAAATGGTTCCTCCTCAGCCTGCTTAGCTTCTATCTCTACCACTGGACTACTCTGCAAATTTTCCGAACTTTTATGTTCTATTTCCCTTTTAAATATAAGTTCCAAATTTAAGTCATTTATTTGTTCCTGTATCTGACTGTAAGCTGTTAGAAGCAGCTAGGCCACATCTTGAACATTCTGCTGCTTAGAAATTTCTTCCACCAGATACCCTAAGTCATCACTCTTTAGTTTAACCTTCCACAGATCTCTAAGACATAAACACAATGTGGCCAAGTTCTTTGGAAGGGTATATTACAAATAATCTTTACTCCAGTTCCCAACAGCTTCCTCATTTCCATTGGAGACCTCATCAGCCTGACCTATACTGCTCATATTTCTATCGGTATTTTGGTCAAAACCAGTTAACAAGTCTCTGAGAAGTTCCAAACTTTCTTTTTTTTCTTGTTCTGAGCCCTCCAAACTCTTAGAACCTTTGCCTCTTACCCAATTCCAAAGCCACTTCCACATCTGAGGGCAATTTTATAGCAATATGCCACTCCTCAATACCTGTTTTCTGTATTAGGCCATTTTTTGCCTAACTATACAGAAAATAGGTTTAATTGACTCACAGTTCTGCAAGCTGTGTAGAAAACATAGCACCAGAAACTGCTTGGCTTCCAGTAAAGCCTAAGGAAACTTATGAGCATGGTGAAAGGCAAAGGAGGAGCTGGCATGTTACATGTCAAGAGTGGCAACAAGAGAGAAAGGTGGGTGCCACAGTGATATGGTTTGGCTCTGTGTCCCCACCCAAATCTCATCTTGTAGCTTCCTTAATTCCCACATGTTGTGGGATGGACCCAGTGGGAGATGATTGAATCATGGGAGTGGGTCTTTTCCATGATGTTCTTGTGATAGTGAATAAGTCTCATGAGAGCTGATGGTTTTTAAAAATTGGAGGTTCTCTTTTCTCTTCTCTTCTCTTCTCCTCTGCTGCTGTGTGAGATGTGCCTTTCCCCTTCCACCATGATTGTGGAGCCTCTCTAGCCATGTGGAACTGTAAGTTCATGAAACCTTTTTCTTTTGTAAATTGCCTAGTCTCAGGTATGTCTCTATCAGCAATGTGAAAATGGACTAATAGAGTAAATTGGTACCAGTAGAGAGGGTTGTTGCTGAAAAGATCATGAAAAATGCAGAAGCAACTTTGGAACAGGGTAAGGAGCAGAAGGTGGAACAGTTTGGAGGGCTCAGAAGAAGACAAACATGGGAAAGTCTGGAACTCCCTAGAGACTTGTTGAATGGCTTTGGCCAAAATGCTGATAATGATATAGACAATGAAATTCAGGCTGACATGGCCACAGATAGAGATGAGGAACTTGTTGGGAACTGGAGCAAAGGTGACTTTTGTTATGCTTTAGCAAAGAGGCTTGTGGCATTGTGCCTCTGCCATAGAGATTTGTGGAACTTTGAATTTGAGAGAGATGATTCAGTTTATCTGGGGGAAGAAATTTCTAAGAATCAAGGTATTCAAGAAATGACTTGAGTGCTGTAAAAGGCATTCAGTTTCAACAGGGAAACAGAGCATAAAAGTTAGGAAAATTCACAGCTTGACAATGCAATAAAAAAGAAAATCCCATTTTCTGAGGTGAAATTCAACCAGTTGCAGAAATTTGCCTAAGTAACAAGGAGCCGAATGTTAATCACCAAGACAATGGGGAAATTGTCTGCAGGGCATGTCACAGACATTGCAGCACAGGCCTGGAGGCCTAGGAGGAAAAGGTGGTTTTGTTGGCCAGGCCCAGGGTCCTCATCCTGTGTGCAGCCTAGGGACTTGGTGTCCTGCATCTCAACTGCTCCAGCCGTAGCCAAAAGGGGCCAATGTAAAGCTAGGGCTGTGGCTTCAGAGGGTGAAAGCCTCAAGCCTTGGCAGCTTCCATGTGGTGTTGAGCCTGTGAGTGCACAGAAGTCAAGAATTGAGGTTTGGGAACCTCTGGCTAGATTTCAGAAAATGTATGGAAATGCCTGGGTGCCCAAGCAGAAGTTTGCTGTAGGGGTGGGGCCCTCATGGAGTACTTTTGCTAGTGCAGTGCAGAAGGGAAATCTGGGGTCAGAGCCCCCACACAGTGTCCCTACTGGGACACTGCCTAGTGGAGTTGTGAGAAGAGGGCCACCATCCTCCAGATCCCAGAATGGTAGATCCACTGACAGCTTGCACTATATGCCTGGAAAAGCCACAGACACAATGCCAGCCTGTGAAAGCAGCCAGGAATGGGGCTATATCCTGCAAAACCACAGAGTTGGAGCTGCCCAAGGGTGTGGAGCCCATCTCTTGCATCAGCATGACCTGGATGTGAGGCATGGAGTCAAAGAAGATCATTTTGAAGCTTTAAGATTTTGCTGCCCAGCTGGATTTTGAACTAGCATAGTGCCTGTCACCCCTTTGTTTTGGCCAATTTCTCCCATTTGGAGTGGCTGTATTTATCCAGCGCCTGTACCCCCATTGTGTCTAGGAATTAAATAACTTGCTTTTGAATTTACTGGCTCATAGGTGGAAGGGACTTGTCTCATCTCAGATAAGACTTCAGGCCATGGACTTTTGAGTTAATGCTGAAATGAGTTGAGACTTGGGGGACTGTTAGGAATGCATGATTGGTTTGGAAATGTGAAGATATGAGATTTGGGAGGGGCCAGGGTTGAATGACATGGCTTGATCTGTGTCCCCACCCAAATCTCATCTTGTAGCTCCCATAATTCCCACGTGTTGTGGGAGGTATCCAGTGGGACATGATTGAGACATGGTGGCGGGCCTTTCACAATGCTGTTCTTGTGATAGTGAATAAGTCTTATGAGAGCTGATGGTTTTAAAAAGGGGAGGTTCCCTGCACAAGCTCTCTTCTCTTGTCTGCCGCCATGCAAGGTGTGCCTTTCACTTTCCACCATGATTGTGAGTCCTTCCCAGCCATGTGGAACTGTAAGCCCATTAAACCTCTTTCTTTTGTAAATTGCCCAGTCTCAGGTATGTCTTTATCAGCAATGTGAAAATGGACTAATACACACAGTCTTTTAAACAACCAAGTCTTGCATGCACTACCAGAGTGAGGACACATTCATCACCAAGGGGATGGTGCTAAGCCATTCATGAAGGATCCACCCCTATGATCCAATCACCCTCCCCCCAGGGCCCACCTCCAACATTTGGAATTACATTACAACTTAAGATTTAGAGGGGACAATCATCCAAACCATATCAAACATCCAAACCATATCATGCCCTCTGTGCATGTCTATGTACTCATTTTCCCTTTGGTAGGAATATCAATCATATTAGATTAGGGTCCGCCATAATGATTTCATTTTAACCTAACTACCTCTTTAAAGTGCCAATCCCAAATGCAATTACACTATTAGATACTGGGAGTTACAACTACAACATATAAGATTTGAGGGAACACATTCCAACTCATGATGCTCTCTATTGTTCCTTCTCATAGTGTGCTATACTTTTCATTCCATTTATAGTATATAAATAAAAATTTATATTTGTGTTTTTGTGTTCGTTAAATGTTTTGTTACACATTAGTAGCTGTTTTTTTTTTTTTTAATTGCCCTGGCCCTACAACAATGCCTAGTACCTGGTAGGAGAACAAGAAATAGTTGTTAAATAAATGAATATACTTCTCTGAAACTTACTCTCTCTTTCCTGATCAATATATGCCATCATTTGGTGAACATACAGAAATTTATTTACCATAGACAACATAATATACTTTAAAAGTATATTAGTTAGAGATAGCCAAAATATTCAGGAAGTTATTACTCATTTATTTTTAATTTTTCCTAGTATTAAGTTAGGCCATGTGAAATCGCAATTTTTGTAGATACAAAAAAAGATGAATAAAGGCAATTTCATATTGCCCAGCTATTTAAATGAGCCTCTTTCTCTCAAGTTTTCTGTCATTTTGAAAAAAAATTGTTTGAGACAAAAAATGTTTTGTTCAATTTTCAGCCATAACAACCTTGCCTAGGTTACTGTTTTGTACTCTCCCTAAACAATGCCTCATGCTAAACTTTGTCTTTCTTGGACAATTAGTCCCCAGAGCTCAAATCTCTTGAGAAGGACTTAGGTTGGAGGATTTATCCACTACCACCCCATACAGTAACTCAAACTCAATTACTCATCCTTTATTCCTAGAGGCTGTGTTGCAGGATATCTGAGAACCAAAAAGCATCATTTTCTCTCATCATTAAGTTAATTCCCATGGGCTGGGTGTGGTGGCTTATGCCTGTAATCCCAGTACTTTAAGAAGTCAAGGCAGGTGGATCACGAGGTCAGGAGTTTGAGACCAGCCTGGCCAACATGGTGAAATCCCGTCTCTACTAAAAATAGAAAAATTAGCCAGGCATGGTGGTGCATGCCTGTAATCCCAGCTACTCAGGAGGCTGAGGCAGGAGAATCGCTTGAACCTGGGAGGCAGAGGTTTCAGTGAGCCAAGATTATGCCACTGCACTCCAGCCTGGGTGACAGAGCGAGACTCCGTCTCAAAAAAAAAAAAAAAAAAAAAAAAAAAAAAAATATATATATATATGTTCCCATGAATGGACACATGCATCCAACTCTCACACTTTAAAATAAATCCTTCCTATGTATATCCTGAATTGCCTCACACCTCCCAAGAGGTTAGGTTACTCTTCATTTGCCATTAAACTAATTATTGTCTCTCTCCCTTCCTTCATCTCTCATCCCTCTTCCCTCCTTCCTTCCTTCCTTTCTTCCTTCCTTCCTTCCTTCCTTCCTTCCTTCCTTCCTTCCTTCCTTCCCTCTTTAAAATATCATCCTTGCAATGTGTTCTAGAGATACAGTGTTGGTCCTAAATGAATTGCATGTGTTGAGTATATAAATAAACAGTTACACTGTATGGTGTAAATGTCCTAATAGAGCTCTGCACAGGGAGACATACAGAGTAGCATGACAATGGTGCCTTGAGCCAACCTCCTAGATGGGGCTTGGGTGGTTAGGCAGCTTCCTTATGGCCATGATAATTAAGCTGAATGCCTATTTTTAACCTCACTGACACTCAGTGTTTTCTCCCGTGGCAAGGTCTTTTCTAGGTTATTCCTTATGTTGAGAATACTTATTTTACTCTTCTTCATTTATTTACTGTAAGTTTTGTAGATCTCAGCTGAAGCATTATCAGTTTCTTAGAGAGGACTTTCATGTCTAGAAAAAAATCTGTATAGTAAAGGAATAGGTAGCTCTGTGTATATCTCCTTAGTAGTTCTTAGCACAGTTGCAGTTTTACACATTTGTGTAGTTAATTGATTAATATCTGCCTTTCCAATCAAGTATTGAAATATTATGAATTTAGTGGTCTAGCTACTTCACTACCTGGAATAGTGCGTGGAACATCATACAGATTCAATGACATTTGTTGACTGAGTAAATAAATATAAAGATACTAGAAGGAGGTGTTGAAAGTAGTGATGATGGAGGCAGTATTTAGAGTTGAATAGGACATGCAAAAAGAGAAAGCTTTTTGGGTAAGGGTCTGAATGTGGGAGAGCACAATTTGTCAGGCAATCTAAAGATATGTCAAATAGCTGAAGCCCAGATACTGTGGAGGTGAGCAAAGGCCCAGATATTGAAGATTTTGTAAATTTTTCAGACTGTTTCCTCTGGACTTAGGGTGAGAGAATTTGTTTCATTTTCTTTACATAGAAGATAAGGATTATAATGAGATTTATATTTTTATAAAGATTGCTCTGGTTGCAGTGTGGAAAATATATGGACAGCAGTGTATCTCAAGCTGAGGAGCCTTATTCGGTGATTGTTGAAAAAATTCAAGTGAAAGACATGTGGCTTCAGCTATGAAGAGCTCTGTTACTTCAGCAAGAGGCATAACAGGAATTGGTGATTGGTTGAACAGGGTTCAAGGGTAAGATGGAAAGAGAAAAAGAGAGCAACAAAGCGATCCCAGGTTGATACCTTGAGCTCCATAGGGATGATAATGTAATCAGTAGGATAGAAAATGCAGGGGTATAAGCAGGTTTGGAAAGGAAGGAGACGAGTTCAGTCGTAGGCATGTAAAGTTGGTCTGTGAGCTAGCCAAGTGAAGTTGCTCAGCAGGCAATTAGAGGTATAGGTCTGGAGTTTAGAAGGTAGGTATAAACTTTGTGGCATAGGTGGAATTCTCTTTGGGACACAATGTAAGCCAAAAATTTGGATGCAAATGATTTATTAAGGAAGTGAATGAAGCAGGGCAGAGAAAAGAAATAAGCCAAGCACTAGAGTTATTTCTGTTATGCAGCTTCTACCCAATATGCAGAGATCTTTACAGCATAAATCATACCTGAGAGTTCATCCCAAGGAAATCAAAGGACCTAGGTCTTATACCCTGGAGTGTAGAGAAATGAATACATAAAATTCCAAGGTACTTCTGGCATTCCACGTGAGTGAGTCAATTCTAGTGGCCATGGGAAATCCTCTACAAGTCATAGGTAGGAGCTGTTGACAGCAAAGCACACAGAAACTAGAGGATAAGCACACAGAGGGATACAAGTCAGTCTGAGTAGGTCACTAGCAGTATTCATTATTGTATAGACATATATTTTAGGACCAGCAGCTTACACAACATAACTGAAACCATGGGAAAGGACAAGATCTCCTGTAAGTATCTAGAATGAGAGGAGAACAGAGCTTAAAAAGAGAGATGAAGTGAAGTTAATAAAAATTGAGAAGTCTTGCCAGTAAGAAAGGAGGAAAGACAGGATTGCAGTTCAAGGCAGCTGAAAGAAGGAAGTGTCATTCTTGTGACCTTAGATGCCTGACTTTCAGTAGTAAGAGTTCTCTCTTATCTTTTTCCAAAGCTCTACATAATTAGGAGTCCTACATAAAAACAAATTATATGGTTCTGATAGCTCAAGATTCCTAAAATGATTTTGAAGATGGGGTTGCTGAAGGACTCTCAGCATAAAGGTCAGTAGAGTGCAATGAGTAATGTTGAACTGAGACAATGGAGGCATGGGTCCCAGTTCTAGTGCCATTATCACATTGATTTTAATTTTAGACAGTTTGCCAGTAATCTCCAGAATTCTTTCTTCAATAATAAAATGACTTGGTTTGTCATGACTCTAAAATTCTTTATTGTGAAACTCTAAGCCTGGCTAGATACGTTACAGGTAAAGATTAAAAAAAAGAGCAGGTGCTGTAGATTTAATTAATGAGTAAATTCAGTAATTCAATTAATATTTATTCAGCACCTGCTCTGATAGAACATGGAGGCATGACAATAAATACAACTGACAAGTTCTTTGTCCTCACATCTAGCAGAAAACTGTCGAGTTATAAAGGTAATTAATGGATTCCAGTTGCAATAAATGTTATAAAGGAGGACAAGGTAATAGAAGATTATATAATAGAGGAACCTAAACTGATATGGTCAGTTCAGGCATGGGAGCTGGATTGAATAGTTTTCAGGCCTATGAAGGACATTCTAAATTTGGTTAAAATTAACTTTTCCTAGAAGCTCTTCAACGGTGCAATTTGATACATAGTTGGGATTTGTGGTCATATCTTGGGAAGTATCAAAGACCTGCATCTTGGGTATAATTAAACATGGGCATGCTCAATGGGATGGCAAAAGCTATTCGTGTATTTAATAAATATAATCCTATAATTTTTTTATTGGGAATTCATACTTTTCATGTACCATTGTTGGTTTTGGAGTTTATAGCAGTAAATAACACATCCTACAAGGAGAGGCTGACAATAAACAAGATACATCAGGTAGGTGTAGGTGCTATGATAGTAACATATGTAAATGTTTTCTATATATTCTGCTGAGGAAGCAGGCTACCCTTTTCATTTGGAAGTGCTATGTCGTGGGCCAGTTGTTATTAAATGTATCTATTATTTCTTTCTTCCTTGAAACCAGAAACTACATTTTTAGTTGAGCAAATAGCTGCTAAACATAAAGACTACTTCTCAGCTTTTGTGGCAGTCTTGTCATGTGATGAAGTCATTAAATATTTAATTTTCAATAAGTGTTAGGTAGAACTTCTGGAGAGGTTGCTTTAAAAGTGTTGGCTCAGAGACGATGTTAGCAAGACGTTGGAATAGAAAGCCTCAACCCTTGTTCCCTCACAGAAACACCAATTTAATAATGATATATAGACCCAAATACTTTTTGTAAGAATTTCTGGATCCAGTTAGGAAGTTATAGTACCCCAGGTGAAAACAAAGCTGAAGACATCTTCATTTAAATAGGTGAGAAGAGTAATTTCACTCTACCCACATCAGCTCTTCCTTCAAGACAGCAGAGCATAGTGATAAGAGAGAATGACCTGGTTTCTGATTTCTCCCTCTGGGGAAAAAAGAGAAGGGTAGTATATGTCCAATTCTTCGGGCTTTTAGAAGGTCTTTCAAAGGGACTGGTTTCTGTCTCACCTCAATTGTAATGTTGTCTTAACTGGCATAGTTTGGATGCCTGCAGGCTGCTGAGAGCAAAGAAGAGTAAAGAGTGGCTTAATGTGGCCAGCATGGCTCAATGAAATCAGGAGAAGACACAACTTGAGATTTCTCCTTGGGAGAAAGTGAGAAGTGGATTGTGCATCTGGTATTCTGGGTATTCAGAGGGATAATGAAGGGACTGGTATCTGTTTTGCCTGACTCGGTGGGCTGATAAGGAGTCTCCATAATTTGGATGACTATGGCTACTAAAAAGAAGGGTGAGTGGAGTGGCATGCTGCTATACAACCAGAGAACATGCAGTGATGCAGAAAGACACCAGAGGGGGTGGGAGATTACAAGCTCCCGATAAAAACATGCCCCTCTAATTGAGAAATTGCACACACACACATCCAAAGAAGATGCATACTTTCCATGAAAGGATTCAGAGGCCCCCAGAATCTCCAGCTGGCCTGATTTGTGAGGGCATTCTCCTGTATGAAGCCAGCATGTAAGACTGGGAATGGCTGTTTTTTCAAATGTGCTGATCATAGTACAAAGTTATAAGACATGGGGAAACAGGGAAACATGGCCCAAATAAAGGAACAAAATAAATCTTCAGAAACTAGTCTGAAGTCATAATTATATATGAATTATCTGACAAATAATTGCAATTAATCTCCATAAGGATGCTTTTCAGGGTAAATGAGAATGCCAACTAAGAGATAGGAAATCTCTATCAAAGACAGAGTTAGAAAGAGAGAGAAAAAATCCAAACAGAAATTTTGTAGCTGAAGAATACAGTAACTGAACTGAAAGTTTCACTAGAGGAGACCAGCAGCAGACCTAATCAAGGACAAAAAACGAATCAATGAACTCTAAAGCAAGTCGTTTGAAATTATTCTGTCAGAGTTACCACATCAATAACAAAAAAATAAAAATAAAAAAGAATAAGGAAAGCCTGCAAGACTTATGGAATGTTATCAAGCCAATAAGAATATGCATTATCAATCCAAGAAGTGGAAGAGACAGAGACTCAGAAGCCTGATGGACTCCAGGTAAAATGAACTTCAGGAAATCCACAACAAGATACATTACAATCAAATTGTCAAAAGCTAAAGATAAAGAGAATTTTGAAAGCATCAAAAGTTACTCATCACATACAAAGGATCTTCCATCAGACTGACAGCGAATTTCTCAGGAGATATCTTGCAGATGAGAATGGAGTGATATTCAAAGTGCTGAAAGAAAAGATATTGCCAAGCAAGAATACTGCATCTGACAAAATCATACTTAAAAATGAAAAAGAAAGACATACAGATAGACAAAAATTTATAACAATAATATCTATATTAAAAGGAGGAAAGACTTTAAATAAAAACCAAACTTTACATTTGCAAAAAATAGAAAAAAAGAGGACACAATAAGCCTAAAATTTGCAGAAGAAAAAAAACAGTAAAGATTAGGAAGTAATTTAAAAAATACAGAATAGAAAAATAATAGAAAAAATAATAAAGCTAAAATTTGGTGTTTTGAAAAGATCAAAAAATTGACAAAACTTTAGCTAGATTAAGAGTAAAGACAAGACTCAAATTAATGAAATCAGAAATGAAAGAAGAGACATTATAACTGATGCCACAGAAATTAAAAGGTTTGTAAGAGATTACTATGAACAATTATTTGCCAGCAACTTGAATAACCAAGAAGAAATGGATAATTTTCTAGAAACATACACCTTACCAAGACTAACACAAGGAAATAGAAAATCTAAACAGATCTATTTCTAGTAAAGAAATTGAATCAGTAATCAAAAAACTCTCAGAAAAGAAAAGCCTAGGACCAGATGGCTTCAGTGCAGAATTCTATGAAGCAGTTAAAGAAGAATTAATGCCAATCCTTCTAAGTTTCTCCAAAAAAAAATCAAAGAGGTGGGGGAACAATTTTAAATGTATTTTATGATGCTAGTATTACCCTGATATGAAAGCCAGACAAAGATGCTAGAAGAAAAAAATATATATAGCCAAATATCCCTGATAAATATAAATGCAAAAATATTTAACAAAATACTACCAAAAAGAATCCAACAGCATCTGAAAGGATTGTATACCATGACAAAATGTGATTTACATTTCTTGAATGCAAAAATGACTTAATGTACCAAAATCAATCATTGTGATACACTAGATTAATACAATGAAATATGAAAATCACATGATCATCTCAATAGATGAAGAAAAAGCATTTGACAAAACTAAGCACTCCTTCATGATAAAAAACTGTCAAGAACTGGAAATAGAAGAAAATTATCTCAACATAATACAACCCATATATAAAAGCTCACAGCTAACATCCTACTGAACACTGAAAAACTGAAAACATTTTATCCAAGATCGGGGAAGACTAAAGGATGCCCACTCTCACTATTTTTTTTTTTTTTTTTTTTTGGAGACAGTCTGACTTTGTCACCCAGGCTGGAGTGCTATGGCACAATCTCAGCTCACTGCAATCTCCACTTCCCAGGTTAAAGCAATTCTCATGTCTCAGTCTCCTGAGTAGCTGAGATTACAGGGATGCACCACCATGCCTGGCTATTTTTGTATTTATAGTGGAGACAGGGTTTCACCATATTGGCCAGGCTGGCCTGAAACTCCTGACTTCAGATAATCCACCCACGTTGGCCTCCCAGAGTACTGGGATTACATGCATGAGCTACTGCACCCGGCCTCCACTCTAACTATTTTTATTCAACATAGTATTGAAAATACTAGTCAAATAAATTAGGCAAGAAAAGATATAAAAGGAATCCAAGTTGGAAAGAAAGAAATAATGGTGCTAGGAAAATTGGACAGCCATATGCAAAATAATAAAATTTGACCTTTATCTTACACCACACACAAAAACCAACTCAAAACGCATTAAAGACTTAAGACCCAAAAGTTAAAAGCTGCTAAAATAAAATAGAGAAGAAAACCTTCAATAAACTGGTCTTGGCAATAGTTTCTTAAATATATCAACGACTAGAAAACAAACATACTCAAGACTACATCAATCCATAAATCCTCTACAAAGCAAAAGGAAAACAAAACAAACAAACATAAAACAGAATCAGAGTGAAAAGGAAACCTATTGAATGGATGAAAATATTTGCAAAGCATGTGATATGGTTTGGATGTGTTCCCACCGAAATCTCATCTTGAATTGTAGTTCCCGTAATCCCCATGTGTTGTGAGAGGGACCCTGTGGGAGGTAATTGAATCACAGGGGTGGTTTCCCCTATGCTATTCTCATGATAGTAAGTTCTCACAAGATCTGATGGTTTTATAAAGGGCTTCCCCCTTTGCTCGGCTCTCACTCTTCCCTTTTCTACCTCCATGAGAAGAAGGAACTATTTGTTTCCTCTTCTTCCATGATTGTAAGTTTCCTGAGGCCTCCCCAGCTCTGCAAGACTGTGAGTCAATTAAGCCTCTTTTCTTTATGAACTACCCAGTCTCAGGCATGTCCTTATAGCAATGTGAGAATGAACCAATACACTAAATTGTTACCAAGAGTTGATTATGGAAATGCCTAGATGTCCAGGCAGAAGTTTGCTACAGGGGTAGGGCCCTCATGGAGACCCTCTGTTAGGACAGTGCAAAAGGGAAACGTGAGGTCAGAGCCCCCACACAGAGTCCCCACTGGGGCACTGCATAGTAGAGCTGTGAGAAGAGAGCCCCAGTCCTCCAAACCCCAGAATGGTAGATCCATCGACAGCTTGCAACATGTGCTGGGAATAGCTGCAGACACTCAACACCAGCCCATGAAAGCAGCTGGGAGGGGGGTTGTACCCTGCACAGCCACAGGGGCAGAGCTGCCCAAGACTGTGGGAACCCACCTTTTGCATCAGCATCACCTGAATGTGAGACGTGGAGGCAAAGGAGATAATTTTGGAGCTTGAAGATTTGACTGCCCTTCTGGATTTCAGACTTCCTGGATCCTGTAGCCCCTTTATTTTGGCCAACTTCTCCCATTTGGAATGGCTGTGTTTACCCAATACCTGTACATGGAAAGTAACTAACTTGCTTTTGATTTTACAGGCTCATAGGTGGAAGGGACTTGCTTTATCTCAGATGAGACTTTGGACTGTGGACTTTTGAGTTAATGCTAAAATGATTTAATACTTTGGGAGACTGTTGGGAAGGCATGATTGGTTTTGAAATGTTAGGACATGGGATTTGGGAGGGGCCAGGGAGTAATGATATGGTTTGGCAGTGTCCCCAACCAAATCTTGCCTTGAATTATAGCTACCATCATTCCCATAATTCCCACATGTCATGGGGGGGATCCATTGGGAGGTAATTGAATCATGGGGTTATGTCTTCCCCATGCCATTCTCATGATACTGAATAAGTCTCATGAGATCTGATGGTTTTATAAAGGGGAGTTCCCCTACACAAGTTCTCTTGCTTGCCACCATGTAAGATGTGACTTTGCTCCTCATTTGCCTTCAGCCATAATTGTGAGGCCTCCCCAGCCATGTGGAACTGTGAGTCAATTATACATCTTTCCTTTATAAATTATCCAGTCTTGGGGATGCCTTTATTAGAAGCATGAAAATAGGCTAATACAGCATGCATCTGATAAGGAGTTAATTTCCAAAATGTATAAGGAACTCCTATAATTCAATAGCACAAAAACAAATAACTTGATCAAAAATAGGCAAAGGACTTGACTAGACATTTCTCTAAAGAAGGCATACAAAAGCCCAAGTATAAGAAGAGATGCTTAATATCACTAATCATTAGGAAAATGCAAATCAAAGTCATAATAAGGTATCACCTCATGTCTGTTAGAATGACTATATATATACATACATACATATACACACACACATACACACACACACACACACACATAAAATAGCAAATGTTGGCAAGGCAAGGCTGTGGAGAAATTTGATCCATTTTGTACTGTTAATGGGAATATAAAATGGTGCAGCTGCTGTAGAAAACAACATAGAATTTACTCAAAAACTTAAAACTGCTACTGCCATATGATAATATGATATAGCAATTTCACTTCTGGGTATTCATCCAAAAGAATTAAAATCATATTTTAAAGAGATAGTTGCACTTCCATTTCCACTGCAGCTTTATTCACAGCAACCAAGAGGATAAAAACAATCGAAATGTCCTTTGATGGATGAATGGTGCTGTGGTTTGACTATTTGCACTCTCCAACTTTGGAGAGTGGCAGCATTGAGAGATAGGCCCTTTAAGAGGTGATTGGACCATGAAGGCCCAATGGGTTAATGAATATATGGGTTATCATGGGAGTGGAACTGGTGACTTTAAACAAAGGGGAAGAGAGACCTGAGCTAGCATGCTCAGCCTTCACACCAAGTGTTGCCCTGCGCCACCTCAAGACTTTTCAGACTCCCCACCAGCAAGAAAGCTCTCACCAGGTACAGCACCAAAACCCAGGAATTCTCAGCTTCTGCAACTATAACAAATAAATTATTTTTCTTCATAAATTACCCAGTCTCAATATTCTGTTATAAACAACAGAAAATAGATTAAGGCAAATGGGCAAATGGATTTTGCCCATTTTTATAGCACATTTAAAAATGTGCTATATGCATACACACACACACATATATATATATACACACACATATCACACAATGGAATATTAATCAACAATAAAAGAAGAAAATTCTGTCATATGATACAACACAGAAGAACCTTGAAGACATTATGCTACTTCCATTAAACCAGCCACTATAGAACAAATACTACATGATTCCACCTATATGAAGTATCAAAAATAGGCATAATCATAGAAAGAAAATAGATTGGTGGTTGCCAGAGGCTGAGTGTAGGGAGAAATGAGGATTTTATTTTTCTTGGGTATTGAACTTTTCATGCAAGGTGTAAAATTTCTATAAAAATACTGTACCAGTTTGCTTATAGTTAACAATAGGGTATCATATGCTGAAAATTTTGTAAGAGAGAGAGAAAGAAGAACTGATTCAGATGAAAAGTACACTCTCCATATTACTGGCTAGAATGTTGATATGATGGTTTAAACTTCAGCCACCATGAGGTGCCTGGTGGGACAGTAGCTGAATCTTCTTTATTGTCTTTGAATCCTGGTGTACATATTCAGGCCCTTGTGCAGATCTGTATCAGAGTCTTCTAGGTCTTCTCAGATGGCCTGCATAATAAAGTTGTATGCTTGTGGGTTTGAGAGACTGATGTAGTGTCCAGTGCATCCTCATGGGTTCAATCTTATCCTTATGCATTCAAATGTTTCTTTGCTTTCCCATATCCTTGACTGTGATCCCTGCTGACTGATCAGACATAGCAGCAACATGGGCAACTCAACAAGTTCCCACAATTGTACAAGGTCTAATCCCTATAATAAATATCTTTATGTCCTTATGGTTGTTTTGCACTGCTAATAAAACCCTAACTTTTACATGCTGACAAGATGAATCAAACATGAACCATAAAGTGAAATTAAATATAGAATTTAGTGCTCAGGTTCACAGAATAGAAAGCTAAATAAATCCTAAGTCCTAAGTACTTTGTAGACACAACATAACATCCCTAGCCTGTCTACACCTGGATTTCATTTATATGATATAATAAACCAATGTTATTTGAGGATTCTGCTACATTCAGTTAACATAAGGTCTAACTGGTATAGAAACCAATTTAAATTATTGATTGGTTGTATTTGCTTGAAATGCTAAGAGGAGTAAAAATATTTAATAAGATTTCAAAGGCCATGTAGTTTTTCACTGGGAAAGTGCAATGGACTAAATGTTTTATATTTCCTCAAAATTCATATGTTGAAATTCTCACCCCACAGCATTAGGAAATGGAGCATTTGGGAAGTAATAAGTTCACAAGGGCAGAGTCTCTTGAAAGGGATTGATACCCATAAAAAAGAAGCCCCAGAGAGCTGCATTTCACCCTCCACCATGTGAGGATGCAGTGAGAAGGTATCATCTTTGAGCCAGGAAACATGCTCTCACCAGCCATTGTTTCTGCTGATGCCTTAATCTTGGACTTCCCAACCACCAGAATTGTGAGAAATGTCACTATTATTTATAAGTTAGTTAGCTTATGATATTTTATTATAGTAGCCTGAATGGACTAAGGCAAAAAGATGTTGCAATCTGTTGATTAAACTCATCAGCCAGATTCACTGGGTGAGCGAGTAATGGAAACTTACCTAGTCTATGCCATCCTTCTTTTTGAGAAAAATGTTGACACCAATTACACTACAAAGTGTCAGTGTAAATTCTCCACCCTCCCTATTCTCTTAATTGAGTAATATTTTCTCTTCTTTGGCAATGGGATTTCACGGGAATAAATTTACTATATGCCTTCTTCATCCCCAAATCTAATGAAACTATACTTGAATAATCTTTCTTGGTTCCAAAGTCACTGGATATGAAGTAACTTGAAGATATCTGAACCTTAAATTCTGTATATGTTTATATTATAAAGTCTCTAAATTATAGAATAAAATATTCTAGGATCATCTGTATAAGATCTAAAGAATAGAAAGAATAATATCATTTTTGGCATAAAAGCTTAAAATACAATTATTAGTTAGAAATCTTGAATTTGAAAATGCTCTAATACTTTTCCAGAAGTATGTAGTATGTACTACTTTTCAACAGTGTGCTAATATCGAAATACAATATACAATAAAGGTGTTTGAATTTTTTTTTTTTTTTTTTTTTTTTTTTTTTGAGACGGAGTCTCAATGTTTCACCCAGGCCGGAGTGCAGTGGTGCGATCTTGTATCACTGCAAGCTCTGCTTCCCGGGTTCATGCCATTCTCCTGCCTCAGCCGCCCGAGTAGCTAGGACTACAGGTGCCCGCCACCGCGCCCAGCTAATTTTTTGTATTTTTAGTAGAGACGCGGTTTCACCGTGTTAGCCAGGATGGTCTCGATCTCCTGACCTCGTGATCCACCTGCCTCAGCCTCCTAAAGGTGTTTGAATTTAATGTAATAAATATTCCACTGCAAATCCTAGAACATTTTTATTCTTCTCTTTCTAGTTATTTCTGAGGTGTTTAAACAGTTCTACATAGAGGTTGGTGTGTGTAGAACCGGACATATATTCTAATTTGTTTATTTATTATTTGTGTGACATTGAGCAAGATGTTTAATTTCACTCACTATTATCCCTTGTAAAATAAGAATAACAATATTTACCAAATAGAGTTTTTGTGAGGATTACATGAAATAATACATGAAGAATGTGTGGGACTAAGTAGGCATTTATTACATGCTAGTGCCTCCTCTTTGCTTTCTATTACAATAAGGAGTAACCCAAGATTACTGCTGCCCCATTACTTCTAAGATGGTAGCCAATTGTAATAAAGTGATGTATCTGCTAGGAACAAATTTTAATCTATCTTTATCATTGCTTCTGCTCCATTGATTAAAAAACGTCAAGATATCATGTGAGTTCAATTCTCCTTCCTATTGTGTGGCCATCTAAAAGCATGTGGAGAAAATGTATTAGATATTTTAGTAACCTTTAGTCATCATGATTATCATACATTGACTGATTTTCTTTTCTCTCTATGAAACTTTGTATATCTTCCAGTCTCTTTTCTGAATTGCTGTTTTACAGAGAAGTAACATTTTGCCATGAGAAGCATGTAAAATATTTAACTCCTTACTCTTTTTTTGTGGATCAAAGGTCAGGCACTAATGAGATGGATTACTTCAGGGCCTGAAGCATATTTTTGCAGTGACTATGTAGCTGTCAAAACCTTTACAGTAACAAGAAATTATGAACTCGGCTTAGCTAAAGAATGACCAGGGAACAAAAGGATGGTTCAGCCCATAGCAAGTGTTTCTTATAAGTCCTCTTAAATTCATCATTACCTCATTTGTAGGGATACAAAAATACAAAATTAATTTCCTAAAGGATGAGGGAGCTTCATATTTCTTTTTGTAATATGTCATCATGGACAGATATGTGGAGTTAATGTTGGGAAACAATGAAAGGTAATGTGAGAAAGTTAGGTTAGAAATGGTTTCCTTTACTACGCAAAGCACCAAGAGCAATTCAATTACCATTCATTGAGGATCTTTTTCAAGCCAGGTTATGGTCAAAACAAATATTGTTGAGAGAGTTAATATTAGAAGATAAGGTCTGTACCCCAAGAGTTTATATTTTGTAGACAATTGGGAGAAGAAAATCATTCATTATATAGCACCATGGGTAGAACAAAGAGCCAACATGGGAGTGTATAGCCTTTCATTCTAGAATCAACCCTGCCTTAATTATCTTTTACTTGCATTTAATCTTTTCTGTTGTCTGAGGACTGCTGAGAATCCTGGTATCTTTCCAGCCAATTAACATACACACACACTTAAACTTTTTCACTAACTTAAACTATTCATCTGATATTTTAGTTTTAGAAGTTGGATATAATGGTTTTCAAGTTCCAGGACTAGAAACCTCTAGAAAGGGACAGAGAATTAAAGTTAAGTTTGATTGAAAATGGTTCCATGATTGACGCTAAGGATGCTCTTCAGTCACTTGACACCTTCCATTCCCGAAGAATGGCTTCAAACTCATAATCCAATAGTTTCCCTTTTCTTTCCATTGGAATATAACTGTGGCCTCTGGACCTTTTACTATGTATAAAAATTATGGGCTCTAGGTGACCAACATGAGGCATTGGTAAAGTTGACCTGAAGCAAACAGCCATTTTTTTGTAGTTAGTGACCCTGCATAATGACTTTTTTGACAATTTGAAAAATGGATAATTTTCATGCAATACAGAAATAAGAAACATTCAGTCTTTATGGAAATGGAATAGATACATATTCCTATGCCAATTTTTCTGCCTTTATATGACTCAAAACGCTGAGGCATAAATACAAAACTACTTTTGGAAGTAAGATGAACTCTCTGTGTGAGTGTGGGTTTGTATGTGTGTGTGTGTGTGTGTGTGTGTGTGTGTGTGTTTAGTGTGGTTGTATTACATGGGCATGGGAGATCTCTTATAAAACCACTTCAAATGCTTTTAGTAGGATTAACAATTGGTTCATTTGCTTTCATAGCAATTACAGAATTATTAGCTAGACCATTAGTTTGTAAATTGCTTGATTATATACCAAATCCTTGAGTGGGAAGGATTAGTTTTAAAAGCAAATTATGTGAGGGCTTTTGCTCTGGAAATTAATTTATAAAATATGTATATTTTCTACTTGTACTATTTACTTATCCAGTTGATTTGCCAAAACATTTTAAAGTGATCTACTGTAGGGAAATCCTTCCTCCTAACTCCTATGAGTAAAGCCTCCTTCAAATTATGGCTTGCTGTTGAGATTTTTTTCCCCTTTAGGGCATAATATGACTTGTTATAATAAAGCATGTGTGATGGATTTTAGGGTGACACCTTATCTTCTAGAGTGGAGCTCTTTTAAAAATATCCTGTGTATTAGGTTGTCTGTAGTTATAAATGTAATATTTCAATAGACATTTTTTCTTGAAAGAGAAAGTTCTTATAATATGAATAAATTGATTTACCCACATTACTACAGGTAAAGGTGAAATCGAAAAAGAAGAAATAATCAACTTTCATTTCTGGTTGCTTTAATTATCCTTGGAAATCTGATATGTAAGGAGAAAAGTGGGTTCCCAAAACTTAACGGTTGTCTCCTATCCAATGACATAGAAGACTTTGACATATTCACCAAATGAATGTTTATATTCTTACTCTTATTTGGCACAACTGATTGCATAGTCTTGGTTATTTTAAAATTATATACAGCCACAGTAAAAGGTACAGTAAGCGGATATTTTAAGGAAAGAAATTAGAAAGGCATTTCAGATTGGCAGAATGCAATTACTTACTTGAAATTTACCCAGGATATTTGCTGTTGACACATTCAGATGGTGCAAAGAACCTTTAATTACCCAAAGCAACTAGTTTGTGGTTTCACATCTCAGAGAAAGAAAGCAATTCCTGGAGAAAGGCTTTGTAAACACCACACAGTTCTGAAGCATTCTTTCCGATCAAAGGAAACCAGGGTTACTTCTTATTAGAGAGGTTCACTGCAATCATGCTCAGTTATTTCTTAGGGCAGGAGTCCCCAGATATTTTGTGAAGAGTAGCTAATTTTCATTTCTTGGAATCAGTGTGTAATAAAGTAAAGACAATGAGCTTTGAAACAAGACTAATATTGTTGAAATCCTAGCTCTCTCACTTACCAACTTTGACCTTGGGCAAGTTATTTAATTTTCCCATATCTGATGCCTCAAATGGGAAATGATACCTATATTAGACACTAATTAGGGAGTTTAAATAAGCTAACACGTGTAAAATGTAGCACTGTGCCCGTCACATAATCAGAACTCAAGAAATGTCAGTTCTTGTCTGCAAAGCATGGTGGTGTTTGAAGGTTACCTTCTGAATGAAATATCTTTACATGGACCAAGGGAGGAGCATTCTGATGATTATGCTCCCTATGAGGTGAGTTTAAAAGTAAACCACGGAGATGGCTTAGGACCTAACTATGTTGCTCCAGTGATATGGTTTGGCTCTGTGTCCCCATCCAAATCTCGTTTTGAATTGTAATCCCCATATGTCAAGGGAGGAACCTGATGGAAGGTGATTGGATTATGGGTGCAGTTTCCCTTATGCTGTTCTCGTGATAGTGAGTGAGTTCTCATGAGATCTGATGGTTTTAAAAGTGGCAGTTTTTCCTGTGCTCACACTTCACTCCTCTCACCTGCCACTATGTAAGATGTGCACGCTTCCCCTTCCACCATGAGTGTAAGTTTCTTGAGGCCTCCTCAGCCATGTGGAACTGTGAATCTATTAAACCTCTTTCCTTTACAAATTACCCAGTCTCAGGCATGTCTTCATAGCAGTGTGAAAATGGACTAATACACCCAGGTGTCCTGGTATAGGGGAAAGAGTATTCCCAATTTTGTTCCTTCTTAACTTCCTGGCTTTGGGTAAATTGCTTTAACTCTCCAATAATTAGTTGCTTCATCAGACAGGCAAAACAAATGATATTTTTTCCTGCCTATCTCCCAGGGGTGTGTGGAACAAACAGGTGTGTGAAAATATTTCCTGGACTAGGAAAGCAATCCAATCACGAAAGCTATGGTTTTGTCCCTGGAAGAAAGGGAATGAATTTATTCCTTATATAAATATGCACTTACTGATTGCTTACTATAGGCCAGTTACTGTGCTAGGAACTAGTGAAAAACAGATATGATACACTTCTTAGCCTTTAAAAGATTTTGTGATTAGTTTTTATTTATAATTGATACACAGTAAGTTTACATATTTATGGGGTACAGTGTGATATTGTAGTGCCTGTATATATTGTATGATGATCATATCAGGTTAATTACAATATCCATTACGTAAACATTTAATAATATATATTTTAAGTTTTAGATTCAGAGAGTACATATGCAGGTTTTTTACATTTGGAGTCCGCAGTGTCTATTATTTCCATCTTTATATCCATGTTTACCCATTGTTTAGCTTCCACCTATAAGTAAGAATATTCAGTATTTGGTTTTCTGTCTGAATTATTTTACTTAGGATAATGACCTCCAGCTTCATCCAAAATCATTTGCAAGGGACATGATTTTGTTCTTATTTTGTGGCTGCGTATTATTCCATGATGTATACATACCACATTTTTTAAATCCAATCAAACATTGATGGATGCTTAGGTTGATTCCTTGACTTTGCTACTGTGAATAGTACTGCTGTGATAAACATATAAGTGCAGGTGTTCTTTTAATATAACAATTTATTTTTCTTTGAGTAGATATCCAGTCGTGGAATTACTGGGTCAAATGTTAGTACTATTTTTAGTTCTTTGAGAAATTCCCATACTGTTTTTATAGAAGTTGTACTAATTTACATTCCCAGCGATAGTGTATAAATGTTCCCTTTTCTCTGCCTTCAAACCAACATCAGTTGTTTTTTGACTTTCTAATAATAGCCATTCTGGCCAGGTGTGGTGGCTCATGGCTGTAATCCCGACACTTTGGGAGGCCGAGGCGGGCAGATCATGAAGTCAGGAGTTCGAGACCAGCCTGGCCAATATGGTAAAACCCCATCTCTACTAAAAATACAAAAATTAGTCAGGTGTGGTGGCGCTCACCTGTAAGTCCCTGCTACTTGGGAGGCTGGGGCAGAAGAATTGCTTGAACCCAGGAAGCAGAGGTTGGAGTGAGTGGAGATTGTGCCACTGCACTCCAGCTTAGGTGACAGAGTGAGACTTCTTCTCAAAACAAAAACAAAAACAAAAAGCCATTCTGACTGATGTAAGATGATATCTCGTGTTTTTAATTTTCATTTCTCTGATAACTAGTGATGTTGAGCATGTTTTTCTGTTAGTTGGCCACTTGTATATCTGCTTTTGGAAAATGTCTGTTCATGTCCTTTCCCCACTTTTTAATGGGGTTGTTTGTTGTTTTGCTTGTTGAGTTGTTTGAGTTCCCATAGAGTCTGGAATTAATAATACTTTGTTTGGTGCATAATTTGCAAATATTTTCTCCCATTCTATAGGCTGTCTCTTTACTCTGTTGACTATTTCTTTTGCAGTGTAGAGGCTTTTTAGTTTAATTAAGTCCCATTTGTCTATTTCTGTTTTTGTTGCATTTGCTTTTGAGGTCTTTATAATAAATTCTTTGCCTATGCCAGTGTCCAGAATAGATTATCCTAGGTTTTCTTCTAAGATTTTCACAGTTTCAGGTCTTAAATATATTTAAGTATTTGACACATCTTGAGTTAATTTTTGTACATGGTGAGAGATGGGGTCCAGTTTTTTTATGAATATGGGCAGCGAATTTTTCCAGTACCATTTATTGAATATTGCTTCCTTTCTCTATTGTTTATTTTTGTTGACTTTCTCAAAGATCAGTTCATTGTAGGTATGTGGCTTGATTTCTGGGTTCTCTAATCAGTTCCATTGATCTATGTGTCTATTTTTGTACCAGTACCATGCTGTTTTAGTTACTGTAATCTTAAATAATTTTAAGTCAGGTAATGTGATTTTTCAAGTTTGTTTCGTTTGCTTAGGATTGCTTTGGATATTTGGGCTATAGTTTTGTTCCGTATGAAATTTAGGATTGCTTTTCCTAATTCTGTGAAAAATGATGCTGATAATTTGACAGAAATTGCATTGCCTCTGTAGATTGCTTTGGGCGGTGTGGACATTTTAACACTATCAACTTTTTCAATCCATGAGCATGGGATGTTTTTTCCATTTGTTTGTGTCCTCTGTAATTTCTTTTATGAGTGTTTTGTAGCTCTCCTTGCAGAGATCTTTCACCTCCTTGGTTAAATATATTCCTAGGTGTTTAATCTTCTTGTGGCTGTTATATATATGATTGATAATATACTCCTTAGTCTTATGGATCTTAGAGTCATCTTTCTTATCCTTTCCGAGACGTATATAGCAGATGTTTAATAAATATTTTTAAAAATTGTATTAAATTGAAATCTGTCTTATAAGGGTCTGAGCTTTTTTGATAAGAACATCTGCCTTAGATATTTTTTGGGACAAAGTAAGTTAATAAACCCATGACTCATCAAGTATTTCACATATTTGACATATTCAGGTGTGCTGACTTCATGAATAGGGTTTAAATCTGAATAAAATCCATTTTTTTTCTCTTCATCGTTTTATTGACTCTAGGTACATTTGGTTTTATTTGTTTGCTAGCAGAACTAAATCTTCTCACTTTTTTGTTAGCCATTGTCTCATTTTTATATTCATATGTTTATTAAACTGTTTTATAAAAACATAACTTTTGTTGTTAGAAATAGGAATAAAACCAGAGAACACTAACATAAAATTTGTCTTATCAAAACCTGGATCCAGTGTGTATGGTAAGTTTCCACTTAGGCCAGGCCATAGAGTGTGTAAACCCAGAAGCATTTAAGCTGATGACTAGACTTCTTCATATCTCATTGGATAAGAAAAGCAACAGACAAATTTATGTTACAAAGAACTACTACTATCACTATTACTCTACAATGCCCATTTCAAAAAATAATTAATACAAGAAAAAAGCTGATACAACTACCTTGCTCCTTGTTCTGGTACTTCTTGGCCTTTTAAACCATAGGAATGACCCTGATTCTCAGACTAAAGAGATCTGAGGTGGGCCTTTCAGCAAAGAATCAAGAATAGGAAGGAAGAAATCATCCTCTCTTCCCTACCTCATATGCTACATTGTGTGGCCAGTTGGCTGTGCAATAACAGCAACTAATGCTACACTTTCCCTGTTGCTCCTGAAGTCTAACCAATTGGATGCAGTTTCAGAAGCAATTGTATCATGTGCATGGACTGACCAAGGCAAGAGGCCATTCTGAGTGACAGCTTTCCAGTTTTACAGGAACTATGAAACTTACCCAATGCAAAGCACTGTGGAAGACACTGGGGTCAGAGACAGAAAAGATCTTGAGTGTACCTTGGGAGCATTAGACTTGGTGTGCTCTGTGTATGCTGCACCAGGGAAACTGGACAGTGGATTCCTACAACAACAATGGCAGGAATTGGAAGGTGGTTGGAGAGACTGGTTGTGAAGTCCATCCCAGCTGGAACTCTATTTTACCTGATATAAATAGCATCACCATGGTGACAATGATCTTTTTAGTTAAAAGTAAGAAATCTCCTTTTTAAGTGACAGGTAAGTGGAATAGTTATCATTGCTTTAGAGAAAAATCATAAAAAGGAAAAGCTATTTTCAATGAATGGGGAGAAGAAAATAGGAACTACACTAAAATCAAGCCCTAATCTCATAACAGCTGTGCAGCAGATAGGAAAGAGGTCTATGTTGTTGCATAGAGAATCTTCTAGACACCACAATGCACAAACAGTGCATTGGAACAACTAAGGTCACATGTCAATTCTGACTTGTTATTGATTCACTCATTAAAAATATTGATTATTAAACATCAGAAACATTTTAGGATATGCTGATGTAGAGTAGCCACTGGTGCTTTCACCAGATAATTTTTAGTAACACGGTGGTGGGAACAGGTATAGGTATACAGCTCCAGGTGGAAAGTCCTATTTGAGCAAGAAGATCTTTAGCCCAAGATGCAAACAGGACTGGCTGCTATAAATTTGAATGATAAGATTCTTTGTAAGTGGATGCTATACTTTTTAAGGTTTACCTGCATTCAATAATGTTAAACGTTGACTATAAAGAAAAAAATAATTTTATTCTCCCAAAGAGTGTTATCTGCAGTTTTTTCAACTTTATAATTCAATAATCAGATAAATACATATGTTAAATTCTAACATTCTTTTATTTCTAGTTGTGAGGACATAGATACTGTACACCTTAAGATTGTGTACTTAAGCAATTCTGGTGTACTTAAGGAATATATTCCATTCGTATAATGTTGACTATTGGGGTCCATAGAGAATCTATTAATTTTCTGTTTTTATTCATTTCTTTTCCTCCACTTATTCAGTTATCTTGTGTTCACAAAAGAAAGCGAATTATTAAAAACCAAATTGTTTTGCTGGAAACTCTGTAATGCCTAGCTTTAGGAATTTACAAATTGATAATTTATTGGTGTGTGCATTTTCAGTAAATTTAATTTGTGAACTTAAAATGTGAATTTAAAATTGAATTTAAAATATGAATTTTATTTCATTGCTCCTGTACCCAAACTCTCAAAATACCTAAAACTTTTCTTACTTACTATAAATTTTCAATATTATTGAAAGAAAATATTGAAACCAAATAAATAATCCATACCAACTATTGGTTCTGTAGATATTTAATGCACATTTTTCTTGTGATTGCTTTGCCAATTAAGCAAGTGTCTTTAAAAATATTTATTTTTACTATTGAAATTTGCTTCCTAGTTCTTCCATAAACACCAAAAAGATGCTAAGCTACTCTGACATCGTCACTAAAAGGATATGGATATACAAACTGTAAGAAAAATGTATTTTTCTGTTTTGTCTATTTCTACTCTGCAGAAACTTCAACCCTTCTGATCAATTCTTGAGTATTCCTCAGCAAGAAATGAAGGTCTCCAGGGATTATCTACTGTTCCCACTCTACATGCGTTGTTTTCAAATCCAGGGTAGTACCTAGGAGACATCTTAAAGATTCAGATTTCCAGGATGTGAATTCAAATTTACCAACTCTCAGAGTGTGGCCAGGAATTTTATTTATCAAAGCTCCCTAGTAAATTTTGAGGCAGTTCATTCTCAGAATGGCAATTGCCCTGGATTTCTCTCCATCTACATTTACCATTTTTCAAGAGCATGCACTCAGCTGCTGCAAGGCTTTTGTCACTTACTTCTTCGCTTTGCCTGCCTCTCTCAGTGATGTTCTACTGATTTCCGCTCTTCCCAGTGATCAGTGTCTTCCATGCATCCTCTTCCTTACAGCATTAGGTTGGCACTCCCACAGCCGGGACCAGCATCTTCATCTCATGTCCCAAGGGCTACAGAAGTTGCCTCAAGGAAAACTCTCTTTCTATTCTTTACACAATTCCCACCACTATTTCTGTGGGTACTTGGTAATTTGTAGAAATGTCTGTGAACTATCCTCTCTCTTGATATTTCTCACCATTTACTTTTCCTCATTTGGCTATAATCTCTGGTAGAAAAGAGTGAAGTAAGGAAGAAATTTACTAGCATGCACCCCGGCTTTCTTCCTCTCTCCAACACTGAGCTTTACTACCTTACCTCCCTCAATGTTGAAGCTAGGGATTTTTTGTGGTTGAAATGAAACAAAGTGCCCCTTCTGTGTTGTATCCAGCCTTGTGTCTTGGCACAAAGCTTGATGAAGGGAGGTTTGGCAAAATTTCATCTTCTACTGCTCTTATTTGTGAGATAGTTATAAACACTGCATAATTAGCACAAGCATAAGGGGAGGACCAGACTTCCTGTTGACCAGCAGAAATGTTTTCCCAGGAGGTTGCTTTGTTCTTTGTACAAAACCAACCATAGGAAGGTTTATCCCTCTGACCCTCCAGACCATGGTAAGGGCATCTGAATGCTGGGTCCTATAACCAGGGCTCCCACTGGGACTTCTGCTGGGAATAAATGCTGTGTTCCAAAGTATGCATATTAAATACAGTTCATGTCTGTATGTTTGTAAGAATAGAAATTACAAAAATATTGAAAACGTTTGACTGTTTTAGACATTTATCAGTTGACCTTCCCTTCTTATCTTATACAGAGATAAAATGTGCCTTAAGAACACCTCAGTTTGTTCTGTTCCATTGATCTATATCTCTGTTTTGGTACCAGTACCATGCTGTTTTGGTTACTGTAGCCTTGTAGTATAGTTTGAAGTCAGGTAGTGTGATGCCTCCAGCTTTGTTCTTTTGGCTTAGGATTGACTTGGCGATGCGGGCTCTTTTTTGGTTCCATATGAACTTTAAAGTAGTTTTTTCCAATTCTGTGAAGAAAGTCATTGGTAGCTTGATGGGGATGGCATTGAATCTATAAATTACCTTGGGCAGTATGGCCATTTTCACGATATTGATTCTTCCTACCCATGAGCATGGAATGTTCTTCCATTTGTTTGTATCCTCTTTTATTTCCTTGAGCAGTGGTTTGTAGTTCTCCTTGAAGAGGTCCTTCACATCCCTTGTAAGTTGGATTCCTAGGTATTTTATTCTCTTTGAAGCAATTGTGAATGGGAGTTCACTCATGATTTGGCTCTCTGTTTGTCTGTTGTTGGTGTATAAGAATGCTTGTGATTTTTGTACATTGATTTTGTATCCTGAGACTTTGCTGAAGTTGCTTATCAGCTTAAGGAGATTTTGGGCTGAGACGATGGGGTTTTCTAGATACACAATCATGTCATCTGCAAACAGGGACAATTTGACTTCCTCTTTTCCTAATTGAATACCCTTTATTTCCTTCTCCTGCCTGATTGCCCTGGCCAGAACTTCCAAAACTATGTTGAATAGGAGCGGTGAGAGAGGGCATCCCTGTCTTGTGCCAGTTTTCAAAGGGAATGCTTCCAGTTTTTGCCCATTCAGTATGATATTGGCTGTGGGTTTGTCATAGATAGCTCTTATTATTTTGAAATACGTCCCATCAATACCTAGTTTATTGAGAGTTTTTAGCATGAAGGGTTGTTGAATTTTGTCAAAGGCTTTTTCTGCATCTATTGAGATAATCATGTGGTTTTTGTCTTTGGCTCTGTTTATATGCTGGATTACATTTATTGATTTGCGTATATTGAACCAGTCTTGCATCCCAGGGATGAAGCCCACTTGATCATGGTGGATAAGCTTTTTGACGTGCTGCTGGATTCAGTTTGCCAGTATTTTATTGAGGATTTTTGCATCAATGTTCATCAAGGATATTGGTCTAAAATTCTCTTTTTTGGTTGTTCTGCCCGGCTTTGGTATCAGAATGATGCTGGCCTCATAAAATGAGTTAGGGAGGATTCCCTCTTTTTCTGTTGATTGGAATAGTTTCAGAAGGAATGGTACCAGTTCCTCCTTGTACCTCTGGTAGAATTCGGCTGTGAATCCATCTGGTCCTGGACTCTTTTTGGTTGGTAAACTATTGATTATTGCCACAATTTCAGCTCCTGTTATTGGTCTATTCAGAGATTCAACTTCTTCCTGGTTTAGTCTTGGGAGAGTGTATGTGTCGAGGAATGTATCCATTTCTTCTAGATTTTCTAGTTTATTTGCGTAGAGGTGTTTGTAGTATTCTCTGATGGTAGTTTGTATTTCTGTGGAGCCCTCAGAAATAACGCCGCATACCTACAACTATCTGATCTTTGACAAACCTGAGAAAAACAAGCAATGGGGAAAGGATTCCCTATTTAATAAATGGTGCTGGGAAAACTGGCTAGCCATATGTAGAAAGCTGAAACTGGATCCCTTCCTTACACATTATACAAAAATCAATTCAAGATGGATTAAAGATTTAAACATTAGACCTAAAACCATAAAAACCCTAGAAGAAAACCTAGGCATTACCATTCAGGACATAGGCGTGGGCAAGGACTTCATGTCCAAAACACCAAAAGCAATGGCAACAAAAGCCAAAATTGACAAATGGGATCTAATTAAACTAAAGAGCTTCTGCACAGCAAAAGAAACTACCATCAGAGTGAACAGGCAACCTACAGAATGGGAGAAAATTTTCGCAACCTACTCATCTGACAAAGGGCTAATATCCAGAATCTACAATGAACTCAAACAAATTTACAAGAAAAAAACAAACAACCCCATCAAAAAGTGGGCGAAGGACATGAACAGACACTTCTCAAAAGAAGACATTTATGCAGCCAAAAAACACATGAAAAAATGCTCATCATCACTGGCCATCAGAGAAATGCAAATCAAAACCACTATGAGATATCATCTCACACCAGTTAGAATGGCAATCATTAAAAAGTCAGGAAACAACAGGTGCTGGAGAGGATGTGGAGAAATAGGAACACTTTTACACTGTTGGTGGGACTGTAAACTAGTTCAACCATTGTGGAAGTCAGTGTGGCGATTCCTCAGGGATCTAGAACTAGAAATACCATTTGACCCAGCCATCCCATTACTGGGTATATACCCAAATGACTATAAATCATGCTGCTATAAAGACACATGCACATGTATGTTTATTGCGGCATTATTCACAATAGCAAAGACTTGGAACCAACCCAAATGTCCAACAATGATAGACTGGATGAAGAAAATGTGGCACATATACACCATGGAATACTATGCAGCCATAAAAAATGATGAGTTCATGTCCTTTGTAGGGACATGGATGAAATTGGAAACCATCATTCTCAGTAAACTATCGCAAGAACAAAAAACCAAACACCGCATATTCTCACTCATAGGTGGGAATTGAACAATGAGATCACATGGACACAGGAAGGGGAATATCACATTCTGGGGACTGTGGTGGGGTGGGGGGAGGGGGGAGGGATAGCATTGGGAGATATACCTAATGCTAGATGACGAGTTAGTGGGTGCAGCGCACCAGCATGGCACATGTATACATATGTAACTAACCTGCCCAATGTGCACATGTACCCTAAAACTTAAAGTATAATAAAAAAAAAAAAAGAACACCTCAATTTGTTATTTCAAGTTCATTTTCTATTTTTTTCCCTTTTTTAAATATTTTACTTAGTGTAGTTTATGTTTTTCCAGGAAAGCCTTTTTGCTGTTATACTCTATGTTCTACTTAACACATTTCTTGTTGTTTGATAGTTCTGTATATCTTGAAATTCTCTGTAAGTAGAGTTCTTGGGTATGAAAATTGGCAGCTAAATATTTTGTCCATCCTTCCAACATCTTGATGTAACAGTAGTAAAAGTGATAAACTTTTAATAATCTAATACCTCCTTTGTGCAAGATACTGATCTAGGCATATGTGTTTGTGTGTGTGTGTGTGTGGATGTGTGCATGTGTGTGATCATGGGCATGTGTGTGTATATATATGTATATACGTAAATATGTATGTGTATTTATGTGTGTATGTGTACATAAGTGTGTGATTTTATTATTTTTATCATATTTATTATTTTATTATTTTTATTATTCTTACAATGACTCTGCAAGTTCTGCGTTATCCAATGAGCCTCAGAGAAGTTAAAAAGTTCTGCCAGTCAGCAAAACAGAAAAACATATCCTGTACTGTGGCCACCCTCTCCTAAGTCTTTGGAACTTTTGACTACTAGTTTGATAGGAGTTCTATCCTGCAAGACTGGTTTCACAAGGTACAGGTCACAAAGACTCAGTTGATAAAACAGGATGCCATAAAGAAGACAGCTAAAACCCATCAAAACCAAGAGGGTGATAAAAGAAACTTCTGGTCACCCTCACTGCTCATTATACTCTAATTATAATATATTAGCATATTAAATAAAACTCCCACCAGCACCATGACTGTTTAGAGATGCCATGGCAATGTCCACAAGTTACCCCATATGGTCAGTTCCAGGAATTTCCCCACACCTTCCCCAGAAAACTCACAAGTAATCCACCCCTTGTTTGGCATATAATCAATAAATAACTGTACAAATAGCCACTCAGTAGCCCTCAAGGCTGTTCTGCCTATGGAGTAGCCACCCTTTTATTACTTTACTTTCTTAGGAAACTTGCCTTCACTTTACTATGTGGGCTCACTTGAATTCATTCCTGCACAAAGCCAAGAACCCATGTGGCCACCCAGGCTAAGCCCCAGTTTTGGAATTTCTCCTGTGATGCTGGGTTCTAAGCCACACCTGCCAGACCAGGAGGTTTTCTTGGTACTAAGTGAACAATGTCAGTAGTTTTCTGTGTTAGTCACTTTAATCTCCATAGTATATATTAATAGGAGAGAAGAGACATCTTCACAAAACACTGTGAGGGTTAATACCTTCTCTCTTGAGCTCTTGTAAAGAGAAAGTCTACATAAACACAATCACAGAATGAACTGAATGCAAGATTCCCAGCTCTGTCTGCACTGCGGTTTGCAGCTCTGTTGGCAGCAGGACTCTTTGTTACAATGATGTGGCAAGGGATTGCTGTTTATGACATTCCAGAAACCTACTCAGAGTATTATGAGTACAAAAGCTATGGGAAAGTTTTGATATAGTTTCCCATATTAAAAAAGAAAAGAAGAGACAAAGAAAACATGCCTTCTGGCAGGTTACTGTATAGTTCTATAATTAAAGTTAGATGAGAATTTCATTCATGCATTGAACAAATATTTATTAAGGATCTACTATGTGTGAAGCACTGTGTTAAGTACTGAGAAGAGGACACGCAGACACAGTTCTTGTCCTCACAGGGTTTACCATCTATCTAGAGGGAGAAATGCAGGAAATGGTCACACCTCCAGGGTTAGAGAATGGGAAGGGGGCATGTTTGAATAGGAGCCATGCAACAAGACAGGGAATGCATACCCCACCAGAACAAAGCAAATGGGCAAAAGTTGCAAGGGAAATAATGGGCTATTGGCTTGAGGAGTTAAGGGTTGTCAGTATGGCAGAAACTGGGTGAGCAAACAGGCTGCATAACTGGGCTTATACTCTTCTGTGTCTGATATGGCCTGAGAAAGAGTGAACACCTTTTCATTTGTAAATACAAAGATATTTCCCTTAATTATCCACCAGTCTTAGGACTTGTTGTGGAGCTTAATTCAAACAGGCTCCTTATGTGTAAGTGCTTGTTTCTCTCTCTTTTCCTTTGTCTTTCTCACATTGGCCTGTAGAGCAAGGTAGTGGCAGGTGTGCATCTTGTATTAGATAATTTTTAATAATTCGATGTCAAGTAGGTTATGTATGAAACTTGAAAAAGTCGCTGTTTATTTTTGTGGGTACCTGGACCAGATTCTAATTGCCCCAATTACTGTGTTAATATTATTTTTTGGCAATGAGAATTCATACAGTCCTTGATCCGTCATGGCCAGGGAGTGGCTCTGGTCCTTTTGAAAAAGTGTCTAGCTGCTGCAAGGTCAGAATCCCATGGTATCTGTCAGTGGAACCCTAGCACAAGGGAAATGAAGTATTTACACATTTTATTTTATTGCTTGTGAGTCAACAAAGGCTAGAAAAGGCATCCAATTACTTGGCTAAATAGCTAACTTCATTAACACCCAGGGTAGATGGTTGCAGCTGGGTCTTTTTTATAATTATTTTATTTTTTATTTCTCCACTATTTCTGTTACTGGTGGAAGTTATGCAAGTTACTGGCAGCAAATCCGTACAGCAAATCTGTAGAAACTTCAATTCTTGCCTCCTCAGAGGAAATGATTCAACTGTGAGGCATAAGGCAGAAGAAGACACCAAGGATAGTTTTAGAGCAGGAGTGAAAGTTTGTTGAAAAGCTTTAGAGCAGGAACCACATGAAGGAAAGTACACTTGGAAGAGACCCAACTGAGCCATTTGAAGCACAAATGTGTGGTTTGACCTTTTGACTTGGGGTTTTGAATGTTGGCATACTTCTGAGGTCTTGTATCCCTTCTCCCCTGATTCTTCCCTTATGGTACGTTGTCCACATGCACAATGGCCTGTCAGGGCTTGAAAGGGGAGCACTTGCAGTGTATTTACTGCAGTCGTACTCATGCTTACCAGACGCGTTCTTTCCTTTTCCAGTGGAATGCCCCCAGAAGGTCATATTCCAGTTAAACTCCACCATTTTGCCTCTTAATATGCATGCTTGAGCCCACTCTCCCAATTCCTAAGATCTTATTGGGAACTGATCACCAGTTTCAGTTGTTTTTATCTATTGAGAAACAGCTTTTCTCCGGCACTGGCTGTGAACAATTGTTATTTTAGAGAGGCAGTGTGACAACTTCCTGACCATTATCCTATGGTCACCTGACATTCTTGGTGTCGGTTGGGGGAGCCCTCTCCTGCCTGCTTATGCCTGGCTAGCTACCTACTGTAACATTTCTTAATATGGCAATGCTTTTTTATAACAACAGTTACTGAACAGAAATGTTTATCCTCTGACCTCAGTTCAGTTTACAGAAACAGTCTAGTGTGATCACTCAAAACCATTTTTATTGGAAAAATGATCATTTTGCAATTCCCAGAATCTCATAATCTTGGTTTTTAAACCTGAATTGAAAATGTTGCAGAATGCCTTTTAAAATCCCAGAGCAAAGACAGAATGGGAAAGATCCAATTACAATCTTTTTTTCCCCCAAAGTATAAAGTGATTTATTTTGAAAGAAAGCAATACTTTGGTTAATAAATGTTTTTATTCATAGAGGTGTGCCTATATAGTTTCAACGTAGTTCGGCTTTGGTAGGAGAAAGTTTTCAGACTTCACTTACAGTGGATGTGATACAAAGGGTATTCAACATTTTAACATATTTGAATTAAATAGGGTCCAAATAAATTGCTTCTGTTCAATCTATCAATTGATTAATCTACCATTTTTTAAACATAATCCGTAGTATGTTTTTGCTGGATATTTCGTTTGCCTGTCCAGATCCATTCACCAGTTTACTTGGCCCTGTGCCCTGGGAGGCTGACCTGCCTGGATTGTAGGAGAGGATTCCCTTGCCCTCTGGCTTCCAGCTGGCTTTGGCAATAGGAGAGACTGGAGCAGATAACAAACAGAAAGAGAGGGTTGGCAGTGATTGTCCTCCTGCTGTGACCTCAATCTTTTTCCTGAAGCTATAGCTGCTGTCTGATGGTAAATAAACTCCCCTTTCTTTTTTGGGTCCAGAGTAAGCACCACTCTGTGTCTTATTGTTCCTTTTTTGATTTTTCTTCACTTTTCTCACACTCTGGTAAGGCGTTTCATCATTAAACTCTCCTAAATCACTGTTCGAACATGGTATAAAACACTCTAGTCCAATTTTCCATGTTTGAGTTGGGTTGAAAGACAAATTCTGGTTTTATGCCATATCTATTGTACAACTTATTCCAGGTTGTCTATGATAATCAAAAGGAAAAAAATGCATGACTCCTAATTCCTAACTTTAATTTAAAAAAATACAAAAAGTTTCTCATCAAACCCTCCTTGGAACTCCCCAAGTGCCAGGTAGTAAATAAAGACAGTAATCAGGCTGTCTTGTGTCACCTGAACAGGAATCTGGCTTAGAGCTGTTCTGAGGTTGCATAATGTTCTTGTGGTTGAAAGAGAAACCAAGCACAGTCCAAAACCATGTTTGGACTCTTAGATTTACCTGTATTGAGTGTATGTGTCAGGAGAGACAGGGCTGAATGTGAGGAAATGTGGAGATGGAGGAAGGAGCTTCAGGGTGTTGCATTGATTGAAGCAAAATTGTCTGGGCTTCTAAATCAGACATACATTGAAGCAGAATATGGTAGCTTTTAAATTGAGGCCCTAAGATGCAAAACTGAAGACCGCTGAGGGAGGTGAAATGATATGCAGTTTGCTTAGGAAACCCCTGTAGTTCAGTGTCATCTAGAATTATCTTCCCTGTGGTTTAAATATTTCTGAAATTGAGCAACTTTTATGTAAAAGTTCTTGGATTTTGGGAAAACAAACCCAGCTGAAATATATATTATATATAGTACATGGAATATATGAGAGTCCAGTGGAGGTGGTTTCATGAAACCACTAAATTGTATGAAAAGTTGCTCCCTCCATCCCAAAGAAAACAAAGTCATTTCAAATACTAACATTAAAAAACTCCAAACAACAAAAACAACTTTCATAGAAGCCAAGTTAAATTCGTTCTTAGAAAATGTTCCCACAGAAAAGGCATAACATTTTCTTAAGCCCTGGCCAGTTAAACAAATCCGACTTTAAATAAAGGGAGTGTTAAATGTTTCTCTTCTGACAATGTTGCCCAAAACTGTAGTGTGGGTAGAATATTTTTGAAAGGCATTTGCGATATTTCTCTTTTCTCTCCTTTTCATCCCATTTTTCACCCAGTTTTGTTTCCTTGGATACTTTAAAATCAAATTTAAATTGTCTTTCACATTATGAAGGATAATAGACACCTAGATAATTCTGGGATCATACATTTGGGGTTTAAGTGCTTTAGTCAAACAATGAATTCAAAACAAAACACTTTTATTCTTTATCATTTTTATTGGCATGGGATCTTAGTTCTCATGAAGACAGACATCTTTCCTGTTCATAGTATAAAGCTTTCAGCTTATTCTCAGAGGAGATAATAAAGCAGAATTAGCACAAACTTATACTGCTCTGGTTTAGGCTTGAATATAAAGAGAAAAATGATCCCAGTGATATTTGGTCTCATAATTGCTAGGCTATCACAAAATATGCTATTTTGAAATTGCTTATAGTTATAAGAAACGAGTCAATAGTTTCATTGTTAATAGCTATAATAAAAATGAAAAGAGGAGGCTGCATAGTCAATTGTCTAGGAGATAAGCTATAGTGGGAATTTGCCTGTTAAATTAAAATTCCTGGTCTGCTGTATACCAGGTCTGTGACTTAGGGGAAATTACATAACCTCTGTGTGCTCAAATTTCTTTCATCCATAAAATGGGAATAAAGGTATCTGTATTATCAGAATATGGTGAATAATACATGAATTAATATTTCAAAAATATTTAATGCACGCATGTGATAAGGGTCATAAAGTGTTGATTCTTGTTTTTAATAGATCAAAAAGGCTTGGGTTCTTTTTCCCATTCTCGAGTTACTTATATTCTTTGTTTACCTTTTTAACCATCACATCCATAAGGGTAAGAATTGTTTAATGTTTTTACTTACTGAAAGCCAGACATTGCATTAACCATTTTACCTTCATTAGCTCCTGTGATACTTACAGTGAGTTTAAAAGACAGATATGGAATGGAAAGTAGTTCTTAACCATTGCAGTTTTATTGACTTCACTAAAATAATACATGAATCCTCGCTGAGTGTATTGTCATAAATAGTGTAGCAATCAATTAAGTCACTTAAGACTATTTATTTGATTTGCATTATCTATTTAAAAACACTACAGGCATTTGTTATTACTTGATAACCATTCTCTTCACCCATCTTGCAAAGACCTAGTAAACTTTGAAGTTTGGGGTAGGAACTTGGAACGCTCATTAAGGATTAGCATTTTCTACTGATTATTATAATGTTACCAGTTTCTCCTTCTGCAACTTGATAACTAGAAATTTTCCTTCACTTAAAAAGGTCGAATCCATTCCAGCTATTGCCATCACCCTATCATTTGAGGCCTTATTTCTTCCAACTCTTCCTTCTACTGGCTACAAAGTAGCCTCGTTATAACTTACAGTGCTATGGTGACACACTCTGAGAATTGAAGAATGTTCTATGGAATCTGTTTTTTTAAAGTAAAACCTTTATCAATTAGTATTTATGGAGAGCCTATCTAGCAGGTACTCAGCACCCATGGATGATGAAATTTTAAATGTTTAGATTTCCACTTGCCAGGCCCTTGACTCTTTCCAAATACATGCATTAAACTTTCATAATTTTGTTTTTAAATTATAATTTCTAATGCATTTAGGGTACTTGAAGACTGGCAGCACATGAAAAATAACCAGAGGTGCACCATGAGACTACTGACTCAAAATGTTTCACATGCATGAACCCCTCCCTGAAGCTGCCAGTTTCCCTTTTTTTTTTTTTTTACCTTTATGAATTGATTTACAGGAAATGAAAACATCCACATTAGTATGATTCTACACTTGCACATCTGGCATATTCCAATCTATTAAAGTAAATATGTAAATATATCATGTTTAAGTGTAACATTTTAGCATTATTTCATACGGAAATCGAATTCAAATATACTGGAAAAAATTCCCCATTTTGATTAATTTGTGGTAATATCAACCTCCAAATAAACACCATGTGCTCTGCCCTAGCATTTTTTTAAGCTTTTAGAATTTGCTTTTATGGTATCTATTATTTCCAGATGACAGGACATGGTGCTGAGAAGTATGGGAAAATATGGTTAGACTAATGGGTTTCCTGCAGATGAAATGATTCTGAATCATTTAATGCGGCTTCTATATTATCTCACTGTTGATTAAAGCAGAGGCAAATTACAGTACTGGAATCTCTGTAAGAGAAATTATCTGATGGACTGGTGCTTGAAGACGTGGGGAAATGTGATATGGCCATGAACTTGAGGTACATAATTTTCAAGCAATGCCTTCCTTAGATAGTCATGACCAGTGAGGTTCTATTCCTAAGGGAAGTGTCACTCTGATCATGACACATGTATGTCAAGATACTATCTACAGTGAAGATTGCTTTTCAACTTTCTTAATTCATAAACTTCCAAAGCTTCATCATAGATGAAACTTTGGGACCTGAATATGTTGGCTGGTTTTCTGCCTATGGGAAATTAAAAATGGCTCCTTATAAAAGAAGGATTTCAGAGGAGAAAAAGGCAAAAAGGAAGGAAATGTGTCAGAGTTGATTAATTATCAGAGTTAAAAATGTATCCGTTATAAATGGTAGTGGAGAGGTGATTTAAAAATACATTTTAAATGATGACAGCTTTATGATTTGGATGTCATTTGCTCAACACAGAGATCCTAATGTTGATTGATAGGCTTGTAGATGTCTTTCTTGGGATTTGGCAGACAAAACTGATGTCTTTGCATTAAATCAAATGCTTCCACATCTTTTAGTTCTATTATAACACTTAAAGCATCATTCACAATAATCTGCAAGACTCAGATCCTGGGGTTGTGACAAATGAAACTCACTCATCTCATCTAGATAATATTACTATTTTCCAAACTCTTTCTTAGTATCTTTCCTTTTGAAGCCATGCTGTGATAATTTCAGACTTCCCCCACCCTGTTTTTATGTATTGATACGTTCTCCCACATATTTTAGCATTTGATTTATCTTCCTTGAATTGTTATCAGTTTAGCATTGGCAATTTTTATGGTGTCTCATGCATTTTACACAATAAAAAAAAGCCTACTTATGCTCAACTCTGTTATGGTTGCATGGCTGCTGTGAAGGGAAAGGGAAGTAAAAAGGCATTTGGAGAAAACCAGTTAAGCATGAGGATAAAGAATAAAGCATAGAGGCTACAAAGGATAGAATTTATGTAACTCACTTCCAAAATAATTTTGGGGTTAAGGAACCAATATTGAATTTGAGAAGAGTATCACTTGTTTAAAAAAATAAAATAAGGAAATGGCAAAATAATATCCAATATGGAATCATGTTTCTAATTTTGACCATCCTGATATCAATTCAATCCAGGCTAAATGTAGACATACTGTGATTTTGCTGTGTGAGGATAGATTCTTGCACTTCTTGAATAGTAGTACCATATGGATTGGTACTGTAGGAAGCTGTATTTGAGAATATTTCTGGACTAATCCATTTACCATATATGAGTACTCTGAAAAAGTTGACATAACTTTCATAACTGTAATACTTACACTTGTGTCATTTATTTGTCTCCCAGAGTTAAGTCATTTGGAAGGAAAGATTATGTCTTATTCTTTCATACAACTCTACTTCTTAGCAGAATACCTCACATATAGGAGACCTTTGATAAATATCTGACACATTTATCTAAACAGGAGGCAGATTTTGGTAAAGATGTTCTGCCTCCATATACACCAGTAATTTATTTCTTTGGTTATATATTCATTTGTTCATTTAATATATGTTATCTTCTGTGATGATCTGTCTAAAATATATTTGAGTGTCTAAATATATGTCTTAGGCTAAAGATAAACAGTAAAACATAATTTTTAATAGACCATGGGAAGAGGCTTTTACTATGAGTTCTATGAATTAGGAAATTAAAATTCAAAACATTCTGTTGGGGAGACACAATGAACACAGTTGTCCTGAATGCTTAACTATTGTGAAAATTAAGTTATAACTCTAACTAGAACAGGGGTCAGCAAACTGCAGTTCATGAGTTAAATCTTGTCCACTCTTATTTATTTATTTATTTATTTATTTATTTATATTATTTTTGAGGCAGATTCTCACTCTGTTGCCCAGGATGGAGTGTAGTGGCACAATCTTGGCTCACTGCAACCTCCACTTCCTAGGTTCAAACGATTCTCAAGCCTCAGCCTCCCAAGTAGCTGGGACTACAGGCAAACACCACCAGGCCTGGCTAATTTTTGTATTTTTTGGTAGAGATGGGGTTTTACCATGTTGGCCAGGCTGATCTCCAGCTCCTGACCTCAAGTGATCCACTCGCCTTGGCCTCCCAAATTGCTGGGATTACAGGCGTGAGCCACCGCACCCGGCCCAGTCTTCATATTTATAAATAAAGTCTTGTGGGAACACAGTCACATTTATTCATTTACATTTTGTAAATAGCTGCCTTCAAGAGGTAGAGTTGAAAGTCTTTAAGACAAAGATCAGGTGGCTTGCAAAACCTAAAACGTCTGGTCTTTTACCTAAAAAGTTTGCCAACCCCAAAACAAGAATATATTCGATTGTAATCTTTACAAAGGTGTTGGCTATATTTCAGTGTGTGTACTTGAGAGCTGGAATAAGTTAAACAATTTGCTTACCTCTCTGAGCCTCAACACTCTCATCTGGAAAATAGGGATTGTTGTGAGGACCTAGTTGCTTATTCTAAGTAACGTACTGGTGAAATTGTGGTCCTCCAATCTTATCTTCAATCCAGTTCCTGTGGAGTTAGGCCTTCAATGATTATCCTTGAATAGTTGAGACTAATAGAATTAGTGTACTTGAGCAAATGACAAACAATATTTAGATTAATTCTCTTTAACAAGGCATTTGCCCAAAGATCTCTACAGGCTTGCTCTTGAATGTGAGCACCATTTATAAATATTTCATAAACATGAACCATGTTGGACAGTGAAAACCCTTTCCTTTGTTAGCATCTTTGGTAATAGCATTAATAATAATAATTCCTACCCTTTGGGGCTTGAAATGTAGAAGCCATGGTGCTAAGTGATTCAAAAAGTGATTTGTTCAAGATGCTTTAACCAGGAAATGATGAAGTTAGAATGTGAAATCTGACATAACGTGAAAAAGCAAGCTTTTTAGCCAACATCCTATCGCGCTTCCCGATGTTGTCCCTGGAGCTGCTTTTTCCTTGCCTCCACATTATTGGCATCCCTACTCTCGTTACTGCATTTTACCTTTGGATTTCAGGAAAAGAACAAGGCAGAGTCTGACAATCTACAATCTTACTGGCTTAACCAAGAGGGAAAAAGGGATCCTAATTTTTAATGAAACCATACTAAATGAGAATCAGTCTCACAGCACACATAGAAAAACCTTTTTTTAATGTAACTAATAATCAAGTTGAAATGGAGTAAAACTGTGATCATCCACCCTTTGATCACCAAAATTCGGAAATGACATGACTGACTTGGCTCTCAGGAACCTAAAACACTCAGATAGCTGAGAAGAGTCAGTAATTTTATTAACCATGCAATAACATGACGCTGCATTTTACGTATTTGATTTTTTCAGCCCTATTTGTAGAGTTATGGGAGAGCTTTGCTGTGCTATGTAAAATAGTATCTCCTGTATTCAACTAGTGTACAATTCCATCATTCAGATTGCTCAATTATGTGAGATCCGCCAATAGTTATAGCATAGTTTGAGACGTTGGGTGAGACAAGCATGGAGATTTTAGTGACGGATATATATCATTGCATTATACGGGCATAGTGGGTAGAACTATTGTATTCTCTGTGAGCTGCTTTCCAATGAGAAGGTAGGGAGGTAACATTTCTGTACTTGCCTCAGGTTCTTCTTTATATGAGAAATTCTACAACAGACAGTAAATCCTTAGGTTTCATGTCGCTTTTTCATAAAACAATGTGCATACAGAATTCTAGTTAAGCACCTGTTATGAACGGAATCACATTTCTCTAAATTTGTATGTTGAAGCCCTAATTCCCATAGTTACTGGCTAAGTGGAATCATCAGGATGGAGCCTTAGTGATACAGGACTGGTGTCCTAATAAGAAGAGGAAAAAACACCAGAGCTCTCTCTGTCTCTCTCTATGAGCCACAGAGAAAAGACCGTATAAAAACTCAACAAGAAGGTGGTTGTCTGTCAGCAGAAATAAAGCCCTCACCTAATCAGTCAGTACCTTTATTGGGGATTTCTGGCCTCCAGAACTGTGAAAAAATAAATTTCTGTTGTTTAAGCCATCCAATCTATGATGTCTTGCTATGGCAGCCACAGCTCACTCATACAGCACCTGTTGTAAACAGAAAACTAAGTTATAGCAATTCCATTCCAATGTCACTTAGATAAAAACTTTTGAAATACTTATTGTCAGATAAGACATTATGGCTGAAAGATCCCATTGTAATAATTTGCAAGTCCTTGAGAGAAATATTCAGGTACACATTTTTATAGAAGCTACTTATAAGCAAACTTTTCTTTGTACTGCCCTTATAAGTGGCAGTAAGTTTCACCCTTTGAAATGTGCTTAACATCTGATTTCTCAATCACAGGCACTTTTTGGTTATTAAAGAAAAAATATTTCAAAGAACCTAAATATCTAAATAAATATCACATGTATAAAATTTTATGTCTGCTTTTTAATAAAACAAGACATTTAATGCAGCAAATTTATGTTAAAATTTTCTTTTTATTTAAAAATATTGCTGTTATTGTTAACATTTAATTTCAAAGGGAAATTTTGTTGCTGGGATATTTGGAAGACATAGTAGAACCATTAATTTGTGGATTGCTATTACAAAATGTTTACAGAATGTCTCCTTTGCTGATCAGCATCACCCAGTATTTCTTTTAATTTTTCCACTATTCCAATAAATTTATCACACCTAGTTTAGGTTTCCTTAGCAGAATAGACTGTATATAAAGCAGTTGAGCCAGCCAGCTATTTTGATCACGACGTTGTTTTTTTTTTTTTAGGATTATAGTTAATATTTTAAGAGCCAGGCAATGTAACCTTAGCAACTGAAACAGCACTGGACTCAACAGTAACTCAGTGGTAAATGTGGTCAGGAGACAGGAATTTGGTAACTTCAGGAGAGGATGATTTGGGGTTGAGGTTTAGTTTGAGATTTAGTTTCCACCGTGTAAATTCCTGATGGTGGAGATTTTTAGGTCCATATAGCATAGGGCTTATTTTTGTAAGTTGGGGTCATCTGAGTTTGATCTTGCCAGGCCATTCCCTTTGGACTTCACAGAATGAAATTTAAGTGTTGAATTCATTATTTACATACATTTTTTTTTTCACATAAACTTTTGTGGCCTCTCTATATTTAAGAAAAATAGACATCTCTCTGTTTAAGAAAATGGCTTACATTTTAAATATATGTATGTGGCATATAAATACAGCCTATTTTTATTTTTCACATATTTTGGCAATAACTCAGGGAGTATTGTATTTCAGCTATCATAAGCACGTGAAGATTTATGGATATTTTTCTAAATCTTTAATACATCTAAAGAGCAGAGATCATTGATGTTTATGAGGAACAACACGGATATTTCAAAAACTAGATTATCATAAGGATTCCATATTGCTCCAGGACCTTCACACTGCGGCCTTGATTTGCCTTTGGATTGATCTCAGGCCACCTTCACCAGGTTCTCCATTTATAATCACAGCTGAAGACTTGTTGTCTCGGAGGGATGCAGTGCATTTCAAGGTTTTCCAGTCTTTCCTAGTACCGTTCCCTCTGCTAGTAATGCCAACACAACTCACTTCTTCTCATCTGCCATTTTTCATTTGACCAATTCCCATTTGCCCTTTTAAACATTCCTCAAGTTATCAGTGTAGCTGTTTCTGACCCTTCCATGCAGAATTAATTGGCCTGCCACAACACCAAAGACATCTTTTATTATGAATTATTTACTCACCCATCTCTGCCATTAGTGCAAATTTTCTTCAAAGGCAAGGGTTGTGTTTATGCATCTTATGTTTCATCTCGTGTGTTTGGTGCTGAGTCTGGCATGGAGTAAACAATGCATAGATGTTTGGTCACTAGGCCTGTAGTCCTAGATTTGCTAATTCTGCAGTCTAACTTTGAAAGTTTGTAAAAGACACACACACACACACATCATGTATCATATATAGTGAGGTTGTTTTAGGGAGAATCTTTGGGAAATAAAACCCTCATTCCGTGAGTAAGTTGGTGTAAATGGTATGATCTGTTTCATGATTTTGGGAATAAACTCATATCTTTTTAATGTTGGGATCTCATTTATTCCAGCTAGCATGAACCAGAACCAGTCTCTCTCTCGGGTCTTTCGTATGCTATGAATTATTAATGGTATCCAAGGAGCAAATTCTTGAGTCTGCCTCATTTATTGGAGGCCAGAATTCAGATACATGTAGAAATAAAATATTTCTACAAATGGCCCTAGAAAATGGCCAGAGAAAAAGCAGGAGAAATTCCTGTCCTCAATTTTTCACTTTTATTGCAATAACATATACAGAACATAAAATTTACCATTTTTAAAGTGTGTAATTCAGTGGCATTAAGTATTTTCGTATTGTTGTGCAACCAACAGCACTAACTGTATCCAGAAATTTTTCACTATTCCAAACTGAAATTCTGTACCTATTAAATCCTAACTCCTCATTCCCTTCCTTCCCCCAGGCCTTTGTAATCATTTTTATTCTAGTTTCTGTCTCTATGAATTTGACTATTCTACTCATGTCATATAAGCAGAATTACACAATATTTGTTGTTTTGTGTCCAACTTATTTTGCTCAACATAATATCTTCAGAGTTCATCCAGGTTGTAACATGCATCCGAATTTTCTTCCTTTTTTAAGACTGAATGATTTCTATTGTATGTATACAACACATTTTGTTTATCCACTCATCCATTATGGGCATTTGAGTTATTTCTACCTTTTTGGCTATTGTGAATAATGTTGCTATAAATTTTGATGTACAAATATCTGTTTAAGTCCCTGGTTTAAAATCTTTGTAGTGTGTGCCAAAAGTGGAACTACTGGATCATTTAGTAATGCTATGTTTAAGGTTTTGAGAAACCGCTATACGTTTTATCATAGTGACTGCACCATTTTACATTTCCACCGAGAAGGTCTAAGGGTAATAATTTCTCCATATCCTTGCCAACTTGTTATTTTCTGTTTGTTTGTTTGTTTGTTTGTTTTTGTAAATGTTATACTAGCTATCTGAACAGGTATAGGAGGGATTTTTTTTTCCTGCTGCTGCCAGAAAAAAATTACTTTTTGCCAGAAATATTCCTTGCATTAAGGAAGCAAAGAACACCAGCTGGGTGACTGACAGTTTTTAAATAGCTCATTTTAATATAATGTTCTAAAATATAAAATGAGCAGAAATATCTCATGCCTAATGAGATAACCCTTGCTTTGGTCAAAAATTCCTGTGTGGCGGTAGTACATGTCACCTCCTGGTGAAGAGCTCCTGGATGACTTGCTGTGTGCCTTTTCCTATTAGTGGGATGTACCTGATAATAGAGCCCACTGGCCTATGTTCTTTATTAAAGACCACAGGAGCAGAGCCCTAGATGGGCATGTAACGTGAGTGAGAAACAAATCTTTGCTGTTTTAGGCCACTGAGATTTAGAGTTTGTTACCAAAACCTAACCTAGCTTATTCTGGCTGACACAACCCAATAATCCTTTGTGAAATTGATGTTACCATAAATGAGATGTACAAAGGCTATTATCCAAAGAAGAGAATAACGTCAAGAACATATATCAATTCAGAGAGTTTCCATTTTTAATCCAGTGAAAGATAATTTTTAAAAAGTGTGTAAAGTTAGAGTTTGTAGCTTAGAGATTGTATAGATAAATGTACTGCCAAGGAAAGACTGCACTGCACTATACCGATGGAAACTTTATTTGGATACTTATACTATATAAAGTAGCATATTTCACCATAGAGGGTTCATCTTTAGAAAACCTGTTTTATTTTAGGTATCCCTTTAGCCTATTTACTAATTAGATGGCATTGCTACATTAAATATAATTTCTCTTTATGTCTCTACAAATGTATTTATTTATCTTTGTCACTTAGCAAGTTCTTCATTCATTCATCTTCTTATTCATTTATAAATTCATTCAATAATGATGTTTAATGCCTAGTGGATGTATTCTGTTTGGTACTGGAGGTGAAGGGGTGTGTGTGTGTGTGTGTGTGTGTGTGTGTGTGTGTGTGTGTCTGTGTTTGTGACAGTTATACTGGTTAATGGGTATTGAGACAATATTACATTGTCCCCATCCTCAAAAACTTTGCAGTCTAGTGTATATATAGTCACAATGACCTTCAAGTACTGGAATTACCAAATTATAGTGGTAGAACAACATTTTTCGGTAGAATAATAGTCATTTGGACACTAACTAGTGACAACTTCAAGCCTGTGTAATTCAACTGGAAAAGATCAATCCTGTCCCAGAAGAATGTGCTGTTTTACTCAATGAGCAGGAAAGATGGTTGTGAAGACATGGATGCATCCCAGTACCTGGAAAGTTCTCTTAGAATGGGGGACTCAGTTCAGAGAGGGAGTAGATATTACTTAAAGACACATAAAGAGGCGTTTTTTCCAATAAACAGTCCACATGAAGCAAAAACTTCCTTCTCTGACAAAAGTCAAATCATCTACAGTCATGTTCCATATAACCACGTTTCAGCCAATGACAGACTGCACATACAATGGTGGTCCCATGATAATATAATGATGTTAAAAAATTCCTGTTTCCCTGTGACATTGTAGTCATTGTAATGGCATGGTTTAATACATTACTCATTTGTTTGTGGCGGTGCTGGTGTGAACACACCTGCTATGCTGCCAGTCATATAAAAGTACCTGATAATAATAAATGAGTATGTTACTGATTTATGTATTTACTATACTATATATTTTATCATTATTTTAGAGGTTATTCCTTCTACTTATAAAAATTAATTGTAAAACAGCCTCAGGCAGGTCCTTCAGGAGGAATTCCGGAAGAAAGCATTGTCTTCATATATATTGATGATCGTGATCCTGTATAGGCCGAGGCTAACGTGTGTGTTTATGTCTTAATTTTTAACAAAAAAGTTTGAAAAGAAAAAAATCAAAAGTAAAAATAGAATGAGCTTCTAGAATAAGAAGATAAAGAACAAAACACATTCACAACTGTACATTGTATTTGTGTTTTAAGCTAACTGTTATTACAAAAGAGTCAAAAAAAGTTTTAAAAAGTTTATAAAGGTAAAAATTTACCGTAAGTGCAGGTTAATGCATCATTAGAGAAATTTTTAAAGTAAATGTAGTGTAGCCTAAATGTACAGTGATTATAAAATCTACAATAGTGTACAGTAATGTCCTAGGCCTCACAGTCGCTCACCATTCACTCACTCAGAACATCATCCAGTCTTGCAAGCTCCGTTCATGGTAAGTGCCACATGCAGGTGCACATTTTTCATCTTGTATTTTTCTTGTACCTTTTCTATTTTTAGATATGTTTAGCTACAAAAGTACTGACCATTGTGTTACAATTGCCTACAGTATTCAGTACAGTAACATGCTGTGTCTGTTTGCAGCTTAGGAGCAACAGGCTATACCATGTATCCTAAGTGTGTAGTAGGCTATACCACCCAGGTTTCTGTAAGTATACTCTGTGATGCTCATACAATGACAAAATCACCTAGTGACTCCTTTCTCAGAACATATCCCCGTCGTCAAGCCAGGTATTACCGTATATAACTCCTTAATCTCTTCCCATCTGGCTTTAACTGCTACTGCTCCGCTGTAACTCTTGTTCAGGGACCTCCAAGATATTCTGACCTTAGATCATCAAATTATTTTCCATATTGGAACATATTACCATTTCCGTATTACAACATACTTCCATATTATGACACTATTGGCCCTGGAATCTGTCATGAAATTCTCCTGTCTTCCTTTTCCATTTTTTCCTCATCATTATTCGTGGAAGTTTTTCCAGAATATTAGCCTTTGGCCTCCTTCTCTTTTCTTCATTGTTCTCTCATTTGTTACTGCACCTACTCTTAAAACTTTATCTTTCATTTCAAGTAAATAACTTTTTTTTTCTTTTCAACTTTTATTTTAGGTGCAGGGGATGCATGTGCAGGTTTGTAACATGGGTAAATTGTGTGTCATGGGGGTTTGGTGTACAGATTATTTCATCATTCAGGAGATGAGCATAGTACCTGTTGGTAGTTTTTCTAACCTCAACTTTTTCCTACCCTCCACTCTCAAGCAGGCCTTGATGTCTATTGTGTGTGCCCTGTTTTGTGTTTCATGTGTACTCCATGATTAGCTCCCACTTATAAGTGAGAACATGCAGTATTTGGTTTTCTGTTCCTGCACCAATTTGCTTGGGATAATGGCCTCCATTTCCATCCACATTGCTGCAAAGTACACAATTTCATTCTTTTTTTATGGCTTCCTAGTAGTCCATAGTGTATCTGTACCACATCTTCTTTATCTAGTCCACTGTTGATGGGCATCTAGGTTGACTCCATGTCTCTGCTATTATGAATAGTGCTGCAATGAACATACATGTGCATGTGCCTTTATGGTAGAATGATTTATATTCTTTTGGGTATTTACCCAGTAATGAGATTTTTGGGTTGAATGGTAGTTCTGTTTCAAGTTCTTTGAGATATCTCCAAACTGCTTCCCACAGTGGCTGAACTAATTTACATTCCCACCTGCAGTGTATAAGCTCTCTCTTTTCTCTGCGGCCTCACCAGAATGTTATTTTCTACTTAGTAATAGTCATTCCGACTGGTGTAAGATGGTATCTCATTGTGGTTTTGGTTTACATTTATCTAATGATGAGTGACATTGAACATTTTCTCATATGCTTGTTGATGGTGTATATATCTTCATTTGAGAAACGTCTGTTCATATCCTCTGCCCATTTTTTATTTTTTTGGTTTGTTTTGTTTCTTTGCTTGCTTATTTGTTTATGTCCCTTGTAGATTCTGGCTGTTAGACCTTAGTTAGATACATATTTTGCAAATATTTTCTCCCATTCTGTAGGTTGCCTGTTTACTCTGTTGATAGTTGATTTTTTCTATGCAGAAGGTCCATAATTACGTCCCATTTGTCAATTTTTGTTTTTGTTTCAATTGTTTTTGGAATCTCCATCAATACCTGTATTAATTATTCCTTTCCAAATTCCATTTCTCTGATTGCAACTATCTGGTGAATGTCTCCTTCTACATATTATTTAAATGTTTCAAAGTTAAATGTTTTAAAAAGAAAAATTGTTTTGCTTATTTCTCTCACAATTTTTTACCAGTTCCCTCAGGCTACAAGCCTCCAAGTCATGTCTTCACGGTTAAGACCATAATATAGGTTAGACATACCTGAATTAAAATGTCAACTTTACTCTGGAAGCTGTGAAACCTTAAATAGTTTACTAACATCTGTAAGGATCTATTTTCTCATCTATATACTAGGATAATAATAGCAACTTCCTGTCCAGGATATTTATATAAAATAACTAATTCATGTAGAACACAATTTGTAGAGGTAGATACAGGGTAAGTGCTACAAATTGGTAGTTTTTATTAATATTTAATATTATCCTCATATTTAAAATCAGAAACTAAGTACATTTACTTCTACCTTTAAAATAGGTCTTACATGAATTCTTTACTTTCCATTCCCTCTTAACCACTTTTATTTCAACTCATATTACTTCCCTTGCTTGTATACCATGGAAGAGTGGGCATTTTATTCAGGCCTTAACACCTGGACAGAGATAATCAGAAAAGGGGATAGAAAGCATTTTAGTTGACAGAAACCACTGAGGCAGGAAAATGAGCATTGTCTTCAATGACAAGCAAAGACTAGACTTTCTCTGGAACATGGAGTTTATGTAGAGGATGTTTATAATGATTGAGTTCAATGTGCCTTCTTCCATGGGCAAGAGGACAGGAGAATCTGATTGATAACAGAAGGGTCATCTGCAAATCTGTGCTTCATGAATATTAAGAGAATCTGGTTTTAGAATATGACAGAACAGAATAAGGAGATATTGGAGAGAAGGGCTAGGAGGCTGCTGGAATTACACAGTTGAAAAATGATGCCTTTCGGTCATGAAGAGAAATCCCAGAAAGCAAACTAACAATTCTGGAGAAGCCAGACTCTATTCCAGAGATTGTTTTCCAGTCTCTATAGGAAGGAAGAAAAGACTATGCTCGATTGAGAGAATCTGGATTATAGTAAAGGTGCCGAAAGTAGGAACCTGAGTATGGAAGAACATGGCAGGATTGCAGTTACTAGAGCCAGATTCCCACATGAGCCAGGACAAAGGAGGAACTCAAGCTGTTAGAATTATGTTCATGAAATCTCCAGTATTTACGCAGAATGTTCTTTTCTTGAGACAGGATCTCGCTGTGTCACCCAGGCTGGAGTGCACTCCCACGATCATAGCTCGCTGCAGCATCAACGTCCTTGGCTCAAGTGATCCTCTCTCATCAGCCTCCTAAGTAGCTGGGACTACAGGTGCACACTGCTATACCAGGCTTGTTTTTTAAAACACGATTTGTACAAATGTGCTCTTGCTTTGTTGCCCAGGCTGGTATTGAACTCCTGGCTTCAAGTGATCCTCCTGCCTCAGCCTCCCAAAGTGCTGGGATTATAAGCATGAGCCACTGTGCCCAGCTTCAGAATGTTCTTATATGCATATGTGCATATGAATTTTCTGGGGACCATGTCCATAGCGTTTATCAAACCCCAAGAGGCCCCTAAACAACAACAAAAAATATTTAAGACTTGCTACATTAGACTGTAAGCTTTATGATGACTAAGACCATCTTATTCTGGTACAGCACTTCGTCTGCTGTGTGTGAGCCACATCTGTTTTAATGACCATTTTATTGATTGAATGAATGGATTAATACATGAGGGAATAAATGAATGTCTTTACTCTTAATGCTTTCCTTGAGGAAAGACACTTGAACTTCAGACCACGTATTTTTTGAGTATTTTATATTTACAACTAGTCATGTAATATTGTCGAACCGAAGAAATTCTCCTGAATAGAATAAAAGCTCTCAATGCTCACTTTCTGTGTTGGCTTGGGCCCTCTGAGATGTAGATGCCAAGACATATTAAGTGTGCGAGAGATTTATTAAAAGAGATTTATCACCAAATAATAACAGTAAATAGTGATCGAGATTTAGACAACTCCTGCGAATGACAACAGGAGAAGGAGAAAGAGTTAGAAGGTAGAGCCTTTGGACTGCCATGCTGTTCTCACACCAGAGAAACGAGAGAGGAAGAAAGTAAGATTGGGTAAGAGGAGCCTCCGATTGCAATAAAGTTCTGAGAAAGGCTCCACAAGTCTAATTTGGAGTCTTTGAGTCAAAGTTACAAATGTTTCCACTTCAGAAACAAATGGGGCAGCACTAGCAGCCTGCTATACTCAGTCATTAGCTGGGAGCAGCCAGGAGGATGTGAGGCCTTGAAGTGAATGATCAAAGTGCCCATACATGGAAGCTGTCATTCAACTATGCTACTCAAAGTAGGCTCTCTTGAAGAGAGTTCTGAGAACACACCTCCATACCTGCTGTATTTTGTACCAGGAAAATTTTACAGATCATAGTTGATATATGAACTTTCCACTAAGCTTTTACTGGATGTTTGTGCTGGATGAAAACCAGAATTTCAGGAGTGTTCCTGAGAATAGCAGTCACACAGTGATTATATGGATCAAGATTGCTTAAAGGACTATAAGACTTGTGCAAACCAGGCTGAGGAAATAAACAACATTGTCTGTTTATTATGGGCTATATTTTTGTGAGGGGACAATGAATAAGACTGACTGTCTGATAAGTGTCTGTGCAAATAATTATTTGCTTTCTGATGGATTCTAAAAATCTGAAATGGCATGAGAATTGATATTCAAATTTAAATGACCTTCATCTCTTGGAGACAACAAACCAGTGTTTAAGTAGCCACCTAAGACGATGTAGTCTGTATTGTGGGGACTACTCTGCCTCCAGTCATCTATGGTAAGATTCTGAACACAAAAATGTGAAGTGGCTCGGTGCAGTGGCTCACACCAGTAATCCCAGTGACTCAAGAGGCTGAGGTGGGAGGATCACTTGAGTCCAGAGCTTCCGGGCTGCAGTGAGCTATGATTATGCTGCTGCATTCCAGCCTGGGCGGCACAGCAAGAGCCTATCTCTAATAAGTAAGTAAATAAATAAAGTGCATTTAGAACATATTTAAGATATAGCATTTACAAGAAAAGCTTAACTCAAAGATCAACTGGGATCAACTTCTTCTTCAATGCAATAGATATATATTTCATGGAATTTTGGAGTGGGAAATGACGTGAAAAATTTTCCAGTTTTGACCTGTAGACTGAGACCATTTGGAAATGATTCTCTCCCTCTACATATTCCAACTGAAAACCAAAACTATTGACCCTTTCTCTTGCTCTCCTTACATTATTCTATATCCCTGGGATCTGGAACATAGAATTTAGACTGTACCATTCATTTTGTAAAAGCTGACTTTAAAAGTTTTGATATCTGGATAAAGTAAACAAGAGGTAGAAAGGAGAATTAGTATGACTGCTTCAAATCAGGTTCCTGTACTTTCAATTCAGAGTTTATTTTCCAGCATACTTTCTCCACACAGTCAAAATTACTAGAGCAAGAGAAAATCTCATAATTAGGGGAAAAAGAAATTGCATAAAGGTAAATGTGTGAGTCTATGTCTGAACTTGGCTAATGAGTTCACATTTGTGAAACCAAGAACACAGATATTTCCCCAAAATAATGTTTTAAGCAGAATGAGTTTAGCAAAATGAACATAATCTATCCATTTCCCCCAAAGAAATGTTGCAACAAGGTTTACAATTAATTGAGCTTTTCTTCAATGGGTCTATAAAAGTGTATGTAGTTTATAACCTGTGAATTTCTCAACCTTTGTAAGTATTGCATTCTCAGGAAATATCAGTAATGCTTTAGTAGCTATAGACATTATTTTCTTCCTTGTCTTTCTACACAATAGATATGCCATACTTCAACTGGAATGGAGTCATCATTTCAAACAATGAAAATAGATACAAAATCATATAGAACCAGTTCAGGTAAAAATATTCTGAGGAAGGGGTTATATGGAAGTGCCATATGCTCAGAGGGCCATATACATTGAATCAATTGCCTTCTGAAAGAATTTCTCCTTAGTCAAAAATAGCAGTCCTTTGGGTTTAGTTTTAACCTTCTTGGATAAAATAATGTGTTCAATGGAATATCAATCTCTTTTGATCATTGACACAAAAGGAACATTGGTGTAGCCTTTCTGTCAATCTTCTCTCAGTAGTTCAAGTGGTTACTCCAGAAAAATAATTCCAAAATGCCTGTAACATTTACTCTACCTTTTCCATCCTATTAACATGATGGATGCCTTACTTTGCACTACTATAACCAAATAACACAGAGTGAGAAATGTATAAAGAAAAGAAATTTATTTCTCACAGTTTTGTATGCTGGGAAGTCCGAGATCAAGGGGCCAGCATGTGGCGAAGGCTGCTCTTCGCTTTCAAGGTGATGCCTTGATGCAGCATCCTCCTGCCGGGAGGAAAGCTGGGTCCTTGTGTGGTGGGAGGCAGAAGGATAAAAAGGGGTGAACTCTGTCTGCCCAGCTTTTGTTGTAGGGGCACCTAATCCCTTTCATGATGGCAGAGACCTCATGACCCAATCACCTCCCAAAGACCACACCTCTAAATACAATCACTTTGAAAACACCCGAATTGTGAAAGGTACTTATTCAAACCATAGCATTGAAATTATATTTTCCCACTGAAACACAGACTACTCTTTTCAGTAAATTCTGTTCAGGACCCAGTTGCTGAGTGGAAAATGATGTGCTTGATAATCTAATCATCTATTAAAACCTTACAGAAAACACATGCACCATTTTTTTTTTCTCATGGCAGAGCATGAACCCTGATAATCTCAAATCTGTGTTCAGTAAATTAGGAAACCTTCTGTATTTATCTCAGTAAAACACATGGACTTTTTATCTCTTATCTCCAGGCAGTTTCAGATAACCCACTTATGGAAACACCAGTGCCAACTTTTTGTTGTCAGCTACATTCACACATTTAGATTGCAATTTTTTCAAAAGGATGCTAAAGGTATAAATGTTATTTTTAATATCTGGTTTTATATTAAAGACAAAGAGTATTCTCAAGCTTTTTTTTCTTTAGTTTCGTTAAGTTCTTTTAGTATAAAAGCGTGAAAGGTGACATACCCATTTTCATTCTGTAAGAAGTTAGAGTAGTCTAGCAAGCTGTGTTATTAAAATATGAATTTTCTCTAAATGTTTAGTAAATAGTTTTTCTTATTTGTAGAGCTAATGAGATTATATCTACTATTTATGTTTTAAATTAAAGACAGATATATATACAACATCACATAACCCTATGCATCATATTTATCATTTAGTCTTCATGTTTACCCTGTAAGGCAGGTATCATCACCTTCATTTTATGTAAATGAGACTTGGCTAAATATGTTACCCTAAGTCATAAAATTAGCTGGTGACTAGAACCCAGGCAGTCCAACTGCCAAATCGCTAATTTTTTAATGAGTCTTACTGCTTCCATGATGGTAACACTCTCTCTAAGGCCTGAGCATTTTGTGTTCATGTATTATTTAATGGTCCAGTTGAAACACTGTGGAATGGTGCCAAGAATATGAACTGTGGTTTTGTATGGATTTCACTTTCATTTCTTACTCCACTTCCTACCTGCAGTGTGATTTGGTGCAAGTTACATATATTCTCTGAGTCTTATTTCCTCAGCTATAAATAAAACAAGTAATGTTTATCTGTCAACCTAAATAGCAACTAGAAAAAAACTCTCTAAAAGAACAAGGGAACAGATTTAGTAAACCATGTTTTTATTCAGGAAGGAAAAGGACAAATGTTTTTAAAGGAAAAAAAATGAGGAGGATTATATAATTGTTTTGAAAGAAATATCCTTGGCTAGAAAGATCAATAGTAAGGGTGATGCCAGTTCGAGGTTGGACAGGCAGTTGCTGGCAAATGCCTTTGCAGAAGTATTTTTTGTGTAAGGTTGTGATGGCCTTTGTGCAAGGTTGTGGCATTTGCAGAGTCGTTTGTGATATTTTTGTTATACAAGCCTGAGAACCCTCTCTTCATGGCATTTTCTGGCTCTATTCTATTTGTCAGGGTTTTTTCTTTTTTAATATTAGTGGCTTTATTTTCATCCTGAAAATTTTTACATCTCCCTCTCCCCTTTTTTTTGAGACAGTCTCACACTGTCATCCAGGCTGGAGTGTAGTGGCACGATCTCTGCTGACTGCAACCTCTACTTCCTGGGTTCAAGTGATTCTCCTGCCTCAGCCTCCCAAGTAGCTGGGACTACAGGCATGCACCACCACACCCGGCTAATTTTTGTATTTTTTTGTAGAGACTTGGTTTCACCATGTTGGCCGGGCTGGTCTCAAACTCCTGCCCTCAAGTGATCCACCCGCTTCGGCCTCCCAAAGTCCCGGGATTGGAGCCATGCGTCATCGCGTCCAGCCCATTTCCCCTTTTTGATCAAGATCTTTCTTCAAAAGCATCACTGAGCAGTCATCTTCTAGTTGGGTTTTGATGTTCCTCAGTGCCAGGATGAACGTGCTCCAATTGTTGACCGAGTCTCAATTTGGGAGAGTGATTGGGAACTAGGAGTCAGTGTCAAACTGTTTAGTCACATTTGAGCAACAGGGGAGGTTTGAAGCGGGTGGCTTTCAGGCTTAGTCTGCCCTGAGTCTACTATTAAGTTCCATTTTGGCCATTCCATGGTCTTGTGCTATCATCAGAATGTGCTGGGCCAGTACTATTTTGTTAGAAGCTGTATTCTTCAAGAATTAAACAAGTAATAGAAACAAAATACAAAGTAAAATTAATAGTAATATGTCAATTCCAGGTTTCATAATGGTTTTGGGCCATGAACCTAGGCTTAAAGTAAAGCAATTGAATAAATCAATGATCCTCGGGATTTAGGTGACACCTGTTGAAAACATGTGGCCTATTTTCTCATTTTTATTTCTTATTATTTTTTCTTATTAGTACTTATGATTCTCAACTTTTCCAGAGTATTTTATCCAGGTAATGTAGTATTAGCAGTGGCACAAACATTTTCTTATTTAACAAGTTGTTAAAGCAAACTAAACATGGCCTGAGAAGGACTCTGTACTTCTATATTTGAGTCCTTGTGGATGAACTGTAACCTAGCTTAATAGTAGATGAGATGGAAAACCTAACGTAGCAGTACGTGCCTGTAACAATAGCTAAGTTTTGAGAAATCCCAGTGGCCATACTTCAACCATTCATACACTGCTGAGTGTTCAAACTGTGTTCAAATAAGGCATATGCTGAGCGGTAACCAATCCAGCCATTCTATAACTCACTTCCCATTTCTGTATGTCAATTTCCCTTTTTTGTCTATAAATCTTCTTTGATCCAAATGGCTGTGCTGGAGTCTCTGATTCTGGGGGCTGCCGGATTCCCTAATCATTCATTGCTCAATTAAACTCCTTTAAATTTAACTCGGCTGAAGTTTTTCTTTTATCAAAGTGGATGTTAAAAAATTTCTCAGGTTAGGTTTTGTTATCAAAAGAAGAAACTGATTGCAAAATTCTAATTGCACCATTATGTTGTCAAATAGAAAATGTAGACATCAAGAGAGGTAAGAGTCTTATTACAATATGGAATTTTGTTCTGACATGGTGGAAAAAGCTATTTACAGCATGAAAAATCCAAATTCTTTTTTTAGTTTGCAGTTTGAATGTCTCTGGTCATAACATTGTGTGGTTTAGTGAACCTTTGTATGGCCTATACATCAGATATGAAGCTGATTTGTTCCTTAAAATGCATCTAGTTTTAGCTTAGAGGGCTTTAGAAACACAGGAGTTTTAATTTTTAGCTGGAAAAATATAGACCAATACCCTGCAAATAATGAGTTGCTACAATGAATGGTAATAACAAAGACACGTCAAGGCACAAAGAAGATCCTTGTGGCTAGAGCAAGAATGTATTCTATACAAGAAATAATGGTCACAGAGGAAATAAAAGTATCAGTTTTTTAAAAAACTAGGCACGCATCCCACATCTTAGAATGGCACTTTCTGGTCAAAATGTTAATGGAGAACTTGATGTGACCGAGGAGGTCTCATGAGTTTTCATACTACTCGTTTATTTCCTTCTACAATAGTTAAATTACTAATTCCAGCCCAAATTACTAATAGAGTTGGAGATGGTGATGAAGATGGTAGGGAAGAGAAATCTCACCAATAAGGCCAGCAAATACTCTGTGCGTGTTTCTGTGTGTGTGCCTGTGCATGTGACTTGTGTTTTGTAAGGATGGAGGTAGCTAGAAAAAGAATGAGAGAGAAAAGCCATAACCATTTCAAGTTTCATCTCCTCACCCTCAGAATAATAATAAGCGTTAAAAATTATTCAGCCATTATAATGCACTAGGAAGTGAATCCTTTTTAATGAATTACCTTTTTAATCCTTTCAAGTTCTCTAAATTGGGTACTATTGTTACTGATATTTTACATATGAGAAAACTGAGGCACATAGGTTAATTAATTGCCTAAACTTACATATCCTGTAACTAAACTAGTAGGGATATAAACCCAGGCAATCCTATCCTGAAGGTCTATGATAACTACTATACTATACTATCTCCCTGGTATGCTTTTTCTCTGAGGACAGTCATTAGTGTCACTCATCACTTAGTTTGGGTCTGGCTTGGACCTTGGCCAGCCTCTATTTATATTTTTATCAATACATTAGATTTATAGGAAACCTATAATAGAGATTTCTTTCAAGGAACTCAGGACACCATTCAAAAACATAGATATGGAGTTGCTCTTCTTGAGGAGTATCTTTGTGGCATTCTCTGTATTTCCTGAATTTGAATGTTGGCCTGCTTTGCTAGGTTAGGGAAGTTCTCCTGGATAATATCCTGCAGAGTGTTTTCCAACTTGGTTCCATTCTCCCTGTCATTTTCAGGTACACCAATCAGACGTAGATTTGGTCTTTTCCCATAGTCCCATATTTCTTGGAGGCTTTGTTCATTTCCTTTTACTCTTTTTTCTCTGAACTTCTCTTCTCGCTTCGTTTCATTCATTTGATCTTCAATCACTGATACCCTTTCTTCCAGTTGATCAAATCGGCTACTGAAGCTTGTGCATTTGTCATGTAGTTCTCATGCCATGGTTTTCAGCTCCATCAGGTCATTTAAGGACTTCTCTACACTGGTTATTCTATTTAGGCATTCATCTAATCTTTTTTCAAGATTTTTAGCTTCTTTGTGATGGGTTTAAACTTCCTCCTTTAGCTAGGAGAAGTTTGATCGCCTGAAGCCTTCTTCTCTCAACTCGTCAAAGTCATTCTCCATCCAGCTTCGTTCTGTTGCTGGTGAGGAGCTGTGTTCCTTTGGAGGGGGAGAGGCACTCTGAATTTTAGAATTTTCAGGTTTTCTGCTCTGTTTTTTCCCTATCTTTGTGGTTTTATCTACCTTTGGTCTTTGATGATGGTGACGTACAGATGGGGTTTTGGTGTGGATGTCCTTTCTGTTTGTTAGTTTTCCTTCTAACAGTCAGGACCCTCAGCAGCAGGTCTGTTGGAGTTTGCGGGAGGTCCACTCCAGACCCTGTTTGCCTGGGTATCAGCAGTGGAGACTGCAGAACAGCGAATATTGCTGAACAGCAAATGTTGCTGCCTGATTGTTCCTCTGGAAGCTTCATCTCAGAAAGGTACCCGGCCGTGTGAGGTGTCAGTCTGCCCCTACTGGGGGGTGCCTCCCAGTTAGGCTACACAGGGGTCAGGGACCCACTTGAGGAGGCAGTTTGACCATTCTCAGATCTCAAACTCCATGCTGGGAGAACCACTACTCTCTTCAAAGCTGTCAGACAGGGACACTTAAGTCTGCAGAGGTTTCTGCTGCCTTTTGTTTGGCAATGTCCTGCCCCAAGAGGTGGAATCTACAGAGGCAGGCAGGCCTCCTTGAGCTGCAGTGGGCTCCACCAAGTTCAAGCTTCCCGGCTGCTTTGTTTGCCTACTCAAGCCTCAGCAATGGTGGGCGCCAGTCCCCTAGCCTCACTGACACCTTGCAGTTTCATCTCAGACTGCTGTGCTAGCAATGAGTGAGACTCTGTGGGCATGGGACCCTCCAAGCCATGCACGGGATATAATCTCCTGGTGTGCTGCTTGCTAAGACCATTGGAAAAGCCCAGTATTAGAGTGGGAGTGACCCGATTTTCCAGGTGCCATCTGTCACAGCTTCCCTTGGCTAGGAAATGGAATTCCCTGACCCCTTGCACTTCCTAGGTGGGGTGATGCCTCACCCTGCTTTGGCTCATGCTCAGTGGGCTGCACCCACTGTCCTACACCCACTGTCCAACAAGCCCCAGTGAGATGCACCCAGTACCTCAGTTGGAAATGCAGAAATCAACTATCTTCTGCGTCGCTCATGCTGGAAGCTGTAGACTGCAGCTGTTCCTATTTGGCCATCTTGGAACCAAGACACATAATTGTCAGATTCACCAAAGTTGAAATGCAGGAAAAAATGTTAAGGGCAGCCAGAGAGAAAGGTCGGGTTACCCACAAAGGGAAGCCCATCAGACTAACAGCAGATCTCTTGGCAGAAATTCTACAAGCCAGAAGAGAGTGGGGGCCAATATTCAACATTCTTAAAGAAAAGAATTTTCAACCCAGAATTTCATATCCAGCCAAACTAAGCTTCATAAGTGAAGGAGAAATAAAATCCTTTACAGACAAGCAAATGCTGAGAGATTTTGTCACCACCAGGCCTGCCCTACAAGAGCTACTGAAGGAAGCACTAAACATGGAAAGGAACAACCGGTATGAGCCACTGCAAAAACACGCCAAATTGTAAAGACCATCGAGGCTAGGAAGAAACTGCGTCAACTAATGAGCAAAATAACCAGCTAACATCATAATGACAGGATCAAATTCACACATAACAATATTAACTTTAAATGTAAATGGGCTAGATGCTCCAATTAAAAGACACAGACTGGCAAATTGGATAAAGAGTCAAGGCCCATCAGTGTGCTGTATTCAGGAGACCCATCTCATGTGCAGAGACACACATAGGCTCAAAATAAAGGGATGGAGGAAGATCTACCAAGCAAATGGAAAACAAAAAAAGGGGTTGCAATCCTAGTCCTGGATAAAACAGACTTTCAATCAACAAAGATCAAAAGAGACAAGGCCATTACATAATGGAAAAGGTATCAATTCAATAAGAAGGGCTAACTATCCTAAATATATATGCACCCAATACAGGAGCACCCAGATTCATAAAGCAAGTCCTTAGAGACTTACAAAGAGATTTAGACTCCCACACAATAATAACAGGAGACTTTAAAACTCTACTGTCAACATTAGACAGATCAACGAGACAGAAAGTTAACAAGGATATCCAGGAATTGAACTCAGCTCTGCACCAAGTGGACCTAATAGACATCTACAGAACTCTCCACCACAAATCAACAGAATATACATTCTTCTCAGCACCATATCACACTTATTCCAAAACTGACCACATAGTTGGAAGTAAAGCACTCCTCAGCAAATGTAAAAGAACAGAAATTATAACAAACTCCCAGACCACAGTGCAATCAAACTAGAACTCAGGATTAACAAACTCACTCAAAACCGCTTAACTACATGGAAACTGAACAACCTGCTCCTGAATGACTACTGGGTACGTAACGAAATGAATGCAGAAATAAAGATGTTCTTTGAACCCAATGAGAACAAAGACACAACATACCAGAATCTCTGGGACACATTTAAAGCAGTGTGTAGAGGGAAATTTATAGCACTAAATGCCCACAAGAGAAAGCAGGAAAGATCTAAAATTGACACCATAACATCACAATTAAAAGAACTACAGAAGCAAGAGCAAACACATTCAAAAGCTAGCAGAAGGCAAGAAATAACTAAGATCAGAGCAGAACTGAAGGAGATAGAGACACAAAAAACCCTTCAAAAAATCACTGAATCCAGGAGTTGGATTTTTGAAAAGATCAACAAAATTGATAGACTGCTAGCAAGACTAATAAAGAAAAAAAGAGAGAAGAATCAAATAGATGCAATAAAAAATGATAAAGGGAATATCACCACCGATCCCACAGAAATACAAACTACCATCAGAGACTACTATAAAAACCTGTATGCAAATAACTAGAAAATCTAGAAGAAATGGATCAATTCCTGGGCACATACACCCTCCCAAGACTAAACCAGGAAGAAGTTCAATACCTGAATAGACCAATAACAGGCTCTGAAATTGAGGCAATAATTAATTGCCTACCAACAAAAAAAAGCCCAGGACCAGACGGATTCACAGCCAAATGCTACCAGAGGTACAATGAGGAGCTGGTACCATTCCTTCTGAAACTATTCCGATCAATAGAAAAAGAGGGAATCCTGCCTAACTCATTTTATGAGGCCAGCATCATCCTGATACCAAAGCCTGGCAGAGACGCAACAAAAAAAGAGAATTTTAGACCAATATCCCTGACGAACATTGATGCAAAAATCCTCAATAAAATACTGGCAAACCAAATCCAGCAGCACATCAGGAAGCTTACCCACCATGATCAAGTGGGCTTCATCCCTGGGATGCAAGGCTGGTTCAACTTACAAAAATCAATAAACGTAATCCAGCATATAAACAGAACCAAAGACAAAAACCACATGGTTATCTCAATAGATGCAGAAAAGGCCTTTGACAAAATTCAACAGTCCTTCATGCTAAAACCTCTCAATAAATTAGGTATTGATGGGACGTATCTCAAAATAATAAGAGCTATCTATGACAAATCCACAGCCAATATCATACTGAATGGGCAAAACCTGGAAGCATTCCCTTTGAAAACTGGCACAAGACAGAGATGTCCTCTGTCACCACTCCTATTCAACATACTATTGGACGTTCTGGCCAGGGCAATCAGGCAGGAGAAAGAAATAAGGGTATTCAATTAGGAAAAGAGGAAATCAAATTGTCCCTCTTTGCAGATGACATGATTGTATATTTAGAAAACCCCATCATCTCAGCCCAAAATCTCCTTAAGCTGATAAGCAACTTCAGCAAAATCTCAGGATACAAAATCAATGTGCAAAAATCACAAGCATTCTTATACATCAATAACAGACAAACAGAGAGCCAAATCATGGGTGAACTCCCATTCACAATTGCTTCAAAGAGAATGAAATACCTGGAAATCCAACTTACAAGGGATGTGAAGACCCCTTCAAGAAGAACTACAAACCACTGCTCAACAAAATAAAAGAGGACACAAACAAATGGAAGAACATTCCATGCTTATGGATACGAAGAATCAATATCGTGAAAATGGCTATACTGCCCAAGACAATTTATAGATTCAATGCCATCCCCATCAAGCTACCAATGACTTTCTTCATAGAATTGGAAAAACTACTTTAAAGTTCATATGGCACCAAAACAGAGCCTGCATTGCCAAGACAATACTAAGCCAAAAGAATAAAACTGGATATATCACACTACCTGACTTCAAACTATACTACAAGGCTACAGTAACCAGAACAGCATGGTACTGACACCATAACAGAGATATAGACCAATGGAACAGAACAGAGCCTTCAGAAATAATACCACACATCTACAACCATCTGATCTTTGACAAACCTGACAAAAACAAGAAATGGGGAAAGGATTCCCTATTTAATAAATGGTGCTGGGAAAACTGGCTAGCCATATGTAGAAAGCTGAAACTGGATCCCTTCCTTACACCTTATACAAAAATTAATTCAAGATGGATTAAAGACTAAACGTTAGACCTAAAACCATAAAAACCCTAGAAGAAAACCTAGGCAATACCATTCAGGACATAGGCATGGGCAAGGACTTCATGTCTAATACAGCAAAAGCAATGGCAACAAAGCCAAAATTGACAAACGGGATCTAATTAAACTAAAGAGCTTCTGCACAGCAAAAGAAACTACCATCAGAGTGAACAGGCAACCTACAGAATGGGAGAAAGTTTTTGCAATCTACTAATCTGACAAAGGGCTAATATCCAGAATCTACAAAGAACTTAAACAAATTTACAAGAAAAAAACAAACAACCCCATCAAAAAGTGGGCAAAGGATATGAACAGATACTTCTCAAAAGAAGATATTTATGCAGCCAACAGACACATGAAAAAATGCTCATCATCACTGGCCATCAGAGAAATGCAAATCAAAACCACAATGAGATACCATGTCACGCCAGTTAGAATGGTCATCATTAAAAAGTCAGGAAACAACAGGTGCTGGAGAGGATGTGGAGAAATAGGAACACTTTTACACTGTTGGTGGGACTGTAAACTAGTTCAACCATTGTGGAAGACAGTGTGGCGATTCCTCAAGGATCTAGAACTAGAAATACCATTTGACCCAGCCATCCCATTGCTGGGTATATCTCCAAAGGATTATAAATCATGCTGCTATAAAGACACATGCACATGTATGTTCATTGTGGCACTACTCACAATAGCAAAGACTTGGAACCAACCCAAATGTCCAACAATGATAGACTGAATAAAGAAAATGTGGCACATATACACCATGGAATACTATGCAGCCATAAAAAAGGGTGATTTCATGTCTTTTGTAGGGACATGGATGAAGCCAGGTACCATCATTCTCAGCAAACTATCACAAGGACGGAAAACCAAACACCGCATGTTCTCACTCATAGGTGGGAACTGAATAATGAGAACACTTGGACACAGGAAGGGGAACATCACACACCGGGGCCTGTCATGGGGTGGGGGGGCGGGGGAGGGATAGCATTAGGAGATACACCTAATGTAAATGACGAGTTATTGGGTGCAGCACACCAACATGGCACATGTATACATATGTAACAAATCTGCACGTTGTGCACATGTACCCTAGAACTTAAAGTATAATTTAAAAAAAACCTAGATATTGAGAAACAGCATTTTGCATCTCCCTTTAGTTAGGAAACATGAGAAATGTAAGAAAAAGTCTTTGGGATCGAGGAAATCTGGAATGAGTGAGAACTGTGGACCAAAGAATCAGTCCTCCCCCTTCCCTTCCAGATTTCTAGTGTAACTTGTTAAAATAATCATGAGCATTCCAAATGTTATAGTTTTAAAGCATCTTTCCAAGTGAGACAGATTGGATTACATTATCGATCTTATACTGAGTAGCTTTATATACTTAGGCTAGTGGTAAGGATTGCACGAAAGGATTCTCACCAAAGAAGTTAGCAGAATGTGACTTCATTTGAGTTTAGGGTCTTTATAGAAGTAACTAATTTAAAATGAAGTAATTAGTGTGAGCCCTAATCCAATATGACAGGTGTCTATCAGTAAGGTGAATTTTGGACACAGAGACAAATATGCACAGAGGAAAAAGATGTGAAGACACACACAAAGAAGGCAGCCATGTGACTGGAGTGAAGCGTCTGCAAGCCAAGGGAGCCGATATGTGTATTGCTGGCACATATCAGCAGCTGGAAAACACAAGGAAGAGTACTGCCCTGCAGACATCTGAGTTTCAGGCTTTCAGCCTTCAGAATTGAGAAACAATGAATGTCTGTTGCTTTAATCCACTCAGTTTTTGGTACTTAGTTGTGTCAAGGAATTAGGAATTTAGTATGCTAAGGAAACTAGTATAGGAAGTTATTTAACTTTTACCTGCTTGTTTCTGTACCTTAGGATTGGAGATTATAAATGTCACCGCACTGCCTGACAAGTAGTGATTGCTCAATAATTGTTAACAACTATAGTTATTCTGAGGGTGAAGAGAGAAAATTAGGCATAGAAATGCTCCTTCCATCCCCCTTCTAGCCACTGACTTGTTGTGAAGATTCAAGTACTGGTCCACCTAAAGCACACGGCTCAGCATAGCATGTCTTGACACAGGTTGGTTTTCTTTAATCATCTCAGCTTTTCACAGACTTCCTTGCCTCTGCTTTTAATATGCTTCCATGCCTGCTGTTGTAGATGACATTCTGAAGAGAAGGCAACCTTAAGATCCTGGATAGTTACTTTTTGGTATTCATGAGGAAGCCTAGAGATGAGTATGCACATGTCCTGGATTGTGAGTGTGGAGCTCTGGGTTCTGATCCTGCATTTGCCTTACCAGCTGTATGACCACAGGAAGATCCCTTTGCTCCTTTCAGCTTCCCGCCTTGCACATTGAGAAGCTTGTGCTGTCCCCAGATTCCCTTCAGTTTGAAAGCTGACCCTAATTTTACAACATCTCTAATTTTAAAATATCTAATACTCTGAGTTAGTGGTTAAATGTATCAGCCTCAATGTAAAGTAGACCTTCATGAATTGTGGGAAAGGTAATATTTCCTCCACTGTTTTGTGTTTGTGCATCCGCGAGACCACGTTGAAGACCCAGTCCCTGGTCTGGTATCTGGCATTTACTTCTAATCCCTGAGATCTTACCAACTGCTGCCACTGTTTATCCATCCCCCACCAAAAGGTCTAGGAAGGGTAAAATTGTTTAGAGCAGCAATACACACTAAACTCATGTAGACCCCTCCCTCATTTTGTAAATGGAGAAGGGCCATCTTCAGAGCTGTGTCTGGAATTCTCATCTTCTGACTTCTAGCCCTGGGTTTTTAAATTCTTTGATTGTTTTTTTTAGGCAGGATTTTCTAGTGAGTAAGTTATCTCGCCCACTTACACATTCACCACCCTCCAGCATTTTCAAATGGAACAGGTTTGAGATGGAAGTAAGTTACTGATTACATCTGCACCAATGTGTAGGGCGGGGCAAGGTTATTTACTCACCACAGTCTTTGTTCTCTCTTATGCTTACACTAGGACTTTCAGGGAGATGCCTCAAATTTATTATGTGTCTCACAGCAGTAAGGAGAAAGAATGTAATTTAAAATAAAATATGGCATTGTATTATGACATACATAATCTGTTCATGGCACTCCTCAGATTAAACTAATCTTAATAACTACAGTATGAGCTTGAAGGCCTTTATTTAGCATGATGTACTAGGCAGTCAATGATTTGGTTCTTAATTCTTCAGCCTAATTTTTTAAAATTATTTCCTACATGCACCCTTAATCCTGGCTATAGTAGACTACTGATATTTCCAAACCATGTTATTCTATTGAATATTTGTTTGTCTTGAGTATATTGTATCTTCTGCTTGGTGTTTCATTTCTTGCTTTGTCTGCCTACTACATTTCTACTCATTTTTAAGGACCCAAATCAACAACTAGCTATTATGTAAAGGCTTTTCTGTTTAATTCCAGTAGAAACCACATCACTTTTTTGCATCCCCAAGTTACCTGACACTTATACCTACTATAACATTTATCACAATGTATTACCATAATTTTAAAATATCTGTTTTTGACCTCTTGGATTGTAAACTCACTGAAAATAAAGTGCATGTATTATTCATCCTTTTGATTCTCATGTGCTTAGCCTAATACATAGAACAGGGTAATTCTTTTCCCCAAAGTGTATGTTGAATGAATGATGGCTGGATAAAGTACACCATATACACTAAAGACGATCCCAGTCAGGAGAGGTCACAACAATGTCTCTTGTCCTCAACTCTAAGGAACATTCTTCCTACTCCCTGCCCCATCTCTGTCTGGTTCCAACAATATTTTATTGGTCACAGGTTTTTCTTAGAACTGATTTTGGACGGTGTAATTTGTATCCTGATGCAAGCTAAATCTGAAAAGGGTTAACATACAGACATAGATACCATTGATCAGACATTGGACTTATATTACTAGGTTAGAGAAAAGTGTTTTATTTGTAAGGGTTTAATAATGTTACAGGTTTACTGGATAATATATTTTGGGTTAGATTAACTGAGTCCATCTACAAGATAAACTGAGCAATGTTCAGATTAGAGCTGGTCATTCTCCCTTCTTCATTGGAGTGCTTCCAGACACTTGATGACTATAATGTGATTATTTCAGTGGTAAAACGAGGAAATCTGTGCCATAACAATTTTGGGTGGATGCACTGGAGAGAACCCTGACTCTTGAGATCAGAATTAGTACATGCGGCCAGGCGCGGTGGCTCACGCCTGTAATTCCAGCACTTTGGGAGGCCGGGGTGGACAGATCATGAGGTCAGGAGATCAAGACCAGCCCAGCTAACACAGTGAAACCCCGTCTCTACTAAAAATACAAAAAATTAGCGGGGTGAGGTGGCACGTGCCTGTAGTCCCAGCTACTCAGGAGGCTGAGGCAGGAGAATCGCTTGAACTCGAGAGGCGGAGATTGCAGTGAGCTGAGATCGTGCCACTGCACTCCAGCCTGGGTGACAGAAGGAGACTCCGTCTCAAAAAAAAAAAAAGAAAAAAGAATAAGTACATGCTTAGTATTCAGGATAGAATGGCAGCCTCAGGTATCATTCTTGGGATAAACTGACAAAACAAAAACCTATACATAATTAGTAGAATGATCATACAATCATCCGTAAACCAGGACATTCTTGATAGCAAAAGGGGGAGATATTAATAATTGCACCAAGCAAGACCATAGATGTAAACTGGGAGTGTCTTAGGCAAACTAGGTGCCTGCCCACGCTAGTAACAAAAGAGCCAGAAAAAAAGAGCAGGGATTTCTAGGCCAATCAAAGCAACTCGAACAGTAAGAGGAGAATTAAGATCCTCTTAACATGGGGATAATTCAACTACGTCAATTAAGATTTAGCATCGCTTCCTCATTGAGTTGAAACTAGAGACTAAAATCGGGATTACAATGTTTGTCTTTTGCAGTTCTTTCCACATAACCTTGTAGAACAAAGATCTCATTTTATCCATCTACTGAATATGATCTTAAGAAAAAAGACGATCAATCCAACAGAAAGAAATAAAGGATTGGAATAGGTGGTTTACTAAAGAGTATATCTTTCAAAAAATTTAGTAAAAGGTGTTCAATTTAATCAGTCATTATAAAATTAAAACCACAATGTGATATCACTACAAACTCATCCAAATGGCTACAACTTAAAAGAATAGCAATAATAAAGTTTCACCAGAATATAGAGTAACAAGAACTCTTATACATTGCCAGTAGTAATGGATATTTTACGAACTGTTTCTAAAGCTGTTTGGTATTATCTTCTAAAGCTGAATATAATCATACATTATGACCCAGAAAATATATGCTTGTATGTAGGCATATCTAACTAGAGATATGGATGTGGATATGAATATAGATGCATATGTAGATCTCCAACAGAAATACAGATCTACTGAAAGACATAAAGGAAAATGTGTTTGGCAGCTATATTTGTGATAACATTGAACTGGAAACCACCCAAATAAATTGTGCTGCATGCATTCAACAGAATACAGTGATGATGATGAACAAAATCTTTCTATGTGCAACAACAATGAAGAATCTCACATGCATAATGTTGAAGACCAAGTTGGGTACAAAGAAGTACATATTGTATAATTCCAGTTATCTAAAGTTTTGAAATTGGCAAGAAAAATTGATGTGGTAGAAGTCATACGATTTCTGGGATTCTATTTTTTGAGCTAGATGATGTTGTTGAGTGTGTTTAAGTTGTAAAAATTCATCAAGCTGTGCCTTTGGAATTTTCACACTTTTCTATGTGTATGCTATATTTCAAGAAAAAATTTTTAGAATGTAAAAAAGAAAAAATATATATTTCAATTTTCATAAAAATAGTTCCTGTTTATACATCCATATGGAATTACAAAATCAAATATTGTCTAATTATTTCCAGGTACTGGGATTTTTAGTGTTTTTTTTGTACTTTGTATCTTTCTGTATTGACTAATATTTTCAAAATAAACATTAATCACTTTCGCTAAAATAGATTCTTTATTTACAAAAAAAATCAGCAAGAAGAGTAATACTGTGTATACACCACGGAAGAGCTTTTAAAAGTTCTGGATTTGAATACTATGTTATTTATATTTTATTCCAAATTTCAAACTCCACAAAGTGAGGGAGTAAATCATTAAAGATTTTTTATAAATTTATTGTCAGAATCCCAGTGCCTTTTAAACAGTGCCTGGTAAACAGAGGCAGCTAAATAATACTTGTTGATTAAATAATAACATTCTCCATCCTATGATTTTAAAGTCATTGAAAATGACTTCTGACATCATCCATGTTCAGTAACAAGAAGACAAGTCTACAAAAATTTGTTTGCTCCAAAGCCCAACTCACCTCTTTCAGGAAGGTGCCTCAATTTTTTAAAACAAAACGTTTATTGAGTCTAGGTTCATACTGATTTGATGGAAAAATGGGAGTACTGGGATTCAGGAAGCCACTAAGCACCAGGATAGCATTGAGCAAATCCCTTAAACTCTCTGAATCTTAATTCCATCATTTGTAAAGTCGGGATGGAACTGGAATGCCATTCATCAGGATTACTTACTACATGATTTTGTATCTGTATGCCATTGGTCATAAAATATTTACATCTCAATGAAAGTTTTTTTTTTTTATTTTAATGTAAGTTTACAGTGGAGCCATTTTACTTCTAATGGGAGGTGAATATGCATCTGATCTTATGCAGCAGATCTCGAGTATGATGATAGATGATTACTTTTCAGAGACGAAAGAAAAACTTTCAATATGTCATATTTATTCCTACTTTATTTTGGAGGAAATATTTCTGATCAAATTTTCATAAGAATGAACATTAGAAAACTTTGCATATAATATACAAAAAGAGTAAAAAAAGATCCAGTTATACCCATTACAAATCATAAAGACCTATGAAAAATAATATTTGAAAAATGTGATATCTTTTATGCACATATTTTCCACTTTTATGCAAAATGAAATTACTCTGAGCCTCTCCTTAGTGAAGAATGTTCATCTCCTCTTTTCCCTTCTCTTGATCTCATGATCTCTCATCAAGTCCAACACTTCTTAGCTGTGATAAAATGCCCAGAACCCACAAATCACAAACAGACAATGTAGAACGTGCTCTATACTGGGTGTATCAACACACATGTTTTGCTTTAGAGTCAAAATGAAATTACTATTTCAAACCCTCCATATGCGCCCTACTCCCAATGACTATGAAAACAATATTTCAGTTAATACAATACAAAATTTAATATCAGATATAAAATGACATTTGCTTGTAACCCGGTATGGAAGGAGTGCTAGGCAATGGGAATCTGAAGAACTGTCTTCTAATTTAGTCTAACCACTAACAATCTATATGACATTTGCATCAGAGTTCTCCAAAAAAATAAAACCAATAGGGCACACACACACACACACACACACATACACACATACATATATACCCAGAAAAACTGGTGGTAATTCAAGTATGAGACCAAAGGCCAAAGAAACAGGGAAGATGATGGTGTAAATTCCAGTCCAAGGGAAGGAGAAGACCAACATCTCAGCTCAAACAGGCAGCCTGGAAGCAAAACAGGCAAATTTCACTTTCCACTTCCTTTTTGTTCCAATCATGCCTTCAATGGATTACATAATGACAACTTACATTGGGAAGAATAATCTGGTTTAGGGATTCAAATGCTGGTATCATCTGGAAACACCCTCAGAGACACACCAAGAAGCAATGTTTAAGCTGAGCACCCCTTGGCCCAGTCAAATTAAGACATAAAGTTAGCCATCACTATGTTGTGTAAGCCTTATGGTAACAGGTACAAGGGAGGATGAAACAGCCAGTGTAGACTGTTTTTCTGAGGAGTTTTGATACATAGGACATGTGCAAAGGTTCTGTGGGCAGGAATGTATGAGGAAACAAGTAGGTTTATATTTTTAAGGTGGAAAAATTTGAAGATATTTACCACACTGATAGAAATAATTCACTGAAAGATGAGTTGGGCAGAGTGGTGGGTTTGGAGGAGAAAAATGTTGGTGCAGAAACGGAAAAGGCTAATTGGAAGGACAAAGTGCTTCAGCAGATGAGAAGGATATTCAAACGGGGCCAGATTTGAAATTACTCCTTTTAAAATACTAACTTAGAAATGAAGGTTTGGAATGGCCTGGTAGGCAAAGACCCCAGTGATGCTGAGATTGACTGAAGGCAAGGGGAACATACATGAAACATGTAGTGAAAAAGGAAATGTGTCTCTGATTTTATTTGCATCTTCTCTTTTTTTCTTAGTCCAACTATAGCCTCATAAACAATTTCTTAGTTCAGCTATAGCCTCATAAATAATTTCTTAGTCCACATATAGCCTCATAAAAATTTTTGGAAATATAGTCTTTATCCCACAAGTGTATGTTATTTAAAATCTATTTTGCTTTATCATTTTTCCTTTTCCTACACTATTGTGTATTGCCTAATTGATGGTTGTTAGATATCACCAATGGTCAAAAGTGGTAGAATGGAAAAATGAGGTTTTCATAGAGATCCTTTTCTTCCAGAACACAAAGGGATAAGACTAGGTTCAGCAAGCAGCTCTTAAATTGTTCCCCTTATATAAACTCACCTCTGGAATATCAAATGAACATGACTTTAGATAGATTAACTTTAGATAACCTATTTAACAGGGAAATGAGCTCTTAGAGGCAATGCTTTGTGCAAAACTGATAGCAAGCATTTAACTGATCCGTCACATTGAATGTCTGGAAGAAACGTGATAGTCGAAAAGCACATGCTAAAACCCAGAATCATTGATATATGTAAAATTAATATAATTATATATACATAAATTAATTGTATACATAATATGTACATGTAAGTATTATATAAAATATCTAAAATCAAAAATATAAAATTATGCCCATGAGAACAAAGTATTGTCTGCTTTGCTTCTGGAGAAGACCAATAGAGATGTTCACTTAGGAGACTGATTTCCTCATAGGACAATATCATATCTGAAATTTTGAACTGTTAACTGTCCAGTCAAATGGGAAGTCTATAATAATAGGAGTCACTATGGTCATGATATGGGGGCTTCCTTGCCTTCAAATATATTCCTCCAGGCTCGCTGTGATCTTGTAAACTTGAGGATGCTTGTTTTCATAGTAATAGGTAAACCTGTCGCTGATTTTTAGAACCCTAATTATTAGAAGATTTCTGAAGATTATTTCTGCTTTAGGGCCCAAGTAGTAATTTGGTTTTATTCAGGCATTGATATATCTTCTGGCACATGAATTTGCTAGGGAATTGATTTAAGTCTCAAAGTCTAGCCAACTCTTCTTGTCAGTGCTGGCATTGAAGTGTTTTTTTCAGAGGGGACCTTTGGAGAGAGGACTTTCCTTTTCTACTGCCCACCCATGTCTAAGGGCTTCAGAGTCTTGGGATATTGGCTGTTTTATTCCCAAGAGGCCATTCTCACATGCCATTGGAGGAGGCCATTCTCACAAGAGCCCATTCTCATATGCTATTACAGGAGGTTGAGGAACACTGTGTGGGTGAGAGAAATCAGGGTAGTTTTAAGCATAATGGCATTCAGACCATGTATATACAAATATACAACTGTATGTATATATATCCTATTATATATTCTATATACATATTAAAATATGTATATGAATAAATATATATTTGTTGTATATTTTATACACATATATGTATACAGATATATACATATGCATATATATATCCATAGTATTTTCATATACATATACATACACATATATAGGCCAGACATGGTGGCTCATGCCTGTAATCCTAGCACTTTGGGAGGCCAAGGCAGGTGAATCACTTGAGGTCGGGAGTTTGAGACCTGCCTGGCCAACATGGTGAAGCCCAGTCTCTACTAAAAAAATACAAGAATTAACCGGGGTAGTGGCACACATCTGTAATCCTAGCTACTCAGGAGGCTGAGGCAGGAGAATCGCTTGAACCCAGGAGGCAGAGGTTGCAGTGAGCTGAGATCACGCCACTGCACTCCAGCCTGGGCTACAGAGCAATATTCTGTCTCAATCAATCAATCAATCAATAAACAAACATACATTTATAAGGATATCCATATCCGTATATATGTATGTATATATGTATACATGTATCTATACATGTATATGTGTATATATATATCCTATTAGTCATATATTTTATATACATATTAGAATATTAACTAATATAATTGTATACATTAAATTATAGCCAATAAAATATATACACACAATTATATGTGTATATGTATCCTATTAATATATATATCCTATTAGTAATATACTTTATATAAATGTATATATATTCTATTAGTAATATGTTTTATAAAAATGTGTATCCTATTAATACTATATTATATATAAAATTAAAATATGTATATAAATACATATATACATGTATATATACACATGTATGTGTGTGCATATGTATTTATTATATTTATTTTTGGAAAACCATGAGTAATACACCAACTTTTTAGATTTGAGGGTTTATAAAGTTCTCTGAATATATTAATTATTTTAGGTTACACTTGAGTAGATAAATTAGTACATTCCTCCTTTTTTCAGTGCTTACCTTAAAGTCAGAGATATCCCTACAACATCATTTCTCAGAATGTTCTTGACACTGTCCACATAGAATTGAAAGATTCTGAAAGCAGTGAAAAAATGCCAGGGGAAACAGAGGCAACCATGATTCTCTCCTATGGGACTTATCAGAGTTTTTAAACACACCAATGTGCATTGTGAGCCTCCTAGGGGCAGATATAGCATGTGATAATTCCCCAAATTAGATTAGGATTGTGACATGACACTCTTGTGGATAATGAGTGGAGTCTTGCTTTCTAATTTTGAGCTTTCTGTAACAATACTTTCTGAAACTAGTCACTTATAAGCTGTTCTTGGTATATACTACTATTCTGAACTCATTCCAATGTTACTTCTCCATCATTCTCAATCAGAGTGTCTCTTTCTTCTTCTGAAATTATTATTTGATAATATATATATATATATATATATATATATATTCCAATGTTCCTTCTCCATCATTCCCAATCAGAGTGTCTCTTTCTTCTTCTGAAATTATTATTTGATTATATATATGTCTTTTATCATTTTAATCAACTTCATAGCTAGTTACTTGCATGTCTGTTACCCTTTGTAAATTGCGAATTTCTTTAATATATATGAACCCGGAATTATTCATTTTTAATCTCCAGTGTACAGTTTGCAAACTAGCATTCTGTGGGTCAAGTCCAGTACATAGACAAGTTTTGCTGTCATGAAGAATATTATATGCAAAATGAATCCTTTTTGAATTACTGACAATATTCAAATTTCAAGATTTTTTCAGCTTTCCTTGAAAAGCCAGAACACTGATATGCAATGGCTGGCATTCCAGCATTGCAAAAATGGACAGAAGCCTAATAGTGAAACCCTGTCTTAAATGGGGCATATGTTGTACATCTGTTCTCATTTTTAAATTTATTTCCTGATGATATGGGTTTGGCTGTGTCCACCACCCAAATCTCATCTTGAATTGTAGCTCCCATAATTCCCATGTGTCACGGAAGGGACCTAGTGGGAGGTGATTGAATCATAGAGGCAGGTCTGTCCCGTGCTGTTCTCGTTGTAATGAATAAGTCTCACAAGATCTGATGATTTTATAAAGGGGAGATCCCCTGCACATGCTCTCTCTTGCCTGCCACCACCCTTTGCTCCTTCCTTCATCTTCTGCCGTGACTGTGAGGCCTCCCCAGCCATCTGGAACTGTAGGTCCATAAAACCTCTTTCCTTCGTAAATTACCCAGTTCCAGGTATGTCTTCATTAGCAGTATGAGAACAGACTAATACACTGTTCCACCCTTGAATGTATTTGAGTAGTCAGTCCTTGTACTTGGACATGCCTTAACAAAAGTAATATAGTAGATCCTCAGTAAATGTGTTTAGAATTAAAGTCTCTTTGTTTAGGTTTTCCCTTAAGCAGACCCTGAGATAAGGATTCATATTCAAATAGGTTTTTTTTTGAGATAGGAAGGAAATACATATAAGCAAATGATAAAGTGATTGAAAGAAACCAAGAAAGGGTGCTTTTAGCCTGTCACTACCGTACATAAAAAGAGATTGATCCTTCAGGGAAATTGTGGAAACAGTGGAAATGCATACCTCAGAATTATCCTAACTGATAAGTGGAAGAAGTGGGATATTTGTATGCCAGCTCCCACCATTCACGCCCTGGTGGGTGTAATTTTGCAGCATTTTCATCCTGTAATCTACATGGGCACAGCAGCTCTGAGATTTTGGGAAAAGCCCAGAGAATAGGGATTCAGATTCGGCTTTTGGAAACATGGCAAAGGACGTTGCAATTGCAAGGTTCTAAGAATTGACAGAGTCCCTCACAAAATGAATACACAGTGAATTGGACTAGGGAAGAAGGAAGGAAAGAGAAGCTGAGCATCTTGGTTAGCTGTGGTTAAAACTGATTTGAAACTCATCAACACACAGGTAATACTTGACCCAGTTCCTCTTGCTACCCATCTTCCTGTGACTCCAACCACACAGTGATGGAAAACCTTTTCTCTTGTTCTATCTAGGAAGACCCCTGAGACTGGAAGCTGATCCTCTTGGGTCTTTGTTCTCCTTCCAGGCTTTTGAAAGCTTATTTTAACTTGATGCCACGCAAATGGTAATGGTTGTGGCAAACCAGCCCATTGTGTGACAGGAACTTTGGGTAACATTAAGTATGCACCTGCCCAGAGTTCACTTGGAAATGCTATTAAATTCCTGACCCTTTCAATGTAAATACATTTGCAATTTTGTTAAATTTGCAAATATAAGTTATTTCCTCTTGAAACTTTTTTGAATTGGAAGGCAAAACCATTCAAGATCATCAAAATGTATTTCACTGGTAAAGTGGTGTTCTTTTCTTATTCTGTTGATTGAAATGTGTTCCTTTTATAGACAATGATAACAACTTCAAAATACATGCTTCTGCTTTTAGAGAAGGAGAAAAATGATCAAATTGAGCTCCTCCAGGAATCCAGACAAAGTGGAAAGGTTCATTTTCTTTCCCTTTCAAGTGGGAATATAGTTAACTTCTGGCAACTTTCCTTCCTCTTTGTGTGTTTTGTTTCTGTACAGCTATCTAAAGTCACTCTGGGATTGTGTGCCTTCTAAGCTTCTAAAAGAAATATTTGAGTTCAGTTTTTTGTTAAAAAGGGAAAGGAAAACACATATTTTTTTATTTTCTAAAGAGTATTGATTTCCCTTAGGAACTAACAGAATATTCCAAGTCAAGCCTAATTTGGAATTCATGCAATATTGGAACTCACTTTCAATAAATCTCAACTGCAGCTTTTCTTTTATGATTTATTTATTTATTTGTGTGCTGTACTTTACTGGGATTGTTTAAAATTAACTTATAGTTGCTACTGGAAGGCAAATTTTAATGCTTAATATTTCATTTTTTTTGTCTTTGAATGAATTTTCTTCTAACGTAGAGAAATCAGTCTAATTCAATGACATGCTTACTTTTCTGGGGAAAAATGACTGTTTTATTATCTTAAATATGTATTTCTTTATTTTATTGGATTTAATATATGTTTTACTAGTTTTTGTATGTTCCAACTTTATTTAGTGATTGTAGATGGTATGTAGGGAGCAGTATACTTTCATAAGTGAAAAAAGATTGCCCAAACAATTTAAAATAGCTTGCGATTATTTTAAAATTTAATCACCATATGAACAGAATATGAAAACTTAATACTATTTTGACATCAGGTAGTATGATACTCAAGCTTTGTTCTTTTTGCTCAAAACTGTTTTAGCTGTTTGGGATCTTCTGTGATTTCATAAAAATTTTAAGATTGCTTTTCTCAGTTTCTGAAAAAGATGGCATTAGGATCTTAGTAGGGATTGTATTGAATCTGTAGATTGCTTTGGGTAGAATGGACATTGTAACAGTATGAATTTTTACAATCCATGAACACAAGATATTTTTCCATTTATTTATGTCTTCTATTTCTTTCATTAGGTTTTATAGTTTTCTGTGTACAGATCTTTCATTTCACTGAGTAAATGTATTCCCAGTTATTTTATTTTTTAAGCTATTATAAATGTGATTTGTAATAATTTCTTTTTCAGATAGTTACTTGATGTTGATTTTGTATCCTGAAACTTTACTGAATTTGTTTATTAATTAGTTATAGGAATTTTTTATGGAAACTTTAGGGTTTTCGCTATATAAGATTATGTTGTCTACAAACAGAGAAAATTTTTCTTCCTTTCTAATTTAGATGGCTTTCCTTTATTTTTCAAATATCTAATACTGGTTTGGACATACCTGGACTTGTAGACAAGGGCATTGTTATAAGTATGCTTTCTTCAAGATACATAGTTTTTGTATACATTCTTACTAGATGTGGTCTAAGCAGTACCAAAGCCAGGAGCTGCTTATTAATATGTACAATATAAGCACTTCAAATTGACTTGAAAGTGATGAAACAAAAGTTTGTATTTATTTATTTTTTCATACTTGTCAGCTTGTTACAAACAGGAAGATCTCAGAAACTGAAAATAAAAACCAAAAAACAAAAAACCACCAGCCCCTCCACTTACACATCCCCTTCAAAAACAAACATACAAACAAACCGATAAAAACTAACTGTTCAGTCTAATTTGGCTATCTTAATAAAGATAGAAATTGCTGGAACTGGTAGATTACATCAGATTTAAAACTGAGTGTTTTAATTATATTTTCTCTGGTTTAATTTCCATTACAGTTTCATGAAATTTTAGGGCTCAGAAATAAACACTATATATATCTGAGTACTTTATTCATTTATTATTACATAATTGTAGAGGGAAATGAATATAGAAATAATATGGTCTGTATTTCTTAATCATTTGGGGGTCAAAGAACTTTTGAAATTATTATTTTATAACATCTGTAGGTTATTTCCCTGGAAGAATGTATAAAATTCATACAAAATTGGCCGGGTGTGGTGGCTCACGCCTTTAATCCCAGCACTTTGGGAGGCTGAGGTAGGTGGATGACCTGAGGTCAGAAGTTTGAAACCAGCCTGGCCAACATGACGAGATCCCATCTCTACTAAAAATACAAAAATTAGCCAGGCATGATGGTGTGTGCCTATAATACAAGCTACTCAGGAGGCTGAGGCAGGAGGATTGCTTGAATCTCGGAGGCAGAAGTTGCAGTGAGCCGAGATTGCACCATCACACTCCAGCCTTGGCAACAAGAGCAAAACTCCATCTCAAAAAAAAAAAAAAAAAAATTCATACAAAATTTAATGTGTTCCTAGACTTCAATAATTTCATCTCTAGACTCTTCAGAGATCAACAGTCCTCATTTTAGTGGACTCATATAGTTTACCTTTATGTGAATAAAATGGTATCATATATTTTTAAAAGACAACTTCTTAAGTAACTTGCTAATCCTCACATTAGACATTGGTTTTTAGATAAACATAATTTATTCAGACTCATTGTGAAGCACAATTTGATGATTATTTGAAAGTGCTAGTTAAATTTATAAATGTTATTTATTCTTCTATCTGCCAAATATTTATTGAGCACTGATTACATGTCAAGCATTTTTTAATGGGCTGAAGGTGCCAAGAGGAAGAAAACAGAATCTAGAAGAAAGGACATACACCTTGGGTGAGACATGTGTATACATCCTGAATTTACCTTACTAGTTAGTACCTTTGAAAAATTAAATATCTACAATGACATATATTTCAAGACTTTAAAGGATGAAATAGCAGGTGAAAATATGGGATAGAAGGTATGAGAATATATCTACCAGTGTGTGTTTGACATACATCTGGTGCTTCATATTTGTATCTTTCCTTCTTTCTACTTTTGCTTTTCCTAAGGTAACCCAATTTCTAATATGGTAGACACGTTGAGAGATAGAGAATTGCAGTGTGGTTAGTGCTGGGAGATACAAATGGTCACAGATGAACACAAAGAAGAGATGCCCAGCTCTGGCTTGGAGAATTGGTGAGCTTCTTATCAAGGTGGAGCTCTTTGGGTTAGGACACAAATCTAAGATTTCTCAAGTTGAAGAAGAAATGAAGAGAGATATGTGAGGCATGAAAAAATGATGTTAAAGTTTGCAAAATTATATAGTTGTGTAAAAGTTAAAATGCGTGTGCATCTGGGTAGGGAAGAGTGAAAATTCGTTAAGGACACATGGGGGCAGGAGAGATGATGCTAAAAACAAAGTTTGGTGGAGGTATGCAGAGGCATATATTTTACACTAACGGGTTTTCACTTGTCCTTTAGGAACATAAGTGCCATTAAATGACTTTAAATAGAAGTCAAATGTGCACTTAAGCTACATTGACTTGGGAATATAATCTTAGCTTAGTTTATGAATCTGTAATATGGGAAGTGTAATAGTACACAGTATATAAGTTTATCTCATGGTGTTTAACTATAATAAAGCAAGTGAGCCTTCTTGGTGTAATGCCTGACACGTGGTCATCATTTGATGAATACATCATTATAGTGACAATATATCTCATAAAATTATGACTGTCCTTTCTATTTGGCACTTTTCTCTATGAGACTCTTGCCCTAGCCAGCCAGAGCCATCACTTTTGCTTCAGGAATAATTAGAATTGTTATGGCACAAATGCTTTCACAATATAATCTTAAAGTCAACTAAGACAGTAGTTTAGAAAATATAACTTTTCATTTCCAAGAGGAGGATTTTGTTAGGAGAAGAAAGACTCTTGAGAATCAATAAGAGAAGGCTCTGAAGAAAGCAGGATGTAAAGCATATTCCTTCACAAAATATTAGAGTAATGATAAAGGAAGACTGCATTGCTTATACCCAGAAGGCAAGATCAACTTCACATGAGCTGTGTGGGAAAGCAGAGGAGAACTGGTTGGGATGTGTCTTTAAGAAGTTCCTGTTGGGCCTGGGACAGGGAATTGTACCTGAGGGGTCTGCTGAAAGCCAATTCAGTACCAGCAGGATGACTGCCTAGTATCTTCTCTTGCAATTTCCAGGGAACATGATGAAAGACAAGCTGATGTCTTCAAACTTCTTTGCTCACAAAGTAAACATAGAATATCTGTTGTGCTGAGGAGACATCTAGTTGACCTTCCCATCACTCAGTGGATTACCTGCCAGCAATAGCTTAGTGTTGCCTGCATATTTTCCTACCTAAGTTTCTGTTCTCTGCCTCCTTCCTGATCCCATCTGAATTGAACCACACAAATATTGCCCTTTATAATGGTCCAAATACATTTGTAAACCTTAGTCATTGATGATAAGATTGTTGACATGAGAGTAATTTTGGTGGTTTGGAAGGAAAAGTCCTCAGCTACCACAGTTGGCCAAAACCTAGCCCCATTTTGCCGTTAATATAATTTAAGCAATCATTTTGGCATTAGGATATGGGAAGATAGAAACAGGTTAGCAAGCTGGAAATATTCTCGTTGAAAGACTAAAATAAAGCAAATATTTTAGTGGTAGAATTGCTAGCAGGGACTTTTTCTTAGTCACAGTTGTGTCTTCAGTGCCGAGCACAGTGAATGATATATTGAGGTTCATTGGAGTTTGAGGGCAATGATGCCTTGTTTTCTCACCAACTTTACAGGTAGATACAGTCAGGCAAATAGAGGTTAAAATATCATCTTTATTCTTGACCACATATATCGGAAGGTGTAGCATAGGTCTTAGTCAAGTGGACTCACTAATATGCCCCTTGCTGGCCTATCAAAATCTTGAAATGGTCCATCTAAAGAAAAGTATACATTTTCCCAGGATTTCTATCTTCCTCAGGTCCCGGGGGAAAGATGCCAGAAAAAAAGAAGCCAATTTCTAGTGCTCAAAGATATGTGACAGATGCATTATAATAATCAAGAAATGTGGTCCAATGGTCCAACTGCCAGCCAAATAACTCACTTCTCTTTGGGAAGTAGTAAGGATGAGCGGGACACCAAATGTATTTCTCTAGTAGGGATCCCATCACCTGGAAATAGGAGAAGTGGGAAGTAGGTGTTCTGTGGACAACATGAATATGTTGAAGGCATAAATATGTTAAATTAATTAATGGATTTGGCATTAGGGGAAGAGATAAGAAACACATAAAAAATGAGAATGACACTTTGTTAATCATATTAGCCAAGAATTAGAATACTATTAAGTAATTAAGAGTGTACATTAAATGCAGCATACAGTATGATCTTTTAAAATTACTCAAAAATGAGTTTTTTGTCAATTAAACACAATTACACATCACACATAAAAGAAATATGCAAAAAAGAGGGGAGAAACCAACATTTGACTTAAAAGATTCCTCAGATTATTTGAAATAGTATTTCTCAAACTCTTTCTGAGAATCAACTATTTTGGGGTATCGAAGAATTCTGAGCTTCAATGGGGAGGGGAAAATGGAATGAGGAAGTGGCAGACAATGCAAGCCTTGTGGAAAGGGCAGGCAAGAGCAGGAGCTTCCTGTGCCAAACAGGGAGGAGATGTTGGCCAAGGCTGCTGCAGTGGAAAGGGTTCAGGTAAAACCTGGAGATCACTGGCAGGACTAAGTTCAGTAACAAGTGAAAGGAAGTATCAGTCTGGCAGATGGAGTAGAAGCTTTTTAGGGAGTTGAGCTGGTTGGAGGAAAGAAGTGGGTACATTTTCCTCCTACGTATTGGAGTCTCTACCCGCTTTGTCTTAACTTCAAAATCAAACCAGGGCAAAAGGGTAGGGAATATCAACAGCAAGAAAATGTAGCTTCAGAGAAAACAAGAGACCAATTGATCTCTTTCTACAAAGAACACTGCCACTGACTATGTGTTAGGAAATTTCACTAACTCTGAGCTCCTCTTCTGTAAATGTCATTAATGACACCACATCTCCACCCATTTCATAAGGTAGGAACTAAGCTTAGTTATTATTATCATTAATGTTATTAATATATTATTTACTACTATTGTTAGATATTGTTATCATTATTATATTATTACGTCAGTTATCATTATTAGTATATTATTGTTACTTATTGTTATCATTAATATTATAATATTATTACTTATTATTATTAACCTAGCCTTTCTGCATGTTTAGTTTTAAATTCCATTAATTTAGTTGTTAGCAATCTCAATGGTGGAAGAGTTGGTAAAAATTAACATGTCTTCAAAAGATTAAATTAGGTGTCAAGTCACAGCAGCCACTCTTTTGGAGCCAGAAGAAAATTATGAGTTTTGAAAGAGAATGGGCCCAGATTAAGACGGTCTACCTTATTGAGGCTCTTGTTTCTGAATTTGCGGCTGGAATGGTTGATATTTATAATATTGGGGGAACACACACCTGTAATGGGGGGCATATTTTACATACATGTGATTTCCCAAGTGGGAAAAGGAAGCCATTAAATTTATTATTTTAACATACAGATTTAGCAGATGCATTCATTCTGTGGCTAAAACAGTCTACTTTGATTTGATACTTAGCTAGCAGTAGAACAAATACACTTTTAAAGTAGATTTTCATAATAATTTTGTGTTTATTTTCATAATATTGCAGTGACTTTTAAGGATGGCTGTTAAGTAGATATTTTATGACCCTCTCCCAAAATAAGAGCCATCCCTATATGCATATATTTTATTGTGAGATCTGAAACCAATAAAAAATTTTTAAAAATTTTTTAAATTTTTAAAATTTTTAAAAATGTTTAGGTAATTGGCTACTGGAAATGGGCTATGGAAAAAATGTTACTATAAAATGCAGTGTGTATTTCAAAATTATTAACTAATACTAAACATTTTTATTAGGAAAGTTGCTGTTTTTGATTTGAAATACTTAAGAATCTATAATGGAATAATAAATTTACCTATTTTATTCTTTTAAAAAAATTTAACTTACATTTTGGATACATGGGTATATTGCACCCAGGTAGTGAGCATAGTAACCCAGTAGGTTGTTTTTCAAACCATACCATCTTTCCTCACTCCCTGCTCTGCAGTGCCTATTGTTCTCATGTTAATGTCCATGTGTGCTCAACATTTAGCTTCCAATTATAAGTGAGAATATGTGGTATTTGGTTTTCTGTTCCTGCATTAGTTAACTTAGGATTATGGCCTCCAGCTGCAACTATGTTGCTACAGAGGACATGATTTCATCCTCTTTAGTGGCTGCATAGTATTCCATGGTGTATATGTGCCATATTTTCTTTATCCAATCCACCATGAATGGGCATCTAGCTTGATTCCATGTCTTTGCTATTGTGAATAGCATGGTGATAAACATATGAGTGCATGCATCTTTTTGTTATAATGATCTATTTTCCCTTGGGTATACACTCAGTAATGGGATTGTTGGGTCAAATAGTAGCTCTGTTTTAAGTTCATTGAGAAATCTCCAAACTGCTCTCCACAGTGGCTGAACTAATTTACACTCCCACCAACAACGTATAAGTGTTACTTTTTCTCTGCAGCCTCTCGAGCATCTGTTGCTTTTGACTTTTTAATAAAAGCCATTCTGACTGGTGTGATATAGTATCTCCTTGTGGTTTTGATTTGCATTTCTCTGATGATGAGTGATATTGAACATTTTTTTCATACATTTTGGCCACTAGTTTATTCTTCAACAGTGATAGAATAATGGCAAAGATACTGTGTAGCTTTTATTTATTTAATTTTCATACAAATTTTTGTCTAGTGAATTACTTACCAAATTAGATTGTCTACAGACATTTCAAAACAGCAATCATATGTTTATGAAATCATTTTAATGGATTTCAGTTTCAATTTTTCCCATGAGTAATAGATTTAATGACACTAAGATGCTCCCTATAGATATTATGTCCCCTGTAGATCAGTTTTTATACATCAGAGAGAGAAAGGAGAGGTTGTATCATCCATTCTTTTCTGGATTCTTTATTTCTTGATTAACCCCTAACCTAGCTTAACTCCTGGCAAATGTTGCTAATATTAACTGAAAAATAAGAAATTTGGAATCTCTACTTACTTTAGTCTCTTCAACTATGGTAACCAGTCTAGACAGAATGTGAGGCCCATTGTTTATGTTATATTATTATTGGTAATCCTCAATGATACTTTAATTGCTTTAATTTCTGTTATGGATGTAGAGTCTGGGATATATGCCAGATGTTCTTTATTTGAAAATAATAAAAATATATCCAAATTTTGATTTTGCAAACATATCCCTTGCTTAATTGTTCATTGTATGAAATGTTAGTAAATTATACACTTTATCTTCAATTTTGTCAGAAATTCAAACTGCAGGGGACTTGTTGAAAGAATCATTGAGGTGACTAGTGATAATCCAATAAGAATTAAATGAAAAACTTTCAAAAATTACCAAATTTATAAAGATAAATATCCCCTTTAAATTGTACCTATTTTTTTTGTCCTTGCTGTTTGATAAATTACCTCATGAAAGACATGTTAGACTTCAGGATGAAGCTTTCAGCCTGTTTCTATTTTATTTTCCCTTTGACAGATAATAAGCTCTTATGTCATTTAATATTTAGTTCCATTTATTTTAAAATAAAAGCTTCATCATAAAAATTCATTCTAAAAGAAATGAAAATGTGTAGGTGAGTTGTCAACATTGGATAGTCAGTAAATTGTATAAACTGATTGCAAAATGGATAACTTCACAGTTATATATCACTTTCCAAAGCAGAATTATTTCCGAAAAGCTCTCCCAATTCGATTTTATGGAATTAAAAGCTAGTTTTTATAGGTTTTGGGGCTATTCCCCTAAATGGAAATGTTTTAAACCAGAGAAGGAGAAAAATCATGGGTCAGGATCGAGGAACGTTTTACAACCACGTCTTTGATGTAGAATAAATACATATTTATATATAACTTCAGCAAGGCATATTTTATATATCATATAATTCACCCTTTGCAGATGTGCAATTCAATGAGTTTTAGTAAATATATGAGCTGTGCAACCATCACAGTAAATCAGTTTAGAACATTTCCATTACTCCAGTAAGATCCTTCATATCCACTAAGGGTCACACTCTGTGCCCAACCTCTCTCACTCTCTACCACATCGGAAACCATTTAATCTTCTGCCTGTCTCTGCAGACTTGGCTTTTCTGGACATTTCTCATCAAGTGAATTGTGTAATACCTGGTGTCTTGCGTTTGGTAGCTTTCACTCGGTGTGTTTTGTAGGTTTGCTCATGGTGTAACACACATCAGTGGTTTGCTTCCTTTGATTGCTGAATAGTATTCCATTGCACAGATATACCACTTTAATCCATTTATCAGTTTAGGAATATTTAGCCTGTTTCTAATTTTTGGCTTTCTAAATAAAGCTGCTAAGAACACTTGAATCAATGTGTTTATCTGTATATATGCTGTTATTTCTCTGGGACAGCTACCTAATGTAAGGTTCTTGTATTGGTTCAAACCCCGAAAGCACGCCAACAGACAACACAGCAGTGTGGAGCAGCATGCTGTTTTAATGAGTGTCTGGTTGCAGGCAGGCTGAGGCCTAAAATGGCATCAGCCCCAAGTGAGGACGGGGCAAAGGTTTTATAATCTCCTGGGAACAGGAAGAGTCCTAGTCTGAAGTAACTGCTAGGTTGTACCTGGATGGCCTCTTTCTCGATCTTCAGGGTAAGTGTCTTCTGGCTGGCTCTCTTCCTGCTTCTGCTATCTTGCTGGCTCGTGCTGCTGGCACAAGTAGCCTTGTGCCTTGGGAATGGGCCTGAGAAGGGAGGAATTATTCATCTCCTTAAGCTTTCAGGCCCCGCGGAGAATCTTACATTCTTGTCTATTTCATTACAGAAAAGGGAAAAGGGATGACTTTCTCAACAACTACTTCAGGCGTGACATAGGGGTGGTGTGGGCACCTTAGAAAAAGAAAAACTTAATTTTGGGTGTATTCTTCAGGGATGGGTTGGTATCCATCGTGTTGTAGCAGGAGCATCGTTTGGATTGTCTGGTGGTTAACTGTAGTTTTAACAAGAGTTTTAACGGCTTTTATTATCAGTGGGATAACACAAGGGAGAAACAGGAGGAGCCCAGTGATGGAGATTACTGGCCCTACCAGCATTTTAAATCCTCCTAAATTAGAAAACCACCCTCCTAGAAGGTTTGTTGCATCCCATCCCTCCCAGGTTTGGACTGGTACATGGGCTACTTTTCTGATGTTTGAAGCAATCTTTCTAGAGCTGCTTTTTCATTATCATCTATGTTAAGACAGCAATTAGAGATATTAAACTTACCACAGACTCCACCCTCTTCTGCTAATAAGTAATCTAGTGCTAGCCTGTTTGGATAAATTGCCACGTGCATTTGGTTTTGTCATTGCGTGAGCATTTCCAGGGCTGAGGCAGTTTGGTTAGTGATTATCTCTAGAACCGCCTGTAGTCTAATTATTCTACTTAGCATATATATAGGAGTGCGATAACCCCATGAACCATCCTCAGACCAAGTGGCAGGACCGTAATATTCAATGATCCCTTACGGAGGCCATTTGTTCCCTTGCCATCTTTGGCTTCCTCCTACCTTTAAGGATCGTTTTTCTTTGTTTAGGTTATTATATACAGGGTCTCCGAGGGTGTGGCCCACTGTTAATGTTTTGGAGGAAGGAGTAGCCTTAGGGGTGAGCGTGACCCTGGTGCAATGGACCCAGTGGGGGAGTCCTTGGACCCCCACTGCAGTTGGCATGCTGAGTATCAATCACAGTGTAGGGGCCTGTCCACTTTGGTTGTAGCTTTTGGGTGAGGGTCGGGTTGGCAGATAAACATGTCTGTACCTGCAAGACAGTTATGTTGAGAGGACAAGGAGGTGTTAACAGGGAGAGGCACGGCCTCATCTGCTGCTTTACAAATGAAAGATCGTGTCTGGATTAAGGAGGGGAGGTAAATCCCAAGTGGCTCAGAGTCTGGTAAGGATGGAGGCTCCAAGATAAAAGTTTAGCCATACATGATTTCAAAGGGATTATAAAAAGAGGGTGCTTTTGGTGTTGCATGGAGTCTCATGAGGGCAAAAGGGAGATTTTTTTTTTTGTCCAAGACTGGTGGGTTTCTAGAGCCAGCTTGGTGAGTTGGGCTTTAAGGACAGAGTTAATTTTTTTAACTTTGCCTGAAGATTGAGGCATGTAGGGTGTGTAGAGAACCTACTTTATTTTTAAAGATGTAGAGACGCCTTGGGTAATTTGGCTGATGAAGGCGGGCCCGTTATCAGACTGGATGATGTTGGGAGTCCGAAACGGGGAACTATATGTATGATGAGAGTTTGAGTGATGATATTTGCACTTTCTGAAGTTGTTGGGAATGCTTCTCCCTACCCGGAGAAAGTACAGACAAAGACTGGAAGATAGTGGAGCCGTTTATTGGGCGGCATGTGAGTGAAGTCTACTTGCCAATTTTGCCCTAGCATCTGGCCCCGGGGTTGGTGGGTAGGAAAAGACAGCGACCAGAGGGAGCTCTGGGGTGACACTGAGTGGCAGATAGAGCAGGACTGGGTGATTTTTTGAACACGACTGGAAAGGCGAGGACAAATGAGAATAGGGCAGAGAAGTTGAAAGAGAGGTTTGTAACTAACATGGAAAGAGTTGTGGAGGCTTTGGAGGTGAGGAAGGCTTTGAGAGTGAGCAAGAACGAAGCGTCCTTCCTTGACATAGCATGGTCCTTGCTTTTGAAGGTTTTGGGCTTGGAAACCTCCTTCTGAGTAAAGAGGAGAGAACAAGGACAGGGACAGAAACTGGCCTTGCATGGGTTGTAGGGCTACTCGTTTGGCTACCTGATCTGCTAAAGCATTCCCAGCTGATATATGATTGTCTGGGGTTTGGTGGCCCCTGCAATGAATGATGGCAACTTTCTGTGGGAGCATGGCAGCTTGAAGGAGCTTGCTGATGAGAGAGCCATTTATGACAGGAGTGTTCTTTGCAGTTAGGAAACCTCATTCTTTCCAGATAGACGAGTGTGAGTGTACTATATGGAACGCATAACAAGAATCTGAATATATGTTAATTTGTTGTCCGGCTGCTAGAGTGACAGCTTGAGTGAGGGTGCTGAGTTCAGCTTTTTGGGAGGTGGTGCCTAGGGGGAGCGGATTGGCTTCAATAGTGTGTGTGTGGTGGGGGGTGACACTATAGCATAGCCAGCATGTTGGCGTCCTTGATGTAGGAAGGAGCTGCCATCTACAAACTAAATAAAGGAGGTACCTGGAAGGGGTTGGTCTGTTAGGTTTGGAAAAGGATAAAAAAAGTTTGAACAGTGTTCACACAGAAGTGTGTAGGGTCTTGGGCGGTTGTAGCTTCAGGTAAGAGAATGGCCGGGTTTAGATGGGAGCTGGTTAGCAGGGTGATTTGGGGGGGTTTCTATGAATAGAGTATACAGTTGGAGGAGCCATGGGGCAGAGATGAGACTTAGTACACTGCAGTGAGCTAGCATATCTTTGATGTTATGGGTTGAATAAACTGTTAGGTTGGCATGGGGAGATAGTTTTAGGCTTCTAAAGTTGAGGACAGCAGCTGCCGCCAGTGCTTGGAGGCAGGCAGGCCATCCGTGAACTGTGGTTTCAAGTTGTTTGGAGAGGTAGATGATAACCTAGAGGGTGGGTCCCTTAGACTGGGTTAGAATACCTAGTGCAACTCCACGTCGTTCATCAGTATAGAGGGAGAAAGGTTTGGTGAGGTCTGGGAGAGTGAGGATTGGGGCTGAGATGAGAGCCTTCTGGAGTAAACGGAAAGGTTGGGTAATAGGCTGTGCAAGGTTCGAAGGCTCATAGAGAGGGCCTTTAGCAGCTTGGTGTAACGGTTTGGCAAGTAGGCAGTCGGCTGTGAGCCCTCGGGTTTGCGGGGTAAGAGCTAGGCCTAGATAGGTGACTGAGGGGGTGCATGTTTGTGCTTTCTTAGGGAAGACACAATACCCCCGTTCTGCCAAGAAGTTTAAAAGAGAGAGATAGTATAGGCATTGCAGTCTCTTTGAGAGGGGCTTCACAGGAGCAGATCATTAACACATTGAAGGGGAGTGGACAGTTTTAGGGATAAGGTACAGAGGTCGTGAGCAAGGGCCTGTCCAAAAAGGTGGGGGCTGTCTCTGAAACCTTGAAGTAGTACACATCAGGTGAGCTGACATGAAAGGTGGGTGTCGGGGTTTTCCCACTTAAAGGCAAAGAGGTTTTGGGTGTAAAGGAATTGTGGGAAAAAAAAAACATCCTTTAGGTTTAGAACAGAAAAATGGGTGGTATTGGAGGGAACTGTGGAAAGTAAACTATATGGGTTAGGAACTACTGGACATACAGGAGTACAGCTTGGTTAATGAGCTGAGGTCCTGGACTAACTGTTAACTTCCGTCTGGCTTTTTAATAGGTAGAACTGATGTGTTAAAAGGGGAGTTTGTTGGGCGGAGTAGGTGACTGGCGAGGAGGCGAGAAATGATAGGCTTTAGGCCTGTGAGAGTTGCTTGGGTGATGGGATACTGCTTCTGTGATAGGAACTGGGTGGGCTCCTTAAGGGTAATGCGGACGGGGGTGTGGTGTTCTGTGACTGAGGGTGTGTAAGTATCCTAAACAGCAGGGTTAACTACGGGTGGAGGATAAGGAAAGGTTGCATGTTTTAAGGTGGGAGGTTGGAGGAGTAAAAGAAACTTAGAAGCCCTAGAGCAGTCTGGGTCGATGCATTGGGTACTATGGGGAACGTGGAAGTAGAGAGTAGCGTGGAGTTTTGAAAGGATGTCTCTGCCTAGGAGTGGAGTTGGGCATGAGGGCAGATCTAAGAAAGAGTGAGTGAAGGATAGGGTGTGTAGGGAGCAGAAAAGTGGAGGGGGGGCCCGGGATTTGGAGACTTGTCCATCAATTCCCACAACAGAGACTTGGGAAGACTGGGTGGCTCCTGAAAAATTAAGTAAAGCAGAGTAGGTTGCCCTGGTATTAATTTAAAAACATACTGGCCTATCTGCCACCATTAGGGTTACCCTTGGCTCAGATAAACCCATGGTAGTTGCCGTGGTGTCCGTTCCAGGGCACTGTCAGTCTTCAGTGGTAAGGCCAATGAGATCCGAGTAGGAGGTTGTGGCTGGCTTAGGAAGGGATGAGGGCGGTCCTTGCAGGGGCTGTTCACAGTCCAGCTTCCACTGGGGTCCTCCGCAGAGGGGTCATGGCCTGGTGGGCTTACCTGGGTGTGGGCATTGTCTGGTCCAGTGGCCTTCCTTGCCACACTTGAAACAGGCACCAGGTGGAGGTGGATTTTTAGGAGGCTTCTGTGAGGAGCTGCAGCCCCGAGGGCCTGCAGAGCCCCTGATGGTGGAGGCAAGCGTTTGAAACTCTGCCTGTTTTTGCCTTTTACTTTCCTCATCACAATTGTTAAATACTTTGAAGGCTAAATTAAGAAGGTCTCGTTGTAGTGTTTGAGGGTCATCATCAAGCTTCTGAAGGTTGTGCCGAATATTGGGAGTGGATTGGGGGATGAACCAAAGGTTTAAGATAGTGATTTCTTCTGGGCTGGCTGGATCTAGGCTGGTATATTTTCTCATGGCTTCAGTTAAATGAAAGAGAAACAGGGCTGGGTTTTCATCAGGACCTTGGGTGATTTTTGAAAGTTTTTCATAGTTTACTGCTTTATGGGCACTGTTTTTGAGTCCTGCAAGAAGACACTTAATTATGTGGTCTCGATGGTGGCATCCAGAGGCCCCGTCTTGATGATCCATGTGGGGGTCCTGATTGGGGACTGGCTCTGCACCAGTAGTCTGGGAAGGAGCGTAGTGATGAATTGTATCAGCATGCGTCTGAGTTAGGGTCCAGATACTGTCTGGTCTTCTGGGGTGAGGGTGGAAGACAGGATAACATAGATGTCATGCCAGGTTAGTTCATAAGACTTGGTAAGGTACTGAAACCACTCAATATAAGATAGGGTCTTGTGGAAATGAGCCCAGTCTTTTGTTAATTGGAGAGAGGTCAGTGGGGGAGAAGGGAACATGAACTCTAACAATACCTTCAGCTCCTGCTGCTTCCTGAAGGGGGCACTCTAGCACTGGCACTGAAGTAAGGGTGGGGCATGGGCCAAATATGGCGCCCAAGTGAGTATGGGTGGGAGAGAAGGAAGAAGTCAGAAGTGGTTCCTGCTGAGGGTTCCTGCTGAGGGGGTTGAGTTGATAGGCAGTGGAGGATAGATAGGGGCGTAAGGTGGTGGGATGGATTTACAGGCTTCAGGAGAGGGTGGGGAGGAAGGAGAATGAGTACAGACAATACTAGACTTGTCCTGAGGAGAGGACAGCGTAGGAAAAGAAGTGGGTACTTTTGGAGGTGATGCCAGCTGGGAAGATGGTGGCTGGGAAGATGGTGGCTGAGAAGACAACATGGAGGCTTGGGGGGTTAAAGAAGACGGTTGAGAGGAAGAGGTAGGGGCTGGGAGGGATGGGCAGCAGTCAGCTGGATTGAACCAGATAGAAGAGGTAGGGTCGGGAGGAGAAAGGCGATCAGGGCGGTGAGAATGAAGGAGAAGGATTTGAACAGGTGAGCAAGAATCGCAGAGGTCAGGTTGTGATCTGAGTGCAAAAAGGCCTGGACATAAGGAATTTCTCACCATTTCTCCAGTCATCGGTAATAATTGCTTAAGTCAGTTAAAACTGTAAAGTCGAATGTTCCATTTGTGGGCCATTTGGACCCATTATCCAATTTGTATTGTGGCCAGACTGAATTGCAAGAAACGACAAGGCACTTAGAGTGGATATGTTGCCTGAGGCCTAAGGTTTGCAGGTTGTTTATGAGGCAGCCTAGAGGGCTGTTTTTTTGGAATGGAGGACCAGGAGTTTCCCATAACAGAGGGTAGGCATGGGAGAACAGGGAAAAAGGAGACCGTCCTGGATGGACGGAAGGAGACGATAAAGGGAGTGATTATCACCATTGCCTTTTTTGTTTCCAGAACGGTATCAAATGGCTTAGAGGTATGCCCCTAAGACCAGATGATCAGCGAGTGCCTGGAACATGCCAGAGCCTTTTTGGACTAACATTGGATTTTCGGACTGGAGAAACCAAGAGAGGCCGTGCGGCTTTTCCCCTGTTAACCAGGTTCCCGGGGAAATTTACCAGTAGGTGAGATCAATGACCAATGTGCATGCACAGAGAGGCGACTGGAGGCTGAGAAGCTTCCTTTTTCTGGCTGCTGTGGCCTGCTCTCTGGGGTGGAGGGGTAGGTCCACAGAGGACGCAGACCTGAGCCCCTCCTGGGTTTTGGCACCATATGTAAGGTTCTTGTATCAGTTTGAACCCGGAGAGTGCGCCAACAGACAACACAAGGCAGTATGGAGCAACACGCTGTTTTAGCGAGCGCCTGGGTGTAGGTGGGCTAAGGCCTAAAATGGCATCAGTCCCAAGGGAGGATGGGGCAAAGGTTTTATAGTCTCCTGGAAACAGGAAGTGTCCTAGTATGACAGAACTGCATTGTATCCAAATGGCCTCTTTCTGGATCTTCAGGGTAGTTGTCTTCTGGCTGGCTCTCTTCTTGCTTCTGCTATCTTGCTGGCGCACGCTGCTGGCTCAAGTAGCCTTGCACCTTGGGACTGGCCTGAGAAGGGAGGACTTATTTATCTCTTTAAACTTTCAGGCCCCGGGGAGAATCTTACACCTAAGAGTGGAAAGCCTGTGTCATATGGTGAATGTATTTTTAACTATCAAAGCATTTCCAAAGTGGCAACACCAGTGTATGCCACAGTTGACAATATATGAGGGATCCCATTTCTATAATTTATTTACTATTTTCTGTCTTTTTTATTATAGACATTCTGAGAGATTTAAAATGGTACTTCATTGTGGCATTAATTTACATTTCCCTAATGAATAATTACGTTGAGCTTCTTTCTTTGTGCTTGTTAGCCATTTCTATATCTTCTTTATTAAAATGTTCATTCAAATATTTCGCCTATTTTATTTAGGTGCTCATTTTCTTATTATTGACCTATAAGCAATCTCTGTATATTCATGATACAAGCCCTTATCAGATATGTGTTTTACAAAATATGATATTTTAGTGTTACTTTTTTTTTCATTTTCTTAATGATGTCTTTTGAAGTACAGATGTATTGAATTTTGATGAACTCTACTTTATCACCTTTTCTTTCTTACATTAACTTTGCTTTGGTGTCATAGCTAACACTTCATTGCCTAACCCAAATTTCAGAAGATTTCATCCTATGGTATTTACCAAAAGTTTTACTGTCATAACTAACTCTTTTTGTAAGATTATAATAATCTTTAAGTTAATTTTTACTTAGTGAAAGGTAAAAATCTAAGTTCATATTATCATGGATGAACAATTATCATAGTACCATCAATAGAATATCTATCCTTTTCCTTGACACCTTTGTCAAAAGTAAATTAACTATAAATATAAGGCTTTATTTCTGAAGTCTTAATCCTGTTCAGTTGACCTGCATATTTACTCTTATCCTGGTATCAAACTGTCATGATTACGGTAGCTTTCCAATACTTTTGAAATTGTAAAGTTAGAGTCTCTCAGCTCCATTCTATTTTTTCAAAATTATTTTGGCTGTTTTAGGTTTTTTGCAATCTCATGTTAGTCAAGGTTCTTCAAGGAAACAGAATCAGTAAGATATATGTAACTATGTAAGAGAAGATTTATTCTAAGGATTGGCTCACAAGATAATAGAGGCTGAGAAGTCCTATAATATACCATCTGCAAGCTGGAAAACTGGGAAAGCTGGTTGTGTAATTCAGCCCAAATTTGAAGGACTGAGAAATGGGAGTGGAAGAGGGGCGAACTGCTGTAAGTCCCAGAATTGGAAGGCTTGAGAACCAAGAGCTGTAATTTCTGAGAGCAGGAAAATTTGGATGTTCCAACTCAAGAAAACAGAGAGGATTCACTTGTTCCTGCCATTTTGCTGTATTTAACTCCCAACAGATTAGATAATGTCTATCCACATTGGTGAGGGCAGATCCTATTTACTCAATCTACTGATTCAAATAATAAATCACTTCCAGGAACATACTCATAGGCATACCCAGAAATAATATTTTACCAGCTATCTGGGCATCCCTTAGCCCAGTCATGTTGACACATAAAATTAAACATCAACAGTCCCATATAAATTTTAGGACCAATTCTCACTTTCTGTGAAAAGGCCTCCTGGAATTTTGATAGGGTTGGTGTTGAATCTATTGATCAGTTGAAAATAAATTGCCATGTGTAAGAGACTGAATCTTCCACATAAATGTGATATTCCACATAAATCTTTCACATAAATGTGAAATTCTTCTCTGATTATTTAGATCTTCTTTAATTTCCCTCAACAATATTTCATCATTTCCACTGCAACATTCTTGCAGTTCTGTTGTTAAAGTTAGATAAGTATCTTATCCTTTTAATTGCTATTATAAAGGAATTATAGAATAAATATATTTTGATAAAGAATACTCAAAAATTTCAAAATTGGAAGTTGTATTTAAAGAAAGAGAGCTATACATAACAAATAACTTTCAGTTTTCTGTAGATCAGCCTTTTAAACAGTTTGAATATTTAATAAGTTACTTATATAGTATCAAAATAATCAACACTTCTATGGCCCAGCACTTAATGGATATTTTATTCTGCAGGGCAGAATAACTGATAAAGCTTGAGAAAGGCTTTTATATTTAAGAAAATACAATTGAGAAAGTAAAGCACACTACATTTTCCTTTTAGAGATTCATTATATACATTAGCAAATTAAAGGCTCAGATGCCCATTCTAGTTTATTTGGCCATATTTTATAGAACATTTATTAACATATTAAGGAACTCCTAATGTATTTTAGAAGAGAATTTGGAACACCCTGGTACGGCAGCTTACAGTTTGCACAGCTTTTCTCAGGAGCATTGCATCTTATAACTACTTGTGAGAGTAGACATGGCTATTGCTATTAAAGAGCATCTAACCCAAGCCATGTATCTGGTAAGTATTAAAGCCAGGTCTTACACTCAGGACTTCTGCCCAAATGCCATTTTCATTTCATCCATGAAATCCAAGAGAAGTCTCATTCTCTGACTGAAGCATCAATCCTCTGAAGAATCATGTTACCATAAACAGATACACATTCAAGGTTTTGGAAATTCTTTGAGCAGTGAAGAACCTCCTGTAAGTATCACAACTTAGCAGTGTGAATTGTCTTCAGAGAGTGCTAAGAATTGAGAAGACAGCTGAGTGACAGAATGAAGATGTGTGAAGATGGAGCACAGGGCAGAGCTGACCTTAGAATTGCTGAAAGGCAATGGATAGGAAGAAAATGACATAGAAAATACAGACTATTCAAATTTGCTTTTGCTGGGCTTTGATACTGCCTGATCAAATGATGCTTTGCTTGTATTCTGTAGAAAATCCTGCAACTAAGAAATGTATAGGTTGATGTGAGCTAAATGAATGAAGCCAATAGAGTAATAATTAATTGAAAATACGCTAGTAAATGAATAGATATAAAAGTAGAACACAAAAAGGTAAATAAATTAATAGGGGAGAAATCACTAATTGAAATGTACATAGCTTAGATCATCAGAATATTTTTGAAAGTAAGTTGTCAGTTACTTTCTGGTTTGCTTGTTTAATTACCTTATTTCTCCCTTAGATCATACTTAAACAAAAAATGTTAACATTTGAAACTAGGGAATTTGTAAACATTAAATAGGCATCTATTTATAAATGTTGACAAAATTACAGTGGATTTAATTTGTGCATGATGAAATCAAGAATGACTAAGGAGATACTCATCATTTAAAAATAATAACCACTTTAAATACTTTAAAAATTCAGTGAATATTTATTCAGTGCCTGCTCTGTGCCAGGCAGTGTTCTAGGAGCTTGAAATCATCAGTAAACAAAACAAAAACCCATGTCCTAGTACAGCAGGGATTTTTACAATAAGCAAATCATAAACTAAAAAATAAGTATAATAAAGAAGTCAACTACATAGCATACTATATTCCCATAGTCAGCTACCTAGTGAGAAGGCAGTAAGTGCTGGAGGAAAAAATAAAAAAGTAGAGCAGAGTGCTGGGGATGAAGAATGCCTATGGGGTGGCGGTGTTACAAAAAGTGTGGGTATGAAATTGCAATGGTCAGAATGAGAAAAAATTGATATATCTATTTTAAATGTATATTTAATATTTTTATCCATATCTGATTTCATGTAAATACTTTTTCCTAAGATGGAAGGTGAACAGGTTTATGTAATTTCTAATTTAGAAAACGTATTTTCCATGATACTATATAGATAGTTGAAAGAAATATAAATATTTTCCTTTTTCCTTGGGTAAGCCTACGGGTTGACTCTTTTTTTTTCTTTCTTTCTTGCAATAGCATTTGTGTATACTTTTGATGCTTTCTTCTTATATTTAGCAAATGGAAATTTACTGAGGTTTGAGTTTATGAATACAATGGGTTAATTCATGGGGCAATACCACAAAATTGGGCATTATTTTTCATTTCTTTTAATTATCAGAGTGTTCAAGAGAGCAACTTAAGGCAATAAGATAATAGTTATTGAGAACATCAAGTAAGAAAGTTAGAGCTCATGAACTCTATTTCTCTGAAATAGGGTTTTCAATATTTATTGGCTCTAAATCAAATATCATGGTCAAGGCTGAGTGTAAAATGAGATATAAGAGAAGCAGTTGATTTTCTAATGTTTAAAATGTTCTTTCTAATTCTTCCATCCTAAGAAATGCATTTAATTTTACAATACATGAAATTCAAGCTACTTAGAGTATTGAAATGTAATAGCTTGTCTTTAATCTAATGACTAAAATAAAGGAATAAATTAGTTGGGTGTCACACAGCCAGCCTCATTTTGTTAAATCTTGGAACTTTACATTACTGGTATTCTCCACTGCAAGCTGCTGATTCTGATAAATCAAAAATAATCAAATGGCATAACCGTACAACAAAATAAAAATCAAATTATATTCCAAAATAGTATCAACTTTATCTAGGATTTCTTCATTCATACATTCACTCATTCATTCATTCATTGAAAATTTGTCTTTTGAGAACTTAATCTGTTCTAGGTACAGTGGCAAGTGCTAGGATTAAAACATGGCCAGGACTTGATCCTATTAAATAGACATGTGTTATTACTAAATGTGTCCTTTCACAAATTGGTATGTTGAAGGCCTAATCCCCAATGTGACTATATATGGAGATAGGTTCTGTGAGGAGGGAATAAGGTTAACAGGTCATAAGCGGGGTGTTCTACTTCAATAGAACTGGTATCCTTAGAAGAAGAGGAGCGGACCTCAGATCTCTTTCTCTCCACCATGCGAGGACACAGTGGCATGACAGCCACCTATAAGACAGGAAGAGAGTTGTCATCAAAAAGAAAATTGGCTGACACTTGATCTTGAACTTCCCAGGATCCAGAATTATGAAAAAATAATCTGTTGTTTAAGGCACTTAGTTTATGGTATATTGTTCTGGAAGCTTGAGCTAACTAATACAATGTGTCAACTACATATCACCATCCATTGTAGTGAGTGGCATGATAGAAGTCCATAGGGGCCCAGTAGAAGAAGTGACTGCTCAAATGCAAAGGCTTCATAGAGAGGAAGACATTTGAACTGGTTCTTAAAGGATCAGTAGGGATTTGCTAGGCAGTGATGGTAGCAGTGCATTTGAGAGAAAGTTCCTGGTATTTGCTGAATGCTTGTTTCTTGCCACAGAGTCATTCCTTCTAAGCCTCTCACTCATCCTATCTCATCAAAACTATTTTTGTGCTCAAAAAATAAAATAGCCTTAATGAATGTTATCAATTCATTTCCATAAATGTTACTGCTCTTCCACAGTGATGTTCCAGGGCTTGCCACAGTTCTCATTTCTGTAACCTCACTGTATGATGCCAGACTTAAGAATGTTTGTAGGAAATGTGGCTTGAAGCCCTTTTACAATTACTGAGGTAAATGAAAAAAAAAAAAAAAAAAGAAGAAGCACTATGTGCAGTAAACACAGGCATGAAGGCAAACCCTTGTGCCATAAGCATCCCTGGAAACAATGGTTCAGAAACATCACCTTTAATCATTTCCTGCCAAAATGGTAAGTTACAGCCTGTCTGCGTTCCCATCTCATCTTGTTCTTATTTTTCCTTTCACCTATACTAATATGTTATAATTGTTCATTTCTACCTCAACCACTGGACTATGGGTTCCACTGTGCAGGTGATATTTTACTCCTTCCCTTTCTGCTGTCAACACTCATTTATTCACTCAATCAATCATTCATTCACCTTTCTATATTTAATGCCTACAGGATACCAGTGACAGTGCTAGACACTGGTTGACAGCAGCAGTGATTGTTCATCAGCAGTAAGGGAGACAGGCAATACAGAAACAACAACAACAACAAAACCAAGTTTATTTCAGTGATAAGGGTTCTGCAGGAAGTAAACTATCTAATACAGGAGACACAAACTGTGGACAGTGATGGGGAAAGTTAAGTCCTGAAGATGAGAAGGAGCCAGTATTCTAAAGATGAGTGAGGAGCCAGGGTCTGGCAAGTGCAAAGGCCCGGGGGAAGTAAAGAGCTTGATTTTATTGAGGAAAAGAAAGGGTTATAAGCATAATGGGTAGGGAGTATGTGAATTGGAGAGGGAAAATAAGGTTGGGCCTTTGAGATCCTATTGAGAACTTTGGATTTGCTACAGGAGAAAACCATTAAAGAATGTTAACCAAAGGATAAATTTTATTTGCTCATGTTCAATTGCAAGACACGATTTACACTTTTAAAACAATTACTCTACCTGCTTTAATCTGGTGTGCAAACCAGATTAAAGGTGGGCATTTCCAGAAGCGGAGGCTGAGGGGGCAGTTAGGAAGCAATTGCTACACTCCAGGTGAAGGTGAAGAGGACCTGAGGTCAAGTGAGTAGCGGTGCAGATGGGAGAGAAGAGAACGCATTTGAGGTATGTTTGCAGAGACAGGCATAAATGATTCATTATGGATTGACTGTCAGGGCTCAGGAAAAAGGAGGATTTAAGAATGACTTTTTAAGTCTTTATTGTATTGTTATTTAACAAAGTAGAAGAGAAGGAAAGGAACAGGTTTTGAGAGAAAAAAATAGAGTTATTTTCTGAACCATATTAAGTTTTTAATGATTATTCATTATTTTGTTAGAGAAATCAGATACTGGGATATAAGAGGATGAAGCTCAGGGCAGATTTTTAAGTGAGGCAGAGGCTTGAGGTGGTATTAAAAGCTCTGAGAGTTGTGATTAAATGGAAGAGAGTGAAGACCAGGAAGCAAAGAGGCTGAGGACTGAAGCCTCCTGCGTGCCTGTAGACGGAAGGCAAGATATAGAAGCAGATGACACAACACAGAGACAGAAAAGCAGCGGCCAGAAGTGGAGGAGGAAAAGGAGCAGAGTGTGACCACATCAAGGCAGGGGCAGCCAGCTGAGAGGCTGCGTGAGATGAGCTGACAAGTGTCCACAACATTTGGGATGTTGGTGACCTTCCAAGAATGGTTCCATGGGGGTGGTGGTGACAGAAGCCAGACTGGGGAGGGCTGCAGAGAAAACTCCTAGGTTCACAGTTTCCTCACATCGTTAATTAACCTGAAGCCTCTACATTGTACCTAAACCTAACCCGGACCTTTCTGAATATACTTCATTTACCCCAAAAATTAGTCTTGGAATGGGGTATATGTTGAATTGTTAGCCTATTGTAATATGAAGTGCAGTTTTTAGAATTTCCTGGGAAAGAAATCAGGTCCACTAATAATGGTTTTCGGGCTATATTTTGTTGTTGTTGGACAATTTTAGGATGTGTCATCCTCCCAATAGAAGAATCATTATAAGTGGGCACTCTCTTTTTGATCTCATTGCCATTTCGTTAATACCACAGTTAGGGTTTGTAAAGAAAGTGTATTAGAAGAGACAAAGGACATCTCTCATCACGGGGTTCTTTTTTTTTCTTCTCTTTCTTCCACCCAATTTGAAAAATAAATCTCTATTGCCCAATCTGGGTACTTTCTGGAAGCCAGAAAGAGAGAGAAAGCTTTCCCTCAAGTAACCTGTCTCATGGCCTGTTTGTCAGTGAGCATAATAATTATCTTCGAGCGTGAATAAGGAGAAAATTTAAAAAAAAAACCTTTAAAATAATTAGCTAAAATCGTTTTCTTTCTTTCTACACATGAACAAGTTTGACTTTCCTTTTATCTTCTTTTGTTTGTTTTCCTCTAACCTTAGTTTATTCAAAGTCTTTGCATAGCTGCCCCGAGGCTTGGTTTGGATTCAGAGTGAAGATTCAACCACAGAGCACTTGTGAGGGGGACTTGTGGAAAGTTTTTTTTTATGTTTTCCTTTCCATCTTGGGGACGCCTAAAAATAACTTGCAGGTGGGCAACTCAATTCAGAGCCAAATTCTACCTCTGTTCTTTATTATATTGTTTCATTTTTAGAAAGTCTTACAGTTGATACTGAAGTTTTTGATTTTTTTCTGGATCCGCAGTTTTCCAGAGTTATTTTATAGGCCTATATAAAGTCCATAATCTTGTTTTTATTATAATTTTGGTTTTGGTAAATGAGCAATGGAGTAGAATTTAGACCTAGAGCCAAATGCTGTCTTTTCCCTCCTGCACTGAAGTGGTCCCTGGTTGTTACTTGATCCTTACGTTGAACATCAAAGATTCAGGTCTCTTTTAGTAAATGTGAACAGCAGAAAACCTCTCTGCTGAAATGATATAGGGGTAAAGCAGTTGATCCCACCCAACATTGCAATGTTGAATTATCTGCAGACAGAGTTGATTTTTTCCTTAATTGAACTATTTAGAAGCTTACAGCAAATAGCCACATTCACAAATTCATGGTGTCTCCAATCAATCATGACTTAATTGTACATTTTAAAAGAACCTAGAGTGTAATTAGATTATTTGTAATTCAAAGGATAAATACTTGAGGAGATGGATACCTCATTCTCCATGATGTGCTTATTTCACATTGCATGTCTGTATCAAAACATCTCATGTGCCCTATAAATATATACACCTACTATGTACCCCAAAAATTAAAAATTAAAAATTCACATTGTCTTATATTATCACTGGTAGAATCATCACTAAATTCCAGTTCTTGAGGTAATCTTGTGAATGTTTGTTGGGTCTGCAGCCATTCTGCCTTGTAAATTCTGGTTTAAACAAATGCATGTACTCTATTTTTTTTTCTAATTGTATGTTACTCTGTACCTCAAAATGACCCCTTTAATAATAAATAATTAAGACCATAAACTCTTCAATTGACTACTATCATGCAGTACATGTAGAAGCATCACAACTAGCTCATTACGATTAATCTAGGGGAAGCAATGTGGTTATAATTAATTTCTACCCAATTCTGCTCCCTATAGTGGGGATGTACCCATCTGTTTATACTTATTGAAGACTTACTACCCTCGGGATCATCGTCATCTAAATCACAAAAATTACTGATACTGTGCTTAAAATTAAAGAATACTTTCAGTGCATTTGAGGGGCATGGAAGAACACTGGATTTGAATCAGCAGAATTGAGTCAACAGGACACAAGGAGCATGTCCTTTTTTAATTTCAAATTTTGGGGCCTAAGTCCTACATACTTAAATTTGGGAGTTTAAATTAAGTGATATCTCTATTCCCTTCATCCAAAATTGTAGGAGGTGATACAACATAGTCTTTTTTTCCTTTCTTTTATTTAAAACATTGATTAACTTCACACGTAAGACGTGGTTTCCATGTAAGATAAAATGAATCACATAATACAAATAAACATTTCTCTTTTGACCTACCCTGGGTTTTCCTATCTCTGTTTCAGCCCCTGAAGAAACAAATCTCAATTTCAATGTGAATGCTTTTGCTTCTTTTATATTAATTATAATGTAAATATATTCTTTTAAAAATGATAAAACTATATTTTTAATATCTGCATATCATCTGTCTTATGAATGTACCATAATATATTTAACCATTATACCTATGGCAGGATATTTATATTATTTCTTGTCTTTTAAAATAATTATAATGAAAATCCTCTTTGCGCACAAATGCAATTAATTCTAGAGGAGAAAATCTAACAGGTGAAATGATGACTGCATCTGAGTAAAGCATATTCAAACAATTTAACACATATTGTCAAAAATGTCTCCAAAAAGCTGCAGTATACATAATATAATTCTTTCATGTGAATGTTTAAGATCCTGCTAGTCTGTTGGCCAAAAATCTACCATCTCATTATTTTTGTTTGTTTTTCCATGATTACTAGTGAAAATGAGGTTCTTCTTGTGATTTTTTTTTTGCATTTCTGTTTATATTCTTTGCTCAGCCTTTCTATTTTTAAACATCAATCTATATAAGATTTTGAAGTATTCTGAATATCAATCCTATTTCTTTGTAATTTGGACAAACTTTTGTTTTTCCAATTTGTAACTTTCATTCTTCCTTTGTTTATGGTGATTTTTTTGTTGGGTACATGTTTTGTCAAATAGGGATCCATTTAAAATAGTTACCAAAATGGATGTGGGTACTTTTTACGTAAGAAAGCCTGTTGTGAAGAAATCAAAAGTCAATAGATTTATTGAAAACCTACTCTGTGCAAGGCACTGCATCAGAAATAATAAATGAAGGATAATAATTAACATAAAATGAGTAATCACTTGAGTTTCTTAATGTAGCATATTTTAATATATCTTTCTGTACTTATTGTAGTCTTAAATGTTTAATTAGGAGGCAAGAAAAGGCTTTGAAATAATTTTATAGTATTTTTAATTGTAAAATAAAGATCCCACATCCCAGAAATATTATTGTCATTAATTTGACCCTAAATCATAAAATCGTAGAATGCTGGGAAGGAAGATATGTTTAACATTACATAGTGTAAATGTTGCCTAGTGCAATAATTTCCTGCATTAAAATACATCCAGTGATTGAGAACCCTTTGCTTTTTCAAGTTGTACATCTTCTCCCCTCTTTCTGTTCCTCTCTCCCCTTCCTCCCTCCCACTTTTCTTCCTTTCTTTGATTTTTTTTGTTTGTTGATAACTGTCCTAGTAGAATTGTGCTTGATATAGTTTGGATATTTTCCCTGTCCAAACCTCATGTTCAAATGTCATCCCTGATATTGGAGGTGTGACCTGGTGGGAGGCGATTGGACTGGGTTAGTTCCATCCTTTTGGTACTGTCCTCACCATAGTGAGTGAGTTCCTGCAAGATTCGGTCATTTAAAAGTGTGTGGCACCTCCTGCTTCTCTGTCTTGCTTCTGCTCTGACAATGTTACATGCCTACTCTCCCTTCATCTTTCACCATGATTATAAGCTTCTTGAGGCTTCCCCATAAATGAATCGGATGCCAGCATCATGCTTTCTGTACAGCCTGCAAAACTGTAAGCCAATTAAACCCATTTTATTTATAAATTACCCAGTCTCAGCCATTTCTTTATAGTAATGCAAGAATGCAGTAATAGAGTTCTTTTTTGTGTGCCTCCTGAAATCTGCCTGGCTTTAAATTTTACTCTTTGCTTCTTTTTGTCGTAATTATATTTCAATATGTTTATGATGAACTAAACATATTGTTATTGAGAATAGTTATCTGGACATCCATATGTAATATATATTCACACTATATGTGTATGTTTGTGTGAAGAGGGCAGGAAAATATTACCAAGCTTCTGTCTCCTTTAGGCTCCTGCATCTTGTATAAATATGAGCCCACTGACTTGCCATTTTTGTAAGACCATGCTGTTTTTAATAGAACCTCTTCCACTGACAAGTCTTCCTGGTGCCCCTTGTCTGACTAACTTCTATTTGTCCTGCTGTTCCTGGCTACCTGTGAGCACCTTTAGAAAGTTTCCTCTGAGCTTAACCTCTCCCAGGACCCAATCTAGATTGGGTTCTTCTGCCCTCTGGTATCCCATGCTTACCCTTATCAAGGGACATATCACACTACTTTGGAATTGCTTGTTGACGTGCATGTAGGTTTCTCATTAGGCTATCAGCATCCTGAGGGCAGGTCTTTCCCATCTCTGTTGCCCTGGGACCTTGCACGGTGCAGAGTAGACTCAAATTTGTTGAAGGTACAAGAAATGAAAGAAAGTATAAACAGACTCTTTAATTTTTAGTCTCAGTTACAAGACCCTGGAAAAGTTGCCCCATGATTCATCCTATGCTAGTCTCCCTTTTCTGCCTTCCAGGACTCAATCTTTTTCTACGTCTTCTTCTCTGCCCTTCCTTGATGGAAACCAATCTCACTTTTGGTATCTCCTATTCTGCCTCTTTGTGCATTATCTCCATGAGACAACATGGTGGGGGTGGGGACCCTATGAACTCCCCGGATATATGCATATTTTAGTCTCTATAATATTTATTTAAAAATCGTATCTTTCTCTGCCATCTCAACATAAAGTATTCTGGGTACCAAATGGCTCACAGTTTATGTGTTATAAGGCAGGATTTGGCATTATTTGTGTGGCCTGTATGGTTTTTATTTTCTTTATCTGTGTTTTCTAAATTGATTACAATAAAAATGTAGTATTTCTGTATAGAAAATAATAGTTAAAATATTTGAAACATGAGTTATTAGATTTAGCAATGAGGAGATCTCTAATATCCCTCTGGTAAAATATTACGGGAATCATGAAGGAAAAAATAAGATTGTGAGGAGGTAAGATTTCTAAGCTTACTATATAACAATTTGGAACTTTAAAACTTCTTACCCTACTGAGATGAACTTCAATTTAAATTTTAAAAACTACCATATGTTGATAATTTCAGGGTAATTCTAGTGAGTTTAGTTTAATTGCCCAGGGATGGGTTATAGCTTTCATTTCTTCTTTCTCCATGGCAATGAAGAAACTTAATGTCAGAATCCATCATTCCAGGTACAGTCTCGGTAGTCACTGAAGCCATGAGGCTGACATTTGTGGATTGTAGAGGGGATAGCCATATTAAAACAGTCTGCATTTCAAGTTTCACCTGGATCATTTTAATTTAGGTAAAATTGGGCTCCTTCTCTCTCCTGACTATTAAAAGTAATTACACATTCAAAGGCCTCACTCCAGAACCCTCTGGATACAACAGCATGCATGATAGAGATGGCACAAGCTTTAGAGTTAGAAGAGCATTGGAGTTGGACTGTCAGCAGCACCACTTGCCCATTGTGTCCTTGAATATGAAAATCTAATCTTTCAAAGTCTTAGCTCTTCGTCATCAAACCAGTGTTCTTATGAGGCTTTATGATTCAATTAATACTTGATATTTATGAATCTTGGTTATTTTCTCTACCTTCCTACTCTCTCCTCCTCTACTACTGGTTTTCTCATATTAAATAAATGCTTATTCTTTTCCTATGAATGACAATATCTCATTAGAGAAACTAATGAAAGCTGTGGATTCTCTCTCCAGGAAGATATACACATGCACAAAAGTTGACACATAATTTCAGACTATTCATGTACCCCCATGAAATACTTTCATGGGCACAGTCATTAGGAAACATTGCTTAACATTTTTAATTTCAACTCAGTTCCATTTTTCCTTTGATAGACTTTCCCATGGGACTCAAATCTTAGAGTCTTTTCAAAGCACTGTTTGAGAATGAGGAGTGTGAAATCTCTCACCATCCACCAGCAAACACAACAAGACAGCTACCAATGAGTTGAAGTGACTTCTTGAAGACTGAAACCAACATTGCCTTTCTATTCTTATTTTGTCCAATTTTCTAGGATTCGGTAGTTCAAAGCAACCATAGTTTACCTCCAGAAAGCAAAGGAGGATCAAATTCTTGCTGATCGGATTCTCTGAAGCCTCAAAGCTGAAATTACCAGCCTCCTTTGGATTTTCATACCTATACTCAAGGGGAATTAAGGAGTCAATTGATTAAATCCCCAAATTAAAGTTATTTGATGTCTGTTCCGTGTGCTTGCAACACCCCCTGAAAGTAGAAAACATTTATTTTTTTTCTGGCCTTAGAGAATTTCTCTGGCTGCAAGGATCCTCTTTGCTTTGGCTAAAGTGCAGGAGACTTACCCACTGAAGCAGTCCTCAGTCAATTACTGATGGAAATTGGTGCATCACTACCCTAGTTTTCTCACAACTATGGCAAGATAACTCAGACATTGACATAAATTTACATTTACTCTTAAAGCTTCCTCAGTTGCATTATGTCCTTATTGCCCTCAGTGGTAACTTGCTTGGTAAAGCACACTTTATTGATCTTTTTCCTTTCCTGTCTTGCTTCTCATTTACCAATCAGTGTTTCCTTTATTCCCACATAGATTACTTACTTTTGAATCATGTCAGGGTCAGCTTCTGGAAGAATCAAAACTACATCATTATCTAATATACTCAAGGGGCATGCTTTTGGCTCTCATATATTGCAGGACTGTTAACATTCTTAATCACCACCCTCTAAATGCCTATAGTAGTCCCTGGGCATTGTGACAACCAAAGTACCTGCTCACACATCAAAAGCTCCCCCAACCCCCAGGGAGGCAGAAATACTACCTCTAGTTAATGATTGTTGATTGTCTTAGTCTGTGTTGTGCTGGTAAAACAGAATAACACAGACTGGGTAATTTATCATGAAAAAAAATTTATTTGATTCATGATTCCAGAGGCTGGGAAGTCCAAAATCAAGGGGCTACATTTGGTGAGGTCCTTCTTGAGTCATATATGGCAGAAGGCACCACATGAATGAGAGGGAAAGAGAGGGCCTAACTCATCATTTTTCAGGAGCTGATTTCCAAGATAACTTAACCACTCCCTCAATAATGGCATTAACCCATTCATGAGCGTTCTGCCCTCATGACCTAATCACCACTTAAAGACCCCACCTCTCTACTTTGTTGCAGTTGCAATTTAGTTTTCAACACATGAATTTGGGGAACATATTCAAACAATTGCACTGATCTACCAGACAAATCTTATGATTCTAGTTTAAAATATGTACTTGAATAATTGTCTTAAGCTTATAATTTTAAGTTAAAATAATTCTTCAAGGTTTTGCAAATAATATTAGAATATGTAAGATCATTTAAGATTTACTGTATTTATATCTCTAATTTATTAGGTTTATAGGAATCAGTTAAGTTCTTGGGGCATATTCGTTTGGTATTCAGATAGTTGAATTGCATATAAAAGAAAATCAAATATATTAAGTGTATAAATGCTGTTTAAAATATTTAACAAAATTTAATTAACTAAGCTGTAATATCTCTCTTAAAAGTCATACTTAATTTACTGAATTTATAAATAGAATCACATGTTTGTAAATTAAATCTAAATGCTTTATAAAAACTAAGCCTTTGAATTTATAGCTTTAATACATTGAATATTAATTTAAAAAATTGTAGTAACCCTAAATAATCTTTCTGCATGCACTGACCTCAAATACAGAAACAATCTTCCATTCATAGTGTTAAAGAGCTTTTGGCCTTTGTCCTAAAGAGATCACTAAGAATTTCTCTTCCTACTTTATCACACCTAGCCCATCTTTCAAAGTATAATTATAACTCTACCTTCCCAGTGAAACCTGTGTTGATGTCTCCAGTTCTCATTTATTCCTTTATCTTTGAATTTCTACTATATTTATAGTCTACATTGTGCAATTTCACCACAATCTAGTTTCTTATGCTATTATTGTAAGATTTTATTCCATATATGTTAGTATAGCCTTGCAACTGGATTGATAGTTTCATGCTTTTCACTCCTTTTGAATCACCCAAAGTCTTTCCTAAACCCATCCTGCCCTCTCCCATTGTGCAGCATCCCAGCTCCAGAGAAAGTTCCCGGCTGGTTCTAGTATTACTATCCTCATCAACACAGTATTTACTTCAAGTAAATGGACTTAAGCCAATTGGCCCATGACATTGCGCCAGCCACAGGTTGCCCCAGCCACAGGTTCAGCCTTCATTTATGATTGTGCAGGGCTCAGCTTCATGCAGCGATTCTGACTATAGTTGCACCAATTATCTCTTGCCACAAATGATGCTCCTTAGAAGCCACCTCAAAATTCAATGGCTAAAAAATAACCATTTATTATGTCTTCCAAGTTTAAGAGCCAGCTTTAAACCATTGTTTCCATTCACTTGAAATTCAGTTTGAATTAGGTTTTCCTTTAACTTGAAGAATTTTAACTCATACAACTTCATAGCCTCTAATAGATTTGACAGAGTGCTTGGTGCACTGGTTCCCAAACTTGCAGGGCTGGTAGAATCCTGATTTTATTCTTTCCTTCACCCTGAGATTTTGATTCAGTGGTTTCGAAGTGAGTTCATTTTCAAAAAGTTCCTCATAGAATTCCAATGTGTTTCCAGGTCTAGGATCTACTGCTCTAGTTAATAATGTAGGATGTGTACTCAATAAAGTGGTTTTGAGTGACTTTAAGAAAATATTAGGAGTTGACATTCATAATCACAAACTTTAATTCCCAAAGAAAGAAATATTGACACAAATTCATTCAAAACCCTCTCTGATGGTCAATGAAGTGAATGAATTTGTCACACACCCAGAATTACATGCCCTGTATTGAAATGCTGCATAATTAATGTTCCAGATTTCTTAAAATTTTGGAATAAAGAGGCTCATACTGTGAATGTAATACAAACTTTTGTTGTTAACATAATTTTAAAACAAAGAGGATTGTGTGTGTCTATGTTTGTGCGTGTGTGTGTGTGTGTGTATAGAAAAGAAGGCTTAAAAAGTGTGGTATGCTGCTTCAAAATAGACGTTCTTGAACAAACATTGTAGGCAGTGTCCTAAGAAAAGCTTGTAGCCTTGTGTATTGGTACAGAAGCTTGTTAACAAACCCAGCACACTGGCAGGAACCATATATTAAGAACTTCCTTTGACAGAGGGATCTCTCTTGCATTTCCAAGTTCTCTTTAAATAAACTGATGGCTCTCTGGAGGTTTTATTCAACACTTAGATGTGTATCATTCTGTAGCATATAATAAATCCTATGATTTATTTTTGCTTCTCTAGGTGAAAAAAGTTATTAAATGCACAACAGATTTGTCAATGGGATTTCAGATTAGCTTCATTGATCTCAATTTTTGGTTATGCAAAAGTGCTTCTACACACCAAGATTTCACGCATTCCACTTGATGCCTGATTTACAGCCATATATTTGAATGAAACAGAGTAAAGCATGGATCTGTGTTTTTCTGGGGAAAACACTGTCTTTTAAAAAAATAAAATAGATTTGTTCATAATTTCTGAATGAAAATTGCAATTCACGGTGCTACTAATTTCAAGAACAGCATTCTTCATTTTATAGCAAAGAAATATAGTTGTGCTATTTACTTCATGCTCCTTAAAGGAGTGTGAAGAGAGAACATTTGTATTTCAAAACTGATTATTTATTCCAATGAAATTTAAGAAATGTGTTTATATGGACAGATGTTGAGCCTAAAATGAAATTAAGCCTCTTAAAAACAAATTAATGTTTCACTCAGAGAGAAGAGACTGTAGAATAATTTTACTTAATTTGGTAAGTAACCAATATCTACTACTTATAATACACTGTCCTAGATGTTGAGGTATAAAATTGCATTATATAGAGTTAATGTCTTCATGAAATTCAGAGACTAGCAGGGATAAGCAAAAATACTACATATTAAAAAATCATTTGGAAATAAAAATAAGGTCCTTAAAGAATATACAAAGATGTAAAAAGAAGAAACAATTGATTTGGTTATTGCAGGATGGGTAGGAATTAGTGCATTATCTGTTTTCTTTTTTATTTTTATTTAGGGTGAGGGAAAGAAGGGATAATGACACAAGATTTTTCATCTGAAACCACGGATATCAGAAGAAAGTGACATAATACTTTTTATATTTCAGCAAAAGAAAAGAAATATCAACCCTAAAATTTACATGCAGCAATTATATATGCAACCAATTGGTGTAATATATCATGTCAAATAATTTAATCAACACATGGTCATTTTAATAGATGAAGAAAAATCAAAAAAACTTTTATGATAAAAACAGTCAATAAACTAGGAATAGATTGCAACTTTTCACTTGATGAACGGTAGCTACAAAAATGTAAAGCTGACATCATACTTAATGGTGAAAGACTGAATCCTTTCTCCCTAAGATCAGGAACAAGGCAATAATTTTTACTATCAGCACTTCTATTGAGCAGTGCACTCTAGGTTCTAAGCAAGGTGGTCTGAAAGTAAAAGAAATTAAGAAGAGCCAAAACAATAAAAATAAGTAAAACTATTTCTGTTTGTAGGTGGTGTGATCTTGTACATGGACAAAGAATCCACTAAAAAACTCTTAGAAGTAATAACAAATTCAGGAAGGTGGGAGGATATAAGATCAATACAGAAAAATACATTGTATATTTATACACTTGGGATGAACAATGCAAAAACAAAATTACCAAATCAACTTCCTTTAAAATAGCATAAAAAAATCAAAAATAAATTTAACAAAGGAAGTGCAAAACTTATACTCTGAAAACTACAAAACAGTGTTTAAGGAAATTTAAAAAGATCTAAATCAATGGAAAATTGTTTCTTATACATAGACTGAAAAAAATAACATTATTAAGATTACAATATCCCTCAAACTGATCTAGAGATTCCACAAATTTACTGTAGGAATCCCAGAAATTTTCTGTAGAAATTGACAAGCTTAATCTAAAATTTAAATGAAATTATAAAAACCCTGAATAGCCAAAACAATCTTGAGGAAGAAAAAAGTAGGAGCACTGACACTTCTCAACTTCAAAATTTACTACAAAGCAACAGTAACCAAGACATTGTGGTAGGGTATAAGGATAAACATATAGGTGAATAAAAAAATAATGGAGAAGAGTCCTGTTCCAAGATGGCAGAATAGAAACAGCTCCAGTCTGCAGCTCCCAGCATGATCAATGCAGAAGCTGGGTGATTTCTGCATTTCCAACTGAGGTACCTGGTTCATCTCACTGGGACTGGTTGGATAGTGGGTGCAGCCCATGGAGGGTGAGCCGAAGCAGGTTGGGACATTGCCTCACCCGGGAGGGGCAAGGGGTCAGGGGATTTCCCTTTCCTAGCCAAGGGAAGCTGTGACAGACTGTACCTTGAAGAATGGGACACTCCCGCTTAAATACTGCACTTTTCCAAAGGTCTTAGCAAACAGTGCACCAGGAGATTATATCCCATGCGTGGCTTGGCAGGTCCCACACCCAAGGATTCTCACTCCCTGCTAGCACAACAGTCTGAGATAGACCTGTGAGGCAGCAGCCTGGCAGGTGGAGGGGTATTCGCTATTGCTGAGGATTGAGTAGGTAGACAAAGTGGCTGGGAAGCTCGATCTGGTCGGAGCCCACTGTAGTGCTGCAAGGCTTCCTGCCTCTATAGACTCCTCCTCTGGGGGCAGAGCATAGCTGAACAAAAGACAGTAGAAACTTCTGCAGACTTAAATGTCCCTATCTGACAGCTCTGAAGAGAGCAGTGGTTCCTCCAGCACAGTGTTTGAGCTCTGAGAACAGACAGACTGCCTCCTCAAGTGGGTCCCTGACCCCTGTATAGCCTAACTGGCAGACACTTCCCAGTGGGGGCTGACTGACACCTCACACAGGCAGGTGACCCTCTGGGACAAAGCTTCCAGAGGAAGGATCAGGCAGCCAAATTTGCTGTTCTGCAATATTTGCTGTTCTGCAGCCTCTGCTGGTTATACCCAGGCAAACAGGTCTGGAGTGGACTATAGCAAATGCCAACAGACCTGCAGCTGAGGGACCTGACTGTTAGAAGGAAAACTAACAAACAGAAAGGAATAGCATCAACATCAACAAAAAAGGCATCCACACAAAAACCCCATCTGTAGGTCACCAACATCAAAGACCAACGGGAGATAAAACAACAAAGATGGGGAGAAACTAGAGCAGAAAAGCAGAAAATTCTAAAAATAAGAGTGCCTCTTTTCCAAAGGATCGCAGCTGCTCACCAGCAAGAGAACAAAACTGGTTGGAGAATGACTGACAAGTCGACAGAAGTAGGCTTCAGAAGGTTTGTAATAATGAACTTCTGCGAGCTAAAGAAGGATGTTCGAACCCATCGCAAGGAAGCTAAAAATCTTGAAAAAAGATTAGATGAATGGCTAACTAGAATAAACAGTTTGGAGAAGACCTTAAATGACTTGATGGAGCTGAAAACCATGGCACAAGAACTACGTGATGCATTCACAAGCTTTAGTAGCCGATTTGATCAAGTGGAAGAAAGGGTATCAGTGACTGAAGATCAAATTAATGAAATAAAACAAGAAGAGAAGTTTAAAGAAAAAAGAGTAAAAAGAAATGAACAAATCCTCCAAGAAATATGGGACTATGTGAAAAAACCAAATCTACGTCTGATTGGTGTACCTGAAGGTGATGGGGAGAATGAAATCAAGTTGGAAAACACTCTTCAGGATATTATCCAGGAGAACTTCCCCAACCTAGCAAGGCAGGCCAACATTCATATTCAGGAAAAACACAGAACACCAGAAAGATATTCCTCGAGAAGAGCAACCCCAAGACAAATAATCGTCAGATTCACCAAGGTTGAAATGAAGGAAAAAATGTTAAGGGCAGCCAGAGAAAAAGGTTAGATTACCCACAAAGTGAAGCCCATCAAACTAGCAGCAGATCTCTAGGCAAAAACTCTACAAGCCAGAAGAGAATGAGGGCCAACATTCAACATTCTCAAAGAAAAGAATTTTCAACCCAGAGTTTCATATCCAGCCAAACTAAGCTTCATAAGTGAAGGAGAAATAAAATCCTTTACAGACAAGCAAATGCTGAGAGATTATGTCAACACCAGGCCTGCCTTACAAGAGCTCCTGAAGGAAGCACTAAACATGGAAAGGAACAACCGGTATGAGCCACTGCAAAAACATGCCAAATTGTAAAGACCATTGATACTATGAAGAAACTGCATCAATTAACAGGCAAAATAACCAGCTAACATCATAATGACAGGATCGAATTCACACATAACAATATTCACCTTAAATGTAAATTGGCTAAATGCCCCAATTAAAAGATACAGACTGGCAAATTGGATGAAGAGTCAAGACACATCAGTGTGCTGTATTCAGGAGACCCATCTCATGTGCACAGGCACACATAGGCTCAAAATAAAGGGATGGAGGAAGATCTACCAAGCAAAGGGAAAGCAAAAAAGACAGGGATTGCAATCCCAGTCTGTGATAAAACAGAATTTAAAGCAACAAAGATCAAAAGAGACAAAGAAAGTCGTTACATAATGGTAAAGGGATCAATTCAACAAGAAGAGCTAACTATCCTAAATATATATGCACCCAATACAGGAGCACCCAGATTCATAAAGCAAGAGACCTACAAAGAGACTTAGACTCCCACACAATAATAATGGGAGACTTTAACACCCCACTGTCAATATTAGACAGATCAATGAGACAGAAGGTTAACAAGGATATCCAGGAATTAAACTCAGCTGCACCAAGCGGATCTAATAGACATCTACAAAACTCTCCACCACAAATCAACAGAATATACATTCTTCTCAGCACCGCATCACACTTATTCCAAAATTGACCACATAGTTGGAAGTAAAGCACTCCTCAGCAAATGTAAAAGAACAGAAATAGCAACAAACTGTCTCTCAGACCACAGTGCAATCAAATTAGAACTCAGGATTAAGAAACTCACTCAAAACCACACAACTGCATGGAAACTGAACAATCTGCTCCTGAATGACTACTGGGGAGGTAACGAAATGTAGGCAGAAATAAAGATGTTCTTTGAAACCAATGAGAACAAAGACACAAGGTACCAGAATCTCTGGGACACATTTAAAGCCGTGTGTAGAGGGAAATTTATAGCACTAAATCCCCACAAGAGAAAGCAGGAAAGATCTAAAATTGACACCATAACAGCACAATTAAAAGAACTACAGAAGCAAGAGCAAACACATTCAAAAGCTAGCAGAAGTCAAGAAATAACTAAGATCAGAGAAGAACTGAAAGAGATAGAGACACAAAAAACCCTTCAAAAAATCAATGAATCCAGGAGCTGGTTTTTTGAAAAGATCAACAAAATTGATAGACCGCTAGCAAGACTAACAAAAAGAAAAGAGAGAAGAATCAAATAGACGCAATAAAAAATGATAAAGATATCACCACTGATCCCACAGAAATACAAACTACCATCAGAGAATACTATAAACACCTCTACGCAAATAAACTAGAAAATCTAGAAGAAATGAATGAATTTCTGGACACATACACCTCCCAAGACTAAACCAGGAAGAAGTGGAGTCTCTGAATAAACCAATAACAAGCTCTGAACTTGAGATAATTAATATAGGCTATTAATTAATATAGGCTATTAATTAATATAGGCTAATAATAATTAATAGCCTACTGACCAGACGGACTCATAGCTGAGTTCTACCAGAGGTACAAGGAGAAGCTGGTAGCATTCCTTCTGAAACTATTCCAATCAATAAAAGAAGAGGGAATCCTCCCTAACTCATTTTATGAGGCCAGCATCATCCTGATACCAAAGCCTGGCAGAGCCACAACAAAAAATGAGAATTTTAGACCAATATCCCTGATGAACATTGATGCAAAAATCCTTAATAAAATACTGGCAAACCAAATCCAGTAGCACATCAAAAAACTATCCACCAGGATCAAGTGGGCTTCATCCCTGGGATGCAAGGCTGGTTCAACATAGGCAAATCAATAAACATAATCCATCACATAAACAGAACCAATGACAAAAACCACATGACTATCTCAATAGATGCAGAAAAGGCCTTTGACGTAATTCAACAGCCCTTCATGCTAAAAACTCTCAATAAACTAGGCATTGATGGAACCTACCTCAAAATAATAAGAGCTACTTATGACAAACCCACAGTGAATATCAAACTGAATGGGCAAAAACTGGAAGCATTCCCTTTCAAAACTGGCACAAGACAAGGATGCCCTGTCTCACCACTCCTATTCAACATAGTATTGGACGTTCTGGCCAGGGCAATCAGGCAAGAGAAATAAATAAAGGGTATTCAATTAGGAAAAGAGGAAATCAAACTGACTCTGTTTGCAGACGACATGATTGTATATTTAGACATCATCTCAGCCCAAAATCTCCTTAAGCTGATAAGCAACTTCAGCAAATTCTCAGGATACAAAATCAATGTGCAAAAATCACAAGCATTCCTATACACCAATAACAGACAGCCAAATTATGAGTGAGCTCTCATTCACAATTGCTACAAAGAGAATAAAATAGGAATAAAACTTACGAGGGATGTGAAGGACTTCTTCAAGGACAACTACAAACCACTGCTCAACAAACCAAAAGAAGACACAAACAAATGGAAGAACCCTCCATGCTCATGGATAGGAAGAGTCAATATCGTGAAAATGGCCATCCTGCCTAAGGTAATTTATAGTTTCAATGCCATCCCCATCAAGCTACCAATGACTTTCTTCACAGAATTGGAAAAAAAAACTACTTTAAAGTTCATATGGAACCAAAAAAGAGCCAGCATTGCCAAGACAATCCTAAGCAAAAAGAACAAAGCTGGAGGCATCATGCTACCTGACTTCAAACTATACTAGAAGGCTACAGTAACCAAAACAGCATGGTACTGGTACCAAAACAGAGATATAGATCAATGGAACAGAACACAGGCCTTAGAAATAACAAACATACGTCTACAACCATCTGATCTTTGACAAACCTGACAAAAACAAGAATTGGAGAAAGGACTCCCTATTTAATAAATGGTGCTGGGAAAACTGGCTAGCCATATGTAGAAAGCTGAAACTGGATCCCTTCTTTACACCTTATACAAAAATTAATTCAAGATGGGTTAAAGACTTAAATGTTAGACCTGAAACCATAAAAATCCTAGAATAATACCTAGGCAATACCATTCAGCACATAGGCATGGGCAAGGACTTCGTGACGAAAACACCAAAAGCAATGGCAACAAAAGCCAAAATTGACAAATGGGATCTAATTAAACTAAAGAGCTTCTGCACAGCAAAAGAAACTACCATCAGAATGAACAAGCAACCTACAGAATGGGAGAAAATTTTTACAATCTACCCATCTGACAAAGGGCTAATATCCAGAATCTACAATGAACTCAAACAAATTTTCAGGAAAAAAATCAAACAACACCATCAAAAAGTGGGCAAAGGATATGAGCAGACACTTCTCAAAAGAAGACATTTATGCAGCCAACAGACACATGAAAAAATGCTCATCATCACTGGCTATCAGAGAAATGTAAATCAAAACCACAATTAAATAGCATCTCACACCAGTTAGAATGACGATAATTAAAAAGTCAGGAAACAACAGATGCTGGAGAGGATGTGGAGAAATAGGAACTCTTTTACACTGTTGGTGGGAGTGTAAACTATTTCAACCATTGTGGAAGACAGTGTGGCAATTCCTCAGAGATCTAAAGCTAGAAATACCATTTGACCCAGCAATCCCATTACTGGGCATATACCCAAAGGATCACAAATCATGCTACTATAAAGACACATGCACACGTATGTTCATTGCGGCACTATTCACAATAGCAAAGACTTGGAACCAACCTAAATGTCCATCAATGATAGACTGGATTAAGAAAATGTGGCACATACACATCATGGAATACTATGCAGCCATAAAAAATGATGAGTTCATGTCCTTTGTAGGGACATGGATGAAGCTGGAAACCATCATTCTCAGCAAACTATCAGAAGGACAGAAAACCAAATACCGCATGTTCTCACTCATATGAGGGAATTGAACAATAAGAACACTTGGACACAGGGAGGGAAACATCACACACCAGGGCCTGTCCTGGGGCAGGGGGAGGGGGGAGGGATAGCATTAGGAGATATACCCACTGTAAATGACGAGTTAGTGGGTGCAGCACACCAACATGGCACATGTATACATATGTAACAAACCTGCACATTGTGCACATGTACCCTAGAACTTAAAGTATAATTAAAAAAATAAAAAATAATGGAAAGTCCAGAAATAAACCCATGTATTCAGAGTCGACAGATTTTTGAAAGGGGCATGAAGAACATTCAATGCGAAATGATATTCTTTTAAACAAATGACTCTTGGACAACTGGATAACCATATTGCAGAATAATGAAGTTGGACATTATGTCTCACCATATGCAAAATTAAATAGAAATACATTCAATACCAAAATGCAAGAGCTGAACCTATAAAACTCTTAGAAGAGACCATGGACTACATTTCAGTATCTTAGATTTGGCAAAATGTTCTTAGATATGACACTAAAGCATGAAGAAGATAAAAATAGGTAAATTAGACTTCATCATAATTAAAAACCTTTACCATTTAGGGGAAACTATCATGAAAGTGAAAAGATAACACAAAGAATGGGAAGAAATTTGTAAGCCACATAAGGAACTTGTATCTAGAATATGTAAAAAAAAAAATCTTACAATTCAATAATAAAAGAAACCCCATTTTCAAAATGGGCGAGTGATATAAATAAACAGGGATTTGTCCCAGGAAGATATACAAATAGCCAATAAGTACATAAATGATGCTTGACATCATTGGGTCATCATGGAAAGGCAAATCAAAACCACAATGAGATAACAAACACTTCATACCCACCGGGATGCTTAAAATCTTGCTTCTGCCACCACAGTTCCTACATTAACTTTGGCCTTCTGATTCTCTCTTATAAAGGCCCTTGTGATTGCATCAGGACCAGCTGTATAATTTAGGATAACTCTCATCTCATGATCCTTAATTTAATCATATCTGCAAAGTACCTTTCCCCATGGAAAGTAACATATTTTCATGTTCCCAGATCTAGAATGTATACATCTTTGGGGGCCGTTAATCTGTCTACTACAATAAGCCTGTTAAACAGTTGTGACAGGTATTATTTATTTTCTTCTAATATCCATTCTCCCCCTTCTTCCATAGTGAAAGAAGTTTCAGATGGACATAGGTCAATCAGATAAAAATGATATGTCCTAACTTTACGTGAAGCAAGGAGTGGCCATGTGACTTGCATTGAACAATAAAATGTGAGCAGTAATGACAATATCACTTGTAGATTAAAGTCTTTAGGAATTGAAGCACAATTCATCTCTTTTTCCTCCTGTTATGGCAACCAGTGAAGCTTCAGCCTGAATTCCCGAATGAGGTTTATACTCATCGGGATCCCCACCAACAACCCAAATAAAATGAACATCAAGCATGAGCCTTCAGGATTATTAGTTACTAGATAATAATCTAGTTAACCCTGACTAATAGAGCATATTTACATAAAACAATGTATATCACACATGCGGTGATATATACTGCTGGATGCCCACTCAATAGTCATTTTCTTTCCCCTCTCCTGGTTGGCATAGTCTGCTTCTTGTGACAGAGTCTGCAAATGCCAAAAAGTCAATTTCCTTTTTGGCAAGATTGTGGGAACACAAACCAATCTTAGTCAATAAGACCTTTTTGTGTTAGGCTGTTCTTTCATTGCTATAAATACCTGGGTGGGTCGCAGTGGCTCATGCCTGTAATCCCAGCACTTTGGGAGGCCGAGGCAGGTGAGTGGATCACCTGAGGTCAAGATTACGAGATCAGCCTGGCCAACATGGTGAAACCCTGTCTCTACTAAAAATATAAAAATTAGCTGGGCTTGGTTGCCCATGCCTGAAATCCCAGCTACTCGGGAGGCTGAGGCAGGAGAATTGCTTGTATCCAGGAAGCAGAGGTTGCAGTGAGCCAAGATCACACCACTGCACTCCAGCCTGGAGGACAGAGTAAGACTCTGTCTAAAAAAAAAAAAAAAAAAAGAAATAGCTGAGACTGGGTAATTTATAAAAAAACTCATTTTAATTAGTTCATGGTTCTGCAGGTTGTACAAGCATGGTGCCAGCATCAGCTCAGCTTCTGGGGAGACCTCAGGAAGCTTTTATTAATGGTGGAAGGCAAAGCAGGAACAGACACATCACATGGCCATAGTGAGAGCAAGAGAGAGGGTAGGGAGGTATAATGCACTTTTAAACAAATATATCTCATAAAAGCTAACTCACTATTGTGAAGACAACACCAAGCCATGAGGGATCCACCCACATGACCCAAACACCTCTCACCAGGCCCCACCTCCAACATTGGGGATTAAAATTCAACGTGAGATTTGGTCAAGGACAAATATCCAAATTATATCAAGATCTAATTGAAATCTGTGAGGAAGTTTCTGGGAAAGGTTTTTCTATCTAATCAAATATGACCATTTCCTATTTTATCATTGTGGTTTTGGTGTTATCGTATAAAGATATGGAACTTGGAAGTAGTGTAGTCATGTTTCAACCATAAGAGAAAGCCAAAAATTTACTGAAAATAGTTTCATAATTTCTGGCATTATCAAACTGCCAAACCAAGTGTGTTAAATAGCTAGTTATGGATGTTGTATTATGTGGGAAAATATTGTTTGGTGTCAATTAATATGGATTCTGTCACTTAACACTGGAAGATGACAATCCCAGTACTGGGTATTTACCCAAAGGATTATAAATCATTCTACTATAAAGACACATGCACACGTATGTTTATTGCAGCACTATTCACAATAGCAAAGACTTGGAACCAACCCAAATGCCCATCAATGATATACTGGATAAAGAAAAAGTGGCACATATACACCATGGAATACTATGCAGTCATAAAAAAGGATGAGTTCATGTACTTTGCAGGGACATGGATGAAGCTGGAAACCATCATTCTTAGGAAACTAACACAGGAACAGAAAACCAAACAGCGCATGTTCTCACTCATAAGTGGGAACTGGACAATTGAGAACACATGGACACAGGGAGGGGAACATCACACACCGGGGCCTGTCGGTGGGTGGCGGGGGTAGGGGAGGGATAGCATTAGAAGAAATACCTAATGTAGACGACGGGTTGATGGGTGCAGCAAACCATGATGGCACGTGTATACCTATGTAATGAACCTGCACATTCTGCTCATGTATCCCAGAACTTAAAGTATAATAATAATACAAAAACTTGAAGCATACAGTATTTGGGATAAATAACTAATTTGGGATAAATTAGTTATTTATCCCAAATATGGTATATCAGAAACCAAATAGATTCAGATGAGAAGTATTTTCTGATAAATCTGTTGCTAATCGAACTCTTGCTATTCTCTCTCTGAAACTCAGAAAACAAATTCCTTCAGATAATGCCCACTTCCTTGATGGCAAACAGTCACAGTTCAGACCCAGAGACTGATGATATTTAAAGGTTCATGTGTATATGGTAAAATATACACACATGCCCATTCACACACTATCAAAGTATAGTTAGGATAAGACTTTGGGAGCTGAATAAAGAGAACACATGGACGCGTGGGTTGGGGGAACAACACACACTGTGGCCTGTCTGAGGGTGTGGGTGGGAGGAGGGAGAGCATCTGGGAGAATAGTTAATGGATGCTGGGCTTAATACCTAGGTGATGGGATTATCTGTGCAGCAAACCACCATGGCACACACATTTTTTACCTTTGTTAGAAACCGGCACACGCAGCACATGTACCCCTGAACTTAAAATAAAAGTTGGGAAAAAGAGATTTTATTTTTAAATTAACTTTCACTCTAAGTGTAAATATTGACTTTAAAAGAAGTGGCTAGTATGTTAATAAGATATGTGTTCATTTTATAAAAATATATGTATGTATGTATAAGTAATATATTGTGCATTTTATACTTGAAGTATTTTTTATAAAAAGAACAAAAGAAACTAGAAAATACCTGTTTTCTCTTTCTTTGGGTCTATAAAATGCCACTGAGAACTATCAGTGGGGTAGAAGCAGAGAAAGGAGAAGCAGAACAAAGTTTTATGGTGTGTTCTCTGTAGCTTTCACTGTTTTAATTCAAGTGATTTCTGGTCTTTTAGGTATAACCAATTCTATACAATGATACTTCTATGTAACTTAGCATTTAAGTTTATTTTACAAAATATCTAATATTTCAGAGGCATATAAACTAGCTAAGAGAAGACAAATACGGAAATAAACTTTCACGTTCCATATGAGATAATGGAACAGAATAAGAACAACAATTTCTCCTCAAACACTTATTTTTAATAACAGCTTTTCGAGCAGACAATGCCAATTACAATGTCAGGGTTACTTAAGTCACTCTGAACTGCAGGTCCAGCATGACCTGCTTCTCAGGAAACAAACCCAGAGAACAATATAAAACATTGCAGATCAAGGGTGCATCCTGACACCAATAGCCTAGGAAATTTGTCAAGGTCATGACCATGAGATCTTTCAGCTTAGGCTAGAGCATAAAAATATGTGACCTTTACTGGGGTAGTAAAAGATTCATGCCTTCAGATGCTCAGTGGACAGATGCTCTCTGTCCACTGAGACAACATGAGCAGCCACTAAATACTACTTGTTGAAGTTGGTAGCAAGGGCTAGATTTTTCCCCCCATTTTCCTTCATCTCTTGGTCATTTACTTCATTCTTGCAGCTATTGAACTCCAGGATACCACTTAACTGCTCTACTTCCCAAGAGGCAGCATATGCAACTTCTATTTCTAGTATGGTACAGGATTGTAGAATGTGTTTAGTTCCAATAAAAATCCTTGGAAAACCTAACCCAGTCTAGAAAGTGTATCCAAACATGTTTTATGCAGAATGAATTATTTCATGCAATATGGTATAGTACAAAATGCAAGCTTCCCTTAAGAAGATGAGAAGGGAATATAACCTACCAAGGAGAAACGAACAGAAAATGGGGAAAAGGAAAATAACTTGACAGAGCTAATCAGGAAATAGGTAAGATGATTATTATCAAAAGGTGAAATTACAATAAAACCACAGTTAGAACACACTGTTGCATTATTACATTAATTTTATTATTTATATAGTATAAAATTCTTTTTTATTATTTATATAGTATAAAATTCTTTAAAATAAGTTTTCTATTATAAATACTGATCTATGTTGGAATTAAGTTGCATAAATCGTGTGCCATATTTCTGCAGTCTTTAATCTATTTGTACTAATATTTGCATTCTTTTAATCTACCCCCAGACAGTCTATATTTACCAGTTCTCATTTTCTTCCTGGGCACAAAATTAGACTACATTTCCCAGCTTCCTTTGCAGTTAGATGTGGCTGTTGGACTCGCTTTTGTCTAGTGGACTGTGTAAACCATTTCTGGAACTGGCCCAGAAAATTCTTTCTCACATGATCTTCTGCCTTTCTCCTGACTAGCAGCTGAAAGCAAAGGATCAAGTATACATCTCTGCAGCCCTAGAGAATAGCAGAACTACAAGATGTATAGTGTGGATCTCTGAAAAACCATAGGCAGTTCTCCAACCATCAAGGAACATCTGCGTTAGATTTGACATAGCAAGAAATAGACTTTTGTTGTGTTCAGACAATAAGAGTAGTTTTGTTTGCTGTGGAAGCTACTATTAATTTCCCTAACAACAATAATACCATATAGGAGGTTTTATTGCCTTGTATGCAGATTCTTCCATCATTGCTTAATATCAACTTCCATTAGATAAAACATACAAGTTCAGCAGATAGGGAAAGAAAAACCTGTCAGTGAGACACAGGTGCATTAGGAAAGATTCTATAATGTAAATAGATTGTATATCAAATTTGTCCCATTATAGGAAAATTCCAAATAGGTATCAATAATATTGTGCATAGAGTTACTTCACAATGTTTCCAGAGCTACTACAGGAGCTGCTTGTAGAGTTGATGTCTTTCTATGTTTTTCCCTTTAAGCTGTGTTCTACATTGTACAGAACCACCTGCTTGAATGATTGAGGCAAAAACAACGTCCAAAGTGCTTGTGGGTTAAATCAATACTACAAATGGCCTTCGAAGGGAACATACAATAACCAAAGCCTTTATGTTTCAGCTAGTTAACCATAGAAGCCACAAACATTTATTCTAAGCACAAGTAAGAGCCTGAATAAAGGAAAAGGAGTACCTTTTCTACAACAGTAATAGTGATTGTGACTTCTTTAACTTGATCTCTAGCAGGTGAAGGAGGGTATATGAAAATGCATTAACCCCTTGGGCTTTGTTTTCAAGATAGTTTACCTCAATTTTTAAGGAATTCAATGTCCTTACATGAATAATGAGATGTTTCATTGATAATGAGGATCACGAGTATAGAGCATTTTTATAAGTTACTTACTATTGTGAAACAAATAACCACAAGTTTAGCAGCCTAAACAACATGCACTTTGTTCACAGTTGCAATGGGCCAGGACTCTGGTCACAGCTTAATTGGGTCCTCTGATTGATGATCTCTCTTTAACCTGCAATGAAGGTCACAAGCTGGGTTGTGAAAGTTCAACAGGGGAATTATATGCTTCTATGGTTACTTACCTGGTTTTTGGCAGGATTTCATGTATGGAATATTGTTGGACTGAAGGACTTGTTGAGTATTGACCAGAGATTTCTCTTAGTTATTTACCATATTTTCTTCTCAAACTTTTAAGATTTCTTCTGCCAGTGAGAGAGACAGAGAGAGAGGGAGAGAGAGAGAGTGAGAGCATGAAAGTCTACTAGCAAGAAAGACAAGTCAAAATATTATGCACTGAATCATGGAAGAAATTTCTATTCTCTGGAAGCAAATAACTAAAACCAACCCATACTCAAAGGGTAGGTATTACACAAGGAGCTTCTACTTTAGCTTGCAGTCAACCTGTTTAACTTTAGTGTATAGGTTCTGGTGGACTTTTGTGGACTTTAGTTCCAATGTAAGTTTACTTATCTTGTTTTCTTTGTTCTTGCACTGCTGGGGCCCCAGCTCAATCCTTTCTGGTGATGTAGAAGGTATCTTCTGAAATTGCCTGCTATTGCTAATTGATGTGGTTTGGGTCTTCCTCCCCACCAAATATCACGTTGAATTGTAATCCCCAGTGCTGGAGATGGGGCCTGGTGAGAGGTGATTGGATCATGGGGAGTGGATTTCAAATAAATGGTTTAGCACTATCCCTTTTGTACCATTCTTGCAATTGTGAGGGAGTTTTCATGAGATCTGGTTGTTTAAAAGTGTGTAGCGCTTCCCCACTTTCTTTTGCTCCTGCTCCCACCATGTGAGATGCTTTCCTCTCTCTTTGCCTTCCACCATGATTACAACTTTACTGAGGCCTCCCCAGAGGTAGAAGCCACTATGCTTCCTGCACAGCCTACAGAATCATGAACCAATTAAACCACTTTTCTTTATAAATTACCCAGTCTCAGGTATTTCTTTATAGCAAAGCAAGAATGGACTAATACAGAACATTGGTTTCAGAAGTGGTACATTGCTGTAAGGATACATGAAAATGTGGATGCAACTTTGGAACCAGGTTATGGGCAAAGGTTGAAAAACTGTAGAGGACTTAGAAGAACATATGAAGATGAGGGAAAGTTTGGAGTTTCCTAAAGACGGGTTGAATGGTTATGACCAAAATGATGGTAGTGATATGGCCAGTGAAGGCAAGGCTGATGAGGTCTCAGGTGGAAATTAGGAGCTTATTGGGAACTGGAGGAAAGGTCACTTTTGTTATGCTTAGCAAAGAGCTTGACTGCATTGTGCCCATGCCCTAAGGATCCATGGAACTTTGAACTTCAGAGTGATGATTTAGGATATCTGGTGCAAGAAACTTCTAAGCAGCAAAGCATTCAGGGGTGCCCTGGCTGCTTCCAACAACCTATGCTCATATGAGTTAGCAAATAAATGACCTAAAGTTGGAACTTAGATTTATAGGGGAAGCAGAGAGTAAACATTTGAAAAATTTGCAGCCTGGCCATGATGTAGCAAAGAAAAGTCCATTTTCATGGGAGGACTTCAAAGCAGGGTGCAGAAATTTGCATATGTAAGAAAGAGCCAAGTGCTAATACCCAAGACACTGCAGAAAAGGCCTCAAAGGCACTTCAGAGAACTTCTTGGCAGCCCCTCCCATAACAGACCCAGAAGCCTAGGATGAGAGAATGGTTTTATAGGCCAGATCCCGTGCCCCACTTCCCTGTGAAACCTTGGGACACTCTTCCCCAGATCCCAGTAGCTCTAGCTCCAGCCATGGCTCAAAGGAGCCCAGGTACAGTTCAGGCTGCTGCTTCAGAGGGTGCAATCCATAAGCCTTGGCAGATTCCATGTGGTGTTAAGCCTGTGGATGCACAGAATCCAAGAATTGAGGTTTGGGAGCCTCTGCTTAAATTTCAAGGATGTATGGAAAAGCCTGGATATCCAGAGAGAACCTTGCTGCAGGGTTGGAGCTCTCATGGAGAAACTCTACTAGGGCAGTGCAGAGGGGAAATTTGGGGTTGGAGCCCCTACAGAGTCCTCACTGGAACACTGCTAGTGGAGCTGTGAGAAGAGGGCCGCCATCCTGTAAACCGCAGAATAATAGATCCACAAACAGTTTGCACCCTGTACCTGAAAAGTCTGCAGGCACTCACTGTCAGCCTTGGAGAGCAGCCGTGCTGGCTAAACCCTGGAAAGCTATAGGGGCAGAGATGCTCAAGACCTCGGGAGACCATCCCTTGTATCAGTGTGTCCTGGATGTCTGACATGGAGTTAAAGAAGATTATTTTGGAGCTTTAAGATTTAATGACTGCCCTGCTGGTTTTGGAACTTGCATGGGGCCTGGTGTCCCTTTCTTTTGGCCAATTTCTCCCTTCTGGAATGGAAATATTTACCCAATGACTATACCCCCAGTGTAGATTGGAAGTAACTAACTTGTTTTTTTATTTTATAGTCTCATAAGCAGAAGGGACTAGGCTTGTCTCCAATGAGACTTTGGACTTTTGAGTTAATGTTGGAGTGATTTTAAACTTTGAGGATTGTTGAGAAGGCATGTTTTTGTTTTGCAATGTGAAAAGGACATGTGATTTAGGAGGGGCCAGGAGCAGAATGATATGGTCTGGATCTGTATCTCCACCAAATCTTATGTTGAATTTTAGTCCCTAATTTTGGAGGTGGGGCCTGGTGGGAGGTGATTGGATCATGAGGGCAGATTTCTCGTGACTGGTTTACACCATCTCCCCGATACTGTACTTGTGATCATGGGTGAGTTCTCATGGGATACTGTTGTTTAAAAATACGCAGTACTTCCCCCCTTGCTCTCTCTTGCTCCTGCTCCCACCACGTAAGATGCCTTGCTCCCGCCTTGCCTTCTGCCATGACTGGAAGCTTCCTGAGGCCTCCCAAGAAGCAGAAGCCACTATACTTTCTGTACAGCCTGCAGAACCATGAGCCAATTAACCCTCTTTTCTTTATAAATTACCCAGTTGCAAGTATTTCTTTATAGCAGTGTGAGAACGGACTAATACACTGAGTGATCTTTAAGTGGGAAGCGAATTATAAGCTGCTGAGCCTGCCTCTTCCTATGCTATTTGGTGGAGGGTAGGAAGGCAGAAAGTTTTGCTACTGCTGTTGCTGCTGGCAGATCAGCTTTCTCACTCTAAAAGTCTGATTCCAGTCTAACCTGGAATGGTTGTGGAATGGGGACTAGTCAGCTCTAATTGTGGCTACTGTAAGGGGATCAACTGCCTGCTGATAAAATGTAATACATTATTTTATAGGAGAAATAGAATTCTATGTAAGAGTAATGAAAAATAAATAACACGGGGTTGATGATGAGAACATTTTTCTGATAAGTGTACCTAATTTGCATGACCATATATCCTAGTTATCCCAGAATAGTTACTGTGTATGTCTGTTCTCTTGGTGTAATTATTACTAATACTCTTGCTACTCTCAAAATAATCTCATCTTGAACAATAAATTATGCGGTCACCCTTTCTCTAAGTGAAAATAGGGATGACTTGCAGTTATCCAGATAAATGGCCAGAGGTAAAGAATTTTTTGACAACAGTAAATGTCATGCATGTAGATCTTCAGACAGAAGAAAATATAATATGTTGAGTATACTACTAATAAATAATTACTGTTAATTGAATGTACAGTGTGATTGAAAAGTAAAGATGAGGATAAGTACTTAATTGGGCTTCACAAATGGAAACTACACAAGCTTACTTAAAGACTCTGCCCTTTATCTTAATACAATGGAGAACCTTTGAAGCACAGTAAAAGTTAGATTTGACATTAGAAATATCACTGTGGTTGAACTGTAAATAGTGGATTTTGGGGATTTGAGTGAGACAGAAGAATGGCTATGACAGAATTTCTTGGTGATAGAAATGACAGATCCTGGGAGGCTAATCCAAAATACTGGCCATGGGGATGAATGAATGAAAAATAATTTGAATACTATTTTATACTTAGAAGTTGTAGAAATGGGTGGGTTGCTGGAATTTGGAGGTTAAGGGAGTGTTAAATTAAACAAGTCCAATTGCCAAATTAAAGATGGGCCTCTCTGACTTGAGCAACTGAGTGGTTGGAGGTATCATTCAACGAGCCAAGAGGAAAAGGAAAAGTGGTATTCAAGATAATTTGTAGAGAAAATTGTTCAACTAATTGAGAGTTAAACATGGGGAAGAATGATAACTAACTGGTGCCTTATATTTCCAAATGCAGGTGGTTTGAAAAAATTATGACAGTTAGCATGTTTAAAAGGAAGAGAGGGCCCATATGGGAATAAGGAGGTTGTTTTTAGACACATTTAGAATAGTTTAAAAGGAAGAAAAGGTTTATGTGTTAAAATAAATTTTAACAGTTAGTTATGTCTAACAGACCATTAGAAAGGTCCAGGCAATCTCAATAGACAGAGTAAGACCAGACACAGAAAGGCATCCACTGAGAGAGGTAGAAACCCTGAATGTGGCTAACTTCCCAAGAGATCATGGGAATAAGATGCTGGGACATGAACTGTTATGGGAAGAAAGACTGGCGAGCTACAATTCTAGTGCTAAAGAGCAGTCAAAAAATGCAAATTTATTTTGACCATTTCAACATGAGCGATCTCTGAGAAAATACTTATGTAGAATGAAGGAGATGAAAAATTGAATGAAACGTTTTACGAGTAAAAGAGTAGTGAAAAAGAAGATCCAAAGGATCCAAATTACTTTTTTAGTAGAATTTTTTTTTTCTGTAACATACAAGGGAAATGACTATAGATTAAGGCCATAGAAGAGGTGAAGCATTGTTCCTCATGGATGCATCAAATGGGAATGTATTCATAGGTAGAGATGAACCATTGGAGAAAGAAAGTTTCAAAAGAAATTTCGAAGAAATCAGTGAAAGTAATGGACCAAGTTCCATAGATTAGAATAAAAAATTACATAGTATTTATAATCCAATAGAAAGACATTTTTATTTAAGAGATAAGAAGGGAGTAAAAGTGGACTGGTGAAGATATGTTGGACAGGGGTAAAAACCAATGGAGAAATATGTGAATAATATTTTTTTGAACTTCTTTTGTGAGTGATGCTTTGTACTAGTTCCATCCTAAGTAATCCTTACTTGAATTATTGTAATTATAGATCTACTTAATCAAGTTATGTTACCTGATGTAACAACAATAAAAACAACTACAACATTCCAAATATTAGTGGCTTAAATAAACTACAGTTTACTGCTTACTCACATGAAGGTAAAATGCAGTCATTTGGAGGCCATCCAGACTGACTATCCTGGACCATTGGGTCCTTAGTATTCTCCACTGGATGGCAGTGGCCAATAGACCGGGGAAAAGTGAATGTGAAATGGATTGAGTCTAAGCTTTTAAGGGTCAGGCCTCAAAGTAGCATGCATCATTTTCACTTAGTCATATAGCCCTGACTCACTCGCAAAACCTGAGAAAGGAACCTCTCTGAGTGCTTAGAAACAAAAGACCAAACAGCGCCTGGTGAGTTCATGGTATTACCCATGAAACAGCACGTATTGTTATCCGCTTTGCAGAGAAGGAAACTAAGATTTAGAGAGTGCTTAAGAAACTTGCCCAAAGGTCACATGGTTTAGTAAATTGAGTCTGATCAAGTCAGTAAATCAGAGCATATCATCTTCCACAAAAAGTGACAACAGACCACAGAAGAGTGAGAAGCCTTTACTATTGGGGGAAAACAAGTTCATATGATGTGGGAACAAACTCACTGAAGAGGAGCTAAAGCTAGAAACAGACATCTCTCTTGAATCCAATTATCTCTGCTTTAAAGACCCCTTTCAGGACACTCGGCAGATTGTATTCATTCATTTTATATTTAAAAACAATTATTAGATGCACACTAGCTATCACACACTATTGCAGATGTTTAATGTACCAAACAGATTTTCTGACCTCATGGGGCTTATATTTTGGTTTGCAGATCCAGAAAAGGATAACCATGCTTTCTGATTTTGTTTAACTTATAAGAGAAAGTAAAATAACGTATTGAGAGAATATGGGTTAACTTAACGTAAAACAAACAAAAAATAACTAAAGACTTAAATTTGTATAGAAACTATGGCTGCTCTAAGTATCTATATAACAAAGTAACAGGGAATGTCTTCGGTGTGGAACAATTGGGATAAATGGACTCCAAACATTTCAGTCCTTAAATACTTTGATTGACACTCAAATCCAGGAAGAGGTAATCTAAGCGAGCTGGATGATATTTCAGCCTTTTGGCTAAGGTGCCTTAAAGGAAGGTCCCACCAAGACAGTCAAAAAAGAAAAAGAAAAAAAAAAAGGCTAGGCGCGGTGGCTCATGCCTGTAATTCCAGCACTTTGGGAGGCCGACGCTGGCGGATCACGAGGTCAAGAGATCAAGACCATCCTGGCCAACATGGTGAAACCCAGTCTCTACTAAAAGTACAAAGAAAAAAAAAAAGTTAGCCTGGCGTAGTGGCACGCACCTGTAGTCCCAGCTACTCAGGAGGCTGAGGCAGGAGAATCACTTGAACCGGGGAGGCAGAGCTTGCAGTGAGCCAAGTTGGTGCTACTGCACTCCAGCCTGGCCACAGAGCGATACTCCTTCTAAAATAAATAAATAAATAAATAAAATAAAAAAATTAAAAGGTGGCCAATAATTATCTAAAATCATGATTCATGAAACAATTACTAGAATAGTAGGAAATAGATGTAAACAAACAAAAAGCATCAGTTACCAAAAATCCCTAAAAATAAATTAATTTTAAAAATTACTTCAAAATGTTAAATATTATGAGAAAAAAAATTGAGTGATAGAACAGAAAATAATTGAGAGAGTAAGGTAGTTTAGATAAGATGGATAGGGCAAGCTGCCTTAATTTCCTTGGTATTTGAGTCCTGAAGGAGGAGATGCCAATCATGAAATCAGCCAGGGGCAAGTCTAACAACACAGCGAATAACAAGGTCCTGGGGCAGGGCATGTTTTTAGGAGCAGAAAATTTGCTACTATAGCTCAAATATAGTAAGAAGCAACGGTAGAGAGTGTGTGGAATTCACACCAAGTTATGATGGATTGTTAAGTTTAGATTTTGTTCAAGAGGCTGTTGCTATTTTTAAAAAGTGCATATTAACTCAGGAGTGTCAAATAACTGTATTCTTCTTTTCTTTTCTAGGAGAACATAAGAATTCCTTTTGTTTTTTGCCTACTCTTCTCCTACCACCTCTTTTCTACTACAATGTTATGATAAGAGCAGCTGCCTTGGCAGTTTCTAATTGCAGGTAAGAGTCTTAGAGGTGCCATCTGTTCTTGCCAGCTCCTTTGGTTGATAACTCTCCTGTCCCAAGGGTAACAAACACATTGGGAGTAACTCCTTGGAGTAACTCGACCCAGGATCAGTACTAGCTGAGCCACTTCTCACTCACGTGGCCTTGGGCAAGTTATTTAGCCTCTCTAATCTCAGTGGACTCATTTTTTAAGGAATACAATAATACCAAATTCCCAGGGCTGTAGAACAGGCTAAATGAAATAACATATTTTAAGTATCTAGTCTATTCCCCAAAACATAGAAAGGGCTCAAAAAATAGTAACATTGAAAAAACATTGTGAAACACAGAATCAGGTGCTCAAGGAGAAATCCAGCAGCACTCACTGCAGATGTCAGAGCACTTCAAAATAGAAGAATGAGATTTCTGGAGTCCTGTCACAACCAGATGATTCTTTGTGCTATCTGGAAATTGACACTCATACATTTGTCTACTTTTCTCTGACCATGTTTCAGCCAAATAGGCTCATCTGGTGGATATTGTGGGAATGTTTGAAGAAATCATTGGTAAAAATTTGATTTTCAAAAAGTTAAGATTGGCTTTATAACAGTCCCTAACTCATTTCATAAGAGATTTAAAGTAGCTACAAAATGATAAGTGAAAATACAATATAAAAGGATGAGATATAAATACTTAACTAATACACTAAGTCAAATTTAATCAACCTTTGTTTCTTTTATTTATACCTTAACTACGTTAGGAATAAAAACTACTAAAATACAAAACCAATATTATAAGTTAGATAATGGTGAAAGGGAAAAAGAAAATAAGCAAGAAAAATAACATGAAATGAAGCCATAAATAAGGGAAATATGTTACAAAAACCAAATGATACAAAACCAAATAATTAACGGGAAACAGGCACATGCTATACATTAGTGAAGGAGGCCAGTATGAGGTCATGTGAGTGGTGGAGACTTTGGTCATTTACTTCCTTTAAAATTCCTCATGTTGTTGCTAGAATTCTATGCACGTGTGCTTCTTTACCTATTTCTAAACCTGTGTGTGTGTATTTGTAAAATTTCTGATTGTTCAAACATAATTTACAAAAACAAACCAAACAAAACACATTTATAGAACAAATTAAATCCCTCAGGCAACCAATTAATGCTCCTTGCACCCAAACCCTACTCCAATTCCTCATAGTAGGCCTTAAGGTTAGGTGCTTTCTTGCAGCTAGTGCGTTCAGGGAATCCTAGTCAGATATACAATTCAAAATATCTATCAAATAAAAACAAAATAATTGTTATAAGGAGAAGAATAATTGCGATCAGAAGAAGGGAATAGAGAGGACTTTCTGTGCTGTAAGAGGCAATGCAATTCATGTATCCTTAATATAGACATAGCAATTACTTCCTTGGTTCAATTCAACAATAGTTACGAGGTAGATTGTAGTCACTACTGATATTGGAAGGAAAAAATCCATTCAATCCCTGACAAAAGATGGCAGATTCTTAATTTTCACAAACTTTAAAAGCACAGCAATAATTTCTTAATTCCTTACTTAATCAATATTTGCTATACATATCTTTCTAAAACTCATAAAAGAAGTGAAGTAATTTTTAGAATATACAGAACTGTGAATTTTTTTTCATTCATTATTGAAAATGCTTATTACATTTTGAGATGGTGCAAAATGACACTTGAATTTTTTTCAGAATGCAAAATACCTGCATTAAATACCTAAAAGGCTATAGCAATATGCATCATAAACACTGAAGATTTAATGAATGCTACTAAAACTGCTAACACTTCTAATATTTTGCATCATTCAATTTCACAGACTGGTAGAACTGTAACACTTTTGTTCATAATTTCGTATAAACTACTTAAATTTTTTGACATATACTAAATTTAGATTATATTGTTGCTGTATAATTATGTAATTTAGGTGAATTCTTTAATGGTTTAATATTTCTGGTCCATTTATTCCTAAATATGTTTTGCACATCTTCTAAAGCCTAATAAAAGTTCCCAGGGGGTAATAAACATGTATGTATTGTAGATAAAATGTATTTTAAAGAAATAAGGAATGCATTTTCAAAATATTTTTGTATGCTTGCAATAAAACTTGCCAGGTTTTTCTTAGGAATGTAGTTTAATGAAGACAAGTTAAACCATTCTTTGTGTAAGATTTATCTATACATAACCAATTATTTAACCAGAAATGGATTGAAATCAACGGCTATGTATCTGTGATTTCCACTAAAATTTAAATTTTTAGGCAGTAAAATTTGATTTATATTATATATAAATATATAACATAATGGAACTTCTCACTGTGTATAGCACATGGTAGGCACTTAATAAATGTATATTAAATAATTGATATATGTGTGCATGGTTGAGGCAAAAACACTGTCCCTCTTTAAGCTAAAATTGCACTTAGCTTATAGCAATGACTGTATCTATGTATATGTGAGTGTGTATAGTGCTTTTATTCTGGGATTCCTAATACCAGATTGTTTTTTTCTGCCTAGGGATAAGATTTCCATGCTCCAGTTGAAGCACGTTATATTTTTATAATATTAATTAAATATACAGTCTGCTCACTTTTACATCTGTACTGTTTTCTCCCTAGATACATTTCTTTAAACAAAATGGCCTTACCATTCTGTTTCCTTGTTAGATTTTTGTCAGAGGGAAAATTAATTGAAATACAAAATGAAAAAGCTAAAGAAAACAAGTGAACTACTGTGAGTCCCTCAGGTTCTTCCATTTGGACCAAAGTTTTTTTCCGTTGGTGAATAACAGCCACTTACTGCTGCTGCAGTTATGGGTAATGGACACCTTTACTTAATGAATTTTTCAAGAAAAACAAACTCCTCTTGTAAATTGGGAATTACCAAAAACAATGAAGCAAATCCTCCTTTACTTCTCATCCTTTACAAGGAATCAAATATAGGCAAAAAGAATTGCTACATAAAGAGAAAACAGAATTTGTATGTGCTACTTGCATTTGATTCACTCATATATTTAATATGCTTTCAGAAGCAAGCTTCTGAAACATTAAATATAAATTAGGACAGAAAGCTTTACATCAAAGACACTGAAGATTTTACCACAGTAGATAAAGTATTTAAGGTGAGAGTAAGTGTGAATTTAAAGGACAGGCATTGGTTGCTTCTGGACAGGGTCAATGGCTGGCAATAGGATTTGATGGGGCAGATAGTGAAAAATTCTTGTGTCCTTACATTTCTCTTTGTGAATGAAGCCATTGTTCAAATGGCGATAGCCTGTATTAGTCCATTTCATAGTGCTATGAAGAAGTACCTGAGACAGGGTAATTTATAAAGAAAAAGAGTTTTAATTGACTCACAGTTCCACATGAGTGGGGAGGCCTCACAATCATGGTGGAAGGTGAAGGAGAAGCAAAGGCACGTTTTAAGTAGTGGCAGGCAAGAGAGTGTGTGCAAAGGAACTGCCGTTTATAAAACCATCAGATCTCATTGAGACTTATTCACTTTCATGAGAACATCACGGGAAGAACCCACTTCCATGATTCAATCACCTCCCACCGGTTCCCTTCCATGACATGTAGGGTTAATGGGATCTACAATTCTAAAGATTTGGGTGGGGACACAGCCGAACCATATCATAGTCCTACTTTGGAAGCTTCTTATTAGAAACAGAGGTGATCTATACAATACATCTAACACAGCATATTGTGCCAAATATACAACTCTCACAAAGCATAGTGGCCTCTGGATAAAATTTAAATGTTCAACATCTAAAACCCCTTTATTTTTCTTAAACTGGGAAGCCCCAAAGCATGAACTTCTCCTGATAAAGGTTGACCATAGGTCTCCAGTCGCCTAGACTGTTCTGGTTTATGAGGTATAATTATTAATAACATTGCTTTACACTCTCAAAATTGTCTCAATTTGGATGATAAATTATATGGTAATCCTATTAATAAGGGATTTTTCATTGGAGATTTGGGTGTGACAGTTAGGAAATATGGTCACTTCGGCAGGCTGAGGCTTCATTATAGGATTTCCTGAGCAGAAAACAGAAAGGTTGATGAACAAGGGGAAAAGGTATGGAAAAGACAGAGACAACCCTTCTTCTTATAGAGGAGAAGACTGAGAGCAAAACAGGTAAAAGGAATTCTCCTAAGTTGTGCAGCTGGTAAGTGCACATATGGAATAATAATCTTACTCCTTTAGCAAAAGCATTATTAAAATACACAAAAGTATTTCATAAAAAATAATTTATTTTATTTTTTATAAATAAATTACTTTTTATTTCAAAGGTAAGTCTTAACTTTGGAAATCTAGAAAGTAGAAAGCGCTACCTGAAATGTGTATAAAATAATTTGTAGTTCTGGTATTCTAAGTGTTTGTACAAGAAGACACTGCCCTCTTCTAAAAAATTCAACAGTATCTTAAGAAGTTTGTAATATGCAAAAATATACAAGAACCTAGTCTGGGATGTTTAGCATAGACAGCTAACAGAGACTCAGATACGGTTGGAAGTTGACAGCTGGGGAGACAGGAGGTGGAGAGAGGAAAAGCTCAAGCAATGTGGCAGGACGCCCAGTTGGAGGGAAAGAGGCAGCCAGTGGGGAATTCCCTATGGCAGTAATGGTAAGGGACTCTGAGAAACAGAAATGTTTAGCTGTAATTTATACATTTCAATCTCAGTGATGTAATTTTTTCAGAACATTTCATTAAACATTCTATATTCAGAACTGTGGGAAATTAAATGATTGGAATGAGGCAAGAAGCGAGGCCTTGCTATATCATCAGACATTGGTGAAGGGCATAGATGGTAATCCACAGTGAAGAGAAAGGAGATGCTGGGAATCTCTCAGAGTCCTGGGAGGAACCCAGTGACCAAGGAAAGCTGGCCACACAACAAGCTAACCCAAAGGTGGACAGGATCCAGACCCTATTCATCCTAAATATATTAAAGAAAGGTAAATCTCAGTGTTCAAAGCCCAGCTCACACCTCGTAGCTATATGATCGTTGACAAGTTATGTACTCTCCAAAACCTGCCTGCTCATCTGTAACACTGGAATAATAAAAGAACCTACCTCTTTTATCTGCTTGGAAAATTATGTGAGATGATGTACTTAAGACAATCTGCCTTGTGGCTGGAAAGTGGCCAGAATGCTATAGAAGCCAGCTGATAGATCTAGCATTAGTATATCATTTTGTATGATTTCTATTTTGTAATCACCTGGTATTTTAGCATAAACATTCTCCTATATCACTGACTATTCTTAGAAAACATAATATTTAATGAATGTCTAATAGTTTTCTTTATTGAATCACATGTTAATTTAAGTAATTCTCCAGTTTTTTGTCATTTATGTTGCTTTGAATTTTTAACCATCATAAAAGACAATGTCAAATTTCCATGTTTAAAACTTGATATGCATTTTTGGTTATTTAGTCAGATAATATTCATTGGATACTATTTATGTGTGCCAAAATATACAAATATTTTAAGATTCTTCATACATGAACAATTTGTGTTACAGGAAAAGAATACCATATTACACCACTTTGATTATGGTGTTCCAAATTGCAAGTAAAACACAATTATCAAACTGGCTTAAATAACAAGAAGAAAGTATTAGATACTCCAAGGGTAGGGAAGACTTCAGTGTTGACTGAGTAAGCACAAAATCATTAAGAACCTATCTTCTTTCCATCTCATCCACCTGTCTTTCTTGGTGTTGTCATCATACTCAGGCAAATAGCAAGGTGGCTGTGAGAGTTCCAAATGTTCCATCCGGACACAGCAAGGCCCAGCACCACTTTTATACAAACAAGAAAGTTATTCAAAGAAGCCTCCACAGACTTCTCTGGTTATTGGTCAGATTGACCATGTGTCCATCCCCAACCACTCCCTCTAAGGGAAGCTGGATGACCATAATTGACCTGATCAGTTACTTAGGATGGACTGGGGGTACAGAAATCAATAATAATAATACCCATGATTTCCATGTCAGTGTTTGTCAGTGTGACTTTGATTTCACCCTCACCAATGCTACATATTTTGGTAAACTTCCATTTCTATTTATATCCCATTAGAAAATGTGTTTGGGTACAACATACTATGGTTCTGCACAAATACTGTTCACTGACCCTTTGACTGAATGACACAATTAATGACTAACTGATGTACTGGGACTTACCAAGTCTTTAGTTCAATTGAGTTGTATTCTACAAAGTTGAACACTACTAGCTTGAGAGGAGATGGACCTTTTAAAATACAAAGGGGATATTATATGAAGTGAAAAGGTCTTGAGCAACATTACCCAATAGCTAAATCATTATTTGGGGGAATCTATAAATGAACTGTAAATTAAAATGTGAAAATGATTGTAGAAAGAAGTGAAATTTAAGCTCTCAATGGGATAATCCTTCAGCTGAAATGGCCTCACACTGTTTTTCTTGGATTATTTTGAGGCCCATTGTATTATCTGAAGGAAGTCTATTGAACAGTGATTGAGTGGTGCTGACCTGGTGCTCCGCTCACTTTGCACAAAAGCTTCTCTGCTGTAATGCTTGGCGAGGCTATACATTGAAGCCAATTGTGACCCTGAAACAAAATGAAACCACTTACTCACTCCTTAAAGGTTTTAGTATGACACATTTTATTATAATTTTGAAAAGCATCATTTTTCCTGATGGCTAATTATTAACTTTCAAATAGATGCTGTGCAAATTGCAATCAAATATCTTTACTTTATTGAATGCGTATGTTGTCAGGAAATATAATTCCACATTAAAGTGTTTCACAGATTTACTGACACCCAGATCTCTTTGTTCTGATTTTGGTCTCCCTCCTGCTGCTCCTGGCAAATTGAAAAACTACTTTATTGAGCTCCATGCTTCCAAATTCCCTGATGTGTATCACAGTACAAATAAGGTTACTTCTAAGCTTTTTGTTGTTGCCATTCTTTCTTTCTTTACTTTTACCTGAATGCTGTGGAGAACCTATGGTCCAGCAAAAGTGTTTAAATAAGAACACCAAATATTATATGTAAAGATGTTAGGTGCATATTCACATTTCTATCCCAAATTTTAACTTGACCATTGTTCACATCTGGCTTTGGAATCTGTTTATAAAATGGTTAGGATCTTTGGGTCCAAATAAATATGTATACTTATGAATAATTATATGCATTTATGAATAATATGAATAGATATCTCTATATATACAAAAATATATATGCAAATAGGTATTATGTATAATATATAGATATTTATATGGATATGATACATGTATATGTACATGTGTATAGAAACAGACACACATAGTATGTGTACATTGTGTGTGTGTGTGTGTAGGTATATACATGTGTGCTAAAATTGACAGTATGTTTTCATTAAATCTATCCCTCCAGGTTTAGGTAGATATTTCTTCTTTCTGTTCCTTACCACTCTGCATGTTCCTGTTCTGTAGCACTTATCAATTTGTATTGCCAATGCCTATTTCACAATTAAATTGTTAGCTTCTTAAGAGCAGGACCAGTACGTTTCTGTACTCCCATGCCATCCATTTCCTGGATCTAAGCACTCAACAATAATATGTATTGCATAACTGGATTACTTAATGAAAGAAGAAAGAAACCTATTTAATATTTACCCCCACTTGAAAAGGTACTTTTTAAAATATTATGTGGTAGGAAAAAAACCCATAAATGATGTCTTAAATATTGTACTACTAGATTTTTGAACTTGTAATGCAAAATGATTGAAACAACTGCTAAAAGAAAAATAAAACAAAAACAGTATAATCTACTCTAAACAATATTGGAAAAAAATGAATGAATCCAATAATTAAAGAAGGACAAAGCACAAACTCTAATCCATGCACATTCCGGTGACCTAAGTCCCTTAGATTCCAATAAATAACATTGTGCAAATTGTGAGAATATCAATGACACTAAAGACTGTAGGATTCTGTCTTCAAGAATCATTGTACATTTGAGATGTGTGGCTTCTTGGACATAATTTAGTTTTGCCTTTCGTTTTATGTATGAGATAGCAGACTCCCAGAAATAGGATATGATTTGCAAGGATTAGCTCCTGGACATGGAGAAGGGAGGAATTCAGATACTGAGTAGTCAAAAGTACACAGCACTGCTGATGACTGGAAAGGTTAGAAGTGACCACTGCAAAATTGGGTAAGCAAATATTTTACATCCAGATCACTCAGAAAGCTTTTGTAAGGCAGGAGATGATACTAGTATTTTATCCTCAGGAACAGTCATTCTCAACAGGGGGCAAATTTGCCCCTCTGGGGATATACAGTGATATCTGGAGACATTTTCGATTGACAGAAATGTGTACGTGTATGTGCAGGGGGGTGGGCAGTGTGGGAGGAGGATTGCTACTGGAATACAGTGGATAGAGATTGAGGATGCTTCAAAATCCTGCAAGGCTCATATAACAAGAATCAGTTTACACGAGAGGTGAATAGAGAGAGTTTTGTTGGTCATTCTTTAAAGTGCATAGAATTGCACGTGCATACACAAGTATAGTCATCTGCGGCATAGTTGAGCTGTGCCCAGAGGAAGTAGCTCACAAGGTTAGTATTCACAGATGGAAAGATTCCTCAGCTGTGCCAGCATGGGAATTACTATGAGGCCATATATCTGTGAAGTTGTGTTACCCGTGGAGGAGAGCCTAGACATAAAATGGCATTTAGAACTTAACCAGGAAGTCAGCCAGCAGTCAAGATTGCACCTGTTGTTCCCTCTACCAAGATGGCTGTGCTCCTTTATCTCCTGTCTTACTGTGCTTTATGTTGCTATACTAGAATATCACACTGGGTAATTAATAAGGAAATAAATGTATTTCTAGCACTCTCACTGGATGGCACAAAGTTCAACATCAGGATGATGGCATCTGGTGAGGGTCTTTGTGCTGCGTCATCTCAGGGTGGAAGGGCCAAAGGGCAGGAGAGCATCCAAGAGAGCAAGATGGAGGCAAACTCACCCCTTTTATCAGAAACTCATTCTAGTGGCAACTAACCCACTCTCATGATAACAGCATTAATCCACTTGTGAGAGCAGAGCCATAGCATCTTCCTGGACAAGGAATATAGCGCCTTCCTTCTTGGCAAAAAGGTTTCAACTCAAACACCAGCTGGCAGCCTTTTTTGACGATGGAATTTAATTTGACTTTGCCATCTTCAGACAATTTATGACATCGCCGCTTTCATAATCTGAAATAAGAACCTTTGTTCATTTGTTTGCTTGTTAACTATTTTCCTCCACCAATTCAACCAAGAGTAAAATTTTTGGAAAACCAAACCTATTTACAGTCTTTTTCATGATAATACTTTTAGTGCTTATTGTAGGTGTTCAATAAATATTTAATTTTTCCAGTTTATTCACCCAACATTTATTGGGTGCCTACTGTATAAAAGATACTCTTGGCCGGGTGTGGTGGCTCACACCTGTAATCCCAGCACCTTGGGAGGCCAAGGCAGGTGGATAACCTGAGGTCAGGAGTTCGAGACCATCCTGGCCAACATGGCGAAACCCCGTCTCTACTAAAATACGAAAATTAGCCAGACGTGGTGGAGCAGGCCTGTAGTTCCAGCAACTTGGGAAGCTGAGACAGGAGAATCATTTGAAAAGATACTCTTTTTTGTGGGGAGGTGGGGAAGGACTCTGTCACCCAGGCTGGAGTGCAGTGGCACCACCTCGGCTCACTGCAACCTCTGCCTCCCAGGTTCAAGTGATTCTCCTGCCTCAGCCTCCCGAGTAGCTGGGACTACAGGCATGTGCAACCACGCCAGGCTAATTTTTGTATTTTTAGTGGAGATGGGGTTTCGTTATGTTGGCCAGGCTGGTCTGGAACTCCTGACCTCAGCTGATCCACCCTCCTCGGCCTCCCAAAGTGCTGGGATTACAGGTGTGAGCCATCATGCCTGGCCTAAAAGATACTCTTATAGTCATGAAAAAAATTAAGATTCCTGACCTCATGGAGCTTGTGAATGAGTAAATAAATGGATAAATACATGAATTTACCTAGAAAGCCTAGGTAGTAGTGACAAAGAAGAAACCAGTAGGCTCCCAGAACTAATATCGTAAGCATAATGAAAGGAGGTTAATAAAAGTAATGAATCACCATACTTATGACTAGAGTTTACCAGAATGTTACTTTTACAATGACTGGGGGCAGCTAAACAAACTGAATGTGTGAGGCAATGTTCACCTTGTTGGTGGAAAGAGTTTTACCCATTGATAGTAATTGAAAATGTTACAGTATTGCAATTAAGCCTTAACATATTATTCATTTAAGCTTACACTCACAGATAATACTTCTATGAAGGGCCCATCTGATTATCTTGAGTCCTGTGAAGTAGAATGGATAACTAACATATTCATATTATAAATATGAGGACACTGAGGCTAAAATAGATAAAATAACTTGTCCAAGATCACACAACTACAAAAATACAAAACATAGCCTGTATGTATGTCATATGTATTTTCTTTACATTTTTGTGACCTGAAAGCCTTTTGCAGTATTTACTTAGTGAAGACTTTAGGTGAAAAGGGGAGATTGGTAAAGGGAAAAACAGAAGATGAGCATTTGTATAAACCAGTGAGTATAAAGTTAGGGAGGGTAGTATAAATTTTCAATTTGTTTAGAAGTAGATAGACTATGAACACATCATCTAAATAATATGTATGTCTAAGAGAACTTTGTCTTAAGGAAATATATTTTTTCGTTGTAAATGTCATTTTTAGCTTATTTGTGAATAAAACTTTTAATTTCCTTAACATCATACAATAACAGAATGTGAAAGAACTTCAGTGATACTAGTCTTTTATTTGTTATTCTTCGCCTTTTCAAGATAATTAGAAATTGCCATAACAAAAAGTATATATATGAGAGGTTGATAAAACTAAAGTACAGAGAAAGCAATCAGAACTATGGAAGGAGAAGAATATATTTTAAAAGAAAATCATCCATGTCATTAGAATTGAATATCCCAGGGCACCTTGGGAATCAGAATAATTTACATAGTTTCCCTTATTTAAAAAAAAATTCAAGCAAATCCACCAACTCTTTAGCAGACATGACTTTTTCCTAGCAGTAGATTTTAAAAGTATCTTATATAGAAAAGAAAATTTCTTAGTTAATATTCTAACACCATACACTGTTTTTTTTTTTTTTGGACAAGAGTTTAGGTAGGTGCAGGGATAATACGTTTCATTCACTCATCCAGTGATTCGGATGACTTTTATTGATTTTGTACATGTTCCAGGAATGTAGAAACAGACCATGTCTCTGTCTTTGTGGAATACTGAAAGGATGAAAAGGATTTTTAAATTAGTAGTCTTATGCTAAAATACAGGAATATGTAAGTATTTTGTTCTGGAACTATGGAAGTGACAGCATTCAGTTTTGCTCATGTGAGAATCCTGAGGAAGATTAATGATTATTTTGAGTTGATTCTGGAATTGGGAATTTCACAAATTGATAAAGAATGTGATGGACATTTTAAGAAGAGTGAAGAGAAGGAAACATCAAATTGCATAAGAACTTTGGAGAAATATAAGTAATTCCATCTAAGAAAGTAGGGAGGGGTGACATTGGAAAGGCAGTTAAGGTTTTCTATGCCAGACTAAGGAGTTAGCTTTTAGGCTTTTGGAATGAGGGCAATTAAAAGATAGTAAGGGCTGAGGATTAAGATTCTATTTGTATTTTAGATGATAAGTCAGCTGTATATATTTTTAAGGTATTTTCTATATTTATAAAGAATAAACCTAAATCATTTACTCAATAAATGTTAAACATCTATATGTGCCAGGCACTGCACTGGATATTAGTAGAAAGAGCTCAATAAAGCAAACATGATCTGTGTACTCATGGAGCTTATAGACTACTCTGAAGACAGGTATTAAAAATGGTCATAAATAATTATGTAAACAGTTACAAGTATGTAAACTACTATGAGGGAGAAATAGAAGGACCTATAGGAATGTAAAACAAGAGGGAACCTCACCTTGACTAGAGAATCTAATCTTGACAAAATCGGCTTCCCTGAGAAACTGATGTTTAAGTGGACATGTTGGTTAGATTTAGCTAGGTGATGAGAAGGATTCGCAAGACTAGAGGAGGCAGAGAGCATGGCTTTTTAAAGACTCCTAGAGAAACCCAGCATGGCTGGAGAGGAGAGACAGGGAAGAGTGGTCCAAGATGAGGTCGGAAAAGCAAGAGGGATTGAATCAAGAAGGCTTTACAGACCTCATTAAAGAATTTCTTCTTCATTTTAAAGGCACGGATGTTGGATATATTTATGGTATAAATTGCAGTGATAGTTGCATGGGCAAATATTTATCTCTATACTTATCAAGTTGTATACATTAAATACACAAAGCTTTTTGTATGTCAGTTTTACCTGAATAAAGTGGTTTATAAAAATTAAAAATAAATAATTTGATGGTCTCAGGAACTTGGTGAGGTCCTACCTTACACAAGATTCAGCTTCGCAATAGGCCCTGATTTGTATTTGGTTCTCTATTTTCAGCAGGAAATTCTAATGTTGAATGGACTGAAAGGCCTAAGGCATGCCAACGAGCAATGGTTTTGGGTAAATGTTCAGCCATTCTTGGGCTTCTGTAGTCTGGACGATATCTTTTCTGTCAATGGAAGATTAATTTCCTCCCTGAACCTGTCAGCCAATCCTTTATTTATTTAAAGGTTCAAGAGAAACACATACTTTGTGAGTGAGATATAAAATAACTCATCTGGCTTTGCCCCTTACATGTATAACAATGGAGAATGCAAGGAAAAAGCTGCATAATGTGTTGCTTTAGGGATAAGGGAAACGAACATGATGGAATCAGAAATAAGGCAGAGTTTTCACATTGGCTGAGTTAAGCCCCTTAAACAGTTAAGCCCCATCTTTTGCTCACCTTACCCCTATCCAGCTTCAGGGAGAGGTGCTGGGGTGCTGTTGAATCACCCTACAAAAACCTGCTGTTTGGATAATAATAGTGATGAATGGAGGTTACAAAGGCCTCATGATGCAGGGTGATACTATGTTAGAATGGAAAACACCTTAACTGGTCATTTCATGTTTCGCCAGTAACTATCCTGCAGAAGGTGGCAAAATATGTTATCGTTGACTTAAAATGGAGCCTTTTCCCTTAATGGTACAGCATAGGTCAGCACAGTGACTACTAATATTTTCCTGCATATCATATTATGCTCTGAAAGTTGTCTCATTAAATTTATATCAAATAAGGAATGAGTTTGCAGTTAGAAAACCAGTGTTGTGACTATGAAATTACAATATTTCAGTTTTATAACTTTGGCCTCATAATCACTGCAAGCATTTTTCCCCGGAGATTAGATCTTTCATCAACCATATTCTACAGGGAACAGCAAACTCGAGACCTTTTCACACCTGTATGTAAACATCAGCAAGAACTGGTACATAGAACAACCTGCAGGTCATTTCTTCATGCAGAAGCTGCAGAGTCCCTTCAAAGCAAACATCCCTTCTACATATGGCCACCAGCGCAGGCTTTCAAAACTGTCTTCTAACTCTCTCCCTGCTTCCTGTCTGCCTTATGCCCTCAACCACAATCATCTACTTTGCATACACATCTGCCACTACTTGCCAGATTACAATCAGGTTTTCTTACCTATAAAATTAGAGATAATATCTGTACCTATTTTATAAGTATTGTCAGTGACTGTATTAATCTGTTCTAATTTATAAAGGAAAATATCTAATTGACTCACAGTTCCACATGCCTGGGGAGGCCTCAGAATCATGGCAGAAGGCAAATGAGGAGCAAAGTCACATCTTCCATGGTGGCAGGCAAAAAAACTTGTGCAGGGGAGCTCCCATTTATAAAATCATGAAATCTGGTGAGACTTATTCACTACCAAGAGAACAGTATGGGGGAAACCACCCCCATGATTCTATTAACTCCACCTGGTCCCACCCTTGACACACGGGGATTACTACAATTCAGGGTGAGATTTGGGTGGGGACACTGCCAAACAATATCAATCACACTACTGTCATTATCTGGCACCCAGAGTGAAGCATTTTGTAACAATATTATTAAATATTACAAAAGTAGTTTCATTAATAACCATAAAATAAGGTGAATAGTAATAATACCCAGAAAAAAAACACAGTGATCATTTTATTTTATTGAATTTTGTATATATATAATTATGCCAGCAAATTAAACATAATTATAATAGAGTAATAAATTAATATTTTTAAATTACATTGATTTTTTGATAAAAGGGAGAGTATATATACCTATGTATTAGTCGGTCACAAAAATGAAGAATTAAGTAACAATTAAATAGAATAAGGCATTTTAATTCTAAGGATATTATTAAAATGCAGTAAACTATTTTCTGTACCAGGCACAATAGCCCATCATGCATTTCTCACTATTTCATTGTTTGAAATTTTAAACTAATAAAAACTTCAACTGACCATACACAATGACAGAATAAAAGCCACTCAAAACTCACAGTATCAGCAATTATAGGATTTAAGCCAACAAATTATTTGTTTCAGGAACTACTATTTTATCATTGACATTTTAAAGAGTTACCAATATTGGTTACATGGGGATAACAATAGTTTTACAATTGTTTTTAAATTTTTGACAGAAAAATGCAACTTCTTATTGCCTACGTAAAAGGGCAGACAGACATCACTGGCTGGCCTGTGGTATGTTGCTACTTGGATGCTGGGGAGGTTAAACTGGATTAACATCTAAAGTAGTTAGAAGAGGGCCTGACATACAGTAAATGCTCCATAAACTTTGTTATTACTATTAAATAATTATGATGCCTCAAAATACTGTCTATGCTAAATATATTTTGAACACAAGGCCTAATCTTATTGGTATATTTAAGACCATCTATTGTCTGGTCACATTCTAACTCCTAGTTATTTATTTCACTTAAATGAGTGAAGAAAATCCCCCAGTAACACTGAAATTTTTATTCTTAATCAAATGTATCATTCATTCACTGCCAGGTCTCCTCTTATTTTCTTGCTGGCAAGCCTTGGTTCCCCTTTTATTTCCTGAGGACAACTTCATTCTTCATTCCTCTGATTCCTGCTCACTTTTATCAACTTTACTGCTCAGATAGAAGATTCATCATCCATCCGTCCATCCATCCATCCATCCATCCATCCATCAGTCCATCAGTCCATTAGTTTTCTCATCTACTATCAGAATGCTTGCAATGCTCATAGCAATATTCTGGAAGAAAAGCATGAACAAAAACGTGATTACTATCTCAATCAGCAAGAGTCTGCTGGGGAATATAGAGAAGTGGCAATTACAATTCGCTAATTTTAGTGCTATCTTTAGATATAAGAATGGAGTGCAATGGGAAGAATACTTGGGAGGGTAATTTAAAGTTTGGGAGTTCACAGAAGGCTTCTTAAAGGGTATCAGAGGTACCTAACCTGAAATCTGAAATCTGCCCCAGCAGAAAGGGGTTAATAAATGGGAAGAGTGGGGAGAGTGTCCCAGAATTATCAGGAGCATGAATTATAGGTTGGGGGAAAAATATACAGAGAGAACTAAAAAGAGTCTTGTGTTTTGTAGGACAGAGAAGAAACGTGAGAATGGTGAACAAACTCTGGAGTGGTAATCTGAGGCCATATACAAAGCTCTGTCAATCCTATGTTCAGGAGAGTTTGGGTATAGGCTGTGAGCAAGAAGAGGCCACTGAAGGTTGTTTTTTTTGTTGTTTTTTTTTTTGTTTTTTTTTTTGAGATGGAGTCTCACTCTGTCACCCAGGCTGGAGTGCAGTGGCGCGATTTCGGCTCACTGCAACCTCCACCTCCCGGGCTCAAGCGATTCTCCTGCCTCAGCCTCCTGAGTACCTGGGATTATAGGTGCACACCACCATGGCTGGCTAATTTTTGTATTTTTAGTTGAGTTGGGGTTTCACCATGTTGGTCAGGCTGGTCTCAAACTCCTGACCTCATGATCCACTTGCCCCAGCCTCCCAAAGTGCTGGGATTATAGGGGACCGCACCCAGCCCCACTGAAGGGTTTTAAGTGGAGAAGTTATTTGATTTACAGTTTTAAATATGACTCTGTTAGTAGAATATAGATTAAAGCAGGAAAATACTCATGAAGAAAGACTACTTTGGTTGTTGTAAGGATCTTATCATGAGATGATGGTGACTCCTTTAAAATGGGACAGTGGAAATGTACTTTAAGGATTTAGAAGTACAATGTACAGTAACTAGTGATTGGATATTGGTAGCTAAGGACAGGAAGGGATAAAGGATGGTTTCTGGATTGACTTCCCTGATGGACAGTAACACCAATTACTGAGAAGGAGGAGATCTGAAGAGATGATGCTGGTCACCAGGATTGGTCGTATTGCTGGTAGCAGGTTTTGAAGAAGGATGATGAGCTCCATTTTGCTTTTGTTCAGTGTGAGAGGTCTATGGAACATGAAGTTGGAAGTGCCAAGGGAACTTCATTTGGAATTCATTCATTAAGAGACTAGAGTGAGAATAAGCTGTCAAAAACCGTGTAAAGGGTGTGAGGAGAATCTGGCTGAGTACAGAGCTCTGAGTCATGCCAGAGTTACAGGAATGGCAAGCGAAGAGAAGCCAGCAAAATAAACTGGTTAGTGGACAAAGAGGTGCAAGGAAATCTTGAGAAAAATGATGTTGGGACAACTATTTTTGACATTTAACATTCATTAGAATTCTGTATACATTTATTCATTTTCTTGACTAGAATTCCATCTTTTGAGGACAGGAAGCATGCTTTTGTATGCCTAGTATATATCATAGTACCCAACACACCTTAGGTTCTCAGTACATGTAAACTGATGGACAAAGATACCTATAGTGCCCCAAAATAGAGATAAGTTTTCAGTCTGTTATTTTTCTGAAACAGCTAAACATATAAGTGATCAGGACTGGTGAATTTAGATAGAGCTAGTGTTGTCTGCTGGAGAGAGTATGTGAGCATGTTATTCCTCATTGTGATAGTTTACACTAATCTGAATGATCTAAACGTGAGTAACCCTGGCTTTTGGTTAAAAGCCCTAAAATAGATGGCAAGTTGCAATTGTGCAGAAGAAAAGCAGTCCGTGAAAGAAATAGTGTCAGTCATAATAAGCCAGTGTAGATTCCAAGAAGTTCTGATCACATTAAAGAAAACATGTCAAATGCATCGGAAACCATGGACCGCAGGGAAAAAGTTGTAATAAGAATCTTGCAAGAAAGAGCCTGTCCAATCAGTGAAGGCAGGAGGTATGTGCCAGGATAGAATGATTTATGTGGAAATTTTGAAAACCTAATACACACCCTATTTAAATTAGTGGATCATGGGAATAATATGTGGTTACTAGGTCCAAAGTCAAAAGGATTGATTTCCTGTTCTCAATAGACTATCAAGTAGGTAGTGAGGAAATGAGACTATTCCTCCCAGAAAAAGGAGTGGATAGGACAGAATTTCTCATAAAAGTGAAATGTGCTCAGAGATAAGTAGATTTGATACCTAATTTATAGGCAGTTGAATGTAATTGAAAGAGGACATGTTTTGGTTTTGAAGTCCTCATAACCTCAGTTCAAATCCTAGTGTAGCTAAATACAAGTCATATGGCCTTGAGTCAGTTATTTAAACTCTTGGAATCTCAGTTTTCTTATTTGTAAAATTGGCATAACCTTTTCTAACTTATGTTTTTCTGAGGATTAATGATGAAATGCATATGAAATATCTAGAGTAGTACCAGGGTATTAGTGTTCAAAAAAACCTGATTTTTCTTAATTGTGACTGTAACTTTCCAAAAGGTATCCAGTAATATCAGACTCATGTGAGGGCAGCTAACTCTGGTTTGAGATTATTCTTGTTATTACGCAGTTTTGAAAGGTGTATGTTTCCAAATTATTTTTTAAGTCATTCAACTTTGTAATTTGTTTCCATTATGTAGATGAGGGTTAAAGCAATTGTTATTGCCAAAATATAGGATTACAGGACTTACAAAGTCTTGTAATCACATATTAAAATTAAAACACACAGACATACACACAATTGCAAGAAAATAACTTTAAAAATATTTATTTCTGATCAAAATAAATGTTAACTTGTGATAAGGTGTTAGCACAAGTGCTAATAACTTGTGCATCATTCCTTCTGCAAAACCTGCTCCCAGCAATACGACCAATCGTAATGACTGGTGTCATCTCTTCTGGTCTCAACCCACTTAGTAACTGGTGTTACTGTCTATCTTGGGGGCCAGTCCAGAAACTGTCCTTGACCCCTGCCTGTCCTTAGCTACCAATATCCAATCACTAGGTACTGTCAACTGTACTCTTAAATCCTTAGAATCCATTCCCATTACCCCATTTTAGAGGAGTCACCATCATCTCATGATAAGATTCCTACAGCCAAAGTAGTTTCCTTTGCTGAATATTTTCCCTCTGTAATATTTAATTTATTCTACTAACAGAGTAATATTTAAAACTATAAATCAAATCACTTCTCCACTTAAAACCCTTCAGTGGCTTCTCATTGCCCTCAGCCTATATCTAAATTCCAGTCCTATCTAAGCAAAAGCTTTTCCCGCAAATGTATCCAAAGTGAAAAGTTAAGATTTTATATTATTTCAACAACATAATGGAGGGTCAGGAGTTATAAGGAAAGTCACAGGAAATCAAAAGTTGCCCCCATTTTTTTTTCACCTTACCTACAGAAAGTGAGAGAACTCAGGAATCTCCAAAATAGTAAACTAAGCTTTAACAGCAAGAGAATCCAGGGGACTTAGTGATAGTAAACTACACATCATTATTGCCTACATCATGATATAATTAAGGTACTTTTAGAAAATATATAAATAAAGCATAGAAATAACTATATGATTAATCTTTCCTATAATTATTAAAATAGAATGAGAATACATAGCAAGAAGGTCATGCATTTTTATTATGAGTGATAAAGTGAATTGAGTAGGCTTTCCACAAATATTATTTGAATTTGGTTTTGATAAAACTTCAAAATCACCACCAACCATTTAAGATGTGATACTATAAGTTGCTAAACTAACATAATTTTCTTGTTTTTGGAAAATGAGATTTTAAAATATTCAGATTGCTTTATCAAAGTGTGATGTTATTTATATCTGGCCACAAATAAAAGAAAACGTGTATTTCAACTAGAGTTTTTAAGCTTGATTTGCAATGCTGAGTATGGATGCCACATCTCAAGTGAACACAGTATGTCTATTATAAAGGATCTAAAGACAGTCATGGAATTTTGAAGACAGAAAGGAGATTAGAGGCTAGAAACAAAAAGAAATGATAGTCAAAATGGAAGAGGAATATAAATCATAATATTCATGGAGAGTTGTGGTTGATTAGGATCAGAAGTAAGATTGCTAATATTTAACAACTGGTATAGCACCAAACTGGGTGCCAGTCTTACTATGGAAGCTAAGTCTTGGAAAGTCAGTATATTTTCTAGAAGAGTCTGAGAATCTATTTCCCAGTGAAGGGCTGAGATGACTGGGATGGCTAAAGGTATAGGAATATTATAACAAATACTGTGTACTGGTTAACTGTCAACTTTGGATATTCCTTACTAAATTTTCATTTGAAGAAAGCCAGAGTGTTGAGGACCCAGCCTCAGGTATGTAGGGAGTTTCACATGAAATCTTTACATACACCTAAAATCTAGGAGAATGTGATCTCCTTTCTCATTAGAATCCAAAAATCTCCACTTACCAGCCTTGGGTTCTGGCCTGGTAGTAAGCCATACCCCTCATTCCCAGGAGAAATCACAGCATCCAGCAAAACCTCATGTATGTGGAACTCCAAATCATTCATGCAGTGTGAAAACCTCAAGCCTGAAAACTCATCTAAAACTGGCCTAAAAATAGAAATTACTGTAGAGACTTTTCACAGACAAATGTATAAGCACTTCTTAAGAATGTCTCCAGAAACCGGGAAAAAATGCGATTCCTGTGAGAGAAACCTCCACTTAATGAGATGTAATAGAAAAAATAACTATGCACCGAAGAAAGCCCACAACCAGAGACACGCAAGTCCAAAATCCAGTGGGTCAAAAATCTTAAAGCTCTAAAATCTTAAAGTCCACAATCTTAAAGGTCTGAAATGATCTCCTTTGACTCCCTGTCTCACAGCCAGGTCACACTGATGCAAAAGGTGGGCTCCCACAGCTTTGGGCAGCTATACCCCTGTGGCTTTTCAGGACACAGCCTCCCTCCCAGCTGCTTTCATGGGCTGGTGTTGAGTGTCTGTGGCTTTTCGGCACATGGTGCAAGCTGTCAGTGGATTTACCATTTTGGGGTCTGGAGGATGGTGGTCCTCTTCTCACAGCTCCACTAGGCAGTGCCCCAGAGGGGACTCTGTATGGGGGCTCTGACCCCACATTTCCCTTCCACACTGCACTAGCAGAGGTTCTTCATCAGGACTCTACCCCTGCAGTAGACTTCTGCCTAAAGGATGTTTCCTTACAGCCTCTAAATTCTAGGCAGAGATTCCCAAACCTCAATTCTTGTCTTCTATATACCTGTAGGCCCAACACCACGTGGAAACTGCCAAGGCTTGGGACTTGCACCCTCTGAAGCAACAGACTGAACTGTACCTTGACCCCTTTTACCCATGGCTGAATGCAGGGTACCATGTCCCAAGGCTGCACAGAGTAGGGGGGCCCTGGGCCTGGCAGACAAAACCATTTTTCCCTTCTAGGCCTCCAGATCTGTGATGAATGGGGCTTCCATGAAGGTCTCTGACATGCCCTGGAGACATTTTCCCCATTGTTTCGGTGATTAACATTTGGCTCCTCATTACTTATGCAAATTTCTGCAGCTGGCTTGAATTTCTCCCCAGAAAATGAGTTTTTATTTTCTATCTCATTGTCAGGCTGCAAATTTTCCAAATTTTTATGCTCTGCTTCCTCTTGAACACTTTGCCACTTAGAAATTTCTTCCTCCAGATACCCTAAATCATCTCTCTCAGATTCAAAATTCCACAAATCTCTAGGGCAGGGACAAAACGGTGCCAGTCTCTTTGCATAGCAAGAGTGACCTTTATTCCAGGCCCCAACAAGTTCCTTACTGCCATCTGAGAAAACCTCAGCATGGAATTCATTGTCCATATCACTATCAGCATTTCAGTCAAAACCATTCAACAGGTCTCTAGGAAGTTCCAAACTTTTCCATATCTTCCTGTCTTCTGAGCCCTCTAAGTCTCTAGGAAGTTTCAAACTTTCCTACATTTGCCCATCTTCTTCTGAGCCCTCCAAACTGTTACAAGCTCTGCTTGTTACCCATTTCCAAAGTCACTTTCATATTTTTGGCTATCTTTACAGCAGCGCCCCACTCTCTGCAGTACTGATTTCCTGTATTAGTCCATTTTCATGCTGCTATGAAGAAATTCCTGAGACTAAGTAATTTATAAAGAAAAGAGGTTTAATTGACTCACAGTTTCACATGGCTAGGGAGGCCTCAGAAAATTTACAATTATGGTGGAAGGCAAAATAGGTGTGTCTTACATGATGGCAGGTGAGAGAATTGAGAGCAAGAGAAGGGGGAAGTCCCTTGTAAAACCATTAGCCCTTGTAAGAACTCACTCACTTATCATGAGAACAGTATGGGGGAAACTGCTCCCATGATTTGATTATCTCCAACTTGTCCTGCTTTGACACGTGGGGATTATTACAATTCAAGATGAGATTTGGGTGGGGGACACAGAGCCAAACCATATCAGGGACATTGTTGAAAGGACATGATCTCTTTCTAGTTTCTCACCTTATTCGGTCAGATATAGCAGGACAATGAATTCCAGTAGAATCAGCAGGATTTCTGAAACTTCTTTATATCACTTAAAAAGTTGCTAACTCATTTGTACGTATTGCGTATGGTGTGAAATAGGGACTTTTCCTTTTTTTTTTTCATCCTAGACAGATAATGCAGCATTCTAGCACTATTTATTAAATACATCATTATTTCCTCATTGAATTGAAATGGCAGTAATTGGTCTTTGTGACGTTCACGTATATATTTCAATCTGCCCTTATATTGTCTTCTTTTCTACTGATGTATTTGTCCTTTCTGTACCAATTGATTAAAATAGCTTTAGGGTAAGTTATCTTATTTAGCATTAGCTCCCTCACAACTTTTTTCATTCATACTTCTATTGGCCAGTCTCATACCTGAAGTATTTTAAATGAGTTTACAATTATTTCACTTACCTTCAGAAAAAAAAAAGGAACAAAAACTCTTAATGACTGGTAACATGCAAATTTGATGTAGAATTATTATTTTTTAAAATTTATATATTTCTATTTATTTTTATTAATTTATTATTTACACATTATTTCACTTATCTTTACTGTATTATATTGAATGTTGTTTTATTCCTGTGTATCTACCACTTATATAATAAAATTAATAATCATTTAAACATAATTTAAATACATATGGAGACGTATTTTCAATTGGGAAGTGAATGTAAAAGTCAGATTTACTAAGATTTGAAACCTGACTCTTCCATGCCCTAGATGTACAGTAGTCTTTTGTAAGCTGATTCACCTCACGGTTTTAATGCAGCAGTCAATTCTTTAGAAAACTTCTTTGTTAAGTTCCTAGATTTTATAAAGTCATATCATTGCATTCTTAGAATAGTAGCATAATTGGGACAACGTAAAGTTTCTCTTAGTTGACTAAAATGATATTTTTTGAAGAAAATTTCTTTAACAATTTTTGAGATAACCTAAAATCTATGCTGAGTTTCATCCAGGTCCTCAGAGAAGTAAGTAACTGGATTGTGTTGATTTTGCTTTGGGGGAACACTATTAATGGAATTGGACTTTGGCCTTTGGCTTTTTGTTTACATTGTAGGAACGCTATAATAAATGAAGTGAGGACATCGCTGATGTATCTACTGTAGTGATATTGGCAAGTGCCTTGTTTACATTTTCCTCTCTGGTGTCAATACCAGCAATACCTCGGGCCCTCCTGAATTATCAGTGGCATTTTTGTGTAAGGGATTTATTTTCAATATTGCCATTGGCTAGTTTCTCTTTGCAAAGGCTAGTAGAATGCTCAAAAATAAAATTTTGAGTTTACTTCTCTTATTTGGAAAGCAAATTTTGTATATGAATCTGAATCTTTGTTTATTTTACTTCTCTACATTGTTGCCCTTTGCTTGGAATTTCTTGGTCCCTTTTTATCTTCTGTGACTTTTTTTAAGCCACCTAAAATCAATTTTGAATTACAGAAAGGGCAAAAGTAAATACACAATTATATAATAAATGAAACAATCTTTCTTAGCATCAGTTGCTTCAATTAAGACATCCCTTCTCCTCTGTTTATTGAAGCCTCTGCATCATTAGCATCTCTGCTTATTGAAGCTTTTCTTGATCACTTTCAAAGACAGCACCTGCCCTTGCAACCTCTATCCATCTTTCTCACTTTATTTTTCTCTACTGGACTCACCACTATCTTGCTTGCTAAATATATATTTTACTTATTATTTTTGTTACTATTTATTTTTATCTCCTTCAACTACAATGTGGTTTCATATTGACTTCTTTATCTTCAGAGCGGCTGGCACAAATAGGTGCTCGAGTAAAATTTAATGAATATCTGCTTCAAAGGTGTTCCAAACATAGTAATAATATACTTTTGAGACAGTGTGTGACTCTATTCAGGCTGAATCTCAATGGCTTGATCAAGGCTCACTGCAGCCTCAGCTTCCTGAGCTCCAGGGATTCTCCTGCCTCAGCCTCCCAAGTAGCTGGGACTACAGGCACGCACCACCACACCAGGCTAGCTTTTTATTTTTGGAGACATGGGGTCTCCTCATGTTGCCCAGGCTGGTCTTGAACTCCTGGGCTCAAGTGATCCTCTTGCCTTGGCCTCCCAAAGTGCTGGAACACTGTGCCTGGCCCATAGGACATATTATGAGATCACTTGTACAGTGCCCAGTACATTGACCTTCCTTCTTCACATTTAAAGCAGGCTCAGTCTGAGGGACTCTGGCTGTAACCTACTGTGATGGGCATCCCCAAACTCAGGGCTCAGTGGTTGTTTTTCCTATTTCAACCCAGATGACAGACAGGGAGGGCAATTTCTATTGAATATTCAAAGATGAAATGTTTTAGAATAATAATCAAACATATGTATTTTAGCTTTGTGATGGCAGGAAACAACTTTGGGTTACCCTTTCATAACTACTTTATAGCTGTGAGTAGCACAAAGCTGAAGAACAATACCTATTTGTTGGTAATGAATGGATAATGATGATTAGCAGTAGTTGGCTGGGCCTGGTGGCTCACGCCTGTAATACCAGCACTTTGGAAGGCTGAGGCAGGCGGATCATGAGGTCAGATCAAGACCATCCTGACTAACATGGTGAAACCCCATGTCTACTAAAAATATAAAAATTAGCTGGGTGTGGTGGCATGTGCCTGTAATTCTAGCTACTCAGGAGACTGAGGCAGGAGAGTCACTTGAACCTGGGAGACGGAGATTGCAGTGAGCCGAGATTGCGCCACTGCACTGCAGTCTGGCGACAGAGCGAGACTCCGTCTCAAACAAAACAAAACAAAACAAAACAAAACAAACAAACAAAATATATATATATGTTTCTTAATGGGTTGTTATCACCCTTAAAATATTTTAACTAATACTTACTTTAATTCCTCGTATAATAATGTAAGTTGAATATTTTTACCAATCCCCTCATTGTAATCCCCATTTTACATATGAGAAAATGAAGGCTAAGATAAATTAAATAATAATTTTTATAAACTAACACTGGTAATAAGGACAGAACTTGGACTTGAAACAAAAGGTTTCTGATTCTAGAACCATATGCTTAAATTTCAGCATCATTATTCTTGACATGACCTCAATTCCTTTTTTATGCCAGTTACATTTCTTTTGCGTTTCCTCCTAATTTCCTGCAATCTTCAGTAAAAGTTTTAACAGGTAAAAGTGTAAATAGCCCTTTTGAAGATATTAAAGCCAAGTTCTAGAGCTGCAAGACTTTCTTTTCCAAGAAAAAAATAGTTGTAATAAAAATGTCTTTTGAGCCCCTTAGATTGTCTGATAAGCCCCATATAATGCCTGAGCTAATCTTTTCTGAAAGCTCTTAGGGCAAATTGCTGTTAACACTCAGGTCTGACAGTTTAATGCTATTACACCACAAAATATATGTCCTTTCCCAAAATAAACATGTTTTATAATAGTAATACAAATGTCGTCAAGGGGCAAGGTTATCGGGAGATAATTAGACTCCAGAGAGATTACAGGCTCTTAGATCATGAGAGTAATATAGCGAGCCTGCCTTATTAAATAATTGTAAGAAAGTCAAAGTCAACTATAAATACACACATTTCCCTGTAATTACTTTAAAAAGTACAAACCCAAGTTGCATGCCAATGTGCTGAGATGATAAGCCCTCTCTCTCCATTACCTTAAAATGTCTAAATATAACCTAGAAAATCAACCTTCAATTTGAATTTTAAATAAGAATGAAAAACGAAAGACACCTCCTTTTTCTTTTGCTAATATTTTTAGGTTAGCTGTTTTCAGGACATTTTTAAAACCTGGCAAATGAATGGCTGGGTTTCAGGAAATAATCCACCATCCAAGTTCATACTCCATTAAAAAAAAAAAGCTAACTACATGCAATTCTTCTGCATGTAGCTCTATTTATTTACACCTAATATACCCCTGTCCTGAAAGATCATCGTCTCTCTAGATATTAAATGTGCAAATAGAATTTAACATTTTCTTCCAAAATAGTTTATTATAACCTTTGTGATGTCTTCTCTTACTACCACTACCTACCCCATCTCCTCAATATTCAGACATTTAAATATTTCTTTTTTAGCATTTCAATAGCATCTTATGATAAGTTCTATTAACAATTATCTGATTACATTATATTGTCCATGAGCAGATTTTTGTTCATATTAGATTAAGAAAAAATGCATACATTTCCAGCTCCTGCTGTAGTGCTTACCACAATGCATTTGCTCAATAAACATTTACTGAATAAATAAATGAAGAAAAAAAGAAGGTGAGGTTGTCCAAAGCAGATTAATAAAATCAACCATGCTGTGCATGAGAAATTATTTTCCATTGATGACAAGTTTTTTGTTCACTGCTTCTACTCTTAGTCCCAGAGTGAGGCTATTAGCTCTCTTCTTCTAGGAGAAGATATATATTCAAGTGGAAGATTTGCAACCTTGAGAGTCACATTCCTATATAAGCAGCTCAAATTTACATATAAGCTCCCTGAAAGACCTGAAGTGTTGTATTTGGTCCTGCATCCCCAACACCTAGAACATTGGCACAAGCTGGTTAATGCCTGATTCCAAACCTGCAGGAATTCATTTTCATCTTTTTCTCTTAAAAGTTTTCTAAAGTTTTTTAGGGTATTACAAATAATTAGTGATATAGCTGAAATTTAGATAATAAGATTTTATGTGTCCATGTATGCGCATTCTCCCTGATATTATTTCCAGTTGGCAGTCAGCCCCATTTAATACAATAATCCTGTATTAGGTTTCTCCAGAGGGAAAGAACTAATAGGATATATGTATATATGAAAGGGAGTTTACTAGGGAGAAATGGCTCACAGGATCACAAGGCAAAGTCCCCTGATAGGCTGCCTGCAAGCTGGGGAAGAAAAAAGTCAAATTCTGTTTGGCAAGTTTAATATAGGAAGAGAGGATGATCTTTCAGGACAAGGATATGTTAGGTATAAATGTATAGAGCTTTGTATTAGAAGAATTGCACGTAGTTAGCATTTTATTTTTTTAATGCAGTATGAACTTGGATGGGTGGAGTATTTCTTGGAATCCATCCATTTATTTGCAGGATTTAAAAATGTCCTGAAAACAGTGGCTCAGTCTGATTCCAAAAGCTTTCAAAGTAGGGAAGCCAACAGCACAGACTTTGGTCTGTGGCAGAAGGCCCAAGAGCCACCAGCAAACCACTGGTGTAAGGCCAAGAGTCAAGTGGCTGAAGAACCTGTAGTCTGATGTCCAAGGGCAGGAGAAACAGAAGGAGGCATTTAGCAAGGGAGGAAAATGAAAGAGAGAAGTCTCAGTAAGCCAGCTTATCCCACCGTCTTCTCCTGCTTTGTTCTAGCCATGCTGGCAGCCAAATGGATGGTGCCCATCCACATTGAGGGTGGGTCTTCCTCTCCCAGTCCACTGACAAAAACATTAATCTCCCCTGGCAACACCCTTCCAGACACACACAGGAACAATACTATACCAGCTATCTAGGTATTCCTCATTCCAGTCAACTTAACACCTAATATTAACCATCATGCCACCCCAAAATTGTTCCTTATCTTTGCATTTGAAATTTTCTGGAATCTTAAAAGAAATATGAAATATCTCCACCTCTTGGGGCATTGAAAACATTGTATACATTCATGATTCTGAAATTCTGCCCTAACGAATGATCTGGTTATTATTTTTTACTGATAATACAGCAGCAACCTAACAGAAGTCATTGAATATAAAGCCTTTTTAGGCTCATGGTATCCATGAGCTGAGTCAACAGAGAATACAAAAGTTAGACTTATCCCATTCTTTTCTACTACCATATAGTTTTTTTTTCTTTTTTTCTTTTCTTTTCTTTTTTTTTTAAATTATACTTTAAGTTCTAGGGTACATGTGCACAACGTGCAGGTTTGTTACATATGTATACATGTGCCATGTTGGTGTGCTGCACCCATTAAATCGTCATTTACATTAGGTATATCTCCTAATGCTATCCCTCCCCCCTCCCCCCACCCCACAACAGGCCCTGGTGTGTGATGTTCCCCTTCCTGTGTCCAAGTGTTCTCATTGTTCAATTCCCACCTATGAATGAGAACATGCAGTGTTTGGTTTTTTGTCCTTGTGATAGTTTGCTGAGAATGATGGTTTCCAGCTTCATCCATGTCCCTACAAAGGACATGAACTCATCATTTTTTATGTCTGCATAGTATTCCATGGTGTATATGTGCCACATTTTCTTAATCCAGTCTATCATTGTTGGACATTTGGGTTGGTTCCAAGTCTTTGCTATCGTGAATAGTGCCGCAATAAACATATGTGTGCACGTGTCTTTATAGCAGCATGATTTATACTCCTTTGGGTATATACCCAGTAATGGGATTGCTGGGTCAAATGATATTTCTAGTTCTAGATCCCTGAGGAATCGCCGCACTGACTTCCACAATGGTTGAACTAGTTTACAGTCCCACCAACAGTGTAAAAGTGTTCCTATTTCTCCACATCCTCTCCAGCACCTGTTGTTTCATTGAATGTACACATTTGAACCACACACACAAATAGTATAACTACCATATACTTTTTAGGCTCTATACTATTTGTGTGTGGTTCAGATGTGTACATTCAACTCTTCCATACTGTGTTTATTTTCAATTCCACATTCAAGCAATAAAGGACTCCTTTACATTTACATTTTCAGTGATTTCACTTCAATTTAAGCATCAATGTAAAAAAAAAATCCTGCCATGTTCGTGAATATTTCTTGCTGGCAATAGATATATCTGTATTTTGAAAATTGCAGTATTCAAATTGAATTTTTCAGGGCTTTTCAAGCTACAGAACAAAAGAAGAAATATATTCCAAAATTAGATTTTCCCATGAATATTTATATTAGTCAGGATAAGGTAAGCTATGCTATAGGAACAAATAAGCCAATGAGTATTAATGTGTTCACAATAAGAAAAAAGTGTATTTTTTGCTTATGTTGCATATCAAAAAAGAGTCTTTTTTTGGGTGGAAGTTTGGTTGAACAGGGGAATCTGCTCCATGTAATCACTCAGAGACTAAGGCTGATGGAAGCCCCATACTTTTATAGCTTTGTGACATGGAACATGAGGACTCTGTAGTGGCTTTAAGATGGGAACAGATGGCATAGAAGTGGTACACCAAATCTTAAATGCCTCAGACTTAAAGTAACACTTACTGATTCGATTCACATTTCTGTGGCTCTTTGGCTAGAATTAGTCACATGGCCCCAAAATAACTGCAAAGAAGTTTGAGAAATGTGAAGAAGGAAATTTATATTTATTGATCACAAAAATGCCTTTTCTACACTACCAAGGAGGGTTAATTTGAAGTAAGTTAATCTAATTTAATATGCAAAACTAATTTTCATGACGTATGTAGATCTTCCAGTAATTTAGCTCCCAGGTCTTTATTGTGTGAAAGTTTTAAAATAAGTGATGTCATACATGGTTCATACTAATAGTTGAATTACAAAAAAAAACCCACCATATTATAAATGTTTTGAGATAGTAACTTAGAAACAATAAATTTTTTATTATAGTACTATCTTTTTTCTAGCTGAAATATTCAAACATTAAACAAGATGCTCTCTCTCTCCCTCTTTTTCCTCCCTTCAGCAAACATTTTAGCTGGATGGATTCATTGGAAATGAATGACTCCTATCCACATCATTTGATTGACAGAAAGGGATTTCAAAACACAAAGTTTATACTAATTTAAAAAATAAGAATTTATTCCTGTAGCACCTTTGTTTTTAGTAAGTAAATTGATTTATGGAACAATATAAATAAATTAGATTTATTTAGGATGGCTGATTAAGTTATGATATATATTTACAAGAGAATGTTATGCAGCTATTAAAAATGAATAAGGGAATTCACAATGTATGGATAAAAAAAATCTCCATAATATATTGAGTGTGAAACCCATAGGTCCAGTACAGTATGCATAGCAGCTGCCTTTATGTGGGAGAGCTAGAAACATATATGTATGTGAATTATCTCTGAAAGAATATACGTGGTAACAAAGAAATTGGTATCAGTGGCAGCTTCACGAGAGGAAGACCCTCTACTATAAATGCTTTTATACTTTTGAAACTCATTCCGATATGAATGAAGATATAACCTGTTCAAAATACTAAAAATTACTAAAGAACATAAGAATTTAAACTATTCTTAAATTCCACCTTGTTGTGATAAGGAGGTCACATTATATGTGAATGAATGAATGGCCACAATGAATCATGATAGTAGATGGCATCCTTACCTCCCCACTGGGTTTACCAATAGTATTGGGGGGCGAGTATTTTTCTTTCATTCATTTATTAATGCATTCCACAATCAAGTATCAGATGATTGCAATAGCCAGGCTTTGTTCTAACTCTGTAAACACAGCAATATGTATATAAAAAACTTTTTGTTCATATGAAACATAAATGCTAATATGAAAGGACAAAAAACAGACAAATAATGGAAGTCCAAGAGTCATAAGGAGGAGAAGATAAAAAGAAAATACTGCAATGAAACATACAGTGATTGGTGAACAGTGTTAAGAGATATTTTCAATGTTATCCGATATGATAGGGGAGAGCAGAATAAAGGCTGTTGAATTTGACTTTTACTATTTTATTGGCATCTTTGTCAGTGGGAAGAAATCAGATTGAAACTTCTTGAGTGAAATATGAACAGGTGATGTCAATGAATAGTGGTTATTCTTTCAAGGTTGGTAGTGAAGTAAGTCAGTTGCTTTAGGAGGAAGTAATTGTGAACGCAAGATTTTTTTGTTTCTTTATTGTGATGAAGAGGTGAACCTTTGTTTATTTCTTATAGTCCTTCTATTTTTATATACTTTTTGTAAGAAAAAAAATGCCTGAGCTTTAATAGGTACATCATATTCCTTGAGCACTTATTTTGAGTTTGATAATATCACAATAATGTTACAACAACATAATGAATTGTTGGTTGGTAGTGAAGAAGTAAGTCAGTTGCTTAAGAGGAAGTAATTGTGAAGGCAAGATATTTTGTTTCTTTATTGTGATGAAGAGGTGAACCTTTGTTTATTTCTTATAGTGCTTCTATTTTTATATACTTTTTGTAAGAAAAAAATGCCTGAACTTTAATAGGTACATCATATTCCTTGAGCACTTACTTAGGGTTTGATAATATCACAATAATGTTACAACAACATAATGAATTACTGATAACCCTTCTTACTTTTGTGGTCAACAGACTCTTAAGGTAGTCCCATGATCTCTGCCTCATGGAGTTCATGTGATCCCCTCTTCTTGGGTGTAGTTAGGTGTGACTTGCTTTGAACCAATTGAAGTAGCAAAGGGAATGGGATGTACAAGATTAGGGATATGTGATTATATTGTATTAGATTGTAGCATCTTTCTTCCTAGAGTCCCAGTGCCTCTCTCTCTCTTGCTGCCCTCAAAGAGGTTTAACCCACACTGGAAAGCCTCGTGTGTAAAAAAACTACAGGTGGCTTCTAAGATATGAGGGTGTTCTCTAGCTAGAAGTTAGGATAAAACAGATCTTTGGTCCAACAGCTGCAAGAAACTAAATTCTGCTAACTCCCTGAACAAGGGTAGATGCAGTTCATTCCCTGGTCATTTCTCAGATGAGAATGCAGATCAGGCCACTTTGATTCCAACCTGGGAGACTTGAAGTAGAGGACTCAGCTAAGCCATACCCAGAGTTCTAATCTGAGTTCTTTTAAGAAACGTGGGTTGTTTTAAGCTCTTAAGCTTGTGGCAATTTGTTATACAGCAATAGATGAGGCAAATAATTTAAAAATTCAAGCACAGATAATTTATTTGACCAAAGATAAAACAATTAGTGTTGGAACCAAGGGTTTGGAATGAAAAGGAAGTTATACAGATCTTGGATTTGCTAATTACAATTATTTGGAGACAATTGACCAAACTCAGGCTTTGTTTTCTCATCTGTAAAAACAAAAATATCAATTTTAGCTTACTTTGATGATCAAATGATGTGTCAAATATACAAAGTCTAAAACCACTTAGACACCTAATAAGTTGTTTTTCATCTCTTTTATTTCTGCATCATGTAATACTTTCTATATGAGCATCACAATAATTGAATGAGCAATTTCAATAATGTTCTAGACTCTATTTGTTTGTCCCAAGGAAAGCAGCACCTCTTTTTAAATATGATGCTGGCTTTTTATATTTGTCATAGGTGAATGGTAGAATTATGTGCCCAAAGACTGTACATTCATATGGCACCTTTATAACCAAGAAGGGTATTCATCTTGGCTAGCTCTTTCTAAATGCCCAGAGAGCTGGCAGGAGGCAGGCATGAAGGAGTTAAAAGAGAGTGCTGCTGGCAAGTTTCCTTCAATCAAGTGCCTTTCACCAAAAATGGAGAAGTAGTAAATGGGGAGGGGGGTGAGAACAGGAGGAGGTGAAATAAATAGTCCTTCTCCCTAGTGCAGAACTCACTTCTATAGGCAAGAGAGGAAGGGCAGAGACAGTTATAAAGGGTCTTTTATGCAAAGCATTTCAAAGGGCTATGATGAAAATACAATATAAAATACACTCTTAGCATATTAGCCGACAGCTAAGCCTAGACAAATAAGAGCATTTTCAGTTTGTTCTTAAAAGTCTCCAAGGAGCTGGGAGTTCTTACAGCTGCAGAGAAAAAAAAGGTGAGTTTGAATGCAGCCTGAAGAAAATATTCTTGCCCTTATTGAATCAAGTTGAACAGGGTCACTAGTGGAAAGTAAATCCCTGAAGATGGATAGCATATAAGCAGCAATATTCTCTGAAAAAGAATTGAGGTCTTGGTTGTAGAAATCTCTGAAAACCAGGAATGAAGTGTACAAATGGGCCCAAGGTCTGAAAGGCACGAAAGATTACTCCATTAAATGCTGAGAATAAAGACAACTGGGTCTCAGGGAGGACCCTCACTAATCCCAGTGTCTCTGGAGTTAAATATCAATGCTGAGTGTGACATGTGTACCGGTCATAAAGCAACACACATTTATTATCTCACAGGTTTTGCAGGTCAGGATTTTGCAGTCCTATCTGAGGAATAACTAGGGAAAGATCTGCTTCTACATTTTTTCAGGTAGTTAGCACAATTTAGTTTCTTACAGCTGTAGGATTGAAGATTTCAGTTTTATCTTGGCTTTTAGTCAAATGCCATCCTCATCTCCTGGAGACCACCTGCATTTTCTTGGGACATTTCATTTCCTAGTGTGGGTTCCGCCTTCTTGAAGCCAGTGGGGTAGGGGGAGAGAGAAAGAGGGTGAGAGAGACTTCAGCCAGACAGGTGCTACAATCTAACACAATGTAATCAGGTAACCATAATCTTGTACCTTCCATTCCCTTTGCTATTTCTATTGGTTCAAAGCAAGTCACACAAAACATATTATATGGACAACTGATATCTGTTATTATGTAAATGGATTTTCTAATTTATTAAATACAGGTGTGTTCTATCATTTATGTTGAATTAAAAGATTAAATCAGTGACTGTCTTTAACATTTTAAGGTGTCTAACTCGTTCTTTTCCTTGTCTGGCTGTTCTTTTTCATTTGCTTTTGAAGTTTTCTTTATATGGATGTTTTTCCCTTACTTATTTTTTTGAGTAACCTAAACATACTTATCTCAAAACCCTTGTCAGCACATTCTAAAAAAAAAAAAGTTTCACTAAACTGTATTCTTAACTTAATAATTAATTGTGGTGTCTGTTTCCTAATGATAATTTTAATAAAATTATTTGATATGGTTTGGCTCTGTGCCCTCACCCAAATCTCATCTTTAATTGTAGCTCCCATAATTCCCATGTGTTGTGGGAGGGACCCAGTGGGAGATAATTGAATCATGGGGGCAGTTTCCCCCATACTGTTCTCATGGTAGTGAGTAAGTCTCACAAGGACTGATGGTTTGATAATAGGAAACCTGTTTCTCTTGGCTCTTATTCTCTCTCTTGTCACCACCACATGAGAAGTCCCTTTTACCTTCCACCATGATTGTGAGGCCTCCCCTGCCATGTGGAACTGTAAGTCCAATAAACCTCTTTCTTTTGTAAATTGCCCAGTCTTTAGTATGTCTTTCTTTATCAGCAGTGTGAAAATGAACTAATACTTTATTCAAATAGAGATTTAAAATAGTAAACATTCATTGTCGCACAGTGTCTGTGGGTCATAAATTCTGGAGAAGCTTAGCTAGGTGGCTCTTGTTTATGGTTTCCTATGAACTTGTAATCAAAGTATCAGCCATATTTATATTCATCTGAAGGCTTGACTAGAACTGTAGGATTCTTTTCAAGGATAGCTCATTCATGCGGCTATTGGTAGAAGGCTTCCTTTTATCAGCAAATTGACCTCTCCATAGGGCTTCTTGAGTATCCTCTAACATGGCAACTGGCTTCCCTAGTGTGAGTGATGCAAAAGAGAGTAAGATGGATGTCATGTATTTTGTATGATGTCACTCTCGTTTCCACAGCACCTCATTGGTGATAGAAGGCAGTCCTAATCAATATATGAGGAGAGTAAACAAGGACATGAACACCAGGAGGCAGATTGGGGCCCCACCTTGGACAATGGTTATAACAATTATCTCTTGGTTTTGCAAGATCTGTAATGTTGAGTCACAGGTCCTGCTCAAAATTGGTATGGGGACATCAACATAGTGGGTAGATGTGTCTAAATTTTTCTTGCTATGTACAGCTTCAGCTTTGTACCTATAGTCAACAATCAAGGGATGGAAGTGTTTTATTGTTTGTTTGTTTTTGTGTTTTTTGTTTTTTTTGGTTTTATTGAGACAGAGTCTCGCTCTGTCACCTGGGCTGGAGTCCAGTGGCACGATCTTGGCTCACTGCAACCTCCGCCTCCAGGTTCAAGTGATTCTCCTGCCTCAGCCTACCAAGTAGCTGGGATTACAGATACATGTCACTGCGCTTGGCTGGGTTACACCATGTTAGCTAGGATGGTATCGATCTCCTGACCTAGTGATCTGCCTGCCTCGACCTCCCAAAGTGCTGGGATTATAGGCATGAGCCACTGTGCCTGGCCTGAAATAGTTTCTTTCTTTCTTTCTTTTTTTTTTTTTTTTTTACAGCCCAGAGGTCCTTTATTTATTTATTTTTAACACCTATTATGCCATGAATTCATAGGGAATAGGTTCCAGCAGCTCAGGCTCCTTCCCATTGGTTCTCACAAAGTGTGCCTCTCTGGGTGGAGCAGGCTGGCGCTTTAGTTGAACCCAGGTACCTTTCTCTTTGGCTTCTTTCTTTTTCTGATCATTTTCCTTCACACGTTTCAGGAAGCTATCTCAGCTCTTAGAGTGCTTAATGTGCTCAATACACACATTAATTCTCTTGGCAAGAATCTTGCCCTTAACTTGTTTGTTCACAACAATGCCAACAGCATGCTGGGTAACACTGTAGACTCTTCCAGTTTTGCCATGGTAACACTTGTGGGGCATTCCTTTTTGAACAGTACCCATTCCCTTGATGTCTACAATATCACCTTTCTTATAGATTCACATACACGTGGCCAAAGGAACAACTCCATGTTTTCTAAAAGGCCTAGAGAACATATATCGCGTGCCTCTCCTCTTTCCCTTTGTGTTCGTCATTTTGGCGAATTACTGGTTGCTTAAACAGCCGCTCAAGAATGCTACTCCAGCCTCTGGTTTCCAGCAACAAACCTTTCAAGGCCTTCTTCTCACTTGGGGAGAGTATTAGCCTCCACTTGCTTCATGCTTATGGATATAGATTCATCAAATATGTTCTTGGGTTCCACACAATGCTTTGTATTTCGGTTCTGATTCTGGTTGCCCTGATCCCCAAATATTACTTTAAAAAATTAAATATATAAATATAATTTGTATCCATCACTACCAAGTATTTGTCACAAATAAATACATCAGATTGCAAAGTTCTTATTATAAATGAAAGTTTTCCTGATACAAGCTGGGTAATTTTGTGCATGTTTTATGCTGGTATAGTGCAGTATTAAAATCAGTTGATATACAGCTTCTGAAAGAAATGGATAGAAGTGGGTATCAAGAATCACTATTAATGTGCCAGAATGGTCTCTGGGGAAACATGAAGGTGTGCAGAAAAAAATGTTTGGTTACTTGACCTAGAAACAATTCAAGACATGGTACTAGAATAGCATATAATTGGTCATAAAGATTAAGCAGATCTTTGACTTCAGCAAAGGTAAAGGTAAGAAAGTAGCTCTCCTGGCACACTGACACCAATCACAAATTTGCATTTAATTATGGCTCTTTTATGGTTAGAAAATCTAGATTGGGTACACATACAGAATAGAGTAAAATCCTAGACTGGAGCTGTGTTCATTTGTATAGTGGAAATGAATTTATTTCATTTGGCTTCTTTCTGATATTGTTTGGCATTTCTCCATTACTGAATCTCTTTATATTAATTGCAATTCCACTGCTTGACTTCATCTGACACTTGTGATGCATATGATATCTTATTTACTTGTTTATAAACTGTCCCATTGTAACAAACTGTGAAATCCATGTCCAAATGACTATAATCACTCAGTCTTGGAAAAAAAATGAACACCATTAGAAACATCAGTGCCCAAGCAGAAAATTATTTTGACTAGTGAAGTGGAGGATTTATTGAGAATTATCCTTCCAGATATATCTCTACAAGGTCAATTTATCCAACCAATACAATGAGAGCATAGAAAAATTTAAGTACACATTGACTGTCAATTATAATTCTCTTAAAGAGTGAATAAACTTTTACATAAAACATTAAAAGTGTTTAGTTTGTGGAGAAATAGTGTTTATATTCACAAATGAAATAAGAACATGACAGTAGAACACAAAAGAAAGTTGAAATTTCAGAGATGATTTAGGATTCATCAAGAGAAAAAAATTTAAAGATTTCTAGAGAATACACATTCAGACTGAATATCAGATATAAATAGTCATATCCTTGACTTTTATGTTGAAATAGACACAGATTTTCAGGGAAGTGGATGGTGTTGAAGAGAATTTGATTTTGCAATCCTTAAGAAACTACAGTGCTAGGAAAATAATTCAAAAGAAAGAGCTATTTCAAAATTTAATAAGCATAAATGAACATACTAAAGATCAAGTACCTCAAAAGGAAAGAGCTCCATCTAAACTGAGTGACAGCTATCTGCGAGGTACTGTGAAGGGTGCTTTGGCATAGAGGATGTCAGTAATTTTCAAAAATGAAATGCCTGACTAGGCATTTACACCTATTGCATAGGTGACAATGAAGAATAAATCCCTTCCTAGATCCTTCATTCATTACACAAACTAAATTTCAAGATCGTGGTGGCCTTTAGTTTCCTGAGTTTGCTTAAACAATTTAGTAAGTTACTGAAAATAATATCAAAGGAGAAGGAATTACAACCAGGCTCACAAAGAGAGAAAAGATAATCTACATAAGAAAAATTAACACACATCAAGATGGAAGGATGATGTTATGAACTTGGTATATTGTTTGGATTTCTCAAATTCTAACACTCAGATAATGATTTTCTTGAATCAAAGCAAAGCTAATGTGTAATATCAAAGAAAACCAATAGGGAATTACTTAGCAAGCATCTTGAAATCTCTGCAGCACAAATAAATATATACTTGGGTCAACTGATAAAGTTACCAAATCATCAAAATTGACAGAGTTCATTCATTATGAAATCATTGCTTATTAATCACTAATCATTGCTTATTCTGCCCAGCACTGTGAAATAATAGGACAAGCTGCTAACTTAATACTACAACTATAATATAAATACTTAATTTTAAAAGTATGATGCTTATCTATGTTGTGTATTGTAAAAATAACAATATTTTTGAAATATTTGCATTATGATTTACATCTATAAACACCTTCTATCCTGATAGAAGTTTTGCAAGTAGTTGAGGCAGGGAAAATGCAAGTAGTTGCGTTTTATGGAAGCCACACTCTGCATTTTGAGATCACATTAAATTTACCCAAAGCTGGGTGTTAAGTTGGTGGAAGATGTTAAACTGAAACATAAATTTACTGATTCCTAACATAGTGCTGCCTCCATGAAATTCATCCTTCATAATGCAGCAGAAAATGTCCTCTCCTCTGCAGAAGGAACACTGGATGCTGCTTCTTGGTGCTTGTCAACACTTTAGGCATATTTCCAATACATCACTCAACGTGTTGTTTTCAAATGCAAACAGAGGGATAGAACTGAAGCAGATTGTTATTAAATGGACATTGCAGCAAATTAGGAGCTAGTGTTTCCACACAGTTCTTTAGATCAGTTAAGACATGTAAAAAAAAGACAACCAAAACCCTTACTAACTAAGAACTAAATATTATAGGGGAACCGAGAAGTGATTAAAAGTTTGTGAATATAAACACAGGGATTAGTTAGGGGCAGCCATTTTTAATTTTCTATACCAGTTGAGAAATCTATCTAGGGCACTTTATTTAACTCATTAACATATCTTAGAAAACCAAATGAATTATTTGTCAGAAAGAATTATCTGGAAAGAAATTACTTAGCTCAGTGTTGCATATCTTTGTGGATATTGCCACACCAAAATTAATTACAATTATTAATAACGGTTTTCTCTGGGGATGCTTCTCCTGCCACCCAAATAAGTCATTCAGTGTTTAGGCTGCTTATGATCTGTATTTTCCTTGAATACTATTGCATATTTTAAGAAGTCTGGAAATAATGGTTACTTTGGATCACATATCTTAGAAAAGTAAAAATGCATTAGTAATGTAGCTGCTCAAAAATTGAAATTCTGCAGAAATAGCTCCATAGATTAGCAAGATCAAAGATACAACTATCCTCTGCAAGAGGTACTTGGCAATATTTCTCACCTAGAGATGTCTGTTGTTAATAATTCCATGAATGTTAATGGGAGCTTTCCATTTACATGACAAAGAAAATAGTCTTATTTGATGTGGAATTATTAAATGACCATCTATCATAGTTGAGCAAAACTGGTTGCCTTTACATAGATGCTGGCTGAAATATTAGACTTCAAATAAATGAAACAAGTTATTTTTCTACAACCATTTTTTTCTTGTTTGCCAAGAGCTCCTTATATTTGAGCAAATTACTCATGTGTTACACTTGATATTTTGAATGAGTTTGTCTGAAAGCAGATCTTATCTAAGTCAGTCATTTTCTCAGAGGTTTAGGGGAGATAAGAGATTTGTGTGAGGTCACTTAGCCAGGGAACCTAGGGCTCTCTTCACTGAACAATTTCAGCAAGCTTTTTAGTCAGATCATTGGAAGGTCGATGATATTTACTGCTATATTCCAGACCCCCACATTTTTTAAAGTTTATTCAGTTCTAAGTGCTCAAGAAAAATCCTAGAAAAATGGTAGTTGTCTCTTTTGAACATTCTACCACAAATTTTTGGAATTATATCTATCTATATAGATGTCATATCACAGTAATTTCATATATACATCTTAGACCAGAGATTTATTTACCAGTGAGGCTACTAATAAAACATTTTCTGACAGTTTTGGAGGTAATAATAGCTACTGTGTTTATAGTACATAAACACATTATATAGTCACACTATAAACTATGTTACATTTCGTTGTTTAAAAAGCCTCTTACCAGGTCTGGAAAGGAATGTTTTCAGTTGTCTCTGAATTTTTGCTAAGGCCTGTTAGCTGCAGACAAAAGGTAATAGAGAGCCACATCTAGGCTTTCCAAGATAGCAAAACTGGTACAGACATTATCAGCCCATTACTCACTGCCAATCTTTAAAGACACATTTAGAAATCTGCAATTTTAGATAGAGAATCAAAGAGTGAGGACGTTTTTGACTTAGGAGAGAAAGATTTGGTGTTTCCCTTGCACATCCAGTCTTGGGGGAAGAGAAAATGTCATTCTAACTTACCTCCAGGCAGGAGAAGAGGGTTCTGAGAAATGCATTCCTGAAGATTTAGTGGGTACTAGCTGAATATGCGCAGAGCTATGAAAACTAGGGCACTCTTTCTGCCAACAGGCAAGGGAAAATATGACAAGAAAGTTCTTGGAAGAACTTGACTTATGTCTTCTGGAGTTTGGGGACACGTGTGACCAAAGATGAATATTTTGTTTCTTGCATACGTAACTTTGAAGGCAGGCAGTTACCAGGATCATACTGCAATGGCCAGAAAGCAGAATCTGAAGGAAAGGAATTGTGCAGTGACTATGAAAACTTATCATAGAGCCTGGACTCGGAGGCCCTCTCTAATGAAAACATAATGGCCAAGAAAAAATGATTGTAACAACAGGATGTGAGATTTGTGCTCATTTTCTTCTAAAATAATCCCCTCCACTGACCCTAAGAGTGAAAGACCACACAACAGCCAGTGTGTATTTCATTAGTAGGAAAGATTACACTTCAGTTGCAGAACAAGGAGAATAATTAATTATATGTGAAATTGAAGTACAGATAAAAACCTAGGACAAAATTCTAAATTCAAAAAATTGAATAATAACATTTTCACTTATCTCTGGTTTTTTTGTAACCAAATTATGAGAGCCAAGATATCAGCCCCATTTATGACTTTGGGATAGGGGAGGGAAACCCAACATAGTATAGATGGGTGGCATGATGGGAAAATGATAAAATTAAATCCTATTTGCACTTTCATCAGATTTAACTTATTACATTCATTCCATGTATATCAGTTAATCTTTACAACAACCCTGTGAATAATATCACCAACGCTTTCTTTACAGATGAAGAGTCTGAAGAATTCAGGGAGTCAGGAAAGATCTGGCATTAAACCATTTGTGTCTAAACCTAACACCTTAGTTTTAGTAACTACAATTTAGCATTGCTCACTAGAACTTTCTGCAGTGATAAAATATTCTTCATGTGAAATATTCAGTATGATATCCACTAATATATTGTTGCTATTGAGTACTCAATATATGCCTAGTTTAACAGAGAAAGTGAGTTTTTAATTGCGTTTATTTTAAATTAACTTAGAGTTAAACAGAGGCATGTGGATAGTGGTTTCTATATTGGATAGTAATACTCTGGATTGTTCCACATGTCCAGTGGTCTTATTTCTGTGGATCATATATATGTGAGACAATTGTTCTAGCTCTCAGTGGGGCTTCACATTTCTCAGGCATTGAGAGCATAAAGACACACATACACACACATGCACAGATACACAGACACACATTTAGAATCAGTTTAGAAGAGCACTGTTGGAGTGTGAAACTGTTGAAGCTACCACTTTCTGTGCCTCTGTGAGAGGAGTAATAATTATGAGCACTCGAGGATGGGACAGTGGCCATAGGACCTTGTCCTTCACCTCTGATGAAACTTGACCAAATTTACTTTGTTATGTCCTTGGCTGTATAAAAGATATTATTTGAATTATATGAATATATAAATAAATAGACGGATACATAGACAAATAAATGAAACCTATTTCAAAATGCATTATGAATTCTGGAGAGCTTAGATTTTTCCACTGACTCTTTAAGTTATTAACAGTGTAACCGTAGGTAACTTTGTCAACCTCTTGGGTTTCTAATATCTCATCTGTTAACTGAGGAGGATACTAGATCTGCTTCCCTCAGAACCTTTCCTGACTTTTTGTTGATCATAAATGAGGTGCTGCATGAGAAAGGAATGTGTGAGCTGTGAAGTGTTACACAAGTGTGGATTATTATTCATTTGTTGCCACAGCAACTGAAGGGCATCTCTGTGACAACAGAACGGCTAACTGAAAAGCAATGATTTAAAAAAAAAAAAAGTATTGTCAGAGCTGAAGTACATGATACTTTAGCAGCCAGAAAGCCCTAATACTGATATTTTTCTCATGTCCTTTATTGTTTTTCCAATCAAGAATGTATTACATATACATATTGATGATTCAGAAAATATGGAGAACTGTAAAAACAATGGCTGTTTTGATGTGTCCTTTCAATGCTTTCTTTTTGCTTATAAATATGTCTATATCTATATAGATAGATATAACATTACATTGTGTTTTTCTCGAGAGTCTACTGGATATGCATATTCTACTGTACATGTATATTCTGTTTATTATCTTTTGTCATGTTTGTTTATGCAGGTTATGAAATATTTTCCTAGAATATCACATTTATAATTAATTGCATAATATACTATCATATGGCTGTGTCATAATTTTTTAAATAAACCCCTTGTTAAATGTTTTAGAGTTTTTTTCTATTTCCTTCTCCTTTTTTTCTTTGTGGTTACTTAAGAATGCTACAGCAAATATCACTGGCTTCTAGAAATGCATAGACAAGAGCTCTCTCAAGGAGTGGCATTTGAGCTGAGTCCGAATGACCAAAAGAAGCCAGACATTAGGACAGAGCACTCAAGGCAGAAGAACCAGCAGGTATAAGGCCTTTGTAAAAGCTATGTTAATTGATAAGGCACTATATTACCTCTCCAAGGAGGATTTATACCTTACACCTTATTCTGACCATGTAGTGGATTGGATAAAGTTATTTCCTTATTCCATTCCAGACCAAGGCATTTGGGATTGATGTTGTCTCCTATAGACTCTTTACATTGTACATATACGATAAATGCTGAAGCCAAGGTCTTTACACATCTCACATTACCATTAGCTCTTAAAATACTTGCCATATATTGTCTTGTTAGGAAACATGCACTGAATGAGAGCAGAGGGGTAAAATACTTGCAGTTTCATCTACTATTTTACAAAGTAATAACTTCAAGACAGATTCCCACCACATAGAGCCTATTCAAGAAGAAAATATTTTATACGCTAATAACTAACATTTAGTTCATTTATAGAAAATATGAGGAAGAGCAAAAAAGAAACTATATAGAACTCCAGATCAATTAATTCCTTTTAAATATAAATTTCTGCTATCTCATACCCAAATACAGAGTAAAAATATAAAAAAAACAAGGAAAAATATTTGGAAGAGAAACTATGCAGTGATAACAGTTATGAAAAAAGTAGTGAGTCTCATATATTTTAATTCTATTTTCCATATTGATAATAATTCATAGTTTATATATTTATAGCCAAGTGTAACATATAGTATGTTTATTTCAAGATTAATGCAATTAGCATAAGCATTACCATATGTTATAACTTATTTTCCAAACAGATTTTTCTCCCTTGGCCCGTAGAATGCATTGGAAGGCTTAGGGCTTAGAAAATATGTTGCAATATTACACTCTGATGGCAGGCAAGAGAGACACACTTAGCTTATAGGCATCACCACCTATACCCTCAACTTCTCTGTCTCCTAGCTTAGTATTTATTCCAGTGCTCTGTTTTCCTAATATGCTAGAAAACCAAGTTATTGATACACAAAAATGTATATTATTTGTGCTGAAGACCACCTGCAAACTCTTTTAATACACCAAATTCATATTTAAACCAACTGCTAGAGAAAATAATGCTTAACCATTTCGTGTCTGATTAATGCAGATACAGATGTCATCTAATCATTTGATGGCAGGGATAAAGACCAGGTGTGCTAATCAGTTCTCAGGTATCCTCAAGAACGTCACTGCTAATAAAACAGTGATTTCAAATAATCAAGGGACACTGGCACTTGCCGTTGGCTGAATTTTGTTTCCCCCAAATTTATATGTTGAAGTCTTTACCTCCAGCGTGATATTTGGAGATGAGGCTTTTGGAAAGTAACCAGGGTTAGGTGAGCTCATGAGGGTGGGTCTTCATGATGGGACTGCTACCCTCATGAAAAAATACACCTAAGAGCTTGCTGGCTCTCTCCATAAAAGCACAAAGAAGAGATCATGTGAACACGCAGTGAGATGGTGGCTTCTGCCGCTCAAGGTAAAATCCTTTAAATTTGACAATGCTGAAAACCTGAGTTTGAACTTCCAGGATCCAGAACTGTGAAAAAATAAATTTCTGTTGTCCAAGCCACCCAATCAGGGAGTATTTTGTTATGGCAGCCTCAACTGACTAATACAGTTCTCCACTGAGGAAAAATTAAAAGGATACACTGAGAAGTCTGTTTGTTACGGTATATTAGTCCATTCTCATGCTGGGTAATTTATAAAGGACTGGGTAATTTATAAAGGAAAGCGGTTTCATTGACTCACAGGTCTGCATGGCTGGGGTGGCCTCAGGAAACTTACAATCATGGTGGAAGGGGAAGCAGACATCCTTCTTCACATGGGGGCAGGAGACAGAAGTGCCGAGTGAAGAGAGTGAAAAGCCCCTTATAAAACTATCATATCTTGTAAGAACTCAATCACTATCATGAGAACAGCATGAGGGTAACTGCCCCCATGATTCGATTACCTCTCACTGGGTCCTTTCCTCAACACGTGGGGATTACAGGAACTAAAATTCAAGATGAGATTTGGGTGTGGACACAGCCAAACCACACCATATAGGTATCTCACTAGGAGACCTGCTCCACAAGAGAACTGGAGAATTCCAAGAAAGCCAGGTCATTCACAGCTGCTCTCAAAAGAAATGCACATCTCCGCTCACACAGCTCTCCAAAGAAATGCACATCCACTGTGGATTATGAAAAAAAAAAAACCTCATTCTAATTGTTTTGACTGTCTACTCTATGGTCAAAGTAGGGGCTATTCTGGGAAAATCAGTGAGTATATCTCTGGGCCACCCTGATTTAAAGACAGCTGAACTGAGCTGAGCTGAACATCATCCTTGTTGATTTCCTCGTGCCTTTAGACAGTCTGGCTGGCAGACCAGGCAATAGGACATTCTCCCTTTCACCTCCACAGAGATCCGTATGGATATTTGAAAATTGCCTTCCTCTTCTCAGAACCTGAAGCCATCTAGAAGTCTTTTATGACTTGTTTCCTTTAGAGTGTTATAGGAGAGGAGTCCATTGACCTCAGAGAGCCTCAAAGAAAAATATAACACTGAAATACAGTAAATATAAATTTGAAAGTCTTCATTAAAAAGAACACTGGCAGAGAACTTGGCCCAGTTGTTTTCTAGTGTTTTGTGGAAAGCAGAACTTTTAAATAATGATGAACTTGAATATTTAACTGAGGCAATATCTAAGCAGGGTTGAAGGCACAGCCTGGTTCTCCTTGCTGATTACAGTAAAATCAAGAGGAAGGAGGTGAACCAAAGAAGAAACTGTTAAGCAAAGAACATAACTTGATGACTGGGAAGACTCTCAGCCTACTGAGATAGTGTGTTCTGGAAACAGGACCAAGTGTGTGGATGAACAGTTGTTCACTAGACAGACTAGACATGTGATTCATGGTTCCAATAAATTATCTCAGCAGAAGGCAGAAATGGAGATGCATTTATCTATGAGAGATCTGTTAAGGACTCTCTCTCTGATGGCCTTGACTTCCATGAATTCTTTCTTGACATCCATGTCAGGAACAAGGATTTTGAGAACTGTATATGAGCAAAATTACTGTCAACCTGGATTGAAAAGGGTAGAAATAGGATGGAATGAAGAACACAGGACTTTGTGAACAGTGCCACAGATACAGAGACAAGGAGGACTCTTACTGTCACCATAAACCCAGAGGGCATAGTCCCAAGGGACAGAGCATCTCCTCCTGGCTACGGAAGAACAGAACCATCTCTTAGGTTCTACAAAGAGTCCCACCTTCCGAGCTGTTGTTCAGGCTGCCACCTGTTGTTCAGGCTGGGCCTAGAGGCAGAGCATCAAGCCAAAAAGGGTGTTTTTTTAAGCCTTAATATCTAATGGAATTTGCCCTGAAAATTTTCAGATTTGCTTGGGAACTGCAACCTCTTTTTACTATATGATTTCATCCTTTTGGAATGTGAATGTCTCTCCTATGCCTGTCCTACCATTGTATTTTGAAAGCACAATAACTTGTCTGGTGTCACAGGCTCAGAGATGAAGAGAAATTTTGCCCCAGGATGAACCCTACCTTGTGTCTTACCCATAACTGAGTTAGATAATGTTTGGAGGAGACTTTAGACTTAGAGATGATGCTGGAATGTGTTAAGATGTTTGACCTTACAAGTGAATATATTTTGCATATAAGAAGGACATGACTTTTAGGGGAGTCACAGATCAGACTGATATGAGTTGAATTGTGTCCCTGCTACCAAATTCATATGTTGAAATCCTAACCCCCAGTAGCTCACAATGTGGCTTTGTTTGGAGATAGGGTCCTCACAGAGGTAATTAAGTTAAGATGAGGTCATTAGAGTGGAGCCTAATCCAGCGTGGCTGATGTCCACATACAAACGGGGAAATGTGGTCACAGAGACACACATGCATGTGGAGATGACATGAAGAGACATAGGGAGATGATGGCTATCCAAAACTAAAGGAGAGAGGCTTGAAATAAAACTTGTATTCATACCCCTCAGAAAGAACTAACCCTGCTGATACCTTGATATTAGACTTCTAACATCCAGAACTGTGAGCAGTAAATTTCTGTGGTTTAAGCCATGCAGTTTGTGGTACTTTTTTATAGCAGCTCTAGCAAAGTAATATAATAAGACATGATTGAGATTCACTAGTTCTTTCACAACCTGTGATTAAACTTATAAAATAGCCTCAGTGTTCTCAGTTCAATAAATAATTAAATGCCTACTCTGTGTAGTGCTTTGTAACAACAGCTAAAGAGAATAATAATAATAAAAAAACACAGTCCATGCTCATGGGTTATGGTTTGGAATAATCAAATTCTAAAATGTCTGAAAAAATGTGAGTTGGCTGCTAACAAATGGATTCTTAGAGTAAGTCATACATTTGAATGGGAAACTTTTTTTTTTTTACATTTGAATTGGAAAACATTTTTTGTTGTTTCTTCAAATGACCTGACTCCCACCTTTAATAATACTCAAGCAGCACTGCTAGAAAGTGTAAACTTATTTTCAGTAGGGTGATGATAGAATGTCAATGAAAGCCATTGACATTCTCATAGTGAGTACAATATATCACTGCCTGCTTCACAATTGTGCACAGAGCTGTATCAGTTTTTCAACTCAAATATATATGAAAAGTATAGTTCTTATTTGTTCTATGCTTCTGGATACGTATAAAGTATATGCCAGTTACTTTGATGAGTTGTATTGCTACTGAACAAAACTACCTAGTGACAATCTGTGATCTCTTTGTTTTAAAGTATTTTTTAAGTTTTTTTTTTAAATTTTTTACAAAAGCATCACTTAAATGTAGTTGTTTTAAGAATTTGAACTCCAAATTCTTTCAGGTATGATTTGCACATGTTCTTCTATTTTATGTAGAGGCAGGTTTTACAAGTACTTTACTAAGCATTCTTTATTTTTTATCTATGGAGCCAGATAATTACCATTATGTTGTACTGCTATCATTTTTCAAGATAAATTTGGTATTTGATGACAATACGTCTGCCTAATATATTATAATATATCATGTTGTGAATCACAGGACAATTTGTTGATAAATTCTGCTAGTAATGATGGCAATCATTCATAGAGACAATTCATGAATCAGGACAAGACTACAACCTTTAGATTTATGGAACAATAAATTTAAGCATAGAGGTAGTTTAGGAAGAAATAATGGTAATGACAAACTTCGTACATTTATAAAAAGTTTAGTTGTAGAAACAAGAGTAGAGAATAAAGTTTGTTAGTGTGGCATCTAGACCAATCAAGCAGTAGTGGATTTTTTATAATGTAACGTCTGCGCCATATATTGCTCCCAGGTATACTGGATTTTCATAGTGCGAGGAAATTCTAAAAGCTAAGAATGGAAAAGGATGAGCTAGGTAACAACCTGGACACTTGGGTTATTAACTTTTTTATGGGTGAGAGTGGTCACAGCTATGGAGGATTCATGTATGCACGACTAATGTAGACTTTTTAACCACTGTTGTACCAGGATGGTTTAATCTGGTGTGTGGGGCATAGCAAGCTCTTGACAAGTGCTAAATGATTTCCCTTCTTTCACAATGTGGTGAAACATGGGGAAATAGGTTTGACTTTTAGGAGAAAGGGATATTTTTATAAATAAATCCTTGTGTTAGTGTTACCCAAATGGTTTGAAATTCAAGACTAAGATTATGTTTCATGTAACATATTATATTAATTATTAAATTCATTTGTAGATGTGGAATCTATTTCAAATGAGTAAACTCTCCAAAGAAAAGTGTACTTGTTTTTGGCCACAGGAATCTTAAGTGACTTAATTAACAGGTGAGTGGCATTGCTCCTGAACAGAGCTACCTAGTTATAATCTGTGTTACCTTTGCTTTAAAATGTTCTCTTTACTCCATTTCCTTAGTTGATATGCTTGAGGCATCTTGTTGAATCCATCATTTATTCACCCACTCATTCATTTCACATGTATTTGCAGTTGCAAAGCAGGCAGTAGGAATAAAATTAGGATCAAAATAAGGTAGTAGTAACGAAATTTGCTGAGTATGTTCTGAGAGAATAGCTGAATATACATTTCTAAATGGACGACAAATCCATTTGGAAGTCTTCTCCTCCTGTTATTTTGTAAATGTCCCTGCTCCTCACAATTGGGTAAGGTGTGATATGGTGAGAGTAGTAGGATTAACACGAGAGGGGATTGCGTAGCATTGCAATGGGAGGCAGGAACTTGTCACATACATGATTCTCTGTAATGATGGATAAAGTTCCTTTCAGGTGTGCTTGGTAATAGGTTTTAGCTACATTACAAGGACCTAAAAGAAGTGAAGACTACTATAAGTCTGGTATCACAATATTTATCTCTCTTCCCTTGCTTCTAGAGTAGCCAGATTTAGTAAAGAAAAGTAGAGGATACCCACATAAATTTGAATTTTAGATAACCAATGAACAAATAAATAAACGAAAGTGCTGTGGCGATCATACATCCCACATAAAGCTCATTACTTCCTTCTACAACACAAACCCTTTAAGCAACATCTAGAATAGTGCCTTTCAGTTAAAGATACGACCTTCTCCATCAGTAGCAGTATATTAACTCCGACAGTGATTCTTAACCCAGGCAGTGGGCACATTCTCTGGGGGACAAGTTTTACTTAGCTTGTGAGCAAGAGGGTAGTCATGTTTGTTTTTTAAAAAGGAGTCTTCTTCCATGTGATTGCTATGTAACATGTGGTCCCCAGAAGGATCATATCCAGCATCCATACTCATCTACTCTGAAAGGGATCACTGTACTGTGGTGAAGATAGCACTGTGTATTTTCTGTCATTCTGCGGACAGGCACATTGCTTGGAGCCTTACAGTAGTTACACCGTTATTATATTAAGTTGGATGACTGCTGTTACTACTGTTGTTACTGCTGCTGTTACTCCTGCTGCTGCTATTACTAAAATTATCTAATGAGCCTTTAAACACATGACTCTATTTTAAATCCTCTTAACTCAGTAGCCCTGTAAGCTATGACTATCTGGTCATTATTAGTGCTATTTTATAGACAGAGACACAAAGACTCAGAGAGATTAAGTAATTCACCCTCTGTCATGTAGATAGGCAAAATCAGAAATGAAATTCATGGTCATAACTAAGTCTTCTAATTCAAAAACTAAATCTTTTTCTACTACATCACACTGCAGTTAGCATAGTCTTTTCCCTTTTCCAAGAGATAACTAGAAAATTGAAAAAGGAGGAGATATTCCTCCTTTACATTTGTAATACACTCTTAATGCATAAATGATAAATAGTCCTTTTCATATCCTTCTGTTTTTACAAATTTGTAAATTATAAAATTAATTAAGAACACGACTATATCTGCTCATCTTCAAAGATGTTCTCTCATCAAAGAAGCAAGATCAGAACACTAGACATGGAAAGGCACGTACTAAGCCATAAGAGAATATTTTGCTCCATCATCACTAATACATTAACTGCTGTCAGCTAACAAAAACAAGTTAAAAGTGTGTTGCTTTTCCTGAATATTTTAATTATGTATTGGATGATGTATTTGTTTAAGGATTATCTAGGAAATTACCTTATTAATTATACCACATATTATATTAATCAATGGAATGTAATAAACAAAACATCTCATTACAAATATCTAATTAAATAGCATCTTTCTGTGTTTTGATGACAATTCAGTTGGGGAGGCAAAATGTGAAAATAGAAAATGTTAATTATAATAAAAACAAAAGTTCTGAAAAGTAATGTAAGATAGATCACAAGGTAAATATGGCAGCATCATATTGAAAATGATGTGGAGTCACTGTGATCCCTGAACTTTATTTCTTATGGCCGATGCCTAGAATATTACCTTATTCTAACTGTCTCCAGAGTAGTTATAACAAACTAATATTTTTCTATGTTTATTAGTTTATGGGCTCCTTTCTTCCACTAATGTAAAGTCTTTATGAGAACAAGGACCCTGTCTGTTTTTTTTCACTGTAGTATTTCTACAAGAGTGTATAACACATAACAGGTGAATTAATGAGTGAGCCAATGAATAAGTAAAATTTCTAATTACAGCTCCATGGTCTTGAGCTTTTCTGGGCTCTTAGTTTTTCTATTTGTAGAACAGCATTAAATAGTCACTTTCTCAAAATTTCTGGTGATTATTAAGTACAAAGTAAGCAAATCATACTCCAGAGTGACACCCAGTATATAAAGGTTCAGCAAATGGTAGCTATTAAAATAAATGTGGTGGCCAGGCACAGTGGCTCACGCCTGTAATCCCAGCACTTTGGGAGGCTGAAGCGGGTGGATCATCTGAGGTCGGGAATTCGAGACCAGCCTGCTCAACATGATGAAATCTAGTCTCTATTAAAAATACAAAAATTAGCCAGGCATGGTGGCACATGGCTGTAATCCCAGCTACTTGGAAGGCTGAGGCAGGAGAATCACTTGAACCAAGGAGGCAGAGGTTGCGGTGAGCCGAGACAGTGCCATTGCAGTCCAGTCTGGGCAACAAGAGCAAATCTCCATCTCAAAAATGTAATAAAATAAAATAAAATGTGGTACTCTCACCTTCACAATAGATGATTATACATCCCCTCCTCATCGTTAGGTTTGCCAATTGTCACAGCCAATGCAAAATGACATGGGCTACATCTGAGCAGAAGCTTGACTTCTCTCACTCTTCCCTCTTTCATGAGAATGTTCCTTTTCCAGATCAGGGCTGTACCTTAATCCTGGATCCAAGAATAAAGATATACGAGGCAAACTCCAAACTAATTGCCTGCTTGAATCTGAGATTCAGGAATAATAAGTCAACTTGTTATATGAGAACAACTAGTTGTTGTTGAAAGCCACTGATATGGTTTGGATGTTTGTCCCCTCCAAATCTCAGGTTGAAATGTAATCCTCAGTGTTGGAGGTGGGATCTGGTGGTAGGTTATTGGATCATGGGGACACATCCCTTCTGAATAGCTTAGTACTATCTCTTGGTGATGAGTGAGTGCTCACTCAGTTCTCATGGGATAACAGTTTGTTTAAAAGTTTGTGACACCTCCCTTCTTTCTCTCTTGCTCCTACTTTTGCTGTGTAATACACCAGCTCCCTCTTTGCCTTCTAACACAATTGGAAGCTGTGTAAGACCTCACCAGAAGCAGACACCAGCACGATGCTTCCTGTACACCCTGCAGAACTGTAAGCCAATTAAACCTCTTTTCTTTATGAATTACACAGCCTCAGGTACTTCTTTTTTTATTATTTTTTTCTAAAAAAAAATAAATAAATAAGGGGGCGGGGGGATACATATGCAGAACGTGCAGGTTTGTTACTAGGTATACGTGTACCATGGTGGTTTGCTGCACCTATCGACCTGTCCTCTAAGTTTTGTCCCCTGACCCCCCAACCGCCCAACAGGCACTGGTGTGTGTTGTTTCCCTCTCTGTGTCCATGTGTTGTCAATGTTCAACTCCCACTTATGAGTGAGAACATGTGGTATTTGGTTTTCTGTTCCTGTGTTAGTTTGCTGAGAATGATGGCTTCCAGCTTCATCCATCTCCCTGCAAAGGACATGATCTCATTCCTTTTTATGGCTGCATAGTATTTCATGGTGTATATGTACCACCCAAGAATTAACACAGCCACTAAGGCTTTAGAATTGTTATGGAGGATAAGCTATTGAATACTGACTATTGACATATTCTGTGGAATCCCAGAAGGTGATCTGTCCAACTCTGCATAAAATATTTCTTCAAGAAAGACTGGTAGTGGGACAATGGAGGTGGGTTTGAGTTGACAAATGAAAAGAAGCAATACCTTCCTGCCATGAAAGTATGACATAAAAATTGGCTGGCCCGTGTTTCAGCTCATCAGCGTCTTATTTTGTTTTATTATCTTTAGCCTTATGCTCTTTTTCTCACTCTTCCACCACCTAATTCAGTCCATTAACCATGAATCTCATAAATCTGGTCACATCACTGTTGGCAGACCAAGCACATTGTGCATGTGGGTCACTTCCTCTGTCATTTCTATTATGGAGTTTTGCTCTTGCTATACTGAATTACTTGAGTCAGTTAGTTGCTTGTAACTCTCATGCTATTTTCTGTTTTACATACTTTGCATAAGCCTTCTCTTTGCCTGACATGTCCTCCTTCTCCTCAGAAACACCATATTCCCAACTTCCATAAGTGAGGTTCTCCTTGTTTCAACAATCCAGTTCAAGAGCTGGTCAGTCTTTAATTACCATCATCACTGTAACATCTTTTGAAAAGGGTCATTATTGAATTGCCTTCATTATCCCTGGTTATTAACACAGAGCCTGGCCTGTAATATGTGCACAGTAAATACATGTTGAAAGAGATGATTCACAGGTCACTTCAAACACCAAAAAAGTCTAAATATGTCATTCTGACTAAAATCTAGCCTGTTAAAAATGTGATTCTAACCATTGCATTTCAGTGAATTAGGTTTGGGACAGATTTTTTTTTAATAGATAAAATGGCATTTAGAAGGATTCTTAAGCCCAGAATGTAGAACTCTTTTCCAGTTATCCCACCAGCAATCAACACTATGTTGTCTGGTCTTCATCAAGTCTCTAATTGGTAGGTTAACATCTTCATGCCAGGACTGCATTAAAAACTAGACAAATATAACAAAAGGAAAAGAAGAAAGAAAGAAAAGAGAAAAATAAAGATCTCTGCTCAATTTCTTTCATTTAAAATCACAATAATAACATTTTGCTACTATATCTCATAAGGTTGGTATTAGCCCATGAGAAATCGTGATATAAGTTGTTATAATTATTATTACAAAAAATGAATACCTCCTCATTTTTTACATACTCTCCAAGCAGATATGAGCAGGCATAAGATACAAGAAAACCTGAGAGTTTGTATATATAGAAGAAAAGCTACCCAAGAACCAGATATGAACCTGTGAGAGGTGGGAAGCATAAAGGCTGATTTTTCTGACATTACAATTTACCCTCAAGGTCAAGAGTTGAGAAGTCATAAAGAAGCAAACAGAAAACAATAAAGTTTTATTTTCAAAAAGAAAATGGTGAAGAGGAAAAGTAAATCCCTGAAGGGCATGAAGAAAGAAAAATGAGAGCTGTATTTTCCATGCTATATGAAGTTTTATTGTAAAGGATCTTTTCAGCTAGGCTTACCAATGCTTACTCTTTTGACATATGAGGCCTTGCTTATATACTTTAGAAAACATATTAATTTCCCATTTGCTTTTACATGTCCTCAGTAGGAGAAATGCGTTTTATTTTAATGCCAACAAAAGCAAGTAACTAGGAAGACCTAGTTGGGTGCCACAAAGAAATAAAATGTTGAATAGAGTCATCAATAATTCACATGCTCTGTGTAGAAGGAACAGATTACATGACTGTATAAAGATTATTTCTGCCTTGATGCAGAACTAATGAGTCTCTCCTCATGGGTCCTTTTGACTCCCTCTTTGACTGATGGTCACCTGATAAAATACTACATAGGAGAAAAATAAATTGTATAAAATGTAATGTCACTTAGATCACTTCCTGCTTAAATCCTATCCTCAATCTCTAAATTTAGAGATTGAGATAAGTCTTAAACTGGGTTGTATGGTCTTGTGATTGCTGAATCAAAATATTAAGATTACTGGTTGGATATACTTCCAATCAGTTTTTCCATATTCTTTCTTTATGTCACAAGGCTATCATGGTCGGAATGAAAGAAAACCAAACCAACATAAAGTCTGAAGAAAATTTACAGATCTAAGAGGCACATGGGCAAAATTCTTTGAAGTTTCTCAGCTCACCTATCCCTCCCCACAAAATTGCCTTGACTACATTAATGGAAGCTTGTAGTCTACCTTACCTTTCCTGCTTCGAGGGAGAATTGTTCTTATAAGTATGCTGTGATCAAAAGGACAATTGATACTTTAGACAGTGAAAAAGGAAGTAAAATCTGCTGCATGAAGGAAAAGCCAAGAATTAAAATGTTCCCAGGAATTATGGCTGAGCTATAATAGTGTATATAGGGTTATTCCACAGAAGTAATTTTGCAAGTTTTTTTGTGGCAGACATAGAATGATAGGGGAATACTGCGATGTATAGGATGTTTCCATTATATTCCATAATTTTGCATTAGAAGTTGAGAGTAACATAAATAATGCAAGATAAGTTATATCAAAAGAATTTCTGGCTGGGGTGAATGCACACAGGAATCTGCTTGTAAGGCCATATTTTAACAGGCCTGGGTAATGGCCTGGCTGGCCTCTTTTACACCCATAGAAACTCTGGGGTTTGCAATTTGTCAAAGATTAATAGAGAAGCAAGGTAAGTAAATTTGGGTGGAACTTTAAGCTGGTTTTCAATGTAAGGATACAAAATACTAGCATAGTACTGTTAGTATTTCCATCTCTCTATATAAAGAAAGTAACACAGCATTGAGACTGATGTAAAGTTAATGTAACGAACCCCCGATCCTGTGTCCACTTCTCAAACAATAACTGGACATAGAGAGAAGAAGGTTTGGCTGCAGGAAAAGGGCACACCACAAGAAAAGGTTGGTGAGGGACAATAAAGATTGAGAGCTGTATTAGTCAGGGATCTGTACAGGGACAAAAGGTATATATGAAAAGATATACATATATATGAAAGGGAGTTTATTAAGGAGAATTGACTCACATGATCACAAGGTAAAGTCCCATGATAGGCCATCTGCAAGTTGAGGAGCAAGGCAGTGAGTGGTGGATCAGTCTGAGTCCCAAAACCTCAAAAGTAGGGAAACTGAAATTGCAGCCTTCAGTCTCTGGCCAAAGGCCCTAGAGCCCCTGGCAAACCACTGATGTAAGTCCAAGAGTCCAAAAGCTGAAGAACTTGGGGTCCAAAGTTTCAGGGCAGGAAGCATCCAGCATGGGAGAAAGAGAGAGACCAGAAGTCTACTTTTCCATCTTCTTCTGCCTGCATTATTCCAGCTGTGCTGGCAGCTGATTAGAAGGTGCCCATTCAGACTGAGGGTGGGTCTGCCTTTCCCAGTGCACTGACTCAAATGTTAATCTCTTTTGGCAACACCCTAACAGACAAACCCAGGAACAATACTTTCCATCCTTCAATCCAATCAAGTTCACACTCAGTATGAACAATCACAAGGACTTTACTGTATGCCTGTACCCATCCCAACAAATTGATATATTATCTTGTAATTATCTCATTGACTTCATACAACAACCTTAACACAGAGGGGTTATTCCTGAGTAGTAGATACCCGCCTCAGAAGGGTTAGATGACTGCAAACCCAATAGTTACATTATAGGAAGCATGTGCATCTGACATCATTTTCCATTTCCTCACCACTACATTATACTGCATAATGACAGAAGCAGTGAATTTTGAGGTCTGCTAGAGAAAAGCAAGTATGGAGAAACAACCTGCATGAGCCAAAAGGAAAGAGACTCTTGGTGGCACTTAGCAATTAAGCCTGCTTCAAATTGTGTAAGGCAAAGGAATGAAATAAAAGTGAGCTGTTCAAGTACTGGGACTAGGGATGCACAAAGAAGGTCTGCAGAACTGCCTGGATCAGTGAAAGATCCTGGGGGATGTCATGATTGGCTGGGCAAGTTGGGTTGTCTGGAGAAAACTGAAGCATTGGAAATATCTGTAAAGTCACCTTGATCCTTATCTTTCCAAGTGGGAAAAACAAAAGTCCATTAAAATTCCTGCACTCCCTCCCATTTTTTTCTTCTTTATCCATTTCTTCCAGTGGATGTATACTTTCTTATTGGTCGATGTTCTAATAAGCCATTATTTGCTCTTGCTAGATCCATTCTTCACCCTCCTCTACCCTGCGGTGTGCCAATGTGGGTGAAGACAAGGCAGGCAAATGAGCCCTGTGGATGGCATGATGCTCTGGCTTCTTGTTGGCTTTGACCAATGACACCCACAACAGGAGATTGGAGCACAAGAGACAGTGTGTCTCAGTATTTATTTTCTTTGACTGTTTCTCACCTCCTTCCCACCCACCTTGATCCCATTTCTCTGGAAGTAGCTGTGTTTTATCTACAGATGTATCTTCCACAGGTGGCTCTTCTTCTAAGGCCCTGGTCTTTACTGTGTGCCAGACACATAATTTTCTGCTTGTCCCTTAAGCCCTTATGGTGGTAACAGCTTCCCACTTTTGCTAGTCTTCCTGTCACCTCCCATCTTTTGTTTCCCAAACACTAATCTCACCTCTACAAACAGTTCTATCATTAAAATCCTTATGTGTGAGCTATTTGGAGTAGATTCTGTTTCCTTCCAGGGGTCTGAGAAATACCAATAATCACTCTTTCTTGGTAGGAAGTGCCTACTTGCAGGGAGCACACTTTCTCCCCTCATCCATGCTTCAGTTGTAGTGTCAGGTCCAAGTGAAGAAGAACTTTTATGGTCCAGCTCTTCCTACCATGGCACAGAACTTCAGTTTGAGAGTCCACTCAAAGAATGGAATCCCATTTCTCCGCAGACCTAACAATTTAATATCTAACTTCTAAACCTATTTCTCAATTGATTCTGTAGTTTACATAAGAAAAAATAAAGGAGTAAATTTTTGAGTCCTTCAAACTCTGGCAGTTTTCATGTTTTTCCTTTTTTAACTCCCTTCCCAATACTAAGGAGGCTGTGTGCAGAGTGGTTTTACTCATATAAAGGAATAGCAGGACGAGTGGGTCCTTCTGGTCTTTGCAGAGATAGCCTCTTAATTACAAGAGAGTTTTGACAGCATCTATGGATACCGTAGTCTAGAACAAGAAAACAATTGAGGCAAGCATCCGACTCCTGATGTTCTTTTTTTTGAAGGAAGAAATCTGAGATGTTTGGCACTACTGGGATTTTTATATTGCCCCCTTCCTGCAATTTCTGAACTGGTGAAACTTGTGCTGGACTAAAAATAACAACTTGAGGAGTTGGAAACTGATCTTTGGGTAAAGAGACCGGGGTGGGTAAAGAAACTGGTCTGTTGTTAATCATAAAGGCTGTCCTCAGTGCCTTATCATATGGAAGTGAAAGAATACTATCTCCTCCTAACTTTCCCTTGGGAAAAATGACTTTGTATTAGCATTTTACAGGCCATGATACATAGCATTTTTTGGCATTTGGCCAAAACTGGGGAAAGAGTAGAGAGAGAGGTGAAGATATTTGTAATATTCAGGAAACAAAACAAAACAAAACAATAAAAGGAAATGAAGTCCTGCCAAACTTGTCCTCGGTGTTGCACTAGTCTTTCTCTGGGTGTCTGAAGGGGGGACATTGACCTCCTAGAAACACCCCAATAATTGAATCTCTGCATGAGGAAGAGTTATCTGAAACCATTCATTTCACAAACATTTATTGTGTGTTTCCTGAGGTTTCAAATGCTGCAACTGATGAAGGGCACTGGGGCAGGAGGATGATGTTGAGGCCACTAGAGGCAGAGGTGAGCTGGATGTATATAGAATAAAATAATCACTGGAAAGGTCTACCCGTTGTCCCTCAATCCTCAGTCCAGTGAGGAGAACAGAAAGGGACTTTTTTTTCAAAAGCAGCGTGATTAGCATGATTAGAGGAGTGTGCTGGAGCAGCAGTCCTCAACGTTTTTGGCACCAGGGACTGGTTTCGTGGAAGACACTTTTGGGGTTGGGGGAATGGATACAGGATAAAACTGTTCCACCTCAGATCTTCAGGCATTAGATTCTCATAAGGAGCATGCAACCTAGGTCCCCTGTGTGCACAGGTCGCAACAGTGTTTGAGCTCTTGTGAGAATCTAATGCTGCAGCTGATCTGACAGGAGGTGGAGTTCAGCTCAGGCAGTAATGCTTGCTGGCCTGTCACTCACCTCTGTGCGGCCCGGTTCCTTTAATATTCCATGGACTGGTACTGGTCCACAGCCCAGGGAGTTGAGGACCCCCATGCTGGAGGATAAGCAAGGAAACCCCATGTTATGGCTGGTTTAGCCTCTTCATTTTAACAATGAAGATTCTGAAACCAAGGAATGTTAAGTGACTTGTGTCACACAGTTCCTGGGATGCCAACTTTGACTAAATCTCAGCTTCTGGGTTGTAGATGGCCAGAGATGATAATGGAGAAGAATATGTAAAGAGTGGAAGAAAGAGCTTTTTTTTCCCCTTTGGGTTTAGAGAGTTTGCCTGCTGTGTAGAGTTAAAATAGAGAGATGCCGATTTGTGGAAACTACCCTAATCATGGCAGAAAATGTATGCAACCTAATCTTACATATGAAATGAAATACTTTGAAGTGTTTTGAATCTGCAGTATTGTATCTATGCTGCTAGTGTCCAAGTGAATTACTGAAAACCAAACAATATACACAAGACAAAGGTACATTCATATCACAGAGGTAAAACCTCAAACATTATTGCAAAATACAGAAAACCAACTGCATGTGTGCTTACATGTGATTAAGCGTAGACCTCTCTGAATTTTCAGGATGTACTTAAAAACGCCTGATGCAGATGCTTCATATTCTGCATTTACCAAAAAAGAGGGTTAATACAATCAAATTTCTTTTGTGATGGAGACTTGAATAAAACAAGGTCACTAATTACAGGTATTGAACTGTTTTGCCTGACATATTGAAGGCTTTTGTGTGCTAAACAAGTGTCATTTTTGGAAAAATTTCCAACGAGAAAGAAATGAAGAAAAGTGGGAAAGATTGCATGAGAAAAGTGGGGTCTCCGTTCAAGCTCCCTAACCAACTAGAGAACCAGGCTGAGAGAATATATAAGCATTGATTAGATAACAGGAAAAAAAAGACTAATTCCATTTCCAAATATAAATAATTGCTTTTTGTTTTCCATAGCTTCAGGGAAGCCTAAAGCCAAGAGTAATTTATAATCTTACTTTCAATTACTTTTTCCCCCCAACATTTTGTAAGCATTATGTCTGTGCTTTCAATCAGACATGTTCAAGCAATAGCAAATTTGTCTCCAACTTAGAGAATTGTTAATTAAGGACCCAGATGTGTTTCACAGAGCAATGGAAGCTAAAATCAATGGGTGCCTAACCTGAAGGTTAGGCTCAGGCAATGCCAGAAGGAGCCAAATACATTCCCAGGCCTTGCTAATGAGACATTAAGTGAATGTTTGAAAATGATGCTGTAGCAGAATTACATAATATATACTAATCACATGGAAAAAACAAAAATATCAAAAAAAAGATCTTTATATACACCTACTCTCCATTTATTTTCTAACTCTGGAAAACATAACAATTTAATTCCTTTTGATAGTTCCCACTGGGACCCACTAGGTTTTTCTTGAAATTATAAAAAATGAAAAGTCATGTTCAAGCTTTATGCCTGAGGAGAAAAAGAAGAGCGTTTCCTAGACATTGGTTAAGAAGGAGAATAGAATCCCCTAATTTTCCCATGTCCCTTCCATCCTGGCCCACCTGCTTTCCGAGATTATATTGTCTGTTTAGCTGGGTTCCAGATCTATCTCAACCAGCATTGTCTTGCATTCAAATAGTGGCATGGAGGCATTATTCCTATAAATAATCTGACTCCTAAAGAGCCACTGTGCACTGGTTTAATCAAGGAGTGGGGAAGGAAGCTAATACTTGTTGGGGAGTAATTAGGTGCTGGGCACAGTGCTAGGCGCTTTCCATGTGCAGTCTAATCTATTCCTTAGAGCAATGTTTGTGCTCCATAATAGATCATATCCTACTCATTTTCAGAGAAAATTCCGGCTTAGAAGTTAAGGAACGTTATAAATTTTCAGCATTAATAAATGAAGACACAGGGTTTGATGCCAAGTTTGTCTGTCTTTGTGCTACCATGGGTAAAGTCAGGATATATTCCCAGCCTGACTGATTAAAAACCTATAATCTTTTTTTCTATGCCAAGTTGTCTCTTTTAGAAAGAAATTCTTGGTTATGGTTTTAATGATCTTCCTGAAACAGTGTAACTTCAGGCAATCTGTCTAACCTCAGAGAAACTTAATTTCTACATCAGTATGATTACAGAGTTGCTATAGGTGTTACCAAGGATTACCCTGAGCCCTTACTGGATTTATTTTCCTGCTATGTTGGCAATTTCTTCTTCTCATTCACATCACTTTGTTTTTCTCTTGCAATCTGATTTTGACAAAGTTAGGGAAAATGACAATTTTGCTGAAGGACATTTCAGCATAGCAAGAAACAAAGCTGAAGGGAAAGACTCAGAAAATCGGCAGGCATTTCTTTTTTAACATTTATAACTCTAGTTCATTTTTGAAGCTGGCTATGTATTTAAGTGGTTCATTAAGGATAATATAAATATTTTACTGTTTTTTTTCTATTAGAAAATAAATAGTTCTGTGGACACAGATTGTAAAGACACAAGCAAAAGATTGTAGGTATCTATATATACTACCTTTTATTACTTCATGGGTCTTTATTTATTTGATGCAAGCTTGCCAAAGATAATCAAAATATAAAAACAATAAAGAAAAGATTGAGAGTTATAAGAACTGTTTTAATATTATCTGCAAAGACTCCTTATGCTTCATGACTTGCTTAGGCTTAAATTATAAGGTAAAAGTTAAAGAATTGAGGATTTTATATCGATAAATTGGTGAATATACTTAAATTAGGTTAAAAAATCTACCTATGCACTGTTTACAACAGACCCATCTGAAATGAATTGTCACATAAATCTTGCAAGTAAAAAAAATCTACAAGATGATATATTAGCAAGATGAAAGCACAGAAATAAAATATAAGAAGCAATGGTAATATTAAATAACACAAAATTTAAGACTTTGGTCAAAATAGAGAAGCATATTTTTCATTGGAAAAATATAAAGAAAAGAGGATAATCCATGAATAATACAAGCAATAAAAATTAGAATTTGACAGATCAGATAGATTGTAAAACCATAAAGATATACAAGGTTACATTATAAAATTGACAAGGGTGACTTAATTTCTATTCATGGGAATTTGTACCCTATAAAAATGCATATTTTCTCAGTGACCCAGAAACGATCAGGTACCCCAAAATGATAAGTAAATAAATAACAACATGTAACTGGCTATAAAATAACCATTTCAATAAATTCCCAAGTGTTGAAAATTTAGAAGACTTTTTTCTTTGCTACAATTCAAAAAGCAGAGTCCTGTAAAATAATAAACCACATGTAAATGGTCTACAATAAAAATTAATTTAAATGAATAAAATAAGTATAAAATAAAATTGTAATTCCAAATTGCTCCAAATTGCTTAAAGTTTAGGAAAAATTAGTTCACATCATAAAATAAGCATATGACATGCATCTAAAACCATAGTCAGAAAAGAAATGAAAGCTTTGAATTATTTTATTAATAAATAAGAAAGACTAATAGATAATAAGTTGACATTGAACTAAAAACAATTTAAATGTAAGAAAGGAAAAAATAATAGGGATATCTAAATATTTCTGTAAATAACAGCAAAAATTATTATGAAAGAAACGTTAATAAAATTAAAACCTGGTCAAATCAAGTAGATAATTATAATTTTGCAAAAAGAGAGAAATATTTGCAACAGTAAAAATAAAGAGACATGAAATCCCACTAAGATATTATAAACAATTTTATGTAAACATTTATAAAAGTAAATAGAAATAATTTAATAAGGGGAGCAATATTTTAGGATAATATAAACTTTCAAAATAAATTCAAAGATATTATAGAGCATAGATTGTCATAGAAGATATATAAATGGTTTCAAGGCCTAAACCTAAAAATTTATTATCTCATGTGAATTTTCAGGTAAATGTTATCAGATCTTTTGGTAATAGACAATATATATGTTATAAAATCATTTCATAGCATAGACAAAGATAGATATCTTCCTAAGGTTACATAGCTTCATTCCAAAATATGATAAAGATGCCACTAAAAAGTTAAACTTTGAAGAAGTAATACTTATATAAATTTAAAACTATGAAATAAGAAAATAGCAATTAGGGAACTATAAATATAACATAGAAGTAGAGCTTATCTCAAAGTGCAAGGTAGTAACTTTAGGAAACCATGTAATAGACTCTAGTGATTTAGCATATTATGATATAAATAGAAAAACGTTAATAATATTCAACATTTGTTACTAATTATAAAAGTTTAAATAAATATAAGTAAAATAAAATTTGTCTAAAAAATTTAGAAAGGGTTTTAGACATCAACAAATACCATGGTAAATGTATTGAGACAGTCTAGTAAACTCAAAATCAAAAAGAAATGCTGGGTCTCATCACTATATCACTACTGTTTAGCATTACTCTAGACTATCTAGCTAAAAAAGAGGAAATATTACATGTCCTTATGGTTGATGATAGATCTCAGAAGTCAGTAACAGACTTTATTTTGGAATAGACATTTGTTACCTGAAAGACTGTGGGCAATTATTTAACTCTACTAAGCTTCCATTTCCTCATCTGTGGAGAAAGATATTGACCACTCTCTCATGAATGTTATGACGATGTAATCTAATAACACCAGTAAGGTGATTAGCAAAGTATCAGACACTTGAAAAATTTTAATTGATAATGACTATTAGCCATATTAGCCATTATCATCTCCATCATAGCTATCATTTTATTTTTTAATTTCAACCAAAAATTAATGATAGTCAATCAGATGACATGTTAGAAAAAATAAATACATGAATTCATGTTGTTTCATTTATGTTGGCAATGGCTAATTAGAATATATGTAGGAAAAACAAATCAAATCTAAAAAATACAAAACAAAGTAAAAATCAAAGATAAAATTATAAAATATGAAGATACGTATTTAATGTACACCTATATAAGACAATATTGAAAAATCTATAAAATGTTAATAAAGTATTTTAGATAAGTTTTTAATAACTGCACAATTATCTAGATGGGATGATGTCTCTCCATCTTAAATAATAAATAAATTATAATTCATTTTAAATTGTAACTCTATTTTTTGATAATTTTGCAAGAAATTTCACATTTCAGCTGGAAGAATAAATGTAAGAGAGTGCTCACGTAAATATGTAAAATTATGACAAATGAAGCCAAACTTATACAATAACAATAACCATAATTTATAAAACATTATCAAGAAAACAGTAATAGATAAGTACAGAAAAGTTTAGAAAAATAAATTGTAGAAAGTAAATTTAATAATCCAAAAACATAGCAAAGTATATGAATATTTTGAAAGATAAAAACATTTTATTAAAGTGGATAAATAATAGGATATTTAATAAGTTATTCTGGGAGAAACTGCTATACCTATTGAGGAAAATGACAGCTGTCTTCCACACAGCATGTACAAAAAATTAATTTTAACTAAATTAAGGCTCTCAAAGTTTACTTAAAAGGGTAAAAATTTAGCATGAGCTATAGGAAAGTATTTTTATAAGTTTTATCTTTTTTAAGCATGAGGTAGGTTCCAAAATTTTTCACAAAAATGATTAATAGTTGGCCAGGAACAGTGGCTCACGCCTGTAATCTCAGCACTTTGGGAGGCCGAGGTGGGTGGATCATGAATTTAGGAGTTCAAGACCAGCCTGGCCAACATAGTGAAACCCTGTCTCTACTAAAAATACAAAAAATCAGCCAGGCATGGTGGTGGGTGCCTGTAATCCCAGCTACTCGGGAGGCTAAGGCAGGAAAATTGCTTGAATCCAGGAGGTGGAGGTTGCAGTGAGCAGAGATCATGCTACTGCATTGCAGCCTGGGCAACAGTGTGAGACTCCATCTCAAAAAAAAAAAAAAAAAAACTGATTAACTGTTTTGACAAAGCAAAAAGTAGGTATTTTGCATGGCAGGAAATAATATAAGTTTAATATAAGTTTATACCCCCCCAAAAAAAATTTAAATGATAAAATATACTTCCAATGTATCACACAACATAGATCTATTATTGATAATATATTTTAAATCTGCAACTAATAAAGAAATACAAATGAAAAAACCCAGACAATTAGCATAAGAATAACCTAACAAACATGAAAAGAAACTAACTGATATGGTCTGGCTCTGTGTCCCCACCAAAATCTCATCTTCAATTGTAATCCAACTTTTAATCCCTATATGTTGGGGGAGGAAACTCGTGGGAGGTGATTGGATCATGGGCATGATTCCCCCATGCTATTCTCATGATAGTGAGTGAGTTCTCACAAAAACTGATGGTTTTATAAGGCATTTTTTCTCCATTGCTTGGTACTTCTCTCTCCTGCTGCCTGTTTGCTTCCCCTTCTGCCATAATTGTAGGTTTTCTGAAGCCTCCTCAGCCAGGCAGAACTGTGAGTCAATTAAACCACTTTTCTTTAAACTGCCTAGGCTCAGGCAGTTCTTTACAGCAGTGTGATAATGGGCTGATATAGTAAATTGGTACCGAGGTAGTGAGGCACTGATATAAAGATAACAGAAAATGTGAAAGCAACTTTGGAACTGGGTAACAGGCAGAGGTTGGAACAGTTTGGCGGGCTCATAATAAGACAGGAAGATGTGGGAAAGTTTGGAACTCCCTAGAGAATTGTTGAATGGCTTTGACCAAAATACAGAAAATGATATGGACAATAAAGCCCAGGCAGAGGTGGTCTCAGATGGAGATGAGTAACTTTTTGGGAATTGGAATAAAGGTGATTCTTGCTATGCTTTAGCAAAGAGACTGGTAGCATTTCACCCCTGCCCTGAGATCTGTGGAACTTTGAACTTGAGAGAGATAATTTGGGGTGTCTGGATGAAGAAATTTCTAAGCAGCAAAGCATTCAGGATGTGACTTGGGTGCTCTCAAAAGCATTCACTTTTATGCATTCACAAAGAGATGGTTTGGAATTGGAACCTATGTTTAAAAGAGAAACAGAGCATAAAAACTTGGAAATTTGTACCCTGACTACGTGGTAGAAATGAGAAAACCATTTTCTGGGGAGAAATTCAAGCCAGCTGCAAAAGTTTGCATAAGTAACAAGGAGTCAAATGTTAATCACCAAGACAATGGGGAAAATGTCTCTAGGACATGTCAGAGGGCCTCATGGCAGCCCCTCTCATCACAGGCCTAGAGGCATAGGAGGAAAAAATGGCTTCATGGGCCAGGCCCAGGGCCTTGTGGCTTCGTGCAATCTTGGGACTTGGGGCTGTCTGTCTCAGCCATGGCTAAAAGGGGACCACATATAGTTCAGGCCATTGCTTCAGAGGGCGTGAGCCCCAAGCTTTAGCAGCTTATACATGGTGTTGGGAGTGCAGGTGCACAGAAATCAAGAATTGAGTTTTGAGAATCTTGGTCTAGATTTCAGAGGATGTATAAGAATGCCTGGATGTCCAGGCAGAAGTTTGCTGCAGGGGCAAAGCCCTCATGGAGAACCTCTGCTCGTGCAGTGCAGAAGGGAAATATGGGGTTGGAGCCCCCACACAGAGTCTTCCCTGGGGCACTGCCTAGTGGAGCTGTGAGAAGAGTCCCATCATCTGCTAGGCCCCAGAATGGTAGATCCACTGACAGCTTGCACTCTGCACCTGGAAAAGCTACAGACACTCCATGCCAGCCTGTGAAAGCAGTCAGGAGGGGGACTGCACTCTGCAAAGTCACAGGGATAAATCTGCCCAAGACCATGGGAGCCCACCTCTTGCATCAGCATAACCTGGATGTGAGACACGGACTCAAAGCAGATCATTTTGGAACTTTAATGACTGCCCTATTGGATTTTGGACTTCCATGGGTTCTGTAGCTCCATTGTTTTGGCCAATTTCTCCCAATTTGAATGGGAGCATTTACCCAGTGACTGTATCCTTATTAGATCTAAGAAGTTACTAACTTGCATTTGATTTTACAGGCTCATAGGTGGAGGGTACTTGCCTTGTCTAAGATGAGATTTTGACTGTGGACTTTTTAGTTGATGCTGAAATGAGTTAAGGCATTGGGAGACTCTTGGGAAAGCATGATTGGTTTTGAAATGTGAAAAGACATGAGATTTGGGAGGGGCCAGGGGTGTAATGATATGGTCTAGTCCTGTGTCCCCACCCAAATCTCCTCTTGAGTTATTCAAATTGTAATCCCCAGGTTTGCAGGAAGGGACCTCCTGGGAGGTGACTGGATCATGGATGTGGTTCCCCAAAGCTGTTCTCATGATAGTGAGTTCTCACGAGGTCTGATGGTTTTCCAAGGGGCTCTTCCTCCATCACTGTGCACTTCTCACTCTGACTGCCTTGTGAAGGATGTCTTTGCTTCACCTTCTTCCATGATTGTAAGTTTCCTGAGGCTTCCCAAGCCATGCAGAACTATGAGTCAATTAAACTCCTTTTCTTTATAAATTACCCAGTGTTGGGCAGTTCTTATAGTAGTATGAGAATAGGCTAATGCACTAACACTCCATAACTATGAAAGAAAGACAAAATAAAGAAATAATAAAGAGAGGATTGTCATATACTGGTGAAATAAAATATTAGCTTTTGTAGGGGATTGAACTGTTCCCAAAAAAATATGTTCAAATTTTAACCCCTAGTACTGTGAATGTGACCTTATTTAGAACTAGAATTTCTGCAGATATAATTAATTTAAGGATCTTGAGATGAGATCATCCTGGATTTAGGGCCTACACTAAGCCTAATGACATGGCAGATATCCTAATAAAAGACAGAAAAGGAAAAGACATAGACACAAAGGAAGAAATTCATGTGAAGGCAGAGGCAGAGGTTGGAATGATGAAGCTATAATTCAAGATATGCCCAGGATTGCCCACAGCCACCAGAAGCTAGAAGGGAGGCATGAAACACCTTCTCTCTCAGAACTTCTAGAAAGTACCTGTCCCATTGACATTTTGATTGCAGACTTGTGGCCTCCAGAATAGTGAGGGCATGCATTTCTTTTGTTTAAGGAAACAGGTTTGCTGTAATTTGTTAGGGCAGCACAAGAAACTAACACAGATGGGAAAGATGCAGATTTTGCAAAGTTGAAAGAATACTATATTTCATGTTTAAATGTACAAAATTTAATATTGGAGAATAATTATGAAGGATAGTACCATAAAAATCTGTATAAGCATGACTCAGGTACCCCAACATTCATAATGATATGTAAATGGGAATATATAATAGCTATGTATGTAATAGCCAAACTCAGAAACAACCTAAAAGTCTCTCAAGAGGATAATGGCTTAAAAATTATAAAAACTTATAAAGAATTTTGTGTATCCAATAAAATAATTAGAAATATAAATACATTAACTTAGAAAGATATCTACAATTTATTATATTAATAGCAACTTACAGAGTTGACTGTTTTGTGAGACATACACATACAAATAATTATGTATTCATGTATGTGATTCTGTATATATGTATATTTTTTAATAAAACACATAAATATGTGAATATATACATATATGTGCTTATGGTTCTGTGCTTTGTAGAAACAGAGGAATTTGAAGGTTTGCACATGAAATTCTTAAAAGTGTTTATCTACAGAGATGATCTTGTCTTATTTTATATACAAAATAAGTAAAAGTAATCAACAATCAGCTTTCTTGCTCTGTGGCTTGCAGTTGGGATGGGTGGCACTCAAAGGAAATAGGAAGAGTGAGTTTAGAGAATTTATTTCAACATTTACTGCCCTGTCATGTCATCATTGGTTGACTGTGCCCCTCTATTAAAATTGGTTGACTGTCTCCTCTTCTCAAGCATCCCTTTCTATATAGATCTCTCCCTGGATTCCAGAATTGCTTCATTTTTGGCCTCTGTGGGCCTAAAAGTGGTAATGTACCTCTGAGAAAATCTCTGAAACATGGCACCATTCTTTATAATTCTTCCTAATTACTGACCACAGCTTTCCCAATAGTCATTGATCAAATTTCACTGACTCAACTGGTATATATCTCTGTTTCCTTTCTGTTGATTATCCCTGTCCAATATTCATTAACTTTACTTCTCTGACTTTGACCCCATATGGCTTAGGTGAGGCTGACACATTCCTAGATCCCCAGTTTGGCCAGTACGATTACTTTTTCCTCCAAACTACATTGACAGACTCAGAAGTAGGCCTATAACTTATCAAGCTGGGTGAGTCAGAAGCAAGCACAGGAATCCTGTTGTAGTTAAAGGAAAAGACACAGTCTCTTTCCATGGAGGTTGATCTTTCTCCTGGTACATGGATTGCTTAACACGGTGGCCCTTTTTTTTGGCTTTTTAATTTTTTAACTGACGTATAACACTTGTATATATTTATGAAGTAGAGAGTGATATAGGTATTCAATATGTAAATATCAATTCAGAGAAATTAACATATCCATCGCCTCAAACATTTATTATTTCTTTGTGTTGGGAAGTTGCAAAATAATCTCTTCTAACTGTTTGAAAATATATACTAAATTATTGTTAACTGTAGTCACTCTATAATACTATAGAAAATGAAAATTTATTCCTCCTATCTAGGTATAATTTTGTATCCATGAGTCGTTCTTTCCCTATTCCCCCTGCTCCATCCATTTCCCATCCTCTGGTGACAAGTACTCTACTCTCTACTTCTCTGAGCACAATAAAGACGACCCAGTGAAGAGGCAAGATGGCCGAATAGGAACAGCTCTGGTCTGCAGCTCCCAGGGAGATCAACACAGACGGCAAGTGATTTCTGCATTTCCAACTGAGGTACCCAGTTCATCTCACTGGGACTGGTTGGAAAGTGGGTGCAGCCCAAGGGGGGTGAGCCGAAGCAGAGTGTGGCATCGCCTCACTCAGGAAGCACAAGGGGTCGGGGAACTCCCTCTCCTAATCAAAGGAAGTCATTAGGGACGGTACCGTGCACTCTGGCCCAGATACTGTGCTTTTCCCACGGTCTTTGCAACCCACAGACCAGGAGATTCCCTCTGGTGCCTACACCACCAGGGCCCTGGGTTTCCAGCACAAAACTGGGTGGATGTTTGGGCAGACACCAAGCCAGCTGCAGGAGTTTATTTTTCATACCCCAGTGGCACCTGGAACACCACTGAGACAGAACCATTCACTCCCCTGGAAATGGGGCTGAAGCCAAGTGTTCTGGCACAGGGAGGGGAATATCACACACCAGGGCCTGTCGGGAGTTCGGGGGCTAGGAGAGGGATAGCATTAGGAGAAATACCTAATGTAAATGATGGGTTGATGCGTACAGCAAACCACCATGACAAGTGTATAACTATGTAACAAACCTGCACTTTCTGCACATGTACCCCAGAACTTAAATTATAATAAAAAATGAAAGAAGACCCAAATAAGTGAAATCAGAAATGAAAGAGAACACATTACAACTAATACTATAGAAATATAAAATATTATTAAAGACTATTATCAACAAAATGGAAAATGGAACAAAATGGAAACAAAACAAAACAAAATGGAAAATCTAGAAGAAATAAATTCATGGATACATATATCCTTCCAAGATTGAACCAAGAATAGTTAGAACACCAGAATAGACCAATGAGCCACGAGGTTGAGTCAGTAAGAACAAATCTCCCAACCAAGAAAAACCTAGGACCAAATGGCTTCATTTCTGAATTCTACCAAACCTTTAAAGAAAAACTAATACAAATTCTTCTCAAACTATTCCAAAAAACTGAATAGGAGAGAATTCTTCCAAACTCACAGTATGAGGCCAGCATCATCCTGATACCAAAACAAGACAAGGACACAACAACAACAAAACTACAGGCGAATGTCTCTGATGAACACAGATGCAAAAATCTTTAACTAGTAAATGGAATCCAATAATACATTTACAAGATTATACAACATAATCAAGTGTAATTAATTTCAGGGATGAAAGGATGGTTCAACATATGCAAATCAATAAACATGATACCTCACAACGACATAATGAAGGACAAAAAACATATGATTGTCTCAATAGATGCAGAGAAAGCATTTGATAAAATTTAACATCACTTCTTGATAAAAACTATCACATTAGATATAGCAAGTTCTCACTTAACATCATTTACTGGTTCTTAGAAACTGTGACTTTAGGTGAAATGACATATAGGGAAACCAATAGTTTTCTTAGGAATGTTATAACAATGTTGAATAAAATTACATAATTTGAGGACCTGCTGTATGTCATTTCACTTGAAGTTGCAGTTTCAAGAACCTTTCAATGATGTTAAGCACTTACTGTATAGAATGAATGTGCCTCAACACGATACAGGGCATATATGATAAACCCACTGCTAACATCATACTGAAAGGAGAAAAGTTGAATGTTTTTCCTCTAAGACCTGGAATAATGCAAGGAAGCTTGCTTTCAACACTCTTATTCAACATAGAATTGGAAGTTTTAGAACAATTAGACAAAAGAAGAAAATAAAGGGCATATGCATTGGAAAAAAGGAAGTCAAATTATCTCTGTTGCAGGCATAATGTTATGTATAGAAAAACCTAAAGACTCCAACAAAAAACTCTTAGAAATGATGGATATTTTTGTTATTACATGGGAAAAACCTAATTGGGAATAATGGCAAAGCAAATAAAGTCAGAACTGGGAAATGAAGATAAACATATTCCTAATAATATAATTTGACCACATTTATTTAGCCATACCTGCACCTTGACTATCCATGAACTCTCAAGTTATATGAGCCAATAAAACTTTCTCTTTCTTTTGTCTAATTTCAGTTGCAATAAAGGTATGATATGTAAATAATACAACTATCTTGTAACCTTGTTCTCTCAGCCCAGAGCAATGACTTATCCTCATGCTAGCCAGCTACGCATGTCATGAATTTGTGTGACACTCTGTTCTCAAATTGAAGTAATAGTTAACATCTAAAACAATGAGATCTATAGATTATTCAGTTTCTTCCTCTCTTAGAAATGCAAGCTAGGAACATGGAAGGATTTCACAGCTGATTGGAAGAAAGAAAAGAAAAAAGACAGTGGGTTTATAATTAGCTCTTATCTGGGTATTTTTGTGCCATATCACAGAGCCTGTGTGCTAACATTCCAGAGCTGCTGAGAATCTCAACGACTCTCCACTTTCAATCTCCATGAATGAGGACTGGACTTCCTTTAAAAATATATTGTTGAGTTTTTGCTCTTTTCTTTTCTTTTTTCTTTTTTTTTTTTTCAGAGTCTTGCTCTGTCGCCAGTCTGGAGTTCAGTGGCGTGATCTCGGCTCACTGCAACCTCCACCTCCCAGGTTCAAGCAATTCTCCTGTCTCAGCCTCCTGAATAGCTGGGACTACAGGTGTGCACCACCACACCCAGCTTATTTTTGTATTTTTAGTAGAGACAGGGTTTCACCATGTTGGCCAGGATGGTCTGGATCTCTTGACCTCTTGATCTGCCCGCCTCAGACTCCCAAAGTGCTGGGATTACAGGCGTGAGCCACCGCTCCCAGCCTCCTCTTTTATTTTCTTATGTGTGTTAATACAATGAAGTTCTGTTCAGTTGAACTGGTTTGTGTGGCTGTCTGATCATTTTATGAAAAAAATCATAGCTGAAAGATTTATTAATATAAAATCATGTTTATTTTATATTCTCTGAGAAAAGGTCTTTTAAAATAATATGATGTGGTGTCAAGTTTCCTTTTCTGTCTTTTTATTTCCTCCTCTAATTCTATCCAAGATCTCCTTGTATTGAAGTTGATACTTAAGTGAATATATATCTAGCTCAATACCATCTATATTTATACCGGTGCCTGTACTTATGCTGTTTTTTTCTATATACACATTGATATCTTCTTTTATATCATTAAAAAGTTGTTACCTCTGAGATCCAGTTCTGTCGCAGCAAGGGTTATGAATCCAAACTATTTGTCAATAAAACATAATCTGGCAACCAAAAAATAATTTACAATGACTCTTATGGACAATACTTTCCATATTTTTCTCAAATACCATACAGATATGTCATTCCACCTAACAATGCTTTTTTGAAAGCTCCCTTTCACTTTCATTTTCTTTCTGCACATTCCTCAGCTTTCTCTCACATCCATCTTCCAGAATATTCTCTTCAACATCTATCCTTCTCCAAACCAAAGCTTCTTCTGTTAGCCCTACCACTTTTCCTAATTAGTAAAACCTAAGGCCCAATGGGCTCATCTAGAGATAGAAGGACTTTCTCTGGAAGGCTGAACACAAGAAATGGAAGAGAAATGTGTGCTCCCAGGCAGAATTCTTTTTAACAGGAAAGGAAAATGTGAAGTCTGAGAATTCCTTGATTAATGTTTTTCTTGCCACATAAGTATCAATTTACCAGAAACTTTAGGAATATAAAGCAAAATTTAAAGTGTTTATTTTTAAATTGGGGTAATCTATATTTCTGATAACATATTTTCCACATTTTACAATAGGTATAGTTTTTTTAATATTTAAAAAATATAAAGTCATTGAACAAATTAATGAAAAGGCATAAACCTCCAAGCAAAGCAATACTGAAATCTTGAACATCCTTTGGATGTACGATGAGAAATGCAGCAACTTTCCTTTAGACTATTCCCCCTCCAGGTACACATCACTTACTGCTACTTCCCTTAGGATCCATTATTCTCCTAACCTAACCTGGATTTGCTATGTTTTGAAAATGGCACTGCATGAACTATAGCTTTTTCCTGATTCATTCTGTTCTTTGAAAAGGGTGAATGCAGAATCCACACACTCTGTTTCTCTCTGCATTAATGCTGTGCTTTGGTGTGACGCATTGAGTAGAGTCGTGGAGCATCTACCAGGTTGGTTATCCACCGCCTCAGCGGCAGGAGCCTCGTGCCCTCAGGAACTCTGTGGAGCCTTTATTTTTACTATGCCTTCATAAATTGGATAAAGTACTCTTTTGTGCCTTCTTCTTGGCGGAGAGCCTAACAAATGAAGGTTAAGCTTCACTGCTTCCAAAGAAAAGAAGAAAGATATTTCCTCAGTACTTGTGAAGGTCAGCGTGACTAGGTTCACATTAGTCACTATCAAGTAACAAGGAACTGTGAATAGATGCCCAGCTTCTGACTCACCCACCCGCTTATTCATTATGCACTTACAGACCACTTCAGCTCAGGTGCTGGGGATGGAAAGAGCAAGGCATCCTCACGTCCCAGGAGCGACTTTTAGAATAATGGGAAAGATAGGCATGAGGAGATGCAGCCCAAAATAACAATGCTTATGATGAAAATGAAAAAAGTAACACGTACTGATTTCTGTTTACCAAGTGCCGGGAACTGTTCCTAGCACTTTTCATATCTAATGTCACCTCTCAAGAACTAATGTGGCATCATTATTATTGTTATTATTTTCTTTTCTTTTTTCTTTTTTTGAGACGGAATCTCACTCTGTCGCCCAGGCTGGAGTGCAGTGGCGCGATCTCGTCTCACTGCAACCTCTGCCTCCCGGGTTCGAGTGATTCTCCTGCCTCCGCCTCCTGGGTAGCTGGGACTACAGGTGTGTGCCACCATGCCCAGCTAATTTTTTGTATTTTTAGTAGATACAGGGTTTCACCATGTTAGCCAGGATGGTCTTGATCTCCTGGCCTCATGATCTGCCTGCCTCGGCCTCCCAAAGTACTGGAATTACAGACATGAGCCACCGTGCCCAGCCTATTTTCTTCATTTGATAGAGAAAAAAATGAAATCCAAAGTGTCAATGACTCATTCAAGGTCACACAATAATAAGTAGTACAGCCAAACTTCAGACTCTACATTTCTAATTCCAGTATCAGTGATAAAAGCTCAAATAACAGCATGAGTCCAGTACTTCAGGATCCCAGAGAAGTAGGCCAACCACCTGGAAAAGGCGAAGAAGTTTTGACCAAAGATGTGAATGTTCTAGTGGGGCTTGTAAATAAACCATTTTTCACATAAAGATGTTGTAGTAGAAGTGGAATTGTGATGAGTAGGAAAAGGGATCCAAGCATTCATTTACTATCTACACCATAGACTGCATACTGCCAGCCTGTGAGATGAACCCTCTGAAAATATAGTTTGTTTGACCACCAACAACACCACAAAATGTTTTTGTTGTTTATTCTGAGGATTGCAGGACGGTTGGGAATTTGTTCCAGCCCCTCTGCTGGTCTGCTGTGTGGCTAAGTCCATGAGTTCTCTCTCTGGCCTTTATTTTCTCACCCAATTATTTACTTTAGAATCAACTTAAGATATAATGTGCATAAAATAAACTTCAGCAATTGAAAGTTAAAATTTGTTTAGAATTGACAGAGTGACTAAGAGACAGGACATTCCCATATTCTCCAGGGGGTTACTCCTGCCCTCCAACCCTGGCCCCTGGAAACCACTGAAATTCCTTTTTGTTCCTGCTTTGTATGATTCTATATACTTCTAGATGAAGTATTTCATATGTAGTTCTATAGTGATAGTTCTATAATTTTACGTAAATGGAATCATGTAGCATGCCATAATTTATGTCTAGTTTTAATCAGTCAGTATAATGTTTTTTAAGATTTATTCAGGTTGTGCCTATATCAGCCGTTAATTCCCATTTTCATGGAGGAAATTTTTCCACTACCACATTGGAGTTGCCTGTAGGTATTGTCTACTATAATAAAGCTAACATGAATATTGTGCACAAGTCTTGTGTGGACGTATGTTGTCATTTCTTTTGTATGAACATATTTCTTAATTTTTTTCCAGAAACTGTTTTGCAGTGTAGTTATATAATTTTCAACAGTGGTGTATGAGAGTTCTGTTCAGTCCACACTGTTGCCCACCCTTGGTCTTGTGGTCTTGTCAGTCTTTTACATTGTAGCCATTGTGATAGAAATATTTGGTTAAACACAATGCTTTAAGTATTTTTTTAAGCTTGTATTCCATTGCTCATGGCTTACCACTACAGTATTTTTTCCCTGTTTCCTTCCTTCCTTCCTTCCTTCCTTTCTTCCTTTTTTCCTTCCTTCCTTTACCCCTTCCTTTTTCTTTTGTTCATTTGTCCGTTCACTCTTTCTTTATTTCTTTCTTTCGTTTTTCTTTTCTATTTATTCTCAACATTACGTACTGGCTGATGCTAAAGTGCCAAACCATTCTACTACCTGCCTGGCCCTGAAGCCATTTATAGCAGGAGTTTTACACATATTATATTATTTTAACTTCCTAGAAAATATTGTATTCTCATCAGTACTCTAAAAAGTAGGTATTAGCAAGCCCCATTCACAAATGTGGAGGTAAAAACTAAGAAAATGTAGAGGTTAAGTCACACACTTAAAAATAGAAGGCAGCATATAAATCAAGTTAGTCTGATTTCAAAATTGAGTGTTGGCCTTGAGAAAGCAGGAATGACAGATGCGAAGATAAAGCACTAGAGAGAGGACCAGCATATCTGGAGGGTTGTATTGATTGTATGAGTCTTTCGGTAGTACTTACGGCTAGTTAGGGTCAGTTATATAATTGGGTAAGTAATAACACAACATCCTTTGTTTAAACAGCAGAAAAAGTTTAGCTAAAAGTATTAGAATATAGAACGTTTTTCTTTTTTCCACAATATCCCTCTCAACATGTATAGTATTTTATTTGCGACTTATTGTCATTCTAAATAAAGAAAAAATACATTTTAAAATATTAGCATAGATTTTTTGTCAATTATAGTATATAGTGCCAGTGTTAACTGAAATATAATAACATTTACTTCACATGTGGAATCACTGATATTGCATAATATATATTTTGTAGGTCATACATGCATATATATGTCATTTTTATCAGAACAGTAGAAATGCTACACGAAACTAATGCAACTGTTTTTATTTTACTTTTTGACAAATACACATTCTACCAACACTCTCTACCTTCAGCACACTGATAAAGACTTTCAAAAAAAGGAACTATGGGTGCCCTGTGTTTTCGTTTCTCTTTATGTCATAATTTTCATCATAAGTGGTTGGCTAGTGTGAGGAAGGAATGGCATAAGAAAGAATATGATAATTTCTTGGTACTTTGTGTTTCTTGGAATGCCATTGCTTTCTTTCTGCTAGAAGAGAGTTCTGGTTTGAAGAAACAACATGGCCTCTTTGGGCTGTCAGTGCCCCATTTACTCAGTATAAAAGTAACACTCTTACCTCATATTTGCTTTGAGACTTGAGTGCCCCGACATCATGGGTCCATGGGAATTCTGTGCTCATGGTTGTGAGGGTGCATGGCAAGCACTATGTTCAAGTGAACTGGCAAGTAGTGGTGGACAGTTATATTCATGTATATCCTCTGCTCATGCACACTCTCTATTGTCCCATAGTACTTCATTTACAAACATACTTTCAAAGATAAAATTATTAAGAACATTAAGATAGTAATATTACAGCATTAAAGCAAAAGGGGGGCCGTTCTAAGCATCAGGCCTTGTGCAACTGTACTGATGAAATACCCATGAAACCAGCTCTCTGTATAGTAAAGAAACAAGAGATAAGAACAGTTTCTATAAATATTGTTTTTACTCAACTGTTCATTTAATTAATAGTTATTAAACACCTAAAATATGCCAAACATAGTTTCAGGTGCTTAGGATACATTAGTGGAAAAGAAAAAATTTTTTCTTTGCTTTCTTGGGACTTACTTTCTATATTTCTTTGATGAATCAAGCAGATATGAAAAATTCGAACCATCTATTCTTACTGGGAAGAGTATTACTAACTATAGCTCAACTAAAAAGAAACAGACTCTTTTACAAAATAAATCTCATTATATTACTGGAGTTTTCTTTTTCTTTTTCTTTTCTTTTTTTTTTTTTTTTTTTTTTTGAGACTAATCTCACTCTGTCGCCCAGGCTGGGGTACAGTGGCACAATCTTGGCTCACTGCAGCATTTGCCTCCCAGGTTCAAGCAATTTTCCTGCCTCAGCCTCCCGAGTAGCTGGGACTACAGGCATACCCCACCACACCTGGCTAATTTTTGTATTTTTAGTAGAGGTGGGGTTCACCATGTTAGCCAGGCTGGTCTTAACTCCTGACCTCAAGTGATCCACCCGCCTCAGCCTCCCAAAGTGCTGGGATTACAGGCGTGAGCAACCGCGCCCAGGCATTACTGGAGATTTTAAAGATGATTGCACAGGTTGGAATCCACTTAATACGTAAATGAGGATTAAGAGTTTTTTGCTATTTTGATTGTTTTCCTGGTTTACAATGCTAAAATAAATAATCAAGTAATTCACTTAAAGACTTATACACTATTTGTTTGTTTTATGTTATTTTTCCTTCCCAGAAGTCTGGGTAAGTACAGACCTCTACTTGAATTTCTCCTAAATATACTACATATTTTGGTGAAACAAACATAGTATACTCTTCATCAATTTTCCACAGAAACTTGCAACTAAGAAGGGCTGCATTCCATAATTAATAAATCACAGATTATGGTCACCATTTTGGCAATCTATTTTTCAACAAGACAAGATAAGCCATTAAGAAATGATCTGCCTTGGCAACCTTAAGGAAAGGGCATGGAGAAAATGGTGCTTTTCTCAAGCCCAGAACTTCTCCAGATTAGCATGTTCACATTCACATGGAGGACTGAAGTACAGATTGTTGCAGCCAACCTGCAGTTTCTGATTTAGCAGTGTGTCCGGAATTTATTCCTTCTTGTGGGTTCTTGGTCTTGCTGACTTCAAGAATGAAGCTGTGGACCCTCGCGGTGGGTGTTACAGCTCTTAAAGATGGTGTGTGCGGAGTTTGTTCCTTCAGATGTTCAGATGTGTCCGGAGTTTCTTCCGTTCCGTGGGATCATGGTCTGGTTGACTTCAGGAGTGAAGCTGCAGACCTTTGCAGTGAGCATTACAGCTCTTAAAGGTGATGTATCCAAAGTTATTTGTTCATCCCCGTGGGTTCATGGTCTTGCTGACTTCAGGAATGAAGCTGCATACCCTCGTGGTGAGTGTTACAGCTCATAAAGTTAGTGCGGACCCAAAGAGTGAGCAGCAGCAAGATTTATTGTGAAGAGCGAAAGAACAAAGCTTTCACAGCGTGGAAGGGAACCCAAGCAGGTTGCCTCTGCTGGCTGGGGTGGCCAGCTTTTATTCCCTTATTTGGCCCCGCCCATATCCTGCTGATTGGTCCATTTTACAGAGTGCTGATAGGTTCATTTTACAGAATGCTGACTGGTCTATTTACAATCCTTTAGCTAGACACAGGGCACTGATTGGTGCGTTTTTACAGAGTGCCGATTGGTGTGTTTACAGTCCTTTAGCTAGACACAGAGCACTGATTGGTGCATTTTTACAGAGTGCTGATTGGTGCATTTACAATCTTTTAGCTAGACACAGAGTGCTGATTGGTGCATTTTTACAGAATGCTGGTTGGTGCATTTACAGTCCTTTAGCTAGACACAGAGTGCTGATTGGTGTGTTTACAATCCTCTAGCTAGACAGAAAAGTTCTCCAAGTACCCACCCAACCCAGAAGCCCAGCTGGCTTCACCTCTCAGTAGGTCTGGGGTGGAGTTTGAGAATTTGTATTCTCAAAAAATGTACACATGATGCAAATGCTCCTGATTCATAATAAATAGACCATCTTAACTGTTGAATGTTAGAAGGCAGAGGGTCTAAATTTCCTTCCTCACTTGAAACTCATATAGGTTTGTTTATACACATTGTTATGAGCTTGGAATCAAAACATTATTTCTGCCAGCTGAGGGACAGACCAAGACTAAGCTGCAGCTATCATTTTTACCCTTGTCTCTCTATTCAACTGTGTGAATATGTGTGTCTGTGGGGTGGGGCAATAGGGGGACATAGAACATGGGAAGATAGAGCATATTTGAGTCAGAGAGAGTAGACAATACTGATGAGTGTTTGTGTTTGTGTGTTTGTGTGTGTTTTTATAAAGAGATCAAAGTAGAGGATGGAGAAAGATAAAGAGTAACAAACAAAGGGGAGAAAAAAAGGAAGAGACAGTCACACAAAGGGATAGGAAGGAAAGAAGTCCTAAAAGGGGAGCTCCACATAATCTCAGCAGCTCCACTTAGGAAACAAACAAACAAAAAATTTAAGTAAATATAGCAAAAATATTGTGATTAGTTCATAATTATCTTATACAATCTAATAAAAAGTAAGCTATTATTGTTATTGTCTCAGACACATTACTTTATTTCATTTATGTCATATCATGGTCCTTTACAATACATCTTTCTAGCTCCTTAAAGAGATGTGAAAATGAAATTTAGAAGAGGTTGAGTGACCCACCTTGAGTCACTAAGTCAGAAAACAACTCAAGTAGTACTGAAAACAGGACACTTTGGTTAGATTTAACTAACTTTTACATAGGAAAGTTTCAAATTGGTTTTTTAAAAAAGTTGAACACTGAAGTAATGTTTTCCACTTAAAAAATATTTGTTATGAATAAAACTGTCCTATTGGTATTATAGTTATCCTTTTGTATTTTTCCAAGCAACAACTGAGAAATATTTAATCACAAGATCTGATGAAGTTAAAAGTGATGCAGCTAGATGAGACCTCCAGAAATTACTAAGGGGAAGGAGGTCAAGTGAAAACATTTGGCACCTAAGGAGCCCCTTGTTTTGCTGGTCATTTTTCAAATATATTTTCTGTGTTGCCTTGGCCTTCTAGAAATTCTAATACATCATCACAATTTATTTGGTTCAATAGTCAAATAACACCTCAACCTAAAATTGAAAAAAATTAAGTAGAGTAAAATAACTAATATATTAAATTAAAATGTAAGTTTTCTCTTGAGAATTTCAAGATACTTCTAATAATAAACCAAGCTTATATTTAATAATTGTTTATCAGTCTTCATGTAAAAATTTCATTGTATAAAATTTCTGCTGAGAAAGTAACACATCCTTATTTAGGAAAAAAATATAAAACACAGAAAAATAAAAGGAGAAAATACTAGTACAGTAGTGTTCCCTTATTCATGGTTTCATTTTCTGTGGTTTTAGTTACCTGTGGTCAACAACAGTGTAAAAATATTAAATGGAAAATTCCAGAAATAAGCAATTCATAAGTTTTAAATTGTGTGCCATTCTGAATAATATGAAGAAATCTTGCAGTATCCAGCTCTGTTCACCAGCAACATGACTTAACTTTTTTCCCAGCATACCCATGCCTCTATATATCACCCATCCATCAGGCACTTGGTAGCTGTCATGGGATCAGAGTGCTTGTTGTGTTTAAGCAACTTTTATTTCACTTAATATGGCCACAAAGGTGATATTAAAAATTTGAATGTGAGAAAGAGAAGCCATAAAGTGCTTACTTCAAATAAAAAGGTGAAAGTTCTTGACTTAGTAATAAAAAATCACTGTATACTGAGGTTGCTAAGATCTCTGGTAAGAACCAATCTTCTATCCATGAAATTGTGAAGTTGAAAAGAGAAATTTTTGTTAATTTTGTTGCCAAACATCAATCTTTAAAAATTATGGCCACAGTTTGTAATAAGTGCTTAGTTAAGATGGAAAATGCCTTAAATTTGTGTGTGGAAGATATGAACAGAAATGTGTTCCAATTGACGGAAATTGGGTTTGGTACTGCTTGTGGTTTCAGCATCCATGGTGGTCTTGGAATGTATCTCCTATACATAAGGGACCACTACAATGTTTCCACTACTCAAATAGAACAATTATTACAATTTTTGTTGGAGGTGACATCATAAATGTAGCCGACTGGAGGTCCCCAACACTTGTCTCTTCCACCAAGAAGGACTAAAACAGCAAATAAATAACTGCACTTCAAGTACAGTATGACCAAAGAAGAAAATTGGAATGTAGCAAGAAAATGACTTAAAGCATGGTAGCATAGAGAGGAAAGCAAAACACCTAGCCAGTATCAGCTCAGAGACAAGAGGGACTCACAATTGAAGGGAAAATGTAAGGGAAGATCCCAACAGCTCTTATTACTATGAAGGATGCCTGCAATCTTGGCTACAGGAGAGCCCCACAGCTCTCACAGGCCCTGAGCAAGAACAGTGAACTACCTGGTGTTCATACCACTGCATTGCTCCAGAGAAGAAACAAAAACTGAGTCCCCCTAAATTCTCCAGACCCAAACTTCTACTACATGGAACCATTTTGGGAACAGAGCCACTGCTAGAGTACATCCTGCCCTGGAGTAAAACAGCCCCTGCATTTCCACATCCCTGTGACCCTACTGTCATCTCACCATGCGCACCCAGAAAGCTGCAGTGTCGTGATTTCAGACAGACCAGTGGTACAGCTGTGACACCAGCATTCAAGTCCACATCAGCACTTGAGCCCACATAGTACCCTAAACAGGTTGTCCAGTGCAGTGGGAAAGCTGCTTTCAGGAATGTGGGGAGCAACATGTATACTCTACGGTCCTAGAAATGGCTGCCTAGCACCCAGTGACACTGGTGATCCCACCTCCTCCAGCAGCAGAGCTGATGTGCATCACATGTACCCTCCTGGACCAAGAGCCACCTGCGTGCACCTGCCTCCTTTGGCGACCTTGTCCCCTTTAGTTGCAAAGGTGCCGTTTGTCGTGTACACTCCCTTTGCCCAGTGAATACTTAAGACCAGCCTGCTGTAACCTAAAGCACTATCCTCACTACTGGCAGAGCCACTGTGCTAGGTGAAGCCCTTCAGGGACTAAAAACTGATCCCCCCGCCCCCGGTAGCATCCACCCATCAGAAAGATATGCCACTACTTCCACAAACACCTACAGTGTAGGCCACTAAGGGACTCACAGACAGTGCTGATGGTAATTACATACAGATTACACTACACACACACACACACACATATATATATATATATATATATATACATATTTTTTTTTTTTTTGAGACAGAGTCTCGCTCTGTCGCCCAGGCTGGAGTGCAGTGGTGCAATCTCGGCTCACTGCAAGCTCCGCCTCCCAGGTTCACAGCATTGTCCTGCCTCAGCCTCCCAAGTAGCTGGGACTACAGGCACCTGCCACCACGCCCGGCCAGTTTTTTGTATTTTTTAGTAGAGACGGGGTTTCACCATGTTAGCCAGGATGGTCTCAATCTCCTGACCTTGCAATCCACCCGCCTCGGCCTCCCATAGTGCTGGGATTATAGGCTTGAGCCACCATGCCCGGCCCAGACTACGCTATTATGCCTACTCAGAACCTAAGCCAAAGCACCCTACTCAATGGACACCATAGAACACTTCTGCAAAAAAATCTTTCCACGTGAAAGCTACTCTATAAAATAAGAAGAGATGATTGTTTCATCAAATGTGCAGACATTAATGTAGGAACATAAGCCACATGAAACAACAAGGAAACACGTCACTGTAATCTTAGCACTTTGGCAGGCTGATGCAGGAGGCTTAGTTGAGCCCAGGAGTTCAAGACCAGTCTGGGCAACATGGTGTAATCCTGTCTCTACAAAAAGTTAGCTGCTCTTAGTGGAGTGCGCCTATAATCCCAGCTACTTGGGAGGCTGAGGTGGGAGGATCAACTGAGCCCAGGAGGTTGAGGCTGCAGTGAGCTGAGATGATGCCACTGCACTCCAGCCTGGGCAACAGAGTGAGACTCTGTCTCAACAAACAAAAACAAAAACAAAAACAAAAACAAAAACAAAACAAATCCCAGAAATCTTGGAGCTGAAAAATTGAATGAATTAAATAAAACATAATATATAACAACAGACTACATCAAGCAGAAGATAGGATTTCTGAATGTAAAGGCAAATTTTTAAATAATAACTCAATCAGACCAAAAAATAAAAGAAAAACCAAAAGAATGAAGAAAACCTACAGGAATTATGGAAGACTATTAAGTAAATAAAAATTCACATTATGAAAATTCCAGAGAAGAGACAGGAAAAAAATCACATAAAATATATTTAATAAAATGATAGCTGAAAACTCCCTATTTCTTAGGAAACATATGAACATACATATGCAGGAAGCTCAAAAGTTTCCAAATAGGCCTGGCTTGATGGCTCACACCTGTAATCACAGCACTTTGGGAGGCTAAGGCAGGTGGATCATGAGGTCAGGAGATTGAGACCATCCTGGCTAACACGGTGAAACCCCATCTCCACTAAAAACACAAAAAATTAGCTGGGCGTAGTGGCAGGTGCCTTTAGTCCCAGCTACTCAGGAGGATGAGGCAGGAGAATGGCATGAACTTGGGAGGCAGAGCTTGCAATGAGCCAAGATGGCACCACTGCCCTCCAGCCTGGGTGACAGAGTGAGACTCTATCTCAAAAAAAAAAAAAAAAAAAATTAAAAAAAGTTTTCAAATAGATTCACCTAAAATGATCCTCTTTAAAGAACATTAAAGTGAAACTGTCAAAATTTGAAGACAAAGAGAATCCTAAAAACAACATGAAAAAAGAGGCAAGTTACAAATAATGGAATCCCCATTACACTAATAGCAGCTTTCTCAGCAGAGACCTTACCAGCCAGTAGAGAAATGGATGATAAATTTAAAGTGCTGAAATAAAAACACCTGCTAATCAAGATTACTATACCCAGCAAAGCTATCCTTCATTACTGAAGGAAGAAAAAGTATTTTCCAGACAAGCAAAAATAGAAAATTCATCAGCAGTAGACTAACCTTACAAGAAGTGCTTAAGAAATTGCCACATCTGGAAGTGAAAAGACAATAACTGCCCTCATGAAAACACATGAAAGCATAATACTCACTGGTAGGAAACATACAGAAATAAAATGAGAAAGGGATCAAGACTTATTGCTTCAGAAAACCACTAAACCACAAAAGATAAACAATAAAAAAGAAAGGAAAAAAAGGATTTGCAAAACAAACAGAAAACAATAACAAAATGACATAAGTAAATCCTCACCTATTAATAACCTTGAATGTAAAGAAAATAATTTACTCAAATAAAAGCTATAGGCTGGATACATGGATTAAAACAAACAAAAACCAAAGGCCTAGCTATATACTGCCTTTAAGAAACTCACTTCACCTGTAAAGTCACACATAGACTGAAAGTGAAAAAAGGAAAAAAGATATTCTACGCAAATGGAAACCAAATACAGGCAGGAGTAGCTATATTTATATTTATATAAAATGAAATAGACTTTAAGTTAAAAACTATAAAAATACACAAAGAATATAATTATGTAACTATAAACGGATCAATACAGCAAAAAGATACAATAGCTAAGATATATGCACTTAACACTGGAGCAACCCAATATATAAAGGAAATATTACGTCTAAAGTAGGAGACAGATTCCAATACAATAATAGTTGAAGACTTTAGCAGCCCACTCTCAACATTGGACAGATCATCTGGACAGAAGATCAACAAAGAAACTGCACTGTAGACTAAATGGACCTAACAGACATTTATAGAACATCTCATCCAACAGCTTTAGAATACACATTCTTCTCATTAGCACATGAAACATTCTCCAAGATAGACCACATGTTATGCCACAAAACAAGTCTCAACAAATTTTTAAAAATCAAAATATAAAGTATCTTTTCTAACTACAATGGAATAAACCTAGAAATCAATAATAAGAGGAACACTGGAACTGTACAAACACATGGAAATTAACTGTACAAACATATTGGAACTGTGCAAACACATGGAAATCTGGAATTGGAATGAGGAAATTAAGAAGAAAATTTAAAACATTTTTGAAATATAAATAGAAACACAACATATCAAAACTTATGGGCCACAGTAAAAATAATACAAAGAGGGGACTTTATGTAAACACATGCCCACATCAAAAAAGGAGAAAGTTTTCAAATAAACAAGTAATCAGTGTACCTCACAGAACTAGAAAAAGAAGAACAAACCAAACACAATTAGTAGAAGGAAAAAATTAATCAAGATGAAAACGTAAAGTTTTAAAATAAACTAAAAAATATAAAAGATTAAGAAAAATAAAAGTTGCTTTGTGAAAAGATAAACAAAACTGAGAAATCACTAGCTATACTAACTCAAAAAAGTAGGAAGAAGCCCAAAATAAATAAAATAAAAAAACAAAAAAAGACACATTACAACTGATACCACCACAAAAATACAAAGGATAATTAGAGACTATTGTGAACAACAGATATACATTAACAAAATGGAAAACGGAGAGAACCTAGAGGAAATGGATAAATTCCTAGACACACACAAGCTTCCAAGATTAAACCTGGAATCAATAGAAAACCTGAACAGACCAGTGATGAGTAGTGAGATTGAAACAATAATAAAATGTGGCCCAGCCAAGAAAAGCCCAGGACTGAATAGCTTCACTGCTGAATTCTACCAAGCATTTTAAGAATAACTAACACCAATTCTTCTCAAACTATTCAAAAAAATTAAATAGGAGTGAATTCTTCCACACTCATTCTACTAAACTAGCGTTACACTGATGCTAAAAACAGACAAGAACACAATGAAAAAAGAAAACTTTAGGCCAATATCCTTGCTGAATATAGACACAAAAATCCTCAACAAAATGCTAGCAAACCTGATCCCATAGCACATCAAAAAGACTATATTTCATTATCAAGTGAGATTCATTCCATAGATATAAGGATGGTTCAACATACCTAAATCAATGAAAGTGATAAATCACATCGACAGAACGAAGGAAAAAAAAAACATGTATTCATTTGTATAGATGGAAAAAAAAACGCATTTGATAAAATTCAACATGTTTTAATGATAAAAACTCACAACAAAATAGGTATAGAAGGAAATGTGCCTAAACACAATAAAGGCAAACCCATAACTAACATCATACTGAGCAGGAAAAGGCAGAAATATTTTTTTGTCTAAGAAATGGAACAAGAAAAAGATGATCACTTTTCCACACTCATTCAACTTATTACTGGATGTGCTAGCCAGAGCAATTAGACAAGAGAAAGAAATTTAAGGCATTCATATTGGAAAAGAGAAAGTCAAATTGCCCCTGCTTGCAGATGACATAATTTTATATGTAGTCAAATCGAAAGACTCCAACTAAAAATATTTAGAACTGATAAATGAAAGCAGTGAAGTAACAAGATAGAAATAAACATATGAAAATCTCTAGCATTTCTATATACCATTGATGAACTTGTTGGAAAAGAAATCAAGAAAGTAATCTCATTTACAATAGCCACAAAAATACAAAATACCTGGGAATAAATTTAACTAATAAGGTAAAATATCTCTAAATGAAAATTATAAAAATCTGATCACAGCTGGGCGTTGGCGGCTCACCCCTGTAATCCCAGCATTTTGTGAGGCTGAGGCAAGCAGATGACCTGAGGTCAGGTGTTTGAGACCAGCCTGTCCAACATGCTGAAACCCCATCTCTACTTAAAATACAAAATTACTTGGGCATGGTGGTGTGTGCCTATAATCAATCCCAGCTACTCCAGAGGCTGAGACAGGAGAATCTCTTGAACCCGGGAGTCGGAGGTTGCAGTGAGCCGAGATCGTGCCAGTGCACTCCAGCCCGAGCAAAAACAGTGAAACTCTGTCTCAAAAAAAAAAAAAAAAAATCTGATGAAAAACATTAGAGTGCACAAAAAATGAAAGACACATTATGTTCATTTATTTCAAGAACTAATATTGTTAAAATGACCATAGTACTCAAAGCAATCTGTAGATTCAATGTATCCCCTATCAAAATACCAAAGACATGCTTTTCAGAAACAGAAAAAAAATCTTAAAATTTGTATGGAACCACAAAAGACCCCAGAATAGCCAAAGCAATGATGAGCAAAAGGAGAAAACCTGGAGTCATCACACTACCTGGCATCAAATATACTAGAAAGCTATAGTAACCAAAACAGCATAGTGTTGGCATAAAAACAGTCACATAAACTAGTGGAATAGAATAGAGAACACAGAAATATATCCAAATATTTACAGGCAACTAATTTTTGACAGAGGTACCAAAAACATACATTGGGGAAAGAACAAACTTTTTAATTAATGATGCTGGGAAAAACTGTATATACATAAACAGAAGAAGGAAACTAGACATGTATCTCTCACCATATAAAACAGTCAAGTCAAAATGGATTAAATACCTAATGTGAGACACGTTGGAGAAATGTTTCAGGAGAAACATTGGAGAACACACTGGAGAAATGTTTCAGGACATTGGTTTGGGAAAGGTTTTATGGATAAGATGTCAAAAGCACAAGCAACAAAAGCAAAAATAGACACATTGGATTAAAGCAAACTAAAAGCTTCTGCACAGCAAAGCAAAAATTCAATAGAGTGAAGAGACAACCTACAGGATGCAAAAAAATTTGCAAATGATTTATTTGACAATGGCTTAGAATCCAGAATATACAAGGAATTCACAGAACTCAAAAGCAAAAGTAATCCAATTAAGGGGTGAGGTGGTAAAAGAAAAAAATAATCCAACTAAAACATCTTTGAAAGGTCTTCTGTTAAGTAGATATATTTAAAAAGGTATCTAATTCATTTCATATAAGTGGTTCCATATTTTTACTGAATTAAGTATCATTGAACTGAACAAAACATTTTTATGAATAAAACTGTCTCAACATCTTCGGTTTGCTAAGCTGAAGGTTATCAATAGAGACAGAAGGGGCACCCAAGCCTCTGGCTTCCAGTCTTCACTTTCCATATCTCATGCTGCTTGAGTTCTTGATATCTTTATTTCTCTTTTTCCTCTCCTGAGCCTGTTTTATTTCTATCAAAGTCACCTCAATGATTTTATTTTAATTAACCAGATGGATTTAAAGGATGAGGTGCATTATGTGCATCTCCTTTAGGAAAATATTTGATGACTCTAAAATCCATATTCCTTGAAAATTTGCTATCACCAAATCTTAGAATCTTATGGCTGCTGAATATTAATTTTTTTGCAGATGAGGATTACAAATGAGAAAGAATATCAGTGTAGCAAATTGCCAAAAACTCTTTTTGAGATCATGATGAATAATGCATATTAAATTCATTTTGCATATTTCTAGAAATTATGCAAATTGCATTGAGTAAATTGCCTGTGAAGTGAGGTGTTTTGATAAAAACAGTTAATTCTCTTTTTGTTACAGCATGTAAGTGGTGTCTAAGCTAACCATATGCAAATCTTTTTGGTTTCTCATTAAATTATCTAAATGTGAATTATTTAATAATAATGCACTCTTTACTCATAACACCAAGGCTTTGTGCCTTTAACCCTAACTCTCTTTATTCTATTCTTAATTCCACTGAACTAATAATGCATTATTTTATATACCTTCTGAAGTTATTTTTCCTATCAGATTTTGATTTGAGTAGATTTAGAGGACATGATCTTCATATTAACTATGCCTTTGACTAGTAGAGTCAGTGATTGTTATACTTGGGTGGGTGGATAAAGGTGTGTATTCACCAAGCATCCACTGGATGCAGAGTTTAAGTGACTTGAATCTACCTTCAAGAGGTTTAAAGTCTTCTAGGGGAGAAAAGGCATGTACCCCAGCAAGTTAGACATAGACAACATGCATGGGAACACAGGAGAAGGAGAAGTCACTTCTAGATTTAGGGGGTGAGTGGGTATTCAGCAGAAATATCATGAGGCATGTCAGGAAAATTTAATTATGGAGAAATTTTGTACCTAAGTAGATGATAAAAGGAGAGAGTTTGATACTCTCTATTGACTATTGTAAGAACAGGATGAATGAAGCTTAGAGGTCAGAAAATAGACTGCTTTGAGAAAGAAGCAGTTACTCTGGTTTATCAGGGAGTTAGATCAGCTATGTGAGGAGACACAGTGAAATCTAACATAATAGTACTACTCCCACTACACTAACAACAATAATAATAATGAATGGTAATAAATTCAATGGAAATAATAAAACCGATCATGTCTTAAGCACTCACTGTGTTCAAGGCCTTTTGATTCGTGCCATATATATTATATATATATATATATATATCATATATAGATATATTATATATACGATATGTATGATATATATATCTATATATGATATATATATCATATATATTATGTATTTATACATTAGAAAATTATTTTATGTGGACCCTTTAAAAAAGTATTAATTTCACCAAATCTGGAATACCGGCAGTGTAAAAGTCTTAAACCAACTTTTTATTTATTTATTTATTTTTCTAAGTTCCCTCCCCTCACCCCCAACCCCCAACAGGCTCTGGTGTATGTTGTTCCCCTCCCTGTGTCCATGTGTTCTCATTGTTTAACTCCCACTTATGCGTGAGAACATGTGGTGTTTGGTTTTCTGTTCCTGTGTTAGTCTGCTGAGAATGATGGTTTCCAGCTTCATCCATGTCCCTGCAAATGACATGATCTAATTCCTTTTTATGGCTACATAGTATTCCATGGTGTATATACACCACATTTTCTTTATCCACCCTATCATTGATGGACATTTGGGTTGGTTCCATGATTTTTAGTGCTTTATATTTTATTACTGAACATGACCCATAACACTTGCAGGCCAGTAAGTAGCTACTTGTTCTAGATGAGGAAACCAAGGTATAGATACAGAAATTTCTCCAAATCGTGCCAAGTGGTAGAAGGTCTTTTTTTTTTTTTTTTCTACAGGGTCTTGCTTTTTCATCTAGGCTGGAGTGCAGTGGCATGATCATGGCTCACCGCATACTCAATCTCCTGCGAATAATCCTCCCACCTCAGCCTTCTGAGTAGCTAGGATCACAGGCATGAATCAACACACCTGGATAAGTTTTTTGATTCTTTTTGTAGAGATGAGGTCTCACTATGTTGTCCAGGCTGGTCTCAAACTCTTAGACTCAAGTGATCCTCCCACCTAAGTGTTGGGATTACAAGCATGAGCCACTGTGCCTGGCATTAGAATCTTAAATGTCAAATTGAAGAACTGGTCTTGAATTCTGTAAGTACAGTGCTTCACTGAGGATTCTGATGTCCGGATGCAATGTGGCTTTTTCCCATGCCAAAAAGCGCTATAAAATGTATTTGGTCAACACATATTAATTGAAAATTGAATATTATTTATGAGCCAGGCATATTCTTGTTGCTCAGGATGCATCAATGTGCAAATCCCAAAAGTATCTGTCCTCATGGATCTTATATTCTAGCGAAAAGAGACAAAAAGTTAAAGAACAATGTGCATGCACAACAAAGAAAAATATATTTTAGAAAGGATAAGTGCCATAGGGAAAAAAATAGAGCACACTGGGCAGGATAGGGAGAGCCAGTGGGGGTTCCAGTTGTAAAGTTTAATAGAATGGTCGCATGAACTGCCTTAAAAATGTAATATTTGAGCAAAAACCTAATGAAAGTGAGAGAGGTAGCCAAACAGACAGGTGAAGAAAGATATTCCAGGCAGTGGGGAGGGTTGCTATGGATAATCTAAGGCTAGTGTGCCTGGAGAGTCTGAGGAACAGCAAAAAGGCCACTGTGGCTGGAAGGGACAGAAAACAAAGGGAAAGTGGTGAGAGATGAGGTCAGAGTACCACGGGGAAAAAATCATGTATAATCTTTTAGGACACGTGAAGGTGTTGTTTTAGGCAAAATAAGGAACCATTCGTTGCAGGATTGTGATTCAAAGAGTGAAATTTGCCTATTAAGTAAGTCTATTGAGAAAGGGCAGGCAAAAAGAGGTGCCTAATTTTTCCATACATTTGCTTTTACAGGTTAGTTCCTACAAAGAACACTTTCTGTCTTATATATCTCATGCCTCCCTCCCCCCACCAACACACTCAAATGCATAGTTTGAAGGGGGCTTCTACCAATAGCATTTTGTATATTAAGTTCTTTTTTTTTTTTTTTTTTTTTGAGACAGAGTTTTGCTCTTGTTGCCCAGGCTGGAGTGCAGTGGTGTGATCTTGGCTCACCGCAAGCTCCGCCTCACGGGTTCAAGCGATTCTCCAGCCTCAGCCTCCCGAGTAGCTGGGATTACAGGCATGTGCCACCATGCTTGGCTAATTTTTGTGCGTCTGCTTTTTAGTAGAGACAGTGTTTCTCCATGTTGGTCAGACTGTCCTCGAACTCCTGACCTCAGGTGATCCACCTGCCTCGGCCTCTCAAAGTGCTGGGACTACAGGCATGAGCCACCATGCTCAGCCAAGTCTTAATATTTATGACAGGCATTTTAATTGCTTAGGTAGTTATTTATAAGCTCTGAGATGGCAAGATCTATATTTGTTACATTTTACATTGTATCATGTAGGGAATATATGTAGAGATATTTGTTGAATCAATAATAAATCAATTTGTTATATATAATTCCTCAAAACTGATACATTTCCAGAATCTCAGTCCTGCAACTAAAAAAACCTACTAAATATGTCTGCATGGTAGCTTAACTAACATTCCAAACCTAAAATACACATCATAAATTTACTATTGTTTATCTGATATTTCTTTTCTTAAGTCCTTTATTTTTCTTTATGATTTCACTGTTGGGCTAATTACCAAAAGTTCAAATCTGTGGGGAGGACCTTGATTTTTTTGTCTTTTCACTAAACCCTGCCCTGCTCTGTGCCCAACTGTAGCATAAGTGGCCGATCAAATTATACAGATTCTATCTGTGGAATATAATATACCTTTACTTTCTCCTTTCTCATCTCATTATCACTTAACCTGAATAAAGATCTCTTTTGCACTCATCTGAGCTACACCGATAATCTGTTATTAAATTACTTTGCTCTATTCCTCACGTAAATACTCTCATATGTGCCTTTTGCAAAATAGAAAGCTATATGTTATAAAATGTGTCCCTTTTAAAGTCGAATGCTTAATTAAAGACTCCAGTAGTCCCTAGTTATAAAACTACTTAATGTATAATTCAAAGCCTTACATCAGCATTAATAAATTGCACATTACAAGGTGGTATATATAAAAGAGAAAAGTTTAATGATTACATTAGTTTTGGAACTAACTAATCTAACTAAATTAACAGATTACAAAATGTGGCTGCAAGTTCCTCTCATCCTTGTATACTTGCTTGTCTACAATTAAAGTTGCCACTCCAATTGGGGCTGACCTTGTGACTTATTTTGACCAATACAGTGTGGCAGAAGTGATGCCATGTGACATCAGGGCCTGGATCTCAAGAAACCATGGGCCTTCTACTCTCATTTGTTTTGGAATACTTCTGCCATCATGTGAAGAAATCTAATAAATCAAACAAACAAAAGGAAAACACAAGAACAGCAACAACAAGAAGAAAACAAAAACAAACAAAGAAACCCTACATGTGGAAAAGAAAACAAAAACAAACAAAAAACCCTACTTGCGGAAAGAAACCCAGGCATCTAGGTGAGCTCAGCCTCCAGCCCATCCACCATCCAAAAGCAGGTGCATGAGTTAAGCCCAGAACAGCAGCCAGCACACAGAGTTATGAGAAGTAGTACAGTGTTATTTAAAGCCATTGTTTTGAAATAGGTCGTTATTGAGCAATAGGTAACTGAGATAGACATGTTATCCTTTACTTAAAAAGCTTAAGGTTCATTAGCCTAGTGAAGCCTAAAAAATCCTACACTGAAAAGACCTGCTTAACTTTGTTTAATCCATTCAAATTTATGTGAATAAAGAATGATTTATTGTTGCTACTTACAAATTTCATTGAGATTTCTAGTGCTGAAACCCAGTTTTAGAAATCAGAATTCTTGTTATCTCTCTGCAACCCACTCTTTGGCCCTATATTTTATTATTGCAGTTTTCGTACACAATACTGTTTTTCAAATTCAATTATAAACAGTTTTTAAGCATACTCTTTCTTGGTCTTTGACAATGGTATCTCTTCTATGAAGCTTTTGCTGATCATCCCTTCTGTAAGTTATTAAATTATTACAAATACAGCAGTCGATTCAACAAAGTTCCCAGTTTCTTTGTGTGGACGTACTGTATGCCAGGGACTGTGCTGAGACCTGGAGTTGCTATAGTCAGTTAAGGTAGAGTTCAGAACTTAAGGCTCTTGGGTGTTATATTTTGGTTATTTTCTTTTGCTGGCTTGAGTGTCTCATCTGGGCAGAAGGAGTTTATTAAGTACATTTTTCCATTTTGAATATTTTCTTTCTTTGGGAAATTCCCAACCAATATTTGTGGAATGGTAAGGGAATGAATAATGCAAATAATTATAGTTTAATACACATTATGTAAGCTATTGCATAACACAGTTCTTTAGAATTTACTAATTTTGCAATCAATCGCTAATGCACACCATAAGAGAAAGAACTTGAAATGGTTAGTTAGCAAGTCTTCCTTCCAAGAACTCAAGCAATTGTTCATTTGAAGAGTCAAACTATATAAAAATATAGTTAATGAACCTTTTGTGAGCTTTAAGTGCTTGACCTCATTGTTTTGTCCATATGATTAAGCAGCATTTACATAAGACCAGAATAAACATTTATTAACCACAAATCAGTAGCTTAAAACAACACAAATACTTTATCTTACAGTCAGAATCCAATAGGCATCTCACCAGGCTGAAATCAAGACATCAGCAGGACTGTACTTTTTTTCTGGAGGATCTAGGGGAGAATCAGCATCTTTGCCTTTTCCAGCTTCTAGAGGTCACATTTCCTCCATCATTAAAGCCTGCAATGTGACGTTTCTCTGGCCATTCTGCTGTTACTACATCTTTTTTTTACCATAGCCAAAAAGGATGTCCTCTTTTAAGAACTTCTGTAATTAGATCAGAGCCACCCAGATAATCGAGGATCTTCATCCTATTGGAAGGTTCTTAACCATACTCATATCAGTAAAGTCCCTTTTGTGGAGGCAACAAATTCACAGGTTCTAGAGATTGGCATGTAGACATCTTGGAGGGGCCATTATTCTGCTCTACACAATGGGGGTGTTGCTTGTTTTAAAACTTATTCTCATATGTGAGACATTCAAAAACTTTGCATGTGGGCAATATTAACCCTGTTTCATAGGTGAAGAAACTGAAGCAGGCCATTTATTTTGTCTGGGATTGTGCCATCAGCTTCTACCCTAGAATGTTTGACTTCATGGCCTTATTTATGAAACTCATCAGCTTGCTTTTACTTCTTAAAAATTTTTTTTTCTTTTTACTTTTACTAAAAAGTAAAAGAAATGGGTTTTCAAACAGTGTTTATAAGCCATCAGAAAGAAACACCAACTAGAATAGTCGATTTAACTGTTTTGACTGAATAGAGAAGTATGGTATACAACTCAAAGAGTGAACTCAGTACCTGGAGTATGATGTTTTTTTGGTCACACAGGTCTTATGCTAAATCCCAAAGGCAGAGACTCTAACTGTAATGTCTTTCTTTGGTAGGTTTCAAATTCAGAGGACTGTTTAACTGGTAATTCATCCAGGCAAATATCTGTTGGGCATCACTCTGCCAGAGAAGTTGGGTACAAGATGAGCAAGGTAAAGACTGATCAAAAAGCATGACAGAGACCAAACGCTGCCGAATGTAATGCAGTGACTACTCTGCTAGCATGACACACTATGTTAAAGAGAGAAAGATGTGGCTACTTGGTCTCGATGTGCAGGGATAATGGTAGAAGAAAGCTTCAAAGAGAGGTGATGTTTGAGTTGCACTTTCAAGGATTTCACTGTGAAGATTAAGTGGCAGAGACACAGAGATAACGAATGTACTACAGGTATGAAAGTGATTGCAGTGGATGTTTCTGAAATCCTGAATGAGATGTGAGACCACATCTACAAAGCCCTCGCTGTCATGACTGTGGGCACATCACTTCATCTCACTGAATGTCATTCTTCATTTGTGGATGTTTGCATGGTCAATGCCGAGCACATTTCCTCACATATGGTAAGCATTAACAAAATATACAATTGAAATTAACATTTACAATGTGAATATCTATTATAAGGGTGTAGGTGAATGCTTACACAGATACATTTATATTCACTTACTGCATGCTAATGGATATTGGATCTATTCAATGACTTTGAAATATAGCACTTATAAAGCATTCATATTTCATCTATAATACACCAAATTATGATATTCAGTAAATAATTTGGAAACACAGATATCCATGGGAAGGAGGAAGATGGAAGGGAATGACTTATGAAAGAATCTAAAGATATGAAGTGAAACCTAGGCATAAAGGAGATTGTGAAAATTGGTTACTAAAGGAGAGAAGGTGCATATTAAGACAGGAGATGTGTATAAAAACTGTATTCACAAATTGTATGTGAGTGTCATTCATGGGGTGTGCCTGAATAACTCAGTCAAAAACAGAAAGGCAACCCACCCCTCAACCCCAGGTGATAAATAGGTGGGTAGGTGGGAGAGAGGGAGCTGGGAAATATAGCTCTATCATGATGGAGAAGAGAAACAGTGAAGGAACAAGAAGAAAAAACCCACTTCTTATGTATTTGGCCAAGAGAAAGAATCTGAAAGACAAATTCAGAAGAAAGAAAATTCTGAAGTTCAACCAATTAAAAACAACAACAACAACAACAACAACAAAAAACAGACAGAGCTCAGACCCACATAGTTTCTCTGCATTTGGCAGCTTGTACAAAATCTGTACCTAACAATGCTCTCGCAGAATGGTGGTGGTTTCTTATTCTCGGGACAACTAATCCCGTGTTATTGAGAATGGTTTCCTTACACATGAGGAAAATGAAAGACAGCTCCACGTCTCCAAGGCTGTAGCCTAAAATGAATGCCATACTTCAAATCCCTCTCCAGCGTGAAGTTTTCAAAGTGAGAATTCACGTGCATTTACTTAGGTCTCTGAGTCACTATAAATGAGATTGGGTGATATCTGCATTGCCAGGCCTATAAAGGAGATCTAATGTAGCTTGATGGACTACGATGATGAATTAGTAGTCACACTTGGAAGCATATTAGAGTGAAAGAAGGTATTAATTCTTTTATCTATATAATTCCATTCAGTAGGCTCTTATATGTGGGATTAGAAATATTATAAACATGAAGGGCAGTGTTGAGTTTAGGAACAATTGGTTAGGGATCATACAAATGAGTGTTTAAATAAGATTCTTTACTTAGTAATCTGTTTACATAGTCAATTTACCTAATACTCTCAGATGCTCAGCATCCTTATCTATGCAATGGAGATAATACTTTAGAACTTTTATAAGGGCTAGAAACAAAACGTATGACAAAGAGGCAAAGATAGCACAGTGTCGAGGAGGATACAGTAAATTTTCACTAAATGAATACTGAATGGTATATATGTATGTTGCAGTAAATATAAGCTGAAATTGAAATTTTCTTTTGCTATACCTTTGTGGGAAGTGGGAATCACTCACATAGCTCTCTTTGGCACATTCTGTCACATTCTACCTGAAAAGAGGGTTTTCTGACTGATAGATTGTGAACCAAATAAAAAATAAACATGAACAGGTCTATTTCTGTAACAGGGCCTTTGTGTATTCTCTGCCCCCCACCTATATTTGCACATGTAGAGATAACTTCACAGTTGGATGCCTAGTCTCTGGTTTATGTTAATAAATCACTGTTCCGTGACCCTTTTATACTGTGGACTAGGGAGAGGCCATAGTTTATTATTTCTGTTTTATGGATTATATCACTGAAATCCTAAACCTTAAATGGCTTCATTTTGACCCCAACATTTTAGTTCATGGAATCTATCCCAAGTAAATAATCAGAGAAGGGACTAAAGATTTATGTACAGGAATGTTCATCATGGTGTTATTTATTATAGCAAAACATAGAGAAAAAATTTCAAATATCCAACTTTAGAAGATTTATTAAATAAATTATGGTGTATTCATGTGATGGAATTTGTTCAATAGTAAAATGACATTTTTAGAAGGCTATTTCATGATATAATGTTAAGTAAAGAAAGCATGATTCAAAACTGTTTTTGTAAGTATAATTTTTTTAATTCTGCAAATTACAGAGTAAAGCAAATAAGCTAAAATGCTTTCATTCTTTTTCAATGGTTGGATTATAGAATTTAAAAAGTGTTTTCTTTTTGAGTAATGATGTCTGTACTAAGCCTGTTTTTTTCATTATAAGAACAAGAAAAAAGACATTTTTTTAAAGAAATAAAAAGTTTTGTCTGCTGATACAGCAGAACTGTATAAATATCACCTTTACTTACACCATTAAAAAATACATACTGCCTGGGCACGGTGGCTCATACCTGTAATCCCAACACTTTGGAAGGCCGATGCCGGCAGATTACTTGAGGTCAGGAGTTCAAGGCCAGCCTGGCCAACATGGAGAGACCCTGTCTCTACCAAAAATACAAAAATTAGCTGGGCGTGGTGGCGGGTGCCTGTAATTCAAGCTACTTGAGAGGCTGAGGTAGGAGAATCACTTAAATCCAGGAGGCAGAAGTTGCAATGAGCCGAGATTGCACCAGAGCACTTCAGCCTGGGCTACAGAGCAAGACTCCGTCTCAGAAAAAAAAAAAAAAACTCACATACTATATGCTTTGGTTTATCCATATGTATAATATATGGACATACATACATTTATGTGCATAAAATCTACATATATTTTAAAAATGCATTTGTGGAATTTTCTGTTAACATTTCTCTTCTTGGAATAGAGTTAATTAAAATATGTATGTGATAACATTTCCTTTACCTACTTTTCAGTTTAAATTAGAGTTTCTTAACCTTCATACTACTGACACCTTGGGCTGGATGACTTTTTATAGTGGATGTGCTGTTCTGTGCATTGTAGGATATTCAGCACCATCCCTGATCTCTACCCCTCCACTTGTGACAGCTAAAACTGTCTCTAGACATTGTCAACTGACACCTATTGCAAAATTATCCCCATTGGGAACCACTGGATTAAACAATAGGTGTGTGGTTGTGATTTATAAATATGTTAACTAGAAAATCTCAATAGTCTCATTTTCTAAATTATCTCATTTAGTTCCTGAGAAAATAACATTTATTTTAATTTTCTGTTGTTTTGGTTGTACTAGTTATATCTAGGCAGTCAATCTTGTTTGAAGATGTCTAATTCAAACAAATAGCTATTCCAAAATTTAATTGAGTGGAAGGGCTGGTAATTAACTGCTTATCTGATTTTAATCATTTTCCTCCCTAAATCAATTTGTGTGTAGAAAAATACTCAATCTAACACATCACAGAATATTCTAGCCAATGATTTACTCAGTTTTCATGATGAAATAAGCATAGTTTAGTAATCAGAAAAACATCTGTGTGTAGTCTGGTTGTTTAGGCAGATTACTAAGTTTCTCTTGGATGTATTCTCTTCATGGATAAAAAATATTCAAGTTAATGTTGACATCCTCCAAAGATTTTGAGGATTCAACAGAAAAGAGCAAAACGTTATTACAATATTATATTGACTAGTTCACTATTTTGCAAACATTGAAATAAATTTTAGGGCTACAAAGATAAATTAAACTTCTAAGAGACTTTAAGCATCTCGCAGTCTGGTGGATGAAACAGACATGCAGTAACCGTATATTGTGTCAAGGGTGACTGCTGACCTTCCTGGTTTGCTTCGGCCTACATGATTTCCTGGTTACAGGACTTAGGATCATAAAACAGAGAAAGCATCCTGCAAACAGGGATGGTTGGTTACCTTAATAATACATGCTTTTACTAGATTCCTCAAAAGCATAGAAGAGGAGCATACTTTTAGTCTGGGTTTAAGGATTCAGAAAAGATGTCACGTCTCAATTGAGTCTTGGAAGATGGATTTGAAGGAGGCAAAGTAAGGAGCAGGTGCTAAGCATCAAGAATTGAGGAGCATGTCATATGCTGTGCAAATAATTTATCACTGGAACCCAGGATTAACCACATTGGCAGAGAGCACAGTTGAGGATACAGTGTAAAACTGGAGAATGATGGTCTTAGGAGTTTAGGAATTTAACATTTGTGGTATAGACAATATTAATTAACTTTAATTTGAAACTGACATAATCAGATGGGTTTAAGGAAAATAATCCTGATATTAAAATATAGGATGGATTAGTAATAGGCAATTTAGAAGACTCAGGGTCATGTTTGGAATCTGTTTTTGGTGCATTGTGAGCTGTTAGGAATCTGTGTTTGGTATATTGTGAGGAGAAAGGTAGGGTGAATTTGGGAAAACCATAGGGGTGGGGGTACAGAATAAAAAGAACCTGGTATCTGAATGTAGGATACAGGAGACAAGAAGCAGTTGAAAGAATTCATAAGTTATCAGCTGTGATTGGAATAGTAGAATGGTGGGACCATTTACAAAATTAAAAATGAGAAAGAAATGGGATTGGGTATGGGATGGGAGTGAGTCAGGACAATCAACTTATTATTGGCCACATGAAAATTGGGATGCATGTGTCACCACCATCTAGTCAATGATTTATATACAGTTGGTAGTCAGAAGTGTGGATGCAACTTTAAACGTTATCTGCACAAAAGTCATTGTTGACTTCTGTCAGATCAACCAAGGAGGTTATGAGGGTTAGATAGGAAAAGTGCTGAGCTTGGGGTTGCTAAGGAAAGGATTCTCTCACTCATTAACTTAGTGTCCAGTGATATTGATTTGCACCTCTAAGCATTGAAAGAATTTGACATATCTGGTTTTAAGGAAGTTTTCTTTGATACTAATTGTGCTCTATCTCTTATTTTTTTAAGGAAAAAACCTTATAAAATCTCGTATCCACTAATACCCATGAAGAAGTAAAAAAAAGAATCTTTGATTAAAGTTAGTGCAGCCAGAAAAAAAAAATAGCCAGCAACCAATTACCTCACACTTTCCTAAATGATCTCTCAGTTCATTTCTTGTTATTTTGGGTATGGGTGAAAAGAGACAGCAACTGAAATCACCTTTATGTTGCTGGGTCAAAAGCTCAGTCTCCTAAGTGTAACTGAAGTAAGCATAACTCCTTTCTGAGCCAAGGATTAAGGCAGGGAATTCAGCCATCAATTCCCATTGCATGTGATGTGTAATCTAACAAATTTCCAAACAAGCACTCTGGAAACAATTAAAAGTAAGCAAGCTGCCCTGATCAAAGGCTGCTGATGTTTTAAAGTGCACTTTGGTCACCCACAAGTAGTCTTCCAGAATGTGCCTTGCCCTGTTGGGGCCTGGAGCATAAAAAAAGAAAGTTTATGCTGTCCCGCTCAGTGTGAGTTTAAGGCTGTGGGTCATTAGGAAGCAAACACATTAGGGCTAAAAAAAATAATTGTTTGGTTTATAGTCACTTGGGGTTTTAGCTTGAATCAGACCTCAGCTGTGGTGTGTTAGAAGTATGTGCAATGCTCTATAAAAATTGTTTGCTGATATGTCACTGTCAAAAGCATATGTGAAATTATTAACTTCTCAAACAAACATTTGTAATTTGTGCCAATTTCAGGAAGATGAATACCATCATATTTGCAAACTGTACTTTGGGTTTCCATACAAACCTGAGTGATGTAAATAAACATGTTTTGTGTATTCATTCCAGCTTTGCAAATGCTCTCCATTCTCAACACAATTTGCAATTTGGTATCGTGGGTGACCTTTAACTCATGGCCAGAGATCTTCCACATTGACAATGTGTGGCCAGGAAATGGAGGGCCCGCTTAACTCTGGTTCATCTGAAAAACATTTAAGTGCTGTCCATGACTTTAGATAAGATTCTGGCTTTTGTTCACACATGTACTTTTGGTACTGGGAACTCTTAATATGATGCAACAATAATTTTCTTCTTGGAATAAAAAGAAGGAGATGAAGCAAGGCCTACTGGCCCACTTCCATGTCAGTAAACACAAGCTCATGGAGTTGTAGTGATGGAAGGAAATGCAACTAACCAGCCCAAACCCTTCCGGAAGAGGAGAACATGGCCAAGATAAGTTGAGATAATTGGCTGATTGTCTCAGAGTTAATTAGTGGTAAATCTAGGACTAGAATCTGGGTATTTGAAATCCCACTAACATTCTTCCCACAGAAACATATTGCTTCCATAATAAACATAAAAGTTCAAAAACAAAGGTTCAAATATATTAAGCCATGCTAAAAAAAAATAAAAATAAGGCTATACCTTTGTTTCTTATAAGCAAATTACAGACACCTAGGATTTACAAAATTCACTGTTATGAATTATATTTAGTTTTTAATAGTCCTTAACTATTGAACATAAGCATTGCAGCTCTTCGAATAACGCTTTCAAATGCAATGGAATGTGTGGTAGGTTGGATTATAAATCCCAGTTCTTCATTTTCCTGGAGTATTATTACATATGCATACCCTTGCAATGGTTTTTCAATGAGTAGAGTTTACCTCCCTGCCCCTTTCTTTGGAATCAACTGATTTGGACAATTCACAATTTCACAAAGGATTGGATAATGGCAGACGTGTTGGCAGAACTTGAAATGCCCTTACCCTCATGTGCTCCTGCTTTTTCCTGTGAACATACCTAGGATAACCACTGTTATGACCCACAGTCAGAGTCAAGTGCAGTGAAGACCAGTTTAGATTAACTGAACTCCAACTGACCACTGATGTGTGAATGAGAAATCACTGCTTATTGTGAATGCCTTTAATATTTGATAGTAGTTGGTAAAGCAGCATTATTATGACAATAATGACTGATGAACATTATTTTCCGTGTGAGTCCACCTGTGTGAGACTTCTTTTACTGTCTAAAGTAAATAATAAATAAAGCCTTGAGTTCAAAGCCTCAGAATTGGGTAATAAATATTGCCCAGTTGAGCCATGCTACGAGTTTTACATATTTAATTTTTGCTCATTTTACATTCAGGAAAGTTTAGAAGTGATGCATCTTATAATTATTCTCATTTACACTTCTGTGCACAAGGAAGTTTATTAGGAATTGAATGTTTGCACCTGCTCAGAATCTATATGTAGTTCAAGCCCTAGCCCCCAAGGTAATGGTATTTGGAGATAGGGCCTTTGGAAGATAATTATGTTTAAATAAAGTCATGAGAGTTGGGCTCTCATAATGAGATTAGTGTTCTTATAAAAAGAAGAAGAGAAAATAGAGTCTCTCTCTCTCTCCCTTCAGCCATTTCAGGATACAGGGAGAAGCTAGTAGTCTCCAAGAGAGAAAGAAAGCCTTCACCAGATACAGAGACCTGCCAGAGCCATGATCTTGGACTTTCCACCTTCCAGACTGTGAGAAATAAAAGCCTATTGCTTAAGCCACCCAGTTTATGATCTTTTGTTATAAAAGCCCAAATGGACTAATACGTGGTATGATGATGATCAAGCATTAGGAAGTATGACCGTTGAGGATATAACCCTCACCTCTTTACAGCTTATAAAATTCATCTGCCTTACCATACAAATGAAAATGAATTGGAGATTTTCTCTATCAAGTTACATTTTCAGACATTTTTTGTACCCCATTATAGATTGGCAACCTGGCTATTCAATTCCTTAATGCTGTTCTGGATAGTTGTCTCAAGAAAGTGAGTGGAACTCAGTGATGAGGAATCCAGATGTGTTCGGCAAGAGATGAGAAACGCTGGCAGTGGGCATAGCTGGAAATTACTGTCAGCCTTGAAAAAAAAGACACTAGAGAAAATTATCTCTAAATATGTTGGGTTTATTCTGGAAAAGAAATAAGGATTATAATCTGGAATGCATGGGATTGCAAACCACTAGTGTATTCAGCGAGAAAAGGGTAAAGGGGAGTTTAATTTTAAAATAGCAATTTACATAAGTGGCTTAGAAACAGAGTTCATCAGAGGTTCAAAGCCAGAGTTGTGACCTGTTTATTGGTGGAGACGCCCTTACTGGGCAAGTGTTCTGAAAACTTCTGATCTGAATCAGTGCTGTCCTAAGAATGTCTAATGATAAAATTTATCAAAGCAGGAGATGCATGAAGGGTTTTTAGAAAGTCCTTGGAAACAGTTCATATCTCCTACATGTAAATAAGGACCTCCTCTCCTTCCAGCTTTCCTTGCCCTATTTTGGCTGGGTCTGAAAAAATGTGACTTTACTCTGGTGTATGCAACTTCCACAGTACACAAATATGAGACAGGGCCTGGCCCCTGAAGGGTAATATGGCTGTGACCAGCAGAACAGCAGAGGAGTTCGCAAATATGTGTTGAACACAAAGTACATTCTCTACCCTAAGCTAAGCTCCAGGGATAACATTATGAGTAGATACGACCCTCTCCTTTGGAGAACTTAAGTTGAACTTAAATGATTGTGGAAAAAGAACCAGGAAGGCCTTTCTTCTTCTTCTTCTTTCAATATTTTATTGAGTATCTGACTGGAAAGAAGTCATTAATTTATCTACTTGCTTTTGTCATAAACCCAGATGTGGAACAAGTATCCAAAAATAGGACCAAGTATGACTTCATGTTACAATATCACCATGGGTCACTGGTGCTGGGCTGCTTGTGACTGTACATGCCATCCCATCATAGACCCACTTACTTACACTTCAAGCCTTAGCTTAGGCATTATTCCTTTTGTGACATTACTGTGACGTAGTTGGTGATAAGACAGGGATATGCAGCGCCCACCCTTCACTGCCTTCTGGTCTTTACTGTAATGCCACCTTAATCACTGAGACCTTCCAGGACACTCTAAATAAAATTATATCTCCCTGGGACATCTATCTCTGTACCTTGTTTTACCTTTCTGCTCAGAAACTATGCAAAACATTTTTTATCTTATTTATCTTTCTACTTTATTGTCTTTTTCTCCTATCATAATGTAGATTTCTGAAGATAAAAATTTTTGCCTGTTTTGATCCCTGTTGTTGTGCTTCATTACCATGTAACTGATGTCTAAAAGACCACCCCAGAGGCCAGGCACAGTGGCTCATGCCTGTAATCCCAGCACTTTGGGAGGCCAAGGCAGGCAGATCACAAGGTCAGAAGATCAAGACCATCCTGGCCAACATGGTGAAACCCCATCTCTACTAAAATACAAAAAAATTAGCTGGATGTGGTGGTGCGCACCCGTAATCCCAGCTATTCAGGAGGCTGTGGCAGGCAATTGCTTGAACCCAGGAGGTGGAGATTGCAGTAAGCCGAGAACGCACCACTGCATTCCATCCTGGTGACAGAGTAAGACTCTGTCTCAAAACAAACAAACAAACAAACAAACACCAGAGCACCCCAGTACATGTAGGTTCTGAAAAAAAAAGTTTGTTGAATGAAATAATGTATAAGAAGTTCTGGATATGTAGAATAGGGTTCTACTTGGCTTATAATATGTGAGACCTTAAAAATTTCACAAAGGGATTAATGCCTAAGCTAAGGCTTGAAGTATAAGTAAGCGGGTCTATGATGGGATGGGGTGTACAGTCACAAACAGCTCAGCACCAGTGACCCATGTTGATATTGTAACATGAAGTCATACTTGGTCTTATTTTTGGATACTTGTTCCTCATCTGGGTTTATGAGAAAAGCAAGTAGATAAATTAATGACTTCTTTCCAGTCAGATATTCAATAAAACTCGTTCCAACTGACATAGCATCAAAGAAGAAATCTTATGTGATGAGAATGCCAATTCAGAAATTCAAAGCAAGAATCTCCATTATCAAAAAGGTGGCCGTGTTGAGTGGGGGATACCTAGGGTCTTGGGAAGTGAATTGGAGAGCCCAGGGAGAGTGACATTCCAAGCCTTGTTTTCATGGGCTGAGGTTGCAGAGTTCTAGCTTCAGTTTTGTGGCAGTGAAGCATGATGCCTTGGAAGCAAGGCCATAGTTGACCGCAGGGTTAAAAAACATCCAAGCAGAATGATTGGACCAAAGCTTGTACTTACAAGTATGAATGGAGAACATTTTGATAATAAATCCTTAACTATTTATTGAAAGCTTACTCTCCCTGGGCCTATCTGGCCTCATTTGATCCTTGCAATAAAACCATGTGGCAAATAGTATTTTTTAATTGCTCCTGATGAAAAATGTAGTTAAAGAGGTTAAGTAACTTATCTGACATCACTCAGCTAGAAAGAAGAAAAGTAGAAAGCACTTATTCATTCATTCAATTTTTTTTTCTCATTTGCTAATGAAGAATTATTGACCAGATGCTAGTCTCTGCTAGTCCCAGGAATATATTGTGAACAAAAAATGACGATGATTGCCTTCATGGACCTACATGTAAATGAAGTCTAAATTCAAACACAGGCTGCTGGACATTTGAGCCTGTGCTTTTAGCAATTAAATTATGGGGAGAGGGAGAAGAAGGGATGGAAGGAATGAGAGGAGGAGAGAGGAAGGAGTCATTGGTAACTGCTGTTCAGAGAGAAAAATGGCATGAGTAACTAATTATTTGTTTTGTCCAGCAGCCAGTGGGAATTCATTAATTCATCAACTAGACCACTCATTCAACACATATTTATTGAGAACTTACTATGATTCTGACCCTGTTCAAGGTACTGGGAATACAGTAGTGAGCAAGACAAACCAGACACTGAATCCATTAATTTCAAATAGTGATATGATAAACAAACCCTAAACCTTAAAGTATAATTAAAAATCAAACAAACAACAGCAACAACAAACAACAACAACAACAACAAAAAAAGACTGGGGCTTTTGACAGCAACATTCGAAGTGGGGTTAGTGGGAGACCTGAGACCTATCTTAGGGCTGAGATTTAAATATAAGAAGAAGGCATCCATGGAAGTTATTCCCAGCAAAGGGGAAAGTCAATAAAATGCTCTAGGCAAAAAACATTCAGCTTTTTTCAGGAATAAAGCTGGAGTTTAGAGTTAAGGGGGCATTTAAGGGGCAAGGGGCTGGGCTGGTGTGAGAGGGAGGTAGTAGCCTGATCATATAATGTCTTGGTGGTTATAGCAGGGGATTGCTTTGGAGGAGAGATGATGGAATATTTTTCTTTTTAAATTATTGTAGTTTAGCTCTTTGAAGGCTCACACCCCACAGGAACTATAATAGGCTGCATCTGACCTTCAGTAGATTAATAGAAACATCCCCTGTTAAGCCCAGGAGGAGCGTGCCCTCAGAGGCATTATTTTTCTGCTATTGAAATACTCTGGTCATTACTGGGAAAGCCCACAGCACTAGCTGAGGTTGTGTGTTCTATTTTATATGTTGTGCAAGATTTTGCAATTGGAGATTACGTAGCACTTTGTTGATAGGATCATTAATGGTTTTTCTTGTTGTTATTAATTGTTTTTCATCCATTTATAAATTGTGCCTCTGCAAACTGGCCCCAGGGTATAAGTGCAAAAATTGAACTTTGATTATAATAAGTAAAGTATTATTAACAAAAGCAATTACAGTTAATAGCTTCAACTAAGGAAAACAAAATGATAGCCTTTAGAGCTTTCCCACTGGGTAAACCAGATTAAATCACTTGCAGAAAAGAAAAATCTTTATTCTTGATCCTATCAAATGCTATAACTAGATGTTGCCTTTGGATATTTCTATCCCCTTCATTCAGAAGCAGAAATTAAGGCTTGAGCTACACAAAGTTATTGCTAATTTTTTGCTGAGATGAGGCTAGGTCATGAAATTCAAGATTTTAATATATGCATTATTTGTCTGATGTTACAGATGAGAGAACTGAGTTTCAGAGAGTTTGTCTAACTTCACCCCAGTTTCATAACTTAAAAGTAGCCCAGCGGTAATTCTCCCCAAATCATTTTTCCTTCATTCAGGATTTTTTGTTAATGTTTTCCCTGAAGTCTGTGATCTGAGCTAGTAGTATTATGTGATATTGAAATGATTTCTAAGAGAATCAAAATAAAGATTCAAGTTTAGTAGATTTTCTATTTATTATAATTTCTTATCAAAAAGTGTTTACCTTTATCATGTTTACTAGCATGGTCATTGAAGGCAGAGAGTGATGACGCAGCTCAAATACTCTCTAGGAAAGAGAGGCTCAGAGAATTTAAGGGATTTACGTCTGATCACATCACTTTTAATAGGAGACATGCTATTTAAAGTCAGAGCTCTGTCTCCAAAATCCACACTCTTTCCAAGAGACCTCAAGGTCACTTTACACAGGGCCCCCTTTTCGCATAGCAAGTTAATCACACTGAAGGAATAGAACAGCTTAGAGTACTAGCCATGAACTCTGTTCTCAGCTCGCTTCTGACTTTCACGTACTCTGCATTTCTCCAGGCCTGACCAGTCTTTGGCTATTTATGAGATATTAATTTCAGTACTGAACCCATATATTGCTGACTTTGGCCCTTGCTTGCTCACATAGTTCCCAGCAAAGTCTTCTCACTTGTGTTTGAGAGTCCAGTTCATGAGCTTGTGAACGTGTCTGTCATCAGGCGCACCTCCCAGAGTTTCTGTACTTAGTTCCCTTCCTTGCTGCAGCTCCCTTGTGAACACTCACTGCAGTGTGGATGTGAAGGCCCAGCACACTGTTACAGACGTGCTCTCGGCTGATGTTCCTTGTGGCTTCCCATATGCCACGGGACCACCCTCCCTCCTTCCAGGTTCTATTCTACAGGGAGAATACCCATGAGGGGCCAAACAGGAAACACATCATGAACTTGTTAATACTTTGATTGAAACATGCAGTTTTCACGCAAGGCTGAAGCGGTGGTCCCATCCATCATTCTGTTATTTAAAATACTGGATCCCCCAATGAAAGACTGATGTTATTATGCATTGAACTTTAAGTGGAGAAGTTTGAACAGAGAGAGCAGACCAGCAGGAAGCCATGGTCAGTCTGCTTAACACATGGAAAATGACTTCAAAATGACCACATTTTTCACTAAGAATGTGCAGTTCAAGACACACACACACACACACACACACACACACACACACGGAAAAACAAAGAATACACAGGAAGGTGTGGCCCACTGCGTTTGTGGTATAGAAATTGTACATAGTGGTAAACACAAACCAAGTGATGCCAGGCTCTCACCATTCCTATCCAGCAGATAACAGCCTTTTAATAAGGAAGACTTGCAAGAAAGGGGGTGATGAAGAAACAGAGACACTCTTGAAATATCCCTTCCTACAGAGGGTACAATTGCTGCTGAAAGGTTCTTCTTCAGGGAAACACGAGGACGTTGCCAGTGCCTCCAATGCACACATTGCCAATGTCCTGCAGGTCTTAAATGGCAGATGTAAAACTCTAATTTTCAACTAAATGGGGAGAATAGTCTTCTGTCCATTTGAGTGGTTATCACCCCTGCCCTGAAGCAGCATATATTTGTATTAAGTATCTTAAAGTGTCCTCTGTAAAAGGACTATTGGAGCCTCCTCTCCTTATGGCTTGGATCTAGTCCTCATGGCCAGGCAGAGGCCTGACGTAGTCATCAAGGTTTCCTTGCCTCCCCCAAGGGAGAGAATCATTGGTCTTCTCCTTCAATCCAAACGACTATGGACTACCTGCAAATCAGCTCATTCAAACAAAACCCTCCCAGTACTTCCCTTTGCCTGAAACCTGTGGTTATCAGAGCCTAACATCAGACAGAGATGAGCTTGTAGCCAGCGCTGGGATACTCTCTGTCTTCTCCAGGCTAGCAGTGTGTTCTGAATTCAGTCTTTCTCTGAATCTGGGAGTCTCTCCCTACTCTTCTTAGATCATCACTATTTTCCATTTCTCTTTGCTCCCTCCTTAATTCTGTTATGTCATTTACCATGCCCTCTGCCTTACTTGGGAAAAATGCATGCACAAACCCAAAATTGGAACAGTTTTCAAATCAGAAAATGCTATTTCTAGGGTGATTTGTCATCTTTAATTATTTACTTCAAAACCTATATAATACTCCTTCTACTCTTGCTTGCTTTGCTGGTTTACTGATTATTTATTATCCAGTACCTGCTATCTGCAGTCTCTGCAAAAGATGTTCAACATACACATAATGTAGCTCAGACCCTGCCCTCAAGACACTCACACTTAACTACAGACAATAGTCAACAAATATTTGAAATCAAGTATGATGGAATATATGACTGGGATATAAACCAAAGAACTAGTTAGTCAGCATATACTGAGTTCAAATTCCAGCTCTATTTTGTACATGTGATGCAATTTTTGGAAAATTATTTATACTCTCTGTGCCTCAGTCTCCTTACCTGTAAAATGGAGATACTGTTAGTACCTCCTCCATAGGGTTGTTGCTAGGATTAAGTGAGTTAATATATTAAAAGGGTCTTGTAATTTTGACTGGTCCAAAGTAAATGCAAAAAAAGCTTTGCTTTTATTAAATGGTGAAAAAAGTGGAGTGCGCGATAAAGTGAAATGGAGTAGGTGCTGCCCATGGATGTCTTTCCATAAAGAGGGACTATTCGAGTTGTGCTTTGAGAGAAGAGAAGATTTTGCCAAGTGGGTGAGGTGTGGAAGGCATGCCATTCAGAGGTGAGCATGTGCCAAAGGAGAAAATGTGAAAAGGCTCCTTTGAGCACCCTGCATAGAGGGATATGGCTGAAGTGTAGGGGAGATGGAAGGAAATTTTGGAAGGAAAGAAGTACGGAAAAGAGGCTGGGGCCAGATCTTAGAGGATTCACAGATGTCCTGGAAAGATGCTGGTATCTCACTCTATAGAAAACAGAATTTGAAGAGTGTTAAGCAGATTTGCTTTGTCAAACCATGACAGTGGTCTCAGGTAATGGTTTTTCCCTTTAAAAATAATGGGAGGGTAAAGAAGGTCACATATACATTTTCTTTCAAGGATTTTTTTTTCCCTTGAGGTGTGTCCATTTTCTTGTTTGAGGATTGACTCATGAAAGCCAGAAAATATCTGCCAATCATCTTGGGTTACATAAATGAACTGATTTTCTGGATATACTCATGTTTCAGATTGTTTTTCCTCTTCTCTCTCCAAAAATTCTGAGGGTTTCTCATCGAACTCTTTGCCTTGGTCATGTTTATTCTTCTACTTCCTTCTTGGCAAACATCCAAACCTCAGGGTAACCAGGAAGAGGCTAACAAGGTTTAGACATTATCCCTTCTGAAAAGCGACTCACAGATGAAAAGTATTTTTTCCTCCATTGGAATTATTATTCGACTAACATCGGATCCAGGATTTGTACTATTGAAAGTTACTAGAACTCTGTGGAAAACTGAGTGTGTGTAAGCCCTCTTTACCTTGCACAAAGTGGCGGTGTACTTGTGCCTGCAATGAGAACTTTCTCCCTCCCCAGTTCTCTGTTACTTGATCTTGTTATGTTTTTTCTTACCGTACAGAGACTGAGCACAAATTTGTGGGGCATGACTCATCATACACAATGCATCTCTCTGCTGTAATGCACCAGTGCTTCCACAACAACCAGGTTTTAGCGATATCAAATGCCATTACACAGTCAATGAAGTGTCAGAGAAACACAGTGGGATGACATTGTTCACAGGCAGATGGATCCCTGTTTTAGATAGCAGCCTCAGTCCTCAGGCCCAGGTGAGAGTGTCTGTGCCCTCCTTCATGCACACACGTGTTTGGCAGCAGAATTGTGGATGTCACATTCTTAATACATTTTCTTCTCTTTTTCCGCTGGCATTGAGTTCATATCTTTAAGGATTCATAGTTTTTTTTTTCTATTTTGAACTAGACTCATTTAATTTCTGTGAAACTTATCTCCTCCCACCTAACTCTGCTAAAAACAAAAGTTAACACAATAATTTATTTGTTTTTGTTAGATGTTTAAGGGTATGCACAAATCAGGGAGAAAAATTTTAGTGTCACTAGATATTGTATTTATAATGATGGCATGATCTTCCAAAAAGGGCCACGTCTTATTTTTCTACTAAGGAAAATATAGAACTGAATACATAGATACTCAATAGAGGTTTGATGAATGAGGAAATTAATTATTTCCCTGACTTTCTGGTTTATAAGGCAATCTACAGGTTAGTTGGCTAAACAGTCTATCCACCTCTAGGTCTGTAATACTCTTATCAAAGGGTCATCTAGCCTAGCTTGCATACTCTTAGAAACTTTGGCTCATTAACTCCCAGACACTAACCAGGATTTGGATAAATATGGTCATTATATAGTTCTTGCTTATATTAAAGTTCGAATGTCTCTGTTTTTTAATTATCAATCCAGACTATGTCTGTACTTTAGATAAATGATTAGCCTAAAAATCCAAGAGAGTTCTAAAATCCAGTTTTCTATCAGTGAAACAACCAAAGTGATCCACACTGTAGCAATGCAATATCAGTATTTCATTTAGTGAGCACTTATTCTCATACCTTTTCATTTGTGATTACCTATTATCTGTTAACAATTTGGAATTTATCTCTTCAGAATGTGAAATGTCTTTCTCCTGTTCTCAAATTTTTCTTCTGGATATTGCATAAATGTATTATAATGTCTTAGCTTTCTTTTCAGAATAGCAGTTTTATGTTTTCTACATAAGGAATGTGATTCATATTTTTCAGCATCTAACATCTCTATGAGAGCATGATGGTACATACATTTTTCTGGATTTTTATTGATTTTAATTGGACTGGCAAGCAAAGAGAAGCAGCAGAATCTAGGTGTTAAAGCCTGGTTCCATCTCTCTAAGTTAGAAGCCTGGTTCTGCCTCTATCTGTGAGAACTTAAGTAATTCCTTTTACTTCTTTATGCCTGCATTCTCTAATTTATGAAATCATTGATCTAAATAATGAAGAGCGAGAATTTCTCAAAGAAAATGTTGTTTATTTGGGAATAGGTGTTACAATGGGAACACTGGTGTCATAGTAAACTATGTGTGTATTCAGGGAGGTAAAGGAAAACAAAGGTTTTTTCAGGAAAAATAGAGTATTACCTAATTGTTTTGAGATAATTATCCTTGGTGGCAAGGAACAAAAAAAAAGGTGGCATCAGTCCAAAGTTGGACTAGCAGTTGCTGAGCAGTTTTTTGGTGTGTAAGGTAGTGATGGCCTTTGTGCAAGGTTGTGGTTTTTGTAGTCTTTTGTGATTGTTTTTGTTACTAGGCATTCATGCATGATAATCCTTCATGGCCTTCTCTGGCTCTGTTTTTTGGGTTTTTGTTTTGTATTGCTGTTAACACAAGTGAATTTATTTTGACTCTGACAACTTCCACAAAATGTTTAAAATACTAAAACTACCAGGGCCATATTGTGAGTATGAAACAATTTAATTGCCATGAAGTGCTTTTAAGAGTAACTATTTCAAACTAAGCAGTTGATAATGGTAAGCTGTTCTTTAGAGCTTGGCTAAAATCTCTGTCTGTGATCCATAATTTGTATTTCTCTCCACAATTCTGCAATGTCCAGATGAGTATTACTAGCAGGCATCACAAGATAACAATCTTTTTCTGAAAATCTCTATTCAGATCCACACATCAACAGGACTTCTTGCCTCCAATCACAGGATCCAGGGTTTTTTGGTTTTGTTTTGTTTTTTTTATAAAGACAGCTTTGCGGAGGACTAGCAAAGGGTCTTTATTCCAAATTATCTCCTCTAATGACTAAGTTGGAGGCCCTGGTAAAAATGTTCACTGTAATAAGTTATAAAACTAACATTTACGGATCATTTACTATTTGCACAATACTAAAGCATGATTCTAAGTATTTTACATGTGCAAACTTTCTTAATCTAACTTTTTTTTTTGAGATAAGGTCTCATTCTGTCACTCAGGCTGGAGTGCAGTGGTGCCATCAAGGCTCACTGTAGCCTCTACCTCCCAGGCTTAAGTGATCCTCCCTCCTTAGCCTCCTGAGTAGCTAGGACTACAGACATGCACCACCACACCTAGCTAAATCTTTTATTTTTTAGTAGAGACAGGGTGTATTAGTTCGTTCTTACACTTCTAATAAAGACCTACCTGAGACTTGGTAATTTATAAAGAAAAGAAGTTCAATTTACTCACAGTTCTACATGGCTTGGGGGGCCTCACAATCATGGCTGAAGGCAAATTGAGGAGCCAAGTCACGTCTTACATGGCAGCAGGTGAGAGAGCTTGTGTAGGAGAACTCCCCTTTATAAAACCATCAGATCTAGTGAGATGTATTCATTATCACTAGGACAGTACAGGAAAGATCCGCCCCCATGAATCAATTACCTCTCACCGGGTCCTTCCCAGAACACGTAGGAATTATGGGAGCTACAATTCAAGATTTGGGTAGGGACACAGCCAAATCATATCACAGGTTTTCATCGTGTTGCCCAGGCTAATCTAGAACTGTTGGGCTCAAGGGGTCTGCTCACCTCAGCCTCCCAAAGTGCTAGAATTACAGGTGTGAGCCACCATTCCAGGCCTGTTTTTTTCTTTTTGTTTTTTTAATTTTTTGGAGACAGTCTCACTGTGCTGTGTCACCTAGGCTGGAGTGCAGTGGTGCAAACTTGGCTCACTGCAACCTCTGCCTCCCAGGTTCAAGTGATTCTCATGCCTCAGCGTCCCAAGTAGCTGAGATTACAGGCATGCATCACCACACCTGGCTAATTTTTGTACTTTTAGTAGACAGGTTCTTGGAGTTTCACCATGTTGCCAGGCTGGTCTCAAACTTCTAGCCTCAAGTGATCCTCCTGCCTCGGCCTCCCAAAGTGCTGGGATTACAGGCATGAGCCACTGTGCCTGGCCTCAAATTGTATTCTTAGACAACCCAGTGAGTTAGCTAATATTATTCCTACTTAATGAATACATAGAATATTTATAGAGAGGCTAAGTAGGTTACCTAAAGTATAATGTTGGTAAAAGTTGGAGATTGGATTTGAACTAGGCAGGCTGATTTCAGAGCTTGAGTTCTTAAACACTCAATTTTTCTGCTTCCTTCTCATATCCAAAAACTTAGGTTATCATCCAATGAAAATAAAAACAGATTTGTTTGTTTCACAACTGTATGCCCTAGGATTTTTCCAGTGTCTGGCACATAGCAGATTCTCTGTAAATACTTAGTGAATTAACGAGCATGCCACACCTCAAGCTCTTTGAATTATTTTATCAGATTAGGTACTTGATAGGTAGAATGGAGGAAAATAATTGAATAAATTTTGAAGTGGATCTAATAAAGATCAGAGAGGAAGATAAAATCTTGAATTTATTGAAATCCTATGGTGATATAATGACACTTGACACTTCTCTATTTGTTATTTTTTAATCATTAACAATTTATGAAATAAGGAATAGTGTCTTTTATTTATACCATGTCAGTTCTTTATTTTCCTTGACTTATTTTTCTCCCTAATAAGAATAAGAGTAAAACAAAACTGTGTACTCTGGTTTAAGTCTGAGAATTACAACAGGGTCAATTGCATCAGACTCTGTGTGACTGGATAACAAGAATAACAGAAGCACTAATAAGCCAGGCAGCTATCAAAATGTCACAAACCAATTTAACAACAAAGCTAAAGTGAACATGAGTTTGCCCCAGGTCACTGATATTTACAGCATGCAAAAACATATAGTTAGTTATCTAAAATATTATGCAAAGTTCCTGAATCCCCTTCTATCTTATTACATATCTCCTTTCACTTTCTCCTTTTCCTCTCCAGTCCCGATGGGTAACTCACCCCTATCTTGGATAAGAGCTTTGGGAGCCTGTGAGTTACATGAAGGAAGAGACTCAAAGTCAATGGTGAGTCTCTTATATTCTCCCTTTTTTATTTCATTTTATTTTTAAAATCTTATTTTGATATTTCAATCAATAAGAAAACCTCCTTCATTTAGCAAGTATGGGCATATTTTATATTAGTCATTCAGATTTAAAAATGCTATTTATATCTTTAATTAGAAAAAAATACTTCCAACTATGAAGGGTTAGTGTAGTGATATGGTCTGGCTCTGTGTCCCCACCCAAATCTCACCTTGAATTGTAATCCCTATATACCCTACTTGTCAAGGGAAGGACCAGGTGGAAGTAATTGAATCATGGGATTGGTTTCCCCCATGCTTTTCTGGTGATAAAAAGTGAGTGTCAAGAGATCGGATGGTTTCATAAGCGTCTGGCATTTCTCCTGCTTGCTCTTCTCCTTCCTGTCACCTTGTGAAGAAGGTGCCTTGCTTCCCCTTTACCTTCCACCATGACTGTAAATTTCTGGGGCCTTCCCAGCTATGCTGAACTGTGAGTCAATTAAACCTCCTTCCTTTATAAATCACCCCATCATGGGGATGTCTTCATTAGCAGCATGAGAACGGACTAATACATATAGTATAACTGTCAATGATGACGAGTAGGCAACTGAAGTCAGATTGACTAGATCTCAACTCTCTTTCCTACTAGCTGAATGCTACCACATGCATATGCATGCACACATGCATCTATCTATCTATCTATGGAGCAATACATTTTTTTCCTTTTTTATTATACTTTAAGTTTTAGGGTACATGTGCACATTGTGCAGGTGAGTTACATATGTATACATGTGCCATGTTGGTGTGCTGAACCCAGTAACTTGTCATTTAACATTAGGTATATCTCCAAATGCTATCCCTCCCCCTTCCCCCCACCCCACAACAAGCCCCGGTGTGTGATGTTCCCCTTCCTGTGTCCATGTGTTCTCATTGTTCAATTCCCACCTATGAGTGAGAACATGCAGTGTTTGGTTTTTTGTCCTTGTGATAGTTTGCTGAGAATGATGGTTTCCAGCTTCATCCATGTCCCTACAAAGGACAGGAACTCATCCTTTTTGTGGCTGCATAGTATTCCATGGTGTATATGTGCCACATTTTCTTAATCCAGTCTATCATTGTTGGACATTTGGGTTGGTTCCAAGTCTTTGCTATTGTGAATAGTGCCGCAATAAACATACGTGCACATGTGTCTTTATAGCAGCATGATTTATAATCCTTTGGGTATATACCCAGTAATGGGATGGCTGGGTCAAATGGTATTTCTAGTTCTAGATCCCTGAGGAATCGCCACACTGACTTCCACAATGGTTGAACTAGTTTACAGTCCCACCAACAGTGTAGAAGTGTTCCTATTTCTCCACATCCTCTCCAGCACCTGTTGTTTCCTGACTTTTTAATGATCGCCATTGTAACTGGTGTGAGATGGTATCTCATTGTGGTTTTGATTTGCATTTCTCTGATGGCCAGTGATGATAAACATTTTTTCATGTGTCTTTTGGCTGCATAAACGTCTCTTTTGAGAAGTGTCTGTTCATATCCTTTCCCCACTTTTTGATGGGGTTGTTTTTTTCTTCTAAATTTGTTGGAGATCATTTTCTGGATATTAGCTCTTTGTCAGATGAGTAGATTGCAAAAATCTTCTCCCATTCTGTAGGTTGCCTGTTCACTCTGATGGTAGTTTCTTTTGCTGTGCAGAAGCTCTTTAGTTTAATTAGATCCCATTTGTCAATCAATTTTGGCTTTTGTTGCCATTGCTTCTGTTGTTTTAGACATGAAGTCCTTGCCCATGCCTATGTCCTGAATGGTATTGCCTAGGTTTTCTTCTAGGGTTTTTATGGTTTTAGGTCTAACATTTAAGTCTTTAATCCATCTTGAATTAATTTTTGTATAAGGTGTAAGGAAGGGATCCAGTTTCAGGTTTCTACATATGGCTAGCCAGTTTTCCCAGCACCATCTATTAAATAGGGAATTGTTTCCCCATTTCTTGTTTTTGTCAGGTTTGTCAAAGATCAGATGGTTGTAGATGTGTGGTATTATTTCTGACAGCTGTGTTCTGTTCCATTGGTCTATATCTCTGTTAAATAATAAGAGCTATATATGACAAACCCACAGCCAATATCATACTGAATGGGCAAAAACTGGAAGCATTCCCTTTGAAAACTGGCACAAGACAGGGATGCCCTCTCTCACCACTCCTATTCAACACAGTGTTGGAAGTTCTGGCCAGGGCAATCAGGCAGGAGAAGGAAATAAAGGGTATTCAATTAGGAAAAGAGGAAGTCAAATTGTCCCTGTTTGCAGATGACATGATTGTATATCTAAGAAACCCCATCATCTCAGCCCAAAATCTCCTTAAGCTGATAGGCAATTTCAGCAAAGTCTCAGGATACAAAATCAATGTACAAAAATCACAAGCATTCTTATACACCAATAGCAGACAAACAGAGAGCCAAATCATGACTGAACTCCCATTCACAATTGCTTCAAAGAGAATAAAATACCTAGGAATCCAACTTACAAGGGACGTGAAGGACCTCTTCAAGGAGAACTACAGACCACTGCTCAATGAAATAAAAGAGGATACAAACAAATGGAAGAACATTCCATGCTCATGGGTAGGAAGAATCAATATCGTGAAAATGGCCATACTGCCTAAGGTAATTTATAGATTCAATGCCATACCCATCAAGCTACCAATGACTTTCTTTACAGAATTGGAAAAAACTACTTTAAAGTTCATATGGAACCAAAAAAGAGCCCACAATGCCAAGTCAATTCTAAGCCAAAAGAACAAAGCTGGAGGTATCATGCTACCTGACTTCAAACTATACTACAAGGCTACAGTAACCAAAACAGCATGGTACTGGATCAATGCATTTTTAACTGAGAGTTATCCATTTACTTTTCTGTACAATCATATGGTTGCTTTAAGGTTTAAATAAGTTAATTCATTCAAAGCACTTACACTGAGACTTGGCCTCACCTGTTGGAAGTTTAGCTATTAGCATTTTTGCTCCTGTTATTTCTATATTGTTATTTACAATAAACCAAATAATAAAAAATGCTTCCTAATTAATGCAAATTTTGAGTTCTCTTAATGAATCTCTTCTTATTCAAATACCCTAGCTAACTAGTATGAATCTGAATGTCTGGTTGGAATTTGTTGCACTTAAACACACAACATTTTTTTATCTGTAGGTTTTTGCAAATTTTATGCTGCATAAACGAATCTGTCTATTTATTCCTGAGTTATATTCTCCTGAAAAGATTTATTTCCTTCTTCTTTGTCCATCCATAAATGTCTCCTTTCTTTGCCATAGCCCCTCTCATTACTCATTACATCCACCAGGCTATATTAAAAAGACCCTATACTGGTAACATTCTATGAGAAGAATCTTCCTGCTTTTGTAAACATAGCTCCCCTCCACATATGTATTCACACATACAATATCAAAATTATTTTATACACAGTTTTATATCCCCCTGAAGGGAAATTATTGTTAACATTATAAGTATTCTGTTTATTTTACCTAGTTTCTGAAGATATAATTTATATTAGCTATGTAACATTTCATCATATCAATCCTAAAAATGATTTGAACAATTTCTATTGGGATATTTAAGATGACTATAGTTTTTCTTTGTTATTAGTAATGTTGTGACAAATAACTTTGTGTATAATTCATTTTGGACAAACTAAGCAAAGGGATATGAGTTATTTTAAGGCTCCTAATCTATAATGCCAATGTAACCATTATTAAAATATGTACTTAATAAATATTTGTTATTTCCATTGTTACCTCATTTCTACCCTTGCATACACTTCTGGGTTTATTGTCAAACAAAATTGGGGGACCTAATTACAAACCAGCAAATTTGCCTCATACAGGATTAAAATAAGGACCTTAAAAGGATCATTTTAAGGCAATTTAGGCAAATTATCTTGACTTCTGATTCAATTTGTTGTAGGTTATCTGAAGCTAGGGAATAAGAAAATAGACTAAGTTCAATCTACAGAAGTATTACTCATAGTATCATAAGATATATTGAAACAAATTATTTCTTGTTCTTTAGTAATTCTAATACATGGAAGGTGTCCTTTAACTTTAAATAATTTAGTCCTCTATTGCAGGTGCTCAATTTAGGTTCTATTCCCTTGTCTGACATGTGTTTTGAGGTAGCTTTTGTCTTGTTTCTGGCTGGATTCTGAGAAATGCTGGCATAGCCATATACATTTAGGAGGACCCTCAAATGAATTGTAACTACCCATTATAGGACCATAACAAAACAGTACAAACACACCAGTTGTCTGGGCAGCCATGAAACTTACTTGATCTAACTCCAGATGTTTCCTGTATCCCATGAAACAACCTCTCAGAGAAGAGCGTATTTCCAAAAATCGTTCTGTGTTTAAAATTTAGGTGCTAAACATAGACATTCAGTGAAAATGTAAAAATCAAAGTTCAATTACTCATCCCAGTTGCCCCCTGCAGATGTATCTCTTTGCCAGATGTCAAACAGATTACTGATTACTATGGTGGCTTTTCAAAGCCTCTCTTCCTCTTCTGCTTTTCTTAGACTCTGATACACTTCCTTTCTCTTTATTTCTGGCAGCTGCATTTATGACATCTTGAACCCGGCTTTGAGAGGTTAAAAGATGGGTCTCGTTTACTTTTCTTTCTGTCTTTCTTCATACCAAATTGCTTGCGGCTGACATGAGGGAGGAAAAATAAAAGGCCAGCGACCAGGTTGTCTTCTTGCCTTTGCCTAAGTCCCATCAACATCCCCAAGCCTGGGAAAACATGACCCTGGCTTGAGACACAATGATTTTTGCTTCCGCTGTCTGGAAGCCACAAAACCCACACCCACTTCCTCTCCAGGCAAAATCATCTCATTTTCAAACCTCATATCACTATGGGAAATAGCAAATCAGATTTTTGGAAAGGCCAAACTTTTAAGATTGAGTTTCAGTTGATGACTAATGACAGCCCTTTTTTCCCGTTGCTTTTCTCTCACAGGAACTAGGATAAGCACTTTTTATCCTTATCTAACACCATAGACTACAGACTACATCCACTTATCTCCTCTTTCATCCTAGATCTGCTTTATACACTATTTATACTTTGCATTGAAACACTATGCCTGAAACCAATAGATTATCAATATACTTTTTCTCAGGATAGTGCGCTGCAATGCATGATTGCCTTCAAAATGTAGAAAAATAACATATATCCAAAGTAGTAAAGGTGATGCCATTCCACTTGTAATTTTAGGTTGCATGAAGCGGCAACCTACTATACTTTTTTATCCTATTTTATTTTTATTTTTATTTTATTTCATTTTTTTGAGATGGAGTCTCAGTCTGTCACCAGTCTGGCATGCAGTGGCACAATCTCGGCTCACTGCAACCTCTGCCCCCCGGGTCCAAGCCATTCTCCTGCCTCAGCCTCCCAAGTAGCTGGGACTACAGCTGGTACCACCATGCCCACCTAATCTTTGTAATTTTAGTAGAGACAGGTTTTCACCATGTTGGCCAGGATGGTCTCCATCTCTTGACCTCGTGATCTGCCTGCCTCGGTCTCCCAAAGTGCTGGGATTACAGGCGTGAGCCACCATGCCCGGCCTATACTTGTATTTTTATTATTTAAATTTATTTACCCTTTTGCTTTTACTTGCTTTTTATTTAACCTGCATTATGGTGGCAACAGAGAAAAAGGTGGAGCCCAAACATTTACAGAAGTTTCTTCAAAAGTAGAATCTGAAGGTATTAGCCATCATGTTTATGGAATTTAGAACTTTCTGCTCAAGTTCTCTCATGATTTCTTTCTTCAGTAGATTAACATTCAACTGATTTTTAGCAAAGTGAAGATCAGGGCTGGCTTTAAACAAACATAGATAGATGTGAGCTGTGAGATTGGTCAGAGTACTTAGGGAATCAAATTTCCTGAAATATTTTTCACTCCGACTTCTGGGTAGCTCACCACATATATTAGACAAGAAGAATGATACCATAAATACTTCTGACTCTTGCTGTTTAAAGAACTGAGATTTTCCTTGGGCATTTTTCTACCTTTAGTAACATAGGGCTGGGTAGTGAAGCCATCATTGATTATAATGATCAATGCAGATATTCTAATCGAGTGTTCCTAGCTTCCCAATAACTATTGCCAGATTTGATGCTTGTATTGATAAAATTAAATGGGAGATGTTTATTTCTTTAATTTGTTTTTTATCTTGACTTTATAATATGAGATTTCCTGGATGAATGGAGTGAATTCAGGGACATATATTTAGCTTCTAAATTTCATTTTTCACCAGTCATCTAACCCAACTATGTTCTCCTTCTACCCATTACTTGAAAGTCTATTCAGACACTGAATTTTCTCCTGCTCTGTTTTGTTACAAACACTTCTTTCTGTAATTACTACCCTTCTCTGTTTATGTTCACATGATATTTTCCCATATGGAGAGGGTGAAGGAAACAATCTTTTACTTAAAATAAATGAGTAGATTATATTTGAGATTGTAATGTTTTATTCTCTGCAGATTCATTTCACAAAAACATTGATATTTGAGTAGGGAAATAATCCATTGGATACTTCTTCCTACCTGAGCCCTGTTTGTTAGCTGATGTAAAATGTTACTGTGGTCAATTCAATTTTAATTGGTTCAGGCAACTGGGTTTCCAATGTTTTCCAGAAGAGATTAATCTCTGTGCTCAGTGATTCTTTTTTTGCAAGAAATGTTTTCATAATATGTGTGTGTTCAGTATTCATGAATAATACCTTTTAACTTCTCTCCTGTGATATTTACATATCATACACTTCAGATGATGTTAGGTGGTTTTCTTATTCTCCTTCCTCATTGGCTTACAAGCTATGTATACCTAGCTCTTTCTCTATTTGGAAGTCAATTCCTGAAGATATTCCAGTTGTTATTGTTTGGCTTCTTTCTGACTTAATAACACAGTTCTCCAAACTTACTTTAGTAGAAATACTCCATTTCTTACAATAGGCTTTTAAGTCTGACTTGAATTGCTGTAGTAAGTGACCGTATGCTGTGGAGTTATGTACTCTTTACTAGAAATACAACTTAATTTTTGCTACTCTAATGAAATTTAAAATCTATAAGGAGCCCAATGAGCAGCTTGCCCAGTGGTAAGAATTTGGATGTAGAAATGAACAAATGGACTATTAGTGAGGATGAATTCTATCTTTCAAATTAACCACTTCTCACTAAGGTTCTTTCGAAGATTTGCTAAGCTAAATATTTCTTATCAAATAAGATTGTGATTTAAATTATAAGTGGCTTGAGGTGGAAAGTCTTAGTTTTGTTTGTTTGTTTGTTTTTTGACACAGTCTCACTCTGTCGCCCAGGCTGGAGTGCAGTGGTGCCATCTCGGCTCACTGCCAACCTCTGCCACTCGGGTTCAAGTGATTCTCTTGCCTCAGTCTCCCAAGTAGCTAGGACTACAAGTGCACGCCACCACATGTGGCTAATTTTTTTGTATTTTTAGTAGCGATGGGGTTTCACCATGTTGGCCAGGCTATTCTTGAACTCCTGACCTCAAGTGATCCACCTGCCTCCGCCTCCAAAAGTGCTGAGCCACCATGCACAGCCGGAAAGTCTTAGTTTTCACTTGCATCTTACCTCAGAAATAGATTCTAAAATGAATGTTTAGAGAGACAACTTAATCCAAAATTTCCATTGAAAGTGACGTACATTATCTATAACTCACAAACATTATTAAGAATCAGGAAAAGGTCTTAAAATGACTTGTCATAGGTTTGCTAAAATGCGTTGAATGTATCTATTGTATGATTGCTATATAATGTAATTCCTATTCTTAAGTGACTTCCAACGAAGAACACATGGCTTAATTTGTGTGTTAGATATGCATAATATATTACATAACTCTACTTATTTTGTAACCCACATAACAATTAGCACAGGCAGAAGATTTAAAAGTCAGTGCACAGTGAACACATTCTTCTCACTGTGTCAGTGTGTTTGCAGTAATGTGTTAAGATGGATTCTCTGTAGACCTTGGTCTTTGAATGACTACAGTAAGAAGGATCTCCTTGCTAACATATGCTGGACATTTAACATGACTGAGAAATACATTATGTATTAAGCCACTGAAACTTGTTTTGTTACTTTAGCATCACATGGTGTATCCTGATTAACAAAATATTGTATTAAATCTCTTCTTTCTTATCAAATTTTCCACTTCCTAGCCTCAAAAGATGGCCTGCTTCTTATTTCATTGAGAAAACAGTAGCACTTAGAAGATCACTAATTCCACAAACCCACCTTCAAAAATACTCATATGTTCTGTATTATTTTCTATTAAAATGGGAGAGCTATCATTACATGTGTAAAGAAGAACTATAATTTCATGTTCTCTGCCTTATTCCATATCTTAATTCTTTACACTAATCCCTTTTTCCTCTTTTATCATCAAATCACCTTCTCCATGGGATTTCGCATTACACATTGAGCTACGATATTGTCTATTTTTAAAATCCTCCTCAGACAAGTTGCCTCTCCAGCTACAACTTCATTTCTCATTGGACTGTACATACAAACTTTTAACATTATTTTTCTGTGCTTGCTTCCTTCAATTGCTTACCCCCAGTTATGTTCAGTTATTATTTAATCCACATCCATCTACTGAATCCACAAAGTTCCCAACTACTGCCATCCCCCCAGATCCAATGGTCAATTCTTATTCCTTTTCTTTATCCATCTCTCACATGAATGTAAATCCTAGTTGATAAAGCTTCTCATCTTGAGTTACTCCTTCATTGACTTCTGAAACATCCCTCTTTGCTGAAAGAATGTTACTCCTAACTTGCTGGCTACTCCTTCTATTATTCTTCACCTAAATATTAAAATGCCCCAAGGAAGACAGAGCCTTACACATAGTTGGTGTTTAATAATTATTTGGGGAATACATGAATAAAGGTTTGATATTTAGGAACTTTCATGATGTTATTAATAGCTAGTATGTTTGCTAGGGTGTATTTTACCTACAAAAGGAAAGGTTCTACATATATACCTTTAAAGTATAGTATCACTAAAACATTTATCAACCGTATTGTGATCAGTAATTTACTTATTAATCCTTTCAACACATTTTAAGCTCTTTGGATGTCTTGTTTTCTGAGTGTGCCTATGTCCATTATCTAACATGAGGCTCGGATAAATGAATGAATGAATGAATGAATGAATATACATTTGACTTACATTGAGTTTTAAAGTAGCCAAATAACATATGTCATTTTCACATCAACTGCTATTGAATTGTAACATTTAGCTGCATTGTTTAAGTGCTTGTTTAAGGGATCTAATTCTAAAAGCTTATATTTTTTCCAATATTTTGTTTCATCTGCTATATTTTAGGTTATTTTTCTAGCCGAAATATTTTTAGAGTCTCAATTATTTGAAGCAAGGTATCAACTATCTAATATGTGATTCACTTGCAATATAGTATGTATGTTTTCTTTGTCTTTAACCAAAAAGCTTAGAAGGAAATGTTGACAAAAACAAGGTCAACAGCAAATTATCTTAGGCATTCTCTTAGAAATCTCCTTTCCTGTTGTACATGAAACATTACTCAAACCTTATCGGCCAACTTAGAATGACTCTTCCATGTGGTATTTTCGAACCATTTATATCATATTCACTTTTAGAACTACTCCTTTAATTTAAATATGTATAATAAAAAAATTTAAATATGTCACCAGCTAAACCCATTGCCACTTGCCATTTCTGTTTCTTTTAGGACAGTGCTTTTATACAGTGTTACACTTATTGTAACAGGAAAGATTGTAGCTACATGTAGTAGAATATTGAATAAGAGTGCCTAGAAAAATCCAAATAATCATAAACTTAAAACAAAACAGTGCAGTGGGAGTGTAAATTACTTCAACCATTGTGGAAGACAGTGTGGTGATTCCTCAACAATCTAGAAACAGAAATACCATTTGACCCAGAATCCTATTACTGGGTATATACCCAAAGGATTATAAATCACTGTACTATAAAGACACATGAACACGTATGTTTATTGCAGCACTATTTACAATAGCAAAGACTTGGAACCAACCCAAATGCTCATCAATGATAGACCAGATAAAGAAAATGTGGCACATATACACCATGGAATACTATGCAGCCATAAAAATATGAGTTCAAGTCCTTTGCAGGGATATGGATGAAGCTGGAAACCATCATCCTCAGCAAACTAATACAGGAACAGAAAACCAAACGCTGCATGTTCTCACTCATGAGTGAGAGCTGAACAATGAGAACACATGGACACAGGGAAGGGAATATCGCACACTGGCCTGTCGGGGGAGTGGGGGGCTGAGGAGGGAGAGCATTAGGACAAATACCTAATGCATGCAGAGCTTAAAACCTAGATGACGGATTGATAGGTGTGGCAAACCACCGTGCCAATGTATACCTATGTAACAAACCTGCGTGTTCTGCACATGTACCCCAGAACTTAAAGTAAAAGAAAAACAAAACAAAACAAAACAAAACAGTGGCCTGTAATTACAGGGCTTGTTCAGGAGCTTAGTTAGGCAATAAAGTTCCAGGGTTTCCCCATTGTTTTGCTCAGCTATTGTGATCATACTGCCTCTTTTTCTTTATTCAAGTCACTACACCCAGCCACAAGAAAAGGTCTAAGAATCATGTTCTTGGGCTATGCTTCAATATACAAGGTAGGAACAAATGATATTTATTTTTATCAGAGAGAACTACATTCATATCTCCATCCCCATCGTATTTCTGAAAATATCTTTGGCCATATATAGCTCCACACAGTTTCTTCTAGCTTCAAGAGAGGCTGGATATATCAGGCAAAGAAAATGATTGTCTTGATTGGTTGTGTCACGTGTATCATATTTTCATCTCTGGGGCTGGCCCCATTGCAATCCCAAATAAACTGGAATTTTGTTAGCAAGCCTACTGGTTTAGGCAACTAACAATGCCTGCTACATTCTCCGTCATTTTCTCTACAATTGCCCTGATACTTTTCCTTTTTTAGGAAGTCACAGAACCGCCAATGGATTTACTACAAAAAATACTCTCTGTCTATTCTCTGAATTCCAGTTTCTCCTGCCACCAATGAATGTCCCTATTTGTGTCACAGTTTTCCTTCTTTTTCACGAACCCTTAGTCTTGCTATTATTTGTCTGCATGTGCATCTCTTGCATCTTATTCACAGTTTAATTCTTTCTCAGCATCTGGCACATAGAGGGTAACTAACAAATATTTCTACAACAAATGAATGAATGGCTACATAGTTGTCAAAAATCCTTCTGAAATGCTGCATTTATCATAGCCCTTCCCTATTCAAATCCACCGGTGCTCCTTCTTTTCTGTGCCATGAGAAGGACTAATCTTTTTATCTACTTTGTGGGGTATCTAGAACACAGACTTACTCAATTTTAGTTTTCATCACTCTTCAATAAGCCCTCTGAGATTTGGTCTCCTCTATTAGTCCTCTCACAATAGCATATAAAGTACTCGATTTAATATTTCATATGTGAAAGCAATTTATACATTATAAAATGATATACATTAGGGGTGATTATTTGGACTCACTTCACCTTCATGTGCATACTTAAATTTCTATCATATAAAAATAACTCTCTTTTCCTCTTCTTTTTCCAAAATCTCTCTCTCTTTCTCTCTCTCTCTCTCTGTTTTTTTTTTGGTCCCACCTATTGCTGACTATCAGTGACCCACTCACATCCTCATAGCACTCATCTCTGCATCTCTGAATGAAAAACACAGCCACGTTAAAATCTTCTCTGTCTAGCAGAGCAAATTCCATCTGTGTATAGGTGACCAGCAGCAATGAAGAGTTAATATCACTTTGAGCAGCTCTTAGTCAATGGAAGATTCATCTTTCTCATCCCTTAGCTGGGGCAACTCTGATGTATATTGTATATGGTCTGCCAGAATTCCCAGTGGTATGAAACTCCAATTGTCTACAGTAGTAACATGCTTAGTTTTCCACATATTAAATGGCTTGCCACTTTTTTTTTCTTTTCCTGGTTCTCTTCCTTCCCTGTCTCCTTTTTGTACTTTTTAATCATTATATTCTGGGATTATATCTCAAATAAACCATTTGAAGTCAAGTCCTTGTCTCACTGTCTGCTTCCAAGGAGACCCAGGCTAATAATTTAATAATAGATTAACCCAGACTTACTATCCCCAGACTAACGTACCTCCTCTGAGTCACCTCATTCATGTGACTTTCATTGATATTCTGGCCCATATTTATTTCTTCCTCCAATTGTGTTGTTGAGAGTCACTAATGCATTTTTCCTTCCAATTATTTTAGCACCAGATAATGATCTACAATTCTGAAAATGTTTCTTGTATCATTGTTCATTCTCTTCAATAAGATTCTTAGCTTCCCAAGGCCAGCTTCTATATGTTATGAAAATTCTCTATAACCTCAAAGTAGCTGGCACAGACCTGGCCACTGTGGATTTATGCCACGGTACTTTACACTGGTTGATTGGCTGTTGCAAGTTCATGAGATACTGTGAACATCTGATAATTCAACAAAAGCTCCAGATTTTCATACAGAGACTGTTGATTTTTAATATTGTGGCTCATTCATATTTTAAAATTATATCTGAGTTCAGATACTGACTTTGGCAGCTAACTGGTGACTTTGGACATTCAACTTAAACTCTCTCAGCCTAAGATTCTGCACTGAGGATGTGAAACTAATAATCTCCATTTTGTAATATCATGATACCACCAGAGTATGTATTAAAAATAGAGAATAATAGGTATAATAGTGGATGGAAAGACAGACCACAGCAAGATGTTAGAGTTGAGTGTTGCACACAAGGTAGTCAGTGTAATCAGCAATACTACAGAAATATGCCATCAATGAGATAAATGAAAATATCTCACCAAGAGTGAGATTCTTTACCAGATTAGAAAGTCTCAAACTTCTTGTTGAGGTTGATGATCAAAGGAGAAATGCTATCCTGAGAGAAGTTCTAGAGGACAGCACAGGGAGGAAGTTTGGTTTAAAGTGGTGCCATGCTGTTGCACACTTCACAGAGAGCAGATAAACAGAGGAGCAGCAGCCACAGTGGGAGAGGGAAGATTGTGGTCTGGATAACAAGGCTTTTACTCTGATCTGTCTTTGGGCAAAGACTGAGTCTGAAAGTCCCCCTAGCTAAGGGAATTCCAGTGAACTGAAGACAAGAAGAGAGACAAGGAGGAGAATGAGCATTGAGACCAAGACTTTCCTTCCAGCCAGCCTCTGGAGTGAAGGAAAATGGCTATGTAAGACTTCAAGTGATTAAAGCTGTGTATGAATTATTGTTTAAGTATGGCTACATGAACTTTTATAAAAAATTTACCTCCAGGGCATTTTGAGTCTTTTCTCTTTTGTTCTATATTTTTGCTTGTTTATTTCACAAGTACTTATAGTATAGAAACATTTTAAGGAAAACAGATAACAGAATTTATCATTTGGAATGTACTCCTACAAAAGAATTCTGATCATTTAGTTGGGCCTTGACCACTAAATCTTAAATTAAGGTCATTGTTACAGACTCTTTATTGTTATCTAGAGAGGCTTAGCCTTTTTGGGAGGAAATCTATAGGTACTGTCTCTTTTACCACTTTTCTACAATTATTATGAGAAATATCTCAATGTCTAATGAGACAAAGCATTTGCTAAGAAATCAAAATAAAATTCTGCCAAATATGAAACTGCAGTAACTATTTCCTGATGATTTTGGCACAAGTTGATCAGGGAATAGCAGTTCCAACTCATTTGCTATTTAAAATCAATATAAAATTTTGTGAACATTTATGATTGAAATTGTTTTTTTCTTAATAGTTATCCTGAAAACCACCTTCCACCTGAGAAATATTTGTGAGTTATTATAATGCTTTGTATTAATTCTTTGTTCAGAAAAAATTTATTTGGGTAATTCTCTACAAAAGGACATCTGCTCTCTCTGTACTCGGTTGGTGCTAAATTCTGATGACCTTCAGGGCCAGCAAGTTTCTGATAAATGGTGGCTGAGATGGGAGTGGACTTTAATTGCATATCTAGAGGAGGGCTGCTGGATTACATTAGTGATTCTATTAGCATTTTATGGAAATGCAAAATATCCAAATAATTTAATTCACAGAACTGGCAAAAACAAATCTTTCATTTGAAAATCACCCTGGTCATTTGTGTTAATAGAGTCAGTTGACTGTTATGGTCTCTGAAGCTAGTAAACTAGTATAAAACAATCTTGACATTCTTGATGAGACCTGTGATTGCAGAATAATGTTAACTTACAATTAAATTCTGACATATCCAAAGAGCAGAAATGCATATTTCAAGTGAGGAATCTCCAATCTATTTCACATTGATGCCTTTCCTTGCCCAGTTGAATCTTAATTTGCCCTGCTATATGCAAGATACACTGCAAAGTATGTGAGATATACAGAAGTGAGTGAGACACAGGGCTTGGCCTCAAAATACCCAGAGTCTATTAGAAGAAGAAGAAATGTTGCAATTGAGATACTATGATAAGTGCAGTGCAGGATAGGATAGGAGTGATCAGCTCTGTGGGGTGATGGTAGAAAGGGACTCTTTAAAGTCTTCTCAGCCCAGTGACATGGGCTGTGACTTGATTAGTTAGGGGTTCTGTCAGTCAAAAGATGACATTAAGGGCAACCTAGATGGAAGAAACAAAGTAAGGGTCACAGTAGTGATTAGGAAACTTTTTCTGAAAAAAAAATACAGACAGAAAATATTTTAGGCTTTGTGGGTAACTATTCACATCTTCCGTTGTCATATGAAGGCAGTGGCAGGTAATACAAATGAATGTAGCTGTGTTTGCAAAAACTATACGTAAAGATAGGCATTCAGTTCATGGACCACAGTTTGCTGACCATTGCTCTAGCGAGTCCCTTTCTGGAAATCATCTGGGAAGTCCTTTCAATAGCCTTAACTCAATGTCGAGCTGGACTACAGGAAGCATCATCAAATCTTCCAACGTTGTAAGAATTAGTACCTGGTCCACACAGGCACCCAATGAAGTTCCTGCCACCTCCAAGGTATTGGGTTTTTGCATATCCAGAAACCCCCATGTTCTTTTGTATCCTGAAGATCCAAACACGTCTTGGAGGGTCATTCCCTTCCCTAATCATAAAGCAACATGGTTTCTTCAATTACCAGCTCAGATACACTGATTTAATTTTCTGATGATTGGATATTTTGTGAACCAGAGGTGGGTTACAGATTGTCTTTTTAACACAACTCCTGTCCCACCTGAAACACATAGCTTCGTTCTTGTCTTTGGGCTGGATTTCTCTTCTTCATATAATTGGCCTGTCTAAAATATTTCAGCCCTCAGAAATCAGCTGTAAGTCCTCTATATCAGAAAGCTCATTCTAGATCCCCTCAAATTTATGTCTCCTGTGCTTTTCTCTTATATAACATAGTCTAGATTTTTCTTCAGAATCATAACCTATCTGATTTTTATTAATTTATTTATATGTATTGGCTTATGGTCTCTTCTGCATTCATAAATTCAGTGAGGGCACAGATCTTCCCCATTTTGTTCCAGATTGCCAACTCAATGGATAACGCATTAGCTCATAATAAACATTCAACAGATACTTTGAGTAGGAAGTGATGTATCTGAGAAGCCAACATGAAATAAAGAAGAAACTATGATTTTTGTTTGTTTTAAATTTTAGTGATTAAAGGCCAGTCAATGGAGAAGATCAGATAAGGTAAGTAGAAAATATGAGAAGTGTCTGTTCATGTCCTTTGCCCACTTTCGGATGGGGTTGTTTGTTTTTTTCTTGTAAATTTGTTTGAGTTCATTGTAGATTCTGGATATTAGCCCTTTGTCGGATGAGTAGGTTGCAAAAATTTTCTCCCATTTTGTAGGTTGCCTGTTCACTCTGATAGTAGTTTCTTTTGCTGGACAGAAGCTCTTTAGTTTAATTAGATCCCATTTGTCAATTTTGTCTTTTGTTGCCATTGCTTTTGGTGTTTTAGACATGAAGTCCTTGCCCATGCCTATGTCCTGAATGGTATTGCCTAGGTTTTCTTCTAGGGTTTTTATGGTTTTAGGTCTAACGTTTAAGTCTCTAATCCATCTTGAATTGATTTTTGTATAAGGTGTAAGGAAGGGATCCAGTTTCAGCTTTCTACATATGGCTAGCCAGTTTTCCCAGCACCATTTATTAAATAGGGACATGAACAGACACTTCTCAAAAGAAGACATTTATGCAGCCAAAAAACACATAAAAAATGCTCACCATCACTGGCCATCAGAGAAATGCAAATCAAAACCACAATGAGATACCATCTCACACCAGTTAGAATGGCGATCATTAAAAAGTCAGGAAACAACAGGTGCTGGAGAGGATGTGGAGAAATAGGAACACTTTTACACTGCTGGTGGGACTGTAAACTAGTTCAACCATTGTGGAAGTCAGTGTGGCGATTCCTCAGGGATCTAGAACTAGAAATATCATTTGACCCAACCATCCCATTACTGGGTATATACCCAAAGGACTATAAATCATGCTGCTATAAAGTCACATGCACACGTATGTTTATTGCGGCACTATTCACAATAGCAAAGACTTGGAACCAACCCAAATGTCCAACAATGATAGACTGGATTAAGAAAATGTGGCACATATACACCGTGGAATACTATACAGCCATAAAAAATGATGAGTTCATGTCCTTTGTAGGGACATGGATGAAATTGGAAATCATCATTCTCAGTAAACTATTGCAAGAACAAAAAACCAAACACCGCATATTCTCACTCATAGGTGGGAATTGAACAATGAGATCACATGGACACAGGAAGGGGAACATCACACTCTGAGGACTGTTGTGGGGTGGGGGGAGCGGGGAGGGATAGCAGTGGGAGATATACCTAATGCTAGATGACGAGTTAGTGGGTGCAGCGCACCAGCGTGGCACATGTATACATATGTAACTAACCTGCACAATGTGCACATGTACCCTAAAACTTAAAGTATAATAATAAAAGAAAAAAAAAGAAAATATGAAGAGAGAGAAGGCTTACGATAGAACACTGGAAAAACCCAGAGCATTAAAGAGGGGACAGAGAAGGAAATATCAGGGAAACAAGTCCAAGAGCAAGAGAAGAGAGTAGCATATTCAGCTAAGGAAGGAAAACACATTATGGGAAAGTGAGCAGGCTCCTGAACCAAGCACCTCACAAACGTCAAATCAGCATGGACAATCATTAATCTTCATCGCTTCTGTCAATGTTTTTTGGAGTAGAGAAAAACATTTCTTCTTTTAAAAGTGAACTGATGCTGCAACTGAATGTGTATATATATATATACACACACACACACACATATGTGTGTATATATATACACACATATATATGTGTATACATATATATAATGACTCTCAGTTCTGCTTGTAAGTTCCTGCTACTTTCCATGGTCACCCTCTCTGGGAGTCATTATTATTACCTAGTATTGGCCCAAAAATTATGATGATGTTCCTCCAAAGACTATCTTTTACCTGTTTTTATGTGTTATCTTCTCTGTAAAAGTGATCCTTCTCATTCAAAACGTCAATTTTTCCTAATATTATAAGCATAAAGGGCCTTTCATTTATTTGAATACTTATATTTAGTGCTAATTATGTGTAGGTGATACAATGGCTTGCTAAGGAAGTAAGAAATTAACAAAAAGATGTGTTCTCTGCCCTTTCAAAGCTTGCATTCTTGTGCATCAGAGATGAAAACAAATTAATTGTCCAAGGACTGTTGAAATGCAGTTATTCTAAATGCGAGTAAGAAGGAGCATATGGTTTTAAAAAGTGTCTAATGAGATTTGGGACAAAGAAGAATAGAGTTTTCCAGGGGCAGGGAGAAGAGATAGGTATAGAAATCTTTCTTCTGTAGGAAAATATGTGTAAGTGATGAAGAGACAAGAAATAGTCAAGAAACTACAAAAAGAAAAAGACTAATACAACTAGAACACAGAAATTGAGGGGAGAGTGATATGAAATTAAGCTGATAGAGTAGGCAGGGCACAGATCACACAAGGATATATCATGACCATAAAAATATCCATCTCTTTGCTGTATAGAGAAATGATTAAGGTATAAGAATGAAAACAAGGAGAGCTACCTTGATGTTACTGAAATACTTTAAGAGAGAGACAATGCTGGCTGGTGTTTTTAGCAGAGATGGACTAACGTGGGTAGATTAATATGCATTAGAAAAAAAATTAAAGGGTCTCCTGGTGCTGTTTTAGGATTAGTGACATAATGCCTCATTCAGCTGATTGTTATAGCACAGAGTAAGCCCTCGAAAAAAGCTAACAGAATTGGAATTATTATAATCAATGCAGGATTCTGAAGCATGCTGATCTACTGAATATGAAACAGTTGGAATCTGCTGCAAAGTGAATAATCATCTCCTAATACCAGGAGAAGCAACTGTCTAGAAGTTACTGGACATCCTTCAACCCCATTTTAAATGACATTTTTTGCAGTGTCACCCTTCTTCCTGCCAAACTTGCACTCTGCCTCTTTGCATCTGCAAGAACATCACTTTAACCTTTCACAGATGGAGCAGGGGCTGCCGTTCTATGCTGATCTTCAGATAAAATGTAGGACATATTTCCTGGGTTCAGCTGACCCTGCTGCAAAGAGCCCAGTGACTTTGTCTTCAATAACATATTTATATTAGAAGCTTCCCCTGTAGTTCATTTGACATATAGTGCTGACATCTCACTGACAGGGGTCAAATTTTGTTCAGGCGAAAGTGTCTTTGGAAAACTTCATTGTGTTTCATACACAGGCTATACCAACAGTATTTTTCCTAATGTTTCAAACGATGGTGTGTGGAGAGCATAGTCCTGAAAAATAATCAGAAACAACCACAATAAAATGTGAATTAATTAATTGTGAACTCCATAATGTTTAATAATGACTCATACTCATGATAAAAACAGTATATTTGAAAGTTCAAGAATTTCCTTATATCTTGTAGTTTTAAATAAAACTGAGCTTCTGGTGAGAAATCTTAGGAGGGCTTCATACATGAAGGACTAGAGTGAATGCTTACCTGTAAATGCTCTGTGTGTTTCCTGGGAGCAAAATGGTTGGATGGATAGAGAACTGAACTAAAGGTCAAGAGAAACAAAAAGGATTCAGTGGATGGCTTCTAAGCTTATAATATTCATTGAATTTAGCGTGATTTACATCTATGTACATAAAAAGCTTAGGAAATATGTTTGTAAACCTCAAAACCTTAGCATATTATAAAGTAGTTACTTTAGTTATTTGGATTCTCCAAATTCCAAGGTGGTGTCAAAGAGTTAATTGATCTTCTGCTGCCACATTTCCTCCCTAATGAGATACCATCTTTGCCAGGGTTAATAGTTCAGTTGTCTGTCTTAAGATTTAGAAGATCACTCTTCTAATGCTGGATGTATCTGGAGTTGTTCTCTGAGTGTGATCAAGTATTTGGGCAATAAGCATCTCTTCCACAAATAGATTTTTTTCTTTTTTTTTTTTTGTGAACTCAAAGTGATTCAAGTGGGAAAAATCCTTAATTGTTGCAGTTAAATGGAATAAATCTACTGCTAGGAATTAAAGAAACACACTATGTTTCTTCGTTCAAAAAGTGTATTTATTGAGCTTCTTTAATGTTCCAAGAACTATTCTAGACACCACAAATGCAGCAGTAAATAAAATTGTGAGAATTCCCTGCTGCACTTTGCATCTTTCTTTTTATTGATAAGAGTCAGACAACAAATATATATATTGGGTTGTCAGAGAATGCTTCCCTGAGAAGGTTACATTTAAACAGACATTAAAAGAAGGATCAAGCCATATGGATATATAAATACCAAAGGAAAGGGATTCTAGAAAGAGAAAATAACCAACTTTAAGGCTTTGGAGCTTTGAGGAGTAGCTAGAATGAAGTAAGAAAGGGGAAGTTAGTAGAAGATGAGATCAGAGAGGTATCTTGAGTTCTTATTATATAATGGGCTTTGAAGATCACTGCAAGAATGTTGCCTTCTACTATGAATAATATGGAAACTATGGCAGATTAAGCATGGTCTCAAAAGGTTTGACATTTCTTCCATTGAGAGGCAGGGTATGTCTCCTTTCCTTGAACTTTAGTAGATTTTGTGCCTGCTTTGACCAACAGAATGCAAAAGAAGCAGCACTGTGCCAGTTTCTGAGTCCCAGTTTGTAGAATGTCATCTTCTACTTCCTGTTATGTGAAAGACTTATTCTTGAAACTCAGTTATCACGCTCTTAGAAACCCAACTCACATGGAGAGAAGCATAGACAATCTGACAGCTAGCTGAGCTTCCAGTCAAATGTCAGCACCTACTGCCAGCCATGAGGATGAGTTATCTAGGACATCCTTCTAGTCAACCCTTTAGATGACTCCAGTCCCAGTCACTATCTGTTAGCATCCAAAATCCACATGAGAGGCCTCAAGCTAGAGCCACTCAGCTGACACCAAGTCAACACAGAGAGATATAATAACTTCTTTAAAACTATTATGTTTTAGCATGATTTTTTATGCAGCAATAGATAGCCATAACAGTATTTCTTGCAGGTTTCTGATTGGAATCATGATTTAAGTTTTAAGAGGATTTATGTTCTTGCTTTATTAAGAATAGATTGTGTTTGATAAGAGTAGAAGAGGAGAGACTAGTTAGGAGGCTACTATAATAATGCTGGTGGGACAGTAAAGCAGCTTGGACCAGTGGGGTGAATGTGAAAGTATTAGTATCAAGGAGTCAGATTGTGGGAATTTTTGTTGTTGTTGTTGTTGAGATGGAGTCTCACTCTGTCGCCCAGGCTGGAGTGCAGTGGCACAATCTCAGCTCACTGCAACCTCCGCCTCCTAGGTACAAGCAATTCTCTGCCTCAGCCTCCCGAGTACCGGGGATTACAGGTGACCGCCAACATGCCCAGCTAATTTTTGTATTTTTAATAGAGACGGGGTTTCACCGTGTAAGCCAGGCTGGTCTTGAACTCCTGAACTTGTGATCCACCTGCCTCTGCCTCCCAAAGTGCTAGGATTAGAGGCGTGAGCCAACACGCCCGGCCTTGGGCATGTTTTTAAGGCACAGATAACACAATTTGTTAGTGAATTAACTGCAGTGTATCTGGGAAATAGAAAATTCAAGGATGGTCCCAGAATTTTTGTCCAAGAAACTGAAAAAGCAAGTTTGGCACCTGGCAGGAATGGTATATTTTTAGATGGTTGTTTGGGGGTACTAATTTTGAGATGTTGATTACATATCTACATAGAAATATTAAATGGGCAGGTATTATATAATGTGGTCTGGAATTAGGAGAGAACATGATGCCAAAGATGGGCATTCTGTAGTCATCAGTGACCAGATGAGATCACCAAGAGAAAGTCATAGATAAGTAAGAGAAGAAGCCAGGGAATGTATCTCTGGTATACTCCTACCTAAAATTGAAGTGATTGGAGAGAAAAGAACAAACCAGAAAAGGAGATTAAATCAGAAAAGCCAAAAGAAGTGATACAAAGAAAGTAAAGTCAGAAAAACAAGGTGAACAAAAGAGGAAAGAGGAATTGACTCTCAAATGATGCAGACAGGTACAGTTAGATGAGGACAGAATTGATCTGCAGACTAAACAATATGAAACTCATGGTGACCTTGACCCAGTAACCTCGGTGGAGGGGTGGGGAGCAAAATCTTACTTGAGCTAGGTTCAAAAGCAGATGGAGAAGATAAATAGAGTTGCAAATGTAGGCAACATTTGTTAAGAATTTTGCTATTATAAGACAAAGAGAAGCTGCAGTTGAAGGAATAGGTTAAGAGATTTAGAGAGATTTTTGTTTTCCTTTTGTTTGTCAATTTTGTTTATTCGGTTGGGAAAAGTAACAGCATGTCTGTGTGCTGCTGGGAGTGATTCAGTGGAGAGAAAATTGCTGGGTCAATGTTTTTGCAGGGAAATTCATCAAAGGCATTAGGAGAGAAGATAGAACGTGTTTAACTGATACCATTATGTGAGGAGATGTGAGATAGTGAAATGATTTCTATTTTTTAAGTGAAATAGGAAACAAGGTCATCAGCAGAAATGGAGAATGGAAGTAGAGAGGCTAGATGCTTGAAGAGAGAAAAGAAAGATGGTGTAGTTGTTGTCTAGGAGCCAGAGAAACTAATTAGAATAGGAGAATAAGTTCTGGTGGCTGGAGAGCATTCAGGGCCTACTTGTGATTGGGTGATCTTGAATTCAAAATGAGACCAGCTGGCATAGCTCTGGTCTCCAACCATTTTTAGCTGTGTGGGTATAGATGCAAAGTAGAATTTAACCAGGGCTGGCATTGAAAAGTGAGTGGGATGAAGAAAGAAAAGAGAAAAAAATTGAGACCGTAGGCAGGAGAACGGTTTTCATGAGTGTCCCCGAAACTGAATCTGGAATTTTACTAGTATAGTGATAGTGTTATAGCATTGAAACAAAACAAACAAACAAACAAACAAAAACATCTTTTCCAATATGGTAATAGAGCTGGAAATATCGGTTGTACTAAACCTTTTTACTGAGGCATTTTATTTCAACAAAACTCTCAAATTAATTTAATCGACATTGCCTGAGTACCTGGTTTGTGGATAATAAAGGATTATGGGCAGAGTTTCTGGGAACCATTTTGATACAAAGGGAGGAAGGTTGATTTTTGACACTGGTTACAAAGACATGATCTTATTCTGGGAATTCTTTACTACTCATTAGAGAGGCATTTTCATGACTCACATTTAGCATCCACTTAGCATTCATAGTGAGCTGAGACCTTTATGGAAAATATAAACAACATTCTCCTTGCTTTTATGGCACTTTATAGGCTAGTCCGTGTTTTTGTCAAGTACGTAATAAAGGCAGAAGAACTTGTTCTAAACTGCCATTGTAACAATGCAAGAATTGGGATTTTGTCACTAGAAAGTTTAGAAAGTACTTTGCAGATAAATTTGAATCTAACCAAAAAGTTCACTTCTTAAATTACCTTGCTTCAATAAAGGTTACTTTGTCTTGAAACACATGCCTTCCTAGAATCCCCATAATGCTAATGGCTTCTCCATTCATCATCTCTAATTCCTTATCAGAGGCATATTGCATTTTCATCTTATAAATCTTTATTCTGATCAAAGAGTCAATTAAAGAGAGATTAATCTTCTTCCCAGGCAGGAACATTTCTCATTCTTCAAGTTGAATTGCAATTGTAGTTTTACTTTCAAATCCACTAGTAAGATGCTAGGGAAAATATGTGTATAACCTACATTTTACCATTACGAGCACAGCCATTTTGCAGTGGCATTTGCATTTACCTTAGTAACACTGCCATAAATAACTCATATATTCTCTCTTCTTCTCTGTTTATGTAATTTGAATCTCAGTAGGAATTTTTTTCCAAAAGATTTATGTTCATTGAAAAAAGAGTGGCTGAGGGTTCTTACTAAACTTATAAATGTCTTTCTCTTCTTTGAATTTGACTCTTTGCATTATATTGTATCCTTAAATAGTTTTACTTACAATCCTTCCTAAATTGCACTGTGACAGTTCCCAGACTTTGGTATTATTTCAAAGACCTATTTTCTCTTGTGTAGATAGAAATATAACTTGAAAGCAATGATAAATCTTTTTTCTACCTACAAGCCTTGAAATAAAAAATTTTAAAGTGTATTGTCTGAGGTCGGGCTGACAAGGTTCCTCTTTTTCACTATTCTCACACAGATCATGCAAATGGATGCATCAGTGTTAAACTACAGAACCTACATTCTGTTGATAGGCTCCTTCTCACTGTTGTTCCCCCAAAACAGGGTCCCCTTAAAATGTTTTCATTTAGAACTGAAAGGAACCTTGTGTTTTAGTCTGTTCAAGCTGCAATAAAAAAGTGGGTAGCTTATAAACAACAGATATGTATGTCTCACAGTTCTGGATGCCAGGAAACTCAAAATCAAGGCTCTGGAAGATTCAGTACCTGATGAGGACATGCTTTCTAGTGTTTAGGTATCTGTCTTCTCACTATGTCCTCACATGGCAGATGGGATGAGAGCGCTCTCTGGAGCCTCTTTTATAAAGGCACTAATCCTATTCATGAGGGCTCCACTATCATGACCTAATTACATCTCAGAGGACCCACTTCCAAATACCCTCACATGGGGGATTAGGTTTCAACATATGGATTTGGGGGGTCAAAAACATTTAATCCATAGCACCTTGGAAGAAAATTTAGAGACTGAGTTCAACCCTCTAAGTTTTAAATAAGCTAGGAATTGTGAGAATTTTGGAAGCTTATAAAGCTAATTCTGAAATAAACAGGAAGGGCCTAATCCATCTCTTGATTTTCAGTTCAACATTCTTTCTTGTACTCTGCATCAGAATTAATAAATAGCTACACTACATCACTCATATCTGTGCATTTTAGCACTCAAATTACATTGATGCAGTTCAAGATTTTACTGATAGCTGGACATTTGATTACTTCTAATTTATGCAACCATGGCTTAATTTTAGGAACATCTATAAGGGATATATGCTAGAGGCTCACTAGTAATCAGAAATGTCTAGTATGCTAGCTGGGCAGGATTGGTGATGGGGAAGGTGGCAGTGAGAAAACTGTGTAGAAGAGGTGTTAAGAAGCTCCCAAGGAATCAGCTGTTCTTTAAAAAGAGAAAATCAAGAAGTATAAAAAAGTTCTAAAACTTGTGGGTCAGATTTAGACAGGGGTTCTGAGAACTGCAAATTGACCAGCATTTAAATGAGCCCCTGAGCCAACTTGTTTACAGTGGTTTCTAATAAAAGAATCTTGCCTCAGCAATCTTGGAGATACCTTGGGGATGCAAGGCACCACCAGTTTTGGCAACTTTGATAGGGCAGTGGTGCCTTAGTCATATTCTCTTTTGTTATCCATGACATGGTCCTCTCTCAAAGACAGGAGTTGGAATAATAGGGAAAGAATGGAGCAAATAAGCTTAGGAATTGCAAGGACTCTCAGAGCATAGAACTAAACGCATAGGATGCCCAGAAAGTATTTAGAACAGCAAAGAAGGCTTAGACTTTTTGATTTGTGGAAAACCTGGATCGACAAAATTTTGGCCTGTAATCCCAGCACTTTGGGAGGCCAAGGTGGGTGGATCATGAGATCAGGAGTTCAAGAGACAAGGCTGGCCAATATGATGAAACTCCGTCTCTACTAAAAATACCATTAGCCGGTGTGGTGGCATCTGCCTGTAGTCCCAGCTACTCAGAAGGCTGAGACAGGAGAATCACTTGAACCTGGGAGGTGGAGGTTGAAGTGGGCAGAGATTGTGCCACTGTACTCTGACCTGGGTGACAGAGTGCGATTCCATAAAAAAAAAAAAAAAAAAAAAAAAAAAAAAAAAAATTGGAATTATGAATGTCCAGGATGGTATGTCCTAAAAGAATGTGACTTATCGATTTGATTTAGAACACTTACGGAGGGTAAATAAAGATTAATAATAGCTGGTGAATTTGAAATTCTCTGAAGGGAATAAGGTAATTTTCATCAGGCTAGACGGTTCTTACCTATTTAGGAGAAGAAAGGGTGTGTGTAGAAGAGGCCCGCTACTTTGGGTGTTTGGTGGGGTTTCCACCCAGAGCCCTGATACTTGAGATATTTGTCCTAGCTTCCAGGTGGAGGTGTACTGATTCTTATAGAGGTGCTATAAAATTAAAATACATTTTTAAAATACAATGAGTAAATCTATCAAATAGCTTTTTTCTGTCTTAAATAACATATGTTTACTGGTTATGAAAGTAATTTAGCCAACTGAGGAAAAGTTGGCAGATCCTGAACTGTGGAACAAGAAAAATAAATATAATTTGGGCATGCAGAGACAAGCATGCACACATTTTTTTTCTACTTATGCATGTATGTATGCATATATCAATCTATTTATATCTGTCTTGTTATTTCACTTTTGAGAAAAGTAGTTTAAGCATTTAGTTAATAATATTATGTACTATTTTTCTACACATATTATAGAATACATCTTCCTCCCTGAAGATTTCATGAGGAATTCATCCAGCATCACTCAGTAACTATCAGTCTTCATCTCAGGTTTAAATTCTCTAATAGAATAAAACTGAGAGGAGAAAAAAAGGCATCTACCCATCTCATTGGCACACCCTGAACTGAAAGATCTTATTCCTGAGCCAACTTGAAAATTATTTTATTACCACTTCCATCCAACTGCACTACAAAATACCTTTATTTAAAAGTATTTTGGACATATTTAAGATGTAGAACCTGATGTTTTCGTATACATACACATAATGAAATTACTACTATAGTCAAGCAGATTAAGCTATTCACTATCTTCCATACATTTTGGGGTAAGAGCCCCTAAAATGTGTTCTCTTTGTAAAATTTCAGTATACAATATTATTAACTATTGTCCTCATGCCGAACATTAGATCTCTAGAATTATTCACTCTACACAACTGCAAGTTTGCACACTTTGACCTATTTCCCCCTCCTTCTTGCCCATAATGATCGCCATTCTATTCTGTTTCTGTGTATTCTGCTCTTTGTTTAGATTTCATGCACAAGTGAGTTTATGGAGTATTTGTCTTTTCATGTCTGGCTTATTTCACTTAGCATAATATTCTCCAGCTTCAACCTTGTTGTCACAAATGGCAGAATTTCTGGGGTTTTTTTTTCAAGGCTGAATGATATCACTATATCACTATGTCTTTACTTATCCATAAAGGAACAGTGAGGTTGTTTTCATATCTTGGCCATTGTGAGTGATGCTGCAATGAACATAAGAGTGCAGATATCTCTAGGAGGTGATGATTTCATTTCCTTTGGATATATAACCAGCAGAGGCATTGCTGGGACATACAGTAGTTCTATTTTTAATTTTTTTAGAAACTTCCGTGCTGTTTTTCATAATGGCTATACCAAGTAACATCCCCACCAACAGTATATCAGGGATCCTTTTTCTTCACCCTCACCAACACTTGTTATCTCTTGTCTTTTTGATAGTAGCCATCTAACAGGTGTGAAGTTTTGTTGTGATTTTGATGGGCATTTTCTTGATTAGTAGTCATACTGAAAACCTTTTCATATACCTGTTGGCCATTTATATGTCTCTTTGAGAAAATCCCTACTCATGTCCTTTGCCCATTTTTAAATTGGATTATTTCTTTTTGTTTTGTTTTGTTTTTCCTATTGAGTTGCGGAAGTTTCTTATGTATTTTGGATAATAACATACATCAGATTTATAGTTTGCAAATATTTTCTCCCAATCTCTTGCTTATCTTCTCATTTTATGATTGTTTGTCTTGCTGCGCAAAAGCTATAGAAGGTCCTTAAAGATCCACTCTCATAAATTGTGCTCCTCACATCGAATGGGCTGGATATTCAATTGTACATACCCCACACACACCACCTTTGCACCGGTTAAATTCCTTTTGTATCCAGAAAAACATGTATTGGAATTGCAACTGTCCTCAATCCAAATATGGGGGAAAGAATTATATTAGCATCCAAGTAAAAATGAAGGTGATCTACATATTGGTGAATAGAAAACAATAATCCTCGTGAGATTTCTCTTATTCTCTTATTCTGAGTTTGCTCAGAATGAAGAATTAGGGGGAGTGAAGAATAAATAGAGAATTGAAAACCTCTTAGAACAACAGGACATCCTCAGGGGAAAAAAAGTCTAGACACAGACCTTACACCCTTCACAAAAAGTAACCCACAATGATTCACAGACCTAAATGTAAAACACAAAACTATAAAACCTATGGAAGATAACATAGGAGAAAATCTATATAACCTTGGGTCTGTCAATGACTTTTTAGATACAACAGCAAAGGCAAAATTCAAAGAAGAAAGAATTGATAAGCAGGACTTAATTAAAATTAATAATTTCTGCTCTGTGAAAAACACTGTCAAGAGAATAAAAAGAAAAGCTGCAGACTGGAGAAAATATTTGCAAAAGAGATATCTATCTGATAAAAGACTTCCATCCAAAACATGCAGATGGGTCACCAACATAATGATGGCTTGACTTATTTATTTTTCTTTTTACTTTACCCTGGTGCAAAAGCTAGACACATTCTGTAAAAACCATATTTTCAGTCCAAAATTGGAATCTTTTCTAGGACTAGCCATATGAGATAGGATATTCTCTTGTGATGCTGGACAGTGGCAATAAGCCACAGTTCCTAATCAGCCACATGTTCATGAGGGTAAATAACTGACACAGTACTCTATCATGTACTGTATTCAATACATCACTTCCCAAAGTGTAGGTGAATGTAAGTGTTCTAAGTACAGGAAAGGTAGGTTAGGCTAAGCCATGGTGTTCTATAGGTTAGGTGTATTAAACACATTTTTGACTTATGATATTATCAACTTACAATGGGTTTTACAAGATGTAACCACATCTTAAGTTGAGGAGTATCTGTACAAAACCACTTAAAACTCACTGACGAGAAAACAAACAACCAGATTAAAAAATGGACCAAATACCTTATCAGAAACCACACCAAAGAGGATATACAGGTAACAAATAAGCATATGAAAAGATGCCCTCTGTCATATGTCATCAGGATATGAAAACTGAAACAATAATGATATAACTATATATCTGTTAGAATGGCAAAAATTCAGAACACTAACAACACCAAATGCTGGTGAGGATGTGGAAAACAGGCACTGTCATTTGCTCCTGGTGAGAATGCAAAATAGTAAAGCCACTTCTGAAGTCATTTTGGTGGCTTCTTACAAAACTAAATATATTCTTACCATACAACCCAGCAATTGCACTCTTGGTATTTGCCTAAAGGAGTTGAAAACTTATGTCCATAGGAAAATCTATACACAAAGGTTTATAGTCTCTTTACCCATAATTGTATTTAACTTGGAAGCAAGTAAAATGTTCTTCAACAGGTGAGTGGATAAACAAACTATGGCATATACAGACAATAGTATTTTATTCAGCATCAAAAAAGAGCTATTAAGCCATGAAAAGGCACAGAGAAAATGTATATGCATATTACTAAATAAAAGAAGTCAGTCTGAAGAAGGGCATATACCATTCAATTCCAACTATTTGACCTTCTGGAAAAGGCAAAACTAAAGAGACAGAAAAAGATCAGTTGTCGCCAGGCATTATGGGGAGTAAGGATGAGAAGGATGAACAGGATAAACGGAGCAGGGGAGATTTTCACAGCATGTGGCTATTCTATATGGTATTGCAGTGTTAGATACCTGTCATACATTTGTCAAAATCCAGAGAATGTACAACACAAAGAATGAAACCTTATGTAAACTTGGACTTCAGTTGATAATTATATGTGAATGTTGGTACACCAACTGTAGCAAATATATCACAGAGATGTGGAATGTTGGTGGGGGAGGCTGTGTGTGTGAGTCGGTGGAGTGTGTGTGAACTCTGTACTTTCTGCTCAATTTTACTGTGAATCTAAAATTACTCTTTAAAAAGATAAAAGAAGGATGTTTTGACCAAAAGATAAAGGAAAAAAAGCATTATATCAATATGAGAATGCTAACAATGAATTATCATTGAGATTGTTTGTTCTATATAGGTGCTATGGATAAATGGGCTCAAGTACAATTCTCACAGGCAGACCCAGTACTCTTCTTGTTCTTGGGGTGTTTTTTCACCTAAAATATGAAGTTGTTCACATCGTACCTTTATGGATTGACTAAGTAACTAATATATACATGGATATAATTAGTATTTTGTTATTACTCTCACTGATACAGTATTTTCTGGGAATTTGTTAACTCTTTAAAGGCCAAATAAAGTTATGTTTCCAAATTAGATGAGATTATCCCAGTTATCAGGGAAAAGAGATAAAACTGTAGTTTAAGGAAGACAGCAGGCTATGCTGGGATGTAGTCCTGTCTTCACACAGTTGCAGGAAACTTAAGGCATCAGAAAATTTGAGGAAGATCCATGAGAGTCCTCATCTAATTAATTATTAGCATGAAAATTTTTACCTTGAATTGGGATCATCAAAATGTGTTACAATCTAGTTAATTTGTTATCAAATGCCTTTTCACATTAGCTTGCTGAAACATCCTGTGTAGCAGATGGCAGAGGGCTATAAGGTCAAACACGGGATATTAAATGCCTAGCTTCTGAACATCTGGATGGTTTAAAAAGAAGAAGAAGAAGAAAGAAAAGTAAATATATGTAGTGTCATTAGCTCTTTTTCATATTAACATGACGAAGTATACTTCCTGGCAAGTCAGCCAGGGGGATTTTGATTTTGATAGAATGTATCACAAAAGAAGACATTCCTCTGAGCATCAATCCTCCTTTCCCCATTACACCTGCACAGTCAATTTATTTGCTGCACCCTCTGGCATTGAGCACCCTGATGGTGATGGAAGTCATCAGCATGCCCACAAACACCATCTGTGCAGGAGCTAGACTAATGAGCGAAGTGAGTAGGGGCAGGCCAGGGACTGGAGGAATGAGGAGAGAAGGCAAAAGAGTTGGATTTAACTCCAAGCAACCCAGAGGTGGGCCTTTATATAAAACGCTGAATCTCAGCCATGGGTGTTCATTAGGCTATCAAGGATAGTTATTTCAGATTTCCAATGCTTGCAACTCTACTCCAGATCAGCTGATTCAAAATCTCTAGTGATGAGGCCCAGAGAGTGTAAAAAAGATATATATCTAAATATATTGAGAGAGAGAGAGAGAGAGAGAGACAACTTTCCAGATTATTTCTATGGGCATCCAATTATGAGAATATGAGACTCACTGGTACAGGAAGGAATATGCTGAATTCACTCTATTCTTTGCACCTAGGTTTCGATTCAGGGCTTAGGACTCAATGCTACTGTAAGCGTATTCCATGGGCCACCAGTATCATCCTCATTTGGAGTTATTAGAGTTGAAGGATTTTAAACTCCACCTTAGACTGCTGCAGTTTAAAAAAGATTCTCAGGCGATTCATATTCACATTAAAGTTTGAAAATTACTGAATTAGAGTGTTGCTTTTCAAATTGTGGAAAATCTATGGGAGAGATGACAGATGATAGATGAAAAATATCATATAATGAATTCTTTCAATCATTTAATAAAAACTTACAGAATGCTATGGACTAGTCATTCTGCTGGACTCCAGGAACACCATGGTGAACGATTACAGGTAGTCTCTATTCTTCTGAGTCATAAATACTATGTAAATAAAATAATCATATATAAACATGTATAATGATCAACCATGAAAGGTGCCAAAAAAGAGGGGCACTCCCTTCTCTGGCATGCTTCTTTCTAGCTTGAATTCCTTCAATGAATTGTCAATTTGCTTAGGATAAAGAAAGTACTGAAGCCTAACACACCGGCATCAGGTCTTCATGACTGGGTAGTTATCGCCGTTAATTACTTTTTCTGTTCTTGAGCCACACTAGACTTACTAACATTTCTTTGGCCTTGTATTGCTGTTTGCCTACACATGGCAAATCATTTGAAATGCTTGTTCCTTTGCCTTGTGGTCCCTGCCTCCTTAGCTTCGGTAACTCCTCCTCATCTTTCAGGATTGACACAAGCACCTAGTTTTCCCTCTTCCACTGGATAGACCAGCCTCCTTGGTTATAAGGTTTTTACTTATCTCGAACTGAAGCATCCTTTTGCTGAGCTAAAGTCAAGCTCATTCAGCCCACTTAGGCTCTGTGAAATGGTGAATCGTGTCTGTTTGTGCTCACTGTTTTATTTCCTAAGTGACTACACAGGCCTAACACATGTGATGTGATTCATAAATAGTAACTGGAATAATTAACACATACTCAGGTGAAGGGATGAAATAAGATGCCTTAGGAAAGGAGGTCAACATTGTCAAATAACCCAAAGCAGTCAAACAATACAAGGACTGAAAAATATATGTTGGATTTAGTGACCTGTGGGTAAAATAATTATCAGGAATGCTATATACATATCTTCCTTCTGTAACTTCACAAGTTTTATTAGAATTCTAAGAGTACTAGGCCGGGCATGGTGGCTCATGCCTGTAATCCCAGCATTTTGGGAGGCCGAGATGGGTGGATCACAAGGTCAGGAGGTTGAGATCATCCTGGCTAACATGGTGAAACCCCATCTCTACTAAAAATACAAGAAAAAAATATATATGTATCTGGACATGGTGGCAGGTTCCTGTAGTCTCAGCTGCTTGAGAGGCTGAGGCAGGAGTTGAACCTGGGAGGCGGAGCTTGCAGTGAGCCGAGATTGCGACACTGCACTCCAGCCTGGGCGACAGTGTGAGAATCCATCAAAAAAAAAAAAAAAAAAAATCTAAGAGTACTAGGAAATAGTTTAGTAGAGGTACACATTCGACCTCTTTGACACAGTAATTTGGGCATTTATTTGGTCTAAGAATTCTTTTGCCCAAAATACTACTTAATATCACAGGTAACTATTATTCCAATGAACAGTAGTTGGGAACCCCTGTATTACTATGTGAATTCCTAATCTCGGTGAATGGCAACACTGGATGTTCCCCCAGAATGCTGGGTCCTAAAGATTTTATTTCCATGTGTCACTTCTCATATTTCACAAGACTGGAGCTCACCAGTGGGAAACACAGTCCTATGAGTTCCCAAAGGACTACAGTCAACCAAATATTAGTAAACTTCCCTAGAGACTTCCAAATCTCTCAATCAGCTCAGATACACTGACTCATCCTTTAAGGTGTCATTAAAATGTCACCTATCCTCATCTCTGCTTCCACATGTGTGGTATCCAGGTAAACCATGCTCACCTCTAATGGGTCCTCTTGTACTGAGTTAAGTGTCTCACTTGACTGCACACTCTGTAAAGACAGGGCCTACCCCTCTCCCCATCTCCCCAAACCAATCCAATTTTGGCATGAAGACATCTTTAAGAATTATTTATTTCTTGAATGAATGTGCTAAGTAACCCTCTATTTACCTGTCTTTCAGATAATTGAGTCTGCAATGCCAAGCACAGAGAAAATAATAAGTGCTAACTGAATTTGTACATCAATGGGTGAAATTATGTAACCAAACTGTGCTTCCATTATGTTTTCTCAGAAGAAACATTTTTGATGATAAAAGACACCATCTGTAAAGGCAAGAAGCCTATCCATAGGAAAGTGAAATAAGCAGTATTTCCCTGTCTTTTAAGAAATAAAAACAAACTGGGCTTGGCATAAGTATAGTATGATCACTTTTTCCCAGTTAATAAGAAAACTTTACTCTTGTTATTTCACTAGTGATCAGCCTCAAGAAAGAAAATGAGAACAGAATTATCACAAATTAAATTTAATTTAAAGAAAATACTAGATAAAGTTGTATATAATAGGTAAGATTATTCAGGATAGTTTGATGGTTTTACACTAATTAATAATTACTATATAGAGTATACATTTTCTGCATGAGTCTTTGTATAAATAGCAGGAAAGCTATATGCTAATGGGAGAGAATTTTAAAAAGTAAAAGTCTTAAGAAATAAATGTCTTTTACTCAGGAAGGAGTAGGCTGAAACAAGATGTCAATAATACTTAGTAATTTTCTTTTCCTGACCACTTCCAATCTCTCCTTCCCCTGCTACTAATAATTGCATCTATTTCCCTTAGGGAGCCATCCTGAATTGACTGAATCGTCCATGTTCCTCACAGGGAACTGACATCAGTCCCTTTGTGTCGAAGAGTGAGTAGGTGACTCAGAACTTGGTAAATCACAGCCAAAAGACTTCCAGTACATCTTCATTAATCATGGCTTTTATATTTGTGAATGGGTACTGATATAAATTCTTCTAAAATGTATTTGTAATCCCCAAATCCTGATTATTCAAAGACACAAACAGAGCAGAAAAAATTTGGGTCACCCCATGTGTATGTTTCCAGCCGAGGCTGAACAAGGTGAAGGTCTGACTTTTTGTTTCAGCTCTCATACAGTAAACATGTTCTTTTTGAAGTCTATTCTGGGCCATGTTTTTCACATTTTTGTAGGGTTTTTTTTTTGGTGTGTGTGTGTGTGATTTTACTGTTTAAAATGACTGCAAGAATAGTGCTAAAAAGTGCTGTCTACTGTTCCAAAGAGCAAGGAGGCTTTGATGTACATTTTGGATAAAATATGCATGTTATATAAGCTTTGTTCAAGCATGAGCTACAGTGCTGTTGGTCATGAGTTTAATGTAAATAAATCAACTATATAACTTTACATGTGTGTGCATATATATATGTGTATATATAAACTACATATATATAGTGTCATATACGCAGTTTTATATATTAACTATATATATAGTATATATATAAAATACATAATCTTGTTTTATGTGTTTTTCCATAAATGGTTTTTAAATGAAAGCCCACATAAAACAAGATTATGTAATGATTGATGAGAATGGTTTGATTAGGCTCAGATTCACAGCGACCTAGCTCCATATTCTTGTATTTTACCTTGGGGCAATGGTTCAGTATTTTCTAACTAAGCATTTATGGCAACTTTCTAGAATATAACTAACATGAATAAAGAGAACTGACTGTACTTCCACGGACTTTGTTTGAGCTAACTGGATAGGGGTCTTTTTCTCTCAAATGTGTTGCTGATTGTATTAGATTTAACTCTAGAGTTGTGAGTAGCCATCTTGCTAAATTCAGAGAAAGCCTGTTTGAAAATGCAACGAACGTAGAGGAAAGCAAAGTTAAGATATAAATAGAAAGATAGAAATGAACAGAGGAAGACACAGAGGGAGGAAGAAAATATGATTAAGAAACAAGAGGACTAAGACTTGGTACATTTGAACTCCTTGTTTTAGCAGTGCCTGAAACCAATTTACCTCAGATTTGTTTTTAGTTCCATAAGCTAATAAAGCACCTTTTTTCTTTATTATTTTATTATTTTACTTAGACAGTTAGAAGTGATTTTCTGTTATTTGTAAATAAAAGAGAACTGAAACAAAAGATGAATGTTGAACAACATTGACCACAGGGAGAATAGTGAGCAAATCTTTCTTAGTTGCAAGAAGAGATTGAATAATAGCTTACTAAAAATTTGAAAGTCATTGTATGCAAGGCAAAATTCAGCAACTGAACAAAATTAGAAACATTTTTGAATGACATTTTAGAAGAGTTTTTCCTTAATGCCTTGGAAAATAAATACAAATCAATCTGCTTATGATGAACTAAGAATACATTTAGAAGATATCTTCTCATTGCTTTGTTACAGTCAAGAACAGTTCATTTCTTTTTGCTAAGGATTGCTTTGGCTACTTGGACTCCCTTTTGGTTCTATATGAATTTTACAATAGATTTTTTCTAATTCTGTGAAGAATGACATTGGTAGTTTGATAGGAATAGCATTGAATCTGTAAATTGCTTTGGGCAGTATAACCATTTTAACAATATTGATTCTTCCAATCCATGAGCATGGAATATTTTTCCATTTATTTGTGTCATCTCTGATTTCTTTCAGCAGTGTTTTGTAATTCTTCTGGTAGAGATCTTTCACCTCTTTGGTTAGCTGTATTTCTAGGTATTTCATTTTCTTTGTGGCTGTTGTAAATGGAATGGTGTTCTTGATTTGACCGTCAGCCTGGACATTCTTGGTTTATAGAAATGCTACTGATTTGTGTACACTGATTTTGTATCTTGCAACTTTACTTAAGTCATTTTTCAGTCCCAGAAGCATTTTTGTGGAGTCTTTAGGAATTTCTAGATATAGAATCATGTCATCAGTGAACAGAGATAGTATGACTTCTTCTCTTTCTATTTGGATGCCTTTTATTTCTTTATCTTGCCTGATTGCTCTGGCTAGGACTTCTGGTTCTATATTTAACAGGAGTGGTGACAGCAAGCATTCTTTTCTTGTTTCAGTTCTCAAGGGCTTTTTGCTCATTCAGTATAATGTTGGCTATGGGTTTATCAGAGATGGCTGTTATTATTTTGAGGTATGTTTCTTCAATGCCTAGTGTATTGAAGGTTTTTATCGTGACAGGATGTTGCATTTTATCAAAAGCTTCTTCTACATCTGTTGAGATGATCATATGGTTTTTGCTTTTAATTCTGTTTACGCGGTGAATCACAATTATTGATTTGTACGTATTAAACCAACCTTGCATCCTAGGGATAAAGCCTGCTTGATTGTGGTGAATTAACTTCTCACTGTGCTTCTATATTTGGTTTGCTAGTATTCTGTTAAAGTTTTTTGCATCTATCTTCATCAGGGATACTGGCGTGAGGTTTTTTTTTCATTGTGTCTCTGCCAGATTTTGGTATTAGGGTATGCTGGCTTCACAGAATAAGAGGGAGGAGTCACTCCTCCCCAGTTTTTTTGGAATAGTTTCAATAAGACTGGCACACGTTTTTCTTTATATACCTGGTAGAGTTTGGCTGTGAATCCTTCTGGCCCAGGGCTTTTTCTGGTTGTTAGGTTTTCTACTACTGATTTGATTTCAGAGCTGGTTGGTCTCTCAACGTTGGTCTACTCAGGGTTTCAATATCTTCCTTATTCAATCTTGGAAGATTGTCTGTTTCCAGGAATTTATTCATTTCTTCTAACTCATTTTTTCTAATTTGTGTGCATAGAGTGGTTCATAGTATTCTCTGTGGATCTTTTGTATTCCTGTGAGGTCAGTTGTAATATCATCTTTGTCATTTCTGATTGTATTTTCTTGGATCTTCTTGGAGGCATCACATTACTCAACTCCAAACTATAATATAAGGCTACAATAATCAAAACAGCATGGCACCAGTGGTAGAGTAAGAAAAACATGGGCCAATGGAATAGAACAGAAAACTCAGAGATAAAGCTGCACACCTACAGTCACCTGATCTTTGGCAAGGCTGAGCAAAAGCAAGCAATTGGGAAAGGATTTCAATAAATAGTGCTGGGATAACTGACTAGACATATGCAGAAGAATGAAATTGGATCCTTACCTTTCACAATATACAAAAATTAACTCAAGATGTATTAAAGATTTAAATATAAGACCTCAAACTATGAAAATCCTAGAAGAAAACCTACGAAATGTTCTTCTTGACATCCACTTTCACAAAGAATTTTTGGCTATGTCCCCAAAAACAATTGCAATAAGAACAAAATTTGACATATGGGACCTTACTAAATTAATGAGTTTCTGCACAGTGAAAGAAACTATCAAAAGAGTAAAAAGACAACCTACAAAATGAGAGAAAAATATTTGCAATCTATGCCTCCAACAAAGGTCTAATATCCAGTATCTACAAGGAACTTAAATCAACAGGCAAAGAGCAAATAATACCATTTAAAAAATGGACAAAGAACATGAACAGGCACTTCTGAAAAGAAGACACGTAAGTGGCCAACAAACATATGAGAAAATTCTCATTATAAATAATCATCAGAGAAATGCAAATCAATAACAAAATGTGATACCATTTCACACCAGTCAGAATGGCTTTTATTTTAAAAAGTCAAAGAACAACAGACGCTGGCAAGGCTATGGAGAAAAGGGAACTCTTATACACTGTTGGTGGAAATGTAAATTATTTCAGCTATTATGAAAGCACTTTGAAGATTTCTCAAAGAACTTAAAACAGCTACCATTCAATCCAGCAATCCCATTACTGGATATATACTGAAAGAAAAGTAGAATATTATACCAAAAAAACATATGTACTTGTATGTTTGTTGCCATGCTATTTGCAATAGCAAAGGCATGGAATCAACTGAGGTACCCATTAATGGTGGATTGGATAAAGAGAATGTGGTACATATACACTATGGAATACAATGCATTCATTAAAAAGAAAGCAATCTTGTTCTTTGCAGCAAAATTGATGAAGCTGGAGGCCATTATTCTAAGCGAATTAACACAGGAATGGGAAATCAAATACCACGTTTTCTCATTTATAAGTGGGAGCTAAACATTAAGCACACATGGATATAAACATGGGAACAATAGTCACTGTGGACTATTAGATGGAGAAAATAGAAAGGAGAGTGTCAGTTTTTAATAGTTTGTTTCAAATTATGCCCTTTAATTAAAAAGTTGGGATGTTGGCATCAAAATATAACTAAATTTGAATACTGGTTCTTCTATTTATTAGCTCTGTGACCTTTAATTTTCTAAGCATCATTTTCCTCATAAGCAAAATAAACATAAATGTGTACTTAGATTTGCATGTAGTAAATATTCAAACTTTTCTTCAAAGCATGAAAAATTGTTGTAAGAATTAGATGAGGTAATATGAATAAAGAGATTGCCATTGAGCCTTGAAGATAGTGGATTCAATAAAAAGTGACAGTTACCAATAGTTTCTCTTTTTCTATCAGGTATTTTATGATTATAAATAAATATGTAATTGCATCAAGGAAAATCAAAACCAAAATCTACAAACTTACTAGTTTTCAATAAATATTTATTTTTTATCATTTGTGCTCTAGGCACTGTAGGATTTACTTGAGATAATACAAGATAAAAATGACACAATCCATCTTTTTGAGGAGTTTGAAAACCAACAGAAAGTATATATATATATATGTGTAGATAAATATTATTTGTGTTAATTTTTTTAAGTGCCATCCTTGAAATTCATTGTTGTAGTTTGTATTGAGTTTTTAAGAAAGGAGAGCTGTCTATATGGAAGAAGGAGAGTGGGGGCTGAAAAAGTGGATCAAGATTCATCAGATAAGAATGCAACAGGGAGTGCAGGTGAAACTGTGGGGTCTACTTGGGCACCTAAGAGTAGCCACGTAGGACTGAAATCGAGGAATCAGTGTGATGTTAAGGCAGATAAAACTTGTTCTGGTTTATTAAGAAATCAATGAAAGGGTGAAAACGATTAAGTTTCAAAGTATAAGCTGATCTATGGCATGTTCTCCAAGTCTCACTCAAAGTTATATATTATCATCTTCTTCAATGATGATTAAAAAATAAGTGGCTGGGCGTGGTGGCTCACGCCTGTAATCCCAGCACTTTGGGAGGCCGAGGCGGGTGGATCACCTGCAGTTGGGCCTTCGAGACCAACCTGACCAACATGGAGAAACCCTGTCTCTACTAAAAGTACAAAATTAGCCAGGCCTGGTGGCACATGCCTGTAATCCCAGCTACTCGGGCAGGAGTATCGAGCTGAGGCAGGAGAATCGCTTGAACCCAGGAGGTGGAGGTTGTGGTGAGCTGAGATCGCACCACTGCACTCCAGCCTGGGCAACAAAGAAAAAAAAAAAAAAGGTGTAGTTTTATTTCAAACAATGTTTCAGAATCATTTTCTAATAAACACCTCACTGGATTCCTCTGCTCTGGAAATCAGCAACAATTTCCAATTTGCACATCTTTTCAGACAAGAAACATTTGTGTTAGAATACAAATAAGCATATCTATTTTCATCAACCTAACTTCTAAAATTTTCCCCCCACACATGTTAAAAATTAGGAATCAAAATAATTAATGGTACTTTAAAATCATACTATATATTATCTATATGTTTATCTGATGTTCTCTATCAGATGTTCTGCTATCTGTATGTTTCCCACCAGCATTTCCTCCCCAACTTCCCGGTATATATTTAAAATATTTATCTAAATTTAAAAAAAAACGCACACGTTACAGTTTCTCCTTTTTGCTGCCCTCCCCATTTGTTGGCTAACTCAAACATCACAAATGACCAAATAGCATTAGGCTAAAATAGTTATTCTAGAGTTTTGCTTTGCTTTTTTTCCTTTCCAAAAACCCTAACTGTAAATAATGGGTTTTATAGAAATGCATGAGGCACTCTGTATTGTTTGTCAGCTTTTCCAGTTCCACACTAGTCCCTGCTTCCTCTTTCACATGCACAGATCAGAACAACAGGATAGCACGAAGCGCGCCAAGTTTAGAACTAATCAAACTGTCTAGGAGTAAGCTACAACAGTTGCTGAAGAATGCTTTATTCACTCTCAGAATGAAAGCTTTTGATGAGGGGAGAGGGGACTAGAAAAACTAATGGAGAAAAATCTAAAGGAAACACAAATTACTGTTGTACTTCTTAGCACCTTGGGTTCACATTTGCCAGGACCGGTAAGTGTCATTACCAATTTGATGGTGACTAAAATGCAGCATAGTCACATGTTTCATCTTTCCTATTCCTTAGGACTTTATTTTTATAATGAAAACAGTGGAAATCTATTAAGAGAAACTGATACATAAAATACGTCTCTGCATTAACATCCCCTAGTTGAGCTCTGTGAAGGAGGGATTATTTTTATTTTTTGAGGATCCCAAATGAGTTGCAGAAAGATCTAAACAAGAAGTAGAGGAGGGACGACTTACATGCCTGAAAGCTTCTTTGACAAACGACAACCCGAAAATGTGAAATTTTGTGCACATCAGAAACAGATAAGAAAGACAGATGTTGAGCTGGCCTCCTCCTTCCTGCTGGAGTGAGGCGAAGGGGAGGGGGAGGGTATGTTCCTGCAGCTGTTTCCCACTGGTCAGGTGGGAAGTTGGGCTGTGCAGGCATCACAGTAGGCACTGCAGTAAATCAGATAGTATCTCTGCTGGAAGAAGGCCAAGCTGCCCTTAAAGATATTAGGTACAGCTCCCTGGTAGCTCAGGGAGAAGGCATCCATTTCAATCGTTTTCATGAACATCCCCAAAGTCAGCTGTTTTGGCAGAAAGTGTCATGTGTTGTAGTAACTTCCTGTTGAAGTTATAAAGGAGAAATAAAAGCCCTGCACTCATTCCACAAGACTCTAACACTGCTGGACAAAAGACTCCTGGACACGATTCATAAAGGAGGCCTGTCTTGGCTTTCACTTTCTTACTTTCTTCCCCTTTCTGCTCTATGTCCCTGCCTTCTCTTGCAAAGCAGATAACTTCCAAATTTGTAGTTGAGTGAAGAAAAATTTGTAAATTAAAGTATTCTGGGTAATCCACACAATCTATGTATGAAAACAATGGTCTATGGAGCAGAATGGACTCCTAGATAACACAGAAGCACGAGCAAGCTATCAGTTTGACATCGATGGTAACGGAGAAATTTAGATGATATTATTGGTTGCATAGCCCTGTGAAAAAAATCATGGTCTTTGTTGTCTGACAAATCTTTATTTAAGGCCTACTTCCACTATTACTTGACAGTGTGCACTCGGGTGGGCCTCACCAAACATTGGGTGCCACTGTAAAATGGAGACATTACTTCTCCTTCATACTGTTATGAATCCTTCATGAGGCAAGACAAAGATGCTTCCTTATTTTCTTATTGCTGCTGTAACAAATTATCACAAACACAAATTTAATTTCTTACAAATCTGGCAGTCAGAATTCCTGCAATGAGTCTTACAGGGCTATAATTAAGGGGTCAGCAGAGATTTTTCCTTCTAGACACTCCAAGAGAGAGTTGATTCTTTGCCTCTCCCAGCTTTGAAGGGCTGTTGTTCATCATTCCTTGTGGCAGACAAAGAAGCAACTCTCCAAAGCTTGTGGATACATCATTCCAATCTGTGCTTCTGTCATCACATTGCCTTCTTTCCTCTCTATTATCCTACCTCCCTCTTATAAGAACCCTTGTAATTATATAGGGTCTATCACGATAACCCACCCAATTCAATATCATTAACTTAATCACATATACCACATATGCTCATTTATCATATAAGATAACATATTCACAATTTGTAGGAATTAGGATGCCATATAAGGTAATATACTTTCCATGAAAGGTAATGCATTTACAGTTTCCAGGGATTAGGATGTGGACATCTTTGAGGGGGTCATTATGCATATATTGCAGGTTTTAGTACAAAAAGGCATGAAACAAATTTCAGCTCTTCTTTACTCTTCTCCTATCAGGATTAGAGTAACATGGACTCATTTGCTCTTTTGCTCAATATATCATCATCTGATCACTCTTCTCAGAGGTAAAAAAAAAATAAATGGTGAAGGTATTAAGATTAACATGAACAAGTTTTAAAAGCTATAAGAAAGCAGAAATATTATACTTATGGTATGGATTTGTTTCCTTCTTTGGTGAGTGTTTAAGGCCTGGTGTTTTATTTATCTCAATTATGTTTGAAAAGCATCTGGAAGAAAATCAAATTATGTAGCCAATTGTAAGTGTAAGACCATGATGAACGAAGAGGAATTTTTTCCACTCAATGTGTCAAGTAACTAGCTGCAAACAAGCTATTTGTTTTTTTGAGAATGATAATGAGAATGAAAGAATCATCTTAGTTTTTCAAGTCTGTGAAAATACGAGCCTTGTGATATGAGGGAGTTGGAACTGCTAGGTGTTTTCAGCTTCTGATTTAATATTCTTTCAAATTGCACGGACATCATAATCATTTATCTTCAAGGATAGCAGAGGGAGGCGAAAATAGTTTCAGTTTCACTCTGTTTTAATGGTAAATTCTTATCCTTTTGCTGATGTCCACTATAAAATGACAATTCATTCTGCCATCATGTGAAATGAACCAACTAAATCAAAATATTTTTCATAGGGGAGTAGCCTAGGGAAGTGAAGGAAACAGCATGATGAACTTGTCATGCTGGGCTATTTTTGGATGGCCTTCTTCAAGGATCAGTATAAAGGTAACATTTACAACAAACCTGTCTTCAATGAGGCAGAAAAATATGCAGAACCCCAAGCATACTTAACAAAAGTAGCCAGCTCACTGCACCTGACTTAACTGTAAAAAACATAGATTTTTTTCTCCATGTCACAGTATCTACTAGGAAGAGTAATTAGGGGAAATAATGCTTGATTCATTAACTCATTTATTCATTATCTCATTAAAAATCTTAGAAGAACCCACGATTTGTTTTTCACTTATTCATTTAATCATTCATTTTTCTATCTTTTCAACAATCAATTTATACATTAATTTATTAACTCAGTCACTAATTCAACAAAACTCCATTGAATATCTTATCTCTGCTTTTATCATGTTGAGTATTGGAGGTGCAAAGATAAATCAAGTGCCTACATGATCTAGCATCCCACCTCTTGGTCCAATCTGTAGTTACAATAGAAGACTCTGTCTAGAGGACACAGAAACAGAAGTAGGATGTTTTGTTGATGCACTGTTGATCAGTTTCAATACTATAGGCAGGAAAATTGTGATGAGAGAGATTATCTGACTTCAGGCCACCCAAATGTGTGACTGCATCCTTAATCCTTGCATCTTCATTGATGAGCACAAGCTTTGGGGGAATTTGTGCTCAAAATTTGTGCTACATGTATTATTCTGTGATCAATTTCTAATTATGTTATGAGAACTAGAAAAATGTGTATTCTTTCCAGCCAAATTGATTTTTATCCTGGTCAGCATCACTGTGGAAAATATTGTATTTTGCCATGCCATACTGCTTTGGCTGCCAAAGTGTAAGGGCTAAAACTGATTTGAAATGGAGTGGCTAGACTTTTCTGCACTCTTGAGTAAGGTCAGAGTAGCTGTCACTAGAATGACAGGTTCTGGCTTTGTGTTCTCAAAAACAATCCTCACCATAATGACATAGCTAAGAGAGCCTGGTCTTTGTCTACAGTATTTATCAAATATATTTGGACATATAGCTAAGAAATACCTGGCCTTCTAATCTGTTGACCTTCCTAATGCGGACACCAATTGCACTTTTGAGACCTCATTCATTCCCATCCCAAACTACAATATCTCTTCATCTAATATATTTTCTGCTATTCCTCTATACCCATATTGGTCCATAACATTTCTTTAATCTTCAGATATTTTCAATGTCCTTTCCTTGCTCCTACTTTCACCTATTTTAGGTGAACAAATTTTGTTCCTGCCTCTGTCATTCTTTCAGTATTTCTTGAAGGACGTAAAACTAATAACACAATGTAATTTTTAGATAGTTGATTTATCATTCTCTCCTCTCCCCCTCATATATACACAGTCATCTAAAAGCTTGTTAGAGTCAAGAGAATTATATTTTATGTTTTGATATCTCACATTGCTCTGACCCTCATGTTGAATTGATGGATCTACGAACAGACTGTTTGAAAGTCTTTTTGATACCTAGTCAGATACCTCTATGACAATAATCCATGGATTACATCCCAGAGTTCTTTGTCCTCTGGAAAGCCCCCTGCACCTCTAATGCTGGTGATTCCAACACTCTCTTTGCTCCTCAGTCTCCCTCATATGCAGGAAATAGTTGAACTTCGGTGTGAAGCTATCAGTGGCCTTTAACAAAGGAGCAAAATAAGAGAACATACATAATAATAATACACCATATTATGTATGTTATTAAGAATGAGAGGTTGTAATCCTAGTTTTGGAAACAAGAAAGCAGACAGGGACACTAAGAAGGAAAATGAGAACCCAGAAAACAAAACAAAACAACAGAAAAAAAAATCTAACTGAATTCCTAGGAATATTGCATTGGTTAAATATTAATGGTGTTCCAGGCACTTCTAAGTACTTTACATATACTAACTAAATTAATTATCATAATAACATAATGTTGGCATCATGTCTCCATGAGAATACTGAGACACAGAAGTTAAGGTCACACAGAAAATAAGAGGTGCAGACAGAAATGGGCCCCAGCTATTTTACTCTAGACATCATATCCTAAACCACTAGTTAATATAGCAATACAGACAGGAAGTAGAATAACATGGTTATTATGGCTGTGCATGGAAGGTTTAATGTGAGTCTGGGTGCTTGCATGAATTTTGGGAGGAAAGTTGTGGGGGGAATGGTCACTGATATAAATTCTGCATTCATGATTTTAGTCAAGATAGCATAGAAAAAAACTTAGCTTCAAATATTTAAATGTATGGTTCAGAAAAAAACAAAAATAAAAAATTGACTTCCAATAATATTGGTTTTGAGACTCTGACATCACAAATAACTTTATGGTTGATATGATAATGAAAGGATCAGTTTCATTTGGAAAGCCATCCATAGATTACAAAGAACCAATTATTCACTTTGGCCAATATTAGACTTTAAATGATTAGCTTTTAAATCTGGACGAATATATTTGCCTTGAAAAGTCTGTAGTTATTTTCCAATGAGGTACAGAATGAGAGATAACAACAAACTGGAAAAAAAATTGCTAAGACATTTGTCACCAGTCCTCTCTGCAAATTGTGTGTGTATGTGTCATTCACCGAGAACGATTGTCTAGACTTTTGGTTCTGCTTTGGAAGCTAAGGAATGTATTGCATTTTGGAATTTCTTTCACATGGAAGGAATCCAGTTCCTGAGGACTGTTGACAATGGACAAATACTCTGCACAGAAAGACCATAAGGAATACTTCCATTTTCAGTTTGCTGAAATCACACTTGTTAGAAGCACCAAATGCAGATCTTTTTCTATGACTATGGCAAAACCTTTTTGGGTCAAAATACAAAGACTTGAAACCAATTTCATTTTAATTAGTTTAAGTGTATTTTTTACAGGACATATAGTTTTCCAAAAAATCTTCAGTGTTTTCTGCTTTGGAATATCAGATGGAAAGGAAGAAAGAAAGGAAGGAAGGAATGAAGCAAGGAAGGAAGGAAGGGAGGGAAGGAAGGGAGGAAGGGAGGAGGAAAGGAAGGGAGGAAGGGAGGGAAAGAGAGAGAAAGAGAGAAAGAGAAAGAAAGAGAGAAAGAGAAAGAGAGAGAGAAAGAGAAAGAAAGAAAGAAAGAAAGAAAGAAAGAAAGAAAGAAAGAAAGAAAGAAAGAAAGAAAGAAGGAAAGAAAGAAAGAAGGAAAGAAAGAAAGGGAAATTACTGTGTGTCATAGGAATGCCATGCAAGCAGAAACTGTCACACTCATTTTTATGATACTGGTTTATTGATATCTGGAGATCAATGGAAAAATCGCTTAGTGAATGGATGCTTGAATGAATGACACATGAATGAAATGCTTTTGTCTATTTTTGGAGTTAAATCAGTATTAGTTTATGAGATTCAGCAACTCCCAAATATTTCATTCCCATTTTAGATGTATACTAATCTTGTAAACATGGTGTACACATATTATTTGGAGATTAAAGGCAAATATTTTATTTCATAAATTATCAGCATAGAAGATGAAGATAATTGGTAAGTAGCATCTGCTGTGAAGATACTGAAGTTGGATTATAGCAGATGTAGTCAGAAGAAATTGAGGATGGATTCCATTTTCCTGTTGTTTGTTTTCTTGTGTTCCTTGTTTTCTTTTCATTTATTTCTTTTAGTTTAAGATTCTGTCATTCTCCTACTCAAAACCTTCGAATGGCTTCCCATCGGAACTATAATAAGCTCCTAACTCTAACCTGGCATAACACCACTTAATCTGGCCTCTGTACAAATCATTGGCTTTATCTCATTCCCCATCCTACCAGGCTTCGTATTTTCTCCACAGAACATTTGCACTAGCTCTGCCTGGAATTATCCTTCATCATCTTTATTTGACTGGATCCTTTTCCCTCTTCAGCTCTTCATTAATTCTTCAGAGACGCTTCCTTGAACACTCTCCAAATTAATCTGCTAGTCACTCCGTATCTTCACATCTCCTATTTTAATTCTACAGATATCTTGACATGTTGGAGATGCCACATGTTCACATTCTCACTGAGCCGGGGTGAGTTTGAGCCATCCCAGTCCTGGTACTCTATATGTAGGCAATGAAGCTCTCTTGGAAACCCATTCTCCAGCCCCAGTTGTTCTACCCTTCAGGTACTCAAATCATTCCATTGAGCAAAGAACCATCTTCACTGTGCCTTTTCAGAATCCCTTTATTTATTGTTGTATTGTTACACAGCAACAGATAAGGAAAGCATTCACTCACTGATCATTCTTTGTAATTATCCTGTTACTTGTATGTTTTAAAAAATGTCTATCTCCCTACAATTTTTCCAGCTCCATGATGGCATAAACTTTGTTCTGTTTACTACTGGATACCTCTTACCAGTATATATTTGCTAAAACATAAATTTTTATTTCATCAAACCCATTTGATGATTCTGAATATTATCCCCATTTTACAGGTGAAAAAACTGAATACTAAGAGGATTAAACATTTTCCAAGATTAAAGAAGTAATAAATGACACAATTAGAATTTGAGCTCATTTTACTTGGTATTTTTTTTTCATTATAATATTATAAAATAAATTGTTGGGCTATCTTGCTCTCCAAGTATAACTTCAGTGTTAAAATGTAGAGTGTTTAAGAGCACTGAATATGGAGCCAGCTTGCCTTGGCTTAAATTCTAACTCTGCCACATTTCAGCTGTATAGTCTTGACTCAATTTTCTAATTTGTAAAATGAGAGTTATAATTTTTTTAACATCGAGGACGGTTTGAGGAATACATGAGTGACTGTATCTCAAGCATTTTGCCAGTGGCGGCATATAAGAAGTGCTCAATAAATACTACCTACCATCATCATTATTGTTATAATTGTATTATAGGATATTTAGAAATGGTTCAATATTTAACAACTAAATGTTATTCATAAACTATTTGCTATCATTTTATATGTAAAATATTTACCAAAATATAGGTCAACATATATGTATTCATATTATAAAGAATTATAACCATGACCATGGGTATTCCATTCTGGCATATGTGGCCTACTTGAATGTTATGAATTATTGCTATTGGTGTTTTTCACTGCAAAAAAGTTATCTCTAAAATTAAAAATTATGTAATTTATACTTGGCAGTTGCCTTGGAAGTGATCTCAGTCAACTCTTCTTATGTAGAAAAAAAAAAGCCTAATGATAATATAGGTGTGGGACCCCTTTCAAGATCACACAGGCAATTAATACTTGAGTGAGAAGAAGAGCTGAAGTGTTCCGAGTCCTATTCTTGTGCTGTCCAGCTTAACCACACTCTCCAGTGCCAACATGTCATTGCTAATGGAGAAAGGTTCTTCCAGTTAACTGACTACCAAAATGTGTGTAACATTTGCTTGGAGCTCTATTTGGGGTGAAAAACTCACCAAGCACTCATCAAGAGCACTGCATTTGACTTCCCATTAGTAAAAAGGATAATAATGACTCCATGGAAAGGTAGTGACATATCGGATCCTTCTAGGTCTATCTGAGGTCATGAGAAGCAGTCCACACTTAGAAGAAATTAGAGATTTTGAAGGATGTGAGACAAATTTTAAAGAATTTGGCTTCTCTGATGCCTCTGAAACTGTAATTAGTGGCCTGAAGCTCCTGGCCACAGTAGTCTGGGCCTTCCTTCAGCAAACAGCTGTCTTCCTTTTTTAGGAAGAGCTATATAAGGCATGCAAACCACATGGATTTCCTTTGAAACAGCTAGAACTTTTTGTCAATACCATCTTTTGTCTCTCTCTTTCTCTTCAGAAGCACTGAGAAGAGATCTTATCAAATAAATAATCCAAGGAAGCTTCTGGTATTACTCTTTCCCAGGCAACTTTCTGGATTTCTTAAACATGGAGCCAGATTCTTGACAGTCATGATGTGGTTTGCACTGGTGTTTTCTACCTGACAGCCTCTCCATAATATCGTCAGGCTATGTCGACGACAGCCAGACAGAGCTTCCACCTTTGCCCTGTGTTTTCAGGAGGTGAAGATCCAGTCGTCCTTGTGAATTTATAAGTATTATTTGCTCTTCTTCCTCTCAGACAAATATGAGGACATACAGGTTAAAACAAATACACAAACTACCTCTCCTTCCCTACTTTCAGCAGAACTCTAACACTGATTCTACTCTAACAGAACTTCAGAAGTTCTAGCAGCAGACTGTGGATCACCCTTCAATTATATCACATGACAACATATAAATATGCCAAATGATATGATCTGGCTCCGTCCCCACTGAAATCTCACCTTGCATTGTAATAATTCTCATGTGTCAAGGTCAGGGCCAGGTGGAGATCATTGAATCATGGGGGCAGTTCCCCCATACTGTTCTCCTGGTAGTGAATAAGTCTCAGGTGAGCTAATGGTTTTATAAAGGGCAGTTCCCCTGCACATGCTTTCTTGTCTGCTGCCACGCAAGATGTGCCTTTGCTTCTCCTTTGCCTTCTACCATGATTGAGAGGCCTCCCCAGCCATGTGGAACTGTGAGTCCATTAAATATCTTTCTTTTATAAATTACCTAGTCTTGGGTATGTCTTTATTAGCAGCGTGAGAACAGATAATACGCCAATGTTGCCAGGATGGTTGTTGTCAAAGTTTAACACAGAATTTATGCTATATGATACATTTATAATATGCATTATGTTATATGATCACATAATACAAATAGAGCACTATCTAGAAAAAATGATTTTCTCCCAAACATTCTACTTCTGAACTTAAAATGTGTCTCTAATGTGAGTGTTTTATTGTGGAAAATGAGGTAGACTTCAGCAAGGACTCTTGGTTGTATTCAGCAGAAAATTATTCTGGTTATTATTTAGAAACAAAACTTTTTTCTTAACTGGTAAACTTAAGAAGAAAATATTGTAAAAATTCATCAACAAAAATGCTGAGGAATGTGGTTGGGTCTATCTATGTGCACATACATGCGAAGGTAATAGTGGCTCATCCAAGGCAATGCCAATGAAGACCTCCCTCCCTTTGTCAGACAATGTTTTATGCACATGAACTCATCTATCCTTAAACAAGCATTATGAGATAATGCCTATAATTATCCCTACTTTACACATAAAGAAACTGAGGAAAAGTCATTGAAGCTTTTATCCAAAGATATATTAAAATACTAAATGGTGGAAATGGAACAGCATTCAAGGTCATACCACAGGAACATTCTTCTTAGGGAGTTGCTGCTGCCTCCACTAGCCACCATATAGTGTTTCTCCCACAATTGCTATTGCCGGCACTGGACATTGAGTGCTGTGCACTGTCAGAAAAATGCTTATAAACTAGCACATTATTTTGTATCACTCGTTCCAGATTCATGTCCTGGCTGTATCTATAGGGTCCTACCATGTCTCATGTCCATGTCCTATCTTTGAGGAAGTTAGAAAGCCAGTCTCTGGCCTTTGATGGTAAGACTCACCAGTAATAAATTTCTCAAAACTAGGAATTGAGTTCAAATGCTTAGCAGCCCCCCGTAAAATAGTCACTGCTCTCTCTTACAGTAACCACCCAATAACCTTGGATGAAAAAATCTAAGTTCTACTTAAAGCCTACCATGCAATTTAGGAAAATTGCAACTGTGGACACCATTAATTGACTACAAATGTAAATGACTTTGCTTCTAAAAGATACCATTTTGAATTCTACCCTCAGCATGAACAATTCATAATCATTAAAATAAATAAATAAATAAATTAATTAATAAAAACTGTAGAGAATAATTGAATGATTTGAATGAATTCTTGACAATCTATTGAAAACTAATACTACGGGACTTTGACTCTAATTCATAGAAATTTCTCCCAATATAAACTTGAACGTTAGATAATGTTAGAAGTGAACCGACCGAAAAGGGGCTGAGAAAAAGAGAGTAAACGCGATGTCTACTGTAGAATGCTTTTGACATGGTCCAGTTACTGCGTCACGACTTCATGTTTCTTACTCTTGGCAATAGAATAAAGTCCTCAGCAGAAGGACTTTTTTCAAGTCCAAAAACATGACACTTCAGAGCTATAACCATAACTTCTCTTTTTATGTCGACGGGATTTACAGTGTTTGCAGATGGAAGTAATTTAATACCGTGGTGATCTTTCATCTAGCCTGTTTCCTTTCAGTGACCTTATGTTTACTATAAGAAAACACCAACAAGGTGTCTGATTTCTTCATGGAAAAGTGGCAACTATTTAAAACAAAAGGATTTTGTCTAGCAGAATCATAAATCTTTCACTGTTTCTGTAATTTAACAAAAAAGGCTCATCTGTTCTGTGAGGAGTGTTTGCCTGTGAGACAAGGCCAGTTTGACTTTCTCATAAAAAATGCATTTTTTGAGGTGGGGGAGGATAGCTGTAGAATAAAAAGTGACTGTTCTATCTATGGCAGGAAAATCAAATCATTTAATTTCCATAGCTTTTCCTCAAACTGTCCGTAAGTTATCATTTTGAAAGAAAACTCCAGAATCTTTCCTGGAATTTCCCAGGATGCTTTGAAAATAATCATAGGTTCTTTGTGCCCCTCACTCGTCTCTGCTTCAACATGTCTGGTTCCTGCTGATTTTAAAGCCCGTTCTATAGCCCAGAAAGCAGATTCTTCCTGGAATGAGAGAAGCTTCTGGTAACCACAGTAACACACCTTTCCAGGGAATCTTCCCATCAACATTTAATAAGTTGAATCATAAATAATGGAACGAAATCTTTCAGCAGAAGACCAGAAGCTGCGACTGGAACACTCAGGAAATGGATAACAGCTGTCTTGAAGGTGATGAGATGCAAGATGGCTTCCTATATTGGAGGCAATTTTTCTAATGAGAGAGAGAACTTGAATCCAGAGTGACCATTCTGTTTACACCACAAGGCAGGAGAGGAAAATGCCAAATAGTTTTAAAAGTGCAATACTACATCCAAAGATATACTGTAGACCTTAATCTAGAGTGTAGATTTTGGCCTCTGTGTATGAATAATTCACTCAGGAATTATTCACAAGTGTGTGTTTTTACAGTCTTGAGTGGGTCCATGAACAGGGTGAAATATGTTATTTTAAACAGCAATTATGTATTGAGTACCTCATGCATGCCAAAGTGTTCTGGTTCTTGGAAATGGAATAGGAAACAAAGCACATGGAGACACAAAGAAGTAGCAATGTGTAAACAGGTATCTGAGGTACCTGCAATAGTAGTTAGTTAAGTTGAAAGTGTAGAAGTAAGAAGAGAGTTGCAGGCAGAGGCAAATAGTTCAGGAAAGGCAGGCAAAGACCTAGGTGCAAAGACATCACTGTGTATTTGCAAGTGAAGTTCCTTCAGCATATTGGTCTCCAGCCAATAATAATAATAATAATAATAATAATAATTTACATTACAAAATTTTGGGGAGGCCAGGTGCAGTGGCTCACTCCTGTAATCCCAGCACTTTGGGAGGCCGAGGCAGGTGGATCACTTGAGGCCAGGAGTTCAAGATCAGCCTGGCCAACATGGCGAAGCCACATCTCTACTAAAAATACAAAAATTAGCCAGGCGTAGTGGAGCATGCCTATAATCCCAGCTACTGGGGAGGCTGAGGCATAAGAATTGCTTGAACCCGGGAGGAAGAGGCTGTAGTGAGCCGAGATAGCACTGCCCTCCAGCCTGGGTGACAGAGTGAAAGACCCTCTCAAAGAAACAAAAAATTTGTTTGATATGGCAGGAAGTGCTCCAGGTGTTTGGGGTACAATCATCAGCAAAGCAGAGGAAAAAGTTTCTTGTCTTAATGAAGCATATTCTGTGATCCATCCTCGTTGTCCCCTCTTCCTCCTCCCAAATTCTTATGATAAAGGAAGGAGGGAGTTAATATGCACTGCTAATTCAAACCTACTAAGGTTTTGGAGTAATAGAAAATTCCCCACCTTTAATTTGTCTCAATGAATAGCTGCTTCATAAAAATTAAAGAGGCTCCTAAAATTTGCTATTTACTGTGCTAGGTCCAGGCAATGAAAAGATTAACTTTACCTATAGATTCAATGCAATCATGATCAAAATCCCAGCAAGTTATTTTGCAGATATTGACAAACCGAGTTTGAAGTTTGTGTGGAAAGGTAAAAGACCCAGAACAGCCAACCACAATATTGAAAGAGAAGAAGAAAATCAGAAGGCTGATTCTACTCGACTTCGAGACTTCCTATGAGGCTACAATTATCAAAAAAGTATGGTGTTTGTGAAAAATAAATGCAGAAATCAGTGGAACAAAATGGACAGCCCAGATATAGACTCACGGGAACATAGTAAACTGGTCTTTGACACAGGAGCAAAGGCAATCCAATGGAGAAAGGATAGTCTCTTCAATAAAAGGTGCTGGCACAATTGGACATCCACACACAAACAAATGAGTCTAGGCAGACTTTACACCTTTCACAAAATTATCTCAAGTGAATCATAGACCTGAACTTAAAATACGAAACTATAAAACTCCTAGATGATAACATAGGAGAAAATCCTTTCACTCTCATCATTGAAAATGGGCAAGGCAGTTGGTCATCTCATACAATGGTATTGGCATCTCCTTCTTATAGAAATAGTGAGCGTTTGACAAGTATTTTCTACGTGCAACACATTTCTGTTTAATATCTACAATTCAGTGATGTGAGACAAAGCTGAGATTTCAAGTAGAACAAAAATTTTCCATAGGTGATTCTACTAGTAAGTAATAGCAACAAGATAGCCATAAACTCCATTACCTCAAAGTCTTAGTCACTCTTAGACACTAATCTGATACTGCCTGGTTTGCTTCTTAGGCAAGTTAGAGGTATTTTGGTGGTTGACCTATTTTGCTAAATATTTAATCTGGTATTAGTTATTGCAGGATGTTTCTTTAAAATAATTCCAATTATAGGTTTCTTTAATTGTTGCATCTACATGTGTGCATGCACACACACATTTTATCAATAATTCAGAAAACGTTTACCTGAATTCAAATAATGTGAAATGTTTGCCTCTCCCACTGAGTTGTGAGTTTCAAGAGTGCAAACACAATGTATAAATAGCATGTAGTATGTCATCTGGTATATATTAATGCTTAATAAATATTCATTGCATAAATTAGACTTCTCTTATAAGACAGATTTTTAGAAACTATGTAGATGTCAGGAAATAGCCTATGGTTACTGTCTCTTTGTATCAGTGGAGATGAGACCACAAAAAAAGATGTAGCAGTTAAAATTTGTCACTCTGTCAGACAGCACTTGAGCACCCTGACGCTAGTCTTATCCCTTGTCCCAACCTGCTGCCTTTCTCTCATCTGGCTTCTGTCTCTTCCTGTTCCCTTGGTAAATTATTTTTTTCTAGTTTCTCATAGTTTGCTGTTGTATCAGCTATAGCTAGCCTTTACAAATCACCTCTAACCTTCACTTCTAGTATTCTCTCTTGCTTATTCTCCTGATGGCTCAATGCACCTGGCCCTAGCGGGCTTCCCCAGGATCATCGTCCCTTCTCTTGTCAACTGGTATCTTATAAGTTTGATAGGATATAAAGATGAACCTCCTGGCACTATTGTGTGGGGTTTAATAATAAAAATACAGAACACTCAAGTGTGATCTTTTGATTTTTAAAAATACTGTTTAGTTACTAAGAGCACCAGAAAGAAAATATTTGTGCAGTTATGTCACCTATTTAACAAAAAATAATACATCCACTTAAAATGAGTTCTTTAAGGAAGCACAATCTGATTCTTGGTTTTTAAATGTTTTCGGTAAACTCAGTTTTTGTAGTAATTGTGGTTCATATTAATTTTAAAGTTAATTTTGAAAACAAAGAAAAATGATGTAGATTTTATGAAAGTGGTTTTAAAGTTGCTCAAAATTTGTAAAGAAAGTCTAATTTTTATTTCTCATGTAATTATTCAAATAACGAAATGAACTCAGGAAGCAACAGATGTTGGCGAGGCTGTGGAGAAATAGGAACACTTTTACACTGTCGGTGGGAGTGTAAATGAGTTCAACCATTGTTGAAAACAGTGTGACGATTCCTCAAGGATCTAGAACCACAAATACCATTTGACCTAGCAATCCCATTACTGGGTACATACCCAAAGGATTATAAATCATTCTACTATAAAGACACCTGCACACATATGTTTTTTGCAGCACTGCTCACAATAGCAAAGCCTTGGAACCAACCCAAATGCCCATCAATGATAGACTGGATAAGAAAATTAACACAAGAACAGAAAACCAAACACCACATGTTCTCACTCATAAGTGGGAGTTGAACAATGAGAACACATGGACACAGGGAGGGGAACATCACACACTGGGGCTTGTTGGGGGTGGGGGGAAGGGGGAGGGATAGCATTAGGAGAAATACCTAATGTAGATGACCAGTTGATGGGTGCAGCCAACCACCATGGTACATGTATGCCTATATAACAAACCTGCATGTTCTGCACATGTATCCCAGAACTTAAAGTATAATAAATAAATAACAACAACAACAACAAAATGAAGTGCATAGATGTAATTAATGGGGCGATTTATGAGAGCTGTTTCTTTTTGTGAAATTGCCAGAAATACAAAGTTTAGTTCATTAATGCTTTAGCAAACATCTTCTAACATTATAAATTCTTTGGATAATACAATATGCGTTAAGATATCCGCTCCCCTCCACAGGGCTGGGCTCAGTGGCTCATACCTGTAATCCCAGCACTTTGGGAGGCTGAGGCAGGTAGATCACGAAGCCAGGAGATCAAGACCATCTTGGCTAACACGATGAAACCTGTCTCTACTAAAAATACAAAAAATTAGCCAGGCGTGGTGGTGGGTGCCTGTAGTCCCAGTTACTAGGGAGGCTGAGGCAGGAGAATCGCTTGAACCTGGGAGGCAGACGTTGCAGTGAGCCAAGATCACGCCACTGCACTCTAGCCTGGGAGACAGAGCGAGACTCCATCTCAAAAAAAAAAAAAAAAGATTTTCCCCCACACTGTGGGAAGCCAGGGCACTATGAGCAGAAAACAGATTCTGTCGCCATCATTCCACAGAAACTCAGTGGGCCTCTCTGGCAGGGCATGAAGGAGTTTGGTCCTTGGTCTAATTAGTCATCCTCCCTCTGGGACTCTGCTTAGAAGTCTAAGTTAAGGCTTGCCGTGTTTCCTTGCAGCCATAGGTAAATCCATTTCAATTCAGCAGCATTCCCTTGATTGGAACACATTTGAGGATTTGGAAGCAGAGCAGAGCAAGCTCAAGGGTTAGAGTCTGGAGCTGCCAGTTAACAGAATTGGCAGTCACCCATCCGAAGCTTTTTGGTCTAAGGAGGCTGCTTCCCTCTCATGAGGAAGTCAGAACCATATAGCCCAAAACCCAGGTGGCTCTCCTCTGTGGCTTGTGGTTTCCCTCAACTTTATTCCCCAAGCCTGAGGCCTGCTAACAATTCTGGGATGACATATACATACAGTCACGGTTACGTAGGTGGGGATGAAGATAAACACGCAAGTCAATCCCACAAATATGGGTGATGTGTCTCCTATGTGTCAGGCATCATCCTATGCAACCGGAAATGGAGATGCCATTGTTTCTTTATCTAAGTAGCTTATTGTTTTATGCTAATTCTATGTTGCTCTCAATTTACCCCTTTCCATACATATGGAAGGAAAATTAGGGACCAGAGTACTCTGTTATGAGAGTATTATGGAGAATTGGACAGAGCACACTGAATTTGGAGTCATATGACTATTTGATCCCTGGTTCAATCACTTACAAGTAATGTCCTTGTGCAAAATTAACTAATTAAATATTTCTTAAACGCTGTGTACATTTTGTTTACATTGTTAAGTTTCAAGGATACTAATATAAGTGAGACATGATCACTGTCTTCAAGATATTTATTTTTACACCATCTAAGTTTAATTTATTACCTATTAAAATATCATTATAATAATCACTGTTCTTTCTAATTTGAGTTATCATAAAAATCCAATCTGTTAAGACATATGGAAAATATTAATTGCAAAAGATTGTACAATTATATCTGGTAGATTTATATAGATTATTACTTTCAAGTAATTTTTAAAGGGTGAGGTATCCAAAGTAGAACTTCTATGTAAAAGAAATAACAACAAAACACCTCTCAGAACTTTCAGATCATTGTTTTGCCCCTTACAACAGTGATTCTTCAAGTGTGTTCCCTGGACCAGCAGCACTGGTATCTCTTGAGAACTTATTAGAAATGCAAATTATCAGAAATGTGAATTATCTGGCCCCACCCAGACCTAACGAATCAAGAACTCTGAGGATGTGACCGAGCAATCTGTGTTTTAAGAAGTCCTGCTCCTAGTTATATGCAAGTCACAGAGGACTAGTATTGTAGCCAGCCACACCATCATGCCTTTCTGAGGTTAGTATAATTTAGGCCAGCAGTTTTTCAAAGGTAACTTCAGGTGCAGAGTTTGGGTCTGAGATGATAAGAAGATTTAAGGAAAGTCTGATTTATGCAAATGGTAACTGTACATGGCTTCGTCTTTCATTGGTTAACAATTTCATTCACCAGACATTTTCTGAACACATATTATGTACCAAACATTATACTTAATTTTTTTCTTAGCTCTCTATTTATTATGTGGCTCTGCTCTTTACAAATGACATGACACATTTTAAAAATATTTTAAAAAGGAATATTCTGATGTTGCTCTTCAGACCTAGAAGATAACTTTGTTTTCAAAGATCTATTTTCTTTTTCCTCTCCCTTATTTTATTTCATTGTCTTTTTCCTTCAATAAAGTGCCAGAGAAGACAATGGAGGCTAATATGTTGATTCATTTTCCTTGTGAATAAGAAGGTCTTATTGAAAACTCTCCATGAAAAGCATGTCTTTGTTTAACTGCAATCCCACAATAACCTGGAAACCTTGAAGAGGCAATTCTAGCTTGAAAGCTGAAACATCTTACTGCTTGCCAAAAGCAAGAAGGACCTGCACTTTGGGATTTGGGGAAATTTTATGTATTTGGAGGAACATTCCCTTGATTATATCTTCTTCAGAGACCAGAAACAAGGCATTTAGAAACAGCTGTGCAATAGGAAGCTATTGGAGTAGATCCTTCATGTTCCTTTAATTGGTCCAACACAAATTTTTCTGAGAGGAAGACTTCAGAGCAGTGGTTAGAACATCTGAGCTGAGCTGCAAGTGTTTCTTTAGTTTATGTCACAGTCGTTTCCCCATATTCTCTGATAGACAGTTGATTTGGGGGAAATAAATTGAAGAACTTTTGTGCAGCATCTTCTTTCTCTGTATCCCTATATTATTTTCTGCTTCCTCTCTCTGAAAATCTCAGTGCTTTTAAGAAAAAAAAAAATAACCCAATGAAGTTGATACAGTCTATGGTGAACGTCATCTACTATGTTTCCCTCCCAGGCTGCCAGCCTCATTTATTGAAATACTTTAACATTGTTGTTATTTATTAAATTAATGTAATGAGTTTTATAAGAAAAAATTTTAATAGGGAAATTTTCATTTTATAAGGAAATTACCTGGGGAATATAATATTTAACACAGAAAAGCATAAAAATAGTCAACATGTGATATCACCATTGATGGATGCAGGAGGTATTTTGATTTTAGAGTGAGGGGATGGTAGTTTTCTGGCTGTCCCCAAAGTCACATTAAAGAGAATGACAATATAAAGAAAAATACAGATCTGATAGTTCATATGTTATTACTAAATAAAAAATCATTTTATTTCTCTAGATATCAATTTCATCTGAAAATAATATTAACTTTAACAAATCCTTATTATGCACTGTTCTAAGCATTTATCAATTATGAAGTAATTAAGTTTATGTTACAACCCTATAACAATTAATGTGTCAACTTGACTGAGCCACAGGGTGCCCAGACATTTGACCAAACATTATTCTGGGTGTGTCTGTGAGGGTGTTTCTGGATGAGATTAACATTTGAATCAGTAGACTGAATAAAGCAGATTGCAGTCCTTCATGAGAGTGGACCTAATCCAGGACTTCAAGACCTGGATACTAAAGGCTGAATGAGGTGGAATTTTTTTCTGCTTAACTGCCTTGAGCTGGGACATTTGTATTTTTCAGCCTTCTGACTAGGATTGAAACATCCACTCTTCTTGACTTTCAAGCCTGCTGACTTTTGGACTGGAACTCACACCATTGTCTTTTCTGGTTCTCAGGCCTTCAAACTCAAACTGGTACTACACATTGGATCTCCTGGGTTTTTAGCTTGGTGATTGCCGATCTCAGGCAATTCTAATAATGTAAGGCAATTCCTTATAATAAATCTTGTGCATATACGTATACACAAACACACACAACACATTCTGTTGGTTCTGTTTCTCTGGAGAACTCTAATACTAACCCTATGTTGTAGTTACTATTGATATCTTCATTTTAAAGATAGAGAAACACACACTAAGAAGTTAAATAATTTTTCTTTGGTGGTTTAAATGTATGTTCAAAGATTCTTTGACATTCTTCTGAAGAGGTCAAGCTTAATTCCTCTCCTTGATTTTGGGCTGGACATAATAATTAAATTCTAATGAATGATATAGGGCAGAGGCGATAGTCATACTTCTTAAGACTAAGTTGTAAAAACATAATGGCTTTTATCTTGAGCACCCTCTCTCCATTTCTCTCTGCCTTTCTCTCTCTTTCTCAGGTCCCTTGCAGCAGAAAAAGCCAGCTACTATGTCTGTAAGCAGCTCTACAAAAACAACTACGCAGTGAGGAACTGAAACCTCCTGCCAACAGCCACAGCAGTTAGCTTGGATTCTCAGGCCTGATCCTGAGCCAAAACCAGCTAGCTAAGCCTCTCCTAGATTCCTCACTTTCAGATGTGATGTGTGATAAATGTTTGTTGTTTTAAGCTGCCAACTTCAGGATAATTTGTTACATAGCAATAGATAACAAATGCATTTGCCAAAGGTTACACAGGAACCAGGACCCAAGCCCAAGCCCAAGCAGTGTTCTGCAAAGTCAATGATTTTACCCAGTACCTCCTGTTGTCTCTCTTGATGACACAGTGTCACAGACCACAAACCTACCATTACTATCCCCATCCCAAAGTAACCCTGATATCACAGGAAGCCATGACCTTCATAGTTCCACAACTAGGTTTTACGGATCTTTAGGAATAAAATAAATAAATAAATAAAAGAAATGGCATTTCTTGTCTTCGGCCTCCAAAAGTGCTGGGATTACAGGCTTGAGCCACCACGCCCGGCCCCCAATAGGTAGTTTTTTGATCCTCTCTCTCCTCCCTCCATCGACCTTCAAGTAGGTTCCAGTGTCTGTTTTTTCCCTTTCCTGTGTCCATGTATTCTCAATGTTTAGCTACTACTTACAGGTGACAACATATGGTGTTTTGTCTTCTGTTCCTATGTCAGTTCACTTAGGATGATGGCTTCCAGCTTTATCCAAGTTGCTGCAAAACAACATGATCTCATTCTTTCTTATGGTTATATAGTATCCCATAGTATATATGTACCACATTTTCTTTATCTAGTCTAGTATTGATGGGCATTCAGGTTGATTTCATGTATTTGCTATTGTGAATAGTGCTGCAATGAACATATGTGTGTATGTGTCTTTATGGTAGCGTGATTTTATATTCCTTTGGGTATATACCCATTAATAGGGTTGCTGGGTCAAATGGTAAATCTGTCTTAATTTATTTGAAAAATGACCAAATTGCAGCTGGGCGTGGTGGCTCAAGCCTGTAATGCAGCCGGCACTTTGGGAGGCTGAGGTGGGCAGATCATGAGGTCAGGAAATAGAGACCATCCTGGCCAACATGTTGAAACCCCATCTCCACTAAAAATACAAAAATTAGCTGGGTGTGGTGGCATGTGCTGGTAATCCTGGCAACTCCGGAGGCTGAGGCAGGAGAATCGCTTGAACCTGGGAGGCAAAGGGTGCAGTGAGTCAAGATCACGCCACTGCACTCCAGCCTGATGACAGAGTGAGACTCCATCTCAAAATAAAATAAAATAAAATAAATAAAATAAAATAACCGAACTGCTTTTCACAATGGCTGACCTAATTCACATTTTCACCAGTAGCGTATAAATGTTCCCTATGACAATTTGATCTCCGAGGAAGCTGACAAAAACAAACAATTGGGAAAGGACTCCTTATTCAACAAATGATGCTGGAATAACTGGCTAGCCATATGCAGAAGATTGAAACTGGACCTTTCCTTAGAGTGATACAAAAATCAATTCAGGATGAAGTAAAGACTTAAATGAAAAACCTAAAACTATAAAAACTCTGCATGATAACCTAGAAAATACCATTCATTTTTTCTTCTTTGTTGATGGACCTCAGAGATGTTCTCATCAAACCTCACTTAACACAAGAGAGATTCAGGCTCTGTTCTGCCTCAGCCCAAGAGACTGACTGAGAGTTGAATGCTTGTCATTTTACTTTTCTTATTAAAAATAATATTTTGGGAGACACAATCTGACTAATTGAAGTCTCTGCTTAATTGAGATCTAATTTAATAACTTTCTGATATTTTCAAAGAGTAATGACGTGTGACATAACAGTGCCCACTTCCCCAGAGGCACTGCTTATGACAGTATAATAAGGTTCATGATGAATTGCTATTCCCCAAATGTGCCTTGCTTCTCACCTCCAGGCTTTTCATAGGCAGCTTCCACTGCCTGGAAAACCACTTCTCCCCTGGCATTCTCTCCCACTCTATCTTAAATTTAGCCACCTCCATTTTCTTCTTCAAGACTCAGCTACATGGTCAATATCTTCTAAGGAAGCTTCTTGCTGTCATTTTACCAACAGTTATCCCTTGGGCTTCAACAGCAATTTACATAGCATAATGTAGAATAAAGAATGTGTTTTGGAAACAAGTAAACCTTGATTTTAGTCAAGCTTGTTATATATATTAGCTTTGTGTTCTTGGGTAATTTTTCCAACCCCTCTCTCTATACCTTGATCTTCTAACTATCAAATGAAGATAATATAATTGTGAAGATTAAATGATTATATCATTGAGAATGATTCCTGCATAGGTCTTAAGTATATATTAGCTATTATTTATAATGTTTTAAGTACATGTAACAGTCAATTCAAAACTTTCAAAACACTCTCTGTTTTAGAATAAATATTTTTTGAATGAACATATGTATTCATGTTATTTTTGTCCTCACAGCAGTGATGGCTGACTGTGAAAGAATGAGAGAAATTCTTACTTATTTCTCCCTATTTGCTCTCCATTTAAAATATAACCCCAAATGAATTAGCTACACTTGTTTTTTATCCAAATCATCTTGCTAACTTTTTTTGAAATTGTAACTATTTTTTATTGTAAATACTTTTTATATTTATATATTTATTTTTTATTATATTTTAAGTTCTGGGATACATGTCCAGAACTTGCAGGTTTGTTACATAGGTATACATGTGCCATAGTGGTTTGTTGCACCCATCAACCTGTCATCTACATTAGGTATTTCTCCTAATGCTATCCTTCCCCCTTCCCCCTTCCCCCAACCCTTGACAGGCCCTAGTGTGTGATATTCCCATCCCTGTGTCCACGTGTTCTCATTGTTCAGTTCCCATTTATGAGTGAGAACATGTGGTATTTGGTTTTCTGTTCTCGTGTTAGTTTGCTGAGAATGATGGTTTCCAGCTTCATCCATGTTCTTGCAAAGGATGTGAACTCATCCTTTTTTATGGCTGCATAGTATTTCCACTGTGTATGTGTGCCACATTTTCTTTATCCAGTCTATCATTGATGGGCATTTGCGTTGGTTCCACATGTTTGCTATTGTGAACAGTGCTGCAATAAACATACATGTGAATGTGTCTTTATAGTAGAATGATTTATAATCCTTTGGGTATATACACAGTAATGGGATTGCTGGGTCAAATAGTATTTCTAGTTCTAGATCCTTGAGGAATCGCCACACTGTCTTCCACAATGGTTGAACTCATTTACGCTCCCACCAACAGTGTAAAATCATTGCTAATTCTCCACATCCTCTCCAGCATCTGTTGTTTCCTGACTTTTTAATGATTGCCATTCTAACTGGCGTGAGATGGTATCTAATTGTGGTTTTGATTTGCATTTCTCTAATGACCAATGACGAGCATTTTTTCATATGTTTGTTGGCTGCATAAATGTCTTGTTTTGAGAAGTGTCTGTTCATATCCTTTGCCCACTTTTTGGTGGGGTTGTTTGTTTTTTTCTAGTACGTTTGTTTAAGTTCCTTGTAGATGTTGGATAATAGCCCTTTGTCAGATGGATAGATTGAAAAAGATTCCTCCCATTCTGTAGGTTGCCTCTTCACTCTGATAGTTTCTTTTGCTGTGCATCTGCTCTTTAGTTTAATTAGGTCCCACTTATCTATTTTGGCTTTTGTTGCCATTGCTTTGGAGGTTTACTCATGAAGTCTTTGCCCATGCCTATGTCCTGAATGGTATTGTCTAGGTTTTCTTCTAGGGTTTTTATGGTTTTAGGTCTTACGTTTAAGTCTTTAATCCATCTTGATTTAATTTTTGTATAAGGTATAAGGAAGGGATCCAGTTTTAGCTTTCTGCATATGGCTGGCCAGTTTTCCCAACACCGTTTATTAAATAGGGAATCCTTTCCCCATTGCTTATTTTTGTCAGGTTTGTCAAAGATCAGATGGTTGTACATGTGTGGTGTTTTTTCTGAGGCCTCTGTTCTGTTCCATTGGTCTATATCTCTGTTTTGGTACCAGTACCATGCTGTTTTGTTTACTGTAGACTTGTAGTATGGTTTGAAGTCAGGTAACATGATGCCTCCAGCTCTGCTCTTTTTGTTTAGGATTATCTTGGCTATGCAGGCTCTTTTTTGGTTCAATGTGAAATTTAAAGTAGGTTTTTTTCTACTTCTGTGAAGAAAGTCAATGGTAGTTTGATGGGGAAGGCATTGAATCTATAAATTACTTTGGGCAGTATAGCCATTTTCACGATATTGATTCTTCCTATTCATGAGCATGGAATGTTTTTCCATTTGTTTGTGTCCTGTCTTTACTTCCTTGAGCAGTGGTTTGTAGTTCTCCTTGAAGAATTCTTTCACATCCCTTGTAAGTTGTATTCATAGGTAATGTATTCTCTTTGTAGCAATTGTGAATGGGAGTTCACTCATGATTTGGCTCCCTGTTTGTCTATTATTGGTATACAGGAATTAGCTGTCTAATATTGACAATGTGGTGTTAAAGTCTCCCACTATTATTGTGTGGGAGTCTATGTCTCTTTGTAGGTCTTTAAGAGCTTGCTTTATGAATCTGGGTCCACCTGTATTGGGTGCATATATATTTAGGATAGTTAGCTCTTTTTGTTGCATTGATCCTTTTACCATTATGGCATGCCTTTCTTTGTCTCTTGATCCTTGTTGGTTTAAAGTCTGTTTTATCAGAGACTAGGATTGCAACCCCTGCTTATTTTTATTTTTATTTTTTTGCTTTACATTTGCTTGGTAAATCTTCCTCAATCCCTTTATGTTGAGCCTGTGCGTGTCTTTGCACATGAGATGGGTATCCTGAATACAGCACACTGATGAGGTCTTGACTCTTTATCCAATTTGCAAATCTGTGTCTTTTAATTTGGGGCATTTAACCCATTTACATTTAAGTTTCGTATTGTTATGTGTGAATTTGATCCTGTCATTATGATGCTAGCTGGTTATTTTGCTTGTTAATTGATGCAGTTTCTTCATAGCCTCAATGGTCTTTACAATTTGGTATGTTTTTGCAGTGGCTAGTACCGGTTGTTCCTTTCCATGTTCAATGCTTCCTTCAAGAGCTTTTGTAAGGTAGGCCTCCTGGTGACAAAATCTCTCCACATTTGCTTGCCTGTAAAGGGTTTTATTTCTCCTTCGCTTATGAAGCTTAGTTTGGTTGGATATGAAATTCCAAACTAAGCTTCGCTTATGAAGCTTAGTTTGGCTAGATATGAAAATAATGAAAATTCTTTTCTTGAAGAATGTTGAATATTGGCCCACACTCTCTTCTGGCTTGTAGGGTTCCTGCCTAGAGATCTGCTGTTAGTCTGATGGGCTTCCCTTTGTGGGTAACCTGACCTTTCTCTCTGGCTGCCCTTAACATTTTTCCTTCATTTCAACCTTGGTGTATCTGACGATCATGTGTCTTGGGTTGCTCTTCTCGAGGAATATCTTTGTGGTGTTCTCTGTATTTCCTGAATTTGAATGTTGGCCTGCCTTGCTAGGTTGGGGAAGTTCTCCGGGATAATATCCTGAAGAGCGTTTTCCAACTTGATTCCATTCTCCCAGTCACTTTCAGGTACACCAATCAAATGTAGATCTGGTCTTTTCACATAGTCCCATACTTCTTGGAGGCTTTGTTCTTTTTACCCTTTTTTCTCTAATCTTGTCTTCTTGCTTTATTTCATTGAGTTTATCTTCAATCTCTGGTATCCTTTCTTCCACTTGATCGATTTGGCTATTGATACTTGTGTATGCATCACGAAGTTCTTGTGCTGCGTTTTTCAGCTCCATCAGGTCATTTATGTTCTTCTCTAAGCTGGTTATTCTAGTTTGCAATTTGTCAAACCTTTTTTCCAGGTTTTTACTTCCTTTCATTGGGTTAGAACATCCTTCTGCAGCTCAGAGGAGTTTATGGTTATCCACCTTCTGAAGGCTACTTCTGTCAATTCATCAAACTCATTCTCCATCCAGTTTTGTTTCCTTGCTAGCGAAGAGTTGTGATCCTTTGGAGGAGAAGAGGCACTCTGGTTTTTGGAATTTTCAGGCTTTTTGTGCTGGTTTCTCCCCATCTTCATGGATTTATCTACCTTTGGTCTTTGATGTTGGTAATGTTGATACTACTCCTTTCTGTTTGTTAGTTTTCCTTCTAACAGTCAGGCCTCTGTCATGCAGGTCTGCTGGAGTTTGCTGGAGGTCCACTCCAGACCCTGTGTGCCTGGGTATCACCAGCAGAGGCTGCAGAACAACAAAGATTGCTGCCTGTTCCTACCTCTGGAAGCTTTGTCCCAGAAGGGCACCTGCCAGATGCCAACCAGACTTCTCCTGTATGAGGTGTCTGTTGACCCCTGCCAGGAGGTGTCTCCCAGTCAGGATACAAGGGGGTCAGGGACCCACTTGAGGAAGCAGGCAGTCTGCCTTTATCAGAGCTTGTACACTGTGCTGGGAGAGCCACTGCTCTCTTCAGAGCTGTCAGGCAAGGACATTTAAGTCTGCTGAAATCAGCTGCCCCTTCCCACATGTGCTCTGTCCCAGGGAGCTGCTATGGACTCCACCCAGTTCCAACTTCCTGGCGTCTTTGTTTACCCTATGAAGGTAAAACCACCTATTCAAGCCTTAGCAATGGCGGATGCCCCTCCCCTGACACCTTCCCAGGTCTACCTCAGACTGCTGTACTAGCAGGGAGAATTTCAAGCCAGTGGATCTTAGCTTGCTGGGCTCCGTAGGGGTGGGACCCGCTGAGCCAGCCGAGTCAGGCACCAGAGAGAACCTCCTGGTTTGCTGGTGGTGAAGACCCTGTGAAAAGCACAGTATCTGGGCTGGAATGCACCGTTCCTCCTGGTACAGTTTCTCTTGGTTTCTCTTGGCTAGGAAAGGGAATTCCCCCAACCACTTGCACTTCCCAGGTGAGGCGACATCCCAACCTGCTTCAGGTCGCATCTTGCCAAATTTTTAAACTTTAAGTTATAAGAATTTCCTTCTTCTCTCTCTTTTACCATCTTAAGCATTTTGTGAGTTTTTCATATTATGCCTTTTATGTAATTCAAATATGAATTTTAATAATTCACATAACTCCTCTTCTGCTATTCCAAGGGCTTGAGAGTTAATCAGTCATTCATTTTATCTAATTATCTTGCTTCAGTCACCACTAGTGATTCACAACTCCTCCTACCTCTGCCCCTACCACCTTCAATCTACTATTCTGCATGGAGACATATTCCTATTATTCTCTGCTAAAAATACTTTATTGGCTGCCCAGGTCTTGAAAATAGGAAATTTCACATATTCGTCACAGTTTGAGTGGAGAAACATTGTCTATTTTTACCTTATTCATTTTCTCTCCTCCTTTGAAACCGTATGGTTTATACTTTCACAACATACCCCCAAACTCTTCCATCTCTAGGCTTTTAACCATGCTCTTCTACTTCCTAGAAAGCCCTGTTTTCTCAACTTTGCTTATGGAAATAATGTTGGCTCACAAAGACCTTCTGGAACATCATGTTCTCCATGAAATCTTTCCTCATCACCTCTCCCTTTCCCCGGTTCCATATGCTCTTGTTTCTCCTTCTAATATCCCCAAGGCCCTGTGCCTTTCACACAGAGCATAAGGCCTGAGAATTTCTCTTAGGCCTTATGCTCTGGAATTTTGTCTCCTTCTTTTGCAAATTTCAAGTTCTGTGTACTTTAACCACCTTGATAATACTTTCCCTGCTGAAGTTTAACACAGTACTTTGCATCTAATAAACACTCAGATCATCAATTGAATAGTATTATATAACCAGTTAAAATGGCTGGCAATGCAAGTATAATTAGAATTACTTATATGCTGTTTAGAACAAATTTGTTTCATTATCCTCAGATTTTTTGCAGGTAAAGAATTCAAGCTGCTGTTTAGGCCTTTCTAGCACAAGTACTTTCAACTAAACATCATCACAATATGGAGAAATCGCATTTGTATATGTTTGGGACTGAAATTGCTGCCTGTCTGCCTCCAAATTACTAGAATACCAAAACTAGCTAACTCAAGATAGACTTTTAACACCATACTTCCTTGTAATGATAATTGCTTTGGGTCCCAAACTGACTTATTTACTAGCTTTTCGATTTGGAAGTCATTTCTTTTTAGGACCTGAAGGGTTTTTGCACTGCCTTGGGAATTGAGCAGCCGCCTTTAATTAGAAAAAGGCCAAGATATTCAACATATGCTAAGATTTGTGACATTTGTGATGGGGCTGCCTTAGGTGAGGAAAGAATGTGGGTTGGGGAAGAATAAATTTATTCATTTTTTTACCTTTTGTTATGATTTTTTCCTGAGTTACTGGGGGAAAAGAAAAACAAAGAATTCTGATTTGTATGTGTCAAACACAGTACAACTGGCTAAACTCAATGGGTATGCTACCATGATTCTATGCTGGTCTATGTGACCAGCATAGAATTTGCTCTCTGCACAACTGCAGGAAATTTAAAACTGTTCAAATAAAGAACAAATGGTACTTGAGAAATAAAATAAATGTTTTTCAAGTTCGTATTGTTAATTATTTTTTTTATTTGGGTTTACGTCCACATTTGATCCAATAATTCTTATCCTTAATAAAAAAGGCATGTTGCAAAACTCCCACCAGAAAGTTGAGAGGTATCTGGAACACAGAAGACAGGTTTGGCTCACAACTCAAAAGGCCCTTGACTCCCAGAGGCAATATTTTTCTTTGAAAATTATTAAGCCCTTCAAATTTTGTTAATAAATCTGTTTGAAGTAAAAATGTGAGTTGTGGAGTATATGCCATTGCTAGCTACAAACGAAAAATGCGGCTTAATTTTGTGTACATATTTTGTGTTTGTTATTTAATATTCTCAGGGTATTTACTCCATTTATACCAAAGGAAACAAGGCAGAAATGTAATGACCTGGAAATCTCAAATTATCTTTGAAATTCACGTCTTAAAAAAAAAAAATCAAAACTTCGGGGATTGTGAAATCAGCAATACAATTTCACTTAGAAGGGAACATTACCCCAAACACAGATGTTTAAAAGAAAAAAAAAAAAAGAAGAAGAAAAGGAAATAGACTTTTCCCCACTTCTCTCTAGAGACTTATGAAAATTACCAAGGACTGAAATAATTAATTGCCACTAAAGGACACATTTCTCAAATATCATTTACATCAAATTTGCAGTTCATTTCTCCCCAAATATTTAATAGCCAATTAAGATGTAAAAATGTGCCTGTTAAATAATATTACAGGCAGGTTAATAGTGAAGCAACAACTTTATGAAATCTAGAAGCTTGTTCTGATTTATTTTTTCAGCAAAAGGATATTAGCATTGATAACCATCTTTCTGGCTGCAGAAGAAAATAAAATATATTATTTCCATACGAGTCTATGACACGTACAAATATATTTAAATTTTAAGAACACCTTAAAATAACAATTCAGCTTTACAAAATTGTCACATCAGGAGAAAATTGGTTGCCTTAGAAAATAAAACACCACTTCATCAACTGCTACTGTAAAGTCCCCTAAATAGTGTATTCCTGACTGCATTTAATAATTTTGTTTTAAGACAAAAAGTTATGGAGGCCAAAGAATGCATAACTGAGAATAATGTAATGCAATAATTATTTTTGTGATTTTAATTGTATTCAATTCTATGGGCATTTTTTAGTTTCCTTATTTTGGGTGGTGAATTGTAGTACTGGACATTCTAGAATAATTTGTTCCTAAAAAAATCTTTCTTCAGGGCACACTGACAAAGTTTTCATTTCTTTCTTTCTGGAAAACTATACACATACACACACATACACACACATCAAGTCATATGCATTATATATATTTAAACATATATATACATAAATATGCATGTATAACTTGGTTGAGATATAATTTATATTCGATAAAATGTATCCACTTAAGCATACAAGTTGATGAATTTTGAAAAATGTATCTACCACCATTATCAAGAGAACCAACATTTCATCATCCCATTGAGTTTCTTGTCCTCTTTTATATCAGTCTCCATAATCTCGTTACAGATGAAGCAAACACAGATCTGCTTTTTACCACTAGCAATTAGTTTAACCTGTTCTAATATTTCTGTATATAGGAAAATACAGCAGGCCCCTTTTGTATCTTTCTGCATTCACTCATCATAAAGCCTTTGAGATCCATACGTGCTGTTTCTTTTTTGATCATTAGTAATTTGATTGAACAAATTCAAGTTTGTTTATCTATTCACCTATTGATGGACAATTGAGTTGTTTCCAACCTGGAACTATTATGAAAAAGGCTGCTACAACCATTGTTGTATAGATATTTGTGTCCATATATGTTTGCATTTCTATTAATAGGTATCCAGGAGGGAAATTTCTGTCATTCTGAAGTTGTATGTTTAAATTTATAAAAAACACCCAAAGTAGTTCTTAGGTTCTCCAATGTCTTTTTCACATTTTATTCTTCCCTTGCAATACATAATAATTTACATGTCTTTATATCTCTGGAAAAATTTGCTAGTGTCAGTCTTTTTTAAATTTTAGCTCTTTTAGTGAATATTGATGCATCCTGTGGTTTTAATTTTCATTTCTTTGATAACTAATGTTGAGTACTTTTTCATGTGCTGATTAGCCATTTGTGTTTCTTTTTTGCTAGAGTGTTCACATTTTTGCCCATTTTAAAAACTGTGTTTTCTTCTCTTTTTATTATAAATTGTTTATGATGTAATCTGGATAAAGTATATTCTTAGAAAAATGTTTTACAAATATTTTTACCCAGTGTGTGTGTCTTATAAGCTTGTCTTTTCATTTTATTCATAGTGTTTCTTTAAAAGCAGAATTTTTTAAAATTTTGATGAAATACAATTTACTTTTTTTTTCTTTACAGTTATGGGTTTAGAATCTCTGTCTTAAAGAAAAACACAAACTTTGCTCACCACATGATTATAAAGATTTCCTTTGATGTTTGCTTTTGTTTCTATGTTTCATTTCACATTAATTTTTTCATTTGGTAGGTGGTAAAGATTAAGGTTACTAATTTTTAAAAATATGGTTATCTAGTTCCAGTACCATTTATTGAAAATAATTTTATTTCTTCATTAAAATACTTTGGTACTTTTGACAAAAATGAATTGACTTTATATGTGTGCTCTATGTGTAGAATCTATTCTGTTTTATTATTCTGTACATCTCTCCTTATGCCAATATCGCACAGATAGTTTTTTAATCCTACACTTTTTCTTTTCTTTCTGGGACTTTGATTACATTAATGTCAGCTCCTTTGTTATTGTTCCTGAGCTCTCTCTTATCTGCAATGTTTTGTAAATTTTTGTTTCCATCTACCTTCTATTTTTCAGATTGGACAATTTATTTTGATAGATTTTCCAATTTATTACATTTTCTCCTCTCATCTCCATTCTTTTATTGAACACAATTGTGAGGTTAGTTTTTTTGTAGTTTTTCAATGTATTTTTAGTTTAAAATTCTCATTTAGTTCTACCTTATACCTTATATTTTTTTTTAACCAAGACTACCTATTTTAAAAAGCTTGTGGCAAGAGGGTTTGTAATTGTTTTCTGGAACATTTTTAAGCTAGTTGCTTATCTTAGTCACAGTGGGCTACCATAAGAAAACACCATGGACTGAAAGGCTTCAACAATGGAAATGTGTTTTTCATGGTGGTAGATGCTGGGAGTTTGAGATCAGGGTCCCAGCCTGGTTGGGTTCTAATGAGGGCTTTCTTACTCCCTTGTAGGTGTCCACCTTCTGGCTATATCCTCACAGGGCAGAGAGAAAGAGAGAAGCTCTCTGGTGTCTCTTTTTATAAAGACACTAATTCTGTCATACCAAGACCTCATTCTCATGATATATTCTGTTGCTAATTACCTCCCAAAGGCCCCATCTCCAAATACCATCACATTAGGGGTTAGTTAGGGCTTAAACCAACAAATTTGTGTGGCACAATCATGAAGTCCACAACATTGCTTTAATATCATTGTCAAATAATTTTAACATTTGTGTCATCTCAGTTTTAGTATCTACTAATTGTCTTTTAAGTTGATATCAATATTATATTGGCTCTTGCTAAAATGAATAATTTTGAATTATACTATACATTATAATAATTATATTACAAGACTTTGGCTCCGATTTGCATCTTCTATTTAGCAGGCAGTAAGCCTATTTAGCTCCAAAATACATACACTTGTCTACTTTTGTGGGTTGTGGTCCAAATGTCAGTTTGGTTTTCAAAGCCTTTGCAGTGCTAATTCGGACTGCCTCATTTGTGTTTGCCAGAGGCTTACCTGAATCCTGGGTGATGTTCCAGACGAGGTCTCAGTTCTCCACTCTTTTGCTTTGCTGTTTCTTGTCATTTTTATGCTCGGGTCACTCAGAGGTCTGCTGGGGAATTCAGGCTCATACCGAGTTTGACAATCCTTTCCTGCAACTTCATCCTCTCTGAATTCATCCCCCAACTCTATTGTTATGAGGGGGTGCATTTCCTTGTTATTGCAGAATTGTCAATAAAGACTGGGTATTGCCCATAGCATCTGTAGCTGCAGAACAGAAATTCCATCGTGTTGTTCCTCAAGTCCTGCGACTCCCAGGTAGACTTCCTTTGCTCCAACTATTATAGCATTTGGTGAGTTGTTTTAGTAAATTGTCTATGGTTTTATTGTTGTTTGTGAAATGATGATGTTGGAATGTGCTTATTATGTCAAAGCTGGAAGGAAGTTTTATAGCAGTCTTTTCATCCTATGATTTGAGGTCTTTGAAAGCTTGTAAATTTTTCTGTTATAATTTCTTAATATATTCTTTGTCATATTTTTTTCTCTCCTCTCCTTCTAGGACTCCAATTAAACATGTGATTTTTTTCTACTTTATTCACTATGTCTTTTAGTCTCTCTTTTGCATTTCTCCATCATTTCTGAATTTTTCTTCTTACCTATTACCTAATGTATTGTAACTTCTTCAGTGCCAAGTACTCCGTTAAGTCAGTCCATTGAATTATTAATTTTTGATATTATATATTTCAGCTCCAGGATTGCTATTTGGTTCTTTTATTCCTTAAACAATTTCAGTTCTATGTCCAAATAATCCATCCTATCTTTTATTACTTAATGTACTAAGCAGTTACTTTAACCTCTATGCCAAATAATTCCATTATCTGGAATCCCTGTCTGTCCCTGTATTTTTCTGGGGTTTATATGTGTCTGGTGATTTTTTCATTGACTGCTGTGCATTGTATGTGAACAGATTGTACAAATAATTTGAAACTTAAGATGATGTTATATTTCTTCAGAATAGATGCATTTCCCCTGTCTTCTGCAAGGATGCTGGGGTACTGGTGATGCCATATGACCTAAGTCCTATTTTAGGGATTGGTAAGAGTTAAAGCTGGTTTCATCTATGCTAGAATTTTTCTACTTGCGGTTCATCCCTTCCTTATTTCATTTTTATTTTATTTTATTTATTTAGTTAGTTTTTTTGAGATGGAGTCTCGCTCTGTCACCCAGACTGGAGTGCAGTGGCCCGATCTCGGCTCACTGCAAGCTCCGCCTCCCGGGTTCACGCCATTCTTCTGCCTCAGCCTCCCGAGTAGCTGGGACTACAGGTCCCCGCCACCACACCTGGCTAATTTTTTGTATTTTTAGTAGAGACAGGGTTTCACCGTGTTAGCCATGATGGTCTCGATCCCCTGACCTCGTGATCCGACCGTCTCAGCCTCCCAGAGTGCTGGGATTACAGGTGTGAGCCACTGCGCCCAGCCCCTTCTTTAAAAGCATAGTCTTTCAAGGCCCCAACCTAACGTGTGTGGGTTTTATCATGCACCTACCTATGGTTGGCCTTGGACCCCACATTTTAGATCTCTCAGCTCATAAGACTATCAAGATCTCTGTTAGGCTCTCAGTATTTTCTTCTGCAATTGGCAAGTGCCACTAGGACAAGCACAGAACCACCTTTTCCTGAATCCTGGCCCTGTTATCCTTACTGCCTTTTTAGCTTTTGGATGTCTTTGAGCAGAAAAAACACTCATTTGCCTATCTAAAAAAATTCTCAACAAGAGGTTTAATCTGAATTTCCTATTTTGTCACTGACAATGCTTGAAAATTACATTGAGAATACTTATGTTTTTCTAGTTGGAAGAAAGATGTGGGAATTATAAACATAATTTTGAATTGACTAAGCATCTCATTATTAACAATAACCATCATATTACTTGGCTTTTCTTTTTATTAAGATAGATTATCTACAATTTCTATCCCTTTTTTGAAACTCTATTCTCAACATCCTCCCACGCTACATTTTTCCCTCAAAGAAAAAAGCAAAGTTCTCTTCTTGCAGATCTCAAATACTCTACTGTAGCAACATCTTCCTCAACATTTGAAAGAGAGATGTTTCATTTTTTCAAAACCATGTAAATAATATGTCCCTTCCACCTTATGAATTCTGGTGCCATGTGTTAAAATAAGCTGTCTTTTATCACTTTGAACTTTATAAATGTTTGTGTTCTCTCCCAGGTGGATTATCAGCTCCTGGAAGTGAAAGAATTTCACCTTACACTCTTCATTATGGTTTCACCTGTTATATGGGCTCAACTTTAGAAGGATCTCAACATGCACTGCCTGGCTTCTCCTACTTGGAATTACCAACACTGTTTTTTTCCTTTTCAATACCTATTAATGCACAAAAAACTGAGACAACATACATTAAAAATAAAATACATATCTACAATATTTACATATATGGATTTGCTGGGAAAAATATTTTTATAATCACAAATTAGTGTCTGATCATATGATTAACATCACTAAAACTAGATTTGGTGCTTATTGACTATTCTTTGGCGATTTCCTCAAAATATCACCTCTAATCTGATGATTGACACATATTTATTTTTAGATGACAATTCTAACCTTCAGTTTCCAACTGTGTACTGGATATATTGGTGCTGCCATCTTGTCTTCTAGTTATCTCTATTTTAGCACTATCCAAAGCATATTTTCCTCTACTATTCCTATACACATTCCTACACATATTTTCCTCTACTATTCCTATACATATTTCCCTCTACTATTTTCTACAAACTACTGAATGGCTTATTTATCTCTATCTTCATGGTACTTGAGTTCTTGAGGCATATATTTGATGCTGTATTAATTAAATCTAATAAATTACCATGTTAAGAAAAAACAAACTTCAGGGAAAGATACTAGAACATGTTTTCTTTGTGCTTTGATTATAATATTTGCTTTATGTACATATCTGTAAACTCACATCTTAATGCCTTATACTTCTACATTAGCATGGCTCATTTTCCCTTGGTCTAAATGAGAAGGAAGGAAACAAATTCATTGCCTCCATCTGTAAAACATCCCTCCAGAACATCAAGATATGTTAAGCACCCTTTCCTCTTCATTTCTCCTTGGCTTCTCTAGTTTTCCTTTATGATCTACTTCCCAACTCTTAAATCAATTCCATTGCCTTCTCTTGGGCATTTTCCAGGTTATTCAGATGTCTATATCTACAATAAGCTACAGGGTCCACCAAGTGTAACAAATCCCCCAAGTGCTTTTGAAATAATCCAGTAGGTTAAAACAGACGAAGAGTAAGAAGACTTAAAGTTGAGGTTAAGTTTAAGAAGATTTACAAAGCTTTACCCACATATCCTGGTCTCTGATAAATACATGATTAGCTAAAGATTCCAAGAAACTCACCCAGAGCTCATTTCCTGCCTGCCTACCATGGAAGCCATGTCACTGAGTGCTAATGAATTTCCCAGTGGCTCCTGTAACTAGTCAAGGTCCTCAAGTAAAAATAGGCTTGGCCCTGAAATTACGGCATTCAAACCCTGCTCAACATCATTTAAATATTCCGTGATATCCGTAGATGAAGCCACTGAACAGTAGTGTTAGTATAAATAAATTAATATCACAGGAAAAATGAGGGTATCTGTTTGATGATCCAGTGAAAAAATGATGAGAGAAGTTGATAAGAAAAGCACTTTTCTTGGCCTGTGGTCAAAAACTAAAGCTTTAAACAATTGTAGGAAACTTTCTTCAGTCGTGTTCTGGGAAGTAAATTCAGCTAAATATAAATCAAAAGAGTTATCTTTATTGTAATTCAAAGATGCTACAGTATTGGAGGCATGGGAGATTGCCAGATGAAGAAACAAGCATTTTCCTCCTAATAAAGAAATCTCTGTAAATCATGGGTTTGCACTTCTACTTTTATACTTCTTTGATACTGTGCTGTGACCTATGGAGAGGCGTCAAGGAGCTGTAGCTAAGTGGATTGCTAAGAACGCCGCGATGGTGTCAGGTGGAACTGAGGTTAAGCTCCAGCATCACTGTTACCTGTGTACTGCTGAGTTAATCATTCTCTCTATGACTCCGTTTCTTCATGTTTAAGAGGAGTATAGTAATAGTGGTGATCTCAGAAGATTAAGTGGTAAGCACAGTATTTGGCCCAAAGGAAACATGCTGTAAATGTTATCTTAGTCATTAACTTTATGATTAGATTTTTTTTCAAAATCATTCCCATGATACCTGTGGCCTCTGGTTGGTTCTAGTTTATTTTATTAGCTCATTGCTAGTTATCTCCTCCTAAGCCTTTGGTTGAGCTGGTCTGGGTATTTCTAGACATTTCCCTGGTCATAATGGGCTTTCCCTTATGTATTTGCATATATGCGTTTTCCACAAATTTGGTCTGATCAACTCCCACTTTTTATTTCAGATGGAGTTCTAACTTTCTTTTCTTGCTTCCTCAAACATTACTGGATAGATATAAGTTCTCTCTATTTTCTGTTCTCCTAGGCCTCTATTTTTATTATTTTTACAATTATATCTGTTATATTCTTTGCATGTTTTTCCTCTAGCTAAGGTGTAAATTCTTCAAACACAGCTACTATATACTCATCATTGGGCATCCCAGAACCTAACACTATCAGGAACACTGAAAGCTAGAAAGTGCCTAGTAAATGTCTGATGCAGAAATAAATTGCGTATAATATAATATGGCAATGCTAAAATAGAATATAATGAAAAGGAATTTAGAAATAATAAGGTGATAATTTAGAATCATAGAAAACAAATTAGGAAAAAACAATGATGTAAGGGTAAGTTTCTTTAATGCTGACAAAGATATTTAAAAATATATTTAAAAGAGCATTCATGTGCCAAAAATATTTAAAATATTTTAGCTGAATTTGATACTAAACATTTATATTGTAATCCAAAGTATATGCAAATATAAAAATACGGAACAGAAGTGTACCAATATAATACAGATTGTCACAGATCATAGAATTAGAAGTGAGTTATACTTGTGGTTTTTGTAGTTTCAAAAATCTGTAAAAAAATAATTTATTATTTTTGTGAGTAGAGAACACTTATAAACTTTTTTATACTTAGACAATGCTATACAATTTGAAATGCATTGGTATCATTGCGTGATTTAAATCTTTTCAGGAAATTTTTTCAAACCTAAAACAATATACATCCATCCCCTTCATATTGTCTATACACTCTCCTGAGTATGATATCTTTTCTTACGTAATCATGCACGAGGCAAATGCCAGATGCTCAAGCTATAAACCCACACATCTGATGGGCAAGAGGTCTGAGAAAACAGGCAGCACAAAGTAATCTTGCCAGTATACAAACAATGTAATGCAGAAAGCCTTATCCTTTTTCTGGTCATTAAATGGAATTTTAATCTGCAAGGGAAATTGCAAGTCATAGTCCTTCATGTGTATAGAGAAAATGACTTGAGATCAGAAAGGGAGGAGTTAGGGAATAAAGTCACACAATTAGTTGGTGGCACAATTAGGGCCAGCTTGACAATCTGTGGCTCTTCCTACTTCTGAAACATCATGGAATTACAGAAAGGGATTTTAGAAAGACTTTCCTATTACTGCTTCATTATACAGAAGGATAACTGAGGACTTACAGCTATCCAATATTTTCACCTAGATCACATTGCTTGCTGGAATTTGTCTCAAATTGGCATTCAGGACTGCTATATCCCAGTCAGTGTGTTTTTCTTTTTTCCTGCAAAAGCAAGACATTGGTCTTACTCTCACCTACACCACACTTATCACAAATAGCATTGAAGAAAATCTTGCCCCAATACTTACATATTATTCAAATATCGAATTGAAGTCTACTTTTGTTCTAACCATGGCAAAAGAATAGCCATATATCAAATATAACAGCATATCATTTATTAATTGGGGTCAACAATTTTTCCAGAATTTATCTAAGATTCTTATCCTTTTTATTTATTTTTCTATGAAACAATGATCTATGACAAATTCATTGAAATATTTCAAAACTCTAATTCATATATAGCATTGAATATATGTATGTGTGTGTGTCTGTGTGTATACTACACAAAATGTTTTCCTAAGCTCTTTAGAGCTACAAAAGTTATAGTATTTTATGCCTGTTTTAGATCTGGATAGATAGGCTATACATAGCTAAGGATACATAGGCTAAGGAAGCCATTTGGCTCATTCTTCACATTAATAAGAAAAGGCAATGTGCCACTTGTCTGTGCCAAGCTCTGACAAGTGGATGTGCCTGGGTTTCCATAAATACAAAGCAAGATAGACCTCTTGGTGTAATGGAAAGTACGTGCTATAAGAAATAGAGAACTTGGGTTCTAGTTATGTTCCTGTTTCATGTGTTCAATAAAGGATTTCATGGGAAGTTATTTTTTAACTCCTAATAATATACCCAAAACTCCCACGGGGCTTTTTCATTCTTTCTTCTTCTTTTTTTTTTTTTTTTTTTTCGAGACGAAGTCTGGCTCTGTCGCCCAGGCTGGAGTGCAGTGGTGCGATCTTGGCTCACTGCAAGCTCCGCCTCCCGGGTTCACGCCGTTCTCCTGTCTCAGCCTCCCGAGTAGCTGGGACTACAGGTGCCCGCCACCATGCCCGGCTAATTTTTTTTGGATTTTTAGTAGAGACGGGGTTTCACCGTGTTAGCCAGGATGGTCTTGATCTCCTGACCTCGTGATCCACCCGCCTAGGCCTCCCAAAGTGCTGGGATTACAGGCGTGAGCCACCACGCCTGGCCGGGGCTCTTTCTAATAGCTGGATGCTTATCAAAAGCCTTCGAATGTTAAAAAAGTGATGCAAAGACAGCAAGTAAGGTTGGAGGCCAAACTCATCAAGGACACAGTATAAATAGAAAATAAATCTATAGTGAGACTTTAGGCACAGTTTTTGCCTAATATCTGAAAACCCCTGATCTTTGCCATATTCTAACACCCCATTTGTATTGACAGCCTTGAAGATCCATACTGGGAAACTTCCCTTTTTTATCAGAGACAGACTGGTTAGGATAGATGATTAATACAGTATATGACTGAGTGTCTGTAATTGAAGAGACATTTTTGAATAATCAATGAGCTTCACAAAAAAAGAGTATTAGACAAATTATATGCATATTAATGCAATATCAAAATCCTTTTTTGTTGGATGTTAGAGGTGTTTTGTTGAAAAACAAAGATGAGGAAAACATTTGATTTGCTTTCAAAACCTACTCCTGTGTATATTCCATCAATTATTTCTGCCATTATCCATTTGAAAAATCTTTGCTCTTAGGAATGTGTTAATTTCAGATGCCATTGACCTGTTTAACAGGTCAATCACTTTCCACTGCAATCTCAACAAACCCTCTCTATGGCCTATGAGGCCCGTTGACATCTGGTCTTTGATCTACAGCTCCAATTTTGTCATTCTCCACTTTGTTGCTCACTATAAGCGGAGCCCACAGGTCTCTTTTCGTCCCTCAAACAACTTAAATGCCTTTCCACACTAGAGGCGGTGTGCTAGCACCCTCTGCCCAGAATGTTGTTCTGCCAGGATTTTGCCCGGCTGATTCCTTCTAGTTATTCAGGTTTCTGTACAAATGTGACATCCTCAGAGAATCTTCCACTGTTTATCCCATCTAAATTATCATTCCTTTCCCATCCCCTCTTGATTCTCTATCACATTGTCCTTTTTTCCCTTTGCAATTCTTACCACCAAATTAGCATTACCTGAATTATGTGTGTATTCACTTACTTTCATGTCTGCTATCCCCCACTCAGCACGCCATAAGCTCCCTAAAGCCAAGGCTGTATCTTTCTTGACATTCTTGACATCTCTGTATTTGTAGCACTTACAACAGCACCTTTGTAGGAGTTCAATAATTAATGTCAGATAAACAAAGGAGTTAATAAACACATGAACGAGGCCAGGGGCAGTGGCTCACGCCTGTAAACCCAGCACTTTGGGAGGCCAAGGTGGGTGGATTATCTGAGGTCAGGAGTTCAAGACCAGCCTGACTAACATGAGGAAACCCCATCTCTACTAAAACTACAAAAATTAGCTGGGGCGTGGTGGCGCACGCCTGTAATCCCAGTTAGTTGGAAGGCTGAGACAGAAGAATCACTTGAACCCAGGAGGTGGAGATTGCAGTGAGCCGAGATTGCCCCACTGCATTCCAGCCTGGGCCACAGAATGAGACACAGTCTAAAATTTAAAAAATACATGAATGAATGAATAAATGGATGATTTAATGCCATTGATATAGATCTGTTAACTAGAAATGCAAAATGGGATAAATTAATTATGTTACTTCAATCTTTTTCAAATGTATGAAAATAATTATAATTAAAACCAGTAGTTTCAGCGAAAAGGAACTAATGCATGTGACATTGTCCATGATATCGGTGGTTTGCATGTCATTGGGCCCTTGATACATTTACAAAAAACAAATAACTAGAAGTGGCAAATGACAGAAGGTGTGGAAAGGCGAGGGAAGAAAGAGAAACACCAAGTTCTCCTACACCCTCTTCTAAGACTCTTCTAGTTTCTTTCCTCTTTCAATGAACTTTCTCTCGAATTTATGCTCACAATGTCAGATTTTGTTTGTTTTATGTTTCTCACTGAAGTCTAACATCCCTTTTCTTTTCTGAAATACGCCAAGCAACTAATTTTGAATTACTTTTTCCACTCTGTAGCTGGCTGTTATGCATCATGTAAGGAAGCTTAATTAAACAGTACAATGTAAGAACTACTCACAGATTTAGGAAAAAACCTACTTTCTTCGTTAAAAAAATAAATAAGGACAATTTTGTTATTCTTTGCATTCACACACATCTTATATACCCCAATGCACAACAAAGCTGAATTTTCAAGTTTGTGACACTTCAGGTCTCTGGATTTTATTAATAATAATTGTCAGTCCATTAAAATGGATTATGATGACTCCCAAGGAATTGGTTGTTAACATAATTAACAGCTGGCTTTAGTTTCAAGGCATTAATCAAAAGAGCAAGTTTCTGGAAATGACCAGGTTCTCAAAAACGTTGCTAATTAGCAAAGGCATTGAAGTTGTATGACACTGATTCCTGCCACTGTTATCTGCATGATTGTATCACAACTTTAAATACCCACAATGTGATGTGTTTTCTCAAGTATTATTAAACCAATAGGCATTTCAAATTTCAATACATTTACTTTAAAGGAAACAAAATCTACATTTTTACTCTTTACTTTTGGACAGAATCGAGTGTAAAATACTTGTGAAATGACGGCAATACATAATACATAATATTTTCCTTTCACAAATGGTGAATAAATGGAGCATATGCTAATTTTTCTTTTATTAATCCAATGTAGGCTAACTAGCTCTGCCATAAAAATAATATTACTCTGAGAAGCAGGATAAACGCTACTATTATCTACTCATAGGATATCTTATTATATTTTTAGACAATGAATGCTATACATTAAAGAAATTAAGGGAAAAATACAAAAAAGGGAATTAATATCCCAATTACCTTGATTTGATCGTTACACATGTATGTTTTTATCAGTATTTTCCATGTTCCCATAAATATGTGCAATTATTATGTAACATTAAAAAAAGAAATTTTAAAATAATCGCCCCATTCCCATCAAGAAAGACCAACCTCTCAACATTTTGAAGTATTTGCTTCTATTATAATTATTATTTTTTATTTTTTATTTTTTCAGAGATGGAGTTTCACTCTTGTTGCCCAGGCTAGATTGCAATGCACGATCTCAGTTCACAGCAACCTCAACCTCCTGAGTTCAAGTGATTCTCCTGCCTCAGCCTACTGAGTAGCTGGGATTACAGGCATGTGCCACCACGCCCGGCTAATTTTGTATTTTTAGTAGAGACAGGGTTTCTCCATGTTGCTCAGGCTGCTCTTGAACTCCTAACCTTAGGTGATCTGCCCAGCTCGGCCTCCAAAGTGCTGTGATTACAGGCATGAGCCACCACACCTCGCCGATTTGCTTCTATTATCTTTATGGGCCTAACCTCTTTTGTTTATGTTGCTATAATTATACTATGCTGGGAGGGATGGCTCATGCCTGTAATCCAAGCACTTTGGGAGGCTGAGGCGGGCAGATCACAAGGTCAGGAGTTTGAGACCAGCCTGGCCAATATGGTGAAACCTCGTCTCTACTAAAAATACAAACATTAGCCGGGCATGGTGGTGGGCACCTGTAGTCCCAGCTACTCGGGAGGCTGAGGCAGGAGAATTGCTTGAAGCCCAGGAGGCGGAGGTTGCAGGGAGCTGAGATTGCGCCGCTGCACCCCAGCCTGGTGACAGAGTGAGACTCTGTCTCAAAAAAAAAAAAAAAAAAAAAAAAAAAAAATTATACTTTGCGTGTAATTGTGTATCCTGCTTTCTCATAACCTTAAGTGAAATGAATTTTTTCTGTAAACTAACAGAATTAATAAAATAACATTTTGGGCATATATTATTTCATGAAAAAGATATTTTACATTTTATTAACGATCCCCACAGGGTTGGATTTATAAATTTTACATTTAAATATAACAGTGTAGTAAGTATCAAAAGCAGTCAAGAAACTATTTTAGGTCCTTTTGTGTCTGGAATATAGTCCAAGATTACTTCACTTATTCCTGGTACAATTGCTAAAATTAGTAAAAATACAAAACACCCAGTTAAATTTGAATTTTAGATAAATGACAAATAATTTTTTCATATTCACATATATCTAAGATCTACTAATACTACATTGGACATAATTACACTGAAAATACTATTTATCAGAAAATCAAATTTATTTGAGTATCCTGTGTCTGGTAGCTTTCAACCAAGATGTTTCTCATATGTTATGGTAGGCAGAATAATAGCCCTGAAAGATGCTGATGTCTTAACCTTCAGAACCTAGGTTACATAGCAAAGGAAAATAATGTTGCAGATTAAATCAAGTTTGCTACTGCACTGATGCTGACATGGGAAGATTACCCCGGATAATCTAGGTGGGCCCAGTGTGATCACCAGAGATTTTTAAGTGAGAGATGGAGGCAGAAGAGTGAACTAGAGAGATGGTGGTGTAAGAAGCACTCAGCCCAACATTGCGGGCTTTGAAGATGGAGGAGGGTGCTGTGAGCCAAGGAAGTGACTGGCCTCTAGAAGCTGGAAGAGGCCAGAAAATGAATTCTCCCCTCGAACCTGTAGTAAGGAATCCATCACTTCTGACATCTTGATTTAAGCTTAGGGAGACCATTGTTGGACTTCTGACCTCTAGAACTATGATGCAAAACATTTGTGTTGTTAAGATAATAAATTTATAGTAATTTTTATGCTATCTATAGGAAACATACAGATATTTTTATAAATGTATTGAAGGTCATTGAGCTGTAAGGATAGACTGGATTTCTTGAATCACACATTTTTGATAATTTTATAAAAGACTTTCAAAAATATGAACCAAGACCTAGAAGTCACCCTTCATGGATGCATGCTGAGATTAAGCACCTTTCTACCACCACTTTCCGTCATTTCTTATTTAGCCTACCTGGAAACACTGCACAGAGTGCTTTTGAATCTTGGAAAGCTCACATTGTTTTGTTCTTTTTGTTAGTGATTGCGTGTTTAAGCGGCTGTAGGAGCAAAGAGGATTTAATTCAAGCAATCAGCATTTTACAGCATTAGTCATGAAATAAACTCAAATCAGAAGATTCCATTTGAAAGTCAAGCTACAGAGTAAATCAAAGACAGCTGAGATAAGCAAATGTTCTTCACAACAAACTTTCTAAATCTAAGACGATGGTCAGGACAATCCCATGTACAGCTTTGTGGGTATTCAAAATGAAGACCCAATTGATAAATGCCATTTTACATATATGTCTTATATGGCCGGAGGTACACAGGAAAAAATGTTGATTTACTATACAACTGTGAAATATAAGGGAAGCATCTCTTTGACTGCTGTAGTCAGTCACTCTGCTTTTCTGGGAATGTCTCACAACTCACAAGTTTGTAATTAGGAAAGGGAGGATTTTACAGTCCATGTAAAATGTGCATGTTTCACAGAAAGTTCTCATCAATTTAAATTTAGAGATGTAGTGTTGGTGAAGACAAAGCCCTCATGTTCAAGAAGTTCCAAGCATACAGCAGGGGACTCACTCATAAACAAACAATGGCTGTAGAACATGATAAATGTTCTTACAGGAGAATGCACCAGAAGCTGGGGGAGCCCTCAGTGGGAAGGAATCAATGTTCAGAGGCTTCTCTGAGAAAGCAATGGTTGGCATGCAATCTTAAGAATGAGCAGGGATTTTTCAAACACGGCTACAGCCTGTGTTAGGAAGTAGAAAGGGCTTTGTGCTGAGGAAGTGGAGATTTTCTTTTAATGAAACACTACATAAATGAGATGGAATGACCTTGATCCTATTTATCTGTGTGAAAGGTGAATATTATCCATGTCACAATTTCTTAAAATAGGTCTGTTCTTAAAATGGATGTTTATACTGAGAGTGACAGTAAGAAGCCTTATTTATTAAAATGTGTAATATTCTCTTTATTGTTTTAGAGCATGTTTTTTGCATTCATGCTCTTAATTGAGCATGTTAGGCTAGGATAACCGTTAGGTAATTTCTATGTTATTTAGGTCTCAGAATAGCCCTTAAGTTAAATTGCCTTTTAGATGCCAGTGTCTGGCTTGAAACACAGGTGGTCTGTAGTGCTCTTTAATGAGATGGGGAACTCAGGATGGAGATACAGAAATAATATGATGAGCTCAGTTTTGCACCTATTGCATTTAAGGTCCTGTTGAAGTATAGAAAATATTTAAAGCCTTAATATCTACGTGTGTCTGGATCTTTGAATTCAGGTTAGTGGCAGGAAATGTTGATTTTGTATTCATGAAGAATATGTGGCAATTGGAACCCTAAGAAAGCTTGAGACAGTCTATAGAGAAGGAACCACAAGAGAAGAGATACAAAGAGAGCACCACAGGAAACACCAAATATGTAAGAGACATAAATGTGAACAATAATCAGGAGAGAGAGTCAGTAGAGAGGTAAGTGGAAAACCAAGTCAGGACTGATGCCTTCACCAGCAATAGCACAAAATATTTCTGTATTTCACATCAAGTGGAGCAAGATCTGAGCAATGTTCATTCAATTTTTCAACAAGGTCATTAGTAATAATTTTGTTACAAATAATTTCAGAGTTCTGTGGTGGGAACAGAAATCAAACTGAAAAATGACTAGTTAATAAAATAAGGAATAAAATGGTGAAGTAAGGGAATAGATACATTAAGTCATACAACTTTATTAAGTACTTAGTGTAAAAGAAGAGAAAGGGAGAGAGAGAGAATAAGAGAAACAGTATCTAGATAAGAACATCGTATGAGAATAGGCAATTTATTTTGCTTTTAAGAGGAAAGGATTGAGCATATCTACATAATGGAAAGAAGAACCAAAGCAGTGGACACATATTCAGGACTCTTCTGGTTGCAGAGACTTATATCAAATAATTAAAGAATAGGTACTAAATCAGAAATCAGTGATATTCAGGAATGGGACTGACTGAGAATCCAGGGCTCCAAATGATGTTGTTTCACATTCCATAGAAATAAGAAAATATCGCTCTCACAGCATCAGCACACATATAATCTTAGAGAACTTTGATCAGATTAGGTTCATCTGTCCATCTCTGAGACATTAGCTATGAGTAGAGGACTATAAAATATAATTGGCCAGGATCGTAGTAGGCACCATCCTACTACAATCCAGAGGGGTGGAAAACTATGACTTAGAATGCCATTGAAACAATTAGAGATGGTGGAGGAATTGTTCTCTTTAGAATGGTTGATGTTTCCAGTAAAAGGGAAAAAGGGGGCTTAAAAGCAAAAATACACTGGTGTTCAGTATAGAGGAGGAGTTGAAGATACCAGTTAGAGAAATAATAAATTAATAGAAGAAGATTTCCAAGAAAACTGGATGAGATTTGGAGAACTGGTAGAAGGGTCAGTTTTAGACAGGAAGCTGCCCATCCCTTCTGTCACTTCAGAGAGAATCCCCTCCTGTTTACCCACCTGACATCATCACATCTCTGAAGAAACTTTCCATTCTCTACTCTCTTGAGTCATTTTCCTAACACCTATCATTCTCTTTCTTTATTTTTCCTACAAATTTTCTTACTTAATAGCACAGCTTGTTGGCCTTTCAAATATAAAATCCATTATATAAGGATCTCTGCCTTGTTTCTTATTCAAACCCCACCATTTGAAGTCTACAATAGCACCTAGCACATACTTAACATTGAAAAATTTGTCAAGTTAAAGGAGAAAGAGAGAGAAAGAAAGAGAGAGAGAGAGAGAGAGAGAGAGGAAGAGAAACATAAGAATGCATAAGACATCTTTTGGCTATATCTACAGACCATTTTTTTTTTTTAATGACAAGCAGGTACCACAATGACAAGTGCATATATATGCGGACAATTTTTTGGTTTAAAATATGTAAACTTTTTGTATCATCAGATACAAAGTATCAAGGGTGACTCTATGTCCAAGACCAAATCTCAACTTGAATTGTAATAATCCCCATGTGTTGTGGGAGGCACCCAGTGGGATGTACTTGAATCATGGGGCGAGTTTTTCCCATGCTGTTCTTGTGACAGTGAATGAGTCTCATGAGACCTGAAGATATTATAAAGGGGAGTTCCCCTGCACATGCTCTCTTGCCTGCCACCATGGAAGACATGCCTTGCTCTTCCTTTGCCTTCCACCATGATTGTGAGACCTCCCCATCCATGTGGAACTGTGAGTCCATTAAACATTGTCTCCATTGTAAATTACCCAGTCTCAAGTATGTCTTTATTAGCAGTGTGAGAACAGACTAATACAGTAAATTGGAACCAGGATTTGGTGCTGCTGTAAAGATACCTGAAAATGTGGAAGTGACTTTGGAACTGGGTAACAGGTAGAGGTTGGAAGAGTTTGGAGGGCTCAGAAAACAGGAAAATGTGGGAAACTTCCTAGAGACTTGTTGAATGGCTTTTACCAAAATGCTGATTGTGACATGGACAATGAAGTCCAGGTTGAGGTGGTCTCAGATGGAGATGAGGAACTTGTTGGGAACTGGAGCAAAGGTGACTCTTATCATGCTTTAGCAAGAAGACTGGCAGCATTTTGCCCCTGCCCTAGTGATCTGTGGAACTTTGAACTTGAGAGAGATGATTTAGAGTATCTGGTGGAAGGAATTTTTAAGCAGCAAAACATTCAAGAGATGACTTGGGTGCTGTTAAAAGCATTACGTTTTGTGTTTTCACAACAATGTGGTTGGGAATTGGACCTTATGTTTAAAAGGGAAGCAGAGCATAAAAGTTCAGAAAATTTGCAGCCTGACAATACGTTAGAAAAGAAAAACCAATTTTTTGAGAAGATGTTTATGGGTTCAGGTTGACACAGGGTAGACTTGTGATGGTCAATGTTGTCAACTTGATTGGATTGAAGGATGCAAAGTATTATTCCTGGGTGTGTCCGTGGGGATGTTACCAAAGGAGATTAACACTTGAGTCAGTGGACTGGGAAAGGCAGACTCACCCTCAATCTGGGTAGGCACAATCTAACCAGCTGCTAGTACAGCCAGAATAAAAGCAGGCAGAAGAACATGGAAAGACTAGATTGGCTAAGCCTTCTGGCCTCCATCTTTCTCCTGTGCTGGATGCTTCCTGTCCTTGAACAATAGAATCCAAGTTCTTCAGCTTTTGGATTCCTGGACTTACACTAGTAATTTGCCAGGGGCTTTTGGGCCTTTGGACACAGACTAAAGACTGCCCTATTGGCTTCCCTACTTTTGAGATTTGGGGACTCGTACTGGCTTCCTGGCTTCTCAACTTGCAGATGGCCTATTGTGGGGACTTCACCTTGTGATCGTGTGAGTCAATTATCCTGATAAACTCCCCTTTATATATACGTGTATCCTATTAGATCTGTCCCTCTAGAGAACCCTGACTAATACAGGTGATGAACTAAACAGTAAAATCTTTTCACTGAGTAGGCAACACATAAACATGTACTGGATTTTATGCTGTGTGTATTCATCTAGATTTTTGTCTGTGACCAAACTGAAAGATGTACAAGTCTGTAAATTTTACTGAGAAATGAAGATAAAGAGTGTGCTCTAAAATTTCATCTCAAGCACAGACATGAAACATCTAGATTTTATTTAGTGGAAAGTTTCTCTAATGTTAAACTACAAGTTTGCGTAAAGTGACCTTTTATAATTTGTTGAATGAAAATGTTTCCCAAACATCACCATAGTAAAATGAATTAAACAGCCTATTATTGAAAGCTTTGACAACCAGATACCCTCGTCTCCAAGTTAGCAGTGAGCTATAAGTTTAACACATGTGGAAACAATACATTAGGTGAACTTGCAAGAGGACATTTGACAACTGCTTTCTTTGAATATCTAAGAAGAAAACTTTTCTAAGTGCAGACAAAATTTGCCTGGTATCATTTAATTATCTTGAAAAGCCCTATTGATAATACAGGACATTCACAGACATACACAAAAAGGCTTTCCATTATGAATATTCCTAGTATTTCTTCATCATAGGGACTTGTGTATTTGTGTGTTTCATATACATTTGCATAGAAAATCACTGTTCTTTTTCAAAAAATTTCAAAAAGTCATTGAGATAGATATTGCAGTAGTTCCCACATCCATCTTAAATTAAAATCGCAAGCCCTCTAGTAGTCTTGCAGTATATGTTTGAGCTGTAAACATAAAAAAATCAAAAACAATATTTTTAAATAAAATAGTAAACAGATTTTAAGCAATAAAATTATATATATGTAGATCAAGGTGAATGTCTTAATATTTATGGATGGAAATAGAATGTAAATGATGTCCTAGCCCAAACCAAGAAAATATTTTTTTCTTGTCATTACTGAGTGAAGATGTATAAAAAAAATCACATTTTTACTTTTGAATGTCAATGATGTAAACTATAACCACTGGGAACTAAATAGGAAAAATATGATGCTTTAGCGATTTAAAGTCCTAGAAGAAAGCTTTCTAAGGCTCTATGGAAGTTAGATGATTTAAAGTCCTAGAAGAAAGCTTTCTAAGCCTCTATGGAAGTTAGATGGTACTTACCACAATAATATTAACCTATTCATTCAATTATTCATTCATTTTTTAAAGCGTTTGCATTAATTGAGTTCTTGTAGCTGGCACTGCATTTGTTACTTAATAAAAATGAAAAATTACAGTCTCTGCCTTCAATGGGCTGATTTTTGTTTGGAATTAAGCATTCAGGCAATTCATAAAGACTTTTACAATATGCACAGTGATGCAGATTTGTATCATGAAGGTAAGAAGGGTCTTTTCCCACAGTCCCTTGCTTTAGAGGACTTCACAGGGAAAAAGTGAACAAATGTATTAAACAATTCATGGATGCCTCTGTGACTTGAGGTACAGTGTTCATTCGTATTGCAGCATAAACCAGTAACCTTAAATATGTGATCTCATGACTGATACTGTTCAGGCCTCAGAGAAGTATTTCTCTACTTCTCTGTGCCTATGTCCTTGAAACAAAAGGCAAGTGCATCTGAGTTCTGTAAATGTTTGTGGTTGCTCTGCTTCTGATGTTGGAGAAGAAGGCTACTTTGGAGTTGAGAAAGAATTTGACAGTGCAGTGCATAAATAAAAGCAAAGACAACTTGGCCAAATTGTCAGTTTCCTTATCTGAGGTAGCATGGAAACAATATATTCTTACATATCAAAATATGTCCAATTTCTTATATAGTTCTAGGGTTCCAATGTGTGGTTCATGCATTAAAATATATACATATATAGTACATAATATAATGTTAACATCACCATATTACATCTATATTAGGTGCAATAGAATATAAAATACTATATTGCAAATTATTTTGAATTAAAAATTAAATGAAATGTCAACCTTGTTTTATTAAATTTAAAAATTACTATTAATTTATTATTTTTACTTAGTTTTTAATTTTAAAGTTATTTAATATTCGAGAAGAAAACTATGTTTTGAAAAACGTGAAATCATGTTTTATTTTAAGCTGCTCTTTATTTTGTGAATGTATATTCAGATTGTGAATAGTTTTAATGCAATTACATTTTACTTTAATTCATTTGATTATCATTATTTGAATAAACATATGAATATCTTAATTTTACTACATAACAATTTTTCAAGAACAAAATTATGAGACATTATATACATATATATTTATTTAGTTCATTTTCACACTGCTGATAAATACATACCTGAGACTGGGCAATTTACAGAAGAAAGAGGTTTAATGGATTTACAATTCCAAGTGGCTGAGGAGGCCTCACAATCATGGTGGAAGTCAAGGAGGAGCTAGTCACACCTTACATGGATGGCAGCAGGCAAAGAGAGCTTGATCAGATCTCATGATACTTATTCACTACCATGAGAACATCATGGGAACGAGCTGCCCCCATAATTCAATTACCTCCCAGCAGTTCCCTCTCATACCATGTGGGAATTCAAGATGAGATTTGGATGGGGACACAGCAAAACCATATCATATATTTCCACTCCTTTAAAAATTACTCTTCCAAATATCTCCAGACCATCAGTAGAACTCCCAGACACTTGCAATAATTTAATTCATTTTTAACATGTTTACTAAATTTTAATTATATAAAAATCATAGCCTTAAGCATATCAAAATAAGAGAATAGATACTACCAGTAGTGAGTGGTGTGACTGAAGCAGTAATAAAACAAAAAAAAGTATCTCTCAATGGAAAACACATAGAACCAGATGAATTCACAGCCAAATTCTACTAAACAAACAATGATGAACTGATACAAATCCTCCCAAAACTGTTCCCCCCAAAATAAGGGAAGATAATTCTCCTTAACTTATTCTACAAAGCCAGTACCACCCTGATACCAAAACCAGACAAAACTCAACAAAAAGTAAAAGTACACACCAATATCCCTGATAAAGGTACATGCAAAAATCTTCAAGAAAATACTAGCAAATAAAATCCAACAGCACATCAATAATACAACATGATCAAGTGAATTTTATACCAGGGGTGAAAGAATGGTTCATATATACAAATCAGTATATTTGATTCATCACAAAAACACAATTAAGTACAAAAATCATAGGATCATCTTAATAAATGCAGAAAAAGCATTTGATAAAATTTAGCATTCTTTCATGATAAAAATCCTCAACAAACTAGGCATGGAAGGAAAATATCTCAACCTGATAAAGGCCATATACAACAAACCTACAGCCAACATTATACTGAATGGGAAAAAGTTAAAAATATTCCCTGTAAGAACTGGAACAAGGAAAGGATGCCCACTTTCACATTTCAACATAGTACATGAAATGATAGCCAGAGCAATCAGGAAAGAGGAAAAAAAAAGGCACTCAAATTGGAAGAGAGGAAGACAAATTATCTCTCCCACTGATGACATAATCTTATATTTAGAAAACCCTAACAATTCTACAAAAAAAAACTCAGATTTGATAAATAAATTCAGTATAGTTTTGGAATACAAAATCAATATACAAGAATCAGTTGCATTTCTATACACCAATAATGATCTATCAGAGAATCAAATGAAGAATAAAAAAAATAAAAGATTCAATTCCATTTGCAAAGGCTGTAAAAAATTAAAATACCCAGGAATATATGTAAACAAAAAAGGTGAAAGATCTCTACATGAAAAACTACAAAACACTGATGAAGTAAATTGTAGATGAAACAAACAAACTGAAAAACATCTCAGGGCCATGGATAAGAATAATTAATATTGTTTAAATGACCATACTGTCCAAAGCAATCTACAGATACAATGCAAACCCTGTCAAAATACCAACATCATTTTTCACAGAATTAGGGAAAAAAAAATCCCTAAAATTCATATGGAATCAAAAAAGGAAGTTGAATAGCCAAAGCAATCCTAAGCACCAATAAGAAAGCTGGGGGCATCACACTACTTGACATCAAATTATACTACAAACCTATAGTAACCAACACAATAAGGTAACACAATAAAAATAGACATATAGATTAATAGGACAGAATAAGGAACCCACAAATAAAGCCACATATCTTTAGCAAAAAGATCTTGGACAAAGTCGACAAAAACATACATTAAGGAAAGTGCAGCCTTTTAAATAAATGTTGCTGGGAAAATAAGATTGTCATCTGCAGAAGAACGCAAGTGGATCCCCTATCTCTCACCATGTAAAAAAAAAAAAATCAACTTAAGGTGAATTAAATACTTAGATGATAGACCTGACACTATACAATCCTAAGAGAAAACCTAGAAAAACTTCTGGACATTGGTCTGGGTAAATAATTTATGACTAAGACATCAAAAGCACATGTCACAAAACCAAAAATAGACAAGCTGGACTCAGTTAAACTAAAAAGCTACTGCACAGCAAAACAAATAATCAACAAAGGGAACAGACAACTTGCAAAATGGGAGAAATATTTTCAAACTGTGCATCTGACAGGGTACCAATATCTGAAATAAACAAGGAAGTAAAACAACTCAACAACAACAACAACAACAACAAGAAATAACCCCTTAAAAAGTGGGCAAACAACATGAATAAACATTTTTCAAAAGAAGAAATAAAATTGGCCAATAAACACATGGTAAAAATGTTCAGCATCACTAATCATCAGAGAAATGCAAATTAAAACCACAATGAGCTATCATACCAGTCAGAATGGCTATTATTAAAAAGACAAAAAATAACAGATGTTGTTGGTAAGGATGGAGGGAAAAGGGAACACTTATACACTGTTTGTGGGAATGTAAATTAGTATAATCTTTATGGAAAACAGTATGGAGATTTACATTTCCTACTGTTTGTGGGGTTGTAAATTAGTATAATCCTTATGGAAAACACTATGGTACTACCTACCATTCAATCCAACAATTCCACTACTGAGAATCTATGCAAAGGAAAAAAAATCATCATTATCCAAAAGATACCTGCATTTGTATGTTTATTGTAGCACTATTCACAATAGCAAAGATTTGGAAGCAACCTAACTGTCCATCAACAGATGATTGAATAAAGAAAATTTGGTATATATACAGGATGGAATACAAATCATCCATAAAATGAATACCATCATGTATTTTGTAGAAACATGGATGGAATTGGAGGACATTTTCTTAAGTGAAACAACTGAGAAACAGAAACAAAAATACTGCATGTTTTCAGGTACAATGGGAGCAAAATATGTATACATGGACATAGGGTGTATAATGATAGACAATGAAGGCTCAAAAGAACATTGGGATCAGGGGGTTGGATGATGAGAAATTACTTAACAGGTACAACGTACATTTTTTGGGTGATGGATACACTGAAAGCCTAGACTTCGCCACTATGCACTTTATCGATGTAACTAAATTGCAGTTGTACCCCTTAAATTTATACAAAAAAAAACTCGTTAAAGTGGCATATAACTTTTAAATATTTGGACATCTGTTTTTTTTTTTTTTTTTTTTTTTTTTTTTTTTTTTTTTTTTTTTTTTTGAGACGGAGTCTCGCTCTGTCGCCCAGGCTGGAGTGCAGTGGCGGGATCTCGGCTCACTGCAAGCTCTGCCTCCCGGGTTCACGCCATTCTCCTGCCTCAGCCTCCCAAGTAGCTGGGACTACAGGCGCCCGCCACTACGCCCGGCTAATTTTTTTGTATTTTTAGTAGAGACGGGGTTTCACCGTTTTAGCCGGGATGGTCTCGATCTCCTGACCTCGTGATCCGCCCGCCTCGGCCTCCCAAAGTGCTGGGATTACAGGCGTGAGCCACCGCGCCCGGCCTTGGACATCTGTTAATTTGGGCTTCAATTTACACTTTTGCCCCAAGCCATGCAATGTTACATGCTGGTCTGTGCAGATTCATCTGCTTGTTAATTAAACTAATAAATACGAAGACAATATATTATGCCATACCAGACAACTGATTATATTGCTGAGGATATAATGATGAAAAAATGAATATGGGCCCTACCATCAAGGAGGTTATTGTTTTGCAAGAAAAGGTAGTGATTGCACAGGCAATTGTAAGTCAATGTGGTGGTGTGATATGGGGAATAAAATACAGTACATCACTGGAGTACATGAGAGTCCACTCTTAGAGGAGGTTCAGGGAAGGCTTTCTAGTGTAGTTGTCTACATGGAGACCTGAAGGATGACTACAAAGAACCAAGAGAGGAGTAAAATACAGCCACTGGACAAACAGGAAATCATGGCAAAGCCCTGGATGCAGAAAATAGCTTTCTCTTTAAGAGAAAAAACAAAAATATTCACTTATACGTAGGTAGAAGATAATATGCTCAATTTTTTCATCCACTAATGCTTTCTTTGGCACTGCCACAGATTCCAACTTGGTAGGGAAAGATGAAAAACACAAAAAGCAATTATCTGTAGTGAACAGAAGATAGGCCAGGCATGGTGGCTCACACCTGTAATCCCAGCAATTTGGGAGGCCAAGGCCAGTGGATCACTTGAGCCCAGGAGTTCGAGACCAGCACAGGCAACGTAGGGATACCAACCCCACCTCTACAAAAAATACAAAAAATTAGCATCTTCCTGATACCAAAGCCGGGCAGAGACACAACCAAAAAAGAGAATTTTAGACCAATACCCTTGATGAACACTGATGCAAAAATCCTCAATAAAATACTGGCAAACCTAATCCAGCAGCACATCAAAAAGCTTATCCATCATGATCAAGTGGGCTTCATCCCTGGGATGCAAGGCTGGTTCAATATACGCAAATCAATAAATGTAATCCAGCATATAAACAGAACCAAAGACAAAAACCACATGATTATCTCAATAGATGCAGAAAAGGCCTTTGACAATATTCAACAACCCTTCATGCTAAAAACTCTCAATAAATTAGGTATTGATGGGGTGTATCTCAAAATAATAAGAGCTATCTATGACAAACCCACAGCCAATATCATACTGAATGGGCAAAAACTGGAAGCTTTCCCTTTGAAAACTGGCACAAGACAGGGATGCCCTCTCTCGCCACTCCTATTCAACATAGTGTTGGAAGTTCTGGCCAGGGTAATTAGGCAGGAGAAGGAAATAAAGGGTATTCAATTAGGAAAAGAGGAAGTCAAATTGTCCCTGTTTGCAGATGACATGATTGTATATCTAGAAAACCCCATTGTCTCAGCCCAAAATCTCCTTAAGCTGATAAGCAACTTCAGCAAAGTCTCAGGATATAAAATCAATGTACAAAAATCACAAGCATTCTTATACACCAACAACAGACAAACAGAGAGCCAAATCATGAGTGAACTCCCATTCACAATTGCTTCAAAGAGAATAAAATACCTAGGAATCCAACTTACAAGGGATGTGAAGGACCTCTTCAAGGAGAACTACAAACCACTGCTCAAGGAAATAAAAGAGGATACAAACAAATGGAAGAACATTCCATGCTCATGGGTAGGAAGAATCAATATTGTGAAAATGGCCATACTACCCAAGGTAATTTACAGATTCAATGCCATCCCCATCAAGCTACCAATGACTTTCTTCACAGAATTGGAAAAAACTACTTTAAAGTTCATATGGAACCAAAAAAGAGCCCGCATCGCCAAGTCAATCCTAAGTCAAAAGAACAAACCTGGAGGCATCACACTACCTGACTTCAAACTATACTACAAGGCTACAGTAACCAAAACAGCATGGTACTGGTACCAAAACAGAGATATAGATCAATGGAACGGAACAGAGCCCTCAGGAATAACGTCGCATATCTACACCTATCTGATCTTTGACAAACCTGAGAAAAACAAGCAATGGGGAAAGGATTCCCTATTTAATAAATGGTGCTGGGAAAACTGGCTAGCCACAGGTAGAAAGCTGAAACTGGATCCCTTCCTTACACCTTATACAAAAATCAATTCAAGATGGATTAAAGACTTAAATGTTAGACCTAAAACCATAAAAACCCTAGAAGAAAACCTAGGCTTTACCATTCAGGACATAGGCATGGACAAAGACTTCATGTCTAAAACACCAAAAGCAATGGCAACAAAAGCCAAAATTGACAAATGGGATCTAATTAAACTAAAGAGCTTCTGCACAGCAAAAGAAACTACCATCAGAGTGAACAGGCAGTCTACAAAATGGGAGAAAATTTTCACAACCTACTCATCCGACAAAGGGCTAATATCCAGAATCCACAATGAACTCAAACAAATTTACAAGAAAAAAACAAACAACCCCATCAAAAAGTGGGCGAAGGACATGAACAGACACTTCTCAAAAGAAGACATTTATGCAGCCAAAAAACACATGAAAAAATGCTCACCATCACTGGCCATCAGAGAAATGCAAATCAAAACCACAATGAGATACCATCTCACACCAGTTAGAATGGCGATCATTAAAAAGTCAGGAAACAACAGGTGCTGGAGAGGATGTGGAGAAATAGGAACACTTTTACACTGTTGGTGGGACTGTAAACTAGTTCAACCATTGTGGAAGTCAGTGTGGCGATTCCTCAGGGATCTAGAACTAGAAATACCATTTGACCCAGTCATCCCATTACTGGGTATATACCCAAAGGACTATAAATCATGCTGCTATAAAAACACATGCACACGTATGTTTATTGCGGCATTATTCACAATAGCAAAGACTTGGAACCAACCCAAATGTCCAACAATGATAGACTGGATTAAGAAAATGTGGCACATATACACCATGGAATACTATGCAGCCATAAAAAATGATGAGTTCATGTCCTTTGTAGGGACATGGATGAAATTGGAAATCATCATTCTCAGTACACTATCGCAAGAACAAAAAACCAAACACCGCATATTCTCACTCATAGGTGGGAACTGAACAATGAGAACACATGGACACAGGAAGGGGAATATCACACTCTGGGGACTGTTGTGGGGTGGGGGGAGGGGGGAGGGATAGCAATGGGAGATATATCTAATGCTAGATGACGAGTTAGTGGGTGCAGTGCACCAGCGGCACATGTATACATATGTAACTAACCTGCACATTGTGCACATATACCCTAAAACTTAAAGTATAATAGTTAAAAAAAAAAAAATTAGCCAAACATGGTCGCACGTGCCTGTAGTCCCAGCTACTCAGGAGGCTGAGGCAGGAGAATCACTTGAGCCTGGGATGTTGAGGATACAGTGAGCTATGATGGCACCACTGCACTCCAGCCTGGACGACAGCAGAGTGAGACCTTGTCTTGAAAAAAGAGAAAAAAAATAGGAAAGGAACGGAAAGGAGAGAGGAGGGGAGAGGAGGGGAGGGGAGGGGAGGCGAGGGAAGGGAAGGAGGAAAGAAGGAAAAAATAATAACACTGGCTCTTAGGTAGCTGGCTGTGTCTGTGTGCAAGTTCTTTGTATGTGAATATTTTTCATACCCTAACTCAATAAATCTTTAAAAGCAATTTTAAGAGGTAAGTGCTACTGTTATTCCCATTTTACAGATGAACATCTAAGTCACAAAATGATTCTCACTTGTTCTAGATGCCATAACTAATAAAGTGCAGAGTTGGGATGATTTACAACTGAACAGTTTGACTTCAAATAACAAAAACAATGATACTACTAATATTATTATATTATATTTTTATAAAGTTATACTATATTATAAATATATTGTACATTTATAATTACTAGTTGAATATAATTAACATTTATAGACATAATAATATATATTTATATATTATTAATATACATTTTATATTATTATTTTTATTATTGACCCTACATGTACCTAGTATTGTGCTTAGTACTTTATACTCTTTATCATGTTTAATCTTTAAAACTGTTGTCACCTTACTACAGATGATGACACTGAGCCTTAGAGAGATTAAGTAATTTCTCCACAATGACATAAGAGGTGAGGTAGCTGAGAATCAAACCTACTTATTGTGACCAAGAAAAAATATATTTTGCCAGGATAACCTGTAATCTTAAGTGAGAATAGTTTGCAAACATTCTTCAGAGTATTATTGGGCAGACTTACAGAAGTTTCTCAGAAAATTCTTAAGAGTCTTCTAATTTACTAATAAGGAGGAACATGATTTTTTTTGTTCTTTTTTTCCAAAGAGAATAATAATTTCAAAACAAAATAAGCCCAAGTTTAGTTCTTTCATGGGTTTTCTTTTTCATTCCATATTTCAGAGTTCAGAGGCAAAATCAAGCCTGATGATGCATTTTCTTAAGAATGAAGAAACTAGTTGTTCTCATTTTTAATATGGCCACCACATGTTTTATTTTTAATGACAATGTTTCTAAGCCTGATAGTCAGAAAAATCCCAATGATTTAAACCTCTTTATTATAAAATGTAGATAAAGCCAAATTGGTTCAAGTCTTTCATTTCTCATATTTCCATATATTTTCCTAATTTGAACTTTGGTATCTTTTCATTTCCCAAAAGCATGTTACAGACTGTTCTGATTTTTGTGGTAAAGAAATAACAGAAACTATTTTTGGTCAGGAAACTGAATTGCTTGGTGTCTTTCAGGCCAAGTCTCAGAATATATACCATTGCTTCTTCAGAATTGTTGTTGTTGTTGTTGTTTGGCTATAAAACAATCTTACTCCAAAAACAGCCCCCTACTGTTATGTTATGAAGTTTACAAGGCTCCACCCAACCTAATTTTTCTCTGTCCTCTGTCAAATCTGGATTGCATTAGGCTGGGTGATCCAAAATAAGGAGAATATAAACATATGCATACAGAAAAATACACTTTATGGTTTTAGGTTCTATTCTAGCTCATTTATAATGTATTAATAGATGAATTGCACAAATGCACATTAATGAGCAGTTGCAGTCTTTTTCATTATGGAAGTTATTATGAAAATAAACATTTATTGAGATATTTTTAGGTGTTAAGTACTATGAAAATTGCCTTAAATCTACCACTTTACTTTCATTTTTCAAAACTGTATTATGTAAAGGACTATTATCTCATAACACAAATAGGAGAAAGGCTGGCAAGTTTAAGAAATGAGGAAAAGTTTACCTGTCTAGTTAAGTGGCAGTAGCAACGGTTAGAAGTGAAGTCAAAGTCTGAGCCATCAGAATTGATGAAGAAAGTTTATAAATAAATTAGATATAAAATAAATTAGATGTAAAAATTAAATCTTAGTCTTTATCAGATGCTGCTGAAAAATATTCCAAATATTTTTCAACAAATAAATGCACCTATCTGTAATATCTATTAGAGTATGGCCAGATTCCCAACACTCTGACAAAATTAATATCTGATAAATATTTATTATAAAATTAATATGTATATTTTACTATAAAGCCTCTTGAAATCCATCAAGCATAATTATACAAAAGGTTTAAGGTTGATAAAGGCTGGTGTTTATGCAAATATTTTCTCAAATTTCCAAGGGAAAGAAGGTATATATTTTAAAAACTAAACTAGGGAAACAATGAATGAATTCCACAACTTTGTGAGAAAGCAATGCTAACTGAATAATGTTTTAGGACTCAGAAATAAAGGCAGTATCACAGGAATTCAAAAATACTTTTGTTAAAAATAAACTATGCCAAATGATCCTCATTTTCATCTTGATCACATTAACGGATTATTTAATCAATAGTTCTCTCTTTCCCATTTCCTCTGTTTCTCTCTTTAAGTTTCAATCTCACTTTGTTTTCATCCCATCATTTGAGAAATTTCCTCAAGCAACCTTTGGAAACAGAAAGAATAAAGTAGAGTTGGATTACAATTCTGAGGAAGAATATTATAAATGTAGTTGATTTTGAGACCCTCGCCTATAAAAGAAAAGGCCATTTAGGCCCTCAGTATTCTATAGTGGGCTTCATTGTGCAATATTTTTATCAATGCCTTGTATGAAGGCAAATTTGTTGCTTCTATAAATCTGGGAAAGACAGCTCATATTTTGGAATATCCAAAATGATCTCAACAAGTTGGACTCCTAGATTAGAAAATGTAAAAGAAAATTTAACAAAGATAAATGACAATCAAATTTCACTGTATTAAAAATGTCAATAATAAAAGTTGGTTGGAGGACATTCAGATTAAGGGAACATGTGGAATCACTGCACTCTGCCATAGATCACATTTGGAATCATGTATTTATACTGGGTAATGCACATAAAGAAAGATACTAACAAATTAAATTTGTTTAGACACTTAGGCATTTACTTAATAGATATCAACAGGCTTCTCTTTCATGTATAATGCTAGGAACTGGGAATTGTAATGAAAAATATATAGATACACATTTAATTCTTTCATGAACCATCATTTCTAGTGTGTAGGGACACTGGGCAATAAATATATAAAGAATACAATGTATACATATATATGCAAAATTTTTTGCATGTATGTTGCCACATTTTTTAAAAAGATGACTAAAAATGATCACGAGATTCAAGGATATACATTAAAAGGTATGATTATAAGCTACACAGCCTATAATAAATTTGCTTCTTGAGTTTTGGGAAATATTAAAGAAAAACATTTTCCAGAGTTGCAAAATATAAAGTGTAATGAGAGGCCTGTGAGAGACATTTAACAGATACTCGGTTGCAATGGATAGAGAAAACAAGGGGTGGTTTCTGCCAAGACCAGCTCGGTTGTGGAGACCCTAACCCATTGGCACTAGAGGAATTAAAGACACACTCACACAGAAATATAGTATGTGGAGTGGGAAATCAGGGGTCTCACGGCCTTCAAAGCTGAGAGCCTCGAACAGAGATTTCCCCACATATTTATTGATAGCAAACCAGTGATAAGCATTGTTTCTGTAGATTATAGATTTACTAAAAATATTCCTTATGGGAAACAAAGGGATGGGCAGAAACAAAGCGATGGGCTCTGGCTAGTTATCTGCAGCAGGAACATGTCCTTAAGGCACAGATTGCTCATGCTATTGTTTGTGGCTTAGGAATGCCTTTAAGCGGTTTTTCCACCTTGAGTAGGCCAGGTGTTTCTTGCCCTCATTCTGGTAAACCCACAACCTTCAGTGTGGGCGTCATGGCCATCACAAACATGTCACAGTGCTGCAGAGATTTTGTTTATGGCCAGTTTTGGGGCCAGTTTATGGCCAGATTTGGGGTCCTATTCCCCAACAGGTTTCTAATGAGATCCCCAAAATTGCTACTGATTGAGATACGGGCAACACTTCTCACATGGGCAACTCTACACAGCATGGGCAGAGTCAATAAAACAAGAATTTGTTTTCATAAGGAACAGAAGTTGGTTTAAAGAGTGATCACAGAGGAGCTTGTCTCAAAATTTGACATGTTAGACACAGAAATGAAGGATGACGAGCTATCAGATCCAATTTCAGACACAGAAAATGGCATATTTGAAAGCACTGAGTAGGGAAAGAGGACAAAATTGAGTTAAAATAAACATATATTCTTCCTTTTTATCCTAAAAATTCTTAATATGTTTTGTAAACAACTATTCCAGTTGGAAAATTACTTTCTAATTCCAGAAAGTCACATGTTTATTGAACTGCTTAGAAGAATGTCAAACTGAGATTAGTAACAGTCTAGATGTCATGTGACTGAAAGGTAGAAATTCTAGACCATTTTTTTCAAACTTAGGCAGAACATGGCCAGCACATTTTCTTTCAGCTTGACAATGTCTTTTATTTAAAGCTATAGTTTCCACTCCATGTCTTTCTCTCTTTATTTTTTTCCTTAATAATTTATTTCTCGAAGACCCAGAACATTTGACCCACAGAATTCCCTACAATCTGGATTTTGTTGATTGTATATTGTGCTGTGTTCCAACATGTTCTTCTGAACTCTGTATTTAGTGTAAATGGACTGGTGGAGTCTTGATCAGACTTGAGTTCTATCCCTATGATAAACTTTTGGATAGATTTGTTCTTTTATCATAGTACCTGCTTTCTCTTTTGTGTTGTTAACAGCCATTGACATTGAATGTCTAGATTTAAATTTTATAATTTGGCTTTTATTTTAACAGAGATAACTTTATAAGGTAGTGATTTTATTTACACACTATTTGGTTACTCAGTTGTGCAGTTCATATAGAAAAGAAAAATAAATGCTTGACTTCTTCCATTACATATTCAGTTTTCAAGATAATAAGTTGGTTCCTCATCATCTTTCAAAATTACCAATTAGCTGTTTTTTAATGTTATTATAAACTCATGAGTTTAAATATATTTGATGAGTTTCAATCCACTAACATTGTTATCCTTACTGGAGCTAAAAATTTCCTATTTGAAGTCAGTGGTGAGCTCTTCATGTTTGCCTCTGAGACTATTAATATGACACTAGTAGTCTCATTTGTGATGTATAAAGATGTTCCAGTTTTAGTGTGCATTTTTTCTTCAGACTTGAAATCAGCCATCTTTTCTGCAAAAGTCTCAACATTTTTAATAATAGATAGTATTTTAGGACCAAAATCTGGGTGCTAGAGATACTCACTGACATTGAGTTATTTATTGTTTATAGATAGATGATGCACACTGAGTTCATCCACAATTTCCAATTTAAATTCAGAAATATGGTGTTTTTACCATATTGTAATTTCTTCTCTATTACATTCTTATCTCCTTGATTCCAAACTGAGAATCCAGGTCCTCAAGGATATAAAGAATTAAAAAAAAAGTACTCATTTGTGATTACTAAAAACAATTAAATATTTTCATGCATGCTATCTCCAGTGTCCCTTTTTAGAGTTTGTCTATGTCCATATTGTCAGATCACATAGCTATTACACAGGTTAGTATCTTCCTTTAATCCTCAATAGCAATTCTATAAAAACTTATATATTTAATTATCTTTACTAGTCTTAATATACATGTCTCTCTAGTCATTTTGGTTGTCTGACATCATTCACTAGTAGATTTAAGAATAACTTAGGCTTTTGTTGAATTATTGCATGCTGACCACATTTTATTTATGCTCTTCATTCAGCTTTGCTAAATATAAACTCTTTGGTTCACATTCTTTTCCTTTTCCTAAAAAATTTACTTCATTATCTTCTGGGATAAAGTGTTGCTGTCAAGAAGTCAGATAAAAGTCTAATTATATATTGTGTGCTATTTTTGGTCCATTATTTAAATGATTTGTTTTCTTTCACGTAACTTTACTAGAATATGTTTTAGTGTTGATTTTCCTGATTTGACATATAATGTATGTTTCTGATATGTAGTTCTCTCTCTCTCTCTCTCTGTCTCTCTCTCTCTTTCCTTAATTTTAAGAAAGATTTCTTTATTGTAGCATTTAGTATTTCTTCTATTCTCTTGCTTTGTTTTTATTATTCAGGGACTTCTATTGTTTATAAGTTGTATCTTCCTTACCTATTTTTAATATTCTTTCTCTTTTGAATCCTTTTAGCTCTTTTTTTGTTATAAAGTTTTATGCTTTTCAGTATTTATTTCTTTTGAATCATTATTTGCTGTGTTTGTTAGTTCTTAATTTTATTCATATTTTGTGTTTAATTCTGAAAAAGTTTTTATTTTTAATTCTTTGTTGACTATTTTCAAGTATTTTATTAGTTTTCTTAAATTATGGTTTATATTGTTTCACTCTGGTATCATCTTCTAATGTCTTCTAGCTTGCTTTGATACTGTATATTACAGCATTGATTTTGTGAGCATGTCTATGCAGTGTGCTTTCATGATTTCCAGGGATGTTATTTTGCTCTTTATTCTTTTTATGTTTTATAGTAACATTGCATCAGATTTTGGCTTTATAAATTTCTGTCATTTATTTTTATATAAATTTAGCTTTTTAACTTTTAGAAGAAATTATATTTTTCTAAAGTTATGTATTTCTAATTTTTTTCATTTTCTGTTGTTTTCGTGGTGTAAACTAAAATATAATGTCTTGATTTCCTGAGATTCCCTGGCTTTGTTTTCCCCTTCCACTTGTATTTTAATCATATCTATTATTCATCTATTTTTATTTTATCCTTCTCAATTCTTCTTCCATTTACAGCACTGTTTCCAGTGTTTGGTTCTGTTTTAATACAGCTCCCCAGATAGTCCATTTCTAGAATTCATAGGGAATAGACAGTTTTAGCCCCTAAAATCTCTGACAACAACCCCTTGTATTAACTAATTTTTTGAGTGAACAAAGACCTCCTCAGATTCAGCTGTTGTCAAGTACCCTTCCGTGATTTCCAGTGATGATATAAGAGTTTTGTGACTGTTGGTGTTTTTGTTGTTGTTGTTTGTTTTGTTTACGTTTTTGCACTTGCTTACTGCAAGTTTTTTTTTTCTTTTTTTAACAGATATTTCCAAAGGTTTCTGGTTTTTCTATCTAGTTGATCCCCTTTGTTTTATGTGGGGAATTTGGAAAATCCAAAGTCTATGTTGCCACCAATTCTGCCAAGTTCAGAGCTCACCAGAACTTGTTTTAATTATTAAATTGGTAGTATTGGCCCTAAGATATAAAAATCATTTTGCTATCTTTGATGTCTTTATTAATTGTCAGAGACCAATTCTGGGCCCTCTATTTCAGAAAAATTGTTTCATTCGGGAGCAACAGATATCCTTTCTCTGTTAAGCAAGATGATTTTGTACTATTACACACCAAACAATGACTTTGATGTTTGCCAAATGGCAAGTCCTGACTCTCTGTCATACAACAATCTTCTAATTCCAATTTAGAAATATTCTATTAGTTATTATCATAATCTCAAATCCTAACTGAAAATCTTACTGTAGATTACCAATCTCTACTATAATAACACCAATAAATTACATAATAAGCCAGTTATCAGATTTAGGTGGACATTTGTCATCTGAAAACATGCAAGTCCAAACGTCTCCAAATCTACAGCCATGCGAAGAGCCCAAATATTCTTTGGACTACAGCAATGTATGATTTGGTGTTGCCATTAGTTATCGTGCTGTGCAAGAATATTATGGGATTTGGGGCCACATATAGAGTGATGTGGATATCAAATGAGTCCTTTTTGATTAGCAGGCCAGGCCTTTGAAGGAACAGAAATAGCTAGTGCCCAGAAAATGTCCTGGCCCCTAGTCGACATGTCCAGTTTTTTCCTAAACATAAGTTTCAAGCTTAATATTACATCATAGTGAGGACAAAAATAGATCACACTTTCTATATTAGAAATCTTCTGCTTAACAATAAACCCTCCCAGATCTAAGTTGTAAGGGGGGGGTTGCAATTCCAATGCCCACAGAAGCAAAATGCACAGGGAACATCAATAAATCAAGTGAATCAAGTGAGCAAGGATAAGAACATTTTCTATTTTCAGCCCAAACACACGTTGCATGTTAAAGACAAAAAAGTTATTTCCTTCTATATACAAGTATGCACTCTCACATTGTTTTAAATAACAAAGTCCTCTCTATCATTACTTAGCTTTTTTTCATAGAGACACAGTTAATGTTTGTCTTTACTCCTAACTCTATCATGCAGAAAACAGCACAAGTATGATAGCAGCAACAACAACAAATGCCACTTGACACTTGGCCTAATTATGTCATAAATGAGAGGGAGTTCTATGGATATTTTAGAACTGGAAAGTGCAGGTTCATCCAAAGGTAGTATTTCCACTCAGCTCCAGCTGATTTTTGTCAAACATTAATATAGGACTAATAATGCTAGATCTTCCACTTTTTAAAAAGAAGCAGGAAATCCAGATTTTTGTGCAAAATGTTTCAGGATTTAAACGTTGACAACTAATTCAGTTAATTTTTAAACATTGTGTAGGCAAATATGGTATGGGCCAAACAAAACACATCTGCAGGCAATGAAATACAGTGTATTACTTCTGCTTAGGAAGCCCAAATAATTTCTTTCTCCTATATTTTCATTCTTTGGTTTCAAGAACAAGTTGAAGAAGTATCTTTTTTTAAATGCAGCCTTTCTTGAATTCCCTCCAGATGGTATGTGTTTTACTCCTTTGTGTCCTCTACTATGCCATGTACAGACTTCTGTCACAGGATCTGTAAAATTCTAGCATGTATTTGTTTGCCTGACAATTCCAATGTTAAATTTTGAATTCCTCCAGAGAAGAAATTGCAGTGGGTTGACCGGTGTCCCCCAAAAGTATGCCATGCCCTAAACCCCAGGTCTTTTGAATGTGACTCTCTTTGGAAAAGGGGTCTTTGCAGATGTAATTAAGTTAGGGATATCAAAATAACATCATCCTGGATTATCTGAGTTATCTGATTACCAGGTTATCTGAAAATTTTACTGTAGGTTACCAATCTCTACTATAATAAAACCAATAAATTACATAATAAGCCAATTATCAGATTTAGGTGGACATTTGTCATCTGAAAACAAGCAAGTCCAAACGTCCCCAAATCTACAGCCATGGGAAGAGCCCAAATATTGTCTGACCTACAGCAATGTATGATTTGGTGTTGCCAGTAGTTATCATGCTGTGTAAGAATATTATGGGATTTGGGGCCACATATAGAGTGATGTGGATATCAGATGAGTTCTTTTTGATTAGCAGGCCAGGCCTTTGAAGGAACAGAAATAGCCAGTGCCCAGAAAATGTCCTGGCCCCCAGTCAACATGTCCAGTTTCTTCCTAAACACAAGTTTCAAGTTTAATATGACATCATAGTGAAGACTAAAATAGATCACACTTTCTATATTAGAAATCTTCTGCTTAACAATAAACCCTCCCAGATCTAAGTTGTAAGGGCAGGGATTGCAAGGGTCCTAAATCCAATGATACATGTCCTTATAACAGACAAAGGAGAAAAGCACAGACAGAGGATAAGAGCATGTGAAGACAGAGGCAGAGATTAGTGTCATACAGCCAAAGGCCAAGGAATTCTGGGAGCCACATTCAGAAGCTCAAAGAGGCAAGGAGGAATCTTTCCCCCATAACCTTCAGAGTGGCCATGGTACTACTGATACCTTGATTTCTGTTTCTGTCTTAAAGAACTGTGATAGAATAAAATGTATGTCATATTAAGCCACCACATTTGTGGTGATTTGTTATAGCAGCCCTAGGAACTAAGGAAAGAGACTATGCTTATATAACATTTTACCCCAAATACCTAGCATAAAGTCGGCATGTGGAAGACAGGCATAAAATAGATGATAATACTTCGGAATCAAAAGTATAAATTCTCACTTTTTATGAGCTTATGAGTTTCCTTGCACACTTTATGCACTATATCAGAATTATATTATTCCATGCCTTACAAATAACGCTCTTGAATGGACTTATTAAGGCTCAGTAATCAAACCAGTAGCAGTTTATTAGTGGTAGGAATCTTTATGTCCTGTTCCTCTCAGCAGAAGTATATAAAGTATGCATCTCTAAAGATAAACAAAGAGAAAGAAACAATTACTTTCTCTACATCAGGTGTGCTGTACTACGCTCAAATGCAGTGTGAAACATCATCTCTTTCTTCAGGAAAAATGATTCATTGTCACTAAAGGCAGAGTAGTTTAGAAAGAGTGGGCTCTGAAAACAGAAATACTTGAATTTGAACCATGGCGCTACTTGTTCCTAGCTGTTGGACATTGGGTAAGTTACTTAACCTCTGTGAGGGTGTGATGGTAAGATTAGGCAATAAACACTGTAAATATTAAAATAACGTGATAAGTTCAAGTTCTTACTGAGTATACGGAATTAGAAGGAGCCAAAAAATGCTACCTGTCTTCTATAGATTTCTAGTATGCCATATTCTGTTGCTTGAGTAAGTAAAGTTTGGGAAAATGGATACACTTAGCATACTGGTTTGAATTTAAGAGTATTAAGCTGGATTTCCTACTGTTAAAATGGAATCCAGATTTATCTTTGATAATTCCTAAAAAACTGGTCAGGGACTCAGTACCACCAGGATCATTAGAACCTGGAATTGTTATTTCCTTTACTAAAAGAGGGGCGAAAATCAACTTCTGCCTTGGGTCTACATTAAATACCCTTCTTCTTGTTAATTATTAGTTGATGATAATTACCAATATTATAATCCATAACAAGAAGTTTACAAAGATAAAATCATGTACCCACAACTAGAATCACTTCAATGCCAAGGCTTCTGGTGAGAAAGATATCCTCCTGCCAACTGTGTTTAGCTTATCAACCGAGATTACTCAGTTGGCAAAACACATTCAGCCAGTGCTAGAGTTGTCGGTACTTATGTCAACCAGCCTGTAAGTCTTCCTAAAAGGAGAAATATACCCACCATAAGACCTGTTGTGGGACAATGGCTTTTACTTAATTTCCTGTGAACCAGCCCAAAGACTTAAGCAAGGAGCAAGCAACTGAACTAAAGGAAGAATCTTTAGGCTTATCAGTACCCAAACATATCCAAATAGTAAATGAAGTTATATAAATATTTTGCATAAATTGGTTGTTCTCAGTTGGATGTTATTTAAAACCCCAGATGACATTTTGCAATGGTTGAAGACATCTTCAGTTGTCACAACTGGGAAAGCAAGGATAATTCTGGCATCTGGTGGGTAGAGGGCCCAGGGATGCTGCTAAACATCCTACAATGCAGTGGACAACCTCCAGAACAGTGAATTATATGAGCCAAAATGTGTATAGTGCCATGGTTGAGAAACCATAGAATAGGTAAACATGAAATAAATGTCTATTAAGAAAAGCTCATTTAAATTTAGGGCTGTCATCCTCTCCAAAGCAATTTATAGATTTAATGCTATTCCTACCCAATTACCAATGATATTCTTCACAGAACTAGAAAAACAAACTATTTTAAAATTCATATGGAACCACAAAAGAGTCCGAATAACCAAGGCGATTTTAAGCAAAAAGAACAAAGGTGGAGGCATCGCATTACTCAACTTCAAACTATGATACAGGGCTACAATAACCAAAACATCATGGTACTGGTACAAAAACAGACACATAGCCCAGTGGAACAGAATAGAGGCCAAGAAATAGGGCCACACACCTAAAACCAACTGATATTTGACAAAGCTGACAAAAATAAGCAATAGGAAAAGGACTCCATTGTAAATAAATGGTGCTGGAATATGGCATATGCAGAAGATTCAAACTGGACCTTTTCCTTACACCATATAAAAAAAGTCAACTCGAGATGGGTTAAAGATTTAAATGTAAAACGCAAAACTGCAAAAGCCCTGGAAGAAAACCTAGGAAATACCATTCTGGACATAGGCAAGGGTGAAGACGTCATGAAGAAGATGCCAAAAGCAACTGCAAAAAAAGCAAATATTGAGAAATGTTAGCTAATTAAACTAAAGAGCTTCTGCACAGCAAAAGAAACTATAAGCAGCATAAACAGATAATCTACAGTGAGAGAAAATTTTGCGAACTATGCATCTGACAAAGGTCTAATATACAGTATCTATAAGGAAGTTAAATGAATTTACAAGAAAACAAACTACCCCACAAAAAAGTGGGCAGAGGACATGAACAGACATTTTTCAAAAGAAGACATACATGTGGCCAACAAGCACATAAAAAAAAGCTCACCATCACTGATCATTAGATAAATGAAAATCAAAACCACAATGAGATGCCATCTAACACCAGTCAGAATGGCTACTATTAAAAAGTGAAAAAAATAATAGAGGCTGGTGAGGTTGCAGAGAAAAAGGAATGCTTATACACTGTTTGTGGGAGTGTAACTTAGTTCAGTCATTGTGGAAAGCAGTGTGGGTTTTTCCTATATGAGCTAAAAACAGAACTACCATTCAACTCAGCAATCCAATCCCATTACTGGGTATGTTAGTCCATTTTCATACTGCTATAAAGACACTACCTGAGACTGGGTAATTTGTAAACAAAAGAGGTTTAACTGACTCACAGCTCTGCATGGCTGGAGAAGACTCAGGAAACTTACAATCATGACGGAAGGTAAAGGGGAAGCGAAGCACATCTTATATGTGGCAGACAAGAGCAAGACAGAGCAAGGAAGTTTAAAACCATTAGATTTCATGAGAACTCCCTCATTCTCACAGCGTGGGGGAAACCACCCCCATGAGCCAATCACCTCCTACCAAGTCACTCCCTTGATGCATAGGGATTACAATTTGAGATGAGACTTGGGTGGGGACACAGAGCCAAACCGTATCACCGGGTATACCCAAAGGAATATAAATCAATCTGTCATAAAGATACATGCACATGTATGTTCACTGCAGCACTATTCACAATAGCAAAGATATGGTATCAACTTAAATGCTCACCAATGGTTTCCTAAATAAAGAACATGTGGCACATATATGCTATGGAATACTATGTAGCCATAAAAAAGAACAAGATCATGTCCTTTTCAGGAACATGGCTGAAGCTAGAGGCCATTATCCTCAGCAAACTAACGAAGGAACAGAAACCAAATCTCACCGTCTCTCTTATAAGTGGGAGCTAAAGGAGGAGAATACATGGACATACAGAGGGGACACACACAGACACTGGAGCCTACTGGAAGGTGAAGGGCAGGAGAAGGTGGGAGAGGATCAGGAAAAATAACTAATGTGTACTAGGCTTAATACCTGGATAATGAAATAATCTGTACAACAAACCCCCATGCCACTAGTTTACCTATATAACAAGCCTGCACATGTACTCTGAACTTAAAGTTTAAAAAATAAATAAAAAAATTAATAAATTTAGCACTGAAGTAGTTGTTATGGAGCATACTCATAAGCCAAAAGGAAACTTTAGAATAAAAGAGAAAAGTTTTGTGAAGACAAGTAGATGTATACATTCAAAATATGTGTAATGATTTGAAATGATCAATGGAAGACTTGTTTTAAATTTCAAATCTGATGCTCCTATGCAAAATGTTTCCAACACAAAAATGATGACAATGTGAGGTAACGTAGATTTTGAATGGTTAGATTTTGTCATTTCACAATAGACATATGCTTGAAAACACTATGTTATACATGGTAAATACATAAAATTTTATCTATCAATTTTTAAATATAATTTAAAAATAAAACCAAAACAAAGGCAAATCCAATGCCCTATATTTATACTTTTAATTTTAGGTTCTCAGACACGTTCTTGTGTCTTTGTTTCCAGATTTGCTCTACCTACTTTACAAGCCAGGTAGATAATACAAAATGCTATTTAGAAAATGATGTTCATGTATTTTTTAAGCCAAGGTACAATGGACATATTGTGTTTTTCTATTATTATTTTGACCATAAATGGTCAACTTGATTTCAAGAAATATCAAAATAATCACTATCAAATTGGTTGGTCCCAAACCATAAACTTGCATTCACCTCTTTTGACCCACTTACATGACTCACTGAGCAGTGAGTTATGCCATTTCCTAATAAGACACCCAATACCAAAATAAGATTACTGCAATTGAATGTTTATCTTCAAACACAAGGTCTATACACATCCACATGATTGAAACTTTTCACAATACTATTGCAGTCAATAAAAGGTATTTTCCTCTAAGGCTGCTTTTTGGTATCAGACTCATGACGCAACTAAAATTTCAAATTCAAAAAAAAAAAAAATGAAAATATGCATTGTTCCCCTGTGTGTATCTCAGTATTTTGTGGAGGTAGAGGAGTGGGCTATCTGTCAGAGCCAAGAAACTTTCCTCCTGAACTGTCAGCTAGAATGAAAAAAATAAACAAACCTGGATTTATCATAAATATATTTAAATGCCTCCATGATTCTTTCCTGCTACTGGTGGGACACAGACTATTGTTAAACAAAAGAAATTTGCAATCCAAAATGTATTTCATAAAAAAAAAAACAGACACATTCTTTACATGTGGTCTACTAAAAATACAAAGTATTCATACTAAATGGACATTTCTGAATAATTCTTGAAACCTAAACTTTAACATCTATCTTTCTCTAAATGAAATAAGCAAATTACTTTTCACTTGGGAGTATTTGGGATATAGATAATGCTTGATACACAAATTTTTAAATGATGGTCTTGTAAAAGTTTCTGTGCTTATCTGAAATTTGTAAAAAATGTCTTTTAGATTCTCACAAGTTTATGTTCTTATTCATATAAAATGGAACCACATAAATATTTGTCTTTTGTGAGTGACTTGTTTCACTTAGCATAACATCTTAAGGCACATCTATTTTGTGGCATCCGTCAGTATTCCCTTCCTTTTTGAGCTTGAATATTTCATTGTACATATATATTACGTTATGCTTATCCATTCACCAATCAATGGGCATTTGGATTTTTTCTCTCATTTGGCTATTATGAAAAATGATCCTATGAACCTCAGTGTACAAATATTTGAGTCCCTGCTTGAACTCCTTTGGGTTTATACCCTAAAGGAGAAATGATGGATTGCATGAAAGTTTCATGTTTAAGTTTTTGAGAAAATATTATTATGTGTAAATATACATAATACATACACATATGTGTACACGTTTATGGTGTACAAGTGACATTTTATTATATGCATAGCCTGTGCAATGATGAAGTCAGGTGCCCTTGAGTATTTATCCTTGAGTGTGTCCTTGAGTATTTATCACTTCTATGTGTTGGAATCATTTCTAGTCCTCTGTCCTAGCTATTTTGCAATATACAATACACTGTTGTAAGGTATGGTGACCCTACTCTACTAATAAACATTTTATTCCTTCTTTCTGCTATCAAACATTATAATTTATTCCTTCTGTCTACTATGAAACATTATAATTTATTCCTTCTGTTTAACTGTATGTTTTTAACCATTAACCAATATCTCTTTATCTACCCCCAACCACACATCCTTCCCAGTGTCTGGTATCTGTCACTCTACTCTCTACCTCCATGAGTTCAACCTCTTAGCTCCCACATATGAGTGACAGCAGGCAATATTTGCCCTTCTGTGCCTGGCTTACTTCACTTAACACAATGACCACCAGTCCCATTAATTTTGCTGCAAATAACAAGATTTCATTATTCACTAAGGCCAAATAGTATTTCACTGGGCATATATATTTAACGTTTTATCCATTCACCTGTTAATGAACATTACATTGCTTCCCTATCTTTGTAATTGTGAATAATGCTGTAATAAATAAATAATAAATAAAGGTATGCCTTTGATATACTATTTATTTTCCTTTGGATAAATACACATGTATTAGTCTGTTTTTATGCTGCTGATCAAGACACACCCAAAACTGGAAAGAAAAAGACATTTAATGGACTTATAGTTACACATAGCTGGGGAGGCCTCACAATCATGCTGGAAGGCAGGGAGCAGCAAGTCACATCTTACATGGATGGCAGCAGGCAAAGAGAGCTTATGCAGGGGAACTACCATTTTTAAAACCATCAAATTTTGTAAGACTTATTCACTATCATGAGAACAGCATGGGAAAGACCCTCCCCTATAATTCAATGATCTCCCATTGGGTCCCTCCCACAACCTGTGGGAATTATGGAAGCTACAAGATGAGATTTGGGTGGGGCAGACGCAAATCGTATCAACCCAGTAGTGGATTGCTGGATCACATGGAAGCTCTGTTTTGGCTTTTTACAGAAATCTTTATACTGTTTTCCATAGTGGCTGACCTAATTTACATTCCCACCACCAATAATTCCTTTTTTTGCACATCCTTCTCAGTATTTTTGTCTTTTTAATAATAGCCATTATAACTGGGTAAGATAATATCTCTTTGTGGTTTTGATTTGCATTTATCTGATGATTAGTGATGTTGAACATTTTTTCTTATATCTGTTGGCCATTTGTATGAGTTATATTTAATTATTTATGTATTTGTTTGTTTTTAATTTTTATGGATTCGAGGAGTACATGTACAGGTTTGTTACATGGACAGACTGTGTAGTAGTGGGGCTTGGGCATCTAGTGTTCCCATTAAATCAATAGTGAACATTATACCCAATAGCTAATTTTTCAATTCTCACCCCCCTCCCACTCTTCAGTTTTGTAGTCCCCAGGGTCTAATATGCCCCTCTGTATGTCCATAGGTGCACCCATTTTTGAGCTCCCTCTTATAAGTGAGAACATGTGGTTTTTGACTTTTTGCTTATGAATTATCTCACTTAGGATAAGGGCCTCCAGTTCCATGTTGCTGCAAAAGACATGATTTTATTCTTCATAATGATTGCATGGTATTCTGTATATGTACCACATGTTCTTTATCCAGTTTCAGTCATCCATTGATGGACAATTTGGTTGAGTCTATGATTTTGCTATTGTAAATAGTGCTGCAATAAACATACAAGTGCAGGTGTATTTGTGAGGTAATAATTTATTTTCCTTTCTGTATATATCCTGTAGTGGGGTTGGTGCATAAAATGGTATTTCTGTTTTCAGTTGATTGAAATATCTTCATACTGTTCTCCATAGAGTTTGTGCTAGTTTACATTCCCACCATCAGAATGTAAGTGTTCCCTTTTTTTCTTCATCCTTGCCCACATTATTTTTTCATTTTTGTAACACCCATTCTGACTGGGTGAGATGCTAACTTAGGGTGGTTTTAATTATCATTCCTCTGATGTTGGACATTGTTTAATAAGTTTGTTGGCTGTTGATATGTCCATTTCTTGAGAAATGTCTGTTCATGTCATTTGCCCATTTTGTAATGAGGTTATTTGTTATATTTTTGGGTTGTTTGAGTTCCTTCTAGGTTCTAGATATTAGCCCTCTGTTGGATGCATAGTTTGCAAATATTTTTCCCATTCTGCAGGCTGTTTACTCTGTTGATTATTATTACTATTGCTGTGAAGTTTTTCAGTTTGATAGAATTTCTGTGTCTATTTTGGTGTACATTGCATTTACTTTTGAGATCTTAGTCATAAATTCTTTGCCTAAGACACTATCCTGAAGACTTTTTCCTAGGTTATCTTCTATAATTTTTGCAGTGCCAGGTCTTACATTTAAGTCTTTACTCCATGATGAATCACTTTTTTGTAACTGGTGAGAGCTAAGTGTTTAGCTTCATTATTTTGAATATGGCTAGCAAATTTTCCCAGCATCATTAATTGAATAGGAGGATGTCTTTTCCCTATTGTATATTTTGTCAACTTTGTTGAAGATCAGTTGCTTGTAGGTAAATAACTTATTTCTGGGTTTTCTATTCTATTTCATTCATCTATGTGTTGATTTTTATGCTAGTATTATACTGTTTTGGTTAATATATCCCTGGATTATAATTTGAAGTTGGCAAATGTGATGCATACAGCTTTGTTATTTTTGCTTAGGATTGATTTGGCTATTCAGGCACTTTTGGTTTCATGTAAATTTAAAATTTTTTTTCTAATTCTGTGAAAAATTATGTTGATATTTTGATAGGAATTGTATTGAATCTATAGATTGCTTTGAGCAGTATTAACATTCTAATGCTATTTATTATTCCAATCCACGAGCATGAGATATTTATCTGTTTGTGTTGCCTGTATTTTCTTTAATTGATGTTTTGTAGTATTTGCGTAGAGATTTCTTTCGCCAGTCTCTTTAGTTAAATGTATCCCTACATATCTGTGTTTGTGTGTGGCTATTGTAAAAGGGATTGAGTTCTTGATTTGGTTTTTAGCTTGAATGTTATTGGTGTATAGAAATGTTACTAATTTTTTAAGGTTGATTTTGTATACTGAAACTTTACTGAAGTGATTTATCAATTACAGTATCTTGGAGAAGTGTTTAGGATTTTCTGTATATAAGATCATGTCGTCATTGAACAGAGGAAATTTGACTTCCTCTTTTCCAGTTTGAATGACTTTTATTTCTTTCGTCTAAATGCTCTGGCTAGGATTTCCAATGATAGGTTAAATATGACTTCCAGTACTATGGTGAAAATAGGCATCCTTGTCTTGTTCTAGTTCTTAGAATAAATGATCCCAACTTTTGCCAATTAAGTATGATGTTGGCCGTGGGTTTGTCATATTTGGCTTTTATAATTGCAAGGTACGTGTTTTCAATGCCTAAATTGTTGAGGGATTTTATCAAATGCTTTCTCTGCATCTATTGAGATAATTACATGTTTTTTGTTTTTAATTCTGCTTATGTGGTGAATTGAATTTATTGATTTGAATATGTTGAGCCATACTTGAATCCCTGGGGGGGGTGGGGTGGGAAACCCACTTGATTGTGATGCATTACCTTTTTTTTTTTTTTTGGACAGAGTCTCCCTCTGTCGCCCAGGGTGGAGTGCAGTGGTGCAATCTCGGCCCACTGCAACATCCACCTCCCAGGTTCAAGCCATTCTCCTGCCTCAGCCACCCGAGTAGCTGGGATCACAAGTGCCTGCCACCATGCCCAGCTAATTTTTGTATTTCTAGTAGAGACAGGGTTTCACCATGTTGGCCAGGCTGATCTCGAACTCCCGAACTCAAGTGATCCACTTGTCTTGGCCTCCCTAAGTGCTGGGATTAGAGGAGTGAGCCACCATGCCTGCCCTGCGTTATCTTTTTGATGTGCTGTTAGATTCAGTTTGCTAGTATTTTGTGGAGGATATTTGCATCTATGTGTGTTCATCAGGGTTATTGGCCTATAGTTTTTTTTTGTTGTTGTCTCCTCATCTGGTTTTGGTATTAGGGTAATACTGGCCTCATAGAAATAGAATTTCCACCTTTTCAATATTTTGGTAAAGTTTGATAACAATTAGTGTTAGTGTTTCTTTAGCAGTTTGGTAGAATTTGACAGTGAAGCCACTTTGTCCTTGACTTTTCTTTGTTGGGAAACCTTTTATTACTGACAACATCTCATTGTTTATTATTGATCTATTCAGATTTTCTCTTCTTAATTCTAACATGGTAGGTTGTATGGATTGAGGAATTTATCCATTTCCTCTAGGTTCTCCAGTTTGTTAGCATATAGGTGTTCATAGTAGTCTCTAATAATCTTTTGTTTTTTCAGTAGTATCAATTGTAACGTCTCCTTTTTCATTTCTGATTTTGTGTATTTAGGCTGTCTTCCTCTTTTTGATTTGCTTAGTCCAGTTAACAATTTGTTGATTTTGTCTGTCTTTTCAGAAAACAAATTTTTCATTTCATTTGTTCTTTGTATTTTATATGTATATACATACATTATGAATATATATACTATATCTATATATAATGAAATACAAAGCTTATTGTTTTTTTTTTCTAATCTCCAGTACTTTCATTCTGCTGTGATCTTTATCCTTTCTTTCTTTCTACTAATTTTGTGCCTGGTTTCCTCTTGCTTTTCCATTTTTTTTGAGGTGCATTATTATATTCTTTATTTAAAATACTTATACTTTTCTGAGATAGGCATTTATTGCTATACAGTTTCTTATTAGTACTGATTTTGCCATATTTCACAGGTTTTGTTAAGATTTTTTAAAATTTTAATTTATTTCAAGAAATATTTTGATTTTTTTCTTAATTTCTTCCTTGACCCATTGGCAATTCAGGAGCATGCTGTTTAATTTCCATGGATTTGTACAATTTACAAAGTTTTTAAAAAATTATTTATTTCTATTTTTATTTTATTATGGTCCAAACAGATACTTGATATAACCTGATTTTAAAAAAATTGTTGACACTTGTTTTGTGGCCTGATATATGGCCTTTCCTAAAGAGTATTTCATATGCTAAAGAGGATAATGTGTATTCTGTAGCTATTGGATGAAATATTCTGCATATGTCTGCTGTTTCCATTTGTTCTAAATTGCAGTTTAACTCCAATATTTCCTTCTAAAGTTTTTCTCTGGATGATCTGTCTAATGCTGACAGTGTGGTTTTGCTGTCCCAACTACTATTGTATTGGCATAAGATTTGCTTTATACTTTTGGTTACTGCAGTGTTGGGTATGCATATGTTTAGGATTGTTCTAAATTATTTTATTTGATACTTTATTATTATTACATAGCAACCTTCTTTGTCTCTTTTTATTATTTTTGACTTAGAGTCTGTTTTACCTGATATAAATATAGCTACTTAGAATTGTTTTGGTTTCCATTTGCATAGAATATATTTTCTATTCCTTTATTTTCACTGTACATGTGTCTTTATTGGTGAGATGAGTTTTCTTGTAGGCAACATATAGCAGGGTCTTTTTTGTTTACTCATTTATTTGCATAAGCCAGTTACTTTATATCTTTTATAAAATTTATATATTTTATAAAACATATCTTTTATAAAATTCCATGTAAATGGAATTTTAACCATTTACATTCAATGTGAGAGCTTATATTGACATGCAAGAGCTTATTTCTGTCATTATATTAAATAATTTCTGGTTGTTTCCTATCTTTTGTTATTCTTTATTCCTTTCCTTCTCTTTTATTTTTTATTATTGTCATTTGGTGGTTTTTCTGTATTGGTAACATTTGAGTTCTTTCTCTTCTTTATTTGTGTGTTTGCTTTACTAGCAGGCTTCAGACTTTCATGTACTTTCATAATGGTACATATTGTCCTTTTACTTCCAGGTGCAGGGCTCCCATTTCTTGTAGGACCAGTCTTTATGTATGAATGATAAGTTTTCTGGGTATAGTATCCCTGGCTGGCAATATTTTTCTTTCAGTGCTTTGAATATATCATCCCATGTTCTCTTGGCTTTTAAGGTTACTGGTGAGAAACCCTCTGTTAGTCGAATGGGGGTTCCGTTATAGGTGACTAGACATTTTTTCTTGCTGCTTTTAGAATTCTCTCTGTCTTTGACTTTTTAGAATTTAACTATAATGTCTTATGGAGAATACTTTTTGGAATTGTGCCTGTTTGGGTATCTCTGAACTTCCTGTAACTGGATTTCTAAATCTCTTGCTAGACTTAAGAAGTTTTCAGCTATTATTTTGTTAAATAGCATTTCTATCCCTTTTTTTAACCTTGTGGGATCCAGAAAATTCAAACATTTATTTGCTTTATGATGTCCCATATGTCAAATTAGCTTTTAAAACAAATTCCTGTGAAAAATCTTTGTCTAAAATTCTTTCTTCTGCTTCATCTATTCTATTGTTGAAACTTTTGAAAATATGTTGTATTCCATCTAATAAATTCTTCAGTTCCAGAATTTCTGTTTGATTCTTTTTTGTGATACTTCTCTTCAGTAAGTTTGTCATTAGTATCCTGAGTTGTTTTTCTGATTTCTTTGTATTGTTTTTCTGCATTCTTTGTATGTCATTTGGCTTATTTAATATTATTAATATAAATTATTTTTCTGTGATTTTTATAGTTTTTCATTCGAATATTTTACTGAAGAATTATAGTTTTCTTTTGGAGGTATTATATTTCCTTGTTTTTTTATGATTCTTATGTTGTTATATTGCTATCTCTGCATCGGCTGTGACAGTCACTTTTTCAAATTTTTGATTTTGCTATTGTAGGGAAGAACTTTTTCCTAAACATATTATCTATGATGTTGCTTGGGCAGGACATTTTGGTTTCAATTCAGGGTGTTTGCAGTAGTGTAATCTACATATTATTTCTTCAGCTGTTATAAGTGTCAGCAGTGTCTGTGATTTCCTCAGTGGCTTAAGGTGCAGTTGTTAGTACAGGCTATGGTGAAGTTTTGCTGGTGACTTGGATGCCAGGTAGGCATGTCTTCAGGTTCTAGTCACGGCAGTGGTAGGCCAAATATTCCTTTCCTTGGGACCTAGGGCAGTGTATAATGGCATTAGTGTTAGCTAGTCCAGAGAGCTGATTCTTGAACCTCTAGGTGGCTTGCCTGGTTACTGGTAGTGACAGCAGTAGGCCAGTTGGGTGGGCAGGTTTTTGGGCTCCTGGGCATGAAGTATGCTATGGGCAATATCAGTAGCCGTGGCAGGACAAACCTCTGGCTTCCGAGTTGTCTATCCCGGTATTGACAGTGACAGTGATTGGCTTGGCAGGCCAGTACCAGGTCCACAGGTAGCTGATAGCAGCAGGTTTGGTGCGCCCAAACTCAGTCACCTGGGAGGAATTCTCAGGTGTCAACTGTCGTGGACTGGGCTATGCAATCCTCTGGCCCCCAGAAGGTGTGCTTGGGCACTTGGGGGTTGGAGCCAGACCAGTCAGACCTGTTCTCAGGACCTCTGGTGATGTGTGCAGGTGCTTCTTGCAGTAGGTGTGGGTGGGAGGTGATACTAGACCTATGCTGTAATGCTCAGGTCATGATGGCAGTGGCTGCACTGCAGCCCTGCTCCAAGTGAGAGGGGTTGCTTTCAGTGGCAACAGCTGTATGCAAATGACTGGGAAGCACACACTTCTCTTGCATTTCCTCCCTGGCAATGGCAGCCCACAGCAGCAGTTGCTGTGGTCAAGGGAGCTTGCCCTACAAGTGTGTAAATATGTGCTGAGGTGTCATTGCTGGATGTAGGAAGGTCTTTGGCAATGGCTTATGCTTCAGCCCTGACAACAGGAGCTGTGGGCAGGAAATGTCAATGTGGCTCCAGAGATGTGGAGATACAGAAGCTATTGGCTCCCAGGTATGATGGGGGTTGGTGGCGGCTGGGCTCTCCAAATGGCATCTTGCTGTAGCTGCTTAGAGCGTGGGTGGGGGGTGTGTGGGACCCAGGATTATCTTCCTCTCTGGAGCAATGTCTTCCCACAGTCTCCAGGCAGCTCCCTAAGTCAGTCTTAGGGTCCACATGAGTCTAAGGGCTTTCTCATGGCTGCAGACTTCCAGAAGTCTGCAGTGCCAATGTGGACTGCTGGGGGTCATTCGCTTATGCTTTCCCTGCATTTGGAAGACTCTCAAGGCTCTGAGCTGATCATGGCCAAGTAGGCTGGCTCATTTCCCTCTCCTTTCTTGCTTTAGGTGTTTCCTCTCACTTCTCTGTTGAATTCCAATGTTCTTTCTTAGATGATCTATTCTAGTGTGATTATCTACTCTCTATTTTAGTTCTTCTTGTGGAGGGGGTGAGTAGCAGATGCTTCAAGTCAGCTCTCTTAAAGATCCTCTTGATTACATTTTCAATTGTTACTTGGATCACTGTTTTACTCATTAGATTGAAACAACCATGGAGAAAAGTATAACTTTTGCACATTACAAAGAAATCCTCAGAATGTGGCTTATATAGTGTACTTTAAAAATACTTGGCGAAAGAATGGGTCAATGTTCTTGTGGGCCAGCAGATTATGCAATGAATATAAGGGTAGAATATTGTGGTTCAAGTCCAAGCAAAAACATGACCCAGCTTGTCTGCCTGATTTCTGGGCACTTTAGTCACTTAAATTCCTGAGGTTCATTGTTCTTTTATGTATAAAAGGGAAGGGGAGAAATGTCCTATTGTGATGAACAAATAAGTGAAATTATATAATGACAACCTGAAACTCTACAAAGGTACTAATATATTATAGTCAACTTTTAACCATTATTCATTTGAAAACAGTTTTTTCAGCATTTTTTAAATGCACATGTATTGTGGTGTGATATCACTTACATATTATTTTTAAGTATATTTTATAATTACTTCCTTGTAAAAATAATGAATTCTGGTTCCATTCATTTATACAACCAAGTACATCAAAGTATTCTTAAGAAATCAAAAGAAATCAAAATATTATTTTTTGGTTGCAAATTTTTCTGAACATCAGGGTCGAGGTTACACTAATTATCTGAAATGCTGTGAAAAATCTACATAATAATACAGTTTGAAATATATATGAGAAGATAAATAATTTAAAAAGATAACTTATTGCAACTGCATAAGTAGTACAAAATGCTTTCAAATCTGTACAACTTATCTCCTCATTATTAGGTCTGAAAACACAGTAATGTAGAGATATCATTTAAAAATATAAGATAAAGGAAGAAACACAGATACTCTTTGGTCAGCTGATTTAATACCTGAAAAGGATAGTATGTTGCATGCATTTTTCTATCTATATGTAGAATAGAGTCCATGAACCCTATCAATATATCCCAGACTTTAAACCTTTGAAACCAGTAGGCAATATCTTTCAGTATTTACGAATGATCTTCTGCAGAAATCTAGCATTTTTCTAACATTGAAACCAATGACATCAAAGATTGACAACCCTGGGGAACACAAAATTAGAACAATTATCCAAGGCCTAAATTGCTTTTTCTTTTTTTTTTTTTAGATGGAGTTTCACTCTTGTTGGCCAGGCTGGAGTGCAACGGCACCATCTCAGCTCACTACAACCTCTGCCTCTGCCTCCTGGGTTCAAGTGATTCTCCTACCTCAGCCTCCCAAGTAGCTAGGATTACAGGCATGCACCACCACACCTAGCTAATTTTTTGTATTTAACAGAGATGGGGTTTTACCCTGTTGGTCAGGCTGGTTTCGAACTCCTGACCTCAGGTGATCCACCCAACTCGGACTCCCAAAGTGCTGGAATTACAGGTGTGCACCACCACACCTGACCCCCAAGGCCTAAATTTTGAAGGACTATGATGGAGATACTGGGACCATGCACCAAACTTTCTTAGGTCTAGAAAATAGAAAAGTGAATGACTTTGTCCTACTGTATGTTAAAATAATAATAATCCTGGGGGTGCTCATGTACAATTAGAGTGATTTCTAAATCTTCACAATAGCTATATTTCCCAAACCCATGTTTCACATGTTAGGTACAGACAGCTGTTTTTTAAATTTTTACTACACTTTCATCTTCCTAAATTGTTGATCCTATTTAGGAAGGAAATATATGCAGATGACTGGGAAGCACACACTTTTCTTTTGTTTCCTGTGATTTTGCGAACACTCAATTGTTAAAGATGCACTGTCTTCAATTTCTCTATCTGTGGCTATGGTAAGATTAAAAATTAACTTACATAATCAACATAAGGGTAAAAGCTGGCAGAATGGTACACAACTGCCTATTTGAATCTTGAAATGCAATGATAGATAAGCTTGCTGATTAGGTACAATTCACTCTTTATGTCTCTGGCAGTACTAGCACTCTTAGCTATACATAACAAACAAACAAACAACTTAATTTTAATGATTTTAGTGAGAAAATTGAGAAGGGAGAATAGTATGCTGATCCCAGAACACAGGTAAGAACAGTTGAGCAATAAAAATATAGGAAAATCAGAAATAAATTTGGACTTCAGTAACAACTGGAATTCAATAGTGGAATGTTACCTGTCAATTTCCCTGTCCCTTACAGCTGTCTTTTGACATCTGTCAAAGCTGTCATCTTTATGTTCATCTTTATGTTGTTGTGGTATGAAGGGACATATGAATGCCAACAGCATACTCCATCGCTGCTCTTATTAGAGAGGAGCTGATTATTATTTTTTGAATTAACAGACTTTATATATATATATATATATATATATATATATATATATATATATATATAGATCTTTTTATTATTATACTTTAAATTTTAGGGTACATGTGCACAACGTGTAGGTTAGTTACATATGTATACATGTGCCATGTTGGTGTGCTGAACCCAGTAACTCGTCATTTAACATTAGGTATATCTCCAAATGTTATCCCTACCCCCTCCTCCCACCCCACAACAGGCCCCAGTGTGTGATGTTCCCCTTCCTGTGTCCATGTGTTCTCATTGTTCGATTCCCACCTATGAGTGAGAACATGGGGTGTTTGGTTTTTTGTCCTTGCCATAGTTTGCTGAGAATGATGGTTTCCAGCTTCATCCATGTCCCTACAAAGGACATGAACTCATCATTTTTTATGGCTGCATAGTATTCCATGGTGTATATGTGCCACATTTTCTTAATCCAGTCTATCATTGTTGGACATTTGGGTTGGTTCCAAGTCTTTGCTATTGTGAATAGTGCCGCAATAAATGTACGTGTGCATGTGTCTTTATAGCAGCATGATTTATAATCGTTTGGGTATATACCCAGTAATGGGATGGCTGGGTCAAATAGTATTTCTAGTTTTAGATCCCTGAGGAATTGCCACACTGACTTCCACAATGGTTGAACTAGTTTACAGTCCCACCAACAGTGCAAAAGTGTTCCTATTTCTCCACATCCTCTCCAGCACCTGCTGTTTCCTGACTTTTTAATGATTGCCATTCTAACTGGTGTGAGATGGTATCTCATTGTGGTTTTGATTTGCATTTCCCTGATGCCAGTGATGATGAGCATTTTTTCATGTGTCTTTTGGCTGCATAAATGTCTTCTTTTGAGAAATGTCTGTTCATATCCTTTGCCCACTTTTCGATGGGATTGTTTTTTTTTTTCTTGTAAATTTGTTTGAGTTCATTGTAGATTCTGGATATTAGCCCTTTGTCAGATGAGTAGATTGCAAAAATTTTCTCCCATTCTATAGGTTGCCTGTTCATGCTGATGGTAGTTTCTTTTGCTGTGCAGAAGCTCTTTAGTTTAATTAGATCCCATTTGTCAATTTTGGCTTTTGTTGCCATTGCTTTTGGTGTTTTAGACATGAAGTCCTTGCCCATGCCTATGTCCTGAATGGTATTGCCTAGGGTTTTTATGGTTTTAGGTCTAACATTTAAGTCTTTAATCCATCTTGAATTGATTTTTGTATAAGGTGTAAGGAAGGGATCCAGTTTCAGTTTTCTCCATATGGCTAGCCAGTTTTCCCAGCACCATTTATTAAATAGGGAATCCTTTCCCCATTGCTTGTTTTTGTCAGGTTTCTCAAAGATCAGATGGTTGTAGATATGTGGCATTATTTCTGAGGGCTCTGTTCTGTTCTACTGGTCTATATCTCTGTTTTGGTACCAGTACCATGCTGTTTTGGTTACTGTAGCCTTGTAGTATAGTTTGAAGTCAGGTAGTGTGATGCCTCCAGCTTTGTTCTTTTGACTTAGGATTGACTTGGCGATGCAGGCTCTTTTTTGGTTCCATATGAACTTTAAAGTAGTTTTTTCCAATTCTGTGAAGAAAGTCATTGGTAGCTTGATGGGGATGGCATTGAATCTATAAATTACCTTGGACAATATGGCCATTTTCACGATACTGATTCTTCCTACCCATGAGCATGGAATGTTCTTCCATTTGTTTATATCCTCTTTTATTTCATTGAGCAGTGGTTTGTAGTTCTCCTTGAAGAGGTCCTTCAAGTCCCTTGTAAGTTGGATTCCTAGGTACTTTATTCTCTTTGAAGCAGTTGTGAATGGGAGTTCACTCATGATTTGGCTCTCTGTTTGTCTGTTATTGGTGTATAAGAATGCTTGTGATTTTTGTACATTGATTTTGTATCCTGAGACTTTGCTGTTAGAAAAGTTGTAAGTTTTCACCAAAATGAGCTCACAATAGAGTTTTCATATACCACCTCACAAATCCCCCCTCTCCATTTCCCCCGTTATTAACGTTTTCCATTAGTGTGTTATATTTGTTTTAATTGATCAGCCAATATTGACACTTTGTGACTAGAGCTCATAATTTACATTAGAATTCACTCTTCATATTGTACAGTCTCTGGATTTTGACAAATGTATAATGACATATATTTAGCATTATATTATCATACGAAGTAGTTTCACGGCTCATACACTCTCCTAGACTTCACCTATATACATCCACCCTCCCCCAATGCCCCAGCCAATCAATGATCTTTTTACTCTCTTAATAGTCTTGCCTTTTCTAAAATGTCATGTAGTTAGAATAATATAGATGTAGCCATTTTAGATTGGCTTCTTTCACTTAGCAATATGCTTTTAAAGTTCTTCAGGTCTTTTTATGACTTGGTAGCTCAACCTCATTTGAATATTGTTTCTTTCTTAGGCATGAAAATTATCTTTAGGAAAATAACCAGAAGATTCTATTATTTATGCCATCTAGGTAGGCTTAAAGACTAGTTCTGTGGCACTATTGTTTCCATACTATGTACCAAACTATTTACATTTTATGTTCCACACTCTGCACATTCAACTCACATCATTATCCCATAAATAAACATTTTAAATGGACAATTTAATAAAGTTTAAATAGTTTATTTATTATGATAATTTAATATAGTTTAAAGATCTATGAAACATGTCCATATTGGATCAATCTAATTCCCATTATTATCCTCATTCAACTTCCTATCATTCTTGTTATCTGGAGAATGCTTGCATTTCTTACTCTTTTCTGCGAAAATTATCCTGATAGGTATTTTAAAAATAGAAAAAATAAAAAGCAAAACTTGTTATATAACAGAATAGTAAAAAGGTTTCCGAAGTCATAACATTATAATTAGGTTAATAATAATAATGATCATAAAATTAATACCTGCAAAACATATATTTTCCTATTATTAAATCTATCTTTAAAGAAGCAATTGGGATGGGGGCTGTGGTTGATGCCTGTAATTCCAACACTTTGGGAGGCTGAGGTGGGTGGATCACTTGAGGTCAGGAGTTCAAGACTGGCCTGGCCCACATAGTGAAACCCCGTCTCTACTAAAAAAATACAAAAATTAGCCGGGCATGGTGGCACATGCCTGTAGTCCCAGCTACTCAGGAGGCTGAGGCATTGAGAATGGCTTGAACCCTGGAGGCAGAGGTTGCAGTGAGCCAAGATCGTGCTATTGCACTCCAGCCTGGGTGACAGAGCAAGAATCCGTCTCAAAAAATAAAATAAAATAAAAAATTAAATACAAATAAATAAAAATACAAAAGAAGCCACTGTATTTAGTGAATTATTCCAAATTTGCTGAAACAATCATCTATATATTATTACTTATAATTGCACAATTTTAACTAGAGTGAGTCAAATGAAAATTATATTTTTTGCATATTTGACTTGCTTTATATTTGTACTACAGGAAAATAGACCCCCAAAATTTTCACTTATATTTTTCCTAGTTTACAAATTAAAATTGAAGGTTATTCAAAGGAGAACAGCTTCTAGGAAGAAAGGTTTCCTAGTTAAATCAGAACAGCCTCTTCCAAAAACCCAGGACCAGAGGCAATTCCAATATAGTCAGTAAAACCACATCTGGAGCCATGAGGAGAGACAAATGCTATAGCAAGTAATGTCTCCTGCAGCCAATGCTTTGCTCTGTCACTATCTTCCAAAGAAGAGAAGAATTTAAAAGAAAAGCCTTAAGTTCCTCCCTTTTTCTTACAAATCAGCAATGATGGGATATTGTGATCAAAATACTGCCAGAAAATAACAAAGTAATATTCTCAATTCGATTTATTTTTAGGGTTCCTCCTTTGTTCATTATTGTGATTACAATTATTGGGAGTTAAATTTCCCTTACTGCCTTCAAGGAAGCCTTCACATTCTCATCAAAGATAATGTTTGAGCAGGAATTGATAAAGAAAAAAAATAAACCAAAGACAATAGGATCAATTACTTTGTGATAAATTTTACTTTATGGAATCATATGGCTTAAAAATTATCTTCAATTTATATCAATTTTTTAATACAAAGTTATTGCTATTGTCAATTCAAGAATATAGAGATATCCAGGTCTTGGAGCTATGCCTCTACTACCATTCATTTAAATAATTAGTGGTGATCTAAATTGTGTAGTGCAGCATATTATTTTTCTGCTTTGCCTCAGGAAACTATGAGCTGGGTAGGAAGGAAGATCCCAGTCTACCTGCAGCAGAGCTACTGCGACAGGACAAAGTGGTGATATCACACAGTGCTATGGCCTGACTATTTCTGCCCTCTCATGATTAATATACAATTCTAACCCCAAAAGTGATGGCATTAACAGGGGCAGGCCCTTTTGGAGATTATTAGGTTGTAAGGGATCCTCTCTTATGAATGGCACCTGTAGAAAGGAGACCTCACAGAACTAACTAGTCATTTCCACCAAGTAGGGATGCAGCTAGAAGACAGTATCTATAAATCAGAAAATGGGCCCTTATCAGACAGATAATCTGCTAGCACCTTCATCTTGGACTTCCCAGCCTCCAGAACTGTGAGAAATAAATTTCTATTGTTTATAAGCTACCCAGTCTATGGTATTTTGTTATAGAATCTCAAACACATGAAGATACATTGTTTTTGGCTTCAAAGATTACTAAACAACTTATTTAGTAATATTTAAACAATTTAAAGGAGGAACTTCAGATTCCTCCTTTATAGGGAGGATATATATCACTTTTATATTGTATTGAGTACTACTGATAATTCATTAAATGATGGAATTAAAGACCCTGGCACATGGTGGGCCCTCACTAGCTTCTCTTAATTGAGAACATGTAATAAATTTGATTTTTCTCTTTCATAGGTTATAAGGCAGACAGGATGAACACTTTACGTTAACTTTACAAGAAAACAATACTGGAAAGGTAAGAAACTTTGGACCAACTTTTTTAGTTAACACAAATTTTATGATTGTCCAACGTGCAAAGTTTTGGGAGTAAGTGTGCAGGGAAGTAAGAGGGTGAAGTTAAGCCATTTAGTCTTTTTATTCTCCAGAGCACCTAGCACAGTTCTTTGTATCTGATATTTAAACCTGTTGATTGGAATCTATATGACCCGCCATTATGGACTGAATTTTGCCTCCCTTCCCTAAAATCCTGTATTGAAGCCCTAACCCCCAATGTGACTGTATTTGGAGATAGGTCAACTAAGTTTAAATTAGATTATAAGAATGGGGACATAATACAATAGGAATGATGGCCTTATAAGAAGAGACAGAGACATACATCATGAGTGCACATGCATAGAGAAAAGGACATGTGAGGACATAAGAAGAAGATTGCAATCCAGGAAAGAAGATCACAGAAAAAAACAACCCTGCTAGCACCTTCATCTTGGGCTCCCAGGCTTCAGTACTGTGAAAAATTAATTTATGTTATTTAAGCCACCCACTCAGTCTGTGATATTGTGTTATGGCATTCCTAGCAGACTAATACACCCACCCAAATTCATCACCTACTATCAAAGCTGAAAACAAGAATTGTCTCTAATTTGCCTTCAGAATTTTATTTCCTTATGAAATGCTGGTCAAGTAAATGATTTCAGTTACCAGGAGCAACTGAATAGGGAAAGATGCCTGGATCAACACAATAACTCTCAACTGTAACAATATGACAACTGAAAAATTATGTCAAAATTGGGAACCTTCTTCTCCCTTTAGATTTGTAAAGAGGAAAAAAAATCCTTTCTTTATTAATTACCTTTCCCATGGGATAAGGAGTCACAGGGACTAAGAACACATGTTCATTTAATAGGCAAAACTCTCCTTCTACCATATGCGTCAAGGACCTGCAGCCCTGGGAGTCCAAGCTCCAAAGGCCTTGTACCCTCTCTCATGGTCTGTCAGAGCCTATTTCCCAGATCAGTCCTAAGGAATGATCATTCTGCCAATATAAGCACCCCTAGGCCACAGTGGTGGTCAAGAATAGAATGAGCTTTTTTGCTGTTTGGGATGGATAAAGTTTTGACATATTGGTTGGAATGTCCACTTGTGTGTGTACAACACCTGTCATGGTATGGATGAACTTGGAGATGGGAAAAGAGGGAGAACATGCTGGGGGTCAGGGACCAGAGGTCAGAACTCCAAGAAATCTGAAAATTTTCAGTTTGAACCTGGCTTTCTAGGTCATTTAGAAGCAAGTGTCTCAATACAGGAGGGAAGATATTTTTTATTTAGCAGAATAAATATTAGCTTATGTTGTAATTATTTAGACATATGATAATGTGGGCATCCATTTGTACTTTTCCCCTTGCCCCTGGAATGGGAGGAGACACTTAGTCAAATATATGTTCAATAGAGAGGTGGGGGAGGGAGAGAGAGAGGAATTAAAACATTTATCTTTAAGGGCAGATAATGCAGTGTGTGTTTATAGGTTTACTCCCCCGATCCCTGGGTTTCCATTATGCAGGTGCCAGATGTAGGGGTTAGGTGAGCAGTAATAAGTGAGGATAGAGGATGGGTCTTAGGCATCCTGCTACAGCAACAGTTTCATCCGGTTTAGCCTTGGGACTTTCACGTATGTAAAGGGTTCCCCTCCTCAAATGTCAGGATGCATTAACAGTGTAGACAGAAAACACCTGAAGGTGACATGCAGTCTGCAAAACACACCCTATTCAATTCCAACCAATGCAACCATCTTATAAGATAGGTGGCACGGGGAAACTGACCCTAAGAGAGGTCAGCAAAAGTGTCCAAGACTCTATGCCCAGTAATTAATAGAAAGCCAGGAAATCAACCTTATATTTAGAACTCTAGTCCATCCTATATCCATGGTTCTGTGGTGTCACTCAGCTCATACTGTGCTAATGACAAGTTTTCTCTAAGCTGTATTCAAATCTTCACTGACGTTTCATAAGAGGGTACAAGAGTATATGATATTACATATAACAAAATACATATATATTATTTTATATTATATTCTTACCTTCATAATATGTCATAATATTCACAAACCTTAACACTTTGAAAATCTATCAAACAACTGTATTCTTAAGTATAAACACATTATTATTCAGTTGATTATGCAACCCATCCAGAAAGTGGTAGTTATACCATACCTTATAATTAATATCAGACTGCCTACACAGAATAAAATTAACTAAGTTTGTACTGGAGTAATTTTCTTTGCAGCACTGTCACTAAGGAATTTAAATAACTTCAACAGAAGTTTCTTTGTAATCCTGCTATATTGCAAAGTGTTGATGGAAGCATCCAGTGTTTGAGATGGTTTCACTGGTCTTGGGGAAAATCAATATTAAAATATTCTCAATGATAGGATAATGCTAGACTTCACCACTATATAATACATCCATGTGACAAAACTGCACTTGTCCCCTCTAAATTTATATCAATAAAAGTAAGACAATATAATAAAAACATCATTTGTAAGGACAAATTAAAGCATAAACACACTATTTTAAATGTGGCATTAATGATTTGGGGTCAAATTAATTGCATTATTTTGAGAAACCTGATTATTTTGTAAATTTTCCTCATAATGCCATGAGATAAAATTTAGGAAAATGTTTAAACCACATGAAATAATTACTTATAAAGCAAGCAAGAAAGGGCTTTCTGTTAGAATCAAAACATGCCTTTGAGATAAACTTTAAAAGATTGAAATAAATTCTGATTACTTTTTATTACTCTGTTGTGGCTCATAGAAGGACTCAAATATCAATTTTTGAGCAATGGATTCACATGACATAGTTTGGCCCCAACTATCACAGATTATGTCTGGCCTCCTGTGGACAGTCATTGGTACCTGTTGTTCACAGTCACTATGAATGAAATGGATATAATTTAAGACTAATTTATTATAAAATGAAAACATTTCATTCTCTTGGAATCACTTTATCCTCAGCAATATTGTAGAAAGAAGTAATAGGCAGTGGTCAGTGATAAGAATTGTTGATATATAGAATATATATGCACTGTGTGTTTGACAGGTTCCCCAAATTTCAAGCTGTGTGATCTTTTCATAAGTTACCTAGCTGTGGAGAAGGTTGAATAAAAGTCACCCAATGATATCAATTCCTAATTTCTGGAACCTGCAAATGTTACCTAATAAGGAAAAATGATATTTGCAGATGTGGTTGAATTAACAATCTTGGGATGATAATTTTGTCCTGGATTTTCAGCTGGGCAATGACTGTAATAGCAAGTGTCCTATAACAGAAAGGCAGAGGAATATTGACACAGAGAGAAGACAAAGGGCACACACACAAAGGTGAGAGCAGTGTGAAGATGAAGGCAGAGAGGGGTGATGCAGCCCCAAGGAAGGAACGCCAGGAGAGCAGCCAGAAGCTGGAAAAGGCAAGAAACAATGTGCCCCTAGAGCCCCGAGATGGTGCAACTCTGATGACATCTTGATTTGTCCCAATGATAATGATTTTGGATTTCAGGTTTCCAGACTGTGAGAATAAATTTCTCTTGTTCTAAATCACTCACTTTGTGATTATTTGCTGCAGATGCCAAAGGAAATGAGTAACACCTAGTTTTACTTTAATTTCTCCAGCTGTAAAGTGAGGGTGAAAATAGTACTTGCTTAATAGAGGTTTTAGGAGAATTAAGGAGTCAATCTATATAATGTACTCAGAATAATGCCCTGTGCTTAGTAAGCAGAATTTAAATGTTAGTGTGATCTCTCTATATCTCTCTCTCTATCTTTATCTCTATCTGTATATGTCTACATCTATATTGATATCTATTTCTATTACTTACAGCTGCCCTTAAACCTACACCTTATACTTATATCATCTATCTATATTACCTAGAATTTTCAATTATTGTTTATGCTTGTTCTACATCTTAGTCTAAGAGTAAATGAAAACTTTAAATGCTATTAAAATTTAGAAGAAAAATATTTTTACCAAATGACATTAAACAAGCAAACAAAATCCCCTAAAGCCCATGAAATTTACATTATTCAAAACATTTATGTGTTCACTGGTCTGTGCATAATGCTATGAAATAACAAATAACATGGCATCAATTTGCATGTATATTTATCAATAAAAAATGATAGTGATGATATTAGGGGGACAGACCCGTTTGGAGGCAATTAGGCATTAAAGGATCCTCTCTCATTCATGAGATTAACACCCTTAAAAAAGAGACCACACAGAGCTAACTGACCCTTTACACCATGGAAGAATGCAGCCAGAAGACATGATCCATAAACCAGGAAATGGGTTGCCTCAGACACGGAACCTGCTAGCACCTTGATCTTGGACTTAGACTCTAGAACTGTGTGATAAATAAATTTATGTTGTTTATAAGCTACCCAATTGACAGCATTTTGTGATAGAAGACAAAACATACTAACACACATTATGTTTGGCTTTAAATATTACTAAATAGCTTATTTAACATCAGATCCTTTTTTTTATTATTATTATACTTTAAGTTTTAGGGTACGTGTGCACAATGTGCAGGTTAGTTACATATGTATACATGTGCCATGCTGGTGCACTGCACCCACTAACTCGTCATCTAGCATTAGGTATATCTCCCAATGCTATCCCTCCCCTCTCCCCCGACCCCACAAAAGGCCCCAGAGTGTGATGTTCCCCTTCCTGTGTCCATGTGTTCTCATTGTTCAATTCCCAACCATTGTGGAAGTCAGTGTGGCGATTCCTCAGGGATCTAGAACTAGAAATACCATTTGACCCAGCCATCCCATTACTGGGTATATACCCAAAGGACTATAAATCATGCTGCTATAAAGACACATGCACACGTATGTTTATTGCGGCATTATTCACAATAGCAAAGACTTGCAACCAACCCAAATGTCCAACAATGATAGACTGGGTTAAGAAAATGTGTCACATATACACCATGGAATACTATGCAGCCATAAAAAATGATGAGTTCATGTCCTTTGTAGGGACATGGATGAAATTGGAAATCATCATTCTCAGTAAACTATCACAAGAACAGATCCCTCTTTATCAAAGAGGAAGAATATATCACCTCTATAAAGCTGTATTGAGAATTCATTAAATGATGTAATTAAAGACTGTGGCACATGGTAAGCCCTTACTAGCTTCGCTTAACTGAGTGTATGCACTAAATTTGATTTTTGTCTCTGACGGGATATGAGGAAGACAGGATGAGCAATTTAGGGTAACTTACAAGAAAACATTACTGGGAAGACAAGAATCTTTGAACCAAGTTTTTTATTTGTTAATACAAGTCAATCACTGCATGTTCTCATGTATAAGTGGGAGCTAAATAAAGTATAGATATGGACATAGAATGTGGAATAATAGTGTTGTCATTTGAATTTGTGTCCCCTCCCAAAACTCATGCCAAATTGGAGGAGGGGCCTGGCGGGAGATGATTGAATCATGAGGGCTGATTTTCCCCTTGCTGTTCTCATGATAGTAAGTGAGTTTTCATAAAATCTGATGGTTTAAAAGTGTGTGGCACTTACCCCTTTTCTTGCTTTCTCTCCTACCACCTTGTGAAGAAAGTGCTTGCTCCTTCTTCACCTTCCACCCTGTTTGTAAGTTTCCTGAGGCCTCCCAGTCACGCTCCCTATTAAACCCACGGAACTGTGAATCAATTAAAGCTCTTTTCTTCATAAATTACCCACTCTCAGGTAGTTCTTTATAGAAGTGTGAGAATGGACTAATACAGTCCTTAGAGAGCCAGAAGGAAGGGAGGGTGAAAGGGGAGGGGAGATGAGAAAAAACTTAATGGGTGCAGTAAGTAATTTAGTGTATCCACTGAGCAATGAGTATACTAAAAGCCCAGACTTCACCACTATATAATGCATCTATGTAACAAAACTCACTTGTCCTCACTAAATTTATAACAATAAAAATAAAACAAAATAATAAAAATGTCATTTATAAGGACAAATAAAACAATAAACACACTAATTTTATCTATGATATATTAAGTCTAATTTTTAACTTGATATCCATCTTTAATAGAAGTTATTTCCCAATTTAAAAAAATCCTTAATTCTACGGTATCATATGAGGAAGAAATAATTTTCATCATTACTTTACCTGGAGCACACAGAATAGGGTCAAATCACTGAATTTAAAGCTAGAAAGAAGACTTCTTCTTTGGCTCTTCCCTGAAAAACTATAGCCTTTGGGGCTTAAGGTCTTCTGAATTTAGTTTTTTATTTAATGCCACTTATAAAACTTTGACCTAAGATTGACATTCTCTCTCTTCTTTTAAGCTTCTTCAAACACTCTCTTATGCTTATTATTTTACCCTTTTTGATGAGATAATTATTCATTTCATATGTACCCACTCGACTGTAAGATCCTTGGAGATGGAAGCCATAAGCTACTTAGGAGCATAATACCTCATCTTCTTCCCCAGATCCTGAACTCACAGAATGCCTAGCAGTGTACACGCACACCTACACATCTACCCCTATCCCCACAACACACATAGCTTTCTCTCCTTGCCTTAAGAGAATGAATATTGAAACAAATGAAGAAATGGGTTATAAAATAAGCTTGCATTCCTTCTAAATTTTAGCTTTTTAAATTCTTAAACATTTTAGGTCTCTTGTATTTGCCAGTAGTTGACTCTAGCTGGTCACTGATATGTTTAGAAATATCCTACATAAATGAGCTATGGAGATGAATTAACATATTCCAAAGATAAGTATTGATGTTTTGCAAAAAAATAATAAATATGTTGAGGGCATTCAGGCTGAATATATTGACTTTTCTTTATGGACTGCACTAAAATTGATTTACTGAATTTTCATAGGCAGCCTGCAAAATGACCAATTGATTATGAAGAGAGACAAAAACCTTTCTAATTATTCCAGTTCTGTTAGGCAGTGGTATGGAAGGTTTGTAAGTTTATCTTATTTAAGAGCCATTATTATTCACACTTGCCAAAAGATTAATCTTGAGGAGTCATGTGCTTGTAATCCTACTGTAATTGCCTTTTTACTTGATTTTCTTCTCTGAGATTCTATCAGCCTATTGATAATTACTGCGCCTTCCCTTCCCCAGGGCTGTGAGAGTACCCAGCAATAAAAACACACACAAATATTTCTATCATATATGAATGAATGAAAATCTGACTACAACCTACAATTAAAGGCAGTTTCTTCTAGAGAAGTTGGAGGGGATGGAGATGGAGGATGCAGGTGTTAAAGATATTTTACTTATAATATATTTCATTATTTTATGTCCAAAGACTTCCATTGGATTATCTGTACAGATAGATCATCCTAGCATAACTATGGTGACTTCTGAGAACTTCAGAAGTAATGACACCAATATATCATTAGGTTTTGCAGAAGACTTTGGAAGAGACTATCACATGTTCCAAAGTAGATTCAAAATTCCACCTCAAATGGTATAATGCACAGTTCACTTCAAAACTGAACCTTCTAGGCTGACTGTTCCCTATAAGCTTGTGTTCAGATTTCTTCTAAAAAGACTAGAGTGACAATCTGAGCTAAAGCTAACAAAAAGCAGCTCCAGCATGACTCAGTATCTGCACTTAAGTAAGAAAAACCTCTGGAAGGTGCATCTGAACTATTACAGCTAGACACAAACATGATATTTGTGTATATTCCAAAGCAGATTTAAAAATGTTAATTTAAAATGAGTTTAATACAATTAGAAAAATAAAAGATATATTTTACGTATAATTCTGTCATCTGACCAAATAATGTTTATCCTGAGAAAGTAATATAGCATAGTGGAAATTATTTAGAGTCCCACAGAACACAGTTTTATATGCTTATCTAGCTATATATCATTGGGCACATCACATTTTGTAGCAGTGGCTTTGTTTTCCTATTTATAAATGTGTGCCTATATCTACATATCTGGATTGTTTAAATAATTATATACAATAATATAAATAAAAAGCCTCAAGAAATGCTTGAAATAGTTGCTCAAACAATGGAACTTATCATTATAGGTTTTAAGGTTTGCTGTGTATTTTTCTAATCTCAGTCCCTATGGCCATATACTTTTAGCAATTGCAATCAAAATTCACAAATGTGCTTGATTCCTTCATGTTGTGATTTGATTTCATCTATTTTTTCACAGTAGGCATTTAGTTTATTTTTTAACATAGTCAAATGTTCATTTTTAATCACTTCAAATACTGTCTCTAGTGAATTGACCTCCGGATGGAGATGTAAGCTTTCTGAGGCAGATCTTCAGAAGTGACTTCTTAAATAAGGGGCACTAAGCCTTGACTAGGAATAGCTGTTTGTTATTTCCATCTGCACTTGATGAGGAAGTTGTGGCCTCTTTTTTCACTGATGTGGATTTTGCCATCATTATCCATGCCTCTAACCTGTGGCCTTGATTACTATAATACTCTTGACTTTGGGCTACTTTTGAGCTTCGGCTGGTGAGGAATGCAGCAATCTGTTTGCTTGTGGGTAGCCACTGCAGGAAGCATATTGTATCAGTGTTCCATTGTAAAATGCAATGGAGCTGCACTTTAATGAAGCCACAGCAAGGCTGAGTATATTTGAGGAATCACTTGAATATTTAATAAGTCTAAATGGAAAGAAGATATGTTTTTTCTTTTTTTCTTGCACTATTTTGCTATCCGTGGTTGAACAAAAGACACTTAATAAAAACATTATAGCTGAATTGTTATCATTTCCAACACCATAGGCATTATACAGCTGAAAAGTTTTAGATTCACAGCAGGGTTTAAAGGCCCTTGTTTCTAAATTCAATGTAAACTATTGCTAAGGAGTTACGGCTACCATAAATTAAAAAAAAATAAAAAATAAAAAATAAAAAAAAAAACGCATATACCTGCCTTCAGCTGTTGGCACCATCTTCATGAAGAATGAAGAAGCAAAACAAAAAAGTGTCTATTGATGCGGAAAAGGGAGCTATATAACCAGGTAAAAAAATGAAAGATAAAAAAGGCAGGCAAAAGTCATGTCATGACATTATCAGAGGCATTTAGGTTGCAAGGTGTGAAAAAGATATTTTTGGTGATTTCATATAAACAGAAAGAATAAACAATTACCTCACTTCAGAAAATCTTAAGATATACCTACACATATATGGAATACATGCATTTAAATATATATATATATATATATGTACTTTGTCAGTTTTCATACTATACAATGTGTCCACAAACACAGAAATATATATGTTCTTTATTTCTCTCAATGAACACTCCACTCCTGCTTTTAAGATGTGTTTTAGCCATTATATCATCCAAGTACCTTGCTTTATAATCTGAAAACATCTTACCAAATTTCATTTCCTCATTGTATTTTCTTTTTTGATAATATGGAAATGCTACAACTATATCATCCACGTTGTTTTTGCATATTCTTTTGTAGTTAGTGGTGCTCTGTTTTTATTTGTGACTGAAACTGACTAAGGAAATTTATAGATTTGGTGCATCCCCCTACTTCATTAACTCACAAGCAACAAGGGCAGCTCCTAGTGAATTAACATCAGTCCACTTTCCTTGTGGGCAGATAATTCCAATTATAGTTAGTTATGACTGACTTTGCTTTCATGAAGATTGACAGAATGTGCTAGAGGTATGGGACAACGTTTAGAACTGCAGTCGTAGTTCAGACCCTGAGTTGGCTGTAGAGGTTGGGGCTTGGAGACAATTACGTAGTGGTTTGGGTGTCAGATTGGTCACAAACCAAACTTCATTGCTCACTAGCTGTGAAATGTTGAACAGATTAGAAAACTCTAAAACTCAGGGTTTTTGTCCATAAAATGATGATGTTAATTATACTTGTATCAAGGATTTTGTGCATATTAAATAAGATGTCTTCATTCATGGTGTCTGCACTAAGCACCCAATCATTTTAGCTATTATTGTTCATACCATCCTGTGTGAAATAAGAGGGGTATATTCCCTTACCTTTTAGGCTTCTCTAGTGTCAGTATTGCACTCAAGAAGTAAAAAAAAAAAATTGGATGTTCAAGAGGTTCACTGTTGTTTAAAGCTGTTGTTTGTATGATTAATACCATTAAGTCATTTATTTCATTCTTTCTTTCTTTTTTAACTCAGTCAGTGATTACTGAGTGTCTACCATGGGCTAGACGCTATGCAAAGAGCTGAAGCTCGAATCACGAGTAAGGCAGAATTTCTGTCTACAGGAAACAGGTCTATGACTATGGAAATATCTACAGGAAAACAGAAATTACAATAGAGTATCTCGATATAGGAATGCACCTAACTCAGTCTTGGGAGTGACGGGGAGAAGAAAAGTCCTACAGAGGAGACAGAATCTCATCTCAATTTCAGAGGAAAAATATGTTATAACTAAAAGAGGTATTAGAGGTTAACGAGTCCACAGAATTAATTTTAGAGTTGAGGCTGAGAGAGATTACATGACATGGCCACACAGTCCAGAACTGGACAGCCTGAGCTCCTTCTACTCCACAGCTTGTGCTCAAAATCTTCTTTTTCCAAGCCACAAGCTGTGTTGTTTTCCATAGATCTTAGAAAATGGGCCATGACCTTCAAACTTAACATTCTGGAAAACGTGGTACCTAAGTCAGGCAGCCAGCCCATCTGGGGAATGTTGAAAATCCTATAATTTCCACCCTTCCCTACAGCAGTATTTCCCTTTCATTTGATTGTAAGGTGGCAATTAAAATAAAATGCAATACAGTACACAAGAAGAGGCAGAGGCAAAACATGAGAGACTCCCAGTGGAAAAGGAGGGAAGCATATGGTAAAGGTAATTGGCTTCTCTCTGTTACATGCAGGCACATAACCGAAGAGTTGCATATAGCAATCTATATATTTCTGAATTTATAAGAAACTCAGCTTAAAGCCAGCACTGACTTTCAATAAATGTGTCATAAATAGCAGCGATCCTTTTCCCTCTCTAATTTAACTTGGACAATTTCTTTATCCCAGATACACATTGAGCCCAACACTTTCCATATCTATCCTAAATATAACCGGTCACCATTGCAAAACTAAATTTAGTGATTTTCTTCAATGGTAAGAGACTTTTTTTTTTACAATGTTTATTGATTTTTCCAAGTCCATAGTAGCTAATCTGGTTTCCAGTTCATCAAATCCACTTGAATCATGGTGTGTGTTTGTTTGTGTGTGTGTGTGTGTGTGTGTGTATGTATGTGTGTGAAATGTGTTTTTCGTTGTCAAGGTTACAAGCAGCATAAGGCATTTAGCATGTATGAGTGAATAACATGTCATAATATCATTTTATTCTAAGAAATCCCAACCTGTTGATAAGTTATCTCAATCAATCTTAAACCCAAAACTACAGTAGGAAAAAAGCCTATCTGGTACCCTCCTAGGTAATTCCTAATTAGGATGTATTAGTAATTATGCATGCTCAGTAGCATATAGACTGTTGTGAATTATGGTTGCCCTAATGTAATAAAAATTTAATGAGGCTTTGTCTTACACTGTCAATTAAGTAAACTTCTGGCCTACTGACTAAATTTTGATTTATGTTGCCTTCTTCTTACTTTTTACAAAAGTGAGAAATTACAGAGCTATCTTAACATTTCAAAAGATTAATTGTCCACAACGCCAATTTGGTTTGCATGAAGTCTGAACAGATGTAATTATGCTCGCCTTCCCCAGTGAATATACCTAAGAAAATATTTCTAGGTTACAAGTTCCATCGTGTTACATTTAAGAGGCCAAACTAAATACAATGAAACCTACTAATTTCAATCTTTTCCTGAATGTTCTCTTGCAGTTCACATTCAAATTTCAAAGTCTTAGCAAAGTTTCTAAACTGCTGGGCTGCCAACATTTTACTTTTCTTTTCTTTTCTTCTTTTATCCTCTTTGAAAAATTAGAAGAAAGTTTTTTTCTGACCAGATAATTATTTTTTGATTAATACCTTCTTTTCTACTTGCATGCAGTCAGCTAATAAAATGACAAGAAAAAGTAAGATACATTTGAATTTCAAGTTCTCCTTTCAAAGGTTTAATCACAGCCTTTGAACTGAACTCAGTGATATGTTATCTGGAGTTAACCATTTTGTCATAAAAATCATAATATTGCAACCATCCTAAAATAGCCCAGTTGAAAATATTAGCTCAAAGTCAATTGCAGGAGGGCAGAATTTTCATGCTGACTCATTAGTGAGTACTTTTAAAATATATATATATTTTTAATTGACAATCATTGTATATATTTATGGGATACAATGTAATGTTTTGATATGTGTTTATAATACGGTATTTTAAATACCCTACCCTTTTAGGTATTACTTTCTAATAGACAACTTTTTTTTTTTTTTTTTTTTTTTTTTTTTTTGAGAGTGAGTTTCGCTCTGTTGTCCAGGCTGGAATGCAGTGGCGAGATCTTGGCTCACTGCAACCTCTGCTTCCCTGGGTTTGAGCGATTCTCCTACTTCAACCTCCCTAGTAGCTGGGAGTACAGGCGCCTGCCACCACACCCAGCTAATCTTTGTATTGTTAGTAAAGGCAGGGTTTCACCATGTTGGCCAAGCTGGTATCGAACTCCTGACCTCAAATGATCCACTCACTTTGGCCTCCCAAATTGCTGGGATTACAGATGTGAGCCACTGTGCCCAGTTGACAGCATTATTTTTAATCATTGCTTTTAATTATTAGAGAAGGGGCTTAGAGATCTGCACCATTTTTAAAAACTTTATTCTCATCTCTTTAGAAATGGGGAGAAAAATGCCAAAACTATTCATTCAGTTCCAGAGGCAGCTGCATTCAAAAAAGAAATCCTTTTCATGTCCCTTGTGTTAACAAACGCTAACATTAATTGAATTGTTTCTTTTTTTTTTCCAGTGACATTTTCTTTTTCTTTTTTCTTTTTTTTTCTTTTATTATTATTATACTTTAAGTTGTAGGGTACATGTGCACAATGTGTAGGTTAGTTACATATGTATACATGTGCCATGCTGGTGTGCTGCACCCATTAACTCGTCATTTAGCATTAGGTATATCTCCTAATGCTATCCCTTCCCCCTCCCCCCACCCCACAACCGTCCCCAGTGTGTGATGTTCCCCTTCCTGTGTCCATGTGTTCTCATTGTTCAATTCCCACCTATGAGTGAGAACATGCCGTGTTTGGTTTTTTGTCCTTGCGATAGTTTACTGAGAATGATGATTTTCAATTTCATCCATGTCCCTACAAAGACATGAACTCATCATTTTTTATGGCTGCATAGTATTCCATGGTGTATATGTGACACATTTTCTTAATCCAGTCTATCATTGTTGGACATTTGGGTTGGTTCCAAGTCTTTGCTATTGTGAATAGTGCCGCAATAAACATATGTGTGCATGTGTCTTTACAGCAGCATGATTTATAGTCCTTTGGGTATATACCCAGTAATGGGATCGCTGGTTCAAACGGTATGTCTAGTTCTAGATCCCTGAGGAATCGCCACACTGATTTCCACAATGATTGAACCAGTTTACAGTCCTACCAGCAGTGTAAAAGTGTTCCTATTTCTCCACATCCTCTCCAGCACCTGTTGTTTTGTTAGAGGTAATTCCTATGCAGTTACTATTCAATTTTCTTAACACCTTCATGTTATTTTTTTTTCAATTTTCTGATGTTTCAGGGGGAAACTAAACCAGAAAGAGCTTATGGCTTGGTCAATATTGAATAGGTAGTGGTGGAGTAAAGATTTCAACTCAGATAGTACAACAGCACAGCCCATTCTCTTAACCACTCCTCCATATTTCCTTAAAAACATAGCACAATCATAATCACACATATGTAAGTTATTATATATGGAATAATAATATTCCATATATAATATTATTCCATAATTATATATGGAATAATTATCATGTGCCAACTTCATGCTAAACATGTATTTATTATATATGTTTCAGTAACAAGAGTCAATGCTATCACTGCAAATAATTTTAAAGAAATTCCATATAGCAAAATTTAATGTAGTTCTTACCACTACTCCATTATTTCAAGTTATATTTGTTTCATTTAGTTCTGTTAATTGTGACTTGAGTTTTATTAAAATATGATGTCACATCCTTGAAAAAAAACAAAATGAAAATAAAAATAAAAATAGTTGTCTTTAGTAAGAGTCCAGAATGCAGATTAGATAATATTCCAATGTATTTTAACCAAAAAGCTTATTCAAAATTTAAGACAACAAATTTCATTTACCCGTTGGTATGATATTCTCCAGCATGCTGGGATAGAGGGACAGCCCTGATATCTATGGCTAACTTAATGCCCCAGATGATTTAGGTTAAATGTTATAACCTCTCTAAGGCTTCATTCTATCATCTGTAAATTAAAGAGGGTTAATAAAGTGACCACCAGGTTTCACTTTGTATCATGATTCTATTCAACTGACATTGGCTCTGTGCAGCACTGGATCTTGAAAAATTTTGAGCTCTATGTTGACTCAGAAAAAAAAAGAAATCAATAGGAAGTCACAATAGAGAGGAGTGGCTGTACAATCGCAGGACATTTGCAGGTTTCTGTTTTACTTAAGATAGGTGAACTGCTGTATACAATAGACTGAAATGTGCATTGGTTAACATACAACTGATGTTTGTTTCTAGGTCTCAAGAGAATATGGCACAATTGAACAGGATTGTGGGACAGCCCTTCCTGTGCAGTCATTCAATGACTCACCTGGTGGATACTATTTCAATTCTAGCTGGAATGGAGAAGATATGTTGAGTGTTACCATATGGGAGGTTTATAGGAGCCAGGTCTGAAAATGGCAGGCATCGCTTTTAACTTTCTATTATCTAGATTTCATTCACGTGGCCTAATCTAACTGAAAGGGACACTAAACTCATAGTTTCTGTGTGTTATTAGGAAGAAAACGAAAATATGGATGTTGGTGACAGTCTCTTCTCTGACATGTAAAACATCTTTAAATTATAATGTTCATCTTGGCTTTTATTTGTGATAGGTTCCTTTACTTATGACGTTACAGATTTAAGTTAAAGCTCTGCTTGGTCAGTTTGAGACTTCCTTCCTTCCTTCCTTCCTTCCTTCCTTCCTTCCTTCCTTCCTTCCTTCCTTCCTTCCTTCCTTCCTCCCTCTCTCTCTCTCTCTCAGTGTCTCTCTCTCTCTCTCTCTCTCTTTCTAGTCTCGCTCTGTCACCAGGCTGGAGTGCAGTGGCACAATCTCTGCTCACTGCAACCTCTGCCTCCCATGTTCAAGCAATTCTCCTGCCTCAGCCTCCCAAGTAGCTGGGATTACAGGTGAATGCCACCACACTCAGCTAATTTTTTTTGTTGTTGTTGTTAGAGATAGAGTTTCAACATGTTAGCCAGGATGGTCTTGATCTCTTCTCTGATATGTATAATGTCTTTAAAGTATAATGTTCATTTTGGGCAGACCTCATGCTCTGCCCGTCTTGGCCTCCCAAAGTGCTGGGATTACAGGCATGAACCACTGTGCCCGGCCAATTTCTTAATTTCTTAAATGACATTAATAACTCCCAAAGCGACCAGTTGTTTAGCTCAGTCATAGGACATTAAAAAGTGTTGGATGAATGTTTCTAGATTGGTGTTAATTAGGTAACTTTGTTCTGATGAAATTATTTCGTATTTTTTTAATCTTTTTTTTAACTTTCATTTTAAGTTCAGGAGTACAAGTGAAGGTTTGTTACATAGGTAAATTTGTGTCATGGGGATTTGTTGTACAGATTATTGCATCACCCAGGTATTAAGCTTAGTACCCATTTGTTATTTTTCCTGATTGTCTCCCTCATCCCACCCTCTGCTTTCTGAAAAGCCCCAGTGTTTGTTGTTCCCCACTAAGTGTCCATGTGCTCTCATTAATTAACTCCCACTTAAAAGTGAGAACACGCAGTATTTAGTTTTCTATTCCGGTGTCAGTTTGCTAAGGATAATGACTTCCAACATCATCCATGTCCCTGCAAAGGACATGATCTTATTCTTTTTTATGGCTGTGTAGTATTCCATAGTGTATATGTACCACATTTTCCTTATCCAGTCTATCATTGATGGGACTTTAGGTTGATTCCATGTCTTTGTTATTGTGAATAGTGCTGCAATGAACATATGTGTGCATGTATCTATATAGAATAATTTACATTCCTTTGGGTATATATTCAGTAATGGGATTGCTAAGTCAAATGATATTTCTGTTTTTAGGTCTTTGAGGAATTGCCACACTGTCTTCCACAATGGCTGAACTAATTTACATTCCCATCAACTGTGTATAAGTGTTCCTTTTTCTCCACAACCTTCATTTTCTATATTTTCATTGGAATATAAATTTCATAGAGCAGGAACCTTGTCTATCTTGTGTCCAATGTATACCCAAGAGCTACAGCAGTGCCTGGCACATAGAAAGTACTCAGTATTTATTGAATGGATATATACTTAGATAATAAACTATTGTCCTATGTAGTAAGTTCATGTAATGTTTCTTTGAAACTATTACCTATTGATATGGTTTTGCCCTGTGTCCCCACCCAAATCTCATGACGAATTGTAATCCCCATGTGTCAAGAGAGGGACCTGGTATGAGGTAATTGTATCGGGGGGCAGATTTTCACCTTGCTGTTCTCTTGACAGTGACTGGGTTCTCATGAGATCTAATGGTTTAAAGGTGTGTGGCACCTCCCCCTTCTCACTGTCTCTTTCTTGCTCCACCATGATAAGACATGCTTGCTTCCCCTTCAATTTCCCCATGACTGTAAGTTTCCTAAGGCCTCCCAATCATTATTCCTATTAAACCTGCAGAATTGTGATTCAATTAAACCTCTTTTCTTCATAAATTACCCAGTCTCAGGTAGTTCTTTATAGCAGTGTGAGAACAGAGTAATACAACTATAAAAAACTAAACAGACATATAGGACTGCTACAGTAGAACATCTCCAACCATCGCATTTTTATTACTCCACTTCAGAATTACCACTATGTCTATGAGGCTATTTAATTTCAAAAACAAATAAATCACTGAGGGCCCACAATTTGACTAAGAACAATAATCATTAATACCTAACAGTAAAAGGTGACCATACATCACACTGTGCTTGTGATAGCCATAGATTTCACCTGGATGTTGCATCATGAGACAACATGGAACTCACAAGTGTCCCAGTTTAGATGACAAATTACAGTACATAAATACTCTAGTAATAAGATTTTTGTTTTGCTTTATGTTTGAATTATGCTATATTTGAATCCTTCCTGATTTTTCTTGGATAGCTTTAATTTCATTGAAGCCTGTGGGTCTTTAATAATTGGAATGACTATTTTAAATAACAGATGTCTTGAGATAATCTGGCCCTATTTTATGAAGCATTGTGCTATTTTTATTTAAGCATTTGTTAATAGGCTAACGTAACTATTCTGATTAAGAAGCAAAGTGAAATTCATTAACATATACCACTGAGCAGTACACTCAGATTTACTTGGCAATAGATTTCCCAAGCATAATTGTATCGGCTAGAAGCTATGGCTAATGCCACTGCTGAAATTTCAAACATAAATCATAAAAACCAATGAATTGGCAATAGAGTTACTAAGCACAAATTTGTCTGGTAGCAGCTACAGTTGACTGCTGCAGCTGAAATTACAAACACCACTGATAAGCACAGTGATTTAGGTCAGAACATAATTCTCAATCGAATATTTTCTAATTTGTTTGAATGCTTTTTGGAAAACTTCAAAAGATAATCAATTCTTTTCACATTGCAATGATTTGAGAAGTAGGTTGTTTATTGATATATCATAGATACCCATATTTTGGGAGAACATGTGATATTTTGATATATGTATACAATGTGTGATGATCAAATCAGGGTAATTAGGATATTCATCACCTCAAACATTTATTATTTCTTTTGAAACATTAAAATTCTTCTCAAGAAGTAGTTTTCCTTTTTTTTTTTTAATTAGTAGGATAATTTCTGGCTTAGGATCTAGTTCTTTAGCTAATTAAAAAGCAATTGCCTGTCCTTTCTTTTGCAATATATAAAAACAATTATATTTACTACTATTGTTACTCATATTCCTCCCCTTCCTAGTACTCAAATACAGGCCATCTATGACTCTACTATTTACAAATATACCTACTAAGACAATACCATTCGTTTCCCCCAGGAAAAGTCCACTCAGGCCTTCTATGAGAACATTTATATTTCCACAGCTCCACTCTCCTTCTATAAGAACATTTATATTTCCACAGCTGATAGAAATCTCACCTCTCTTAACTCTTTGCCTAAGCAACAGGTAGCATAGCTTTTAATTTCAAACAAAATTATTTTCTGTAATTACATTAATAACTACCATGCATCAGGCATACTGCTTAATGTTTTTGTATCCATTATCTCATTTTTTCATTATAATAATATTGTGAGATAGTTACCATACTTTGCTCTTTGTGTTATACACACCTGGTCTTTTCCAAAAGAATAAACATCCTTGAGGCCAGTAAGCATATGTTTACCCTAGGATGAATCTTGGCAGATGGTAGGTGCTCAGTAAATAACTGTCGATGAAAAATCTGAAATCAGGAGGATACTACGTGATTTGTCTTAGTTATCTATTGCTGCATTGCAGTGTTATCACAACCTTTGTGACTTAAAACAAGTATTTATTATTTTGCGCTTTTTGTGGGTAAAAAACTCTGGGTTTCCCTAGCAGGGCTCTCTACTTCACGTTCTCACAAAGCTGCACTCAGTGGCAGTGAGGGCTGCAGTCTCATCTGAGCTTGACTGGCGGTGGGGGGTCATCTACCTCTCCAAGCTCATGTGACTGTTGGCAACTTCCAGTTCCTATCATGTTGGAGGACTAAGGACCTCAGTATCTTGCTGTCTTTCAGCCAGAGGCTTATATCAATTTCTTGCCATGTGTGCCTTCTCAAAATAGCCCCTTGCTTTCTCAAGCAAATCAGGGAGCCTTAGGAAGATGGGTGTCATAACTCATGTGTTGTGATCATATGCACATACACACATCTCCTCTCCCTTTCTGTATTCTGTTGGTTAGAAGCAAATGACAGGACAGACATACAGTCAAGGCAAGGGAATTATGTGTGCAGGGTTATGACCACCTCAGAGTTTTATCATCATACATCTTTTTCTAGCAAATTTTCTAAAAGGAAACTTGTTTAATTGCAACAGAGTGTTTATCAGAAAGGGCCATTTAAAAAAAATGTGAGTAAGAACTTTTAAAATCTGCCAATTTAATGTATGGCTAGTTTAAGAAGAAGGTGGGGGTGGTTTTTCAGGTTAAGTTTGCTCTACAGAAACTGGCTACTCTCTCCGTATCTTTTACAGTGCGTGGACACACTATTAAAATATTTATACCACTTGCATAACTGCATCTAGAAATTATATATTGGACGTAATCTATTTGACCACATTTTATTTTTACCCTTTCTTTTAAAAGCATTTTTGGCAACTTGATCTACCTGCCTTTCATGGTCCAAGGCACGTCAGCACTGTAGCTTGCCAGGTAGCCAAATTCATCTTAAATTATAGCAGGATAGGTTCAAGGGAATATATATCATTGAAAGGAAGTCAGATTATTATGTCTGAATCTTTATGTGACTTCTCAACTACCTTCATATTTTAAATTACAGCTGATACAATTTCTCATGGAGTAACATTTAAAAATCATAAAATAACATATGCAGATCCACATGAATTATCATTTATGATTTTTTATTCTCCTATGATATTTCCATGTTTAGTAAAGTATCATTACATGTTTCAGTACAGTTTTACTAAAGCAGGAAATTAATCTTAAGTTTCATAAAATTCTTCCCTTCCTATCTGTCTCCATTATCTTCGAATATTGCTAACAGCAAGATATTTGTAGTTAAATAAAGGTAAGGGCCAACTGTCAATTCCAGCTTCTTCCCTTACTAGTTGTCTGGTCTTGAAAATTCACATAATCATTTGAGTGTCTGTGTCCTCATCTCTTAAACAAAAAGAAAAGAAAAAGGATAATTATACTTGCCTCACAGGGTGGGGGTAAGGATTAAATAAGATTGAATATCTGATGTGCTTAATGCAGTTCCCAGCACTAGGTTGGCACGTAGTCCATGTTAATTTCTTCATCCCATTTTACACTTTAAAATCTTTTGCACAGCTTAAAAATTGTGATATCATTGGCATTATTTCTCCAAATAAAGTTTATGCATCCTTAAAGGGATGGCTCTTTTTAAAACTGGGTTGACTATGATCACTACAACCACTTATGTACACTGACTTTAAGCTTCAATAAGTGTTTTTCGATATGTTTTTGATAAATCAATGCTAAATGGCTCATTGCTGGATTTAATTTTAGTATTTGTTTGGTAATTTCCTTTCTGTCTAAATGAAATTTGAGTTACCAGTTGCCTACATTTATGAAAGTTTGTCCTGTTGTAGATTCATCTCATTATACTTCTAGAGCCCTTGAAACATCATATTGAAGTAATTGATAAAGAATTTTTTTCATATATCCATCAAATAGTTCATAAACATCTGCTATGTGCTAGTCACTTTGGAGACGACAAAGGAAAAAGAGCAATTTTAAGAACAATGTTATTAATAAATATTAAGTGCTTATTGTGTACTAGGCACTCTTCTAAGTAATGTATTTATTTATTCACTTAAACCTTAATCATCCCTTAAGGTAGGCGCAATTTTCACTATTTTATGTTTGAGAAAACTGAGATTCAAAGAAGTTAAATAACTTACTGGTCACATGACTAATAATGGGCAAAGTCAGAATTCAAACCCAAGATGTCTAACTGCAGAATTCTTTGTTTCCATTAGTGGCAAAGGCTTACATCTAGATGCTCATGATCTACTACTGTATTTCAAATGTGTTTTAGCCCATTTGTTAGATAAAACATTTGTTTTAATCATTTTTTATACTGCATTCTCCCTAGCCAAGAGAGAAGAGGTCTTGTGGAAATACCATTAGAAAATCATATTGGGCCAGGCATGATGGCTCATGCCTGTAATCCCAGCTACTCCTGGGGAGGCTGAGGCAGGAGAATCACTTGAGCCTAGTTCAAGGCTGCAGTGAGCTATGATCACACCACTGTACTCCAGCCTGGGCAGCAGAACAAGATCCTGACTCCAAAAGAAAATACTGGGAAGTTACATGGGATGACCCCGTGTGACCACTCCAGTGTGGTTCAGGAAGCTCTTCTCCAGTGCTCCTCACTCATTCATGCAGTTTTTCTGAAGATGGAGGCCTTTGCAGAGGTGCTGAGAGTGACCTGGTTGGTGTCAACCATTTGTTCATGTTTCTCATTTGTGGTGAAAAATCTATTGAAGACTCTGAGTGTAGAGTGGGCATGGGTAGTGGCTTTGTTCCCTTGCTTCTTCCCGATGCCTTGAGACTAGCAGGAGATATCAACTTGGCATTTTTGTCTATTCTGCAGACTCAATCTTTTATTGGGACTGTCATTCCAAGATGACACCTAAAGGATAGTGAGCTTAGAATGCACCACACTTGTGTTTATAAGAAAGCCAACTCCTTTACATTACATCAAAATTGGTTCCAAACTTTGGTTAGAAAAAGGGGTGCTATTTATTTTATTTATTTGCCTTTTAATGGACCTCATGTATTAGTCTGCTAGGGCTGCCATAACAAAATACCACAGGCTGGATGGTGTTTAAGCCAAACAGAAATTCATTTTCTCACAGTTCTGGATGCTGGAAGTACAAGATGCAGGTACTGGCAGGTTTCGTTTCTTCTAAGCCTTCTCTACTTGCCTTGGAGATGGCTGACTTCTTGCTGTGCCTTCCCATGTCCCTTGATCTATGCACAGGCATCCCTGATATCTCTTCCTCTTCTTATAAGGACACCTGTCATATTAGATGAGGACTCACCATGGACCTCATTTAAGCTTAATTACTTGTTTAAAGTCCCTGTCTGCAAAGACAATCACATTGGGGATTACAGCTTCAACATATAAATCTGTGATTCGGGTAAAGGACACAATTCTGCCTATAACACCCCATCTATAAGCTCTGGCTGGACACATTTTAAAGTGAACCACTTTGAAAAAGTAGACCAAGTCATTGCGAAAAGACTAACTCTGTCTTTTCTTCAACCAATAAACATAAACTCTCACATTTTCTAAACTTTCCTTCAAAATAAATATTTATTGAAATAATAGCTAATATTTATTGATTGCTTATTTATATAGCAGAAATGCATCAACTCACTGAATCCTTATGACAACCCACTGTTTTGGGTCCTTTTATTAACCCATTTTACAAAGTAAAACTATAACAGAGGGGTCAAGCAACTTGCCCACATTCTTACTCCCCATGATGCTGCTGAAATTTGAACTCAGATTTTGTGTCCAGACATGCTCACATAACTTATACAAGCTGAATGTATTGGTACTTTCTTGATATGTACTTTCTATTTGTAATGATAGATATGTAAAATACAGACATTGATGTATTTTTGACACAATTATTTATATCATTTGGCTTTGCTAAAATTTGAACTCAGATTTTCTGTCCAGACATGCTCATATAACCTGATACTATGCTAAATGTCTTGGTACTTGCTTGATATGTACTTTGATAGAAGTGCATTTGTGGCCAGGCATGGTGGCTCATGCCTGTAATCCCAGCACTTTCGGAGGCCAAAGCATGTGGATCGCCTGAGGTCAGGAGTTCGAGACCAGCCTGGGCAACATGGTGAAACCCTGTATCTATTAAAAATACAAAAATTATCTAGGTGCAGTGGTGTGTGCCTGTAATCCCAGCTACTCAGGAGGCTGAGGCAGTAGAATCGCTTGAGCCCAGGAGTTGGAGGTTGCAGTGAGCCAAGATTGCACCATTGCATTCCATCCTGGGTGACAGAGCAAGATTCCGTCTCAAAGAAAAAAAAAAAAAAGAAAAAAGAAAGAAGTGCATTTATAATGATAGAAATGTAAAATAGAGAAACTGATGGATTTTTGTAATAATTATTTATACAATTGAGTTTCATTGAAAAATTCACCAGAAGCAGAGATTGTTAATCCAGTTAGGCAGCTCCCCCTTGTTCAGGCTGGTAGAGTCCTGCCAGATACAATTATTACCCCTGGTTCCTGTTTACCAGCCAAGAAGGGTTTGGATACAAGCTCCTTGGGTGGAGCCCAGCTCCTTGGGTGGAGCCCAGAAGGGCAGTGGCAGACTCACTGGTAAGAAGGTATCTTAATAGGTGAAATGAGAAACTCTAGCCAAAGAGACACTGCAGAAACACCTAGACATTATGAGGATGAGCCAAAATGAACAGATGATGTAATCGACACTATGACCACAGCCCTCCAAGCCAGGGTTGCTTCTGACTGGTTTGTGAAAAAAAAAGTTCTTGTGCTCAAGTTCACTCAGAGAGAACTGTGGCCATACTCAACACATTTTGTGAGTGCCCGAGAAGTAATGTTAATAAAAAATGTTGAATTTGGTTTGTCAAAGACTGATAATCTTGAAACAGTTAAAGCAATTAGAGGTAGGGAACCATATTTAATTTTGTTTTCCAAAATATTTAAAAATAAATTCTATATTTGATATTATAGTCTCCTTAACATTTAACCTCCTATATTTTCTAAAATGCAAACATTATTGAAGTGCCAGGGAGCTGTTTTCTTAAAAGTTTAAGCCATGACTAAAGTGTGGTTGAAAATAATACTTATTTTCTTAATACCTTATATTCCTAGAACTGGGATGGAGAAGATTAATTTGTCAGTTAGCCCTAGCTGTTCCCTATTTCAGTTTGGTAACTATTTAAATGCGAATCATTCTAGGCTTTTCTGTAAGAATATAAGGATAAGCATATTTTAGATCTTACTCTCAAAAACTTTAAAGTTTAGCTGACAAGATAATAAATAATAAAAATAGTTAAGATTTTTTTGAGGAATACATGACATTTATTGAATCATTTAATTGTTAAAACAACCAGATTGCTCTTTTTATTCCCATTTTATAAATGAAGGCACTGAGTCCCAGAGAGCTTTAACATTTTGCTCTAGGTTACATGGCAAAAAAAATTTTGTCAACTATGTTGCCAATCCAGGTATATTAGTTGCCTAGGGTTACCATAATAAATTGCTATTATTCAGTGGCTTAAAATAACAGAAACTTATTCTCTCACAGCTCTGGAAACAAGAAGTCTGAAATGAAGGTGTTAACAGAGGCGCCCTTGATGCTTTAGGGAGAATCCTTCCTTGCTTCTTCTAGCTTCTGGTTATCGTCAATATTCCCTGTAGCTGCATCACTACAATCCTTCCTTGTCTTGTCTTCATATGACCCTCTCCTTGACTCTCTTTATCTTCTTTTCTTCTGTCTCCTTTTATAAGGACACATGCCATTGAATAGGGTCCAACCAGATAATCCAGGATGATTTTATATTAAAATCCTTCATGTGATTACATCTGCTAAACTCTTTTTTATTTTTGAATATAATCACATTCATAGTTAATGGGGTTAGGATGTGAACATACCTTTTTAGGAAACACCATCAACCTGCTACGCCAAGCTTTCTGGCTGCAATGCCATTGCTGTAACTCCATATATTAAGTAAATATATTGAATGGCATAGTAACATATCTCTTGGTAGATCTGAATAGTAGAGAAGGCGCAATCATTGGTATCAGGCAGAAAGGAGTCTGAACTTTGGCTTTACCATTACCAGTTGGTTTTCCCCCTCCTTGACCCAAATTTCAGCTTTTTTTTTTAATCTACCAAATGTGTTTAATACTTTTTGCCACATTATTTGATGAAGATTTAAATAAATAAATAAAATAAAATGAAATAAAATTAAAATAAATACATAAATAAAATCTGGCCTGACATTTTAGCAAATAGACACAAAAAGTTAGAGTTCCTTTACTTCCCAGAAGCAAAACAAATTTGCAAAAATAGGAAAAGAATGGGAAAATGAGGAAGGACTCATCTCTAGATGAGAATCAAGGGTAAAATTGTGGAGGATGTGATAGTCAAGATATGTCTTGATGGATTGGACTGAGCAAATGAAGACTGAGCAAAATGCTCTCTAGAAAAGGTAAAAGATAATTCATTTTGAAAAAAAGAGTATTTTTACAGGAACATCATAGAAAATTATTCCAGTATGGAAAAATGGATTGCTACTATACTGAAGAGGACCTTCAGTCAAGGTGATGAGCTTGTACAGAAATCTGAGTAATTTGTTATAAAGTGCTGAGGCAAATATGTTAATATAGTAAGTTATATTTTTAGCAACAGCAGTTTATATTGTGGAATTAACATTCTTGATATTAAAAAAGTCATATATCAATTTTTAAAACTACAGGACATGAACAGAAAGCCCAAATAATAATTTCAAAGAAGTGAAAATTCACATAGCCAATGAATATATGTGGACACTCGACACAGGGTAGTGATAGTATTGCAGAAAAACAAGTGTGCAAATCTATTAGCAATAAGGGTGTGCAATTAAAACCACGTGACCCTACTAGCAAAGAGTAAAAACGTGAAAATCTCCAGCAAAGGAGTGCAACAAGAATCCTAATACCCTCAACATAGAAGCATACATTTAAATATTTTGGCTTTCTCCAAGATTCCTGTCTCAGAAAAAAAAGTATGCATATTTACATCAAGGTACATATATAAAACTGATCGTGATATCATTGTTAATGATACTTTCCAACTTGAAACATCTCAAATGATTACCAAAACTAAAAAGTTCTGCTAAACAACTCAATAGTCAATGGATTACTATATAACAATGAAAATGACGGAACTACAAATCCACACGTGAACATGGATGGACCTCAACACATGGGGTGAAAGGAACATGTCACCAATGAATACATACTCATACAGCATGAGTCTATTTATATAGATCCCAATTACAGAAAAACTAAACTGTATCTTTTTTAGGATAGGTACATAAATTAGAAAATTACCAAGAAAAGCAATAAATCCAGATTTTAACACAAATATCATATTAATAGCCTTGTGTGGGAGACAGGAAGCGGGGAATTCCTGTGCTTTCCAAGGGATGGGCAAAATTCTATTTTTATTCCTTAAAATCTCAGTAGTATTATTCACATGCTCGCTTTAGCCTACCTACTCATTAAACTTTGTATGTGTGTGTGTGCTCATGCATGTGTGTGTACTTGCATGTGATTTAGACATCCTTTTGTATATAACTCTCTCAAATTTTTAAGTTACATAAAAAAGTAATCCATTTGACCTAATAGTATAGTGGAATTTCGGAGTTAAAAGTAAGTCTCTGGCTTCAATAAAAGACTTTGTAACTTATCTAATGTCAATTAAGAAGGAGTCATAACTCTTCCCAGATTATGTCTTGTATTTCAAAAAGTGGGAAACTTTATAAATTGTATATTATAAATGGTATTTTGGTTTTCACATTGATGGATGCAAATTTCTCTGATTAATAGAACATAAAGCCATTTTTATGTCTGTAGTGATTTTTCCCTTTTTCTTTTCCTTCCTCCTCCACTTCCTCTTCTTCCTCCTCCTTTTCTTCCTTGTTTATTTGTATGTTCTTGACCTTTGTCTTTCTATTCTTAAAAAAATGAAGAAAGAAAAGTCAAAAGCAAGAAGAAGAAAAAGAAGTCCTCTCCTTTTCCACAAGAGTTTAAAGGAATTCCAATCAAATCAAGTTATGTCATTTGTTCATGAGGGTGTATATTCGAGGAAGTGAATGAAAGTCCCTGGAATTTTATAAGATGTGATTCAGATTCAGGAAAAATATTTAAATAACTCTTAAACTACTTAAGGGTTGCTAAGCATGGAATATTTCACACACAAAAACTTTCAATGTTATAATTCTAACATTATACCTGTTAGCATGATTAGATTTCACTTCATCATTCTAGAACTTGCTTTCTGCGGTATGTCTGGTTATTTGTTTGACAAGAATTTTTTGGCAGTGTATTGAAAGTTTAATAGCCAAGCATGTGGGCGAGTAAGAGATTTTCCGTCTGTTAATTGAGAAAGCCAAAAGAAGGAAATGCTATTGCACAATTCTAGAACAGGGTGGATTATTCAAAATATTTCATAGGGTGTCTTCCATCGTATTTGATATACAACAGATTTGGTGCTTCTTATCTACTGAAAAACTAATATATTTTTTCTATTTTATAACATTTTATTTTATTGTAGTTTTGTTCAAGTGAGGATACTTGTTACTCTTGCCATGGGCCAGAGAAGTAAACAGTCAAAGTTCAGGTGAGGAGCCTTGACCTGGATGCAGAGTGCACTGAGTGGGCAGTACGAGGGCCGGGAGGAATTGTGGGGAAAGGAATGGTTGGAGTTCTTGATTAAAGAGTGCAATTGGATAAACATATAGTTCAGTATTTTCTGCCTTCAGTTGGCCAGTAAGAGGAAATCAAGATCTATGTCAAAAAGAAAAGAGCACTTTAAAAGTTTTATCACTTTGCCTTTATAGAGTTTATTTATAGACCACAAGGTAAAATAAATACAGGGCTAGTGCAGGACATGACTTTATTTTTTAATTTATAACAGAAGGAGTTGTATTCGATGACACCAGTAAATTCCCCTCAAGCTATAAATCACTACATTTCCTTTTCCTAGGCAGTTGAACAGCTAACACTTTTTCCCCCCTCATGTGCTATAAACTAAAAATCCTCATTGCCACAAATTACAGTTGCTCCCATAGCACAAAATAAATAGAAATGATCTTTAATTTAATGTCTTGAGTATTAAGAAATTACTGGAACAAGTGAATCTCAACTGTAATTTTTTTAAGTAATCCTTGAATCACTTTCCACCCAAAAAACAAAAAACATACAATTTAATTTTATTTTTCAAATTTTCATGGGTATATAGTAGGTGTATCTATATGGGGATACATAAGATGTTTTGATACAGGCATGCAATATGAAATAAGCACATCGAGAATGAGATATTCATCCTCTCAAGCATTTATACTTTGAGTTACAAACAATCCAATTACACTATAAATTATTTTAAAATGTAAAATTAAGTTATTATTGACTATAGTCAACTTATTTTGCTATGAAATAGTAGGTCTTATCCATTCTTTCTCACTAATTTGTACTCATTACCATTCCCATCTATGCTGCAGCCCAGTTTTAGTATTGCTAATATAACACTGCTCCAGAATGAATTCCCTGGATAACTGGCAGATATGATAAGGCATTCTGGAAAGACTGGAGAACTTATTAAAATTATATTCAGGGTTAATATTATATAACAATAAGAGAACACACAACTGACTCACTTGATAAATGTGGCATTTTCAGTATAGCAAATGAGGGCCTGCAATGAGTTTCTAAAGTTACATAAAATAGAAGAAATATATGGAAATATTCATATGAAGATGCCAAGTTCAGAGGATCTAACTCTTGGAGGAAAATATTTCATGTTAGGGAAAGGGGGGATGTATGGAGGGATAAAAATAGTCAAGGCACAATGTTAACGAGTCAAAGGTTTGAATCTCATTTTTGCCTTGCAGAGGAGAAATGTGATTTTATTTTATTTTATTTTTTTACTTCCTAGAATCCACCCTGTTATTCTGACTTAAGTCTATGTATTTTTTTGTGGCATGATTGCCTCCTATTTTATGTATTAGTGGGGGAAGATCATTCTAGGTGGACATCCTCCACCCTGGCTGTAAAGGATTCAAAATACATATTTTCTGTCCTATCACAGCCAGAGTCAATCAGATAACCCAAGGAGCAACAATAAATATTTTCCATAGTTTTTAACATAGTGACCTGAAATGGGAAGAGATATTATGGAGCTTAAAAGAGATGATGTATGTGGATATGATTTATAAAGCGCTGGGCCAAATATTATGTTTAAAAATTTATGCAATCAGCACTTCCTCCTTGAAGCTGACATCTTTGCCCACTTGAGGGCAAAGTAAAATAAATTAAGGATGGTCTCTCGCCATTTTAATCAGCAATGTGAGAACAGGTAGAAACCTGCAAAAGTACTGGCTCTACTTCACTGATGTTAGTTTCTACACTGGTGCATGGTCACTTGCTTTCCCAACAAACCAATATAAAAATGGGCCAATTATGGGATTAACAGAGTAGTGCCATCCTGAAAGATTACTAGGTATTTTTTAAACTATCCCTTATCATATTTACGGATAGGTTTTGTAAAGATTATCAGAAATATGCTACTTGTAATGATCAGTTATTAGGGAGAGCTTAGAATTCAGCTTCAAATCACTGTATAAACATTCACTTATTCTTACTTGCTGTTACATTTCTCACTTCTCTGGATCACTTAACTGTAAAATGTAAGATTTTAATCTAAAATGACCTAAATATAATTATCAGTAAAACTCTTTTCTGATTCTACTGTTATTTATAACACTTTCTGTGACCCACCAAAGAATTTTAGCAATCTCATATGAAAATATAAGTAACAAATTGATGCTTATGGTTTAAACAATGACTTTCAAGTGGTAGACGTGCTCAGTTGGTTTTGATCAATAAAGTCAGCCCTTCTTTTCTATCATCACCTAGAGACCTCATAAATATCAGGACATTCTCGCATATTTAGGTTATTAAACATCAAACATGAATTCACTTTATTTGTCATACCAAAATTGAATAATTCTCCCTGCTTTTAGGAAGACATGTCTTATCTCACCAGAGTCCTAAATAAATGCACAGTTAGGTTAAGGTGAACCACAGCTGGAGGTGGGCAGATTGATCTTTCCTATCTCTTCTACTTTGATTACCATACAAATAGGCAGATACATATTTTTCCTCTTCACCTTTGAGGAGACCAAGTTGCAGGGAGCAAAATTGCATGCAATGAAGCAGGCCATCTGGTAGGAATATGCTGGAAACTCTTTAGCTTTCTCATTTCAACAAAAGTAAAAGTAAAAATCTATTAATTCAGCTTCTTGCTTGGCTGAGAAATAAATTCCACAAGTCTCAAATTACATCTGGTTTACTACATGTCTGGCTCTAATATGTACAATGAAAGCCAGACAATTTGGATAAAATATTGTTCCTCTCTGCGATTTTAGCAATTGGAGGGAATAAGAGTGTTATTCCACTTTTAAATTTAGAGTTCCTCCCTCTTATGCTTCACATTACTGATCTGGAATGCATATGAATAGTCTGTCTGTTTGGGCTGTTCCTTGGTTGGTGGAATAAAGAATAAAGATCTTTTTCTAAGGAGGAGAGTGTAGTGATGGGAAAGATGATTCTCCCAAGTCAACATCACTGTCGATGAGATCCCATGCTGAGATCATCCTATCAGCTCTACCTGAATATAAGTCATCACTTGAAGACAACCCCAAAATAAGACAATTAACTATATACAAAACTAATTAATAAAATATTTTAGCTTTATTTTCTCTAATTCTCACTACAATCTAAAAATTACACCTTCCTTTCCCGTTATATGTTAAGGACATTAGGATTCAGAGAAATTAAGCAACTTAAATCTGATAGCTAGTACGTGAAGATGCAGATATCCCAAATACATGTGATTGTTTACAACAGAGCATGGTTTTTGCTCTACACTCTAGTGTTGCTAAAAGATAGGCATATTTAATTTGCTTTTTGGCAGGGCATTTCAGTAAAAGCATTCCTACTCTGGCCTGGTTTTGGACTTTAATCTATATTACCTGTCCCCAGATTACCTCTATGATTTTTTTTTTTTTTTTTGAGACAGCATCTCACTCTGTTGCCCAGGCTGGAGTGCAGTGGCACTATCTCGGCTCACTGCAACCTCTGCCTCCACCTCCCTGGTTCAAGCGATTTTCCTGCGTCAACCTCCAGAGTTGCTGGGACTACAGGGGGCATGCCACCACACCAAGCTAATTTTTGTACTTTCAGTAGAGACAGGGTTTCACCATGTTGGCCAGGCTGGTCTCAAACTCCTGACCTCAGGTGATCCCCCTGCCTCAGCCTCCCAAAGGGCTTACAAAGGGATTACAGGTGTGAGCCACTGCGCCCGGCGACCTCTATGATTTTACCTTTTATCGTGTTCCTTGTCACCTATGACAATTCAGCCACAAAGCCTTGTTTCTTCACTCTGACTCGCCAAAGTCATGATCTCATTGAGAACTTTTCACTTCCTGTTTTTTTCTTTGTGAATTATTTTTCCCTAATCATGGCCACTTCCTTCTTATCATTCACATTTCAGCCTAAAGGGCAGCTTTTTAGTGAGGGCTTGGCTAGCTACCCAAATGAAAGCAGACACCCTGTCAAGATGTATCAAATCACATTGTTTTAATTCCCTGCATAACACCAATTGTTATTCTCAGTTTTTTCTTGCTGATGTATTTGTTTGTTCATTTTCCAATTTCCCTTACTATGATATATACCATATGAGAGCAGGGATTTTTGTCTTGCTCAAGGCTCTATCTTCAGTAACTAGAAGTTTTTGGAACATCTTATCTGTTCAATATTTGCTACATTTATGATTAATAAATGAACACAGTGGACAGTGGATATACTTTCAAATGTGTTTCCAAAAAGTCATGGTCCTCAGTGTCCAAATGTAGACATTATGCAAAGTAGATTTAAGGGTCCTAAAGATTTTCTACAAAGAATGGGGAGAAATTTACTCATTTCTAAGCTTACTTTAGAAATCCAGATGATCCTTAAATTTAGAGACAATCCCTTCCCCTTTTCCCTTTTCAATGGCTTCCATATCCCATATGCATACTGCAGTCCAGTGCTACCATGGTCCATTAGCTGGTGTTCACCCACTTCTTGTTGTTTCTGATATTCCATGAGATGAGTACAGAAATTGAGAATGTACATTCAGTAAATTTTGTAGCTATTTGACATAATTGCACATCCAAGTTCATGATCATATTTCAATAATTATTTTATTGATTTTTAAAAGAGTATTAATTAGATATATGGGGTGAAAAAAAACAAGTTCTTAATGTCAAAGAGTCTGAGTAGCTGCTATAGATCCAGAGTACAGATGAAGCCCAGAGAAGGCTCATGAAGCCCAGTGCCAGCTTACAGCCATGTAGGTCAGAATTTTTAATTAATTATCTAGTGAAAGATTTTTCAAACTTAAGAGAAAAGGACTTTGTTAAAGAAAATCAAATGCTCCTAGACCTTTAATACATACTTAAATTACTTATAATACTTTAATTTCAAACAAAAACACATAAACTCCTTATGTTTATAGTTCTTATGCAAACATAAAGCCAAAATACTTTAACTATCAAATTATGAAACTAATACAAATTTGAGTATACAATTAAGTATATAACATGTTTCATTGAAATTGAAAATTCTTAAATGGGAATATGATGTCAACTGCTATGATACAGGTTTTAGTGAGGACAGAAATTTCTAAAGCAGGAGCTGGCAAAATTGTTTTGTAGAAGGCCAAATAACAAACATCTTAGGTTTTATTGGCCATATATTCTGTTTTGCAGCTACTTAATGCTGCCATTGTGGTGTGAAAATAGCCACAGATACAACACAAATGAATAATGGATGTGACTGTATCAATAAACTTTATTTATAAAATAATCCACTGATGGAATTCCCCCTACTCCCACCCACCCAAGTTCTAGAGTATATTAGTGAGAGCACTCCTTCTGAGGGATAAATATTTAGTCCTTGGGAATATTCTGGTGTTCAGTTTTGGCTCTGGATTTTAACTGCAGACAGTAAGAATTCTGAGAATAGTAATAAGGTCTTGAACAAGGAAGTGGCATTCAAACTAAATGATTCTGAAAGCAAAAACAGGATAACTTGAAAAGAACCTGAGGAATGGCTACACAATAAAAAAGAGATATTTAGTTATCATTAGGGAGCTATTCTTAATTATATCTGTCTGTAGTTTTTCACCAGGTTCTTAATGAAGCAAACCTGGAAGTTTGCATTAGGCTTCACAGCTCTTCAGTAATAATAACAGATGATTAGTATGTATTGAGAGTTTATTTGGTGCTAGATGGTTTTCCAATTCGGGCTACCAACTCAGGTCATTTGGTTCCATTGTCTGTGCCCTAGATGAGCAGAAATGAAAGTTTCATTGTAATCAAATCAAGTGGAGATACCCAAGAGATTCTAGTTGTGGTTATGGATTTGGGAGGTATAAGCACATAGTACTACGAGCATGAGATTATGGAGGAAAATGCTTTAAATTTTTTTAAAGTTTCAGGAGCAAGCCCTGAGACACAATACTGGTAGAGTTCCAGGAGTAGGGCATGAGCTATGGGTCATCTAATTTCCATCTATGAACCACAAAGAATTCTAAAACTACATAAGACAGAGCACTTGGAAAGTGATGTACCTTGTGAATAATGCAAAAATAAAGGTTATCTGGATTTGCAAAAGCAAAGTTATCACCAATGCCCACAGGATATGATAGCTCCAATCATATGTTAGGGATGCACACTCATTTAAAATATAAAATAAGAAAATCAAGAGTTTAGACCAAGGACATTTTCTGAAAAAAAAATCCATTTCACAAAAATTCTATCTATATTAAGGGAGAAATCTTGGAGTCTCTGCATCATCATTGTATAATTAGCACCCCAGGTTATATTTATTTAATCTGTTGAAAGTCTGAAGAAGCACAGCTCTATCGGGCAATGCTGTGATGAATAATACTCCTAATGGAGTTATAAATGGAAACTAATTAGTTTATGTGATTGTTATTAAGTCCAATTTAAGTTAGTTAATGGAATTTTGTTTGGCAAGGGAATAGAGTTGATCTTCGCACATGATATTTTTACTTTTGAAATAAGTTGCTATATTGCCCTATTGAACCCATAGATCTAAATATCTTGAAGTGATGCTTGTTTACCCGCAGTGTTTGAGCCAAGGGTTAATTTTAGAGAAGATTTAACAAGAAAAGTCATAATACCTCTAACATAGTAGTATTTCCATCTGGAATATTTTCATACTTGGTCTTTATTTTGAGTAGCCTCCACTTAAGACCAAGACACTTAAATCAGTGTGGCCATTCAGTGGAGTCTGGATCCATATCACCTCTGCTTAAATGGATTCCAATACCACCTAATGAAGAAATAAATGATCTTTCATAAGAACCATATTCTGCAGGAATGCCAGAAAACCTAACTAAATAAAAAGCATACAATTTATGCAGTCTTCTACACTATTTGTTATTCTTCTAGTATGATTGTTTCTTAACGCCTGTAAAATGTAGCCCAGCTGAAATTTAAAATCAGTATTCACATATGTGGGCCACAGTTCGTAATTTGTTTAACCTATGTGTGCTGAAGTTCTTTCAAGTTTTCCATTGGTTAAATCAGTAATAATTTATCAAAGAGAAATACTATTTAACTTATTCTCCAAAATCATAAAATGTTACCAGTTATCCTAAATGATGAAGAGGTTTGAGAAAATTCAGAATGACAATGAAACTCATTTCTTACTGCCTGCCATTTCACTTCTGGCCTGTCACTTTCCAGGCTCTTCACAGAAAGGAAGAACTGTAAATGGAAAATCAAAGTCCTGCCATTTCTTTTTTTTTAATTTTTTTGAGACTGAGTCTTGCTCTGTTGCCCAGGCTAGAGTACAGAGGCATGAGCTCGGCTCACTGCAACCTCTGGCCTCCTGGGTTCAAGCGACTCTCGTGCCTCAGCCTACCGAGTAGCTGGGATTACAGGTGCACGCCTCCACACCTGGATAATTTTTTTGTATTTTTAGTAGAGATGGGGTTTCACGATGTTGGCCAGACTGGTCTCGAACTCCCGATCTCAGGTAATCCGCCTGGCTCGGCCTCCCAAAGTGCTGGGATTACAGGCATGAGCCACTGCACCTGGCCAGCTATTTCATAATCAGCTTCTGGATGAGAACTTTTCCAAAATAATTCTCTCCAAAAAAACATAAATTATAGCATTTGGGATGCACAAGTTTCAGCCAGTGATCAGACTGACCTGAATAAATCCGTGCATGTGGGTCTCATAGGAGTTTCATTCGGGTGTGTGAATTTGCCGTCTGTGAACAATATCCTTCAGAGTAAAATAGGCAAAAATAAGAGTAAAAGTTGTCTGTGTACAATAGTTATGCTCTTCTTAGTGCCTGCGCTTCCCTGACTCTTTGTGAAGCAATGAGTTACTTCTCAGGCATTGTACAGACCAGATTTTATAACCATTTGGGTAGCAATGCTAAATGCTTTCACTCCCCTGCACCCTATAACTGCTCTTGAAAACAACTTTACACAATATTTATCTCACAGGTTTCAGTCCTGGAAGAAACATAAGAGATGTATTATAGTCAAGGGCTTTAATTGCTTAAGTGTCTGTACAAGCTAATACTATGAATTTAAATCATAAAAATATCTGGTTTCTTGATTCCACACCATTGACAAAAGAAGGAGAAATGTAGCTGATTAATATTTATTGTGCACATACAGTATGACTTTGTAGATCCTTTCTATATATTAACTCACTTAATGTTTACCATAACCGTGGCCACTACTTAGTATTCTTCCTGTTTACAGGTAAGGAAACTTACAGTCCCAGAGGCTGACTCTCATAGCCAAGATTATACAGCTAATAATTACGTCCTGAGGTATAATCAATGTTCTTTTCTACACAAGAAACTAGCTATCAGGTCATTGAGGAAAAAAGAAATTGTCCATTTCTACAGGGGGTAAGAATTTGAAAATGATTAACACAGCTGATATTCTCAGCCATGGCGATAAAAAAAGAGCCAGTCTTTCACAGTGCTTTACTCACTAGAGTAGAATTCAGAAAAGCAGAATACTTAGGGAACATAATGTTTGGCAAAATTGAATTTTCTTGATTTCTAAGACAAAGCCTTATATTTTCTAACCATTTTAAGAACCTGTTTAGATCAATGAATTGATTCCCTTATGTTACTAATCCTGATAGTATTTTTACTGACAAAACTTCAGGTTATCCAGCTAAACATTAGTGATTATAATATAGTACTATAAATTCAGAAATGATCCTGTTCCAAGAACAGGGTCTTACACGTGCTACATATTTAATACATGTGTAGCTGTTCAAAAAATTATGTCAGGATATCCTTTGAAAGTCATGCATTTCTTTTCTCTTAAAAGAATAAAAGATAATGAATGCATCTGAATTAAAGTATGTAAGATAATACAGAAGCTGTTCCTATATTAATCTTTTTAGGTGGTGGGTTAGAAACTAGATACCCTAAAAGGCACTTCTATTTCTAAAAGCTTCTGTGGTTTCATGCTAGTTCATGCATAAAATATAAGAGGTGTACAAGGCGTTTCATAAATGCGTGTCAACCCACTATTCTATTGTTACCTTCACCCATGTCTGCCAACCATGCCATCATGACCTGAGTTTCACTACCCAGAATGGACCAGACAACTTCCATTTTCATGCCTTTGCTTATCCTATTCCTGCTGCTTGAACTGTCTCCTCTCCATCACATTTCCTTGTTCCACTCATCCTTCATTGCATTCAACAGCCACCACTATAAAAACTGTCAGACCACCCAAATATGCCAATACTTATCTCCCTTAAATAATTAAAAGTTACCTAATAATTAAAACTTACACCTCACAGTTTATGTCAAAATGTCTATAAATATTTGTGTATATAAAGTGTTATGCCACTTACAATAATCACTCAACTTTTATATCTTACAGTTGCTAATAACATAAATGAAAAATAAAGGCATGCATAACCACTGATTTAATATATGAATAAAATTACTTCTGTCCAACTTTTATTTAGTCATTTATAGTTGACAAAAATTGTGTATACTTGTGGTATACAACATGATGTTTTGAAACATACATTATTACACACATTTATTCTCCTCAGATATTTATAAGCAAAGACCCATTGTCTTTCAGCATTGAAGGTTTCTATGAAGAGTGGTCTGAAGCCAGTCTGGTTATATCTTCCTATGGGTTATAACTACTTATCTCTATCTATGCATTATATGACTAACTTGTTTTTGCTGCCTGAATGCTTAAATAAAATGTTCTTTGCACTTAAAATTCTATAACTTAAACATAATAATTGGTGATGATTGTTCTATATCACATTTTACTCAAATATTGTCTATTCTTAATATCTGCCAACTTAGTTCTATGTTCATTTTAAGAAAATGTTCTTTGGTTGCTTTTTATTTTTTTCTCTGTTTCAAGTATATCAATTTTTCCTATCACCTGTCTGATCGGTTTAATATAATTTGCTTTTCTTGCCTGCATTATTGTTGCTTGTCTCAAGCCTTTTTTTTTTCTGTTGTAATTTGATTTTTCAGCTGGCTGTGTTTGGTCCCTTGCTGATTCCAACTTATTTATTAATTTGGTAATAATGTTGTTTTCTTCGTTAGGTTTTCGATATATCCTTTCAACTTTTGTTGCTGCTTTATGTTTATGATTTTGGTGGTTAGTTTATCTTCATAATTTTGAGACTTTGGTTTATTGAATTCATATAGTAATTATATTTGTCATAGAAGATACCACTTACAAGGAATTTTCTTCTGCCCCTTTGTTTACTTTTCCTTTTAGATTTGATTTGTATTTGAAATGCTATGTTTTTGATACTCCTCACACCTTTTCCTTAGCTAAGTCTGTATAGTTATTCTGCCATTTGTTTTTGAAATTTTCCTCACTTCTGGGCAGTTCTGTCTAGATTTTCAATTGTCTCTGCTATTTCCAGGGTGACTTTTTGAAACAGAATCTCTTCCTTATTTATCCATGACTATTTTGTTTTCCTTATCAAAGGGTGGTTTGAGTGTTAGATATTTGCTATTCTGTCCATTCCTCTATAGCATGGTGGCATAAAGAACTCTAGGATAGTGAGTGTGCAAAGTTTTTACGTTACCTAATCTTTTTTTATTTTTAACTTTTGATGTTTGATTAAGGGTTCTTTATCAAGTTTCATTTCTCCTAGTTGTGAAATATAATCCATTCTCACGGCATACTTACGACTATCCAATTTCAGGGTGCCTCTGGAGCCCTGGGTTTCCTTCTTTTAGTAGGTATTTTAGCAACTCTATCTACTACTTACCAGTGATAATGGAATTTAAGAATACCCACTTAGTTTGTTTCTTTCAAAATGTTAGGGAGATGGTAAAAAAAAATCTCCAGATTTGTAAGCTTGTTAGTAAGGCTTCTAAGGTGAAAGCAATGTCAAGGTGTATAGACATTTTAAGCTACTACCTAAATAATTCATTATGTGACCTCCAACTTCTGAATCATTAGAAACTAGGTGATTCTATTTCCTGTGTTTTGTTGCTGTAGAAATAAATTTTCTACATTTATTTTATATATATAATATATATAATTTATTATTTATATATTATATATTATATATATTATTTTTATATAATATATATATTATTTATATATTATATATTATATATATTATTTTTATATAATATATATATTATTTAATATGTATAATTAAATAAATATATATTTATTGGGTTCTGAGCTGAGGAAATGAAATTCTGTTTAATCAGCCTTATTCTGCTCTCTCAGTCCTGAAGTTCTTGCTCATCTCTTTTCAGATAACCCTTCCACTGCCTTTTTAATGTCCCCAACTCTGGCATTTTTAAAGAGAGGCTTATCTCTCTTTATCTGGCTTAAACAATCTTAACTTATAATCACTATCCTAATGTCTATCAGCCAAAGTAAGCAATCTCCCAACAGCAAGCTTTACAAAAGGTGACTTTCTTTTTGACAGTGCCATAACTAACACTGGCACTGTCTTAGGCACTGTTAGAATAGAGAAGTTTGAGATAGTTGTCTGCAAAAAGCTTGATATTTTGCTAAGGAAGAATACATGACAAATGTTAAGACACAAGGTCACATATAACAAGTTGTCAAATTTTGTGATAATAAAGATAGCAATCATAGACAGGAATAAACAGTGGCATTTGAAGAAGTAAAGAAGACTTTAAGAATAAATTAAAATTTAAATTCTTTAGACTTTTTGAAAGAGGATGAATTTGAACAGGAGTTTAAAGGGATAATGGGAAGTAGACTTTTGATAACAGGAGGAAATGGCATTGAGAGGATAGGTACATTGTGAATAAAGGAGAGAGGAGGGTAATCTATCTGGATGAATCACAGTAATCAATTTGGCTCTAGGATCTGACATAAGAAAAGAGAAAATAAGAAAAGCTATATATAAAACAAGATGAGACTGAAATCATGGGTACTCTGAGTGACAACCTTAGTGACCTTAAGACTTTAACCTCTAGCTTTGGAAGCTGCCTCAAAGACTTAAGATACCTCCTATGTCAGATTCCATGTCTCTCAGTTGAAACATTTAAATCCCTTTCCTCCTGTTCAGAAAAATAAGCGGCGTTGCCAGCAAGCCAACCTCATCTTATTGAGTTCAGATACTAGTAGGTGACATTAGTAATGAAAGATTAGAGGTGTGAACTTACTCCATTTATGTTAACAAGGTGCTAAATGCAAAGGCCAATTACGGCTACCCCTGAACTTCAACTTCCTGTCTCCTGACTAACCAGTGAATGAGCTTGATCAGGGTATGGCTCTTATTCTGTGGTATTTATAGTATTCTCAGCTGAAACTTATTGGATTCTTGAAAGTGTGGGTTGTGGACTCCTCAGGGTATTGAGGAATTTTGTGGGTTCCCTATAAATGCCCCCTGGTGCTTTCCAGAACACCTGGAAATAAATTCCAGCTTCTTTGACTTCCCATTTCTTCTGATGCAGGGTTATTAAATATGAAATATTGCATGCTGAAATTCACATAAAACAGGCTAATTAGTAATAGTAGGAAGTGGGAGCAAGGGTGCAAATAGTAAGAAAAGGATCACGGAGGGGCTAAGGTTAGAGATCTGCAATTGCAAAAATATAGGAAACTCAATCCTTTTCCAATGGTTCACTGCCTGGCTTTGCCTAACAATCCTCCCCTGCTGACCTTCTTTTGTTCAGGCTATTTTTTTCTGCTTGTGAAATCTTTAAGAAAATAAGCATTTTATTATAGAATAGTTTTAGCTTTTCAAAAATGTTAGGAGTATATAGTTTGGATAGTTTTCAAATATGTCTCATCCAAATATTGAGTTATAAGAAAATAGCATGACTTAGACCTGTTTCACTGTAGAGAGGAAAGGGCTTCTTTTCTTAATTTAATTTTTACCTTCATCATATTCAATGTTATGCTATAGTTAAATCAGCAGAAATTCTGATAGAATAAGTTTACTACGATGATATTGTGACTCAGGTCCATAAATACTGCTCTTTGTGCCTACAAAAAAGTTACTTAAAGCATAGATAGTGAACCTCTTCTAGTCAACAAAAAAGGTAATTTACCAGTCCCAAAGCAACAAGAACCTTAAGCCAGAATTTAAATATTCTGTACTGTTGAGTTTCTGGTAGCAAAAATTGATTTGCTTTCTGGTGTCAACCTGTGGTACCTTCCTACTGCCTTGTTTTGAAAAGAAGAAATGATACTTTTTCTCATCCATTTCTTGGTTCATGGCTGAGAATCCTATAACGAAAGAGAGATTAACAAGAGAAAAAATACAAATGTATTTAACATAGTGTATTAGTCTGTCCTCATACTACCATAAATACCAAAGACTGGGTAATTCATTAAGCAAAGAGGTTTCATTGACTTACAGTTCCACATGCCTGGGGAGGCCTCAGGAAACTTACAATCATGGCAGAAGGTGAAAGGGAAACAAGGACCTTCTTCACAGGGCGGCAGGAGAGAGGAGTGGGGGGAAAGGCGAGACACTTACTTATAAAACCATCAGATCTCATGAGAACTCACTCAGTATCATGAGAACAGCATGGGGGAAGCTGCCCCCATGATCCAATAACCTCTTCTAGGGTTCCTCTCTTGACATATAGGATTACAAAATTCAAGATGAGATTTGGGAGGGGACACAAGACCAAACCATATCACATAGGTTTTATGTGACATAGGACCTTTCAAAATTGCAGACTCAAAGAAACAGAGAAATTTGTGAACTTTTATGGACAATGGTGCAGAAGTATTACTAGAGGACAATAAAGTATGACTTAATGTTAATAACCTGAGGCAATTTAGCAAGGCCTGGTTGTTGCCAGATTCTTACTGGCATCCCTGTGTGACATTCCTTTACTCTGGGTATAGCAGGAACCCTCTGGAATGAGGGTTTTATGACCTGCTGTAGAGGAAATTTAGAGAATTATTTTATGGCCTGCTTTAGGGGAGAAAATTGAGGGGAAGGTGAGAGTGACTTTCCTACTTCTGCTGTGTCCTCAAATACTGAGATGCCACATTTGGGGAAATGGTATCCTGATTTCCATTACTTTTCTACCTGCAGATTCCTACTTATTCTTCAAACCCATTCCATCTACTGAAAACCCTCTACAACCAACAAGATTTTTTTCACCTAATTGTAGTCTTTCTTTGGAAATCAGACACAACTGAATAAAGGGGCAATGTCCTACACCTTTATGCAAAAGTTAGGCACACAGACAAGGTTTATAAAGTATGTTTAATTGTATAAACCTCACTTGTTTTGAGTTAAATTGAAAAGGAATGAGCCCTATCAGCAGGCCATAAAGGAAATACATGTAATTCATAGAGTAATTTAGAATGTTTTTGAAAAGTAGTGAATGTTGACACAATTAATGTTACTGAAAATGAAATACTGAAGAACGTTAAATGAACAATAACTTGTTCACATCTACAACTCTTTGGCAACATTTTTGGTTTGATCTTAGGCTACTAACTTACTTAGTTTTTACTCTCTATTACTTGCAGTGGTAATGTTATAATACGTTTGGTTATTACCTCGTGTATTTGTTACAAATAGAAAAACTTCTTGTTTGTTTTGTTTATAAACAGATAAACTTCTTATAAATAAAAGAGTCAGACATGAATGACAAATATAATTCATTTCCTATGTTCTAATCATGTACCTTTTACTAGTAATAATGCTACCAAAATAAGTAGTCTTTGTTGAACAAGGTCAAATAACCATCCATCACTATAAGCAGAAAGATGAATTCTAAGATCTAGTCTTATTGTCTAGAGCAATATTCCTCAATTGAGAAAGTTTTTTTTGGCCAGGCACAGTGGCTCAGCACTTGTGGGAGGCTGAGGCAGGTAAACTGCTTGAGTCCAGGAGTTCCAGACCAGCCTGAGCAACGTAGCAAAACTGTCTCTACAAAATACACAAAAATTAGCCAGGTGTGGTGGTGTGTGCCTGTAGTCCCAGCTACTCAAGAGGCTGAGATGAGAGGATTGCTTGAGCCAGGGAGGCAGAGGTTGCAGTGAGCTGAGATCATGCCACTTCATTCCACTCTGTGTGACAGAGTGAGACCACGTTTCAAGAGATTTTTTCCCCATAGGTGATATGGTGATATTTGGCAACATCCAGAGGTTCGTTTGTTCTTTCTTTCTTTCTTTCTTTCTTTCTTTCTTTCTTTCTTTCTTTCTTTCTTTCTTTCTTTCTTTCTTTTTCTTTCTTTCAGCAAGGGCAAGGGTTTACACTGCTGGCATCTAGTGCATAGGGGTCAGAAATATTACTAAACATACTATAACACACAGTACGGTCCGTACAACAATAATTATCTGGTCTAAGATCTCAATAGCACCTTATTTGTGTTGAAAAAAAAAACCTATTCATAAAGCAACAGAAGTCATAAGTGTTATATGTGTCAGAGAACAGGGAAGGGTATCTAACCCAAATTTAGTGTTCATAAAATTTTCCTAGAAAAAATAACTCCAGAGATAAATCTCTAATATGTAAGATTGTGTAATAAGTGAAGTATTGATCAGGAAAGTAAAGTGGAAAAGAGTCACAAAGGCAGGTTGAGCAGCGTACAGGGATGCATGAAAGCATCAATCAAGTAGCACCTGAAGAAAACGTCATGCAGTTTGGTGTTAACTGAATGTGAGGCAGGGAATGGGTGGAGATGAGGAAGAGAGGTAGGAAGGCAGGTTCTCTGGTGGTCTCGGGCCTTTGCAAAGGTAATCCACAGAAAGGAAGAAAACGCTCATGAGCTTCTGTGCGCAGAGACTTCATAGACTGAAAGTTGAGACCAATATGTGAGATAATAAATCATATGTGCTCTAATTGCTGTTGTGGAGAGACACACAGGGAACAAAGGCAGCATAGAGGATAGGGAAATAATCAAAGCAGGGGTAGACTGGAAAGGCTTTCTGGGTGAGGCAATACAGGTTACATTTAAACCCAATCCTAATACGTGAGACTCAGTAAACTAGGTGATACTGGAAAGTGGTAAGGAATTTATTCCAGACAAAGAGAAAGAGTACACATAAGAGGGGTAAAAATGAGTTAGGACATTTTAATATTTTAAGCAGTCCAGTATGGGTACTACACATTGCATAAGGAAACAGAAGGGCGGGGGATAAGGCTAGAGAAGAGAGAATAAACACCAGACAATCATGAAGTTTTTTCCTATGGCAATGCTAAGCATTAGAGTAACCATAGAACGCCATTTTAGATTGCAAAGCAAGGGAGTAACCTCATCAGCTCTGTGCCTTTGGAAAATCACTCTGAGTAGATATCGTGGGTGGAGGCACCAGGGCTGGAGACAAGAAGGACAGTCAGGAGACCCTGAGGACCATCTGAGGAAGAGCACCCGGTGGCTCCATTGAGATGTTCTAACTTACATGGAAAAGTTATCTGATGATCACTTTCAAAATATGAAGGGGATCAGATTTTCATGGGACAAATTTGTTAAGTAGTTCCCTACGTGTATCACCAGTCTAGAAAATGAGGATATATAGGTAAATCAAATGTGGACACTGACCTCTAAAAGTTTCAGGGCAGACAGAACTTGTGTAATGATCTGAAACCTAAGGTAAGAAGTGATGCACTCCATGAGAAGGGTGCGGATACATTGCAATGGGAACGCAAGGTAAGCAGAAGATAACTTCCGAACAGAGAATAAGAATGACTGCACCAGGATGATGGCACTAGGGCAGGCTATTAACAGTTTATAATTTATATTAGAATGATAGGTGACAATTACTAAGCACTTACATGTGCGAAGGGCTTCATGCACATTATCTTCTTTAATTCTTATAAGGATTCTAAGTGTTAAGTATAGTCATCTCCATTTTACAGAAGAGGGAACTGGGGTGTAAAAAAAGTTAATAGGCTTGTCCAAGGTCACTCAACTGTTAAATGTTAAAATCGGGAATTAATTCAGGTGTGGATGGAACAAACAACATTTAAAAAGGTTAAGATGAAAGGAACACATCTCCCTTATGGAGGAAAGAGAATCATTATGGGCACTGAAGTAGGGCATGCCAGGTTATATTAATATACGGAGAAAATGGAATAGTTTATTTTGCCAGGATACTGAGTTGAATAAAGAATGATCAAATAAGCTGATTTTTTTCCAAATCACGTCGAGCAACAAACACCGAAGAATCTTTCATAAGTTACATTTTTCATGTAACACTGTATCATGCGTTAAGCTCCACTTCTAAGGTGAAGTACAGGCAGCTTTCCATTGCTTCAATCCAGCTCTCTGAGGTGGGCCATCTTGAATAGTTTAGGGCAATTATTTGATCACACATTTCCTAATTGGCAAAAAATGTTAATAGTATCTTCAAAATCCCTTACTCCCTTGCTGCCAGTGGAGCATGAATGGAGCAGATGCCAAAGACAGCTTGGAAACTTCCAAAAGGGTTGGAAAGAGCAATTACTATTATCCCCGCTATCTGCCATGGCCAGGGCTGGCATCACAAGCAGACTTTGTGCTTGCCAACGGGCTCAGGTGGCATTCTGAAGGAACGACTCATTTATAAAACAGTGTAGTGGGTTTTACTTCCCTTAACATGGTAAGATCAAAGTACAGTCCAAGTATATAGATATTTGGTTCCCTACTAAAAAAGAAAAAAAATAGAATTGTTTCAAGGAAAGGTTGTCTTTAATAGTTTATCACACAATTCATTCTCAAAATTGGGCACTGGTCAAAAAGATTCGGTAATTTTTTTTTTTTTTTTCATACTGACCACCTTTTTCTATGTCTGCCTGAAAAAAAAAATAAGGGTATCAAGGTATCCTGGGAAAAGCCACCCCTATTAGGCCTCCAGCCATCTTCAGATCCACACCTCAGCTCTTCTCGGTCCTGTGGGATGTGAACTCCGTGAGCCTTCCATTCTCTTGCTTACCTCTGCCACTCTATGCCCTGCTGACGTCTTACTAATTTTTCTTATTCAGTAACTTGTCCCCTAAACTGTCTCTCCCAACTCTCTTTTAGGTAAAAGTATTTAATGTTTTCCTTATTCACACCTTTCTTAGACCCCAATTTTAGCCCTTATTCTGAAGTATGACTCCCAGGCAAACTGAAAGACAGAAAAACAACCACTTTATCCACCTCGATTTTAACACCTATAATATTGCATTCTGATGATGAAATTGTGTGTCTCATCAACTAAATTTTGAGCTCCCCAAAGCTGGAACCAGGTCATATATATCACTATGCTTCTAATATTGGCACAAGACCTGACACATAACAGACAATGAGTGAATAGTGATTAAATAAAATTTAAAAAGTGTCCTTTTTAAAAAACTGTTTCTGGACTTAATGGAGGTTCTCACATTTTGGGAGACAAATTTATTTTCTCTATTTGTTTTAAGCAGAATGGGAGCTATGGAATCAGACCTGGGGCAAAATCCTGGCTCCTTCTCTTTGTAGTTGTTCTATTTGTATGAGTTAATTAAGCATTGTGAAATATGAACATTCCTATAGACCATATTGAGGGATTATTGCAGGAAATAAATGATATGATGATTCTAAGTTCCTCATCCCAGTGCCTAGTATAAACTGAATGAAAAGAAACTGGTTATTATTTTCATTGCTATAATTAATAAGCAAGCTAGTCTCTTGATTATCCTTAGCAATCTAAAGTTTATTGGGCTCACAAAGGCCTTTGGGCTATTTTTCCCCTAATTCCTTGACCTGTAATGACAAAGCCTTATTCTTTAAAAATAAAAACTGTTATTCCTTTCTTGATTTTCAACAAATTATTTCATGATTATCACAATCCATGTTTTAGCACAGGAATGTGTGCAAGGACCAGGGCTTAGGACTTCAGTTCATGCATTGCGATGCTCTCATGACAGCTCAGAATAGTCAGAAATTGAGATTACGCTAATGCAAGAAGGGGAGACTATGATGCTCACTGTATGATTTATAAGACTAAAGAAAAAGGGAAGAAGGAGTTTGTGAAGAGGATGATACACTTATCCCACACTCAGACTGAGGATAGCATGTGAATGGACACTCCAGTCAGGTAAAAGGTCTCTAAGAACAGAGACCTTAACCATATGGAAATCTTAACCATAGTGGAAAGTCCATATTCTAGAGATAGAGTGGGTTTTACTTTGTTTTCTTTTTTATTTTAATTAAAATATATGAACATGTGTGACAGTAAACCAATATAAAGTATTTCCATATGTCACTGAACTCGACATTTTTCAAGATTTGGTCGTATTTGTTTCGTTTTCCCTTTTGACTTTTATCCTCTGCAATGAAATATTTTAAAGCCAATTTCAGATGTTTTATCATTTCAACTCTATGCACTTCACAAATAATATTTTCAAAATAAGCATTTTCTTTCTCTCAAATCACACTATTGTAAATAAGAATAATTAGCAATATTCTCAATATTCCTTTAACATTCAGCCCATTTTCATATTTTCTAAAGTATATCAAAATGTGCTTTCACAGTTGGTTTGTTCATATCAGGATCTGAACAGAGACTACTGTTAAGCTTGGTTGGGTCCATTCCTCATGACTTTTTTTTTTTTTCATGTCTTTGACTTATTGCAGACACCGTGTGAGTTGTCCCTTGGAACAAAAATTTCTTCTAGAAGCTTGATTAACTTCACATTTTTTAAAACAGTAGTTCATAAATGGTAAGGTACATCAACTCACACATGTCTGTTTATCCCACTTTTAGTGGGGCTAAGATTATTTACAGGTCCAGGTTGAGATTGTCTGATGATTCCATAATAAAGTTCATCATCAATTTCCATCTAAGAGTTTTATCCATTGATTACAACTGCCTAAACTAATTACTTTATTTAAGGGGGCTGAATGATTATTTTTGAAATCTATCTAGCTTCCTCCACATATTAACTGGGTTTTTGTTTTGGTTTGGCTTTTGGTTTTTACAGAAAAGAACTCCCCCTCATTCTTTCTTTGTCAGAACACTAAAGTTTAATTAAATAGTATTTCAAAAGTAATGAAGAATTTCACAGACTCTATGTAATAATAAATCAAGGTAAAATAAAATAGTACTCTATAATCATAATTTTATGAGTATTTTATATGGCTTAGGAGTAAAAAAAAAAAAATGACTCTTTAAAGTTTTTGTTTGATCTGCCCTTACATAGGAACAGATAATTTGTGAGATACTATGAGCAGATTTTTAGAAAATAATAAAAATATTTACAGGTGGGCATGGTGGCTCATGCTTATAATCCCAGCACTTTGGGAGGCCAAGGCAGGTGGATCACCTAAGGTCAGGAGTTCGAGAGTAGCCTAGCCAACATGGTGAAACCCCTTCTCTACTAAAAATACAAAAATTAGCCAGGCGTGGTGGTGCGCCACTGTAATCCCAGCTACTCAGGAGGCTGAGGTGGGAGAATTGCTTGAACCTGGGAGGCAGAGGCTGCAGTGGGCCAAGATTGTGCCACTGCATTCCAGGATGGGCAACACAGCGAGACCCTGTCTCAAAAAAAATTATATATATATATATATGCATTTTTATTGCAGTAAAAAAAGTAACATGAGATCTACCCTCTCAATCTTTAATGTACTATCCTGTACTGTAAACTATAAGCACAACTGAAACTGTATACTCATTGAACAGCAACATCCCATAGTTTAAAACTAATAGATAGTAATTTATGTGTTTTTCTCAAAGTTCCACAGAAGAGTTAGCTAAATGTAGAATGTCAACACCTGTTTATCACCTGTTAATCATCTAGTTGCTTAGGCTTATAATAAATTCTTCTATAAATGGTAGTTTTTACTATTATTATTATTTTATTTTTTTATTTTAGGGACAGGGTCTCGCTCTGTCACCCAGTCTGGAGTGCAGTGGTGTCATCGTAACTCACTGTAACCTCGAACTTCTGGACTCAAGTGATTCTCCTGCCTCAGCCTCCCAAGTAGCTGGGACTACAGATGCCCATCACCACACCTGGCTTATGTTTTAATTTTTTGTAGAGATTAAGTCTTGCTATGTTGCCCAGGCTGGTCTCAAACTCTTGGCCTAAAGGAATCCTTCTGTCTCAGCCCCCCCAATTGCTGGGATTATAGGCAAGAGACACTGCATCAGGCCTGTTATTCTTATATCTATCTCTATGCTGTTTCCAAATGAAAGATGTAAGAAGATAATGGATACTATTTAACACATTTTATGCCATTGAAATTATATTGATGTTGACAATATAATCATGTATATTATATCAATATGTATAAAAGTATTCATATTAATAAAAGCTAACTTATACTGACTACAAATAATGTTTCCATCACCAGGGTAGGTGATTCTTATGTAGGTATCCATTTAACCGCACAGTCATCCTACATGGGAGAAATTATTACTATGACCCATCTTACAGATGAAGTCATTATGCCTCTAAAAACCCGAGAAACTGTTCTAAAGTTACACTAGTATGTAGTGGATCTATGATTAAAACCCAAATCTACCTGACAGAAAGAAGGCACTGTTTTCTTTGATCTTTTAATTGGAATTCAGAGAAATTAACCTCTTAGGCCACAAAGGTAGTAACAGCCTGAGTTTGATTTCAGTCTATCCTGTCCTAAAGCCTGCTACTATTTCTGCTATACCATCTGTCTCTGCTTGCTGCTTCACAAAAGAGACAAGATTAAACATTAACATCAACTTGCATTGTTATAATCTAGTGATAAAATGAATGGGTCAAATTAGACAGGCTTTGGTGATAATTCCTGCAAACTTTTTTTTTTTTTTACTGAATCAGTCCACAAACATTTTTTAACATGTGCTGTATGGCAGATTAATTTCTTACATATTGAAATCAGCTTACATCTAAAAGAGGAAACAGATTTTGAACAAGTAAACCTATCATGTCAGAGGATGATCAGTGCTCTGAAGAAAAATAAAATAGAGTAACAGACTAGCAATGACTGTGATGGACATGGCTATATTAGGAAACAGGGTGCATTTAGGAGTCTATGAGGATGTGACATTTGAACAGAGACCTGAAAGAAAGGAGGGGAAAAGCAAATGCGAAGACTCTGAGGTGAGCCCACTTAGATCCTAAGGTCACCAGTAATGATTTCCCATCTCTGTGTATTTACGATTTTGTATTATCTCCTCCTGTTGAGTGTAGGTGGAACCTACAACTTATTTCTAACTAATGAATATGGCAAATATAATAGAGTGCCATTTTTTAGGTTACATTATATGACAAAGATGATGGAATGTGATTCCTGTGTGTATGTTATGTTATATAAGACTCCACCTTAGCAGACTGCAGGAAAAGACTCCTTCTTGCTGGCTTTGGGGAATAATTTTCTACGTTGTCACTGCCAGTGGAGAGGGCCACATAGCAGAGCACTGTAGGTGTTACCTAGGAAATGAGGGTCTCAGTGCTACAACTTCACAGAGCCAGATTCTGCCAACAACCACAATGAGTTTGGAAGAAGACCTCAAACTCAGATAAAAACTTTGATGACACTTTGGGAGACCCAAAATAAGGCATGCCCAGATTCCTCACAGAAATTGTAAAATAATAAATGTGTGTAATTTTGTGCTGCTAAATTAATGGTAGTTTGTTACATAGCAATAAATAAAAATGTGTGATACAAGAAGACCAAGCACGTGCAATTTTCAAAAAAAAAAAAAAAAAAAAAAAAAAGGAGGTTGCAATGAGATGAGCAGGAGGGGAGGAGATGGCCTGGGATCAGATTACTATATCAATGTGATTCACAGTGTGAGCCATGGACCATTCCCATCTGTGAACTACCAGTCTTTCACAGACACAAAACGAAAGTGATTATGGCTTAAAGAGTTGGAGAAAATATGCTTTCTCTGAAGAAGAGTACTTAGTAAAGACCAAAGTCAAGTTGAAAGATAAAAATACAGATACCAGAAAGATTTGAGCTTCTGTTACCCTATTATGCAACAAACATTAAACAAATACAAACTCTTAGCCAGATTAACAAATTCTTATACTAGAGGCCTATTTTTCTCAGTTGCTAGTACTTAATACAATATGCCCAGCTTTCAACAACAAAAAAGTCACAAAGCATGTCAAATAGCAATAAAATAGAGTCATAAGAAACAAACCACGCATCAGAGTTTTACTCAGACACGATGCAGATTAATTACAAGGAAATTTACAATAACTATGATATCAAGGCTTCCATTGAAAAAGTAGGCAACATTAAGAGCAAATGGGCAATGTAAGCAAAGAGATCAAAATTCTAACAGAAAATTCAAAAGGAAATGTTAGTAATCAAAATTAGTATAAAGAAATGAAAAATATCATTGATGGGTTCAATAGTAGACTCAGTAAGACCAAGGGAAGAATTAGTAATCTTGAATACAAGCCAATAGAAGCTTCTCAAAATGCAAATAGAAGAAACAATACAAATAAGCTGTTGGGGAAGCCAGCCCCACACCACCCAGCGGGTACCCCGAGTCCAGCGGAGACAAAGAAGTTAGAAAGAGACAGAATAAGAGTTTAAAAGGCAGGTCCAGGGGACCGGAGCGTTGGAGGCTTGCTCATGGCCCAGAGCTCTTTGGCTCCGCCCAATTTATTGATTTACAAGCTCTTTGTTCTTAGGGCAGATGGGAGGGGTAGGAAGGGATGAGGAAAAGGATTAATCAGTGAAGGAGAACTCGTGAGTCATTCAATAATATGTATAGTAGTGGTGGTTTCTGTGAATTTCCTTGAGTAAAGGCGTGTGTCTAAACTACTCAAGATCTTTAACTTATCGGGATTGAAATGGATGGGAGTGAGTTTCAGGAGGAGCCAAGATGTTTGATTATACTCCACCGCTTCAGGGAGTGTTATCTCCCGGAGCAACCTGTGGAATGCCGCAGAGCGTTTATGCTCTAGGGGTATAAAGACATGAAGGCAATAAGGAGACTTTTCTCCTTAGAGGCCGCCCATGGCTCCCCATGGGTGCCTCACACACAGGAGACCAACTCATCTGGCACCCTAGAAACTCTCTGTCCCACATAAGCAAAAACAGAAGAGCCAAGAATGAGAATTATGGTCTCAAAATATACAGTGCATGTGTAATTGGGATAACAGAAGGAGAAAATGGAAAGAATGGAACAGAATAAATATTTAAAATATTAAAGCCCTGACATTTTCAAATTAATAACAGACACCAAACCACAAATCCAGGAACTTCAGAGAACATTAAGCAGAATTAACAGAAACAACATTTAGGTATATCATATTCAAACAGTGGAAAGACAAAGACAAACAGAAAATATTGAAAGATGCCAGAGGGAGGAAGTGAATCTTACCTATAGATAAACAGGGATAAGAAGTACAATAAATGGCCGGGCGTGGTGGCTCACACCTGAAAACCTAGAAGTTTGGAAGGATGAGGCGGGAGGATTGCTCGAGGTCAGGAGTTCAAGACCAGCTTGGCCAACATGGTGAAACACCGTCTCTACTAAAAATATAAAAAAATTAGCCAGACATGGTGGTGCATGTCTGTAGTCCTAGCCACTCAGGAAGCTGAGGCAGGAGAATCACTTGAACCCAGGAGGTGGAGGTTGCAGTGAGCCGAGATCACGCCTTTGCACTCCAGCCTGGGCGACAGAGCAAGACTCCATCTCAAAGAAAAGAAAAGAAAAGAAAAGAAAAGAAAAGAAAAGAAAAGAAAAGAAAAGAAAAGAAAAGAAAAAGAAGTACAGTAAATTTCTCATCAGAAACCATGCAAGCAAAAAAAGAATGGAGTGAAATGTTATGAATCTGCATAAAGAAAAGGAGATCACTGAAAAAGGAATAACTGATGGTAAAATAAAATGTTTTATTTTTATTTTTAAAATTAATCTAAAGTGGCTGGGCTCACTGGCTCATGCTTGTAATCCTAGCACTTTGGGAGGCCAAGGCAGGCAGATCACCTGAGGTCACGAGTTCAAGACCAGCCTCGGCAACATGATGAAACCCTGTCTCTACTAAAAATAAGAAAAAAAATTAGCCGGTTGTGGTGGCAGGCACCTGTAATCCCAGCTACTTGGGAGGCTGAGGCAGGAGAATCACTTGAACCTGGGACTGGGAGGTGGCAGTGAGCTGAGATCACGCCACTGCACTCCAGCCCCGGCAACAAGAGCAAAACTCCATATCAAAAAAAAAAAAAAATTAAATTAATCTAAAGCAACTTATGTAATGATACAATCAATGTATTAGCTGATCATGACATATAAAAAAATGAAATTAATGGCACAATACCATGGAAATGAGTAGTAACAGGGAATACTTTGTTATGTGGTACTTGCACTACACATGAGGCGGAATAGTGTTGTTTGAATTTAGACTTACATTATTAAAATATTTTAATTATTAAAAATATTATTATTAAAAATTATATAATTAAAAAATATTTATTGTAAACTCTAGGGCAGCAAGTGTTGTTTGAATTTAGACTTGTATTATTAAAAAAATGTTTATTGCTGGGTGCAGTGGCTCATGCCTGTAATCCCAGCACTTTGGGAGGCTGAGGTAGGTGGATCACCTGAGGCCAGGAATTCGAAACCCCGTCTCTACTAAAAATACAAAAATTAGCCAGTAATGGTGGCGAGTGTCTGTAATCCCAACTATTCAGTAGGCTGAGGCAGGAGAATCTCTTAAACCTGGGAGGCAGAGGTTGCACTGAGCTGAGATCGTGTCACTGCACTCCAGCCTGGGCAACAGAGGAAAAAAAAAAAAAAAAAAAAAAAAAAAAAAATATATATATATATATATATATATATATATATATTTAGTAAACTCTAGGGCAGCAACCAAAAACTATTTTTAAAGAAGTATAAATTATATGCCAAAAGTGTGAAATCATATAAAATGCTGAACTAAAAACTGAAGAGGCAAAAAGAGAAGTCATTAGCAATGAATATAAGACATTTACAAACATGGTTGATATTAATCCTAATATATCAATAATCACTTTAAATATGATTGATCTGAATACATTAATTAAAAGACAGATTTTGTCAGAGCAAATAAAACCAAACAATTAACTATATATTGTCTATTAAAAAAATTGTAAGTTCAAAAGTAAAGAGAAGAAAAATATATAAAAATATAGCATGTTAACAATAAAGTTGCAGTAAATATGCCAATTTCAGACAAAGTAGATCAAGAGTACTTTCAGGAATAAAATAGGCACTATATGATAAATAGGTAAATTCTCCAAAAATACATAACAAAACTGACAATCAAATTAAAAATCAAACATCAAAATATGTCAAGCAAAATTGAATACAACTGAAAGAAAATACAGGCAAATCTTCTAGTATAGTTGCAGACTTCAACACCTTCCTATCAATAATTTTTAGAGCAAAGAGGCAAAAATTCACTATGAATATTTTTGAACATCAATAATACTCTCCATCTACTTGATTTAGTTGACATTTATATAATACTCTATCAGCAATAGAAGAAGACACATTCTTCTCAAGCTCACAGGAAATATTTACCAAGTTAAACTACACTCTAGCTAAAAAAAATCAAAATATATTCAAAAACATGCAAAAAATGAGTATGTTCTCAGACCTCAAGTAATTGTACAGAAAAATAGTAACAAAAAGATAACTAAAACATACTTAAACATTTGCAAATTGTAAAAGTTACTCCTAACAGCATGAATCAAAGAAGTCTCAAGTGAAATAAAAACATATTTTTAACTAAATGGAAATTTAAAAACAATTTATCAAAATTTGTAGCAACCAATGAAAACAGTGGTTTGAAGGAAATCTATAGAATTATCTGCATATATTAGAAACGAATAAAGATCTAACATAACTAATCTAAGTTTACATCATAGGAAACTACAAAAAGGAAAAACAATTTAAAACAAAAACAGTATAATTAAAAATAATAAAAATTAGAGCAGAAATCAATGAAATTAAAAACAGGAAAATAATAGAGAAAAATGAAAAAAACAAACAAACAAACCGAAAGCCGGGTTAATGAAAATACAAACAACAATAAAAAGACAGAAGCCACAAATTATTAACATCAGAAATTAAAGAGAGGTCATCTTTCCTAATTCCAAGGATATTAAAAGAATAATAAAGAATTATTGTAGGCCTGGCAAGGTATTTTACATTTGTAATCCCAGCAAGTTGGGAGGCCAAGGAGAGGGGATAGCTTGAGGCTGGAAATTCAAGACCAGCTGGGGCAACATACTGAGGCCCCATCTCTACAGAAAATTCAAAAATTAGCCAGGCATGATGGTGCACACCTGTAGTTATAGCTACTCAGAGGGCTGAGACAGGAGTATCACTTGAGACCAGAAGGTCAAGGTTATAATAAGCTATGATCACACTACTGTATTCCAGCCTGGGAGGACAGAGTAAGATCGTCTCTCTAAAAATAAATAAATATATAAAATTTAATAAAACACATATATACCTATGAATTTGATAACCTCAGTAAAATGGATAAATTCTTTAAAAAAAACACAATGAACCAAAACTCACACAAAGAGAAATAGATAATCTATATTGGCCTATTATCTACATTTAATACACTGAATTAACAATTCATAGTTTTGTAAAACAGAAAGTATTAGGCTCATATAGGTTCATTGGTTAGTTCTCTAATGCCTTTAAGAAAGATAAAAAAGAATTACGCCAATATACTCTGAGGCCCTAAGTGGCAACCTCACCCCTGAGACCCTGGGTAGCAAATGGGTCTGCTGAAGATGAGAAGGCGGCATTGCCTGCAAAATTGATATATTAGTTTGAAAGAGCTATCATAACAAATTATCACAGACTGAATGACTTAAACAACAGAAATCTATTTTCTCAGAGTTCTGGAGGTTAGAAGTCTAAGATCAAAATGTCAGCAGATTTGCTTCTTTCAAGGCCTGTCTGCTTAGCTTGCAGATGGCAACTTTCTTGTGCTGTGTTTTCACAAGACCTTTTCTTCATGCATGCGCATCTATGGTGGCTCTTTCTCTTTTTAAAATGACACCAGTTATATTGGACTAGGGGCCTACACTAACAGACCTTTAACTTAATCACCTGTTTAAATAATTTGTCTCCAAATATGATTACATTGTGAGTACTGGGGGTTGGGACTTCAACATAACAATTTTAGGGAGCATGGTTTAGTTTATAACATTCTGTACCCTCCAAATTCATGTCCTTCTGATGTAAAAAAAAAAAATACATTCAATATATCCTGACAGCCTAAAAGTATTAATAAATTTCAGCACCAACTCTAAATTCTAAATTTTATCTAAATACCATCTAACTCAAGTGTGGGTGAGATTTGAGGTAAAACTTATGAGACAAAATTCCTCTCCAGCTGTGAAACAAGACAATTTATGTGCTCCCAAAATACAATGGTGAGACAGGTATAGGATAAACATGCCCCTTCCCAAAAAGGATAATATGGTGTGGCTGTGATCCCACCAAAATCTCATCTTGAATTGTAAAGCTCATAATTCCTATGTGCTGTGGGAGGGACCCTGTGGGAGATAATTGAATCATGGTGGTGGTTTCCCCATACTGTTCTCATGGTAGTGAATGAGTCTCACAAGAGCTGATGGTTTTATAAGGGGTTTCCTCTTTTCCTTGGCTCTCATTTGCTTTTGTCTGCCACCATGTAAGATGTACCTTTCACCTTCCACCATGATTGTGAGACCTCTCCAACCACGTGAAACTGTGAGTCCATTAAACCTCTTTTACTTTATAAATTACCCAGTCTTGGGCATGTCTTTATCAGCAGCATGAAAACAAACTAATGCAAGGGAGAAACCAAAAAGAAGAAGGCAGTAATGGGTCACAAGCAATCCCAAAACCTAGCAGAGCAAATTTCAGATTTTCAGGTTTTACACCTCCAGGAACAATACTCCACTGGATGCAGGGCACAAACACTGAGCCAGAGTATTATTTCTGGAGGCCTAAAATCTCTCCTTCCAGGTACACTGAGGCAGCAGTGCTGCCCTTGAGGCCCAAGGCAGGAGACTAATCCTTAAGGCCCTGGGTGGCTACCCTACTACTGGGACCCTGTTGAAGCAGCAGCCTGGCCCACTTTTCTAAGAACATCCAAAAGGTAGTACCACTGTCTGAAACTGAGGAGGAGACAGCCTCATCCATCAGACCTGTGGTAAGAGTATCAGCCTTGCCAATGTGAGAATTATATTCATGGCCATTCTTCCACTTTCTTGAAGGATAACACATATTCAAAACCAATTAATTCTATTTTTCTATAATGTAAAATCACAGAGTCTGAAAACCATTCTTCACTTTTGTCCATTCCTGATCCTGTTAGTCTAAGCTGAAAGTGTTTCTGATGGTAACACTCAAATCACTATTCTTGGCTTCTGTTGAGATGGCTGATTAGATACATAAATCACACCTTGATATATTATCACATGATTTTCTAGATACACTCCTCATGTGCTCTCCAGAAAATACTTTCTCATCTTTTGAAATATGGATAGGCTGAAAAATTTCCAGATCTTCAAGTTCTAGTTCCTTTTTTGCTAAACAATGACTTCTTCCATTTCTGTCTACCCTTTTGCACTTTATGAGAAGAGGCAAGGAGATGCCAGGCTGCATTTTCAACACTTTGCTTAGAAACAGGTTCAGTTAAATATCCAGGGTCATCACTCGCAAGTTCTATCCTCTGAAAAAATACTAGAACACAATTCACCCCAGTTATCTGCTACTTTATAATAAATATCACCTTTTCTACAGTGTTTAATAATATGTTCTTCATTTCTGTTTGATGTTGGAAATCCAAAATCAAGGTGTCAGCAGAATTGGTTTCTTTTGTTGTTGTTTTTGTTTTTTGAGACGGAGTCTCGCTCTGTCGCCCAGGCTGGAGTGCAGTGGCCTGATCTCCTCTCACTGCAAGCTCTGCCTCCCGGGTTCATGCCATTCTCCTGCCTCAGCCTCCCGAGTAGCTAGGACTACAGGTGCCCACCACCATGCCTGGCTAATTTTTTGTATTTTCAGTAGAGACGGGGTTTCACTGTGTTAGCTAGGATGGTCTTGATCTCCTGACCTCGTGATCCACCTGCCTCGGTCTCCAAAAGTGCTGGGATTACAGGCGTGAGCCACCACACCCGGCCAGAATTGGTTCTTCTAAAGCCTCTCTCCTTAGTTTGCAAATGGTCACTTTTTCACTGTATCTTCATATGGTCTTTTCTCTGTGCATGTGCACCTTTGGTGTCTCTTGTGTTACCAAATTTTATTTTTATAAGCATACTAGTGAGATAGGATTAGAAATCATTTGAATGAACTCATTTTAACGTAATTACCTCTATAAAGGCTCAACTTCCAAATATAGTCACATTCTGAGGTACTGAAGGTCAGGGCTTCAATGTGTACATTTGCTTAGCAGGGACAAAGTTTAGCTCATAACAGAGATGAACATCCTCTACTTGATAAAGAATATCTATGAAAATCTACAAGTAAATCTACAAGTAACATCATACTTAATGATGATAAACTAAATGTTTTCCCCTTAATATCAGGAACCAGGCAAGGATGTCCTTTTTTACCACCCCTATTCAACAATATACTGGAAGTCCTAGCTAGTGCTAACATGGGTAGGAAATAAACAGTGAGCCTGGAGCAAGTTGTAGTGTCAGAAAGTAAGGAAGTGCTAAAAAAAATCATGATGATGGGATGACTGGGGTTCTCCAAAGAAACAGAACAAATAAGAAACATATGATATATATACTGTACATTTATACCTACATATACATATATATACACACACAGGGACCAACTGAAGGAGCTCCCAGTGGCTAAAGCTGAAATAATTTGATATATGAAATAGATAAATAAATATTGTACCATAACCCAAAGTGTTAACTAAATATCCATGAGTCCCTAAAATATAAATGAATGACTGAGTAAATAAATGAGAGAAGAGACAAATATTCCATGCATAAGAATTTCAATAGTTTATGTACATACTCTACCACGAAAGAGGTAAAGTCTAGCTTTCCATCTCTACATGTGGACCATATTTTCTAACTTACTTTTCAATAATATAGTAGTGAAATGGGAGAATGAAAAAGTAAGTACAAATAAACACTACCTCAAGCCAAATGGCCAAGTTTAACATCAATGGTAATAAGTCACGTTGATAGTAAGTATACTTGATAAAATGTGTTAAGGATTGCTTCTTACTTGTGGTCTTCCATCTATAAACACATTGCACCAGTCTCATCATGATAAAAACATTAGACAAGCCTCAATTGTGGGACATTCTACAAAATACCCAATTAGTAGTTCTCAAAACTGTCAAGGTCATCAAAAGTAGGCAAATCTAAGAAATTGTTATGACCAAGAGGACTAAAATCCATGCTTACTAAATACAGTGTGGCATAATGGATGAACTCTGTAACAGAAAAAAAATACCTTAGAAAAAAAAAAAAAAAAACGAGAGTTCTGGTTAAATAGGGAGTTTAGTTAATAATATGTCAGCATTGGTTCTTTATTTGTGACAAACATCCCATACTAATGAAAGATATCAATAATTGGGAACCAGGTTATTCTGTATTCACAATGATACTATAAATTTAAAACAGTTCTTATGTAAAAAGCCAATTAAAAAAAATCTGGGTGTAGAGGTCAGAGACAGAAATTAGAGATTTGAAGCACAAGACACATTTGATGTATTGTTGCTAACTTGAAAGTAAGGGGGGTCATGGGACAAGGAGTGAGTGTGGCCTCCTGTAACTGAGAGTAGCCCCTGTGTAGCAGCCAACAAGAAATCAGTGATCTCAGTCCAACAATTACAGCAACTAAATTCTTCCAACACCAACAATGAGCTTGCAAGTGAACAAGGGGACAGGGCCTGGTGGCTCACACCTGTAATCCCAGCACTTTGGGAGGCCGAGGTGGGTGGATCACCTGAGGTCAGGAGTTTGAGACCAGACTGGCCAACATGGTGAAACCCCCGTCTCTGCTAAAATACAAAAAAATTAGCTGGGCATGGTGGCAGGTGCCTGTAATTCCATCTACTCAGGAAGCTGAGGCAGAATAATTGCTTGAACCTGGGAGGTGGAGGTTGCAGTGAGCCGAGATCATGCCACTGCACGCCTGGGCAACAAGAGTGAAACTCTGTATCAAAAAAAAGAAAAAAATAAAGTGCACAAGGGGGACAAAGGTGCCAGATGAGCACCAAGTCTTGACTCTAGCCTGTTACTCTGAGTAGCAAACTTTGCTATGCTGTTTCTAATCTTCTGACTTATAGAAGTGCCAGCTCATAGGGGTTTAAATATTCCTAAGTTTGTGGTAATTTGTAATGCAGCAATGGAAAATTAATACAGAGCTCTAATGAGAAATATACCCATCTTCTTTCTACTTATGCCTGCTTGATCTGGATTTCTTGCACTGGAGAGTGAGAGAAGGAAGGACATATTGAATCAGCCTATTCTCCCAGTTTTTCAAGTCAGCTTCTTGCTGAGAGGGCAAATTCTTGTCTGTTCTTGCTGGTGTGGTGAGCTAACCAGGAATAAGAACTGCCCCTACAAGGGATTCTCCACCGTTTGTGGGGACAAATTAGAGTAAAGGAGAGAGGATCTTTGAAGGGCCTACATGACGGACATTGCAAGCCATGTTGTTCTCATATTGACCTTAATATTAATGATGTTGAGTCTTTGATCTGAATCTTCATGGCTCTCATATCTTAATTGTCAATTGTTTCTGAACTACAGAGGCCAAGGCAATTATTATTTATGGTCTGCTTCAAACCTCTCCTTGAGGTTTCATAGAAGTCAAAAAGAAAGAGGGAAAAAAAAAGATTTAAAAAAACCTCTTTTATAAAAAAAGGAAATTATTCTCATTATAACTACAAAAGATTATATAGGACCATGGATGCCAGCATGAAACATTTTGTTTTAATGAAATAGAGCCTTTTTCTTGAACCAAGGCATGACACATTGAGAGTGAGGTTTCAAACCAATCACTTTGACAATGATATGCAGTCCATGGGGGGTAGTGGGGAAGAAACGTGTAGAAACAATTATGTCTATGCAAATGTTATATAAAATGTTTTACCTCTGAGCTTCATGTAAAAACTGATCTTGGCTCAAACTGAAAATTGCTAACTAGGCAAGAAGAGAGAATGGCATGAAACATAAAACTGACTCCTTAAAAGCTCAGGACAGGCATATGTGCTTATAAAACTTGATTTTTTGCCAACTAGTTTATAAAAAATAAAATGTCATCTCACTACTCTTAGCACTTGCAGCTGTATTTTTATTTCCATTTGTGGGGTAAATGATTTTCAAAGAATTTTTTATAATAGTCAAGTTTGGCAAAATACAACACCTAAATGTCATTTAGGGGCCTCACATTATTAAATATGATGGTACTATAATCCTTCAAGAGGTACATTTATCTTTAATATCTAGCTTTTCTCATTGAATAATGAAAGCTGGCATATATATCAAAAATTTAATTTTTAATCACTCTAAACTATGAAGCCCTGTTGGTGAAATTGTGGACTCTGACACTTAAAAGCTAAGAAAGAAAATGCTATTTTAAATTTGCTTTCTTATAGAATTAAAACAAATTTGATTAAATTTGAGTTATGAATATCCCTCCTGGGCCATGGTCTCTCAGATGTGCCACAGAATTGCAAACACAAATCTAACCTGAGTCAGCAGTCAGATTCCAGGTTCAAGATAGATGGGTGGAGATTGATGGGCTAGAGAAATCAAAATATTACCCAGTTCCAACTACACTCCACGGAGTTATGCCTGCAGGTTTTATCGCTTGCTCTGCACCCCACCACACTACAGTCAGATGCTCCTTACACATTGTCCTGAGGTGGGCTGTTATCTTACAGTGCCCTTGGTTGTGATTCACTGTGAGTTCAGGCTTCCAGAATCTTCTCAGGGTTGGGACAGCAGCTAACTTTGTCTAACCTCTAGACAAGTTAAGGAAGTAGTTAAATGGGTAAAATATAACATCGGGTTTCCAAGTTTCAAATTCTGCCTCCACCAGGTCATGCCTATATATCCTTAGAACATATTATTTTGCTTCTGGAGGCCTCAATTTCGTCATCTCTTAAACAGGATAAGGATAGGGAAACTTAGAGCAATATCTTCTATCTTAATAAATTATCCTAGGAAACAAAATACTTAAGTGAATAATCTGTGTATTTTTCAGAGTTCTGCAAAGAAACAGAATAAGAAACATATGATATATATACTGTACATTTATACCTACATATACATATATATACACACACAGACACATATCTATCTATCTAATCTATCTATCTATATCTTTATATCTATCTATCTATATGTATGGGGAGAGAGAGAGAGAAAGATTTATTATAAAGAATTGGCTCACATGATTATGAAGACTGGCAAGTCTCAAGAACTGCAGGGTGAGTCTGCAAGTGGAGTTCTGGGAGAGTGCATGATTTAGTCCCAGGTGTAGCCTGAAGCCCTGAGAACTAGAAGAACTGATGGTATGATTCCTATTCAAAAGCTGATAAAACCCAAGAAGAGCAAACGTTCAGTCCAAAGACAAGAAAAAAATGCAGATGTTTCTATTTCAAAGGCAGCCAAGAAGGAAAAGTTACCTTACTCAGGAGAGGGTCAACTACTTTGTTCAATTTAGACCTTCAACTGATTGGGTGAGGCCTACCTACATTAGGGAGGGCAATCTTCTTTCCTCATTCTACTGATTTTGATATTAATCTCATCCAAAGCCACCCAAGAATACTGTTTGATCAAATATCTTTGCACCCCATGGTCCAATCAAGTTGACACACAAAATTAACCATCACAATTTATGTAAAGCATGCATTCCATTGTTGGGAAAATGTTTCATAATGCTAACCATTCTTTTTCATTAACTGTTAACTGTGCTGCACAATTTACTTCTAATATCTCTCAAGTGAGCACTCAGTGACATCTTATACTTGAGAAATATAGATGTTTACAGTGGATAAGTATCTTTTTCAGAATCACACAGCTACTATTCTACTATTCTAGCAGAGCTAGAATTCAGAACCCATACTTTCTGGCTATGAAGCCCTGTTCTTACAACCAAATCACAGTGCCCACCCTCCTTTTTAAATAAAGAGCAAACTGAGAAGGCAAAAACCAGAGCCCACAAAACTCCTTCAAAGTCTTATAGCTGCCAGTTCAGTTCCATGCCAGTGTACACGTTTATATATAACCATGTGTGAAATATCTATGCCATTTTTCTGAGACGTTGAGTAGGTGGCATGTATTTCAACATCTCATCTCCATCAAATGAGAGCTATAATATATATTTAAAGATGAAGTCAGCCTTTCTAAATATAATTTTCAACTGTGCTGGGAAAAATATAAACTGCAGCACTGTAATAATCAACATATAAATAGCTCCCACATCTTTGCCATGCAAATTTGGATAATGATATTATGGAAGGGGACTATCAAAAGGGACCTTCTGTTACCACTCTTTTTGCTAACCAGTGAGCAGCTGGGATTGATGACATTTTTAGTTAAAGCCAGTTTGGAAAGGCTTTTATCCCACGGAGATAAGCTAAAGCCTCAAAATAAAACAATCCCAAACTGCCAATGTTTGATTGGTTTGAAGTTGGAACGGAGGTATTAAATTCTTGGTTTTCTCACAGTTTTAGAGAAAAAGCACACAGCTTTCCATTGCCCTTTGACGGCTGACAAACTGAACCTCCAGGCCTTTTGTGTGTGTGAATCTAGGGGTATATTTCCTCTACCTGGCAGTTTTCATGACACATGAACCCACATCTCAGGTGGAGAATGATGTCTCACTCAGCCTCAGTGTCTATGTGACTTCCTGAACAGACAATCCCTCTGCTGGATGCATCAAATGACAGGACCCTGTGAAGATGCAGATATGCTGGTTATCTCACCATTACCAAAAAGCCCATCGGGGTTTCTTTTGAAAAGATTCCCACTTCTCCATGTCTCAGTTGTAGAAGGACAGGACTCTGGGGGGACAGTTTTTGTTGGAATGTTGCTAATTCCAGGTACGAGTAGGTAGGTGTTTATATGGCAGAGACCACAAACAGGTAGTTGTCGGCCATTTCTGGCTCCGAGACAGATTTACTTTGGGCAATAGAGTGTTGTGCTTTTTTTCCCTAATTTGGATACTTTTAGATGGGGCAGATGCTTCATATTGCCACAGACGCTTTATCTCCCTATTGTCTTAAACTTGAGTTTGGGCCATTCTTACATGTGACTTTTGCTACTGAATACCACTACAGATGAGATATTCATTAAAGACGATTTCTCCAACAAGTGATCTAGACATAGACATTCTCATTTGATCCAGGGAGACACAAACACTGGTGTGGTGAAAGAAGAAGCCCTGCTGGGAACAGAAAATATAAAAAAAATGCACTCTGTAGGATGAATTACAACTGTGCCCTTAGCTAGGTGCTTTTTTGGTTTCTTTTTGTTTGTTTGTGTGTTTTTTTTTTCTGGTGTGTGTGAGTCAGTCTCATAAAATATAGAATACTAACTATCATGTTTTTAAGTCAAGCTCTTTTGTGCTTTAGTATGAGCTCTGTATCATTAGTTGAGTTACTTTTTTTTTGGTAGAATTCATTTTTTTTTTAAATTAATCACAGTAATTCTTCTGGTCATCATATGCACACCCCTTTGAATTGCAACTGAGCCATTCCTCCTCTCTTGACATGACTCTATTTCTCTACTTCTCAAATCTGGGAATGGTCATCTGAATTGTTTGGTCAACTAGAAGTTAGAAATTTTAAAATGGAAAATTTTTAAATTAGAAAATTTAACACAAGCATATATTTGAAAAAATGCTCAATTACTGGGGCTTTTCCTCTCTTGCTGTGCTTGAAAACTTGAGTCCATGACATGATTGAGCTCAAGGCAGCTTTTCACACCAGTCTCATGGAGGAGAGTTGAGGGTACCTGAACAAAACCTACCATCAACTAGATTTACTAAGTGGGTAAAGTCATTGTAGATCATCTAGCACCAGATATGTTAGCAGACTGCAGATAGCTGAACTAATCCAGACCAGAAGAGCTACTCACTGGGACCTCAAAATGCTGAGACACAAAAGATGCATATTGTTTTAAACCATTAGCTTTTGGGGTAGTTTGTTATGCAGCAAAAGTTAAATGGCATATTTCTTAGCCTCAATTTCCTCAACTGCAAAATAGAGTTGATAACTACCTTGCAGTGTTACTGTGGGGATTATAAATAACATGTATAACTGGCTGGCTCACATAAAGTCTCCAACAAATGAAAGCTATATTATTCGTTAGTTATCAGTCTGAATGAGCTTCTAAATCTCTTAATGTTAACACAGATTGAGTTCGAATTTTATGCTCCTGTTCTTGAAAATTGATCTTGACTTCTGATACTTCCTAATTCTGATGACTCAGTTTTAATGTTGCTCAAAAAGACATTATGGCCCCACTTTAATAAATTCATCTCCATCACAGAAGCTTAGAGAAAAAAGCCTCAAATCACAGCCCTGACTTCCTGGAAGTAAAATTAACAAAAAATGACAGAATTAAGACAGCCATTCTCATCAAGTTAGAAGCTGAAATTCAACCTTGAGTTTTTGAAGCCCAATCAATTATTATAATTGGAGAAATCCTTGGAGAATGTCTGTTTTATTTAAGCTACACATGTGTTTCACTGTGTGTATGGGTAGATGAATGTGTGTAGTCCTTATCCTCCAAGTTGTAAGAATGTACTGGGGAAGACACACTTATGCAAAAGTAGCTATCCTGTAAAATAAACTACATAGGGTGCTCTGACAGACAATCCACATTCATCAACACAAGGAAATGGGACTGCGGATTAAGATCAATGTAAAAGATTTGGGAAAGCATCGGGAGAAAATAGGATTGAGTAAATTTTCTCAAGTACATTAAGCAAAACTCTTTTAGTTTCATTTTCCAAAGATCTAAATGATCTTAATCAAACAGCCTCAAAAACCATAACGTAAACATGAACCAGAATCAGCGTTTTATACTCTTAAAAACTAGGGAAGCTTTGCCTTCAAAGAATGGCTAGATTCACAGGCTCAAGGAAATTTTCAGGACACCGTATCTCTCACCTCTCACCTGTTTTTCACTTAGTTGGCCCTGTTTATTCTCAGGTAAAATGAATGCCAACAACATGCTTGACCCCAACTCCAAGTTTGTAACAAAGAAGGGATTTGTTCTTAAAAATTCAAATACAAGTCCTAGGTCTGACACTCATTACCCAAAATTGGATCGTACATTCATTCATGAGCCAGCCACTAAAAATGAAAATAAGGTAAGCTCATCCATGCCCCAGAGTCAGAAAGTGGGAATCGAGAAAAGCGCTTACCAGAAGAAGAGTGAGGATATTGGCCCTCAACTTCCAAAACAAATATTCACTTTGGCAGAATAGGATTTTTACTTTGAGAAAGCAGTGGGGTGCTTGAGTTAAAGGCAAAGGACCAGGACGGAACATTGTCCCTAATAAATAGTTCAATTGATTGAAATTGACACTTACAATTAGAAATGAACATATCCTTACTTTTTTTCTTTCTTAATATCTAACATCATTCAAGAAGCTGAGGCAGCCATTTTTACGTGTTTGATTTTATTTCTGAGATGAGAAAGCAGATTTAAAGGACGATTTTATGTGTTGTTAATCCCATGCATTATGTTTTAATAGTGCATTTTTTTTTCTCATTTCCCCAAACAAAGAAATGTCAATTCCTGGAGTCTTAGCAACTCATTGGTTACACCCACTTAATTATGTATTTGGCTCAGTTGTAGAATAAAGTAATCAGATGAAGCCTGGTACAGACTGGCTTGAAGTAGAACAAATATGAGTGAAGTCATCCAACAACGTGCCTCAGGAAAAAAAAAAAAATATATATATATATATATATATACGGTTCATTGCTAACCCAGAAAGAGCCAGATTTTGAATGATGTCACATGTAAACCACTATGGTAAAGCAGAATTCAGAAGGTAAAACCGAAGCATGACTGCAGGCAGGACCCAAGAATAAAACAGAAAACAGAGACAGACAAGGTGTCAGAGAGGACCCAGAAATAGCAATCACCCAGGTGGCCCACACAGATACTGAGAGTCTAGGCAAGGCTCAGAGAATTAGATAGAACTGAGGACAGAGGCTTTAAAATCACGGCAGCTTTCAAAATAAGGGTGTTTGGGGCCTAAGCAAATTCATTTTGTGATTGTTTAGTCATTGCTTTTGTTTTTATTTTGATTTTGGATCAGTCTACAAAGTGGGGGAAGAAAGCAGGTGAGCTGCATAGACAGAAGTGAACAAAGATGGAATATTGTGGAGATATTCTACTTCACACTCCCATTGACTTTCCTTCACATTGGACACACATTTACTCAATGTTCCTGGTTAATATCGACTAGTTTCTCAAACCCTGGCTTAGCCATCATCTTCTCCAAGAAGGCTCCCTTGGCTAACTCCATCTCCTCATGAGGCCCCATGTTATCCCATCACATTATTTACCAATTATGTTTTATTTGCCTATTCATTTTTCAGCTTTTCAAATGCAGAGACCATGATTCACCCACCACTGTATCTTCGGGACCTACAGTAGTGCTCAATCAGTGTTTTTGTTTTGTTTTGTTTCTAAGTAAATCAACAAGCTTAAACTAAGTTCACTTCAACACATGTACCACTGAACTTAAAATAAAATAAATTCTAAAAAAGTAATTTCAGAGGTATATCCACTTGTGTGACTATAAAAAGAATAAAAATAAAACCTATATTTAAATAAAAATTAAATTTAATTTAATTAATTTAAATTTAAATTTAATAAAAAGAGAAAATCTAGATTCCTGGAAATTCAGGCAAAAATTCCAAAAAAGATGTTAATGTATACATTTATATTATTTATGGGCAGATGTTCCCCCCCATAATTAAATATACTCTTTTGTATTTGGTAGTTTTTCTCTATATAAGATGTAAAATAAATTCCCTATAATTATCTTACTCTTGTTTGGAAACAAAATTATGAGAAATCAAAGTTCTATGGCATTAAACAAGTCACCTCACGTCATATATAAAATAAGAGGATCCAATCTTGGTCTGTATTTTTACAAAAGTGTAATATCTTCATGTTTGTTCTCAGCCTTAAGCACTTAAACAAATATATATTTTTAAAGATTCAGCATTATTTAACAAATTATTTCTAAGCTCATCTTTGATTTCCAAATTTGTCCTTATCCTCTTTCTTTCTATACTGCAGGGGTTCACACGTGTTAACGTGTGTAAGAAAATTTGGCCGTGGATGTAAAATAAATATTCCTGGGTCTTCATCTTAGTGTTCTGAATCAGTTGATGCAAAGTGAACCCAGGAATGTGAAACTTTAAAATGCATGTTGTCTTTGATAGACCACAGCTTGAGTACCACTTTGTCTGTTTCCTTTATTCCCATATTCCTTATATTTTTCTCTTATTCCACTCCTGACTATCCTTCAGATCTACCAAACATTGTGAATGCAATGGATGGGACTTAAGTAATACCCAGGAAATATTAACTATAAAGGAGGAATGCATAATTAGAGAATGAATACATGTATGAACGAATAAGAAAATGAACAAAGGAATAAATGAATAAATGTGTTTTTCAGGAAGTACTTATGGCTGTGTTTCTATCACTCCACATATCTAGGGACTGCCCAACCTCACCTCTAGGCCAGCTCTGGCACAGGCTTCCTGAGGAAAAACCCCAGCTGAGAGTACTCATTTAAATAAGTCCATGAAGGAAGAAGACACAATCAGGACACAGATAAGAGAGGGGCCCACAGGAGATTGTTAGCAGAGGCTGACGTCCTATGGTATAATAGGCAAAAGTTGCCATTTGGAAGAAGCCCACGGGAGATAGCAGGTTCTTGCCTCATTCAATTTAGTTTCCAGTTAAGAAAATTTCTGTCCATACAGGAAATTATTTTGGAGGTTAAACTGGCTCAATTCAAATAGTAAAGCTAGTTGGGTGATTTCCTTGTCAACTGGAGTGGACTGAGATCACGGCATGGAAACAGAACACAGGCGATAATAATGAGTATACAACTAAATTGGTCTTAAACAAAATTGGCATTGAAACAAAGAGAAATTAATATTGGAATTTTATAGATGTTAGAGCAGTTTTTAAAGTGGCAATAATAGGACTTTTGAACTTGGAAATAATGCTGCTTGTGAAGCTGTGCCTTGGGAGTGTGGGTGTGATGAGAGACCGTTGTGGGTTCCACCCTGGGCTGGCTTAGACTCAACTTCACTGGTTGTTAATGGCTGTCTTGGGATGCCTAATGGAGCATCCGCCAGGAGGATGACAAGCTTCCTTTCCCTCCTGCTGCCACTATAAGGTTCATCTTCAACCTGACTCTCTCTGATGTAGAAGGCTCTTGGTTTCAGCAAGCGGCCTTCATTTTGTCCACTAATATTAAAGCTCTCTGGTTTCTTTGTAGCTGGTTTCTAAGCTTTGCTTCCATCTTCCCCTTTCGAAATGACTTCTGTCCACTACCACTGCCCCTGCAGCAGCCTATACATGTACCCTCTCCCTTCAGGGAGACAAATCTAGGAGGTCCTTTTAACACAACTAAAGACTGGTCCAGTTTCATTCACCATCATTCAGCCTGGAAACTTCAGGGATAACTTTGGCTCCTTGTTTTGCCTCTGTCTCATTTTCCAAGGCTTGCCTCTTAAATTTGCTTCTTCTGTTTCACCCCACCTATTCCCGCGTTAGTGCTGGCTGATATTAACCCATTCCTGAACCATAAGTGGTAGCTTCCTAGTTGGTGTGCCTGACCTCTACCCACATGTATGTACTCCTCTCCTCAATGCCAGAATACATCAAAAAAGTTACTTTTACCAGTGCTGTCATCAGTGATTGTCAAGTTAATTCTACTGTGCTCAAATAAGTTTACTTCAACCAGTATTAACTGAGAATCTATTATATTCCAGGCCTTCTCCTGGGACACATGAGAGACAATGAAGATGGATTATGGAGCTAGAAGAAGACACAGACTCATAAAGAGATGACTAATGTGTAATAAATAAATATAATGTCAGTGGTAGACCCAGAGGTTGAGAAAAGGCTTCCAGAAGACTCATTGACATAGTCTGAAAGGATGAATAAGAGATGGTGCAGTGAAGGGAGTGAGTACATGTGGGCAGTGGACTATCATGTGTACAAACACATGGAGAAGAGAACAGACAGAGTTCTGGAGGGAGTTTGAGACTGGACTAGGTATTTTAATGCTAGGAAGGGATGAGTAAGAGATACAACTATAGAAGGGTCAGATCATGCAGGATTCCATCATTCAGGCTAAGGAGGATAATTTTAACATTATTTGAACTGGTCTCTTATTCAGTAGTTCTCAATATAATCTCACACCCAGAGGATTAGCAGGCAGGGGGTGATATCCATTATTATGAAGATGACATGTAAAACTGTAAGATAAATATGAGTTTTAGATGGAAAATAATTCGCAATGTGATTTTATGTTGCAGTAAATAGATATATGTGATATATATATATATATATAAAATACAATTTGGATTTCTTTAAACCACAGAAATTAAAGAAATCTCAGGCTTTGAGTGGGTTAATTTTTATTAGAGTCTATTATCTCCTCTTCATTTATTATCTTCTGCTTTTAAGTTACATATGAAAATCTATTAGAACCAATAGCTCCAATGAAAATGTGATTCTACCCAAGTTACTCTACTTGGGGGAATAACCTAATGTACATTCACAAGTAGAAATGAGTTGTTTTTGACTCTGTAGCAAAGCAAGTTTTGTATAAGCAAATATGTGTATTTTTCTGGTGTCAAGGCTTATTATAGTCATTAAATCACCAAATAGTCAATAATAAATAATTAAAGAATAGGAAGATAAACTGATAGATAGCAGATAAAGTTGACAGATACATAGATCATAGTTAGATATAAAGGATGATAACTAAGAATAGATGCATGGATAGATAGAAGATAGATATAGGAATAAAAGGGAAGTTCAAAATTATAATACCTACTTCTGCTATTATTTCTTTTTTCTGTGACTTTGCATAACTCTGCTACCCTTGGAATTTCCCACTACAATTTCCTTTGGCCTAGAAAAGAGACAAACTGAATTCTTATATCTGTCCAGGTCCTTCAGAAAACAAGAAATAATTTATCTTCAATTCTTAGTGTTTATGTGTCACAAATTTGGTTCTTCTCACAGACAGCCTTAATATGTTTGCCATATTTTTATTTTTCTATAATGCATCATTTCACCCAAGTTGAAAGATCATTGAGAGCAGAAACATTATTTTACTATTTGTACCCGAAACACAGACTAGCACTGGATCATGCCAGAGGTCCTTAGTTGCAGATTTAATGTATAAATCATAGACTGTTTTGGTTCATTTCAACAATAAAAATTGAATGTAATGTGCTAGGTTCTGGAGGTACAAATAGTTAGGACACAGTTCTAGATATTGAGGTGTTTACTGACTTCATCTAAGAACAGATTTTAATAGATTTCAGAATTTTAATTTCACATTTCCACGATTATATTCTCTAAGAATTGTTATTAGAGGGGTCATGGTTTCTACAAAAGTGAGGTGTAGCTGATGACAACCATATCGGAGTGAAGCTATTTAAATTTAACAATGAATCACACAGGTATTCAGAGACTTCAAACAGGAATAAATTAATATATTTCTCCCTAGTGTCTTGAAATACAACTCTAAGTATGCAATATAAGAAGTCCATTACTGTGGTTACTTTTTTAGTATATTACCAATGCAGATCAGGCTGAATTATTAGACGATGACCAATAAATATAATAGACATTGGTGCTTGCTCAGTAATAACTAACCTCTATATTTTAAACAATGCAGAAGCAGCATATCTTCTATATTTTGTGTTACCATACCATATATTATAAAAATATATATTTGAGTTTGTATTTTATTGTAGAATATTTTTAGGATGATTGAATTAGGTATTTTAATTTTGCAATTAAAATAATTTACAATTGTAGCTTTTTTTAACTTTAAAGTACACTCATATTCATTATTTAGTTATAAATTTAAAGGTATTTATATCTAGAAAAAAAGGATATTTGGTTAGTAGGATAAGGGTTATTTTGACTGAGGCTGAATTTAATAAATAAGCAAATGAAGTGGTTGAGAACCAGAATCATATACTATAAAAACACCAGCAAACTAGAAGAGAAAGTGCATCTGTGTGTGTCTTGGGAAAATACATTCATAGAATTCTAGACATGTTTAGCATCCACAACTCCTGCTGAATTCAAAGTGGACTATGTGACACCAGCCTTTACTCCCTCCTCAACCAATTTTAATGAGACAAATGTTAAGTCTGGGTAGTTCATGAAGGATCTACGGCAGATACACATTTTACAGCCACCGGCTCAGTAAGCACAACAAACTGATCAAAAGTTAGTGGAAACAGAAAGAACAACAGATAATATCAATCTGGGCTCTGAGAAAGGGAAAAGCAATGGCTGACTTGGCTCGTGATTTTCCAAGTATATATCTCCCAAATATTTCCCCATTCTGGCAGAGGAATTTCTTATTATATAGGCTAATGATGCCAGATACATATTTCTTCAGCTTCCTTTATAGCTAAAGAGTGGGTTTATGACCTACGGAGGACTTCTGGGAATGGTTCCCTTCTGGTTAAAAAGAGAGACAAGAAAAAAAATGCACTTTTTACCCTTGGATGGTGCTAAGTAAAGACATAGTGTTATGGCGCTACAGCAACCATCTTGTAACCAGGAGGTGATAAACCAAAGGACCACAGACAGCACATTGAAGATAGTAGACTGAAACAGGAAAAAAGACTTGGTCTCTGGTGATTGTGTTAAGTTTTGAATTAACATATATACAACTGAAGTATCATTAAATTTTTTGGTATGTTAGATAAAAAATATCCTTATTTATTCTAGCCATAGTACTTGGGCATATAATTTCTGTGTGGTTATAAGCATCTTAATTCATAAATGATTTCATTTTCAGACCTTTAAATCCTCAATTGAATCAATCTCCATGAAGCCCAGCTAAATCTAAAATAATTTTGTATTGTTATTGTCTTCTCTATTGTCACTAAACAAGCCTTTTTTTCCTACTTCACATGTGTCTCTATTTCTTGCAAGCAGCAATGACCAATGGCCTTGATACAGGCTTTTTGTGATATATTTATGAAGTTAAGGGCTTTGACTAAAATCACAACAGAATTCAATTGTGATGTAATGGTACCCAGAATATAGGTTAGCCACGTGGGCTTTTTCAGTTATGTGCCATGTGCTATTTCAAAAATGGCTGGAAAATAGAGATTTTATTCATCGATGAACTATTCAGTACTATATAAGAAATACTGAGAGGCATTTTAAGAATAACTTCAATGCACTTGGTATCATTTAACCTACCATAAAATTGCAGCATAATGCCCAGTGAAAAGGGGTTCAATTGTTCAGAGAATGAGATCAGAATGGAACCTGAATATATTTAATAACTATGTTAACATTTTTTCAGGGAAGTTATCTAATACTTATCCATTTAAATGAATTTAAATGGAAGCTTCTCTCCCTAAAGCCTCTCTATTATGAAGTTACAGTCTCCAGATTGCCAACTCCATTGTCCAAAGAACAGAGAGTGCTTGGAAATACCTGCCAGATAAACAAGTTCTCACAAGCCTGGGGAGATATTAAGCACTTCTACATGTAGCTGCTTCCAAAGATGCCTTTGCATCTCCCGCTTCACTGCTGCTGTGAAGTCGACAATCCTGGAAATGCATTGAGTTTTGAAGCAGGGAGTTTTCAAAGTGACAGGCTTAAAAAATACAATTCACCTTTTGCCCTTCCACTCCCAGCTGCAGAATATTAGGCCTCCTTAGAACTCAGTTTTATAACTCTGAATACGCAGTGATACTTTTAATAAATAGGCTAAGCTCTCCTGGGCCACAGGCTTCCAATTATAGTTTCTAGTCCAAATCCCCCTTTTAAATGAAGATGATTAAATGAGGGTATTTATGATTTAGACAACAAGAGAAAAAAACATGTTCATATCTCCTAGCTAAATACTATAATCTCAATTTTCTTAATATTCAGTGAAATAATTAATGGCAGATTTGAATTGGCTCCAAAATATTCTCTCACATAAACTGCTGCTAACAAATAACAAAGACACAATCAAGTGGCATAAAATTTATGGGATGGGAAATCTGTCTTGATTATATATCAATTTCATACATAGAATGAGCTGGACAGCTCTGTGTTACAGAAACTACAGGAAAAGCAAGCTCTCTTTCTGCCTCTGATATGAAGCAGTTTTATGTATGACATTTGTCATTGAAACGCTATGTCTCCTTGTATGTTAACTTAGAGTGTTAGATTTTATAATATCTAATAACTCTTGAATTCTGTATTTCTGTTTCCCAATAAAATAAAATTCAGTTGTTTTAAGGGAAAAGGCAGAAAATTTGGACCCAGAATACTTGCGTTTGAAACTGAGCTCCAAATTTCTTGGCTATAGATCCTTGGATACAAAGTTAACTGCATAGAATCTTGATCTGTAAAATGGAAATGATAATACCAATATCACAATTATATTCAAAAGATGCAAGGACATCACTTATGGAATATTTATTAAATTACAAATTTAAAACACATTTTATATCTCAAACATATCCCGATTCTTGAGAAAGCATTGCAATTGATTGTACCTATTTGGAGGATAATGTGTATTGGTGCTCCTGCCAGCTACAACAGACCCAAAGTCAATCTTAACATAAACAGAAGTCGTAAGCACAACACATAGGCAAGTAAGTGGCCACCCACATGATCTGATTTCATATTCCTTCGAATATATAAATTTTCCCCTTCAAATCATTTTTTTTTCTTTCCCTAGAAGTAAAAGAAGGCCCTCCTGTCTCTATACAATTAAAGCTTTTTTATGAATAAGTCATTGTAGCAGTCATCTTAAAACAGATTTCTGGTTATAGGTATGAGATCCCCATGAACCTTAAAAAGAACTTACCTTAATCTTTCCTATATCAGGGAGTACCTAGCAGGGTGCCTGGTTATGGGTTGGTGTTAAGACAGGTTTGATGAATGGATAAATGAATGAATGCATGAATTTCCCATTAGAATATTTTTTCCCTTTAAAGTTTGTAGAGGTCTGATTAAAGTTTCTAGTAATCGTTTCATGATAGTGCAAATGAATTTCAGATAATTTCTTGGGGTCATGTGAAGAAAGACTACTGAGGCCTAAATAGTAATTTGAAGAAAGAAACTAGCATAGAGAGAATGAGGTCTCCAGAAACACTGTGCAGCTCCCTTTACTCCCACCCATTTTGTCTGGACAAAGGAACTCTGGATTCTTTCGAGTAGGATCACAAAGGTTTTCACTGAATAAGGAGTGGCAGCTGCCATATAGGAGGCTCCCGCTATGTGCTGGGAACTGTCCTAGGTATTTTGCGTGACTTATGTAACTTATTCCTCACAACAATCCTAAAAGGAGCAACCCAAAAAATTCTGTTTTTCAGAGGAGAAAACTGGGGCATGCAGTTTTCCAGAGGTCACTCCTCTTTTTAATTGGCAGGATCAGGATTTGAGAGAATCAAGTGCTCCTAACCATAAACCTTTCCCTTTGGAACCTAGAAAAAGCCTCTGAACATTGCCCACTGCTCTATGCTCAGTGTTTGGCTGGTGATGCCAAGAAGTGTAACAGGAGCTTGCACAGGAACTCTTCTGCATAGCTCTGGTCTAAAGTTCAGACTGAGGGCAGATTGCAGCAGGTTGGAGATGGGACTTGTAAAGAATGCTTGTGTGTCCCACATGTTTGGCATAGTAGACACCCTCTGTTCACCTCAAACTTGGCTGAAAAGACAGAATGCCCTGGCTTCAGATAACTCCAAATCTGCACCTATTGTTGATATTGATGTTCTTTCGTCTGGATGGGAATGACAGGCATCTTTTGTCCAGATCTGGCAGACATACCAGAGCAGAGCTGACTCTCCCTGAATGCAATGTAACCGCCAGCAACACAGACACTCCTAAGCCCCCTAAGTAATACAAATGCCCTTCTTTCCTTTGTCTCCACAAATTATTCATAAAAAATTGAATAAATTGAAATGCTATGTAGTTTATGAAGCAGCTGAACTCCAAATAGTTCTGAATCCTCCCATGCCCCATGAAGAAAGGGTGGGGAATATAAACCAGCTGGGATAAGAGGCAAGAAAAGAATGCCAAAGTTGGGGTTCCCAAGGGCCCTAACAACCAAGGCAGTTCAGAACTGCAAAAGGTAGGAGCCAGTCCAAGATAAAGTTGATCAGACGAAGTTGAGCGTCAAATGCCAGACATAACAAGTGCACCCTGAGTTCAAAGAGGAATAAGAAGAAAAGAATATTAAATATAAGCATCGCATATCACATGTTTTCTGTATAACATGTTCTGTCCTCAGCATTTTTAGTGAATTACTTCATTTAATTGAGGTAGACATTGTCATCCTCAGTCAAAGACAAAGCAGTGCTTGCTATGAAGTGTTAGGGATCTCCACTGAAGAAGCAAAGCAGAGAGTTTCCTACTGGAAGGCTCAAACCAAGTCACAGAACATTGCTACCTGTAATACAAGGTATGGGCCCAAGAGTTTATGGACAGGTTGATGTGAGATTAACCTGAGGGTGGGTCCTACATATGTGAAAAGTGCAAAAAAATTGCCAAGAATAACTTTCCTCAAAGATGAGAACTATCAGTTAGTGGATTTCTTAAACTGGATTTAGGGTTGAAGCAGAAAACAAAAAAGATTGCGGTAATTAAATGTTACAATTATATCAAATCATTTCAATACAAGGTACAGAATATGTTGAGACAGAGTCTCTGTTGCCCAGGCTGGAGTGCAGTGGCACTATCTCAGCTCAGGCTCACTGCAACCTCTGCCTCCCGGGTTCAAGCAATTCTCCTGCCTCAACCTCCCAAGTAGCTGGGATTACAGGTGTGTGCCACCATGCCCAGTTAATTTTTGTACTTTTAATAGAGACGGGGTTTCGCCATGTTGGCCAGGCTGGTCTCGAACTCCTGACCTCAAGTGATCCGCCTGCCTCAGTGTCCAAAAGTACTGGGATTACAGGCATGAGCCACCATGCCCGGCAATGTATTTTGCATTTTTGAAGTAGATATCATTTTCTCCTGAATTGCTTTTTGTCATGAGATTGTCAGATCTGAGAGATGGCTTATCTTTTAGTTACTTTTAGTTATTTTTCTGTGTATAAGGAAATACAGCAAATGAGATACGCAGTTCTTTGTGGGAAAACATGTAAGTCTTGTTCATTTTCCTTATAAAAATAATTTCTAAATTTTACATATTGCATTTTGTGTATGCTTATATACATTTAGATTCTGTGCCAATTGTTGGGTGGTAGGCAGAATAATGGCCTGAAAAGATATACAAATCCTAATGCTAACAGTCTGAGAATATGTTATATTACAAGGCAAAAGATAATTAAAGCAGCTCATCAGCTGGATTATCTGAGTGTCCTCAATATAATTACCAGGTTCTCAAAAGTGATAAAGAGAGGCAAGGAGAAGAATCAGAGAAAAAGATGTGATGGTCAAAGTAAATTAGACTAAGGTAACCTGAGACTCCAATTATTAATTCTGGCTTTCAAGGTGGAGGAAGGTAGACTATGAGCCAACCCTGCCTCTAAAAAGTTAGAAAACACAAATAAATAGATTCTCCCCTAGAATGCCCAGAAAAGAATGTAGCCCTCATGACACCTTGATGTGATCCTAGTGAGTCCTGGGTCAGACTTCTGACACACAAAACTTGGGATGAGAAATTTGTGTTGTTTTATGCTGCTAAATTTGTGGTAATTTGCTCCAGCAACAATAGAAAACTAATAAAGGTGAAATGTTATCTAAATATATTGCTTCTTTTGTTTTTCTTCATAAAATATCATGATCTGGCATTTAAAATTTGGAGGCATGATGCTCATCTCTGATTATCTTCAGAGGGAACAACCATCTAAAGGAGTCCTGTAGCACTGTCCTCTGGCTTTTCTTTTTCTTTTTTAGTTGACAAGTAATAATTCTACATATTTATGGGAGATAGAGTGATATTTTGATCTGTGCATACAATATATAATAATCAAATCACAGTAACTAGCATATGTTTTGCCTCAAACCTTCATCATTTCTTTGTTGTTGTGAACATTCAAAATCCTCCTCCAGCTTTTTGAAAGTATACAATAAATTATAGCTAACCATATTCATGCTACAGTGCTGCAAAACACAAAAACTCATTCTCTCTATCTAGCTATAATTTTGTATCCCTTAATCAACCTCTCTCTGTCTTCCTTTCCCTCCTACACTTACCAGCCTCTAATAACTAGAATTCTACTTTCTATTTCCATGAGCTTAAAAAAATCATTTTGGCTCCCACATGAGTGAGAACATAAGGTATTTTTCTTTCTGTACGTGACTTATTTCACTTAACATATTGTCCTCTAGGCTCATCCATGTTGCACAAATAACAGGATTTTATTATTTTTTATGGCAGAATAGTATTCCACTATGCATCTACACCACATTTTCTTTATCCATTCATCTGTGGATGGATATATCTTAGCTATTGTGAATAGTGCTGCAATAAACATGGACCTATAGATATTCCTTTTATTTCTTTATGTACTATTGTTTTTTTTTTTTTTGAGATGGAGTCTCACTCTGTTGCTCAGCCTGGAATGCAGTGGCACAATCTCACTCACTCACTGCAACCTCCGCCTCCCAATTTCAAGCAATTCTCCTGTCTTAGCCTCCTGAGTAGCTGGGACTATAGGCGCACACCACCTCGCCCAGCTAATTTTTGTATTTTAGTACAGACAGGTCTTCACCATATTGGTCAGGTTGGTCCCAAACTCCTGACCTCAGGTGATCCACCTGCTTCAGCCTCCCAAAGTGCTGGGATTACAGGCATGAGCCACTGCATCTGGCTGGTATTCCTTTAAAATACTGATTTCCTTTCCTCTGGATAAATACCCACTGTAGGATTGCTGGAATGCATGGTTGTTCTATTTTTAGTTTTTTGAGAGGCCTCCATACTGTTTTTCATAATGGCTGCAATAATTTATATTCTCACAGTGTATTAAGAGTTTTCTTTTTCTGCATCTTAGCCAACATTTTCTTTGTCTTTTTGATAATAGCCATTCTAACTGTGATAAGATGATATCTCATTATGGTTTTGATTTGCATTCATCTGATTATTAGTGTTGTTGAGTATTTTTTCATGTATGTTGGTCATTTGTATGTCCTCTTTTGAGAATTCTTTTTTAATGGAATTGCCTGTTGTCATTTTTTTTGCTGTTTAGTTGTTTGAGTTTATTGTATATTCTGGATAGTGGTCCCTGGTTGGACGAATAATTTTCAAATATTTTCTCTCATTCAATAGGTTGTTTCTTCATTCTGTTAATTGTTTCCTTTGCTGTAGAGAAGGTTTTCCATACAATATAGTTCCATTTCTCTCTCTCTGTCTCTCTTTTTCTTTTTGCCAATGGCTTTGATGTCTTCACTATAAAGTCTTTGCCTAGGCTAATATTCTAAAATGCTTTCCGAGTTTTCTTCTAGTAGCTTCATAATTTGGGGGCTTACATTCATGTCTTTAATCCATTTTGGGTTAATTTTTTTATATAGTGAAAGACAGGAGAGTCCAGTCTCATTCTTGTGCATGTGGATATTCAGTTTTCCCAGCTCCATTTAATGTACGCTTTGGCACCTTTTCAAAAATCAGCTGGCTCTAAATGTGTGGTTTTTTTCTAGATTCTCTATTGTGTTTCATTCTCTATTGTCTGTTTTTATAGGAATACCATGCTCTTTTGGTGACTGTGGCTTTTTAATATATTTTGAAGGCAGGTAGTGGGATGCCTCTGGTTTCGTTCTTTTTGATCAGTATTGCTTTAGCTATTCAAGTTTTTTGTAGTCCCATATAAATTTTAGAACTATTTCTTTTTCTATTTCCATGAAAAATGTAGTTGGTAGTTTGATAGGAATTGCATTGAATTTTAGATTGCTTTGGGTAGTACGGTCATTTTAACAATATTAATTATTCCACTGAATTTGGTGTGTCTTTCCATTTGTTTGTGTTCTATTCAATTTCTTTCATCAGTGTTTTGTAGTTTATGTTATAGTGTTATTTTGTATCTTTGATTAAATTTATTTTTACCTATTTTAGACATTTTTTGTAGCTATTGTAAATGGGATTATTTTCTTTATTCCTTGTTCAGTTAGTCCATTTTTGGTGAATAGAAACACTAATAATTTTTTAAGTTGATTTTTTATCCCACAATTTTACTGTTGCAAGATACAGTAGTATATAAATTCTAAGAGTTCTGTAGTGCAAACTTTAGGTTTTTCTATCTGTAAGCTCATATTATTTACAAAGAAGGACAATTTGACTTTTTCTTTTCCAATGTGGATTTTTTTCTCTTGCTTAATTGCTCTGGCTAGAACTTCCAGTGTATGCTGAATGCAAGTGCTCAAAGTGGGCATCCTTGTCTTGTTCCAGTTCTTAGAGGAAAGGCTTTTGGCTTTTCCCCATTCTGTGTGATGTTAGCTGTGGGTTTGTTATATATGGCATTTATTATGTTGAGGAGTGTTTTTTCTATGCCTAATTCTTGAGCACTTTTATCATGAAATGATACTGACTTTTTTCATATGCTTTTTCTGTGTCTATTGAGATGATTATATGGTATTTGTTTTTTATTCTATTGATGTGATTTATTTATTTATGTTAAAACATCCTTGCATTTCTGGAATAAATTCCATGTGATTGTGTTAGATTATCCTACCCTTGAAGTCTCTCGCTAATTTTTCATTTACCACTACCACCCTCTAGTCCCTGCTCCTTGGCTATAAATTCCTACTTGTTCCTGTTGTATTCAGAATTGAGCTTCCTTCTATACTGATGTCTCTTTTCTCTGTTTACAAGAGTTACTAAATAAAATATATCTTTACTGCTTTATTTATTTACTTATTGTATTTTTCAGCTTTATTGAGGTATAATTGACAAATAAAATTGTACATATTCAAGGTATAAAATATGGTGTTCTGATATACATATAATTGTGAAATGATTACTACAATCAAGATAAATGTAAGTGGATTAAATCTTTCAATCAAAAGACATAAAGTGGCTGAATGGATAAAATAAAACTCAATTATATGCTGCTTAAAGAGACCCACCTCAGCTTGAAGAACAAACATAGACTGAAAGTGAAGGGATAAAAAAAAATCATGCAAATGGAAACTAAAAGAAAGCTAGGGTAACTACACTTATATCAGACAAAATATACTTGAAGTCTAAAACTATAGAAAGAGACAAACTCATTATATAATGATAAAGGGGTCAATTCATCAGGGATATGTAACAATTGTAAGTATATATGCACCCAACATTGGAGCACCTCAATATATAAAGCAAATGTTAAAATATCTGAAAGATAGACAGGAATACAGTTATAGTAGTGGCCTTTAATACCTTACTTTCAACAATAGATAGATCATCCAAACAGAAAATCAATAAGGAAACACTGGACTTGAACCCTACTTTAAACCAAATGGACCTAAGAGACAAAGGTAGAGCATTTCATCTAACAGCCACAGAACAAATATTATTGTATTTACTGCCTTTAACTAGCATCTGGCTCTGGTTCTATTTGACAGTCTCCAGCAATATATAACATATTCACAATATAATGTAGGTAATATATCTCAGCTTTTGACTGTATCTTCATAACATCAAAGAAATAAATTGAAAGTGAAACACTAATTCAATCATACGTTTACTTTTTGTCATGTCCCCAACTACTTTTTTCAAATTTATGTTTTAAATTGACATATGTATTTGTCATGTACAACATAATTTCTGATGCATATGTATAAATGAATGATGAAATCTAGCTAGCTAACAAATGCATCATCCCACATATTATTTTTGTGGAAAGAGCACTCAATATATACTATCTTGGCATTTCTCAAGAATGCAGTATATTATTGTATACTGCATTCTTGAGAAATAATATAGTTATGGAGTCTTATTTTTTATCAAAGTATATTGTCAAGTATTTTTTAATTTACTTGTAAAAAAATGGCCAGACATTTTTAGCATGCTGTGGGCCACATGTTAGACATGCAAGTATATTGTTTAGCTACTGTTTTTTTCACATGCGCAACAATGAATAAAATTTTAATGTTTAAATAACAATTTCCATTCTCATTATGAGTAATTTACTTAATTTAAAGGGAATGTGATGTGTTTTCACCAATTAATTTTTTTTTTTTTTTTTTTTTTTTTTGTGGTGAGGGAGGGAGTCTCGCTCTGTCTCCAGGAGGCTAAAGTGCAATGTCACGATCTCAGCTCACTGCAACCTTGGCCTCTCAGGTTCAAGCGATTCTCCTGCCTCAGCCTCCAGAGTAGCTGGGACTATAGGTGTGCACCACCACACCCAGCTAATTTTTGTATATTTAGTAGAGACGAGGTTTCACCATCTTGCCGAGGATGGTCTCCATTTCCTGACTTCAGGTGATCCGCCTGCCTTGGCCTCCCAAAGTGCTCAGATTACAGGGGTGAGCCACCACGCCTGGCCCTTTTTTTTTTCTTCTTCTTTTTTTAATAGAGACGGAGTTTTGTTCCTGTTGCCCAAGCTGGAGTGCAATGGCGCTATCTCGGCTCACTGCAACCTCCACCTCCCAGGTTCAAGCGATTCTCCTGCCTCAACCTCCCGAGTACCTGGGATTACAGGTGCATGCCACCGCTCCTGGCTAATTTTTTGTATTTTTTAGTAGAAACAGGGTTTCACCACGTTAGCCAGGCTAGTCTTGAAATCCTGACCTCAGCTGATCTGCCCACTTCAGCCTCCCAAACTGCTGGGATTACAGGTGTGAGCCACCATGTCTGTCCCAATTAATACTTTTCTATGGAACTCTAGAGCTTAGAAAAAACCTAAAGATCCATTCAAGCCAATATTCCATCTTGTCTCCAGAAAGGACAAGTGTAGCCATCTGGGCCAAGAGTTGGTGGTACTTTTTTTGTTTTTTTTGAGGTTTGCTCTGTCACTCAGGTTGGAGTGCAGTGGCGATCTTGGCTCACTGCAACCTCCACCTCCCAGGTTCAAGCGATTCTCCTGCCTCAGCCTCCTGAGTAGCTGGGATTACAGGCTAATTTTTTTGTATTTTTAGTAGAGACAGGGTTTCACCGTGTTAACCAGGATGGTCTCGATCTCCTGACCTCATGATCCGCCCGCCTTGGCGTCCCAAAGTACTGGGATTACAGGTGTGAGCCACGGCGCCCGGCCAGGTGGGAATTTTTAAGAGTCTGGAGGGTGACTATTGCCCATATTGTTATCCTATACATTTATTACATGCCTTCTACATGAACAGCTTATAACTTTCAATGTATTTAGCCAGAGAAATAGGACATAATTAAATGTCTAAATGAAATGGCTCATATCTAAGACAATTGTTCCATTTATCATGACATTAGTACACTTGGTTTTTTAAGTTCAAAAGTTAATCATAAATTTTAAAACTCTAGAATTATTAGTATATAACTAAAAACTGAAAATAACTATCAAAATTGTAGTTACTGAGTTATTTGTGTCAGACATTTTTCTCTTTCACTTAATAATGACTTAACAAATGGCATTTGTTCCAGGCACTTCTAACCATACAAAATGGAATAATGTAAGTTTCAAATTTGAGGAATACAAATGCAGTTGAGTAAATAATGAACTTTACTTATATACTGAGCTCCAATATGTGGTAGGATTGTAACACAAGTATATTAAATCTCAAGGCACTTCAAAAAATGACTACACACTATTAGACTGTGGACATTTAAAAGGCTTTATAATAGAAGTGGCAAGTAAGTTAACCCTTGAAAGATGAGTAATATTTGATGGGCAGGATAAGGCGTATGACTTATGTAGTGGAGCAAACAGCATGAGTAAAGTAGACACAGGGCAGATCGTATTTTTGAGGTTCAATGAATAGTTCAATTTAGCATAAATGTAGAGCATGGGTGTGAGAAAATTTTAAGATAGTACTAGAAAATGCTTATGTCCAGAGATTAGAAGATAGTTTAGAGATTGGTGGAAGTGATTCTAATTATTTGTGCTGCCCTGAGTTAAAGTATTAGTGTTAATTAGGACAGTTGGGAGAATGGATAGCTTATAGAAAAGGATCTATTATAAAGTTGCTGGAATAATCCATAGAAGAGGTAATAATTGTCTGAACTGGATTGAGGCAGAAGGGATAAAGGGGTGGCACATATTCCAGAGATATGGCAGCATTTCCAGAGCTTGTCTCTCTGTCACCCGGGTAGACTAAGAGAACAGGAGGAGCTATTGATAACTCCCAGGGTTCAATCTTTTATAACAGATCTTTTATGACATTCATGGAAATAGAGATTAGTCACAGTAGCTATTCTGGGTGTAAAAAAAAAAGGATGAACTTGATTTGGGGGTATGTTGCTTAAGGATGCCCTCGGGACATTTAGGAGGGGATGATCAGTATCCATTAGAAATAGAGGATGTCTGCTTGGCAGAGAAGCCGATGGGGATCTGACGATATGGAAGATGTCAAATAACACACTGGAATGCAATTTCAGAGGGAGAGAATTTAGAGAAGATAAGGAAAGCGAGTTCAAATAGAACCGAAGGGGAGACTTACAGTGAGGTATCAACAATGAGGATTCAAAGAGAAGTGAGTTTACGAAGGAAAGAAATGGTTCCAACAAGGAATATCGGAGTGAGGTCAAATGATGAGATGTCTAAGACTGTAACTATATTTTATCATTACAAAGCAGCAGTTCTAGAAAAGTGGCAGGGGTAGAACATATATGACAAGGGGCTCATGAGTGACTGTATAGGAATGCAGAGAGAGTGAGAAAACATGCATTTCCAAAGGGTTTCGTAATTTAAGATGCATATGTGGAACAGGATCTTGGTGAGGTGGTGAGGGGATTAATGTCATTCCTTTGTGCTAAATTACTATAGTAAGTGCAGTTGCATGAAAACACCAATAAAACAGATGCAGATATGAAAATTAGGAGACTGATTATATTTATTTTTATGTATATAACATATTATATATTTATATATTAATACATGCATAAACCACTCTTAGATGCATATACCGTTTTGTTTTTGGGCTTTTTGTTTGTTTGTTTGTTTGCTTTTCTGAGACAGAGTCTCTCTGTCACCCAGGCTGGAGTGCAGTGGCGTGATCTCGGATCACTGCAACCTTTGCCTCCCGGATTCAAGTGATTCTCCTACCTCAGCCTCCTGAGTAGCTGGGACTACAGGTGTGTGCCACCATGCCGGCTAATTTTTTGTACTTTTAGTAGAGATGGGGTTTCACCAGGTTAGCCAGCATGGTCTCGATCTCCTGACCTCGTGATCCACCACCTCGGCCTCCCAAAGTGCTGGGATTACAGGTGTGAGCCACCGTGACCGGCCTGCATATTCAATTTTTTAAAAATATATCCAGATTCAAGTTTATGTGCCTTTAAGTTCATCCAGGATCCTTGTCAAAATCTTATCCTAAATGGGAGAATTGTGTGCAAACATTTCCCCTGTAAAGTCATTAAGCTTTTAAAATAACAGGAATAGCAGTCTTCTAAATTTTATCTGACTTCCTAGCCTGTTAATTTGGAGATGCTTTGAACCACTACTTATCTACATAAATACCAGAAATTGATTTCCATCAAGAGAAATGATCAACCCTTAATGAAGTTGGAAGTTCCAGCAGATAATCCATGTCACCAACAGAAACTCCAGATCTATGTTAAACAGATCAAATCATCTTTTGAAATTTCTGATACAACAGAGTTAGGTCTAGAAAACCAAGGAGATTTGGGCTGATGACTATATATTTCAGCCAGGGATGATGGAAAGCCTCTTTGGTAATCTGCACATTCCTTGCTTCCTTCAGAGAGCCTAAATATGCAGTGACTTCAAAGTTCAAAATAAACTATTAATGATGCAGGAAAATATGTAATATAGAAGTTTTTGGTATTAGCAGAAAATGCAGGTGGATGATTTTAGAGATGAATGTTTTGAAATTCCTATGCTAATTCCAGCAATTCAGGCAATTCTTGATAGTACGTATATCTTCAAAGGGGGCCAACACCCTCATGATCATTATGACAGCATGTCCACATATAGCTTGGATACATAAACCAAACAATAGAAAATGGCTCTTCAGATGGCAAATTCTAAGCTTTAGCATTGATTTGCAATCTTGAATCTAGTTGAACAATTTGTCCTTGATTCAATTTCTTTTTAATTAAATTGTACTATGACATTTTGAATTTGTTTGTTTTTTTTCTGAGTTTTCTTTTTTTCCATGCAGATGCAATACCTTTGTCCCTCAGAATAGTCTGCATGTTCACTATAAGAAATTGTATTTTTTAATGTTTCTGGCCCTGTGAAAAACTGAATATTTTGAGAGTAGGGGTCAAGCCTTCAGCTTGGAGAAGCTCAACACATTTTTACAGAATAACCTGAATATACCCAACGAGTTATTTCCCAAAGCAATTTATATGCACAGAAAGAGTTGTGATTTCTTTTTTCCTCTTGACTTTCACAAAAATAAAGGGCTAATATCACCAGCGGGCAAATTTTGTAAAATTACTCTCCAAGTGTTTCAACAAAACCTGCCAACACAACTCAAGCCCAAACTTCCTCCGTCCCTGCTTTGTGGCAAAGGGCCTCACTGGGAACGGCTGCCAGTCACACAGACAGAGCCAAATTGTTTAGTGGATTTGGGAAGTGGACAGATGTTCTCCTGGGACGATGGAGACAGGCACTGCCACATACATTTTCACTTGATGTGTTAACCAATATTTTTAGCCAATTATTCAGAGGCGACCAGCAGTTAATGCATGCAAAGGCAGGAACTAGAATCATCACTCACGGCTTCTACACAGCCCCAAACTCCTGCCAAAGTGTTAAATACCTCTTGGGTTCTGAAAAACACAGAGTGCATTTGCGTGCCCTTGGATGTGCTCCTTGAGACTTCTATGAGAACATCTAAAGCTAATTATGAAATGGTCATTGTGAATGAATAAATATGAGAAAATAAAACAAATGCTGAGGTTGTATACTTCAAAATACTAAACATGAAAGAATGAGTTTTACATATGAAAATGCATTTGAGGTCTCAAAGGTAATTACCCCAAGGCAGTGGAATAGTGCAATAAAAACAATAGCAGCTGGGCCACACCGATGATATACTGTGCTAACTGCTATTAAGCTAATTTGCAGCAGAAATATGGTGTAATAAGATCTATAATTTTTAATGGAAAAATAGCAAAACATAAAAAGCCTATGTTGTCCATTTTATTTAGAGAGATAACAGCAAAAGAGAGTCAATGATTAGAATCTTTACTTCCAAACATCCATATGCCTAAGGCCACAGTGTTGCTAACATTTTCTCTCTGATTTAAACAAGGCAAACTTGGAGCTAGTACCTGGAAAGTAAGAAGATAAAGGGATGTAAACATTGTTTCCAAGAAGCTTGCAATGCTATTCATCATATTTAAAGTAGCAATTTCTTCCTAGAAGAAATTGTACTACATGAATATATATATATATGTATGTATATATGTACGTGTATATGTACGTATATACGTATATATGTACGTGTATATGTACGTATATACGTATGTATGTACGTGTATATGTACGTGTATACGTATGTATGTACGTGTATATGTACGTGTATACGTATGTATGTACGTGTGTATGTACGTGTATACGTATGTATGTACGTGTGTATGTACGTGTATACGTATGTATGTACGTGTGTATGTACGTGTATACGTATGTATGTACGTGTGTATGTACGTGTATACGTATGTATGTACGTGTGTATGTACGTGTATACGTATGTATGTACGTGTGTATGTACGTGTATACGTATGTATGTACGTGTGTATGTACGTGTATACGTATGTATGTACGTGTGTATGTACGTGTATACGTATGTATGTACGTGTGTATGTACGTGTGTATGTACGTGTGTATGTACGTGTGTATGTACGTGTGTATGTATGTACGTGTGTATGTACGTGTGTATGTATGTACGTGTGTATGTACGTGTGTATGTATGTACGTGTGTATGTACGTGTGTATGTATGTACGTGTGTATGTACGTGTGTATGTATGTACGTGTGTATGTACGTGTGTATGTATGTACGTGTGTATGTACGTGTGTATGTATGTACGTGTGTATGTATGTACGTGTGTATGTATGTATGTATGTATGTATGTATATACATATATGTATAATACTCATTTCTATAATAAAGTTTTTTAAAGAAAGGTATCAATGTGGCAGACTATAGAACTGTATCTGCCAGTGTCCTGTCCATAAAACAAAAATGCTTTGAGTTTTTCAGAAATACATAATATAATAGAGGAAATTGGTTAGTCAGATAATGAATTATTGGTAAACCAAACAGGGGACTAAAAGGCCAGCCAGAGATGACCAACTGCAGGAGACATCTATCAGTCTCACAATGGGAGAGAGCAGAAAGCATGGTACCACTCAAAGCTGGGGACACCATGTAGGAGCTGGATCCAAGGAGGTTGACTGCCCCGTGGCAGCTGAGACCACAGAAAGAGGGGCTGAGGGAGGTGAGAGCTGGAACCATAAAAGACACACAGTAACTGCGCTGAAAACTGTTTTCAGGCAGAAGTGGGATTAATACTTTGATTCTCCCTTTCCTACACCCGCAAGTCTCCTGCAGGTGCTTCCTATTGGCAAATCCAGCCAGAAGCCAGTAGGCAAGGTATCTAGGTGCTATAGATTGAATGTTTATGTTTCCCCAAAATAAATATGTTAAAATCTAATCCATCCTCACTATGATGATATGTGGAGGCCTTCAGGAGTTGGGGCCCACTCATATGCATGGATTTAGTGCCCTTATACAAGAGACCTTAGAAGGGGTCCTTCCCCTTTTTGCCATGAAAGGATAAAGTTAGAAGTCAGCAGTCTGGACATGGCGTGGTGGCTCATTCCTGTAATCCCAGCACTTTGGGAGGCCGAGGTGGTTGGATCATCTGAGGTCAGGGGTTCCAGACTAGCCTGGCCAACATGGTGAAACCCCGTCTCTGCTAAAAAAATACGAAAATAAGCCAGGCGTGGTGGTATGTGCCTGTAATCCCAGCTACTCAGGAGGCTGAGGCAGGAGAATCACTTGAACCGTGGGGTGGAGGTTGCAGTGAGCTGCGATCATGCCACTGCACTCCAGCCTGGGCAACAAGAGTGAAACTCCGTCTCAAAAAAAAAAAAAAGAAAAAAATCAGCAGTCTGAAATTCTGAAGAGATCCCTCAGCAAAACCTGGCCATGCTGGCACCCTGATCTCAGATTTCCAGCCTTCCAGTAAGAAATAAATTTCTGCTGCATATAAGCCTCCCAGCCTATAGTAATTTGTTATAGCTGCCTGGGCTGACTAAGGCCCTGGGACACAGAGCCTAGGGAGAGCAGATGAAATGAGAGAAACTTGAAAAACGACCAGCACTCTTTCCAAAGCATAGCCTTGCTGTTCCACCCAAATCCACATGACCACAATCTCTTCCCTAAATGACTACAATGGTCTGCCACAGCTCCCCCACTACAACTCTGACTTCCCTCCCTTTTCCACACTGGAGAGAGAATGGTCTCTTCACATTCCCTAATCTGATCACAAGCACTCTGGTCCCTTTAAAACCTTTCAATGTCTTCTACTGCTCTTGGGAGAAAGACAAAACTCTTCATGTGACTGACATGCACCTTCAGGAGCTGGTTCAGCCTAGCTCTGAGGCTCATCTCAGTCACTACTCCTTTACTGTCTATATGATGGTGGTTCTGGTCTTCTTGATAAGTGGTCATTGATTCATTCAATCACTCAGCAAAACTTTATTAGGGGTGTATTAATCTTTTTTGGCACTGCTGATAAAGGCATACCCAAGACTAGGCAATTTACAAAAGAAAGAGGCTTATTGGACTCAAATAAAACAGTTCCACATGTCTAGGGAGGCCTCACAATGATAGGCAAAGGTGAAAAGCACATCTCACATGGTGGCAGACAAGAGAATAGAGCTTGTGCAGGGACCCCACCCCCTTTTTTTAAACCATTAAATCTTGTGAGACTTATTCACTATCACAAGAACAGTATGGGAAAGACCCACCCCCATGATTCAATTAATTCCCACCAGGTTCTTCCCACAACATGTGGGAATTATGGGAGCTACAAGGTGAGATTTGGGTGGGGACACAGAGCCATACCATATCATTTCACCCCGACCCCTCCTAAATCTCATGTCTTCACATTTCAAAACCAATCATGCCTTCCCAACAGTTTCCCAAAGTCTTAACTCATTTCAGCATTAACACAAAAGTCCACAGTCCAAAGTCTCATCTGAGGCAAGGCAAGTCCTTTCCTCCTATGAGCCCATAAAATCAAAAGCAAGTTAGTTGCTTCCTAGATACAATGGGGGTATAGGCATCAGGTAAAGACAGCTGTTCCAAATTGGCCAAAACAAAAGGGCTACAGGCCCCATGCACATTTGAAATCCAGCAGGGCAGTCAAATCTTAAAGCTCCAAAATGATCTCCTTTGAATTCATGTCTCACATCCAGCTCATACTGATGCAACAGGTGGATTCTCATGTTCTTGTTCAGCTCTGCCCCTGTGGCTTTGCAGGATATAGCCTCCCTCCTGGCTGCCTTCATGAGCTGGTGTTGAGTGTCTGCGGCTTTTCCAGGCACACAGTGCAAGCTGTCAGTGGATCTACCATTCTGGGGTCTGGAGGACAATGGCCCTCTTTTCACAGCTCCACCAGGTGGTGCCCCAGTAGGGACTCTGTGTGGGGGCTCCAACCCCACATTTCCCTTCTGCACTGCTCTAGCAGAGGTTCTCCATGAGAGCACCATTCTTGTAGTAAACTTCTGCCTAGACATCTGGGCATTTCCATACATCCTCTGAAATCTAGGCCAAGGTTCCCAAGCCTCAATTCTTGATTTCTGTGCACCTGCATGCAGGCTCAACACCATGTGGAAGCTGTCAAGGCATGGGGCTTGCACCCTCTGAAACCACTGCCCAAACTCTACATTGGCCCCTTTCAGCCGCAGTTGGAGTGGCTGGGATGCAGGGCACCAAGTTCCTAGGCTGCACACAGCACAGGGACCCTGGGCCCAGTCCAGAAAACCACTTCTTCCTCCTAGGCCTCTGGACCTGTGATGGGAGTGACTGCTGTGAAGACCTCTGGCATGCCCTGGAGATATTTTCCCCATTGTCTTGGGGAATAACATTCAGCTCCTTGTTATTTATGCAAATTTCTGCAGCCAGATTGAATTTCTCCTCAGAAAATGGGATTTTCTTTTCTATCACATTGTCAGTCTGCAAATTTTCTGAACTTTTATGCTCTGCTGCCCTTATAAAGCTGAATGCCTTTAATAGCACCCAAGTCATCTCTTGAATGCTTTGCTGCTTAGAAATTCTTTCATCAGATACCCTAAATCATCTCTCTCAAGTTGCAAGTTCTACAAATCTCTAGGGCGGGGGCAAATACTGCCAGTCTCTTGGCTAAAACATAACAAGAGTCACCTTTGTTCCAGTTCCCAACAATTTCCTCATCTCTATCTGAGACCTCCTCAGCCTGGACCTTATGGTTCATATCACTATCAGCATTTTGGTCAAAGCCATTCAACAATGCTCTAAGAAGTTCCAAACTTTCCCACACTTTTCCGTCGTCTTCTGAGCCCTCCAAACCATTCCAACCTCTGCCTGTTACCCAGTTCCAAAGTTGCTTTCACATTTTAGCATATCTTTTTATCAGTGCTCCACTCTACTGTTACCTATTTACTGTATTATTTTGTTTTCATGCTGCTGATAAAGATATACTCAAGACTGGCCAATTTACAAAAGAAAGAGGTTTATTGGACTTACAGTTCAATGTGGCTGGGGAGGCCTCACGATCATGGCAGAAGGTGAAAGGCACATCTCACATGGCAGCAGACAAAAGAAGAGAGCTTGTACAGGGAAGTTGTGGTTTTTAAAACCATCAGATCTGGTGAGATTTATTCACTTTCATGAGAACAGCATGAGAAAAACCCATCCCCATGATTCAATTATCTCCCACCAGGTCCCTCCCATGACACATGGGAATTTGGAGAGCTACAAGATTAAATTTGGGTGGGGACACAGCCAAGCCATATCAAAGGATCTAGTTCTTGTCAGGCATTTTTCTTCATTCCAAAGAATAGTTAATAAAGTAAAACAGATGCAGTTTGGAATTGCCTAGAACATATTTTTTAGTGTATGAGTGTGGAGGGTCAGGCATTTAGTAAATACATGACTATAGAGTATGTCAGGTGGTTAACAATGCTATTAGGGATGCTTTTGCATAACATCAGGAAATCTTTTCCATTCATGTGATATTTGTGCAGAGGCCTAAAGAAAGTGAGGGAGAAACTCCTATGCTAAAGCTGTATATGCTATACACATGGAAGAAAGAGCTTACCAGGCAGAAAAGAGCAAAGTGCAAAGTATCAGAAATAAATAATAAATTCTAGAACTTTCGATGTCTTTACTTCAGAAGAGAATTTTATTTTCCTCTCACAGCACATTGATTAGATCCTTTTGAAAAAAAATAAAAATAAAAATTTTAAAAGCCTCTATAAGATACAGATTCCTGCATATATTTAAACTTAAATTACATACTCATTGATATAACGAGTTGATAAACAGTTAACTTAATTACTTGACTGTACACACTTTGAGGCTAGTGACTGGGTTTCCATCAGAAAATAGGTATTGGTCAGGACATTGAGGCTCATGCCTGTAATCCCAATATTTTTGGAGGCTGAGGCAGGAGAATCACTTGAACCCAGGAGTTTGAGACCAACCTGGGCAACATAGCAAGACTCTGTCTCGACAAAATAAATAAAATAAATAAACATATTAGCTAGGCATGGTGGCATGCACCTGTAGTCCCAGCTACTTGGGAAGCTGAGGCAAGAGGATTTCTTGAGCCCAGAAGTTTGAAACTGTACTGAACTCCAGCCTAGGTGACAGAGCAAGACCCTGTCCCAGGAAAACAGCAAAAACAAAAAGAAAGTAGATATTGCTTCATAAAAGAGAGACTCCAAATAAAGTAGCTTCAAGAAGTCAGAGGCATGTTTCTCTTGCTTACAACTGTTATGCCTTTTCTGGCAGCTCCCCAATATCAGAAACCTGGAACCTATCATGTTTCTCCACTACTCTTAGAATATTTCTGTGTTGTCCAGGGTATCTCATTATTACATTAACAATCTAGGCTGCAGAATAGTGGAAGATTAGCCAGGGCAAGAAGGACAATCTCTCCCTATATGGTCATGACCCAGAAGTTGCACATACCACCTCCCCTTATATTTTCCATTAGGCATAACCTAATCACATGACCACTCCAAGCCAAAAGGGAGGCTATGCAGGCATATGTTCTGGTAAAAAAAAAAAAAAAAGCTATTTCCAAGAAAAAGGGAAGGGTAGATATTGAAAGACACCTGGTGGTATCTGCTACACCAAGTAGAAGGAACAAGGAAGTCAGAGGCCTAGAGATACATATGTGAGTCAGCATGCTCAAAGAGAACTTAATTGAGTACCTTGACTAAAAGCATGTAGGATTATGACTGGATGATAAAGCAGAACATTAAAAATGCTGCAAAACATCTGAAGAAACAGCTGAAGGTATTTTTAACTGTGCTGTATTGTATAGTCGAATCACAACTTAAATTGGTATTAGGGAGCATGACTGAAGCTTAAACATTAGTGCCTAAAGTGAGAGTATCACTTTAGAGTGGAAATTATAATTGTCTTTCCTCTGAGTAATGGCACACTGAAGAATCTACAAACCATCTATGAATACTTTCTTTTTTTTTAAACCAGAGTTGTAGTCTATTTCCAAGGGCAGAGTGCAATGGCACGATCTCAGCTCACTGCAACCTCTGCCTCCCGGGTTCAAGTGATTCTCCTGCCTCGGCCTCCTGAGTAGCTAAGATTACAGGTGCACACCACCACGCCCACCTTTTTTTTTGTATTTTTAGTAGAGATTGGGTTTCACCATGTTGGCCAGGCTGGTCTTGAACTCCTGGCCTCAAGTGATCCGCCCACTCGGCCTCCCAAAATGCTGGGATTACAGGCCTGAGCCACCGCGCCCAGCCTATGAATTCTTTCAATAGTCAGTTTTCTTCTTATGTATGAACAGGTTACTGTTTCCTTAGCTGTACCATATGAAGGAGTTGCATACATTGCATATAATAGACAATAGGAAAAAACCCTTGCTTTCTTGACCTTTAAACATTGGGAACCACCTTCAAACCACAGAATAAAACAGAAGCCAACTGAGAGAACGATAGATTCATATAATTTATTAGGGGCATACGTTCATAGAGTGGAGTCTACAAACTTTTTCTGTAAAAGGCTTGATGGTAACTACTTTAGGTCTAGTAGGTTATACGGTCTTTGCTGCAAATACTTGACTTTTGCTGTTGTGGCAGTAGAGTTGCCATAGACATATGGATATAAATGGGCATAGCTGTTTTCCAATAAAACTTTATTGACCTAAGCAGCTGGCTGGAATTGGCCTGAGAGCCCTAGTTGGCTGACCCCTGGTCTAAATTGTTAGCCTAATAACTTTTTATTGGGGTGGGGAGCATATTTTCTTTTTTACTTCCAAAGGTAAATAAGCATGTAATGCTGCTCCCCTTCTTAGCAGACACTCTTAGAGCATATGTAGTGTTTCCTCTCTTGTTAATTATGCAGCACAAAGATTCATGTGACAGAAGCAGAGGAAGGAATGGCCATAGGCGTCAGTTTATAGGAGGCAGATTTGAGCTGAGCCATAAAAAATGTATATAAATTTATCACTATGAGCTTTATACATTTTATATCATTCTATCCTCCAATACTTCTGTGTAGTTTCATAACCACAGAGAAGTTAAAGAAAAATTTTTTTTCTAAAGGTCTTCAAATGAGCAAGAGATGAAGCCACATCAAGGTTTCAACTCAGGTGCCTCTCATTCATCACACTATTAACCTTCTAAATGTGGTGCCTGAGGAGGTCAGGAGTTAAGAAAAAGATTTTCCCTCTTCCGGTATCAGGAGCTCTATACTCCCTGCACAGCAGTCCATCTCATTAATGCCTAGGTCATTTTCAGCAATGTTGTCCTTACTTCCACCTTGTGTGGTCATAAGTCTAATACAGAAATAAAAGATTTCAAGAATTTTTATAGCATTGTGCCAGGGTGATACCAGCAGGTTTTAGAAAGCTTTCCTTCTATAGCATCACAATGCATGATGCCTGCAACAATTCCAAACCTGAACTGGGTCAAACTCATATCAATTTATTCTATGTTTAATGGCTTTCTGAAATGTAAGCACTATAATTTCAAATATTTACCACTGGGCAGAAATAAATGTACATTTTGGCTTTCCATTATTCCCCTATCCATGAACAACAGTAGTGGCTCAATAAGACATTAAAGGATCTCACACTCCATGGCTGCAGTCACCACATAAAAGGCTAGCTTAAACAGCAAACTTTAATTAGAGTTTGGAAAGAGCATTTTTGTTTCAGTAAAATAAAAACACAGGTGGTTTAGTGAGTTCACTCTGAGTATAAACCCCCAAACGCCATTTAAAAAGCAAAGTAGTTAAAGGATTTCATTTTTCTGGTCAGCTCTATCCCAGGTAGAAACAACAACCCTACCATTTTTGAGAACATGGGGTATTCAAGTGCATTTGGCCCTTGGCCAGCTGTTACATGCTTTAATATTCTCTAACAAGAGAAAAGAGCTCTCCATTAAAATGCTAGGCAGTTTTCAAGCATAATATTGCCTATGCCTTTAGTTTTCCATGGCTATCTTAAAATTTTCTCAGGATCATGATATTTTTGGCCCCTGTGCACTGCAAGCTTCCCCACTCCACACTACCACTATTGGAATATTATGCTTCTTTTCAAGATCTCTAGTTAGAGCCTAGTCCTTCATCTTATGTTTCTGGTTCTTTCTATTCTTCATTAATGAAGACTTTTCAAAGCAATAGTTAACTTTGGCATATGCGTCTATATAGAAAATAGTCCCAAACTCCAACCAGTGTCCGATTTGCTGACAATCACTCATCAGCATCATCACCAAATATCTAATTTGGTCTCATTTTGAATGCTGGATGAACAACTTATACATAATGAGTGGAGATCTAGGTTGAAGTAGCAGTCTGCTTATAAGTGACCCAGGATTAAGTCGAGAGCTAACGTTTGTCAATGGCAAGCACTAAGCTGTACACAGGTTTTTAAAGCTGGATTGCTGAGGTTCAAATTAGCTACTTTCTGGCATGGGAATTTATAAAAGCTGCTTAGCTTTCTTGTTGCTCAATGTCCTCATCTGAAAAATGGGAGTGATAGTATAGTATTTACATCAGAGAAGTATTTTGAGGACTAAAGGAGATGATACGTGTGAGACATTTAGAATGAAGGCTGACCTGTCATAAGGGCTACAGTAGCATTAGCTATTACTATTTTGATGGTATGTGCCGAAGGTTAAGAGCTTGTTCTCTATTAAGAACTTAACACACATCATTTCGTTTACTCTTCAATCAAATCTGGGAAGTTGGGTGTTTGAGAAAACAGATCTGAGATTTGTAGCTCAGAGTTTTACAGTGGTAGAATAGAGAAATCAGTCTGACTTCTAAATTCATAACACAATAGCAGAATGAAAGCATTTAAGGGTACTTTTCTCACAGACTAAAATAAAAAAGGGAGGTTGTTTTTCAGAGCACATGCATCTACAAACATTGTAATACATATTTGCATATGTATATACTTTCTAAGCACAAGTAAATTCTTGCAAAAATATGTATATTTAAATATATTATCTCCTCTAAAATCAAGAATACTTTATGCCTTAGTACAGATGGTAACTTGGGTTAGAAGCACATGTCAGTAGCATTGATCTTGCAGTCAGCATCTTCTCATTATCCTTGACCAGTTATATGATTATTTTTGTAAAATTAAAGCTATAGTTTCTTTAATAATGCTTTGTGGTTTCCTCAGAATTATCACTAATATTTCTCAGGTTACTCACTCTTAAATTAAATGTATGGCATATTATGGAGGTCATTTGGTCTTCTTTGTGGCATTTTTATGTTATTTAACTTCCTTTCCAGGTTATTGATCTCTTAGTGCATTTTACTGCATTATCTCTAGCTTTTACACAGCAGTGTTGTAGAACATTTAAGAAGATTTTAAATTATAATAATAGTGTAAGCACAGAGCTTGCATCACCAAAGCATCTGCAGAAGTTTCAACACAGGGAAATAACTGTGAGATTCAAGTAATACCAACAAGGATTGTTAGTATTTCTATTTGCCATATAAATGGCACTTCCTTTTAATAATATTAAAGTACAGTATATAAGTTATCTAAATTGTAATCTTGGAAATTTTGTATTCCTCGATAAATTCTGAAGATCTGGGAGATATCACATACTTTCAAATTGGGCACAACCGATTATAGCTTTATATTACATTATGATATTGTATTTCAAATCCATATAAAATGCTTCCAGACTGCATATGAATATAGCTTATGAGCCCCACTATTCCTGTTGCTCCATATCCCCACCAAGTAACCCTCATGATTCTTCTGCTGTGTTGCTCATTGCATTGATTTCACCTGACTATCATGGCACTTAAGGCCAAACATCCCATTCAGTGAAAAGCATTTAACACTTCCGGCTTCTGAGCATAGATAGCAACTCCAGACCTTCCTTGTGATGACCAGAAGTCTCTCACTCATGTCTTTAGGTGTAGCAGGGAGCTGGTATCTTCCCCTTTTAAAATTAATAGGCGCAGTAAGCCTTTTATCCCTTCAAGCCTATTGATCACCCTACACATTTCCTGTTTTCTGGTATTATGCTCACTCTGATACACTTTGTGTCCAACACAGTGAGGAAAGAAGAAAGTAATAGGGCCAGAAGCAAAAGATAATTATCTAAGAGATGATTTCAGGGACCTGGACAAAAATCAAAAGAGATATCTGAAGAACAGATAAGCCACATGACTAGTAATCAAGAGTTAACTCAAAGTGAGCATTTTCAGCATTCTATTCAGCGTGCTACATGAATTATTTTGTGCTTTTATCATCTCAACAACCTTATGTGGTGAATATAATGAATGCCCCAATTATATGGATCAGGGGATGATTACATAGTGTTCAGTGTTAATCACTGAAGGTTTGCTAATGTAAAAGAGAAAGTGCAAAAACAACTTAAGAAGGAAGGATATGCATTTCAAGAAAGAAAACAAAAGAAGGCCTTACCCTTCAAAAATTCATACATAAAGCGAGATGTCAGAGTATAATGTTGATTTTGAACCTCAAGGAAGTGGATATTAATTTAAAAATTACTTAAATTTCTTAAATATTTTTAGAAAGGAAATAGGCCAGGCATGCTGGCTCATGCCTGTAATCCCAGCACTTTGAGAGACCGAGGCAGGTGGATCACAAGGTCAGGAGTTCAAGACCAGCTTAGCCAAGATGGGGAAACCCTGTCTCTACTAAAACTACAAAAATTAGCTGGGCGTGGTGGCAGGCACCTGTAATCCCAGCTACTCCGGAGGCTGAGGCAGGAAAATAGCTTGAATCTGGGAGGCGAAGTTTGCAGTGAGCTGAGATTGCGCCACTGCACTCCAGCCTGGGTGACAGAGTGAGACTCTGTCTCACAAAAAAAAAAAAAAAAAAAAGGAAACATATGAGGTCAACCAAGAAGTGGGAGAACCAAATGACAGAATGGTGTTCTTATAGCTATGGAGAACTGCTTAAAACACTTTTACTTGGAAAGCAAAAACTCATTCTAGCAGGCTCAGACAGATAGGTCATCTAAAAAATATCCAGTTGATCACTATGATATTCAAAATGTTTGTCAACAGGCTGAAACAATGGGTCAAAACAGACACATAGAAATATATAAAATGCCAACCTTTTGTTGTCATGGGTTTGTTTAAATGTAAACTTTGCCATCTACTGGTTAAGTGATGCTTGCAAGTTACTTAGCATTTAGGCGCCTCAATTTCCTTATCCATAAAATGGGAACAATAGTATCTCCCTTACAAAATCAATATAAAGAGTCCTTTGCTTTGCTTCAGAAATTCAACTAAGTATAGGATGACAAAGTCCTTGTTTGCAACCAGAACACGCAGTTACAATCTTGGGGATTTAATGTAATTTGTGGCTGAAAAAGAAAAGGCAAATTTAGGCTGCATTAGTAGAAGCAAAGTATTCAGGTCACAGGAAGGACTTCTGTATTACTAATAACCAGGGCATGAGATGGGTGACGGTAGCTATCTATGTATAATGATTGTTTTTTAAAGTGTGAATGCAATATCTATTGTGCAGCATATGTGACTCACTCTTTGATTAGAATCTTTGAAACGCATTGGTAATTAATCACCCTCAAGCCCATTGACCTCATATGTTCTTCAGAGGTTGTCTTGAGGCAGCACTTTCAACAGCCACTACAGATTGATTGGACGTGTCAATGCAAAATACGATGCAGTTTTACTTCCAGGAACTGTTAAGTGAAACTATGCAACAATTTTATTTATTGTTATTTGGGTTAGAGATTTATTGTTATTTGGGTTATTTATTATTGTTATTTGGGTTGGACAATTGAATAATAATTATTATGTTATTTTAAATTCTATTATTATGGCTATTCTGCTCTTCAAAGAAAATACTGCATTCAGTAGTCCCACTCTAATCATGGCGTTGCTGAAAACCACTATGATTAAGAGAGCTGATGAAGTTGAGGAAAGTAAGAGTTGAAGAAACTCACAACTAATGGGGAAAAAAATCAATAAAACGAATGTCAAAAGTGAACACACAGACACATGCACATGCACCTACATGTGTGTATTTTCATGATATATTCTCACTAGGTCCCTGTGGTGATAAAACTTAGCTCAACTGATACTTTTTGTAGAATTCTCTTCTCTATGTGGTTCCAAGTGAGAGATGCATACAGAGAGATTTGCAAGATTTTTGGAAAGAGATGAAGGAAGAACCAGTTTGACACTCAGAAGACAGACATAGTGTGATAGGCACCATGACATCTTGCACGTGTCTTCATTAATGTACTGAAACAGTTAGCTGAGTGAGGGAAAGCTGCCTGGCCCACAGCTACCCCCAATCTTACCAGGCTTCTCCCTTCAAATTCTGCAAATCCTGGGCCAGATATGTAATTAGCTCCATGGCAAAAGGTGCCAAATTCTCTTGCAGGTCACCTGCACCATCAGAGTTGGCAATCATGAGATACGGATGTGGGTATCTGTGAAGATGTATGACTTCATAAGTTTCTGATGGTCTTTGCTCTCCTACACTTGAGTTACCCTACCCATCAGATGCCCCAGCTAACTTATGGATCATTCAGGCCCACCCAACACCAAATGCAAAGACAATGCTGTTGCATAGACTTCTTTTTTTTTTTTTTTTTTTTTGAGATAGAGTTTGCTCTTGTTGCCCAGACTGGAGTGCAATGGCTCAATCTTGGCTCACTGCAGCCTCTGCCTCCCGGTTCAAGCGAGCCTCCCAAGTAGCTGAGATTACAAGCATGTGCCACCATGCCCGGCTAATTTTTGTATTTAGTAGAGATGGAGTTTCACTATGTTGACCAGGCTGTTCTCAAACTCCTGGTCTCAAGTGATCCACTCACCTTGGCCTCCTAAAGTGCTGGGATTACAGGCATGAGCCACTGCGCCTGGCCACACAGACTTCTTAACCAGCCCCCATAATTGTGTAAGGTCTAATTCCTAAAAATAAACCCTTATACTTTGTTAGTCACAGAAATTCTGCTTTTCTGATAGATATGATTGCTGTAATAACTCACATTTTAAAGGTAAGATTTACATCTTTTGTTGGCATGGGTTTAAATACAAGCTTTATCATTTAATGGTTGGGTGATCCTTGCATGTTTCTTAGCATTTATAAACCACAGTTTCCTAATCTTTAAAATGGAAACAATAACACCTCTCTTATAAGGTTAATATGAGGATTAAACAAGGTAATATAAATAGCCGATTTATCTTTGTACCAACCTTGCACTATGACCTCAATGAAAGATAATGGTTATTGTCACTTGTGAGTTTATCACTTGTCAGTTTTATGATTTAAATATATCATTTATTTTAGCAAAGCTTAAGTTACACTGTGGCTGTTTCAAAATTAAGAGATAATGTATTAAAATTACCTGGTCTCAAATCTATGTAGAAGAATGAATCCTAATGTAAACTATGGTCATTAAGTGATAATGTTGTATTAACATAGATTTGTCATTTATTACAAATGCACCACTCTGTTGGGGGATGTTGTTAATGAGGGAGGTCATGAACATATAGGGAGAGGGAGTATATGGGATGTCTTACCTTCCTCTCAATTTTGGTGTGAACCTAAAATTCTTCTTTTAAAAAGCTCTTAAAATATAAAAATAAAATAACATTTTTAAAATTGCCTAGCCAAGTCCTTGACCTATTTGGTACTCAATATATTAAATAAAACAATAAGTAAATAATCAATTATATCTTATATATTTTAATCAATAATTTATATACTGTTCATTTAATTTCTATTTATTCTTCCCTTAATAATAATTACATGCTTTCCTTATTCTACAGTTATAATAAGTTGCTTGTAAACAATTGAGCTTTGTTGATGATATTATTTAATTAACAGGCATGATTTTTCTACACTTTGTTGTCCATTCGAAAGTCTAAAGCTCTCTGATGTTGTACTTAAGAATACTGATCTATCACCTTTCGGAACTATTATGGTCTCATAGAAGGACAAAAGCATTATCTGTTCAGTCCCTCTTATTCATACCTGCCCCATATATCCTAGCACATAAGACCATGTAGTTCAAATCTGACTTTACTTTCTCCTACTTCTTTTATTCCTCCATTAGTGATAGCAAAAGCCTCATGCACACTTGGGTGCTGTTTGGCTCCGTCTCCTAGTTGCCATGACCATTTTCCAGGTTTCTTAATTATTCTCATGGGGAAAAGTCCACATCGTAGATATAAGGGAAACAAAATCCTCACATTTATAAAAAAATCCAAAATTATATGTTTTATCCATATGAAGCAAAATTTGTAGTTGAGAAGGTATTACTGTATTATTAATAATGTATTTTAGTGGGAGGTAGGAAGAACACACATGCCTGCAATATTGGACAAGAAATAGGTAATTCTGTATTCTATGATTTAGCCCAACCTATCAATTTTCTTTTAAGCACTGAATATATTAAAAATAATCTTCATGGTCTGCTGTTTTCTGAGATGAATTTTAAAATTCATTAGTAATTTTATACTTTCTTTTTAAAATATTTAAATAAATTCATGGATTCAGGCATGCTCTTATGTCTCAATTTAGGTTTGTCCTTAATGTTTTGCTTTCTCATTTGGCCCATCTATCCACTGGTACCACCATTCTCAGTTCGGTTCTATGCATCCAGTGGTCTGGCTAAAGCCCTTGTGCCTGTGTTTATACTCTAACAGAAGACAGAGGATGATGATGATCATGTCGACTTCTTTTGCTTCCATTGAAAGTCTATTCTTTTTTTAACTATAAATTTCCTGTGGTTTGGTTGAAGTATACTGATAATTTTCAAGATTCTTTTTTATTCTTGGTCTACTCTTGCCCTATGAAATATTTTTTCCAAAACCTTCTCCTATTTCTATCTGCATTCCTCTGTCCTCAGAATGTTATTAGTCTAGACATGGCCTCTCTCTCTTCTTTTCTCTATGTGCCTTCTTTCACTATTCTTGAATTTCTTTTTAACTCTGTCACTCTCCTATAGGCCTCCTCTATGATTTCTCTCTCATGTTTGTGAGAAGTGTAGGGCTATATCTAAGAATGTTGGTTCTTAGATACCTAATGGCTTCCTAACTCAGTCACTCACATCCAATCCACCTATTTTTCTTCTGAAACTTCTCAAGGAACAGCACTGTAGACAAGCAAGGAAAAGAATGGAGCTTCAGAATTATTATTTATCCTTATCTATCCAACATATCTCTATGTGTGCAGAAATGCTATATGCCTTTTTATTAAAAATCTTTACTTCTAACATGTTCCATAACTCTGTTATCAATAATTTAAACAGATTGCTTTATATGAGCAATATTCTTGCCCTCTATATTTAAAAAGTGGGTTCATATGATCTTATATAATTAAGATTACTACAATAACATTTCCTCAGCTCACTATATTATAATTTATTTTAAAAAGTTGTTGTATTTGCTGAGTTGACTTAGGAAGTTGATAACCAATTTGTTTTCAAGAAAAACTATTAGAAATAGGGCAATTCTTTTTACCTATTACTTGAATCTTTAAGAATTTCAATAGATCTCTTAAGCTAGAAGTTTCAAGCTTTAAGAAGTCTGAGAAAACTCTGATCTTTGTCTTCAAAATTTTGATTTTATGTGCAACTATATAGTTTTCAATAAATAAGATCAATAGCATTAATCAAATTCTCCAATAGTCATAGCAATTTTAAGAGTTAACATAGCTAATTAATATGTGCCAGGTATTGTTGAAATGCCAGCATAGATAATTTTATTTAATGGCAAAACTGTGTCTCTACATAGGTATTATTATCCTATCTTTAAAAATAATATTTATTATGCATATTTATATAGATAAGGACATCCCAGCCCAAGGAAGTGAAATCACTTTCCTAATATTAAAAATCTGGTAAGTGTTAGAGCCGGGATTTGACTACAACCTGAACCTAGAGCCCTCAATCGGTAAACATGACTGGGCCCATGTCCCCACAAATATTTTTTTACAATACTGTAAGAAGCAAAAAATAATAATGTTACACTATAAAATGAATGAATATTGTAGTATGTACTGATAATGCTTCTAATTTAAAGTGAAGTATATGAGGCATCACTTATTCATAAAAGAAAACCTGTGTTTTGGTGTGTGCTGCCATGAACCATTTATTTGACCTTGATTATACCAGTTAACCACCATCGTCTTCAATGTGTTAACTCCAAATTAACAGGGTCAATTCAGATCAGTATTTTCCAAACTGTTCCTTAAACCCAAAAACTTTTTGTGCGATAGTTTCAAATGATAAATACATATGTCTATATCAATAATATATTTATTTAATTTTATGTATTAGAAAAATATAACAATCACATCGAATAGGTGACTTCACGGATATTATCTTTTAGCATGAGACTAATACTATTGAATTTAAAAAGAAAAAAGAAAATTTATTTTAAAAATACTACAGTATGGTAAAAATAATGAATGTGATACAGAATTCTAGGTAACAACAAACTAGGCAATTCTAACAGAATAAAGGAGACACAGAAAATGAGTTCCATGGACATATAGAATCTAAAACATGAAGGTATCAATAATTGTTGAATCAAATGAACGAATAAATGTATATCAATTTTATGGCACAGACCTGGAATACCATAAACAGGACTTTTTAAAACAAATTTTTATATTAAACAAAATTCATTCAACAAATTTATTCAACACATATTTATTGAGCCTTTGTTATACGCTCTGTCCATTTCCTAGGTAAAGAAGACACAGTGGTGAACCTGTTAGGCAGGAGATCATAAAACACTGACAACAGCTGTTCCTACACCTTATCTTCAAACACACAACTGTAGCTGTGATGCACCCAGGATTGAGTAACACTTTGAACTTGTTGAAGAACCACTAAGTGGTAACTGTGCTTGTGTGTGTGTTTGTTTGGGAAATGTTGTAATTAATCTCCCAGAAGGCTGGCAACATCATTCAGGTCTCTTACATGCCTCACTATCCATGTAAGATAGATGTGGCCCTACATTCAGATGTTAGTTAGTTATTTAACTGATATCTTTTAAGATTGTTCAATATTTCTTTTCTTTTCTTTTTTTGTCAATGTAAATATCAACAGAATCAGCATAAGATAGTATACAAAGACTACTGACTAAAAGACCTGGTCTAAACCCTGGCTCTGACCCCGCAGCTTTGTTGTGAATATTTAACATGCTGGCTGAGCCTCAGTTTGTCATCTAGGAAATGACACCACACCTCTTTCATCAGGATATCATGAGCCATATAAGATAAAATATAAAATTAAACATTGAAAACAGTACTTGAGTTAGCCTCATTTCAATCCAAACTAGGGCAAAATGAAAATCACAAGTTACCTAAATAGAAAACACAAATCAGGCTAGGCGTGGTGGCTCACGCCTGTAATCCCAAGACTTTGGAAGGCCAAGGCGGTGGATCACGAGGTCGAGAGTTCAAGACCAGCCTGGCCAACATAGGGAAACCCCGTTTCTACTGAAAATACAAAAATTATCCCGGCATGGTGGCGCATGCCTGTAGTCCCAGCTACTCGGGAGACTGAGGCAGGAGAATCATTTGAACCCGGGAGGTGGAGGTTGCAGTGATCTGAGACCGCGCCACTGCACTCCAGCCTGGCGACAGAGTGAGACTCTGTCTAAAAATAATAAATAAATAAAATAAATTAAAAAAAAGAAAACACAAATCAATTCTCTGACTGATTTACAAAAACACTTATTTTTTGATAAACACTATTGGATCATCTTACTGTTAAAGGACAAAGGATGTGGGAAAGACACAGGAAAAAATAGGAATCATAAGTAAAAGAATTATAATAGGTGTGTATTAGTCCATTCTCACACTGATATAAAGAAATACTCGAGACTGGGTAATTTATAAAGGAAAAGAGGTTTAATTGACTCACAGTTCCACATTGCTGGGGAGGCCTCAGGAAACTTATAAGCATGGCAGAAAGGGACTAGCAAACAAATCCTTTTGATATAGCAGCAGGAGAGAGAAGTGCCTAGCTAAGGAGGAAAGCCCCTTATAAAACAAGCAGATCTTGTGAGAACTCACTCACTACCACAAGAATAGCATGAGGGTAACCGCCCCATGATTCAATTACCTCCCACTGGCTCCCTCCCACAATGCATGGAGATTATGGGAACTACAATTCAAGATGAGATTTTGGTGGGGACACAGCCAAACCATATCAAGGTGGAAAACGCTATAACTGATGCATGGAGAAGGCACCAAGAAAATATCAAGGAGGAAACAGTTTCAACTTGCAGAAGAGGAAACTGAGCTTCAGTTTGTGGTGTTTCAAAACAACAGGACCTGGTAGTGAGGAAATTTGTCTCTCTAGCCTTTGCAGTATAGTTTTCTTTATTAGTAAAAAAAAATTATAAATTATTGAGTTCTTATTATTTGCCAGGGACTGGTCCAAGTGTTTTATAAACTTACTATTTTAATCCTTACAACTCTCATGATCACTCAGGGGAAACTAAATTACTAAGAGAGCTTCATCCAAAGGAGGCTTCCTGTAATACGGATTCACCTACACTAATTAGTTATGTGCAAATACAGAAACAATTTTTGCTAAGAATCCCTTAAAAAAGAAAGAAAGAAAATCAGGTAATGTATGGCAGATTTTTGGTTAGAGTTTTCAAATTCTATCTGGATGTAGTTATCATGATTTCTATACTAGAGTAAATAGCTTCCACATTTGCTCATATATATATATATATATATATAATTCATATATATATATATAATTCATATATATATATATAAAATTTATTTAGATGGGTGTCACAACTTTTATATACTTTTTTCAAATATGGCTTACCCCAGTAAGACAGTAACTAGTGATAAAATCTTTGATCAGGTTGAAACTTTCCATGTGGTAAGAATTAGTATCTGTCCAGAAACAATGCCACAACAGTGTCGTTTTTAAGAGCTATCACTGTTCATGAATGCAAAAATTGTCTTGCTGGAAAAAAAGTCACAGTCTCTATATACATGGCTGAGTATATAAGTAAATAAACAACTGTCACAAAAAATGGGGATTGAAATGTAATTTTATAATAGACCAAAATATAAGTATCTGCAGTCTTAACGTGAAAATCAGAGTACTGCCTGGAAACAATGCTATGGAAAGGTAATATTATGAAAAAAACCCTACATATTTATATCTCATAAGAATCATAATGTTAAAACTAATTGAACTCAGTTTATAGTATTGAACTTAGTTGGCATTTGTGTTTTCAATATTACAAAATATGAATAAATGTTTATATTGTGTTTAATTACTGTAACACTTCATTAGCGGTATTTGTGTAACTATTTTTGCAATTTATAAATTACATATATATGCATCTAAAAAAAGAAAACACAAATAAATTCTCTGATTTACAAAAACACTTATTTTTTGATAAACACTATTGGATCATCTTGCTGTTAAAGGACAAAGGATGTGGGAAAGACACAGAAAAAAATAGGAATCATAAGTAAAATAATTATAATAGGTGTGTATTAGTCCATTCTCACACTGATATAAAGAAACACACTGATATAAAGAAATACATATATACGTATATATGTATATATATTCATGTATATGTGTATGTGCATACATATATAATCTTATTTGCTTATAGCAGTCTCATAATATCAAGATTAATATAATTAAAACATTATTGACCATTTTCAAATGAAAAACTGACATTAGGAAAGGATAAGTGGCTTCCCAGGATCACTAGGACAAGTTCATGAAAGTAGAATTTATGGCCCAATAGCTTATAGACTACATGGAAAAATCAAAATGGAATTTCCGATGTTATATCCACATTTGTTCATAGGAGAGAGACAATCTTTATAATCATGAAGGTGTAGGTTTTAGAAATCCAGCCCAACAGTGCTTCTTTCATGGATCTGTATCTATGTGTGGCACTTATGTCATTACCAAATCATTGAGGAAGGAGTATGGCTCCTTTTTCTTCCCTATTCAGACAATTAAAATAGATGACATGTTTCTAAAAAGCAGTAATAATAGTATTAATTGGCTGGGCGCGGTGGCTCACGCCTATAATCTCAGCACTTTGGGAGGCCAAGGCGGGTGGATCACGAGGTCAAAAGATCGAGACAATCCTGGCAAACATGGTGAAACCCCGTCTCCACTAAAAATACAAAAATTATCTGGGTGTGGTGGCCCGTGGCTATAGTCCCAGTTACTCAGGAGGGTGAGGCAAGAGAATCGCTTGAACCCAGGAGGCAGAGGTTGCAGTGAGCCAAGATGCCGCCACTGCACTCCAGCCTGGTGATAGAGCGAGGCTCCATCTCAAACAAAAAAAAAAAAAAGAAAGAAAACAAAATAATGGTAGTAATCAAAAAACAGCAGCAATATTATGGACAACTAATGTTATCAGAAAACTCAAGATGGACTAAGTTATATCTCATATACTACCTTTAATCATTTCAAAACCCTTCTAATTAAGAATTGTTATCATCATTTTTGTTATTATTATTATCATTATTGAGAGAGAAAAATGTAGCTTCAGAAAGTTGGTGTAATATTACTACAGTCATATAGAAAATTAATAATGAAGCTGGAATGAGGCATTCTACTTCATCTCCACATGCCTTTCTCTTATCACAAAATGAACAAAATTTTTCATCATGAAGAAAATACAGTTAGAAAGTATCTGGGTTTCCCACCCCCACCCCCCAAGAAGATACAATTTATGAAAACTGTGCTAGCTGAAAACCACAAACCATATATTTTCTGATTCTATTTAAAAATGTATGAAGAAAAATTACTTCCCTTTCAAAGGAAATGCTGCAAAATATAAGCAGAGGCAGTTCTCCTACAGTGTGAGATTTCATAAAGCAAATAGGATAATTGGAATTTGATTAATAAGAAAACATTATTTGCATTACACAGACTATTACTAGTTCCAGTACAATCAAGATCTGAATCCATGAAAGATGGAAGTAATAATTTAGTTTTTATATGAGGAAAACGGGAACACACAGGTATTTTTGATGTTATTGTTATGTTAGCATGTTAGTATTCCATTTTCTTTTTCTTTTTCTTCTTTATAACTTGAATGTAGTGTCATTTTTGTTTCACTTTTGGTGACTGTGCACAATGCAACAATCAAAACTACAAGGTCAGGTAAAAGAGGATGAAAGAGACTATGACCATCTGGAAGACTGAAGGACAAAGGAAAGAACTTTATTTATTTATTGGATAAATTGTGCTTAATCAAATTATTATTTTTGCATACCATACCAAATACAGTTAAAGATATGATGGATGTCTTTGTTATTTAGAATCTGAAACTCCCTAAGCAATATCCATTTATTCTCCCACAAAATGTATTTTTCACATGCAAGTTTGCCTACAAATGCAGCGATCATGTTATGAAAAAGAAAACTTCACTTAAAAATACAAGTTGCTTAATTTGCAGGCTTATATGTGATTCATTTCTCTTGATGCTGCTTTTTCAATTTTCCATTAATATGTTACTTTAAAATCATTTAAAATATAAAATATAAAGAAATCTAGATGGGCTGAGGTGGGTGGATCACCTGAGGTCAGGAGTTCAACCAACATAGTGAAATCCCGTCTCTACTAAAAGTAGCAAAATTAGCCAAGCATGGTGGCACATGCCTATAATCCCAGCTACTTGGGAGGCTGAGTCAGGAGAATCCCTTTAACCGTGGAGGCAGATGTTGCAGTCATGCAGTCAGCCGAGATCGTGCCATTGCACTCCAGCCTTGGCAAGAGTGAATCTGTGTCTCAAAAAAACCCAGAAATATAGATGGAAAACTCAATTTTGATTTTATGAATCTCATGCAGGCTTTTAGTGTGTTATACAATATTCCTACTAGTCAGCCCCTTCTATAAGCGTTATTCTTCTTGGCTTTTTAATAACTTTAAGAAAAGGAGGTTTAGACTGGGTTTCCAAAATTTCTCTCTAAATCTCAGATGCCATATTCACCTATCATACACACACACACAAAAAAAACACACACACACACATGCACACACACAGGGTGGAGACATAACTTCTATATTAATCAAGGTTTTCCACAGCAAACAAACAAAAAACAAATAGGATCCATAAATGTGTAGAAAGATTTATTGTGAGGATTGTCTCAAATGATTATAGAAGCTGACAGGTCTCAAGGTTTGTAGTCCTCAAACTGGAGGCACAGCAGAGATGATGATGTGGTTCCAGTCTGAGTCTGAAGGCCTGAGAACCTGCAGAGCTGATGATGTCATTCCAGACTGAAGGCTGATAGGCTTGAGACCTAGCAGGAGCTAATATTTGAGTATAAATCCAAGGGCAGGAAAAAGTTAATGTTCTAGCTCAAAGGTAGCCAGGCAGGAGGAGTTCCTGCTTACTCAAGGATAGTCAGTCTTTTTTTTTCTTTTTTTCCTATTCAGGCCATCAAATAGATCAAATAGTTGGATGAGGTCTACTCATATTTGGGAAGTCAAACCCCTTTACTCAGTCTCCTGAAACACTATCACAGACACACCCAGAATAATGTTTTACTGAATGTCTGGGCACTGAATGTGTTATAGTCCATTTTCACACTGCTATAAAGATACTGATGAGTCCAGGCATGGGGCTCACACCTGTAATCCCAGCACTTTAGGAGGCAAAGGTGGGTGGATCACCTGATAGCAGGAGTTCTAGACCAGCCTGACCATTATGGTGAAACCCCATCTCTACTAAAAATATAAAAATTAGCCGAGCATGGTGGCATGTGATTGTAGTCCCAGCTACTGAGAAGGATGAGACAGGAGAATTGCTTGAACCCAGGAGATGGAGGTTGCAGTGAGCTGAGATCACGCCACTGCACTTCAAGCTAGGCAACAAAGCGAGACTCCGTCTCAACAACAACAACAACAACAAAAAGATACTGCCTGAGACTGGGTAATTTATAAAGAAAATATGTTTAATTGACTCATAGCTCCACGTGGCTGGGGAGACCTCAGGAGACTTACAATCATGGTAGAAGGCAAAGGAGAAGCAAGGCACATTTTACATGGCGACAGGAGAGAGAGAGAGCAAGAAGAGGGGAGTGACAGACACTTAAACAACAAGATCTCATGAGCACTCACTGGTTATCACAAGAACAGCATGAGGGAAATAAACCCCATGATCCAATCACCTCTCACCAGGTCACTCCCTCAACATGTGGGGACTACAATTTGAAATAAGATTTGGGTGATGACATAAAGCCAAACCATATCAGCAGGGCTAAGTCAACACATAGAATAAACATGACATCTTCCTTAAAATATTTATTTTAAAAGTATTTTTTTTAAAGTATTTATTTTAAAAGTATTTTTCTAGACTGTTATCTTGGAGAGAAAAATTCACTCTGTTGACACTTTGTCGTCATTAATGACCTACTCTACTCTCATCTCCAGTAATTTATTTGATAGTGTGGTTTGGACAGATACTCTGAATTTGAATCTAGCCTTCACTAGGTAGCAATTGCCACCCTGCTTAACCTCTGTAATTTCAGTTGTTTGTCTGTAACTGACAAACAGTTATGAGGTATCAACCTCATAAACTGCTGTGAGGATTGCAGCCTCCTACTCTCCCCCACCACTACTGTGGCACATAGAAACACTCTTATTCAATTTCCATTCTACCTTTGTTATTTTCCTGGAACTTGTTGGTCTATGTTTTAATGATTTATTGATGTGTAACAAATCACCTGAAAACATAAATGTTTAACTCAACAATGGCGTATCATTTCTCATGACTATGAATCTAGCTAAGATTCAGTTGTGCAGTTTGGCTCTGTGCAATGTTAGTTCAGGTCGCTTATGCAGCTGCATTAAGATGGGGGTTCAGCTGGGGATTGGAATGTACACCACCACCTCACTGATCTATTTGTGAGTTGGTACTGGTTGGATCTGAGATATGTTGATTATGCTGCATGTGGCTATTCTTCCTCCAGAAGTCTAGACTTGGTTCCAGTTTAAAGCATGGAAGCTGGACTCCCAGAAAACTAAGGTGAAACTGTCAGGTCTTTTTAAGCTCTTCCTGGCACTGGCACAGCCTCATGCTGTTGTTAAAAGTAAAGCGCATGACTAGTTTGGATACAAAAGTAAATACACTCCATTTTATGATGGGAAGATTGAAATGCATCTATGGGGAAAACACATTTTTCATAGCCATATTTAAAGGCATTCTTCCATACCATCTTACATACTTGGGCTACATACACTACTGGGCTACCTTAAAGTACCACAAATGGGTGGCTTATAAACAGAAATTTATTATTCAGTTCTGAAGACTCAGTCTAAGACCAAGTTGTTAGTAGGACTGGTTTCTTCCTGGGGTTGTGAGAGAAAACCTACCCTTGCTTCTTGCCTAGCTACTGGGGAGTTTCTGGAAGTCTTTGATGTTCCTTGGCTTGTGGAAGCATCCTCTGATTCTGCCTTCATCTTCACTTGGCATTCTTTCTGCATGTGGAACTGTCTTCAAAGTTATACCTTTTAAAAGTGCACCAGACATATTGGATTGGGGCTTATTGGAATAACCTTTTTTAAACTGAATTATCTCTATAAAGACCCTATTTCCAAATGAGGTCACTTTCTGAGGCAATGAAGCTGAAGATTTTAACAAGAATTTTAGGGGTATACAATTCAACCCATAGCGATATTGTAATTAGCCTGTTACAGTCTATGTCTGCCATTTTTTGCCAATTGTCTTCCACCATAATGCTCTATGGTAGCAGGGGCCTTTGTCTTTTTATTTGTTTATTATGTACCTCAAGTTCTTAGCACAGTACTTGACATTGAGCAAGCATTCAATATATATTTACTGAAAGAAAAACTGAAAGATGTTATAAAAATGTTAGCATATTGTCTGGTACATGAAAAGTGCTAACAAATATTAGCTCTTATTACTAGAATATACATAGTGATCCTAAGAATACATCTTCAAATATTATTTTTGAAAGCATTCAGGAATGACTCATTATTACTGTGAAATTACTAAGTATGCCAGAATGTGCAATCTTCATGAATGCATTGCTTCAAAGTAGGTTCATTATTCTGAAGGTTAAGTTATAGCTTAACAAATTTTAGAGAATTATCTTCAGACTTTTTTTGTAAATATGACTATTAGTTTGTATTTGTCATCTAGACTGATCACTTACTGATTCACCAAACACAATTCAGAATATCTTTAGTTATTTCCGGTATTGAAATGTGTCCATAGACTATAGAATGGCATACTCCCAAATAATTAAAATAATTAATTTAATATTAAAAAGAATAAATAATTTCAACAGATCAATTTGTTACACACCTTTATTCTACCTGTTTATATTAGAGAATGCAGCCATTATGGGGAGAAAATACAACTATGAGTCACTAATAGAGTTTGAAAGTCCTTGTGTGTATCTTAGACCTTTTATCTTTCTTTCTCTCTTAGGGAAAATTGCAGTTGAAATGTTCTAGACTTGCTATGCCCAGAATTAAAACCAAGAAGAAACTCTGCCTTTGTGTTCTCATACAGAAGAGCCATCGAAAGATCAGTAGTCAAACGTGAGGTACCCTCATTTTAGTAACATCTAGGTCAATGGCCAAAAAAGTAATAGTAAAAGTAAAATTCCTCCAGATTAATTAACACCATATGGTGCCATTCAGAACCATAAATGATGGTGATACATTTTCAATTTAGATTAATGATGCTGTATGTGAAAGAATAGGAAGAAATTCACTCATTAGCCATTGAGTCCAAGAAGGCCTTCATCTGATCTGCCTCCAATCCAGGCAAGGTCCCCAGAGTTCGCCAAGTCTTAGAGGTGTGCAGAATAAATTAAAGTTAAAATATTGTCCAAAAGAGACCATATGTGTGAGCAGACTGCGTTTGCCTTGACAGGGAATTGTAAGTGTTAAGACAAATCATGTCCAATTTGTCAGAAAATTGACTCAGGACTGGAAGGAAGATAATAATTTTAGTTAAGGGAGCTAGGAGGCTTAAGACATATTCTCCTGAAAATAACGAATATGAGAGTGGTGACCAAAACACCCTTAATCACTCTATTTTTCTCCTGAGAGGTCAAAACCCTTAAATGTGGGAATATGAGTATTTTTGAGTCTTCTCATAAGCATATAGCATTTAAAAACTTATATAAAGCTTAATATTAATTCTCAACTGGCTCACATTCTAGAATCTAAATGAAGAATATTATCAGCAAACAAAAAAAGTATTCTGGATTAGAAAAGTGCTCATATTTATTTAACTGCTACTTTGTTCCTAGTAATAAATAAAGCAGAAATCTTTATTTCGATTGTCAAGGAGTTTACATATTGTGTGGACAGATAAATAACAGTATAAAATGTTAAAATATAGAACATGGTAGAATATGATTTTTGCTAGGGAGAAATAGGGCCAGCAATGAGATAGGGGTTACTAGAAACTTCACATATGTTGGTTGGGAAAGACTTCAGTGAGAAGGCAAAGAGATGACTACATGAGTTACATGATTTCTGGAAGAGATTGTTCAGAAAAGAGAGACCAGCAAGGAAATAAGTGGTTGCTATAATCCAGGAGAGAGAAGCTTATCATTTATGGAAGGGTGGTAGCAGCAGAAGTGTTGAGATACAGTTCAAATGAAGAGCCACAAGATTTATAGACAGATTAAATGTACGATTTGAAAGAGGAGAGTCAAGTATAAACCAAATTTTGGCCTAGAGTTTAATCATTAACTGAGATAGGAAGAAATGGACCAGAACCAGTGCATGAAGAAAAGGTTAGAAGGTCAATTGTCCATGTTAGGATCTAAGTGTCTATTAGATATTCACATGGAAAAAATGTAGTAAGCAGTTGGAAGTATGAACTTGGAACCCAGGCAAGAGTTCTGGGATAGACCAATTATAGGTAGGTAGGAGGTAGATAGATAGATAGATAGATAGATAGATAGATAGATAGATAGATAGACAGACAGACAGAGATACATAGAGACAGAGATTGACTGACAGATGATATCAAAGCCATGAAACTGGATGTCATTACCATTGCAAGTATTAGAATTCAGAAAAGACATATTGAAGCATCAATCCCTGAGTAACTAATGGCCAGCAATTTACAAGTAAAAGTAAGAATGTGAGGTCCTGGACAGCCAATGAAGAAACATAATTCTGCTGTGTCAAATACTTCTGATGGAACAAATAACATGACTACTAAAAACTGATCAACAGCATTATAGGTGACCTTAAATATAACAGTTTTAGAAGAATGGTAAGAGTAAAGGCCTATTTAGAGCTATTTCAAAGGATATGGGAAGATGTAAATTTGAAACATCAGTATGATTAACATTTATGAGAAGTTTTCCCGCAAAAGGAAGAGAAATGAGGCAATAGCTGGACTGGTGAGTAGGTACTAAAAAAATGTATTTCTTAAGATGGGAGAATAGACAGTATGTTTGAATATTAACAGCCTAGCAGGGGGATAATTCATAATATAGGAGAAAAAGGTGAATTACTGGAATTATATATTTGTGTTTGTTAGATAGGGTAGTCTTCTGTGAGAATCGGTAGAATTAATAATCTATAGTCATAGACTGTGAAGGAGAGTGCCTGGGTACAGATGAAAGTTATGGGATAAATATGATGGTTGAAGCCTGTAGGTGTTCTCTTCTGATTTTTTCAATTTTGTTAGTGAAATAAAACAAGTTCATCACCTATGTGTGAGAATGGGAGAAGAGGTATTATATATTTAAGGAGAAGTAAAAGGTAAAAGATATGTCTAAAAGACTTGAACAGAGAATAGAATTTGGAAATGGAATATTATTGCTTCACAGCAATGAGTACCAAGATCAGGGGTCATAAATATAAAATGAGACTAGTTTTATTTTCTTGTGTTTCTTCAACCTTGTTGGGCTGATGGGTTAGGACACAAAGTAGGTGATAGAATTAACCAAGGTGATTGTTTTACCAAGCAAAATAAAAACAAGATAGTTATGCTATAATAGCTGTGCTATAACAGTTATGCTATAACAGTTATGCTATAACAGCTCTGAGTGTTTATAAAAAGAAGAAAATGTAATGAACAATCTTCGGACTTTCAAAATATCTACTTAAGCCTCTGTTTTCTTCAGAATGACTTAACCTAGATCTGATTATCTGGCTCCTGTAGGTCCAGATACAATACAACTAACTGTTTCTCTGAAATAGGTATGCCTACAAATTTATCCCCCAGGTTACCTGTACTAGAGTGGGTTCTAATAGACATCCATCTTTGGAAATAAATGTGAGGGTACTCTAATAATTCAGTAACTATTCAGAATATTACTAGGTTAAATGCCATTTTCAGAAAATTCATGCAAAGAATAATCAACATTCCTTGAGAAGACAAATATTAAAAGACTGCATCTCGCTGTTCATTTTTGTCATAAACATTTTTTAGAAGTCACCTAGGCTCACGTCTTAGAGGTAATATGAGCCTCATTCTCATATGCCTCTTATTTCTGGATAGATCTATGTGACACAATCTAATTCCTGTTAATTTAGTGGAACTTCCCAGTAGGAACACAGAGAGGTGGGACCATCCTTATTTGCTATTGGCACAATCAGTCTTGAAGATAAATAGTTTCATTCCAATAAAATATGTAAAAATGTGTAGTCATAAAATACATTAGCTACAAGCCTCCAGTAAAGGCTAGATGATATAGGAGGTTTAGAATGATCACATTTAACTAAATCAAGACTGCAATCCAAAGAGAATGATAGGGGGAGTTAAGTTCAAGCCATCTGAAGACAGTATTTACGAATACATGAGAGATCTGTTGTTACAGTGTGATATACTTAATGATCTCTTTGGGGCACCCTATGGATGAAATGCATCCTGGTTCTACTGAGTATGACTAACTTTACTATTTCCAGTGCTGTGTCATTTGTTGGTCATTTTAAATTACAGCTTAGATTAAGTAGAAAGCAAAAGTGAGAAAAATAAATCCAAACAAATGAATGTTCAAAAGCAAAGCAGATATTGATGAAACGAAAACTATAAAATAAGTATCAAGAGAAGAAAATTAAAGAAAGATAGAACAGTACTAGAGTTTGGTCTAGCTTTCTTTGTGGAGAGATCCCTTTTTGCAGAGTTGGAATCCTCGCAGTTAGCCACTCAATATGGATAAGGACCATGTGATACACACTCGTGTCATTATTGTTCACTTTCATTCAGGCACTTGAGATTAAAAGCCAGACATGGAAGAATCTTCAAACTCTGTAAGCAGAGGATAAATGTTCTGGCTTGTCCAACCCACCTTATTTTGTTGTTGTCCTGTTTTCTTTTGTTTTAGGCTTTTAGCAGCCTGAAGCTATGGTTTTTATTTTGTCTCTAGTGATAAGCAGAAAAAAGGGACTAGGAAGGGGCCTTACTCGCCCAACCAGAAACAGAAGCTAGGAATTCATGACTGTATTCTCCCCCTTGGACACCTACTGTAGCTTAAAATTGGACAGATAACTTGAAAACCATGGATAAAACTACTTCCTGCTTTGTACTCAGGAACTGTATACCATTAAATCTGTAGGGAACACCCACAGCTGTTAGAAAATGTTAGGACTTGAAGGATAATCAGTAATTATTCATCCAATACCTACTTTACAGAAGAAGAAACTGAAGCTCAAAGAACTGAAATACCTCAAGGTCATATAATTAATTTGGATGAGAACCAGAGTCACACCACAGCTTATTCCATTAAGTCAAAATAATCACGTTCTTTTCTTGTTAATAGTTTAAGCTAATGGAAAGTATCAGTTTTACTCTAAAACACCCTATAAGAAGGCTATCAGATATGAAAGTAAAGACAGGGGTAATCATTGCAATTGGAAACAGAAGAAATGTTCAATAATAAGTGATTGATCTGGTAAAACATTCTCCAGCTAACTAGTGGAATACTAAAAAGTCATTAAGAATCATATTGCAGATTAATATTTAATCATTCAAGATTATTGCTAAGGGAAAAATGATACATTCAAATTACAACACAGTAAATACAATATACTAATAATCTGTTTTATAAATTGGTAGATAACTGGAGTGACGTATACTAAATTGTTAATAGTTTATATACTGGATCACCTCATCTCCTTTTTTATGCCATTTTATTTCCTCCTATATTTTTCATAATAAGCATGATTACTTAAGTTTCCAGAAACACAATATTTTTTAACCTTCATTTTTTGAAAGGAAATTATGAAAAAGACTGTAATTATTTCTTTTTTTCTTCTAACTATAAGAGCTATTTGCAATTCTTTGAGGCCACCTCTTAAATCAGATGTATGTGTTTGTGTGGTGTGTGTGTGTGTGTGTGTGTGTGTGTGTGTTTTAATTAGAAAACATGAAAGCAGTCATTTCCTCTTTTGACTTTCTACTGAAAACCTCCACTGATCAGGCAATGGGAGAGTAAAACACATTTGCAAGATCAAAAATTGACTTTTTAAAAGTGAGATTCAATCCCTATGCATGCATAATTGTTAAAAAGTGATAATGGAAACAAATGACTTACTTCTTGTTATGTAGAGATCTAATTTTGGCAATCCTACAATCATCACATATTGTTCACCTGCATTAGTAGAAATTGCCAAAGAAAAACCTAATATATAAAAAATGACCTAAATTGTCCAAGAAAAAACTAAATTAAAAAAAACCTAATATAAAAATAGAAGATTTTGATTCCCAATAATACTGTAGAAAATAACAGGTATAAAGAAAATCAGCAACAACAAAATGCAATTCTTATTGTATTAAAGAAATATAGCGCTGAACTATAATGAGAAATGAATTGGTGAGGAAAAAAATGCATCTCTCTCAGATCCCATTCCATTTCCATGAAACATAAAGAGTGATTGCGTTTAACTGAATGCCCCATGAGCTATGAAAATCATTTGAATGGGAAATGTGTACATATAAAATTTACTCAGCATTTATATAAGCCTTCATGTCCCTAAATTGTAATTAGCATGCATTATTAAAAGATGCAAATACAAATTCCTGCTCTATAGAATATTTGAAGAAAAATTTAAACTTTAAAAAATCTACAAAGGTAAAAAATATTTTATAATTTCTTGCAAAATAGTATATATTAACTGCAGATATTCAGCAAGCCACATGGCCTCCTAAAATGTCATTTTTAATGAAGACACAGATAACTCATAAACATTTATAGTCTTGCAGCTATTCGATTCTGGTTGTCATATTCCTTCATTTGGCAAATATTCATTGGGTTTTTATTATATGCCAGACATTCTTCTAAGCACTGGGAAACAAATGTGACCAAGACACAATTTTTGCCCTCCTGGTATTTGAGTCTATGAAAAGGCAAATACTTTTAAGTAAATAGTTAACATACCTTATCTATATGAATATAATAAAGAGCATGCATGTTTTATCCAACAAAAATTCTTCATAGTATATAGATAAAAAATAATAACACAGATATGACATATGATTATTTACCCAGAGAATTTTTAATTGTAGTTCTAATTGTGCATTTCTTGGGACACTCTTCAGAATATATAAAAACTCAAATACACACCAGAGATTAGTACATGATTTTATAATGGGCATGGCCTTCAGCATTAAATTAACATGTTAAAAGCAACTGCTGCTGGAAAGTTATTGAATGGTATACATAAAATATTCATAGTGTTGCAGAAACAAAAGACCCTTTTCTGATCTTTCTCTAATAGAGAACACAGTCCTTGACAAAAATAAATAAATAAAAATGTCCAAACCTGTTTCTAAAAGAGTTTAACATTTTGCATTTCTCCCAGAAATGTGTGAGAATATCAATTGATCCACTTACTCTCAAAATATGTCATTGTTATTGCTGATGATTCTCCAGTTATGCCTTTAATTGTCATTTCCCAGATTACTGTGATAGACATATTTTCTAGTGCCTATTGACTATTTCTGTAGATTTTGTTGTGGAGTTTCTGGATTCTTTGCTCATTTTGAATCTTATTATCATTGATTTGTAGAAGTTACGTAAAATCCTCAATACCAGTTCTCAGTATGACATATATGTATTGCAAGTATTTTCTCTAGATCTGTAACATTCCTGTTATTTTGCTTAATGGAATCATTTTCTTAGAAAATATTTTAAGATTTATTTTAAATTTTTGATCAAGCCTAATTTGTCAGTTTTTTTGTTATTATTGTTTTTTGTTTCTAGTCTGGGATACTTTCGCATATTTCCAAATCACAAAGAAATTCTGATGTTCTCCTCTAAAAACCTTATGGTTTTAGCTTTTATGTTAAGGTCTATGGTGTGTCTTGAATTATGTTTTGTATATATTATAATGTAAAGATCGTCAAGTTATAGTATCTATTTATCCCACCGCTTGTCGAAAAGACAAATACTGATACAAATTGAATAATATTGAAAGCTTTGTAGAAAATTAAAGGACTGAATAAGTGTAGCTCTGTTGCTGGTCTGTTCATTTTGTTCCACTGATCTATTTGATGATTCTTACGTCACTATCACACTTCATGATCAGATAGCTTCACAATACCTCTCAAAGACATGCAGTATGAGATCTCCAAATTTGTTCTTGATACTTTGCATTTTCATATGGATTTTCAAAGTCATCATGCCAATTTTTCAAAAATCCTGCCAGAATTATATTTGTCAATGCATTTAATCAGCAAGTTAATTTGTGGAGCATTGATATATTAATCATATTAAAATGTCTAATCCATGAAGTTGTATATTACTCAAGCAATTTTAACGTGTCAACATTCTACAAGAATATTAATTTAAATGACTGTTTCTTAATGGTATCAATTATTTCTTGCCAGCATATTTCTAGTAGTTCCCTCCATACATTTTAAGACAAGGGCAATTAAAAATATGGACTGAATCTGCCCTCAAACTTGTTTTGCATGGTCTGCTCGGTGCCCTCTCCAATCTGTTGTAGGCCGCACTGTTCTAAAATTTCTTACAACCATTTGCTCTACACACATATGCTATTGCCATTGAAGGCATGAAAATTTGAGACTCTATGTTTCAGTTTCACAGAAGAATTCATTATTCTGTAAAATAATTATGTAGCTTCTGCTCCCTTGCCGTTCCTGCTTATAATGGTATTCCACACTTCTCAAACTTATAAAATACTACACATCTTTAAAGGTGAAACCAACACATTTTTTCTTTAGTGTAGCCTATCTTAAACAGCTCAAAGTTAGTTGCAAATTTTCTTTATTATGTAAGTATTTTTTATATCTTGAATTTATGACATGGCATACTTTATATTATATATGTTTATATGTTGATAATTACCTTTATTTTTTATTAAAACTTAGTATGCAAGAAATACATTTTTATTTTATCACAATATACAATAATATATTTTAAATATGTGCAAAGACAAACAGAAACATATAATGAATACTCTACACCAGTAGTTCTAAACCGGAGTTGATTTTTATCCACAGAACAAAACGTTTGGCAACATTTTTGATTGTCATAACTGGGGGTGAGGGGAAGGTTTGCTACTGGCATCTAGTGGACACAGGCCAGGCAAACTGATAAACATCAAAATGATCTGCAATGCCTAGGACAGCTCCACACAGCAAAGAATCCTGTGCCAAATACCAGTAGTGCAGGTGTTGAGAAACTCTGCGCTATACTGACCATTCAACTGTATCAGATGTTAACATTTCAACACATTTGCTCCAAATCTCCTCTCCTTTAAATAAGAAAAATATTATAAATATATTCAAAGGATTTCTTTACTCCTGATCTCATTCTTCCCTTTCCCACTTTAGAGATAACCTCTAACCTAAAACTGATGTGCAGGTAACACTGCATATTTGTATATTTTATTTCATATGTATTAAACACTATGTTTTGTTGTGTATTCATTATTCTTACATATCAGATAGAAAACTGTCGAATATCCTACAATTTCTTTCTTTCACTCAATATGTTTTTAATATTTATCAACTTTGATATTCATATGTCTGAGTCACTGGTTTTAACACCTGTATAACCATTATATGTCTTTTGCCCTTATTTTTTATCCATTAGTGTATAAGTGGACATTCTGTTGTTTTAAATTGTTCTCCTTGACAAAGAGGGCTGTGATAAACTTTATTATACATTTTTCTCTGTGTGGTGTACTGGATTGAATAGTGTCCCCCCAAATTCATTTTCACACAGAATGTTAGGACATGACTTTGTTTGGAAATAAGGGTGCTGCAGATGTACCAAGTTAAGACAAGGGCCTAATGGATTAGGGTGGACCCTAATCTAATAACTGTGTCCTTGTAAGAAGAGAGGGAAATTAGACAAAGAGCACACACAGAGGAGGACACCACGTGAAGACAAAGCCAGACTGGAGTGATGTGTCTGCAAATCAAGGAACGCCACCAATTGTTCACATCCACCAGAGGTAGAAGGGAGTCATGAAACAGACTTACCCTCAGAGTTCCACAAAGAACTATCCTTAATTTCAGATTTTTGGCCTTCAGAATTTTGAAAGAATACATTTCTACTGCTTTAATCCACCCAGTTTGTTTTAATTTATTACGGCAACCTTCAGAAGTTAATACATGTAGATACGTGGTACATTCTCTTAGTGATTAAATCAAAAAGTGGAACAGCTGGCTTATAGGGCATGTGCCTCCACAAATTATTAACTTATAAGACTTTCTCCACACAATAGCCTACCTTGTTATCATCATTGTTTAAATTTTGTAGATATAAGTATTTTATTGTCTGTATTCACCTTTCCGTGATTATTAGTAAATTTGTATACTTTTTCATAATTTTTATTCACTTAATTCTATTATTATGTGAAGTATCTAATAAATGCTTCAACCATTTTGTGTTTGTGTGTGAGAGAAGGGATGTTTGTTTCCAAAAACAACATGCAGAATGGTGTAATGTTTTGTGGCCACTAAATCTTTGTCTAATATACATTGCAAATATCTTCTCTGAGCCTATGATTCATATTTTGAATTTGTGTATTCATTTTGGTAGGAGTTATTTATTTTATTTACCAGAGTCTAATTTTTATGACTTGTTCTCAGTTTCTGTGAAATAATTCATTCTGCTACTAACAAAAATCTATCGTCCTACATGTTATTCTGAAAGTCTGATAATTTGATTTTAATATTTATACTTTTAATATACGTGAAATTTACTTTGGTCCATAATATAATGTAGAGAACTATGTTCTCATAAAAAAATTCAATGTTTCTTTCATCATTTAGTGAGCAATGTATTTTCTCCGCATTTGATTGTAACATGACCTCTTACCTATAAATAATATTTTAAGGCTCTATTTCTGGGTTTTCTTTCCTATTCCAATGACCCATTTGTCTAATACTCTCCCTATATCATGTGGTCTTAATTAATATACTTCTAAAAGACTTTTGACATATGAGATGATCAATTGCCCAACTTTGTTCTTCTTATTCTTAGCCCTTTAACCCTTCAATAGGAATTTTAGGATCAACTTGCCAAGATCCACAACAAACCCTGGGGGAATTTAAATTTAAATTACATTGTCTTCACAATTTACTTGTAGTGTTATCTGGTGTTATCTGACATTTTTATGTTAGTGAGTCTTGTTATTCAGGACATTGGCTACCTTATCTTTGTTTTGTTTTTGTTTGTTTTTTTTTTTTTTTTAAGACAGAGTCTCGCTCTGTTGCCCAGGCTGGAGTGCAGTGGCATGATCTCAGCTCACTGCAACACCTGCCTCGCAGGTTCAAGTGATTCTCCCGCCTCAGTCTCCCGAGTAGTTGGGATCACAGGCGCGTGCCACCACGCCTGGCTAATTTTTTGTATTTTTAGTAGAGACGGCATTTCACCATGTTGGCCAGGCTGGTCCCAAACTCCTGACCTCGTGATAACACCCACCTCGGCCTCCCAAAGTGCTGATATTACAGAGGTGAGACACTGCACCCGGCCTTCTTTGTCTTTAGTCTTAATTTAGGTGAAGAAAGATTTTAAATCTACATGTAAAATTCCAGTACTTTATTTAAACAAAATTTACTACATACCATCAGATTGTTCTTCTATTATGTGTTATAATTTATTCCTATATTCATTGGCGATTAATGGTGTCTAAGAATACCTTAATTTGAACACTGTTTTGCACCAGCATTCTTTTTTTTTCTTTTTTTTTTTTTTTTTTTTTTTGAGACGGAGTCTCAATCTGTTGCCCAGGCTGGAGTGCAGTGGCACGATTTCGGCTCACAGCAAGCTCTGCCTCCCAGGTTCACGCAATTCTCCGGCCTCAGCCTCCCGAGTAGCTGCGATTACAGGGGCCCACCACCACGCCCGGCTAATTTTTTGTATTTTTAGTAGAGATGGGGTTTCACCGTGTTAGCCAGGATGGTCTCCATCTCCTGACCTTGTGATCCTCCCACCTCGGCCTCCCAAAGTGCTGGGATTACAGGCATGAGCCACCACGCCTGGCCTGCACCAGCATTCTTATTAAATCGTCTTATTACTTTTAATAATTTATACACATTCTTGGCTTTTATATACATTTTATATAAATTGAAACCTATTTCCTGAAAATAATCGATTATTTTTATCTCTTCTTTTTCAATTGTCACACAAAATTTTTTATTGTTTAGGGGGTCCTGGTTAATATAGTAGTAAGTAGGCTGGTGCACATACTTGCTTTCTGCTTAATTCTAATGGGACTCTTTTTACTTTTTTTTTTAGACAGAGTGTCCCTCTACCGCCAGGCTGGAGTGCGGTGGCGAGATCTCTGCTCACTGCAACCTCCGCCTCCCTGGTTCAAGCGATTCTCCTGCCTCAGCCTCCCGAGTAGGTGGGATTATAGGCACACACCACCACACCCGGCTAATTTTTGTATTTTTAGTAGAGACGGGGTTTCACCATGTTGGCCAGGATGGTCTCCATCTCTTGACCTCGTGATCCCCCTGCCTCGGCCTCCCAAAGTGCTGGGATTACAGGCGTGAGCCACCGCGCCCGGCCCACTCTTTTTAAAATATACTTCAGCATGCTATTTTTGACGGCTCAGGTAAAGACATTTCTTTTTATTTCCAGTTTGCTAATTTTTTATGATGAGTTAGTGAGGAATATTATCAACATTTTCCAAATAATGGTCAATCGATGGATAATTATGTACTATGCAAACTATATCCAATAATTTATAAATGCTGTTACTATCAGGTGACAGATAGTGCTCCATCAAAAAAAAAAGTGTGTTTCTGACATTTATTTGCTTAATATTTTCTACAAGACACTTTGAATTTTTTCAAATGTGACATTAAATGTGTCAGCAATTTTAAACTTAATACCAGGCATAAAGTGTTTATAGGAGCTGCATGTGTTCCTAAATGTTTATGTACTTTCTTTATCAAAGTATTGTAAAATCTTTTGAGCAGATACTCACTTTAATATCTATTTTATATATATTAAAATAGTATCAATAGTAAATAGAGTTTAAATGTTTCAGGAAGTGCAAAATGCCTGAACTATCATAAGATTTCAGTGGTATCCTGGAAAGAAAGGGAATAGAAATGCAGATGAGAGATAAAATAGTTTATGAAACCAAATTGAAGCTTTGTGGTGATTAATACTAGCAGAAAACTTTGAAGAAAGAAAAAAAAAGACTGTACATAAGAAATCACCAACTATAGACAGTGTGATGTAAGATATGCCAGATATTGAGGAACAGAGTCAGTGTTTAAAATAAATGCAGTAATAATTCTGACAGCTCCCTGGGTTGACTGGGATAGTCTAGGTTATCCTGAATAGAGATAGTTTATTTATGTTATACAATACTCATTTGAATACCTTGGATGCTCCACAATGCAGCTTTATATGTTTCTAAGCATTGCCTAGAGTACCTCACTTTTCTTTTTAAACATTTCTGGTTCCAGAAATGTGTATATGCAGCATGGTTCCATAAAAAAACAAATTCAATATGCTCAGATGATGATAAAATCAGAAGCACAATGGACCTGAGAACGAATGAAAGAATGGCAAATCCCACATTGCATGTCATGGTCACTCCCAAGTTTCACTCTTTATGTGGGCAAACTCTCCTTACAGTGTAAATTGTTCGTTCTCTGTCTTGTGTGTCTTTCAGCTCTCTTAGTATCCCTCATCTCATTCATTTCTCTGGCTCTGGCATTCTGTCTCTGACTATGTATCTCTCTATCTCTGTTTCTAACTATCTCTTATTTGCATAGAGGTAAGTGATAGAAATTGACTAGACATATTTGTTTTTGAAAAACATACCTAGCAATAACAGAATACATGTTTTAAAAGTTCTGTGTTGCCTAGGCTAATTAAAATTATTCAAATATTCAAAAATGGAAATGTTCACCATACAAAAAGTGGAAATTTAAGTTTTATTTTCTTTAAGAAATAAGTTGAAAAAACCCAAATCTCGTTTCTAGTTTAAATCATTTATATAGAAATTATCTCAACATTAACAATTTAAAAATATTTTCTCATTTGCCAAACCTTATTTCAACAATTAAAATTAAGCAATTTGTATATTACATCATTATATGATAATTAAGCACTGGGTTAACGCTAAATAAAAAATACACAACTTCTTGGAAACATAATTGTATTCACTGTAGTAATTAGCAGTTAAAAGTAATAGATAATTGTTTTGTGATATTCTAAGATTAAAATCTAAGGAATACAGAACTACTCAAGAAATTGCATCCTCCTATTTTTGTGAATTTGAACTCCATGTTTGACATTTGTCTGCAGAAGAGTTACTCGTTTTTTTATATTAAAGATTTCAGCAAACTAACACAAGAACAGAAAACCAAACACCACATGTTCTTACTCATAAGTGGGAGTTGAACAATGAGAACACATGGACACAGAGGGGAACATCACACACCGGGGCCTGTTGGGAGGTGGGGGCCTAGGGCAGGTATAGCATTAGGAGAAACACCTAATGTAGATGAAGGGTTAATGGGTGTGGCAAACTACCATGACACGTGTATACCTATGCAACAAACCTGCATGTTCTGCATATGTATCGCAGAATTTAAAGTATAATTTAAAAAAAAGAAAAAAAAATATTTTCAAAGCTGATTTTGTACATTAAAGTGGATATGACAGGCATAAAGGAAAGAAGAAAGGGAGGAAGGGAAAGAGAAGGAAGGAAGGAAGGAAGGTAGGAAGGAAGGAAGGAAGGAAAGGGAGGGACAGAGGGAGAGAGGGAGGAGGGAGTAAGGGAGGGAGGGAGGAAGGGAGGAAAGGTGGGTAAGGCAGTGTTTCAAAGGTAGGACCTGTACCTGGAACTTCTTCCTGTTTTATCTCATCCAATTTACAGAACACCACTGGGTATTGATTGTGATTACTTTCTTTCGAAAATAGGGACACACAGTTTACATTAGATTAAATAACTTGACCAGGTTCACAAAGCCAAAGCTGACATTTAAATTCCAGTCTAGGCAGGGTGCAGTGGCTCACGCCTGTAATCCCAGCACTTTGGGAGGCTGAGGTAGGCAGATCACAAGGTCAGGAGATCGAGACCATTCTGGCTAATACAGTGAAACCCCATCTCTACTAAAAATACAAAAAATTAGCCAGGTGTGGTGGCGCACACCTGTAATCCCAGCTATTTGGGAGGCTGAGGCAGGAGAATTGCTTGAACCCAGGAGGCAGAGGTTGCAGTGAGCCAAGATCAAGCCATTGCACTCCAGCCTGGGTGACAAAGCAAGACTCTGCCTCTAAATAAATAAATAACAATATATTGGTTTCCAACTTTCTAGCTTTTTTCCTCCGTAAAGCATTTGGCCATTTGGACAATCAGGGAAGGTAACAGGTTTCTTTTACAGAAGGCAGTGATTCATCTGATACAAGACCTGCCCTGGGATATAATCTTGTGATGGAAGGTGTTAATAGGCAGAAGGAGGGAGGCCACTGGGTAGTTGGAGTATAAAATATTTAGCATGCAGCTATCTCATATTTCACTCAGGAACGATTGCAGGTATAAAAGAACACTAAGCTTGGGTAGTGGGCAGCATGTTGGTGGAGGATAAAGGTGGGGTCCAATGGAAATGGATGCTGTGTTGGACACTTTTTAACAATATTTATTAAGCAAAAACTATGAAACCAGCACTGTGGTGGGCCTTGGAAGTGTTCCCTCGTCTAATCATGTGAGGCTTTTTTTTTTTTTTTTTTTTTTTTACCATTTGATGAAGGAAAATCAGCAAACTGTGACTCACATCAATTAAATAATTTTTTCAAGGACCCACTACTGCCAAGGCATACAAATTCAACCCTCAATTGATTTCATTATAGAGACCATACATCAACAAATTTGTGGTGAAATATTATCTCAGTTGAAAGATCATACTTGTATGTATATATTCGTATTTGTATTTATATGTATAAACATATATCTATTTAATATTAAAACAGGTATTTATCATATCTTTATTTTTAATCCAAACTCTTGTTTTTCTGTAATGTTAATATATTTTAATGATAATTTAGTAAGTATTTAGTCATTTCATATTCCTGAAATAGTATTATGCCAAAGTCTATAGATCAGGCTCTACTTGAAATGTCTTCTACCTGTTCATGACAAGATAGACTATAAAGATATTTGTGTTTTCAGTGAAAGAAAAAGAAATGTATGAAGAATTAACCATTAGGAGATTCAACCCCAACACCCTCTTTACCAAAACAGAAACCAAATGGGAAGTAAGAATTTTAGTCAGACACTCTTGAGAAAATAATGCTTTGGTCATTGTCTAAGCAGAATTTATGGCTATTTTATTTGTAGTATTTAAACAGAAAGTAAAGTGAAATAATTTCAGTTCATAGATTTAGAAAAGTGATAAGCAGAACCACAAGAATGCACATATAAATATAGTTATGATATAAAAGCAAAATGTAAGAATTTTAAAATGGAGTAGAAATGGAAAATAATAAATACCTAGTTCTTTGAAAGTAAATAATTGTATAAAATGTAAAAGGCAGGGAATTATCAAGGAATGATACTGAAATCTATAACTATGGAGATACAAATATAGAATAGGATACTAAGGACTAAGTTTGTATGGGATAATACTATGTACAACTATAGGCTTTTAGAAAATGTTTATAGAATGAATACCTTTCATGCAGAATAAAACATAACTTACTAAAACTGAGTCAAAAAAATGATTCAAATTCCTAAGTGAGTCAATGACCATAGAGTAAACATGCAAAACTTACCAAGAAAGAATTACCAAAATACTGTAGACTTAGGAAATTTTTGTGTGTTATTTTCAATTCATTTATTTATTTATTTTTGAGATGGAGTCTCGCTCTGTCGCCTAGGCTGGAGTGCAGTGTTGTGATCTCAGCTCACTGCAACCTCCACCTCCCTGGTTCAAGCAATTCTTCTGCCTCAGTTTCCCAAGTAGCTGGGACTACAGGTGAGTGCCACCACGCCTGGCTAATTTTTTGTATTTTTAGTAGAGACAGGGTTTCACCATGTTAGCCAGGATGGTTTCGATCTCCTGACCTCGTGATCCGCCTGCCTCAGCCTCCCAAAGTGCTGGGATTACAGGCGTGAGCCACCTCGCCCAGCCTGTTACTTTAAATTTTTGTTTAAAAAGTTTAATTGAGATGCTCCATAAACTATTTTCCAGAATTATGGAATATTGCATAATTTATTTCATGAAGCTCATTTACATCTGACAAAGAAACTATCAAAGGAAAAATATAAAATGATATCATTTATGGATATAAATTTAAAAAAATGAACTATTATCAAGTTGATTTCAACAGGATTAATGAGAAAGAGCACAATGGAAATTCCATAGAAGTAAGGCCCTGCCTCAGTGATAACTCCTAAAAAACTGACCAAAACACAGCCATCTTTTTAACATGAAAAAGCAAATGTGAAAATTTTAATTGCTGGTTAAATAAAACAGATGCCTTAATTAAAATGAGAAACAAAATTATAAATTTTCATTTTAGGGGGAAAGTTTTATGAATGCAAGAAGGTAGTAAATAGATATCAGATAAGGAATAATCATTTTTAACATTTGCTGGTAAACATGCTTATATGTAGATAATATTAAAAGATTACTTAGCAAAATTATTTCATGTAAGAAAAATGTATTATGTAAACATAATCTAAGAATAACTTTAACGAAATTGTAAATTGATGATTGCAATTGACTGAGCATTCCCTTTATATCATGCATTGTCTTAAGTATCTTGAATATATTATGTAATTTAATTGTCATTCTCGTTTTTAGACTAAGGAAGAAAAGCTCACAGACATTAAGTAACCTTCCTGGGGTTCCACAGCTAGAAATTGCAATAGCCAGGATTCAAATTCAGTTTTGTCTTGACTCCAAAGTCTATTTTTTTCCATTTTTTAAATTGTGATTAAATACCCATTCACCATGTTAATAACTTTTAAATGTATTAAACTCTAAAATAACTGTATTAAGAAGCACTAGAAAGCTGCTTATTAATATTAGTATTAGACAATTCTATAAGGTTATTATACTTGAACTAATTTGACGGTTATAGATGATCAGCCATGGGAAAAAAAATGAATTGCAAAGACTTTTGAAATAGATCTAAAATAAGAGACATCACAAATAAGCCTTTTGTTTTAGAGTAAAATTCAAGTTAAAGCCTCACCTCAAAGTATGCGGCAAAGCGTAATCCTATGGATTAAATTATTAAATATAAAATAGTCCTTCCATAAGATATTTTAAAAGTTGAATATTTTTCTGACTTCTAAATCCCTAAAATTTTAATAATTAACAGTATTGCAGAAAAAAATGGTAATTTTTATTTCATGCAAATAAAATATCTGACTGTTCTAAGTCAATATCAACTACATTAACAGGCAAATATTATAAAGTTAATGTCATGAATACACAAAGAATTTACACAAAGGATTAAGATAATCTCTAATATCCAAAATAATTGGCTAGCAAATGTGACCTGAAAAGTGTGTTGTGAAATTAATTCAATAGCTTAAGAACAGGATTGTTTCAGATAAAGAAAACAATGGGATAGCAAACATAAGAGAGCATCTTCCTCATAAAGAATAACTAGAACTTATTCATGACATCTACATCTATGTCTCTATCTGTGTTACCTATAGAGCAGTGGTCCTCAACCTTTTTTGGCACCAGGTACCAGTTTCATGGAAGACAATTTTTCCATGGACTGGGGGGTAAGGGGGATGGTTTCTGGATGATTTAAGTGCATTATATTTATTGTGCACTTTATTTCTATTATTATATTGTCATATATGATAAAATAATTATACAACTCACTGTAGGTAGAATCAGTGGGAGCCCTGAATTTATTTTCCTGTGACTAGACAGTTCCATCTGGGGGTGATGGGAGACAGTGACAGATCATCAGTTGTTAGATTCTCATCAGCAGCCCACAACCTAGATCACTCACATGCACAGTTCACAACAGGGTTCACATGCGTATGAGAATCTAATGCCACTGCTAATCTGACAGGAGGCAGAGGTCAGGTGGTACAGGTGGTAATGCTAACTGCTCATCTCCTGTGCAGCCAGTTTCCTAACAGGGCACAGACAGGTAGCGATAAGTGACCTGGGGCTTGGAGATCCCTACTATAGAGCATCCACATATGTATTTATGCACTAGATTATGATGTACAGTTTATTTCTTCAGTAGACAGGAGACACAGGAGCCTGAAAAATACTGCACTATAATGATGAGGGTGTGGTAAAACGCAGCATTTTCTTGTCCTGTTTTGGGGGTATTCATTATTATATGATCTATCTGAAAAATTAGTTTAAAATTATGCAAGAGCCCCTTTCCATAAAAATTCATGGCCAGGCGTGGTGGCCCATGCCTGTAATCCCAGCACTGTGGGAGGTCCAGGCGGGCAGATCACGAAGTCAGGAGTTTGAGACCAGCCTGACCAACATGGTGAAACTCTGTCTCTAGTAAAAATACAAAAATTAGCTGGGCATGGTGGCACGCACCTGTAGTCCCAGCTACTCGGGAGGCTGAGGCAGGAGAATCGCTTGAACCTGGGAGGCAGAGGCTGTAGCGAGCCAAGATCACACTACTGCACTCCAACTGCAACAGAGTGAGACTCTGTCTAAAAAAAAAAAATCATTAAATATGTGGCCAAAGATTTGTATAGAAGAGTTTCTCTGCCACCTTTACTCAAAATTCTCCAGTTTTTCTCCATTTCTCTATGAATAAAAGATTGTCCTCAGAGGCCTTGCAATAGCCAAGAAGGCACATGTAATTTGGGTGACCCGTTGCTTTCTGACCTTGCATATTCCTCTCACCCTCTCAGTTTCAATCACACCGTCCTCCTTGCTGTTTTTCAAACACACCAGGTACATTTCCATAGGATATTTTCCCAGGAGAGTTCTCTGCTTTCAGAGTTCTCTGCCTGTGGGTGGGGCTTACTTCTTTTCTCCAAGTCAGTGCTCAAATTAAAAATTACAATACCTATTAAAAATTGCACCTATTAAATATAGCCACCTATTAAAAATTGCAATACTAGTTTCAGCACTACTTAGCCCCTTCTTCCTGCTTTAGTTTTGTTCTGTAAAATTTATCACCTCCTGAAGGGGTGGGAAAAAATAAAATTAAATAAAATTTATCCCATTTTAACATACTATACAATTTAATTATTATTATATTTATTCCTTATTTAATCTCTGAATGCTCTCTTCGTTCCCCACCACCAAGAATATATCCCCATAAGAGAAATAGTTAAGTAAAATTAGAAATGTATGGTTATTAATACTATATGCCACATTTTATATGGGACAATGATAAGTATACGAAATAATAATTAAAAGGAGAGTAATGTGCCTAAAGCATAGGAAATGCACAGAAATATTAACAGTGATTGCAAAAGGGTTGGGACTCATTAGTATTTATTGTAGTTCATTCATTTTGTTTATATCATATATATTTTTATTCATTTTCAACATTTAATAAAATGAAAATATGAGACTAATAGCTTTAAAAATATTAGTTTAATTTTAAGCTTGGCAATTATACAAAAATATCTAAACAATGCCTTCCATGAATTCTAGGTAAAGAAAGATACAAAAAATTTTGATGAAATGTAAAACCATTCCTTATTTTATGCTTTATAGAAGTTTGAGAATAAAAATATATTTGATACTGTAAAATTATTACGGATAAATAATACTGATTGGTTAACATTACTATTATTTTCAGAAAGTATGCTTGAATACCTATTCAGCTTGAGTATTTTTTAAATTGGTGCTGTTTATTAAGACAGTATGATGCAAAATGTAAATGTCAAAATAAATATCTTTTCTATATAGCACTAAATTACAAAATAAAAAAACATAGCAGTAAACAGATCCCATACACAATGGCAATCAAAAACAAAAGGAAGTAAATTTAACATTGACTAGCATTTATATGAAGGAATAGCATTCTATAAAAACATAAAAATGAAAATTGAAGAAATACAGATTAATCCAATGCACCTGATGAAAGGACTTACTTTACAAACAGGTCATTTATTCTTAGACTATTTTATAAATAATACATTCACAGTATAGTGGTTAAAACTATACATTTTACTATTTAAGAGCATGGGCTCAAATTCTGTCTCTGTGATGTATGAGTTTTGTAGCTGTGGGCATGAGTAGAATGGGAATATAATAGCATTTACCCCAAATTCATGTGAAAATTAAATAAGGTAATGAATGCACAGTGTTTAGCACAATATGTGGGCCAAAGTAGGCACTCAGTTTTCAAAATCTCATCTGCTTTTTGTTATTTTTGTTTATTTTTGTAACTTGATAAAAAGAAATCTATGTATCTCTTGGAAACTTAAACAGCAAGAAAAATTAAGATGCCATTGTTATTAAAATAAAGACCCTCAAAAGGGAATAAGCCATTTAAATTATTATAAAACTAAATTAATAAAATCACAGCGATACTGATACGAGAATTGGAAATATAAATAAAACCCAAGATATACATAAGAAACATACAATCACACACACACACACACACACACACACACACACACACAGAGAATACATTATTCAGGTATTCACTTGTTCAATAATTGTTGACATACTATGTTCCAGAAATTGTGTTTGGTGCTGAAGGTTCAATTACTGCAATGAAATTTACAAAATACTGAGAATGACAGATTAGAAAAATAATCAGTTGTAATACCATTTGAGGTATGGCAATCATAGTGATAATGGCAGGAATTTCATAACTTTTAAAGATCTTTAAAACAGAATTCTAATGCAAGGCATCCAAATTCCCTACCAAAACAATGAGGAGAGAGAAAATGGGGAGAGACTCACTTTTTATGTTAGGGGTACACAAAGTGTCTCTTTGTTGCCAAATGTTAAGACTGTAATTATCTCCTATCTAAAATTTGCCAAGTCATTGTCCTGGAAGATTGCCTACTGCTTCTGAGGATTGGAGAAATAAGCAAGAGAAAGGTCCCTGGTAAGATGTAAGACAGGCTAACAGAGAGGGTAGGGCCATTTTTCTAATTTCTGGGTTCTGAGACAAGGAATCAATAATATGTCCTCAAGCCCTGAAATTGAAGACCACGGAGGAAAATGTGAACCATGGACTTGCTAGAAGGCACCATAGATTAAGAATACACAAATGAGAGCACTGTTGATCAAGACTGTGAGCTGGAGCTCAGAAACAAATGAGGCTTAATCATCCAAAGGATTCAAGGAACCTACAAAAACTAGGCGAATTAGATGGCGACCATGCATTGAAATTAAAACACTCACAAGGGGTTAAATTATCTTTAAAACACATGATGGCAATCAAGGAGGAGTGAATATCTCTTTTGTCAGCCAAATAAGGAACTATGTTTTCCTCTCTCTGGAGCATGTGTCTGAGACAAGATGAAGCTTCCAAACCTTGCACCTCCATGCAACTAGAACCATAGATGATCTGAATTGGGAATACTGGAGATGAGCTTAGGATCTGATATGAGGACAAAACTAGATGAATATTAACCACCATTAAAATGAAAGTTGAACAAAAGCCCATGGAATATGCTTAAACTTCCATTAAATGGTTTATTCTTCTGCAGGAAAGGAGTGATCAACATAACACCACAATAATTGGACAAAATAAACATTTTGCTTGTAGTCAAAACTGAGATTCTTCAATAAGCCAATTATATGTAGATTAAAACAAAGTAAAACAAACCACAAAAAAAGTCAAGTCACTTGAACTTTGATGAGACTTACAATACTGTGTTGAATGGGAGTGGTTAAGTGTAGACATTCTTGTCTTATTCCAATACTTAGGGAGAATTCTTTTGCAACTTTTGGGCATTCAGTGTGATGTTATTTTAAGATATGGTCCTCGATGCCAAGTTTGTTGAGGATTTTTATAATGAAAGGATGTTGGATTTTTTTCAAATACTTTTTCTGCATCTATTAAGATTATCATACTTTTTAAATACTGTTTATATGATGAATCACATTTATTGATCTGCATATGTTGAAACATCTTTGTATCCCAGGAATGAAGTCCACTTGGTTATGATGAATTATCTTTTTGATGTGCTGCTGGATTCAGTTTGCTAGTATTTTGTTGAGGATTTTCGTATCTGTGTTCATCACGGATATTGCCTGTAGTTTTCTTTTTGCTGTTGCTGTATCCTTGCCAGACTTTGGTATCAGGATGATACTGGTTTGTAGAATGAGTTACTTTCTTGGAATAGTTTCAGAAAGATCCATACCAGTTCTTCTTTGTATGTCTGGTAGAATTGGGCTGTGGATCCATTTGATCTAGGGCTTTTTCATTGGTAGGTTTTTTATTACTGACTCAAATTTGTAACTCATTCAGGATTTCAGTTTCTTCCTGATTCAGTTTTGGGAGGCTGTTTCCAGGAATTTATCCACTTCCTCTAGGTTTTCTAGTTTGTGCATGTAGAGATGCTAGCAGTGGTCTCTAAGGGTCTTTTGTATATATCTGTGGTACATTTGTAATGTCACCTTTTTCATTTCTCATTGTGCTTGTTTGGATACTCTATTTTTCCTTTGTCAATCAAGCTAGCTGTCTATCAATCCTGTTCATCCTTTCAAAAAACCAACTTTTCATTTTTTTGATCCTTTGTATTTATTTTTGATACCAATTTCATTTAGTTCTACTCTGAACTTAGTTATTTCTTTCTTCTGCTAGCTCTGGATTTGGTCTGTTCTTGTTTTTATAGTTGTGTGTGATGTTAAGCTGTTAATTTGATAGCTTTCTATCTTCATGATGTAGGAATATAGTGCTTTAAACTTTCCTCCTAACAGCTTTTGCTGCATCCCAGAAGATCTGGTATGTCATGTCTCTATTTTCTTTTGTTTCAAATATTATTTTGATGTCTCCCTTAATTTCTTTTTGCTTACCCAAAACTCATTCAGGAGCAACTTAGTTGTTGAGCTTTCATATATTTATAGTACTGAGCATCCTAATCAGAGAAATCAGGCAAAAGAATGAAGTAAAAGGCACTCAAATAGGAAAAGAGGCTGTCCAGTGATCTGATCTCTGATTACAAACAATATGACTCTATACCTAGACAATCATAAAGATTCTGTGAAAAGACTCTTAGACCTGATAAGCAACTTGAGTAAAATATTAGGATACAAAGTCAGCATGCAAAAATCCGTAGCATGTCTACACACCAGTAAAATTCAAGCTGATACTTAAATCAAGAAAACAATTTCACTTAGAATAGCCAAAATATATAAAATATCAAGGAATACATCTAACTAGGGAGGTCAAAGATCTCTACAAGGAGAATTATAAAACACGGTTGAGAGAAATCATAGAAGACACAAACAAATGAAAAAAACACCCCATGCTCACAGACTGGAACAATCAGTATTATTAAAATGTCTATAATGCCCAAAGCAATCAGAGATGCAATAAAATCCTTATCAAATTACTAACGTAATTTTTCACAGAATTAGGAAAAACAATTCTAAAATTCATATGGAGCCAAAAAAGAGCCAAAATAGCTAAAGCAATCCTAAGCAAAAAGAACAAAGCTGGAGCCATCACATTACCTAATTTCAAACTATACTAAAAGGGTATAGTAACTAAAACAGCATGGTATAGGTACAAAACAATGTAACAGAATAGAGAGCCCAGAAACAAAGCCACACTTCTACAACAAAATGATCTTTCACAAAACTGATAAAAATAAACAATGACGAAAGGACACCCTATTTAATAAATAAGGCCAGGAAAACTGGCTATCCATATGCAGAAGAATGAAACTGGACCCCTATCTCTCACCATATACAAAAATTAACTCAATATGGATTAAGACTTACCTGTAAGACCCCAAACTATAAACACCCTAGAAGAAAATCTAGGAAATACTCTTCTGGACATTGGCCTAGGCAAAGAATTTATGACTAAAGCCTCAAAGGCAAATGTAACAAAAATAAAAATTGACGAATGGGACTTAAACTGAAGACTTCTGCACAGCAAAAGAAACTATCAACAGTGTAAACAGGCAACCTACAGAATGGGAGAAAATATTTGCACATTATGCATCTGACAAAGGACTAATATCCGGAATCTATAAGGAAGCTAAACAAATCAGGAAGAAAATATGAATAATCTCATTAAAAAGTGGGCAAAAGTTATGAATAGACACTTTTTTTTTTTTTTGAGATGGAGTTTCACTCTTGTTGCCCAGGCTAGAGTTCAATGGTGTGATCTTGGCTCACTGCAACCTCGGCCTCCTGGGTTCAAGGGATTCTCGTGCCTCAGCCTCTCGAGTAGCTGGGACTATAGGCACACACCACCATTCCCGGATAATTTTTGTATTTTTAGTAGAGACAGGGTTTTCACCATGTTGACCAGGCTGGTCTTGAACTCCTGACCTCAGATGATCCACCCACCTTGGCCTCCCAAGGTGCTGAAATTACAGGCCTGAGCCACCATGCCCAGCTGACACTTCTTAAAAGAAGATATACAAGTGGTCAACTAACATGAAAAAATGCTCAACCTCACTATGACAGAAATGCAAATTAAAACCACAACGAGATACCATCTCACAAAAGCTAGAATGGCTATTATTAAAACATTAAAAAAAATATGCTAGTGAGCCTACAGTGAAAAGAGAGTGCTTTTAAACTGCTGGTGGGAACGTAAATGTTCCACAGTGGGCGGGTCTATGCCCACCTACCCCAAAATCTGAGGAGAGGCCAAAAAAAGAGGCTGATAAATCCAGTTTCACCAAAAGAAACATTAAATAGGGACTTGTGAACAGAAGCCATGTTTGTGTGTTGTGTCACAGGGAGACAAGATGGTGGATCCCCAGGCCATTATCTCCCAGACCCAGTGCTCTTATACCATAGGGAAGGAGTAGTTCAGAAGAGATATGTAAGACAATTGAAGTGCAATAACGTCAAGGTCATTTTACCTAGGGGCTTACAGTTAGTACCTGCTCTAACACAAGGAACAAAAGATAAGCTGAAATCTTACAGGCCTTCCTGGATTAGGCATTAATCAGAAGCCAACATGGCAGATTAGACGGAGTTACGTTTGCCTCCACAATGAATGGGTTCTCCCACTACGGAAAGTAGTTTGGAGACTGAAAACTGTCTATTGGGGAATACATTCACTGTTTGATTGATGGGTTAAACAGAAGCTTAAACCCTAGCATTACACAACATATCCATGTAACATACCCAGGCTTGTACCCTGTGAATCTAAAATAGGAAAATATGGGTCTGGCTCAGTGGCGCACGCCTGTAATCCTCAAACCTTGAGAGGCTGAGGTGGGCGGATCATTTGAGGTCAGGAGTTTGAGACCAGCCTGACCAACATGGTGAAACCCCGTCTCTACTGAAAATACAAAAAATTTGCCAGGTGTAGTAGTACACACCTGTAATCCCAGCTACTTGGGAGTCTGAAGCAGGAGAACCACTTGAACCTGGGAGGCGGAGGTTACAGTGAGCCGAGATAGTGCCACTGCATGGGCGACAGAGTGAGACTTGTCTCAAGAAATTAAAAAAAAAAAAAAAAGGAAAATACAAAATAAAAGTTGATGAGAAATAAACTATATCCGAATGAATACAAGTATTCTTCAGGTTAAACTTAATAGGCAATATCAGAAATAAACCATCTAGAGATGGTTTACCTCACGATTTTTACCTGGTGACATTTTGCCTCCTAAGGGTCTATTTGGCAATGGTTGGAGACATTTTGGTTGTCACAAATGGAATGGGGCCTACTGGCATCTAGCGGGAAGAGACCAAGGATGCTGTTAAACACCTTACAATGCACAGAACAGCCGCCAACAATAAAGTATCCAGCCCTAACTGTCAATAGTGCTGAGGTTAGAAACCTTGATTTAACTCCTGCCTATTGGCACTTAAGCATTGCCAGTTGTTGAGAGGAGTTGAAAGTACTTTATCTAACTGGAACAAATTTGCTGAGTCCGTCATAGGCTATTCACTTTAAAAAGGCAAAGTGTATTACACAGCCAAGTACATGTTTTGGTTAAAATCTGATTCCTAGGCTTTTCCCCCCATTTAATTAATGTGGATATAGAACATTGGAGGTCCTGTTGTGAGAAAACCTCCACTAGCCTCCCTGAGTTAGGTGCCTTTCAAGAGGCAACAGATTTTACTCCTGAGTCTCCTCTAACTTACTTTGCAATCTTGATACGCACTTCCTGTCTTGGATATCTATTTCCACATCTGTCAGAAACGGGCATTGACTTAGAAAGCATCCTTTTAGAGATGTGATATTTTCTCTTTGCTTCCCCTAACCCTTCTTCCTACACAAGTCTTTTTGTGTCTTCTCTTTCCATGAAAAATCGTCAGATTTCAACTTCCATCCTTTGTCATATTAAAAAAAAAAAAGGAAAATGTGGAACATCTGACACTTTCCGAGACAAGCACGTTTCTGCAGGAGCACAGAAATAAAAGGAAATGAGACATTCTACTATCTGCACAATCTGAAGTTTAATTAAAACAACTTTTCATTGCCCTATTAGAATCATGATGAGAAGGGAGGAATGAAGCACATTTCTTTATCTGCTGTCTTTATAGTGTCTAAGCTGCATGATATAACTTTTATTAACAACTTTGAGAAAACTTGAATGCAATCATATTCATTGGCTTCTGTGTTGAAAAACATGCTACTTAATGGAATTTACACAGCACTATGTGTATTTTAATGACAGATAGTGTTTTAGGAGGAAAACGTTGTATGGAGTTTTATAATAGACATTGATGTACTCTGTAATAAAGTAGAATAATCATTTTTCAACCTATTAAAGACCACAAGTCACTAAGTAATACCTGTATATTCAGTATACATTTCTTCATAATGAGTTTACAAAACAATAAGCTCATTTTGTCCAATTATTGGTTCTCCACACTCCCAAAATATATTTTTGTGTGTAATATAAATACACATACAACTATATATGCATATTAAATATATATATATATATATACACACACACACACAAATATTTGTGATGCATGGGGCATGTGAATACATAATTTATGTGTGTGTGTACTCTGTAAATTTGAAATGTTTAATTTAATATTTTTGCCCTCTCATTCTCTTATTCTCTCTTTGTGGTCAGAGGGGTACGAGGTACAGAGTAACTATAGAAAGTTCTCTGTAAATACCTCCACCACAGCACAGATAATATTGCTATAAACATGATTCTGTGGAACAAAATTACACAAGTGTAGCAAGAAATGTTCATAGATTTGGGAGAATTATGCTCTAGTGTTCTAAAATAAGATTTAAAAAATAAATTTAAAAGATTCTCTTGGCTCCCTTTCACATTTTTTAATTGATTTTTAGTAGCTCTATTGAGGTATAATACATATAAAATAACCTGCACATATTTGAAATGTACAATTTGATGTTTGGACATATATCTGTACAAGTTAAAAACTTTACTATGATCAAGAAATGAAAAAATAAATTACCCATTAGGTTTTCTCAGGCCCCTGTGTAACTTCTCCCTCCCTCACTCCCTGCCTCCAAACTAGCCCATCTCCAGACAACAACTGATATGCTTTTTTTAACTACAGATTACTTTGCATTTTCTCAAATTTTATATAAATAGAATATTTTGTCCATATCATGTACCTTTTTTTCTCCTCTGACTTCTTTCATTTAGTATAATTATTTTATCTTGTGGTGTCTTTTAGTGGGTTGTTCCTTTTTATTACTGAGTAGTATACCTTTCCATGGATGTAGCAATGATGAATGCAAGTTCTAGAATGGTCTTCTTTTCCTTATTCTTTATATAAGTGGGAAGCACTAAATATTTTACTATTTACTAGGTTGTAAGAATCCTAGTGAGTTATGATTACTAATTAACTACTTAATTAGTAAATTAACAAGGAAGTAGAATTTTTGTATAGGCTCTTTTTCAAGCTGAAATAAGCCCATTCTGTTCCTAGTTTGCTACAAAGTTTTATTAGGAACGGGTGTTAGATTTGTAAAATGCCTATGGAGTCTATGGAGATAATTCTATGTTTTCTTACTTTCTTAGTATTTATATGGTTTGGATCTGCCCCCATTATTCAATCATATCCCACCCAAATCTCATGTCGAATTGTAATGCCCAATGGTGGAGGTAGGGCCTGGTGGCAGGCAATTAGATTATGGGGGCAGATTTTTCCCCTCAATGCTGCCCTTGTGATAGTGAGTGAATGCTCACAAGATCTGGTTGTTTAAACGTGTGGTACCTCCCCGCTCTCTCTCTTCTTCCTGCTCTGGCCATATAAGATGTGCCTACTTCCCCTTCACCAGAAGCCATCATGCTTCCTGTACAGCCTGTGGAACCATGAGCCAGTTCAACCTCTTTTCTTCATAAATTATCCAGTCTCAGGTATTTCTTTGTAGCAAAACAAAAACAGGCTAATACAAGTATGTTCATAGCAGGAATTACATTGATTGAATTGTGAATGCTAAATTAACCTTGTATTCCTGATATAAACTCCATTTGTCCTTCATGTTATTTTATGTATTGTTAGATTCAATTTTCTGATATTGTATTAAGAACTTTTCCACGTATGTTCGTAAGAGATGTTTTATGTCTACAGCGTTCTTTCTTTTTAACACTTTTGTCTGGTTTTGGTATCAAAGAAATGCTGGCATCATAGAATGAGTTGAAAAATATTGCCACCTCTTCAATTTTTTAGAAGAATTTTATACAATTAGTACAATCTCTTCTTTAAAGGTTTGGCAGAAAATACTGGTGAAGCAATTTGAGCCTGGAGTTTTCTTTGTGGGGTAGTTTATCATCACTCTCCTAAGAATCCTGCACCTGTAGAAATGTATCCTATAAATGATTATTTTATACTGAATCCGCTTTGAATGATTCCCTCCTTCCTGCATGTTTGGGTTATATGCTCTTTGTGCGCACAATTGTGATACTCTGCATTTACCTCTATTGTTGTAAAGCAGATTTTTTTTTACACTAAAACGTGATCTCCTTAAAACAACTTATCTATATTTTCCCCAGGAAATAAACAATGTTTCACATATAAGGTGGCTCCCCTATAAAACTGAGAAACATACCAGGAAAAAATGCAACTGTGACATTATTATTTTTACTGGTGGTAGCTACGATGAAGTAGAAATACCACTGAACTTAGAAGTTTTGGTTCAGTACTAGCTGTGAAAACAAATTAAGACCACCCAAATGTGTAAAAACAGAGGCTAAATAGTTTTCCATAATATTCATAAATATTCAGAGCTTTCTATAGCAAAGGAGTAAGCCGCAATCACTTGTGTTTGGCAGAGATTCAAAGGCAAGCATGGAAATGGGAAAATGTTATAGTGAAAACAAAGGGAAGGCTTCAGGTGTGCCCTAATTGGATGTTTTGACATGGGAAAACTGTATTTGTGTTATCTAGAATTGTGGTTGGTTTGGGGAGCATAGTCAGTTTTCTCTAGTTGGTGCTGAGGTGGAAACGGACATAATGGAAAAGCTGTAAGTTGTTGTCCAAGTCCTGACATTCTGGGCCAATTGCTTTAGAGGTTGCGGTTTCTGGGCTGGTTGCTGCAGAGATTTTGGGACAGAGGTTCTACTGTTATATATGGTCTGACCATTGTTCATGGGTATGTTCTCTCTTTCATAGCTCAGCTGCTTAGCATGTGTGTGGCCCTTATGAGCACTGAACTATGTTACAGAGCTAATGAGGAACTTGAAGCTCAGGGAGAACAAGGCACAAACTTAAAGTTACATGTTTAATAAAGAGTTAAGTGTAAGAAGCAAGAGTGTTGGGTTTTGATCTAGAGCAATAGTTCTCAAAGTGCAGTTTTGGCTCCAGCAGCATGAGGTAACTTGGGAAGTTGTTAGAAATGCAAATTTTGGGCTCTAACCGAGGCCTATTGAATCTAATACTCTGGGGGTGGGGTTCAGCAATCTGTGTCTAAATAAGCCTTCCAGGTGATTGTGCTGCTTACACTTATATGACGAGTATGAGAACTGCTGATCTAGAGCTAGGTTCATTACACTGTGAAACTTTCCAGCTAGGGAAAAAGAATTCCCTAACCCTGAATATGCTCCTCTAGATGTCAACGGTATGATGGTTAGAGTGATTTGCTTAACAAGGATTAGAAATAATCACTATGTTTTAAGTGTGAGATGCTCAAGTTCTTGCAAGGGATTTGAATAAATTGAGCTTTATTAGGACTGATGAAATAAGGATACTTATATCCCTAAAGAACAGTTTAAGTTTGAACATGAAATAAATCAAAGGAAATTCTAGGCTTGGAATCTACAGATGCCATTAATTAGTAGATGAGGTGCTTGGTATTTAGATTGAGTTAGAATCTTAATTTGGGGGAAGTGACATTTGATACAGAATCCTGGCCTTGCAGAAACAGAGAAACCTTGCATGTCCCAACCACTCATTAAAAAAAAAAAAAAAAAAAAAGGAAAACAACACAATAAGAGGGCATCAAGTCTTTCATTCTTAATCATAGAACCCCACTTCCCCATGTCACAGACTTCAGTTTCACAAAGACAGTGTATTAGATGCTTTACATAAAATTAGAGGTGATTTAATCAGAAAATGGAAGCTGTTAGTACAAGAGACAGAAAAAATTTTTTAAATTGAAACATACATATCAAAATATAAGACTAAAATATATTAAAATGTTCTAATAATATAGCATTAGAATAGAAAAAATATTCTAAGGTAGGTCCACTTAATAAGTATTGAGACTTTTGCTGAAATCAATCATATCTCATAACCAGGAAAATAGTAGTAAAGCAGTAGGACTGTGATATGGCTTTGTCTCATGTGCTTTACATATGATTGATATGTAAACACACACACATATACATGTACATATAAATGTATATATACATATATATGTATTTATATGTGATATATATATATTTATTATTATCTTTGGGTGTGTATTCTCCTGCTTTTCTCAATCAAATTATTTCCCCACAAGGTGTTAGCAATATTTCTGATAGTGGAAGCCTGTATGCCTTATTTTAAATGGTGAAAAACGTGTTTTCAACCCATCTAAAAGCACAAAAAATTATCCAGGATATTAAATACTTTACCGCCTTATTTAGCAATCCACAAAATATTTCTGCTTAATATTATATGTTTGAATCATCACTTATTTAATCTATACTTTAAAATCCCTTTAATGAATGTGTTTGCATAGTGTGTAATGATTACGTACAATATATAAAACAAATTGCAATTTTTTTTGTATTCACTTCTCAGAATGCACAGACTTTGTGAATTACAGGAGTTTTTCTAAGGATTTGACCTTTCTACATTCTTGGATTCACTTACACTAACAGTTTTATATTTTATATAACACTGTAGGGAAGATGATATTGTCACCTTTGTCAACAACTTGACCTCAATACACAACCCAAGACACTATTCTAATCAGGGAATAGCTGAGAAACTAGTGCAAAACCATCTATATCCTCCCATCCAACTCATGCCCAACTCATTCAGTTTTACTGGCCCACACAAGCATACTCCTTAGAGTAGGGTTTGGATTTTAGAATCAGATGTTTAATTTTGTGTAAAATATTTCTTCAAGTCTTTATATTCCAAACTTTAAATTCAAAGAACATGTATCCTTTCAGTTGGAGAGGGAGAGAAAAAAAGAACACATACATATATGTTGTAGACACACATGGATATTTGTGTATATATCCCATGTATGTATGTGTGCACATGTATGTCCATTTATATGTACATTTAAGGATATACGTATATATACACAGATGTTCATGGTTTCTATTTGTAGATTACATAATGAGATAAATAGTAAATAAATATGTGATTGTACATTATCTTTACAAGGTACCACCTTTAATATGCTAGACAAAGTAAGGAGTCAGTGAAAATAATTCCCTTAAAAAGATTACAGTTTAATTAGGAGAGAGAGCATATAAACAGACAAGATATCTGACATAAATATTTAATTATCAAATAAAGAGATAAATACATTATACCAACACACTGGAAATAATATAAATCTTAACAACTAATAAAGTACAGCAATAAATGTATTAACATTGTATTATGGTGTTATAGCAACACCAGGAAGGGATCCTTTGCACAATAATTGAAGATGTTAGTGAAAGTTGCATGATGAAGGCAATGCATGAACAAAAAGGAATGAGGCATATGGAGAAGATAAAGAAATCTCCAACAGAAAGAGAAGTATACAGAAAAGATAGAGACAAGAGAAAGATGAACCACAGAAAATGTAGGTAATTGGTAAATCAGGATTTCTAAAGCATAGACTACGAGGCAGGGAGTGTCAAATGATGCATTGCTTAGGTAGAAAAAGATCTGTTTATAGTGAATCTTATATCTATTTTGACACAATGAGTCATATCTATTTGATCATGCTCTGTTGGTGGCAATAAATCTTTGGAGAGAAGAGGACCAGTTGAAAAGACAGTGTAGTGATTCCTGTGAAGAGTTTCAAGATTCAGAACTAAGGAAATGGAAGTAGGGGCATTGTGTAAGGAGAAAAGTTCAAAAAACATTTAGGAGGAAAGTCACTAGGACTTGACACGTATGTATATGTGTACATGAGGGGAAGGGTTAATGGCTGACAAAAGGCCCCCAGATTTCTAGGAGAATATCGATAATGTAAGAGAAGAAACTAGTTTGAGAGGGGAAGGATGAGTTGATTTCAAAACTATATCTAGTTTCAAATAAGAAATAGATGAGCCCTTCAAGGCAATGTCTTGTGTCCAAAAGTCCAGTTTGGAAATTTAATTATTTAGTAATGAGGGACAAAAATCCTGAGGGGAAACCCTAGTTGTTTCACTCTCTTGGCAGGCTAACTATGGGCAAGTGGTTTAGTTTCTCTCAGCCTTACTAAGATTTTCCCCCATAAAATGAAGTACAATTTGTTGTCCTCTTGTAAAGATAAAATGAGATCATTTCTATAAAAGTGTTATTTAAACTCTATGTTTTCCAAGAGTAAAGCCATGTTATCACCAGATTAAACAAGGCTCTGGCAGCTACATCCCACATTAATATTTGTTGGTCTCGCTAATTTATCAGTGGATGTATATGTAACCTTTAGGATAGGCTAAACTAAGGCAAAAAATGGCTTCAACATCAGATATGTTCCCTTAAACAGAAAAGGCAGATAACCACAAAGTAAAATATCTTTTAAGACCATGGAACTTAATTAGTAAGTCTACTTTGGGAATAGTAGAATATCCTGGTAGACCAATGTGTCTTCTACTGCATGAAAACCTAGGCCTACTATAAAAAAATACTGGAAGAAAACTGGGACTAATATATAAAAATTAAGATTCTGAAACAAAGGAAAGGCAGGAGTACTTATAGCAGATATTCAGAGACAGCAGATGAGTATGGCAGATACTCATAAAAATATTTCCATATGGCAGATACTGACACTATGACTAAGATGTTCCTGGAAAACCTATTTGCTATTATTAAAAAAAGACTTTTGATTGTAAGCTATCCTTTCATTGTTCTCTGACAATGCCCAAAAAGAAAACATCTTAACATTCATGAAAGTAAAGCCCATAAAGCACAAGAAGTTTCAGCATGTCCTTTGGGGAATGAGCAAGAAGCTCATTTCTCTTCTCTTCTCTTTCTCTATCAAGTCACTGATGGAAGAGAAACCTCCATTCCAGGCCATGAATTATGGTAGGAAGAGTGAGAGGACCAGTGGCAACTGTGAATAGAGTAGGGAGCAAGAGCCACATTCTGAAGCTATTCAACAGCAAAAGAGAAAATCGCTAGGCAGTCTAGGTGAAGAGTAACAGTGAAGAGTAGCTGCCAGAGCCTTGTTTAATCTGATGATAACATAGCTTTACTCTTGGAAAAAATAGAGTTTCAAGTGAAGAGAATAAGGTGTAGGAAAAGGCAATAAAGAGGGTTGGGTGTTCCAGTGATATTGTGAGAGATAGGCTGAGGGTAAAATTACAATCCACATGCTCAATTGCACTCCTTTCATTCTCAATAAAGTAGTTCTATTACATATATATTTACAATTGTTCCCAAATTGACACATTCCAAATGAGTAGAAATACCTTCCATTTGTTTTGAAAGCACATGACACAAAAATGACCACATGAGAATTCAGATCTTCTAGTTCTAATGAATGAAGAAAATTCAGAAATATCTCCTGATGAGGCAATTGAACTCTGTTATTACAAACATGAGTGGCTTATGCCTGTAATCCTAGCATTTTGAGGGTCCAAAGTGGGAGGATTGCTTGAGCCCAGGAGTTCAAAATCAACCTGGGCAACACAGTGAGACCTCATCTCTACAAAAAATTTTAAAACATAAGCCAGGCATGGTGGTGCATACATATGTACATTTAAGGACATATAGTATATATACACAGGTTTTCATGGTTTCTATTTGTAGATTACATAATGAGGTAGATAAATAGTAAAAAAAATATGATTGTACATTATCTCTACAAGGAACCACCTTTAATGTGCTAGACAAATGCGCTAGTCCCAGCTACGTGGGAGGTGGAGGCAGGAAGATCCTTTGAGTCTGAGAGTTTGAGGCTCAACTGCAGTGAAATGTGATTGCACCACTGTACTTGAGCCTAGGCAACAGAGCCAGACCTCATCTCAGAAATAAATAAATAAATAAATAAATAAATAAATAGTGAGTGTATTATTCATTTGGTTTCCAACTCTCTTAGGAATTAACATGCTATGGAAGAACAAACATTTGTTCTCTATATAATATCTGCAATATGGGCACAAGTAATGATGTAGGGGTAAAAATATGATTATTTTTTCTCACTACATATTTATCCTACCCGTCCTCTTTACCAGACTTCAAGCCAAATGTCAAATGGGAATGCTACTTGCTAGCAATGGGATCTTTGCATTCAAATGTGTCTAGTTTATCTTGGTTTCCAGACTTGTCCAGTATAGGAAAAGAGATCTTTATTCCCAGATAAAGAGAAATGCCAGTGCAAAGAAAGAGAAAAAACAAGTGGAAAGGAAATGATAATAAATGATACAATGGAAGAACACTATTTTGAATTGAACTTGCAAATTAATATTCAAAAGTGTGAATCATGTTCTATGTAGAAGGAAAATAAAATGAATATGTAATAGTTTTGATAAATTCAAATGCTTTAATAAAATTACTTTTTAATAAAATAAACTTACGGTCCAATAAAGACATATAGTTCCTTCATATTATTAAAGAAAAAAAATCTTAAATTAAGGATCAGAATGATACTTAATGGTAAATCACTAGGATATTAATTAAATACAATAAAAGAATAGAAAGAATACTACAATCACCACTGTAACTGAAGTGAGTTGGCATTGCTATTGCAAAGGCAACAATAGCATCATTGATCAGAATGGAGGAGTTCAAATCATAATTTTCTGCAGTGGATAAAATTTTTGACTAAGAGTAATATCTGTAAAACAATGGCAGAATTCAGAAAATTTTCAATAATATATTTTATTGTTTTAAATTGATAATTTTCTAACATTATGTTGAAAATATCTGATATATAATGAAAATGGGCAAAAATTAAAAACCAAGAAATGTTTTTAATTTTGAGAAATATGAGAAATACAACACTTTAATCAATATAAATATTAGAAAAGTAAATGGAGAGATAATGTTCTTGCACAGGAAGACAATATACTAAAAGTGGCATTTTTTCAAAATAATGTATATATTTAACAAAATTAAAAAACATTTTGTTTTACATTGTTTTTAAATTAAGTTCATATGGACTTACGTATATGGAAAAAAAAATTTTAACTTAAAAAGAGAGAAAAAGGAGAGATCGGCCTGTTACAGAAACAGGGTATAAAGTGACAAAAATTTAAATTATGTTGTAGTAGCAGAGAAATAGGCACTTAATGGGGTATATAAGAAAACACTAATGTGTAAAAACTAAATTATATAATAAAGGTGGTAGTCAAATTAATAAAAGTTAAAAATGTTATTTTATAAATGATATATGGAAATGTGACTGTTTATTTAAAAAATATTAGGTGCCTAAATCATACCATATTTAAAAATTAATTCTGGATTCATTATATTTTTATTTTTTGAAATTTAATAATGTACCAAAACTATGAAAGATTATTTATACAACTTTGATCTTTAGAATCATATCAAATAACTTTGTTTTTAAATTCTGTATAAAATACATTAATATTAGAAAAATTATAAAGCAAGCATATTTATTTGAAACTAAAACATGTGGATATATAAAAAATACTTGCATATATATACATGTATATATGTATAATACATGTACGTATACATGTTATATATATGCATGTATATATGTATTTATACAAAAAAACATGTATCAAGCATATCTATACACCACTGAATTCACCAGTTGCCAGAAGTATGATCATTCACCTTAAGATTAGCAAAGATCAAATTTCACATTGCATGCCTGTATCAAAATATCTCAGGTAACCCATAAATATATACACCTACTATGTACCCACAAATTTTTTTAAGTTTTTTAAAAATTAATAATTTTAAAGGAATATAATGAAAGATGTAAAGGAAAGAGACCCCTAAAGAAAATAAAAATTGGTATTTTTTCTGGATGGCCATTAATGCTAACTAGCAAGAGATTTAAAAGAGATAAGATTTGAAATCTTGATGTGACTTTAAAAAAAAGGAAAATAATTTGACAAATGCATAGTGAAATTACAATAGTAAAAAAAAAATAGAAATAACCAAAAGGGCTGGTATAGTAGATTGGTGCAATGATTGATGGATTATGGGCCAGGTGCAGTGGCTCATGTCTAATCCAGCACTTTGGGAAGCCTAGGCAGGAGGACTGCCTGAGCCCAGGTGTCTGAGACCAGCCTGGGCAACGTAATGAGATTCTGTCTCTACAATAAATAAATAAATGAGAATTATGGATTACGGTTTACCAACACAAATAAATACTCTTGAATCTTGTATAAAATTAATGACCTAGAGGAATATATAAAACTAACAGTAAACAAACCCATTTGGTTCTGTGGCAAATGTATACACAGCCTTAGAAAGACTCCTCTTCTGTAAAGCGTGCAGTAAATAGGTAGGTACTGGTAAGATAATTTAAGAAGTCATGATAGTTTAAAGAGGGAATATAGCAAACAATAATACATATTTTTGAAACATTTTGTTTACATTTTAAAAATTGTATGAATGTTCATTTTGTCAATATTTTTATTGCCAAGGTTTTGTCACTGAATATCATCCCTCCTCAACTGGAGTATCTGTTTTCTTTCTCCCCTAAACAATGTAAAGGTCAGAATGCTAGGAGACAAGTGATTCTGATTAAGAAAGTTGAGCAAAGTTTTAAAAGGCTGCAGATTATATTACCATTCCCGGTGAGCAGCAGTCCCCTTTCCTGTAAGGGAATTACACATCCACCATCCTCTCACCGATACACACCCTCCAACCACAACCCAGAGTTCTGTCCCTCAAGAGGCCTTCTTTTGGGAGAAGCACGTTTGGCAGCTTGCACTACACCCTGACACACTCATGACATGGGACAGGAGATGTCAGAGCTGAATGAAAGCTTTTTTTTTTTTTTTTTTTTTTCCAGACGGAGTCTCGCTCTGTGTCCCAGGCTGGAGTGCAGTGGCGCGATCTCGGCTCACTGCAAGCTCCGCCTCCCGGGTTCACGCCATTCTCCTGCCTCAGCCTCCCGAGTACGCGGGACCACAGGCGCCTGCCATCATGCCCGGCTAATTTTTTTTTGTTTGTTTTTGTTTTTTTGTATTGTTAGTAGAGACGGGGTTTCACCATGTTAGCCAGGATGGTCTTGATGTCCTGACCTCGTGACCCGCCCGCCTCGGCCTCCCAAAGTGCGAATGAAAGCTTTAAGAGGGCTGCTTGTTTCTGGCAGCTCTCAGGTTCTTCCTGTCTGCCTCAGAAGTGGCATATTCCACATACGGGCTGCATCTTCAGTCTGGACTCATCCTCTTCAAGATGAGACAGGTGGAGCAGAGCTGCCACCAACCTCCGGTGATTTCCACACAATGTAAGTGAAAAACTATTGTTAAAAGACACTAAAATGTGGGGGTAGTTTTTATCTCGGCATAACACAGTGGAAGCTAATTAATGCAGGTCTAATTACCAAGGTGTGGGCAGAAGAGAGGGAAACCAAACTGAGGAGCGTACTGCCCATAGGCCAGACAGTAGTGGACGCCAGGGCTCAGAAACGGAGCTGTGGGGACTGGGCTGCCAGAGCAGTGTTTGAGGGGTGCAGCCAGTTGTCCTCCCGTCACCTCCCCAGCAGCTTCACAAGTAGGAGTCTCAGTAACGAATGAAGAGTTTTGCTTTCACTGACTGGTTGTTTTACATTATGTAATGGGCTCTGTGAATTATTGCAGAGTTCGTACTGCCTTTTTTATCTTTGAATAAACCTGTTTCAAGATGGTGTCAGAAGGACAGCCGAACACTCAAGTGGGAGGGAGGGGTAAACTAAAACTTTATTACTTTAAGCAAATAGCAATAGAAAATTAGCCTTATAACAAGAGAAAACAAAATGTAACCAAAGCTCAGTAAAATGTAACCGGAAGCTCATAATACCACAGGAAGCCCTATCACGGGAGTCTGAAGGGAGATGCCCGGGAGCCTGCAGTCGTTAAGCAAGGCCAGGCGCGGTGGCTCACGCCTATAATCTCAGCACTTTGGGAGGCCCCGGGGGGCGGATCACCTTAGGGTCGGGAGTTCGAGACCAGACTGGTCAACATAGTTCACTCTACTAAAAATACAAAAATTAGCCGGGTGTGGTGGCGCATGCCTGTAATCCCAGCTACTTGGGAAGCTGAGACAGGAGAATTGCTGGAACCTGGAGGCGGAGACTGCAGTGAGCCGAGATTGCACCACTGCCCTCCAGCCTGGGTGACAGAGTGAGACTCCATCTCGAAAAAAAAAAGAAAAAAAAAGTGAGCAAATATCACAGCAAAAGCAGGTCTTAAGTAGGTATAAAAGAACTAACAATAGAAGACAACATGTAACCAAAGCTCACCAGACCGCAGGAAGAATCATCACCGGAGTCGGAAGGCAGACGGCCGGGGTCCTGCAGCTGGAGCTGGGGCAGCCCCCAGCACACGACCACAGCAGCCTTCAGCTCCTCCTTCGTGTAAGCTCCTTTTATTAAGTCCAGTTGTTACTTTGAGCACCGTCTGTTGTTTGCTCAGGAGGGCCATTCCGAGCAAGCAACATTGAAACAATCGCTCCAGGAGCGGTGTTCCGGGAGCAGCGTTCCGAAACGTACTCCAGGACTTGAACAATCGTTCCGGGGGAGTGTCCCAGGACATGTTCCAGGACTTGAGTTAATTTCTGGACTTTCAGCCAAATCTTACACAAGCCGTTTACCTTTTCACCTCAGGTGGCTCTGCCTCTTACAGATGGGGGCATATTTTAAAATGGCGTTAGTGTGACCAATTTTTCTCTTCCTACAAAACCTTAGAGAAAAATCTGAAACTAGCTTACCCTCAAAATATATAAAGAAAATTTAGGGTTTGTATTTTTATATTAGCATCATTCCTGTATTCATTTGTTGTTCCAGCCTTTCTATTATTTATATTTTTTTCTTTTTAAAAATTATTATATACAAGCATGCATTGTTTAAGGTAGATATAAGCTTCATAATGGACTTAAGATGTGTTTTATAACAAGTGATATATATGAACATATGAACACATGAAAAATAAAGTATGTGATTATGGAGCACTTTACTATAAGACACACATACTTTTACGTCACACAATGGATACTCCATAATCACATACTCCCAGTAGGTAGGACTGTAGGTGTGAGCCACCATGCTGGGCTTTATATATATTTAATGCTTTCAAAAGCCCTGAGATCAATGTTATTATACAAATATATCAGATGAGGAAATCAATTCTTATAGATGTTAACCAGCTTGTCCAAGATGGTGGCCACCAAGCAGGTGGCAGAAATGGAGAAGACTCAAGGATTTGTGACTCCAAAAGTTCTCTCTTACCATGAGGATTCTTAATTGTCCAACTCTTTACTATATATGTGAAGCTGATTATGATTGAAGGTCAGTGGTGGTAATAACCTCATGTAACGACAACTAAGAGCAATCAGGTACCTTTGAATATGTTATATTTTTCTCTAGTCTATGCCAATTTGTGCCTCTAAATTAAAGCTCTTTAACGTCACATGTAACCCATCACAAAACCAAATATTCTTGGGTACCCCTAACATGTTTTCCCAAGTGCTTTGATCACAAAGTTTCAAAGCCATGCCAAGTTTTCCTCTGATTGCATGGCATGAAGCCCTTAGTAGCTTTTATTTTTGTCTTTTGCAAATAAACAAATTCCTGGAACAGGAAAGCAAATCAAAAATGAAAGCCCGTTTGTAAGAATGCCAAAACAACTTGTTGTTTATCCTTGTTCCTATCACTCTTTTAATTCTTCACAGATAGAAACAATGACATTGACTGGAAGTAATTTACGCAGAATATTAGATAGAAATAACAAGCAGATAGATGGCTTTGCAGAACAAATGTATAAATCTTCATAAGTCTAATGCTTGATTGATCTCAACCAAATTATTAGCTAGCATAAATTGAGTTTACAAATGTCAGGCATTTTACTGAGCATTATATACATTGTATACATTATTTGATCATGTTTACAGAAACAGTGCAAAGCAGTTACCATTGTTGTTAGCATTTTACAGATGAGGAAACAGAGTGGGACATAAATCATTTTCTGTCCAAAATAATGCAACTAGGAATTGGCGTTGTCAGAACTCAAGCACAGACAGTATGTCAGAATTTATATTATTATGACATCCAGCTCATCTGTACTCGAACTGAGACACTATCACTCTGTTCTCACACTGCTATAAAGATACTATCTGAGACTGGGTAATTTATAAAGGAAAGAGGTTTAATTGATTCACAGTTCCCCATGGCTGGGGAGGCCTCAGGAAACTTTCACTTATGGTAGAAAGTGAAGGGGAAGCAAGGCACATTTTACATGGTGTCAGGAGAGAGAGAGTGAGAAGGGGGAAGCACCAGATATTTATCAAACAACGAGATCTCATGAAAACTCACTATCATGAGAACATCATGGGGGAAATCTGCCCCCTTGATGCAATCACCTCCCACCAGCTGCCTCCTTTGACACACGGGGATTACAATTCGAGATGAGATTTGAGTGGGAACACAGAACCAAATTATGTCAAACATCTTATTGAGACACATATGTAACCCAGAGGACATATTATTGTCTCAGAAGGGAGTGAATTAAATAATGTGTTTAGTACCTCTACTTTTCCATTGTTTTTTTTCAAAATTTCGGTCTTAGAAAATTCAACGGTATTCTGTTTTTAATTAGCTTAGTACATCTATCATTTCCTTCATTTCATTTCCTTTCCAAGGCATATGATTAAATTTATCATTTCTACAACTGTTAATATAGATCTAGATTTCTTTAGATTCCTGATGTGTCAGTTAAAATTAAAAGTCTTCCTCATCCACTTTTCCAGTGATTAGTCCTGATATCTTGAACTATCATCCTCCTTTATGTGCTTTGCCATAAAAATTTATTCAGAAGTGAGTTAACAGTGGAAGACTGAAAACTTTTATTGGATGGTTTTGGAAACAATCTCTCTCTCTCTCTCTCTCCTCTCTCTTTTTCTCTACTGAGAACACTTACTCTCAGTTGATGCTGTTAACCATCTTACAAACACAAAGATAAAAATAAAAACAGTAATCAAGACAGTCTGGTATTGATAAAAGAAAAGATTAATAGATCAATGGAACAATACAGAGCCCAGAAATATGCCCACACACATACAGTTGACCACTGAACACCATGGGTTTGAATTGTATGGATCTGCTTATATATGAACTTTTTCTGCCTCTGCCACCCCTGAGAGAGCAAAACCAAACCCTCCTCTTCCTCCTCCATCTCAGCCATCTCAATGTGAAGAAGATGAGAATGAAAACCTTTATGATGATCCACTTTAACTTAATGAAAAATAAATATATTTTCTTTTTCTTACGATTTTCTTATAATTTACTTTTCTCTAGCCTACTTTATTGTAATATTGTAATATGAATGCATATAACATACAAAATATGTGTTAATCAACTGTTTATGTTGTCAGTCAGGCTTCTGTTCAACAGTAAGCCATTAGTAGTTAGGTTTTGAGGAGTCAAAAGTTACAAGTGGATTTTTCATTCCATGGAGGTTAGCAACTGTCATGAGAAGGACCCAGTGAGAGGTAATTGAAACATAAGGGCAGTTACCCTCATGTTATTCTCATGATAATGAGTTCTTTCGAGATCTGATGGTTTTATAAGGGATTTTTTCTTCTTTGACTGACACTTCTCTTTCCTGCTGCCCTGTGAAGAAGAACATGTTTACTTCCCCTTCCACCACGATTGTAAGTTTCTGGAGACCTCCCCAGCTATGCAGAACTGTGAGTCAATTAAACATCTTTCTTTTCTGTTTTTTTTTTTTTTTTTTTTTTTTTTTTTTGAGACAGAGTCTTGCTCTGTCACCCAGGATGCAGTGCAGTGGCACCATCTTGGCTCACTGCAAGCTCCACCTACTGGGTTTACACCATTTTCCCATCTCAGTCTCCTGAGTAGCTGGGACTACAGATACCCGCCACCAAGGCTGGCTAATTTTATTTTTGTATTTTTAGTAGAGACGGGGTTTCACCATGTTAGCCAGGATGCTCTCAATCTCCTGACCTCGTGATCCGCCCGCCTCAGCCTCCCAAAGTGCTCAGATTAGAGGCATGAGCCACTGTGCCAGGCCAACATCTTTTCTTTATAAATTACTCAGTCTTGGGTTTGCCTTATAGCAACATGAGAATAAACTGATGCAGTAAATTCATACCAGGAATGGGGTGCTGCTATAAAGATACCCGAAAATGTGCATGTGACTTTGGAACTGGGTAACAGGTTGAGGTCGGAACATTTTGGAAGGCTCAGAAGAAGATAAGAAAATGTGGGAAAATTTGGAACTTTCTAGAGACTTGGAGGGCTCAGAAGACAGGAAGATGTGGGAAACTTTGGAACTTCCTAGAGTCTTCTTGAGTAGCTTTGACGGAAATGATCAGAGTAATATGGACACTGAGGTCCAGGCTAAGGGGTCTCAGATGGAGATAAGGAACTTGTTGGGAACTGGAGTAAAGGTCACTCTTGCTATGCAAAGAGACTGGTGGCATTTTGCCACTACCCTAGAGATCTGTGGAACTTTGAACTTGGGAGAGATGATTTAAGGTATCTGGCAGAAGAAATGTCTACAGGGAAAGCCTTAGAGAAAGTAGACTATAAAAGTCTGGAAACTTTGAAACCTAATGATGTGTTGGAAAAGAAAACCCCATTTCGGAGAGAAATTGAAGCTGGCTACACAAATTTGCATAAGTAATGAGGAGCTGAATGTTAATCACCAAGACAATGGGGAAAATGTCTCTATGGCATGTCAGAGACTTTTGTAGCAGCCCCTTCCATCACAGGCCCAGAGGCCTAGGAGGGAAAAATTATTTCATGGGCCAAGCCCAGGGTCCCCCTGCTCTGTGCAGCCATGTGACATGGTGCCCTAAATCCCAGGTGCTTCGGCTCCAACGGTGGCTAAAAGGGACCAATTTACAGCTTAGGCCATTACTTCAGAGGTTGCAATCCCCAAGCATGGGCAGTGTGCACATGGTGTTGGGCCTGCAGGTACACGGAAGTCAATAATTGAGGTTTGGGATTTCAGGGGGTGTATGAAAATGCCTGAATGACTAGGCAGAAGTTTGCTGCAGCAGCAGGGCCCTCATGAAAAACCTCTGCTAGGGCAGAGTGGAAGGGAAATGTGGCGTTGGAGCCACCACACAGAGTCCCTAATAGGGCACAGCCTAGTGGAGCAGTGAGAAGAGGGCCACTGTCTTCCAGACCCCACAATGGTAGTAGATCCACCGACAGTTTGCATTATGCACCTGGAAAAGCCACAGACACTCAACATCGGCTCAAGAAAGCAGGCGGGAGGGGGGCTGTACCCTGCAAAGCCACAAGGGCAGAGATGCCCAAGGCCATGGGAGCCCACCTCTTGCATCAATGTGCCCTGGATGTGAGACATGGAGTCAAAGGAAATCATTTTGGCATGTTACGGCTTAATGACTGCCTTCTTGGATTTCAGACTTGCATGGCACCTGCAGGCCCTTTGTTGTGGCCAATTTCTCCCTTTTGGATCAGGTGTATTTACCCAATGCCTGTAACCCCACTGTATCTACGTATTTACTAACATGCTTTTGATTTTACATGCTCATAGGCAGAAGCGACTTGCTTGTCTCAGTTGCAACTTTGGATATGGAATTTTGTGTTGATGCTGGAATGAGTTAAGATTTTGGGAGACTGTTGAAAGGCCATGATTGTGTTTGAAATGGGAGGACATGAGATTTAGGTGGGACCAGGGATGGAATGATATGGTTTGGCCATGTCCCCACCCAAGTCTTACCTTGAATTTAGTTCCTATAATGCCCGTATGTCATGGGAGGGATCCAGTGGAAGGAATTGAATCATGGAGGCAATTGCCTTCATGTGTTCTCGTGATGGTGTGTTCTCATGAGATCTAACGGTTTTATAATGGTCTTTTCCCCCTTTGCTCAGCACTTCTCTCTCCTGCTTCCCTGTAAAGAAGTATGTGTTTTCTTCCCCTTTCATCCCTATTATAAGTTTCCTGAGACCTCCCCAGCCATATGGAATTGTGAGCCAATTAAACCTCTTTCCTTTATTACATGGTCTTGGATATGTTCTTAGAGCAGTGTGAGAATGGACTAATACAGTGACCCTAACCTCTGTGTTCTTCAAGGATCAATTGTGTAGTCAATTTGTCTTTTACAAAGTATCAAAGGAAATACAATGAAGCCAAGATTGTCTTTCCAAGAAGTGGTGCTAGCACCACTGGACATCCACAGGGGGAAGAAAAAGGATCCAAGCAGAGACCTTACATATTTCACAAAAAGTATCTTAAAATGAATCATAGTGTAATCCCAGCACTTTGGGAGGCTGGGGCGGGTGGATCACGAGGCCAGGAGATCGAGATCATCCTGGCTAACACGATGAAACCCCGTCTCTACCAAAAATACAAAAAATTAGCCGGGTGTGGTAGCAGGCGCCTGTAGTCCCAGCTACTCGGGAGGCTGAGGCAGGAGAATTGCTTGAACCCGGGAGGCGGAGGTTGCAGTGAGCGGAGATTGTGCCACTGCACTCCAGCCTGGCGACACAGTGAGACTCCGTTTCAAAAAAAAAAAAAAAAAAAAATATGCCAAAGACCTTAACAAACATCTCACCAAATAACGTAAACAAATGGCAAAGAACCACATGAATACATGCTCCACATCATATTTGATAAGGAAAATGCAAATTGAAATAACAGTGAAATACAAGTTGGAAGTGGGAGGTAAGGATGAATAGTTGGAGAAAAGGGGATTTTTAGGTCAGTGAAAATACTCTGAAAGAGAACTATAATAGTGAATAAATGTCATTATACATTTGTACAAATCCGTAGAATGTTCAACACTCAAGAGTTAATGCTAACTTAAATGATAGACTTTGGATGATTACGATGTATCACCTAAAATATATCATGTATATTATGATGTATCATATGTAAAATATCATATGTAGAACACCTTGTGGTGTGCCAGTTGCTAAACAAATAAATATCACATTTAATGGATGAAAAGCAATTCCATCTCCAGTAATCTCCTCCCAACTAAGTCCACCTGGCTCCAGACATGTCCTTTCTTGTGGCATGGATTTTGACACTAAAAAGTCATATTGGTTTATATTTTTCCTTTGATAGTATTTTCAAGGACTAAGCTTCTTTTGTCTCTAGTAAAATAGTATTCTTTTTGAGAGGAACTTGGCTTTCCCTGTACTGTAAGCTTTCATAGCACTCGAAGCAAAGTTCTTTATAGAGAAATAACTTGATAAATCACTGTTTCTTTACAAATAAATGTATAATGTGAGAATACTGCACACAAGAGTAAAGCAAGCTCTAAGAGACATTCAGAAAAATACCTTTTTTACCCAGTGTTATTAATTATTCTCGAGTTTACTAACTGTCATGCCCATGAAATCCTATTGTTAACTTGAGATTTCCTAGTCATTGTGAAATTATAGAGGAAAAAGAAGAAATATATTTTCAGCAATGACTGTGCACTGGGCACTGGTATATGCCATGATATATTTGACATGTTTTAACTCCCAGAACATTAATTCTTTATTTCTTCATTTACACAATCATTCAACAGATATTTATGAGCCAAAGACATTGTGCTAGACCCTGATAAACTGCTGTCTGTATGTTGCCATATTATTTAAATTAGCAAGTCATTATGTGATAATTATTGTATAATTATTGTTTCTATTTACATAAAGAAAGAAATTAAGTCATTTGCACCTTGTCATACAAACCATACATGGTAAACTATTTCTTTTTTGCACTGAAAAAGCAAACTCTCAAATTTATGCATTCATTTATTTATTATTGATACACAGTGTTCATACATATTTATGGAGCACATGTAATATTTTGTTACATACATAGTATGTGTAATGATCAAGTCAGGATATTTGGGGTTTCCATAACCTGGAGTATTTAACATTTCTATGTGTTGGAAACATTTTAAGTCTTTCTTCCAACTATATTGAAATAAACAATATATTGTTGTTAAATATAGTCAGCCTACTCTGTTATCACACATTAGAACTTATTCCTTCTATCTTTGTGATATGGTTTGGCTATGTCCCCACCCAAATCTCATCTTGAATTCCCACATAGCCAAACCCTCTTTATACTCCTTCACCTCACAGGCCCTTTGATATCTATCACTGTACTCCCTACTTCATCAATTCAACTTTTTTAGCTCCCACATATAAGTGAGAAAACATAATATTTGTCTTTCTGTGCCTGGTTTAGTTTGCTTAACATAATGATTTCCAGTTCCGTCCATGCTGCCCAAAAGACATGATGTCATTCCTTTTTAATGGCTGAACAGTATTCTATTGTGTATATATGCCAAGTTTTCTTTATTCATTCATCTGTTGATGGGCACTCGGATTGATTCCATGCCTTTGCTATTGTGAATAATGTTACAATAAATATGGCAGTGCAAGTATGCCTTTGATACATTAATTTCTCTGCCTTTGGATACATACCCAGTAGTGGGATTGCTGGATAGTATGGTAGTTCTATCTATGACTTTTTGAGAAATCACCATTATGTTTTCCATGGTGCTATACTAATTTACATTCCCTCCAAAAATGTATAATAGTTCCTTTTTCTCTACATCCTCACCAACATCTGTTGTTTTTTGTCTTCTTAATAATAATTATTCTAACTAGGATAAGATGATGTCTCATTGTGATTTTTACTTGCATTTCACTGATCATTAGTGATGTCGAGCATTTTTCTCATATACCTGTTGACCATTTGTATGTCTCCTTTGGAGAAATGTTTATTCATGCCCTGTGTCCCCTTTTTGATGAGAGTATTTGATTTTTTCCTGTTGAGTTCCTTGTATATTCCAGATATTAGTCCCCTGCTTAATGAATTGTTTGCAAATATTGTCTCTCATTCATCAGATTGTCTGTTCAATCTGTTGTTTCCATTGCTATGCAGAAACTTTTTAGTTTAATATAGTCTTGTAGTAATTATTGCCTCATAATATGAGTTTGGGAGTATTCCCTCCTCTTCTGTGTTTTGGAATAGTTTGAAGAGTATCAGCATTAGTTCTTCCTTGTAAGTGTAGCAGAATTCAGTGGTAAAGGCATTGGGTCCTGAACTTTTCGTTGTTGGGAGGTTTTTTCATTATTATTACAAATTCAATCTCATTACTCATTATTAGTATGCATCATTATATTGTTTATTTCAAATCTTTTTACTTTTTTGATGTAGGTGTTTATTACTATAAAGTTTCTTCTTAGTACTGATTTTGCTGCATCCTAACTTGGTATGAGTTTTAATTTTCATTTATTTCATGGATTTTTTTTTTTAATTTTCTTCTGAATTTATTTCTTGACCCAATGGTCATTCCGGAGCATGCTGTTTAATTTCTATGTAATTGTGCTTCCAAAGTTTCTCCTGTTATTGATTCTGGTTTTATTATCTTCTGGTCTGTGAATATAATTAACATGATATCAATTTTTAAAGCTTTGTTGAAACTTGTTTTTCACCTAATAAATGATCAGTCCTGGAGATTGGAGGGAATATTCTGTAAATGTCCTTTATGTTCATTTGGTCTAAAGTTTGGTTAAATCCAATGTTTATTTGTTAATTTTCTGTCTAGATGACCTGTCTAATTCTGGCAGTGGGGTTTTGAAGTCCCAAACTATCATGACATTGGAGTCATTGGAGTCTATCTCTCCCTTTAAATTTTTGTTTGTTTGTTTGTTTGTTTGACAGAGTGTTTCACTCTGTCAGTACCAGGCTGGTACTTGCTTTGTCCTCCTGCTGCAGCCTACTGAGTAGCTGGAACTGCAGGTCTGCACCACCATGCCCAGCTAATTTTTATGTATTTTGTAGAGACAGGGTTTCACCATGTTGCCCAGGCTGGTCTTGAACTCCTAGGCTAAAGGGATTTACCTGCTTCAGCCTCCCAAAGTGCTAGGATTACAGGTGTGAGCCCCGACACTCAACCCACTCTTTTTTTTTTTTTTTTGTTTGTTTGTTTGTTTCAGACAGAGTCTCCCTCTGTCACCAGGCTGGAGTACAGTGGCGTGATCTCGGCTCACTGCAACCTCCACCTCCCGGGTTCAAGCGATTCTCCTGCCTCAGCCTCCTGAGTAGCTGGGATTACAGGCGTGTGCCACCACACCCAGATAATTTTTGTATTTTTAGTAGAGACGGGGTTTCACCATGTTGGCCAGGATGGTCTCAACCTCCTGACCTCGTGTTCCATCCACCTCGGCCTCCCAAAGTGCTGGAATTACAGGTGTGAGCCACCACACCTGGCCTCAACCCACTCTTTTTAAATCTAATATTTGCATTATGTATATAGGCACTCTGGTGTTGGGTGTATATATATATATATATATATATATATAAAATTGAGAATTGTTATATACCCTTATTGGAATGATACCTGTTATTATGGAATGACTTTCTTTGTCTCTTTTTAGTGTTTTAGAAGTAAAGTCTGTTATATCTATTAGAAGTATAGCTGCTCCTGTGGATTTTTAGTTTCTCTTTTTATGGAATATCTTTTGCTATCCTTTAATTTTTAATGTATATGTGTATTTACAGGTGAGATGAGTTTCTTATAGCAGCATATAGTTGGGTTATTTTTAAATCCATTCAGCCAGTCTATATTATTTATGTGGAAAGTCTAATTTAGTTACATTCAAGGTTATTGTTGATATGTGAGGGCTTATTTGTGTCATTTTATTCATTTATTTACGGTTGTTTTGTTTATTTCTTTCCCTTATTGTTTATCATTGTGACATGGTGATTTTCTGTATTAGTAACATTTGAATCCTTTCTTTTCCTTATTGGTGTCTTTGGTCTACCAGTGTGTTTTGTACTTTTAAGTGTTTTCATAATGGTAGTTATCCTCCTTTTATTTCTGCTTATAGGACTAATGTAAGCATTTCTTGTTGAGCTGGTCTAGTGGTGGTGAATTCTCTCAGCTAACATTTGTATGAGAAGTACTTTATTTCTCCTTCATGTATGAAAGTTAGCTTTTCTGGATATAACATTCTTGGTTAGGAGGTTTTTTTGTTTTTCTTCCAGCACTTTTAGTATGTCATCTGATTTCCTGGCCTGTAAGGTTTCCACTGAAAAATCTACTGTAAGTCTGATATAAGTTCCCTTATAAGTGACTAGACATTTATCTCTTACTGTTTTAGAGTTCTTTTTTGTTTTGACTTTTGACAGCTTGACTGTAATGCACCATGGAGAAAACCTTTTTGTTTGTGCTTGTTTGGGGACCTTGAAGCTTCCATATCTAAATGTCTAAATCTCTTGCTAGACTTGGGTGTTTTTCAGCCATTATTTTGTTAAATAGGTTTTCTGTTCCTTTCATTTTCTCTTTGCCTTCTGGAACACCAATGCATCAACATTGGATCACTTTGTGGTGTCCGATATGTCATGTAGGCTCCATTTCTTCTTAGTCTTTTTAACTTTTGTCTGACTAGATAATCTTAAAAAAAACTTATCAAGTTCTAAAATTCTTTTTTCTGCATCATCGAGTCCATCGTTAAAGTTTTTGAATGTATTTTTTATTTCCCTCACTGAATTCTTCAATTTCATGATTTGCTTGATTCTTTTTGATAATGTCTAACTTTTTGGTAAGTTTATTATTCATATCCTGAATTATTTTTTCTGAACTGTTAGTATAGCTTTTCTGAGTCCTCTGGAAATTCAATGACATTTTTTAATGTCATTATTTTGAACTATTTTTCTGGAATTTCATAAACTTTTTTATTGGCATATTTTGTTAGAGAAGTATTGTGTTCCTTTAAAAGTATCATATTTCCTTGCTTTCTAATGTTTATTGTGTCCTTACATTGTCCTTATATCTGTACACCTGATGTAATAGTTGACTCTATCAATTTCTTGAATTTGCTTTTATACTGGGGGACTTTTTCCTAAAGACGTGTCCATGGTGTTTGTTGTGCATGGTACTTTGGCTTTGTTTCTTAGTATGTGCAGTAGGGTAGTCCTGTATGATTTATTTGGCTGGAAATAGCATCAGTTATGTCTGTGATTTCCTCAATGGCTTAGGGTACAGTTGTTAGTGGAGGCTGTATTAGTGAAGTTTTGCTGGGCACAGGGACATCAGGCAGGCCAGTCCTTGGGTTGCAATGGTGGCAGCAATAGACCAAATATGCCTGTAGTTAGGCCCTAGGACAACAAATGCTGGCACTGGTGTTAGTGAGTCCAGGCAGGCTTATTCTTGGACTTCCATGTGGCTTGCTCAGGTGCTGGCAGTGGCAGTGGTGATCTGGATCCCTAAGCCCCTAAAGCAGTAGGTGTGGATTGGCAATGACAATAGCAGTGGTGGGACAATCCTCTGGCTCCCGAGCAATCCATGTTGTTGTTGATGGTAGCTGCCCAGTACTCAGGCCCCTAGTTGGTGCATGCATGTGACTGACAGCTATTATGGTAGTGGCAGGCTCTGCAGGCCTGATCTCAGGCCCCAGGGAGGAATGTTCAGGTGTTAATGATGGTGAATGTGGTGAGGATATCTCCAGGCCCCTAGATGGTATCCTCCAGGGGGCAGGTTTGGGTGTTTGAAGCCTGGGTGGGTGGGCCTTTCCTACACAACAGTGTGTGTAGGAACTTACTGTGGTAGGTAAGTAAAGATGACGCCCAGGACTAAAACACAATGTGAGGATGGTGGTATCAGTGTCTACACTGTGGTCCTGCTTCCAGGAAGGGCAAAGTTGATCTTAGTGGCAGCAGTTATGTATAGGTGACTGGAGAGCATGTACTTTGGCCCGATGTGGTGGCTATAAGTGGGGTAGCCTTTTCTCAGAGCACTTTTAAATGTGCTTTGGCCCTGGAGGCAGTGGGTTTACTACCAATGTCTTGTACTTTGGCCATGGTGGCAACAGCCAGAGCAATGCCTTGCTGTGAGCAGAGGAAATCAATGAATCCCCAGAGATGGGGAGATGTAGTAGTGGTTGGGCCCTAGGACAGTCTGATAGGGGTTGGGCTCTCAAAATGGCACCTAGCTGTAGCTGCTTAGATCTCAAGATAAGGGTGGGACCCAGCATGAACTTCTTTCTGGAACAATGCAGTCACACCATGACCATGCAGTTCCCTATGTTAGTCTCAGAGCCCACATGGGTCAAGGGACTCTCTGGTGGCTAGGATTGTAGGAGTCTGTGGTGGGAATGTGGATAGCTGTGAGTCACTCACTTACCCCTGCCCCACATTGGGGACCCTTTCCAGGCTCCCAGCCAATCCTGGCCGAGCAGGCTGCCTCACTTCCCTCTCCTTCCTTGACTTAGACATTTCCTGTCACTTCTCTGTTGAATACCAATATTCTCTCTTAGATGATCTACCCGAACTGTAAGTATTTACTTGGTATTTTGGTTCTTCTTTGTGGCTCTCATCAGCCATTTTGAAGTCCCTTTATAAGTGGTAGACAGTTAGAACAGGGGTACTTGAAGGATACTATGGGGAACAAGATGTAATCTCTGCCCTTACATAAGATTTAGGTAAGTAGCACAAGTTACACTATCCAAAATATACTCAATGGATATTTGTTGAATGTAAGTGATTATAAACCCAGGCATATTTTCTTTTACTTTTCATGTCTTTTTCATTATGCATGGCTGCATTCAAGTAATCCACCGTTCAGTCATTATTCTGAAAATATTTGTGTTTTTGGGGGGCATAGTCAGGTTCTAGTCTACTAATATATTCATTTAAATTAAAAACTCATTTTAATGTCTCTTGATTTGATAATAAAATAAAAGCCTATTAATTTTAATTTAATTTTATTTTACTGTTTTAATTTGCAAAGTACTTCATAATTTCAACTTACATCTTTCCTGTAAGATGAAATTAATAACCCAAGTCAAATGGAAATAAAACCAGATATAAGCCATATACATTTAATTAGATTAGAGTAAACAAATGAACTAGAGGGCTGTCCTGTCCCACCAGATTACCAACAATTTTGATTCAAAATAAGGGTAATTAGCTATCCAAAATATTTTTGAGAAAATAAACAGAAAAAGAGCTAAGAATTATTAAAGTGGGCCAGCAAACAACAATATCAGTATGGATAAGATTCCAGTCCAATGAATGATATGGAATAGTTTGTTTTTTCCATACCTCAACCTCAAAAATTTCTTATGATTCCACTACACACTAATCTACTTTAATAGTTTTTCTAGATCTGGCACCTATTAATTTAGTCATACTTCACATAAAGGTAGTTAAATTAGTGATTATCACCCTGTTGTCCATTGGATAATTTAGGAGATTTGCAATGCCCCAAAAGTCATATATACACGTTTTTAGATATATGCGTATACACTGTTATGAAGATATCTTCTGTGGCTTTCTTTCTATTTTCAAGTGAATCCATGATCAAATCTAGTTAAGGAACACTGATTTACTTAGTTTATTCTTGCCTTCATCAAGCTTCAATATTTGCCCATGAGTTCTTATTGTATGTTAAATCTGCAGACTGTAACCAGATGCCCTGCATTTTAAATTCCTGCTGTAATGTAATGCCCTTATGTTACAGTGGACATGTGACTTAAGTATGTTAATTAGGTATAATAATAATACCTATGCTATAAGAGTATTGAAAATATTAAGTGACTTAATGAAAGTACAATGCCTACATTAGTACCTGTAACAATGTACAATATAAGAATAAGAGTTGGCTGGGTGTGGTGGCTCATGCTTGTAATCCTGACACTTTGGGAGGCTGAGGTGGGTGGATCTCTTGAGATCAGGAGTTCAAAACCAGCCTGGCAAACATGGCGAAACCCTGTCTCTACCAAAAATACAAAAAAAAAAAAATTAGCCAGGTGTGGTGGCAGAGGCCTGTAATCCCAGCTCCTTGGGAGGCTGAGGCAGTATAATTACTCGATTCTGGGAGGTGGAGGTTGCAGTGAGCTGAGCTGAGATTGTGCCACTGCACTCCAGCCTGGGCAGCAGAGTGAGACTCATTCTAAAAAACAAACAAACAAAAAAAAAAAACAGTTATGCAAGGACTATGAAAACGTAAGACAATATTGTATAAGAGTAACTATTATGTCATTCTTACTCTAAAAGCCCATGATGCCACCATGCATTGAAGTGCTATATCCACATGATGCTCTCCAGAGCACTTGCACTTGGAATTGCTATAGATATTTAATAAAAACTGTTAAAAGAACAAATAAGCTTGAAAAATACTGCATATTTTTCTTCCTGAAGATTCATAATACATACTAGTATATTATGGCCTGTGAAGATTTCTTAAATAAATATGTTTAACATTTTTTAATCATATATTTTCCACCACAGAAACCTTTTGTGGAGTAAAGACCTATTATTTGCTTGTGGAGTTCCTAATTTAAGTAACATAATCCTACTCGATGGTAGTCACTTCACTGCAGATAATGAGATGGTCCCAAAGTCTAGCTTATTCTTCAATTAGTATCATATAAAGATGAACTTAACCACAGTATTTGATACAGTAATTTCCAAGGTTGATTGGGTCAACTACAGAGCTCTTTATTCTTGGAACGCTGGGAAAAACAGAACAGCCTCTCTCACACACGTAAAATGCACACACATACAGATTTCATGGGAAATTGTCTGGACTTGGAGTTCTGATCATAAATCATGTTAGGAAAGAACAGAGTTAAAGCTAACTGGCTAGCAATCTTAACATTTTTATAGTTTACTGTAGCTACTTGAGCTACAGAATCAGCCAGATATTAGATACTTACCAGAACCAGCATCAAAATATGTGGTTTAAATGGACGATGTAATGCGTTTGTCAATTCTATCTTTGGGATATTTATATTCATTTTATATTTTTTCATCAAAAGTAAGTGATTCTTAGAGATGCATAGATTAATACAAGGCATATTATTCAAGATTTCTAAAAAACACACCACGTTAGTTTCGTACAGCTTCCATAACAAATTAGCACAACTCGGTGGATTAAAATGACAGAAATTATTATATTACGGTTATAAAGGCTAGAAATTAAAATTCAAGGTATCAGCAGGGCCATGCTGCTTCTAAAGGATCTGGGGAAAATAATGCCAGTTTCTGCTCCACCTAAATAGATTTTTCTGAATAACTCTGTCTTCTTTCTCCTCCTATACGGAAAGTGGTCATTGGATTTAGAGCCCAATCTAAATTAAGTATGATTTTTATCCCCAAATCCTTAACTAAATACATCTGTCACGACCCAATTTCAACATAAGGTCACACTCTGAAGCTAAAGTGGTCATTAAGTGAACAGGGAGCAGTATTTAGCCAACTACAATATCTCCTAACAAATATACCATTAATTTTTAGTATTTGGAGAGGCTATTTGGGTAATTAGGATTCTTATATAGTTAACGTTATACAGTTAGTCTTTTGTCCAGTTAACATGGACATTGGTAAAATTTTTAAAAAGTGGAAATGTAATCTGATCTTTGCATTACACTATGAAAGAATGCAGAACACATCTAGGCACATGAGCTCAAGAACTTCAGGGACATATAGTTTCAGATAATTTGATAAAGCCTAAAATATGGTATATATATAACAACACAATTCATGTGCAATAAAAGGAAAGAGATTGTTTTGATAACAGCTTGAAACTTGCAGAGATCATACACTTTTATTTATTTTTTCTTTTTGAGACGGAGTGTTGCTCTGTGGTCCAGGCTGGAGTGCAGTGGCACTATCTTGGCTCACTGCAAGCTCCGCCTCCCAGGCTCATGCCATTCTCCTGCCTCAGCCTCCGGAGTAGCTGGGACTATAGGTGCCCACCACCATGCCTGGCTCATTTTTTTTTTTTTTTTGTATTCTTAGTAGAGACGGGGTTTCACCGTGTTAGCCAGGATGGTCTCGATCTCCTGACCTCGTGATCTGCCCACTCTGGCCTCCCAAAGTGCTGGGATTACAGGCGTGAGCCACCGTGCCCTGCCATAAACTTTCAACACATCAGGAAATGGAACAATGAGCTAGAAGAAAAAGAAGAAGTACAGTGATTGAGATTGCATTTGAAAACTTGGAAGTTTAGCAACCTAGCCTCCCTGCCATGCTTTAACTCAAATGCTCAATACATGCTCACTTCTCTAAATCAATTTAAACATGGGAAAGAAAATGTGTTACATTGTTATAGATCCAAGAATTTCATAGCTAGTCATGACATACGTGAAGCTGGGAAACATCAAGAACATTAATATAATCTGCACATTCCCCATGGAAATCCAGAAAACAGACAGTCTTCAAAACTCTGTAACTTATTCCTAGCCAGGAATACTACACTTTATTTTATGTTAGAATCAAAATGCTTTTTATTTTAAAAGTTATCTTATAAACAATATAAACCAACTTCTATTTTGAAAACATGTTCTGTGTCCACAAATAATGTGGCATTAACCAAAATTTGAAGATGCTTTAAAAGGAGCTTATTTCAAACACATCAGAGTATATTGAGCTTAAAGTATTAAACAGAGGCCAAATAGTAGGCAAAAAAGGTTGAGTCATCCTACAGAAAATGTTTAGAGTCATTGTTTACATATGAAATCCCTTAGTATTTGTATTAGTCCATTCTTACACTGCTATAAAGAAATTCCCTGGACTGGGTCATTTATAAAGGAAAGAGGTTTAACTTACTCACACTTCTGCATGGCTGAGGAGGCTTCAGGAAACTTATGATCAAGGTGGAAGGGGAAGCAGGCGACTTCTTCACAAGGTGGCAGGAGAGACAGCATGTGCAAGAGAGAGCAGAGAAAACTGCCTTCTAAAACCATCAGATCTTGTGAGAAACCACCCTCATGATCCAATAACCTCCCACCAGGTCTCTCCTTCAACACCTGGGGATTACAATTCAAAATGAGATTTGAGTGGAGACACAAAGCCTAACCATATCATACCGTCCTTGCCCCCTCCCAAATCTCATGTCCTCACATTTCAAAAGCAATCATGCTTTCCCAACAGTCCCTCAAAGTTGTACCTCATTTCAGCATTATGTTCAAGTCCAAAGTTTTACCTAAGACAAAGAAAATTCCTCCTGCATAGGAGCCTGTAAAATCAAGAGCAAGTTAGTTACTTCCAAGATACAATAGGTGTACATGCATTGGATAAATGTTCTCATTTCAAATGGGAACAATTGGCCAAAACAAGGGGGCTACAGGTCCCAAGCATGTCCAAAATCCAGTGGGGCTGTCATTAAATCTTTAAAGCTCCAAAATAATATTTTTTGACTCCATATCTCACATCCAGGGCACGCTGATGCAAGAGGTGGGCTCCCATGGCCTTGGGCAGCTCCTTCACAGGCTTTGCAGGGTACAGCCCCCAGCCCTAGCTGCATTCACGTCTGACATTGAGTATCTGCAGCTGTTCCAGGCACACTGTGCAAGCTATCAGGGGATCTACCATTCTGGGGTCTAGAGGATGGTGGCCCTCTTCTCACAGCTCCATTAGGCAGTGCCCCAGTGGGGACTCTGTGTGGGGGCTCCAAACCCACATTTTCCTTCCACATTGCCCTAGCAGAGGGTCTCCATGAGGACTCCACCCCTGAAGCACACCTTGGCCTGGACATCCAGGCATTTCCATACGTCCTCTGACATCTAGGTGGAGGTTCCCAAACTTCAGTTCTTATCTTCAGCACACCCTCTGGCCCAACACCATGTGGAAGCTGCCAAGCCTTGGGGCTTGCATCCTGTGAAGCAAAAGCCCAAGCTATACCTTGGCCCCTTTTAGTTATTGCTGGAGTCACTGGGATGCAGGGCACCAAATCCCAAGGCTGCACACAGCAGGGGGTCATGGACCCGAGCTAGGAAACCATTTTTTCCTCCTAGGCCTCCTGGCCTGTGATGAGAGGGGCTGCCACAAAGGTCTCTGACATGACCTAGAGACATTTTCCCCATTGTCTTGGTCATTAACATTTGGCTCCTGGTTTCTTCTGCAAATTTCTGAAGCTGGCTTGAATTTCTCACCAGAAAATTGGTTTTGCTCTTCTATCACAACACCAGGCTGCAATTTTTTTAAACTTTTATCTTCTGCTTCCTTTTTAAACATAAGTTCCAATTTCAAATCATTTCTCTCACATTCAAAGTTCCAGAGATCACTAGAACAGGAGCAAAATGCCACCAGTCTTTGCCAAAGCATAGTAAGAATCACCTTTATTCCAGTGGCCACCAAGTTCCTCATCTCCATCTGAGACTATCTCAGTCTGGGCATCATTGGCCATATCATTATCAGCATTTTGGTCAAAACCATTCAACAAGTCTCCAGGAAATTCTAAACTTTTCCACATCATCCTGTCTTTTTCTGAGCCCTCCAAACTCTTCCAACCTCTGCTTGTTACCCAGTTCTAAAGTTGCTTCCACATTTTTAGGTATCGTTATAGAAGTACCTCACTCTCCGCAGTATCAATTTACTGTATTAGTTCATTCTCACACTGCTATAAATAAATACCCAAGACTGGGTAATTTGTAAAAGAAAAAGGTTTAATTGACTGACAGTTCTGCATGGCTGGGGAGGCCTTGGGAAACTTACAATAAAGGGAGAAGTCAAGCAGGCATATTCTTCACAAGTCAGCAGGAGAGAGAGTGTGTGCAAGAGAAAGCAGGGAAAACTGCCTTATAAAATCATCAGCTTTCATGAGATCTCACTCACTGTCAAGAGAACAGCACACAGGAAACCACCCCCATGATCCAATCATGTCCCACCAGGTCTCTCCCTCAGTACCTGGGGATTTCAATTCAAGATGAGATTTGATTGGAGACATGAAACCTAACCATATCAGTATCCATGCTCAGAGTGCCAGATACACTAAACTGGTACATATTATTTTGTTTTATATTAGTCAACATAGTAGCTTCTATTTGCTATTATGTTGAAGTAAGCAGAACTAGATACTCCTCTCTCATTGTAAAGCACAAGAAAACTGAACAAGTTATATTAAAACCTATTCAATAACAGAGGGAAATAAATAAATTTAGTTTTCTTTTTTTTCTGAAGGCACTTTTGATACTTCTGTTAATGGAAGGAGAAAACATACACGTAGTGAAAAGAAGTTTCACTGAGCTGAGGAAAGAGTGTTCAGTGCAGCCAATATCATTGGAATTTGTTGGACTAAGTACTGGAGATGAAGATGCTATTCAGACAAAAAGTTGTAGAAATCTTACATGGCTTTTGAGTCTCTGGCTTAATACTAAATTGCACATTCATAGAGAAACTCCACAAGCCTGGGCAAAGCAAAACCAAACAAAACCAAACACCTACCAAGGAATTTGTATTAGTCTGCTCTCACACTGCTGATAATGACATACCTGAGACTGGGAAATTTACAAAAGAAAGAGGTTTAATGGACTTAGAATTCCACATGGCCAGGGAGGCCTCACAATCATGGTGGAAGGCAAGGAGGAGCAAGCTACATCTTAACATGTATGGCAGCAGGCAGAGAGGGCTTGTTCAGGGAAACTCCCGCTTTGAAATCATCAGATCTTGTGAGACTCATTCACTATCGCAAGCACAGGAAAGACCTGCCCCCACAATTAAATCACCTCCCTCCGATAAGTTTCCTCCTATGACACATGGGAATTGTGGGAGTTACAATTCAAGATGAGATTTGATATCAGAATTATTAGCTGAAAGATTTGTAGAATATACCAGGCTGGAATTCATTTGAATTCTAACTAACCATAAAAGAGAGAAGTCAGGGAGCACTCAGGGAATTCAGTAAAGATCCCAGAACATCGCTCCTAGTGGTAAGTCTAAGTAGCACTAGAGTAAAATCTATGTTAGAAGCATCTTAACAGAGTTTAAAGAATCAAACTTTCTAAAAAGCAAGCTGATTTGAAAGTATCCTAAGTATCAAAAACAACTTTCAATATGCTTTAAAGGAACAGCATAAAACTCGTATTCAAAAACAAAAAAAGCACATTCCCCAGCATTCAATCAACAAGCACTATAACAGAAAAGAATCAAGAATGTGTGAATCATAAGTAGGAGAAGAATCAACTGTAGAAAGAGAACTAGAAATGACAAAGTAAATGAAAATATAAAGCAAAGTGCTTTACACAGTTATAAATATACTTAATGATTCAATGGAAAATATATAGCAAAATGAGAATTCAGAGATATAAAATATAGTAAATATAACTTCTAGAGCTGAAAATAAAATACCTAATTTTTTTGAATAACTCATAAATGGGATTAAAACCAAATAAAACACTACTGAGAAGATTAGTAAACATGCAGAGAAATAATTAGAAATTTTTTAGACAGAGAGAGAATGAGAGAGAAAAAAATGGAGGATAGTGAATGGAATCTAGTGACTGTGGAAAAACATTGATCAGTTCAATGTACATGAAACTCAAGTTCCAGGGTAAAATGAGGGGTGAGGGAAGCATGAAATAATTGTTTAAAAAATAAGGGCAGGGCCAGGCGCATTGGCTCACATGTATAATCCCAGCACTTTGAGAGGCCAAGGCAGGTGGATCATCTGAGGTCAAGAGTTTGAGAACAGCCTGACCAATATGATGAAATGCTGTCTCTACTAAAATACAAAAAATTAGCTGGGCATGGTGGTGCGTGCCTGTAGTCCCAGCTACTTGGGAGGCTGAGGCAGGAGAATCACTTGAAACTGGGAGGCGGAGGTTGCAGTGAGCCAACATCGTGCCACTGCACTCCAGCCTGGAGACAGAGCAAGACTCCATCTAAAATAAAATAAAATAAAATAAAATAAAATAAAATAAAATGAAATATAAAATATAAAATAAAATAAAAGCTGAATGTATTTCCAAATTTGAAGAAAACTGAAAACCGAAAACTCAGAGATCCAAGAAGCTCAGTAAATTTCAAGCAGGATAAACACAATAACACTACATTAGGGCATAGTGTAATCAAATTGCTGAAAACCAGTGATAAAGAAAAAAATCTTAAAAGTAGCCAGTTATGAGAGGCATTACATAGGACAATATCTATAAAAATTATGGTTATCACTGGAATAAATAGAAACCAGAGGCTTATTTAATGAACTTAAAAGAATGCATATCAACCTATATTTTTATATCCAAGAAAAATGTAATTCATAAGTGAATATGAAACCTTTTCAGAAAAGAAACATCAAGGGATACTATCACTAGCTGACCTCTACAGGAAATGTGAAAGAAAATTATTCAGGCTGAGAGAAAATGCTGCATAATGGAAACTCAGATCTTCACAAATAAAAGATCACCAAGATATTAAATGTGCTGGTACATATTAAATATTTTCTTTTGAATTTTAATACCATTAAAATTGATTGTGTAAAGCAAAGATCATGTTGATGAATTGAGCAGTTTAAAAGATAAGCAAAAGTAAAATGTATAAAAACATGAGTATAAAGGTTAAAACAGGGAAGTCAATGTATACTGTTAAGGTTTACATTATATATGAAGGGGTATAATATGATTTGACAGTAGATTTTGATAGTTTAAAAATGCATATTGTAAAGTGCGTGTGTGTGTGTGTGTGTGTGTGTGTGCGCTAAACAACCGAAAGTAAATTGGAAAATTTGTACCCCTTTACTCTTACATGTTTAACCTAATACCCAATATCATGTTATTTGGAATTGAGGTTTTCAAGAGGGAATTAGGTCATGAGGGTGGAGGCTTCATAAATGGGACTAGTGTTCTTATGAGAGTAACTGTAGGGAGCTCATTTGATCCTTCTGCCATATGAGAACACAGTAAGAAGTCATCATCTCGCCAGGCACACTGGCTCACGCTTATAATCCTAGCACTTTGGGAGGCCAAGCTGGTGGATCATGAGGTCAGGAGTTTGAGACCAGCATGGCCAACACAGTGAAATCTTGTCGCTACTAAAAATACAAAAATTAGCTGGGCATGGTGTTGGGCACCTGTTATCCCAGCTATTCAGGAGGCTGAGGTAGGAGAATCACTTGAACCTGGGAGGCAGCAGTCGCAGGGAGCCAAGATTGTGCCACTGCACTCCAGCCTAGGTGACAGAGGTAGACTCTGTCTCAAAAAAAAAAAAAAAAAAAAGAAGGCATCATCTATGAATCATAAAGTGGACCTTCATCAGACACCAAACCTACTAGTGACTTCATCTTGAACTTCTCAGGTTTCAAAACTTTGGGAAACAAAATGTATGTTGCTTATAAGACATGCAGTCCATGATATTTTGCTATAGCAGCCTAAATGAACCAAGACACTCTCTTTCATAAAAACAGTTCATTTATTAAAATCAGGAAGTCAACAGTGAAACTACAGGTCATACTTAGACATCCTGTACCTGGGAGATGCATGTCGCTATTATTATTTTTTAACAAATTGTTATGTTAGAGTAATTAAGAATAGAAAATTAAAATTTGCATGTTACATCCACTCATTTCTTCTCCAATACCCTTCTTTCTGTAGACCCAAGTTTCTGACCTATATCATATTTGTTCTAATGAACTTCTTTTTACTTTCTTGCAAGTCATGTCTACTGGGACCAAATTCCTGTAGCGTTTTTTGTCTTAGTCTTTATATGTTCTTTACTGTTGAAGGACAATTTTGCAGGGTAGAGAATTCTAGGATAGTGGATTTTGTCTCTCAACATTTTTAATATTTTACTCCATTCTCTTCTTCATTGCATGATTTCTAAGACATGTGAGATGTATTTTTTATCTTTTCTCTTCTATATGCAAGACATTTCTCACTGTCCACTTTCTTGCTTTTTTTAGCATTAAAAAAAATTGACCTTATGTAGTTTGAATATGATTAGCTTAGGTGTTCTTATGTTTATTTATTTATTTCTACACTTATCTTGCTTTGTGTTCTCTGAGCTTCCTGGATCTGTAGTTAGCTGTCTGATATTAATTGGTGGAAATTCTCAGTTATTAATGTTTTAAATATTGCTTCTGTTCCTCGCTCTCTTTCCTCTCCTTCTGGTATTTCATTATAAGTACATTTCACTTTTGGTAGTTGTTCCACAGTTTTGTTCTTCTCTGTTCTATCAGTCTATTTTTTCTCTTTGCTCTTCGGTTTTGGCAGTTTCAATTGAGTTATACCCAATGTCAGAGACTCTTTCCTCACATGTGTACAGTCAACTATAAAAGGCATTTATTTCTTTTAATGTTCTTGATCTTCAGAATTTATTGCTTCTTTCATAGAATTTTTATTTCTCTGTGTACATTGTCCATCTCTTTTTGCATACTGTCTAGTTTACCCTGTAGAGCCCTTTGAGAAGTGATCACAATTGTTTTAAATTCACAGTTTGATGGTTCCAACATCCCTGCCCTATCTGAGTCTGGTTTTGATTTTTGTTCTATCTCTTATAACTTGTGACTTTTGCATTTTGGTATGCCTGCATTTTTTGTCTTCATGGCTAGACATGATGTACTGATTAAAAGGTACTGTCATAAATAGGCCTTTAGTAATGTGATGATAATTTCTGAGAAGAGGACAAGCAATCTAAAGTCCCATGATAAAGTCTTAGTCTTTAAGTCTGCCTGTTCCTCTGGATGTGAACTTTAAACACGTTTCTCCGTCCCTTCACCACCATAGGTGAGATAGGATGGCTAAAATGGGTTGGAGTTGGATTTCCACATGGAGAATTTCCATTTCTCCATGTGGAAGTCTAGAGATGATTGAAATGGGATATTATCCTTCCCACAGGACATTAGGCTCCGATAAAACTCCAGCAGGTTAAGCTCTGGTTTCTGGTTAAGTAGTTTCTACTGAGGGCATGTTTTGTAAGAAGAACAGAATTCTTTGGCTTATGTCAAAATGGTTCCTTTCTTTTTCTCCTCTTGTCTAAAACACAAAAGGAGCATTTTCTCTGAAATTCACTGTGAGACCCTAGAAGAGTTCTAGGAGGTAAAACTCAGAAAAGTTTGGGAGGGGGTCTCCTGATGACTTAGTCCCCTCCAGTTTCTATCTCTTGAGCCTGTCCCACGGTGAGACTTCAGCAGTGGTTCCCACAGAGGTTTGTACTCATGGATTTCTATGCTAATAGGTTGTTGATTCTCTGTATTTGCCTATCTGTCTAGTTTTGAGGCAGCAGTTTGCCCTGTGACCTCACTTCTCAGACAGATCTAAGAATAATGTCTGAGTTTACAGTCTGTTCAGATTTTTACTTGTTAAGATGGAGGGGTTATTTCCAAGCTTCTGACATAGTGAACCAATAGCTAGAAATCCTTTCTTTATTTTTTAAAAAGGATTTTGCTGGATATAGAATTCTTGCTTGATAGTGTTTTTTCATTCAATACTATTAGTATGTCATTCGGTTGCCTCTTGGCTTCAATGGTTTCTAAGGAAAACTCAGCTGTTTTTTATTATTGAGGACATTTCTATTTGATAGATTTCTCTTCTTTTGTTGCTTTCAGGAGTCTTTGTCTTTTGACAATTTAACTATGATACATTTATGTGTGCATGTTTTCAGTTTATTTGATTTTCATTTACTGGGTTTCTGGAGTGCAGGTTAATGTTTACAATAAATTACAAAGTTTTCAGCCATTGTTTCTTCAAATATACTTTGTTTCTGTTTTTCTATATTCTCTTTTTTTGGGAATTCCACTGTGCATATATTGGTATTCATGATTGAGTCTCTCAGGTCTCATGAAACCCTGTTCATTTTTCTTTATTCTTTTTTCTTTCTATTCCTCACACCAGCTAATCTGAATTAAACTATCTTCAAGGTCACTAATTCTTTCTTCAGCCAATTCAAACCTGCTGTTAAGGCCAAAGAGTATATTTTTATTGTTTAGTTGTATATTGGCTTCAGAATTTGTAACTTATTCTTTTTGAAGATAAGTTCTATCTCCTCAATGATGTTCTCTATTCAGTGAGAAATCACTCTCATTTTCCCTTTGCATTTTAAAATACGGTGCAAGGGTGTATCCTGCAGACCCCAGCTGCATGACAGATGAATAACGTACTCAGACATCAATATTCAGTGAAAGAGCAGGCTGGGGACCAGGTCGCTGACTGAAAGAATTGTAGCAGCTGAGGCCCTGATTAGCTGGCCCTGCCCTGCCGGCATTTATTCAGCACACATTAAAGGACAAAGGCTTTGAGTCAACACAACTAGAGGGTAATTAACCTGGTTGCCCTCCCTCCGAGAGAGCCATCCTGCCCCTGAAAGATCAAAGGTTAGTTTTAGGACCACATGAGTAAGCAAGTTATTTAGATAAACTCCCTTACATTCCTTTGTACTACTTTAAGCTGTTTACTTAAGGTAAGAGGATTAGGCTACCTTCAGCCAGATCTATTACTGAAGTTATGCAACCCCCAACCCCAGGGCCTTCCAAGAGGTTTGTATCTTTTTCTTATAACTGTCTTTAAAATTTTTCCCACCAGCCTGCCTGAACTCGCACAATATGGTTTTCTTTAATTTTTAACATGTTTAGTGTAGCTGATTTAAAGTTTTTGTCTGTTGAACTCAATATTTGGACTCCATCAGGGAAAGTTCTATTGATAGCATTTCCTCCTGTGACTGGGCCATACTTTCTTCTTTCTTTGCATCTTTTGATAGGGACAGGGGGCAGAGAAATTCTAGGCAGAAAAGAGCAAGTCCCTGAGAAAACCTCACCCTCAAGTCAAAAAGCCTGAAACCATGGTGCAAAATGAAAACTTTTATTCCTGTTTTTTCCACCTGAATTTTGTCTTTTCCTAAATTACCCATGGCCTGCCCCACCCCCCCATCCTGTGCCATATAAAGACCTCAGACTCAGCTGGCAGAGATGAGAGGGCAGCTGGACTTCAGGGACTAGGGCTGGATGTTGGAGAGAAGTGGCTTCATGTCATAGGGACAGCTTGATGGTATAACTTCAAAGAAGAATCCGACTGGAGATGTCTGGATTTCAGGGGAAGATTACCTACCTGCTCCATCCCCTTTTCAGCTCCCTTTCCCACTGAGAGCCATTTTCTTCATCAATGAAATCCCCCACATTTACCATTCTTCAATCCATTCGGGCAACCTCATTTTTCCTGGATGTCAGACAACAGCTCAGGAGCCATGGATGTGGATACAAAATGCTGTCACACTGGCCCTTTGCCCTCACTGGTGGAGGGTAGCCACCACATATGAAAAGGCATAGGGCTTACTGAGCTATTAACACTTAAGCTGTCAGCAGATGGCAGAGCTAAAAGAGCACTGTAACATGCCCTCTGGGACTTCAGGGTTTACAGGCCCTGCCCCCAGATGCTGCCGCAGGGCCCGCATGGAGTTTGGTCCTCCTGGCACCCAAAAGGGCTTGCCCCATCTCCTGCACTCACTCACCTACACACTCCCTCCCACAAGGGGTGGAACACAGTGGGGCTGAGTGGAATTTGCTGCAGCCTGAACTGAAGCCGCTGGGTGGTTCTACCACTCATGCACTCCAGTTCCCACTTCATTTACTCACACACTCCCTCCCACAAGAAGTTGAGAGCAGTGGGCTGAGTAAATGAGGCACACCTGTCACAAGTCCTGTGAAAGGGTCAGGGAAATACCCTGCTTCATCTAATTGACATTTTAAATAATGTAACATAACAACTCTGAAAAGGAGCCCCCTGGATTTATTGTATGTAGTTTTTGAGATTGTCATTTGATTAGTGACTTTCCTGGACCAATTCTGTAAAGTCTGTAGTCCTTGTCACTATACATATACTTTGGTAGACAGTCAATAAAATCTCTGCTTGATTGGCTAAAAATTGAAAAGAGATTTACCTGACTATCTTGAATTAATGTCTGCCAGAGTTTGCCAGTAGGTCTTGTGTGTGTCATATGGCATGTTTTCAAAGCTCCAGCAGGAAATTTATAACTCTGCCTTAGCCTTCACTTCTTGGTGGTACAGAGCTTCAAGATCAACCATAAGTAAGATATTAGCTCTCTTTAGATATTTCCTGTGTGTTCCCACAACCATATACTTGCTTTTATATTCCCAAAAATACCTGAGAGTTTTTGAAAGTCCCATTTGGACACTACATTCCTCAGTTTCTCCTTTCAGGTTTTTACATCTGCCTCCTGTTAACCCAAACTGGTATTGCTGCCTTAAGCAGCTGTGATGTTAAAAATTCCCATGGACAATTTTCAACGGATGCCATAAGAGTAATGATATTCAGACAGAGTGAGCTCTGATTCAGATAAAAACAAGTCCTGAAGCTAGAGCCTTTCAGAGAGCTTCCCAAGAGGTCAAATTGTGACAGTTCTCTCAGGCTGAGGTTTTTGGGGAGCGCCATTCCCTTTCTTCTTCCTTTGACATCTGTTAGGCCATTGGTTTCTATCGGTACTCCATTTGCATGGTCTTTGGTTTTCTGGGCTACTGCAGACCTGGGGAAAGCAGGGTGGATTTGGGCAAGTTAAAATGATGCAAATCTTGCTGTTGTAACTGAGACTTACCATTTTTCCTTGAATAAATGTTCTTTAGTTTATTTCAAGCTTCTTCTTAATTTTTGGATTTCTGAAAATGGTAATTTTGATATCTTTGCAAGTTTTCTTATTGCTTTTTTAAAACTTGGATTTCAAAAGTCTTTATTCTGTCATTCCAGAGTACGTCTTGTCCATCTAACCTAGCATCCCATTCACAGAGAAAAAATTCACCTGCCTCTCAGATACTACTGAAATTAATCTCACAATGTGTGAAAGGCAGAAGGAAGTAGGAATGACTATAATTTATTAAATTGTTATAATTTTTGGTTAATTATACTAATTAATAATTAACTTGACTAATTATTAATAAAATAAAAAATTTTTATGTTCATGGCCTTCCATGAGACTTTAATTATACCATGATACAGACATGAATAAAACAGGTCATTCTTTTGGAAGAGTGCAGACTTCTTAAGAAGATTTAGAACTAACAAACATTAATATCCGTTGCAATTGGTGCTATGATGGGGATATGAGGGTAATAAAAAATTCAGCTTATCTGAGAGGGGGAACATATGTCCTTTAATGACCTATTTTGTATTTTGGGCTAGCTCTATTTCCTTAAACAGTCTTTCAAACTTGAACTGAAAGCTGCCTCTTTGTAAATTTTGTCCAATATATTATTCATAAAAAAAAGAAAAAATGTTCCAATCCAGCAGCAGGAGCCAACTTCTGGGTCAAATTGATGCACCAAATACTGTCTACTTCATCCTTTCTATTCATCTATTTGTTTACCCTATTTTAGTACTCCAAGCCCAGTGTTCTTTCAGTTTTAAGCTCTGTCATATACTCTTACTACATCCTGAGCATCAATTATATGTCTTTGTTATCACTAGTGAAATATCTGGTCAGCTGAGCCTTAATATCACTCTCTGATTTTCCAACATAAAATAAGACTAACATGTCATCTTTGGAAAGCATTCATGTTCTTTGAACAAATTGGCACAACAATTGTCTACATATTTATTCAAATGAATACTAAGTTTCACAAGGAACAGTTTGCTTCATATTTCCTAATTAATGAATATACATATCTTTAAGTTACTTCAGAAAAGGCAAATGTAGCTTTTAAGACCTAAGTTCTTATAGCAGGAGGACCTCTATGTCTAGTATTTAACTACATTTTAATAATAATTTTATGGAGAAAACACCTTTTGTATACTTTGTATGGAAACTTTTAGAGAAAAAGAGTTTACCAAATGAACTCCTTTAGTTCTTTATCTGTAATGTCTACTTAGTATTTATGACCTTAAATGTGTTGTTAATAATGTAATAGTGGATTTCTTGAACTTTCAGACATCAATCTTTGGAAAAGTAAAATAATCTTTAAATATGAATGCCAGGACTTCAAATATTATTTTGTAAATTGAACCCTGTTTGATGCTATCATAAACTAATTAAAATTATGTAAGAAGGCATAATATTTTACCAATAGGTGATCCTTTATATGTTTCTAACATAAGTGGATGAAGGTTAGATTCATATTGACCCAGATCAAAACAATTTATTCCTTTAAATTAATTAGAAGATAATAGAGTTTCACAAGCCAAAGAGAATGAGAAAGTATAAGGGGAAAAATCTTATACTTTAGAAACCAGGAGATCTGGATATGAGTCCTGTCTTAATTGATTACAGATGTGCAACTCAGGAAGTCACTTAATCTTTCAATGCCTTAAACATTTCATCTGTATAATGGAAATAATTGTTCTTCTCCAGATGATTTCAAAATTAAAAAATAGGTAATATGTATTAAAATGGCATTGTTTCTCATAATATTAGATGTTATTTTTCCTGAAAGCTTAATTTATAAAATATTTAATACCAATGAATGCAACTGAAATACTGGAGAAAACAGAATTATGGAATCAATCTATTATTTTTGTGTCCTGTGAACTAATTATTATCTTGACTTCTTTACAAGGATGGCTATTTTTGTTTATGCAGAATGTAGGTATATTATTTCTTTTTTCTCCTCTTCAATTCACTTGTTATCATGTCAATATAGCTTTTAGAACAGAGTAGACATCTGTTTTCCCTCAAGTAGCATCCACATGCAGGCACACAAGCATATACTACTTTATCAATTTAACCTGAAGTTCAATATTTTGTATTGTTTACCATTGGCAAAATATAACTTCATATGTTTAAGAAGAATAAAGAATAAAATGTATGCTGAATGTCAAATATCTTATGCAGAGACATTTTTTGATGTGTTAAGTGGAAAAGAATGAGGAGCATAAGGATTTAATTTCTGTGAAAAAATGTCTGGGTTTAAAAATTAAGAAAGAAAAGCACTTAGAAAACCACATGTTATATTTTTGCCAAACTTAAAAGGTATGAAAAATTGCATGATTTATGTGATGAACAGAAATGTGGTTTATTTTCTTTCTCCTAATGTAGTAACACTTCTATGAAAATAAAGGAATGGTGCTCTGTACATATTTTCCAATTTGCCTAATTTTCTTAAAGTTTGGAATTTTATGATAGATAATTGGGCTAACTTTAAGGACAAGATAAACTATTTCATCTTCCTTCAGGGCTCGCAGTACAATCTTGTGTTCAGCCAGGATGAACTACTTAGAAAGCCCCAGTGCAGGTCAGTTAGTTCCATTTCCCTAACCTGCCATACTTGGGGCTTTCTTTTTTTCTTTCTTTTTTTTTTGAGATACAGTCTTGCTCTGTCACCCAGGCTAGAGTGCAGTGGCGCATCTCCGTTCACTGCAACCTCTGCCTCTGGGTTCAAGCAATTCTTCTGCCTCAGCTTCCCAAGTAGCTGGGACTACAGGTGCGCAACACTACACCCGGCCAATTTTTGTATTTGTAGTAGAGATGGGGTTTCACCATATTGGCCAGGCTGACCTCGAACTCCTGACCACGTGATCTGCCCGCCTCGGCTTCCCAAAGTGCTGGGATTACAGGCATGAGCCACCGTGCCCAGCCTAGTAGTGTGCTCTCACTGAACCCTCTGCTCAGCATACTCTTTTCTTCCCTATTTAACTGTGTGTTGTTTTATGAGCTGTTTGAATATGGAATTATGATTATCCAAGAGTATCAGCATTGTAACTCCTTGCTTATTATATAGGTGGTGATTAATTAACGTATTTGTTAAGTAAGTTTATACCATGTCTTATAGCATACATCTTAATAAGCAAATCAACATGATATTGAACAGACATTTATTTTTTTACCTTATTATGCATTTTCCACAACAATTTAACAACGAAAATTCTGATCCCCAATGAATTTACCTTTTAACTCTCACTTTTTATATTATACTTTTAAATCAAACCTTTAGCATTGCATAATACTTAAAGTACTTAATAAATACCACTTTGAAAGATCTGTAGTCTAGCTTCTTAGCAATTTCCATAGAAAAGCTGAATTTCATTTACAACTGATAAAATATTGAAAACATCACAAAGTCCAAAAACAGTTTCTTTGAAGTTATAAACAGAAGAGGGTTATAAAGTTGTATGAGAAACCATCAAAATATTTACTGTAGAGTTTCTCCAACCTTCGTTATTTTTAAAGGCCAGAAGGTAATACTAATAGATTTAAAGTTATTATAGCAGTAGTCAAACTAGTGATTATTTTCTTGACCAATTTTTCAGGTGGTTGCCATATGTTTGGCTTCAATACATACAGTTTTTGATTTACCTCTGTGGCATATCAATCACTTTATAATGAAAAAAATTTTCTTAGAATATGTGCTAGGGGCATTGAGTGATCAGAAAATTGTCCACAAAGAGGTAAGATACAATGTGAAGGTGGCTAATGTGATTCAAATGAATGAAGGCAACATTTGTGGAGTTGAGTCCAAAGTAAACTTTTAAAATTCACAGTTAGCCCAATGTACATAGATTGGAACTGTTTCAGAATGAACTGTATACATGATTGCCATTTCGCCCCCAAAATAGTAAAGTGTGCTTTTTCTAAGAATAAGGTCATACTCATATAACTATGAAACAAATATCAAAATGAAGACGTTTAATTTTGATATAGCACATTTTTAATCCATACTTTATAGTAAAATTTTACTAATTATCCTAATAATGTCCTTTATAGACATGTTTTTTCACAGCCAAGGAACCAATCTAGAATGATGTATTTCAGGTTTTTCATATCTGTTTGATCACTTTCTTTAGAATAGTCTTTTGACTTTCTTGTCTTATATGAAAGTAACAATTTTGAAGAGTACAAACAAGTTTTTTTGTAGAATGTTCCTTAGTTTGAGTTTGTTATTTCCTAATGATGAGATTCCGATTATGCATATTGACAGATTATGAATATCAGATGTTTGTACTGCATCCTTCTTAGTGCAACATATAAAAAGATACATGGTATAGGCTTGCCCATTTATGATGTTAACTTTGATGTCTTTAATAAAGTAATGTTTGTCAGGTTTTTTCATTTTAAATTACTATTATTACCATGTGTGAGAGAAAAGGGATTTGTGGAAAAGTACATTGAAATGATGTGAGTATCATAATCTTGACCAAACTTCTACCACTAGTTTAAGTATCCATCTCTAACTGTTATTACTGTTCTAATGCTCCCATTACTTCTGCATTTATTGGTTGACATATCACTATAAAGAAAACCAATCTTCCTTCCTTCCGTCCTCCCTTTCTTACTTCTTTCCTTTTTTCCTTCTTTCCTCCCTCCCCCTCCCTCCTTTCTTTCTTTTCCTTCCTTCCTTTCTCTCTCTTTTTTCTTTCTCTTTCTTTCTTCTTTCTTTCTTTTTCCTTCCTTCCTTCCTTCTTTCTTTCTTTTTCTCTCTGCACACATATACTTTATAATCCATTTTTTCCATTATTTTTTCATTCTCAGATTTCCCTAGAATTGGACAGTGAAAGTCCATTTATATTGTCTGCTCTGTCATCACAACACTTTCTTGAAGCACGACCTTAAAAAGTGATGCCAAAGAGCCAATATCTATGGAAAGAATATTGAGACAAAGAAAACGGAAAATTTGGAAAGGCTGGGAAGTCCAAGATCAATTTGTTTTTGTATGTCCTATCTGGAGCAGATCCTAATCATAGTAGAGGACTTTTTGCTGTGGAATCTCTCTCAGGCTTCTTTTAATAGGGCACTAATCCCATGAGGGCACTAATCCAACAGCATGGGGATTAAGATTTCAACATAAAAATTTTAGGGGGACAAAAACATTCAGACCATAACAACAGGCATAACAACATTTTGGTTATTATTAAAAGGGAGTAAAATAATAATTGCAAATCTCTATATATGTCCCTTGTTGGTGATAAGGATTAATATTTGATAATGATGTCTATTGGTATATAACCACAGGCATTTTTTTAAAGTTATTAAGTGCCTATTTTCCCACATGTTAAGTACATCCTTTAGACCTAAGTAGACGTGCCGGACGTGGTGGCTCACGCCTGTAATCCCAGCACTTTGGGAGGCCAAGGCAGGCGGATCACGAGGTCAGGAAATCAAGACCAACCTGGCTAACACGGTGAAACCCCGTCTCTACTAAAAATACAAAAAATTAGCCGGGCGTGGTGGCGGGCGCCTGTAGTCCCAGCTACTCGGGAGGCTGAGGCAGGAGAATGGCCTGAACCCGGGAGGCGGAGCTTGCAGTGAGCCGAGATCATGCTACTGCACTCCAGCCTGGGAGACAGAGCAAGACTCCGTCTCAAGAAATAAAATAAAATAAAATAAAATAAAATAAACAAATAAATAAAAATAAATAGACCTAAGTAGACGTTCCTCTGAACAAGATATACGAATGGCCAATAGGCATATGAAAAAGATGTTCAACATTATCAGTAATCAGGGAAATGCAAATCAAAATCACTTTATACCCATTAGAATGGCTAATATTTAAAAACGAAACAAAAGCAGGCAACACTTATAAGAGTTTGTGAGGTTGTGGAGAAAAGGAACCATCTTACGTTAATTATAGGAATATAAAATGATATAACAGCTGTGAGAACAGTTTGGTGATTCCTCCAAAAATTAAACACAGAATTAATGGATGGCCCAACCATCCAACTCCTATTTATATAACCCCCACATTGAAAAGTGGTATTCAAATACTTGTGCACAAATATTGATAGATGTACTATTTTCAATAGTCAAAAGGAAAAAACAACCAAAATATCTATATCCATCAACAGATGAATAGATTAACAAAGTGTAGTATATCACTACCATAGAATATATTTAGCCATGAAATGGAATGAAGTAATGATGTCTGCTGCAATGTGGAGGGCCCTCAAAAATGTCCTGCTAAGTGGAAGCCTTCTGACACATATTTGATCACTCTTGTCTTAAATATTAGAGAAATAATAGATAACTTTATGGAACATTTATTCTGCTGTGGAGACAATTATGAAAAGACAAATTCATCTAGGAATTTTTCAAATGCGTGCTATTTGGAATAGAAGGCAAGTTGGTGAAAGCAAAAGAGTTGTAGTGAGCCTGAGTATGGTATTTTCGTAAAGAGTGAAGAAACTAGTTTCAAAAAGAATTTTTTTTAAATTTCTTTCTCACTCCAAACAGGTTGAAGAAGTGTTTCTTCATGTAGCATGATTAAAAGATATACATTCAATTAAAATGTCCAAAATGTAAAAACATAAATATTTTAAAATAATTAATTTCATATTTATCTTATAGTACTGTCCAATAGAACATTTTGTGATGGAGATAATGTTCTATATTTAAATTGTTCAATATGGAAGCCCCTAGCATATGTGACTATTAAGCTAAGAAATGTTAATACAACGAAAGGGAAGCTGCATTTTCAATTTTATTTAACTTTAATTTTATTTAACTTTATTTTAATTTATTTGACTTCAAGTTAATTTTAATCAGTTAATTAATTTAACTAACCACATGTGGCTAATGGCTAGCATTTTGGGGAGTCCAAATCTATCTTTGACTCTACTAAAAACATTTGACAAATATAATTTTAGCATTATTTTAGTGAATCTTATATCATCCCATTTTAACTAATTTTAAATCTTTCTGAATTTGTTCTTCTCAAGAGTCCTCTTGTGACATCCCACCTTCTCTTGTCCTGTCCCCACAATGGTTTCTGAGTGTTGAGACGTGGTAGGAGTATCAGTTCTCTGTGTTTAAGTATCCTTATAGTATTGTAGGAATGTTGTCTGGTCATTGTGCTGTGTCATTATCCTTTGTCTCTGGACCTTAGCTTCTGTTCTCCTTGAGTCCTTTGTTTTGTATCTGGATCTAGATTTCATAACTATGTCCTTCTGGTTGTACAGAGTTCTGATAACAGTACTTGCTAAGGGATAGAAATTCATTTGATGATTTAGCAATTGTGTTCACATGTAAACTTGAGAACTATGAGTTTTGCCTCTTATAAGTCAGTGTCCTTCCTCTGACCCCTAAGTCTATTTAAATCCACATTTTTTTAAATTATACTTTAAGTTCTAGGGTACATGTGCACAACGTGCAGGTTTGTTACATATGTATACATGTGCCATGTTGGTGTGCTGCACCCATTAACTTGTCATTTACATTAGGTATATCTTCTAATGCTATCCCTCTCCCAGCTTCCCACCCCACTACAGGCCCCGGTGTGTGATGTTCCCCACCCTGTGTCCAAGTGTTCTCATTGTCAAATTCCCACCTATGAGTGAGAACATGCGGTGTTTGGTTTTCTGTCCTTGCGATAGTTTCCTCAGAATGATGGTTTCCAGCTTCATCCATGTCCCTATGAAGGACATGAACTCATCATTTTTTATGGCTGCATAGTATTCCATGGTGTATATGTGCCACATTTTCTTATTCCAGTCTATCATTGATGGACATTTAGGTTGGTTCCAAGTCTTTGCTATTGTAAATAGTGCCGCAATAAACATACATGTGCATGTGTCTTTATAGCAGCATGATTTATAATCCTTTGGGTATAAACCCAGCAATGGGATGGCTGGGTCAAATGGTTTTTCTAGTTCTAGATCCTTGAGGAATCGCCACACTGTCTTCCACAATGGTTGAATAAGTTTACAGTCCCACCAACAGTGTAAAAGTGTTCCTGTTTCTCCACATCCTCTCCAGCACCTGTTGTATCCTGACTTTTTAATGATCGCCATTCTAACTGGTGTGAGATGGTATCTCATTGTGGTTTTGATTTGCATTTCTCTGATGGCCAGTGATGATGAGCATTTTTCCATGTGTCTGTTGGCTGCATAAATGTCTTCTTTTGAAAAGTGTCTGTTCATATCCTTCACCCACTTTTTGATGGGGTTGTTTGATTTTTTATTGTAAATTTGTTTAAGTTCTTTGTAGCTTCTGGATATTAGCCCTTTGTTAGATGGGTAGATTGTAAAAATTTTCTCCCATTCTGTAGGTTGCCTGTTCACTCTGCTGGTATTTTCTTTTGCTGTGCAGAAGCTCTTTAGTTTACTTAGATCCTATTTGTCAATTTTGGCTTTTGTTGCCATTGCTTTTGGTGTTTTAGACATGAAGTCCTTGCCCATGCCTGTGTCCTGAATGGTATTGCCTAGGTTTTCTTCTAGGGTTTTTATGGTTTTAGGTCTAACATTTAAGTCTCTAATCCATCTTGAATTGAGTTTTGTATAAGGTGTAAGGAAGGGATCCAGTTTCAGCTTTCTACATATGGCTAGCCAGTTTTCCTAGCACCATTTATTGAATAGGGAATCATTTCCCCATTTCTTGTTTTTGTCAGGTTTGTCAAAGATCAGATGGTTGTAGATGTGTGGTATTATTTCTGAGGGCTCTGTTCTATTCCATTGATCTATATCTCTGTTTTGGTACCAGTACCATGCTGTTTTGGTTACTGTAGCCTTGTAGTATAGTTAGAAGTCAGGTAGCATGATGCCTCCAGCTTTGTTCTTTTTGATTAGGATTGTCTTGGCAATGTGGGCTCTTTTTTGGTTCCATATGAACTTTAAAGTAGTTTTTTCCAATTCTTTGAAGAAAGTCATTGGTAGCTTGATGGGGATGGCATTGAATCTATAAATTACCTTGGGCAGTATGGCCATTTTCATGATATTGATTCTTCCTATCCATGAGCATGGAATGTTCTTCCATTTTTTTGTGTCCTCTTCTATTTCGTTGAGCAGGAATTTGTAGTGCTCCTTGAAGAAGTCCTTCGCATCCCTTGTAAGTTGTATTCCTAGGTATTTTATTCTCTTTGAAGCAATTGTGAATGGGAGTTCACTCATAATTTGGCTCTCTGTTTGTCTGTTATTGGTGTATGGGAATGCCTGTGATTTTTGCACACTGATTTTGTATCCTGAGACTTTGCTGAAGTTGATTATCAGCTTAAGGAGATTTTGGGCTGAGATGATGGGGTTTTCTAGATATACAAACATGTCATCTGCAAACAGGGACAATTTGACTTCCTCTTTTCGTAATTGAATACCCTTTATTTCTTTCTCCTGCCTGATTGCCCTGGCCAGAACTTCCAACACTATGTTGAATAGGAGTGCTGAGAGAGGGCCAAATACTGGCAAACCGAATCCAGCAGCACATCAAAAACCTTATCCACCAAGATCAAGTTGGCTTCATCCCTGGGACGCAAGGCTGGTTCAACATATGCAAATCAATAAACATAATCCGTCATATAAACAGAACCAAAGACAAAAACCACGTGATTCTCTCAACAGATGCAGAAAAGGCCTTCGACAAAATTCAACAGCCTTCATGCTAAAAACGCTCAATAAACTAGGTATTGATGGGACATATCTCAAAATAATAAGATCTATTTATGATATTAGATATCGTATTGATAATAAGATCTAATTATGATATTATCTATTAGAGATAATAAGATCTCTAATTAAGATCTGTGTATGATCTATAGTCAATATCATACTGAATGGGCAAAAATGGGAAGCATTCCCTTTGAAAACTGGGATGCCTTCTCTCACCACATTTTTTTTTTTTGGTAGAATTTCTAATTCCTAACTCTTGGAATAAAGAAATCTTACTGGATGTCACCACAAATGCTGGAGTGTGTGTACCTCTCTGAGGAAGCTCTCAGACCCAGATCTTAGGTTTCTCCAGCCACTGCCACTCTACTATTTCCAGGCAATAGGAAGCAGAATTCTCCTACGGTCTTCCAGAATCTCCAGGCCACAGTCAGGAAAAAAAGAACCAGCATTCAAATTCTGGGAGATTCTCCAAAACTGAGTTTTTTGGCATGAGAAGATCATGGTCATATTCTCTCTCCTTTCTCTCTTCCCAACGTCAGCTGTCCTTAGCAGTTTTGAAGGACTAATTGGTGTGGTAAATTTCTTCACTTTGAGCTCTCCTTCCTCCTAGCCCTTTAGCTTACTCTGAGATTAATTCTCTAAATTTTGGGCATTGATATGTAAAAACTCAGCTGTAGGATGTCCAAGAAATCTTTCTTTTGACAGCATGACTGGAAACTTGCAATTGATGTTTTATAAAAATCTAGTGTATAGACTCATGTTTGCACTGCTAGATCCTCTTTCAAGGAAGTAATTTGTAGCTTCACCTCAGCTTTCAGCAGCAGCTCAACCTGCATACAAATCACTCAGGGAACGGTAAGCCCACTGGCCTCGTGGCAATTCCACTTTTCCCTTTGCCTGACCCTGCTTCCTCTCACTTTTTTCTACAGGTGTGAATCTCTAATAAATTTCTCACATGCTAAACTCTGTCTCAACATCTGCTTCCAGAGAACTCAACCTGGGGCATTTAGTTTGAAGTTCAAAGCTGAGCACTGACTTTTCCTTTCCTTTTTTTTTTTTTTTTTTTTCCTAGGCAGTGTCTTCCTGCCTCTTATCTATAGCAGTAAACCTAATCGCCTTGGCCTAGTCTTAATTCCAAGATAATTCCAGGGAGGAAACATACATTAAAAAAAGAAAAAAGAAAATACTTTGGATGACATTTCAAAGCATTACCCTGCTTTACTTCTTTACTTGGCTACATTAACCGCAGGAAAATTGAGGTCAGAAATCTGACTTTTCTTTATGAAACTTCTGTGTAATTAATGAATTTTGGGAGAAAATGAGAGTGAAAAATCACAAAATGTATATGGATACACCCTTGTTTTTCATAGCCTTACCAAACCAAAATCTATATCTAAAATAAGTTTTAATACATTCACTTAAAAATTTCCCTAATCATGTGTTAATAATTTAACATTTACAGTGGAGCAAAATCTCAACAACCATGACATTTCCTCTTTCTAGCCAAAGCATAGCTCCCTGGAGAAATATAGATATATTTTATGATTCCCTTTCATTTGCATTTTATAAGTGCCAGGACCTTCAGCTGATTTCTGCTTTCTCTGCATGTAAATTCCCCAATGTTTGGGTAATGCAGTGAGGAGGAGATGTTCTAACTAGGAGGGACTGTGAAAGTGGTGACACTTCATGTATATAATACTGCCAGGGAATGAAGAATTGTACATAATGAATCCAAGTTGCCAAAGGTACATTTTCAAGTGTTAGGACTTTATAATTCTGTCTTAGATGAAAAAGCTTCTAAAACACACGATAGACATCTTTTCTCTCAAATTCAGCTGATTGCTCATGGTTTGATGTTGATGCAATATTTGGGAGATTAATGCCACTGAGGATATGGCTATGTGTTTGTCCAACATAAACCATCCAAGGACACTTCCTTCACAAGTTAGACACTTGTTCCTCTTTCTGAATGCTCTTATTTTATCTGGCTGCAGACTACAGTAGCTCTATTTCCTGATGAAATCTAAGTTGAGTTTTAATTTTTAGTGTTTGTAAAACAGATCACTAAACCGGGGAAAGTAATATGCAAAATGTGTGCTTACAGTGGATAAAGTCCTTTAGGCCTTTCTGATAAAAAAAAAAATTGCGAGATATGTAATTAATGTTTTAGCCTAGTGTCTCTGCTTTTCTTTGATTACAGTATCTCTGATTTATGACCAGCTCTATAATTGATATGTAATAGCTTTAACTACTTCTCCAACACCTTCAACTATCCCTTTGACCCTCTTTCTTTATTTTAGATGCTTCCTTCCTTGCCCCCAACTCCGACAGTCAAAGGAATGTGGTACTGCCGGTTAGTACTCATTCATAAGTCATTTACCATACATCCACCTGTTTTCCAGCTTCTAAGCTATTGTTACTATGTCTACTCTCCCATCTCCCCATTTTCTTGATTGTATGAGTTATAAAAAAATAAATTCCTTTCCTGAAGATAGCTGGGATTGCAGAAAAGCAAAATTAGATGTTCCATCCTCAATGGTTTGATATTCTCCCTCACAACACCCTTTTTTACTTGTTAGGCTTTATTACTTCTGGAATCAATGTGTTCTGGTATCAGCTTTTGTCACACTTTTCTCTCTGTGGAGTACTCTCTAGCACTGTGGAATTGGAAGAAAAAGCAGCAGAACAAAACAAAATGACAACACTTACTTAGGCAAACATAATACCTCTCCACAATAATGCATAAGGATGCCAGGGTGGCCCACATACATTCATCTGCCTCTCCTATGTGTGTTATTTGATATACTTTGCCTTGTGGTCACCCTTTGTTTTCAGATGTACAGTTTCTGCTTAACCCTGGCATTACGTTATCTACTCTTAGTTTTTAGCTTCTAGACCTTTCTGTCTCTGTACTTTTTATGTAGGGACTTTCTATTCTTATTCCTTAAATCTTTTTATACCCATTTCTAACTATGGACCTAAATGTGTATGTATTCTTTACAGAAGTCCTGTTTGTGGACTTTCACACTGTGTAAAATTTGTTGCTCTGAAATTTAATATGTAAAATAGGCTATGGTATCCTCTGATTTTGTTTTGACTTTTTTCTTCTATTACATGCCCTACAAGAAAAGTCTGAATTCTTCTGTTCTTCAAAGCACTCCCAATTTTAGTTACCTGGTTATCTTTTATTTCTTTTTGACCATCTTGGCCACATTAGATAGGTGCCATGCTGATTGCCCTTGCAGAACCTCCAGTACGAACTTCATTCTGGCCATTATGTTTTTCTATTTTTTTTTTTTTTCCACTAATTTCACAGTCACCGTCTGGTGTTTGCTCCCAGGATTTTGGAAAAGGTATTGTTTCTCGTCTACACAGTTTTTGTTGGTACATGATGGCTTTGAGCAGAATTTTAATAGAAAAATGGCCCTTGTAAAAATATATCATCCTTTGTTCATGATTGCTTTTTTTAAAAAGGCTTCTTTGTTTATACTCATTTCTCATTTAATAAATCTTTCCCCTTCTTTGGACCAAAATGGCAAAAAGTGTAAATCACTTAGGATATAAGACACTGTAACATTCCCTGTATTTGGATTATTGTCAAAATCCTGCAATTAACTGATTAAATATATTTTAATCCATTTTGATGAATAAACACAAGATGATCATTCATTATTGAATCAGGTTCCGGGGGTTCAAAGAGAACATACAGCTTCTTCCTTGAAGGAAGATCACTGTGTAAAGGGGGAGGAAGCCCTGTGAAATGATTACTGCAACTGACTATCATGACTCCTCCTACAGAGATAAGAACAGTTTGTAAGCTAGTCCTGTATGGGTGGGTCATATAAATCAGAAAAAGATGGGCACCGTCCTATCTCTTTCCAAATGTGTTGCCACCTGCTTTCATTTCATGCAACCTCTTTGTTGAAAGATACCAGAGTTTCTGAAGGAAAAAGTTATGCTTGGTTCTAGATCAGGGACCAAAATAGACTTGCCTTAAAACCTGTTTGCAAATTTCCACGTACTGTTTTGTGTGTGTGTGTGGCGGGGGGGGGGGGGGGGGGCGGGCGGGGGGCGGTTCCTGTCGTCTTCGGATTTTCATTTACTCGGTAGCAGCATTAATTCAATGGCAAGTTCACAGCTTGGGTGGCCATTTTACCTTATGCCATCACCAGAGCTTGCCTAACTCCAACTTGTTTTCTCATTTGTTATTTGTCAAAAAAAAAAAAAAAAAAGTAGGCCCCAAAAGCTACATGTGGCAAAACGAAAGCTGGTTATACTATTTTATGATGAGAGTAAATAATGCTCAATATGTTTCATATTCATCAGAATAATTTCCTTATATTTCCATCATTTGGCCACGGAGAATTTCTTTCACACTAAAACCTGTTCCCTGGCTTCGCAAACACCGTCTAGCTCTGGGACCCTCCTGACCTCAGCAGTCTGTTCCATTGCTGCTGAAATAGTGCTTTTCAAGAAAGAAAATATGTTCTGGTCTATTTTTTCACTGTTCCGTGTATGAAATTCTAATTCTTCATAATGGAAATTATACATATATATTGGGGGGAAAGGACCTTTCTCAAGTATCATCTGTTTCCTTTCTAATCTCTTGTCAGTCTAACAAAATGTTTTCAGAATCTGAACTTGTTGCTAATTAGATTCCATCAAAGATCTCATGATATTGCCAATTCAGTTTTACTGACCTGTTCTGTGGTGACATTTCAAGACAGTTATATTTTTTAAAATCTAGCACATCACGTAGTAACTCAATATTTGCGAACCATCAAGAATGTATGTTTTATACTCCAAGATGTTTTAAAAAATTATCATCAACTCCACCCATCACTTTATTGTGATTTTTTTTTTTTTTTTTTTTTTTTGAGATAGAGTGCAGTGGCACGATCTTGGCTCACTGCAACCTCTGCCTTCCGGGTTCAAGCGATTCTTCTGTCTCAGCCTCCCGAGTAGCTGGGACTACAGGCACACGCCACCACGCCCGGCTAATTTTTCTACTTTTAGTAGAGACGGGGTTTCACCACGTTGGCCAGCATAGTCTCTATCTCTTGACCTCGTGATCCGCCCGTCTCGGCCTCCCAAAGTGCTGGGATTACAGGCATGAGCCACCACACCCAGCATTTTTTGTGATATTTTAAGATTTTGACCACTTTGTATGTGATGCACATTGAAAGGCAAGCCCTTTACCTTAGACTGCATTAGATTCCTTTCTTACCAAATAGCTTAGAAAAATCAGTATTGTAACATTGGCTATTCTTTGGTATTTTTTAAATGATAAATACACATGATTTACCTTTTTGTCAAGACCTTAAAAGTACTGAAATTTAGAGGTTAGACACATCTTGCATTGTGGATTTTGGAATAACATGTTTTAACAGAATGTATTAAGCATTCAGAAGACTGATTCTTTTCATGCCCTTGATAATAAATTCACTTTTCTCATGCAATGAATTCGCTTGAGATTCACAGTCTCCTCATAAACCTTGCAGTAAAATGTTTAACCTCAGATTTCAAATGCTATAGTACATTTTATGATAATAAATATTATCCCTATGGGATTGTGAATTTGGTGATCATGCACAATGTTGCAGTGAGAGAGATCTTACCTCCCACATATAACATATGGAGGTCTCATTTGAGTATTTGATTACCAGAATTCATCAAGATTATTTTTAAGTACACATATGCATCCTGCATTTTTATGCACATGAAAGGAGTTTTTCTTAGCCTCAATATAATTACCCCTTAAAGCAAATCATAACTTAAAAAAATTGGAGTAAAGCCTTTGCTATGTTTTGTTAAATTAGGTTGAATTTTACTGTGGAATATTTTAACATCTAATAAATTCTATGAACATTTAAGTGTATTTTGATTGGAAATAAAGCTCGTTTTTTATTTTCAATTTCTGAAAAAAAAGTCACAATTCTGGATTCTACTACAAAACTTGAAGCATTGGGTGCACTTTGAGATAAGGTGACATGAAAAAATATAATAATAAATGCATAGGTAATATTCTCACCCAATCTAAGAATTCCACATGCCTACATCAAAAGAAATGAACCCATACTTTATGGCATTCTAAAGAAATCCTTATCCTTTGAAGGTCGATAATCTTCTTAAAATTCAACCCTAGGATTTAGTATGTCATATAACCAATTAATAAACAAGCAATGACAAAAGGTGACAAATAATAATCAATTCCAAATATGTCTTGAATGCTGAACATATGTAAGCGTTGAGGTAAGTGTTGTATTATGGTGGAATCAAAAATGAATATGATCCATTCTCTGTTAGAGTAACCTAAACAATAGAAAAGTATTTAAATATACAAAGCAAAAAAAAAAAAACCCCACAAAATAATAAAAGAAAAACTTTTGTCTTGTTCTTGCTCTTTTTAAAAGTAGATTGCTCTTTTTAAATATAGGGAATCTGCATGTCATACTCAGTTAGGGACATCCCGATATCTATTCCATCCCTGCATTACTATCCGTGATATCCACAGCAGGGGAAGAGAATGCTGTAGTGTCTCACGCTTGAGATTAAATACTCTGGCCCAGAAATAACATATGCCATCTCCACGTTCAACTTACTGGCTAAAATAATCCCATAACCAGTCCTAACTTAACAGGACTAGGGATGTATAATCCTTATGAACCCAGAAGGAGAAAAATCTCCAGTGAGCACTGTTAATGCCTGCCATACACACAATAGCCTCCATCTTGAAGGTTAATCAATACAGGCAGACATGGACATGAAAGCAATCACTAAATCATTTATATGAGGATACACTTCACAGTGATAGTGAAAAGTGCAAGGAGACAGTTGATTTTAACCTTAAACCTTAAAAAATTAATAATCTTACTGCAAAAGACAAAGTAGGACTTAGGTAAACACAGATATTCCAAATAAAATCAGCGATTACTTAAGCTTTCATGATCTTATTGTTGTCTCTCTCTCTCTCTCTCTCTCTCTCTATACACACACACACACACACACACACACACACTTCTTCTCCTCTTCCTCCTTCTCCTTCTTTTTCTTCTTCCTCTTCTCCATCTCCTCCTTTTCCTTCTCCTTCCTCTTCTCTTTCTCCTTCCTCCTTCTTTTCCCCAAAAAAAACAATCTCGGCCAATTCACAAGGACTTACTTTGTTTAAAAGCTAATCCCTGTCTTTACTGGTATCAGTGGTTAGACATTGAGACAGTATTTTAAGTCTTTTACTTTATCAAAATGTTGATACAATTCTCATTTAGAAATCAGTAATTTTAAGTGCAGCAGTTTATACATGAAATGAATGTTGGAGAATCAGTGAACTATAATTTGATATTAAATTTTTTTTAAATGTTGGTAGAATTCATGGCCATGATTTTATTGTGCTATTTGTCATTTTCTGGAAAATACTAGTTATTGACTCAGACTTGAATTAAATTATACCAACCCCAAGCAATATATAAACTGCATGATTTTTCACTTAAGGATTGATTCATATTTCCTTTTGAATATTTCTTTCTATCAGTAACACATATAAATATAAGACATTTGACTTCAGATCTAGAATGTTAGAACTGGAATTGTCTGGAGATAGACCTTGTCCCTGGCAGTCAAAGCAGCAGAACAGGAGAGAAAATCTCAATGATGGTGAACAAGATTGGGGCCAGCAACACTGAGGACCATATTTGAAGAGTAAGGTGTAATCAGAAATGCTTTCAAAATAATAGGAAGGCCTCATGCAGTAGGGCAGAGAAACATTAACTGAAAGCAGACTGCTAAAGTCAGTCTCTCAGCTTCACTAAACCTCTGAGCCTTACTTCTTTCATCTATTAAATAAAGACATAAAGATGATCAGAAAGGGAGGGGTGCGTGCATAGTTTTGTGCAAAACCACTTGCATGCTATGGTGATTACAGATTTCATAAATAGAGCCAACCTCCAGAAATCTCCCTCCTTTTACTCCCTTCTGCCTAAAGTATTCCCGTGTTAAGCATAAGACTGTAATACACTTTAGGATGTAATTTTCTCTGGGCAGAGAAGTCATTATTAATCACTAATAAATAGGAATTTAACGTATTTATTTAACAGTAATTTAGATAAGGATACAAGGCACATGGAATATTCAGAATGAGAAAGAAATGCTGGGCGAATGCTACTGACGTTATGAAAATGACAAAACAAGTAGAATCCAACAGTCTCAGGAGAAGAAAGCTGGTAGAACTTAAGATGATGAGGCTCCTACAGAAACTTTGCTAACATCCCAGCTATGATAAAGGCAATTGGTTCAGGAGTGTTTCAACTGTGGTGTAATATTCCAGAGTATCTGCCATACTTGTCTAACCAGGTCACTATTTTTACTATTAGATTTTCTCCACTTATTATCATTATTACTATTATTTTCTTTTTGAGACGGGGTCTCCCTGTATCACCCAGGCTGTAGTGCAGTGGCGCGATCTCGGCTCACTGCATCCTCCACCTTCCGAGTTCAAGTTATTCTCCTGCCTCAGCCTCCCGAGTAGCTGGGATTACAGGCACCCACCACAACGCCTGGCTAATTTTTGTATTTTTAGTAGGCACGGGGTTTCACCATGTTGGCCAGGCTTGTCTCTAACTCCCAACCTCAAGTGATCCACCTGCCTTGGTCTCCCAAAGTGCTAGGATTATAGGCATGAGCCACCATGCCTGGCTCTCCACTTATTATAAATGCTGTTATTTTGAACCTCTTAATGTATAAAATGTTTTGTTTGTCTGTTTTGTGCTTGTATTCATAATTTTCCAGGATAGGTGGTTTTTTTATTATTTTCTCAGTTGCCTTCTTAAGCTGATAAATAATATAAACCTATTTCCTCTACTCTCCTTTTTTTCCTTTGATTAATGTGGTAATTATTTACTATCATTGTGAGTTTTGGGGCCTCTATATACTTCTGTTCTGTAATCTCAATGATCCGGGGTCACGGAGCCTCTGTGATAGTCTCTCAAAGGTCTCCCTCATAATCCTCCATTATACTAGTGGATTTATTTTTCAAGTAATGATCGTGCTTTGATTTGACTTTTTATTTGGCATGTGTTATATTTCAAACAGCAGTATTACTACAACATAATTAATCATTATTGCAATAAAAGTATATTGGCACCTGAATTGCCTCATGCATTCATGTTACCTTGCATAGTAGCTGTGAACACTGCAATTTGTGAGCATTTTGCTTTCCTGCTAGGAAACTTTCCCATCCCTTAGGGAGAAATTTCCTGCTGGGGTCTGATGCACACATTATCTGTCTAAGCTCTTTTTTTTTTTTTTTTTCTCACAGACTAGACCATGAGTTCTAAGAAAATGGGAAACAAATCTACATTGTCCGTCACTGAGTGTTCATGTTAGCTCAATATCTACCACATAATGAAAACTCAAATATTTGTTGAACAATTAAATTAATCAGGGTTATTTTTAAACATTTCTACTATATGTCTATTCTTAGGTTCTAAAGCAGATACTTTCTTGTCCTCTCATGCTAAGTATACATCAAAAATAGAGAAATCATTCCAGATACTTGTGATTTTTTACCATCCTCATATGAAAAAAAGCTTTGAAAACATATTAAGTTATAGTGAGAGTAATATTTCGCTTCACAAATTTAGTGAAATATTAATCCAAATTAATCCAATGAGTCATTTTTTTACGTATCTCTTACCTTTCTCTTCATGGTCCGTTATTGTCCCTGGACATGGCCCAATAGAAACTGAATAATAGTGTCCTTTTCTTGGCAATCTCCAAACACAAACTCTTCACTATTCTGTTCCAGTCAGTCAGACCTGCTGATGTCGAGCTCCTATCCTGCCTAGTTTCTCCAAATGCAGCTTTTCTCAACTTGGATTAATGTCCCCACCCCTTCTCACCTAACTAACTCCTAAGCACTCTTCCCTACTTACTGTAGGCAAGACATTATCAAGAGAGGTCTCCTTGACCCCAAATCTTGGCTAAGCCTTGCTAAAATGTTAACTCCTAAATCTCCCAGCAAGAACCCTAAACATACCAATTTTCACCTTGTATTATACTTTCCAGTGTGTATGTTTGCCTCCTCAGTTGAACTACTTACTCTTATAGAGCACTAAGAGTGTTAGCTATTATAGCATCCCTGACATCTGATACATACAGTGCCAGATAACTATCTAATGACTATAGAGGAGATACATTAGTGTTCTATGTTGTATTATCTCTAGAGGCACACTAACATTTAATTCAAACTTTCTTCATGTGATTTATAATAATTGTTAATCGATGCCATTCTACTGGTAAAAGCTACATGTGAAGTCAAATTGTCCCTGAGAGAATATCAAGATATGGACATACAATTAGGAAAATCAAATACTGAATCCATGCTGCCGTAAGCGCAGGTATATTCTTAATGAGATTGTTGAACTGAATGTATGGATTAATTATTCAGGCAATTTTTAAGGAAGAATGAAATGTGAAATGTTAACAAGACTGATAAAACTATTGCTGTTAGATGATGCAATTGATTGTAATGACTGTAAAATAAAAAGATCAAGGCAAGCAATTACATATTAAAAACAGAAATAAATATAGTAATTCTTCCTTGAAAACTGAGGAAAAATGTATCCTTTATGAATAAAGGATAAATGTCATGTTCAATAACGAATTGCAGATTAATAGTAAATAAAAACTTCAATGTCAATTAAGAGGTTACATTCTGGACCATTGAAAAATACCATACAAACATATTTTTCATTTCCTTAATTTTCCTTCTGTAAACTCATGAAAGGGTGATCATGGAAAAAATGAGGTTTGGTAAATATATTTTTTATATAATTACATTTAAATACTAGAAGATTTCTATTCTTAAGATATTTTAGTCTTATTTAAAAAACAACTTTATTGAGATATAATATACATTGTGAAAATTTCACATTTTAAATGTACATGTCAGCATTTCTTTTAGTATATTTACTGAGTTGTTTAATTTTCAGCAAAATCCAGTTTTGGAACTTTTCCATAACCCCAGTACCCATAACCCCTCATACCATTTTCAGCCAATCTTATTCCCACCTCTAGCCCCATGCAATTACTGACATACTTTCTGATATGGAAAATTACTATAAATGGAATCATACAATTTGTTGTCCTTTGTGACTGCCCTCTTTTACTTAGCACAATGTTTTTGAGATTTTATCCATGTTGCAGCATGTATCAATATTTTAAAAATTTTGTTGAAGGCATCAGCCTCAATTTTTATTTATTCATTATGCTATTTCTTCTAATTCATGGATTTATGTTTTTATGATTATATCTATCTCTTTTTACTCCCCTTTGTTTTATTTTGAAGACTTATTTAAGTCAAAGCATTTACACTTTACAATAGGTAAAGATGATATAAAACACATTATTTATACATCTTTCTTCTATGAAAACATAGTTCCAGATATGGTTAATTCTCTTGGGTAATGTAAAGCAATCAGAGTGCTTGTTTCACAATGTGGTCACAAGTGGTGACAAGTGAGCAAAAGTCTCTTTGGAATACTTGAAAAACTCATTTATTTTATCCACTGTAAATAGACAAATATTTAAGGAAAAAGTGTCCTTTCAAAATTAGGCAATGCATCTAAGACTTATTGTTTTCTAAGACTTTAACATAAATACAGCAATTCTTTTGCAAATAAGCGAATGCATTATTATGACTAATGAGGAGAAAGCATTTTGAAGGAGACAAAGTAGAGATGAAAATGATGAATATTTTATGAATAAGGGAGAAATGCTATGTTCAATAGCTAATTGTAGATTAGTAATAAAGGAATAAATACTGGAATGTCAATTAAGAGGTTATATTCTGATTTCTAATAACCATCCAAAAATACCATACAAATATTTTCCATGTTTTTAATTCCCCATCTGTAAATTCATGAAAGTGATCATGGAAAAAAGCATCAGAACACAACGGGGCACAAAGTCCTTTCTTGTTTACCATCTGGCCCTAGAAACCTGGTCTATGCACTCCACCTTCTAAGCTTCCTTTCCTTTAGTCTATTTAATTCAACAACTATTTATTGAGGAAATATATGGGCTACATTGACAGATAACACAAACCACTTGCTATCAGGAAATCTATTGTCAATATTGCTGTGATGAATTTACAGGTCCATGTGTCTTTTTGGAAGAATGGAATGAATAAATAAAATGTAGTCATATACACCATGAAATATGACACAGTCATAAAAGAAGAACAAAATCATGTCCTTTGCAGCAACTTGGAAGCAGCTGGAGGTCATTATCCTAAAGCAACTAAAGCAGAAACAGAAAACCAAATAGTGCATGTTCTAGTTTGTAAATGGGAGCTAAACAGTGGATACTCATGAATGTAAAGATGGGAACAATGGCCAGTGGGGAAAAAAGAGTGGGGAGAGGGAAGGAAGGGGTAAAAAAAATACCTATTGAGTACTATGCTCACATCATAGGCGATGGGTTCAAGCGTACTCCAAACCTCATGCAATGTACCTTTGTAACACATTTGCACATGTACCCTGAGAATCTAAAATAAGAGTTGAAAATAAAACCCTAAAGTCTATTTAAGAGGAAGATGAGGAAAATGAATTTAAGGGAAAGATGAGGAAAATGTATTTCTACCTGCAGTTCTAGTTTGATAGAACTGCCCATCGGCTACAACTGCTAGTAAAGGTTTTCCTTAATGAAAAGATTTATGTTCTAGACACCCACGTGGCACCAAAGGAAGCATTCAGATGGCAAATGGATCAGCCTAGAGTTACTCCTGTTGTCTTGAGAAAAATACTTCACATCTCTAATTTTCAATCACCTGATCTATAAAATGGGGATGATAATAACCACCCTGATGTTTTTAAGAATTAAAACAAGCAAGACTCTGTATGTAAAGTATAAAGAACATTGCCTAGCACAAGAGATACTAGTTTTATTATTTATATTGCTTTATTATCATCGTCATTACTATTTTTCCTTTATGAAAGAGATTTGTCAGATGAAGCTAGTTAATTCAAAATGATTATTGAATCACCGAACTAAATTCTATTTCTGCCAGTGACCGGCCATGTGATTGTGGAAAGGTTCACTGTGTCTCAGTTTCCTTGTTTTCCAACTAAGGGTGGTAATATAATTTGCCTCACAATACTGATGGTATGATTAAGTAAGATAATAACTTACTGTACTAACGACAGTTTCTGACACAAGTTAAGTGTTCAAGAAAGGCTTTTTATTATTATAAATATTAATATTATTGTTTATTCCTTTCTTCATTTATTCTATTTTTAAAAATAGTGAACAATAAATGGTACTTATTATTGTTTGCAAGAACAATATATTTATTAGCATCATGATTTGCTAAATCTTCTAAGAAACAGACATGGGATTAATAATAGTAGCCATTATTAGGTGAAGACATGAACACAGTTATCATAAACAAAAGATGTGTAGGCTCCAATTAGGTTAATTTTTCCTTCATAAGGGATGAGAATTTCTCACCTGGTTGATGAGGATATTCTACCAAAAAGAGCATCCCTTTTCTAGAAAATGACCCCTTAAGAGGGACAAACAATATGTAACTAAATGAATGACCTAGAAAAGTCAGTGCGGTGGGAGTCTGAAGATTTTGAAGAGCGGTAAGTGAAAAAAAAAAGTGACAGGTCATGCTTGATAGGAGAACAAGTAATACGTGTCATAGAGTGAGGAAATGGAAAGTATTTCTGGGAAGTAAGGATCCACTGATGATATTAGGCAGCTGTGTGGAGCCTGGGAGACTAGAAAGAGTGTCAAGACCATCAACATTAATAAATTGGAGGTCAGGAGATCATGCTGCTCATCAGTCAGTGTCACTGGTGATAAATGTTGTGAGGGGAAAGGTTAGTAGATGAGAGGTGACTGGAGTATTCCTGAGAAATAGCAGTATTCTGTTAAGCAGGAAGCTCTTGGAATACCGACACGTGATCATTAGACCTGTCATGTCAGTGAACAAGGGCCAAAATGAAATCAGAGTGAGGATGCCAAGAGTGTTAATAAACTGGAAAAAAAATGGATCACAATTAAATGTCTTTCTACCAAACCATTGCTCTTATATAATTCACATGAAAATTTCAATTGCTGTTTTACAATGTTCTTTTTTTTAAGTAAGTACATAATATCTAAACAATTGCAAAATAATCCAGTGCTTTTTTAATTTTGCAATTTTTCAGGTATTTTCAATGAAAGTATATTTGTGAAGGTATAACCAGAGGACACAATGTCAGTTTAGGATCTCTGCTGACAAAACAATGCCAACAATTAGGCAAGGGGTACATTTTAAGATAAGTGGATGATATTTGTGTGAGTTGGACTAAATTTATAGAAGGGATATGTTATATCATTTTTAGATCAAGGACAAATGCATGTATCAAGCAAGGCCTAATGATGAGCAGAGTGTGCTGGAAACACACAGGCCCAATTCTACGAATTAGTGACAACCTGAAAAATGGGAACTAAAAACTCTCAGTACTGCTGCTTTAATTAAATGAAATAATGTATATAAAACATCTATTAGGTTGGTGCAAAACGTAACTACGGTTCTGGCCACTACTTTTGCACTACCCTAATAGTAAGATGAGAGGCATGTGTTAGGTTGAAATGGTAGAGTGCTTGAGTAGGGGTGTGTGTGTGTGTGTGTGTGTGTGTGTGTGTGTGTTTGTGTGTCATGAAATTTAGTTTTATTTTAAATTTGATACTGATTTTATGCACATAATTTATTCATTTAACAAATATATATTGAGCCCTAGGTACTGTTTAGGTACCAGATATATAGCAGGGCACAAATAGTTAAAGTCCCAACCTCACAGAATTTATATTCTAGTGAAAGGGAGACAGATGATCAACAAGGGCACACATAGTATATGTTAAGTTGTCTATACATTAAGGTACCATAGATACAGAGTGCCATTGGTGACAGGACATTAGGACTGTAAAGTTAGATATATTAGACATTTGTGAGTGAGCAAGAACAAGTGTAGTAGGGGAATGTTTGGAGAAATAGCAGTGAGCTTGGTCACGTAGGGTTCTGGAAGCCATTCAAGGGATTTTGCTTTGTACTGAGGGATATGAGAAACCATTGAAAGTTATGAGCAAAGGAGTTGCAGATAGACTTAATGCTCCAGTTTCTGTTTTAAATGTCTCCAAGAATCTTTCTTAACTTCCCAGAACACCAAATTAAGAAGTTGCTATCCTTATCCCCTTGATTCGGGCAAAGAAATGGAAGCTCAGAGACATTGAGTAATTGGCCAAAGTCATATAGTAACTAGTGGCTGAGCTGGATTTCAAATCCAGGCAGGTTCAACTACACAGAATTACTTCTAATCTTTAGAAGGACAACTACTTCAAATCTTTAATGAAACACTCCTTAGGGAGTCCTTTTCCCTTGGATTGTCTTCCCCACCGCCCCCACCCCTTGGATTGTCTTTTTTTTTTTTCTCTCTCTCTCTCTTCCCAAGCATATTTTTATTGGTCTTTTTAATGTGATTTCCTGTGCTTTCTTCTCTTCTTTTGTTCCCTCTTTTTTTCTTTCTTCTTCAATTTTCTTCCTTCCTAACTTCCTATCTTTTTTTCCTGAAGTAAGTTAGGTATTTTTCATGTATTATGTCATTTAATCCTACAATATCTTTTGGTCATGCACTCTCTTTTTTGTTTTCTGTGTATTTATTCTAAGCAGAGTTTATCTCATTTGGTGCAGTTTACTGTCTTGCTACTCAAGATATAGTCCTGAACAGCAAGGGCTTGAGAGCTTGCTAGGAGCTGGGCTGTGTCCCAGAATCTGTATTTTAGCTGGATCCACAGGTGATCTGTAGGCACACTGGCATTTGAAATGCACTTTACATGCAGACTGGGAGATATAACACAGGACTTTCCCTCAGCTTTTCTCACTTTCTGTTGGGTTTTTGAGTAGAATCTGTTTTTCAGATTTACAGCTGCAGAAAATGCCAAATGCAACAATAATCCCATATTCATCATCAAAAATAAATTTATTTAAAGCAGCCCTGCTGAATAAAAACTGGAACCATTTTCTCATTATGTAATACATAGAAATATAAATTTCAGAAGTATGAGCCACAGCTCGCACCACTTCTAGAATGCTTTTGGCTCTTGCTTCACTATTTTTTTTCTTGAAAAGCACATTTCAAGAATGCAATGAGCCAATTCTAGTTCTTTGCTTTAATTTTTCTTCCTACCCCAATGGTGGTTGTTGTTTTGAAATGGAAGTCACTAAATAATCTTAGAAAGAAAGATACTGATGGAAAGGAAGAATACTGTACTCTATCCCTCTCAAAAAGAGTACACCATTCTCTAGTCTCTGAGACAGGGCAAAAAGTAGAGGCAAAATAACATGTCTTCTTACCCCTCTAGCCAAGCAGGTTTATTCCATTTGTAATGGCAAAAAATCCATTGAAAACCAGCTGTGCTTCTTAGGTCACTGCTATAATTAGAAAATATTTCCAGATTTTGAAAAAATCCAACTCTGAGAATTAGTTTTCAGTGTTCTCATGAGACTCAGAGAAGTTTAAATACCTACCCAAATTACTCAGTGATAGATCCAAAAGCCAAGAGCCAAGACACACACCAATACACAGAATCCCAATTTAATGCCTTTCTACTAATATTGTCTGCATTTTTAAGAAAAATATTATGAATAGCAACATGAGTACTTTACAATGGCATTAGTTATCAGTTTCATTTCACATTTCACTGCCATTTTTGTAGCAGACATGGTCCCACATCTTCTAATTACATTCCCAGATCTCAACCACTGTAAATATCTTCAGATCACCTATTTTGCTTAAATGGTGGCTTCTGTGTGGGTAAATCTGGTGCCCTCTGCCTTGAGCCCCAGCTGTTTGCATCCTGCTGTGTGTGATTGTGAGTGACTCAATGTTGGACAGCGGCAACTTCAGAAAAAAAAAAAAAAGGGGGGGGGCAACACTTGTCCCTACTAGTGCATTCTTTAATTGGTTTGTTCATGGACTGGTTATGAGCACAGAGAATAAATTCTCTCTTTCTGAAATATTTTGGTCCTACTTTTATCTCATTGTGTGTGGGACCTAGAGTTACAAAGTGTGGAGAAGCAACCAGTAGGTAAAGTAAGAAATGTTTAATCTAAAATAATTTGGCTTTATTAATTTTATGCAAATGTTTAAAGCCACAGCATTACGTATAGATTTGAGTCAAATTGCTCTATGTTTCCCAGGCCACCTTTACCTGCTTTTGGCCATGCAATAATTTGATGTCAGATTCCTGTAAGACTTGTAGACCTTGAAATGTTCAAGGACTGAAAATAGCAAATGAGAACTTAGGGGGCATTATATCAGCCAAGTCATTATTTTACTTGGAAAAATTAATTCGGTTAAACCAAATAGTAATTTAAGATGAAACCCATGTGTTTCAACTGCCAAAGAGTCTGTTTATTTTAAAGAGCTTTTATTTCCTTTAATAACAGTCCTCGAATATAATTTATAGTATATTCACTTTTTTAGTTGTAGTATTTTTAGTTTTAAATGTCCTGAAAGTATCTATAACTAATTAGTCCATTGAGTGTACTGATTAAACTAATTTACGTTTTATAGTTCTAGAAATAAAATATGAATGAAAAGTTACTCTAGAACACAGCACAAAGAAATGAAAAACAGTTAAAAATAACCAAATGTTCAATGTAAAGTCTTATTGCAAATCCATTTTAATGTATTCTAAGATAAATCATTCTTGTTCTTAAAACTTTGCTTACAGATATTTTTGTCTTTTATTGTTCAAGCATATTAATATGGTAAATATGTAAGTACTACTTTGCCTAGGTGTACTCATAATGCCTGAATTATCTGAAAAGAGTTTCTGGTCTATAAAAGCTCTGTCTCAGACCTGTTATAAATTGTAAAGTGCTATGAGCCAATTCAACAGTATTTAATGTCAATTAAGCCAACAATAATTATGTAGCAGGAATTATATGGCAGGTACATCATTAGACTCTAGAGAGGCAGACATGAAATTTCAGTCAATCTGAGCTCATTGACATTGGAATGAGATAAGAATTTTGATTGTTTTGAGGTGGTGAAGCATAATGACCGATACAAAGAAGCATAATATATACATATATAATTATCAAAATATTAAAAAGTAACAAATATCATTAAATATAAAATATTTTATTTTATATTTTTATTAAATAAATAAATAAATAAAAATAAAATATATTTTTATTAAATATAAAATATGAAATATTTTATATTTAATGTATATCTCAGAAATGTGTGTTTGTGTGTATTTTAAACTATAAGTACCTTACAATATCATAGGACAAATTAAGTTTTTACTTTAGTTGAAGAGTTTGTAAATTTCCCATAGTAAACCCTATTACCATACCAGAAGGGAGGAAAGCCAGATTTCTAGGACATACACAATAAATCTAAATAATTTTTATTTTTTTTTGTTTTAAATGGTCAATTATTTTTGAGAAAATTCTGTAAGAATAGATGAGATGGTAAATAATTTAAAGGGGGAAAATCATATTAGATTGCTGTCTTTATCTTGTTTAAAATTATATTTATTTTATTGCATTCTGGTGTGATTTTTTAGAGGATAACTTTAATCCTCTGTTGGAGAGCCTTCTCTTTCAAGAGACTTTAATATTTTTGGTATTAATCATCAACAAAATATTTGGAGGCTACATTCATTTCCTATGGCTAATGTAACAAATTAAAACAAACATAGTGGCCCAAAGCATCACAAATTTATTGTCATACAGTTATGGAGATAAGATGTCCAAAAGGGATTTCACTGGGCTAAAACCAAAGTGTCAGCAGGCTGCATTTCTTTTTTTTTTTTGTTTTTTTTATTATACTTTAAGTTTTAGGGTACATGTGCACAATGTGCAGGTTAGTTACATATGTATACATGTGCCATGCTGGTGTGCTACACCCATTAACTCGTCATTTAGCATTAAGTATATCTCCTAAAGCTATCCCTCCCCCCTCCCCCCACCCCACAACAGGCCCCAGAGTGTGATGTTCCCCTTCCTGTGTCCATGTGTTCACATTGTTCAATTCCCACCTATGAGTGAGAATATGCAGTGTTTGGTTTTTTGTTCTTGCTATAGTTTACTGAGAATGATGATTTCCAGTTTCATCCATGTCCCTACAAAGGACATGAACTCATCATTTTTTATGGCTGCATAGTATTCCATGGTGTATTTGTGCCACATTTTCTTAATCCAGTCTATCATTGTTGGTTCCAAGTCTTTGCTATTGTGAATAGTGCCACAATAAACATACGTGTGCATGTGTCTTTATAGCAGCATGATTTATAGCCCTTTGGGTATATACCCAGTAATGGGATGGCTGGGTCAAATGGTATTTCTAGTTCTGGATCCCTGAGGAATCGCCATACTGACTTCCACAATGGTTGAACTAGTTTACAGTCCCACCAACAGTGTAAAAGTGTTCCTATTTCTCCACATCCTCTCCAGCACCTGTTGTTTCCTGACTTTTTAATGATTGCCTTTCAAACTGGTGTGAGATGGTGTCTCATTGTGGTTTTGATTTGCATTTCTCTGATAGCCAGTGACGGTGAGCATTTTTTCATGTGTTTTTTGGCTGCATAAATGTCTTCTTTTGAGAAGTGTCTGTTCATGTCCTTCGCCCACTTTTTGATGGGGTTGTTTGTTTTTTTCTTGTAAATTTGTTTTGAGTTCATTGTAGATTCTGGATATTAGTCCTTTGTCAGATGAGTAGGTTGCGAAAGTTTTCTCCCATTTTGTAGGTTGCCTGTTCACTCTGATGGTAGTTTCTTTTGCTGTGCAGAAGCTCTTTAGTTTAATTAGATCCCATTTGTCAATTTTGGCTTTTGTTGCCATTGCTTTTGGTGTTTCAGACATGAAGTCCTTGCCCATGCCTATGTCCTGAATGGTAATGCCTAGGTTTTCTTCTAGGGTTTTTATGGTTTTAGGTCTAACATTTAAGTCTTTAATCCATCTTGAATTAATTTTTGTATAAGGTGTAAGGAAGGAATCCAGTTTCAGCTTTCTACATATGGCTAGCCAGTTTTCTCAGCACCATTTATTAAATAGGGAATCCTTTCCCCATTGCTTGTTTTTCTCAAGTTTGTCAAAGATCAGATAGTTGTAGATATGCGGCGTTATTTCTGAGGGCTCTGTTCTGTTCCATTGATCTATATGTCTGTTTTGGTACCAGTACCATGCTGTTTTGGTTACTGTAGCCTTGTAGTATAGTTTGAAGTCAGTAGTGTGATGCCTCCAGCTTTGTTCTTTTGGCTTAGGATTGACTTGGCAATGCGGGCTCTTTTTTGGTTCCATGTGAACTTTAAAGTTGTTTTTGCCAATTCTGTGAAGAAAGTCATTGGTAGTTTGATGGGGATAGCGTTGAATCTATAAATGACCTTGGGCAGTACGGCCATTTTCACAATATTGATTCTTCCTACCCATGAGCATGGAATGTACTTCCATTTGTTTGTATCCTCTTTTATTTCATTGAACAGTGGTTTGTAGTTCTCCTTGAAGAGGTCCTTCACGTCCCTTGTAAGTTGGATTCTTAGGTATTTTATTCTCTTTGAAGCAATTGTGAATGGGAGTTCACTCATGATTTGGCTCTCTGTTTGTCTGTTATTGGTGTATAAGAATGCTTGTGATTTTTGTACATTGATTTTATATCCTGAGACTTTGCTGAAGTTGCTTATCAGCTGAAGGAGATTTTGGGTTGAGACGATGGGGTTTTCTAGATATACAATCATGTCATCTGCAAACAGGTACAATTTGACTTCCTCTTTTCCTAATTGAATACCCTTTATTTCCTTCTCCTGCCTGATTGCCATGGCCAGAACTTCCAACACTATGTTGTATAGGAGTGGTGAGACAAGGCATCCCTGTCTTGTGCCAGTTTTCAAAGGAAATGCTTCCAGTTTTTGCCCATTCTTTATGATATTGGCTGTGGGTTTGTCATAAATAGCTCTTATTATTTTGAGATATGTCCCATCAATACCTAATTTATTGAGAGTTTTTAGCATGAAGGGTTGTTGAATTTTGTCAAAGGCCTTTTCTGCATCTTTTGAGAAAATCATGTGGTTTTTGTCTTTGGTTCTGTTTATATGCTGGATTACATTTATTGATTTGCATATATTGAACCAGCCTTGCATCCCAGGGATGAAGCCCACTTGATCATGATGGATAAGCTTTTTGATGTGCTGCTGGATTCAGTTTGCCAGTATTTTATTGAGGATTTTTGCATCAATGTTCTTCAAGGGTATTGGTCTAAAATTCTCTTTTTTGGTTGTGTCTCGGCCAGCCTTTGGTATCAGGATGATGCTGGCCTCATAAAATGAATTAGGGAGGATTCCCTCTTTTTCTATTGATTGGACTAGTTTCAGAAGGAATGGTACCATTTCCTCCTTGTACCTCTGGTAGAATTTGGCTGTGAATCCATCTGGTCCTGGACTCTTTTTGGTTGGTACGCTATTGATTATTGCCACAATTTCAGAGTCTGTTATTGGTCTATTCAGAGATTCAACTTCTTCCTGGTTTAGTCTTGGGAGGGTGTATGTGTCCAGGAATTTATCCATTTCTTCTAGATTTTCTAGTTTATTTGCGTAGAGGTGTTTGTAGTATTCTCTGATGGTAGTTTGTATTTCTGTGGGATTGGTGGTGATATCCCCTTTATCATTTTTTATTGCGTCTATTTGATTCTTCTCTCTTTTCTTCTTTATTAGTCTTGCTAGCGGTCTATCAATTTTGTTGATCCTTTCAAAAAACCAGCTCCTGGATTCATTAATTTTTTGAAGGGTTTTTTGTGTCTCTATTTCCTTTAGTTCTGCTCTGATTTTAGTTATTTCTTGCCTTCTGCTAGCTTTTGAATGTGTTTGCTCTTGCTTTTCTAGTTCTTTTAATTGTGATGTTAGGGTGTCAATTTCGGATCTTTCCTGCTTTCTCTTGTGGGCATTTAGTGCTATAAATTTCCCTCTACACACTGCTTTGAATGTGTCCCAGAGATTCTGGTATGTTGTGTCTTTGTTCTCGTTGGTTTCAAAGAACATCTTTATTTCTGCCTTCATTTCGTTATGTACCCAGTAGTCAATTCAGGAGCAGGTTGTTCAGTTTCCATGTAGTTGAGTAGTTTTGAGTGAGTTTCTTAATCCTGAGTTCTAGTTTGATTGCACTGTGGTCTGAGAGACTGTTATAATGTCTGATCTTTTACATTTGCTGAGGAGAGCTTTACTTCCAACTATGTGGTCAATTTTGGAGTAGGTGTGGTGTCATGCTGAAAAAAATGTATATTCTGTTGATTTGGGGTGGAGAGTTCTGTAGATGTCTATTAGATCTGCTTGGTGCAGAGCTGAGTTCAATTCCTGGGTATCCTTGTTAACTTTTTGTCTCGTTGATCTGTCTAATGTTGACAGTGGGGTGTTAAAGTCTCCCATTATTATTGTGTGGGAGTCTAAGTCTCTTTGTAGGTCACTCAGAACTTGCTTTATGAATCTGGGTGCTCCTGTAATGGGTGCATATATATTTAGGATAGTTAGCTCTTGTTGAATTGATCCCTTTACCATTATGTAATGGCCTTTTTTGTCTCATTTGATCTTTGTTGGTTTAAAGTCTGTTTTATCAGAGACTAGGATTGCAACCCCTGCCTTTTTTTGTTTTCTATTTGCTTGGTAAATCTTCCTCCATCGTTTTTATTTTGAACCTATGTGTGTCTCTGAACATGAGATGGGTTTCCTGAATACAGCACACTGATGGATCTTGACTCTTTATCCAGTTTGCCAGTCTGTGTCTTAATTGGAGCATTTAGTCCATTTACATTTAAAGTTAATATTGTTATGTGTGAAATTGATCCTGTCATTTTGGTGTTAGCTGGTTACTTTGCTCGTTAGTTAATGCGGTTTCTTCCTAGCCTCGATGGTCTTTACAATTTGGCATGATTTTGCAGTGGCTGGTACTGGTTGTTCCTTTCCATGTTTAGTGCTTCCTTCAGGAGCTCTTTTAGGGCAGGCCTGGTGGTGACAAAATCTCTCAGCATTTGCTTGTCTGTAAAGTATTTTATTTCTCCTTCACTTATGAAGCTTAGTTTGGCTGGATATGAAATTCTGGGTTGAAAATTCTTCTCTTTAAGAATGTTGAATATTGGCCCCCACTCTCTTCTGGCTTGTAGAGTTTCTGCCGAGATATCCGCTGTTAGTTTGATGGGCTTCCCTTTGTGGGTAACCCAACCTTTCTTGTGAAGGTGATAAGGGATATTCTGTTTCTTGCCTTTTCCAACTTCAAGAGATCAGTTGCATTCTTTATATTGTGGCCACTTCTTCTAACTTCAAATACAGCTCCACAGCCTTTTCAAATCACTCTCTGACTCTGACTTCTCATTCTACCTCCCTCTTCTATTTTAAGGGATTCTTATGATTACATTGGGCCTACTCAGATAATGTAGGATAATCTTTTATATCTTAAAGTCAACTGATTAGTAAGCTTAATTCTATCTGGCAACCTTAATTCCCTGCTGTCATGTATAGTAAAATTTTCAGAAATGCTGTATGTTAGGACATCAACATCTTTCAAGGCCGTAATTCTACCTACTACAAGGGTTTAACTAAGAACCTCTGGGTCCTATTCTCTTGGATATGAGTTTTAACACACTTTAAGGTATGACTATGTAACCACTGCTGCTGGGTAGAGAGAGTTCTCCAGGGGCCAAGTAAGTAAGTTACTGCATGTATCATGAAGTGAAGTTACATTTATCTTGATACTTTCTTGGGCTGTTTATCTTTTGCCATTTCTGAACCATTAGCAAAGTCTTGTCTACCTCCTTCAGCATTGTACTGATCATATTAAAAACAGTAAAAGAATGGTCGGAAGTCAACATTTGAATCTCAGAAAAATAGCAGCACTTGAAGCTTGACTGGTATTGATTTCCGATGGAAAAAATCATTCTTAGGGAACAACCTGTGATACCATGAGGTCCTGACATTCATCTATACCTGCCAGTGTTCATGACTTGTCATCATTGGAAAAGATTGGCTTGAGTTTTATTATGGCAGCCTTCTTCACATAAAGTAGTTCCAAAATTAATCAAATGTGATATAGCAAGTAAGTAACTCAGCATAAGAGACCCTATAAAGCAATGACTTCAAAGTACCATGAAGTGAGTATAATGAAGCTTTGTAGGGAGAAAGATACCCAGTATAGAAATGTCTAATGTTTCTTCCTACAGCTTTACTTATGAATGTCCCTGTTTCATGTGCTAACATGATTTGTGGTGGTTGTGTCACTGTCTCCACTTTCTCACTCTCTTCCATATTAGAATTGTATACCCGTCTTTGGCATATAATCGTGGAATGCCTTCTGGTGTGAATCAAGTATGTGTTGCTGCCCTGCTGATGTTGAGCTTGGCCATGTTATTTAATTGGGCTAATGGCATGTAAGTGGAAATGACAGTGTATGGTTCATGTGCCTATGCCATAAGAGGCCTTGCATGTTTCTGCTTTTCCTCTTGAGCTCCTGCATTTTCAATGGGACACATGTACTCCAGATAGCTTATGGTCCAAGAAGATTGAATGATACATGAAACAGGCCTGAGCTAGACTCACAACCAAGAGCCAAGCCCAGTTGAGTTGAGCCAATCCTTCGCACACTTATAGTTATTTGACCCAGAAAAATAAATGATTGTTTCATTAGTTACCAAGAATTCGAGGGTTTAAAAAATGTCCTTTTATGGAAAGCAATATCTGATTACTCTGATGTTCATATAAGTCAATAACTTCACATCATCTTGACCACTATTTTCCTCAACTTCCATATAAAATCAATTAGAGCCTATACCTTACTTCTATTAAATTTTTCCGTATCTGTCACTTTTTCACTAAACACTGGCTTTAGTTCATGTCAGTATCATTCCTCTTGTTGGTAATAGCATCAGCTTTGGAATTAGACTTTGCTTCCATCTCAAGCATTCTATTTCATTCATCACAATGATCTAAAATAATTCTCCTAAAATGGAAGTCGAGAGTGCCTGGGTCCTGAATAAAATTAGTAACTGTCTCTCTATTCCCTATACAGAGAAGGTCAAACACATTGTTATGGCATACTCAACCCTTCATGATCTGAGTTCTGCTTCTCTGACTACTGATGTCATTCTCCACATACATACTATGCCTCAGCCAAATTATAGCATCTGAAGTCCCTTGATATACCATATGTCAGTATCATTTCAGTATTTCTTCTAGCTCTTTCCTTTGCTTAAAATGCCATTAGATCTTATATTCATAAGGAACAATTAGATGTGCCATTATACTCAAAACAAAAAAAATCCTGTTTTTTTCAATTTTTTATTATTAGTCTTTACACATAATAATTGTACATATCTATAGGGCATAGTGTGATATTCTGATATGTGTATACAATTTGCAATGATCAAATCAGGGTTTTTAGCATATCTATTACCTCAAACATTTATGATTTCTATGTGTTGGAAACATTCAGAATTTTCTTCTCTAGCTATTTGAAAATATACAATAAAATATTTCAACTATACTCACTCTACAGTGCTATGGAATAATGGAACTTATTCCACCTATCTAGCTGTAAGTTCATATTCCTTAACCAACTTTTACCTATACCCTTATCTCCCTACTCTTCCCAGCCTCTAGTAACCACTATCCTACTCTTTGCTTTTATAAAGTAACATTTAGTTCCACATATGAGGGAGAACAGGCAGTATTTGTCTTTCTGTGCCTGGCTTATTTTACCTAAGACAATGTCCTTCATGCTCATTCATGTTGCCACAAATGACAGAATTTTATTTATTTATATGGTTGAGTATTATTCTATTGTGGATATATACCACATTCTCTTTATCAATCTGATGATGAACACATAAGTTGATTTCATATTTTGGCTATTGTGAATAGTGCGACAATAAAATTGAGAGTGCAGGTATCTCTTGGACAAATTGACTTTTTTTTTTTTTTCACTTTGGACATATACTTAGCAGTGGGAATCCTGGATCTCATGGTAGTTCTATATTTAGTTTTTGATAAACCTCCATACTGTTTTCTATAATAGCTGTACTAACTTACATTTCCACCTGCAATGTATGAGTCCTCTTTTCTCTGCAACCTTGCCAGCATTTATTTTGTCTTTTTGAAAATTATCCTGATAATTCTAATTGTCATTCTTTTATATTTCAATTTCCCTGACAATTAGTGATGTTGAGCATATTTTCATATATCTGTTGAACATTTGTCTTCTTTTGAGAAATGTCTGTTTAGATCAGTTGCTCATTTTTGAGTTATTTTTATTTTTGTTGTTGAGTTTCTTATATATTCTAGATATTGCTACCTTATTTGATAAACACTTTGCAAACATATTTTTTCTATTCTGAAGATTGTTTCTTCACTCTGTGAAATTTTCCTTTGCTGTGAAGATTTTTAGTTTGTTGTAATACCATTTGTCTACTTTTTCTTCTGCTGTCTGTGCTTTTGGTATCTTGACCATAAAATCATTGTTCCAACTGGGTCCTAAAGCATTTCTCCTGTGGTTTGCTCTAGTGGTTTCATAGGTTTAGGTTCTCATATTTGTCATTAATTCATTTTGAGTTAATTGTTGCATATGGTGAGAGATAGGGGTCTAGTTTTATTCTTCAGCATATTGATACCCACTTTTCTCAGCACCATTTATTGAAGACACTGTCCTTTCCCCAATGTATTTTATTGGTGCCTGTGCTGGAAATCAGGCTGCAAATACATGTGTTTATTTCTGCATCCTCTATTCTGTTCCATTGACCTATGTATCTGTATTTTATACCAGTACCTATTGTTTTGATTACTATAGCTTTAGAGTATACTTTGAAGTTAGGCAGTGTGATGCCTCCAGCGTGTTCTTTTTGCTCAGGATGGCTTTGGCTATTTGAGGTCTTCATTATACTCAAATAGCTCAAAAACCTTTTGGCTCATTTTTTTATATTTCTGCACAGTATGCTTTGGTATTTTTGTAGAGTTGCATTGAATCTGTACATCACTTTTGGTGGCATAGACATTTTAATAATAAAATTATTCAAATTAATCAACAAGAGATGTCTTTCCATTTTGTGGTGTCTACCCTTTAATTTCTTTCATCAGTATTTTAGTTTTCCTCATAGAGTTCTTTCACTTTTTTCTGCAGGTATTTTAAATGAGTTGCTTTCTCAATTTCTTTTTCATCTAATTCATTATTGCAGTATAGAAAATCCACTGGTTTTTGTATGTTGATTTTGTATCCTGCAACTTTACCAAATTTGTTTATCGGTTCTGAGAGTGTTTTGATGGAGTCTTTAGGTTTTGCTACATACAAGATCGTGTCTGCAAACTGGGAAATTTGGACTTCATCATTTCCAGTTTCGATGCTCCTTATTTCTCCTGCCTAATTATTTTGGCTAAAACTTCCAGTAGTATGTTGGATAAGCGTGGTTAAAATGGATCTTCTCGACTTGTTCCGATTTGTAGAGACAAAGTTTTCAACTATTCCCTTTTCAGTATGATGTTAGCTTTGGGTTTGTTACATATGTATGACCTTTACTATATTACATATGACCTTTACTATGTTGAGGTACCTTTTTTCTAAACAAATTTGTGTAGAAGTTTTATCAGGAAGGGAATTTGAATTTTATCAAATGCTATTTTTGCTTTTCTAATTTCTTTCTGTATAGTTCTGCATAATAATATCTAATGATCTATTGTATTTTAATGTCTCCTTTCTATTTTTGATTTTATTTATTTGTAACTGCTATTTTTTAATTAGTCTAGCTAATAGATTGCCAATTTGTTTATCTTTTCAAAAAACACTTTTTTGGTTTTTTGTTTTTGTTGTTTTGTTTTTTAGTCTCAATTTTGTTTATTTCTGCTCTGATCTTTATTATTTCTTTCCTTCTGTGATTATAATTTGTGGTTTATTTTTATTCTTTTCTTCAGTTTCATAAGAAGTTTTAGTGGGTTGTTTATTTAAAATGTTTCTACTTTTTTGATACAGTCATTTATTGTGATAGATTATCCTTTTAGTACTGGTTTTACCTTCTCCCATATATTTTGTTTTTATTTTTATTCACATCAAGGCATTATTAGTTTTCCTCTTAATTTCCTCATTGATGCACTGGTCATTTAGGAATATGTTTACTATGCATATATTTACAGTTTCCAAAGTTCTTTCTCTTGATTTCTAATTTTATGTCATTGTGGTCGGAACAGACACCTTGACAGTATTTTGATTATTAAAATTTGTCAAGCCTTGTTGTGTGACATAACTTATGGTTTTTCCTGAAGAATGCTCTATGTGCTGAAAAGAAAAATGTAAATTTTGCAGCTGTTGGTTGAAATGTTCTGTGAATTTCTGTTAGATAGATGTAGATAATAGGTCTAGAGTGTGGTTTAAGTTCAATGTTTCTTTTTTGATTATATGTCTAAATCTAACAAATGGTTAAAATGTGGTAATAATACCTCCAACTCTTATTATATTGGAGTCTATATTTCCCTTTTGATATGATAATATTTGCTTTATATGTCTGGTTTCTCTGGTTTGGCATTTCATGTATATTTACAATTGTTACATCCTCTTGCTGAATTGATTTTCCTCTCATTATATAATGAATTTCTTTTTCTCCTTCTACAATTTTTAACTTGAAATGTATTTCATCTAAGTATGGCCACTCCTACTTGCTTTGGGTTTGCATTTGCTTGTAATATATATTTTCCATTCCTTCACTTTCACTCTATGTATATCTTTACAGGTGAGATGAGTTTCTTGAAGACAGAATACACTAGAGTCTTGTTTTTATTGACTATTTAGCCTTTCCATAACTTTTAATTGGGAAATTTCATCCATTTACAGTCAAAGATATTAGTGATAGGTGAAGACTTATTCCTGTCATTTTGTTAGTTGTTTTCTGATTGTCTTAAATATCCTTTGTGCATTTCTCCCTTTCATTTTGTTTATCATGACAGTTTGGTAGATTTCATTGTGATAAGATTTGCTTCTTCTCTCTTTCTCATATGTGTACTGCTCTGCCAGTGAGTTTCATAATTTTACGTGTTTTTAGGATGGTATCTATCATCATTTCTCTTCCAAATGTAAAACTACCTTAAGTAATTTTTGTAAAGCTTGTGTAGTTGTGATAAATCCCCTCTGTTTTTGCTTGTGTGGGGAAAATTTTATTTCTTCTTCATTTCAATAAACCTGTTATCAAGTTCAGAAATCTTTTCTTCTGCTTCATCTAGTCTGCTACTCAAGCTTTTGATTGCATTTATATTTCACTGATTGAATTCTTAAGCTTGAAGATTCCTGTTTTTCCCTTTTTTTTTTTTTTTTTTTTTTTGAGACGGAGTCTCTCTCTGTTGCCCAGGCTGGAGTGCAGTGGTACCATCTTGGCTCACTGCAACCTCCACCTTCTGGGTTCAAGCAATTCTCCTGCCTCAGCCTCCCCAGTTGCTGGGATTACAGGCACCCACCACCAAGCCCAGCTAATTTTTTGTAATTTTTAGTAGAGATGGGGTTTTGCCAAGTTGGCCAGACTGGTCTTGAACTCCTGACCTCAGGTGATCCACCTGCCTCAGCCTCCAAAAGTACTGGCATACAGGCTTCTCCATCACGCCCAGCCTTGTTTTTAATTTTTAATGATATATAACTTTGTTATGTTTCTCATTTCAATCATAAATTATTTTCCTGATATTGTGAATTGTCTATCTGAATTTTCTTATATCTTTTTTAGTTTTTTAAGGTCATTATTTTCAATTCCTTTTCATATATTTCATAGATTTTCTCCTATTTGGAGAATGTTATTGGAGAATTATCACATTATTTTGCAGGTATCATATTTCCTTACTTTTAAATTTCTCTTATGTTCCTACATTAATTCTTTTGCATCTGGTAGAACAGTTACATCTTCCAATTTTACGGAGTAGCTTTCATAAAAGCACATTTGTTTTGTGTAGATGTGTATGCTTTATTCAGTCAGGTGATTTGACTTTGGTTACAGGTGGGCACAGTACTGTAGCCTTCATGTAATTTATTTGGCTGTAATCAATTTCAGTGGTATCTACAAGTGCCTCAGTGGACTAGATTGTTTGTGGAGGCAGAAGTGTGGCTTTGCTGGAGGCAGTGACCACCTGGAAGGATGGTTTTCAGGCCCTGCAGAGATGCAAGCTGAGTGCAGTTGCTCTCTGGTCATAGGGGATGACATTGCTAGTGGCAGTGGGCACTGGCTGTGCCAGCTCTTGGGCCCCAGCAGGCACACATGACACATGGTGGCTCCATAAGTGGTGGGAGCAGTGTGGCCAGTAGCAATGCGTTTAGGCCAGGCCAGTTCTTAGGCCACAGGAAACTCATGTAGCATGAAACACATGGCACTGAACCTTATTTGTCATAATTTTAGGGACTTGAACAGTGCCTTTTAGTAGTTATTCAATGCATTCATTTCCTCATTTGTTAAAAAAAAACTAATGAAATTTTATATCATAGGTGTTGCTTTAGATACTATAGACTAAACATTAAATGAAGTGATTCTACTACTTCCATAACCACTGTGTGCAAGCACAATATAAAACGTTTACACATATTACCTTATTTTATTCTCTTAAACACTCTGAAATGTATATAGCATTTTTACTTTACATGTAAAGACATTGACGCTCAAAGAGAGAGCATACCAAATATCATACAGCTAGTGATTAATAATTTTTCACTTTAATTATCCTTTTTACTTTTTTTATCTCATTCAGTATGGATCAGTAACTAAGCTCTGTGGATGCTGCAGTGACTGTGAAAGACACATGCTTCAGTAATCTGTGGTTGTGGAACAACTCCAGCACGTAATGACATAAAACAGCCATGTTATTCTTGCTCGCAATTTTATTGGTCAGGAGGAATTCAGGTGGAGTGACAGTTATGACTGGAATGTCTATTTCCAAAAGCATCTTCACTCATGCCTGGTACTGTGGTTTGCCTTGGTGACTCTATTTTCTTCTCTTCTCTTACCTTCTGTACCCTTTCTTTACTTTCATTCCTTTCATTCTTTTCTGTCCTCTCTTTTCATCTTCCCTGTCTGTCTTTTTGTGGTGTCTTAATCTGCAAGCCTCTCACCGTTGCTTGGGCTTCTCAGAGAATGGTTGCTTCTGGCTAGTAGTACATACAACTGGCTTTTTCTATTATGCATATCTCAAGTTGAATTCCAAGTCCTCAGAGAGGACTTCCATGAACAATTAATCTAGAATAGGTCACTGACTATCAATTCCTTCACCCAATACTAATTTTCTGCATATGCATAACTTTTGTCAATATCTGATGTATTTATTCCTTATAATTTTGATTTATTTCTTCAATAAATATTTATTTGTATATCAATAACTATGACAGAAGTTTAGCTAATATCAGTGGGTTATAAAAAAAAGTGTCTAAGATTTTTGACCACTTGGAATACCCACTAGAATGTACACTCCATAAGAACAGGAATCTAGTCTATCCTGTTTATCATTGTATATTAAGATCCTAGAAAAATGGATGACATGTAATAGATGCTCAATAAATACTCTTGACTAACTGAAGGAACAAATTAGAAGGGTAAAAATGCTATGAAAATGGGCAAAAAAAATTTTAAATAAATTGCACTGTGTATGTTTAAGATATACAATGTTTTAAATGTATATAAATATATTTATAAAAATGTGTATATATATCAATGATTACTAGAGTGAAACAAGTTAACATATTCATGTTCTTACATAGCTACCCATTTTCTCCCCTATGTCAAGAGCAGGTATAACTTGCTCATTAGCAAAATTACTGAATACAATACACTATTGCTGACTGTATTCCTCATTCTGTATGTTATATTTTTTAATTTGTTCATTTTATGTATTTACTACTCTAGATTTCTTGACCTATATCTCCACATATCCTGCCCTCATTCCAATCTTAGTAATCACTACTTTGGAAAGAATATTAGGATGATATGAGAGAACACAACAGGGAAACTAATTCTCATTTGAAATTAATAATAGAGTTATTTACAGAAGTGATATTGAAACTGAGAACTGGAGAATGACTTGAAGTTAGTGGCAACAGCCACATGAGTAGATACAGGTCTTTCACCAAAGTCATCTGTATCCCAGCGATAGAAATTAGATCTGGGATTTAGAGGGAAAATGAGAATAATGGAAAGGAATATGTAATTTTTCTTTTGTGAGGAATTAAAGCTAGGATATATATTTATTTTTATTATACTAAAATCATTTTAACTTTATTTTGAATGCCTACTTATTGAAATGAGATCTAAAGATTTTAATAATCTGATGGCTTTCTTATCTGCTGCGGTGTGTTGACTTTTCAACAAATTTTTTTTTTTAATTGATGCTCCCAAATATTAAGCTTGTTTGTGAGTTAAACTGGATGATTATGTAAAAACCAGATCTAGTAATTCCCACGTATTCATAAATTCAAGATATATTGGAATCTTACATAGGATCTGCAACAGCTGTTTAATAATACCTAGAGGGTAAGTGTCAAATTTGTCTTTATATCTAAGTATTCCTTTATCAATTCCTATTGTTCCACAGTCTCTTTATTTGATTCTCACAAGTCCTGCATGGTCTCGCTAATTCTGATACCCCACCATTCTCCCTGTCCTTTGGATGTTTCCTGTTTTGAAGACCTGACAATCCCTCTAACTTTGCTCCTTTAAGGTGATAGAGAAAATTTGTATTTTAAGGTTTACTTTCACCTCACATGATAACTCACTACAATAACATGCATTTTAGAAACAAGTTCATCTGCAAATTATGAAGCCATAAATCCATAATACTTAATAGCACAATAAACAAATCAGAAGTAAAACCCAGATGTTAAAAAAAATAAAACTATTGTTACTACGTGCAGTTCTCATCACCTGCATTATTCCATTATGTAGTGTCTCTACGCCCATTTTCCTGATGTTTATTTCATAACAAGTGTCTTATATTAACGCAACAATGGACCCTCACTATTCCTAGGAATGGATGAGTGATCTGGTGAGTTAGGGGGATGATAGGATTTGGCTCTGTTTCCCCACTCAAATCTCATCTTGTAGCTCCCATAATTCCCACATGTTGTGGGAAGGATCCGGTGGGAGATACCTGAATCATGGGAGCGGGTGTTTCCCATGTTGTTGTCGTGATAGTGAATAACTCTCACAAGATCTGATGGTTTTTAAAACGGGAGTTTCCCTGCAAAAGCTCTCTCTTCTCATCTGCCGCCATGTGAGACATGACTTTTTCCTTCCACCATGATTGTGAGGTCTCCCCAGCCATGCAGAACTGTAAGTCCATTCAACCTCTTTCTTTCGTAGGTTGCCCCGTCTTGGGCACATCTTTATCAGCAGCATGAAAATTGACTAATAAAGAAGTAATTGAGTAGACAGAACTCAACCTCACTACCCCTTCAGCTATAGGATTTGACCTCCAAGGAGCTTATATTCTGGTCCGTTTTTGCCCCAGTAGCAAGTTTACTGGGAAAGGCTCTGAGCTAGGGAAAAGCGGTCTTACCTGTAACATGGTATTGCTGATTCTGGGAGCAGCCTTTTGTTGCCACACGGTGAGCCATGCTTCCCCAGCAGCTCCATCAATTATGTGATTGATAGTTAAGAGATAACAAATTTATCTCTTAACTGGTTCAGCAATTTGATAGGAAACAGGAATATTATTCATAGAGATTATTTACATATGAACATTGCCTTTTTTTAACGACAAAACAAGAAAAAAAAAAAAGATGTGTGCTCTTGGCTAAATCAGTTAGACTCCCAGAGCCTTTGCTTTTTTAAAAGGTACAAAAGTGAGGGGAATGCGCTACAATAATGTTTTTTGAAACTCTAAGGTACTCACTATCCCAAGGACAGAAGTGGAAGAGAGCCAAGTGGAGAAACAATTTTGGGGTTCCCACTGCTGCTTTAACAAGGGCAACCCTACTTCTAGCAAATATTAAGTTTCTCAACAGGACTTTGCAAACAAATATTTGAAAACCGTTTCATTAGATAATCTCTATTATTTCCTCCATCCCTGATACAGTGTAAAATGGACAGAGGGTGAGTTGGTATAACAGGAATTATGCAGGTTTGGGAGCAAGACAGACCTAAGTTTGGATCTTGATTTTGACATATGCAATGACATTGGGAAAGATGCACGACAGATTGTTGTTAAGTACACAGATGATAGATAGATAGATAGATAGATAGATAGATAGATAGATAGATAGATAAATTATGTTGTTGTTCAGATTCAATGGAGTAGCATGTGGGCAATTCCTGAAGCCAAGGAAAGTACTGAGTAATTGCTAAATCATTTAAATAATTTAAATAATTGCTAAATTCTCCGCCTTTCCTTCTTTCAAATGGAAAATCTGTTCAGTAACATCAAGTATTGTTTCAGTGTTTTAAAACATTTTTACACATGCCTCGTCTCATTTGAGTCACATGATTCTCCAGTGGAAGTCTACATTAACTCCTTATGTTTTAAAGTGAAGAAGTAAGCTCAGTGGTCTCCTCAAGGTCATGTAAGTAATTACTGGCAAAATTCCGGTTTGAACTTGGGAAATCCAACATTGATTCTGTGCTAATGCCCAGCTCTGAATGAGTCATACGTATTCAGTTTTGTCTACCATCATCACTTTTTCTGGTTCAGCTCTTCCATGTGACTCCTGTAAAATGAAATTGGCAATTGTTTATGGCATTGGCAGTAGGTTGTTATGTTAGCTCATCTTCTGAGGCAGCCATTGTGAAATAACAAGTGCAGTGAACCCTCAGCATGAAGTCTAGCACTGAAGTCATACGTGTCATTGTTCAGAATTACTGTCTATCCTTGCTAACCCTTAAATACACTTTCTAAGTATTCACATCAAGGTGTTTACTCTCAAAATGATTCAACTGCTGACTTTGAGAAAATTGCAGACTAATAAGCATGCTTTTTTGTGGAAATACAATTCTTAATTTTTACTCCAGATGAAATACTATTCAAGACAAATAACATATCAAAGAAGAGTTTAGGATGGCCAAGCTGTTACTAGCTCTAAGAGGATGCTGTATAGAGATAATTTTTGTTGATTTAGTTACAAACAACCAAGTTCTATAGAAAATATAACCCAATTCTGCCATTTTCTCTAATTTCTACCTATAAAACAGTAACAATTTTCTATGTGAAAAAAAAAATTCCTGGCTTCCGAAATGATGTTTTTATTACAGGTCAGCTACAAATATCCTTCCTGAAGTTTATTTGAACTTTCACCAGGTTCCCAGCCCAATAAGTACCCTCACTCTTCTTACTCTTTCTATTCAACTTTCTCAAACCACTTCTGCAATATAACTAATAAACAGAAAAACAACAATAAAAATAATAAAACAACAGTAACACATACTCACAAGGCTAGCAGGAAGATAAATGAGGTTGATATATTACCTGTTGTCTTTAAACTTGTGGTACTCATTGATACCTCTCTTCCTTTTACACCCATATCTAACGCTAAAACAATTCTATATCCTGTCATCCTAACCTGAAAAAGATATCAGAATTTGATCTTGTCTTGTCATCTCCTATTCACTGGACACATCTACCATCATCTGTTATTTTAATGGACTCCTAACTGGCCTTTCTGCATTGGCCTTTGCGAACAGTCCCCTCACAACATAACCGTCTAGGTTATCCTCTTATAATATAAACCAGGCATTGACTTTCTTGTGCTCTGAACCCCGCAATGACTTCCCATCTCACTCATCCTAAAAGCAAAATTTCTCACCATGGCCTAATGCCCTGTAAAATCTAACCCCTTGTTACCTTTCCTACCACTTTCTGCCTTGTTCTTTCCACTCCAGGCACGTTGGCTACCTTACTGTTCCACACAGCCCCCAAGCCCTGTGGTTTTTATGTAACAATTGCCTTTACTTGGAAGACTTTCTCTGAGATCTCAGTGTGGCTCTATCCCTCTTCTCCTATGGGTCTTTGGTTAAAAGTTATAATTCCAGTGAGGCTTTCTTTGCTTATTCAAAAACTGCACATTTATGCTGTTTATCCTCCTTTCTCAATTATTTGTCTTCTTAGCCCTTGCCACTGCTAACAAGCTGTAATTTACTCATTCATCTTGTTTGTTTCTACCTCTGCCATCTAGGAAGTAAGCTTCGTGAAGACAGGACAGTTGCTTGCATTGTTCACTGATTTATCCCCAATATCTAAATCAGTGCCTGGTGCTTGAAAGGTATCCATTAAACATTTATGGAATGAATGACTCTCCTTCATATTCACTATGCAAAGTGAGCCCTAATCAATACAAATAAGCTTGGGCTCTGTACCACAATATTTTCAGGATCTACAGTTCGGTCACCTGATTTCTAGTAACATTAGCTGTGTGACTTTGCAAACACCAATCAGCTTTACTTCCCATTTTTGTATAATGAGGAAACTCAAATGCAGGTCACTAGTAGGTGTAAAATTTAAATGATACAATTAAATGAAGCAAGGTTTTAAAGTTTGATATAAATATTTAGGAAGTTACCATTGTACAAAATTTTGTTGCATTAGTCATACCTGGAAACTTTCTCATATAGTGATGTGAATAATCCTCCAAAGAATGTTCTATGTGAACACATTTAAACATAACTCAGGAGGATGCATAAACTCCAGTGGTTATAAAAGAGGATTTATTGCAAAATGAATTTAGAGTTGAATACTTTGGAAAGTAACATGGGAAGCATTTTTGACCCTAGGTAAATACACTTTTTGCTACATCTTGCCGCTTTTAATAAACTTGTTTCTCTTCTCCTACCACTCCTCATTTCCACATCCTGCAGCATGGATTAATATCTCTTTACTTTCCCGGTTTCACACAAAAAGTTACTTCCTTCAAAATGTCCTTCCTAATTTACATATTAGATCTATGTTTTATTTGTTCCTATAGGACATCAAACTTTTTCATCACTTCTTCACCTTTTGGCTAAGATCAAGTGTAGGACATCAAACTTTTTCATCTTAATATTCTATAAATACAAAAAGTTATTCAATGTGTGTCTTCCCTACTGAAAGTCCATAAAGGCATGAGTCATGTGTTCTGTTCGCATTATTTCAGCACCTAGCACAGCATCTACAATGTAATGTGTATTTAATAAATGTTTGCTGAATGAATACCAATGCATCTTTAGAAAAATTTAAATGTCAGTAATATTTCTCAGCTTTTACTACTCCAACGCAATTTACCTCCTATTAAGACATAGTTTAACCTTTCATTGGACTTTTTGTATATATGGCTTATGTAATAGATTTGTGTTATTGTCAAGTTAATGTTAATACAATAAATACATAGTAAACATCTAATACAGGGATATTGTTGGACACATTATGTTCAGTAGCATATGTAATGTGTATGTGATTGTAACTTACTTAATTCTACATGTTTTTGTTTTTATGTTGCACATATTAACTCATTTTATATACCTGACCTGATCTATGTGTAGGTACTTGTATATTCATCTCCATTTCATAGGAGAGAAATCTAAGGCAAAGGAAGGTCAAATATCTTGCCTTGGGAGACACAGATAGAAAGTAGCAGGACCAGAATCTTAACTCTGGTGGTGAGTTTCAAGAACTTACATTCTACCAGAAACATAGAGAGATGAATAAGAAAGTTCCCTCAACACTGAGTGAAAAAGAATGAGTAGCATTGAAATACAACTAAATTGATACTTGTAATATAATTATTGATGACTGGACTGACAACTGCATATAATAAATATCTTAACACTCAATAGATTCTCAAAAAAATGTTGCCTTAATGAATAAGGTTTTAGCGCACATAGCTTATCTGGACTATTCATACTCCCACATACCCCCCTAAAAAACTATGGCTATGTGAGTATGCTTTATTCTTGGTTGACTGAAGTTTCTATCCATAAATTTATATTTCTTCAGTACATTTTTAAAAGTTGGTAATAAAATGTATTTATTTATTCAATTTACACTTACTCATCTTTCTTTGCTGGGGAACTTAATCTGTGTAAATGACTTAATTCACAATAGGTTCTCAACTTCAATGTAGTTACCGTGTGTGGAATGTCTGCGAAGTATCTTAAGGGAGTTGTTAAAATTCTATAATAGAAAACATGAAAAACATAAATGCAGCATGAAGAGACGTAATTTATAGAAATATGGAACAGGAAAGAACCTTAAAATATAGGTGGTCGTTTGTCAGCTGAGGAGTAGAGCTGTAGAAAGGTGAAGTGACCTCTCCAGCATCACACAGAGCACTGATTCCTCCAGGAGTGCTTGGACCATGTTACTTCTCCGTTAATTCTACTGTGAATCATTTTATGGCTTGAAGACTCCCTATGCAATAAAAGTTTATTGGCCATGTGTCAGGAACTTTGCTATATGCTGGAGTTACAGCGATTTATGAGACATAGCCCTTGCACTAAAGGACATCACAGTCTAGTGGTAAAGGTAGGGACAAAACATGCTATAGCATCTAACAAACTACATACAGAAGAGGGACACATCAGCCAGTCCAGAAGGGTCAGAGCAGATGCATTGGAAAGAGTGACCTCAGACCTGAGTCTTAAAAAATAAGGAGGCGTAGAAGTTTTCCAGGCAGGTGACAGGGGAATAAAGAGGACTAGTGAGGAAGGCCTATGCGTAGAAAAGGGTCACCGAGGCAAAGATAAACATTAGCAAAAGTAATGTGATATATTCTGGAGGGGTGTAAAGAAAATACAAGCAATGCATTGCTGCTGGAGTATAAAGGGTGAAGAGGAGGATAGCAAGAAATAAATCTGCATGAGTAGTTTCAAACTTTAAAATACCTAGAAAGCCATATTTAAAAACTTGGTTTTATTACATAGAAAATGTGGAGTGACTGGAAACTTTTAAATAGAAGTGTCAGAGTTGGGTTTGTATTTATGGAACCTAGTCCCAGCATGATCTAAGGAGTCAAAACTGAAAACAGAGAGGATAGTTAGGAAGTTAGTGCAATAAACCTGTTTGAGTTTAGAGACATCTACAAGGAAAGATACATTGATATGAAGACAGAGAAAAAACATTTATGTGTGTGTATGTGTGTATTTCACATATGTAAATAACGGGAAATACTTATTTAATACATAAATTTGATATAAGTATTTAGGACTTAATAAATAATTGGATTTGGTGGCTGAAAGTATGGAGAGGTGAGAATGATAGCTAAGTGTTTGAGAGATTACCTAAAGGTGACCAACTCAAATGAATAGTACATGATTTAGTGGAAGTTAGATTGGGACATTATCAATATATAGCAATTGATGAACATTCAGGTGAAGGGATCCAGGAAAATTAGAAGTAAGTTTTTAAGGTAGCTTGAGCAATACGCATAAGGATGATTAGCATAAAACTATGAAATTGGGTGTCTAAGTTTGAGAAAGCATACAGAGTGAAAGCAGAGGAAGAGAAGCCCATGGAAGAGGCAGAAAAATGTCTTTAGGCAGAAGAGAAAGATGTCACAAAATTAAAAAGGATGAAGCATTTCAAAAGGAGGGCCTTGGCAAATTAAATAAAGAGTAAAGATGATAGAAGAAAATAGTAGAAAATTCATTAATATTCAGTAATTAAGGCTATTGGTGACATGTGTAACAACAATTTTAGTAGATTCTGAAAATTCATTGAGGAAGGACATGATAAAACAGACCATAGCCACTGCAGATGTCTGTTGAAAATCATGCATTAGAATGGCTTGGGAGAGAAGGATAATAGCTTGAGGGTACAGTGATTCCAGCTATTTAGGGCTTCAGATATTTATAAGCTGAGGAGAGGGCTGTTTAAATAGAGAAAGAGAGGTTGAAGACAGAGGAGCTAGGGGTTAGGGCACTGATGGAACAAGATCCCAGAGGTGTCAGGAACTGATGAGGTCAGAGGTATTGGTAGAGTCAGATGCTGGCTAAGGATAGGGAAAGGAATCTCGTTGTCTGGAATTAGTATAAAGTAACAAAGAGGGGAATCAAACAGAAGAGAGGAAAGCTGAAAAATACTATGCATAATTACCTTATTTCCTAGGTGAATTAAGGAAGTGTCCAATAACTATTTGTTTCATATTAATTAACATTAACAGTTATTCACTTGTTGAGCTTCCAGTACGATAGTAGAAGAAATGAAAGGTCAGTGGCTTGGTGGCCTCAATACTTTAATTTAAAAGTTTAATGAATGTGAGTGTGTGAGTCTTGGAATAACAAGACTTAGTGGTCAGAGTGTGTGTCGCTGGATGTTAAATTTTCTATTATGATACACTCATGCCTGAAAATAAGATCCAGGTAATGGTATAGTAGAGGATAATTAAGTAGGACATAGATCAAAGCCACTAAGTGGAGGAAGTCCAGGGATTGGGAACTGGTTAGTTGGATGAATCTTGTTTGTAATTATGGATTTCTCCTAGATTTACAGTGTGTCTAGGATAAAGAATGAAACTCAAAACCAGACACAAAACACTATGGTATAGAGTATAGAGGTTTGTGTGAGATATAATACCTGTGATACACAATAGGAATCCTGAAAGTAAGGTGAAGCTATTGATGGCCGGTTTGGCAAAATGAACATTTTTTCACTGGTCGGCACAATAGAGGAAGACGCGTTCTCAGGCAGAGCCAGGATTCAGAGAACATAAGGAGACAGAGAAAAAAGGCCACGAAGTAGATGAGGAAGTAGATGGATCTGCCTTCCTTGTTCCAGAAGAAATTTCTGAAAGCACTTATAAATAAGATCAGTATCAAAAGGAATCAAGCCAGAGAAGTATGGTAAATAATCACTCCACATAATGGATCGGTCCTTTGGAACTGTGACTCAAGTGAAACAGCATATATGAAACCAATTGTACCATAAATGAATTGATGTAAACAAGAATTAAGTTCTTATGGCATACTTCTCTTCACAAAACCATCACCAAACTTCTAATTAAAAGAGATATATCACGTCTAATACTAAACATTGAAATAAATGTGACATATACATACATTTCAGCAATTTTAAAAATAAGTAAATTAATAACTATTTACCCAATTTGTGGTGAATCAGTGAGGGATAGTAGTTGTAGTGGTGGTGGGTTGAATCAAGGAATAACTGTTTGCAAAGACAAAATTGTAAGGAACACCTCCTAACACCACACAGTTCAGAAACAAACAATAACATGTATGACTCACTGAGTGCTTTTGTACTATATTATGTATTGTTGGGCATTTGTATGATTACCATATACTTTACACATTTTTATTTTGGAATAATTTTGACTTATTCATTCTTTCATTTTTCAACCTATTTATTTCAGTTCAGAGTCAGGTTGGGACAGCCTGTCCCAGCAGCTCAGGTCACAATAAGAGAACCAACCTTGGAAAGGGATGCCATTCCATCACAGGTGCACTTGCTCACACACCCACACCCACACACACTCACATTGGGACAATGCAGAGATGCCAATTAACCTAATGTGCACATCTTTGGGATGTGGAAGGAAACTGGAGTACCCCCCATAAACCTACACAGACATAGGGAGAATGTGCAAACTCCACAAAGACAGTGTCCCCAGCCAGAAATCTACTTTTTTTCTCATCAATGTTATAACAAAATGACTTTGAACAAGTTAATATTATCCAAGGACTGGCTGTATAGATAAGTAAAAGAATAAGAGAAGATATAAGAAGAATTAAGGATATTTTTAGTCACTCAAAAGACCAGAATGAACTCTTCCCAGAAACTTGGCTCAGATGCCAATTCCAATGATATTACATACACACCAAGTACGTAAGAGAGGTTCATTATTTGAATAATGAGGCTTTTTGGGAAACAGGATGGGCTTCAAAGTTGGTCTAAGCATGGCTTGAAAAAGCAGGGAAGGGAGACTGGCTTGGGGCTTTAGGGTGGTGAGGGGGTGAGGCTGAGGTGAGGGTTCCCATGCATTATTTGGGGCTTGCGGGGCTTGATTTGTTCCACTGGCACCAAAAAGGACAGAAGGTGGGTTTTCTCATGAGTTTGCTCAGATGTGGAATACAAGAGAAAGGGCAGTGAGGAATCTTGAAAGCAGTTAGCAGTCAAACATCAAATACAGATTCAGGCTCTTTATTTACACAGAGATTGCTGTACCTTATGTGACCAAGGATTATGTGGATAAGAGACATGGCTAAAAGTATCAGAGCAAAGGCATTCATGTTCATTATTCTGGAAGCTTAAGCCAGTCACACAAAATCAAGAGACCAGAAGCATTGAAAGCAGGAAATCAAAGTGGCAAAGGTCATATGACTCTTGGGGTTAAGTCAAGCAGTCCAGAGGTCAATGAATTAGTTTCATCCCAAAGGGGCAGTGGAGCACTCAATCCAGAAACTAAAATCTGAATGTACAAATCTAGCTAAAAGAAGAGACATGAGGTAGGATCCATATGCGAAAGCTGCTGCTGATCGTAAGTTCAAAAGTGCTCAGGAATTTGGCTGGACTAAGCCTGCAGGTGAAAGTTATTATTGACTACAGCTGGGAGATGCCAGAGTCATGTCACCTTTTCAAGATTTACAGTCTTGTTAGTAGAAAGGCAAATAATTCATCTGAATCAGTAAATGGCATCTCTTACCTCTATGGGACAGCTAAGGCTGGGCTTGGCATAAAGCCTAGAATTATCAATGTTCAAATTTTAAGACATCATGTCAGGCTCGTAAGCCCATGTGTTATTTTTTTCTTGGTTAATCCACCGAGGAAAAGGAAGAGATTATTCAGCTCATTTGGTCAAGCAGCCTGCCTTAGAAGGCTTGAGAAGAGCATAAAGATTCTCATTGGTTTTTATGACAAGACTATTAACATAATTGAAATTCTACTATTCAAAGAGAGCTAAGACAAGTGAAGTTTATTCTATTAAATTCTTTTTTTTAATATTTTGAAAATCACAGCCTGATCCATTACACTCCTGCTTTCATTTGCCAGTTCTCTCTCTACACTGACAACCCATAACACAGGGATATTTTCCAGATATATTTACAGCATAGTAGAAAATAATTCCCACAAGTAATACAATGCCAAAGATATTACTGAAACTGTGAAGCATCTTACAGAGTCATGGAATCACAGCAGTTTATTCGCTAGCCTATTGTACATAGTTGTACCTTAAATATTTTAGTTTCAGGTGGGTTCTTATTAACAATAGATCTAATGATTTAACACTATTCTGGAGGGAAAATGAATGCTGACTAGGATGGCTTTTCAGTAATGGAAAAACAATGTCGTAACAAAAGGAGGAGGGGTTTGAAAATATGGCAATATTTTCTGGAAGCTAAATGGAGCCTAAAATGTTTCATTTATCATTTCTTAAAAGACAAGTGAAGGAACTTCTAGGAAACATATTCTTTAAAACAGGGTTTTTTGAAATTGTGTTTATTTTTATCAGGAGGTAAAGATCATAGACACTGGAACTAGAATGCTAGGGTTCAAATCCTGACTCTGACAATTACCACCTCTGTCCATTCCTCATCCATAACAACAAAAAGAACAAAAAGTAATAGTTGTAGTGCCTCAGAGAGTTGTTTAGAGGATTAAAGGATCAGTGTCATACACTTCTGAGAGCAGGGCTCAGATCGTGCAAACAACATTTAATACACGTGAGCCATTTTTATGCTTGGAAGTTGATTCTGACACATCAGTTCTCTCCCTTTCTGAGGACTGATAATTAGAGTTTGATTTTTCATTGTTTACTAGTGTGCTGACATCAGCACAGAAGCTTATACTGTATTATAAATCTTTTCAATTGTTGCCATATTAATGTATTTTTAATTCTTAAGTTAATTATCCAAGTTGGCTCAAATTCCCTATCATCTTTGTTCTTATCATGTAACTTCATAGTTAAGTACTGACAGAATTTTGTTCCCAGTGTTATTTGTCCTCTAAAAAGAGTCAGGAATTGGAAACCAACATTGTTATTGACTCAGCAGCATTTGCTTAATTTTCTGAGTCTTGTTTTAGATATATTCCAGAAAGAAGGATCCAAGATTTATATAATTTAAAGTCCTATCTTGGCAACAATACCATTCGACTGTACTGAGATTGTTAAAGAGGTGAGGTAGTTTGCTCAGCAGGTGAGAAAAGTATTTCTGTTAGTCATTATGACTATTAGAATTTCAGGTAGCAATTCAGAAAATCCCTTTTATAATACTTAAAGTTTTCCCTGGCTTTCACTGAAAGGTTATCAAAATTAGTCGAAGTGAAGCACTACCAAATTCTCTTTAGAGCTATTATACTATTCACTCAGTCACTCATTAATTCAACACAAATTTGTTGAATGTTTTATTTGTGTCTCTGACTGTTTTTGTCTTGCAATAAATTGATGACAAAAACCTGGGCCTGCCATCCAGATGCCATAGTCTAATAGGTTTAAAATATGTGGTTTGGAATGTCGATTCTAAATCTACAATCCATGGCTGTCATTGAGAAGATATCCCTTCTCTTACTATCATTTTTAATAAGTACCATTATACTTGTGTATACAATAAAAGGAATCTACCAAAGTCGTACATCATTAAAATGTATATTATAAAAGTATTATCAAATAGAGGATCTTAAGAAAAAAAACTTATTGAATTTTAAACTTAGAAATGTAGCACATTCTTTCACTAAAAGAGAACATTAAAGAGAATACTGGGTTGCATTCTAGCCCCCTCCCTGTCATGTTTCTCTCTAACTGTATTAGGGTTCTCTAGAGGGACAGAAATAATAGGAGATATATATATATATATATATATATATATATACACACACACACACACACACACACACACACACACACACACACACATATGGGAGAAGGGGAGTTTATTAGGAGAATTGACTCACACAATCACAAGGTGAGTTCCCACAATAGGCCATCTGCAAGCGGAGGAGCCAGGAACCCAGTCTGAGTCTCAAAGCCTCAAAAGTAGGGAAGCCCACAGTGCAGTCTTCAGTCTGTGGTTGAAGATCCAGGAGTCACAAAGCTGAAGAAACTGGAGTCCAATGTTCAAGGACAGGAAATATCCAGCACAGGAGAAAGATGGAAACCAGAAGACTCAGCCGGTCTAGGCTTTCCACGTTCTTCTGCCTGCTTTAATTCTGACTGTGTTGGCAGCTGATTAGATGGTGCCCACCCAGATTGGGAGTGAGTCTGCCTTTCCCAGTCCACTGACTCAAATGTTAATCTCCTTTGGCAACACTCTCACAGACACACCCAAGAGCAATACTTTGCATCCTTCAATCCAATCAAGTTGACACTCAATATTAACCATCATAATAACCCCTACAGGGGAGTGCTTGCACTGCACTCTTGGACAGGGCCAGGTGCAAGTTGCCTCTGGGACCTTCTTACTTACTCCTCTCCCTTCTGGCTGGCTTCACCTATTGGGTACAGCCTGGCGGGAGTTCGGGAGGCAGCAGCTCAGGACCTGGTGCAATGTCAGTTGTAGAGGTTCCTTATGCTTTTGGAGAGGCAGTGTGGTACAGTGGGGAAGCTTCTGGACTGGAAACCCAACAGGCCTGAATTCAAATCCTTGCTTCTGCACTTATTGTCTGGGGAGTTTTGGCTAAGCCACTTAATCTCTCTGAGTCTCAGTTTTTCATTTATCCAAATGGTACTGATGGTATCTCCCTTACAAGGTAATCATGAGGATGACATGTAATAAGCATTTGAAAGTGTCTAGCATACATCAGGCTCTTAATAAATATTAGTTGAATATGAAAAAGTAAATAACAGTAAATATTTTTCTGGGAGAAAGTTCTTCAGCCATAGGATGTATTTCTATCATCAGTTGTGTGGTTTAATTATGCCACATGTAATGGGGGTCATCACTCTTTTTTTGGGGGGGGTGCGGGGGAGGGGACTGAGTTTCGCTCTTGTTGCCCAGGCTGCAGTGCAATGGCGTGATCTGGCACAACCTCCACCTCACAGTTTCAAGTGATTCTCTTGCCTCAGCCTCCCGAGTAGCTGGGACTACAGGCATGCGCCACCATGTCCAGCTAATTTTGTATTTTTAGTAGAAATGGGGTTTCTCCATTTTGGTCAGGCTGGTCTCGAATTCCCAACCTCAGGTGATCTGCCTGCCTCGGCCTCCCAAAATGCTGGGATTACAGGCGTGAGCCCCCATCCCTGGCTATTGATCTCATTTTATTTAGTGGTTCATGACTGTTAAAGACTGGAAGCCTCTACAGGAACCCTGCCTTATTGGTCTTTGTATTTCCAGTGCCTAGAAGAGCATCTAGAATGGTGGTTCTTAACTCTGTGCATATCAGAATTTCATCCTTTATGTAGCCTTAATAGTATTGCTGTCTGGATTCCATTGCAGGCCTACTTATAAAGAATCTTCCAGGGTAATGACATGTCTACTTTCAAAATAGTCCAAAGGGGTTTTAGATCCTCTTATATGGTTGAGGATTGAGTCCTACTAGTGTATTCATTGAATGAATTGATGAATGAAAAATGACATCCCAAATTTCTATACAATCATGTTAATATCTTTCCTTGTCTTTTACAGCCAAATGCAAAGTTATAAGAGAACAGAAGCAGTTATTTAATTTAAATAAATAACTCGTCATGCCAACTTTCTATTCTCAATTATCCAATTTGTTTATAATTTATCTTTTTTCCATATACTGAAGGAGAACAGACGGTACACATTAGATATTAGGCAGCTTTTCCTAGGCTGGTTTACAAATTAGAGAAAAACAGTCACAAAATTTGAGCTAGTTGTTCATTTTTCAGGCAAACTTGATGAATGGGAAAAAAATCGCTGAAAGGTCTGCTATCTAAAGGTCAAAATCATCTTAGAAATAAGTCAGAGAGACTGAGAGAGCAGCTGTTGTTCACCTAGCCGCTAACCAGTTGCTTGGGCAATTCATGATTTAAAACGATCAATTGTAGTAACTTATTATTTCAGATTCTTCATTGCAATATTAACTCATTTTATAGGAAAGTTATTTCAATATAGGACCTTAAGGAATATTTAATGAAATTATGAATTACATAGGCTTATATAATCTTAAATCAGTTCATGATTCCCTTGCAAATTTTGTCTGTTTAGGACGTGCCTAGGATATATTTTGAAAAATTTTGGTAATACTAAGAAAGCATACAGATAGAAATGAGCTTTGGCAACAATTTTAACCTCTGAATAATATGCCATTCCAAGAAATGATTAATTACTAAGTATTTTAATACTAATTCGATTAACTCCATTTTCCACACCACACTGTCTCTAATTAGCTGATTTGCTATTAAAAACAACACATTTATGACAGGAATTGTACAGGGAAAGAAAAGGAATATCCTGTCATTTGCAATCAATGCTAATTTACAACCAGAGCCTAGGGAAAGAAATAACATTCTCTTTGCAAAAGTGGGAAAGAAGACAAACAAAAATTAATGCTTGACAATAGTAAACATATTCATCTAACTGCAAATATCTTCAAGAGTGTAAAGTATTTAAAATGCATTGTAAATGTAGAAACAACAATTCATGAATTGATCCTGTTATTCAGTCAAGTTTAATATACTTTTAATGTTTTAAAAAAGCATCCTTTTTAAAATGATTTTATTGCAGGATATAAACATATTAATCAAATTATTTATTATGAATTCCCAAGGTTGTATCATTTTGTTTTTAGGATAGGTAAGAATCAATATGCAAGTAGGAATAATTGTCATTACAGTGGAACTTAATCTAATACTTGACCTCAACCCAGTCAGAAAAGTTATAATGGGCCAGCTGCTCTGTAAATTGATACGGCTTTGCCATCTTTTTCTTAACATTTACATAAACGACCTTGTGCCTCGAATGCTTGGAAAAAAAGGATTTACAATTAAGTAATAGCAATAAATATTTTAATCACTTACAGCTTACCTTTCTGAACTGTAGATCCTTTAATATCACAGCCAATATGCTTTTTCTATTATGATGCTCTCAATGTATCAGGATGTTTCATTAAATAACATTGTTAAAGCATATGTCATTGTTTTGTAATCTCTGATGATAGCATTTTAGTGGTTCAATGTGAGTTACTTACTAAAAGAAAAATCAAAATAGAATCAGTGATTCATTTAGAAAGGTTAAAATGGCAAACGGTATATTCCAATCTAATTTTAGTCAAGAAATCAAAATAGTGTTTAGTTGTACATATAAAATACTATAACATATTAACAAAATAATAGCTATTGTCCTGTCACTTTGGTTTTCAATTGTGTTATTGAAATGCTCTCATTAAAGATCTAGATTTTAATTAAGAACAAAGCATTATATTAGTGAAATATCAACTCATTTTATTTCAATTAACATAAGCAACATCAACAATACTTAGCTTTAAAAATGGAAATAACACTGGCATTTAAAAGTTGCTAGTCCTTGAAAACACTCCTCAAAGAAAGCAGTTACCGGTTCTTATAATTGTTTAGGTTGCCTGGAGGCAAGATCAGAGTCTATAGCACCAAGTAGTAAAGAAATAGGTGAAATATAACTAACTGCTGGCTGAAGGTATAATCATTCTTTCAGTGTACTAACAATTATCCTGAAAAACATAATGCTTAGTTTATGGACAATCCACCTCACGGCAAATAAAAACTTTGATGATGGGTGATAACTTGATTTTAGCATCACCTCTCCCACCTTTTGCAGCTCTTTTTCTCTTTTTTCTTCTGATTTCAACATGCCATAGTTCCTCCCTTCCAAATCACCACCACTGTAGCATACAAGGTATGATGTGATCCAGCTGCCACAATAGGAGCAGGGTTCCACTTGCCAAAATCTGCTTTGGGCTGATGGATATTGGGGCAAGTAGGGTAATGTGTCAATGACAGTGCAGATGAGTGTACTGGCAAAGCCAGTCATAGTTTTCAATGATAAACCACTCATTACTAAGCTCCATGACAATTCATTGAACCTAGACCCAGTGCAGTTGAATGTAGGAACTATATAGTCATCAAAGGATGATGCAAAAGTTAAAGGTATGACAAGCACAACACGGAATTTGGCAGCATAAGAATTAAATTTGTCTCACACGTCTCTTTAATGCGTAACATAGTGTTTAGGGGAAAACTTTTGAATCAGATAGATCTCAATCCGACTACCAGATTCAACACCTTCTAACTATGTGACCTTGGGCAAAACCGTAAAGTAATTAAACCTCTTTTCTCAGTTCTAAATGGGAGCATGGCAGTACTTTTCAGAGAGGACTGTCAAGTAGATTATATGATATAATGGCTATAAGATCCTTACATAATCTTGCATATGCTAAATGTTCAATAAATGATGGTTATTATAATATTATTTTAGCCATCAACAGTACTGTGCCATGACAGTTAGTACTCATCAAATAGTCCTCCACATTTCCAGCTTCCCTTGCAATTTGTTGGGACTGCCTGGGAATGAGAAGTGAGGAACAATGATGTTTGTTGATTCAGGTTAAGACAATTCAAAGTTGTGTGCCTCCTTCTTTCTTCTTTTCTTTTTTTGAGAAAGAGTCTTGCTCTGTTGCCCACTGCACTGGAGTGAAGTGGTGCCATCTTGGCTCACTGCAACTTCCGCCTCCCAAGTTCAAGGGATACTCCTGCCTCAGCTTCCTGAGTAGCTGGGACTACAGGCGCATGCCACCACGCCTTGCTAATTTTTGTATTTTTTTTTTTTTTTTAGTAGAGATGGGGTTTCTCTGTGTTGACCAAGATGGTCTCGATTTCCTGACCTCATGATCCAACCACCTCGGCCTCCCAAAGTGCTGGGATTACAGGCATGAGCCACCGCGCCTGGCCTATGCCTCCTTCTTCTCTCTCTCATTCCTTAACACAGGAACTTTGGCTGCCACATGTTCTGCATAGTATAGCTACAAAGTGAAGGAGGTTCAGCAATACACATAAAATTTTACACGAATGGAAAATGTCTCTATGGACATGTTAGGGTTACTTTATTTTATTTTACCACAACACACCCTAGCCAAAAAGGATTAATTATGATCTTTTGAGACAGGAATGGCAAATGCAGTGTTCCCATTTTACAATTAGATAAGCTAAAGATCAAAGATTTTCAACAATTTATCTGAAGTTTCAGAAATAACTGATAGTACCGGGATTATATTTCAGATATTTTAATCCTGCAGATTTTTTTACCATAGAAGTCAAGGGATTAGGGAATTGAGTTTACAATCCTACAATCAGGGAGTACTTATGGTAAAGATGTGATTCTATCCAGTGTCTCTTAATTAGCCAACATTTCATTCAAGATATCTATATTCATCCCTCATCAAAATAGGTGCTTATAGAATAAGAATAGACTATATATTAAGCTCTTGGAATTCCTTATAAGAAATATATTTTTATTATAGTAGGTGTCACTTGGTGGTAGGTTAATTATTAAAATGCCACTTGCTTTACAGGAAAAATAAAAATCCCTAGGATTGATTTTACATGTATGTAGTGCTTCACAGGCTGAGAATATCACTTTGAAATTGCAGAGATGTTGAATGTGGATCACCTTTTTTTCCTTACATAAATAAAATTCAGTAATTCACTGTTAATTTGGGGCAAATAAACTAAAATTTGCTCATCTTATTCCTAGGGGAATTGCGGCTTTTGGAATCCTCACTTCCTTTGTTGTTCATAAATGAATCGAATAGTCATTCTAAAATTAGTGAATGGAACTGAATTCCAAAATTTTTATTATCTGAGTTGACTGATCTTGTGGATGTCATTCCCCTCTTCCACACCCACCCCCAGCACCTGCCAATTTCCACTCCCAATTTGTTAGGTGGAGCAAACATTGCCAGACTCAAGTCTTGCTATTATTTCAAGGAAATTACTCACATTGTGAATACTTTCCACTATTAATAGTTCTTTTTTGACAAATTGATATTCATTATGTTTCCTTTGGAGAAATGCATTCAAATTTATAAAAGTTCTGAAAAACACCTTTAGCTGGTTTTATTTTCTTTCTCACCATGTACTCAGGCCCCTTCTAACACAGTTTGTACAAAAGCATTTGCTTTTTTGTGATAGTTCTAAAAAGCAATACTGTTTTTAAGGAGAAAACTTTGCTTTTAACAATTTCAGCTGAGCTCTTACCAGTTCTTGAGTAAATGATCTGTATAATGAATACTGGATATTTCATCAGACCTAGGATCTAGTTTAGGTTCTTCTAACAAGTAGCTGTTTGAAAATAGAAAACTCATTTACTTTTACTGAGTTTTAATTTAAAATCCAGTAGTGTGGGAAGACAAAGATCTCCTGGGTCATTTCCATTTCTAACTCTGTGCATTGGTGTATGCATGGCTCTTTCATTTAATAGTCTTTTACCAAGACTTGTGCAATGTATTTCTAACTAATCTCCTGTATCTAATCTCTCATCTACCACCCACCAAACAGTTCTCTTCTCTGTAATCACTCATCTTGTAACAGCTTTATTAAAATATAATTTACTAATATAAATCTTCCCTATTGTAATTGTACAATTGAATGATTTTAGTACATTTATAGTTACATTACAATCATCATAATTCAGAACATTTCATAAACCTCAAAATCTCTCTTGTGCCTGTTTCATGTAATCTTTACTTTCACTACCAATCCTATGCAACAGCTGATTTGCTCTCAATCTTCATAAATTTGCATTTTCTGAGCATTTCATATAAATGCAATTATACAATATGCAATCTTTTGTGTCCAGCTTCTTTCACTTTGCATGACATCTTAAGTTTTTTTCACATTAGAATGTTTATCAATAGTTGATTCATTTTTATTGAATAATAATATTGCTTTATATTGCTTTACATTTTGTCCGTTTACCAGTTGGTAGGAATTTGGATTATTTCCAAATTTTAACTATTATAAAAAATGTTCCTATGAGCATGTGTATACATGTCTTTGGGGAACATAGGTTTTCTTTTATTTTGGATAGACTATTAGGGGTGGAATAGCTGAGTCTTATGGAAATGTTAACTACTATGTTTAAGACATTGCCAAATGGTTTTCCAAAGTGGTTGTATTATTTCACATTCCAGTCAGCAATGTATGAAGGATTCAGTTTTTCCATATTCTGCCCAAATCTTGTATTGTCTCTCTTCTTGATTATATTCATCTAATTTGTGTGTAATTATATCTCTTGGTGCTTCTAAATTGCATTTTTCTAATAGCTAACACTTTTTAGTAGCACTGTTCATGTGCTTACTAGACTTTGATAGTAAAATCTTCAATAAAATATCTATTTAAATAATTTGCTTATTTTAATTGTGTTGTTTATCTATTATTGAATTGAAAGTGTCCTTGATATTACAGATATAATTCATTTTATTGAATATATGGCTTAAAATATTTTCTTTTAGTCTCTGGACTTTCTGAAATTTTTGAGGTGCCAAGTTTATCATTTTCATAAAGTCAAATATATGTATTTTTAAATGATTATTGTAATTCTTAACACTCATTGTTCAACCTTAGATCATGAAGATTTTTCTCCTACATTTTATTTCAGAAGTTTTATAGTTTTAGCTCTTACATTTAGATAACTAACAATTTTGAGTTAATATTTTTGTATTATGATATGACTTGAGATTCTCAGTTCCTTTCCTTTTCCTTCTATTTCTCCTTCTTAGTCTTTTTGGCATAGGGATTTACAATTGTCTCAAAATCAATTGGACTCACAGTTGTGTTTTATTAATCTATGTGTATTTGTGCCAATACACTATCTTGATTATTACGGCTTTATAGTAGGTCTTCAAATTGGATAGTAGTGTGCATTCTCTAACTTGGTTCTTTTTCAGAAGTTTTATGGCTATGCTTGGTTCTTTAAATTTCCATATAAAATGTAAGATCCACGTATCAATTTTTACAAACTAAAAGCCTACAAGGATTTTGAAAAAAGAATGAATGGAATTTACACATCAATATGAGGGGAATACTTCTTTATCAATACTGAGTCTTCCAACTTGCAAAAGTGAACTATCTTTTTATTTATTTTAGATTATCACTAATTTCTTTCAGCTATGTATTGTAATTTTCAGTGTATGAGTTATTATTTGTTATTATAACTCAGAATTTTATTATTTTTGATTCTATTATAACAAGTACTGCTTTTGTAATTTCTTTATCAGGTTTTTTATTCTTACAATAGAGAAAAAATTGATTTTTGTACATTAATCTTGTATCCTGCAATATGCTAAACTGATTTACAGTCCTAGTGCCACTCCTCCTTCCCCATAAAAACTTCAGAATTTTGTTCAGAGTATCAGTATCATAAACACATTTTACTTGTTCCTTTCCAACCTGAATGCATCTCTACCTCTATTTCTATTTATTTTTCTCTCTTTCTCTCACTTTTTGCCTTTTTCACTGGTTACAACCTCCAGTACAGTGTTTAATAGAATTGACAAAAGTGGAGATCTTCACCATATTCCAAATAGTAGGAAAAATATATTGTCTTCCTTTATTAACTTTGATGTAACTTGTGGATTTTTAAAGATACCCTTTAGGACAGGTGAGGGTGGCTCACGCGTGTAATCCCAGCAATTTGGGAGGCTGAGGTGGGTGGATCACCTGAGGTTAGGAGTTCAAGACCACCCTGACCAATATGGTGAAACCTCGTCTCTACTAAAAATACAAAAATTAACCAGGCCTGGTGGCAGATGCCTGTAATTCCAGCTACTCGGGAGGCCGAGATGGGAGAATTGCTTGAACCCAGGAGGCGGAGTTTGCAGTGAGCGCCACTGCACTCCAGTCTGGGCAACAGAGCAAGACTCCCTCTCAAAAAATAAAAATAAAATTTAAAAGTTAAAAAAAAAAAGGTATCCTTTAACAGTTGAAGAGGCACCCTTCTACTTTGAATTTGTCGGGAGTTTTTATTATGAATAGATGTTGCAATTTTCAATGCATTTTCTATCTCTATTGAGATAATCACATGGTTATTGTTCTTTATTCTATTAATATGGTATATAATATTAATTGATTTTTGATTGTTCTACCAACATTATATTCCTAGAACAAGCTCCATTAGACCATGGTGTATAATTGGTTTACAGATTGCTGGATATGGTGTGCTCATACTTTGTTGAGGACTTTGGAGGTATATAATTTTTATTGATATTGGTAGGTAGTACTCTTTTCCTGTGATGTTTTTGCCAAGCTTTAGTGTCACGGTAACATTGGCCTTACAGTTTTCATTTGGTAGTGTGCTCTTCTCCTCTATCATCTGTAATGCCTTGTGAAGACTTAGTATTATATATTCTTTAAATATTTCATAGAATTTACAGCGCAGCCATCTGAACCCAAGCTTCTCTGTGTGGGAAGATTTTAAACTGTTATTAAACCTGATGTTGAGACTCATAAACAAAGTAAATGGCATGGAGGTTACAAAGATAAATTAGATATATTAATGTCTTTTGATACATATTATTGCAAATAGGCATTTTCTACATTAACATTATTACAGTCAAAACACTACTATCCTTTGAACTGGGCCAGATAATATTTCTTTCCATTGTCTAGCTTTGGAAAGGCAAGGCAATTTATGAAAAATAGTATCATCAAACACAGTAAATTAATGATTTAAAGTTAAATTTTAATGTTTGGCACTTTTTGTATACAGGCATACCTCAGAGATATTGTAGGTTTAGTTCCAGAACACTGCAATAAAGCAAATAGTGAAATACAGCAAGTCACACAATTTTTTGGTCACACAGTCTTTTTGCTGGTGGAGAGTGTTGCCTCAAAGTTGATGGCTGCTGGCTGATCAGGATGCTGTCAATTGTGTCAAACTGCAGGGTTTGAGATACTTGCTGCTTTACCAAGTTTATGTAATATAATAAATCCTTTGTTGTTCTTTCAATAACCTTCACAGCATTTTCACCAGAAGTAAAATCGATCTTAAGAAACTACTTTCTTTTCTCAACCATAAGAAGCAACTCCTCATCCATGATGAGATTGCAGCAATTCAGTCACATCTTAAGGCTCCAATTCTAATGATACTTCTTTTACTGTTTTCACCACATTCGCAGTTACTTCCTCCACTGAAGTCTTGAACCTCTCTAAGTCATTCGTGAGGACTGTAACCAACTTCTTCAAAACTCCTGATAATGTTGATACGTTGACCTCCTCCCATGAATCATAAATGTTCTTAATGGCATTTGTATTTTCAAATGGTGAATGCTTTCCATAGGTTTTCAATTCATGTTCCCAAGATCTATCAGAGGAATCATTATCTGTGGCAGCTATAGCCTTATGAAATATATATCCTAGATAATAAAAATTAAAAGTCATAATAACTCCTTGATACTCAGGCTACAGAATTGATGTTTTGTTGGCAGATATGCAAGCAACATTCGTCTCCTTGTGCATCTCCATCAGTGCTCTTGTGTGACCATCACATTGTCAATGAGTAATATTTTGAAAGGATTCCTTTTTTTACTGAGCACTAGGTCTCAACACTGGGCTTAAAATATCTAGTAAACCATGCTCTAAACAGATGTGTCGTCATCAAAGCTTTGTTGTTCATATGTAGGGCACAGGTAGAGTATGTTTACCATAGTTCTTAAGGGACCCAGAACTTTTGGAATGGTCAGTGATTATTAACTTTAAATTAAAGTGACCAGGTGCATTAGCTCTCAACAAGAGAGTTAGCCTGTTCTTTCAAACTTTGAATCCAGACATTGTCTTATCTTCCCTGGCTATGGATGTCCTAGATGGCTTCTTCTCCCAATGGAAGGCTGTTGTGTCTTCATTGAAAATCTGTTGTTTAGTGCATCCACCTTCATTAATTATCTTAGCTAAATCCTCTGGTTGATTTGCTTCAGCTTCTACACAAGTACTTGCTTCTTCAACTTGAAGTTTGATGGTATGGAGATGGCTTATTTTTTAAACTTCATGAACAAATCTCTGCTACCTTCCAACTTTTCTTCTGTAGCTTCCTCATCTGTCTCAGCTTTCATAGCATTGAAGAGAGTTATGGCCCTGCTCTGAATTAGGCTTTGGCCTAAAGAAATGTTGTGGCTGATTTCATCTTTTATCCATACCACTCAAACTTTCTTCATATCAACAATAAGCCTATTTTACTTTCTTGTCACTCATGTTTTCACTTGAGTAGCACTTTATAATTTCCTTCAAGAACTTTTTCTTTGGATTTACTACTTGTGCTATTTGGCACAAGAGGCATAGCTTTTGACTTATCTGAGTTTTCAACATGCCTTCCTGACTAAGCTTAATCATTTTTAGCTTTTGATTTAAAGTTACAGATCTGAGACTCTTTCTTTCACTTGAACACACAGAGGTCATTGCAGACCTATTAATTGGCCTAATTTCAGTATTGTTGTGATTCTAGGAACAGAGAGGTCTGAGGATAAAGAAAGAGATATGGAATGGTTGATCAGTGGAAGTGGACTAGTTGGAACACACATATTAACCGTTAAGTTTGCCATATTATGTGGGTTTGATTCATGATGCCTCAAAATAATTAAAATAGTAGCATCAAAGATCACTCTTTATGATCATCATACCAAATATAATATTAATAAGAACAATAAAGTTTGAAATACTGTGCGCATTACAAAAATGTGACACAGAAACACAAAAATAAGCACATGCTGTTGGAAATCTTGCTCCATGCAAGGCTGCCACAAAGCTTCAATTTGTAAGGATGACATTATCTGTGAAGTGCAGTAAAGCAAAGTTAAATAAAATGAGATATATCTGTATTTAATGTATATATATTTTTCCTTTTTCATGGCTGTAAAACAAATAAAAGCACAAGAAAATTATATTGATTTCATATTATAAATATTTCAATAGTTTATAATACAAGTAATTCAATCAATAGCAGAATTTCAGTTATAACTTTTCTGTAAAATTGTATTTTACATCACTGATATTTGAACAACATTGAAACATGATTTTTTTCATTCTACTCCACTGTCAAATAAGAAAGCCATAGAAAAGTAGCAGAAAGGGGAAAGGAAAATGGGAAGGAGACAGGAAAAACCATTGTTACTTAAAAAGATATTGTGGATATATATTATTGTTCCCAGTTTTATGCTCCATTTTGTTTAATAGAACCTCATTACTTGCTGCCCAGTGCTGTGTGATTTGCAGTGCCTTCCTAGGGAGCAATATGTTTCTTTGGATCATTGGCAGCTCTGGTCATGTGAGTTGATTTGGTCAATGGACTATTATTGAAAATGACATATATCCATAACACGTTTTTACTGGTTCTCTTCCTTTTTTTCATTTGTCACAAGAACAGCATGTTCCAGCTAGAGCCCCTTCCTTTATCCTGAATCCTGTAGTGAGAATACACTGCAGTAGACGCTAATAAAACCCTGCTCTAGGAATAGTTGTTGCGAGGTATTTAAGACACGAGAGAGCTCAAGGGGCTAGACTGTAAACTGCAAGTAATTCCACTAAACCAGAAACTAGAACTTTGAATTTTCTATTTTTATATGATTCAAATCTTTCATTTATCAAACTATTTTAAAATTTCCATTATGAGGCCTTTTTTTCATTGACTCTCATACAGGTAATATAAGAAATGATTCTTTGGGTTGACTGAATTAGGTGGTGAAATATATGAAGCATTAAACACATTTTCTTTCTTACTGTCATTGGTTATCTGTTTTGTTTTGTTATTTTGTAGTCCCAACTGTGGCTAATGTTTGATGTATACATTTTTCTGAAGATATATTACACTGAAAATTCTTGGCTTTCCTTCAAATAACTCCTCTATTTGAATAACTTCTTTCCATTTTCTCCACCAATGTCTTAGTTTAGCTTAGCTCAGCTCCCTACCTCTTGACTTATTTTTGATCATTTCCTAATTGTTTTTCTAGCTCTAATCTCTCCATCACTTATCCAAAGCCAGATTTATCTAGTAATTTCCTTGATCAAATAATCTCCCCTTCCTCACTCTTCTTGTCTGGCTTTTCATTCCTCCTTAATCAATCTTTTGCTTAATTGTTTTCCTCTTCTCGTTTCCTCTCCAAAAACTACACTCATCCTGCCAATCTCTGTTTTCTTGGCTTTCTTCATATACCTCATCTTGAATTTTCTTTTGTGTCTCTTTTCAGACAATTTCTACCAATCCCTCAAGGCTTTATTTAATATATTCATCTTCTTAAAAGCTTCCTTGTCAAGATCAGGAATAACAGTGCCTGGTGAGGAGTTGTCCTCTGAATTCCTATTGTTTTCTATCAATACAATAAAATGTATTGTTGAATATGTTCCTGTTTTGTATTAATGAACTCTGTCTTTTGAATGATGCTGTTGTCTTCTCAACTAGATTGTAATATCCTTATGCGCAGGAACTGTGGTCTAAACTTTTCTGCAGTCCACACCATGCCTAGTACTCTACTGAGGGCACAGTGAAATCTCAGCAAATGTTGTCTGTTTGAGAACCAACAAAAGTACTTTTCTTTTTTTTTTATTTCTAACTTAATAACTTCAAATTTGTATTTCAATAATTTCTTAAATGAGTCACCTTATAAAGTTAAATTAATCCATTAGTCTTATGGAACATGCATACACAACATAAATACATTCAAAATTTAAAATTTGCAATGTATCTTTATTTTAAAGATTTTACTTAATTCGCTTTTGGTCAAATTTCCCCTAATATCCATGTATATTCATATAATCCAGTCTGAATCCAAGGGTTAATTAAACTTGGAGTTGCTCCCTTTGGTGTGTGACTATAAATGGTGATTGTGAAGGCTATAGGGGGCATATCGTATCTGTTGTCTCTCTTTTTTTGTCCTTTTTGCAGCTGTTGATGTTAATTACAATATCTGTTCATTCACTGAAAGTTGAATAATTATGAATTTCTAATTTTGTTTCTCATTTAGTAGTTGGACATTTTTTATGGATTTTATATTTTTTAGTGCAGTTTTAAATTCACGATAAAATTGAGAGAAGGTACAGGGGTTTCCAACATAATTCTTTGAACCCATGCATAGCCTCCTTCATTATCAACATCCTTCACCAGACTGGTACATTCCTTACAATTGATAAACCTACACAGACACATTGTTGTCACCCAAAGTCCAAAGTTCACATGAAGGATCACTCTTGCTGTTATACATTCTCTGGATTTGGACAAATGAAAAATGACAAATATCCAGCATTACGGTATCATAAAGAGTAGCTTCACTGCTCTAAAACTCCTTTGTTGTCTGACTGTTCTTTTTTTTAAATTAAACTATTTTTATGATAATGATAGATTCACATGCAGTTGTAAGAAATAATAGAGATATGCTGTGCACCCCTTATCCAGTTTCCCCCAATGGTAACATCTTGCAAAACTACAATACCGCAATCATAATCCTGACCTTGATACAATAAAGATACAGAACATTTCCATCACCTCAAGAATCCTCTATATTGCCCTTTTAAAACCATATCAATTTTCCTCCTACTCCCGCCCCTGCCCCAAGGCCTCCCTATCTTTAACTTCTGGCAACCACTAATAGGTTTTATAATTTTTTTATTTATAAAATATTGTATAAATTGAATGATAAAGTAAGTAATCTTTTTGTATTGGCTATTTTGAGTCAACATAATTCTCTGACGATTCATCCCATTTGTTGTGTGAATGAGTAATTTGTTCCTCTTTTGTTGCTGAGTAGTATTCTATGGTATGGATATTGCTTAATAATTTATTCATTGAAGGACACCTGTGTTATTTTCCAGCTTGAGCTATTACAAATAAAGCTGCTATGAACATGTGTGCACACGTTTTTGTGGGAAATTACATTTTTATTTCTATGGAATCAATGCCCAGGAGTGCAGTTATTGCATCATATGGTAGTCACCTGCTAATTTTTAAAGAAACTACCAAACCACTTTTCAGAATGTCTGAGCCATTTTATATTTTCACCAGCAATATTATAATGATACAGTTTCTCTACATCCTTACCAACATTTGGCTATTTCATTATTTCTTTTTTATTTCAGTTATTTTAATAGTAATGTACTGATACTTCATTTTGGTTTTCATTTGCATTCTCCTCATAACCGATGATGTTGAACATATTTGCTTATTTTCCAGCTATGTATAATCATCAGTGAAGTCTCTTTTCTTTGCTTTTACCCATTTTCTAATTGAATTTTTACTTCATTATTCAACTTTTAAGAATTCCTTATATATTCTAGATATTCATCATATTTTGTATATATGCTTTACAAATATTTTCTCCCAGAGTGTAGCCCTCTTTTCATCCCCTTAAAAGAGCCTTACACAAAGCAAGTTTTTAATGTTGATTCATTCTAATTTAGGAATTTTCTTATGGGTCATGGGCTAAGAAATGTTTGCCTAACCCTAGATCCTGAGGATTTTCCCCTATGTTTTTTGTTTAAAGATTTGTAATTTTCCATATCACATTTAAGTCCATGATTTGCTTTGAGTACATTTTTGAATTAGGTCAAGATTTCTCTTTTTCTTTTTTTGGCTTATAAATTCCCACTAGTCCCAGGATCATTTATAAAAAGGATAATTCTTCCATTGAATTGTTTTTTTACCTTTGTCAAATTTCAGTTAGGCATATTTGTATGGGTATATATTACTGAGTTCTTAATTTTGCTCCATTACTCTATGTGTCTATTCCTTTAGTAATTACAGTTTTGATACATAGGTACATAAGTTTAAAATCAGATGGACTGATTCTTTATTACTTTATTTTTCTTCATTTTTCTTTCACAAATTGGTTTAACTATTCTAGTTTCTTTATCTTTTCATATTAATTTTAGAACAATCATATCTATATCTAGAACTGAAATCTCTACTACATTGAATCTTCTAATCATGAACACAATGTATCTTTCTATCTATTTGGATTTTTAAATTTTTTTCATCAGTATATTGTAGTTGCTGGCATACAAGTACTATACACATTTTGGTAGATTTACATCTAAATATTGTATTTTTGAGGAATTGTAGTTCAGAGAATTTAAAAACAAAATCGTAGTGAAGAGAATTTTAAAAATATATATTTAATTTGGGTGTCCACAAGTTTATTTATAATATATATAAATATAATTAATTTTATGTGTTTATCTTGTATTCTGTGGCTTTGTCAAACTCATATGTTACTTCTAATAGATTTTTGTTTTATTTTTGTAGATATGTAAAGATTTTTCTATGTAGAGAATCAAGAGTCATGTCATCTGCAAACAGGGCCAGTTGCATTTCTTGCTTTCTGATCTGTAGACCTCCTTCTTGCTTTATTGCTCTGGCTAAAACTTCTAGCATTATGATGGGTAAAAATGTTGAAAGAAGGCATTCTTCCTTGGGCTCGGTCTTATGGGAGAAGCATTCAGCCTTTTACAATGAAGTGTAAATTAGCTGCAGGTTTTTGTGCATGTTCTTTATCAAGTTGAAGGATTCTCTTCTATTTCTATTTTCCTGAAAGTTTTTCACAAGAACAAATGTTGAATTTTGTCAAATGATTTTTCTGTAAGGATTGATATAGTTATCTGATTCTTCTTGTTTACACTGTAAATATAATTCGATATATTGATTGATTTTTAAAATATTAAACCAGCTTTAAATTTCTCCAATAAACTCCACTTGATCTTGCTATGTAATTCTTTTAAAAGATTGCTGAATTCTGTATGTTGATAATTTGTTAAAGATTTTTGCATCTATATTAGAGAGGGATATTGGTGTAGTCTTCTTATTTTGATAATATTGTCTTTGTCTGGATTTGCTATCAGGGTAACACCAGCTTTATATATTAAATGTAAAATGTTCCCTTTTATTTTCTGAAAGAGAATTGGTATTCATTCATTGAACGTTTGATAGAATTATACAGTGAAACCGTATGGACATGGAATATTATTTTAAACAAGAGAAAGAGGTTTCTAAAAAGGAATTTTTTTCAGTTATAGCATTACTCAAGTTATCTATTTTATATTGGACGAACTGGAGTGGTTTGAGTTTTTCAAGAAATTGGTCCATTTCATCCGTTTTCAAATTTGTGTGTATAGAGTTGTTCAAAGCATTTCTTTACTATCCTTTTGGTATCTGCAGGTTTCTTTAGTGATGTCCTGTGTTTAATTTTTGACATTTGTAATTTGTGTCTTCAGTAACATTTTCTTTGTCAATTCTTGATAGAGGTTTGTCAATGTCACTGATCTTTTCTAACAAACTACTCTGTTTCATTGAATTTGCCTATATAACTTGCCTTTGATTTTCTAGTGTTTAATATAAACAATTGCCTTTTAAAATTATTTTCTAAAAGTGACTATTTATTATATTACTATTAATTCATGAATTAAAAACATTTGACGAGTTTCAATCTGGTGCAAATATTGTTGTTTTTAATGTTTAAATTGTCCCAATTTTTGCTAGTGGGACTCCTCTCTAAGTTGACTCTTTTGATGTGATACAGGCATTCCTTGATTATCTTATAAACTCTCTGGTATAATGATACATTTCAGGCTTAAATTGTGCATTTTCTGATCCAGATTTCAAATCAGTCTTTTAGCTAAGAAATATGAAGTATTTTAATAAGAAATGATATTTTAGGCTGGCGTGGTGGCTCACACCTGTAATCACAGTTCTTTGAGAGGCCAAGGTGGGTGGATCATGAGGTCAGGAGATCAAGACCATCCTGGCCAACATGGTGAAACCCTGTCTCTACTAAAAATACAAAAATTAGTGGGGCATGGTGGCATGTGCCTGTAATCCCAGCTACTCAGGAGGCAGAGGCAGAAGTATCGCTTGAACCAGGGAGCTGGAGGTTGCAGTGAGCCGAGATCATGCCACTGCACTGCATCGTGGCAACAGGGCGAGACTCCATCTCAAAAAAAGAAAAAAAGAAAAAAATTATATTTCGATAGCATAGTCTGGGCACCAGGAATCCTTACTGCTATTGGGTTAATCATTTTTTTCTAGGTCTTTTGGTGGGAAGTGTTAAAGGAAAAATGTTTTAATTAAAATATATACTATATATTATGTAATCTTATAACAAGTATGTAGTTAGAAAGATAAAATACCTCATGAGTTTATGTGTATAATCATTATTTCTTCACTTTTTAATTTTTATTTTGAAATAGGTTCAACACACAGAAGGTTGCCACCATTTATCACTATTGACTTACAGTTCTGTATATGTGTGTTTGTGCATGTGCGTTTGAGAGTAAGTCAGTGACATGATGTTCATTCTACTAATAACTCCAGTTTCCATTTCCTAAGATCAAGTATACCATCCTTTGTAAACACGGTATCCTCATTAAATTTAGAAATTATCATTGACACAATGCCAGTGACCTTATAAATCATAGATCCCATTAATATTTTGTCCTTGTTCAAATAATGCCATACATACATATATATATATATATATATATATGCAAATAAACAAAACTTCCTCCTTTTTACCCTTTTACCTCCTGGTCAAAAGTCTATCCAGGATCATCACAGCTCATTTAGTGGTCATGCCTCTTTCACTCCCTTGAATTTAGATTAGTTCCTCCTTTCTTGAGCTTGATTTTTTTTTAATGAAAACAGTTTAGTTATTTTGTATAATTCCCTCCCAAGTAGGTCTTTCAACTATTTTACCTTAAATGGATTCAGATTAGCCATTTTTGGCAGAAACAACATAGAACACAGAACAACAACAGAACATAGAAGTGATGTTCCATTCTTAGCATCATATTAGGAGGCACATGATGTCTGATATGGCTTGGCTGTGTCCCCACCAAAATATCATCTTGAATGGTAGCTCCCATAATTCCTATGTGGGAGGTAACTGAATCATGGGGGCGGGTCTTTCCCATGCTGTTCTCATAATAATGAATAATTCTCACAAGATCTGATGGTCTTATAAAGAGCAGTTCCTCTGCACAGGCTCTCCTGCCTGCGGCCATGTAAGAAGTGCCTTTGCTTCTCATTCACCTTCTGTCATAATTGTGAGGCCTCCCTAGCCAGGTGGAACTGTGAGTCAATTAAACCTCTTTCCTTCATAAATTATCCAGTCTTGGGTATGTCTTTATTAGCTGCATGATAACAAATGAATACAGTAAATTGGTACCAGGAATAGAGCACTGCCATAAAGACACCCAAAAATGTGGAAGTGAGTTTGGAACTGAGTAACAGGCAGAGGTTGGAATAGTTTGGAGGGCTAGAAGAAGATAGAAAAATGTGGGAAAGTTTGGAACTTCCTAGACAGTTGTTGAATGGATTGCACAAAATGCTGCTCATCTCAGATTTAGATGAGGGACTTGTTGGAAATTAGAATAAAGGTGACTCTTGCTATGTTTTAGCAAAGAGACTGGAAGCATTCTGCGCCTGCATTAGAGATCTGTGAAACTGAACTTAAGAGAGATGATTTAGGGTATCTGGCAGAAGAAATTTCCAAGCAGCAAAGCATTCAAGATGTGACTTGGGCGCTGTTAAAAGTAGAAAAGGAAAACCTATTTTCTGAGGAGAAATTCAAACAGGCTGCCAAAATTTGCATAAGTAATGAGGAGCCAAATGTTAATAGCCAAGACAATGGGGAAAATGTCTCCAGGGCATATCAGAGGTCTTCGTGGCAGCCCCTCCAATCACAGGCCTGGAGACCTAAAAGGAAAAAATGGTTGTATGGGCCAGGCCCAGGGCCTTGCAGCTTTGTGCAGTCTCAGGACTCAGTGCCCTGCATCCCAGCTGTGGCAAAAATGGGCCAATGTACAGCCTGGGCTGTAGCGTCAGAGGGCACAAGCCCCAAGCCTTGGCAGCTTCCTTGTGGTGTTCAGCCTCCAGGTGCGCAGAAGTCAAGAATTGAGGTTTGGGAACCTCTGCCTAGATTTCAGAGGATCTGTAGAAATGCCTGGATGCCCAGGCAAAATTTGCTGCAGAGGCAGAGCCCTCATGGACAACCTCTGCTAGGGCAGTACAGATGGGAAACTTGGGGTTGGAGACCCCACACACAGTCACCACTAAGGCATTGCCTAGCAGAGCTGTGAAAATAGGGGCCCTATCCTCCAGACCTCAGAATGGTAGATCCACTGACAGCTTGTACTGTGCACCTAGAAAAGCCACAGACACTCAACATTAGCCCATGAAAGCAGCCAGGAGGGGAGCTGTATCCTGCAAAGCCACAGGGGCAGAGCTGCCCAAGACCACGTTAACCCACCTCTTGCATTAGTGTGACCTGGATTGAGACATGCAGTCAAAGGAAATCATTTTGGAGCTTTAAGATTTGACTCCCCCACTGGATTTCAGACTTGCATGGGGCCCGTAGCCCCTTCATTTTGACCAATTTATCCTATTTAGAATGGGTATATTTACCCAATGCCTGTACCCCTGTTTTATCTAGGAAGTAACTAACTTGCTTTTGATTTTACAGGCTCTTAGGTGGAAGGGACTTGACTTGTCTCAGATGAGACTTTGGACTGTGGTCTTTTGAGTTAATGCTGAAATGAGTTAAGACTTTGGGAGACTGCTGGGAAGGCATGATTGGTTTTGAAATGTGAGGATATTAAATTTGGGAGGGGCTGGGGTGAAATGATATGGTTTGATTCTGTCCACACCCAAGTCTCATCTTCAACTGTAACTCCCATAATTCCCACTTGTGGGAGGGACCCTGTGGAACGTAATTGAATCACGTGGGCAGATCTTTCTAGTTCTGTTCTTGTGATAGTGAATAAGTTTCACAAGATGCAATGGTTTTACAAACAGGAGTTCCCCTGCACACGCTCTCTTGCCTGTGGCCATCTAAGGCATGCCTTTACTTCTTATTCACCTTCTGCTATGATTGTAAGGCCTCCCCAGCCATGTGGAACTGTGAGTCAATTAAACCTCTTTCCTTAATAGATTACCCAGTTGTGAGTATGTCTTCATTAGTATTGTGAGAAAAGACTAATACAATGTCTATTTTTCCCATCTTTTGTAATATTAACTTTCAACCATTAAAAAGATGGTATCTGTTTGCTTTCTCCACTACAAAGTGAATAAGTATTTTTGTTGCCCTAAGCCCTGGTGCTACAAGAGGATTGACACAACCCCTTTCTTCACAATTATATGAATGTTATTACAACATCAGCAAAGCAGCTTTGGTCACGTGTCAATCAACAGAATTGCTTGCACATATTTGAAAATTAAACACATAAATGTAAAATTAAGCACATTCTCTGCCTAGAGAAAGGTGTTGCCAACTATTTATTTTAATTTTCAAAGAACATATATTTTCTTTCCCTCTTTGATGATACACCTTTTGAAACCAATGATCATGTCTTAAAAACTGTATACCTTACAGTATGTGACAGTGTCTTGCTTTTAATAAATGTCTAATTATATACATAGCATTGATGTATTTGAGTTGTATCGATTGTGATTTTGAAACACAAAGCTCTTGATTTCATAATGAAACCATTTATAGCATTTTAGTCTTTCAAGTATATATTTAGCATTGCTACATAAATTACTTTATTAAAAAATTAATCAATTTTTAAAGAATAGTGATGCATATGTTAAGAGTAGATACATTTTCTAACTTGAGTCCTCAAACTTACACTACTCTCTTTGAATATTTTTTCACTCTACTCTCCATTCCTACATACTATGGTTGACCTCTCTCACCATATTGACAATCTCATGTTTTATTCACAATCTCATGTATTTATTTAGTTAATTGGAATTAATTGGGTTTCAATCTAAGCTGTCACTTATTCATTACATTATCTTAGGCAGATTGCTTCACCCACGCAAGCCTCAGTTTCCTCTTCTGTCAAATGAGGATTTGAGAAAAAAAATTATTTGTTGATTATCTGGAGTCCAAATTATGATAGAGGGGAAAAGTAGCAATTATACTGTGCTTTATCAGGGTGCTTATATTTCCACTGTAGAACTGGCATTTATATAAGAAACCAATGCTTAGTGCCACCAAAAACAATTCAGTCTTTGTGCAGAGATGAGATGGCCAATTATCAGCAGAACATAAATTAATCTTTTAATTAGCAAAATAAAAATGTCAACATTTCTATCTACAATCATAATTTACCATGAATACAGCAGCTAAATCAAACAGCAGAAACAATAAAAGTAATAAAAATAAAAGACATTAAGAAAAAAGTACAGAATGTTTTTGAGTTGGAAATCAGATACAATGGGGAAACATAGAAAGAGAGAGAGAGAGCAATAGAATGCATGAATGTGTGTGAGATTTTGAATGCCACTAAATTTTAGGGCCATATAAATATTAAACTATAGAATACAGAAACCATACATAGGTATTTAGCAGGGAACTGGAGAGAACCACATGTATCAATGCAATTTCTAAAGAGTCCATAAAGTTAACATTTTTGACCACATATCCTACAAAATGCAAAATTTTCAGGCTATATATAAGTTCATTATGAAAGTGATTATTTAGGCAAATAAAGTAGTAAAATAGCAATTTTAATAAAATTTAAGTTTTATTTCTTTTATGAGACTTGGTGTTTTAAATATAATAATATGCATTGTATGGATTGTCAAGGGCTGGATATGATATGCAGAATCTTCTGAATTTGAAATTCTTTAATTTGAAGCTGCTTAGGAAACTTGTGTTAATGAGACCTTTTTAAATTATTCTTTGTTTTTGCAGTTTTAAATGAGACTCCAGAATTTTACACGTTTTAAAAGGTTTGTGACACAAAACACAAACAAATACACACACCATAATCATACAATTGTCATTCCTGGTACAGTACATAAGATGAGAAGTAAATGGATAACACAAAAGTAGATCAATATAAAATGTTGACAGAGGCAAATTCCTTAATCATTTTGAATTAATAAATTTTAGCTAATAAGTAGTGAATCTGGATTTGAAATAATCATTGGAAACAAACTGCGTAACATGTAAATTTAGTTAAGGCATAGTAAATTCTATGTGATATTTTTATTTCAACCGTTCTGGATTAATCTATTCCATTGACTTTATATAGTTCTAACATTTTATAAAACCAGAATATTTCATGAAATTATCTAGACATGTGGTCTCCATGTGAATATTTTAATTAAAATTACTGTTCCAATATTGAAAAAGCTGATAAACGTAGGGTAACATCTGTGACAGATTGATTGTATTAAGAGTCCCAATTCTGCAACTACTCTGTAACCATATCTTTTGCAAAATAACTTTTATTGATCTCCAGTTCTCACCGTGAACTCTACCATGAGGTTTATTTTGGCCAATGAGATACTAACATGTGACAAAGCAGGAACTTGAAGAGGAACTGTGTGATTGAACTTGCTCAGTCTTGCTTCTCTGCCAAAACCAGGAGAATATTCCTGGGTTAGCCCAGAGAGAATAGAACTGAGTCACTCCAGTGATCCCAACCAAAGCCATCCTACATCAGCCAGTAGTCCTCCAGCCCCTGGGCATCTGATTGAGTTCAACCAACATCAGATGAGCCTCATAGCCAATCTCTTACTGACCACAGATGTGTGACCTAGCCTAAGAAATATCATCTTGCCCAGATGATCCAGATTCAGAATCAACTGAATCTTACCAACTTATTTGTGTGACACTGGGGAATTTTGGTCATTTTATACAAGATCTGTCTTTGGCAATACACAACCAACTGACTGAATAATTCAACATCTGAACCAGGACACATCAATGAATAAAAGGGGATGCTAGATTGTAGTAAATTGGCACCATCCCACACAATTCTGGATACACTTTTGACTTACAATCAGCCCCTGGGTCCCTTGAAGATGGTTATTTTAATGAAGGTCAAAGATGATTTATCTCAGTAACTGATTTCCAAGAGAAATAACTATAAATAAATACAGTCCATATGTGATGCCTGTTGGTGATATAATTTAAGTTTAATACTTAGAAATATTAGAATGGGGTAAAAGAATTATGTAAATTTGTTAAATGGGCCAATAGTTAAATTAAATGAATGGCTGGAGAATAACAAATGACTACTGATATTTGGCCTCAGTGTGGAAAACAACAGGAAGTGGTTTGGACTGAGCTGAATTGGACAATAGGCATCTTGGTTTAAGAGAGTAGCTACTTCTCAGCTTCTGTTGCTTGTTTCCAAAAAGAATATAAACACAGTGTTGCCAGATGTTTCATTATATTCCAGATATTTAGACTTTACATGAACACAGCAAAGTTGTTTTCTTATGGCTAAACATATCAATTAAAAAAAAAACATGTAGTCCACACACACAGCATGTCTGCATATCAAATTTGGCCCATTGGCTATTACGTATGTTGTGACCTTATACCTTTTACTTAGAGAAATGGATCAGTAAAATAGTCTCTAAATGAAGACTTCTAAAAACCAATAGATTTCATTGTGATGTTGGTTGAAACCATATGATACTAATTAAAAAACACCTTCTATTGAGTTTCTCCTTTGTGTCTATTCTGGGTTTTGTGTTGGCATAAGTGCCAAAGAGTAAATATCCCGGTATAAGCTGTGTCTTCGTGTATTAATTACTGTGTGGCAATATCGACACAAATTTAATGGCTTAAAACAACATGAGGTGTTCATTATCTTACAGTTTCTATGAGTCAGGTGTCCTGGCACAGCTTAGCTGTGCCCTCTACAATGCTATAGCAATACATTGGCCAGGAATATGGTCTCTTCTGAGGCTTAACTAGGGAAAGGATCCACTTTCAAGTTTACTCAAATTGTTATAAGAATTCCATTTCTTGCATGTGTAAGACAGAGGGCTCCAGGTTCTTCGGGGCTATCGGTCAAATACTGCTCTAATTTTTAGAGGTGCTCACAGCTTCTTGCCACATAAAGTTTCCCAAAACGTCCACTTGCTTCGTCACATTCATCAAAAGAGAGAGACTCCAGGAAGGCAAACACTACAATATTATGTGCATGATTATGTATGCCTAATTACCTACATAAGCTCACCTTTGCCATGTTCTGTAGGTTAGAGACAAGCCATAGGCCATGTCCAGATTTAGGATAAGGAAACTACACAAGCATTTGAACACCAAGAAGTGACGATCATGGGTATTATCCTAGAGCACATCCACCATGCTTTCCCAAATAAGAATAAGATTTACTGAAGCAATAAATTCTTTTTCTAAAGCTGTCAAAGGAAACCTTCATTTATTAGTAGAATCATAGTTCAGAGAAGCGATGGCATAGTGATTTGAGGGCTGCTTCAACATGGCATGGTGATTTGGTAGATACTTCAACATGTGGTCATTCACACAGAATGACCTCCGCTCAGGCAGCACTCCGCTACATATTAACTTGCTCAAGTTTCCTACATGAAGCTCTGAGCAATGTGTGTCAAAGATTCTATACTGTGTGCTGTGACTTACACATATTTTATTGCAAGGAGGTTTTGCCATTTTTAGAATACTTATAAATTTCTTTTTTATATGGACCTTTTAACAATATAATATTTTTAAGTAATTTTATCTGCTTGGGCAACTAAAGACCAAAAAGCCACCTGTTTTCTCCTATCAGGTAGTCCCACACAGCATAGTGAGTGGAAGGGAACAATGAGGGCCCAATTCCTACCTCACTGACCAGCTGCCATGATTTTGAATATTAGATGTAAAATGGGTGAAACATTTAAGTAGCAGTTTACATTTCAGAACATACTGAAATTGTATCCCCTGCTAATTAACCACTGATGGAAGTAATCGCTTGGATCCTATCGAACAAATGTGGCAAGTCCCTGTCTGCTGGAATGCATTACAAATGTGGTCTATTGGTTCCTGAAACTTCCACTGCAAAATTACCCTTCTATTCTATCTTTCAATTATATGCTGAAAACTCATTACTTTAAAAAATTTAATGGAAACATACAAACCTCTTTGGGAATTACCTGACTCTGTTGAAAACTAAACCAAAATGCACAGGTAATAAAAGCAAGCCTTGTTGCTATAGAAAAATTGCTCCAATAGAATTTTGGTGTATTATTGTTTTTCAGTGAACCAGTTACAGAGGCTAAAATTGGAACCTAAGTGAATAGCTATTTCATGTTGCTATAAGTGAACTGCAAGAATTCTACATTTCAAAGTCACTTGACGTAAAACTTACACATTCCAGACTTCTGAAACTTTCCACCTACTTATATCGCTGCCACTTACACATACCGTTAATCCATCAATAACTCTCATGGTTGCAACAGCTGAATGGAAAAATGGCCAAAGTGCCCTCATTTCATAAATCTCAAAGTGCTTGTGATTCTTTAAAATACCACACATATTTTTATTTGCAGTTTCAACATGATTAAAATAATTTAGAAACAGATACTCTTAACTGGTGAGTGATTTAGTCTGGGGTTAGAATATTCCACATTTTCTCATTTTTGGACAGAGAACTATTTACTAAAAGCATTTAAAGAAAGAATTAATACACTTTTTATGTTGACTTTCCACCTTTATATGAAAAAAAGAGCATTTATTGGGGGAAAATATGATTTCACATTTAGTCTAGATAGTTTTGCATATTGAAAGTTTCATGGAGAAGAAAATATTGAAGTTTTAAAGTTATAGAGATTTATTTTACTCTAGTACATACTGAATACTTTATATAACAAAGATTAGGTTATTAATTTATTCAGTAAACCTGCCCAAAAGTGAGGGTCCCAAAAGAGAAATAAAGCAAGTTTCTATAGTCTGACAGTATGAAAATAATAATTTACTTGAAAATCAAAATTAATTTTAAAATATATTCAAAGTTCCTATAGGTGGACTGTATAAAACTATTTGAACAATTAAGAACAAATATTATGTGACTAGAGAAAATTATATAGAAATTAGAAAAAAAAACAACCTTGAAACAAAAATGTTGTTTTTTGTAGATTTTCTACCCAGTTAGAGAAAAGTGTATTTCCGGAGAAGAGACACAGTAAGGGGTCTTGACTCCATTATAAATTTTTGAAAGAATGAGCAAATAAATATAGAATTGGGAGAAAAAGTTATTAGAAAGAAAAGGGAGCAGTGACAAATCACATCAACTTAAAAGATCGCATAAAAATTTGAAGAGGCTATTGAATAAAAGAAAGTATAGAGAAAATAGGATGTCTTGAAAAGTCTCCAATATGGGTTGCTATTAAAACAATAAAATAACTAAAAGAAAATAAATAAATATACTCCAGAGTGTGTGACCTTGCTAATTAAGGCATTTTCCCCAGGGAATTTCCAAAGCCTTTTTGATCTAACTATAACTCTCTTCTAATGAAAAGTTTTTTTCTCCCTCATATAGTTGCCTCTGAGTTCTTTAACCTTTGCTGCAGCACTGGGATAGCTTGTTCAATCTCATTATGTGGAGGCCAAAAGGATATAGGAAACAGTTAGGTTACTACACTTGCATATTTTTAATTCAAACTTCTTTAATGTGAGGGAAACCCTTTATCATTTCACCTGACAAACATAACCTCTTGAAAACTTAACTTCTAAAAATAAGTGAAAATTGTCAAGAACAAATTTACTAGGACTCGCCATATAGTGAGTGAATTAGTCCATTATCACACTGCTATGAAGAGATACCCAAGATTTATAAAGAAAAGGGACTTAATTGACTCACAGTTCTGCATGGCTGGGGAGGCCTCAGGAAACTTACAAACATGGCAGAAGGCACATCTTCACAGAGCAGCAGGAGAAAGAATGAGTGCAAGCAGGGGATGCAAAGCGCTTATAAAACCATCAGATCTTATGAGACAAACTTATTATCACAAAAATAGCATGAGGGAATCCACCCCTATGATTCAGCTACCTCCATCTGATCCCGCCCTTGACACATGAGGATTATGGGGATTACAATTCAAGGTGAGATTTGAGTGGGGACACAGAGCCAAACCATATCAATGAGTTATCCAGCGGCTTTGTTCTTCAAAAGGAAAATAGTATATGCAATAAATAAGGCAATATAATTTTTGTTAATTTTTGGCATTGTCAAATTGATCTGGCAATTTCATGTCCATATTTTTTTTTTTTTTTGAGATGGAGTCTCGCTCTGTCTCCCAGGCTGGAGTGCAATGGTGCAATCTTGGCTTACTGCAAGCTCCGCCTCCCGGGTTCACACCATTCTCCTGCCTCAGCCTCCCGAGTAGCTGGGACTACAGGCACCTGCCACCACGCCTGGCAAATTTTTTGTGTTTTTAGTAGAAACGGAGTTTCACCATGTTAGCCAGGATGGTCTCGATCTCCTGACTTCGTGATCCGCCCACCTCGGCCTCCCAAAGTGCTGGAATTAACAGGCATGAGCTCCTGCCTGGCCCAATGTCCGTAATTTTAAACCATCTACCATCATGACTGAAAATTAGAGTGAGGTTCCACGTAGCACTTCATTCATTTCCAAATGAGCTCCTTTCACATATACATATTTTTAAATTCTAATTTTGATAATAAACAATACACAGGGCACATCTTTCATGTTATCCCTGTAGACAATAAGTAGCCATGTTAATGATTTCACATACTCTCTGATAATTTTGTATTGGAAAGTTTAACACATTTACATTTATCATCATATCAGATCTATTTGGTATTAATTTTGGCTTATTTGTTTATTTCTTATTGGGTTTTATGCTTCCATTATGTCTTACTAAATTTAGCTAATGTTCAATAATCCTGTAAAAATTTAAAACATAGAATTTCCATTTTTATACTAATGCTGTGTTTTAATTTTTTTATTTATGTGTGTACTAAAATATTGCTCTTACTATGTACTAGGAACTAGAATAAAACTCACAGTGCTTTACTCGAGAATAGATCTTCTGTTCTTCACAAAAATCCTACAAAATATGTGCTTCTTACCTACATTACAAATGTGGGATCATTGATGCCAAGTAGTCTACCCAAATTCAGAAAGCTATAAAGAATGGCAGTACAAGTGGAATTCAGGTCTGTTGGACCTGAGAATTTGTGCTTTTAACATTATGATGTAATACAACTCTTTAATTATCAATGTAGAATGAATAGAAGGCTAGCTGAGAGGATTGACAACACACAACTGGGAATGTAGGAGAAAACTAGGCTGGTGCATGAATGTTGTCTTTTTGTTCCTAGTTTGAAATAACATTTTACTATGTTATGTCTTTTACATATATATTTTAAATATTTTCTCTATTTGCCATTTGTTTTACTTTACTTCATGGTGTTCTCTTTCAGTATAATTGTAGTATTCTCAATGACTTCATTTTAAATTTCAACCTTTGGTAATATTACATTATTTCTAAAACAGTCAACTATAATTTATTGTATATTAATAATATTTATTTTTATGTTACAATAAGATATTGAATCTCCTTAATATATATTTTACTCTATGATACAACATTAACTTAAAACATTGCTACATGATTTTTACAAAATAATTTTTCTAAGATGATATGCATATGTTTATATATGTGTGTGTATATATGAATAGATATATATTCCTATACATATAAATACCTTTTGTCTACTTCTTGAGTCTTCAAACAGTTCTGTTGATCTGTCTGTCAATTATCTCGTCTCCTTGCTTACTAATTTTAATAATCTTAATTTTATAATGCCTTTTAATAATGACTGAAAATTGCTTAATTGTACTTTATTTTCAAAATTGTTCTGGATATTCTAGATTATGTACTCTATTAGACATACTTTAGAACATCATTTTGGACAATTATTTCAGGACCATTATTTAAAAATAACATTTTTAGGAAAAAAATTACAGAAATTTCCTTTAAAAACATTTTTAAAACATAGTTGACATGTTAGTAAGAATTGCATTAAACCTAAAAATTAATTTAGAAAGACTACATGAATAGGATTTACTTTTCTTTGATGAGAAATGGTACTGAAGTCATATATGGCTAATTAGATTCAAGGAATATTATCATTTCTTCACACACTATGGATATTATTAACTTCATGATATCGAACCACCTCTTTATTCTTCAATATAAGACTATATAGATGATGTTTATTTCAATATATATTTTGTTTAGCATTATGCCGTCCAATATTTATATCTATATTTATCTGTAATATTTTGTAATTTTTATTTTTCTTCAATTCCAAAAAGTGTTGTTACTGATGTTATCCAGATATTAAAAAATAAATTGTGTCAGGTGCTAATTTAAAAAAGCAGAGGAAACAATGAGGAATTATAGCAGGGCTGAAATAGACTAGGGGGTAAAATAAAAGCTGTTCAGAGGAAATGATATTTAAGATATGCCATGAAGAATGAATAGAATCTATGCAGACAGACAGACTGTGAAAGAAACATTGTGGCAAAATATCAGCATGTGTAGGGAACTTAAGGAAGACAAACCTTATCCAATTTAAGCAAATGACAGTAGACCAGTCCTATTGAAGAGTGGGAGATGAGGCCTCAGGACCACACAAATTTGGGGTCACAAAGAGGAGTGGGATTACACAAAGCAGAATGTGGAGAAGTAGCTAAAGAGATAGGAGAATATCGGGGAACTGTCATAGAGATGTTCTCAAATGCTGCTGAGAAGGAGATTTTGGATGCATTAAGATTGTCATAAACAACAAGAACTTACACTGGATCACACATATATTTCTGCATTCTTATGTTGCTATAAAGAAATACTTGAGACTGGGTAATTTATAAAGAAAAGGGGTTTAATTGGCCTATAGTTCCATTTTACAAGCTCTACAGGAAGCATGATGCTGGCATCTGCTTAGCTTCTGGGGAGGCCTCATGAAACTTACAATCATGGCAGAAGGTGAACAGGAAGGAGGCACATCGCATGGCCAGAGCAGAAGCAAGAGAGCGAGGGAGGAGATGCCTCATACTTTTAAATGACCAGGTCTCACAAGCTCCCTCATTATCACAAGGACAGTACCAAGGGGAATGACGCTAAACCATTCATGATAAACCATCCCCTTGCTCCAGTCACCTTCCAATAAGCCCCACCTCCAACATTGGGGATTACATTTCAATATGATATATGGGTGGGGACACACTTTCAAAGGATATCAACATGCTAGGGTTTATTAATGTAGCATCTCAACAAGGATATAAAGGAGCATAATTATTATGGCTCTTTTCTTTGCCATCCACAGTATAAATTTTCTTAAGTTTGCTGCCCCTCTTGACAGTGGAAAATAGAGTTATATGAGTATGCATCCCTTGAAAAAATATATATCTTTTTAAACCTACTAACATCTCCTTATGTTCTGTTCACTACAATTGGGACACTTGCTCATTTCTGCATGTGCCATAGAAGGGGTATCATGCTAATTGACTAATTCCAATGCTGCTGAGTGTAGGATTGACATCTCCTAAGGCACCTGGCTAGGTGGCGATGGGTTATTTGCCCAGATTAACTAGAATCCTGTTAGGAAGGAAGAAAGTAATAAGAGTACTAAATAGGCAACTGAAATATGCAATACACAATTAATGAAGAATGAGGACTAAAAAGTATGGATTTGATTCAGCAACTAGGTCACTTGTGAACACAGCAAGATTTAGCAGAGAAGGGAACAAGATTAGAATGGGTGAAAGAGATTGGAATGTGAGAAAGTCAAGTCAGAGAATTAACACTTTCAATACACTTTTTTGAAGGATACAAAAGTGAGGTAGAAGTGGAAAAAAGAGGGATGGGAAGGGCAAAAAAGAGGGATGGGAAGGGCTCAGAAGACAGTTGGAGATGGGATCTAGGTTATAAGTGTAAGATGTGGTCATTGGCAGGATGCATTAAGCTTTCCATTACAGTGTAGTGGAGAAAGTAGGAATAGAGAAGAAAGACTATATTTTGAATCTGTGTGGAAATGCAATTGGTCCTATGTGGGGTGAGAATGTAACTCTATGTAGTATAAGTTAGTGTAATCAATAGACAATTGACAAAGGAGGGCAGAGGTTTGAGGCAGGCAGAGAAAAGATCAAATCGTCAATGAGAGAATAGAAAAAAATTCTTGCTGAGGGAAAGCTGATAAGGACTCCAGATGGTACTGAATGAGCAACTGGGATATTATGCTGTAGTTTCCTTTTTATGAGTATTTGATTTTGTTTTCTTTCTTTTTTTCTTTCATTAAGGGTATGTTGTCCAGAAAACATGTTGTGTGTGGGGGTGTGGTATGCTTTTAATAATTGTACATGTGTAGCATTTTGTGCTTTCTTAATCTCAAAGAATATATTTTCCTGTTACTTTCTTAGGTATGAAAGCCAACTAGGCTAGAAATTCATCTTTTTCCCTCAAAAATTTCTTCTTAAAACTTTAGTTTGAAGAGTATACTTTTTATTATATTTTATTTTTACTTTTTGTGATATCAGTCTTATTGAATTGTCATTTACAGGCAATAAAATTCATCAGACATATAATTTGATATAACTTGATAAAAGTATATAGCCTCCATGTAGTTGTGCAGTTTTAAGTGAGTTTCTTAATCCTGAACCTGCTTCTGAATTATTACTCCTGCTCCTGAATGAATAACAAAATTAAGGCAGATATAAATGTTCTTTGAAACCAATAAGAACAAAGACACAACGTACCAGAATCTCTGGGACACAGCTAACACAGTGTTTAGAGGGAAAATTACAGCACTAAATGCCCACAGGAGAAAGCGGGAAAGATCTAAAATTGACACCCTAACATCATAATTAAAAGAAATAGATAAACAGTAGCAAACAAATGCAAAAGCTAGCAGAAGACAAGAAATAACTAAGTTCAGAGCAGAACTGAAGCAGACAGAGACATAAAAAAATCCTTCAAAAAAATCAGTGAATCCGGATACTGCTTTTTTGAAAAGATTAACAAAATAGACTGCTAGCCAGACTAATAAAGAAGAAAAGAGAGAAGAATCAAAAAGACACAATAAAAAAATAATAAAGGGGATATCAACACTGATCCCACAGAAATACAAACTACCATCAGAGAATACTATAAACACCTCTAAGTAAATAAACTAGAAAATCTAGAAGAAATGGATAAATTCCTGGACACATACACCCTCCCAAACTAAATCAAGAAGAAGTCAAATCCCTGAATAGACCAATAACAAGTTTTGGAAATGAGGCAGCAATCAATAGCCTACCAAACAAACAAACAAACAAACAAAAAACCCAGGACCATACAGATTCACTGCCAAATTCTACCAGAGGTACAAAGAGGAGCTGGTACCATTCTTTCTGAAACTATTCCAAAAAATAAAAAAGGGGGACTCCTCCATAACTCATTTTATGAGGCCAGCATCATCCTGGTACCAAAACTTGGCAGAGACACAACAAAAAAAGAAAATTTCAGGCCAATATCCCTGATGAATATTGATGCGAAAATCCTCAAGAAAATCTTGGCAAACCATATCCAGCAGCACATCAAAAAGCTTATCCACCATGATCAAGTCAGCTTCATCCCTGGGATGCAAGGCTGGTTCAACATATGCAAATCAGTAAAGGAAATCCATCACATAAACAGAACTAATGGCAAAAACACATGATTATCTCAATAGATGCAGAAAAGGTCTTTGATAAAATTCAACACCCCTTCATGCTAAAAATTCTCAACAGACTAGCTATTGATGGACATATCTCAAAATAATAAAAGCTATTTATGACAAACCCACAGCCAATATCATACTGAATGGGCAAAAGATGGAAGCATTCCTTTTGAAAACTAGCACAAGATAAGGATGCCTTCTCACACCACTCCTATTCAACATAGTATTGGAAATTCTGGCCAGGGGAATCAGGCAAGAGAAAAATAAAGGGTATTCAACTAGGAAGAGAGGAAGTCAAATTGTCTCTGCAGATGAAAGGATTGTATTTTTAGAAAACCCCATCATCTCAGCCTCAAATCTCCTTAAGCTGATAAGCAACTTCAGCAAAGTCTCAGGATACAAAATCAATGTGCAAAAATCACAAGCATTCCTATACACCAGTAATAGACAAACGGGGAGCCAAATCATGAGTGAACTCCCATTCCCAATTGCTACAAAGAGAATACAATACCTAGGAATACAACTTACAAGGGATGTGAAGGACCTCTTCAAGAAGAACTACAAACCACTGCACAAGGAAATAAGAGAGAACACAAACAAATGGCAAAACATTCCATGCTCATGGATAGGAAGAGTCAATATCATAAAAATGGCCATACTGCCCAAAGTAATTTACAGATTTAATGGTATCCCCAACAAGCTACCATTGACTTTCTTCACAGAATTAGAAAAAACTACTTTAAATTTCATATGCAACCAAAAAAGAGCCCTTATAGCTAAGACAATCCTAAGCAAAATGAACAAAGCTGGAGGCATCACGCTACCTGCCTTTAAACTATATTACAAGGCTACAGCAACCAAAACAGCACGATACTGGTACCAAAACAGACATATAGACTATTAGAACAAAACAAAGGCCTCAGATGCTATTGTTTTTCATAATAATAATATGATTTTTAATTTTCCTAGGTACAGTCTGTTTATTTTTACCTGGCACATGATATGTCTTTTCACTCTGTTTATATTGTTTTTTTCTTTAGTTTAAGAAAGCTTTAATTTCCTATTCCTACACAATTTCTTCTACTCTATTAATCATTAATATGATAGTCTGATATAAATATTATAGTCTGATATATCTTATTATGGAAGAAACTACCATAGAATGGGAACAAACACAATCAGAAGACTGTAGTTAAGCATCAGCCTTCTTCTTCATACAGGACTGAATCTGTCCTCTGCCGTTGGTTCTCTAAGTTTGGTGTGAATCACATCACTTGGAGGACTTGTTAAAATGCAATTGCTGGTTCATCCACACTTTTGATTCAGCAGTCCTCAGGTTGGGCGATAATTTGCATTTCTGACAATTTCTTCGAGGGAGAGGGGCACGGATATTTCAGGTTTTGGGACCACACTTTGAGAACAAGTGCTCAAAGTCACTAAATTGTCTTGCTTTATTAAATCAGAGTAAAGCAGAAAGAGAAGGAACTATATAGGCTGCACTGAGTAAATTCTAAATGATTTCTTAGTTCTTCTGAATTTGAGATGTGGTTATTTGAGGAAAAGTTTGCAGAGGTTAAGATTGAACTAAGCTTTGAGTGAAATTCTTGGCTTTCTAACTTTGCTGATTATTCAAAACTGAAATGATCTGTCTTGGAAGGCAAGGAGATATCTGTACAATAATGTTGAAGGAGAGGTGGGATGAACCACTGGCATGGATATGATTTGTAAAGCAAAATCAGGTATCAAGTGTGTAGTACCAAACATTATTTCAGACCCCTTTCCCTGTTGCCGTGCACTGGTTTGAAGAAACAGGGGAACTTAAGTGGATACATAAATGGATTGGAGTGAGAGGTCATTGTTCAAATCGCAATTCCACAAGTGACTGGCTCTGTAAGGTTTGAAAAACTGATTAACATCTCTCAAACTGCTTGTATTAGTCTCCTAGGGCTGACATCGCAAGGACCACAAGACCGCTAGCAAGACTAATAAAGAAAAAAAGAGAGAAGAATCAAATAGACACAATAAAAAATGATAAAGGGGATATCACCACCGATCCCACAGAAATACAAACTACCATCAGAGAATACTACAAACACCTCTACACAAATAAACTAGAAAATTTGGAAGAAATGGATACATTCCTCGACACATACACTCTCCCAAGACTAAACCAGGAAGAAGTTGAATCTCTGAATAGACCAATAACAGGAGCTGAAATTGTGGCAATAATCAATAGTTTACCAACCAAAAAGAGTCCAGGACCAGATGGATTCACAGCCGAATTCTACCAGAGGTACAAGGAGGAACTGGTACCATTCCTTCTGAAACTATTCCAATCAATAGAAAAAGAGGGAATCCTCCCTAACTCATTTTATGAGGCCAACATCATTCTGATACCAAAGCCAGGCAGAGACACAACCAAAAAAGAGAATTTTAGACCAATATCCTTGATGAACATTGATGCAAAAATCCTCAATAAAATACTGGCAAACCGAATCCAGCAGCACATCAAAAAGCTTATCCACCATGATCAAGTGGGCTTCATCCCTGGGATGCAAGGCTGGTTCAATATACGCAAATCAATAAATGTAATCCAGCATATAAACAGAGCCAAAGACAAAAACCACATGATTATCTCAATAGATGCAGAAAAAGCCTTTGACAAAATTCAACAACCTTCATGCTAAAAACTCTCAATAAATTAGGTATTGATGGGACGTATTTCAAAATAATAAGAGCTATCTATGACAAACCCACAGCCAATATCATACTGAATGGGCAAAAACTGGAAGCATTCCCTTTGAAAACTGGCACAAGACAGGGATGCCCTCTCTCACCGCTCCTATTCAACATAGTGGTGGAAGTTCTGGCCAGGGCAATCAGGCAGGAGAAGGAAATAAAAGGTATTCAATTAGGAAAAGAGGAAGTCAAATTGTCCCTGTTTGCAGACGACATGATTGTTTATCTAGAAAACCCCATCGTCTCAGCCCAAAATCTCCTTAAGCTGATAAGCAACTTCAGCAAAGTCTCAGGATACAAAATCAATGTACAAAAATCACAAGCATTCTTATACACCAACAACAGACAAACAGAGAGCCAAATCATGAGTGAACTCCCATTCACAATTGCTTCAAAGAGAATAAAATACCTAGGAATCCAACTTACAAGGGATGTGAAGGACCTCTTCAAGGAGAACTACAAACCACTGCTCAAGGAAATAAAAGAGGATACAAACAAATGGAAGAACATTCCATGCTCATGGGTAGGAAGAATCAATATTGTGAAAATGGCCATACTACCCAAGGTAATTTACAGATTCAATGCCATCCCCATCAAGCTACCAATGACTTTCTTCACAGAATTGGAAAAAACTACTTTAAAGTTCATATGGAACCAAAAAAGAGCCCGCATCGCCAAGTCAATCCTAAGCCAAAAGAACAAAGCTGGAGGCATCACACTACCTGACTTCAAACTATACTACAAGGCTACAGTAACCAAAACGGCATGATACTGGTACCAAAACAGAGATATAGATCAATGGAACAGAACAGAGCCCTCAGAAATAATGCCGCATACCTACAACTATCTGATCTTTGACAAACCAGAGAAAAACAAGCAATGGGGAAAGGATTCCCTATTTAATAAATGGTGCTGGGAAAACTGGTTAGCCATATGTAGAAAGCTGAAACTGGATCCCTTCCTTACACCTTATACAAAAATCAATTCAAGATGGATTGAAGATTTAAACGTTAGACCTAAAACCATAAAAACCCTAGAAGAAAACCTAGGCATTACCATTCAGGACATAGGCGTGGGCAAGGACTTCATGTCCAAAACACCAAAAGCAATGGCAACAAAAGCCAAAATTGACAAATGGGATCTAATTAAACTAAAGAGCTTCTGCACAGCAAAAGAAACTACCATCAGATTGAACAGGCAACCTACACAATGGGAGAAAATTTTCACAACCTACTCATCTGACAAAGGGCTAATATCCAGAATCTACAATGAACTCAAACAAATTTACAAGAAAAAAACAAACAACCCCATCAAAAAGTGGGCGAAGGACATGAACAGACACTTCTCAAAAGAAGACATTTATGCAGCCAAAAAACACATGAAAAAATGCTCATCATCACTGGCCATCAGAGAAATGCAAATCAAAACCACAATGAGATATCATCTCACACCAGTTAGAATGGCAATCATTAAAAAGTCAGGAAACAACAGGTGCTGGAGAGGATGTGGAGAAATAGGAACACTTTTACACTGTTGGTGGGACTGTAAACCAGTTCAACCATTGTGGAAATCAGTGTGGCGATTCCTCAGGGATCTAGAACTAGAAATACCATTTGACCCAGCCATCCCATTACTGGGTATATACCCAAATGACTATAAATCATGCTGCTATAAAGACACATGCACACGTATGTTTATTGTGGCATTATTCACAATAGCAAAGACTTGGAACCAACCCAAATGTCCAACAATGATAGACTGGAATAAGAAAATGTGGCACATATACACCATGGAATACTATGCAGCCATAAAAAATGATGAGTTCATGTCCTTTGTAGGGACATGGATGAAACTGGAAACCATCATTCTCAGTAAACTATCGCAAGAACAAAAAACCAAACACCGCATATTCTCACTCATAGGTGGGAATTGAACAATGAGATCACATGGACACAGGAAGGGGAATATCACACTCTGGGGACTGTGGTGGGGTCGGGGGAGGGGGGAGGGATAGCATTGGGAGATATACCTAATGCTAGATGACGAGTTAGTGGGTGCAGCGCACCAGCATGGCACATGTATACATATGTAACTAACCTGCACAATGTGCACATGTACCCTAAAACTTAAAGTATAATTAAAAAAAAAAAAAAACAGCAGATATTTATTGTCCCACTGTTCTAGAAGCTAGAATTCTGAGATCAGGGTGTTGGTAGGACTATGTTCCCTTTGAAGACATCTATTCCAGGATCCTTCCCTAGCTTCTGGTATTGTGTTGACTTGTGGCAGCACAATTCCAAGCTTCAATGGCATTCTTCCTGTGTGTGTGTGTGTGTGTGTGTGTGTGTGTGTCCAAATTTTCTTTTTGTACAAGGACACTAATAACATTGGATTAGGGGCCCATCCTACTCTACTATGACTTTATCTTAGTGACATCTGCAATAACTTTATTTTTAAATCTGCTCACATTCTGAGATACTAGCGGTTAGGTCTTTAATATGTGAATTTTGGTTGAGGGACACAATTCAACCTAAAGCATTCATTCCCCTTCTTCTCCTTTGAACTAGTAAGATTCTTGTGGAAACTAAATGGGAAATTCATGTAAAGTTTTTCTCTCACAATAGCTGTTCAATCTATTGCAATGTTCTTGCTATTATTACTACTATTATTATGAAAATGTATCCAGTCTCCTCTAATATCCTCTAAATAGTCATTTTTTCCTGTTGCCAACTGCACTTAAGTTCTATGGTCATTTGTAATCCCTCCTAATATGTTGAAGATGTAGAAGTTTCCAAAATAGATACTTAAAAATTGTTTACCTTTTGCTTATTTGTTATTTATTCGCTGCTGCTTGTGAATGGGATTGAATATGTGGGGGCCATTTCTTTTCAAGCAGAACACTCTTGCCTTATGGGTGTCCCTATTTAGAGAACATATCCAGGGCAAAGGGCTACACTCTCTTTATACTAATCCAGCACGTGCTCCTCTTTCCTCCTCTCTTTTATTTACTTCTTTAATCTTTGCCCGGTTTTGTGCCACAGGTGTCCTAGAAGAAGAGACCCTACACTGGGCTTGTGACCAGCGGAAACTGAATCAATGCTGGAGACACATTCTAACAGTCGAATGGGCAGCTCACAGGAGGTAATGACTTTCAGTTACAATTTGTATGAGGCTCAATGCCATGCTTCAGGTTGCCAGTTCATTACCAGTTTTCCTTGCTTTTTCAGTCTATTACCAATTTAACTTCCCGAAGTTCCCTTTTACACTTCCTTTTGCTTGGGCTCTCTTTCTTATTCAATTACAGTGACTCAGTGACTTTGGTTAGGGCCTAAATGAAAGTCCTGTGTAGCACAAGGAAAAATTAAGTTGCTGTTCCAGTTCCACCTACATCTGCAGGCATTTGGATTGAAAAATATTTTGACCATTCCATGGGCATGGTATTTATCATAAAATGCAATTTTTGGTCAACTTTTTAAGGCACCTTGTCATATATATATATATATATATATATATATATATATATATATATATATATTTTTTTTTTTTTTTTTTGAGATGAAGTCTAGCTCTGTCACCAGGCTGGAGTGCAGTGGCGCAATCTCGGCTCACTGCAACCTCCGCCTCCCCGGTTCAAGTGATTCTCCTGCCTCAGCCTCCCAAGCAGCTGGGACTACAAGCACCCGCCACCATGCCAGGCTAATTTTTGTATTTTTAGTAGAGACAGGGTTTCACCATGTTGGCCAGGATGGTCTCAATCTCTTGACCTCGTGATCCTCCCACCTCGGCCCCACAAAGTGCTGGGATTACAGGTGTGAGCCACCATGCCCAGCCTATTCTTCCTACTCAATGAAAGAACAGGCAGAAGGATGATGTAGGAAGCAATGTTTATTTCCAAGTGTTGTACCAAGTATCCCCTCCTTAACAACACCATATATAATGACAGTAAAGAAGAAAGATTACCCAAATCAGGGATAATCAGACAGTCAGGGGTAAACAGACAATCCCCCAAATTAGGATGGATGCAGGATTTTATATATTTTTATTACAGTTAGGGGGAGAAATGACTTCAAGTATTTATCCAAAAAATAACTATCATGTATTGGGCATGTGTAGTGTATGTATGTAAATGCTAATGTTTTCCCAAAACCCTGCAAATTTATGTATTATTCACACTTCTGAGGTAAGAACACAGAGATTTGATGATTGACAAACCCACAGTTAAATCACTGTTAGAAGAGCTGGAATTTTATCTTGAACTCTTGGGTGGATTCCCTAAAGCCTCTGCTCTATGTAGAGTACTGATATTACCTAACCTCCATATTTCTGGCCACATTGTAGACACACAGAACATAAGGTATATTTAGTTCTACCTAATTACAGTACTTCTCAGGCCGGGTAAAGATGTCAACCATAAGATTTTATAGTGATTTTCTTGATATCCACACCCCTAACTCACCCTCCTGTCTGGACAGACTGGAAAAAGACATGTCCGGATGACAACAGTGGATTTTCTATCACCGTACAACCAAACTAGGGAGGCAAGCTTTCATTATAGCTTCCTTTTGTGCACTTTCAACAGAGCCCAGAATAACCAAGTCAATTCTAACCTATTTCTGACTGAGCTACTGTGCCTCCCACAGTTGACTGTGGGATACATACACTTTTGTTAATTTAATTATATATGTATATATGTGTATGTGTATACATATATATTCCATATATATTGTATTACTGTATATATACCTATTTATATTCTTAGTTATATTGTCTCTGTAATATATTGCCCTCCTTGTGAACCAGAATTTTAGCAATATACAATGTATATTCTATCCAAAATCTGGGCTTTTTGGGAGATCCAATATATGAATACCTACATATTGAATTTTATCTTGTAAATTGATATTTATTTATTTTTATCATGATGGCATTTAGTTGTATTCTATCCTCCTCTTTTGTTTCTAAATATATTATGAATAAAATCTTTACATCTTAGCTGAATAATAATGTGGGTGGTGGGCAGGAACTGGCTTATCGCAATACTCTTTTTCCTTATGAAATTAGCACAGTTATATGCACATAAAATGTATTTAGTATTAATTAAATTTACATAAACATTTTTATTCTCAGGACTCAGGGCTTTTTAATGCTCATTTTTTTACTGGACATTACTATTAATAGTTCATTGTGAAACAAAGCCAAAGCAGGCTATACATTGTATCAAGGCCTGTGGATGATGAGGGACTTTTGGCATGGTTTGTATTTTGCCCATGGTTATTGAAACTGGAGGATCCTAGGAAGATGGAAACGTTTAGGGAGCCCATTGAGTAAGGAAAAGCTAAGTGCCCAGTTTCTCTTAACAGCCTTTCTAAACAGGGACTACACAAGACCATAAATTGCTACTGTTCTAAGAGACAACCATTCGATCCAATGAGAGACCTTCTTTCCTATACATCTACAACGGCATTACATATGTACCATCTTGGGTGGATTGAAATAGTAGGCACTGGAATTATTCTCTGGATTGTGCAATTGAGATGAGGAACCCTAACTGAGGAAAGCTATCACACATTTTCTATCACTCTTTGAGTCTCAAAAACAATGTGGGAAAGATCACTTGAACAGCAAACACTGACCACCAATTTAGGGGCAGGTGAACCGTGGCATACATGATAATTAATTTCTTCCAATGTAATCCACATTGTTGAGAATTTTACTCCTAGGGAAGCTACTCCAGTATGCCTTCTCACTCCTGAAAGTAGCTTTTCTCTCTTCAAATAAAGATATGCCGATATAGAAATCTGGTTATAAAAATAACGGCCAATAAAGATATTGCCCTAGGCCCAGTTGGTCAATGTCAGTGATGCTGAGGTTATTATAAAATACTTTTAGTATATTCAAGGAGAAAAGGGAACTTTCTAAGTAAAGACTTTGCAGCTGAAAAATTGTCATAAAACAAATGTCAGACCTTTTGTTTTTCAAGTACAAATTAAGATATCCCTAGAACAATCTGGTTTAAGTGGTTTTATTTTTGGCATTCTGAAAAAAAAGGTCACAGTTATGTTAGTTATGATCATTCTCTTCTTTTGTCACAGTAAATTTACAGGTTTTAGAAGATGGAGTGTGATAAATAATGAAACAATAGAAATAATTGGTTCTAGATCTGGAGATGAAAGCAGTAGTTTTAATTTGAATTTCTAAATCATCTTCATTAGCTGTGTCACCTTGGACAAGTCCCTCAACTTATTTGAGCCTCAGTTTCTAGAACTACAAAATAGCAAACCTCAATCTCAAAGGTTATGGTGAAAATCAAGAGATGCTATGTAAACAAGTCTAATCTATGTTCTGAAGCAACAATTACAAAGTCTACAAAAATCATTGGTTAAAATGAGAATATTTTCATTCATTTTTATTTTGTGTTTTTTAAATATGTTATCTAATTCTCACACCACCACTGTAAAATAAACCCCGAAACACGAGTAACTTGCCTAAGGCCAGAAAATGAATAAATAGTTAGCTTGGACTCCTCTCTGCCTGATTCTAAAGCCAGTTTTTATAGTTTCTGCATTATATAACTCCTTTAGCTGACTAATTTTGTGATGCCTTCATTGATTTAACTTTTGCAAATGATTAACATCATAAAGTAGACGGTGAGAGCACCAATTGAAATACACATGAGGAATGAAGGCAAAATCTTGGAACCAGCAAGTTCTGTCAAAGTCATCTATGTGAACTCCTTGCCTTATGTAAAGTTTAACAAACTATTCCAGACACATTGTCAGGGAAGGAATTAACTGCTCTGCTAACTCCTCCTCTGCTTAACCATGCTTGCTACCCCAGTGTTTCTCCTTATATCATCTGAATTCCCTCCAGCTGCAATTTATGCCCTCCTTCTCTCATTTTTGCCTCATCAGAGAGGGAGAACAGCTGGTCACCATCCTCCATATAATCACACTTGGTATAATGAAGGTGGTTATTGAGTCACCCTTCAACAATTCCAGTCCAGGTCTTGCTACACAGACCTCTTTACTTGGAAACTGACAAAGATGGCATGTAGAGGAAGATAACTTAAAACATATTCACACCCAGTAAAATGCTGAATAGGAAAACTGTTTTAGGAGCGAGTATTGTATCTTGTTTTACTGCAGCTAATGTTCTGCAATTGCTTCAAATCTGAAGCATGTTCCATACCATAATGGCTAAAGATATGACTTTTTCATACAATTTGGCTTTGGCTTTATCTAAGTTTGAGGTAATTAAGTCAGGAAATCCAAGGTGAAAAAAGAAGGTTTGGACAGGGGCCAGCAGGATATTTGATCCAAGGCACATGTGTCTGAAATTAAATTTGGGAGTTAGGCTGTGCTGTCCTTAAATCTCGATGGCAAATGAAGGCGAACCTTCTGTGTGCTAAGAAAAGGGAATACGTAGGCTGCTGCCTTACGGGAATTACAGAAGACAGGGATAATTCCCAGAAACTACCCAGATTGACTGAAAGGCTGTTTGGCACACCAGTGTGAAGGAACAAGAATGGACAGCTCCCTATAATTACCTAGCCTGAGATCCTGAGAGATTGCCTGTATGCCCAGTGGATTTGGGCAGGTACAGCTGCTGGAGTGTGCAGGAAATAAGGCATTGCCTAAATGGAGTGATTTGATTTTTTAAGGAGAGCAAGCCCCCTTAAATTAGAGAGAAGTTAAATATTTATTGTTGCATACATTGTAGCATTATTTTTGATACTTTTAAATAAGTTTTCTGCACCTAAGCGTCTCTTATTCGAAGAACAATATTCTCCATTAATCAAGTAATCAAATGGCATACTGAAAGCCTCATTCTGCAAAAATGGGAATCACGTCTGAGTTCCGCTTCCAGCACCAGACTAGGTGGGAAAATGGTCAGACCACTCATCCGTTTATTCATTTTTTTGCCCAAACATCCATCAGTACACGGGGATAAAAAACAGTATTCCAGGGATGAGCATAAAATAAGTTAGCACATAGTTCGTAATTGTGATGTTATCTATCATTATCCATTATTATTATAAACAGAAAGATCCACAGGCCTTAAGAAGGGCATCCATAGGCCGGGCGCAGTGCCTCACGCCTATGGAGGCCAAGGCGGGAGGATAACCCGAGGTCAGGAGTTCGAGACCAGCCTGACCAACATGGAGAAACTTTGTCTCTACTAAAAATACAAAATTAGCCGGGTGTGGTGGTGCATGCTTGTAATCCCAGCTACTCGGGAGGCTGAGGCAGGAGAATTGCTTGAACCCAGGAGGCAGAGGTTGCAATGAGCCAAGTTCGTGCCACTGCACTCCAGACTGGGCAAAAAGAGCAAAACTCCATCTCAAAAAAAAAAAAAAAAAAAAAAAGACATCTATAAGCTCACAAAGCAAGTGTTTAATGCAAAAAGGTAATTTAAGACAAAGTCTTAAAGCAGCAGATATCTTAGTTTTTAGTTTATCAGAAGGAATGAAAGGCTTCAAAAAGAAGGTGATAGTATTTATTTGTCTTTGGCTAGGGCATGTCAGAAATATTTTGTTTTTTCTGGACATAACACTTTAAGGAGGCTATTGATCAATCAGATTGTTGGATTGTAACCCTGGTAAGCAACCAATATGAATGGAAAAAATTTGAGCATTGTGTTTGTTCAATTTAGACAGGAGTTAGGACAGGATATGCTAGCCATGTAGTGGTGTTGCATGACTGTATAAGGAATGTAAAAAACTGTCCAGATAACGAAATCAAGACCACATGTGGTGAAAATATCAACACAAAATATATTAATTAAATACATTTTTTTCTAATGCTAGAATATGACCAAAATATGATTGAGACATCTCCAGTGGTATATATATTGAGGATCATATTTAGAGATTGGTGTATAAACCTTGCCAGAGCCTTTATACACTCAAAATTTAGTAATTTGATTAAATGCATTCTTAACTTGGACTTACCAATTAAGAATGCTTCAAAGACCTAATGGGAACACTCATCAAAACAGTTTCTATGGAAGTCTATCTATCTGAAAGGAAATAAAATGTTTTAACCAGACCAAATATAACTAATACAAAATTAAATTTGTCTTCTTGTCATAGTCTGTTGTGTTTGGAAAAGAATAGTTCTTTCATTCATCCAGGGAGTTTTCAGACATTTCATTTAGCAAAGTCCCAATAGGATTGTAACTGGACAGTGAAAGTCAACTCTGATCAGGGAGGATCTATTTCCTGTAAAGTTATGTTGTTAACTGTGATGGATGACACAATCAAGGAATGCAACCAGGGTTTCTGACTCAAGGCAACATTAACAAGGATAACTCTTTGCAAAACAACTGCTTGCAAATGCATTGGACGCATTGACCAGGGCTAGGCTTCTGTACTCAACATTCCTATGAAAAATTAATTTCATGAATGCCCAATGAATAATGAATATCCATGGATTAGATAAAATCCAACTTTCCACCATTATCTAAAAGATATTGGGCTCTCCTACCTATACAATCTCATCTCCTACTACTTCCCTTTTTTTCATTATTTTCCAAGCATACTGACTTTTTCCATTGGGCAAGCCAAGCTCATAGCTTGGTGCATTTGCACTGTTTCCTATGCCTCTGCTTCCCCCATATCTTTGCATAGTTATCACCTCATGATCATTCAAATCTCAACTTGATGTTGATCTCTAACCACAGTATGTTTTAGTTGACCCTCTTGGTTTTCATCATCACTCTGTATCCTATTACTTAACTTTATTTTTTCATAGAATTTGATATCTTTTTTAAAAAAAAATGCTGCAGTGTATTAGCTAGAACAGTTTATGGCTCATATATGCACTCGATACATTTCAGATATATATTTTTATGTTTGTTGCCCCCCCACACACATAACACACAAGCATATCTGCTTCATGAGGGCGAAAACTCCAGTTTTTCGTATACACTGCAGATTTCCCAATGTGAGAACAGTGCTTGGAAGAAAGTGACACTTCTATAATTATTTTTTGAAGGAATGAATCTTATTTGTTGTGAGCATTTACAAGTAGGGGACTTAAAATGCATTTTAAGAGAGTAGATGGTGTGACTGTGATACTGCTTTTGTATGAACCCCTTTCATTATTACACATCTATGATGATAAGTCCTGAGCTTACAGAGATGGAATCAGATTCATTATTCTGTGCTCATGAGGATGGGAAACCAGCCATGAAAGTCACCCCTCACTATTCTAGCCCATGTAGCTGTCATTCTTCTTGGAACTATCCCCCGTTGTACTATTCTAAACAAGACTGACTTGATCCTCTGATGAAGTCTTTATCCTCTGATGATAAAACTAGAGCCTGTGCTTGAGGTCAGTGCTAGAGGAGCAGTTACAGATATCAAGAAGGTCCTGAAGTGCTGGAGAGAAGTTGTGTAAGGATGCAGGTGAAGAGAGTAATGTTAGAGTTAGACAAACACTATTAGCAATGTTTTGTATGAGATACAATTAAAAAACTGCCAAGACTTGCAGCTACTGAAAGCAAGTGGGACTCAAAGAAGTGAGAGGAGAGACTGAATTGATTCTGTCATATAAGTAATTCTGGAATATAATTTATTTTGAAAATCCAGAAGCTGCTTTACCAGTCCTTCTTTATCTGAAAGGAGCCAGACGTTTCTGACACAGAGTCTATTATCTAATTAGATGTGGACTTTTATTTTATATAAGTCACTTTTCTGAATATAAATTAGGTATAAAATCAGAGTCAAAAACAATTACAGAAAGTGAAAATTATATGTAGTATCTGTACATACAATCCTTCATCATCTTTCATATTGTTATAGTTTATTATTATTTTGAAGGCTATGTTTTCATGCCAGTCTACACCATTAGACTGTGATGATGCTGGGAGATGCTTTATTCATCATTTGTTTTCTGATCAATTATTTAAGATTAATTCAGCAAACAATGAGCATTTTCTATGATAGTCATCATGATAGGTCCTAGGTAAACATGTTCTCTGTCCCCATGGAACTTATGGTCTTGTTAAAAGAGGCAAACTTTAAATATGCAGGATGACATTGGATGGTAAGAAGTGTCTCATAGAAAATAAAATGTCTTAAGTCATATTGACTAGGAATGGGAGGATGGTGCCACTCAAGATAGGACAGAGGGCTGACTACAATAAAATGTGAGACCCGAAGGCTGAAAAAAAAAAAAAAAAAAACAAAGAATATCCCAATTATAGATACAACAAATTCAAAGGCTTCAAGGCACAAATGAGGTTGGCCTGGTCAAGGCACTGCATAGGAAAACAGCATGGCTGCACCCTAGTGAGCAAAGAAGAGAGCAATAGCAGATGTTGGAAAGGTGGGCCAAGGCCAGACCATGCTAAGTTTTATAGGCTATCATTAGGCTGTGTGGACTTCATTCTAAGTATATTGGATGTTTTTGAGCAGGGTAGAAATGTGATCTGATTTACATTTTTCAAAGGGTGTCTCCATTTAAAATAGAATAGATTGTAGAAGGTAATATGAAAAGACCAGTCTGGGGAACTATATTGGAGGTAATCAGGTTAGAGGTAAGAGTGGATCCAGCTAAGAATATACAGTGATGATGGAGACATTACTTGGAGAATATGCTCAGAGTTTAGGTGCAGGGGATAAAGAGAAGGTTAACTGGTTTCAGCTTGAGCATCTGGCTTGATACTAATGGCATTTATTTCTATGAAAACCACTGAGTGAGAAACATGTTAGGATAGTGTGAATAGGCCTTAAGGACATTGTTAATACATTTCAAATGTCACTCTATATAGCAAATCTGTCATATGTATATGAACCTCAAAAGAGAGTTTGGGGCAGAGTTACATAATTGTGAATCATATGCATATAGTTGATATTTAAATCTATGGACTTGTATGTGATCACCTAGGGAGAAGATGTATATAAAGAGAGTGAAAGGTTTGGAAATATCAAATATTTAGAGGTCAGATAAGAATAAGGAATATAAAAAAAAATTGACCAGGAATTACTAGCTAGCATAATAAAAGGAAAGCTATGAAAATGGGCAGTCACAGACTGTGAGATAATATTTCAGATATATGATAGTATTTATTTCTGTTGAGCAAGGCTAAAGTGTATCTAAAAACTGAGAACAGAGATTTATTTATTTTACTTGGCAGGCTGGATGTCAGCTTTGGCCTGACAAATACATTTCAATAGATCAGCAAACACTTAGACATGTGAATAAAAGTTCTGAACATTAAAGACAAATAGACAATCTTAAAAGCATTCAGAAAGAAATAACAGATGCACTTGCCAATAAGGGATGATTAATGATACCCACAGTTAAATTTTGAGAAGCAGCAATAGAAGCCTGAATACAAGGAACAATATCTGCAAAGTCAGCAGAGAATTCCTTTCTACTGAAACTATCACTTAACAATGAATGCTAGCAACCTCACACCCATTAAGATAGCTACTATCAAAAAAAAAAAATTAACAAGTGTTTGTAAAGGGAAATCAAAACACTTAGGTCTGTTGGTGGGAATGTGAGATGGTGCCACTGATAAGGAAAACAGTATGACAATTCAAGAAATAAAACATAATTATTAGGTAATTCAGCAATTTCACTTCTGAGTATATACACAAAAGTATTGAAAGCAGGAACTCAAATAGATATTTGTACACTCATGTTCATAGCAACTTGATATGCAAGAGTGAGGTGGAAGTGGTCCAAGTGTTCATGAAAGAATACATAGATGAATAAAATACAGTAAATACATACAAGGTAATATTATTCAACCTTTAAAAGGAAAGAAATGGGTGAATCTTGAGAATGTTAAGCTGAGTAAAAAAAAGCCAGTCACAAAAGGGAAAATACTGTATGATTCCACTTATATGAGGTACCTATGGTAATCAACTTTATAGAGACAAAGAGGAGAATGGTGGTTTCAAAGGGCTGGGAAAAAGGAGGGATGGAAATTGTTTAATGGATGTAGAGTTCCTATTACGCAAATGAAAAGAATTGAGGAGATTGGTTGTACAACAATATGAATGTAATTAACATGCCCAGACAGTAGACTCAAAAGTGGTAAAGATGGTAAATATGCTTTGTGTATTTTACCATATGTTTTAAAGGTAAAAATAAAAAAAGGTAAAAATAAGTGAAATTAATAGCATATTTTATTTAAGCCAACATATTCAAATATTAGCATTTAAACACACACTTAACATTAAAAATATTTGAGATATTTTACTTTTTTGTATTAAGTCTTCAAAGCCTGATGTGTGTTTTACACTTGTAGCATATCACCTTCTATCTAAGTACTAAATAGCCACATGTGCCCAGCGTCTGTGGTATCAGAAAGCCGTGTTCTAGACCTTCTAGCTGTGAGAGAGCAGGCAGCCTGCTATAGCCACATGACTCAGCCCAGAAGGAAACAGCAGAACAACTGCCCGGCTGATCCCAACTTTACTTGTCATAGAATTCTCAGCTACTAAATGATTGTTGTTTGAAGATATTAAGTATTCGAGTGGTTATGCAACGAATGCCAATTAATTGAATGGAAAGGATGAATTCAGATTCATGTAGGCTTACAGGTTCGTAGGTGGCATGCTAAGAAAGTCTTACACAGTTTGTATTTCTCTATGAAGTATGAGCGACGGATGTCATGTATAAAACATGATGTACGGAAGAAAGAACATGGAGATTTAGCAAAAGAGAAGACAGTGTGAAGTACGTATTGGGATAAGTAGAGATAAAATTAATGGTGAAATGCTGTAAAATTGCTGCCCCGCTGCATTGTTCATCTGAAGTTTGTCCTTTTGTCTAGCACATAGTAGGTGTACAATAAATATTTGTTTAATCAAATCAATTCATTCATTTTGGTAAAGGCAGTTTGGAGAAGGCATTATGTTTGTTTTATA